>NC_000023.11:130929381-133429381 GCF_000001405.40 Homo sapiens | reverse complement strand
CAGCCTGGGCAACATAGTGAGACACTGTGTCTACCAAAAAAAAAAAAAAAAGATCTGCACGTGGTGGCATGCACCTGTGGTCCCAGTTACTCTGAAGGATGAGGTGGGAAGATCACTTGAGCCCAGGAGGTTGAGGCTGCAGGGAGCCATGATCCTACCACTGCACTCCAGACTGGGTGACAGAGTGAGATCCTGTCTCCCCCTGTCAAACAATGTATGCTAACACAGGGCACGGTGGCTCACACCTGTAATCCTAGTACTTTGGGAGGCTGAGGCGGGCAAATCACCTGAGGTCAGGAGTTCAAGACCAGCATGGCCAACATGGTGAAACCCCATCTCTACCAAAAATATAAAAATTAGCTGGGCATGGTGGTGGGTGCCTCTAATCCCAGCTACTTGGGAGGCTGAGGCAGGAGAATCACTTGAAGCCAGAAGGCGGAGGTTGCAATGAGCCAAGGTTGTACCACTGCACTCCAGCCTGGGCGACAGAGTGAGACTCCATCTGAAGAAAAAAATAAAACAAAAGAAAGTATGCTAATACTACAAATAATTGAAAATTGATACTCAAACAATACACATGCACAAATGTTCACAGCAGCTTTATTCACAATAATCAAAAGGTGGAAAATAGCCCAAATGTCCATCAATGGATGACTGGGTAAATAAAGTATGGTATTTCCATCCATACAATGGAATATTATTCAGCTATAAAAAAGAATAAAGTATTGATTCATGCTACAACTTGGATGAACCCCAAAACATTATGCTAAATGAAAGAAGCCAGACACAAAAGGTCAATATTGTATGACTTCACTATTATGAAACGCCTAGAATAGGCAAATTGATAGACATAGAAAGTAGATTAGAGGTTACCAAGGGTTGGTAAGAGAAGGAAATGGGGAGTTATTGTTTAATGGGAACCACATTTTTGTTTAGGGTGATGGAAATGTTTTGGAACTAATTAGAGGTAGCAGTTGTACAACATTGTGAATGCACAAAACACTCCTCAATTGTTCACTTCGAAATGGTAAATTTTAGGCCCCACAGAGGGAAACGGGTAAATTTCACCTAATTTTTTTTTTTTTTTTTTTTGAGATGGAGTTTCACTCTTGTTGCCCAGGCTGGAGTGCAATGGCACAATCTTGGCTCACTGCAACCTCCGCCACCCAGGTTCAAGTGATTCTCCTGCCTTAGCCTCCCGAGTAGCTGGAATTACAGGCATGTGCCACCACGCCTGGCTAATTTTTTGTATTTTTAGTAGAGACGGGGTTTCACCATGTTGGCCAGGCTGGTCTCAAACTCCTGACCTCAGGTGATCCACCCACCTCGGCCTCCCAAAGTGCTGGGATTATAGGTGTGAGCCACTGTGCCTGGTCTTCACCTCAATTTTTTAAAAAGAAAGAAAATATTTTAGCACCTTAGTTCATTGGTCTAGGCCATGACAACTGCTGATTGCCTCAAATGAAACAGGGTCTTACTGGGATGCAAATAGTGTTGGAAAGCTGATGGTCAGAGTACAGGCTTTAATATCAGAACTGGGCACAACTCTCAGCCCTGCCACTGACCATCTGGGTGCCTATGGCTAGGGATTTAGTCTCCCTGATCCTCAGTTTCCTCCTCTGTGAAATGGGGACCACTTTAGAACTTACTCAGGGGGAAGTCACAAAGATTAAATAATGCATGGCAAGTGTTCAAAAGGGGATACATAATATTTTTAGGGAAGTGTATAGCTGACAAGAGTTCAATAAAGAATAGCTATTATTAAGGGCCGGGCGCGGTGGCTCACGCCTGTAATCCCAACACTTTGGGAGGCCAAGGCAGGCGGATCACAAGGTCAGGAGATCGAGACCATCCTGGCTAACACGGTGAAACCCCGTCTCTACTAAAAATACAAAAAATTAGCTGGGCGTGGTGGTGGGCACCTGTAGTCCCAGCTACTCGGGAGGCTGAGGCAGGAGAATGGCGTGAACCTGGGAGGCAGAGCTTGCAGTGAGCCGAGATCATGCCACTGCACTCCAGCCTCAGCGACAGAGTGAGACTCTGTCTCAAAAAAAAAAAAAAAAAAAAAAAGAATAGCTATTATCTATTATCTAGGGTCTAGCAGCAACCTCTTATACCAGCCTTAAGGAAACATCAAAGGAGTCAAGCCAGTATTGGGCCTTCACAGTGCAACAACTAACAGGAATCAGCTCAGAGTAGAGAACCACCTCAATCAGTTACCTTTAAGCAGTCTGACAGCCAGGCACCCAGCTTCTTCTGACTAGTAAAGATGGGCCACGCCCCCAACAGGATGTGTAGCTGTCATCCCTGACTTTCCTCTCTAGTTCCCAATTAAGGTTTTGTTGTTGTTGTTGTTGTTGTCGTAAATGGAGTCTTGCTCTGTCACCCAGGCGGGAGTGCAGTGGTGCGATCTCGGCTCACTGCAACTTCCACCTCCTGGGTTTAAGTGATTCTTTTGCCCCAGCCTCCAGAGTAGCTGGGCTTACAGGCCTGCACCATGACGCCTGTATAATTTTGAGAACAGGCTGGTCTGAAACTCCTGACCTCAAGTGATCTACCTGCCTTGGCCTCCCAAAGTGCTGGGATTACAGGTGTGAGCCACTGAGCCCAAGCCTAATCAAGTTCTACATTTACCCAATTTCCACTTGGTTCTGCATTCTTGGCTCTGTAGCTGGTAATGTCACCAGTTCCATTCCATGATGCTGTGTACATACAGTCACTTCTCATTATTGATCCTCAGCTCTCCCTCCAGAACTTGATTGCATTCACTCTTCCAGCTCTTCTAGCTTCTGAGCATCCTGCGCAGGCTTTGATAACTCAGCACTGTGTTCTAGTCATCACCCATTACCCGCACTCGCTTGAAAGTCCCGAGATGACAGATGTAGAGAGCAGCTGCTTTGGTAAATGTTTGAGAATTACACAAGAAGAAAGAAGACTTTTGTTTAAGTGAGTTGAGATATGATGCAGGTAAAAGACAGGAAACTTTAGGCACGTAAGAAGAAAGCAAGTAAAAAAAATGATGGCCAGGTGCAGTGGTTCGTGCCTGCGATCCCACACTTTGGGAGACTGAGGCAGGAGGATCGATTGAGCTCAGGAGTTCAAGACCAGCCTGGGAAACTTAGTGAGACCCTGCCTCTACTAAAAGTCAAAAAAAAAAAAAAAAAAAAAGCCCGGTGTGGTGGTGCCCACCTGTGGTCACAGGTACTTGGGAGGGAGACTGAGGTGGGAGGGTCGCTTGAGCCTGGGAGGCTGAGGTTGCTGTGAACTGTGATCACACCACTGCATTACAGTCTGGGTGACAGAATGAGACCCTGTCTCTATAAAAAAGAAGAAAAAGAAGAAAAGTGAGAGCTTTCACTGTCCTGGTAAGCTGGCTAAATTTCGTATTTTTAGTAGAGACGAGGTTTCACCATATTGGTCAGGCTGGTCTTGAACTCCTGACCTTGTGATCCGCCCGCCTTGGACTCCCAAAGTGCTGGGATTACAGGCATGAGCCACCGCGCCAGGCCCTCTGAGAATTATTAAGAAAATGTTGGATAGAATTATCATCGAAAGTCAGACTGGGTGAGAAAAGCTTGCATATATTAGTAGACAGGGACATGGGAAAAGCCAACTCCCTCGTGCTGGTGTACAGCTTGGATTCAGCTACACTCTTGGAATGTCTATCCAGGTTTCATAGTTTCCTTCCTCATTTGAATGCGTTATTGTTGTAGCAGCAGTAACAGCAGCAGTTCCGCAGACATTGCCCATCAGTGTTAGAAAATGACAAATGTCAAACCATGGCTGACCCTCTCTCCAACTCTTTTTATCTGCGGTATCTCTTTGGAATAAAAATGCCTGCTCCCTGCTGGGTCTTCTTAAAAATGCATATTGTCTCTTCACATAAAGGCAAGGATGATGGTGCTATGAAAAAGTAAGAAAAAGAAGAGGAGGAGGAGAAAAGAAGAAAAGGAATTCATTCCAACTCCCCAGGTTTGAAGTGCAAGTCCAAAAAAACCTGTTGGGCTTAATTGGCACTTCATTAAGAACATTTTCATGTCCATTTAAAAAATTCTGTTGCTTTCTGTTTTTGTAACTCAGTTTTCTGATCCTCACTGAAGAGGAGCAAGTTTCATGAAGTTCAGGGCCAGAGTTGGGGGAGGGTGCCCTTTGGCTCCCTGGAGCCCTGGGAGAGTGAAGCTGACACCAGACAGCTTGTCCGCTTTTCCAAATGGGGTAGAGAATGAATATAAAATGCAATGTGCACTACCACATGTCACTAGGCATCCTTTGCAATCTTGAGCCATAAATGTGCCTGATACCTGGGAGCCCTTATTCTCATATGAAATCCAAGTAGAAGAAGCAAGGTTGGAAAACACCATTGCTACAGCAACTGCTTGAGTCAGACCTCGTGCTTTGCCTCTGACAGCCCTTTACAGGCTTGAGATTTTGAAAAACAAAAAAGGAAAGGTCAAGTTTGAGGTGGATTGACTAGAATGCCAAGGCCCCTTCCAGATCTCATATTCCCATAGCCTCTGCTGTAATAATGTAAACTCCCTGCCTCCATCCTGTCTCTTTTTGCCTGTGCAATTTTCTCATCAGCCAGGTGAGATGTGGAAGAGTAATAGAAACACGTTTGAAAAATGAATGTTCCAGAAGTGACTTCAACAATCTAAGAGCCAATTCGAAGTGTCAGTGTTTTTATTTAATCAAAAGAATATGGCCGGGCGTGGTGGCTCATGCCTGTAATCCCAGCACTTTGGGAGGCCGAGGTGGGTGGATCACTTGAGGTCAGGAGTTTGAGACCAGCCTGACCAACATGGTGACACCCTGTCTCTACTAAAAATACAAAAATTTAGCCAGGTGTTGTGGCGGGCACCTGTAATCCCAGCAACTTGGAACGCTGAGGCATGAGAATCACCTGAACCCAGGAGGTGGAGGTTGCAGTGAGCTGAGATTGCGCCACTGAACTCCAGCCTGGGTGACAGAGCCAGACCCTGTCTCAAAAAAAAAAAAAGAAAAAAAAATTAGTTGGGCGTGGTGGTGGGCACCTGTAATCCCAGCTACTCTGGAGGCTGAGGCACGAGAATCGCTTGAACCGGGGAGACGGAGATTGCAGTGAGCCAAGATGGCACCATTGCACTCTAGCCTGGGCGACAGGCAAAACTCTGTCTAAAAAAAAAAAAGAAAGAAATAATTTTATTTCCATGAATGAACCATTTATGTCCAGTGGGCAAATTAGAGAAGGAACTCTCCCCCAATTACACTGAAATGCGCTGCGATCTAATCATGTACAACAAGCTAGAGTAATGAATATCTATGGCAACCATTCTGCCATCACATGGAAGTGTACTCACTGAAAAGTGGGTTTTTTTTTTCAGTAATTAGAAATGCTCTTTATAAATCAGACTATAAATTATAGCTTAGGTGCAGGGAACATTAGCCAGCTCTCTTCCTATACTGCCTTTGGTCTTTGTTCTCCTATGAGCATGGGGCATGAGATGTAAATTTTATAAAAGCTGCATACTTCATGCAACCTTTGTCCCTGTAGTAAAGTATAAAATAATATCACTTATATTATTATCACAAATAATAATGCAAATACTAATCACTTATATGATTATTACATAAGAATGGCCATGTTACTCTTTGGGCCTCAGTTATCTTGTCAGGAAAATGGGAATAATAAGAAACACCTTCTCTGTAGTGAGAAGGTCATATTGTATGAAAGCAATTGAAATCCCTTTCTGTTCTACAACACAATAATTAATAATTCAATGCTAATTATGGACCAATACAGATGTAATTCAGGAGCCCTGATACAAAATTATTAGATCAATTTACTATCATACTAAATAGCATTTAGTGCTGGCAGGGCTGGGTGTGAGCAAAATGCGAAGTACGTGGAATTTATAACAACCATAATAATAATAATAGTAGCTACTATGTATTGAGCGCCCGCTTTTAGGCCCCATGAGAGACAGGATTTTGTTTTATTCATAACTATATCTCCAAAGCCTAAAACAGTGGCAATCCTCAGTAAATACTTGTTGAGTGAAGGAACGAGTAATGGATAAATAAATGAATGCTTTGTATCAGGCAGTGTGCTAATTGCTTTCCAATTACTTCGAGGTATATGTATTTTCTACTCTGTGCCCGGTGCTGAGGGTACAAAAATGAGTTAGGCATGCTTTGGGCCAAGAGGGATGCCCTATATATGTATCTATCGCTCTATCTTTCTATATTTTTAATCCTGATAGTGTAGGTGTGACACACGAGAAAAATAAGGCTCAGGGAGGGTGTTACTTATCTAAGGACACACAGACAGTAAATGGCAGAACCAGGATTTAACTCTGTTTGCTTGGCCCCATAGCCTCTTTCATTGGGTAACACTGCCTTTCTTCTTTCCTTCTTTTTTTTTCTTTTCTTTTTTTTTTTTTTGAGACAAGGTTTTGCTCTGTTGCCCAGGCTGGAGTGCAATGGTGCAATCTCAGCTCATTGCAGCCTCAAACTCCAGGCTCAAGCAATCCTCCCACCTCTCGAGTAACTGTGACTACAGTCAGGTGCCACCATGCCCAGCTAATTTTTTCTTTATTTTTTGTAGAAACAAGGTTTCACCATGTTGCCTCTGCTGGTCTTGAACTCCTGAGCTCAAGTGATCCGCCCACCTCAGCCTCTCAAAGTGCTGGGATTACAGGCATGAGCCCTTGTGCCTGGCCGTATTTATTTTTTGCTCTTCATACAGAATCCCTGGATGAGGAAATGTTGGGCCTTCGTCTCTTTCTTGAGGAGACTGCAACTTGCCACTTTTCAATCCATCCTATGCCTCCCGCCCCTTCAGATCATTCTTTCCAATGTACTACTTTGATATCTCCCTCTCTGCTTATAAATCTTCAGTGTCGATAGGCTCAAGATGGCACTGTGACCCCAGGATAATGTGCCTCCATTATCTGGCAACTTACTTCATCATAGTCTCCCAGATGAACCTGTACTCACTCAAGATAATGCCTTCACGGGCCTCTGCTGGCCTCCCGTTCCCCACCCTGGCTCTCTGCCTAGGTGGACTCCCCTTCATCCCACAAGGCCTCAAGGGGTTCCTACCATCTCCAGTCTTGTATCCACCAGCCTTGTACTGAGTTTGATGTTTTCCTGGGCAAGTTTTGGGCTTCGGGTATAGTATAAAATGGCTGTTTCATCAAACTGGGACTCAGAGGATTTCAATTTAAATTTCTGAATGTGTTTCCTCATCCATAAATTAGGGAAAATATGACATACTTCACAGATAATACATGTGAAAGCAATTCATAAACTCCACAGTACTAAACCAATATCAGTTATTATTGTGATATTGTCTTCCCATGAAATACTTTTTAACCAAGGAGTATGATGCTTATAAATGTTATAGGAAGATGGATTTGGGGATTCTCCCTCGGTGGATGGATGCAGAGGAGCATTGGAGGCCAGATGATCTGTTAGGAGGGTGGCTCTACAGTCTAGACAAGAGGTAATGGAAGCTGGATAGGGGTTGATGGTTGTGGAATGGAAAGGAGGATGCAATAGATCCAAGTGATTGAGACAGTTAGGCAACTACAGCACTGGGAGCCACTGCACAGGCACAAAAACAAAAGTAGGGTGCTGGGGACCTACAGTTGGTGGTTAAATCTGTAAACACGAAGGAGCTCTCTGAGGGAGAAGGAAAGCTAGAGCAAATTTCAGGCAGTAAAGAAAGAATACTGAAGGGATATATGGAATTGGGAGACAGGAATGAATTTACTCACATCAACTCCTTCCAGGTGGCTGATCCTTTAATTACTGGCACTTCTGTAAAAATGTCCAGAGTGACCAAGAAAGAAACCAGCCTTCATAAAAAAGAGCAAACTGGGATTGTTACCAGTGAAGGGTGTCCAGATTCTTGGTGTCTTGAACAAAGAATTAGACAAAACACACAAACAAAGCAAGGAAAGAATGAAGCAACAAAAGCAGACATTTATTGAAAATGAAAGTACACTCCACAAGGTGGGAGCGGGCCTGAGCTTAAGGGCTCAAGAGCTTAGTTACAGAATTTTCTGGGGTTTAAATACCGTCTAGAAGTTTCCCATTGGCCACTTGGTGTACACCCCATGGAAATGAAGTAATGGCCAGCAATCAGAGGCTGAAGGGGAGTTACAAAGATTACACCCTATGCAAACGTCCATTTGGTTGTGGAAAGCAACCAATCAGAGGCTAAAATAATGTTACAAAGTTACACTTCTATGCAAATGAAGAGTTGGCCCCCAATCAGAGGCTGAAGTGAAGTTACAAAGGTTACACCCTATGCAAAAGTCTGATTTGTTGTGGAACGCAACCGATCAGAGGCTGAAGCAAAGTTACAAAGTTACACTCCTATGCAAATGTCTGATTGGTTTCAAAAAGCAACCAATCAGAGGTACTTTCAATTTTCCATCTGCTACATAGAAAAAAGGAAGGGGACTTGCAAAAGGTGTAGCTTCTGGTCCTTTTGTTACTTAGGTGTGGAAAGTTGGGTTTTTCCTTTTGACTTGGTTCTAGGAAGTCAGAGTGATTCAGCCTTAGGTTCCCTGCTTCCAGACCCTATTCTCCTGTCTCAGGATGACTGGCATACATGCATTGCCTTATATTTGCCAGTGTCTTTCTCCATGTATATATGGGTCCTACCTCCCTAAACAGGCTGTCAGATCCTCAAAGGCATCTATCATTTAAGTTTCTGGAACCTTCACAGAACCAACCTTTGTACAAAGTAAACAGAAGATACTGCTTGGTTGCTTGAAAGACAGGCATGGGGCGAGGGAGGAAAGCTACTGGGTGAAATCTGGGCTGAATCTGTCAAACAAACTTTTAAGAGTTCTGAAGCAGTCACTAACATTTAAAAATCAGGAGGTTTCAAATACAAATGTAGGTCTTTTATTCCCCAGGGAAACTGCCCATCTGGTGAACCTGTACTCTTTTAGGCAATAGGCATGCAAATAAAAATAAAGCCTAAGGCCAGGCGTGGTGGCTCAAGCCTGTAATCCCAGCACTTTGGGAAGCCTAGATGGGCAGATTGCTTGAGTCCAAGAGTTTGAGACCAGCCTGGGCAACATGGCAAAACCCTGTCTCTACAAAAATATAAAAATTAGTGCAGTGGTGTGTACCTGTGATCCCAGCCACTTGGGAGGCTGAGGTGGGACCATTGCTTGAGCCTGGTAGACGGAGGTTGCAGTAAGCCGAGATTGCACCACTGCACTTCAGCCTGGGCAACAGAGCAAGGCTCTGTCTCAAAAATAAATAAATAAATAAATAAATAAATAAATAAAGCAAGGCTAGAAGACATCTTGGAGGCTGGTAGTGGAGGAACTCTCAAAGAAAATGTGGCCTCTGCTAAGGAGCAAGTGTTGTAGTCATTTTATGCAGACAGTGCTTTGGAGGCCTAAAAGGAGGAGGAGGGGCTAGCTCTGCTTGGAGGAATCCAGGAAAGCTTTCCAGAAGATGTGACTTCTCAGCTGAGTCTTGAAGGATGAGTATGAAAGAATTGTCCAGGAAATGGAGGGGAATGAAAGGATAGCATAAGAAGGGGCAGGGTACAGGTAGAGAAATCCATGCAGGACGGAGAATGATGACACATTCTTGTGGGGCCAGAGCACAGGATACAGGATAGGGAAGGGCCAGTAAGAAAGTTGGAAATGTAGCCTGAGCAAAATGGTGACACCCTGTCTCTACAAAATACAAAAAAAAAAAAAAAATTAGCTGGGCATGGTGGCATGTGTCTGTAGTCCCAGCTACTCGGGAGGCTGAGCTGGGAGGATCGCTTGAGCCCAGGAAGGTGGAAGCTATACTCTAGCCTAGGCGACAGAGCCTGCATCAAAAAAAAAAAAAAAGAAAAAAGAAAAAGAAAAAAAGGTGGGGGGGCAGGCACAGTGGTTCGCACCTATAATCCTAACACTTTGGGAAGCCGAGGTGGGAGGATCACTTGAGCCTGGGAGTTCAAGACCAGCCTGGGCAACATGACAAAACGTCTCTACAAAAATCAGCCAGAAGGACATTGTCCAGAAGATGTTGTCAAAGCCTCACTCTGATGGCTGTGTGGGGAATGGGCTGGATACAGGGAAAGACTAGAGGGCTGCAGGCCAACATCTTACCCTAACTAAGGGAGGGAGCTCCCTTCCTTCCTTCTTTTCTTCCCTCCCTTCCCTTCCCCTCCCCTTCCCTCCCCTCCCCTCCCCTCTCCTCTCCTCTCTTCCCTTCTCTCTTTCCTGAAACACGGTCTCATGCTGTCACCCAGGCTGTGGTGCAGTGGCGTGATCACAGTTTACTTCAGCCTCTACCTCCCAGGCTCAAGCAATCCTCCTGCCTCAGCCTCCCAAGTAGCTGGGACCACAGGTGTGCACCACCATGCCTGGATACTTTTTATTTTGTTGTAGAGACAGTCTCACTATGTTGCCTAGGCTGGTCTTGAACTCCTAGGCTCAAGCAATCCCCTTGCCTCGGCCTCCTAACAGATATGAGCCACTGTGTCCAGGCTTGGTTCTTCCCAGCCCCATATTTGGAAATCAGGGTAGCTCCCCAGCAGGCCATGAGAAGTGTCCTCAAAGCTGAGAGAGTAGACCTGGCTCAACCAGTTCTCTTGGATTGGAGGACAGAAGCATGGGAATGCATTCTTTGTTCTCTCTGCCCACCAGCAAATGTACCCTCCCCCTCCCAGTGTCATATCAGGGGAAACTCCTGACCTGGGAAAAACAAGTATACCATTAGTGCATTCTATCTAAGCAAGCCTTTGCACACCGTTTATAAAACTGTAAACTCCTTTTGGCTTATACATCTTCCCTTCCTCTAGGACTGAACATTGTCAGGCACATAGGAGGTGTTCAATGAACATTTATCAATCTAAAACAAAGATACTTCCACAGGACCTTGGCAGTTGTACATTCACTGCTGACAGTAAAAGAGACCCAGAGCACTGTGTTCTCTGACCAACAACAACAACCACAACAAAAATAGCATGGGATTTGGTCAGAGGCCTTAGATTTCAGTCTTGGTTTAGCCACCCAAGAGCTCTGTGGCTGTGGAGAAGCCACAGAACCTTGCTGAGACTTGGTTTGCTTATCAATTAAAAACAAACAAACAAAAAACAAAATATTCTAAGATATGAGGGTGCACCTGGAAGCACTGTGCAAACTTGTAAAGTGCTATATGAACAAAATGTGGTATATCCGTAAATGGAACATTATTCAGTCATAAAAAGGAATGAAGTACTGATACATGTTACCATATGGATGGACCTTGAAAACATGATGCTAAGTGGAAGAAGTCAGACACAAAAGCCCTGTATTGTATGATTCCATTTCTACAAAATGTCTGGAACAGGCAAATCCATAGAGACAAAGCAAATTAGTGGTTTGTAGGGACTGGAAGGAGAAGAGAATGAACTTTGAGTGCTTAATGGGTATGTGGTCTCCTTTTGGAGTGATGAAAATGTTCTGTAACTAGTGGTGATGATTGTACATTATGATTGTACTAAATGCCACTGAAGTGTGCATTTCAAAATGGTTAAAATGATACCAAATTGCGTATGTGTGTGCTTTTTACCACAATTCTAAAAAGCAAAAAAAAAAAAAAGTTATATGACGGTTAATCAGCCTGAGAAGTCATCGATTTTTGCAGTCAACATGCAGTCTCTATTTTTTGGCGTTGAGAGAACTTACAAGGAGTAGGTGCATCTCCACTAAGAAGCCTCTTCTGAAGACAGCAGGGATGGGAGTGGGAGAGGGAAGAAGGAGTTCTGGCCCATCTGAAAAGAAAGCTTCCCTTCTGGATGGTATTTGTTTCGTAGATTGCCAGTTGTTCACCCTGTTTGTATTTAAATGAAAGGAGGCTTTGAAGTGGGAGCCGCCTCTGAGCACGGCTTGGGGTTCCTGCCTCCCTTGGTAAAGTTCAGACTTGTCCAGATCTGTTTGTAGCCAGAGGTTACTGTTTCTGGTGGAAAAGGCTCAAGTTTGGGTTAATAATACATTATGAGGAAGAGCAGGAGTAAACCTGGGGAGGGCGGGGGCGGCGGGGGGGAGCGGCGGCAACGAATGAGTTCCTCCCAGCCTTGGTGTGAGAAGTAGCTTTCTGATTTGGCCTTCATGGTTCAGGAGTATCATTTTCTCTCTTACGGTCACTGGCTTCCATTTTATAATAATGCTCGTTGCATCTCAGAGCATATTCTCCTTGGTGAAGAACATCTTTAAGTAAATGTATCAATCAATGAAAATTAAAAGTGCTCAGCTAAGCCCTAGCAATGCCTTCAGGACTTGATGGTTACCAGTTTAAGGAAAGTCTTGAAAATGGCAGGAAATTCAATTGTAGTTGAGTTTGCACATTAAAAAAATTGCTCTCCTAGTTTCAGAGTTAAATATTCAGCCAGCCCACAGAAATTGGAAGTCACAGTTATAGACGGGTCACAGTCTGTTCATGTTGATAGTCTGTTAACAAAATGTAGAAGAGTCTGCAAGCAGGTATTCAAAATAACAGCTCCTCATAGCCAGCCATGTCAACGTGGTTTACAAACAACAGTGGAGAAAGTCTCAACAAACCCTCTGAGGGTGATAACTGTAATGATGGTTCGTATCTTTGCCCTATGTAATTTTATGGGAATTGAGAGTCTAGCCAAATAATAAGTTCCAGCCCTTTTTATCTGCCCAGTTCCCAGCACACTCCCGAGGTGTCTGAGGCACTTCTCAACCCAACCTCTTAAAGCAGATTGTAACAATAACAACGGTAATGACAAGTTCCCGAGCTGCACAGTTCCCTTCATTTAAGGAGCGCTGGGAGCTTCAAAAAAACACTCATTAATGGAATCTGACAAAGCTTGCAAGATGGGAAGTCTCTCCCATTTCCAGTTTTCTGGTGGAAAAGTGGGGACTGAGTCCCAGAGGGGTGTCAGTCTCTCTCAAGGGGCTTGAGGGGGTAGGGGGTTTGGGAGTCCTGGGCTACCATTATTCCATGAAATTCGAGAGTCAAGAGTCCCGGGTTCTGGACGCCCCCTTCCCCGGCGTGCTATTTACCAAGTCGCTTCCCATTTCTGGGCCCCAGTTCCCTTAATAGAAGGAAGGGTTGGGCCAAATGGTCTCCAAGATCTCTGCGGTCAACCCTGTCTTTGCCCCCTCACCTCGCGGTTGGGGGTTTCTCCCGCTTCAGAGTTCGGTTAGACTTGTAGTAGAACCGGGTCGGGGGTGGGAGTGGCGTCGAGGGGTTGGAGTGTTGCGGATGCGGGAAGGAGGATGCCTGATGGGGTCCTGGACAAACTGGTGTTTCACGAGTACCGTCCTATGGGAAGCAGGTCTGGGGAGACCAGGTGAGGCTCTAGGACGAGCTCGGAGCCCCAAATCCCCCTGCTGCCTGCAGCGAAACAATGCGAGTAATGTGCCTTCCCCGCCCAGCCCGGGAGCTGCGCGGATAGGAGCGTCCGCGGGTGCGGGATGGCAGCGGGGAGGCGGATATCGCGGCGGGAGGGCTCCGCGCGGCTTTTGCCCATAGGCGGCGGGTCAGGTGGCCGCGCGCAAGAAGGCCTGGGGCTCAGACATGGGCTTCGGGACAAGTCCCAGGCCGTCCCGTTCCCCAGAACCTGGGCCCTTCAGCCCGGAGTAGTTGGCCTTCCCTTTGTGGTTGGGGGGCGGTGGGCTGGCTCCCCGCCTCCGAGGAGGAGGGGAGGAAGGAGGAGCCGGGTGGGGCGTGTCACGCGAAGGAGCGCCGGGCGCCCGGTGCGGCCCCCTAGGAAGTGGATTTGGCCGCTCCGGATCCAACCCGGCTTCCAGGTTTTCTCCCGGCCCGGCCCAGCGTGCTCCCGCCTGTCTCCGGCCCCCCCACGACGCCCGCCCCCTCCCCCCGAGTGCCGCCCGCTTGGCCAAGTTTGCGGAGCGTCGCCGCGCACGCCGGCCAGTCAATCAGCGGCAGAGCTGAGAAGGGCACAGCCGCGCGGCGGAGGGCAGAGTCAGCCGAGCCGAGTCCAGCCGGACGAGCGGACCAGCGCAGGGCAGCCCAAGCAGCGCGCAGCGAACGCCCGCCGCCGCCCACACCCTCTGCGGTCCCCGCGGCGCCTGCCACCCTTCCCTCCTTCCCCGCGTCCCCGCCTCGCCGGCCAGTCAGCTTGCCGGGTTCGCTGCCCCGCGAAACCCCGAGGTCACCAGCCCGCGCCTCTGCTTCCCTGGGCCGCGCGCCGCCTCCACGCCCTCCTTCTCCCCTGGCCCGGCGCCTGGCACCGGGGACCGTTGCCTGACGCGAGGCCCAGCTCTACTTTTCGCCCCGCGTCTCCTCCGCCTGCTCGCCTCTTCCACCAACTCCAACTCCTTCTCCCTCCAGCTCCACTCGCTAGTCCCCGACTCCGCCAGCCCTCGGCCCGCTGCCGTAGCGCCGCTTCCCGTCCGGTCCCAAAGGTGGGAACGCGTCCGCCCCGGCCCGCACCATGGCACGGTTCGGCTTGCCCGCGCTTCTCTGCACCCTGGCAGTGCTCAGCGCCGCGCTGCTGGCTGCCGAGCTCAAGTCGAAAAGTTGCTCGGAAGTGCGACGTCTTTACGTGTCCAAAGGCTTCAACAAGAACGATGCCCCCCTCCACGAGATCAACGGTAGGTGGGCACACCCGGGAGGTGGGCGCAGAGACCGACACTTCGGGAAGGGAGGCTGCAACTCCCTTCCCCCGCCCCGCCGCCCCCTGCGCCGGACGCAGGTACACTAGAGGGAGAAATGGGCAGTCGAGAGGGCAGGAGCGAGCGAGCGAGAGAGCCAGGCAGCCCGGGCGCAGGACGTTCCCCGCGGGCGCAGCGCTCCCCCCTTCCCAGCACTGCGAGCGGAGGGGCGCCGCCGGGTTGCCCAGTGCGACTGTCGCGCTCCGCTCCCCGCCTCCGCTCCTCCTCTCCCCCCTGCATTATTCGCCGTCCCGGGAAGCCCCTGAGGACTGTGGCCCTCAAAGTGCGTGTCACCGGCTACTTCTCCTTTTCCGGGTTGAACTCCTTATAGGACGCCCCGCTTTGTTGTATGGGTGAGGAGAGGCCGGGTGGGGGTGGGGGTCGCCAGTGGGGTGTGGTGGAGGGAAACGTCCCGGAGCTTGCTAGATTCTGGGGGTCGCAAAACGTGGAACTTGAATTGATGTTTCATTGATGTTCTTTTAAAACTCTCTCCCCGCCTCTCTTGCACCGCTGACAAGGATTAGGAGTTTTAGTAGCCGCAACCGCTTCAGAAGTCGCCTTTAAAAAGCAAACGACTACCCCCACTCTCCACCCCTCCAAACCCTGACTTTTGGGAACTCTCCTACTTTCCGGAAGGTATCAGACCAGAGGAGTATTTTTCCCCTCTTTCTTTTTTCTTACCTCATTTTAAGGGTTAATTGCACTTTCAATTACAGACCTTTGAAAGGACTGATTACAGGAAACCTGAATCTCAGTTTGGAGATGGTTATGCAAATAGAGACGGCTTAGCCTGTGAGAAAGTTCACCGGATTTTGGCGCCGGTGGGGTGGGATGGGGGGTGTATGGGGGTATTTGTGAAAGCCCCTCTCGGAGCGCTGGGGAGGCAGCGTTCGGCGGGTGCCCTGCGTCCCTCCCAGCGAAGCTGGCGGCGGTGTCCGGCCGGGTCCCCTCCGGGTCGCACTGTCTTCTTAGCAGCGGCCAACTGTTGCGCGCAGCCCCGCCGGCCGCGCAGGTAGCCCGTTCGCCCTGGGGGCTCAGAAAGCACCACGAATCTAGCTGGCTGGTGGCCAGCGTAATCTAACGGAGGAGTGAGAGATTCGAGCCCGGGGGGGGGGCTGAGCCTCCACTCCGAACCTTTCATGGAAGTGAGTGGAGCGCGCCTTTGCCTTGCCGTGCTGGTCTCCGGGTGGGGCGGGCAGGGGGCCGGCAGCCAGCAAAGGAAATACTGTAATTTCAACCAGGCGCTTCCAAAGGCTTAGGAAGATTTGGGGGTCATTTTTTGGAAGGGCTATTAATAACCTTGGAGATTAAGTGCAGTCATCAATTACATATTAATTACAAAGGTAATTGAGGGAAGTTGCTGGGCACTTTTGGAGTGTAACTGGCGTCTGTCTAGAAATAGAAGCGAAGAAATTGTTGGAGCAGCCCAGGCGCCCACTGCACCTTGGCAGTTACCAAATAACATGCTCACTACTGATTAGACACTGTTTGCCCTTCAGCTGCCTGTCTTTTGGGGAGCTCAAGTATGTCCTCAAAGCGGCACGATTTTATTGGTTGTAGAGCCCTGAAAAGCCCTCTTTCTTTCCCTTCCTCCTGCCCCGCCAGAAAAAAAATGAAGTGAACCACCAGCCGCTGAAGCTTGGGGACTCTGCAGGTCAAACCTGGGGTCTTTGTGCCCTGCACAGTTTAGGCCTGGGCACAGCGGAGATGATTGGCGTGAAGGTTACAGTTGTCATTCCCACATTTTGAAGGGGTAGATGCAGCTCTGCACTTAATGGGAATGTGACAAGGTTTCATCTTCTGCTCATGCAAACAATATGTGCCTTTGATATTGACTGCAGGCATTCAGCGAGTGGGGTTGTGAAACTGCCCTCCCCAGTTTCCCCAACTTTGCTCTGTGCAGTCTTTCGCTGTGGCAGGGCATCTTCCCCAGCCAGCATCTCAGGAAAAAGGAAGCTTGAAGGGTGCTCAGAGACTCTGTGCTAGGTGTTCCCTTTGATTGTCATCATCCCCAGAAATCACCTGAGGGATATTTTGCGTATATGTCTATCTGGACATTCCCCCATGCCAAAGATAGGGGAGTTATTAGTGACCAGCAGCAGGAAATGGAAGCTAATGTGCTCACACCCAAAACATTTTATTCTTTTTGTCTTGTCCTTCATCTCCCTCCCTGGGCTGCTGCTTTTATTTCCCCTTTTGAATGACCTACTGGACTGCATTCTCCTGAGGAACAAAGGAAGTGCCTTTTTAGCTGGAATCCTTGGAAGACCACCAAGGACTTTAGCTCATGCAGTGCAATTTCGCACCACTTTCAACAATAACAAAAATGCATGACTGAATGGCTCAAAAATGTGGAGTGTTAGAGGCATTCATTTGAGTCTAGGACACTGTCACAACACAGACAGACCCAAGTAAATACCTTTAGACGGCCAGTATAGAAACAGGCGTAATCTTTACCATCACCCTGGCCTCTCCAGATGCATACATTAGCCTTGTCTTCTCTGAGCTACACTCAGATAATTTTGGTCATTTTTTAAGGGGGATAGTCAATATAGTGACTTGTATTCAGCCTAGGTCTGGATGGATTAATTGCCAGGCACTTTGCCTGGGATGGGGAATGTGCTTTTTTCAGTGCAAAACACCCAGGATCATTTTCCAGGTGAAGTATCACAAAGTCTGGGTACCTAGCTCATTGAGCCCCAGGCTCAGCCCAAGTTTAATGTTTTATTCCAGATGGCCTTGCACTTGCCTTCTAGAGGTTTGAACAGGCTTTAAGAATACTCCATGTTCTGGAGGAGTCTCAGTCTTTATAGATCATAGTTAGGATCATCTGATGTGCTCTCAAGGGTGTCAGGGAGTACATCATGCTGACAGGGCTTCCAACTGAGGTCCTGCATTGCCTGTCTGCTTGACCCCTGTACTTTTCAAATAATGCTGAGTCCAGGTGCCATGATCAAAAGGGATCTTTAACACAAAGATTATGTTTTTGTTCAGCTTTCAATGGCCATGTACTTTTGGAGCGCCCACTATGTGCAGTATCCTCTGCTCAGCATTGTGGAGACAGCAAGAAAGGCAGGAGGGGCTTCTGCCACCAGGACCTTTCCTATTAGTAAGGAGATAAGCCACGCACACACAAAATTAGAATACAACACAGTGGTGATAAGTGCCATACAAGCGATACAGATGACGAGAAGGGAGTGCCCAGGCATTTCAAAGAGAGAAGGGATTTAGGACTCTAATACTATAGAATATTAACTGGGTAAAGCTAGTTCACTAGTAAAAATGAAAATACTAATGAAGATAAGTTTAAAAATCTAACCATTTTCATTATGCCTCCCTCCATAAAGACAAAGGTAAAGGGTATGCAACAATGGGCATTTTATTACTCATCTATGTTGAAATTGTTTTTAAGAGTGAGGCAGTGGGTTAGAAGCATTCATGAACTTGCCAAAGGTCCTCTTCACAATGACATTGAATGATACTCAGAACTTTGTGCCCTAGTTGCAGTTTTGGAGTTTTTATTTCTTGTTCCCTTCTGTGTTCATGAGCAATGCACCTATGATCATGTGCTCACACACACATACATATGTACATGCACAAAGGATTCCAGGACTCCTATAAGCTGTTATGACTACGTGGAAAAAAAGTACGTGTGTATGTGTGTTGGAGAGGTAGCAATACTTTCTAATAGTGAGTTGATTATATATGACACACAGCATGTGTCTTTAAGATTTGTATTCCGCCTTCCCCACCGTAAGTAATGTGTTGGATTTTGCAATGAATCTGTGATCTCCTGTTTTGTTGGAATCATCAATTTGGCTCTGTGTTTCACTTGGGGAGGGTCGAATTGAGCCACAGGGCCTATCACTGTAGAAATTGTCCCAAGTAGTTTACAGGAGGTATCTTCTGGACATGTTCAAAAAAGAATTTAGTTAAAGTTCTGGCTTATGCAGCTCAGTCTCTGGTTAGAACATATAAATATAAAATGTCTGATTCAGCATAATTACTGTTTTCCTTTTTTATTTGATTCACGTTGGGTTGCATGCAATTTCAGGATTAACTGGAGACTAGACTGAGGAATGAAAAAGGAAGTTTTTTGTTATGTGTACAAGGGAAACAACATTGGCGTTAATCTGAGGCAGTTGGAAGTGAGTCTCTCTGGCTCCCCAATGACATTAACTGTTTTAGCACTGAGGTTTTTTTCTTATTTATGTTTTTAAAAATGTATTTTGGCCTCATGATAAGAGTTCGTAGCTATTGAATGCTTTCTCTGGGCCTGGCCCTATACCAAGGAACTTACATGATTGTCTCATTTAAAACCCACAACAACCATATGACATCAGAATTATCATCTCCATTTTATAGACAAGAAAACAAATTCAAAGGGATTATGAAATATGTTCACAATCTTATAGCTAATGAATAACAGAGGTGGGATTTGAACCCAGGTCTTATCTGTTCTAGAGTATAGTTCATGCTATGTTGTACAGATAGTAAGACAAGAAAGTACCTTCTCTATTCCCATAGAGGTTGTTGAGATATAAAGTATGGGAGGACCCTCAGCTAACTAGTAACAGACCATCATCAAAACGGCACAATTTTCGTGTTATAGTGGAGAGGATCCAGTCACATCTTTTGTAGACAAAATGTCAAACCCAGACATAGACAATCTAGTGTTAATGGTAGAAGGAATATAAATTGTATTTCCTGGACAATACAATTGAGCCAATGAGGGTTTCTGAGGGAGGGGAATGTCGTCAGTCAAGCTGTTTTAGGAAGATAACTAGTGGCTCTTTGGGTTAAGGGTTGGCGAGGCAAGAGATAAAGACAGGGAGGTCTGTCAGCAGACTCTTTTTAAATAGTTCTTAACTGGTCTACCTGCCTCTTGTCTGTCCCCCCCTCCTAAATCCCTGTTCTATCCTGAACATCGCCAGCTTAATTTCCTTACATCACTGCTTTGATTAGAGTTATTCCTGTGCTTTGAGCTTCAGTGGCTCCAAGCATCTCAAATGATACTTCTTTCATTGAGTCACTTCTGAACTCTCCAGGGTTATGTGCCCACTTCTTCCTAATTCCCTGTTGGAACCAGTCCATGGTCTTTGTACATAACTGCCTTGTATTATAGTTAACTGTGTGTGCAGGTACGTGTTTGTCTTCTCAACTGGAAGCAACTTGAGGGCAAAGATGACAACTCCTCGTCTTGTCTGTGGGTAGCAGTACCAAGTGTGGTAGGTCAGTGCAATATTTGTTAAACAAGTGGGAGAATAACATAGCCAATTCTATTGTGTTCTCTGTCAGACACTAGTGCTACAATGAGATTATACTGCCTTGATGATAGATTGTCATTCCATGGTCTGTTGATCTCCTAGGAATCTTTTGGATCTAAACACTTTTTTTTTTTTTTTTTTTTTTTTTTTTTTTTTTTAAGGCAGGGTCTCACTGTTGCCCAGACTGGAGTGCAGTGGCGTGATCTTGCCTCATCGCAACCTCTGCCTCCCAGGCTCAAGCAATTCTCCTGCCTCAGCCTCCAGAGTAGCTGGGATTATAGGCATGAGCCACTACCGCCTGGCTAATTTTTTTTTTTTTTTTCCAAGATGAAGTTTCGCTCTGTTGCCCAGGCTGGATTGCAGTCGCGTGATCTCGGCTCACTGCAATCTCCACCTCCTGGGTTCAAAGGATTCTCTTGCCTCAGCCTCCCGAGTAGCTGGGATTATAGGCGTGTGCCACCATACCCGGCTAATTTTTGTATTTTTAGTAGAGACGTGGTTTCACCATGTTGGCCAGGCTGGTCTAGAACTCCTGACCTCAAATGATCCAGCCTCCCAA
The DNA here is from genome assembly GCF_000001405.40 of Homo sapiens. Taxonomy (NCBI): domain Eukaryota; kingdom Metazoa; phylum Chordata; class Mammalia; order Primates; family Hominidae; genus Homo; species Homo sapiens. The sequence goes on along the minus strand of NC_000023.11, from coordinate 133,408,919 downwards.
AGTGCTGGAATTACAGGCATGAACCACCATTCCAGGCCTGTATCTAAACACTTTGAAGTGAAATAAATTTAAAGTAAATATGCATATGTTGGTATAGCTTGGAGAACGTTTTTATTCTTTTGGGGGAGTACTTGTCTTTACCACTTCATTAATAACTGAATGCTTATAGGATTTTTTTTTATTTTTTGAAACAGAGTTTCGCTCTTGTTGCCCAGGCTGGAGTGCAATGGCACGATCTCAGCTCTCCGCAACCTCCGCCTCTGGTTCAAGCCATTCTCCTGCCTCAGCCTCCAGAGTAGCTGGGATTACAGGCATGCACCACCATGCCCGGCTAATTTTGTATTTTTAGTAGAGATGGAGTTTTTCCATGTTAGTCAGGCTGGTCTTGAACTCCTGACCTCAGGTGATCCACCTCGGCCTCCCAAAGTGCTGGGATTACAGGCATGAGCTACTGCACTGGCCAGGAATTTTTCAGAAAGATTCAGAATTGTTTTTCTTAATGCCTTGAGATACACTTCTTTAAAGAATGAACAGTTGAGACTGTTGTGATTAGGCAATTTAGAGCAAATTTACCACATGCAACTGTTCAGTGTGCATCAGTTACCTTTTAACATAAAAAAACTCAAGTTTATTGTCTTTACCAAGAAGAACACAAGCTTTGAAGGGTATCAGAATATTTTATATAAATAAACAGACATACTAAAATACAAACAGGTAAAAACTAGCATTTTCAAATCTACTTGGTTAAACATCTGTTGCTTACTATAGAGAACATGAAAGTGCAGAAAATGCATGAAGCGATTCCATCCTGGAGGTAATTTGAAATATTATGTTTAAGTTCTGATGCATTTAATTCAGCAATCTGGTGGGAGAGAAAAATCAAAGAGCTGCATCAGCCAGGTATTCAACTTTTGAGAAAGAAACTCTAACAAATGTTAGAAATTAGGGGAAAAAACTGAATGGGAGAGTTAAAAAAGTCAATAACCTCCAGGAAGCCTGGAAACTATGTAAAAACATCTTATTGGAAGCCCAGATAAATGTGTGCCAGACATCAAAAAGACCAACTGCTCGGGGGAAGAAAAAAAGAACCCGGCATGACTAACTGGCAGAGTAAAAGAGGCTGCTTCAGGGAAAAAGGCATCTTTCACAAAATACAAAGAGTTTAAGCCAGAAGAGGGAAGTCCACTAGGTTTCACAAGGCCCAGGTACAAACTAGAAATTAAGTGGGCTGACAGAGAATTGAAGTTGAATCTTGCAAGGGATTTGAAAGATGGCATGTGTGATAATAATGGTGAAAAGGGTGGGTTGAGTCCAACCTATCTAGGGAGAAGCAATATGGCTTCTTTAAGGGTAAACCATGCCTGATTGATCTCTCGGGATTCTTTGTGTGGAAAAAAAAGCATGAGGATACAGGGAAGCAGACATACATCATTTAGGTTTTTAAAAATTATGCAATGGGATTCTAAGGCAAAGAATATTCAGAAAATATATTTACTTTGAGATAGGTGGGGATAGTTGGACAGAGAGGGAGAGTGAGGGAGGGAAGAGACTCCACTGTTGTAGATGGAGTAGTTTACATGGAGAAGACATGGCTTGTTAGGATGAGTAGTTCTAGCCTAACTCTGGCAAATTTGTTGTCAAATACCTTTGGTGAGGTTCTTCCCTCTTTGAAAAATGGGGTGAAATTGAACCACCTGGCACCTGAGGAGCTTTTAAAATATACTAATGCCTGGGTACCACCCCATACCAATGAAATAATACTTTTTTCAGGAAGGACTAGGCCATGATGGATGGATGGATGGATGGATGAATGTGTGTGTGTGTGTGTGTATTTTTTTTTTTTGAGATGGAGTCTTGCTCTTGTCACCCAGGCTGGCGTGCAATGGCGTGATCTCAACTTACTACAGCCTCCACTTCCTGGGTTCAAGCGATCCTTCTGCCTCAGCTTCCCGAGTAGCTGGGACTACAGGTGTGTGCTGCCACACCCGGCTGGTTTTTTGTATGTTTAGTAGAGATGGGGATTCACCATGTTGGCCAGGCTGGTCTTGAACTCCTGGCCTCAAGTGATCCACCCACCTTGGCCTCCCAAAGTATTGGTATTACAGGCGTGAGCCACTGTGCCTGGCCCATGGTAGTTTTTTTTAATTTTCTTTTTTTTTTTTTTTTTTTTTTGAGACGAAGTCTTGCTCTGTTGCCAAGGCTGGGTGCAATGGCATGATCTCCACTCACTGCAACCTCCGCCTCCTGGGTTCAAGTGATTCTCCTGCTTCAGCCTCCTGAGTAGCTGGAATTACAGGAGCACACCACCACTCCTGGCTAATTTTTTATATTTTTAGTAGAGACAGGGTTTCACCATGTTGGCCAGGCTGGTCTCGAACTCCTGACCTCGTGATCCGCCCGCCTCGGCCTCCCAAAGTGCTGGGATTACAGGCGTGAGCCAGCATGCCTGGCCTAGGTCCCTTCCATCTCTGAGATTCTATTATTCTAAATTTTCCAATGAGATTCATCACAAAATGTTGTTTGAGATAAAGCCTTTAGTTTAGAATCAGTGCATGGTTGTTTTAATTTTGGCTAACTTGGATTTAAGAGAAAGGTGTGTCAAACATGGAGGAAAATGTTTTCAATCAAGATATAAGTGTGAACCACAACTGAGTGCTGCTTTGCTGCAGGTAGAGACATAAGACAAGCACAATGAGAATACTTTGGAAAGAATTAGAACAGAATCCAGCCTTGCTGTCATTTATTGATTAAGTGTCAACATGCTAGGTGATATTTCTTCCCTTTTTCTTTATTGGTAAAATTAAAATAAATCTCTTTATCCCTTACTTTAATGTCCTCTTTGCCATGTGTTTATTCTCTTCAAGTATCTTATCAAGAAATAGAAGTACAGTAAATCCCTAGGCTTCTAGCTGGTGCAACCATCCAGAACACAGCTGGGAATGTGGAAGTAAGCAGAAAAGCCAAATGATGGAAACAGCTGTCATAAAGCCCATGCATTCTATGTGGAGAAAAGGCCTTCAGAAATTTATTATCAGCAATCATTGAATGGCTCCTGTATCCAGAGCAGTATGCTGGGTGCAGGGGATTCCAAGAGGTGTCAAGCAGGAATCAAGCTTTTGAGGAACTTGCATTCAAATTAGGTAGATAGGGTTTATACGTGAGAAGATAAAATGCTTTGGTTATCCAGTTTCCCAGTCTATGGCAGATTAGAAGTAGCAAATGGTATTGGTTGGGGGCCGATGGGAATCACAGGAAGGGATCGTGTTAGAGGCAGGTAAGACTTGACATCTGGAAGAAGTGAGAGAGGACAGTTGGAGGGTGACCAGAAGCTGAATGGGAGAGCCAGAACTTGCTGATCTTGGCAGTTTGAGATCTCCTAGAATGGGCGAATGCTCAAAGCCACCTTTGTAACCATAATCATCGAGGGCACTAGTATATTTCATTACAGTATTAAATAATGGTGTTTGGCTTATTCTGATTTAAAAGTTCAGAAAGTACATTTTAGAAAGAGTTCCATTACTGGGCACGGTGGCTCACGCCTGTAATCCCAGCACTTTGGGAGGCCAAGGTGGGCGGATCACCTGAGGTTGGGAGACCAGCCTGACCAACATGGAGAAACCCCGTCTCTACTAAAAATGCCAAAATTAGCCAGGCGTGGTGGCACATGCTTGTAATCCCAGCTACTCGGGAGGCTGAGGCAGGAGAATTAGTTGAACCCGGGAGGTGGAGGTTGCAGTGAGCCGAGATTGAGCCATTGCACTCTAGCTTGGGCAACAAGAGTGAAACTCTGTCTCAAAAAAAAAAAAAAAAAAAAAGAGTTCTATTGGAAATATTCAAAATATGAAAACTACCCTTAAGGGGGAAATTTAGTTAACTTACACATTTACCTATCTAGAGCACCCAGTTTCCCAACAGTGCTGGATCAACAAGGAGTCAATCTACGTGTCACTTTGTCTTTTTATTTTAAAAAATGTGTTAAAAATTGTATATTATTAATTCAGTGGCTTTTTCACCTCAGAGCTTGTGGTTTATGATTTTGTTCCTCTGCACCTTTTTTTTTTTTTTTTTGAGACAGGGTCTCACTCTTTTGTCCAGGCTGGAATGCAGTGGCATGATCTCTGCTCACTGCAACCTCTGCCACCCAGGTTCAAGAGATTATCCCTCAGCCTTCCAAGTAGCTGTGATTATAGGCATGCACCACCACGTCCAGCTAATTTGTATATTTTTAGTAGAGATGGGCTTTCACCATGTTGGCCAGGCTGGTCTCGAACTCCTGGCCTTAAGTGATTCTGCCTTGGCCTCCCAAAGTGCTGGGACAGGCGTGAGCCACCACGCCCGGCCCCTCTGCACCTTCTTTTTTTTTTTTTTTTTTTGAGGCAGAGTCTTGCTCTATTGCCCAGGCTGGAGTGCAATGGCGCATTCTCCACTCACTGCAACCTCCGCCTCCCGGGTTCAAGCGATTCTTCTGCCTTAGCTTCCTGAGCAGCTGAGATTACAGGTGTGCCCCACCACGCCTAGCTAATTTTTGTATTTTTTAGTAGAGACGGGGTTTCTCCATGTTGGTCATGCTGGTCTTGAACTCCTGACCTCATGATCCGCCCACCTTGGCCTCCCAAAGTGCTGGGGTTACAGGCGTGAGCCACCACACCTGGCCCCTCTGCACCTTCTTTTGAAAGCCCTCTAGAACATCTAGGTTCAACTTAGTTTCTGATACTGTACTACCTGCTGTGGTCAGTTTAGGGAACTGAGTTTTGACCTGAAGTCAACAACAGTTGGTTCCTCGTTAAGGGTGACACATTTGAATACTGGTTTCCCTTGTAAACATTTACCAAACTAGGTAAATGTATAATCATAAGAAACACTAGAAGTTAAGGATAGTGTCTGACTATGTAGCTATTTGAACCTTAAAAAAAAGCAAAGCTTGGCTGGGCATGGTGGCTCTCGCCTGTAATCCCATCACTTTGGGAGGTCGAGGCAGGCAGATCACTTGAGGCCAGGAGTTCAAGACCAGCCTGGCCAACATGGTGAAACCCCTTCTCGACTAAAAACACAAAAATTAGCTGGGGTGTGGTGGTATGCACCTGTAATCCCAGCTACTCGGGAGGCTGAGGCACAAGGATTGTTTGAACTTGGGAGGCAGAGATTGCAGCAAGCCAAGATCACACCACTACACCCCAGCTTGGGCGACAGAGTGAGACTCTGTCAAAAAAAAAAAAAGGCAGCTCTATGTGCCCTATCATGCCAGATCTGAGAAACCATGTATCCCCAGTTCCTAACATACTGCATGGCATGTGGTAGGTGCTCAGGAACGTTAAGCATGACTTTTTGTTTCTGTACTCATTCCAGGACGAGATATTTTTATTCATATCTGCTGTGCTCTTACTCTATTCTTCTAAAATTCATATGTTGAAATCCTAACCCTCAAGGTGATGGTATTAGGAGGTGGAGTCTCTGGGAGGTAAACCCTCATGAATGTGATTAGTGCCCTTATAAAAGAGGCCCCAGAGAAAACCGTTAACACTTGCGCCACATGAAATTACGGTGAGAAGATGGCCCTCTATGAGGAAGCATGCCCTTACCAGAACCCAATCTACCAGCATCTTGATCTTGGACTTCCTGGCCTCCAGAACTGCAAGCAATAAATTTCTGTTGTTTAGAAGCCACCCAATCTTTGGTATTTTGTTTTAGCAGCCCAAACAGGCTAAGATAACCCTTTTTAAATCTAATTATTTTAAGCTATCTCATTTATTTTTAACTTTTGCATACATTCAGTCCTAGATGCCTAAGTAAGGAAAGGAAAAGGAAAACATGTTTTTTTACCCCTTAACCTAGAGCGTGGTGCTCTTTCTTGGCTTGCTTGGAGGTGGGCGCTTAGTATTTCATGTGGTTTGTTTTAATCCCGGTAGACAAATGGTTGCTACTTCTTACGCTGTCTGTTCCAGACATTAGCAGGAACTTGGCTGTGCCTGCAGAGGTGCTTTTTCTTTCTTTCTTTTTTTTTTTTTTTTTTCCTTTTGAGACGTAGTTTCACTCTTGTTGCCCAGGCTGGAGTGCAATGGCATAATCTCAGCTCACTGCAACCTCTGCCTCCTGGGTTCAAGTGATTCTCCTGCCCCAGCCTCCTGTGCAGCTGGGACTACAGGCACCCGCCACCATGCTCGGCTAATTTTGGTATTTTTAGTAGAGACGGGTTTCACCGTGTTAGCCAGGCTGGTCTCGAACCCCTGACCTCAGGTGATCTGCCTGCCTCGGCCTCCCAAAGTGCTGGGATTACAGGCATGAGCCCCCACACCTGGCCTCAGAGGTGCTTTTAGAAGAGGCTACCTTTGCCCCTTTTTGTTGCATCAGCCTTTCTACTAGGTGCTCACTTCCGTCTTCTTCTCCTGGAGGTTTGGGTCAGGACTTGATCTCTGCATCATCGCAACCATTCTTTTCATGCTAGTCCTTTCTTTGCAAAGCCACTTTGTTAGTTTGGCTTTTGCAGGCCTCTTAAAGCCTGTCTTCTTTCTTCTGTTCACCTTCTGCCTACCAGAGCAGGCTGGAAGTGGTTTCTTTTGGACTGTAGACATTTCCTTAGTTCACCAAACCCTTGACGTCATCATCCCAGCAAGCATTAAGCCACCAGAATATTTTTTTTTCCTTCAGTTATTGTTTCTATTTCACCACACATTTGTCTCCATTGAGTTTTCGGTCTGGTGTTTGGTCAGAGATGAAAACAAAGCACTGTGTCCTTGCAAACTGCAGTGTAAAGCATGTGGTTAGCAGTTACTACTTGCAGTGGTCCAGTCTGAGTGGGAGTATCATTTTTCTTGGCAGTGACTTCACAGAAAGTCCTGTTTTTTGGTGCCAGAGTAAGCAGTCATTACATTCCTTACAATTTATAGTCAAATTATTATCTACTATTGTTTAAATTGCCTTAATTATAGAAGATTTCCCTGTGCTAAGATTTTAAAAAGCAAAATAAGACAACTTTTTACCAATGTACTTTAGAAATGGTCCTTAAACATCACCTGTCACCAGGATGTTGGAGGCTATGGTAAGGATTAGTTCTTTGTGTTTATGGGGAGATTTTTTTTAAAGGGGAGTAGTGAAATGAGTTCACTTTAAACTGAATTTGAATTAAATGCCCCCAGCTGGCTGGTTGGTTAATGTTCTGCCTTGTTGTTTACCCACAGTTTGGAACTAACTTTTCTTTCTGCCCTCTCAGATCTGATGGGCCTGGACACATTCTGGGAGGCTCTTCTGGTATGAGGTCAATGGATTATTAAGCAGTGAGGCAGTCTTAGAAGATGTTCGTGTATTCTTTAGGTTGGAGAGCAAATGATGAAATAACAACCTTCCACAATAAGGGACTGCATCAATTTTCTTGTAATCTGAATAAAGATTTAGGTGACTGGATGGGATATGTTTCAGCTTAGCTAATGTTTCATAATCTCTACCTTTGGGCTCTGCTTTCAAGATATATGTAAAATTTGTCATCTTACCATCTCAGTGACTACTATCCTGGTCTCACCCCTCATTACCTCTTGCCTGGATTATTGCAGTCGCCCATATCAGTTCCCCTGCTCTAGCTCTCTGGCTCTGGCTCTCCCCAGCCTGTGTTCTCAGCATAGCAACCAGTGTGATGGTATTCTCTTAAACTTAGATCGTATCACTCCTTTGCTCAGAATGCTCCAATGGTTCCCCATGCCAGCTAGAGTGAAAATCAAGGCTTATGAGCACATCTGCCTTCTCCTGTGCCAGCCCACGAGGTCTTCTCTTCTCAGGCTTTATCTTTATCCAGGTCCCATCCCACTCTAGCCATGTTGGTCTCTCTGTTTTCCTTCAAGCACACCAGGCACGTTCAGGGGCCTTTGCACTTCTTATTTTCAGTGCCTTGAACACCCTGCTGCCAGATAGCAGCATGGTTCACTCCCTCACATGTTTCAGGGCTTTGATTACCTATCACCTTAATAGAGAAGCTTTTCCTGGTCTCTGTATAAAATAGGATACTCCCACCCCCCCACCCCCTGCAGACACACACATATATTCATATACTTCGTCCTTCTTCCTCTCTGCTTTCTTCTTCTTAGTTATCACCACCTGACCTGTGGGCAGGGGCTTTGCCTCTTTTATTCACTGCCCTATACCCAATGCCTACCACATTGGCTAATACTCAAAAATGTTTGTTGAATGAATACATGAATGAGTACTCCTTGCAAATAGGTTGCTCTTAGGAAAAAAGCTTTCAGAGGGCATAGTTGACTCTTTAGGACTTGTGAATATGAGATTATACATATGAACTCCCATCTGTAGAAAGGGGGTGCCTAAACTGGATTCATTCATTCAGCAGATATTTAGCAAGTGCCTATTAATTGCTAGGCGCTGGGGATAGAACAGTGAATAAAAAGGATACAAGCCAGGTCTCACACTTATGGAGCTCACAGTCTAAATGGTGAGGCAGACATTGATTCAATAATTCTGAAAATTGGTAATTAGTTACAGTTGTGATAACTACTTCCAAGGAAAAGCCCTTGGTCTTGGATGTGGGGTAAGGGAATGGCAATCAGGGCAAAGCATAGTTTTCTTGAACATTATGGGCCTATAAGGCCTTCTCATTTTCTAGGAGTAGTGCTTTTTACATCATCACAAGCTCCCGCCCCCAGTGAATGGCCAGGGTTTGTGTTTCTGGCAGTGGATCCTGAGATGAGTCCTAGAGCACTTGTGCAGTAGTGCAGGGAAGATAGGCCCGAGTTATCTTGGCTTACATGGAACACTTTCTCTGGTTGCATATTGTGAACAAAAGTTCTCTGAAAAGGAATTTGGAGGAAAAAGACTTCATTCCAGTGAACAGTTTGTAAACTGGGGAGACACATCCTTCAGTGTAAAACAAAAGTGCACATTCCAGAGACCAAAGAGAGGATTCTGGTTTCTGGTTGTTTTTGTTTTGGGACAGAGTCTTGCTCTGTCGCCCAGGCTGGAGTGCAGTGGTGTGATCTTGGCTCACTGCAGCCTCTGCCTCCCAGGTTCAAACAATTCTCCCAACTCAGCCTCCCAAGTAGCTGGAACTACAGGTGCACACCACCACTCCCTGCTAATTTTTGTAGAGATGGGGTTTTGCCATGTTGGCCAGGCTGGGCTCAGACTCCTGGCCCCAAGTGATCTGCCCACCTTGGGCTCCCAAAGTGTTGGGATTACAGGCGTGAGCCACCGAGCCTGGCTGGATTCTGGTTTTAGTGCAAAAGTTCCCACCTAGGTTCCTAAGCAAGTGTTATGCAAATGAAAGACTGAAATTTGCTTAATTCCAATTGGTTGACTCAGCTGGGCCCTGATTGGTTGATACAAGTGAGCCCTGATTGGTTGGTACAGGTGAGCTCTGATTGGTTGCTTCAGGGGAGTTCTGAAAGTCCCAAAGTTAAACGGAGGTGGGTGTTTTCAGGAAACTCAGAGGAAGTATGTCACCTTTAGCTAGCAAATGACCACTTGATTCTATTTTAAATTTAGGCCTAGTTAACCACTTGGGATCCACCTTGAAGGATTGGCTCTTTCAGGTTCACATTTGTTTACAATACTGTGGCCATCATTTTAAGGATTGGGTTTACAGGGGCACTGGAAAATGCAAAGTTAACGCTTGTGTCACTTTGCACTGTTGTTTTCTGTCCTCTAGGTGGTCTGCAAAGGTACCAGACAATTAGTGCTAAAGCCTTTAGGCTTTTATGAAAGGTCTGAGTCCGCTCTCATTTTCATAGAGACCACAGAAATACTGTCATTTGATTGGTGGGTGGCTCAAGATGAAGCCCCCTGGCCTTGCAATAGTAAAACTCTGGTTTAGCAAAATATGGATGGAATGCATCTGTCAATTGGTGACAAGATTCCTTCCCTTGCCAAGCCTTTATCAATGGTGACCGAGTGGGCAGGTTGTCTCAAGGAGAGGAGGGTCCTGGCTGTGCAGGGAGCAAGTGCATAGGCTGGCCAGGGAGATTAGGATTGTAAGCAAATGCAGCCTGAGTGATAAGTCTTAGCAGTTATCAAAACAGGATGGGAAGGAGCCTTCCTTGCCACATGCTGCTGCTCTGAGAACAGAGTCTTCCGTATTTCAAGAAAGATTGTTTTTTCAGAATTTTAGATGAACACTGTGAGATAGGTCCCTATTTCTTTTTTTTTTTTTTCTCTGAGACAGAGTCTCAGTCTGTCACCCAGGCTAAAGTGCAGTGGCACAATCTTGTCTCACTGCAACTTCCACCTCCCGGGTTCAAGTGATTCTCCTGCCTCAGCCTCCCGAGTAACTGGGATTACAGGTGCTTGCCACCACACCTGGCTAATTTTGTATTTTTAGTAGAGGAAGGGTTTTACCATGTTGGCCAGGCTGGTCTTGAACTCCTGACCTCAGGTGAACTCACCCGCTTCAACCTCCCAAAATGCTGGGATTACAGGCGTGAGCCACGGGGCCTGGCCAGTAGATCCCTATTTCTTAGTTTGTTCAGAAATTCAAAGTCCTAATGAGGAACCCTGAGGCTGGGGTATGTATAGAGACACTAGCTCGGATGCCTGACAATTTTACCTAGAGGTACATGAGTAGCTGTGACATCCCAGTGTTTCTGGGTTACAAGCAAGTATTTTTAGCTATTTTCTAATGTGGACCCCTCTTCTGAAGGGCATACTACATAGCCATGACAAAGGCTGAAGTCCCAAGCTCTCCATTTAATGCAGTGAACTGACTGCATTGTTGTAAATTGGGAGCAAGTTTGTAGGCAAGGGGCAAGTTTGCTTAAATATGAAGACTAAGGTGAGCCCTACTTTAAATATGAATTTAAATATGAAGATTATGGTATATGCCCTATTTTAAATAGTATAGGCTTACTATATTTTGTTTGTTTGAGACCGAGTCTCTCTCTGTCACCCAGGCTGGAGTGCGATGGGGCAATCTCAGCTCACAGCAGCTTGTGCATCCTGGGTTCAAGTGATTCTCCTGCCTCAGCCTCCCAAGTAGCTGGGATTACAGGTGTGAGCCACCACCACGCCCAGCTAATTTTTGGATTTTTAGTAGAGACAGGGATTCACCATGTTGCTCAGGCTGGTCTCGAACTCCTGAGCTCAGGTGATCTGCCCGCCTTGGCCTCCCAAAGTGCTGGGATTACAGGCGTGAGCCACTGTGCCCAGCCTCAGCCTACTATTATTATAAGGGTAAGTTTTCTGATTAAGAATATAAGTGTTTAATTTCTCTTACAATGGCTCTAATGATCCATATGCTAGGAGGCACTCAGGGTGTGGGCTGAGCTGCATGAGCTTATGATAGGGCAAACCAATCTTTATCTAAACTTAGCTTTAAGTTTATGGGTATGTGATTGTCTCTGCTTTATTTTTATTTTTACTTTTTTTTTTTTGAGACAAGGTCTTACTCTGTCACCCACCCTGGAGGGCAGTGGTGTGATCACGGCTCACTGCAGCCTCAACCTCCCAGCCTTAGATGATCCTCCCACCTCACCCTCCCAAGTAGCTGAGATCACAAGCACACACCACCATGCCTGGCTAATTATATATTTTTTGTAGGAGGGAGTTTTGCCATATCGCCCAGGCCAGTCTCGAACTCCCAGCGCAAGTGATCTGCCTGCCTCGGCTTCCCAAAGCGCTGGGACTAGAGGCGTGTGCCACCACACCTGGCTAATTTCTGTATTTTTTGTAGAGATGGGGTTTTGCCATGTTGCCCAGGCTGGTCTCGAGCTTCTGGGCTCAAGTGATCTGCCTGCCTTGGCCTCCCAAAGTGCTGGGATTACAGGTGTGAGCTGCTGTGCCCGGCCTCTGCTTTAGTTTAGAAACAGATAAAGCATTTGCCATTTTTTTACCAGTAATCTTTTAGTGTTTCTCTTGGAGTGCTGAGATTTTCTTGGTTGCTTCTAAGCTCAAGAGTGAAGTAATATACAATGAGATTCTGGGGATAAGCATGCTTCTCTCTCTGCTGGGTCTGTAATGAAAGGTTTGTTAAGCAAATAAATGGTGTAAATATTATATCAGGAAATGATTAACACCTACATAGGGAAAGAGACTATTCCCAAACACCTCAGGAACAACCATTGTAATCAAAACCATTGTGTTAATTACAAAAATATCTGTTTATTAAAGTAGGTCTTTAAGTTGCTTTAGTTGCCAATACTTCCTGCGGTCACTTTGTGTTTGAAAGTGATAAGTTCGTGTTTCTTTAAAAATACTGTATAATTCAGCCCATATTCCCTCCAATAAGTCAAATTTATAGAAGACATTTCTGTAATCGACCATATTAACGAGAGACTAATGGCAACTCGGCTGTTAGGACAGGATATTTGTTTTTCTTCTTGAAGTCCTAGCAGCTGTTTTATCCTCATATTTTGCAGAAAGGAAAAACAACTAAAAAAATGAGATGTGTTTTTAATGTGAGGGGAATGCAAGCTGATCACTAAGAATAAAGAGAAATGATTGCATTTGGCGCAGTTATTGATTTCAGAAATGTCTTTGAATCATGTTATATGCATGAGTGTTATGCCAATGCTTTGTGGCTTCCTGGGGTGACATTTAGGGAATGTAGATTTAGATCCTACATTTTGCCAAATATAAATTGCCTCAAGTATTAAGTCGTTTTCTGAACAAAAATTGATGGTAAAGGAATTTATCGCTATTTTCAACAGTTACTAGATGTGTGATCAGAGAGTTGTGTCAAACCTTGAATTTTTCTAATGTTGTATATTTAGTAGTGTATGCTGTTGTTGAAAGTATAACCTCAACTGCAGGCAGTTTCCTAGGGACCATTAATTTGTTCTTAAAGTATTTCAGTCGTGATAGTCATTTTCTTTTGAAATGAAGGAAAATTTTGATCATTAAGAAAGAATAACAGCATTTTACACTAAATAAATGTAAAGTATTGGAGATTTCTTCTAATACCATATAACTTAGGTTTCTTAGTTATATTGAATTCTGTCCACTGAAGCAATTGACTTTGTGCCAGTGTTCCTTTTCAAACAATTTATTATAAACTTGACCTGTCCTTTCTCATCTCATATCTCTCTTCTTTTCCTAATATTTGTTTTCTTTTAATCAGTCAATATTGATTTTTTTTCATTAAGAACATAAGGGGCTAACATGATTTCATCAGCCCGCTAATTGCTTTAGTAATAGAAATCTGTTGGTCCCTCAAACATCAGGGGTGCAGTTTTAAAAAGAAGTGGTAACTGATTCTTGAACCATATGTCTTTAATTTTTACAAAAAGTCTAGCAGGGCCTGAAACTTTAAAAAAATTCGTACCATTCTCTTCCAAGGTTTAAAAAAAATTTCATTTTTTTATTTTTGAGATGGAGTCTCACTCTGTTGCCCAGGCTGGAGTGCAGTGGCATGATCTTGGCTCATTGCAACCTCTGCCTCCAGGGTTCAAGCAATTCTCCTGCCTCAGCCTCCCAAGTAGCTGGGATTACAGGCATGCACCACCATACCTGGCTAATTTTGTATTTTTTTAGTAGAGACAGGGTTTCACCGTGTTGGTCAGGCTGGTCTTGAACTCCTCACCTCAGGTAATACACCCACCTTGGCCTCCCAAAATGCTGAGATTACAGGCGTGAGCCACCATGCCTGGCCATAAATTTTTAATTATAATATAAACCCTATCTACTTAAAATTATTTGATCATATTCAATAGGATTCGTACAATCATGGTGATAATTGTTATTAATTATTAATTTAATAACAATAGGTAACAACTACTGAGCACTCACTATGGGCCTATTTTGAACGCATCATGTAGATTAACCCATTTAATGTAAACAGAAAATAAAAAAGATGGAGGATGGAGTGGAGAATTTTAAATGGAGTAAAGAATTTTGAAAGGCTATTACAGTGAATGAACTGTGGGCTTGCGGGTAGCTGGGGGTAAAATAGGAACACCAACTGGTTATGCATTTTTTGTTTATCTGATAAAAAGAAACATGAGAGCTCTTCAGGCAAGGTATTTTCTTGTTGTTGCTCAATCTAGAAAGAATGTATTATGGAGGCTGTTACGTAAATGACACTAAACAGCTTAATAATCAGTGTTGTCAACATAATTTCACATGGCTGTTTCTTCTACTGATCTTCCAATAGAAGATCAACCAAAACAACAGGTGAGAAAGTCAGGATTTTAGGTCCATGGTGTTGTCTTGGGTCTTTAGACTAAAGAATCAAACTCTTCCTGTCTTTAGTGGTAACTGCTTCTTTCTTGTGTATGAGTTCATATCTCTTAGTCTCTGAGTCAGGGTTCTCCTGATGAGTAGCTACCAACACCATGATGACAATAATAAATACAGCCACCTCCAGTGGCCAGAAACCTGGAAAAAGTTGCACACTGGGGAAGCAAGAACCTGTGTACTGAAGCCACTTTAGAACTTGGAAGTGAAATAATTGGGGTGAGCTGGACAGCATCTTCTCTTCTTCTTCAGCCCCTCTTTTCTCCTTGCCCTGATCAACTCTGCTCTCAGGACTTTGTACCTGGCACTGAGAGTTGTCATACTGTCATAAGACCTCCAGAGATTATGGTTTATCATAGGATAAATGTTTTCCAGTTGAAGAGATGATAGAATAACAGTAGTGATAAGAGTAACTTAGGTATGTTTTACATATCACGATCCAGTCTTATTCACCTGCATATATACATATATATATATATTTTTTTTTGAGACAGAATCTTGCTCTGTCACCCAGGCTGGAGTGAAGTGGCGCAGTCTCGGCTCACTGCAACCTCCACCTCCCGATTCAAGCGATTCTCCTGCCTCAGCCTCCCATGTATGTGGGATTAAAGGCACCCGCTACCATGCCTGACTAATTTTTGTATTTTTAGTAGAGACAGGGTTTCACCATGTTGGCCAGGCTGGTCTCCAACTCCTGACCTCAAGTTATCTGCCCACCTTGGCCTCCCTAAGTGCTGGGATTACAGGTGTGAGCCTCTGTGCCCGGTGTGCATATGTTTTTATATGGCTTAAATTGTGGTATGTATTACTGGGTGTATCTCCTGTTTTTAATATAACAACTGTAAAAATGCTTTTGTGGTTTTATACAGTTAAAAATTGCAAATGACTGAATAATATTCCCTTAAGTTAATGTACTGTAATCTATTATATGTACCACAAATGGATATTTAGATTATTTTTGGTGTTTTGAATGTGTGTTTTTTTGTGTTTGGTTTTATATTCGAATACAGCAATGATCATTCCTGTGTGTTTGGCTTCTGTTGAATAACTTCCTTAAGTTCAATTTTATGATACATTTCTTTTTTTTTCTTTCTTTCAGAAGGTTGAAAGGAAGGAAACTTTACCCTTATGCCTAAAGTCTAGTCTAACATCAGCACATGCCAAATTCCTCTGCTTACAGGTGTGTAGGGGAGGGAAGGAAATACGAAGTTGAACCCAGGGCATTAGTTCTGAGAGTTCAGGTTTTGTTTTTTTTTTTTTTCTCTCTCTAAGCACTTCCCAAATTCACCCTTTTTCTTAGTTCTGGCCAGGAACCTGCATCTACTCTGGTTTTTAAAAACCTA
Source organism: Homo sapiens (assembly GCF_000001405.40). Classification (NCBI taxonomy): domain Eukaryota; kingdom Metazoa; phylum Chordata; class Mammalia; order Primates; family Hominidae; genus Homo; species Homo sapiens. The sequence goes on along the minus strand of NC_000023.11, from coordinate 133,393,413 downwards.
GTTCAGCAACATTCCCAGAAACAGCTAAACTGTTGGCTGGTGGGAGAGTGGGTTAAACCTGAACTACAAATTAGTTGCTTGAAGGGTAGTGCCTTTTCTTGTGGTTCTTCTGTCCTTTTGATTGGAAGAGGGTTTCCCACATGTCTGTGTGTCTCACTTTTAAAAATAAAACAAAGGAAAGAAACCCCAAACAAAACCCTTCCTAAAACATTTGTCATCTGAACAGAACTTCCTAGAAAGCAGTGTCATTGTTTCTAAAAGGAGGAGCTCGTAATAACCCTCCATTCTCCCTCCTCTCCCACTTTTTTACAATGAAATGATTCTATGACTATTAGTTGTGAAATGGCTTAATTCAGTTTCTTATTCTTTATTGAAAATAACTTTGCTATGCCTAGTGTCTGTCTCTGGTCAAAGGGCGTTTCCTGTGTCATTGGCTTCCACGGTTTGTCTGCTTTCAGCTTTGTGATCCGGAGGGTACAGTCTCGCCTTTTAAATTGTCTGCCTCATCTTTTATCTTTCAACGGGTCCTGGAAAGAAATCATCCAACGGCTTCTTTCCAGTGTCAGTTTTTGAAAGATCCATGGCTTGCTTTATTTTGACAGGTGGTTGGTGAAAGAGGTGCTCAAAGGGTGGGGTAAAGGAGGAGGGCTATATAAGCGGAAGGAGAGGAAAGAGTTTAGCCGCTTCTTTTGGGGCTGTCTGACAAATGGCAAGTGATTATTATGCTCTCCTTTTTTTTTTTTTTTTGTTTTGTTTTTGAAAAGGAGTTTGCCAATAAAGCCTGAAGTTGGGTGACAGCTGTATCCTTTTTAGGACCATTTCTATGTCTTTCTTTACCTTAAAAGGCTGGGGCATCCCCAATGGAAACACAATTGGGACATACAAGATGCAGCTGTATAGATTAATTTCCTGTAATGAACAAGAGTGATAAGTCATTGAAAAGCTAGGTGTCCTTATCAGTAGGAGCTGTCTCATTGGATAAGCCACAGGGTCCACGCCAGTGTGGTTATCTCAGATGGTCCCAGGGTGTTCAGGGATATCTCCCAGTAGCCCTGATTTGCTTTAGCCATGCTTTCTTTAGTTTATCCCACCTCTAGGAATAACAGATTGACTGTTGACTGGCTACTAGATATAAGATAGTGCCTCTCTTTATTGTACGTTAATATTTATTTATTTATTTTGAGACAGAATCTTGCTCTGTCTCCCAGGCTGGAGTGTAGTGGTGCAATCTCGGCTCACTGCAGCCTTTGCCTCCCGGGTTTAAGCAATTCTCATGCCTTAGCCTCCTGAGTAACTGGGATTACAGGCATGCACCACCACGCCCAGCTAATGTTTGTATTTTTAGTAGAGACGGGGTTTCACCATGTTGCCCAGGCTGGTCTCGAACTCCTGACCTCAGGTGATCCACCAGCCTTGGCCTCCCAAAGTGCTGGGATTACAGGCATGAGCCACCATGCTGGACCTATTGTAAGTGAATACAACTCCTCACCTCTTCTAACCTTTGGTAGCTTCCCTAGATTGTCGTTTGTAGAGTTAATGGGCCTTTATTATGCCACAGGAGTGAGAATGATGAATGTTTCCCTTTAAGTCTTCTTTCTGTACCAGACTCTCCTCACTTCTTATCCCACCCTTTCCCTGACTCTGCAATAACGTCAGCTGCCCTCAGCTGAGCCCTCAGTTCAGCTTATATCTTGCTTGATGTGCACAGCCCAGAATTATACAATAATGTTCCAGGTGCTTTGCAGAAAGGTAGTAGAATGTATTCTTTTCTGATTCCCATGCCCTCCTTGTGTTCACGAAGCAATTTTTTTGGGTATTGTTGACTGCAGTACATTTAACAGATTAAAGCCTGTTAATAATTAAGAACAATATGTAAGGTCCAAATCGATTTACAAAATTAACCAGCAGAAAACCACAGAAGCTCCAACAATACAGAACTAAAAGGATTTGGGATCCAGGCCATTCTTTTCCAGACCTTCTCTTCTTGTTCTATCCCAGTCCTGGTTTACAAGTGGCCTCTTGGGAGGAAAGGAAGCGATCAGTAAGGGTGGAAACCAGGAGCAAAAAGCAGCCCACATTGCCTTTTTGTACTAGAACTGTTGTTAACAAAGACTGCTTGGAAAGAGGGCCATCTGCTGAGGCAGAGAAAGCTTTCTGTTATGAAGGGATGTTTGTTGCATGGCCTTTTAGGGATTCACTGTAACTTAGAGCCCTCATTAGGGAAGGTGTCTCAAACTCATAAGCGTAGGCAGATGATAACAACAACAGCAATAATCAAAATTTGATTCGGGATGGGTTTCTAGAAACTTGACAGTATACATAGCTTTTAATTCCTTTTACTGACCTTTTCAGAAGTTCTAAAATATTTTCTTTCCGGTCTGATGTTATCAAATTTCAATATTTACACTAGACTGTAGGCTGATTTCTTTTTTCCTATTCTAAGTGGACACAGCTATAACATGAGCACATAAACATCACTGCCAGGCGGGAGAAAGAGCCTTTGGGGATCAGGAAGCCTGGATGCTAGTCCCTGCCTTGCTGCTGACCAGCTGGGGGATGGGCATTCAGCAAGTGAGCACATCAAGGTCTTGTTCCCGGTGTTCATGAAAGGAGGGCGTTAAACTTGATTATATTACTAGGATCCTTTCCAGCTATAATAGTCTGTGTTTCACTGCAAATGCGTTGAGAGCTGATGAGATGATCTGGAAAGATAAGGGGAATAAGAGGAAAGCTCTTTCCTCATTGCATATGTATTCTTGAATATAATAAAACCTTGAAATGAGCAGTTCTGGGTAACTGAGCTTTCTGAATGGTTTTTGTCTCCTTCCTTGCTGTCAGCTGTCATTCTGTACTGCTGTTAGCTTGCTCGCTTTTAGCAACTCCTGTCCCTCCTTGGAAACTTCCCTTGTGCTCTTTGGAACTATAGCGTTAAGCTCATCAAAACTCTATGCCAAGTCAGTATACATAAAGCTGTGAGGGGAGGGCTTCTCCTATGGCTGTGGTGCATGGATTTTTGGCTGATGAAACCCTTTGGGGGCTTATATTTAGGTTCCAGATAGGTAATGTGTTACTATGTTCCCATTTGTCTTAGGCTAGACATTAGTTAATACGCTAATTCATTATGAAAGATGAGTAGGTGGGTGAGAGGAGGAAAGGGAGGCAAGTTATGTGTACATCAGAAGAGACCTCATTTTAGAAAAGATCAAAAAAAGCAGTTTGAGGTGAAGAAGTAGGCTGTGGAGCTTTTTTGAGACAGCTGGAGTTCGACCGGTAGCTTAGATCATAACGAGAACGCTGGCTTGGGTGTGCCTCTCTCACTTCAAGCTTCTCTGCTTGAAGTTGCGCACTGGGAAGAACATGCTGCCTCAGCCAGTGCCTGGAATGTTGTGCATGAACTTCTGAAAGACTGGAGACCCTCCTCCCCTTATGTGAGTGCATAGTCGCTGAGTGTGAATTTGAACCCAGCAGTTCTTCCTTCAGAAGGTTAAATGTCAAGGCATTAACATTCAGATAAGTCGTCTTACTCAAAATTTGCTTTAGGATGCTCCTGCCCGAAATCTAACACCCATGAGTGCTCATTATGTTCAGAAGAGTCTTTCAGGCTATCAGGTCCAACAGCAGTATGTACCCACGGTCCGTGGTGCTGGCCACATGTATATTTCATGGTCACAACAGAGTCATCTTGGGTAGAGACCCTGGGTAATTTCCATCCCATCTTTCTACCTTTCCCAATTTGATGTCCCCCTCTTCCCACTCCCTGTACTCTACATATAGTGAAACCAGATGAGCTGTTTCCCCAAAACAGCCGGGACTGTCTTCTCGTCTCGCCCGCAGGCCTTTATACACGTGTTCTTCCTTTAGCCTAAATTTTGCCCTCCCTAATTCTGCTGATTAACAGTCCTTCTCATCTCTTGTAGATCTTTGCATCTGTTTTCTCAGATGCCCATCTGGAAATTGCTTTTGACCCATAGCATTTTGCCATGAATGAATGAATGGACATTAGAATGATGAATTGTTCATTCATTTATTCTGTAAGCATTTATCAAATATCTCCTGTGTGCCCAGCTAGGTGTCAGTTATTAGGGATATAAGAGAGAGTAAGACAGACGCAGTTCCAGTCTTCAAGGCAATATTCTACCTTATATTAAAATTGGCAGCTGGGTGTGGTGGTTCATGCCTGTAATCCCAGCAGTTTGGAAGGCTGAAGTGGGTGGATCACTTGAATTCAGGAGTTCGAGACCAGCCTGGGCAACATCATGAAACCCTGTCTCTACTGAGAATACAAAAAAATTGGCTGGGTATAGTGGCGCACGCCTGTAGTTCCAGGTATTCAGGAGGCTGAGGTGGGAGGATGGCTTCAGCCCAGGAGATGGAGGTGGCAGTGAGCTCAGATTGTGCCACTGCACTTCAGTCTGGGTGACAGACTCGTACCCTGTCTCAAAAAAAAAAAAAAAAAAAAAAGGCTATGGGTAGCTGTGCTGGTGCTGAGGCAGAAGGATCACTTGAGCCCAGGAGTTTGGGGTTATAGTGTGCTAGTATTGTGCCTTTGAATAGCCACTGCACTCCAGCCTGAGCAACATAGTGAGAGTCCATCTCTTAAAAAGAGTTGGCTGGCTGGGCGCGGTGGCTCATGCCTGTAATCCCAGCACTTTGGGAGGCCGAGGCAGGTGGATCACGAGGTCAGGAGATGGAGATCAAGACCATCCTGGCTAACACGGTGATACCCCGTCTCTACTAAAAATACAAAAACTTAGCCAGGCATAGTGGTGGGCACCTGTGTGAACCCAAGAGGCGGAGCTTGCCGTGAGCCGAGATCATACCACTGCACTCCAGCCTGGGCAACAGAGCAAGACTCCGTTTCAAAAAAAAAAAAAGGAGTTGGCTGTTGGTTTTATTACTTCTACAGGGATGTAAGCTCCTTGAAGCCGTCAGGCATTATATCTTGTTCAGCTTTATAATCCCCTATCATGCCTTACATATAGTACAGGGGCTCAGTAAGTGTTACTAACTCAGTTTGGAAAATGCCCAGTTTCCTTTCCGTTAAGAAAAGTCATACATGTCCAGAAGCCTATTCCAAGGCATCATCTTTGTTGTAGCACTTTGATATAACAACAGTGGTTATGTTAGGCTTTGAAGCACATTTTTCCCTCAACATCAAGTGGACTAAAAACACAGAAGGTTAAGACCGGTCACTGACAGGTACGTAAAGGGTCTTTTCACCGTGAAGCTTTTAAAGTAAGGGCTTTGCCCATTTGTGGTCCCAGGTAGGTGTATATTCTAGCCTGCCACCTACCTTATGGCCAGCATTGCTAAAGTCCCTTTAGCAACAAATCTGTGTATCTATCTATTGAAAAGATTTGTTGTCATCTATGGCATAGAAGAGCCTTGCAGAATACTTGTCCCATAAGGCTTTTAGACAACACAAAGTTGTGGGAAAAACAGTTCCTGATCCACCTAGTTTTGAGCTTAAGTCTTAACATGAAAATAATATAGCTAGGGATGATTTACTCTGAGCTGGATGGATACTTAATGTTAGAAACTGAAGAAGCTATTGGGGAACTCAATTCAAGCATTTGAGCCCTATCGGTGCTGCACTAGAGTTAGGAAAATAAAAAGCTATGACCTCAGAAGTCCAATGTACCATGTAATTAATAATCAACAAACATTTCGAAGTATGATTATGAAATGAAATCTAGCGCTCATTTACAGGAAACACTGCCTCTATTACAAATGATAGACTTATTGGGTTTATCTGGCATTGCCTGTCCTTTAAGTCCTATATAATTATTCCTAAACCTTTCAGGAAAGAATTTGAGCATAATATCTTAAACTCATAAGCTATAATTCACTAACAAGGTTGAAATGAAAATCTCATTTAGTTTTCTGTGCACTTTTCCTTCTTTTTTTCTCCTTCCTTCTTTCCTTTTTTTCTGTTTTCTTCTTTTTTCTTTTCTTTTCTCTCTCTCTCTTCTTTTCTTCCTTTTTCTGTCATTGCTTTTCTTTGGTGAAATGCTTCCAATTCTCTACTGTTTACATTCTGGCAGACAACTATAAATAAGAAGGAATTAATATCCCTGCAAAATGCTTTGGGACATTATTCGCAGCATATAATTGAAACCCACTGTTTTCTTTCATGCAGCATTACTACAATAACAGGAAATACTGGGAGACCAAAGTAGAGCCTCTCAGCCCACCCTAAGGATATCTGTAGGCCTTTGTCCATAAAGCCACTTTGCTCTTGTGAACTGAGGCTGATATGCTATAGCCAAGTAAGATTTAGTGGATGTATGTGAAAACAGGATCCTGTCGGGGTACAGTTGAATCCCATGTCAGCACAGGTTGAAACAGCCAGCTTGCTAGCGGTGTAGGTATTCCTTTTTTTATGTAGTGAAGATTCCAACTTCTTCTGACACCAGCATGTCAGGTCGCATGAAACTTCCTGATTCAACACTCAGAGGGAGGGACTATGGGCTTCTGGCTGCCTCCTCCTTCAAGTATTAAGACAGAACCTTCCCTCTAATGACCATGAGAATTAGCTTGGTGTCCAAAAGCATTGGGTGGATTAGCATGTGGGTTATTTTTTCCCAAAATCTAATTCTGCATAAAATTGGCTTTTGTCTCAAAACCATAAACTAAAGGGATTAGAAACTGGGGGTGGGGTAGTAGTCTTTGTACTCAGAGAATAGATACTTTTAGTTCAAGTATGTCAGAGCGAATTAGGACTATTAATGCTCTAACAAAACTGCTAGTTATTGAGATGGTCCTTAAAACAAGGGAGGCCAGGGGGCATCTGAATAGACAGATTTCTGACTTAATAGCCATGTCTCAGGTTGTTCTTTAGTCTCCGAGAATATGCACCTGCCTCCCATTTCCATTAATGTCATTAGGAGCTGCATATTGTATATAATACAGGGTCATCAGGGTCTTTATTGCTGTTCTTTGAAACAGAATAAAATCATGTCCCTTTCATTCTATCTGAAACATTTTGTATTAAAATTAAGATCCCTTAGGCTTTGCCCAATTACTTTTCAGATAAAGTTTCCTGATAATGTGCCTAGAGCAGTTTTAATTTAAACAAGCAAATATGTATTCTTTGTTTAAACATTTTCCTATTCCATTTGTGTCCCTGGTAGAATCATCTGAAAGAACTGCTTAGAATCTTTTTTTTTTTTTTTTTTTGAGACAGGGTCTCTTTCTGTCACCCAGGCTGGACTGCAGTGGTACAATCATAGCTCACTGCAACCTTGACCTCCTTGGCTCAAGCGATCCTCCCACCTCAGTCTCCCAAAGTGCTGAGATTACAGGCATGAACCACTGTGCTGGGCCAGAGTTTTTTTAAATTTTATTTTTATTTTTTATTTATTTTATTTATTTTTATTTTTTGAGTTAAAATGGACTCCAGTGCTTACTGTTAAAGCTATTTAAAAGCCCCCTCCTCCCTAGGCCCCCACATAGGAAAGTTGCTGCACAGAAAACAAATATCAGCAAAGCCTCGATCCCAGTCCTGTCCCCTTGCCTAGCTGGTATTTTGGGGCTGTCCTTTCATTTTAGCATTAGCCTAATAATATGTACACATGTATAATACACCCACAAATCAAACGTTAGTTTTGGCTGCCTCACTGTTGGGGTGGTGATGTGGGAAAGGAATAAAAGCTCAGCAATTAGATGACTTGCATTTTAACTAGTATTGGAATGCCTGTTCTGGGTTAAGCTTGGGGCCAGGAACTTTAAGTACTTAATTTTGATGAATCTGTTATTAACTTCACAAGCATCTCAGAGAGGAGTATTTTTATCTTCATTATTCTGATCAGAAACTGAACCTAAGTTTCTGTAACTGTAAAATAGGATAATGCCTTCAAGAGTTATGGTGCAGACAAAATAAAATGATAATATACGTGAAGATGCTTTAAGCACCATATGTATGTGAGGCATTGCCATTATTATGACAATTACTTCTATTCTGATGATAAATACTTTCAAGTAAAAATCAAAAGCAAATTAGCCAGACTTTTTGACTGTTCCCGATGTTTAACAACTGAATTCTTCGGTGTTTCTTACATTTCTTCTAAGACCATGTAGATCATGAACACTTTTATGCTCTTTTCCCCATGTCCCCCAACCTGACAACCCATAAAAATTGCCTTGAAGAGTATATGGCTTGCAAATGTCACTGCAAGTCACCCTGTTTGCAATCCCAAGCAATACTGAGTCCTTGAACTGAATGCTCTACAACAAATCAAAAAGAATGCCTTCCTGTGAGATAGAGGCTGTGTTGTACTTAAATATACTTACTTTATTCACTCACAGCTGGAAAGGTGCAGGACAGTGATAACGAGGTAATCCTAGACTCTTGGGGACATCAGTTAGTTACCTGTATTAAGATGCATTTTAATATTTTTGTACAAACAGATGTGAGTTCATTATGAGTCCTGATTTAGGGTTCTCTGGCTGTGACCTGAGGCCTGTGGAAGTTTCAGAGGGCTTCTGCAGAGATCCCAAAAGGCAGTGCTTTCCTGCTGGGTTAGAGACTATGCAGAGAGAGTGTTTAAACAGAGTCCAGCTTGACAGCTAGCACAGATACTCTTTCTGTTGTGTTGGGAGCCAGTGGTAGGTCAGAAAAGGGAACACTGGCTATTAAGAGATTTGCAGGAGGCGTAAGGGAAGGGTTTGCCTGAGATCTGACTGTCTTGGTAGCTTCTCAGCACTCCTTTTTACCCTTGAGGTCTTTGATGACACCCTTGGGAAATGATGCCCGACCTGGGACCTTTCATGGTTCCTGCTTGTACCTGTCACGCTATAGCCCGGGGCCTGAGCCTTCTGGAGCCTTCCAGAAATGCTTCACAGAAATGCTCCACATGTACCAGGACAATGCTCAGAGTCTGCTTTTGGATTGGGCTCTCACTCCTACTCAGGTAATTGTGCATCCTTACGTAACCTTTCAAACCGAAGACTGAGACATTTATAGCAACCCTAAAGTTCCTCTCATCTCCTCTTTCCTCTTTCAAAGTTTGAACTTTGAGATTCTCAGGGGAAACAACTTTTTTTTTTTTAAGAAATGACTTTAATTCACTGCAGGTTTTAACAACAGGGTATGGCCACTCTCCTGTTTTCATCTGAAGGAAATGGCTTTGTTTGACAGAGATCCTTAAAACTTATTAACTTTTGAAAAATCAATAGCACTATTCCTTCCAGGAAAAAAGAAAAAGAAAAAGGCTGTATGGCTCCTTTTTACAAAGGAGTTAAAATTGTCAGAATTTGTTAGGCCTTTTACATTTTTATCTTGCGCATAGCCATTTGCTCTGGGTAGTGGGGATTGTCTAGTTCATTTGGACACATTAAAGTGTATGTCTCTGTGCATTTCCAGTTCCCTGAAGAAAATTCTCGAGTTGTATTGTTACAATAGTACAGAGAGTTTTCATGTACCTTCTACCCCAACACATGCATAGCCTCCCCCGTGATTACCATTCCCCACCACAGTGGTGCATTTGTTACAGTCAGTGAACCTACATTGACTCATCATCATCACCCAAAGTCTGTAAGTTTACAGTAGGGTTCACTCATTGTTTTTTGAGATAGTCTTGCTTTGCCCCTTAGGCTGGAGTGCAGTGGTGTGATCTTGGCTCACTGCAACCTTAGCCTCCCGGGCTCAAGCAATTCTTCTGCCTCAGCCTCCTGAGTAGCTGGAATTACAGGCATGCACCACAACACCTGGCTAGTTTTTAAAATATTTTTAGTAGAGACGGGGTTTCCATGTTGCCCAGGCTAGTCTCGATCTCCTGGCCTCAAGAGATCCGCCTGCCTCCACCTCCCAAAGTGCTGGGATTACAGGTGTGAGCCCATGTGTCCAGGCAACAGTAGGGTTCACTCTTGATGTTGTATATTCTGTAGGCTTGGACAAACATATAGTGACATGCATCCATCATTATTGTATCAGACAGGGTAGTTTCACTGCCCTAAAATTCCTCTGTGCTCCACCTATTCATCCCTTCCTTCCATCAACTCCTGGCAACCACTCATCTTTTTGACTGTCTCTATAGTTATGTCCTTTCCAGAATGTCATATAGTTGGAATCTGTATGACATTCCATATGTCATATAGTTGGAAACAGTACGTAGCCTTTTCAGATTGACTTCTTTCACTTAATAATATGCATTTAAGGTTTCTTTATGTCTTTTCTTGGCTTGATAGTTCATTTCATTTTAGTACCAAAATTCTCTTGTCTGGATGAACCACAGATTCACCTACTGAAGGACATCTTAGTTGCTTCCAAGTTTTGGCAAATTTTGGCAATTAGGAATAAGCTGCTATAAACATCTGTGTGCAAGGTTTTGTGTGAATATGTTTTCAGCTCATTTGAATAAATACCAAGGAGAGTAGTTGCTAGATCATATGATAAGGGTGTGTTTAGTTTTGTTAGAAACTGCCAAACTGCCTTCAAATGGCTGTACCATGTTACATTCCCACCAACAATGAGAGTTTCTCTTGCGCTATAACCTTGCCAGCATTTGGAGTTGTGAGATACCATTACATGCCTCACTGTTGTTTTCATTTGCAATTCCCTAATGACATATGATGTTGAACATATTTTCACATGCTTATTTACCATGTATATATCTTCAGTGACGAGTTCGCTGAGACCTTTTGCCTGTTTTTTTGTTTGTTTGTTTGTTTGTTTGTTTTTGAGACGGAGTCTCGCTCTGTCTGTCGCCCAGGCTGGAGTGCAGTGGCGCGATCTCAGCTCACTGCAAGCTCCACCTCCTGGGTTCACGCCATTCTCCTGCCTCAGCCTCCCAAGTAGCTGGGACTACAGGTGCCCGCCACCACGCCTGGCTAATTTTTTTGTATTTTTAGTAGAGACGGGGTTTCACCGTGTTAGCCAGGATGGTCTTGATCTCCTGACCTGGTGATCCACCCGCCTTGGCCTCCCAAAGTGCTGCAATTACAGGCGTGAGCCACTGTGCCCGGCCTTTTTTTTTTTTTTTTTTTTTTGAGACGGAGTCTCCTCTGTCACACAGGCTGGAGTGCAGTGGCACGATCTTAGCTCACTGCAAGCTCCACCTCCTGGGTTCACGCCATTCTCCTGCCTCAGCCTCCCAAGTAGCTGGGACTACAGGCGCCCACCACCACGCCCAGCTATTTTGTATTTTTTAGTAGAAACAAGGTTTCACCATGTTAGCCAGGATGGTCTCGATCTCCTGACCTCGTGATCCACCTGCCTTGGCCTCCCAAAGTGCTGGGAATACAAGCATGAGCCACCGCACCCGACCCACCTTTTGCCTGTTTTGTAATCAAGTTGTTTTCTTATGATCTTAATACTTTTTCATCCTATGACAAGTGTTAATTTGGTTAGCTGGACATTTTGGTTTTGATTACATATTCCATTTAGATATGTAGGGCTTAAGTCAGATTATGCCAGGTATATGTTCCCTTGGGCTTGCTGAAGGATTCACTTTTATTAACTTGATTCTGGTGAAAGGGCGTGTAAAAAGTGAGACTGATCAACTAAATGTGCCATTTAACCCACTGAATGCACAAACCTTGCAGGAAAGTATAGTCAGTTCACTATAACACAACATAGTCATTTCTAAAAATCACCATGCTATGCCAAATTGTGTGGTAAGACAACAGTAGGCGTTATGGGAAAATTGGGGTTAGGGCACAACACTAACAAACTTATCCACTGACACATTAAAAAAGTAAAAAGGAACCAAAGAAACTTAGGAGCACAGTTTCACACATGCTAAATGGTTAAGAAATACACAAATATTGCCATACATATGGCATGTGACCTTGAAGACATCTGAAGTTTAACTGTGGACAGGGAAGTCAGAAGGGTTCCAGCTTGTGTGAGTTATTATGAAGTGGTGGATGGAGAGTTATCTGAAATCTGATGGAAAGCTGTAGCACTAACTGTGGAGATAGGGGTGGCTCATACCACTGGACTGAGGGAGCTGGTGGATGTTTAATATATGTGTTTTGCGTATTTCTACATGGCTGGGTACAGCTGGTTGCGGTTTCCTGCATTCACCTCCTATTTCTGGAAGACAAGCTCACGCATAAGGAAACGTGAAATTTTCATTATGCTCAACTTCTTCCTTAATATATCAATTGCATTGAAACAAATTCACATTTTCAAAATAAATGTGATAGCATAATAGACTGTAACTAATATCCTTTGTTGCATTCTTGAGCATATGTTCCTTTCATCCTCATAGTAGCTGCTCACGTATGATCTCCTTTGTATGTGCTGCCCAGAAGTGTTGGTATCTGGGGCCCACTGACCCCGGTTCTTTTATCACCTGTCCATTTTTTCTACCATGTGCCTCTTGTGCTGCTTAGGAGGGCCAGTTAGTATGCAAAGAGTAGACTTCTGGTTCTATGTTGAGGGAGGAGTGCAGGGCTGGTAAGAGCTATTGCTTACTAAAAATTGCTGGTGTGGATGAGGCATCCGCCAGGGCTGAGCTCTAGAAGGATTATCTGGAGCTTGTCTAACTAGGGCTCACTGCATATTTGAGCCCTCGAATGGACTGTCTTCATAAAGTAATTAAAAGCATATTGGAAGCACATCTTCTTTCTAATCTCTGGCATTGGATCTTAGCAGGACTGTATTCAGTTGTGTCTACATCTGTTTTGTGTGCAATTTGCCTCTCACGGATTATGGAAACCATCTCTTGCTGGGGAAGCTTTCAGTCGTGTTAAAGACTCATTTACCAAGGGAAAACAACACCTTAGAAAGGAATTTATTTTCAAAAATAGACATCCACATTGCATATAAATGTATATAGATAAGTGTTTCAACAACAACAACAAAATGCTGCCCTTCTGTTCCAGGAAATAAATACCTTATATTCAGTTTGGCGGGAGGGATTCTTCTCAAACTAAAACTGTTCTCCTCTATGTATATCATTTCCTGTAATTCCCTCACTAAAGACGCTTTGGATTCAGAGGGGCTATATTATTCTTGGAAAGTTTTGGAGTTTTCCAAAGATTGACTGAGATAGATCCTTAGCCTTACAACTTCTTGCCATCCAGGAACTGCATCACTTTTTTGGGGGGTGGGGGTGGGGGTGGTGCGGGCAGACAGAGTCTTGATCTGTCGCCCAGGCTGGAGTGCAGTGATGCGATCTCGGCTCACTGCAACCTCCGCCTCCTGGGTTCAAGTGATTCTCCCACCTCAGCCTCCCGAGTAGCTGGGATTACAGGCACCCACCACCACGCTTGGCTAATATTTGTACCTTTAATAGAGATGGGGTTTTGCCGTCTTAGCCAGGCTGGTCTCAAACTCCTGGCCTCAAATGATCCTCCCACCTTGGCCTCCCAAAGTGCTGGGATTACAGGTGTGAGCCACCACGCCCGGCCCACATCACATGTATAAGACTCCACTGCTTGATTAGGAATGGGACCTTGGAGTTAGGATCTGGCACTTTCGAAGTTTTTGTAAAGAAAATTCAGGACTCCTCAGTCTCCAGGTCAACGAAGTCCAGTTTTCATGTTATTCTGTTATTGTTTGCTATTTAGGATTGCTGTAGTCTACAGAGATGTAACTGTTTGAGGTGGAAAATAGAACATATGGTATTTTTGCCTAGAGAGCGAGGGCAGTGGTTTTTATTCTTGGCTGACCAATTGTTTCTCTTTCTTAAGCACTTTCTATGTGCCAGCATTGTGATTTTTATGGGTTATCTCCTTTAATCCTCACAAAACCCTGTAAAATGACCCCTCCCTCACTTTCCATATAATGGAACTAAGACTTCTCTAAGTCACTTGCACAGGATCAGTCAGCATGGATTTGAACCCAGATCTTTCATTTTTAAACGATTTCATTTTTTTTGTTGAAACTCACATAACATAAAATTCACCATTTCAACCAACTTAAAGTATCAGTGGCATTTAGTATATAAACAGTGTCATCCAACCATTAAGACTATCTAGTTCTAGAACATTTTCGTGACTTCAAAAGTAAAATTCTGTACCCATTAAGACACCACTTCTCATTCCTGCCTCCCCCCAGCCCCTGGCAACCACTAATCTGCTTTCAGTCTCTCTGGATTTGCTCATTCTAGACATTTCATATAAATGGAATCATACAATATATGACTTTTGTGTCTAGTTTCTTTCACTTAGCGTAATCTACTGGCACTTTATTCCCTTCATGGTGGCTGAAGAATATTGCACTGTATGGACACACCATAATTTCATTATCCATTCATCAGTTGATGGGTGCTTAGGTTGCTTCTGCCTTTTGGCTATGGTGAATAGTGCTGCTGTGAATGTTTGTATACAGCTTTGTATGTGAACACCTGTTTTCAGTTTTCTTAGATTGGAATTATTGGGCCATATGGTAATTCTGTGTTTTACCTTTTGAGGAAATGCCAAAGCATTTTCCATGGTGGCAACTACAGTTTACATTCCCACCAGCAGTGTATGAAGTGAACCCACGTCTTTCTGACTCCAAAGTCTGTGCTCATTTTCTTAGGCCATGCCATCTCCTCATTACTTCTCAAGGGCCCTAGCAATTGCCTGCCAAGCCACACCTCCAGCCAACAACAGAAGCATGCTGCAGGGTGTCTCATGTTGTGAGGGGATGGTGTTGGTAATAGGGCTTTTTGGCTTGGTGAAAGAACATGTGTCAGAGATTTGTCAGTGGACAACCTCCTCTTCCTCTGTGTCAGGTAATAGTTAAGAGTATGGGCTCTGGAACCACATTTTATATGATTCCAATTCTTTGAAATGTCCAGCATAAGGAAATCCATAGGCAGTAGGATCAGTGGCTGTCTAAAATTTAGGGAGTGATGGTTAAGTTATGGGATTTCTTTTTTTTTTTTTTTCTTTTTTTTTTTTGAAATGGAGTCTCGCACTGTCGCCCAGGCTGGAGTGCAGTGGTGTGATCTCTGCTCACTGCAAGCTCCACCTCCAGGGTTCACACCATTCTCCTGCCTCAGCCTCCCGAGTAGAGTAGCTGGGACTACAGGCACCCGCCACCACGCCCAGCTAGTTTTTTTTGTATTTTTTTAGTAGAGATGGGGTTTCACCGTGTTAGCCAGGATGGTCTTGATCTCCTGACCTCGTGATCCACCCACCTCGGCCTCTCAAAGTGCTGGGATTACAGGCATCAACCACCGTGCCCGGCCCCCGGGATTTCTTTTTAGTGTAATAAAAATGTTCTATTAACGCTTGTGGTGATGGCTGAAGAGATGGTTCAACTTTGAATACACTAAAAACCATTGCATGGGCTGGGCATGATGGCTCATGCCTGTAATCCCAGTATTTTGGGAGGCCAAGGTGGGCAGATCACTTGAGCCCAGGAGTTTGAGACCAGCATGGGCAATGTGACAAAACCCTGTCTCTACAAAAATTAGCTGGGTGTGGTGGTGCACACCTGTAGTCCCAGCTACTCTGGAAGCTGAGGTCGGAGGGTCGCGTGAACCCGGGAGGTTAAAGCTGCGGTGAGCCATGGTCACACCACTGCACTCCAGCCAGGGTGACAGAGCGAGAGCCTGAATCAAAAGCAAAAAAAAAAAAAAAAAGAAAAAAAAAAAGAAAAAGAAAAGTATGGTATACTTTAAACAGATGAATTGTATGGTATGTGAATTATATCTCATGAAAGAATTTTTTAAAGTGTAGTCTCTAGAGCCTCACTGCCACTTATTAGCTCTGAACTTGGACAGGTTCCTTAGTGACTCTGTTCCAGGATTCATGTTTAAAGGGGGGGAGGATAAGATAATAGTTCTGTACCTACCTCATTGAGTTGTGAAGATCAAAGGAGCTAATATAGATAATATAGTGCTTGGCATGGTGCCTGACACATAACAAATGCTCAATGCATGTTGTTAACTATTAATATAAGCATCATAAAATATTTTTTTGAAGTTCCAACTGATGGATGGTGTTCATGATAGGGCAGCAAAGACTGGAAACACATAGCATTCCTCTTAAAATTTAAATTCTTTGTTCAACCCTGCTGCCAAGGGAAATGAGCACTATAGGACAATGTAATGGGACAATAATTTGGGTAGTACTGGGAGATGAGGTCATATGGGAGTGGGTGTTGGGTACACTTAAGGGCTGAAAAAAGAACTGGTGCTGTTGCATGTGAGGAAATTGTATTAAAAAGGCTGCTCTACCCTCACTGACAACAGATGTTGGGAGGTCTTAGGCTCTGGGCTCCAGGGCCTCTGACCCCCTTGAAATTCTCTCCAGGTTCTTTGGAGGTCATGATCCCACAGTTGGCAGAGCCCTGGTGTAGATTAGCTTCCTTGGATATGTTTTCCTCTCTCTTTCCCTAATGCCTCCCATCCCGAGGGTCTCGAGGAACTAGAGGGAGGTGCTTATGCTAGTAAAGAAACTAGCACCTTTTCAAGGAAAATGAAGGAAAAAGCTGGGACAGTAGGGAAGGCAGGAGTCTGACCCATGGATCTAGGAGTGGAAAAAGAAGAACAAAACACCAAGCTGTTCTGCTTGTCCAGTTGCTCTGAGGTTGAAGGCCTTCCAGGAGAAGCGTCCTCACTGTTGTCTGTGTCCATGTTTGCAGGCCACAGACATTGACTATCTGCCCGGTGCCTCCTTGTCAATGTCCCATGTGGGGGAGAGACAAAAGCAAAGACAGCCAGCCTTCCCAGTTCCTTCAGGAGACAGAACCCGAAAGCCAACACATGAAGGCATGGAAGAACACTTCCAGAGAACCAGCTCACAAGTGCAAGGGGATGGGGCTGTCGACCCCGTGTGTATAGTGCCAAGGCAATCCAGGTCATGGTTGCAGAGTGCTTTACTGCCATTTTTATTGCCTCCTTTCAATAAACCACTGCAGTGCATGAACTGGTTGTGTTTTATAGCTAGGAAAACTCTGAGCTACCAACACATTAAGTTACTTGACACTGAGAGAACCCTCAACATGAATGTCTTATATCTGCAAGGATATTTGTGTTAGATTCCATCATGGAGGTAGGAATGCTTATATCAGACAAAGATGCATATGCACACATGCACACACAAGCACACATATGCATGCACACATGCCAGGGGATAATGATGTCAGATATGGGGACTTAATTGCTGGAAGCGAGTGTAAAATGCCATTGGTGAGGGCTGGGGGACAGAGAGAGCAGCCCTGTGGCCCTGGGTGGCAGGGGAGAGCCCGGGGTAGGTTGTGTGCCTCCCTCCCCAACATACACAGTGCCCTTCTCAGCCTGCTGTCTGTCCATTAGCTGCACGGCTGCTGGCCTGAGCACACGGGCTCTTCTTGGCTTTGAGCCAGTGGCGAGCTGGGAGCCTGTGACTTTGAGACTTGGCCCTTTTCAGTTTTCTTTGTTCAGAAAAAAGTTTCATCCTGGCTGTCTTCAGTGGCTGCCGAGGATTAGGAGAACCCTGGGGAGACTTGGCTATAGGACGGCTCTCAAAGCTGTGCTGGGAAATTTGAAGAGGGCCCATTTCTCTCTGTCTTATTTCAAGTTACATTCTTCTCTCCCTTCCTAAACGAGTTTTTACTGTTGCAAACCCTACTGCATAATCCCCTAGTGTACTTTTGTGATTCTGCTGCTATGGAAGGGATTAGACCAGTATCAGGACCAGTAACATATTTTAAGGACTGTTGAAATGGACAGTATGAAGTAAGGTTCAAATTTGGATACTCATTTTAAATAGTTGCACAAGTTAGAGGCACCACATGCTTTCCTGGGTTAGCATTTGTCATTCTTAAAAAAAGAAAAAGTATGCTTTTCAGTGGCTGGAAAGAAAAAGAAAGGAGGAGGCTTGGCTCCTCTGAGCAGAGCATGAGAATTGGATTTCTAAATGGCCAGAGACTATGGTATTCCCAAGTACAAGTGGTTTGTTTTCAAAAATTTGTAACTACTTGCAGTTTTGCTTGTTTAATATTGTTAAGAAATGGAAATTGCCTCAGTTGTAAAGTGGTTTTCCCATTAAGGATTTTTTCTTTTTAGTTTTGATGGTTTTTACCTTTTAAAAATAGTATTTATTTCATGATTATGAACAAATTGTTTTTGCAAATCTGATTGTATTACAGTAGATAGGTAGATGTTTGCATTTTTCATAAGCTACCCATTAGTGTAAATGTACAAAAAAATGCCTTTATACATCTTTTTACCATGTTTCTTGTGGTACTTGGGGAGGACTTAACTCTGAACTGCCTCCATTAGCATTGTTTCCCAGAGGACACATTAACAGATCAAAAAGCTATAGACTACTACATATACACATACCAGGAGTACGTAGTTCAGTTTCTGTAATCCCACAGTACGCAAATGTTGGCAGAATTTCAATGATTGTATTAATCCTGTGAGATACTTTGTCATGCATGATAGATGATATTTACAAATTGAGGTCTGAAATGGTCAGAAGCTTTGAAGATGCTTTATTGTGCAGTATGTGGAAGTGGAAGTGTTTATATTGTTTTAGACCATATTGGCCAACCAGGCAGCAAAAAATATACAGTCTCATAATAGAGTACAACAATTTCATAACAAACCTGAAGGTTGCTGGGGAGTTTTTCCAGCCTAAACCAACAAGGTTCATCAAAAGTTTTGCCAAGGTCTTAAAACCCTATGGATAATTGGAGCGTTTGGATATCTCATGTGAAACACAAATCCATTTAAATGCCATCCACATACCTGTGAAATGACTTTCTTAATACATTTCTGTATTGTAGACTCAGAGCAGAATATGATAGCCCTGCTATGAGGAGCTCCTGGTTCTTTAAGGGCTCCACTTGATTAATCAGAGAGGATCTGAGCATAATTAAGAATCACATTGTATTTGAAGACTGGGAAGTGGGAGCCCAAGAAGGGTCACTGATTTTTTCTCAAGGTCATACAGTCAGATCAACTCACGAGGTCTTGTTTCCTCTCTACATGTATAACAGACTGTAGGTTGCTTTTGCCCCTTTCACCCCCAACTCCTGCGATTTAACACTTTTAAATTTTGAAAGGTTTCCTTACTTAAAGAAGTTCTTGGTTCACCCTGGCCCTACTCTTTGTGACTTTGCACATTTCCTTTCTCTTTCCCTACCTACCTTCCACCTTTAGTCTGTTCCTCCCACTGGGCTTCTCCCTTCCTATTCCTTTAATTTTTGCTGCCCTTCTCTAAAACTTTTCTTCATAGTGTTCATGAGTTTGAGAATAGCACATGTCACTCTAGGCACAAGCAAATTACTCTTTTGTATAAAGAGCAGGCTTGTTTCATCCCTTTGGTGGCTATGGGTTTTCTCAGACTCTCCCCCACGTTGCCAAACACTTGCAGCTCAGCACTATCATGGATTGGTGTCTTTCCCCCAGCTTTACTGATATATAATTCATATACTATAAAACTCACCTCATTAAAGTGTACAATTCAGTGGTTTTTAGTATATTCATGGAGTTGTGCAACCATTACCTCAGTCTATTTAGAACATTTTTATCACCCCCCCAAATTAACTGTGTACCATTAGCAGTCACCCCTCATCTCCCTCCCTCTCTTTCTGCCCTAGGCAACCATTAATCTGCTTTCTGTCTATGGAGTGATGTTTTGAGGGCCCAGTCTACAATCACTTCCCTGTGATAAGAGGAGTCATGTGGCTACTCACTTGCTCACCTTGACAGTGGCCTGCCTGATGTTTGCTCATTTTCCTCCATTAATTTGACATGTCACTAATTACTTTAGTGTCAAAGTTGGAGATAGTTTACCTCTCCTTTCCTATTCTAGAGACTCCAGAAAGGGACCTTGGACAACCTTGAAGTGAATTGCCTTTCTGATCTCTGACTTTCTACAACCCCGTTTTTGGCAGATCATCAACTACCCTTTGCCCCTGAGCCCTGGTGATGGGAAACCCCAAGAACTGGAAGTTCCCTTGAGGTTGGGATTTTGTAACCTCAGCGCTGAGCCTGATGCCTGCCTGCCTGCCACATAGACACTCAGTGTCACTGAATGAATGAACTTAAGCAATACTGTTAAGATGGAATTACCATACCTTTTTGACACATCTGTCACTATGAACTAATTGAGCTTATTTATGCTCTGTGTGTGTGTGTGTGTGTGTGTCTTCAATAACCCAACTGTAGAATCATTTTAAAAATAGCAAGTAAAGCTGATCTCAGAATAAATTCTAGGTGCATCCCATCTTGTGTACGTAGCAGAAATGGATGCATTTCTCCCTACCTTCTGTTTCTTGTGTTGTATGTTCGATTCCTATCCAGGAGAAAACAAGATGAGGCTTTATGTTTTAGGGAAGAAAATGGAAGGTTTAGAGAACATGTTTTTATTTATTGTTTTCTAAAAATGCTATAGAAAACAGTACTCCAAGTAGCTGTTTTGATTCTCTTTAATTCCTTTCTTCTTCATCTGAGGATGAACATCTGGTAGGGAGTGCTTTTACTTGCAATCCAGTACACTCCTATTGTCAGTCCAAAAATATGTGGAAGTAAAGAGATTCCATCTCAGACCCCTCCAATTGCCATAACAGTGGGCCTGATATAGAAGTTGAGAAGGTGTCAATAAAGTGTTAATGGAGATACTCAAGGAATTCAGAGCATTTCAAGGCACAGCATATGTTCACATCCCTCTGGTATCAGCAAAAACTCAAAAGTGAAACCTGTAGGGTCATTTGGCTTTCATGCTGTCCAACAATAGGACTTTAAAAGCCACACACTAAGGAGCAGAATATTGAAAATTACTTTGAACTTTCAAAGCTAACTATCTAAAATATCCTAGCAACTTTCAAAAAGTGTGATAAGCAGGAAGTGCAGCACTTTGTAAGACACGTGCATGCTCTTAAGCAGAAGCCTAAAATGCTCCTAATTTGTACCAGAGACCTTATCAAAGGGCTTCGCAAAATTCCAGTTCAGCAATTATGAGGTATTAGTTGAGTTTAACCTCTGAATCATAGGGTGGGGAGTGGAGAATTGTCATTTCATTCTACTTTCAACTATCAAGGCAGATGGACCTTTCTAAAAGATGGTGGTGGGTGAGTAGAAAAGGAATTGATAAGAAAAAGGAGGGACTTTGAAAGGGCTTCTCTTTTCAGAGCTGGCATGACTGTCTCTCCAGTACTCTCCCTACTACACATATTTCTGTTTTGTAAGGAGCCCCTAAGGATACATATACAGATATCCTTGGGGGCTCCTTGCAAAACAGAAATACCTTTGGAAAGTTAAAAGAAAAAATGGGGTTTCCTATAACCTCTTTTTTTTTTTTTTTTTTTTTTTTAAAGACGGAGTCGCTGTGTCGCCCAGGCTGGAGTGCAGTGGCACAATCTTGGCTCACAGCAACCTCCACCTCTCAGGTTCAAGCGATCCTCAGCCTCCTGAGTAGCTGGGATTACAAGTGCCTGCCACCACACCCAGCTAATTTTGTATTTTTAGTAGAGATGTGGTTTCACCATGTTGGCCAGGCTGGTCTCAAACTTCTGACCTCAGGTAATCTGCCCACCTCGGCCTCCTAAAGTGCTGGAATTACAGATGTGAGCCACCGCGCCCGGCCTTCCATACCTCTTTTAAGCTGTTGTCCCAGGGTCTGGGTGGAGTGGCTTGTGTTTGGGATAGGAGCAGCACTCATTTCAATGAAATCACCTGCAGACCTTGGCTCCATTTTAGAATGACTTAGAACGTCCTGAGAAGTAAATTGCTTATCTTGGGGCCTCAGTTTCTGTTGGATAAGTTAATTGCCTCTCCCTATGAAAAACATTTTAAGTGGTATAATGGCCTAAGGTTTGTTATATTTATATTAACGAATTTGGACAAAGAGAAATCAACTCAAGCAATTTTTTTTTCTGTCAAAGAAATGCTATACCCATTAAGGACAAATTTTGTGTATAAAGATGGCTTTATTTATATTTAGAAATGATGGCTGCAGGCTTTTATTTGATGAGTTTGTTTAGATTACAAAACCTGAGCATATTTTAGCATCAGGGCAGGGGGGCTGCTGATCTCTCCAAAAAGACAACAGTGATTTGAGTAAAGCAAGAGTTTGTAGTAATATATGTGTATGTGAGTTTTTAAGTTCTGAAATGGATAGTAATTTAAAATAATGAACACCAGAATTCAAAGGACTACATATTTGCCTTAAGAAAATAACACAGAGCAAATTGCCTCTTAGCGATTTATAGTTTTATACTTTGTCTTGTTTGTTCCACTGGTCATGGCAAACTCTGGGAAGAGATTTTGAGGCTAGTCTGAGCCCTAGAAGTCAAGAATAAAAGTAGACTTTTAGTTAACAGTTTAAAACTTTGCCATAGTTTCCAATTACATTTATATTTGAACAGGAAGGAGTCTTAGGACTTTTCTTCATTTCTTAATGGTGCTCATAAAACATAGTGAATGGGAATTTGCTTTAAGACTAATTGTATGTGTGTGTACGGGTGTGTGTCTGGGTGTATACACACCCACAGAGACGCGCATATTAACTAAGTTGGGATGCCATAGTTGGATGAGTTTTCAAATATTTTAGCAAAGGTTTCTGAGCACTCATGAAACAAAAGCATTAAGGATTGCTTGTCATAGCTAATAAAGTTTTCTTGGATCTCACTTAATTTTTCTGCTTCACTTCACAGAGTAATTGAAACTTCCTTTTTGCTTTGAGTTCCCCTCACCCCACCCCCAAGAGCTACAGTCTTAAAAGGACATCTCTTTTGGTTAGCAGTTCTATGGATTTTTTTCTGAATGTAGAACTAGGTCCTCAAATAGTTATTGAGCTAGTGGTCATTCAATCCTTAGAAGGGAAATTAGTTAAATCTGTAAGTGGCTTCTGGAGGTTGAAGAACATCCAAGGAGAATAAAGGCTTATTACAACTGGAGCATTTCAAGCATCTGTTGTGTAAGCCTGGAAATGTGATCCAGGTTGAAAAGTAGAGATGATGGAACTGTTCCATTGGAACAGTGAAGGTATGAAAAAATAAGCTCCAATCTCAAAAACAAACAAACAAAAACCCTGAAGAACTTTATAAGTATAGGAATTATCAGTTGATGCAGATTAGCCAAAATGATGAGGTTTTCCTGTGCTCCATCAATAGTTATTTGCTTCTTTATTTCAAATCATTCTCTAGAAAATTGTCTTTCTCCATCAAATGAAATAACCTTGGAAGTCTTAACCAATTCTTGCAAAATGGCTCCCCTCTGTCTTCCCTCCAGCCATGTTTTGTTTTGGGTTAACAGTAAAAGACAAAACAGATTGTTGACTTTTTGCCAGAAAATTTTGGGGACAGATTTTGCTGCTGTTGCTTCTGACGTGAACAAAAACCTCAGATTGCATATCTTCTATTCTCAGGGCAAAAACTTATTTTTGAAGCAATGTGGGTGGGTTTTGAGGCGTGCTCTTCTGTTTTTGTTTTAAAGCATTTGGTAAGAAGACACTTGACTTTGAAATTTTATTTTCATATGTACTGGCTTGAGAGAGCTGACCTCCCACCTCCACTCCATCTACCTTGTCAACTTTGATTTTTAACGAAGTAATCAACTAGTTGATGTAACATGCTTATTTTAAAAGCAATCATATGGGAGTGATTTAACCTTTTTTTTTATCAAGTTGAGTGTTAATTATTTTGATCTGCCTCTTGAATGGTGGGTTGTTAATAGTAATATTAGTCACAGCTGGTATGTGAGTACTCAACTCCAGATTCCTTGGTTCAATATTTCATAGGTCATTAAACAATTTTCTGATGAAAATGATTTATTTAAACTCCAATTCTCAACCTCTTGCTTTTCACAATCCCTTAGGATAATTAAATGCCCAGTACTGCACCCCTAACTAGTTACTTACTTTTCAAGAATCCTCACTTAAATAATCATATCATATGCAGAAATAATTATCCTGCAAAGAAAGCTTTGTGAATACTTCGGTGTTTAATTCAGTTTAAATTCATTTAGGAGAGAGTAGTACAAAATGGCTGCATTATAATTCACATTGTGAGCAAAGTATTTTTAAAATATTTTGACATTCTTGACTAGGTTTTCATGTCACTCTTTATCAAATGCATCGTACTACTATATTAGGTTTCTTTGCTTAACTCACACTGTCTAATGGGAAAAAGTTCAATATCATTTAAGACAGACTCTAGTTATCTCATTTGAGCGACAATTGTTCTGGGGGAACTGTAACTTAACAGAAATATAAGAAAAACAGGAACTAGGGTCAAAAGCCCCACAGGGTATAAAAGGGTCATAACCTCTCTCAGAGGAGGCAAATGTAACTGATATACTAGTTTTTAAAGGGCACTTGATTGCATGAAGGAATGCAGTAACAGGATTTAAAGCAAACATACAGCACTAACAAAGATTAAATTAATGGTGTGCCCTGCTCTGGGGGGATTAAAAGAGGTAGTTTTATATAAAATTATTGTGAGTAGACTAAGATTAATTTCCTGATTTTGCATATCATAAGATACTGTAATTTATGATATCTGCTGTGATTCTTACGTTTAAAGTAGTACCTAGACTTTGATATGCGAACAAAATTAAGAAACCATGTCAAAGTATAAAAATAATGTTACTCGGTCGGGCGTGGTGGCTCAGGTCTGTAATCCCAGCACGTTGGGAGGCCAAGGCAGGCAGATCACCTGAGGTCAGGAGTTTGAGACCAGCCTGACCAACATGGTGAAACCTCGTCTCTACTAAAAATACAAAAAATTAGCTGGGTGTGGTGGCGGGCACCTGTAGTCCCAGCTACTCAGGAGGCTGAGGCAGGAGAATGTCTTGAACCCGGTAGGCAGAGGTTGCAGTGAGCCAAGATTGCGCCACTGCACTCCAGCCTGGGCAACAGAGCTAGACTTTGTCTAAAATAATAATAATAATAATGTTACTCAATGTTATATTGAAGTAATTTTTCTTTATATTCTTAGATGGTAAAATTACCATGCTCTTAAAAAAACCTTAAAAGTGAAGTTCTAAGTGAATCAACACAATTTTTAGATGATATGTCATGAGAACACAAAACACATAGAAAAATGGTAAATTTTATTAACAGTGCTTTTATGAATTGAAAACCTTCCCTTAGTGTTGGATACGGAGGCTAGAATGAATTCCACAATCACCGTGGATGTTTGGAGTCCTGGGAAATGTGCTGCAGAGCTGTGTAAATGAAGTGTTGCTGCCTCCAAGGTGTCTTGGGCCTAGGTTGGCTATCCACATAATTGAAATTAAAGTAAAACTTCATATGCTGCCAAGAAGACAACAACACATCCAGTTAATCTCCAATAGTGTTTTAAGATGATTCACAATTGGAAGATAGGTAACATGGTGTTTAACAGGTATGCCATGTTTTTTGTCATTTTATTCAAAAGAATCTCAGCAAATAGATAATTTTCTTTTTACATTTTTAAAAAAGAGATGGGGTCTCACTTTGTCACCTAGGCTGGAGTGCAGTGGCACTGTCATAGCTTGCTGCAGCCTAAAACTCCTGGCCTCAAGCAGTCCTCCTGCCTCTGCCTCTCAAAGTGCTGGGCCACTGTGCCTGCCACTTTTCTTGAAAAATTATAGGTAAGGAAAGGGGCTCATTGTTCCAGTTTCGCCTAGCACAGTTCAGCTTTACACCTGCTGTCCTAGCATAGTTGTTATTGTTCTTGTTTGGAGACAGAGTCTGGTCTGGCTTTGTCAACTTACCCGGAGTGCAGTGGCACAATCATGGCTCGCTGCAGCCTGAACCTCCTGGGCTCAGGTGATCCTCTCACTTCAGCCTCCCAAGTAGCTGGGACTACAGGCAGGCACCACTATGCCCAGGTAATTTTTTAATTTTTTGTAGAGACTGGGCCTTGCTATGTTGCCCAGGCTGGTCTCAAACTCCCGGGCTCAAGCATTCTCCCGCCTTGGCCTCCCAAAGTGCTGGGATTACAGGCATTAGCCACCGCACCCAGCCCTCAGTATAATTGTTAGTGGCACCTTCTTTCACTCTCCCATGTGTCCTGGTTTGGCCTATAATTTGTGGTCACCCTAAGAACAGGAAACAGTATATTCACAGAAAGAACTTGCTAATTAAAAATGATTTAAAATAGTTTTGCTTAGGAAGAAAACATTATGAGAACTTTACATTTTTTCCTAGACATAACTTAGCCTAAGGTTGAGGAAGGAGACACCATCAAGTCGATCTCCTGGCTAAGCAGGTTACATATACATCGCAAGAGCACTTTACAAAGAGGCAAGAAAGCCCTATACCCCAATGTCTGAAAAGGATCACACAGAGTAGAATTTAATCTGATTTTGATGGTGTTACCAATGGAGGGTATTGACTGCAAGTTGTCTGAGTTCTTGGCGTTTTGAACAAAGGATTGGACAAAACTCACAGCAAAGCAAGGAATAAAAGAAGCAATGAAAGCAGAGATTTATTGAAAATTAAAGTATACTTCACAGGGTGGGAGCCACCTGAGCAGCAGCTTAAGGGCCCTGGTTACAGAATCTTCTGGAGTCCAGATACCCCCTAGAGGTTTCTTACTGGCCACTTGGTGTACACCCCATGTAAATAAAGTAGTGGCTGGCAATCAGAGGCTGAAGTGAAGTTACAAAGGTTACACCCTATACAACCAATCAGAGGCTAAAGTGAAGTTACAAGGTTATACTCCTATGCAAATGAAGACTTGGCTTGCAATCTGATTGATTGTGGAAAGCAACCAATCAGAGGTACTTTCAATTTTCCATCTGCCACTCTGTAAGGGATGGGGGTTTGCAAAGGGAGTAGCCTCTCTGGTCCTTTTGTTACTTAGGTGTGGAAAGTTGGGGTTTTCCTTTCAATTCACCGTGAATTGGCCTTAGGTTCCCTGCCTCCAGACCCTATTCTCCTGCCTCAGTGGCACCTCAGGGCCATCATTTCGAATATCACTTACTTCTACCCTGGCTACACACACAGATGCAGTAAGAGGCCAGGCCCACAGTCTAGAAGGAATTGTTCACCATCCTATTATAAATCATTTTGATAATTTTTCTTAAGTGCACTGGCTTACTGAGGTTTACCTGCCACTTTTTCTGCCCACAGAGTCTCACAAGCTGGCCTGTGTTCTGTTCTCTGAAGATCCCATGCACTGTAGTGCTTAGTGCTGGCTGTAGTGGAGCCCAACCTTTTGTAGTCTGAGAAAACCAGTGGTGTGCTCTATAAGTGAGACAGTATTCAGTGTGCAGAAGGTACTTGGCAGAACTATAAATCCATAGACTTTTGGAAATATCTCTAAGATCCATAGGCTGGGAATCACAGAACTGAACCATTGAAAACATGTGTGTGCCATTATGTAATAACATTTGGAGCTTTGGTCTTGGAACTTGATATTATGATCTGACATGCTTTTACACTTGAATCATCTCAGTGCATACCTGATTCATGCCTTCATTACATACTTTTGACCTCTGAAATCCATGAAGCTGATAAGGACTTGGGAAGGCTGCTCTCATAGCATGTAAACACTTGGAAGGCTGATGAATGTTCTGCTGTAGTGTTATATCCTTTCTGTCCAGCTCTTGAGGGATTGCTTATTAACATTTCATTATCCAGTCATCTGCCATTTCTGTTCTTACTGACTAAAAAATGTGCCCTGTAACCTAACATCCAGTATAGGACGTTGCTCCATCTTTTTGCAAAGAAAAGTATGTGAAACAACTGTAACTATTTAGGAAAGATGTGTAATGCAGAAAATAGTGCATATTTGTAGGTTTTAACAGGCTTATTTCCTCTTCTACCAAAAACTAAAGAGAAATCAGTCTGCAGGTTTAGATCTTTGAAAATAAATGCATTCTAACTTTTATATCTTTAATAGAGATTCCTAAGATGTTAGTGTTCTGAAGCATCTTTACTATCATTGTTTGCATCCAGCATCAGATTAAAAATCAAATAATTTGAGTGTGATAGAGCTGTTCGTTGGAGGGTCTGCTTGAGGGTAGGGAGGCTCAAGAGACCCAGATCTGAAACTCAGCAGCCTCTCAAATAGGTAGTTTTGACTTGGGGGCTTGGCAAAATATTGTCATAACTGCAATGGAAATGGAAGTGAGAAGAGGTGGATTTATGGCATGATCCACATTAGACTCTGAGCTCCCTGAGGGCAGAGAATGTGCTCATTTTTATCTTTAGCATTTTGCACTGTACCTGATGTATTCTAGTTACTCAATAAATGTTGGTTGAGTGACTAGAGAAAGAAAAGAAAGTTGGTGAAGGTCGAGGCAAAGCAAACACTGTAGTGGTGAACGGTTGATGAAATTGTCATAAAAAGATGAAGTTTTAAAAATTAGGTGGAAACCACAGGGTGTGTCTACAGGCAGCCACCAAAACTGCAGTTGCAATAAAATAAAACATTAAGAAAAAAAAATTGAGAAGCTTTAACAAAAAAAACTTACTTGGCTTTGGAGCTAAAATTCCACAGCTGTAATCAGGGAAAATGCTCTGCCCAGCAGCCTGAGTAATGAATAAAAAGAATTTTCAGAGAGAAAAGAAATCAACAAGCTCTGTGACTCCCCCCAGAAAGGCCAATTGCTGCCTCCCACCATCTTTTGACAAGAATGACATTTTACCCACCCATGCCAGGCTTCTAAAATAAGTTGATAATGTTTGCACTCGCTGTATTAGTAGAACATCTTGATATAGAATGAAACAGTCTTAAATTTCTTAGCTACTAGGAAGCACGTTTTTTAGCTGTGTTTGGAACAGTGAGTATTCTTAGATTTTCAGCAGCATTCGTGTCTAGATATCTTTGGAATAATTTGTTGTGTTCTGATCCTGAGAGTTGATTATGTGTTCTCTTTACCATTTCTGAAAGATGTAATTCACATGAAAGTTATTAAACAGAAGGTTATCTGATTCTTATTTACTATTTCATTCTACTTTTACAATTATGTGTGTATATTGAAGTTCAGAATGCCCTGTCTAAATTTTAGGTTGAAAACAGGAAGTAGTGACTAAATTTAAGTGTGTTTTCTTATTTGAGGGATTAAAACCCTTGTTTTGGAGTTTGTTTTGTTTTGTTTTGGTCATCACTTCCAATTTAAATGCTATTGTTGTTTCTGGTTGCCTGAGCAGTATGAAACATCAGCTTGTGGAGACCAATAACTTGTGTTAAGCTTAAATTTGAGGCCAGTCCAGATGGAATTCTTCACTCCAGAATGTCTGTGAATGGCATTTCCTCAGAAAGTGTAACAGAATTTTTGGTCCGTATGACCAAGCAATTCCATTGCTAGGTATAAACCCAAGAGAATTGAAACCCTATACTGGGGTGGGGGTTGGGACTCATTCTAACTTTGGAAATTCTTGAGATTTTAGTGTTCTAAAAGGGTTTCTATATCAAATATATACAGCATCAGAATAAAAATCAAATAATATAGACATGTTGGTAGCAGCATTAGTCACAGTTGCCAAAAGGTGGAAACAACCTAAATATCAATATCAACTGTTGAATAGATAAACAAAATGTGGCATACCCATGAAATGGAATATTATACAACCATAAATAAGAATGAAGTACTGATACATGCTACAACATGGATGAACCTTGGAACACTATGTTTTATGAAAAAAGCCAGTTCAGAAAGATTACAATATGCATGAATCTTTTTATGTGAAATGTACAAAATAGGCAAATTCATAGAGACAGAAAATAGATTATGCTTGCCCAGGGCTGGTGTGTGTGTTGGGGAAGGGTTGGAGGGGTGACTGCTGATAGGCACAGGATTTCTTTTTGGTGTAATGGAAATGTTCTGGGATTAGATAGTGGTGATGGTTGCACAGCCCTGTGAATATACTAAAACTCAATGAAGTGTACACTTTAAATGAGTGTATTGTACAATATGTGAATTAAATTTTAAAACATGATGGGGGGGCAATTTCTGGAGAGGGGAGCAAGCAACATGCCCAGCAGGACATTATTCACTTGAGTTTCAGATTTGTAGTACTCTAATGCTAACAGCATGGTTTGCCTAGCTGATGAGGGTTGGGGAAAAAGAAAATCAAAAGCTGGACCACAGGAGACCAGGGTTCTCGTCCTGATCAAATGCATTTCTACTGTGCAACCTTGTAGATAGATGTTGGGAAGAGAGGAATGAGAAAAACTGTATATCCTTTTCATAATTAAATGATTGAGAGTGTTTGGGGAAGGACAAGAGAAAAAAGAGCTGTATGTTTAAAAACAGAAATAGGCCAGGCAGGTGTGGTGGTTCATGCCCGTAATCCCAGCACTTTAGGGTGACTGAGGCAGGTGGATCACTTGAGCCCAGGAATTCTAGACCAGCCTGGGCAACATAGTGAGACCTCATTCCTGCAAAAAACAAAACAAAACAAAAGAAAACAAAAGCACTAAAAATAACTAAAAAATGATAATAATAAAAGATTTTAAAACACAGAAATAAACATTCCTCAGGGCGAGGATGTGCATGTGTGGTTAATTCCTAATACTGAACAAGGCAGGGTTTTGACTACAGCTTAGCCAGACACTCCTTGGCCTCTCTGCCATGGCATTCCCAGCTCTCTGTCAGAATAGCAAATCGTAGCTGACATTTGCTTTTCCAGAAGGAACACCCTTTTGCCCCATTCTACCGTCAGCCTGGCTTTTTTGTCCGGATTTACCTGTTCTTTGTAGTGGGAGACAGCTGTGCAATGGATGGGAGCTTGAGGGAGCCCAGAAACCTCTTCTAGGACCACAGCAGCACTCATTCATCACTCAGAGAGGAAACAAGTAGTTTACGAGCTTTCACTGAAAAGTCATCATTGTGTAGGTTTTCATGAAATAAAGATTGTGTGAGCCATCACACAGGGCTGTTTTCAGGACAACTCTGACAGAGGATGTTTGTTCCTTCCAGAAATGCTGGCAATATTGTAAGCTTTTCATCCCTTTACCAGGGCATTACTCTGGTGCTGTTAGTGTCTGATTCTGCTAAGAAGTAGGAAATGTTAAGAAGGCATTGTTCTAAAGAAATGATCCCCAAATATCAGTGCTAAGTGCCATCTATGACCACACACATGTCCATTTATAAAATGCCTTATAAACTGGGAGCAGTGCTGGGTTTATATCAAAGTTCAATCTCAAAATCAATGCCATTTAAAATTGTAAAACCATTCTTAACTTGTTCTTTCAAATGTAGAACATTTGTATTATGTTTATGTTACATGTAGGGCACAGATATGGCATGTGACATTTGGTACATTGACATTTTTAGAACAAAAATGAGTGACCCACTGTTTTTCCTTGCCTCTTCTGTTCCCTTCTCTGTCTGTATTTTTCCTTCCTCTCCTCTCCTCCCCTTTCCTTCCTTTCTTTTTTTTTTTGAGACAGAGTCTTACTCTGTCACCCAGGCTGGAGTGCAGTGGCTCAATTACAGCTCACTGAAGCCTCGACCTCCTGGGCTCAAGTGATCCTCCTGCCTCAGTCTCCTATGTAACTGAGACCACAGGCGCACCCCACCATGCCCAGCTAATTTTTAAGTTTTATATAGAGACGAGGTCTCAATCTGTTGCCCAGGCTGGTCTTGAACTCTTGAGCTCAAGCAATCCTCCCGCCTCAGACTCCCCAAAGTGCTGGGATTACAGGTATGAGCCAT
Source organism: Homo sapiens (assembly GCF_000001405.40). NCBI lineage: Eukaryota > Metazoa > Chordata > Mammalia > Primates > Hominidae > Homo > Homo sapiens. The sequence goes on along the minus strand of NC_000023.11, from coordinate 133,361,941 downwards.
TGCATTGGGCCTTGTCTATATTTTTCAAGCTCTTTGCTTCTATTATTGTATTTAATTTGTTTTGGAGTTTTTTTCTTACTCAGAATCCTGCCTCCTCATTCTTTCTCTTTTTGAGAGAAGAGCAACTTTTGCTTTCGGGCACTCTAATTTACAGGAAAATGAACGATACAATTTATGCAGTTTTGTGTTCTAGAAAATTTATTATTTCAGCCTTCAGGGTTACCCAGGTTTTGTATCATTTCATTTCCCTGGAGCACTTTACACATTTAATGGCAAAGACCAGCAATGGTGCTTTTCTGGTGTATGCAGCAGCTTGTTCTAAGGCATGTGGTTTGAGAGTTGGCGCTACTTAATCATCTTGTTTTTTTTTTTTTCTTGAGTGTTTTGGATCTATTTCCTCCATTGAGTCCAAGTTGTCTTGAGAGAACTCAAGAATGGTGTGAAGTGTATTTAGCAGAATCTCTCTTCCCAAATGGCAAACTGTGTTTCAAGAAATAAATAAGCCCATTCTAAGATATAAACCCTATTTTCATGTTTACTTAGCTCTTTTCTTCTATATCTTCTGGGATTGATATTTTTAGTAATATGAACCAGCTATTTGATGCCCTTTGAAAGTAACAGCCTTGCTGCATGGGTCAGTTTTCTGGTAGCGTATCACCAGCAAGGACATCACACTCAGGTAGAAGAAAAATGAATGTTCTTTTTTGGAATATTTCAAAGGTTATAAATGTATATCAAACAAACCAGTTTTCCTTAATAAATCACCTCTTAGGTCTGTTTTCTCTAACATCTAGAACTTTTGTGAAGCTGTTAAGTTGCAGCCTATACCAACTGTTGACCTTTTGCTTATAGCTTTAAAATAATGTCTTAGTTATCTTACTTCATATGAAAAGAAAATGTTATGAGTAAGAGATTTTTCCCTTACCTATCAAACTGTCTTTTAAACATGTTTTAAATATTTCAATGAAAATATTTCTAAAGTATTTATTCTCCTAACTTATTAAACAGAAGGATAAAAACCGTAATCAGTTAAAAAACACTCAGGGTCACCATTATGAGAATCATTTAATAAATGATGCTCTAATGCAGCAATGTCCTTAGGGCTCTTTGAAGTATGAGGAACTATTTGCCCCTAAGCTAAATGGCCCCAGACTGTTCTGCTGCAGTTGCTTCTGCCTTCCTTTTCAGCTGTCACTTCTGCTGTCATTGATTTGGGTTCACTCTTTGACCCTTTTTAACCCAGTGCAGAACTGAATGTCTAGAAATCAGACAGTAGAGTTGGTTAAATGTGCAACTGGAGTATTTGTGTACAAAATAAAGGCTATGTTCCAGAGGGTGGCTTCAGTCTCCTACAGTAAATTTCACAGACTTTGAATATTTCTTCTTCTTCTTCTTCTTTTTTTTTTTCGGCAAACCCAAGGCTTCCCTTGCTTAGTGGGTCATCCCACAATTTGAAGTAATGTATAAGCAAGCCATTGCTATACTTCTAGGGTTGTTTATTGAATAAATTTAGTATATCAATAGGTGATAAAAGAGACAACCATTTTAAAGCCTCTCCATATGTTTGATTAAAAGAAATAATATTCCTGTCTTTGCACACTGAACCTTAATCTATTTTCATTTGTCTTCATAACCTCTTATAAAGCAAATAATTGCCCTGACCTTTTTATCTAACATCTGAATTTTCCTTATCTCATTTGTGTGTGTCCTTTAAGATTCAATGACAATGCACAGTAATGTAGATAACGTGATAATACTTTCTGTTGTGTTTTTAGCACGCTTTGTATAAATCATATCCTCAGGGTCCCCTTTATTCATATATTCTACTTGCACCACCCACCCCAAGAGTCCTGGTTTATTAGATTTTTCTCCTTTGCCAAAATATTTGGGTTTTCTCTCCCCCCCCAGCATAGGCCTTATTTTCATAAATGTGTAGTGATTTCACCTTTCCCGTAAAGTTGGCCAGCCTGCTTGATTATGGAAATTAGATTTACTGGTTTCTACTTCCCAGGGTCCCTTCTAGAACCCCGCTTATGAATAGGAATTACATTGACAAGCACCAGTCTCGGGCACAGTGGCTGTTTGTAAAGACAGCCTACACATGTTGGCCAAAACAGTTTCACCCTTGAGTTACTTCAAAACTGGCTGGTGGATACCATCTGGTCCCAGTGATTTATCTACTCCTGGTTTGTTGATTAGATGCAGGGCATCATGTTTACCACTATTTGATCTAGTACCTCTGACCTGCCGAGTTCAGTGTTCTGGTTTGGAAATGCGCATCTCCTTACAAGACAAAGAATTCATTCAGTCTCTCCACCATCTCCATTTTAGCCCTGTGACTGTGATTAAGTGGTTCCTCTAACTGGCTTCCTCCCTTTGATAGAGCAAAAGAGCCTCTTACTATAGCCTTTGCAATCTCTTGCAAGTTGCTCCTGCCTAGATTTTATTTTGTGTTTAACCTGCTGTGCCTTACAGGATTTTCTCTATTCCTTCTCTGGACTATTTTTTTTTCTTTAATCACCACTGCTTTTTCTTCTGCCTTTTAACCACAAGGAAGGTTCTCTTCTCTCTCCAGTCCCCACCACCTCCCCCGCCAATATAAGTAATTATTCTGGGGCGACTATAAGTAAGTTTTTTTCTTTCCCCTTTTTAAACCAGTCTCCAGGCATCTTGAGGGTTGTTTACTTTCCGAACTCCCTCAGTAATGCCCTGCTTTTGTCACAGATTCTTACTCTAATATAGCAAAAACTATGTAATGGGGTTTGTACTTTTCCTCTCCCATCAAGTTGTTAAATTTAATATTGCTGTGTGGTCACCAGTACACATTTGTTTATCCACACTTACTTGGTGTCCTAAGTCCTATGTACTACTCAAGACCAAGGCCAGGTATCTCTTGGGACCTTTCTTCCCTTCCCCCCTCCATCCCTCATACTCCTGTTCTAGAAGCACTTGTTCAGGAAGTAATCATTTTTCGTGTCTCCAGATCTTGGCTGTAGATCTTGGCAGGTAAGTATTATGCTGATGATTTTTTTTTTCATTCATGTCTGTGAATCTTCACACACAAATGTAAGAGGATAATGGAGGGAAATCTATGGTACCAATCTAAAGCTGAGTAGAGGAAGACCTATTTGACAGAAATATTTAAGACATAAAGAGAGTATAAGGGAGGTGATCCGGTGATAAACTGACAGACGCTCTAAGGTCGATATACTGTCATCAGCAACATAAAAAAAATCAGCACTTAAATGCATCACAATGGTACAGAGAGCTGTCATTTCCATCTTTGTTCTCCCTTCCTTTGATGTGATAGGGAGCCAACTCCCTTCATCTCCGGGTGGAATTTTTGTTTGTTTGTTTTTATTTGACATACATTTATCCTTAGACAGTCTAAATTTCCAAAGCATCTGCCTTTATTTCATAGAGCGGAGAGTTCTTTCAACAAAATGATTGGCTATTAGGAAGAAATTGATCATTTGTCAGGATAGTGCAGCAGACACAGTGCATATTCTGGGCACACAATATTTTTGTAAAGTCAGATGCATATCTACTCAAGCAAATAGTGTCTTGTCTTAATCTTTTGAATTTTATTCATGAGTTAGATATTCTAGGATGCAAATGAATCATATTTATCTGTAGAAACCTTTGGATATTGTTGCTAAGTTGATTCCCCAAAATATTCAGTCAGACTATGTGAAATTGCTGATATTTGACCTATTTGGCCTAAAATAATGGCACTCTCATAAGAATCAACCTTTAATATTTTGTTTTTCTTTAATCTCTCAAAGCTCATAACAGAACCATTTCAAAAGCTAAAGAAAAGATTCTGTAGCTCATAATCCTAGAGCAGTATTGCAGGTTGTAGCCTGAATTTTTATCAAGGGACTGTTTTGTCTTTCTGCTAAATAAAGCTAAATTTCCATTTGGTCTGTAATTTTTAGAAATAAATATTTCCAAAGACTAAAAATAATAGTAATGATAACAATAGAAACAACAAGAAAACAAACACTCCCCCATTGGTTAAACATAGCTGAACTCTGAAACATAGAAAGAATCCCCTTTCTGAGAAATATATAGCATCTTCTGATATCAGTGTTCATAATAATAGCTGCTATTGATTGAGGTATACTGTATAATTTTAATGCTTCTAACAACTCTCTGAGGTAGGTTCTGCTCTTGTCCTCCTTTTACAGAAGATGAACTAGTCTCAGAGAAGTTAGGAGGGTGGCTCAAAATTGCACAGTTGGTAAGCAACAGAACTGAGCCTAAGCTGGGCATGGTGACGTGGGCCTATCATCCCAGCCACCATGAGGTGGCTCGTGCTTGAGGTCAGGAGTTTCAGACTAGCCCGAGCAACACAGTGAGACCCTGTCTCTTAAAAAACGAAAAAAATACCAGATGTGATGGTGCATACCTGTAGTCCTAACTGTTCAGGAGGCTGAGGTGGGAGGATCATTTGAACACAGGAGTTTGAGGGTACAGTGAGCTATGATGATGCCACTGCACTCCAGCGTGGGTGACAGAGACGCCATCTCTAAAAAAAAAAATTTTTTTTTTTTTTTTGAGAGAGTCTTCCTCTGTCACCCAGGCTGGAGTGCAGTGGTGCTATCTTGGTTCACTGCACCCTCCACCTCCCAGGCTCAGGCAATTCTTCTGCCTCAGCCTCCCGAGTAGCTGGAACTACAGGCATGCACCACTGTGCCTGGCTAGTTTTTGTACTTTTAGTAGAGACAGGGTTTTGCCATGTTGCCCAGACTGGTCTCGAACTCCTGGCCTCAAGTAATCCACCTGCCTCGGCCTCCCAAAGTGCTGGGATTACAGGCATGACCCACTGCACCTGGCCCTAAAAATTATTTTTTTAATTAAGAAAGAACTTAGCCTGAACTTGGGCTTATTTACCTTTGAAGCTGTTATGCTTTCCATATAACATGATGCCTCCCTACCTCAGAGACTCAGAACAGAGAGTCCAGTCAAAACATTTATAGCTAATTTCCCACACTGTTCTGACATACATACTATACAGTATGTAGTTAGATAGTAAATCATGCTCCAGACAAGCTTTTCTGTTCTCTTGAGTTTCCCACTTGTTGTGATTTATCCATTTGTTTTTTACTGAACTGTTCTGATTGAGGATCCTTGGTGATGTGGAGTGTCTTAGTCCATTTGTGTTGCTATGAAGGAATACCTGAGGCTGGGTAATTTATAAAGAAAAGAGATTTATTTGGCTCATGGTTCTGCAGGCTGTACAAGAAGCATATTGTCAGTATCTGCTTCTGGTGAGGGCCTCAGGAAGCGTTCACTCATGGTGGAAGGGGAAGGGGAGCAGGCATCACATGGTGAGAGAGGAGGTGCCAAGCTCTTTGCCAACAGTTCTCTCTTAGGAACTAAGTAAGAATTCACTGCCAGGTGTGGTGGCTCACACCTGTAATTCCAGCACTTTGGGAGGCTGAGGTGAGTAGATCACCTGAGGTCAGGAGTTTGAAACCAGCCTGGCCAACATGGTGAAACCCTGTCTCTACTAAAAATACAAAAATTAGTCGGGTGTAGTGGCAGGTGTCTGTAATCCCAGCTACTTGGGAGGCTGGGGCAGGAGAATCACTTGAACCCAGGAGGTGGAGGTTGCAGTGAGCTGAGATTGCGCCACTGCACTCCAGTCTGGGCGACAGAGCAAGACTTCATCTCTAATAAAAAAAGAATTCGCTGCTGCGAGATCCAGGCCATTCACTAAGTATCTGCCCTCCACAATCCAAACATCTCCTGCCAGGCCCCACCTCCAACACTGGGGATTAGATTTCAACATGAAACTTGAAGGGGCCATACAAACCATATCTATGCCATCGCACAGAATAACCTAAAATTCTTGGTTCTTGAAGTGCCTGACTGTTACGCCATTTTTGCATCACTATAAAGACATACTGGAGGCTGGGTAAGTTATAAAGAAAAGAGGTTTAATTGGCTCATGGTTCTGCAGTTTGTACAAGCATGGCTCCAGCATCTGCTTCTGATGAGGCCTCAGGGAGCTTTCAATCATGGTGGAAGGGAAAGTAGGAGACAGCATGTCACATGGTGATAGCGGGATTAAGAGAGAAAGAGTGGGGAGGTGCCATACTCTCTTAACCAACCAGGTCTCATGGGAACTCAGAGCAAGAACTCACTTTTCTCCCGGGGGATGGTGCTAAGCCATTCATGAGGGATCCACCCACACAACCCAGTCACCTCCCACTAGGACCCATCTCCAACACTGGGAGTCACTTTTCAACATGCAATTTGGATGGTGCACACATCCAAAACATTTTCATTGACCCTTCTTGTTCTAAGTTGCTGCTTACTGCTACTTACTGGTGGAATAAAAAGAAGTTTGGGTTCTGTATGCGGTCCCAAGGCTACCAAGTGTGTCAGTGCTGTTAGAAGAGTTTTAAACCAATAAGCAAAATGCATCATGACTATTTCTTAATATAGGCTCATTTTGTAATAGTGTGTTATGTTTGTAGCCACAAATCATGGAGCTATGAAGGTTCATCTCATAATAACGAAACAATGCTTTTTTATAAGAGTATATTTTCTACTTGCCCATACCACCAAGTCATTCGGCCAAATGGAAGCTCAGACTTGGTGCTACTGAGCACCTTTTCCTATGTATATTTATGAAACTCGAGATTGAACTATTGTTCTTTTTCAAGCTCATGCAGTTCTAGTATAGTCATTCTGCATGACTGAACTTAACTCTAGTCAAGTAAATTTGGGTTAGGTTAGTTGGTCTTTGTACTGGCCTATGTTAATTGTCATATATAAAAAATATTAATAGAAACACTCATGGGCAAAAACATAAGCATGCTTTCTGGATAGCCTGGTAGAACTCATTCTTATTTAGGCAGTTCATTTGGAAAAATCAGGTCTTATAATGCTGGACATTTAATTTGGCTTCAGCCTTTGAAAGGCCGTTCTTCCCCACATTGAAACTGATTTCAGAATATGATTTAATGTATGTGCTGCTGTAGCATTGCATACAATTTAGGATTATGCTGTCTTGACTCAGAGTTAAAACATAAGAGTAGCTAGATTAAAAAAATAAAACATGGCCGGGCGCGGTGGCTCACGCCTGTAATCCCAGCACTTTGGGAGGCTGAGGCGGGTGGATCATGAGGTCAGGAGATCGAGACCATCCTGGCTAACAAGGTGAAACCCCGTCTCTACTAAAAATACAAAAAATTAGCCGGGCGCGGTGGCGGGCGCCTGTAGTCCCAGCTACTCGGGAGGCTGAGGCAGGAGAATGGCGTGAACCCGGGAAGCGGAGCTTGCAGTGAGCCGAGATTGCGCCACTGCAGTCCGCAGTCTGGCCTGGGCGACAGAGCGAGACTCCGTCTCAAAAAAAAAAATAAATAAATAAATAAATAAATAAATAAAACATGACCTTGCATGGTTTATGATCCAGTGAAAGATAAAGAGAACAAAGTGGGCTGTTCTCTGTTCTTTCATACTTCTGGTACTGATACTTTTTAAAGTACACTACAGTGTTTACTATTTCAAACCGATAAGCACAGCACTGCTGCCAAGTATTATCTTTAAAACAAGACCGACATTTAATTCAGTTGTCATATTTGTTCTCATCCTTGAAGGCAGTTTAAAAAACAGTTGCCTCTCATTGGTTACTGTGGGATCAGGAAAAACTAGGAGCTTATGTAAATATGCGTGTATCTGAAAGGAGAAGGTTTATTTTTTTATTTTCCTTTGAAGTACCTTTAAGTGTACTCTTAAAGTATATCCCGAACTGCATACCATTATGTGTTTTCCACATAGGATGAAACATCCTCAAGGAGAGGGGCTAAAAATAAGTATATTAAAGTAACTTACTCTTTGCTGGCAGAAGGTCCTGGTACAAAATTAGGTCCTTGAATTTTCCAAATGAGGTTGTATTTATTGCCCTTCTTTTCTAAGAAAGGCTATTTTAATAATTTTTGCTATCACATCAAAGACTTTTCATGATAATTATAGTCAATAATTGCAGTAGTAATGCTGCGTGCCATCTGCAGGCTCTGTGTAATGGAAACTAGGGAGAAAAACGTGTCCCTGTGCTTGATGGGAGTTACCACAGAACGAAAGACCCTGGTGCCTGATCACCACTTGCATCAGTTGTAGGTGACTCTCCCACTCCTGGGCCCTTGGTCATATATACTGTCTTTTTTTTCTCCCTTTCTCCTTTGACCCATTTCCTTCCATTTCTTTTTCTCTCACTCCTTCAGGCCTCTAATGTGCAGGAGTAAGAGAGAAAGAACTTCCCCATCCCCCATGTTTGTTGCTCATCCTAAAGTAGCTGACAGGCCACATTCTAGGAGTAGAGGAGTAATTGGAACTTCTTTGGGATCAAGTGTTTGACCAAATCAATTGGTTTATGAGTGAGCAGTTGGCCCATTACCAAAAAGAGTTAGAGAGGGCAAGCTAGACATTGAAGTAACGGAATGAGCACCCACTCACCCAGTTGCACCAGGTCAGAGAAAGCTGTCTGATACTTTCAATTTGTGAGCATCCGGTCTCAAGCTTGTCTGTGGGCCAGATTTCTGAAGTGCTGATGTTTCTCTTAGGTCCTGTGACAGGCATTACATTGTATAGTAACTCCAATATCAGCCCCATGGAAGCAACCCTAAGTTCTTACAGGCTCAAATTAGAGTGGCTCCTATCCTTTCATTCATACCCAAAGCAAAAATGGTAAGATGCAGCCGTTTCATTCTTGGTTAGTTCTGCAGTAAAGAAGTCCAGGACACTTGCAGCGCACTTTCTGGAGCATTTGTATCTATCTCTTTGGCCCAGTGGTGCCTAAGAGGGCCCTGGTATGGTTAGGGTTATCTGAAGATGACTAGGAATTGAACAGGCCTTACTTGAATGTGTAGTAAATGACTGGTTTCTCTCTTTTCTGTGTCACTTGCTGACAAAGAGGCAATAACTTTTCCATCTTCTTCTCTAAGGAAGTAAATTTTTTTATGTCATAAGTAGACACATTAATACTTTAATATAGCACCTAAGATCTGGCTTTATTTTTCCTTCCCTGTGGTACTTAAGAAACCAGAGGAAAATGGCGGGTGGCTGGATGGCAGCCCAGTTGAAGAATTGGCTAATCAATACCTTGCCTTTGAGTTCAGGCACCTTTTTATCAGGGTTTTTTAGAGCCTAGAAAAAAACAGGGATTATTCCTAGTGTGTGGAGAGGCACTGGGTGGTATCTCAAATTGTTCGTTGTTGAGTATATATCAGTCACTTGAGGGCATAGAAGCTCTCCTCTGGTGAGACCTCTACTACAAAAATTGAACGGAGCTATGCCAATAATTTATTGACTATCCAAATATAAGTTTAGGGAAGCTTGTTATCAAGTGACCAGGTTAGGGCCTTTAAAAATCAAAGCACTAACATTGTCTGAGTTTTTTTTTTTTTTCTTAAAAGGAGATTTGAATGTTTAGTGACTTCTGATTTGTCAAACCAAGGAAATGAAACAGCATGTGTGTGGGAAGTCTTTGTTCTGCCGATTTTGCTTTGTTGACCAAGAAAGGCAGCAGAACTAGGTCCCCAAGGAGTTTTATTCACCCTTGCCTTGTCAGATTTTGCTCTGAGTCCGAGATAATGCCTTCAGTAGTTTTGGTTGTCTCAAAAATGGACATAGTATATATGGCAATGTATAGGTTATATCTGAGTGTGTGACTCTCTCCTACTTTGTCCAAAGGCACCTCCTATGGCACATCTGTTGAAGTTCCAAAGTGAGAAGAAACATGGGTTGAGTTGATTTGCCTGATTTAGCATCATCTCTCCTGTCTTTTGGACTTGAGTTGTTCCAAGATAAGATTAGAGGACCTCAGAGATCTTGTGGTGGGGAGGGGGTTGGAGGAATTCACATTATAGAGTAAGAAGGAGAGAGAAAAAGCCTAGAGAACAACAATAAAATCCATGTCTGTTCATCTTGTAATTTTCAAGAGGGCGGAGACCAAGCCATTTGTATTTTCTGCACTGATGGATGGCATCTGGCACATAAGAGTCACTTGATAAATACTGCATTAAGCACCAACAATGTTTTTGTGTTGCCAAATCGGGTCAAAGGTTAGTTTGGGAGAAGTGAATCAAATCTTTGACTTAGACTTGGGGAAAATGTTAGGGCAGAGTTCCATTCCCAGATAATCTCTTGCAGTGGTCTAGTTGAAGTAACTAGTTCACGAAGTGGTAAATATAGTGGATTTTCTAATCATAATGAATAAATCAAATGTAGTTAATTAACAGGTCTGATTCTAAAGGAAAGGTTCTGAAAGGTGAGATTGGAGAATCAAATGGTGTTAAGAAGCCACTAGGATAAGTCCCAGTCAGACCTGGGGTGCCTCACTAATAAAGGCAAGCTGGTAGAGTCTATAATAAAGGCTGAGGACATTGAAAACTTAAGCAAACTCAGTCTTCCAGGAAAGGCAACTTCGTTAAATAAGGGGAATCTGTGCTTTGCTAGTGACCTTGTGTTTCTCAGGTGGCTAATGCATATGTAGAGAATGGAAAACCATTGCACGTGATCTATTTAGGTTTTCAAAAAGCTTTCTTGGTGGCGGGGGGCAGTTGATGGGGGGGTTCACACCAAGCCAAGGAAACTCAAAGTAACTGGCACACCATGGAATTGTGGGACTGTTTCGTCAAATATTATGATTGACTTTGAGGCAGGAAACAAAGGGTAAGGGATAAACACAGGTAATTCTCTGAATAGCAACATAGTGGCTTTCACTCCAAAATTAGGACTGAGACAAGTTTTACTTAAAGCTCCAGGAACTGACCTGGAAGAGGAAGTACACATTGAAATCTTTACATTTGTCAACAAAACTTTTCTAAATAACAAAGAGCCTATTAAATGGTAATAAATTGTAGGGCATGTGGCCCAGGTGCTAGGGCTTTAGATAATGGGTGAGGAGGAGTTTTTGTTTTTGTTTTGCTTTTACTGAAAATGGCATGCTTCATATTGCATAACATGCTGCTTGAAGACTTCATGGCCAGTTGCCAGGGTTGGGGAAACTCAGCCTTGCAAAACGATGGGGAGTATGAGGAGGGCTCTGCCTCTCCCTCATCTGCCCATTCCAAGGTTCAGAAGAATTTTTCTCTCATGTTATAAAATTAACCCCTGGTCAACTGTGGCTCATGTCCATATCCATAGGAACTGGGACTTATTAACAGTCCTTCAGTGCAGATCTGTATCAGAGTAAGCCGTAACTTAACTATGACTTTTAGCAAGAATTTTGTGAAGTGGGTTTTAAAGGATGTAATTAAGCACAGACATTAAAAATGTAAATCTTACTTTCCTCTGCACCATTTTATTGATGCCTAGCTAGAATTTTGAGGAATGGTTTGCATGGATCACTGTTTTTTGTTTTTTGTTGTTGTTGTTTGTTTGTTTTGTTTTGTTTGCAGAATGAAACATTCCCCCCCACCCCACTCCAAGGCTTGAGTGCAGTGGCATGATCATGGCTCACTACAGCCTCAGCCTCCTGGGCTCAGGCGATTCTCCCACCTCAGCCTGCCTGACTAGCTGGGACTACAGGTGTGCGCCACCATGCCTGGCTAATTTTTAAATTTTTTGTAGAGACACGGTCTCACTATGTTGCCCACGCTGATCTTGAATTCATGGGCTGAAGCGATCCTCCCACTTTGACCTCCCAAAGTGCTAGGATTACAGGCATGAGCCACTGTGCCCATCCCAGAATCATTTTTCTTTATGTGAGGAAGTGGACTTTGCCATTGGTGGGTTTACATAAAGGCTTTCTAGATAGCCATTTGGAGAAATATCTTTTGGAGAATTAATGATGAATGAATATGTTATTCTTCTGGTATATTTTTTCTAGACAGTAAATTTACTGAAAACCTCTTACCACGCTGTATTTTGAGGGGAGAAATTTTGGGTATATTGTGAAAAGGAGGGTTAAGAGAAGCTAAAGACAGCTTTTACCTTCCCTTTTGTTTAAGCTGAAAGCAATTACTAAAAAAGAGAAAATAATTTGATGTTAAAAATTGTCATGACTCAGCCGAGTGCAGTGGCTCATGCCTGTAATCTCAGCACTTTGGGAGGCTGAGGGGGAGGATTGCATGAGCCAGGAGTTCGAGACCAGCCTGGGCAATGTAGTGAAACCCCATCTCTACAAAAAATACAAAAATTAACCGGGTGTGGTATCACATCCCTGTAGTCCCAGCTACTCGAGAGGCTGAGGTGGGAAGATCACTTGAGCCCAGGAGGTCGAGACTGCAGTGAGCTATGTTCACGCCACTGCGCTCCATCCTGGGTGACAAAGCGAGACCCTGTGTCTCAACAACAACAACAAATTGTTATGACTCACACAATCCATGAAATGTACGTAAGAAGGCAGACTTTAATCATTCAATTAGAGCAGGTGTCTGAAATGTCTGATATCTGTGAGCCTCCCCACTCACCAACTGTATTTTCTTCTACACTTGCAGCAAATTCAGCTGTTAACCATTTCGGATATTCCTGTGAATTCTAAATGGCTGTGGCAGGCTATCTGAGAATGAGATTCCCAGGATCTTCTTTAGAGATTATTTGGAAATAATATGGAAAATCATCTGCTGTTGGAAGTCAGTGTTGATTCAGCCCCTAGGGGAGGAGGAAAGGGGTGTGTCTGATGTCTTCCTGAGGATACCTTCTTCCTTTTGCTTTCTCCGAGGTCTTCTGTGATGGTGTGCAGGAGACTGCCCACTGGGGCAGTCACTGGAGATGCAAAGAAAGGGCAAAGTGCTGGCGGCTAGCCCTCCCCTACTCTGAGAATCACCATGACCTTCCAAGCCAGGTCTGATCAGCTGTCTCAGAGATGGCCCTGCTAAGGCCTTGGTCTACCAGCTATTATGATGTGTGGCTTGGGGATACAGGTTCCAGAGGGAAAAAAAGTCCTCACCAATGGCGTTTTCTGTCTAGGCTGCTTTTTATTCATAGCTGAATGTATCACTGGGGCTCTAACAGACGTGATCAACCCTGGGAATCTCAGTCTCCATACAGTCTCTCATCTCACTCTCTGTAAAAAGAAAACCTCAGAGTTAGGGGAGTGGGAGTATGAGAAAAATTCACCAATAAAACAAGAAGGACTTTGAGGAGAGTTGTGGAAATCTTAATTTCATAGGCACTATGTAACAAACACCTTCAAAGTCTGTGTATTTGTTTTTCTCTTAAAGAGCTTGAAACTCACATGTGACTCCTTCATATCACTTGAATGAGTATGAAATCCGTAGAGGCATTTGGAATCATTTATTTATCCCTAGGCCTTCTGTTAAATTATGAGCCTAGTGAAAATCATAATTGCTACTTAAGAGAAATTCTCAAACGATGCTACCAAGATATGTGCACCTGAATTATTGACAGAAAAGATCTCCTTTGTTAGTTGCAAAACAAGTAAGAGAGCTCCATCTTTTCCTGTCTGCTCCTTGCTATCCCGCAAGGTCCCCCAGCACACTTCTGTGAGCCTTTTATTAGCACTGCTTAGAAAGTATTTACAGGAGCCTCAGAATTTTTGGAGAGTTTTGGGTTAATCACTAGTAGTATTACTATTCCTTTTGAGTCCTGGAGGTAGTGGTTGTAAATGTGCAAAATAGATGCAGTTGCTTCAGCTGCTCAGAAGTGATGGCAACACAAGGTCAAAGTGTGCATTTCAGGCCATTCACTCAGTTTGGTTTGGTGTGCCTTAATAAACCTTTGGTATAGTTAAAATGGGGATCTAAGATTGTCAGATATTAACCTTGGTTGACAATTTGCTTATCATTTGAAAAGCAGTAAGAAGCCTTGGTTGATTTCTGTCTGGAGTGCAGTTTAAAGCTATTATAAGCTCATTGAAATGAAGTGTAGAGTTTTAAAGTAGCAACCCTAACTCTTCCAACTACACTTACATAAAGTTATTCTTAGAAAAATATAATAAAACTGATTATTGAATGTATGTGTTTCTGACTGGCCTTCTCTATACTACCTTGCAGGATTAGTGGACCTAGAAATAATTGGCAGTCTTAAGCCCTCCAGAGCTATATTTTGGCAAGGTTTTGCAAAATGCTAACTGGCTGCATTTCTCCTACTGATTAGTAGGTGATCTCAAATCATACATCTGCATAATGACTGTAATTTACGTGCTTTGTTATTAAGGTCAGATGACTCCAGGCTTTGGATGCACATAGCACATTTTATGCAGTAATTTCACTCCTTTTTGGAAGGAGGGAGGATGGATTAATGTACACGTCCCCCCACCTCCCTGGAGTTATTAAAAACCTTTAGAGATTTTCTTTCTTTGTTCCCATGAAGCAGAGCATTGTATGTTCCTCATGGGGTCTTAGGTAGCTTAGAGGGGCTGGAGTTATATAGCAACCTGCATTTTAGTTCACTTTGTGGCTACATGAATTTAGATCTAAGAAATGAACAGAAACTATTTTGGTAATGCTTTAGACCAACAGCAAGGAATTATTTTACGTTTAGAACAATAAAAATTAGAAAAAGAGTAAAGTAGCAATTGAGGGATTAGGAAAATTGCTCCAGCAAATAATAGCTTAATACAGCTCCCCAATATTAGAATTACATCAAGTATTTATATTTTTGAAAGCATGATGAAAGTTTTTCCCCGCTGGCCACATGTATTTATGCTTTTTAATTTGAAAGCCAAGACTTGCTTTTCTTAAAAAAAAAAAAAAAAAAAAAAAAAAAAAAAACTTCTAATAGAAGAGTTTTAGATTTACAGAAGTTGGGAAGATAGCACATAGACTTTCCTATATCTCACCCCCAGTATCCCGTTATTAACATCTTACATTAGGGTGGGTATATTTCTCATGATTGATGAACCAATATTGATGCATAATTACGAACTAAAGCCTACACTTAATTCTGATTTCCTGAGTTTTTTGGTAACTGTCTTATTGGGATATAGTTAATATAACAAATAATTCACCTATTTGAAGTGTACAGTGACTTTTAGTATATCTACAAGGTTGTACCTCCATCACCAAAATCAATTTTTCATCACCCCCGAAAGAAACCCCGTACCTTTTAGCTGGCATCCTCACTTTCATTCTTTCCCCTCTCCCCCAGCCCTGGGCAACCAAGAATCTACATTCTATCTCTAGATTTGCTTATGCTGGACATTTTATATAAATGTGGATTTTTTTCACTTAGCAGTGTTTTTGAGATTCATCCATGTTGTAACATGTATCCGAATTTCCTTCCTTCCAATGGCTGAGTAATATTCTATTTACAGATACAGTAGACCACATTTTGTTTATCCATTCATTTGCTGATGGAAATTTGGCTATTATGAATAATGCTGCTATGAACATTTGCATACACCTTTTTGTTTGATTTCCTTAGTTTTTTTCCCCACAATGTACTTATTCTGTTCCAGGATCCCATCCAGGATATCACATTATATTTCCTCATCATGTCTCCTTAAGCTCCTGTGGCTTCGCTTTTGATGGCCCTTTGAATCCCTTGGTTGATGGCTTGGTCACCATCAGTTCACCATCACATATGCATGCCGTTCAGCTCCTTGATGTGCCCTATTTCCACATCTTTCTGAACTAGCTAGAAAAGAAAAGTTTGTTAAAAGAAAAACTTTGGACATGAGGCAGGAGAATAGGGTCTGGAGGCAGGGAACCTGAGGCTGATTCATGCTGACTTCCTATAACTAAATTGAAAGGAAAACCCCAACTTTCCACGCTTAAGTGACAAAAGGACCAGAGGCTACTTCCTTTGCAACACCATGCCCCGCCCCGCCTTCCCCCTTTTTCTGCATGGCAGGAGGAAAATTGAAAGTACCTCTGATTGGTTGCTTTCCCAATCAGACATTTGCATAGGAGTGTAACTTTGTAACTTCATTTTAGCCTCTGATTGCAGGCCACTACTTCATTTGCATGGGGTAAACACCAAGTGGCCAATAGAAACCTCTAGGGGGTATTTGGACCCCAGAAGATTCTGTAACTGGGGCCCATGAGCCACTGCTTGGTTGGCTCCCACCCTGTGGAGTGTACTTTAATTTTCTGTAAATCTCTGCTTTTGTTGTTTCATTCTTTCCTTGCTTTGCTGTGCATTTTGTCCAATTATTTGTTCAAAACACCAAGAACCTGGACAACTTGCAGTCAAGACCCTCTACTGGTAACAGACAAATTAATTTTAACAGAATTTAACTGAGCAAAGAATGATTTGCAAATTGATCACCCCTCCCCACAACCAGAATATGTTCAGAGGGATTCCAGTACTGCCATGTAGTTGGAGAGGATTTATGGACAGAAAAGGAAAAGTGATGTACAGGAAACGGAAGTGAGGTACAGAAACAGCTGAGTTGGTTACAGCTCAGTGATTTCCTTATTTGAACATGGTTTGAACCGTTGGCCACCTGTGATTGGTGCAAGAGCAAGTTACAGTCTGTTTACACACCCAGTTTAGGTTACAGTTCACTGTGTACGGGGAAACCTTTAAACCAAACTTTAAATGTGTAAGGAGGCAGCTTTAGGCTGAACTTAACAAGGTGCTGCTTTTCTGGCGCCCCTCCCTCACCTAGTACAAGTTGTCAGAAATGGTTCTTAACACGAAACTTCAGTAGCTTATCAGAGCATAAGAGATGTTCATTTCTTTCTTTGTTTTGCAATTGTACTGTCTTACATTTACATAATGCCTCCTTGTTTTCAAAGGGCTTTTTTCGTTTTAAGGTTCCAGTGGATAACTGACTTTCCCAAGAGTCTTTACCAAAAGCTTCCCAATCATGTAGAGCTGGGCTTCAAACCCATATTCCTGACTTCTAGATAAAACTTAATTATCCCTAGACTGCTGCTGTTATCTCTGCAGAATAAAAGAACCAAGTAGTTTTAAATATTTGGAACCTTTTAAATTCACTCCTTAAAAAAACCCCTTGTAAAGAGCTAAGTTTTCTTCATAACTCAAGTGAGGCACTCTTCTAGAAAGGCCAATGCAAAATCATAGTCTCTTATGTTTGCAGTTTTCATAGTGCTTTCCAGTCTGTTCTTCTCAAATGTTCCTCACTGCGGTCCTTACCCTTAAGGAACAGTTTGTCTCTCTTATTTACCATAGGCATTTGGTTGCTTTATTGGTAAAATTAGTCCGAGTACCAAGAGTGTCTGCCTTAAAAATCCCACTGGTGCAGGCAAAGCCTGGGTTCTCTACCAGTGTCTTGCAATGTTTTCTGGCTCTGTTTTCTCCATTTAGGACACTGGGGGAGTAAACACTAGAGATTTTCTTTATTTCCCGCAGGTACAGAAAGAAAGCTGACCCCTAAGTGGTAACTACCGGTATTCCTCTATTACTGCCCCACCTCCCAAAAAAGTGGGGAGAATTGGAGAGACACTTTCTTGGCATCTAGTTGGATTTCTAAATGTATTTTCTGAGAGAGATATAGAAAATGGTTGTTAGACATAGTTGAAAATAGTCACCGGGCGTGGTGGCTCACACCTGTAATCCCAGCACTTTGGGAGGCTGAGGCGGGCAGATTACCTGAGGTTGGGAGTTTGAGGCCAGCCTGACCAACAGGGAGAAACCCCGTCTCTACTAAAAATAAAAAATTAGCCGGGTGTGGTGGCGCATGCCTGTAATCCTAGCTACTCAAGAGGCTGAGGCAGGAGAATTGCTTGAACCCGGGAGGCAGAGGTTGCGGTGAGCTGAGATCACGCCATTGCACTCCAGCCTGGGCAACAGGAGCGAAACTCCATCAAAAAAAAAAAAAAAAAAAAAAAAAAAAAAAAAAAAAAAAAAAAAAAAAAAAACCAGAAAGAAAGAAAGAAAATAAAGAAAGAAAGAAAGAGAAAATAGTCAAGTTAGTAGTAAATAAGCTGAGGGCTGGCCTGAGCACCTATCTACCATTTATAACATTTTCTATGGGAAGCTGAGTTATGAGCAACTGAAAATAAACGAACATTAGCCGCACCCCATTTGTACATCAGAGGCAGCCTTTGGTGAGAGGAGTAAATGAGATAAAATGAGAAAGCACAGTTTCACAGATTGCCTCAGAGCGCTGTTAAATGATGGAATAGATTCCTCATATTCAATGCCTACTTCTTTAACCATTGATTTGAAGTGCCTCAAAAAAAAAGAACCAATACACACTCAGCAGGATTGAGAGTAATTTATTGTGATTGTCTTTGTTCAGCTTTGAAAACTAAGGCATTGATATTAAGACTAAAGAGAAATTACATAGAGCTGGTGTGATTGAAAAAAGTTTGGCTCTTTCGAGTGATTTTTTTTGTTTTGTTTTTAATGCCAGAGAGTTAAGCTTTAAAAGCACGCTTCATTGAATCCCATCCAAGCCTCCTAGGACAGGGCTGGGGGACCTTTTTTCTATTGAGGGCCACTGACCCACAAAGAAAAAAACTAATCAAGGGCCATGTACAAAAAGCAACTTAATTTAGGTGCTTCCTTGGAAAACCATAAAGCATTGAATTCACCTGCTTTTTAAATTAAGAACAAGGAATTCTCAACAAGTACAACAAATAAAAAAACCCTTCAGTTTCATATTATGCACCACTTAAGAGGTGGGGTGGGATAAGAGAGAACTACATGGTTAGAGTGAAAAGAGAGTGGAAAGCAGACAGGAGAGTCTTAATGGACTAGAAGCGATACATGAAGAAGAAACTGTATGTCAAGAGCCATGGAAGCAGGAGATTGAATTAGGGAAATAGGGGAGAGAAATGGCAGTTGTAGATCATAATCTACTATTCACTAAGGTAGTAGACTAACTGGTTAACTGCTATACTCAGCTGTTCCACAGCTGGAATTCAGAAGCCTTTCTGACAACAATTCTTAAGGAAGGGTCAGAATCACCTAGAGCCCTTGTTAAAAAGTGCAAGTGTCCAATGCTACCCCCACAGTGGCTGTCTACCTGTCCCATCTTTATTCTGTTGTCCTCGTGTTCAGCTCTCTCAGCCTAAAGGAAAAATTGTGGCATCTTTCTTCAGTGAGAAGAATATAAGATCACCGGGCTTAGAAAGGAAATCTCCAGAAAGAAAAGATTTCTCACTCAGGCACAGCATTTTAGAAGCAGTCTCAAACACATAAGACAGAATGCCTTTCAAATAATATGCACGCCCTAGCCTTCAAAATAAACCATTTTGGGTGCTTAAAGTAGAAATATTCAAGTTAAAAAAAAAAACTTAATTAGTTGCTCAAGTCTTCAAAGATTTTTTACCAGAACATGGAGCTATAATTTCATTTTCAAATGTACCCAGACTTGTCCTCCTTTTCCTCCCTGTGCTTCTCATTAGCACTAACTAGTTGTGGCACCGAATCCCCAGTAGCCCAAGAATGTCTTGGGGTTTAATTCACAAGTGTGTCTTGGACTACGTGTGTCACAGGGCTTTTGGCAAGAATGTCAAATTACATTTTCAAGTAACGCTTTTTAGAAATGCAGACAGGATAAGTGGTGCATTCGGGGCTATATGGCCCAAAGTGTGAACTTTGCACTGAGGGGCAGACGACTTTGCCAGCAGAAACATTAGCCAAGTATCTACCCTGTTGTTGTCCTTTACATAAGGCAAGCCTTTCACCATTAGACAAAATCTTCCCGGAAAGATCTCTCTGAGATGAAAGTGCACTATTTTTTTCTTTTTAAAATTAGATATTGCAGGCCGGGCATGGTGGCTCGCGCCTGTAATCCCAGCACTTTGGGAGGCCGAGGCGGGTGGATCACCTGAGGTCAGGAGTTCGAGACCAGCCTAGCCAACATGGTGAAACCCTGTCTTTACTAAAAGTACAAAAATTAGCCAGGCATGGTGGTGCACGCCTGTAATCCCAGTTACTTGGGAGGCTGAGGCACGAGAATCCCTTGAACCCAGGAGGCGGAGGTTGCATTGAGCCGAGATCACGACACTGCACTCCAGCCTGGGCAGTAGAGTGAGACTCTGTCTCAAAAAAAAAAAAAAAAAAAAAATAGTGCCAAAACAAAGACGTGCCCCAGTGTTCCAGTATCAGCAAGTCTCGATAAGGTTCTGCTTGAGGGTCACTGGTGGAGATGAGATGGGTGGAGTGCATGGGCCACTCTGGGCCTTTTATGTGTGGCAGTGTAAATGGTGCCATCCACTCGGACCAGGTTACTAGGAAAACTTTTATTGCTGCTACCCGTTTTTGAAGGGTGTATCCTTAGTATAAATTCCCTGTGGGTGAGTTTAAACCTGTCAACATCTAGCACCTTCTTCAACAGAGAAAATTATTATTTCCTGCTGTCTCTTAGTATTTTCTTGCTTTGAGGTGTATGTGTGTGTGTACGCATGTGTTTGTGCATGTACCCATGTACACTGGGGGCAGGGAAAAATGATGGGTACTTTTCTGTGAACTTAGAAACCTATTTTGATAGGATCCAGTAAGTGACCCTTTATTAGGTGTGAACCCTGTTAACATTAGGTGAGTATAGTTTATTTTCCAAACTGACAAGTTATTTTGCCTTGAAAATTCATGCATACCACAATGGAATCTTTGCAGGTGCTTGAAAAAACAGCCTATCCTATGATGAATTTTAGCTTATAGCAATCTTTAAAAATTTTATTTAAAGTCTTTATTATGAAGTAATTCATTTAAATCACCCTATGTGGGTTCTCATTCTGAGCATTCCAATTCATTTTCTACAGGGGGTATGAATATAATATGTATTATTTAATATAGTGACAGCACTGTACTATTTGGGGGCCTTCATATTGTTTTATGTGTTTAGATTGTAATGGAGGGAACCCTTACCTCAACACTGAAACCAGGAGACAACTGAATCTTTCTGTGTTAATTATGTGTCCCAGTACCGAAGGCCTGCTGTGAACTTGTTAAGCCAGTGAAGAGGGAGTTTTGTTTTTGGTTGTAACAAAGGTGTTTCCATAAAACCGAGCCTTAGCAACCCCTCTTCTGTCACTAATGAGATCTAAGATATTCTGCAGACTCACAGCTCTAAACTTGATTACACAACCTTTTTTTTCCCTTTTTTTTCTGTTAGTAGAATTATTTATTGACCAAGGTTTTCAGAAATGCCAAAATAAACTTTTAGCAGTTTCTGGATGAGGAAGTTATTTGAAGATTGTTGCTCTTTCTGCCTTCCTTACATGGTCCTTTAATGCTGCATACTCCCCTTTTTTGGGGGCACTAACATTCTCCCTACTTTTTAACTGCCAGGAAGGAAGAATGATCGGGAACATATATGATTATATAATTATTTGCATATGTGCAGTTGACAATCTAGTGTTAGTCAAATAAATTGCCAGCTCAATTTTATCTGAAATACCCTGCTACCCTAAAGCTGCTTTGATATCTCCATTAGGTGAAGCCCTATTTCCTGTAAGTACACATGGCCAAGAAGCAGCAATGGCCAGCTCATGGACCATTTCGTTTTCCATGATTAGTGTTGTTTGAATGATTAGCTTTTAATTCCCCATCCCTTTGTTGATTGGTCACACTTACCATTGACAGGTTCACATGTCTTCAGTATACTCATTCCTGAGTTCCTCAGATCATCTCTCTTTTCAGACCCCTTTTGACTTGCATAGAACATGGACAGCAATAGCAGAAGGAACAGTGAGAGTCAATCCTTGTAAACGTGTACAAAATTATACCACACCAATTAATATTGGAGAGACTGAAGTGATAGTAGCTAGTGGGGTTTATTTTTGAGTGGCATTGCATCTTGTGGTCATTATAAGAGAAGAGACATCGTCTCTTCAAAGCACAATTTTGTTCTGTGACAGAGGAGAACAAGGGGGGGAACTCTGGGGCATATAGAAAAAACCCCCCGCCCAACCCTCACCTCCAAACTGCAAGCCAAATGCAGTTGGTATAAGGGAGGGAGATACTTCGTGGGTTGGGTTGCTGTGGAGTGATGTGTCTTTGACATTTCCCTTGACTCTTGGGGCTGCATCACTACATAAAGGTGTTTATTGGAAGTTGTTGGTCTATACTGAGATGATGCTACATACACAGAATCATAGGGTAGATATAGTCTCTGACATCTGCACAGAATACATTGGATAAAAAAAATCTTAAACTCAAGGATTGAGGATTACCATCACCCCTTTGTGATTTATCATAGGCTCAGATTATCCAGCATAAACCCCTATAGTTTCCTCTTTGCTGGCAACCCTTGAAATGCACAAATCCCTTTGTTTCCCCACAGTGTAACTATTGCACATGTATTTGCTCAGTTTTTGGCTGTTGTCACATATTTTATAAACCATTCGTCATTAAGGACAGTCTCTCTTGGAGTGTAAACTCCCAAATCTGGAAAAACTGTGTCTCGTTTGCATGACTTCTGCAGTATTTAGCATAGAATATGAGAATCTCTGGGAATTTATAAAAGAGACTTTAGTTGACATGGAATATTATATTGTTTATTGACTACACCAGTTTTCCTGTTGGTTTAGCCATCTCTCTGATTGGAAAGTTCTTTTGCTTTTTGGAGAGGGCTTTATTATTTTATTTTCTCAAAAAGGGAATGAATATTTTTAGACTTCCTGGAACTTGTTAGATACACATGTTGCCTGGGCCTTTGCAGGAGCCTCACAGGTTGAAATGAACCTAAATCAAACCTTTCCCTCTTGGACTTCATGAATGATGATAGACATTGACTGTCTTACTTTTTATCTTGCAGGTGATCATTTGAAGATCTGTCCCCAGGGTTCTACCTGCTGCTCTCAAGAGATGGAGGAGAAGTACAGCCTGCAAAGTAAAGATGATTTCAAAAGTGTGGTCAGCGAACAGTGCAATCATTTGCAAGCTGTCTTTGCTTCACGTTACAAGAAGTTTGATGGTATGTTATTCAAGTCATATGTAAGAACCGGCAGTTAGGTCTGTACTGTAGCTTTTTCACAGCTCCTCTGCTCCCTCAGTGCTTAAGTTTTCTCCCAAGATGTTGTCCTTGTTGGATACCAGAGACGAGTTTACCCTGTAGCTTTATGGCTAGAATACTTCCGGATGCACTGGAATCTGTATGGTAGGCATTATGGAAATATGGTCACAAGGAGACAAAAAATAGATTAGTTTAACTTAAATGCTTTGATTTATTTTCTTGGGTGAACACAGAATAGTGTTGTTGACGCAAGTCCCTTTAAAAAAAAAAAGACCTCATAATAAAAAGCAGGCATCTGAAAACTGTCTTAGTCAAAATAAAGAGAATTTACAGATGCTGGACTTCAAATTAAATTTCAAAATGGATCCCCAAAGACAACTAGAATTCCTAAAAGTTTTGCAGAACACAGGCAGGATTAAAGTTCTTGAGTTTCCATGCAGCAGAGACCCAAAAGTAGCCATTTTACTATAGTCTTCATTAAGCTGGGCTCCATCCAACCTCACATTAGCTGAAGCTCTGGCATAGTCTTTCCATGTAAAAGCCACGACAGAACCCATTCTAATCACCTATGCCAGACGTGGCTTCTTGCAGGCACACTTTCTCTTAATATTGAAGAAATAGCCAATATGAGCCAATTGAAAGTGTACTTTGATCCTATCTGAACAATGGTACAGATAACAGACTTTAAAAAATAGAATATGGAGTCCAAAACACCTCAGGATTCTTTTCCCTGGTGCTGTTCACTCAGTTTGAAGATTTTTATGAAGTAGATTTAGTTTTAAGAGGATTGATTTCCTTTGTGCCTGTTTTAAAGGCCATTCTAATTACATAGTACCTTTGAAGCATGCTTTTCTTGACATTATGTGTGGTGAAGAAGTACAAGACAAATTTTCTAGATATGAAATGTCTTTGAGTATTTCTGCAAAGGGCTTGTTACCATGGTGAGAAAGTTAGACTAAATTAGATTTGATATAGCTGATAAGGCAGTCCTCAGTTAAAGAACAGGTTGTATTTCAAATGTTGGCTTTGAGATGTGTTATTTCAAACTTATAACCAATTTAATAAGTGTTAGGTTCCCAGGTGAGACCACAAAAGCATATTTAATCTATAATGTAGTTGAACTAAAACACTGTCTATGTAGTATGCCGTTGATCCTACCCATTTTTTCAAACACGCTATGTGCAAAATTATGTCTTAGTTCTATCACCTTTCCCTGGATGAATGGGAACAATTTATATATCTGTATATCCTTCTTATTACCCATATCCCCCTACATATATGCTGTAGCTGTTAAAAGTATTTAACAATATGTTAATACCATGTGAAAATGGGTGTTATTGGCAAAATCTATCATTAGACCTCCTCTGTCTCTCCTGATCACTGAATTATTATTATTGAAAAGAATGGTGTTTTCCTGACCATGGCATTTCTCATTCAAGATAATAACCTAAGCCTTTTCTTTTACTTTGGGGAGAAAACTTAGAAAGCTAATTAAATGGTCATTTTTGAAAACTTAAGATGTTGATATTTAAAAATCACCACTTAGGGGCTTCATAATGGAATTTAGAAGGAAAAAAAAATCTGCTCTTTAGAAATGACTCTCCCGTTGGCAGCACAATGTAGTGGAGATAAAGTTGTTTCCAAGTTCCAAGGCCTTCTACTGCAAGTCACCTCATTTCTTGTTAGACTTGTATCTTCCTGGCAGGGAGCCCACAGTCATTGCCTATGGGCCTACTGGTTTAGCTATTCTTTTCCCTTCTCGCTCCCCATGGTTTTATAGCACTACTATGATTCCAATGTGTAGTGTTTTGTTGTTGTTGTTGTTTTCTTCTTAAACCATACAGAGAAACTTTATCAGTAAGTGTTAACATGTGTTTTTTAAAAAGGATAGAAAGTTTTTCTTGCTCTTCCCTACCAGGCTTCACATTCAATAAATATGTTAACACTGTGCCTTGATCAGTTTCAAAACTTTAATGATTATGAAACTCCAGTGTTTTTTCTGACTTCAAATTAAAATATGGCATAGGCTGGGCATGGTGGTTCATGCCTGTAATCCCAGCACTTTGGGAGGCCACGGCGGGCAGATTGCTTGAGCCCAGGAGTTCGAGACCAGCCTGAGCAATGTGGTGAAACCCTGTCTCTACTAAAAATATGAAAATTAGCCAGGAGTGGTGGTGTGCGCCTATGGTCCCAGCTACTTGAGAGGTTGAGGTGAGAGGATCACTTGAGCCTGGGAGTTCAAGGCTGCAGTGAGCCAAGATTGCGCCACTGCACTCCAGCCTAGGCAACAGAACAAGACCCTGTCTCAAAACAAATAAATAAAATAATATAATATAACATAAAATATGGCATAGACAATAAAGTTAGGGAACATAGATACAAGGTTTTTTTTTAATGGGTAGTAGCTGAAATGTACTTGATCTGGAGATCAATATACTGGAATGCTGGAATACTGGAATGCCAGAATACTTTGCACATTTTCTCCATGTTAGGTTACAGAAACAATGAGATAATTTTATATGGTAAAACCTTAGTTGACTGGTACCCACCAAATCATAGTCCCCTAGTGGGTGCTGCATTGATTGATTAATTTTTTGTTTGTTTGTTTTGAGATGGAGCCTTGCTCTGTTGTCCAGGCTGGAGTGCAGTGGCGCAATCTCGGCTCACTGCAACCTCTGCCTCCTGGGTTCAAGCGATTCTCCTGTCTCAGCCTCCCAAGTAGCTGGGATTACAGGAACACACCACCACGCCCAGCTAATTTTTGTATTTTTAGTAGAGACGGGGTTTCACCATGTTGGCCAGGCTAGTCTCGAACTCCTGACCTCAGGTGATCCGCCCACCTCAGCCTCCCAAAGTGCTGGGATTACAGGCATGAGCCACCGCGCCTGGCGATGATTGACTAATTTTTAAGGCTGTCAATTAGGACTTGCCAGTAATTCTCAATGCCTGCCGATCCAAGGGCATTGATTAACAGGCTATAGGATATGTCTTGACTCTCAGAAATTCAAGGGTGGATGCTTTGGCCAAAGAATTATCCAAACTATTATAATAGCTAAACCCTGGCTCTTGGTGTGAATTGAAGAGAGAAAGTTGGGCAGACTAAAAAGATGGTGGTAGGGAACCAAGATGGAGCAGTGAAGTTGCACAGAGACAGCTGGGGACATATAGTAAGGAAATAGTAAAAGGACACATGGAAATATTATGGGTCAGGCAACTTCAAGGGAGTACCTTTTGTCATCTGCAAGCTTACAGTGTAAATTCAAAGTGGTGACCTTGACCCCAGACAACTTTGTCTATCATCAAAACCTGTCTATGTCTATGAGATACCACTTCTTTCTAAGGTAGAAATAATTACTTTTAAAGTAATTATTGAAAAAAAACCTTTTCAACAAAAATAAAGTTTGGGGGCTTGTAGAGAGTTAGCCTTCTGTTACCAGAAATCATCTCATTATCCCAGTTTTCCATCATTCTTCCTCAATTGACCCTGGTCAGGGTTCTAGTGCCAGTTCTGACATTTTTATAGTCATTGGATTTGAGAGATGAGTCCCTTCTCCAGTTCCCTTACCTCTAAGGCCCTTTTTTATTCTGTACTTTTAATTTCCTATCGTTTGCACATCTCAAGAGACTGTACGGTCTATATCAGTTTTTAAGATATAAACTCGTGTGTGTGCGTGTGTGTGTGTGTATGTGTGTGTGTGTTCGGATTTGGGTGACGTACAAGAGAACACTTCCTCCCCCTCAAAAATCATCAGATTTCTTATATTTTAAATCTATATCACTGAGTTTAAAGACTGGCCTCTGTGTTTTTCTATGCTATCATTTTTTAAACCCACTTTTTAACTTAGGATGTTTAATACCAGAAATCTGTATTCTGCTGGAGACATAGAGCCAGATTGTGGTAGTGACAGAGCTAGCTGCTCCCCCTCTTGGCCAATTCTGGGAATTTTTTGATAGTAGAGCTGCTAATTAACTTAGCTGAATCAGTCATCTCATGAATATGCTAATCACATACTTAATTCAGGAGGGAGTTAGGGAAAATTGCTTGGCAAAGGGAATAGAAATAGAAGTGGGGCATAATCCGTGTTTTGGGACCACAGCATAAAGACCCGCCCCCAAATGCCTGGCATTTTGTGAGAAAATAGTTGTTTTTAAAAGAAGCATAGTTAAAATCCCAAATAGGTTAAGGTGATTACAGCTGCCATGTTAAATGTATTTCTGAATTACATAGTAAAAATGATGTTACAGCTATGAAGTAATGTCATTGCTACATAACTGCCTGTATCAAACTGTAGATATTCTGCATGTTTAAATAACTAAGGAAATGGTTGTTGTCTGATGCTAGTCTATTGGGAAAACTCCTTTAATTTGTCATTTTCAGAGCAAATTTAATAACTTTGGATGGGAGGCAGTGCACAGTGAATTATCATCCTAGTTCTGCAGTGAACCCACTGTGACTGTGACCTGGGGCAATTAAATGAGTCTCAGTTTTCCCATCCATAAAATGAGGGGGTTGAGCTAGATGCTCTCTAAAACCCTTTTCAATCCTACCAATTCTGTGAATCTTTTAAACATGTGACTAGACCAGCTGCTTTAGTGAAAGGCCTTACAAGATGTTAATTAGCCGTCTGTATGGTACCCTCTATTTTCCCTCTATCATTTTTTAACTCTCAGCTACTTTCACCAGGTCTTTGAAAAACCCTCCCATGAGCCTGAAGCTTGTTAACTTGAATAATAGTAGAAATTTTCTGAATTAGCTTAAAATGCACACAAAAGAAATAATTGTCTGTCCCATCTATCTGCATGGGCCAAGTGTAAACCAAGCAGTTACCCTTCCCTTAAGCCCTAAGGCCCCTTGTTTCCTATCACTTCACAGAGGCAGGGCACGAAGCACTCTTCAGACTTAGCAGAATCTGCATTTTAATCACCAACTGCAAATTTTCTGTAGTTCATATTAGCCATTAACCAGTGCAGAGGATCAGTGAGTAGGAGGCATTAAAATTTATATGCCCGTGAAAGGCATGACCTCAGTGGAAGCGAGCTATCTGCTAACCTTAAAAGACAAATATGTCCAGATAAGCTTCATGGCCATTGACTAAGCTGAAATTTCTGGAATTTTCCTGACCCCTGACTTTAACTATTTTCTACCTATATAGATAATTGTCGTTTATATAGCCACACTTACTAAAGATCCCCTGAGAGGGTTTTACATTGGAAAAAGTCTAAAACACCCTCAAAGTAAGTGTGTCATAGATATGCATAGCATAATATACAACATTGATTGGTTTTTAATCCTCACCTCACATTTCATTAAGACATTAAAAAAATCATTGCTTTCTAAAACCTCTGCTGTAGTACAGCGGGCAACATTTCATAGGCTGAGTAGCCTCGAAAGTACGGAGAAAGACATGAGGCCTTCTGGCCTTCCTGCAAATGCAGTGTTTCTTCCAGATTATGCCAGTGGTCTCCGATTTAGTTTGAAAGCACTGCTACTCTTTCCTTTATGATTCTATTTTCTTTTCTTTCCATATGAAAGAGACTAAAAAGCCAGCTACTTTTGCTAATTCTTTTATAATCTCTCTGTGAAACTTGACCAGAATGAGCCACTGCCAGCTTACTGTAATCAAATCAAAAGCTCAGACAAAATGCACACATTTCTCTATTGACAAAGGTTTTCTGCCTTTTGAGTTGTTATCTGAAGTGTGACCAATTGTGACTTTAGCATTGGCTATCTCATCGGATTGAAAATGCATGTGCAGCTTTACGAGCCCAAAGCACTTTAACTTTGGGCCTCTCCTCTTAGCTTTGACTTCTTCAGAAGGCATGACATCAGCAAGAAGCAATGGATCTGTCTGGAGGGAAGTAAATACATAGAAGAGCTTCAGATGAACTGCTTTTATCAACTCTGTTGGTTCATTGCTCTTTGGGCCTGGGAGTTTGGAATGTTGTTCATCACTGCCTGCTCTACTTCTATGTGTCTGTCTGTCCAGGCAAAGAACAGGGCTTAGTTGATCTAGCACTGACTCCAACCGATTGATTGAGAGAATTCCCTGTGCAGGCAGGCTTCAGCCCTTTCTTGTTCATTGTCCACACCCATCTTCATCACCCTCTCTCGAAAGAATTAGCAGAGCAATGGAAACTCTTGTAATAAATATGACTCTAACAGCAAGGATGGTACATGGACACACCCTTTCTGCAGATAGATTTGGCAGTGTGTCAGCAGTTTTGAATATGTTCATACTCATTGATTTAGTAATTCCACTTCTGGATGTGCATCCCAAGGAAAGAAAGATCTGCATAAACACTTATGTACGATGTTAATAGGATGTTCATCACAGCATTATTTCTAGTGGTAGGAAATTGGAAATAAGCTTGCATGCCCCACAATGATTACACTATTCTCCGTCCATGTGGTGTCATTGTATGCAGCCATTAAAAATGATGGTTCTGCTGGGTGCAGTGGCTCACGCCTGTCATCCTAGCAGTTTGGGAGGCCAAAATGGGTGGATCACTTGAGGTCAGGAGTTTGAGACGAGCCTGGCCAACATGGTGAAACACCATCTCTACTAAAATACAAAAATTAGCCAGATGTGGTGGTGCACGCCTGTAATCCCAGCTACTCGGGAGGCTGAGGCAGGAGACTCACTTGAACCAGAGAGGTGGAGATTGCAGTGATTTGAGATTGCACCACTGCACTCCAGCCTGGGTGACAGAGCAAGACTCTGTCTCGAAAAAAAAAATGATGCTTCTGAAGAAGTTTTAATCACATAGAAAATGCTAACCATATAGTGTTACATAAGAACACGGTGTAAATACATTTTATTTCAACCACGTAGCAACATGTATTTCATAGGAAAAAGGGAGGAAGGAAATTTGATAAGCCATTGTTACTGTCTTTTAGCAGTGGGGATTATATTTATATTTTCTTCTTACCTGTCCATATTTTTCAAGTTGCTATAATGAGGAATACTATTTAGGAAAAAATTATATATTTCTTTATGAAAAATATGGAAACTGCTTTGGTGAAGTTTTAAAATAATGTTTTTCTTTTTATTAAGTATTACAGTGCTCACTGTAGAAAATTTGGAAAAGTAGAAAAATACATCAAATCCTCCAGTGGTTAAATAGAATGAAGGGAATAAAGGGAAATAGTTACTTTTGAAAGCATGAAGGTATATCACTTTTCTGATTATAAAATGTCACTGAAATATCTGGGGGAACAAAATCAAGAAAGATAGAATGAAAAAAATTACCCTTGATCCCCAGCACCCAACCGTCACTCTTGTATTTACCTAATCTTTTTGTGTACGTAGATAATGCATATACATACATGCAAATTGGTATCATAATGATTTGCTATTTCATGTTCTGAATTTTTTTTTTTTTTTTAGACAGTCTCACTCTGTTGGCCAGGCTGGAGTGCAGTGGCTCAATCTTGGCTCACTTCAACCACTTCAAGTGATTCTCATGCCTCAGCCTCCCAAGTAGCTGTGATTAAAGGCTCATGCCACCACACCTGGCTAATTTTTGTATTTTTAGTAGAGACAGAGTTTCACCATATTGGTCAGGCTGGTCTCGAACTCCTGACCTCAGGTGATCTGCCCACCTTGGCCTCTCAAAGTGCTGGGATGACAGGCGTGAGCCACTGTGCCTGGCCTGATTTTTCTCTTGACATTAGATTATTAACAGATAGACTCTATTATGAGATGTGTGTTTGAAGCTATATGGTACCTCTCTGACTGATCCACATAGAGGTTAGTACATGGAACACTTGCAATGGCTCCTCCAGCTCCCTAGCTTACTTATACGTGTCTGAAACCTTCTCTGGGCATTTCCGAATGCACAGAACTCTGGGCATGCTAAAGCCAATTGCCTAGCTGGTACTGAGAGTGCCCTTAGTAGAAATGGAATGATGCCCAGCAAAAGGGACCTTACAATACTGAGCCTGTGTCCCTGGCCACATTAGCCAAAGATGGGGGCCATCAGTAAACATTGTATTTATTCCCTTGGAGCCTTAGCATTCAAAATGTGTTCACGAATAAAAGCAACTTTGGGAAGAAAGGCTGATCTTATTTTGGCAGAATCCCCTAGTACTCTGTGATATGCTAATAGCTCCTAATAAGAGCTACAGCTGGTGATTGGCCTGTCCACCAAGGAGCAGCCTGTTTTTTGTTTGTTTGTTTGTTCGTTTGTTTGTTTTGCTTAGACTTAGGGTCTCACTCTGTTGCCCAGGCTGGAGTGCAGTGGTGTAATCATAGCTCACTGCAGCCTGAACTCCTGGGCTTAAGCGATTCTCCCATCTCAGCCTCCCTAGTAGCTAGGACTACAGGCATGCAGCACCATGCCTGGCTAAGTTTTTAAATTTTTGTAGAGATGGGGTCTCACTTTTCAGGGTAGTCTAAAACTCCTAGCTTCAAGCAGTCCTCCCGCCTTGGGCTCCTAAAGTTTTGGGATTACAGGTGTGAGCTGCTGCACCTGGCCAAGGAGCAGCATATTGATTTGCTATCAATTGATAAACATAAGTTGAGTATATGATCTTTTGGTACACTAGCCTTAGCAGGTACTCTTTAGAAGAGTGAGATTATGCCGTGCTCGAGAAAAAAATGCCTGTTTAAAAAAACAAACAAAAAAACATATGCAGACTTTATCAAAAAAGCAAAACAGGAGGAGATAGTGATAAATCAAATTTCAGGTTGTCAGTAAAATGCTTGATGCTTTTCCTTTTTTTCCTTACATTTTTATATGCTTATGTTTGCTGTTCTTCATTAATTACTTGATCTTAGGTGAAAGAGTCGATGGGTGTAACTCTTTAAATTTTCTTAGAAGTTTGAAAGGTATGATTTGTAGCATTTACAAGGAGGCTTCTTTTTTCAGCACTTCTGTTGATCTAGTAACTTAATGTTTGCATGCCACACCAGGGGTATGAAATACAGCATTTATAGTAAGAGAAAAATCAATCCTTATATGTAAAAGGCAGCTTCCTAATAATGTAAATACCAGGTGGTAATTTATAGCACCAAAAAAAATGGATCAAATGAAAAGGGCCCCAATCTCTTAAGGTTATGGGTTAATTCTAGAATGCATTAATCAATAGCCAGTTGATTGTTTATAAAGGAGTAACTAATGTGGCATTTAGTAGCAGAACTGGAGGTTCTTTGGCCTATTTCAAGAATTTTGAATGTTTATTTGATGCAAGACAAGTAGCTGGGGATAGAAGTTCCAGAAGTACATGGTGTTCTTCTCTTTTTTAAAAGACAGGATATTTACATAGAAAACATTTATATGGAAAAGTTTTGTCTTTTCACTCTAGTTTTTCCCATGTTAAATTAGTACTACTTGCATTTAGAATGATTAGATTTTAGAACTGGAAAGTACTTACACTTCCCTAGCTCAATCCTTATACCAAGTGGACTTCTGGCAAAGAAGGTAGTATGCAAATGAAATACATGGGTGGGGGGTGTCGACCTGCTGATTTATTCTTATTTTTTATATGTGTGTGGTGTGTGTATGGTATTCTCTTGTTTAATGTAATGTAAGCTCTCTTCTCAAGGGTGAGGTTTCCCCATTCCCTATTTTTCACCCAGCAGTCACTCCCACCCTCATAGATGTCTGGGACGTTTCACAACCTTTAAAGGTAGAACCATTAAGCATTTCCCTTAGGATAAACAGTTCCCAATTTTATAAGGCCTTGCGTCTTCTTAGAAGACCTCCAGCAGCTTTGGCTTCATTTATGTCCCCTCAGATGGATAATGTTTGACTCCACTAGGAAAGATAAAAACCAGTCTTTAAAGATTTTTTTTAAAGGATTGTAGATACAAAGAAACTCTAAGAGTGACAACACTATCATCTCACATATTAGTAATAATGTTTATTTGTTGAGCATCTACTTTATGCCAAGCATTATCCATATGAGGTGAGTGATAATAGCCCCATTTTATGGATGGGATAAAAGAGGCTCAGAGAGATTAGGCCTTTTGCCCAAGCAAGGTCATACAGTCCCCAAATGAGAGATCTCCTGTTTTTCCCACTGTGTCCTCCTGCTTTAGATTCATAGCATGTTACAGTGTTTATTTCCATCCTGTGTTGAGTGGCCATTCATGAGCTCAAGGAGTAGCAGCTGCTTTATCTTTAGAATGTATATACTTAAGCCTTCAAACTGAAAATTGAAGGGGAAATAAACGCTGATCACAGACACTATATTTCAAATCCTTGCAAACCACCACCTCTCAAACTTTCTTTCAGACACCAGTAGCTTTACTTAAAACAGATTCCCTGAGCAGCATTTTTACATGAATACAAGCAATTGCTGCACAGATCTAACTTCCAATTTGCTTGGCTTTTGATCGTTGTGGAATCCTGGTTTACATTGCTCTTGGCTGGTTCTCTCTTAGTCACCAAGTGTATTGTAATTAGTTTCAGGCATAATGATTATGAGCAATGATTGCTAGGTGTCTAGGGCCTGTACAGCTCTTCTTCAGCAGTTAAGATCTGACCCTGATTCTGAGTTCTGAGAATGATTGAAAAAAAAATGGAGATGAACATTGCAGCGATTACTGAAGTTGCTATTGATGGCTGTGGACCAGGATCTGAATGGCTAATTTATGCTTCATTCCTCATTGTAGAAGTAAATGTCATGGGAATAGAAAGGAGGATTGGGGATGTGAAAGAATTATGCAAGAACATGCGAGCTGCTAGTTTAATAGGAGGAACAGATGCAAAAGGATTTTTTCTCCTTCTTTCTAATAGCAAATTATTATGCTTTGGTTGATATTGTACCCAATTGCTATGGATTTTAGAATTTAAATGATGTCTGCCATCCTTATGAGGTCCCTTTGAGGCAAAAGGCATAGGTAGAATAGTCCCAAGCAACAGGGCTAGTAAGAATCCATCTAAAAAGAAATGAGTCTGGGTCTTCTGGATCCCCTGATTTTTGTCTGGTTGACTCTCATAGATTAAATATATGAATATTTAGGAACTTTTTGTATGTAGTGAGGGATTAACAATTTTATAGATGTTTAAAAAAATCTCTGGTATTCTCATAAAACCGTATGTGGAGAGTGGCAGTGTATGGTAAAGGTGAATTGGATGGGGGAAATTTGTCTTACCAGAAATTTTCATTATGGTCTGATTGTGCAAGAAGAAGGTTAAGATGCATGGCAAAACACCATGTGCTTTGATTTGAGCCCATAAGAGCCACTCAGTACATACTTGTCAAATTGCATACCCATTTGGAGAAATTATGACGTTTTAACTCATTATTATCAGTTTTATAGAATTTCTCAAGCATTTATTAACCATATGCTCACCCAAATGGTCTTCATATTTGCAACTTATATAGCCACATTAAAGAGTCTTTTAAAATGTGAAGGAAAGAAAATAAATTTTCTGAATGATGAAATGAATTAGGATTTAGTATGTATATAGCACCAACCTAGGCTCTTAAAGTACACGCTAGCATAAACACACACACACACACACACACACACACACACACACACACACACACACACTTTCCTGGACAGAATGTGAGTCATGGAAACCAAAGTATGGTCCATGGTGGGTGTCGGACAGGGGCATGTCAGTTTCAAATCATTCTCCTCTTCATTAGGCCATTTCTCTTGTACTCCAAAGTAGCTATGTTATATATGGCTGCATCCACCCATAAGCTCTTGACCTGAATGAGGAACTCCAAGATTGATAATATTTTACTTTTTCTGTAAAGTGTTCAGTGATTTAGTGTTTGTTTGACTTGCAGCACTTTGTCAAAAGGCTAAACTTTGACATTTATTAGAAGTTTTAAATTAAAACTAAGCTTGAAATGTCACACCGCACCTCGCCCCACCCCTAAAAACCAACATGACTCTAGGTGACGTTCCTTAAAAATGCAAGTGAGTTTTGAGAATTACTTACTAAATGAGTCTGAAAGCACAACTCAAATAATTCTGAATGTCCAATTTCTGCTGATATGTGCCAATTTTATGAGCAATATAATAAAAATTCAATATAAGGAAGGACATGTGGTAGCTGTTGGAATCCACTCTTTTTGGTCATGAAATATTAATAGCACTGGATTGACACACAAGGCTTGCATATTGTTCTCAATGATGGCAAAGCTTTGTTTTTCCAATATGTGATAGCTATGTGTGCAACACACTGGTCATATAATAACGCAATCCACGTGTGCCTTTTATGCCCTCCATGAGCAATCACCACTTGGCAAGGATGCTAGCAAAATTCAAGCATGGTGTGGGACATGGACCAGATGACATTTAAGGTCCCTTCTCAACTTTGAACTCTAGAAAAGTACTGCATACATTTAATCATCTATGTTAACACTTAGTTGAGAGAGTTCCACACAAGAAAATTTGTCCCCAAGACAATAAAAAAGTCATTCCTAGGAATGCAATAAATTTATTTAAAAACACAATTCATTGGAAAGACATTTTCTCTTAATTAAAACATTAATGCTTGTCCTGACTGCTTCATACTCAACACAGCCCCTGAGTTGTTGGTGATTGCAACTGATAGGTGAAATGGGAGAAGTTTCAGCAGCTAGAGCAGTTGTTTTCCAACTTTAGGGTATATCAGAATCACAGATAGCTGAAAATTTTGGCCTGTCCACCAAGCCATTTGGCCTGTGGACAAGTCAGTTGGCTAGCTGGTGCTGAGAGTGCCCATAGTAAAAATGGAATGATGCCCAGCAAAAGGGACCCTCCAGGGTTTCTGATTCAGTAACTCTGGGGTGGGGCCAAGAATTTGCATTTATAGCAAGTGTCCAAGTGATGCTGATCCTGCTGGTCCCAGGCCCACACTTTGAGAACCACTCAGGGGATTTTGGAGAAAATAAAAGGCCATCCCAGGTAGCTGATTGGTATGCTTCTTATATTGTTCACCTAACTCTTTGTGCAGTTTCTGCCCTCTCACTTTCAGGGAGAGAGCTTTGGTAAAAATGTCAGGCTGCACACTTGTAATGGGGATGAGTTGACCTGCCTATTTGTTTACTATGCAGAGGAAGTCCATTTCCCTTTCTTTCTCTGAAGAAAGCCCAGTAAATAAAAGGCAAGCAATAGAAGGGAAAAGAACTAGATAAAAGGAAAAGGAGAGAAGCAAAGAAAAAAAAAAAACACAAGCCATACCTACAATGTTTGAAAAGCTGGAACCAGGGAGGACTGTGGACTTCATCCTCAGGCCTCAAGGAATAACTAAGTGATGAGTTAGGGGCTGAGAGACATAGGTATAGAATCTCTTGGCATGTCAGGAGAGTCACACACATACATCTCCCTGCAAAAGTATTCAGTTTCCTCAGTCCAGGTTTTGAAAAGCTATTTGGTATTAGTGGCCAGTCTCTGAGTTGCCCACCCAATGTGAGAAGAGAATGGTTTTGTAGAACTATTGCATTTTGATAAGCTCACCAATGTTCTGGCTTTGAAGTAGGTGTCATATTTTCTTTTCTGTTCCATATTTACTCAGAGGCAGTTTCTTATTTGATGTGGTCCTTATATTTTGCTTTGGTATTTGTTATATTTCCTGCTTATAAACTTGATATCATGAGGTGTTTATTTTTATACCAGGCAAGAGATTCTTTAAGAATGATTAATGTTACAAATACACTTTTGGCTTGTTTTTTCATTGAAGTTCCTGAGGAAAGCTTCAGAAGAAAACTAGTTTGCCATTTGTAGTTAAGAGATTAAAATCTCTAACCTTAGGCTGTGGCTGTATGGTGGCCAAAAAGTAAATCTGAAATAACCAGGTATTCTCATTTACATTTTTCAGTTTTTTTCATGTTGTCTCATAAATATGCTATATTTATTATTAAGTCCATTATGCATGTGCTCTCTCTCTCTCTGTCTCTCTCTCTCACACACACACACTCACACACACACTATCAGAAGGAACATTGAAAAGAGTCTCATGATGTTATTGTATAAATCCTTTAGAAACCCAGGATCAAGCTGGATACTCCCAATTTGTACTACTGTCACAGAGAAACACCCAGGAACTTATTTTCAGAAAACTTATGTGCTTGCTTGTAGGGGTGTTTGATTATGTTTTTTGGCCTCAACCATTTTCCAGGCAGCTATAGTGCATGATCATATAGATAAGTGAAAAGGAGAAATGAAAAAAAAATTCAGGCCCAAGTAAAATAACGACTTTTGAAAACACCTGTCCTGCTCTTAGGTTACAATTAGAAGGCATGGTTAACTTTGGCTTAGATTCTTAAGTAAAAAGTTGAGGGAAATCTCATGTTTTAGACTTCATGTGCACATTTTTTCCAGTTTTTCTTTATTCACCTATGACAGAGAGAAAGTGAGAGAGAGAATGAGAGCATGTGTGTATTGTACTGACTCCTGAGAAGCTGTTGGTTTAAATTTTCATTTTTTTCCTCTCTCAGACACCTATGTAAGTGACTTTGTGACACAGCTTTCCTTTCATTGGCAAATGATCTGAGATGCCACATTCCCCAAAAGAAATTCACCCTATATACAAACACGTTTTCCAATTTAATTGTGTTTTTTTTCCAGTTTTCAAATTTACTGGAAAAGCAGTTATTTAAACACTGAAAACTCTCGTTTTTCCTTTTTTTTTTTTTTTTTTTGGTGTTGGTTTCAGAATTCTTCAAAGAACTACTTGAAAATGCAGAGAAATCCCTGAATGATATGTTTGTGAAGACATATGGCCATTTATACATGCAAAATTCTGAGCTATTTAAAGATCTCTTCGTAGAGTTGAAACGTTACTACGTGGTGGGAAATGTGAACCTGGAAGAAATGCTAAATGACTTCTGGGCTCGCCTCCTGGAGCGGATGTTCCGCCTGGTGAACTCCCAGTACCACTTTACAGATGAGTATCTGGAATGTGTGAGCAAGTATACGGAGCAGCTGAAGCCCTTCGGAGATGTCCCTCGCAAATTGAAGCTCCAGGTTACTCGTGCTTTTGTAGCAGCCCGTACTTTCGCTCAAGGCTTAGCGGTTGCGGGAGATGTCGTGAGCAAGGTCTCCGTGGTAAGTACTCCTTGTCTTCTCTGTTTTGTTTTTGTTTTGTTTTCTTTCATGTTAAAAGAATGTTTGGGAAAGGTAGAAAAATAAATCACCAAAATTCTGTTGGTTCAATGGCAGCCTTTTCTTCCTCTCTTACCTCTTCTCTCCCACACACTGTCCTTACACGTGTACATTTTAGAGTTACTAAACAATACTGTGATCAGAATCTTCACCTATCATTATTATTGTGGGGTTTTTTTGTAGCTATTCTTAGAAGGGGGAATATATGTTTACTCAGGAATCTTAATTTTTAAAGTAGGTTAATACTGCCATACCCATTTTAGCTCTTATTCTACTTCCTTTCTGCACAAACAAACATACACACACAGGCTCCACATTTGGTTGTTTTGTGTGACTGTCAGCCTACTAGTCATAGTCTAGGAAAGCATTTAATCTCTGTGAGCATATGTTTCCTTGTTAGAAAGTGTACTCAGAGCTCTTTGGAAGACAGGTTTCTACGACAATTAGTGTGGACTACACTGCTGTTGACTCATGACTCTGCAGAATTACCAATACAGAAAGTGAAATTGTAGTATGTGATCAGGAGCTGATGAAATGAACCTGTTTCCTCATTGGGAAATTCAGCGAATTGGACTAGATAGACTGTGTTCTTTTTTTTTGGGAGGTGGGGACAGGGTCTTGTTCTGCTGCCCAGGCCAGAGTGCAGTGGCAGGATCTCGGCTCACTTGCAACCTCCACCTCCGGGGCTCAAGCAATTCTCCTGCCTCAGCCTCCCTAGTAGCTGGGATTGCAGGCGTGTGCCAGCACGCCTGGCTAATTTTTTGTATTTGTAGTAGAGACGGGGTTTCACCATGTTGTTCAGGCTGGTCTCGAACTCCTGGCCTCAAATGATTCACCTGTCTTGGCCTCTCAGAGTGCTGGGATTACAGGTGAGAGCCACCATGCCTGGCCGATAGACTCTGTTCTTGAGCAGGATATTGCTTTAGGGGCCTCATTGAGCAGAAGCAACAGAGAAGGAAGTCTTTTGTGGGTGAGACCGTGCAACTGTGCCTTTATCTCCCAGTTCCACCAGAGAATCTTTGCTTTCTTTGACTTCACACAGCAGGGATCTGAGCAAGATTTCAAGGGGAAAGGGGTTCCACTGCTCCTTCACTGCCACTCCCCTCCCCCAAATGAAATCTGAAAACTTCTTGAAGACCCCACCACCTCTACCTTTCCATGAGTCAATACCAGGGAAGAAACATAAATATACTGGGGCAAAGTGATCTTTGCAAGGCTGATCTTAGTGCTGTCAACTTTAGGCCCTCAAAGGGAAAGCCAAATTGTAGGCCATTGCTAAAAAGCCTGGATGCACAACAACAGCAGATTCTGCTGAGGCCATTTGGTTGTTTTGAGGACTGGAAGAATGGACAGCATAAAAACTGGACAGCACTACAAACATGAAAATAGACACCTGATTGCCTCTCACAGTTTATCTACAGTTAGGGTGACCATATAATTTTTTATCCAAACAGGACACTTACTGTCTAAATCGGGAGGTGCTTATTAACAAATTATTCACAGACAACAGGTGTCACTTTTTTTTTTTTTGATAGAGTCTCACTCTGTCGCCCAGGCTTGAGTGCAGTGGCGAGATCTCCGCTCACTGCAACCTCCACTTCCCAGGCTCAGACGACAACAGGTGTCACTAATTTTTTTTTTTTTTTTTTGGAATCTCGCTCTGTCACCCAGGCTTGAGTGCAGTGGCGAGATCTCTGCTCACCGCAACCTCCACCTCCCAGGCTCAGACGATTCTCCTGCCTCAGCCTCCCTAGTAGCTGGGATTACAGGCATGTGCCACCACACTCAGCTAATTTTTGTATTTTTAGTAGAGATGGGGTTTCACCATGTTGGCCAGGCTGGTCTTGAACTCCTGACCTCAGGTGATCTGACTGCCTCTGCCTCCCAAAGTGCTGGGATTACAGGCATGAGCCACCGTGCTGGCCAGGTGTCACTAATTGTTAGTAAGCAACCAGGACTGTCGTGGACTGGCCAGGATACACGGGTCACTCTAGTTGGAGAGAAAACTTATATTCACCAGAGTGAGGATAAAGATTCTAAAGAATGGTTTATTATGAAAAATAGGTGCTCATGGGATTTTTCATATTAGAATTGGGTGATAATAAGGATTAATTGATTGATTGCATTCATTATGTTGTTTGTTCTCTCTCTCATCTCCAGGCCATAAACTGTCAGGAAACAATTCTTTCTAGTATGTTTTTGTTCACTCCTTCTTTGATATTTTCATCGTAAATTGCAAATATTTATTGGGGCATATGAGGGTGGAGTTGAGGGTAAGTGGGGAGATGATTGTTATAATTAAAGGAATAATATCTGATTCTTGAACTTCTGCCAACCCCAGCAACCATTATTAATCTTGGACATACTTTTGTCAGAGTCCCTAAAACAGTGCACAGTGAATCAGATCAAAGTTATTTGCATTGTGGTACACCCAGCACATTTGCCCTCCTTCAACAATTCCTCATGTTCATCCTCCACTGAAAGGGCAGAAAGACACTGCTGTGTGATTTGGACATCTGTGCATGCATGTGCATGTGCGTGTACACTTGTGCCAAAGAGAAAGAGAGTCAAGAGCCCTTTGCTAGTTTGAAAAGTACTTTCTTTATGTTAACCCTCTCCCCTTCCTTTGAGTTTCAGTGTTGATTCTTGGAGAAAAAGGGCCAGACAGCAGACTCAAGCCTGCCTTGGTGTTAGCCTCACTTTGCAAGGTTGGAGCTATTTTAGAGAACTGAACCTACAAACATGGATGGGGAGGGTAGCCAAACTGAGAAGTTTAGAGACAATTGATTGCAGGTTAGAGGATTGAAGGCTAGAAAAGGCTTGCCTTTGTTCTGCGTCTCCCTACCTCCCAGGTTACGGGGAAGTAAGCAGTTGTGCCTTCCCTGTGTTGCATTCTTCTGGACGTCGTTCTCAGAATTAACCATGGGAAACCAAGAAGCTTGACTTTGATATTTAAGATTCAGACACCCTTACTTATGCAACAAAGGTATGTGACCCAATGTGAAATAGTCACAATCACTTTTTCTTTCTCCTTTCTTTTTTAAAAGAGGCAGGATCTTGCTCTTTCACCCAGGCTGGAGCGCAGTGGCACAATCATAGCTCACTGCAGCCTTGATCTCCTGGGCTCCAGCAATCCTCCTGCCTCAGCCTCCCGAGTGAGTAGCTGGGACCACAGGCATGCGCCATCATGCCTGGGTAATTTTTGGGTTTTTGTTGTTGTTGTTGGTTGGTTGTTTGTTTTTTGTAGAGACAGAGTCGCGCTGTGTTGCTCAGGCTGGTCTTGAACTCCTGGCCTCAAGCGATCCTCCCACCTCAGCTTCCCAAAGCACTGGGATTACAGACAATCACTTTCTGATGTTGCTTTTGGTGTGAATTTTTCTTAATAGAAAAAAAAAGATCCCCTGTCTACCTTAGTATTGTTAAATTCTTTGAGAAATTTACTTTTTTTTTTTTTTTTTTTTTTGAGACAGAGTTTTGCTCTTGCTGCCCAGGCTGGAGTGCAATGGCGCAATCTCGACTCACTGCAACCTCCATCTCCTGGGTTCAAGCAGTTCTCCTGCCTCAGCCTCCCAAGTAGCTGGGATTACAGGCATGCGCCCATACCCGACTAATTTTGTATTTTTAGTAGAGATGGGGTTTCTCCATGTTGGTCAGGTTAGTCTTGAACTCCCGACCTCAGGTGATTCGCCCACCTCGGCCTCCCAAAGTGCTGGAATTATAGGCATGAGCCACCACATCTGGCCTTGAGAAATTTACTTTCTAAATATAACCCTAACAATTTTTGTTTTTAGACTTGATCTCTATTCTATAGTCATTGTATTCTCATGTTAGCCTAAGAGATAATTGTGTAGTTGTATGGGAAGACCGTGAATAGGAGCAATATGCCTGAATTTACATAGAGTGAAACATAACTTGCCAATTGTTTAGCTGAAAATAAAGTTTTGTGGCTACTTTAAGTATTGTGGTCACAATTGGGAATGCCTAAAAAAGACAATGTTTTTGCTTTACAACTGAGCTTCTAAATTTAAGGACTGACTTGAAATCAAACCCTTTAATTAAATTAATTATATTATCTAAATGAATAAAGCATATAGGCATCAAGTCAGTTTCTAAAGGCGCTGAAACAAGAATTCTATAAATATCTACCATCTGTGGAATGCATCTGCATACAAGCATGCAAGGCATACTTGCATACCTGAGAAAATATTTATTACATTAATTTTTGGAGTATGACAGCCAGTTAAAAAATTTGAGATACAGTGGTATTGGAAAGACAATAAAGGATCTGGCTATCAAAAACAGTTCAAAATGAACATGTTGAAAAATTCATTTGATTAATTTATAAATAAGATTCTCTACCAGTTTGGATACCCAAGTAATGTTTTTTATATATATGGGTTCCCACCTCTGCTAACTCCTGCCCAAGAAGCACAGTTTGCAGGTGGATCTAGAACAACCCAAGAAATGAACATTTCTTCTTTTGGTGCCCAGTAATATTAATTGCTTCGGGCCTGAAAAAAAGACCTTTCAAAGTAAGGGATGTGTTCCCTAATTGAAGAGAGCCACCCCATCAGCCACCTCGTCTACAAAGAGGTCTTTCTTTCTTTCCTTCTTTCTTTTTTTTTTTTTTTTTTTTTTTTTTTTGACATAGGGTCTTGCTCTGTCACCCAGGCTGGAGTGCAGTGGCGTGATCATGGCTCACTGCAGCCTCAATCTCTGGGACTGAAGCAATCCTCCTGCCTCAGCCTCCCAAATAGCTAGCACTACAGGCACGTGCCACCACACCCAGCTAATTTTTTATTTTTTGTAGAGATGGGGGTCTCGTTATGTTGCCCAGGCTGGTCTCGAATTCCTGGGCTCAAGTGATCCTCTCACCTTAGCTTCCCAAAGTGCTGGGATTACAGGCATAAGCCACTGCGCCCGGCCTACAAAGAGGTCTTTAAAGTGAAATATGAAAAGCATCATGGTCTTGTTTGCATACTTAGAGATGTTCCCACTTTCTCTTCGTGAGTGGATGTCCAGTTTACTTTTGCAGCAAAGGGGTTGCAGTTAAAAGTTGAGCAATGATTTGATTATCACTGAACCTTTGCAAGGCCATTAGCACCAGCAAGCTTAAGTTACTTCAAGAGAAAGACACTTCATAGTTGAAGTACACTTGCCTTGCTTTTGTTTTTTCTGGGCCCACATCTCCAGTGATTTCAGCTCACTCCATTGAGCTTTACAATTCAAACTTCCCAAAAGCCCCTTTAATTAGTAACAGGTGGTTCAAGAGTACCCTCGTACTACACATCTTTGTATTACTTATTCCATCGTTATTTGTCATGGTTCATGATACATTTCTTATTTACCTGCTTGTAGCAGCAGTTTTGCCTGGAAGGATGAAGTCTGTTGTGGTCTTTCAGAAATGCACAAGTGGTTACATGCATCATGAAAATTAATAGCTCCTATGCCAAAGAGAGTTGCATTCTCATGGTTTCAGTTAACACTGACATAATGGGACTATGTCTACACCTACACCCCACC
Source organism: Homo sapiens (assembly GCF_000001405.40). NCBI lineage: Eukaryota > Metazoa > Chordata > Mammalia > Primates > Hominidae > Homo > Homo sapiens. Next base: position 133,318,564 of record NC_000023.11, on the reverse strand, counting down.
CCAAACTACAGAAGCTATAATTAGAAATCAGTGCCTCACCATTGGGATGTCTAAATGACTGTCCTGCCTTGAAAACAATTTTCATTGCTCCCTCTTTATTTCTATTTGCCTTAGTTTTGCATCTCCCCACCTCCCAGGTTAAGGGGATGTAAGCAGTTGTGCCTTCCCCGTGTTGCATTCTTCTGGACATCATTCTCAGAATTAACTGTGGGAAACCAAGAAGCCTACAAGAGTACTAAACAAACTATTTTACCACTTCCCAAAATCATTATAAATACAAATTTAAAAAATAGTCAATACAAAAAGCTTTTAAGAAGCAAAGTGTAGACACATATTCAACTCTCAATATTCTTTTTCACTCACAATATTAAAATCTAGAATTGCAAAGAGGAAGATGGGACTCAAGCTATGGAGTGGGGAAGGGGTGAGGATGGTAGGAGTACAGGAGGTGTCAAATTGAATACATTGAGTTTACATACTCACAAAACAAAAATAGAGCCCTTTTCAAGGGGGTTGACTTATAAGTGTTAACTGAGTCTAATCATTTGAAACAAAGACAAGACACATTTCAAGTATTTATGAAGCTTCAATTTTATCTACAACATCTCCAGAAATATTCCTGACTGAATATTTTGTTATGCTTTTTAGATTTTGTTATTAGAGGAATCATTAGGAACTTCTCATCCTCCTTTCTTTGTGTATATGCATTGAATTCAAAACTGGTTAGGAAATTGTTGAAGAAACTCATCACATCCCATGGCAAGTGTGGGTTCCCTATCACTCTTACCGTAATTCTGGGAATAGTTCTGTTATTTCTATTGGGTGCTTTTGTTACCAAGCAACAGATAAAATCTAGACCTTTTCTGCTTGCTTGCTACTATTGGCTGTGCAAAAAACAAAAACAAAAAAATAGTGCAATGAATGTATGTTAGGAGGTGAAATAAACTAAAAGGAAATGCATTTCTAGCTTCAGTACAGCGTGTTGACTGTCATCACTGTGTAATGTGGCTTAAGGCTCGTTCTGAATTACTGAAATGAAATCCAGGCTGTGTGAAGAGTTCTGTTCCAGCATTTTTTTTTTCAGGCTGCTTGCAGTAGTTTTTAATGTGGTGTTTGGAAAATGCAGGTTATTGGGTAGAAAGTCTCAATGTATATGAAAAGAGTCTTTGCAGAAAAGGCTTTTTATAGCAGATATGGCATGCAGATGTCATGATAAATGTATATATCCTGAGGAAGGCAGGAATGAGTATTTTTAAAAGAGTTTTAATAAGTTGAGAAGGAAATGAGGCATCTTCCCCCCCACATACACACTGACTTTTATCATGAAACATAGATTGGCTCCTAAAATCTTAAATTTTAAGGTACCTCCTACAGTTACCTTATCATTAAGAAAGACCTCTGTCAGTCTTGAAGGATTTTATAGGCTTGGAAATTTGGTATCAATGTATTGTCATTATGGGTCAATAACTCAGATTGATTTTGATATATGAGTTAATATGGAAGTACTCAGTCCAGATGATATTCCCTTTCTATCATACCACCCCACAAAAGCAAATGAAGCAAACCTAATTCTTATGTAAATAATGTAGAAATCTTTTTATTTTTATGCACATTACGTACCGTTTTATAGTAGGAATTGATCATCTCTGCTACATTAGTATAGTTCTTTCAAAACATTAAAATTGGTAAAATATGTAATTGTTTTCTGGTTGGTTTTGTTCAAGTGAACTTTTTTCTCTTCACATCCAGCAGTGTTTTCTTGAGCCTTTGAATTCTTTGTGAGCAGGGACTGATGAGTAATACACATATATTCATATCATTTTTCTCACCTGCGGCACCTTGAATAGTTCTAAATACATAGCACTGGCTCAGTAAGTCATTATTGTTTTACTAAACAATGTTATCTCATCCAAGTATCTAGTGAGATATTGCTCCATGTAGAACAGTTGCATCCTAAATTACCCTCCAACATAAAAATTGATTCATTTGGTCAATAAACATTGAAAACTGAAAATTGTCACTAGAAAACATCCAGCTCCATAGTGGAGTGTACATTGTACATGGAGATACTGTACTAGTTCTAGGAGCTCTGGTGAAAGGATTAGGCTTATGTACTGCCATCAAGGTTCCTATAGTCTGTTACTCAAAAGAAGCCATTTAGGTACATAGCATGGAAGTCAAGTACACCTACTCTGGAACCAAATTGCCTAGATTCAAATCCTGGTTTGGCCATTTACTGGAAGACCTTGTGTGAGTCCCTTAATCTCTTTGGGGCTCCACTTCCTCATCTGTGAAATGAGATAATACTCATGTTATGTGATTATTTTGAGGCTTAAATGAGTTAATACATGTAGAGTACTGAGAATAGAACCTGGCACATACTAAATACTGTGTAAATGTATCATAGAAACCAATAAAATCCAGTAAAATCTATCAGTAGTAACTCTGCCATAGAACAGAAAAATTTTCTCTTGAATCTTGACATCAAAACCCTCATGACCACGAAACCATAAAAGCTAAATAAGCATTTTCTTTAAGAGATCATTAAACCATTCTTTTTATTTAAAGGGGGAAGGGAGGAGTGTACAGTTTTTCTTTTCCCATTTCTTCATATGATTTTAATAAATAACTATTAAATCATTAAGAGAGGTCTGAAAAATGTGACTTTCGTAAAAAGTAGTCATAACTCCTACCCCTGCTCTTACCCCAGCCCCAAGGATTCTGGAACTTACTAATATCTAGGCTCAACCAACCCTTCTAAATAAAAGAAAAAAACATATCAAATGTTAGTCAAGAGCTGTGCCCCAAGGTAGCAATCAAATTGAACAATTTAAGTGGCACACCATGCCATGCCATGGAGAATAAATACATAACTGAAGATTAAAGGAAGACCTTTTCGTTAATCCCTGTGTGGCATGATCTACTGCTTGGTTTTGGGTCTTACGGAATAAATCTACTTCAGCAAATAAGTTTTGGAAGACTCAAAAGAAGTAATTGATTTTGAGGGTTACCAGGGAGTAGAATGTTGAATGAACTTGAATTTCTATTCAAAATGAATAAAGCCCCAGAACAAAGTCTGACTTAGTCCACTGTTATGTTTGCTTAAGGGTGAGAGATTTGCCCCTAATAGTGTGGAGAGACCATTGAGAGCTAATGAAAGAGCCCCCAGCAGTGCCTGGTATATTACCATGTGACAGTAAGTGCCACCACTGGATCCAGAAGATCTTGGACTTTCACCAGAAGCTCCACGAGAGAACTTAAATTAAAGTTGCAGATTGAACATGCCAAATCTGAAAATTTAAGATCCGAAATGCTCTAAATCTGAAACTTTTTGAATACCAACCTGATGCTTAAAGAAATGCTCACTGGAGCATTTCAGATTTTGGGTGTTCGGTTTAGGGATGCTCAAACCATAATTATAATGCAAATATTCCAAAATCCAAAAAAAAAAAAAAACCCAAACACTTCTTGTCCCAAGCACTTTTGATAAAGGCTACTCAACATGTGCCATATACTGTGTAGCTTTTTCTTCCATGGTGGTGGCATACTTTTGGCTCTTAAAGACTCCAAAAGAGAGGCAACCATTTTGTTTACTCACTAGGGTAGTCCAGAGTCCTTGACACTCTGGGCTCACTGTTCTGAGCCTGGGCAGGTCGACAAGGGTGGGGACCAAAGGCCTGGGCAGTGCTAGCATTATTGCTGTTTCTTCTAGGGGGATGAGACTTTGCAGGGGAGACCTGTTTCTTTAGGTCTCGTGACTGTTTTAAAACTCTTCCCTTTATATTAGGGCCTCATCCCACTAAAACGGATTTGCTTCCCAGATTCTGAATTCCCTTCATGTGAAATAGTGCATGGTGGTCTGACTAGTGGTTATGAGACAAAAGACAGATTTTTTTTCCTAACTTTGATATTTTATATGTCCTTTCTCTTTCCATTTTTCTTATAACTTCCTCATCTCTCTTTTCAGTTCTGGTATTATTTAGTGTTTCCCTAGCATGTTGTAGCTGAGTTGCCTGTGACCATTTTTAGTAGTTACACAACAAATCATGTACAGAGCATGAGCCAGCACTTAGCCAAATAATGAAATGGAAGAACTCTGCCAAACTCAGCATCATAATTTCCCTTAATAAAACTCTACTGTGTCATTTAGTTTGGTCTCTTTTTAAAACTTGAGCCTCCATCAGCCTATTTTAGGGGAGGGTACTACAAGGTCTGTTGCATAAATGATTTGACTTGCAATTGAACTAAGAATACAATGAACCACTTCCTAGAGTTATTTTTTAAAAGAATGAGAAAGGACTTCTTTGAAAAAAGAAGTGTTTTCTGAATATAACTATTTTGGGTCTAAAATTTTTGCTCATTTCCTAAAGTCCTGTACCACATTGGAATTGCTTTGTATTTTGTAGAACAGGTTTTGTATTCTAATATAGAAATTCTTAACTTGCCTTGTTACCTAAATTCAAATGCATTCCAGAATAATCCCTGGCACATAGTAGGTGCTCAGTAACTATTTGTTGACCCCTTAGCTTTCTACGTTTCTTCTTACGAGGGCATTGTCTCCTCTTAAGCATAATATTCAACAAATGCCACGTGCTATTCAGTGATTTTTCATTTCATAGCCACTTGCATAACTTTTACCTCTTTAAAATCTAGCCATTTTGCAGTCTCATCAATGTGGAACCCAACTAAAACTAAAGTAGGAAATAACCAGTGCCTAAGATTACAGTTTCCTGTCATCTGGCAGGGAAACGTGATACATCTGGGAAATCTTTTCATCACAAATGCTTGATAAGGTATAGTACTGGAATCCGATGTTGTGAGGTGACTGTCAGCAAGTTGCTTAATCTCTTTGGCTTTGGCTTGGTTTTTCTTATCTATCAAATGTGAGAGCAACACTCAGTGATCTCTCTGGTCCCTTCCAACTCTAAGACTTCTGTGATCCTATGCTTCTCAGGCCACCTCCCCCCTCCAGTCCTGTTTGCTCCTTTACAAAAGGAGAGGGGGACATGTAGGGAAGTCTTAACAATCTGTGACTTTAAAGGAATGAACTTTCAGCTGTCCAGCAAATCTGGCTATCCAGAAAAGGCCATTCCTCCAGGGTATATTGGTTAGCCAAAATTTTACTGTACATTAATACATAGTTAGGACTAATTTAGTGCCTAGGAAAACATTTGGGAATGGTTAAAACTGTGGAAAAATCTTAATTCTTGGTAGGGCAGTGTATACAATTACCATTTTATTGTTACACGTATTCCCCCCTTTTAGGCTAGAGCCTTGTTTGGGATGAGGGGAATGGATGTGCACATGCATCACGTAGGAGCCTGACTGTTTTTTTTCTCCTGACACCACTAATCCCCTGTTCCTGTTCCTAAGGGCACTGCTGATAAGTGATATCCAAAGTAACACTCCAGAGCAGGTGAAGTGCATTGCCGGGCTGCCCTGCATCCCAGCATCTCTTCCCTGTGGTGGTATCTGCCTCCAAAAGTCTGTGTTAGCAGAACTGGTGGGTACTTACACAGAAGAATGCACTAATCCTCTGATACTGACTCCAAAAGAGGAGGGTGGGGCAGAGAGAAAGAGGAGACAGGAACTTTTAATTAGCTGCTAGAATGCTATACCTAGCCCCAATCCTTTCTAAGCATTGAGGAAAACAAGTGACCGGATGGAATCAGCTCTTCTACACCCCAAATAATTTCACTTTATAAAACTAGATGAAATGAAGTCCCATTTCTCTGGAGAGGACAGCCAGCCCAATCTGACTTGGGTAATGTTTCTGTCTTTCTTCCTTTCCTTCCTCACAAACTTCCAGTCATAGCCCCATGTGTCCTGCCATATGGTGTCCCTGTTTGTTTGTTTCTCCTTTCTTCCTTTCTTTCTTTTTCTTTCTTCCTTTCCTTTCCTTTCCTTCTTCCTTTCTTCCTTTCTTTCTTTCTTTTGAGACAGAGTCTCACTCTGTCACACAGGCTGGAGTGTAGTGGTGAGATCTCGGCTCGCTGCAACCTCCGTCTCCCAGGTTCAAGCAATTCTTCTGCCTCAGCCTCCTGAGTAGCTGGGACTACAGGCACACACCACCATGCCCGGCTAATTTTTGTATTTTTAGTAGAAACGGGGTTTCACCATGCTGGCAAGGCTGGTCTCGAACTCCTGACCTTGTGATCCGCCCACTTCGGCCTCCCAAAATGCTGAGATTACAGGCGTGAGCCACCGTGCCTGGCAACTGGTATCCCAGTTTCTGCCTGATGTTTAAGCCCCTCTAAATTCTGGCCACACGCATACTCCTGTGCACCTGACCTTATTTCCCGCAATTCCCCAACCCCATTCTGAGATGCAGTGACATGTCCTGTACTCTCCTACAGGTTTTGTTCATTTCATTGAACTTAACTCAGGATGCTCTCCCTTTGTTTGACCACTTAAGTCCAGCCCCTTTCTCGAAAATTTAACCAAAGCCCCACCTCTTTCATCAAGTGTTCTGTGAACACTCTGTGCTTTAGTACTCCCAAGCCTTGGAAAACCTTCACACACCCCCTAAGTTTAAGATTACTCATATTCTGCCTTGTAGAATATATTAACTTTGCCTTCTGCACAGCTCTTGGCACAGAACAGAAGACACCGTAGGTACCCTTCTAAACCTTAATTTGGGGTTAGGGTTCAAAGGACAGCCTTGTAGTCAATGTAATGCAGAAGAAGATGTGCTTCTGTTCCAGTCTGGCAAAGACAAACACTGATGGTTGAGGCTATTAGCAGGACGTGCATGGTGGGCACATGAAGATAGTCTCCTCCACTGCATCTCATGGCTCACCCTGCATAGTTATTTGTAAAAGGATTTTGAGATAATTGAGCAATTTATGTGTGTGTGAGAGAGAGACTCCAGGAGGGAAGGGGGTGGGGGAGGAATGGGTGTTTACAGGGTGGGAGTTGGTGCACCTTGTTTGTTTTGGGTCATCTCCCTCCTCTCCCCTGTCCCAACATGTATCTTTTATCTAATCTATGTCTTCAGGAGGCAGTCCAGGCTTACTAATTGTGATCAATCACAACTCATTCTTAAGTTCATGGCCAAGCCTTCAGTGTCAATGTGATAGAAGCAATTTCTGTCTCTATTTTAGCCCCGCCACTACTGTCTTTTTTTCTTTTCACACATTAGGTAAACCCCACAGCCCAGTGTACCCATGCCCTGTTGAAGATGATCTACTGCTCCCACTGCCGGGGTCTCGTGACTGTGAAGCCATGTTACAACTACTGCTCAAACATCATGAGAGGCTGTTTGGCCAACCAAGGGGATCTCGATTTTGAATGGAACAATTTCATAGGTGAGCAAGTGGTTAACATATTTGTGTTGCTGGAGATAGCTTAGCTTCCAGTCACAAGGAATGTTGTAATTGGCAGCTATGAAATTTGTTTGTTTAAGTGTTTGCTATTTAGTGTTTGTCAGAATCCTGACTACGCTCAACTACTTTGAGAATAGTAAAAACATTACTGCAAGTGAATGTTCCCTCAAACTAATGGTGGCATTTCTGAAGGTAATAGATACAGTGGCTGCCAGGTTTTAATAATGAGAAAATGCCTTTTTCTTGGAGACAGAGTCTCTTTCTGTCACCTAGGCTGGAGTATAGCAGCACAATCATAGCTCTGTGTAACCTGAAACTCCTGGGTTCAAGCGATCCTCTCACCCTCAGCCCCCCAAAAGCCCTGGGATTATAGGCATGAGCCACTCACTGAGAAAGTGTCTTTTTGATATTTCCCGCCTGAAAGTCAGTTGTGTTTATGATTATAGGCTTGTATCCATGTAAATGCTGGAGTACAGTCCTCATGGAGTTGTAAAAGTGGCTTTTAAAATGTTATATCTATTACACTGCAACTAAATCTTCTGCAAACCGGCCAGATACGCATTTGTTATTTGGATCAGGTGAAATCTGATTGAGAAATTCAGGGATTCTGTTTCTGTACACCATTTAGCAGTAGTAGTCTGCTCTGGTGAGAGTGGAAGGACTTTAGCCCTGAGAATTTAAGGGATACATATTCCTGCATATATATTCCACCTAGAAAACCATTCTCAGAACCCAGACAGCAATGTAAATGAAGTGGCCAATTGCAGAGAGGGTTAGTTATGATTTTGGGGAAAGGACAAATTAAGGAGAATTTAAATGTCCAGTTGTCAATTACCTTGATGCCTGAAGCAACAGTAACCAGTGTTGAAGTTCCTTATGCTGAGTATTAGTAGGACCGCACACACATACTAACAGCTCACAAAAAGAAACTCACATTTTTCCCCACCCTAGTCACCTTTGCATAATTGCCGAATTTGAGTGTCTTTATAAGCACCTGTTTTTCACTTATTTGTCCAAATCATGGGAACATGTATGCAGTATTCTGGCTTGGTTTTTTGGGGGGAGGTGAGGGGTGTTAATGTTGGGGAATGCTTTTTAGTCTGTGTGAGAGCTAATTACCATATTAACTCCGTTTGAAAGTGCATCAATAAATTGGCTCCAACAGATTCTTAAGAACACTGACACAGGGGGATAAAAAAAGATGTGAATATTAAGCACTTCAGCACAATTGTAGCCTAAATAGCTCAAAGCTAGAAGACCTGAAAAAATCTTCTACACACAGAAAAGCAGAATCTCATGAAAGGGAAGGCATAAGACCAGCAAAGACATACAGGCCAAATGGCACATCATGCCCAGAATGAAGCCATGGGAGAAATTGTTGATTCAAAATATTTCTCATGGAAGTAAAAACCCATAGAATTTCCAGATCTAAAGTCGCTGTTTTTGTTTTCTCTCTCTCTCTTTAATCCCACACTCATCCCCACACCCAAATGTCAAGTTTGCAGTTCACTTTTGCAAAATTGAATTTTTAAAGAAAGTTGGTGATCCTTTTCAATTGCCCCTATAATTCACTGTTTCTCCAGGCAAGGTAGTAGAATTTGCCATATGGTACAAAAAAGTGTATGGTGACAGTGATCGAATTCTGCTGACTTTTCTACAGACACATTGGGAATGGAATGCAGAAGGGCATGGCCCTTGCCACTATTTTGATACTCTAACATGTCTAGCAGCAACTATAACTAAACTCATATCCTTATATTAAAATACAAATGCTCCTACGTGTTTTTCCTGGAGTTTACAGGTCCATATCAAATCAAAACCACACTCTGGCTTTCTTTATTGATGTTTTAAATCAGTTACTCGAAAACAAAGAGGACTTAAGTTGCTGTTGTTGTTCTTGTTGGGCATTTTTAAAATTACATTTGTTATCTTTGAAGAAACAAACCCAAGTAGAAGTTGATAGGATTTCTGAATCGATTTTTCCCTAGTTATTTTAAGTGATAACTTTTTGGAGGGATGAGGTATATAATTGTATCTAAACTTTGTTTTTAATGGGTATACTATTCTTTATTTCTAATAAGCAGATATAAAAGACCAGGAGTAATAGACATTGTTAATCTCCAGTGCTTTTTCATGAATTTTTCACAAGGGTTTAATTAATCTGCTTTGTGGTTGTAGAATTCAGTCCCAATTTACATGCCTCTGCTGTAAATTCTTTTTTTATTTCTTGTCTCTCTCTCTTTTTTTTTTTTTCTGTTTGCAAGGAATTTTTCTTTCCCCTTTAAATGACTGCAGCTAATGAATGGTCAAGGGCTTTTTCCCCCTTCTTTAAATCAGATCTTGGGGTTAAGTCGGGAAACTGCCTTTTGTTCTTCCAGTCAGGTCGGGAGGCTGAAGATGTGGGTTTCTGATTATTGGCAGCACAATGCAAAAGGAATCGCTTTCCCTAGTGAGAAGGGGATGCTTTGTTGCTGGGGGTATGGGGGGAAACTCAGTGCCAGTGTCTTGAGCACTGAAATAATGCAGTTGGACTAGACCCTTTAAGAGACTAAGGATGAACTGGTTTTCCAAATCCGTCTTCTTGTTGCCATGCTCTTCCTCTCCTCTCTTAACTGCATCTGCAACTGGCCATGAATTGAGACCCTTTAGTAAATGTTGAAGTCTTGTCAGCCTTTTATCAGGATGGATCCAAATAGTTAAAACACCTTAGAACTTGGTTTTATAAGACGCTGGTTTATATGAAACCTTCACTTGGAAATATAAACCAAATACCTCCCTTGCCCCCACCAACAAAAGTCAGTTTCTGGAGAATCATAAATTATGCTATGCAACTTGTTCTCCATCACATACTGTAGCTGTGTTAACACTCATTTGACTCAGGGCCAACCCTATTAATGTCGCATGTTGCTGCCAGTGGGAATTTAGTATTGGGATTGCTGGCGGGGACACCAGCCAGGTCCTGGCAGGAGGCAGGAGCCAGTCAGATATCCCGCAAACAAGGGCCTCCGTGGCTCGTATCAGCCAGAAGAAAACCCAAACTCCAAACCAATCATCTTTGGCTTTCTCTTGAGGCTTCTTATCAGGGCTGGCTGCTGTTACAGAAGAGCCAATTGATAGCCAATCATGACTTCCTCCAGGGGTTAGAGGCAGCTTTGGCTCCCGGGCTGCAGAGTGCAGGCAGAATGCTCTTCAGTTGCATTCTTCAGCTGCGCAACACACAACACCATGGCACCGGCCCCAACAAAGGCCCAGCTTCCCCCTCCATTCCCAGGCTCTTGTGTATAGCCGGCTGGCTCAGAGTTTACAAAGACGCCAAACAGCCAGAAGAATTGGGGTTTATGTTTCCTTTCAGTCTTTCACAAACACATTAGTGATCTGGCCATTCCTTGCCACTAGGGGAATAAGGAGTTACAAAATGCACTGGGTTTTGTTGTTGTTGTTGTTGTTGTTATTTAAACGTCTGCATTTTAGATGTTTATTTTCTGTCTATTCATAATATTTTTATTGGGAGCAGGTGATTTCTTCTCAGCTTACGAAGGAATGTGCTTTCTGTACGTGGCAGCCCTGATGATTTGACAATGATGAACACATTTAAGTTGTGCTCCACTTGTTTACAAAAGTCTCCTTTTGCTAGCACATCAAAAGCATTTTTTTTCTCTCCTGTAGTACAATGGTATATTCATGCTTTCAGCCCTTACTTAGAGTTAGAAGCATCACTTGATTGGCGCTTACCACAATGCATTCTGAAACTTCATTTGTTATTACTGTTTTAAAAATTGCATTTCATGGAAATCTATTTGTGGTTTGTGACATCGGAATTGTAGTTTAGAGAAATGACCCCGTGCATTAAAATGTTGTGTAGCATTTGTTCTAGGTTGAAGGTGAAAGCTTGATGACTAGATTTGGTTTCATTGATATGCTGATGCCTATGCTGCTTTCCACTAGAAAGCTTAGATAGAAGCTCAGCTGGGGGCTGCAATTGTCAGCTGTGTTCTTTGGGTAGGACACAATCTTCCGGGAACTAGCTCTTCTTTCAAGTAACCATCCTTGCACTACCTGAAGATGATAGATAATGTGGGTCTAACTCCTTTCTTGCCATGCACTAAGCACTAGAGTGTAAAGGGGGGATAAACAAGTTTAAAAGTTCACTGTTTGTCGTTAATGAAGCATCCTTTTTGTCATTTGGGGTTTTCATTTCCAAGTTCTTCTAATTTTGTAAAACAGGTAGCAGGCAAAAATACTAAGCCTCATAATCCTAAGAAACATATATGGCAAGAAAACAAAGACAATGTATTTTATTGAAGCGATTCAGTGCTTACTGGAAAATGCCATGCTACTCCAGAGTCTAAAGCAGGATAATCGGTGAAGATATATACTGTGAGCCCACTAATTTTGTGTACTGTATCTTGTGTCATCTTCTCACTTGCAAAAAAAAGGAGGTACATGCCTTAAGATAAATTGAAGCCATTGTATTTGCAATGAGAAGTTTTTCTTAATACAAAAATTGGATTATTCAAAGTTTTAGTATTTGAAAAGTCATTAGAATTCCTAGGAACCCTTTCATTTGTATTATCCAACGGTGCACTCAAGGATCTGAGGGGTTTTGTTTTTAAAAACAAAAGAAAAGAATTAATATGCCAGCATCTTAACTGATTTATGTTTTTGACTCTTGTAAATGGAATGTGAAACGAGAAGATCCTAGGGAAGTCTCTGGGAGAGCTGGCATGTTATTTTGTCTCCAGCCTTAGGTTTGTCATCTGGGAGCTAACTAAGAGCCTTACAGTGACAGTGGCTGACACACGAATAATCAGTATTGAGGAAAGTTCCTGATTGGGTTTCCTTGCTGTAGAACTAAGCCTTCATCTGGCCATTTCACACTTTAGAGAGCTAGTGATACATAGTGACTAAATGCAGTTTGGTGTAAGGGAAATAGACATAAAAACAAGAATTCATTATGATCCATGCCTTACTTCCCCTGCCCCCATGCAGGAAACAGACAGAAAAAAAAATCAGATTGATTTACCCAAGGCCAAACTAATGATTGACTTTTTATGCTGTATTGTTCTTCCCCAAACCTCATATTAGATGCTATGCTGATGGTGGCAGAGAGGCTAGAGGGTCCTTTCAACATTGAATCGGTCATGGATCCCATCGATGTGAAGATTTCTGATGCTATTATGAACATGCAGGATAATAGTGTTCAAGTGTCTCAGAAGGTAATGAAGGCAGGATGCTGGAAAGGGGAGCTAGGGACCTCCCCCGCCTCCGCCTCCCGCCTTGGGAGTGACTTCCCTAACATGACGACACTTACTCTAATGCAGGTTTTCCAGGGATGTGGACCCCCCAAGCCCCTCCCAGCTGGACGAATTTCTCGTTCCATCTCTGAAAGTGCCTTCAGTGCTCGCTTCAGACCACATCACCCCGAGGAACGCCCAACCACAGCAGCTGGCACTAGTTTGGACCGACTGGTGAGCGTTTTGGCAGGAAGGGCCGTGTTTAATGACAAAGAACTGAAAACTCTTGCTCAAAATGAATTTTTAGCTGGAAGGCTAACAAGTGTGGGTCTTTCAGGTGTCACTTTTCAAGCAAATAGGATGTGGATGTCAGTCAATCTGCCTGTCCCATTTTCTAGCCCAGAAAGTTCTTGGGTAGCCAAGGAGTTATGATGCAATAAGTCTTGTCTCAAAATTTCTCTTTAGATTCACCATGCATTTATTGAACATCTACTATGTGCCCATCACTGTGCTAGGCATAGAGAAGCTCAGAGAAATAAGGCAGATCCTTGTTCTCAAAAGGCACCAACAAGGAGGCAAAGAGGGAGAAGTAGATGTTCCAGGCTTATTAACATAAAATGATGTTTAGTAAAAGCTGAGATGGGAGAAAAGTGAGTAACTGTAGGCAAATTGCTTTATCCACAGTAATATGCTACAAAAATGTAAGAAACTATTCCTACAGTAGTAGGAACACAGAAGAGGGAGCCTGAGGAGACAGGGATGGAGAGAAAGAGCAATAGCAGCTATGTTTCACAGAGTGCATAATATACATGCTTGATCCTGACTCTAAAAGCCTTAGGAGAAGAGACTGCATGTTATCTTTGTGCCTACAGGGCATGGAGACTGGTAGGCCTCAGATGGTACTTACAATGAGGTGGGCAAGGGGTCTAGGCCACTCCTTTGGAGCTTGCATTTCAACTATTATTTGAGTGGTTTTGTACTTCTAAGATATAAATTGGAGTTGCATCTTCCTCTTCTAATTAAAGTTGAAAATGAATTGCATATCACTCTGGAGATACTTTGGAAATGGCCAGAAGGCACACTTGTAGGTAGTTTTGTCTTGTCTTACAATGATCTTTTTTTGTTGTTGTTGTTTCATAATTAGGTTACTGATGTCAAGGAGAAACTGAAACAGGCCAAGAAATTCTGGTCCTCCCTTCCGAGCAACGTTTGCAACGATGAGAGGATGGCTGCAGGAAACGGCAATGAGGATGACTGTTGGAATGGGAAAGGCAAAAGCAGGTTAGTGTCTGTTGAATGAATTTGAAGTTTCTCCCTTCCTAGATGCCTGGGTGACCTTCAGAGAGGGTTCTCTCAATTGTCAACCGAGGCATCAGGAAGCAATTCACAGTAGGTAGCAACAACATGGAAGGCTTCTAGGTGTTCTTAGGAACAGGCTTTGCACTAGGAGTGTTGAGAAGGCACCCAGTTACTTACAAAGAGTGCTGAGTCAAAAGTTTGACAGTAGTTATAGTCTCGTATTAGGGCTGTTCCAATAGTGTCATTATTTTTAAAATATTTAATGCCTGTGGCTCTTTGTCCAATGGCCTAGCCTCATAAATAACCAGTTCTCAAAGGTTCCATTCTCTGACTTGATGCCCTGTGTCCCTCCCTTAGACGCTCAGTAACTTAGAGAAGTACCCATACTTTTTTTTGTTTGCTTGTTTGAGATGGAGTCTCGCTCTTTTGCCCAAGCTGGAGTGTAGTGGCACAATCTCGGCTCACTGCAACCTCCACCTCCCGGGTTCAAGTGATTCTCCTGCCTCAGTCTCCTGAGTAGCTAGGACTACAGGTGCCTGCCACCATGCCTGGCTAATTTTTTTTTTTTTGTATTTTTAGTAGTGACAGGGTTTCACCATGTTAGCCAGGATGGTCTTGATCTCCTGACCTTGTGATCCGCCTGCCTCAGCCTCCCAAAGTGCTGGGATTACAGGTGTGAGCCACCGCACCCAGCCAGTACCCATACTTCTTTACTTCAACCCACCATCCTCCTCAAGAGGGATAGCTAGCTTCCTTCCTTCCTTCCTTCCTTCCTTCCTTCCTTCCTTCCTTCCTTCCTTCCTCCAACAGAGTATCACTGTCACCCTGCTAGAATTCAGTGGCACAATCTTGGCTCATTGCAACCTCACTGCAATCTCAGCTGCTGGAATGCAGTGGTGCAACCTTGGCTCACTGCAACCTTCGCCTCCTGGGTTCAAGTGATTCTCCTGTGTCAGCTTCCTGAGTATCTGGGATTACAGGCACACACCACCACACCCGGCTCATTTTCATATTTTTAGTAGAGACAGGGTTTCGCTATGTTGGCCAGGTTGGTCTCGAATGCCTGACCTCAAGTGATCCACCCACCTTAGCCTCCAAAAGTGCTGTGATAGCTTTGAAGAAGGTTTCCATCAAATTGGAGAAATGAGGAATCCACAGGAACAAGAAAGATTAGAGTTCATTAGGAATTAAAGAACTTCCATCTAATTTTGCTTAGTGGAAATACTAGAATCTAGCAGAAGTATTTGATAACCTCTTGTATAATCTTCATAATCTTCACGCCTGTAATCCCAGCACTTTGGGAGGCAGACAGATAAAATCTTTTCGCTTTACGAATCATCTTACTGGGGTCATTTTACATTCCAGGTACCTGTTTGCAGTGACAGGAAATGGATTAGCCAACCAGGGCAACAACCCAGAGGTCCAGGTTGACACCAGCAAACCAGACATACTGATCCTTCGTCAAATCATGGCTCTTCGAGTGATGACCAGCAAGATGAAGAATGCATACAATGGGAACGACGTGGACTTCTTTGATATCAGTAAGCATTTGTGGTTTGAAAGTACGAATTGCTCTTGTATGTCTTCTGATGAGAACAAGTGGAATGAAATTTCTATTCCATTTTTTTTTAAACTAGGTGATGAAAGTAGTGGAGAAGGAAGTGGAAGTGGCTGTGAGTATCAGCAGTGCCCTTCAGAGTTTGACTACAATGCCACTGACCATGCTGGGAAGAGTGCCAATGAGAAAGCCGACAGTGCTGGTGTCCGTCCTGGGGCACAGGCCTACCTCCTCACTGTCTTCTGCATCTTGTTCCTGGTTATGCAGAGAGAGTGGAGATAATTCTCAAACTCTGAGAAAAAGTGTTCATCAAAAAGTTAAAAGGCACCAGTTATCACTTTTCTACCATCCTAGTGACTTTGCTTTTTAAATGAATGGACAACAATGTACAGTTTTTACTATGTGGCCACTGGTTTAAGAAGTGCTGACTTTGTTTTCTCATTCAGTTTTGGGAGGAAAAGGGACTGTGCATTGAGTTGGTTCCTGCTCCCCCAAACCATGTTAAACGTGGCTAACAGTGTAGGTACAGAACTATAGTTAGTTGTGCATTTGTGATTTTATCACTCTATTATTTGTTTGTATGTTTTTTTCTCATTTCGTTTGTGGGTTTTTTTTTCCAACTGTGATCTCGCCTTGTTTCTTACAAGCAAACCAGGGTCCCTTCTTGGCACGTAACATGTACGTATTTCTGAAATATTAAATAGCTGTACAGAAGCAGGTTTTATTTATCATGTTATCTTATTAAAAGAAAAAGCCCAAAAAGCAGTAAAATTTCCATTTCTCCCTGTTATTTTAGTTGCCTTATCTGGAGAGACGTGGAGGTGATTTTCTTTTTTTTAAATTATTATTAAGACAGAATGTGAGGGCACAAGCAGGCTTCTGAGCCACTTGTCAGATTGTATTCAAAGCATCAATCCAAGAAGGAGGTTATGTGTACTTCATTTATTGGTGATAGTTGGAAGAGACTGCAGACTACTGCTTTGAATGAGTTGAATTACATAAGCTAAGATCACTATAGGTCCATTTCTTGAACCCACTTATACATAAAATGTAACCCATTTAGAAAAAGATTCTGGATATCATCCCCCTTGAAAGATAGAAAGCATTCAGGATGTCCCAGTTATCACATGTTCACACTTGGGTTTAGGGGTGTTTTTTTTTAAAACCAGGCAGGTTAGCTAGCCCACCCTGTGCTAGTTTTCATGTTCACACTGACCCTATTTGAATTAATATCCTTTGTTAGAGTGGTCGAGATTTCAAACCCAATTATGTACAGGGAGCTGTCTGAGAGCTAGCCAGAACTGGGGTACAGCCTGGGCTCAGGGAATAGCTGTCAACACTCGGGCAAAGTTTTTGTCTGTGCATGTGTATCTCCATTTGTTTTGGGATCCCAGTTTTTGTTTTAAGAGAGTATAAGGTGTCTCATTTGAGTCTTTTTCTTACCTAGCCCCCTCTTATCAGTAAAACAAAGGACTTGCCATGGTTCACAGCAATGTGCTACGATCCAAGATATCAGCCAAGGAGCCCACTTAGGGGAGAACTAGGTGTCCAGATTTTTGTATGTGTTGTTTTTCTTGGGGGATGGGGTGGGGTGGGAGTAGGTAGAGCTGAGAATACTACATCTTAGTGGTGACCTTTAGCCACGTGGGTGAAGTGGCAAAGGCCATGGCCATATCTGTTGTCCCAGGCCAAAGACTAACAACTGCCTTGGGAATCCCTTCCTTGTGTCCTTACCAAATGATAGCTCATAAAACTCTGATAATGTAACAAATCACTTTCAAAGGAGTTCCCAGAAGTCTTCAGAAAGACTAAAATTCTGTCTCTTCCTGCTTTAGACAGCCATTAAGATCCCAACTAATTTTACCGAACCTAAAACCCACAAAGAGGTTGTTTGTGTTATTGTTCAATCTTCAGTTGTAAGAGTAATTCTCTATTTTTATATTGAAACATAATTACTTGATAGCTCAGGGTCTACATTTCATTCAACTTTTTACACCAAATTCTGCAGAGTGGTCAAAATGGAATATTGGGGGCTGTTGTAAACAGAGGCTTAATTTTATTAGAAGTAGCCAGTTATTTATTAAAGCATGATGTTAATAAAATAGGCATATTCTGGCTGGTGTGTATAAGTGGTTTTTTTTTTAAAACAAATCAGAAGACATAAAATTGAAAAGGCACTCCATTTATATATAAGGGAAAATAGATTGTAAATAGCTAAGGGGCCTTGTGAGAACTTGGAAAATGTGCTGATACTTAGTAACTACCTCAGTTGTGAGGAATTTCCTTTTTAGCTTAGACTGCTATTACTTTTACTTGGTAGAAATGAATCTGGTCTCCAAAATATGGCTCAGAGAGTTATCCCCATAGACCTTGTTAGATTGTTTTTAATTTAAAACCTTGAACTCTGCCCAGCTGTTTTCTTCCAGTCAAATTCTCTAAACCAATAACATTTTCCAAATTAAGTATTCTTGAAGGTTCTTCTGAACTCTTACTGATTTGTTTTCTTTCTTTGCATTTTTTCCTGTTACTCTTTTATTATTTAAATTGTCTCTTGCTTTTGAACTTCAACTATGAAATAAACAAATCATAGATTTTTCCATTCAGGTCTGACTGGATAACTCTTGGCTTCTAAGCAGCTGGCAAGCTCACCCCCACTCCCCAAAAAAGAAGAAAGGCAAGTTGAATATTTTAAAACCTTAAGAGTTTGGAGTATGAAGTAGAATAAAAGCCTTGTTAGGAGAAGACCTGACTTTTCCAAAGTTAACAGCATGTGAAGGGCTTGTGTTTTACAAAGTCATTTATAAATTATTTTTCTTTAAAACACATCACCTACTCTGTACCTTAAAGATTTTACAACTCTTAGATTTATATTTTATTTCAAAAATCGTAACTAGCACCTGTTATTTTGATTAAAAGACACTGCGAAGAATTGACGTAAATTTCTAAAGTTTAGTTACTGAGTGTTCAAAACCTAACAGTTCACATGAAGTAAAAATTGTCATTTGTGATTACAGAATCAAAATAAAAATAGGTATGAATGGTGCTACACAAATTTCTGCTTCCCCTTTGTTAGCAGAATATGTCTATTTACATAGCTAAAGGGTAGTAGGTTATTAGGTTAGTGCAAAAGTAACTGCAGTTTTTGCCATTACTTTCAATGGCAAAATACTAACAGTTATCTACTAGAGGAGGGTGTGTGTGTGTGTGTGTGCGTGTGCACGCACACGCGCATGCACATGTAATGTCACTGCTAAGCCAAATGTAACTTTCTACCTTTTTTGAAACAACAACAAAGTACTCAAAATTCTTCTGACTTTGAACTTCATGGGAAAAAATATAACTGCATACCGTGATACACTTCACAAACTCAGTTTCTAATTTTTGACTCCTAAAATTCTTCTAAAATTCCTTTTTATATATGTGAAAAATACCTGAGAGATGACATTTGGTAACAGGAATTCTATTCTATCAATGAGCCAAATGCCAAGTAATATTTACTTGTGTACTTAGTTTTTAATTAGGTAATATATTGACAGGGTTTAAAAAACAGAACATACATCAAGAGACTGAGTGAATTTTCCTCCCATTCCTGCTTCCATCTGCCAAGTTGTCCCCACACCTCAAGTAAGCTCTTACTATTTACTTATGTATGTCTTCTTCCAAAGTTTATTTATGCATATACAAGCGAATATGAATAGAAGTTTACTCCTTTTTGTCATATAAAAGGTAGCGTTTTTGTTTGATTTTTGTTTGTTTGTGGGGTTTTTTTTGTTTTGTTTTGCTTTGTTTTTTGTTTTTTGAGACGGAGGCTCCCTGTGTCCCCTAGGCTAGAGTGCAGTGGCGCAATCTCAGCTCACCGCAACCTCCGCCTTCCGGCTCAAGCAATCCTCCCACCTCAGCCTCATGAGTAGCTGGGATTACAGGTGTGCACCACCACATCCAGCTAATTTTGTATTTTTAGTAGAGACAGGATTTCACCATGTTGGCCAGGCTGGTCTCAAACTCCTGGGCTCAAGTGATCTTCCCACCTCGGCCTCCCAAAGTGCTGGAATTGCAGGCATGAGCCACTGCGCCCATCAAAAAGGTAGCATTTTATGCTTATAATGTCCTATTTCTTTAGGTTAATTTTTTGAATATTGAGAATAGGAGACTCTAAGGATACGGCTCTGTAATTAAGTTTAGGATTCCTATTCTAAAGGCATGGCTTCTCAGTGGTAGCACATGTTGTGTTTTACTGTATTTTGGCCCAGATTAATTTAAGTAGTTTTTCAAGAAACAAACATTGAATAGAGTGAGGAATAGTTTGGCATTATAGCACTATAACCCCAGAGTGTACAATTTGGATGCTTTCTGTTTTTGTTAAGGTTTATTTTTGGTAGTTTGTTTTCATATCATCACCAGTGCAGAAGACATTAGCCAAAGCAGTTCGGAAGATCCTCTCAGAACACAGCACATTAATACCACTGTTCATGCTTAGGAATGGTTCACAGGAGCTGTTGTGACCTGGAATTTACTCATATTCTATTAGAATAAAGTATTCATTTTTTTGAGACAGGATATTACTCTGTCACCCGGGCTGGAGTGCAGTGGCATCATCAGAGCTCACTGCAACCTTGGACTCCTGTGCTTGAGTGATCCTCCCACCTCAGGCTCCTAAGTAGCTGGGACTACAGGCACACACCACCATACTCAGCTTTTTTTTTTTTTTTTTTGTAAAGACAGGGTATTGCCATGTTGCCCAAGCTGGTCTTCAATTCCTGGCTTCAAGTAGTTCTCCTGCCTTGGCCTCCCACGGTGCTGGGATTACAGGCATGAGCCACCACACTGGCCTTGAAGTACTTTTAATGCTTTCAAAAGTCCAGATGCCTTGAAGCAGCATCAACCACCACACAGAATGGAGATGAGGATACTAGGAAAATGTGTAACTACACCTTGGTTACTGCATCCAATGGTTCAGTCATTAGAATATGCAAATAAATTGTTCCAACTTCAGTTTTCTTGTAAAGTTGAATTTTTAATGAATCAGTGTTTGAGAGACTTCTGAGTTCAGTAAAATCTAAAGAAATGCATTCCTCAGCATGAGCGTCCACATGTGCAATTAAATGTACATTCCACTCTACTTTTGACATTTCTTAAATGTTAGGAATTCTGAAAAAAAGCACAGGGTTGTTGCAAAGACAAAGATCTTCACACATCAATCCTACTAGGTAAAAGCTAATGAAAGATAACAAGTGTGCTTAAAGAGTTAAGATAAAAGTATATGTGTGATGACCCCAGGAGGCTTTTATGATCCTGTTCTCTGGTCTTTGGGGAGGCCTTTGGCAGCAACTTTGTTGCCACTCCATGTTATTCTTAATTCCTGTGTTTCTTGCATAGTAGGATTAGAAGACCTGTGTGTGTGTGCGTGTGTGTGTGTGTGTGTGTGTGTGTGTATGTGTACACAAACCTACACACAGATTTATTAAGTGATTGTGTATTTTCAAACACTAAATACCAGGTAGATCTTACCCTGTCACTTAAGGGCTGCCTTCCTATGGCTGTCAGAGGGGTGTGCTTGGGGAATGTGGACTCATTTTAATAATAGCCTAAGGGAAACATAATTAAGAAGGTAAGTCTCCTGCCAAGAAAAAGAAAATACACATATATAAAATGCATACCAGAGACCAAATAGAATTTCTTAGATTTACCACTGCCTGTGTGTGCTTTTCTGCATCACCACAGATAACCTAAAGCTGACTGTAACCCGCTGTTCATGGTGACTCACTGCACAGAGCATTTTGGTGCCAGGTCAGCCAAAAAGAAATAATCACAGCCAGTGGGTGGTTTTCTGAACACACACATTAGGATCTCTCTGTCCTCTTTCAGTGCATTTGTCTTTAAAGGTCTTTACTGCCCCCACCCTCACCTTTCTTTTAAAATGTGCATAACAAATGGTTTTTACTCTGCTGTTTCAGTTCGGAACACTTTGCAACAGGATCTGGCAGCGGTAATGAACATTTAGACATTATTTAAAAAGAAACTAGTTATTTGCTGTTTATTTACTTATAACTTCCTGACTGAGAAGCGAGGCAGGGGCTGGGCCTGGTGGCTGACACATGTGATACCAACATTTTGGGAGGCCGAGGCAGGCAGATCACTTGATGTCAGGAGTTCAAGACCAGCCTGGCCAACATGGTGAAACCCCGTCTCTACCAAAAATACAAAAATTAGCCAGGTGTGGTGGTGGGCAACTATAATCCCAGCTACTTGGGAGGCTGAGGCAGGAGAATCACTTGAACCTGGGAGTTGGAGGTTGCTGTGAGCTGAGATCGCACCACTGCACTCCACCCTGGGCAACAGAGCAAGACTCCATCTTAAAAAAAAAAAAAAAAAAAAAAAAGGTGAGGCAGGAAGAACCTGTGTGCCCGGCACTAAGGCTGGGCCACATCAATTCTGTTACAGAATTCTGCAGAGTAGAAGTCAGTCCATTTCATAGATGAGTCAAAGGATGCAAAGAAGTCGGGTAACTTGGCCAAGGGTGACACCCACATAAGAAATGCAAGAACCAGATTTGAAGCATCGGTGGGTCTGCCATCAGGCCGAGCCTGCTCAAGTGCTACTTTTCCTTCGATTGCTGCTTTTCCCTTACCCTACATTGTCTGAATCATTAGGAAAGGACAAGGCTTGTCAAGCTTACCATATGTAGAGCTGCCCTGCCCCTGAGGAAGGGTCGGGTTAATGGCCATAGGAGGCACTGATTAACTTGGCTGACCTGAGTATGGGCCAAGGAGTCCAGGGCCACCTGGAGGCAAATCTTGATGATGAAGAGGGTTTTTGACTTCACACAGTGGCTCCTTGCTCTGTGGACTTCAAAGCAGAAAGAACTCCAGTGCATCCGGATTATGTGCCATCATTGATGTGCTGGTTCTTGAAGAACGATTTTATTTTATTTTATTTTATTATTTTATTTTATTTTAGTATTCGACGCAGAATCTCACTCTGTCGCCCAGGCTGGAGTGAAGTGGCACGACCTTGGCTCACTGCAAACTCTGCCTCCCCTGTTCAAGTGATTCTCGTGCCTCAGCCTCCCGAGTAGCTGGGATTACAGGCATTCGCCACCATGCCCAGCTAATTTTCGTATTTGTAGTGTAGAGACAAGGTTTCACCATGTAGGCCAGGCTGTTCCTGAACTCCTGATCTCAAGTGATCTGCCCGCCTCTGCCTCCCAAAGTGCTGGGATTACAGGCGTGAGCCACTGCGCCCAGCCTGAAGAAATAATTATTAACTCGAGGTATCTTGTCTACCCTTTCCAGGACAGCCTGTGAATGTGAAATTACCCATTCACAGGCTGTGGGAATGGTTCTGGGGGTGCCCTTGCAGCGACAGTGCTGAGAAGGCTGAACACTTAAGGAAATACAGTTTGTTGAGGAAAATATCATGGTTTACATAGGAAAAATTCATACCTGCTTAATCAGCTGGGGCTCTGTGTGGGAGGTAAACACATCTTGGGATAAGTAGGGGCCAGTGAACATCATCTGGGTTTCTTAAAGAGCCCTTGACAAGACTCCGTCTTAAAGTTTACACCTGGGTCACAGATTAGACCCAAAGAACAGGGATGAACAGGCACTATTCTAGAGGGGGAGTGTAATAGGTTTTTCCTGCAGGACTGGTCTTAGTGCACATTAGAAAAGACATCTACAGACAAAATCTGTGTGTTAGGAAGGAGAGATTTTAACTTCTCACTTCCTACCTAGGAAAGAAATCCAGACCTCTTGTTGATTGTGTGCTGATCATGTGTCCCAGCATCCCCACAGGGCAGTATGTGCAGAACAGAATGGGAAAGATCCTGACCTAGGTGTGCTTTGTACTCTGGGTTTGACCTCCACCTTGATAGAAGGTCCAGAGATGAGCAGCAAAATCAGCAGGGACTGAGGGCTTTACCTCCAAGTGAATGACAAGTGATGCCTCACTGGTCTGCAGAGACAGAGACTCAAACCTATAGAATTGGGGCTGTGGGGAAGGTGAATTCCTAGAACTAAAGGCACGCTACCCTCTCAGAACGAGTAAACGATCCATTTTGAAAAAAAAAAAAAGGAATTCTTTCTTACTCAATGAGCAGTGATTTATGTAATTGCTCAAATTAAAGATGCTGGCCAGGCATGGTGGCTCACACCTGTAATCCCAGCACTTTTGGAGACTGAAGTGGGTGGATCACTTAAGGTCAGGAGTTTGACATCAGCCTGGGCAACATGGTGAAACCCTGTCTCTACCAAAAATACAAAAATCAGCCGGGTGGGGAGGTGCACACCTGTAATCCCAGCTACTCGGGAGGCTGAGGCAGGAGAATCGCTTGAACCCAGGAGGCAGAGGTTGCAGTGAGCCGAGATCATGCTACTGCACTCCAGCCTGGGCAACAGAGTGAGACTCCGTATCAAAAAAAAAGAAAAGAAAAATGTTTAATACTCTAGGCTGCTGGTGATCAGCTGATGCTGAACAAAATCCCTGGAGCCAAAAGGTGAATCAGAGTGGGATGGGGAGAGGGCAGCACTATCTGAGGTGGCCATTGGAGCTAGGTATTCATTACTCTTCAACCCACCCTTTGGACCATCAGCCTGTACCTAAGTCAGGGCTGGATGAACCCCTGTGTGACCCACATTGCACAGTTTGTCAACCAGGTTCCTTTTGGGGAGTTGTAATTTATATCCAACTGAAGAATTTGAAGGTGCTTGTCATGTTGAAACAGGGACTCCAAAAATAAAGTGTCCAGAGAGGCCAGCCCTTGGCTAGCAGTCATGTGGCTCTGGATGTCTGGCCTCCAAAACCACAAGGAATTTGAGGCAATCATATGATTTATGACAGGTCTGGCCCTGGCCTTTGAATAGGAGGGCAGGAGGAAAACTTGACATAGGATGGGGCCTCTGTCTCCATTGGGGAGACAAGACTCCTCAGGAAACATGCCAGTGAAATCACGAGCTCTGAGCTGTCTTGCAGGTCAAGGGAGAGGGGTGCACATTGGAAAGTTCAGGGTGACTTCCTGGGGAGGCAGGGCTAGAATCGGGCATGGTTGGAGGGGAGAATTTGACTAGGCAGGGAAGAGAGGGGAGGAAATTCTCCTAGGAGCTCTCGTGAGCAGGACCCATCATTAGTTCTTACTATTCCTTGGATGCTACAGGTTGCCTTCCACACTCAGTAAAGCACTGGCTGGTTTGGATTGTAAGAGTAAGGGCAGGGAGGTGGGACAAAGTGTGGTCTGGGGGTGGTGGTGGGATGGGTGTGGGGAGTGAGGAAGCAGAAGAGAAATGTGTCTGAAAGGCAGAGGTGATGGGTTTCCTAGTACAAGACTGGTGAAGGATGGGATGAGACTGTGAAGCCCTCAAAAGCCAGGCAAGGTAATTTAGCATTCAAGTGGGCAGGCCCTAACACAGTTTCTTGAGTAGGACGAGACGTGATGCACAGGATATGTAAAGAAGAACTAGGTAGGAGTGTGTAGCATGGATTCAGTGGAGTCATCCTTGGGCTTGACACTGTGCTCAGTGCTGTACTATGCAACCCGTGGGGGTTCAACTCCCTTTACACCTAATACACACCAGCCTCCCCCCAACAATTTTGATTTGGAGCTTTCCAGTGAAGATATTCCAGTTCAATTCAAGGGATACTTTTTGGATGTCCAGGTTTGGAATGTAGTAAGACATATTTTAAGTGGTCCTCCCCATTTCCCACCCCGTCACACCTTTGAATTCTGGCCAGTCACATGCACATATCTTTGCCACATCTTCAAACATTGCTTCTAGGTGCCCCACCCTCACCCCTACTGCCAGAGTCATTCCAGAGATCCCAGATGTCTTAGGCCACTCTATTCTGCTCTGGCCTCCTAGCTGGAAAGAAACACAAGAGGTATCCCTGGGGTCTACTTCCCCAGACATCATCCTGCAGGGACCTGGGATTATATGGGAGTTGGAAAACCTCTTCGGGCATTAGGCAGCCAGCTGGTGGGTTGAGGGCACCAAGTATAAATCAGGTTAAGGAGGAGCCACTCTGGTGAGGTGTGAGAGGGACAGACACCTGCCTACTTGCCTCTCCCCACCCCAAGTGGCTTATGTCAAGTTACCACTTGTGTACCCTAGATCACAGTTGGAAAACTACAAAGCAACTGTTTAACTTTGGGGGCTTTTCTCTTAAGGGCCCTGCCTACTGCTGGGATTGTTATAAGGAGATACTGGGAAGATGCACACATACAATGGTGTTCCAAGGTTGGGAGTGCCCTTCCAGGGGCTAAGGTGACAGGAGGTGCTCCATCACAGGCCTTCGCCCAGAGCAGTGGCTATTTTACAGTGCCTTGCTCACCAGGCTCAATGGCCACTTGGGCCCTTGGATGAGGGCTAGCTGCATTTATGAGACCTGGCCACTGAGCCCCACCTCCTGCAGTGGGCACAGGTTGGAGCCTGGGCAGGGAAGAGCTCCTGATGCGGGGACTCTGAGATGGATCTCAGCCCATCTGCATTATTGATGCCCTCTCTGTGGGCTATGCACTGTAAACATGTAGAATGGAGCTTTCCTGCAAAGGCTGTGTCTCTGTATGCCTGCCATTGCCAAGTGATACCAGGAAGGGCTCCATTTAGATGAAATTGCATGGCTGAGGTTCTACAGAAAATGAGCAGATGGGAGTGTAAAGCCTGGTTCTTCCTAGCAAGAAAAGATTCTAAATCTCCAATAATTACATATTCTGCTTTTAGGGATTTCAAATAGGAAAAGCTCCCAATGGTACCTTTACCTGGCCTTTTCACCTTCCTCCATCCTTAACACGTGTCCCTTTCTACTCTTTTCTATCAATACAACTAGAGGAAAAGAATTCCACACATAAAACTCTTCCCTAGAAGGCAGGCAGGGTGCTCAGAAGAGCACCTCTCAGTTGCCCATCCTCAACCCCATCCCTCCTGCCAATTTCCTAAGACTCTGAGGTCCTGGGGAGGTGCCATCCCTTCTGTAAATTAAAGCTGTTAAATCTCCTGGTTACATAGCAAAGCTGCACCAGCTCCTCTGGTTCCAGAGTTGACAGGGAGAAAGGAGAAAGCTATGCAGAAGTGTTTCCTAGTACCTAATTCCAATCTGTTTTTCCCCCAAATTCCATGTGGTCTTGGAAGGGCGTGGGGGGTGGGTGAGTAGAGGTGGATTGGTGCCAACAAAAGGCCCTCTTGGACCCTTTAGGCACTATGCATGTTTCTTCTTAGACTGGCCCTTGGGTCTTTAGTGTTCTTCAGAGTCAAGTCTTTTGCAAAAACAAAGGAAAGTGTCCCTCAGGACACAGTCTATAATGGACAGTGGCCAGTACCCATGGCTTCTTAGCATGACAGTTGTCTAAGTGGAAGTCACATTCTGGAATAATTTGAAGTTGTCTTCATTTTGAGTTCAAATTGAGAAAACCTGCAAGTCAATTTATCAGTTGTACGCAGCTTGGACAGTGCTATGGTTTGGCTATGGTTTTGGTTTTACCAAAACTTATGTTGAAACTTAATTGCCATTATAAGAATGTTAAGAGGTGGGACCCTTAGGAAGTGATCAATGCCTATATTGCAGGAACGAGTTAATTATCACAGGAGTTGACTCCTGATAAAAAGGATTAAGTTTGGCCTCCATCTTGCTCTCTCCATCTCATGTGCTCACTTCTGCCTTCTGCCCTTCCACCATGGGATGGCCTTTGCTAGATGCTGGTAGCTGCTTTTGGGTTTCCCAGCCTCTGAAACTGTCAAAAATAGATGTTTTTTCTTTTCTTTTCTTTTTTTGAGACATGTCACTCTGGGTCACTCTGTCACCCAGGCTGGAGTGCAGTGACACAATCATGGCTCACTGCAGCCTCAACCTCTTGGGCTCAAGCGATTCTCCCACCTCATCCTCTCAAGTAGCTGGAACTACAGTCATGCACCATCACACCAAGCTAATATTTGTATTTTTTGTAGAGACAGGGTTTCACCATGTTGCCCGAGGTGGTCTCAAACTTCTGGACTCAAGCGATCCATCCGCCTCAGCCTCCCAAAGTGCTGGGATTACAGGTGTGAGCCACCACGCCTGGCCAATACATTTCTTTTTTTTGTACATTACCCAGTTTGTTGTATTTTGTTATGGCAGCAGAAAATGGACTAAGACAAAGAAAACGTATTATACAACTTGGAACATTTTAACTAGATAATTACCTTAGGAATTTGCTGAATGTAGTACAGAACAAAATATGCCACCCAGCAATTTGTGTGGCCCATGAGGGCCCTTCTTAACCCATTCCACAAACGTTGGTTGAGTACATGCTATGTGCCAGGTATTGTGCTAGGCACTGGGAATACAGTAATGAAGAAAAACAGACTTGGTGTCCATTCCGATGGAACTCACCACTAGTGCAAAAGATAGACAATCAAATAATGAGCAATGAAAGTATAATTATAGAGTCAGGACGGGCGTGGTGGCTCATGTCTATAATCCCAGCACTTTGGGAGGCCAAGGTGGGTAGATCACTTAAGGCCAGGAGTTTGAGACCAGCCTGGCCAACATGGTGAAAACCCCATCTCTACTAAAAATACAAAAATTAGCTGGGTGCGGTGGTGCGCACCTGTAATCCCAGCTACTCAGGAGGCTGAGGCAAGAGAATCGCTTGAACCCAGGAGGCGGAGGTTGCAGTGAGTTGAGATCATGCCACTGCACTGCAGCCTGAGTGACAGAGCGGGACTCTTCTGTCTCAAAAAAATAAAAAAGAGAGTTAGGTGGGACTCTCTCAATGCAAAATAATCAAGTTAGAGCCCTGGGAAGCTTTCACACTTCCAGTTATGAGTCATGGCAGTAGCCAAAGTCTATGACAGTATCCTGGAGGGCTTGATAAGACGGTTAGCCAGGCCCCATCCGCAGAGGTTGTGATTCAGTAGGTCTGGGATAGGACTCAAGAATTTGCATTTCTACCAAGTTTCCATGTGATGCCGCTGGTCCAGTGACTACCCTTTGAAAACCATTGGCCTAAGGAAAGGGATTTTGAGCCTGGCCTTTGATGGAGGACACATAGCCCTATTGGGCAGTCAATCAGGGTGCATCCAGAGAAATACTGGGAAGAAAGGAATCAGGTGAATTGCTTCAGACTGCAATGATCCCGTCACACTGACTGGTTGGGCTTTAGTTAGGAGTATTCCTAAATAGAACCTGAGGATCCAGAAAAGGTCAAGCAAGTGTGGAGGGTGTGGCCAGGCGCGGTCCACCATACCCCAGGATCCAGAAAAGGTCAAGCAAAAGTGGAGGGTGTGGCCGGGCGCGGTGGCTCGTGCCTGTAATCCCAGCACTTTGGGAGGCCAAGGTGGGCGGACCACCCGAGGTCAGGAGTTCGAGACCAGCCTGGCCAACATGGCGAAACCTTGTCTCTACTAAAAATACAAAAATTATCTGGGCATGGTGGTGCATGCCTGCAGTCCCAGCTACTTGGGATGCCAAGTCAGGAGAATTGCTTGAACCCTGGAGGCAGAGGTTGCAGTAAGCCGAGATCACACCACTGCACTCCAACCTAGGAGACAGAGCAAGATTCCGTCTCACAAAAAAAAAAAAAAAGGGGGGGTGTGGAGGGTGTTATTTTCTAAGAAATCAAGGAGTCACTCTGAGCATGATCACTCCTCAAGGGAAATCAAGGGAAAATCAGGTGAGGATATAGAGGTTATGGGGATGCTTATAGATCAGAGTTGAAGGGAAAGGGGATTTTTGAGTACTTCCCTTGTCCATTTAAAAAATAATCTTCTGGCCCAGATCCCACAGATTAGAAGAGTTGTTTCAGAACAAGATTGCTTCAAAGACTGTAGTATTAGTTACAATGCTCTTGGCTGCAAGCAATGATGACTCCAACTCAAAATGATTCAAACCATAAGGGACTTATTGTCTCACATAACAAAAAGCCATGATGTAGAGAAGCTTCAGGGATGGTTAATTCTCAATGTAGTTATCAAGGATCAAGGTTTTTTCCATCTTTCAGCTCTGCCAATTTCAGCATGTTGAAGCTCCTCATGGCTGCAAGATGGCTGAAACAGTTCTAGTGAGAACACATCTCCACATACCACTTTCTGCTGGTAGCAATAAAAGACTATTTCCCTCAAGTTTCGTTTGAAAAGCTAAACAATCTTTCCCAGTACATACCTTCTTCCAGCAGATGTCCCCTCACCTCTTGGTGCTTAGAATCAGCTCACGTGCCCTAAACTGCAGAGTATAAATATGATCCAAGTTTTGTGCCAGGTACTGAGGCCAGTCCTACCTAATAGACATGGCTGCAGGAAGGAGGATGAACACTGAACACATCAGAAGATAACTGACAAGGTATAAGGGAGGAATGGCTATAAGGTAGGCAGATAACTGGGTTGGCTACACCTGTGTACTACCAGAGGGTAACACTAGTAGGAATTTAGGGCACTCTTGCTACATCTGGGATGGAGAAATGGAGCACTACATCAGTGCATTAGCCATCGGCAACTTTGGTATGAATAGGAAACTTCATTGAGCTTCAGGGATTCCGGAAGGTAGAGCTATATGGAAATCATTATATCACTTTCTAGACACACACCAGCTCAATTCAACTCCCACAGTCCTTTAAAGGTCATCCAAGTCAATCTTGAATCCTTTTTTTTTTTTTTTTTTTGGAGACAAGGTCTCACTCTGTCACCCAGGCTGGAGTGTAGTGGTGTGAATATGGCTTGTTGCAACCTCAACCTCCTGGGTTCAAGGGTTCCTCCCACATTAGCCTCTCAAATAGCTAGAACTACAGGCCTATACCACCACGCCCAGCTTGTTTTTTTTTGTTTATGTTTTTGTAGAGACAGGGTATCACTAGGTTGCCCAGGCTGGGCTCAAGTGAGCCTCCCTTCGTGGCCTCCTAAAGTGCTGGGATTACAGGCTTGAGCCACCTTGGTCAGCCAATCTTGAATCCTTAATAATTGGTTGTCCTCTACGAAAGTCCTGTCAAGTGGTTGCCCAATCAGTGCTTGAACACTTCCAGTGACAGGGATCTCATTACTTCCAATGATGCTCTATCTTTGGGCAGCTCTCAATATTAGAAAGGTTTCTCTGCAGACTCCAAAGTGTACACAAATGTACTGTTTGCTCAGTGATTAGGTGGAAAAGCCTTTGAAGTTTCCATCAGTATTTCCACTGGAAATGGATGTTTTCAGAAATTGCTAACAAAAAGGTCCTTGCAGAATCATATGTGTTGCCAAGAGATACTTAAAACAAATAAACAACCAAATAATTTTAGGAAAAAAACTGGCTCTTCTGTGTTAAGATCTGTAGATATTTTTCATACTCCAAACCCATTAGTTTGAACGCTTTAAATTTTAACAAGAGATTAGAGCATAGCCTAACCTAATAACTAACATTTTGGGAGGAAATGTTTTCAGGAAATGCCTTGTGGCATTAGCCTTGAAAGTAGTGATTGTATGTTGGCCCCACATGGCCTCCTCTCCAATTACAATGGAGAAGCCTAGCTGAATTCCTGGTTGTCTCTATGGCAGGAGGGAAGCACTTCCCTTGGTGCCACCAAACACAGTGAGAGTTGGATGGTGTATTTGGTGTGTTCACATGAATTCAGGTGAATGGAGAATAACAATGGTTCCCAACCTTGGCCAAGACTGTTCAGGGGTTGGTAGTATCGACTGTCGTGTGCTGTCATGGGTTGGGGGTTGGTGGCGGTACCCAAGGGAAGGCTTGGGGTAGAGATCAGGCCACCATTTGTGCTCCAGTGATTCTGTTCTTCTCTGGCTATGTGGCTCATCACTGCCTGGCCAGACCAGAGAGAGGAGCCCAGATTCACCAGAGTCATGGATTCTAGTCAATTGTTTTCAAATATCAGTATGTTGCTATGGAAAGATTTGTTCTATTTCCAGCTGGGATGAGTGCCCTTAATTATGCCTGCATTGTCAGGGCACTTTCTTTCAAAGGACATAATATTACTTCCCCCCGTCCTTTTTTTTTTTTCTCGAGACAGAATCTAGCTCTTTTGCCCAGGCCAGAGTGCAGTGGTGCAATCTTGGTTCACTGCAACCTCCTCCTCCTGGGTTCAAGTGATTCTCCTGCCTCAGCTTCCTCAGTAGCTGGGGTCACAGGCACATGCCACCACGCCTGGCTAATCTTTGTATTTTTAGTAGAGATGGGGTTTCACCATGTTGGCCAGGCTGGTCTTGAACTTCTAACCTCAAGTGATCGACCCACCTCGGCCTCCCAAAGTTCCGGGATAATAGGCATGAGCCACCATGCATAGCCAAAGGACATAATATTACTTTTGATTTCAAGATTGATTCCGTCTATGATGATACTCGTCTCCTCACCACCCTCCTTGATGCGTGTCTCTTTCTCCACTACCAACCCTGAAGCCACTGTCCTTACAGCAGCTCTACTCCTTCCATCCACCTCCCTTCTTCAGGCCTAGTTGTCCTATGTTCAGACATGGCCTTTGAATTTGGTTTTTGGCTTTGTCAAAATATGGTTAATGCAGACTCATCCTTCTCTAGCTGTGGCCAAGAGCTTGATGTAACTGTAGACTCTCCCTTCCTTCAGACAATTGCTCTCAGTTCCTAATAGTCACATTTAGCTGGGCACACTGGCTCATGCTTGTAATCCCAGGATTTTGGGAGGCCAAGGCGGGTGGATTGCTTGAGCTCAGGAGTACGAGACCAGCCTGGGCAACATGCAAAGTCCAGTCTTTAGAAAAAATAGAAAAACTTAGCTAGGCTTGGTGGCATGCACCTGTAGTCCCAGCTACTTGGGAGGCCAAAGTGGGAGGATTGCTTGAGCCCAGGAGTTCAAGACCAGCTTGGGCAACATAGTGAGACCGTGTCTCTAAAAAAAAATAAATAAATAAATAAAAATAGAAAAACAGCCGGGCGTGGTGGCATGTGCCTCTAGTCCCAGCTACTTGGGAGACCAAGGTGGGAGGATCGCTTGAGCTTGGTTGAGGCTGCAATGACCTGAGATGGTGCCACTGCACTCCAGCCTGGGTGACAGAGTGAGACTCTGTCTCAAAATATAATCATCATCATCATCATCATCATCATCACACTTGGTCTTTCTTCTCCTTTAACAAATAAGACTTCACTTTTCAAGTAGTGTCTTTTTAGGTCATCCCCTCAAGAGGTTAGCCACTGTTCCTGCAACTCAGTGGGGAATGCCTTCCCACCTTGCAGCACACTTGGAGTAACCCCCACCTTGGGGCATATCTTCAGCCTCTGATGAGGGATATGATTATTTAAATAGCCAAAAGTTAGTAAAGGCCAATCCCAGAGCATTGGCCAAATGGTTCTTTCATCAACCGGATCCTTTTGTATGTAATCTAGATGTCAGGGAAGCCAAGACGTTACAGGTTTCCCTCAGTCTCCAGGTGAGCAATTTTGCTGAGAAATGGGATGTGACTAGGAAAGAAAAAGAGAGATTTTTCTCACGTGGCTCAGAATGGGTTCCAAAGGCAGGTCTTGAAGCAGTGCTTCAAGTCACATGAGTGTGGCCATATGGCTGGAGCCAGGCGATGGCCTCCCAAGGAACCTCTGTCCTTAGAAGAAGCCAGTATTCCTTGAAGGTGCCAGTTCTGCTCTTTTGTCAAAAGTCATCGGTCTCCTGACTGTATGGACACATAGTGGCTGACGCAAGGCTGTGACAGGAAGTCCTGTCAGCTTGGTGGTAACCAGCATCATTAGCTCTTATCCAGCTTCCTTAAAGGTTGGACTGTGTCATCTTGTCACCCATGTCATACTTCTCTGGCAGTCACCGCTGGCATGGCCAGACTAATCATAATGAAATCTGCACAATCTCGGACTTACAGATTCTGACAGAGTTCAAAAAATAAAACCATTTTTCTAGTCAGCATAGAGTGGAAAGGATGAGAAGTGTGCTTTGAATTAATATTTGGGCTTGTGTGTACCTTTTCCATTAAGGACTTAGACCTAACTTGCCAGTGGACTTCCACTGCCATTTCGGTCCTGAGGGAGAGAAAAAGGAAATGAATGTGATTATACACCAGCAGTTGAGCATCAGATGCACAAATAATAATGATTTTTTTTCTTTTTTTAAAATTATACTTTAAGTTCTGGCATACATGTGCAGAACGTGCAGGTTTGTTACATAGCTATACATGTGCCACGGTGGTTTGCTGCACCCATCAACCTGTCATCTCCATTAAACATTTCTCCTAATGCCATCCCTCCCCAAGCCCACCACCCCCCAACAGGTCCCAGTGTGTGATATTTCCCTCCCTCTGTCCATGTATTCTCATCGTTCAACTACCAGTTATGAGTGAGAACATGTGGTGTTTGGTTTTCTGTTCCTGTGTTAGTTTGCTGAGAATGATGATTTCCAGCTTCATCCATGTCCTTGCAAAGGACATGAACTCATCCTTTTTTTATAGCTGCATAGTATTCCATGGTGTATATGTGCCACATTTTCTTCATCCAGTATATCATTGATGGGCATTTGGGTTGGTTCCAAGTCTTTGCTATTGGGAACAGTGCTGCAATAAACATGCATGTGCATGTGTCTTTATAGTAGAATGATTTCTAACCCTTTGGGTATATACCCAGTAATGGGATTGCTGGGTCAAATGGTATTTCTGGTTCTAGATCCTTGAGGAATCGCCACACTGTCTTCCACAATGGTTGAGCTAATTTACACTCCCACCAACAGTGTAAAACTGTCCCTATTTCTCCACATCCTCTCCAGCATCTGTTGTTTCCTGACTTTTTAATGATCGCCATTCTAACTGGTGTGAGATGGTATCTCATTGTGGTTTTGATTTGCATTTCTCTAATGACCAGTGATGATGAGCATTTTTTTCATATGTCTGTTGGCTGCATAAATGTCTTCTTTTGAGAAGTGTCTGTTCATAGCATTGCCCACTTTTTGATGGGGTTGTTTGTTTTTTTCTTGTAAATTTGTTTAAGTTCTTTGTAGATTCTGGATATTAGCCCTTTGTCAGATGGATAGATTGGAAAAATTTTCTCCCATTCTGTAGGTTGCCTGTTCACTCTGATGATAGTTTCTTTTACTATGCAGAAGCTCTTTAGTTTAATTAGATACCATTTGTCAATTTTGGCTTTTGTTGCCATTGCTTTTGGTGTTTTACTCATGAAGTCTTTGCCCATGCCTATGTCCTGAATGGTATTGCCTAGGTTTTCTTCTAGGGTTTTGATGGTTTTAGGTCTTACATTTAACTCTTTAATCCATCTTGAGTTAATTTTTGTATAAGGTGTAAGGAAGGGGCCCAGTCTCATTTTTCTGCATATGGCTAGCCAGTTTTCCCAACACCATTTGTTAAATAGGGAATCCTTTCCCCATTGCTTGTTTTTGTCAGGTTTGTCAAAGATCAGATGGTTGTAAATGTGTGGCGTTATTTCTGAGGCCTCTGTTCTGTTCGATTCATCTATATATCTGTTTTGGTAATAGTGTCATGGTGTTTTGGTTACCGTGGCCTTGTAGTATAGTTTGAAGTCAGGTAGTGTGATGCCTCCAGCTTTGTTCTTTTTGCTTAGGATTGTCTTGGCTATACGGACTCTTTTTTGGTTCTATATGAAATTTAAAGTAGCCTTTTCTAATTCTGTGAAGAAAGTCAATGGTAGCTTGATGAGCATAGCATTGAATCTATAAATTATTTTGGAAAGTATGGCCATTTTCATGTTATTGATTCTTCTTATCCATGCGCATGGAATATTTTTCCATTTCTTTGTGTCCTCTCTTATTTCCTTGAGCAGTGGTTTGTAGTTCTCCTTGAAGAAGTCCTTCACATTCCTTGTAAGTTGTATTCCTAAGTATTTTAATCTCTTTGTAGTAATTGTGAATGGGAGTCCACTCATGATTTGGCTTTCTGTCTATTATTGGTGTATAGGAATGCTTGTGATTTTTGCACATTGATTTTGTATCCTGAGACTTTGCTGAAGTTGCTTATCAGCTTAAAGAGATTTGAGGCTGAGATGATGGGGTTTTCTAAATATACAATCATGTCATCTGCAGAGACAATTTGACTTCCTCTCTTCCTATTTGAATACCCTTTATTTCTTTCTCTTGCCTGATTATCCTGGCCAGAACTTCCAATACTATGTTGGATAGGAGTAGTGAGAGAGGACATCCTTGTTTTGTGCTGGTTTTCAAAGGGAATTATTCCAGCTTTTGCCCATTCAGTATGATATTGGCTGTGGGTTTGCCATAAACAACTCTTATTATTTTGAGATACATTCCATCAATACCTAGTTTATTGAGAGTTTTTAGCAAGATGGGGTGTTGAATTTTACTGAAGGCCTTTTCTGCATCTATTGAGATAATCATGTGGTTTTTGTCATTGGTTCTGTTAATGTGATGGATTACATTTACTGATTTGGGTATGTTGAACCAGCCTTGCATCCCAGGGGTGAAGCTAACTTGATCATGGTGGATAAGCCTTTTGATGTGCTGCTGAATTCGGTTTGCTGGTATTTTATAGAGGATTTTCACATGGATGTTCATCAGGGATATTGGCCTGAAATTTTCTTTTTTTGTTGTGTCTCTGCCAGGTTTTGGTGTCAGGATGATGCTGGCCTCATAAAATGAGTTAGGGAGGAGTCCCTCTTTTTTATTGTTTGGAATAGTTTCAGAAGGAATGGTACCAGCTCTTCTCTGTACCTCTGGTAGAATTTGGCCGTGAATCCGTCTGGTCCTGGACTTTTTTTGGTTGGTAGGCTATTAATTACTGCCTCAATTTCAGAACTTGTTATTGGTCTATTCAGGGATTCAACTTCTTCCTCTTTTAGACTTGGGAGGGTATATGTGTCCAGGAATTTATCCATTTCTTCTAGATTTTCTAGTTTATTTGCATAGTGGTGTTTATAGTATCCTCTGATGGTAGTTTGTATTTCTGTGGCATCTGTAGTGATATCCCCTTTATCATTTTTTATTGTGTCTATTTGATTCTTTTTTTTCTTCTTTATTAGTCTGGCTAGCAGTCTATTTTGTTAATCTTTAAAAAAACAAAAAACAAAAAAAAAACAGCTCCTGGATTCATTGATTTTTTTTGAAGGGTTTTTCGTGTCTCCATCTCCTTCATTTCTGCTCTGATCTTAGTTATTTATTGTCTTCTGCTAGGTTTTGAGTTTGTTTGCTCTTGCTTCTCTAGTTCTTTAATTTTGATTAAGGCATCGATTTTAGATCTTTACCACTTTCTCCTTTGGGCATTTAGTGCTATAATTTTCCCTCTAAATACTGCTTTAGCTGTGTCCCAGAGATTCTGGTATGTTATGTCTTTGTTCTCATTGGTTTCAAAGAACTTATTTATTTCTGCCTTAACTTCGTTATGTACCCAGTAGTCATTCATGAGCAGGTTGTTTAGTTTCCATGTAGTTGTGTAGTTTGAGTGAGTTTCTTAATCCTGAGTTCTAATGTGATTGCACTGTGGTCTGAGAGACTGTTTGTTATGATTTCCTTTCTTTTGCATTTGCTGAGGAGTGTTTTACTTTCAATTATGTGGTCAATTTTAGAATAAGTGCAATGTGGTGCTGAGAAGAATGTATATTCTGTTGATTTGGGGTGGAGAGTTCTGTAGATATCTATTAGGTCTGCTGGGTCCAGAGCTGAGTTCAAGTCCTGAATATCCTTGTTAATTTTCTGTCTTGTTGATCTGTCTAATATTGACAGTGGAGTGTTAAAGTCTCCCACTATTATTGTGTCGGAGTCTAAGTCTCTTTGTAAGTCCCTAAGAACTTGCTTTATGAATCTGGGTGCTCCTGTATTGGGTGTATATATATTTAGGATAGTTAGCTCTTCTTGTTGCATTGATCCATTTACCATTATGTAGTGCCCTTCTTTGTCTTGTTTCGTCTTTGTTGGTTTAAAGTCTGTTTTACCAGAGATTAGGATTGCAACTCCTGCTTTTTTTTTTTTTTTTTTTTTTTGGCTTTCCATTTGTTTGGTAAATATTCCTCCATCCCTTTGTTTTGAGCTTATGTGTGTCTTTGCACATGAGATGGGACTCCTGAATACAGCACACCAATGGGTCTTGACTCTTTATCCAATTTGCCAGTCTGTGTCTTTTAATTGGTGCATTTAGCCCATTTACATTTATGGTTAATATTGTTATGTGTGAATCTGATCCTGTCATTATGATGCTAGCTGGTTATTTTGCCCGTTAGTTGATGCAGTTTCTTCATAGTGTCAATGGTCTTTAAAATTTGGTATCTTATTGCAGTGGCTGGTACTGGTTTTTGCTTTCCATGTTTAGTGCTTCCTTCAGGACCTCTTGTAAGACAGGCCTGGTGGTGACAGAATCTCTCAGCATTTGCTTGTCTATAAAGGGTTTTCTTTCTCCTTCACTTATGAAGCTTAGTTTGGCTGGATATGAAATTCTGGGTTGAAAATTCTTTTCTTTAAGAATGTTGAATATTGGCCCCCACACTGTTCTGGCTTGTAGAGTTTCTGCAGAGAGATTCACTGTTAGTCTGATGGGCTTCCCTTTGTGGGTAACCCAGCCTTTCTCTCTGGCTGCCCTTAACATTTTTTCCTTCATTTCAACCTTGGTGAATCTGATTATTATGTGCCTTGGGGTTGCTCTTCTCAGCAAGTATCTTAGTGGTGTTCTCTGTATTTCCTGAATTTGAATGTTGGCCTGTCTTGCTAGGTTGGGGAAGTTCTCCTGGATAATATCCTGAAGAGTGTTTTCCAACTTGGTTCCATTCTCCCCATCACTTTCAAGTACACCAATCAAACATAGGTTTGGTCTTTTCACATAGTCCCATATTTCTCGGAAGCTTTGTTTGTTCCTTTTCATTCTTCTTTTTTTTCTAATCTTGTCTTCCCACTGTATTTCATGAAGTTGATCTTTGATCTCTGATATCCTTTCTTCTGCTTGATTGATTTGGCTATTGATACTTGTGTATGCTTCACAAAGATCTCATGCTTGTTTTTCAGCTCCATTAGGTCATTTATGTTCTTCTCTAAACTGCTTATTCTAGTTAGCAATTCCTCTAACCTTTTTTCAAGGTTCTTAACTTTCTTGCATTGGGTTAGAGCATGCTCCTTTAGCTCAGAGAAATTTGTTATTACCCACCTTCTGGAGCCTACTTCTCTCAATTTGCCAAACTCATTCTCTGTCCAGTTTTTTTCCCTTGCTGGTGAGGAGTTATGATCCTTTGGAGGAGAAGAGGCTTTCTGGTTTTTGGAATTTTCAGCCTTTTTGCACTGGTTTTTCCTCATCTTTGTGGAATTATCTACCTTTGGTCTTTGATGTTGGTGACCTTCGGATAGGGTTTCTGTGTGGATGTCCTTTTTGTTGATGTTGATGCTATTCCTTTCCTTTTGTTAGTTTTACTTCCAACCATCAGCCCCCTCAGCTGCAGGTCTGGTGGAGTTTGCTGGAGAGCCACTCCAGACCCTGTTGGCCTGGGTATCACCAGAGGAGGCTGCAGAACAGCAAAGATTGCTGCCTGTTCCTTCCTCTGGAAGCTTCCTCCCAAAGGGGCACCTGCCAGATGCCAGCCAGAGCTCTCTTGTATGAAGTGTCTGTCAACCCCTGCTGGGAGGTGTCTCCTGGTCAGGAGGCCCCGGCGTCAGGAACTGACTTGAGGAGGCAGTCTCTCCCTTAGCAGAGCTCGAGTGCTGTGCTGGGAGATCTGCCACTCTCTTCAGAGCTGGCAGGCAGGAACGTTTAAGTCTGCCGAAGCTGAGCCCACAGCCGCCCCTTCCCCCAAGTGCTCTGTCCCAGGGAGATGGGAGTTTTAGCTCTAAGCCCCTGAATGGGGCTGCTGCCTTTGTTTCAGAGATGCCCTGCCCAGAAAGGAGGAATCTAGAGAGGCAGTCTTACTACAGCAGCTTTGTGGAGCTGCGGTGGGCTCCACCCAGTCCAAACTTCCCTGAGGCTTTGTTTACACTGTGAGGGGAAAACCGCCTACTCCAGCCTCACTAATGGTGGACTTCAGACTGCTGTGCTCACAGCAAAAATTTCAAGCCAGTGGACCTTAGCTTGCTGGGCTCCATGGGGGTGGGATCCACTGAGCTAGACCACTTTGCTCCCTGGCTTCAGCCCCCTTTCCAGATTGGCGTTCCAGGTGTCACTGGGGTATGAAAAAACTCATGCAGCTAGCTCAGTGTCTGCCCAAACAGCTGCCCAGTTTTGTGCTTGAAACCCAGGACCCTGGTGGCGCAGGAACCCGAGGGAATCTCCTGGTCTGTGGCTTGCAAAGACCATGGGAAAAGCATAGTATCTGGGCCTCAGTGCACTGTTCCTCATGGCACAGTCCCTCAGGGCTTCCCCTGGCTAGAGGAGGGAGTTCCCCCACCCCCTGCACTTCCCAGGTGAGGTGACATCCCACCCTGCTTCAGCTCACCCTCTGTGGGCTGCAACTGCTGTCTAACCAGTCCCAATGAGATGAGCCAGCTACCTTAGTTGGAAATGGAGAAATCACCTGACTTCTGTGTTGATCTCACTGGGAGCTGCAGACCGGTGCTGTTCCTATTCCGCCATCTTGCCTGTCACCTTTTTTTTTGTTTGTTTTTGAGACAGGGTCTCATTGTGTCTCCCTGGCTGGAGTGCAGTAGCATGGTTATGGCTCACTGCAGCCTTGACCTCCTGGGCTCAAGCAATCCTCCCACCTCAGCTTCCTGAATCACTAGGACCACAAGTGTGTGCCACCAGGCCTGGCTAATTTTCTTAAAGAGATGGGGTCTCACTATGTTGCCAAGGCTGGCCTCGAACTCTTGGGCTCAAGTGATCCACCCTCTTTGGCCTCCCAGTGTGCTGGGATTATAATGAATTGATCACTACCTCTTAGTCCATACTTATCATGTACCAGCCACTGTGCTAACTAATATTATAATAAACACTATCATTTAATCCTTATAACAACCCTGTGAGACAGGGAATATAATCTTATTTTCCAGGTGAGGACACTGAGGCTCAGAGAATTTAATGACCTTTCCCAAGATTGCAAAGTTAGTAAGTTCTACATCCAGGGTTTGAAACCAGGGCTCTTTGAGTCTCCGTATACTAATAACTCTCCAATTTTCAATGTCACATCAAACATCTAGGAATCTTTTAAGATACAGATTCTGATTCAGTAAGTCTGGGGTGAAGCCTGAGGTTTCATACACCATAAGCTCCCAGCTGATGCCACTGCTGCTGGTCTGGGAACTTCACTTTGAGTGGCAATAATATATGCCACATTATAACAGGGTCACCAGCTGAAATTCCATTTGGAATTTTGTGAGTTGTGTGCAATTCAGAATTTGCTCTGGAAAAAAGTGTGAGGTGAGTCAAATTTGTTCCAGGCCCACTCAACCTCCCAGATATCAGCTCCTTTTTACCTGCGCCCCACAAGCCCCAGAGGTTCTGATGGTCTGCTTTCCCTCCTGGAGGATCTACATTTTCACAGAGAGCAAAGATTGGAGCTGAAACCATGACATTGTCATTTGGGGATTTGAGGCAATGGTGGAGAGGAAGGGATGAGTGTGGGTGGTTGCTTCCAAGTTTCTCATATCACTCATTAGCTCCAAAAAACACCAGCCACTGGCCAGTTTCACATCCTCAAGAGAACATGTCACTAAGATGGTTTATTAGTCCATTTTCATGCTGCTAATAAAGACATACCTGAGACTGGGCAATTTACAAAAGAAAGAGGTTTAATAAGTTCACGGTTCCATGTGGTTGGGGAGGCCTCACAATCATGGCAGAAGGTGAAAGGCACATCTCACATGGTGGCAGACAAGAGAAGAGAACTTGTGCAGGGAAACTCCCCTTTTAAAACCATCAGATCTCTTGAGACTTATTCACTATCAGGAGAACAGCATGGGAAAGACTCACCCCCATGATTCAATTATCTCCCACAAGGTCCCTCCCACAACATGTGGGAATTGTGGGAGCTATAATTCAAGATGAGATTTGGGTGAGGACACAGCCAAACCATATCAGATGTTCTTCAGAACCTTGTCATGACTAGCTGAGAGGAAGATGGTTTACATTTAGTCTATGCTTCTGGCTATTCCTCAGAGGGAAGATGTGGCTCATCCCATTCATTTATTTAATAACAGGCAAGAAGGAACCTGTCTGGTGATGTGGCCAGACTTGTCGGGCGTCTATTTGGATAGCAGATATGCTGAGTGAGCACTCAGGCTTGAGGGCACAATGAGTGGGTGCCAGCCAGACCACCATGGCCCAGGCAAGCTGATTATACAGGTGAATCCCTACTGCGGGGAGGGCTGGGCCGGTGGGGAACTGGAGGCTGGTTCAGCCTTTGGCCTAACTGGAGGCCTAAGTAAAAATGTGTGTTTGGTAATGGAGAAACTCATATTGAAAACAGGTGGTGTTTGGGCTTTTGCCTACTCCATAAACTGGCTCATCTGAGGCCTACAATACTTTCCTATCTCCAAAGTCTCAGCCCTGCTGTGAGATTGGGTCTCTAGTAAGGACAAGGCCTACCTGTCCTACCTTATGGAAGGTCACAAAGGACACGGAGTTGGTGTGGAGTTGCAGACCTCGCCTAGTGGTGAGGAGCAGGAAAAGAAAAGGGGGCTGCCTTTATGGGATCAGGAAGCTCACGTTCTGTCCCATCTGTCAACATATGGGCCCTACACTCAATGGGGAGAAGTTACTAAGCAGCTGCAAAAATTGCTATGAGCCCCAACTATATGCTAGGCACCATGTAGGCAGGTAGCAGAGATACAACTGGGCTCCCATGCTAATGCAATACATAAATGTGGCCGGGTGCAGTGGCTAACACCTGTAATCCTAGCACTTTGGGAGGCTGAGGCAGGCAGATCACTTGAGCCCAGGAGTTTGAGACCAGCCTGGCAACATCATGAGACCCTTTCTGTACTAAAAATTTAAAAAATTAGCCAAGCTTGGTGGTATGCACCTGTGATTCCAGCTATTTGGGGGGCTGAGGTGTGAGGATCGCTTGAGCCAAGGAGTTGGAGGCTGCAGTGAGCTGTGATTGCACCACTGCACTCCAGCTTGGGAGACAGAGTGAAAACCTTGTCTCGGAAAAAAACCCACATAAACGTACAAAAAATGTTAACGGTCAAATGTAACACAGCTACCAGCCAAATTGTACAGAGTAGAGTTTTCGTACTCTTCTTTAAAAGCTTGCTGTTGTGCAAGCTTGCTGTGGGGGGTGTTTTATAAGTAGAATTAATTCATTTGTTCATTCCTTAATGCTTGTATTCACTCATTCCATACACTCTTCCTCTATGGAGAGAGAGGCCAATCACATCGGTATGGGTTTGCTTGTTTTTCAAGTAAGGGCTGGTTATTATTTTTTTAAATACATTTTCTTTTTTTTCTCTCTGCAAACCACACTCTCGTTTTCACCACGTGGTTTATTTTCAAGTGCAGTTAACAATTAAGCCAAAAAGTGATTTGTTCAAGGATTGCTACCTATAAACAAAATTTATTCCATTTGTAAACCCAATAATCCACGATACTCTCTGCTAGCCTGAGTGACTTAATTTTTACTATTTGATCATTCTTGTTATTTAAGAAAAGCTAACACTAACCATTGGATTTTAATTATAACTGGTCACTGTAGGGCTTAATTGGAGTGTGTGTGGGTTAAAGCAGCTGGTGTGTTGATTCCAGGTATGTGGGAGTAGGGCTCAGAGAGGTTGACAGCAGGGAGTGGTGGTACTCCCTTCACCACCAGCCGCCACATCCCGCTCTGGAAACCTCATTTGGATCAAAAGAACTGCTGTATTTAGGAAATGCTTGGGTATTTGAATATAATCTCTAAAGTTCCTACCTACTCTAAATCTCAGTGAGTTGACAATCACTCAATGGATTACATTAGTTCTACACAGTTGAAGGGGATAGCCAGGGAGCTTAAGAGCAGACCTTATTGTTAGCATCACTTTTAATTGGGGCTTATTTTAAAAGGCTTTGAATAAAATGAAGAGAATAAATTTGCCATGAGATTTCTGAGTGTGTTGAGCCACGTTTAGCTATCTCTTGGGATTAATGGAATTACTGGGGAAATTACCTGCAAGATTTTTCATAGTTATAGGTCTCAAATGCTTACTAGAAGGCAGTGAATACAGAATCATTGACTTGTACAAATCCCGAGGAATTTGCAGGTGGATATCTGTGGGGTGTCCAGCAGCGAGCTAGGCAATTCTCTGCATTCAGTTCCAAAGCTGGGCAGTTCACCCCTAGCATTTTGTTTCACATAAAAATAGGGACAAACTCAGTGTGGCTTTCTAGTTCTCATCAGAATGCCCTGAAGCCTTTCTGCCTCTCTGCAGTGTGTAGGTCTGAGCCTGGAGTTGGATGATATTACTATATAGCCAAAGAGGATCTGAGATTGGACACCATTCAGTCTATGATCATTTTGGGGTCTTAAATGCCCATGAAATTGAATGGGTCTTTTTAATTTTGTTGCTGAGTTATTTGGATAATTGACTTAAAAATTCCATTTTGCTTTGGCTGGGGATTCATGCTTTTTTTGTTTGTTTCTTGAGGACTGTGCTTGATTTTCTCACTTAAATCCTATAAAGGTGTTCTTCACAGTGTCCCTCAGGGATTATTCTCTGGCCATGTTTTCTGAAACCCTGGTAAACAACGGAAAAGTCTTGTCCCTCATCAGTGACTGGAGAGTGGAGCCCTTTTGGTCACTGTCATGAATCTTGCAATTGACTCTCCTGTAAAGCTAACCCAAACTGGTTCCTGGAGAATACCCCCTTGTTAAGGGAGGACCAGAGATCTGAAGAGTCTATATTTTATGTGACCAGAGGGAGGAAAATATGGGAGGTGCTTCATATACCTTTTGGAAAGATTTCCTTTTGCAAATATGTGTGCGTAAATATACACATTGTGTAGTTAATGAGTACAATGTATGTTATTCTGGTGATGAATACCCTAAAAGCCCCGATTTGACCACTATACAATCTATGCATATAATAAAATTGCACATGTACTCCATAAATTTGCACAAATGTAAGTATAGATAGAGGGTTTGCCTTCTCTAG
The DNA here is from genome assembly GCF_000001405.40 of Homo sapiens. Classification (NCBI taxonomy): domain Eukaryota; kingdom Metazoa; phylum Chordata; class Mammalia; order Primates; family Hominidae; genus Homo; species Homo sapiens. Next base: position 133,274,213 of record NC_000023.11, on the reverse strand, counting down.
CATGAACTCACCTAAGTAACCTATGTAACGTACTACATAGAGACCATTTGAGACTTTTCATGGTGTCTTTACACTTTTTTTGAAATCTTCATATAATTAGACACACATTTTTTAATTCAGGAGAAGTTAGTCATATCTGTAGTTGAAAATTTTGAGAAATAACGAATAAAGAAAAACGGTGGCATAATAGCAGGTATAGGCACTGTGGGCACATTACATGTGTTTTAATTTTTTTTTTTTCCTGAGACTTTGAAAAGAGAAATGCAGAGTTGCATTTACTTCTGGTTTCAGAAGAGGGTAAACTAGGTTGTTCCTTCCCAGTTGTAAGTCAGAATTTAAACTAAGGCCTACCTTGTTTACTTGGACATAGAAAGTATTTTCCAGGCAGAGTATTTTAAGGCACAACTTTCCTTGTAACTGATCAGTATACACAAAAATGTTGTAACAAATGCCTTCCTCATCCCATGGCAAATAAGTTGCTGATAAAATACAGGAATAAAAATATTACCACCTCTTCAAAAAGGAGTTCCAGAAAAGAGAGGGGAGGAGAGAAAGACAGAGAGAGAGGGGGAATGTGTGCATCCGTGTGTCCTCAACCCAAGGACTTTCTAGACCAAATGAACTAAGTTACTAAAAGAAAAGTGGGTGGGTCCCGTTCAATATATTCAGAAAATTTGCTGCTTTCTTAGCAAGAGGTTGCAACCACACTGGGCAGTGCTCCTTGGTTTGGACAGGCATCGTTCATGGACTATTTTCCGAAAGCAAAGTGAATTCATGGACTATTTTCCAAAAGCAAAGTGAATGTGTTGCTTGAATGTTCTTTAAAAAGTGCTGAGTAGGCCAAAACTTCAAGGAACTTTATTAAGATACCCTCTAAAACTAAGAAGTGATGTTATATCTGAATTTTATAAATCTAGGGTGTTTGGGCTGGAAGGCAGCTGAAGGTCAGGCCATTTTAGAGAAGCCAGCATTGTTTGTTCACAGTTACTTTGTCCTTCTTTGCCTATATCCTCAGCGATGGATTTGTCAGTGACAAGATTGACCTAAAGAATATCCTGAGAACAATGTCTTGTTATTGAACAAATAATTATAGTAAGAATGCTAATATTCATGTTCAAATTGTATTTTGTTACACCAACTTCCTTTAGACCTAAAAGTGAGACTGGTATGTACAGCTTTAAAATGAAGTGAGCTCTACGAAGAATTTCATTTTCCCAGGATCTTCAAATGAAATCGATACCTATGTGGCATTGTTTTCTCCCAGGGCTTACTTGGAGTGAGAACAGAGGGGCTATAGAAGTGTGTATGCCTCCCTTTCTTTGCAGTAGAGATCAAGCAGATAAGAGCCAAGATCTGCAACCAGCAAGGACTCCCCTTCATAGCAGGAATTTGAGCAGGTCAATTCTTCCAGCTCTTGATATCCCAATGTCTCAGGTTAAGGGTATGGGTTAGGAGTTTGTGTGTATTTCTGTGAATAGATTTGGACAAGCTCTCCCTCTCCACTTGGGTCATGAGCAAATCTGATCAAGAGACTCTCTGCTTGCATCTTTCTTTGACAAGTAAATGTTCATCAGCACAGAGTTGGAGTTCCAGAGAGACCTACTCTTTGCTCCAGCTTTAAGCTACCATTGATGAATTCCCCAAGCACAATGTTCTTCTACTAGGTGCAAATCTCCCTCAATGTTATTATCTAGCCCAAGTGTCATCATTTTTTTTTTACAAGAGTACCATCAAAGACAACACAATGTAGAACACGCAGAAGATCAGCAGAACTTAGAATATGCAAGAAAAGAAGTGTACTTATTGGAACAGAAAATCTGGAGAAGGGGCTTCAACACTGTTTTGTGAGAAAGGAAATAGAGGTGTTAAGAAAGTAAACTGAAGCACAATAATATTTTAAAGAATGTATTTGAGCAAACAATTCCAGAAGTGGCTCAGGAGCTCCACCAAGGAAACACAAGAGGGAGGCTTTTATAGGACAAACCAAACACAGAAGTAAAGCAAAAAAAAAAAAAAAAATTGGTTGGTTACAATTATACAGTTGCCTTATTTGATCTATTGTGTTGGAAAAAATTCTAGTTATATAATTATGTGTGTTCACTTTTTTTTTTTTTTTTTTGGAGACAGTCTCACTTTGTTGTTCCTGGCTAATTTTTATATTTTTAGTAGAGATGGGATTTCACCATGTTGGCCAGGCTGGTCTCAAACTTCTGATCTACTGCCTGCCTCGGCCTCCCAAAGTGCTGGGATTACAGGCGTGAGCCACCGTGCCCAGTCTGACTTTCTTTTGTTTTCTTTTTGAGACAGAGTATCACTCTGTTGCCCAGGCTGGAGTACAGTGGCATGATCATGGCTTACTGCAGCCTCGACCTCCCAGAGCTCAAGCAATCCTCCCAGCTCAGCCTGCCAAGTAGCTGGGACTACAGGTGCATGCCACCAAGCCTGGCTAATGTTTTGTTTATTTTTTGTAGTGACGATGTCTCACTATGTTGTCCAGGCTGGTCTTGAACTCCTGGCCTCAAGAGATCTGCCTGTTTTAGCCTCCCAAAGTGCTGGCATTACAGGTGTGAGCCACCACATCCAGCCCAGTTTGTTGACTTTCTGATTGGTCTAGCTTACATTCTGGTTTTCTTTACTATAGGTATTTACAAGAGATAGCTCAAGTTTTGCTTACATCTGCAATTGTAGCAAGATTAAGGTCACTCATGAGCCCTAACCGGCTTTGTCTACTCAGGGATTCTTCAGGTCCAATCTCCATCTTAATTTACTTTAACAAAGGTGAGTATCAGCAACCCATTATAAAGTAGTCTAGCTTGTCATTTGCATTTTTGTACAGGTTTACCATTGCAAAATACAATCCATACTGTAGGTTGTCATTCTCGGGGCTTTTATTGTCTTTACGACGACCTGAATTTAAAACCTCCTCCAGGTGACAATAACTATGGCCCTTCCTGCTTCTCATTATCAAACATCCCTCCTTGACTGGAACTGCTCAGAGGTTTCCTCTTTAACCTTTTAAAGTCCAATAGTGTGTGGGCTCCACATTCTTTTCTAAATATGCAAAAGCCACCTGTTTGATCATATGGTCAAGAATTTTGCTGGGGCTCAACGTCAGGTGCACCGCCCGGCAGTTTCCGGAATCCAGCCATATGCACATTTATATTCGATTGCCACCATCAACATTTTCCATCTCTTACATGTTTAGCCAACTTTTGTGTGGGCTGTTGCTTTAACCTTGCAGTGAAGTTCTAAGCATGCATGGGACCCAAAAATAAATAATTAAAGAATCACCTGTTCACTGCAGTCAACAACCTCTTTGACCTATGTCATTTCAGCTATGGTTGGGACCCAAGTTAGGCATACTAGAGAGAGGAAGAGCTCCTCTCCTAATGTCTGATGGGCAGCAATGCCTTTTGGGTATACTGTTACCTGCAGCTTGGGGTTTTGCCCCTCCACAGAACTGTTCCCCTATAGATCCACAACAGAGCCCCATTCTCTCTGGGAGTGGTGCAGGCTGTGGGACTGGGGACTGGTTATGAAGGCCTGGGCCACAGCATTCAAGAAAAAGCCCAACCCTCTAGCTGTTTGAGTAGGATGGAGATTGGTGATAGGGTCTATTCCTGGGAGATGCAGAAGGGGGAGGAAATTACACTGTGTAGGTTTCTCTTGTTTAATAACTTCCTCCATCAAATCTGCTTAAAATGAATATCCAGGGCAGATTCGCAAAGAGAGGGGATGTCACAAAAAGTGAAGGGCAGGGGAATGTGATGAGAAGGGCCTGTGGATAATTCCATGACAGTAGAATTCTTGGCTTATGTACTTAGCTCTGCATATGGACGGCACTACGTTCATAAGCATCCAGTGCTAAAGCCCTGTTTAAGAGGCAGAGTAGGAGAGTGTGTAGTAAAGTCAGCCCTGTATTGTAAACTCTATAAGGAGGGGCCCGTGTCTGTCTTTTTCACAATTAATGCCCCAGTGAGTACCTAGAACCACACCAGACACACAGAAGGAGCTCAAGAAGTATGTGATGATGAATGAATGGTGGGAAGTTGAAGGAGAAGGGTGCAGCTTGACAAGCATGCAGGTGCTCAGGGACTGGCCAAAGCCACAGTGCAGCGGGACTAATTTTAGTCCCCGCCTGCTGGTGGAAATCAGGCTCCAAATATTCTCCAAATATTCTTGATTGAAATTGCATTTCAAAGCTGCAAAAAAGAGATGGGAAGTTTCGAGAAAGTAGAGACCATGTCTGCCTTATTCGCTATGCCTAGGAATAGGCTGAGACACATAGCAAGTGGTCTTAAATATTTGCTGAGCTGGGAGAGCTGGATTCTCACTCTATCTGTGCCATCAATTTGCTGTGAGATAGGCAAATAATTCCTTTTTCTTTGGGCTTTCATTTCTTCACAAGTGCAATGAAGAAGCTGAGCCCATTGCTAGCAAAACTGCTTCTAGTTCACATATTCTATGATTAGAGAAGAAGCACTTGATTTCCCAGAAATCGGACCAAGCTTAAACCTAGATCAATCTATGGGAAGTATTGAAGTAACATGAACACCATGACACTTCCTGCGTTACACCATTCAACATCTTCCTTGGCCACAGGAGAAAGCAAACAGCCTTTGTCCAATCATTCTGCACTGATGGGACTTGGGTTTTCTTGTGAATTTCAAATTTTCCTTCTGTTAATAGAAAAGGGGCCACATTGACCTAGAAGCATTTCAGTTTGTTTCCCTCCAGGGAACCGGCTGAGTGTTTGTGGAACTCCTACCTGCCAGGGTGCCAGGTTTACTGGCTGAAGCTCATTAAACCACAGGGTAGCCCTTCAGAGTTTCCTGAGCTGCAGAACAGCTGAGTGAGTTCATTCTGACCCAGGAAGCATGCTTATAGAGGTTTCCTATCCAAGCCTGAAGGTAAGTCTCACTCCGTACTCAGAAGCAGCTCCCTGGGCCTCCAATCAGAGGAGCTCCCAAGGAAGAGTAGGGACCACAGAGGCCTGGTTTTCCCATTTGTGTAAACAACTCCAAGTCCTCTGTCCTACCCTGCCAGCAGGTTACCAGCTTCTGGCTGCAGATTATTCACGGGCTGGGAGCAGGAGGAGGAGGGCACAGTGATCTGAGCAGACCCCTTGAGAAAGCAAAGCTACACTTTGGTGATGGTGGTTTAACTGCACCCCATGTGGAGGCTTAGTCAAGGTCAGTCATCAAGTGACCCAGAAAATAATATTTGTAACTTCCAAGGGTTCTGTTCAAGAATGTGCTGTGGGATCCCTCTGCACCAAGGCTTGGGGTGGCCACAGCCTGGTGAGTGGCCCAGAGGTGGATGCTGTTAGCATCGTTGAGAGTCAAGGGAAGTCAGAATTGTGAGTCTAAAAAGGAATATTAAAGTGGGAAAAGGTGTCACCCTGAGGTGGCCAAGTTCATTGGGAAGCTCATGCAAGATTAGGAGGGGAGAAATGTGAAATGTGCTTAGGAAGTGATTGATCCTGACTGACCCCACTTATTAGGGTGTAACTTTCATAAGGGTTACCTTTTGGTTTCGATGATGGAGTGTCACATTAATTTCTGAGTTGCGCTGGTTCCAAATTGAATTCTTGCCTAATTTGCTTATTTATCATTTGGTTTCTATGCTGTCTATCTGCCTCCCCTAAAGGATCAGAGGCAACTTTTATCCCTAGTTAATTTTCAAAGCAGGACCATTTTGAAAGACCTTTTCACACTGCTAGCAGCAGCAGGAGGCGGCCTGGCTGCAGGAGGAGGGCTGGGCCCCCAGTTCTGGTTACTGAACTATTCAATACGACAAGTATTTATGGGGCACCTGTGTGCATAGCTCTGTGGGGCTACAAAAGAGAGAGAAAGGCTGTCTCGGTCCTTTTTGCTGGGCCCACTCCACTCCCAGGGCCTTGGGAACTTTAAGGGGTAAGAGGGAGCAAAGGTGAGAACCTCAGAACAAAGGGGGACATGTGGCAATTAGGAACTCAGGAGCCTCCAATAGAAACTGCAAAATGGAAGGGCTCGTTTAGAGATCACCGCCTGTGTTTCCCAAACTGGGGTCTGCAGACCCCCAGGACAGTGTGCTGGCGGGGGGTGTGGGGCTTGAAATGACAGGAGAAATATTATTATGTCTTTTTACTTAAAGAGTTCAGTTGGAGAATGGAGGCAGGGAGAGAACCGGTGGTGTGTTTGTTTGTTTTGTTTGTTTATAATTTGGACCTGTTATTTTTGTAGCAAAACAATCACATAAGCATTTTAAAACTGAAAACATGAGATTTCAAAGGAACTTCATGCTTATGGCAGGCTGCTTCAGATTATGTTCTGAACCAGCCTTCCCTACCCGCTTCAGTGGTACTTGGGTAAGCTATTAGTGATTTTTCAATGGGGAAATTTAAGAAGCTCTAAGATGATTGCATAACCCAGTGCTGTCCAATAGAAATACAGTGCATACCACAAGTGTAATTTAAATTTTCCAGTAGCTAGGCTAAAAAGGGAAAAAGAAACAGGTGACGTTAATTTTAGTAACATATTTTCTTTAAGGCAATATATTCAAAATATTATAATTTCAACATGTAATCAATATTTTAATAATGAATACTGAGCTATTTGAAATTCTTTTGTTTATACTAACTCTGCAAAAACCAGTGTGTATTTTACACTTATCACACATCTCAATTCAGACGGGCCACATCGCAAGTGCTCAATAGCAACATGTGGCCGTGGCAACTGTGTTGGACAGCACTGGCCTCATCTGCTCATTTTACAAATGAGGAAATAAGGCTATGCCCTGAGGTTTCCATTTCAGGTCTGCCTTCTTAAACTTTCCTCCACAAAACTTCAGATTCTTATCCCAGCTTTTTCCTCTGTCCTTTCTTTATGGTGTGAACATTCTCATACTTTGACAGACAGACAGGCAGGCAGGCAGGCAGGCAGACAGGCACACGTGCACACAGAGCATTTGCTCATATGTTTTGCCTTTTACCTTCCACAGCCTTTTCAGAGCCACTTTCTGAGCCCTACACAAGCCAAAGTGCTCTATCCTGTGCCTCCTGCACCAGGGCCCAGTCTCCCAGGCTTGCAAACCAGACAAACTAATCCTTGGTCAGAAACTAATGGGTGCTGGCCGGGTGGGGTGGCTCATGCCTTCCCAGCACTTTGGGAGACCAAGGCAGGTGGATCACTTGAGGTCAGGAGTTCAAAACCAGCCTGGCCAACATGGCAAAGCCCATCTACTAAAAATACAAAAATTAGGCCTGGTGTGGTGGCTCACGCCTGTAATCCCAGCACTTTGGGAGGCCGAGGCAGGCGGACCACGAGGTCAGGAGATCGAGACCATCCTGGCTAACACGGTGAAACCCCATCTCTACTAAAAATACAAAAAATTAGCTGGGCGTGGTGGTGGGCACTTATAGTCCCAGCTACTCTGGAGGCTGAGGCAGGAGAACGGTGTGAACCCAGAAGGCGGAGCTTGCAGTGAGCCGAGATTGTGCCACTGCACTCCAGCCTGGGTGACAGAGGGAGACTCCATCTCAAAAAAAGAAAAAAATTAGCCAGGTGTGGTGGCGGAGGCCTGTAATTTCAGTTACTGGGGAGGCCAAGGCAGGAGAATTGCTTGAACCTGGGAGGTGGAGGTTGCAGTGAGCCGACATCACTCCCCTGCACTTCAGCCTGGGCGACAGAGGGAGACTTTCTCAAAAACAACAACAGCCCGGCTGCCGCCAGGTCTGGGAAGTGAGCAGCGCCTCTGCCCTGCTGCCTTCTGGTCTGGGAAGTGAGGAGCGCCTCTGCCCGGCCGCTGTGCAACCTTCTAAGTGTGAAGTGACAGCCTTGTGTGTGATCTTTTTGCCTTCCCCAAGTTTGCATTTTTGACGTTAAAGTTTACTTTTTAATTAAAAGTTAAAAACAACAACAACAAAACAAAAACAACAAAAAGAAACTAATGGTTGCTAATGGGTTCCTGTGCCACACCTCCCTCACTCCTCATCTGCACCCCAGCTCATTCCATACACATTTATGCGTTTTAAAAGAGGCCTTCTGGAGGTCGAACCCTTATCCCGACTTTTGCCTGTGGGAATTTTCTTTTTTTTTTCTTTTTCTTTTTTTTTTTGCAGACACAGTCTGCAGCAATGGGAAGGAGCTTTTAAGGGGAGGCTGTTAACTGACATCCCACAAGCAATGTGTAGGCATTGTTAAAATAAATGAGAAAATACAGGGAATGTAAGAAAGAAGAGGAAAGTCACCCATCATCTCTCTACCCAAATATAAGCACTGTTCTTACTATTTCCTTCCTGCCAGGGGCCTTTTGATGGCCATGAAACACTTACAAGGAGGTCCACCTGCAATCGGGACCACGGGGCAGTATTGTGCATGGCTCATCGCCCGGGGTTTTTTACAAGAGCTTCCTAAGGAAGGCTAACCCTTCCAGCCCCTTCCCAGAGGCCCCTCCTTAAAAACATGAAATAAAATAGGATTCTGTCCCTCTCTGTTTCCTTCTTGGCACCTCCAGTGCAGCCCGGGCTGTCCCCTCCTCCGCAGCCTGGGGGCCCCTCTCACTGGGTAGTTGAGCACCCACAAGACCAGGCTGCTAGAGCAGGAAGTGCCGCGGTGCGGGCTTGCATTGTCAGCCTAAGAGGCAGGGGCAGCCCGTGGAGGTTCCTTGACCCCAGTGGCCCCAGGCTGACCCCCTGCCAGAGGAAAGGAGCCGGACTGTCAAGAATGCAGTGGAATCCCGCTGAGGCTGGAGCCTCGGTCGAGAAAATGTGCGGAATGCCATTTGTTAAAACACACTGGCCTTTGCACAGAAAAGCTCTTTGCGCTTCAACAAAGGTAGGGCGCATTGTTTCAGGACTAAGGGTCTGATCCAAGTTCACTTCAGTCTGTCTCAAAAGGAGGACGCCAGCTCATTAAAAAGAGGGCAAAGCATTGGTGCTGCAGAGATGACTTGAACTTGACAAAGTTTCCACCCTGTCTCAGTTTTGAGTTGGATGTCAAATCTTATGTAAAATAACAGAAACCCTCAGCTGTTTACAAAATGGGTACTCTAAGGATAAGTCCACTGCAATATACAGTGTAAGCAAAGTATTTAGAAATTACCATTATTTAGAACAGTAATGTTTTTATTTAGAGGTTAGTATTAATTTTCATTAACTTCAGGAGATCCCATTTTGGTGATGGGGGTGCATTGCGGGTGGGAGGCATATGGTAAGTAAAATCAGAACGGGACTGTTGCTAAACTTTTTTGTTGTTGTTGTTGAGATACGGTCTCACTATGTTGCTCAGGCTGGCCTTGAACTCCTGAGCTCAAGAGATCCTCCGTCCTCGGTCCCCGGAGTAGCTGGGGCTACAGGTGTGTGCCACCACATCCAGCGCTAAATATTTCTAAATAACCATTTTTTTTTTTTTTACATTTTAAAATAAAGTGTAATCCTGGAGATTATCCTGAGAGGTTTGAACCATTATTACAGTGAAATGGGAAAAACAAGGCCAATAGGAGGAGAAGGGACTAGCCTGTGCCAACAAGGATTATATAGTAAAAATAATGCTTTTTAAATTATTTATTTATTTATTTACCTACTTATTAGATTCAGTGTCTTGCTCTGTTGCCCAGGCTGGAGTGCAGTGGTGCAGTCATAGCTCAGTGCAGCCTTGAACTCCTGGGCTCCAGTGATCCTCCTGCCTGAGCCTCCTGAGTAGCTAGAACTATAGGCACATGCCAACATGCCTGGCTAATTTATTAATTTTTGGTAAACATGGGGTCTTGCTATGTTGCCCAGGCTGGTCTCAAACTCCTGGCCTCAAGTGATTCTCCTGCCTGGGCCTCCCAAAGCCCTGGGATTATAGGCATGAGCCACCACTCGCAGCCAAAAATAATGTTAATCATAATAGCTGGCTGGGTATGGTGGCTCATGCCTATAATCCCAGCACTTTGGGTGGTTGAGGCGGGAGGATTGCTTGATCCCAGGGGTTTGAGACCAGCCTGGGCAACATAGCAAAACCCTGTCTCTACAAATACAAAAAAATTAGCCAGGCATGGTGACCTGCTCCTGTAGTCCCAACTACTTGAGAGGCAGAGGTAAGAGGATCACTTGAGCCTGGTAGATCAAGGCTGCAGTGAGCTGAGATCATGCTATTGTGTGCTAGCCTGGGCAACAGAGTGAGAAAGAAAAGAAAAACAATAATAGCAGACACATATAGTGCTTACTTAGTACCAGTTACTGTGCTAAAGGCTTTGAACATATCATGTCATTACACTAACTATAGTCATAAAGGAAGGTATTATTATTCTCATTTGACAAATGAGGAAACTACAGCACAGAGATGTTCAGTACCTGGCCTAAAATTCACAGCTAGTGTATGCCAGAGCACATATTTGAACCCAGACATCTCCAAGTCCGAATCCTGACTCTTGTCATCTTTTCTCCTTAGCAGAATGGAAAGAGCACTGGTCTCCTTGCTGTGCTATCATGTTTGACCCTAATACACATTAATTATTTCAGCACTTATTGAGTGACTACTATGTGTATGGCTGTGTGTGTGTGTGTGTGTGTGTGTGTGTATGTGTGTAGGGGAAACAGTAGTGGTGAGAAGTGAGAGGTGAGATCATCAAGAAATTTATATTTTTCCTGGCCTCGTGTGTATGTTCTAGGGTGATAGAGAAATGCATAAACATGTAATGAGGAGGAATGTAAAAAGGGCTCAAGGGAGGTTTTGGGAATCAGCTGGGGGATCTAGTACCTCAGTTTATTGCAGGAAGGGGAGGAAGGGAAGTAAACCTTCCCCTTGGGAACAGCCTAACCAAGCACCGGGGAGGGTGCATGGGACTACATACAGCATGATCACTGACATGGTTTGGCTGTGTCTCCACCCAAATCTCATTTTGAACTGTAGCTCCCATAATTCCCATGTGTTGTGGGAGGGACCCAGTGGGAGACAATTGAATCATGTGGGTGGTTTTCCCCATGCTGTTCTCGTGGTAGTGAATAAGTCTCATGAGATCTGATGGTTTTATAAGGACTCTCCCCTTTAGCATAGTTCTCATTCTCTCTTATCTGCTGCCATGAAAGGTGTGTCTTTTGCCTTCTGCCATGTTAGTGCGGCCTCCCCAGCCACGTGGAACTGTGAGTCCACTAAACCTCTTTTTCTTTATAAATTACCCAGTCTCGATATTTTTTTTTTTTTTTTTTGAGACGGAGTTTGCTCTTGTTGCCCAAGCTGGAGTGCGATGACACTATCTCAGCTCACTGCAACCTCTGCCTCCTGGGTTCAAGTGATTCTCCTGTCTCAGCCTCCCAAGTAGCTGGGATTAAAGGCGCCCACCACCACACCCAGCTAATTTTTGTATTTTTAGTAGAGACAGGGTTTCACCATGTTGGTTAGGCTGGTCTCGATCTCCTGACCTCAGGTGATCCAACCACCTCAGCCACCCAAAGTGCTGGGATTACAGGCGTGAACCACCACACCCAGCCAGTATGTCAGTATCAGCACTGTGAAAATGGACTAATACAATTGGGAGGAGCATGAAGCCACATGGATTGGAACATAAGGTGTGAGGAGGCTTGAAATGGTAAAAGTTGAATCTAGAAAACCAACAAGGAGGCTGGGCACAGTGGCTTATGCCTGCAATCCCAGCATTTTGGGAGGCCAAGGTGGGCAGATCACTTGAGGCTAGGAGTTCAAGATCAGCTTGGGCAACATAGTGGGATCCCTGTCTCTAAAAAAAATTAAAAAAAATTAGCCAGGCCTATAGTCCCAGCTACTCAGGAGGCTGAGGAAGGAGAATCGCTTGAATCTGGGAGGTGGAGGCTGCAGCGAACCGAGATTGCACCACTGCACTCCAGCCCAGGTGACAGAGCAAGACAAGAGAGAGAGAGAGAGGGAGAGAGAGAAAGAGAGAGAGAAAGAGAAGAAAAGAAACGCAACTAGGGCCACGTGTTTGAATGGAATGCTGAAGAGTTTGCTTTTTATCCTGTAGCCAATACAAGACCATCCAAGGATTTTGAAGAGAACAATGAGAGAATGATGTGATGTGTTATGCTTTTTAAGATTAAGTACAGGAGAGTATAGGAGAAAAGCAACTTCATTTGAAATGCTGAAAGATGGTCCTGAGTTCCAAACTGAATAAGAAACATCAGATATTTCCTATCAACTACAACATGTGCTTCCAGGCCACCACCTCTGCAATTCCAATTTGGAGAGGTAAAATCATGGAAATGATCGATTAACTTATTTCTTTTTAGAAATAAATGAAGAACTGTTAGATGGCATTCCTACCCTAGTTTCCTATTGTTGCTGTGAGAATTTACCACAACGTTAGTGGCCTAAAACAACACAGATTTATGATCGTACAATTCTAGAGGTTAGAAGTCCTAAAATCAAGATGTCAGCAGGACTGCAACACTTCTGGAAGCTGCACAGAGAATGTTTCCTTCCATTTTCCAGCTTCTAGAGGCTGCCTGCCTGCCTCGGTGGACAGATCCGTCCTCCCCCTTCAAAGCCAGCAGGGCAGCATCTTTAAATCTCACTCTGTCTCTGACTTCTGCCTCCATGGTCACATCTCCTTCTCTGACTCTGATCCTCTTTCTTCCCTCTTATAAACACCTCTGTGATGACATTGGGTCCACCTGGATCATGCAGGCTACTCTCCCCAAGTCAGGCTCCTTAACCTCATCACATCTGCAAAGTCCCTTTTGTCATGTAAAGTAACAGGTTCCGGGGACTAGGATGTGGGCATCTTTCGGGGGAGCATCATTCACCCTGCCATGCCTAGGCTTCTTCAACCCACCCACTTCTCAAGCATCTTACAGAAAAATGGGTGTCCATCAGCTGTAACTGTTTGGTTTTTCTTCCTGATACTGTAAGTACTTGGTGAAACTCTGGTGGAGACATCCTTTGGCCCATGATCCCCGCCTACTGTTCACAGAGGATCCTGACAATGAGACATGGTCATTGACTTCAGAAATGAGCCATTTGGGCCCTCTGGCTGGGACACCACTGAGCTCAGAATTAAAGGAAACTCAAAGGAGCTTAATTCAAAGACTTGTACTGAGCTGACACAATTTTTTTTGGCCAGGGACTATATCAGGTGCTACAGATATAACCAAGAATGACTTGGCCCTGCCCTCAAGATGCTTACAATCTTGGCGGAAGACAGATAGATTAACAATGCAACAGATTAACAATACCATGTGACAAATGTCCCCATGAATACGTAGCCACCAGAAGGTTGAAGATTACATGAGCCTTGGGGGAGGCCTGGAGGTGTTATGCTGACCCAATGAAAGGAAGAACCAATGAAGAGTTAGCATACATTTGCAGTTTATTTATTTATTTATTTTTATTTTAGAGATGGTGGTCTCAGTCACTCAGGCTGGAGTGCAATGGCATGATCTCAACTCACTGCAACCTCTGTTTCCTGGGCTCAAGCCATCCTTCCACCTCAGCCTCCCAAGTAGCTGGGACTACAGGCACATGCCACCATGCCTGGCTTATTTTTGTATTTTTAGTAGAGACAGGGTTTCACCATGTTGCCCAAGCTGGATGTATTGGCAGCTTTAAAATTAACCTAAGCATCTTACACATGTGAACTCATTTAACCTCACAATGATCATTACACCCATTTAACAGATGAGAAAACTGAGGCACAGAGAAGTTAAGTGACTCATCCAAGATCGTACAACTGGCAAGTGGCAGAGCTGGGATCCAAATCCAGGATGACTGGCTTCAAAGACCACACTTTTAACTACAGTGTTATACTACTTCCTAAAAGAAGATGCTACACTACACCTGAGTTGGCAGATTTCTGGACTAAAGTGGAGCTGCTACCCCTGACTTCAGAGTTTTGAACGATTTGTTCTTGGAAATGACCTTGCACTGTAGCCTGGGATCTGGCATTTTCTTGCCAGCCCTGGAGATGTGGGAGGCAGTAAGGAGCTAACAGGTTACTGTGAGCAATCGTAGCTGCAATGTGGTCCCTTGGGAAAGTTAGACCTCATAACCTGGCTATTTTTATCTGTTATTCTAGCCAGCCGAGGAACTCTGGACTGTGAACTGGTTTTCTTGTTTCACCTGAAGAAAACAAAATAGGAAAGGCAAATGGGATGATGAAAATAAAAATTCAATGTCAGTATCCCTGAAAGAAAGCAAAATGCTTTTGGCACTCTGTGAACACTACTCCTCTATTTAGGGTGCTAACTAAGAGTTGACTAGATAAATATCTTGATTGTATGGTGGACCCTCTCATTTAAACCCTACCCATTTGAATTTCAGACAACAGTTGAGTTAAAGCTTCTTTTGCTCTAGCCATGAATAAAATGGTTTGCTGAGCAAATTAATAGTGTAAGCTCAAATGCATGGAAGAATGAAAGAGAGCAAATGTCTTAATCCCCCTCAAGCACTGCAGATGTATATACAGACATTTAAAAAGCTTGCTGGTGGAAAATCATTCTTACTTACTTAGTGAATCCTCCAAGGAATTCTATGCAGTCATGTTGTTAGGCTAAACTGAACTGTATGAAATGATTGTGGGGTCTGGCATACCCCAACTCTGCTTTAGATCACTTTGTGTATGCATATAATAAGCTTTAGAGCTTTAGCATTTCTTGACATTAGTTTAGCTATTTTATCAAGTGTTTTCCAAAGGGGTCTTTAAGACTTCTTCCTCCCTCATATTTCATGGTATTATTTGAGCTAAGTGTGCTTTAGATATATTGCAGCTGAACCCCTGGAAATTGCAGTGGAAGGTTTTGAATGGTGTGCTCTCTAGAGCCTAGACTAACCTTCCCCCAGACAAATATCTACCTGTCTTTGGAGTCTGACACAAAATGACCACCGCCACCCCCATGAGTCCTTTTCTGCTGGCCCAGGAGGAACAAGTTTTCTGTCCCCCATATTCACTGCACCTGGTGCCACCACACTCCCCTGGCCCGTGCATGCTTTGTGTAGATGAATGTCTCTTTCACTAGACTCTAAATGCCTCCAGAGTAGGGTCCTTTTCTGATTTTTTTTTTCTAAAACTTTAAACAATGATTTCAATTACATAAGTAATAACTGAGAACAGTTTCAATGTTAAAAAAGAGAAAAAAATCAAAAGTTTTCCTCTGACTCCCCTGTTCCAGTTCCCTCTATATCTACCCCAATTTTTGTTTTGTTTGTAATTTTTATTTTAAATTGTGGTTACAAACACATGACATGAAATTTAGTATCTTAAGTGTGGAGTTGAGTAGTGTTAAGTATATACAATTTGTTATGCAACAGATCTCTAGAACTTTTTAATCTTGCAAAACTGAAACTCTATGCCCCTTAAACATCAATTCCCCCTTCTCCGTCCACCCAGACCTATTTTCTATTATTGTGATTTTGATATTTTTAGACACTTCATATAAGTGGAATTATGCATTATTTGTCTTCTGTGACTGGCTTTTTTCACTTACATAATGTCTTCAGGGTTTATCCACACTGTAGTATGTGTTAGAAGTCCTTTCCTTTTAAGGCTTTTAAGGCTTAAGGCTTTTTAGGCTGAGTAATGTTTTAAGGCTTTTAAGGCTTAGTAATGTTTTAAGGCTGAGTAATGTTTCATTGTGTGTATATACCACATTTTCTTTATCCATTCATCTGTCAGTGGACACTTGGGTTGTTTCCACCTCTTGGCTATTGTGAATAACACTGCAATGAACATGAGTGTGCAGATATCTCTTTGAGATACTGTTTTGAATTATTTTAGATGTATACCCAGAAGTAGGATTGCTGGTTCATATAGTCGTTCTATTTTTCATTTTTTGAGGAACCTTACTGTTGTTTTCCATAGCAGCTACACCATTTTACATTCCCACCAACAGTGTACAGGGTTCCCTTTACTCCACACTCATGCCAATGCCTGTTATCTTTTATTATTTTGATAATGGCCATCTTAAAAGGTATGAGGTGATATCTCATTGCGGTTTTGATTTGCATTTCCTGGATGATTAGTGATGTTGATCATCTTTTCATATTTCTGTTAGCTATTTGCATGTCTTTTTTGAGATATGTTTATTTAAGTCCTTTGCCCACTTTTAAATTGGGTTATTTATTCTTCTGTTATTAATTTGTAGGAGTTCCTTGTATATTTTGGAGATTAACCCCTTATCAGAAACATGGTTTACAAATATTTTCTCCCATCCTGTAGGTTGCCTTTTCACTCTGTTAATTGTTTCCTTTACTGTGCAGAGGCTTTTTAGTTTGATGTAGTTCCTCTTGTCTATGTTTGCTTTTGTCGCTTGTGCTACAAAAAAACAAACAAACAAACAAAAAAACACACAAAACACACAACTAATTTTTGCCTGTTGATTTTGCATCCTGCAATTTTGCTGAAATTCTTTATTAGTTGCAACAGATTTTTGTGTGTGTGTGTGTGAAATCTTTAGGGCTTTTTTCCATAAAGGATCGTGTCATCTGCAAACAGAGATAATTTTACTTATTCTTTTGCAATTTGAACACATTTTATTTCTTGCCTAATTGCTCTGGCCAGGGCTTCTTGTATTATGTTGAATAGAAGTGGCAAGAGTGGGCATCCTTGTCTTATTCCTGATCTTAGAGGAAAAGCTTCTAGTTGTTCATTACTGAATATGACAGTAGTTGTGGGCTTTCCATATATGGCCTGTCCTTCTATTCCAAGTTTCTTGAGTGTTTTTGTCATGAAAAAGTATTGAATTTTCATTTGAGTGATGCTTTCTCTTCATCAATTTAGATGATCATGTGGATTTTGTTCTTTACTTTGTTAACATGATTTATCACATTGATTAACTTTTTGAGATGGGGGTCTTGCTATATTGCCCCTGCTGGTCTCTAACTTCTGGGCTCCAGCAAACCTCCTGCCTCAGCCTCCTGAATAGCTGAGACCATAGGTATGTGCCACCACACCAGGCTTACATTGATTGATTTTTGTATGTTGAACTATCCTTGCATCCAGGTTGTATTAGTCCATTCTTGCACTGCTATAAAAAAACACCCAAGACTGGGTAATTTACAAAGAAAAGAGGTTTAATTGGCTCATGATTCTGCAGGCTGTACAGGAAGCATGGCAGCATCTGCTCAGTTTCTAGGGAGGCCTAAGGAAACCTACACTCATGGTGGAAGGCAAAAGGGGAAGCAGGCATGTCTTATGTGTCCGGAGCAGGAGGAAGACAGGGGAAAGGTACTACACACTTTTAAAACAACCAGATCTTGTGATAATTCATAAGGACAGCACTGAGGATATGGTGCTAAACCATTCATGATAACTTTCCTCCCATGATCCAGTCACCTCTCACCAGTCCCCGCCTCCAACACTGGGCTTACAATTTGACATGAGATTTGGGCAGGGACACAGATCACAACCACAGGTATAAATTCGACATAGTCATGGAGTAGAATCCTTTTAATGTGCTGTTAAATTCAGTTTGCTAATATTTTATTGAGTTTTTTAAATCCTTATTTATCAGGGACATTGGTCTGTAGTTTTCTTATTCTGTGTTTGTCTGGCTTTGGTATCAGAGTAATGCTGGCTTCACAGAATGAGTTTGGAAGTGTTCCCTCCTCTTTATCCAGACCCTTTTGATGCATTTACATAGGAATACGTATATACAGAAATCTACAGTTTGGTTTAGAGTGTTCTCTTGAAGCCTAAATGATATTAAACTAGGCAGATTTTTTGGCTTTTGTCACAAAACAGTCTCACTTGGAGAGTTTTCCATGGTGATACATATTGAGCCCTCCCCATTCTTTTAAGCTGCTGCACAATCTCTAATCAATATTTCTTACCTTTTCTATACAGGCTTTGTGCTAACCTCTAGGTTTCAGAAAGGAAAACATAGGTGTTGGAATATAGCTGTGGACAAGACAGCCAAGACCTCTGTCCTCAGGAAGCTTACATTCTGGTTGGAGGAGAGAGACAGTAACTCGATCCATAAGATAATTTCTGATTATGGTAAATGTCTTGAGGGAAATAAAAGGGTCACCCGATGGCAGGGCCGGAAGGTTGGTGGGTTCTTTAGGTGGTCAGAGAAGGTTCTTCTGAAACTGTGGCATTTCAGCTTAATCTTCAAGGAGCCATCCATGTGACATGTAAATGTTTGTTGAATAAATGAATGAATGAATGAAAGTAAAATATTGACAGAAAGAATAAATTCAACAAAGTCGATTTCTGGTATGAACATATATCTATGATTCCATAGTGCATATAGCTGTTTATGGCTATAGCTGTCTGTATTAGGCTGTTCTTGCATTGCTATAAAGAAATACCTGAGAATGGGTAATTTATTTTTAAAAAGAGGTTTAATTGGCTCATACAGGAAGTATGGTGCTGGTGAAGCCTCAGGGACCTTTCAATCATGGCAGAAGGTGAAGTGGGAGCAGGCACTTCACAGAGCAAAAGCAGGAGGAGGGGGATGTGTTACACACTTTTAAATGACCAAATCTCATGTGAACTCAGAGCGAGAGCTCACTTATCACCAAGGGGATGGCTGAAGCCATTCATGAGGGATCCACTCCAGATCCAGACACCTCTCACCAGGCCCTGCTTCCAACATTGGGGATTACATTTCAACATGAGATTTGGGTGGGGACAAATATCCAAACTATATTTCTGTTTATAGAGGGTTAACCATCCACCAAGTATCACAGAGTGGGTATTTCAGATGCCTCAAGGATAGATGCTGCTCTACCTAAAGAAGTAGCCCACTTGAGTCAACATTGAAGATCAAGATTTTTGGTATTGGGTAACTTGAGTCTGAAGCTCACAGGCAGGTGCTCTTCTCATCAGAGGAGGGTTTTAGAAATGGGGTACCATGAGTTTAGTGTGGGTATAATCATCTGATGTCCAACACCTGGCATCAGCAATTATAGGATGTATACCTGCAGAGAAGGTTGATCTGAGAAGGACATGTAAGTTGAAGGGTACAGGAGAAAGTTAGGAGGAGCTGGTGTAACATCAGACCTTCCCCAATAGGGCCACCAATGGAGATCATGATGTGAGCTCCCTTTCTCTATTTCATGCTGACAAGGTTGAGAAGTCCCTATTAAGCCTTCATCTCCTCCCTCACTGAGAAGGAGACAGAAAGGAGCAGGTCTGTCCGGAAGATCAGAGAGCTGGGGAAACCAGTGGAGACAGAGCTGATATCAGAGTCAGAGACGCCATCCTTAGTGGCACTATTGCCTTTTTGGTAGGCAACACAGATAGGATGGCTATGGGATTTGGGTGGGCATCCGAGAGAATATCCTGTGACTTTACCCCCAAAAGAGTGATACCAGTAGCTTTTGACCAGAGATAAAATGTGTTGTTTGTCAGGGACTTATGTAAAGAAGCTACAGTGCCCATGGTGATTTGGTTGGGTATTCATGAGTCACTAACCCAACAGGAAGTTCTGATGTTTTTTTCTTTTGATCCTAAGTGGAGATTACATGTCTATGGATATGTGTGTGTACACATATACACTCATGTTAGAAAATACATTGCATGACCGTGGCCCCTTAAATACATCCATTATCAGGCATAGATTCAAACCACTAAACCTTGTAATGCCGTTAAATAATTTGGATTGGGAGTTGGGAGTTTTGGGTCTCAGCCTGTGACATTTCACATGCCTCCCAGTTTCTCTGGACAGCAGTTTCATCTGTAAAATGATGAGGCTGGATGAGAATGATCTCAACTGCCCCTTTCAGCGTGAGTGTCAATGATTATGTGACTTTTGGAAATGTAGATCTTCTTCGGGGGCCCATGGTGATTTTGCATAAACCACAGAGGTCAAATGGGCCCAAGCCTCTTGGGTTTGGAGGAGGAAACACAGTGCATTATTTACAAGATTCCACCGATTCAGTAGTTGGGTTTGTCAAATATGCAATAAAGAAGGAAATTAAAAACACAAGATTAAATATGAAGGAAGAAGAAGAAAAGATCAAAGCCTTGGAGTTTTACTTCCAAGTTGCAAAGTGCAGCTGTCCGGACTTCCCCCTGACCTCCGGTCGCTCCTTGGAGACAGGGACTGAATGGGACTCTGAATAGGGCTGCAGAGCTGGGCCCTATTCAGTGGCCCTTCCCTACCCTTTAGCTTGGCGAGCAGTCATTCGGACCCTCGGACCTAAGTGAGTCTCCCATCCAATTGCTGCCTTTCCTTTCTCTGTCTCTGACTTTGGAGGACCAGCCTTCATTCTAGGCAAAACCCAGCAGAATAAGTCAGTGACACTACTTCAACTTTTGAAATATTTTAAGTTTTTCCATTTTTGACTCATTGGCTCCCAGTGGTGTGAAAATCTACTTTCAGCAAATTTTCCCTCAAATACTCTGTAGCAATAAGAGATGGCTGCAGAGTTGGATCTGTTTTTCTCCTCTCCAGATTAATCTAAGGTAACATTCGAGGAACAATTTTGTTAACACAACAGAGCAGAGAAACTAAAGGGATCTATTTCCCCCAAGCAGCCACTGAAGTTAAGAACAGGGAGTAGAAGTTTGGGAAATACTTTTTTAGAGGTTTTTAAACATTGCAGTATTTATTTATTTATTTATTTATTTATTTATTTATTTATTTATTTATTTTTAAAGAACAGCAGCTTGGAATGTTCTGCCTTTTTTTTTTTTTTTTTTTTTTTTTTGAGACAGAGTCTCACTGTGTCGCCCAGGCTGAAGTGCAGTGGTGCGATCTCGGCTCACTGCAACCTCTGCCTCCCAGGTTCAAGTGATTCTTCTGCCTCAGCCTCCTGAGTAGCTGGGATTACAGGTGCCCACCACCACGCCCAGCTACTTTTTGTACTTTTAGCAGAGACGGGGTTTCGGCATGTTGGCCAGGCTGATCTCAAACTCATGACCTCAGGTGATCCGCCCGCCTCCACCTCCCAAAGTGCTAGGATTACAAGTGTGAGCCACCACGCCCGGCCCAGAATGCTACTTTTTAGTCTGATGTCACTTAGTCCAGAGCAGGCAGTTAATGGTGGGGGCTCTTAGCAGGACCTGCATTCCATGTAGGCCACAGAGCCTATACTGTGAAATTGCGGAGGGGCTGCCAAAGCCCTGGGTTGTGGAGCTTCAAGTCTTGCTACTGCCAGAGTTGGGGGCCCAGACCCCAAGATCACACCGTGACTCAAAAGACTGGGTCCTGCTGAAGCCACTCTACTCACCAGAGCAAGCTCTCTTTAGGGGAGGCCCTGCTGTCTGGGGCATGGTGGCCACAGGAAAGGGGAGGCCAGGGGAAAGGAGTAGGTTGTCCTTCAAAGAAGCAGCTCTGAGGCTCAAGGACCCTGGCACCCCTGATTCCACAGCAATAAGGGAGCAGCTACTGGAAACTCCATGGATCAGAAAGTGCTTTTGGAGCTGCCAGATGAAAGAAAGGAAAAAAGACGAATAGATGCATGGAGAAGGCAGGTTAACAGAATGATAGAACAGGGGAAGGGGAAGAAGGAGATTCACAAAGAGAGAAAAAGAGAGTGAGACAGAAGACGGTGATATAGCTCAAAGAAATGAGAATATTTGCAGTAACAGAATACTCACTCATCTTTTTCCTTAGATCCTGCTGGGGAGACTTGATTGGCAGGTGTGGCTTGAAGGCCTGGGAGGCCTGGCAGATGACTCCCTCCTTCCCCATCTTGCTTGGGCCTGCCTTGACCCTGAGCCCGTGGTTGGAGGTCTCTCAGTTCTGACCTCTTGCTCTGGTGTCCTGTGTGCCCTTCCTCTGCCCTCCTCTGCTTCTGGCTAGCTCCCTCCCTCTCTCTTCCCTTCCTCTTCTCTTCCCT
This sequence comes from Homo sapiens, assembly GCF_000001405.40. Taxonomy (NCBI): domain Eukaryota; kingdom Metazoa; phylum Chordata; class Mammalia; order Primates; family Hominidae; genus Homo; species Homo sapiens. The sequence goes on along the minus strand of NC_000023.11, from coordinate 133,252,491 downwards.
TCCCCCTCCCCTCCCCTCCCCTCTCCTCCCCTCTCCTCTTCTCTCCCCTCCCCTCTCCTCCCCTCCCCTCTCCTCTTCTCTCCCCTCCCCTCTCCTCCCCTCCCCTCTCCTCTTCTCTCCCCTCCCCTTCTTTCTTTTCTTTTCTCTTTTCTTTTAATGTCTTTTCTTCTTTTTCTTTCTTTCCTTTCTTCTCTCCTTTTGTCTTTCTTCTTTCTTTTCTTCTTTTTCTTCCTTTTTTTGTTCTCCTTCTCTTTTTTTCTTCCTTCCTTCCTTCTTTCTTTTCTCCTCCCTTCCTCTTCTCCTTTCTTTCTTTCCTTTTTTCCTTCCTACCTTCTAACAGAGTCTTGCTCTCTCATTCAGGCTGGAGTGCAGTGGTACAATCATAGCTTACTGTAGCCTAAAACTCCTGGGCTCAAGTGATCCTCCCACCTCAACCTCCTGAGTAGCTGGGACTACAGGCACACACCACCACACCTGGCTTTTTTTTTTAATCTTTATTTTTTGTAGAGACAGGTATCTCACTATGTTGCCCAGGCTAGTCTCAAACTCCTGGCCTCAACTTATCTTCCTGCCTCAGCCTCCTGAGTAGCTGGGACTACCAGCATTTGCCACCATGTCTGGCTATGTTTTCTACTTTTTATAGAGGTGGGGTCTCTGTATGTTGCCCAGGCTTGTCTTGAACTCCTAGGCTCAAATGATCCTCCGTCTTGGCCTCCCAAAACCCTGGGATTACAGCCGTAAGCCACCATGCCCAGCTCCTCTCTTTGTCTTTTTTCCCCACTTTGACAGCACCACCTCCCTTCCAGCTGGTCTGAGGTCCCCCATTTTTAATGCCTATAACAAAACCAAGGGTTAGGCGGGACCCAAGAGCTCCATGTTATGGTGACAGAGTTCCAATTAAGGACATCGGGTATGGTGTGTGGTCAGCAGGAACGTTGGCTTTTCTCTGCAGAACTGACAGGCGATTCAGAGCCTATGGAGTTTGTCAAATGCAGCTCTCACCTCCTGGAGATATCCTCTGGGGCCTTGCGTGGAGACACTTGTGATGACTGGTTCCCTGTCTCACTACAGATGTGGGTTTCAATAAGGTCATGTTAATAGTATTTCGTCTGTTGTAGTAAGATTTGCAAATTGCCCAGATTAGCATACACAGAAACAAAAAAAAAAAATTCAGATCCATTTTGTTTACTAGCCCAAAGTGAATGTGCTTTATAGGCTCCAAATGTGTAGATCAAGGTTGCCAGCTCTTCAAGCCCCCAGCTGACTTTGCAAGCCCTCACCCTATCAGCAACCTGTGGCCCTTCAGGCCCCGTGGGAAGTAATAACAGTAAGTGGGGAAGTTTGTCAAAGGGTGGCAGAAAGGGGCTTCCTCCTTATTAGACCGTGGCTCTAATGAGATGGTGAGCATATTTTCCAAGCAGCCACCTTAAAAAAAAAGAAAAGAAATCCATAATGTGACCAGGCCAAGTGTGCTTACGTGAACGACAAGGGAAACTATTTGAAACTGGAACTGTTGTATAAAATACAGGGCATGTGTTTGCCAGAATTATGACAACCACTACTTTCTGTAAACCCAGAAAAGGGCCACAGCAGGATTGCCAGGGTCCCTTTGGAAAACTGGACTTCATTCCTACAGCTCTGTTCCCTGCCCCCACACCCTCTCCAGCCCTAGCTCAGCTTGTGGTAGCATTTAGAAGGCCTTGGTAATTACTGAAGGCAAATGATAGAAGACACATTTTGAAAAGGACAGCTTCATTGTTGCTAACATCATGGGCATTGTTTGTAAGGGGTTTGTTGTTTTTGGAGGCGGGTAGGAAGAGGGAGGAGGAATTCAATCAAGCCCTTCCAGCTAGAGCTCTGTGAGCTGCACAACCTGGATCCTGCTGCTGGGCCAGCGCCTGCCAGAGATAAAACAGGCCCTTTCTTTCTTGTGCGTTCTCTGCCTACTGCTGCAGCCACAGAGAGAAACAGAGATTCTGAATGGTTTTCAGGCCCCTCCTGGCTTTCCTGTCATATATTTCAGATACTTTCAAAGAAAAAAATAAAGAGCAAAGTTGATGTTCCAGGGAGGCTGTTGTGAAACACTGCATTGTACACAAGGGTTTCCTGGCACAACAGTGGGCTGGGGTGTAAAGGTCTGGAATGTCCCTTCCACCATGACCATTCTAATGACCATTCTAGACTTCTTTGATGCCAGTAAGTCCTACAGACCAGGGGTGTCCAATCTTTTGGCTTCCCTGGGCCACATTGGAAGAAGAATTTTCTTGGGCCACACATAAAATACACTAACAATAGCTGATGAGCAAAAAAAAAAAAAAAAAAAAAAAAAAATTGCAAAAAATCTCATAATGTTTTAAGAAAGTTTATGAATTTGTGCTGGGCCACATTCAAAGCTGTCCCGAGCTGCATGCATGTGGCCCGTGGACTGTAGGTTGGACAAGCTTGCTATAGAAGAAAAAAAGTTAATGTTTTCTTCAGGGAGAAGAATTGGGTCATATGTGTTAGTGTTGAAGATCATCACAAACTTTTCAGTCAGTCGGGATGTCACACAGAGCATGTCTAACTGAGTTACTGCATGAACTTGAAGCCCTGCACAGGACTGGGGGACTTGCTAACAATCATCTGGTATTTCTTCAGATAAACACTAGGTGGCATGGAGAACTTAATAAATAGAAAACACTAATATCACAAATTGGAAAATAGAGGAGAACCTTCTTGTCTCACTTGCAGCAATTTTTAAATCTCCCGGTCAAAGTTCAATAGAAAACAACAGCAATATGGCTAACGTTGTTTATTGAGGCATTCACAAAGAGAACCAAGCTAGAGGAATTATTTCACAAAATCTCTCCTTCTAATCTTTTCTGGAATATCATTTTATAAACATGATGATAAATTCAAAAATAATTGTTCCCATGACCAAATTCCTTAATAGAAAACAGTCTATTTCTGTCAGTGTGGACGTGTTTTTCATTTGCAAAATCCTGACAAACTTTTCTTCCTCCCCCTTTTCCTGTAAGAAATGAGCCAAGGGGGTGGGGGTTGGGGGGAAACAAAGCTGACTGATCATTCTTCTCCAAACATCCCTTTGGATTAAAAGGCACAATTTCTCCTGCCATTTTGACATTCCCAACATGTTTGCTTTTCTGTGTTCAGGGCTAGAAAGAGGAGTGAGTATCTTTCCCATAATGCTGAGTACAAAAACCTAGGGAGCAGGTGTCCTAGTGTAACTGCCCAAGGGGTCCTTCCTGCCCACTGCACAAACAAAATCAATTCACAGAGACCATGTCATTGCAGTAAAGAAAGAGTTTAATTAACGCGAGGCTGGCCACACCATGCAGAAGATGGAGTTATTATTCAAATCAGTTTCATGGAAGGTTCAGATGTTAGGAGTTTTTCAGATAGTTTGCTGGACAGGGAGCTAAGGTATGGACAGTGCTGACTGTTTGGGTCAGAGATGAAATAATAGGGAGTTGAAGCTGTCCTCTTGGACTGATCGCTTCTGGGTGGGGCCACAGGAGCAGTTGGCAGGTCCAGGTGGAGCCTTCGGTCAGACATGCAAAAAACCTGAAACGATATCTCAAAAGGCCAGTCGTAGGTTCTACAATGGTGACGTTATCTGCAGGAGTAATTGGGAAAGTTGCATATCTTGTGACCTCCAGAATAATGGCTGGCAATCCTTGATATCTATACCTTAATGAAATTCAGGCTTTTCTATCCTCCTAGTCTGGTGGTTTCTCATTAGCTTTACAAAGGCAGTTGAGTTTTGGGAAAGGACTATTATCATTTAAACTATAAACTAAATGTCTCCCAAATAAGCCCAGGAATAATTAAGGGCAGCTTGAAGGCTAAAGGCAAGATGAGGGTTGGCCAGATCAGATCTCCTTCACTGCCATAATTTCTTCACTGTTAGGGTTTTTGTAAAGGCAGTTTCACTAGCTACAGTTCAATGACTAGATCATTTCTGACAATAATACATCCTCTCTTTTGCTTAGCAAATCCTGTAGGGAGAAGCAGAGCTGTATCACACAAAGGCATTCTTGACTCACCAGGTACTGATTATTAGAGCAAGGCCACTTAAGGGCCTCTTCTAGCCTTCTGGCAGTTGAAAGTCCTAAAACATACAAAGTTCGCAGCCCTGCCCCTGCAAGACAGACAACAGGCTAGTCTAGGCAGAAGCAAAAATTGTTGCCACTTAGAGTAACGGGAAGCTGTGCCTTCCAGGTGTCATTTCTAAGAATAAGAGTCAGGCAGAAAAGTTAGTACTTTGAAAGGCTTCAGCTGTCTTAAGGAATGCTGTCTTAGCATAGCTGAAACCTATGTTGGAATAGCTTGAAATCCTACACCTAATCACAGTACCTGAAGTCACCAAGACACTCAGGTTCAATCTCCATAGAGACAGCGATCAGGTGCCAAGCAATGGGAGTTTGTGGCCCAGCCCTAGCCTTTATGTGTGACCTCTCTGACTCTCCCTGAGTCTCTGTGTCTCCATCTGCGAGATGAGAATTACAATTGCCATTCAAACATTCAAATTCTCAGCGCTGTGTAGAGGAGCAAATCAAATGGGAAGGCGCTTTGTAGGCCAAGCCATACCCCAGTATCATGATTCCAAGCAGGAGAGAGAAAACCCAAACTGCACTTTTATTGCCTTATTTCACTACAGTCAGCAAGAACAGGACAGTCCAATTATGTAGACTCATTTCAGCAGCATGAACCTGAATGACCACCCTATCACCCCATATTTAGAAGGTGTCTCCTTACCTAATTTTTGTGGATCTGTTTTTGATCCCTCACTCTTGTTTCCTCATAAAGGAAACTCTGCACACAAGATCTCTGTTCACCCCCCTTTAACTCACAGATCTGTAATGGTGAAACAGCCTTTCTATCTGGGGTGCCACCCGAAGTTCTTTGTCTCATGGCCAAGGAAATCAAGGATGCAGACACTCCAAGGGTGAGGATAGAGCAGGACTTTAATAAGCAAAAGAAAGAGAGAAAGCCCTCTGCCATAGAGAGGGGTCCCCAAAAAAAATGTTGCCACTTCACAGTTGAATACAGAGGCTTTTATTAGAAACTGATGAGGGTTGGGTGTCTCATTTGCATGAGGTGCAAATTTATGGTAGCTCCACCCCATCCTCCTAGTACACATGTGGGCCCTTTGCTTGAGTTATTCCATATTGCTTTATTCCCCTTACTGCACATGTGTCAGGGGATGGAATTTTCCATTGCAGGGATGTCTAGGCAAGTCTCCTGTGTAGCTTTTCTTATCTATGTGGCTGTGGGCATACCTTAGGCAAGCACCTCTGTGCCAGTTCCCTTATCTGTGTCTGCAAGCTGTTCTTTATTTGAAAGAACTCAACTGAGGACCTACCCTAACTGCCTGCCTGACCAGTTTCTTCCTTCCTCCTCTTTCAGTGGTCTGCTTTTTGTTAAATAAATCATGTTAATTTCCACAGAATTTAAGACACATACACACATACACAGACCAACCCCCCCCCACACACTTAAGCAGATTTTAACATGCATTTTAAACTGAGGGAATATTTTCTTTCTTGAAGTTTTTGGGGACATTGTATTAAAAAAATTATAAACTGGTTACATTTGCACTGAAATTTTAGACATCTCTATGTTTTTCATGTTCCCTCTCTCCCTGGAAATGAAGAATCTGCTAATATAGTTTCAGCAAGGATGACATCCACTTCATTTGTGTACTGCACTCCTCAGAAGTGATGGGCTTGTTTAAAAGTTAATCAGGAAAATCCTTTTCTAGAAAAGTGTACCATGCCCTAAAAGATCACTTTTGCAAATGTGGATTTTTTTCTGAGGGAAGAATCTCTTGCCCCTCCACCCTTCTATTATGAAAAATTTTAAACATACAGTAAACTTAAATATTTTTAGTAAACATCCATGTACCTATCACCCAGATTTTGCCACCAATTTTTTGCTATACTTGTTTTATCACGTCTGTAGATCCATCCAACCCTGTATTGTCCACTACTCCATCTTATTTTCCTAATGCACAAATGTGGATTTTGGCTTACAGAATTTGCTTAAAATGATATCCACTGTTGGGGCTACTACAAAGCTTTCACTCTTTTCCTGTTTACTTGAAAAGAACAACCTATGTTCACCTAGAGACTTCATTTGCCCTGGTGAGCTTGCGCTGCCTCAGTCAAAGGATGAAGCATGGCTCTGCTGATGGACTGTTAGCCATGGCTCAGTGAACTCAAGGCCACACTGACTCAATCTTGTGCTGTGTCTGTGGCTCAGGCTAAATGTAAGGTGTTCTGGGGTCCTTGTGGCTTAGATCATCATGAGTGACTGGGAACCATTATGTGCACAGTGTCCTTTCCTCTCCTTCTACTCTGTTTTCCCTTAAGTCAAATTAATATTCAGTCCCATTGGCCAGGTGTGGTGGCTCGTACTTGTAATCCCAGCACTTTGAGAAGCTGGGATGGGAGGATCACTTGAGCCCAGGAGTTCAAGACCAGCCTGGGCAACATAGTGAGACCCAGTATCTACAAAAATAAAAATAAAAATAAAAAATAGCCAGGCATGGTGGTGCACACCTTAGTCCTAGCTACACAGGAGGTTGAGGTGGGAGGATCACTTGAGCTCAGGAGATCAAGGCTGCAGTGGGCCATGATTGTGCCACTGCACTCCAATCTTGGTGACAAACTGAGATCATGTGTCTGAAAAAAAACATGAAAAACAATTCAGTCCCACTGTCATTTCTCTAGATTAGGCATTGGCCACCCACAGCTAGCATACCAAAATTCAGGTCTTTATTATTTTTACTTGCCTACAGGAACAGCTGAGAACATATCCTGGGTCTTGTCGTGTCCTTCATCTTCGATTTTTGCACTTTGCTCCTGCTTCCTGGTGGCCCTTCTTTGCCTTACCCACAGAAACTCTATGATATCTCCCTCTGACTGTCCACTCCAAGCTGCCCTTCCCCAAAATATGCTAAACTTTAAAACTACTCTTACTCTTCAGTCAAAATGTTTATTCTTACATTATAACAGATCTCAGATGGGAGAACATGACTAAGGATTAACTAAAGACACTTACACTAAGGTATAAGTGGGTGATAGACCTTATCTTCAAAGAGATTACATTGTATTTATTTATATTTTTTTGAGACAGGGTCTCACTCTGTCACCCAGGCTGGAGTGCAGTGGCGCAATCTAGGCTCACTGCAACCCCCTACCTCCCAGGCTCAAACAATCCTCCTGCCCCAACCTCCCAAGTAGCTGGTACTACAGATACACGTCACCACAACCAGCTAATTTTTGTATTTTTTTGTGGAGGCCGGGTCTCACTATGTTGCCCAGGCTGGTCTCAGACTCCTGAGCTCAATTGATTCTCCCACCTTGGCCTCCCAGTGTTGGGATTACAGGCGTGAGCCACCACACCCAGCCTTAGACATTGCATTTTAAAAGAAAAAGGTGCTTATTAGCTCAAATGGATCTTAAAATGGTAGTATATGTGAGATATCACGAGGTAGGCCCATCTGGATTAGTGATCTTTGTCTACTTCCAGACCTGTGCTTGCTCTGTTCCCTTTACCCCAATGTAAGGAATTTGTTATGTCTGACTCTTCAGAGAAGTTGGCAACCCCTGCTCTGGATCTTCAGCACAAAAGGCATACTCCTTTTATTTGAGCTTGTTTCCCATGCCACTGTCTTGAGTAAATAACATCTTAAACTATCATAGGTAGTTTCTGGAAAGTTTAGGAGTTTTCTAAGCATGGGACACATGCACAGAACATCTGGGTGGTGGGCTTTTAGCAATGCTTCAAGGGTCCCAGTATCACTCAGAGCTGGGCACCATTTGTCAGGGTGGGCATTTGGAAGCTCCTAAAGTAAAAAAGTCTCTTTTATTATTGGCTTATCTCAAATGAGTTTTGGGGTCATAGACTGCCATATTGTGCCCAAACTTGCTGCCCAGATTTCCACATTTTTATAGTGTACTCAATGCTTGTTTTTTTTAAAAAAATATTTTTATATTAGAAATTGTTATTTAGGTTTTGTTGGCAACATAACCATAACATACCCTACAAAACCAAAGTAATCACAATAATTTCTTATACTTGTTATAAGTTATGATTTCCAAAGTACTTTTATGTATGCTATCTTATTTCATACAGCAGTGCTGACACATACGCAGGGCAGATATATAGATGCCCACTTTGTAGATGAGAAAATGGAGGTTCAGAGAAGTGAGATGATTTTCTCAGGGTCTAACAGCTAATGAGGGTCAGAACTCAATTTCCCATTTTCCAACTCCTAGATTATAGGACCACACTAATTGGGTTGATGAGAAAACCAACTTCTGAGAGGACTGATTGTATGAAATGGAAAGATCTGTGTTGGTATATGATCCCTAAGATTGAGCTTTGTATGGTGGCACTTCCGTTCTTCCTCAAGAACTGAGCTTAGTGATTATTCAAACTTGGTAAAATGCTCTGTAGCTAAGAATTATTATAGAAAGAGAGTGTGTTGAGCTCTGGGGCCAGCATGTTATATAAGATCTGGGTGGAATCTTTGTGCTGTCCATTCCTACAAAATAAGACTAATCCTACCCCAGCAGATGACTCACTACCACACATCTGAAGACAGCAAGAATTAATAGCAGTTCTAGCCACTTGGCCGAAGAAATCCCCACTTGGGTCACCTTGTGAATCTTTCAGACCAATCCCTCCACCCTTCTTAGCTGTCCCAAGGGTTCACATTCTTTCTGTCTTTGCCTCTATGAATAAGTGTCAACTCTGATCAGCAACAAAAGTTGGATGCTAAAAGCAAACTGGGGAAATGCCAATTTCTAAAGTCTTTGAAGACTGTGTTGCATCAAGCCTTCCCAAGAACCTCTCACCTGCATCCAAGCCAAACATTATATACAGGGCCTAGTGCAACACTGTGTTTTCTTTGGTTTTAAAAGAGAACTTTAAAACCAAATCCAATCTCTTATTGATGACCTTTGAACCATTAGCCACTGTTGGGTAGTCGAAGTGGAACAAGTACAAGTATTATTGCTTATCTTCAGGCTGGATCTACTCACCAAAATCATTGGTTGAAAAGTAAAAAAATAAAAAATACACAAGTCAGAGCAGTTTGTGGTGTCATGTAGACAAAAATGTGCAGAAACAGTGTATACCTGCACACAGAATTCAGGAAGCTGGTTTGTATCAAAAGATGAAGCCTAGTTTTAGAATGTGTGTAGTCCCTCACATAGGATGTTCAAAAGAAAGCTACTCTGGGGAGGGTCAGAGACAAATGATAGATCAAACTAAAGAGGCAGATTGCTTTTTAAAGAGATGGAGCCAGGCATGGTGGCTCATGCCTGTAATCCCAGCACTTTGGGAGGCCAAGGCAGGAGGACTGATTGAGCTCAGGAGTTAGAAACCAGCCTGGGCAACTTAGCAAGACCTTGTCTCTACTACAAGTCAAAAAAAAAAAAAAAAAAATCAGCTGGGCATGTTGGCTCACGCCTGCAGTCCCAGCTAATCAGGAGGCTGAGGTTGGAGGATCGCTTGAGCCCAGGATTACAAGGCTACAGTGAGCCTTGATTGTGCCACTGCACTCCAGCCTGGGCGACAGAGTGAGATCCTGTCGCAAAAGAATAAAACAAAATTTAAAGACATGGAGTTATCAAAGCTAATCAGAAGAAGAGATTTAAGCATCATGCTCAACTCTGAAACCTAACTTCTGTCACTTAGTATCAGTATCTGTCTTTGATACTGAAAATCCACATGATTGGAAACGATTCTGTCTTGGTGTTGAGTGGCTACCATCAAGTCAACCAGTGATCCAAATCATTCAGATACCGTGCAAGAAACTAGTCATGAGAAGCTTGATATTTTTTTTCATCAAAAATGTCTCAACCTCATTTGGACAGAAATGGAAAATGACATTTGAAACTTTAATCCGTTAATATGTAGTCTGGTTCTTTCCGAAGGTTGCAAGGTTTCCAAGTTCTGAAACTCATAACTAACTAACCATATGGAAACAGAATGTTCTACAAATCTTGGCTTCCCGAATATTGTCAGAGTATGAGTGACTCTCATTGACACTGTGCAGGAACATACATGGATGACTGCCTGCATGTATGTTCCTGCCAGGGCAAGCCCTTTCCTCTCATAAGACGAGTCTCCTTACCAGGACAAGACCATTGAATGTTAAATTTCCACCACCAAGCCTTTGCTCTTGCTGCTCCCTTACCCCATACAAAGTGCCAGCCTTGCTTATCCTTCAAGATCCATCTCTGATTCCACCTGATATGGTTTGAGTCTGTGTCCTTGCCCAAATCTCATGTTGAATTGTAATCCCCAGTGTTGGAGAAGGGGCCTGGTGGGAGGTGATTGGATCATGGGGGCGAATTTCCCCCTTGCTGTTCTTGTGATAGTGAGTTTTCATGAGATCTGGCTGTTTAAAGGTATGTAGCACCTCCCCCTTCGCTCTCTTCCTCCTGCTCCAAAAATGTAGGGACATGCCTGCTTCCCTGTTTTCTGGATGACAGAGCGAGACCCTATCTCTCTCTCTCTCTCTCTCTCTCTCTCTATATATATATATATATATATATACACACATACATATATATATACACATACATATATATATACACATACATATATATATACACATACATATATATACACATACATATATATATACACATACATATATATATACACATACATATATATATATACATACACACACACATATATATATATTCTAAATTATTCCTATGCTTTTATGCTGGTCAAATTCATTTCTGGTCAATACATAATACACCATGATTGTAAGTTTCCTGAGGCCTCCCCAGCCATGCTTTCTGTACAGCCTGCAGAACCATGAGTCAATTAAACCTCTTTTCTTCAAAAATTACCCAGTCTCACATAGTTCTTTATAGCAACGTAAGAATTGACTAAGACACCACCTTCCCATGAAACTTTCTGTGACTACTCCCCCAGTTGGGATCTCTGCAGTTTCTCATAGCCCATGGGACTTATCATTGATATAACACAAGTTGAGACTCTTTGTTTGTCTTGCTGTCCCCACTTACTACTCTGCTCTAGTCCATTCTCTAATCATATCCTAACTACCACAGCTCAACTCCCAAATGAGTGCCACAGAGAACAAGAGTGGGCTTGAAAGTCAGACAGATGTGTCTTCAGTGTGGAGCCCTTCTACTTTTTCTAGGTCTGAGAATGGTTGAAATACCCATTCAGAGCTTCTCTCAGTTTCTTCATCCACTAGGAACAATGGTACCCATATCACAGGGTTGTTGTGAGAGACATTTGTAATGTGACAATGGCACAAGGCATGGTACATACTAAGCAGGTTTAATAAATGGTAGATATATCTGTACTTCCCCATGTCCTGTGCAGGATACAGAATGGGTAATGGGTCATAATTTGAGTAATGAATATATTTTCAATGCAGCATCCCTGATCATTGGATTATAAAATAATAATTCTGGAGTTATAAGGCTGGGAAAGGTTATAAGGTATCATCTTACTATGATGTATTTATTAATATGGAAATGTGTTCACAAACTATCATTAAACCAAAAAGGTACTTTTTTAAATAGGAAACTTCGGGTCTGTATGCATTTGGCCACAAGTGTGTGCACCTTTGTGCGTAGGTAAAATATCTTTGTCTATACTTATATAGTTAGATTAAGAAGTACACACTAAACAGTGGCTAACCAAAATGTTAACAATGGTTATCTCTGATTAATAGGATTGTAGACCATTTATCTGTATTAATACATTAAATATTTATTATTATAAATAAGTACTATTTATAATATTGTATAATTGTTCTTATCTGTATTAATTTTTCTGTATTAAGTTTTTGTTATGAACATGTACTACTTGTGTAAACAAGGCATAATATATGATTTTTAAAATGCCATATATAAAATTAAAGTATGAATAGAGATAGGGGCTTGGAGGTAGGGAAAATGTAAAAATAAAAAAACAACTTTTTAGGATCATGGGATTAGGGGTGCTTTCTCAGCCCCCAAATTTTCTGTTTTGTTATCTTTCACTTGTTCTTCTTTCATGAACTTTGCAATAGCTTTTAGTTTATACAAATCATTTCCTAGTCCAGATGCAGTGGCTCATGCCTGCAATCCCAGCATTTTGGGAGGCTGAGGTGGGAGGATCACTTGAGCCCAGGAGTTCGAGACCAGCCTGTCCAACACGGTGAAACCCCGTCTTTACCAAAAAATACAAACATTAGCCAGGCGTGGTGGTGTATGCGTATAGTCCCAGCCACTTAGGGGACTGAGGTAGGAGAATCACCTGAGCCTGGGAGGTCGAGGCTGCAGTGAGCTGTGATCGTGCCACTACACTCCAGCCTGGGAAACAGAGTGAGACCCTGTCTCAAAAAAAAAATCATTTTCTAAATTATTCCTATGCTTTTATGCTGGCGAAATTAATTTCTGGTCAATACATAATCAGGCTGTTATTGACAAGGCAATATTCTAAGAAGGGAATCTTCTTCAACATCTAGAATTATCAAAATGTATAAAATAGACTGACTATGTCTTGACCAATCTGTTAACTGGCTTCTTTCTGGTGGACCCCAGTTATTTTGACTGTGGTACTCAGTGTCATGTGGATCCTGCCTAGAGTTTCCCAATTGTTCCACAGCTCTGGGAACTGAAAAGCTCTTGTGCTGGTGGCCAGGGAGGGAGAGAAGCCTCTGCATGTGTGCATCAGCCTATTGGAGTTGCCTTTTGTGAGGCTAGAAGCATGGTGCCTACCAGAGCTGTGAGTAGCCCTGGGATGCAGACTGTCCTTCCTTCCCATCTGCTCTGCCAGCAGTTGTCCTGTCCCAGTAAGTACCTTCCCCTCCATGCCACCCTGTCATGGTGGCCAGCTCAGGACTGGGATATGGAGCTCTTATTCACAACCCACATGAACACAACCTGGATTTGTAGCAGAGGTAGAGGAATAAACGGGGCCAAGGCCAGGGGACACAGGATAGAGTTGGAGAAGGTCTGTTCTTTTTTCTATTGACTTTAGGAACAGGTGACTGTATGGTTACAGTGGCTGCCTAGATTTTAAACTCAGTTTGTTTTACAGTTTCAACAACAAGATTAGAAAATATTTATTGAGTTCTTACTATTTGCTAGATACTTAGTGATATGGTTTGGCTGTTTCCCCACCCAAATCTTATCTTGAATTGTAATTCTCATAATCCCCACCTGTCATGGGAGGAACCTGGTGGGAGGTAACTGAATCATGGGGGCAGTTACCTCCATGCTATTCTCATGATAGTGAGTTCTCACGAGATCTGATGGTTTTATAAGGGGCTTTTCCCCCTTTTGCTTGTCACCTCTCTTCCTGCTGCCATGTGAAGAAGGGTATGTCTGCTTCCCCCTTTCCACCACGATTATAAGTTTCCTGAGGCCTTTCCAGTCACGCTAAACTGTAAGTCCATTAAATCTCTTTCCTTTACAAATTACCCAGTTAGCAGCATGAGAATGGACTAATACACTTAGCTATACTAAGGAGATACACTGGTGAACAAAACAGACAAAACTCCCTTCCCTCACTGACTTTACATTATACTGTTGTAGAGTTTCTCTCAAACCTGATGATGGCTTTCCAATTCCGATCGAAACAGAAAATAAGGTAATGAACTCTGGATTAAGAATCATCTGAGACACTTACCTGGCAGTGGAAATACCATGATCACGAAGGTGGTTTTTCCATGGCCAGCCTTATCCATTGCACTCAGATGTGTTGACCCCTGCAATTTCCCCAAATGTGAAAAACTTGACTGCATAATTTGTGATAGTAGGACTTTCATTCACACTTTCCCCAGGGGAAAAAGAAAAAGGAAATAGACGAGCACATTTGACATTTCTCAGTGGCGTGGCAGATCTCTAGGGCTTTATCTCCTTGTCTCATTCAGAGTGTGCCTCTTCCAGGAAATAGGCATTTACATTATGAACACTTACTTTGATCTATTCTGCATGATCTTTGATATCCTCTGTCATTTTGGAAAATAGCCCCAGAATCCAGACTTTCAGCTTTTGGGACAAGGTAAGCATAGGGAGTAGACAAAATTCCTTTCACCAAGAGGTGGAAAAAAGTGTAGTCTGTCTTACTACAAATAGATGTAATGAGGTGGAAGAAAGTGTAGTCTGTCTTACTACATATAAATGTAATGCTGGGAGTATAATTTTCTAATAACAGTAAAAGAGAAGGTCATAGAAGATACACAGCCTGCTAAAGAAGAATTATTTTATATAAAATGTAACTATGTCACAACATGATTTGTGTACAATGTTCTGATTATATTTATATCTTTGTTTTTGTTGCTGTTGTTGTTGTTTACTTGTTTTAGAGACAGGGTCTCACTCTGTCGCCCAGGCTGGAGTGCAATGGTGTAGTCATGGTTCACTGTAGCCTTGAACTCCTGGGCTCAAGTGACCCTCCCACCCTGGCTTCATAAGTAGCTAGGATTACAGGTATGTGCCACCATGCACAGATCATTTTTAATTTTTTTTATAGAGATGGAGTCTCACTATGTTGCCCAAGCTGGTATGGAACTCCTGGCCTCAAGTGATCCTCCTGCCTCAGTCTCCTAAATTGCTGGGATTACAGGCATGAGCCACTGTGCCCAGTCTGTCTTAATTTTAAGACTGCTAAAGAGTGAGACTTTTCGGCAAAATACTTAACTAAGATGTCCCATATTTAGCTTAGATCTTTCCCAGATTGGCTTGGAAAATATGAGTTTGTCCATTTGTCAGTTTTCTTTGGTGAAGAAGACTGTGTGTGTCTGTGTGTGTGTGTGTGTGTTGGGGGGGATATTCAAGAATATAGAGAGTTGTTTTGTTCAAAGAACATGGCCTGAAGCTTATGACAATGCTTTATCAAACCCCCTGGCACTGGAATCTAGCCACTGATTTTTATTAAACTTTGGAGCTTTTGCAATTCTCACTGAGCTGAGGTCAGAGCTGGTGAAGCGCTGCCCCACTGCATGCCCTGATAACCACAGCCTCTTGGTATATCATCTTAATGGCCAATGGAACCTCCTTCTCTTCCTCCCCACCGTGACTGACATTTTCAGAAATGCCCCAAAATGGCACTAAACGATGTGCAAACACACCAGATGGATTGCTAATCTCTTTTCGAGGCTTTCTTAATGGTGAATTCATAGCCCCTTGGAGCAAACTCAATTTCTCTCTGTGTACTCTATTTTCACTTTTACAATTTTAGAAGAAATCATTTTGGCAAACATATTTTGTGACTTGGATGAGAGGTAATTTATACAATTGCTTTATGTAGTACGACAACAAGCAGCAACTCCAGTCACAGGAGGATGGACGGCTATTCATCAATCACAACTGAGACACATAAATGGGTCTGGAGCCTTTTATGTGGCTGAAACCATGAACTTGGGGGCTACTTAAGGCAAATCTTGTTTCTTTGGGGGGAGGGCAGTGCAGATAAAAGCAAAAGTCAGCTCTTTGGATCTTCACCTTTATATTAATCACCAGATCTTAAGAGAGCCTCAAATGAGCCCAACAGAGAGGGTACAACTTTAATGGTACAAATGACACAGTGCTAAGGGTGGGCACCGCCAGGTCATCCATGCCAGGGATGCACCTGTGGCCCCAATCCTTGAGGGTGATTGGGCAACTGAGTGATACAACATGATCATTTCTCCCAATGGACCAGTCAGCCCACTGCATATTTTTCCTGGGAGTGCCTGTTGTCACCCCCAGTGAAATTCCCAAATCTGCCCAGAAGATGTTGCTTTACACCTCAGGCTCAGCAAAAACTTTAACATTTTTGAACACACATACACAGACACACACAATCACACAGAAAACACAACCTTGGATGGAGGAGCTCTTATCTATGGAGCTGCATGTGTTTCCTCTATACCATTGGTTTATAACTATGGCTGCACATTAAAATTACCTGGGAAGCTTTTAAAATTCTCAAATGTCCAGTCCCGCCACAGACCAATTGAATCACAATTGTTAGGGGTGGGACCCAGGAGCCAATATTTTTCTTGAGCTCACCATGTTATTCTGATTTGTGGCCAAGTCTGTGAACCACTGTTTTAAGCAGTTAAGGCCGATAAAGGAAATGGGTCTCTAACTTTAGTGCATACTGGAATCAACTAGGGAGCTTGTTAAAATGCAGATTCAGTAGGTCTGGGCTTGAGGCCTGAGATTCTATATTTTTAACAAGCTCCTTAGGCAATTTTGAGGATGGTGGTCCATGGACCACATGTTGAGAACCCTGGCTAGAGAATTCTACTCTGGAACTTGCATGTTTCTCAAGCCTCTTTTATTATTTAATTTCAAAATGGCCCTCTCCTCTCAAACAGCTTCCTCTTCTGCCAGTGCATATGTGGGAGGGTATAGTCCCTGGGGGGATAATCAGGTCAGTAAATTCAGACCATTCACCTTGTAGTATCCAGAAGAGCCAAGACAATACATCAAAGGGATGCGGAGGCATGGGGTTGGGTTTGGAGATGGACAGAGCAACAGGAAAGAGGAAGGGGGCTAGTTTTAGTCTAGTAGGTACTGGAGGCGGAATTCAGATTTGCAGTTAGAAAGTCACTCTGGGCGGGGTGCAGTGGCTGATGCCTGTAATCCCAACACTGTGGGAGGCCAAGGTGAGAGGATTGCTTGAGGCTAGGAGTTTGAGACAAGCCTGGGCAATGTAGTGAGACCCCATTTCTACAATTTTTTTTTAAATTAGGTGGGCATGGTGGTGTGTGCCTGTAGTCCCAGCTACTTGGGAGGCTGAGGTGGGAAGATTGCTCGAGGCCAGGAGTTCAAAGCTGCAGTTAGCTATAATCACACCACTGCACTCCAGCCTGGGCAACAGAGAGACCCTGTTCCAAAAAAGAAGAAGAAAAGAAAGAAAGAAAATAAGGAGAAGGAGAGGAAATAATCCCTGTCTTGGATAGTCAGAGTTGGGAAGATCAGTCCCTGCAGCACACCACCCAAAAGGTAAGATATACTCAACCTGGGCCTAGACAAAGACATCCTACCAAGGGTTCCGGAGGGTGCCTCCATAGTTACACCTCCTACCTATACAGCCCCCACCTGTACAGCATTGTTTCTTGTCCAGCTTTTCTGTTTTTGCTGAACCCCAGGAGAACATTGTGGGTATTGCTGCTGCTAAGCAACTATAAGATAAAGGGAAAGGGATGAAGTGGGGAGGGACCATAGCCATGAGAAAGAGATCTTAAGTGTATCTTGTAATTGCATATGCTCACTAGATAGTTATCCATTCTTCTGTGTATTTTGCTGCCCATTCCACAGACTCAACTGATGTGGAATTAGAGTGCACAGCCCTTAATGCCAGGTAACAAGCAAAATGCTACATGGAAAGAGTATGGATTTTGCAGGTAGACCAGGGCTTCCATCCCACCTCTGCCACTTAAAAATGGTGTGGCCTCCCCATGTCCCCCATATGATAGTAACACCTCTGTTGAGTCTCTCTGTTGGGGGTGGGAGAGCATGAAATTAGAAAAGGCTTCAGAGAGGAGGTCGAAGGTGGAGTAAGATTTCCACGGGCACAGATAGTAGGGAAGAACTTCCTAGGAGGAGGTAAGGATATGCAAAAGACTGGAAAGGATGGTTGCTGTACTGTTAGAATTTGTTACTGGAATCAATCCAGGTGGCTGCCATACAGTACTTTGTTGTTGTTTACCATATTTGTTTTCAACTTGTAGTTTGCATTTAGCTTGCTCTGACCAATCAGGAGACGGGTATGAGTTACTTTGTT
Source organism: Homo sapiens (assembly GCF_000001405.40). NCBI lineage: Eukaryota > Metazoa > Chordata > Mammalia > Primates > Hominidae > Homo > Homo sapiens. The sequence goes on along the minus strand of NC_000023.11, from coordinate 133,234,719 downwards.
ATTTCTTTGCACTGGAATTTGCAGAACATTGGCAACCTAACAAGTGCAAACCCCCAAGTACAAATCTGGGGCCTTTCTACAACATCCAGCCCCATGCTAACTGATCCCGGTGTTTTCAACACTACATTGCACCCAACTCTAATGTTTTCCCATATTCCCCACCTGGTAGCAGCAAGAGAGCCCATTACCTGTTAGAGAGGGAAAGGATCAGTGAACACATGATCACTGATGATCGAGAAGGCTGCATTTGAGCGGGATCCTGACAGGTGGGCAGAGATGGAGGGAAAGGACATTCTAGTAAGAGGCTGATTACTCTTAAATAGTGGTCTATAGCACAGACATTGGTGCTAGAGGGTCATGGATTCAAACGCTAGTATGGCCATTTCCTAGTTCTACTCATGATCCCCTTCCTCAGTCCTCTCTCACCCCACATCCATTCTCCCAGTTGTATAAACACTCTCCTAACTGCCCATGCTCAGTTAGATCTTTGCCTATCCTGTGTATCTGATCTTCAATGCCTGCACAATCCCCTTCCTGTAACCCACTTATGGTACATGGTCAGAATAGTCAGGCCACGGCTTACTAGCTGTAAGATGCTGAGAAAGTTGCTTAACTGCTTAACTTCTATGAGCTTCAGTTTCTTTATTTGTAAAATGGGGATATTAAAAGCACTCCCTTAGCCAGGCATGGTGGCCTGCTCCTGTCATCCTAGCTACTCACAAGGCTGAGGTGGAAGGATTGCTTGAGCCCAGGAAGCAGAGGTTGCAGTGTGCTGAGATCACACCACTGCACTTCAGCCTGGAAAACAGAGACCCTGCCTCAAAACAAACAAACAAACAAAAAGCACTCCCTTACAGGATTGTTATAGGAATTAAATAAAATACCTTGTATAAAATTCTTAGCATCGTGCCTGGAACACAGTAAAGTTTTAGCATATTATTTAATAGCTCCTTATACTGGAGCTGTTACTATTACCCACTCCAAGAATTATGCTAAGTGTTGGGAATACAGTGAACAAGAAAGACAAAGTACCACCCTCCACCACATGGAGCTTACACTCTAAAAGCGGGAGACAGTCAATAATAAACAAGCCAGTAAATGTACATGAAGTCAAGTGGCGACAAGTTCTAAAGAAAAATTCAAGCAGGGTTGGTGGATGGGGACTTTTGGGACAGTGAGACATTGAGTGATCAGGGAAGACCTCACATAGGAAGTGTGTATTGAGCTGAGACCTGAAAACACAGGAAAGTAAGAGTGAGTCATGGAGAGATTTGAAGAAAAGAGCTTTCCCTGTAGAGGGAAGAGCAAGTGCAAAGACCCCAAGGCAGGAGAGTTCTTAATGTGTTTAGAATAGCAAGGATGGTTTATTTATTTAGTAAATGCAGGTGTTTGCTTAAAGGGATACATGGTTGTCCATATCTGTATGTTTATCTGAAAGTCCTACATACTGAAAGTCATGGAGAAGAAGGTAATTGTGAAATCTGATGGTCCTTCCTGGATCCTTGAATGCTGCTGCTCTCCTGTGCTGTGGACCTTTGGGTCATGCCTGCCTGTGCTATACATGTTTAGCTTAGAGTACCCAGAGAAGGGAAGAAGCCTTCCTTTGATTATCAGTATAAGGCTGAGAATAAGGTTCCAAATCCATATACTGGATTTTTATGGATCAATGACTCATCCTTTTTTCATTCTTCCACTCAACAAGCATTTATGACTTACTTTCTTTAGGTATAACTATGCTAAATTCTGTGAAAGATACAAATAATTCTAGGATAACAGGCCCAGCCATCTTGAAGCCTTTTTGGAAACATTCGGGATAAATCATAATTTGTAGAACTATACAATCTCAGTCTTTAAGAACTAGAAGTGAGAAGACATACATATATGAACAGCTAAGAAAATGGTGATTAGTGTTAATCGCAGTCCTAGACAGTTGTATAGAAATAGCACAATGTAGTGAATGTGAGATGAGTTATGCAAATAAGGAAAACTATAGCAGTTGGTCAGGAGAGGCATCCTGGAAGTAGAGAGGCTCAGGTTGGGCCTTAAAATCTATGCAGGGGCATAGAGGAAGAAAGAAAGAACAAGAGAGCAAAATGCCAACCGTTTTGAGATGACCACTCCTGAGAAAAACATATGCTAAATCAGTCATGCTAGCTAGCTAGCTCTCTGCCATTATGATTCATGATCCATCATCTGGAGTTGTCATAACTTGTAACACATCTGTTCTCTAAAATCCTATGTATTTATACATTCCACATGACAAGTGAACTCAAATTCATAAAATAATAGTATCCCTGATTTCCTGAGAACTTGGGCCTAAGGTAGCAATTGGTTTTAGACTTAATGTGCTTCTAGCTCATGCAAATGATTCCAAATTGCCATATGAAGATGGATGCCTTTTCCAACTTGGGTACACTTTGATAGCAGAGGTGACTAGGGCATCTTTTTCAAGTTCAGGCAGAAAAATACCTGCAAAGGCCCAGACACCTAGGCCAAATAACTTTGGTTGGCCTGATAAAGTTGTTTCTCTTGTGGGCTTCCAGGCTCAGTGGGTGTGGTGGCTGTATCCAGTGAGCTCAGCTCTGGCTGTTTTTTCATGTAGAACAGTGTAATCTAGTCTCTTGGACTGGGCTGGATCTTTGCTTTTAATTACAATGGCGTACTGAGAATGGACTGGGTTCTTACTTTTGTTCTTTACTTAGGTTAACTCAAATCATTCTTTTAGTTTCCTTCCTTCCTTCCTTCCTTCCTTCCTTCCTTCCTTCCTTCCTTCCTTCCTTCCTTCATTCCTCCCTCCCTCCCTTCCTCCCTCCCTCCCTTCCTCCCTCCCTTCCTCCCTCCTTCTCTTTTTTTTTCTCTCTCTCTCTCCCTCCTCCTACTTCTCCTTTCCTTTCTCCTTTTCTTCTTTCTTCCTTTCTTTCTCTTTCTCTCTCTCTCTGTCTCTCTCTTTCGGGGTCTTGCTCTGTCACCCAGGCTGGAGTGCAGTGGCACAATCACAGCTCACTGCACCTCTATTCCTGGGCTCAAGTGGCCCTCCCACCTTAGCCTCCCAAGTAGCTGTGACCACAGGTGCACATCACCATGCCTGGCTAGTTTTTTAAAATTTTTTGTGGAGATGGGAGTCTCACTATGTTTGTTGCTCAGGCTGGTCTCAAACTCCTGGGCTCGGGTGATCCTCCTGCCTCGGCCTCCCAAAGTGCTGGGATTACAGATGTGAGCCACCATGCCCGACGCTGCCTTGTTCTTCTTTTCTCCAGAAGATAATTTTGGAAATCCAAGTTCTTAAGATGGTGGCTAGGATAATAAAGTCCAGAGAGTGGAGGTAACTCATCTGCATTAGCACTGTTAGTATTTGTTCCAACTGGTTTGCAACTGCCCAACTTTGGTGACAGAGCCAGGATCTATTGATGACTTCTGAAGGTAGAAGCCATAAGGCCTAGTGGTGAAGTGTGTTTGACAGATGAATGAATAAAGAAAGTGGGGGATGTGTTCTTATATTTATAAAATGGAATATTATTTGGCCTTAAAAAATAAGGAAAGCCTGCCATTTTTGACAATATGGATGAACCTGGAAGACACTGTTAAGTGAAATAGGCCAGACACATAAAGACAAATACTGAATGATCTCATTTGTATATGGAATCTATAATAGTCAAACTCATAGAAGCAGAGAATATAATAGTGGTTGCCAGGGGCTGGGGCATGGGGAAAATGAGGAGTTCTTGTTCAATGGATATAGAATTTCAGTTATGCTAGATGAATAAATTGTAGAAATCTTCTGTACAACACCATGCCTATAATAACAATACAGTAGTGTATACTTGAAATTTGCTAAAAAGGTACATCTTTAGTGTTTTCATCACACAAAAAAGAAAGTGATAACTATGTATGGTGATGGATATGTTAATTAGCTTAATCGTGGTGATCACTTCCCAATGTATACATATATCAAAGCATCAAGTTGTGGGCCAGGCGCGGTGGCTCATACCTGTAATCCCAGCACTTTGGGTGGCTGAGGCAAGTGGATCATTCGAGGTCAAGAGTTTGAGACCAGTCTGGCTAACATGGTGAAACCCTGTCTCTGCTGAAAATACAAAAATTAGCTGGGTGGTAGTGGCACACGTCTGTCGTCCCAGCTACTCAGGAGGCTGAGGCCAGAGAATTGCTTGAGCCTGGGAGGCAGAGGTTGCAGTGAGCCAAGATCATGCCACTACACTCCAGTCTGGGTGACAGAGTGAGACCCTGTCTCAAAAAAAAAAAAAAAAAAAAATCAAGTCGTGCACCTTAAATACAATTTTTGTCAATTGTACTGCAACAAAGCTGAAAAAATAACACTGATGTTAGTTACCATGTATTGAGTGTTTATATGGTGCCAGGCAGTCTGCTAATCTGATCTTTCCAACAACTCTGTGAGGTAGGTACTATTATTTAATATCCTCTTTTTATAGATGGGGAAACTGAGGCTCAGGAAGACTAACTGACATGCCCAGGTTCTTGTTGCCAGTAAGCAGCAGTCCTTCTGGTGGTTGGTCAGATTTGGGGTGTTAGTCCTAGCTTAGTCTTTCTGATTTACTTAATATTTTCATCTGTTTTCTGCAAAATTGGATAATAAAAGCCCATACCTAACAGGGTGTCTGTGAAGATGGAATTAGATAACATCTACAAAGTGCTTCATGGGGCCTGGCATATAGTAAGTGCCTATAAATGGTAGCTGCTCTTGTTATTAACCTGGTCTCTGGGCTATGAGACCTAGAGCTGCATTGTCTCTGTTCTGGGCAATATGCAGGTTTTGCTGAGCTGCCAGAATACACATCCATTTGTATCTACCTCATTTGATGGAGCAGTGTGCATGTTCCAGTGCAAATACTGCAAAGGGTGCCAATTCTATTAGTTCAAGTAAATTGGGTGGGGAGCTCTTGACAATTTAAGGCATTCATGGAATATTCCTACTGGAATTTGCTGTGTGTTTGCAAATTAGTCCTGTGGAAACGTATCTTCAGAAATCCAGTGCTGATACAAAAGACACTGGGCCGTGAAGCGCATTTGGTGATTCATATTGCAGGCTAGAAAATCCTTGCAATGAGTCATAAACACCTTTATGTATATTGGGTCTGATTACTCTGATGGACAGCTCTTTGCTTCCATAGTATTAAGTCCTATGACTCACTCAGTATGAAAAACCTGTCATGTGGCATATGGCTCCAAATCCAGGCCCTGCAATAAGGAGCTAATGCAAAATCTAGTACATGGAAAACTGAATGATGACTCACAATCACTCTCTTTCTTCCGTCCAGCATTGAGATCTCACTTGATGAAAATCATAGAAGCAATGCATGACACCAGGGAAAGCAGAGCAAATCACTGAAACCTTCTGTTCCTGAACTCCTTGCCTCTAGTATCTCCTTTATGTCAAATACATCCTCCTAAAACACCTCATTTACCAAGTCACTCTTCTGCTCAAGAATTTTCAGTGACTGCCCGTTGCCTTTAGCACCAAGTCCAAACAAACACCTCAGTCTCTTTTTTTCGCAACTGCACTCCCCACATCACTGATTCATTTAATTTTTTCATACAGTTCGTGTTTATTGTGTACCTACTACGTGCTATGCATTGAGCTAGGTGCTGGGGACATGCCTGTGAACCAGTCAGATGCCCTTACAGACCCTCTGCATTCATCAAGCTCTTCTGCTTCCTGTCATTTGCCCAGAACATGTCCATTCTATTACTGCATCTGTACTGACTCCAGGTCTTCTATTTCAAACGTCTTCCCTTTTCCTCTCTTCCAAGGTATACCTCTCACCACCTCTAAAACCTAGATTAAAATGCAAGCTTTCCACACATGCCCCACACCTAGGAGCAATCAGAAACCCAGGAGAGCGTGCCTTGCTCAGAGGCTAGAAGATCTGTAGCAGCAACCATCTGTTTAAAGCCCTTGGATGCAAGTAAAAGGAAAAAAATTCCACAGACTTTACATGTGCCAATTGATTGCATAAAGGATCATAAAGTAGGAATGAGAAACCCAGTTCTAGGCTAGAACAATCCTTAAAGGTGATAAACAGAAAATAAAGCAAAACTTTTATCATGGATGTTTGTGTGTATCTGGGTGGTGGTGGTGGGAATAGGCAGGTTAGCTTGATTAACCAAAAATGTAGTCATCTTTAATATGTCATTATCAGTGACATGAATTACTCTGGAATAAGTGGATAGGACTTACTCATGCAATCACATTTAGAGCCAGTGATAGAAATGCAAATCTGAAATGAGAATAGCAGCCCATGCTATTCATTTAGCTAATTATGTATTGAGTAGCTACTACATGTCAGACAAGCCTGCCCATAATATATGTGGGGCCCAGGGCAAATGTACAAAGGGACTCAGTTCCACCTACCATATGTCTGAAGATTTGCAAGTTATAAATTAACAGCATTTAATAAAGTGTGTTCTGTTCTACCTTTACAAACAAAGCATATCTTATAATGATCTGAAAACCAGGATCAAGTTTTAAATTCTTGAATTTCTCAGAGTTTCATGCCAAAACATGACAGGACAGATGGGGTGGTCCTAGGCTCCCAGCTCCCAGCCTGACTTCCTGACCCCCTTCTCTTCCACTCCAACTCCATCTTGTACTATGAGGGGTCTCTCACACATGCACGTAAACACCCTGGTCCTCCTGTGCAAGGGGTTCCACCCTTGGGAGGATGGACTGGGGATAGAGACCCACACAGGCCCTGAAAGAAGGCACAAGGCCCTTTAGCCAGAGAATTCCCAGGACCTGGGCAGCCAGAGCATGCACTAGAAAGGAAGGGCATGGACTGTGGTTGGACACATTCTTTTGGTCCAGTGGATTCCTCTTCTATGAGGGCTACATCTAGGGAAGGGCCAGAGTAAGGTCTCTAAGATGTGGGACCAGGTATCTACCATGTACTGGGGATAAGATGATTATGATATGCTCCCTGTCCTCTAGGAACTTACAACCTGGTGAAGCAGACATACAGGTGCACAGCCCACACTACCATACTGGGATAAATAAATGCTGTCTTTGTTAGAACTCAGAACACAGAAAAGGATAAAATATGAGATGATGGATCTGAGGAATGACAAATAGGGGAAAAGGAGCCAAAGATGGAGATATCAAGTATGATGCCTTTTGTTCCTTTCGAAAAAATTTGAATTGTTGTTTATGGAGGTCCAGTTTGCATTCAGGCAAGTGCTCAAATTCCACCTTAAAGCTCCATGAATTGTGATAATTCCAGGAAATCACAGCCCCTCCATCCAGTCAACACACCATGCTCAAAGATAACCTCCATTCTGCCATCTACCACCAGAGATTAGTTCTGCCTTTTTTTGAACTCCACATAAATAGAATCATATAACATGTATCTTTGTGTCTTGTTTCTTCTACTCGACAGTATGTCTGTGAAATCCATCCACCTTCTGTAGCTGTACTTTTTTTTCACTGCCGTGAAAAAAAAGCATTCCATGTTATTGAAATGTGACACATTATTTTTCCATTTTACCGTTGATGGACATTCAGTTTGAGACTATTATGAACAGTGCTGCTATGAACTTGCTTGTTCATGTATTCTGATAAACATTTATGGCATTCTTTTATCAAATTGTATTTCGAAATAACTTCAGACTTAGATGCAAAAATATTTCAAATAATTCCTATATTCTTATTATGCAGCCATAAAAAGGAACGAGACCATGTCCTTTGCAAGGACATGGATGGAGCTGAAAGCCATTATCCTCAGGAAACTAACACAGGAAAAGAAAACCAAACACTGCATGTTCTCACTTATAAGGGGGAGATGAACAATGAGAACACATGGACACATGGACACAGGGAGGGGAACAACACACACTGGGGCCTGTCCGGAAGGTTGGGGGAGGGAGAGCATCAGGATAAATAGCTAATGCGTGCTGGGCTTAATATCTAGGTGATTGGTTGATAGGTGCAGCAAAACACCATGGTACACATTTACTTATGTAACAAACCTGCATGTCCTGCACATGTATCCTGGAACTTAAATTAAAACAGGCGGGGCATGGTGGCTCATGCCTGTAATCCCAGCACTTTGGGAGGCCAAGGCGGGTGGATTACCAGAGGTCAGGAGTTCAAGACCAGCCTGACCAACATGGTGAAACCCCATCTCTACTAAAAATACAAAAAATTAGCCAGGCGTGGTGGTGGGCACCTGTAATCCCAGCTACTCGGGAGGCTGAGACAGGAGAATCGCTTGAACCCAGGAGGCGGAGGTTGCAGTGAGCCAAGATTGCAGTGAGCCGGAGCAAAACTCCTTAAAAAAAAAATAAATACATAAAATAAAATTAAAACAACAACAGAGAATTCGTATATTTTTCACTCAGATTTTATTCTTTTTAAAAATAGCTATCTAGTATTCCATTATAAATACTTAAAAAATATTTACCTCTAATTTTGCCAAAATACTAAAAGCTTTTTAATTTTCCTGTTTTCTGCTATAGAAATTTAAGCAAAATATATACTTAACCTGTGATCTATATTTTTTCTTTGAATGAAAAGATACAGCCATCCTTCAAATCTTACATTTTATCAGCATCTTTAAAAAAATCTGTGGTCCATACTTTCCAAGTGCTTGACCGATTTTCAAAAAGAGTTACAGTTCCTTACAACTCAAATTGAATTTTCTTATGGAAATCCATTTTAGTCCTCTTAGATTCTGGAAACCAGTCTTCTTTCTGCTTTTTTGAAGTGTAGAAAAAACTATTTGATTTTTCCCAAGCCTGCCTCTGCTCCAGAGGTGGCCTGGATTTGGGTCTCCGTGAGCCTCTTTCCAAGTGAGCTGACGCTAGGACTGACAGTCTGGCTATAAGACTGACAACTTGTGGTTAGTGAAGGACTGTGTTTATAAACATCCATTGATGAGTGATCAGCCAACACACACATCCCCACACATACACATCCCTACATATGCATGCCTTGAGAGTTTGAACCAGCACTTTTTTTTTTTAAGAGACAGGGTCTCCCTCTGTCACTCAGGCTGGAGTACAGTGGCACAATCATAGCTCACTGCAGCCTCGAACTCCTGGGCTCAAGTGATGCTCTTGCCTAGGCCTCCCTGAGTGCTAGGACTACAGGCATGAGCCACCACACCCAGCCTTGAACAAGGCATCTCTAAGGCCTCTGATATAGCCACATTTTTGTTTTAGGTAACTTTAATGCAGAAATGGATTATTCATAGAAATTAATCAGAAAAGTCAATTAACAGTAAGCCATTTAATTGAGGGGTCCCTGTCCCTATATTTTCTGTACCTCCCACACCCACCCTTCCCACCTCAACCCTGTATTGTAATACTCAGTGGGCACAATGGAAGTTTTCTCTATTTCCCAGAAGACAATGGGGTTCACGGTTAATTGCAGTTTGGCTCCTTGATGTTCCTTGTAGTTGCATGTCATTAGACCAAGGTTAGCCCATAGGATATCTTCTTCAGCATAATATGACTATCTTACTGAAAACCGACTAATTTTTGGCTTGCTTTTTGTTAACTGCCACCCAACACAACAGGTGCTGAGAACACAATAGGCCCTCATTACAGAGTTCTTGCTTGATGGAGGCAAGAGAGCTAGGCTAGAGGGAAGACAGACTAGACAGTCAAACATTTAGAAATCTCTTCTATCCCATTATTCTAAGATTCTCTTATTGTTTGCCAATCCAACAGCATTCCAGGTTTTTGTATATCCAATCCATATGTTTCTGATGAATGTGTGTTTAAATTTCTAAAAGGCAGATTTAGAAAAGCAATTTATTGTCACAGATCCCTTAGGATCCATCTTCTTTAACTACAAACCAGATGTCTCATTTTCCCAGTAGGAAATAGACTTTGAACTTGGAAAGTTCACATTCTGTTTTCTACTCATCTCAACACAGTGAGAGGATTTCCAAATTGGTCAAGTGAGCCTCTTCTATCCCAGAGCAATGGAGCATGTTTTCCATTGTGAGGGCGGTCACTGGAGTTGGGTTGTGGGTCAGGAAACTTGTGTTCTGCTTGTAAGTCCCCCACAAATTCAGTATGACTCCCGGAAGTTACATCTTTTGGGGACCTTTGTTTCACAATCAGTAGAGAATCATGCCTTGCGTACAATGCCAAATGATAGGAAAGAGACGTGCAAAATGTTTTGAGCTTGCTGAAGGAAATACAGTGACATAATCCCAAAGTGGCATGCCATCGCAATAATCAGATTTTAAAATTCTGTAAAGTTAGTTGAGGCCCTATGAGATTGAGCCTACTTAAATTTGATGTTGTCCCATGCATGCATGGAGACCCCTATGGTGTTAGAAGATCTTTAGAAAGAACATTTATCCCAACTGTCCATCTGGCCAATAAAATTTTTGGTAGCATCCTAGCAGATAGACACATGGCATCTGCTTGAATACTACCTGCCCAGGGAGTTTACTACTGCCTGAATAGCCCTTTTCCTTGTTGAATCACTTAAGTCATTAGCAATGACTTTCTTAAATTGAGCTGGAACCAGCGTTTGTGTAACTTCTGCCTGCTGTTTCTAATTTTTTCCTCTGGAGTAGCAAAGATCAAGTTTGTGTTTTCTTTTACAGGATGGCTCTTTAGATATTTGAAGACAGCTCTCAACATGTCTCTCCTTCTCCAGAGAAAAATTATTTTTTGTAGCATCAAATTGTTTTCTTGAGACAGAGTCACTCTGTCATCCAGGCTGGAGTGCAGTGGTGCAATTTTGGCTCATTGCAACCTCCGCCTCCCAGGTTCAAGTGATTCTCCTGCCTCAGCCTACCGAATAGCTAGGACTGCAGATGCCCACCACCACGCCCAGCTACTTTTTGTATCTGTAGTAGAGATGGGGTTTCACCACGTTGGCCAGGCTGGTCTCAAACTCCTAACCTCAAATGATCTGCCCGCCTTCGCCTCCCAAAGTGTTGAGATTACAGGCATGAGTCACCACACCCAGGCTGTAGCATCAAATTCTTATCCCCTCCCTGCCTTGACCACCACCAATCCCAGAGACTCCTGGGACCATGGGCATATTTTCTAATATTGCCAAGTGGAGCTCAGGAATCTCATCCAAACAATACCGCATACAGGATCCTGGTCCAAGTGGCCCAGAAGTTGAAGCACCCAACAGACCCTTATTCAGCCCTCCCTCATGTACCCTGAAGGGCCAGGAGGGTTTTGTTTTGACAACTTGCATTCTATTTGAGCCATGTGGAATCTTGGAAGGTCTTGAAATTTCTCTAAAGAGAAGTTGATAACGGCAGATGTTAAAACGAAAGCTAAATTGATAACCAAATAATGCTCAAACTGTTTTATGCAAATGAAGGGGTGGATCTTTATTGAGCACCTGGAAGGCTTAACATTTTCTAAATGAAGATACTGAGGCACAGAAAGGTGTAGCAACTTTCCCCAAGCCACACAGCAAGGATTTGGCATTCATCTGGTTGGCAGGCCACCTTCTGACCCACTAGGACAAGCTACCTTCCCTTTTATTGGGCTAAAATGTGTGTGACTCCTTTGCCATGAGAGGTTAGGAAAAGTCTCCTCCTAAATCTGTCCTCCTTTCTTCTTCTAGGTACTGAGAGGTTGCTTTGCTCTGTAGGACTAGATGAACCTTTACTTTGCTGAGCCCTGGGCAAACTCCTGGGTGTTATTTTCATTCGTGGGTAGTTGTTAGATCATTGTTTTTGTGGGGCAAGGAGGGTTGGATTTCCTACTCTGCCATTTTGCTGATGTCATCCTACATTTTATTTTTTACTGATTTAGCTCAGGGGTATGGCCCACAAGTGGACTGCCTATTTTTATAAATAAAGTTTTATTGAAGCACAGCCACACTCATTTGTTTACGTGGTGAGTATTATAGCTTCTGTACAATGGCAGAGTGAGTAGTTGAAATAGAGACTGTACGGTGTCTGCAAAGCTTCAAATTTTTACTATCGATCTCTTAACAGAAAAAGTCTGCTGACCTCTGCTTTGGATCATGACTGAAAATTATACATTATGTGAAAATTTACTATTACAGCAATGAATAACTGATTTTTGCTGAAGGTGACAAAAATTAATTTTGTGGAATACAAAATAATTCCTGAAATATGTATGTCTTTACATTATTACTCATCCATATATTGCTAGCCCATAAGAACACTCAGACATGCAGAGTCATAATTAAACTCAGTCATCTTTGATATTTTGCTTTCAATAATATTAAAACCATCACTTTACACATATCGATTTTGCTTTTATAAAGGTATAGTTGTCAAAATAGAAGATAGAACATATTTAACAATTTTTTTTGCTTTGACTTATAATTTTTAATTATCAGGCATATGCTCTGTTTGTATTCTTGTTCTGGGCCTCTTAAATGTTAGAGTGGGAAGCCTGGATGAGGCCTGGTAAGCATGTCAACACTTAGATGTCAGGAGCCATTTTTTGCTCTGTTGGGGCCTTATGTTCTGAGCAAAGCCTCTGAGAAGTTCTACCAATGCTTAATGAGTTCAGCAAAGCCTACCTGTCTGCAGCTACCACAGGGCAGTGAGAAAAAAACCAGCAGAGCACCTGCTATGAACTAAATTGCATCCTCTGAAAATTCTTATGCTGAAACCCAAACACCCAATTTGACTATATTTGGAGATAGAGTCTTTAGGAGGTAATTAAAATTAAATGAAATCATAAGAGTGGAATCTTAATCTTATAGGACTATGTGTTTATAATAAGTGAAATCAATCTTTCTCTCTCTCTCTCTCCTTTCGCTTTTTCATGTGAGAAACACAGTGAAAAGGTAGCCATCTGCAAGATAGAAAGAGGGTGCTCACCAGAGACCAAATCCTGCTAGAACCTTGGTCTTAGACTTTCCTGCCTCCAGAACTGTGAGAAAATAAATGTATGCTGTTTAAGCCACCAGTCTACAGTATTTTGATATGGTAATCTAAATACAATAAGACAGATTTTGGTATTGAGAAGTGGGGTGCTGCTGTAAAAAATACCTAAAAATGTGGAAGTGGCTTTAGAACTGGGTAATGAGTAAAGGCTAGAGTCTTGCAGCACATCCTAGAAATATGGACATTTAGGGCAATCTTGGTAAGGTCTCACAGAGAAATAAAGAACAAGATACTGAAAACTGGAGGAAAGGTGATTTCTGTTATATGGTGGCAAAGAACTTGGCTGAACTGTGTCCTAGTGTTTTGCAGAAGTTAGAACATGAAAGTGAAGAAATTGGATATTTAACTAAGGAGATTTCTAAGCAAAGTGTTGAGGGATTGGCTTGGTTTCTCCTGACTAATTATAGTAAAATGCAAGAAGAGAGAGATGAATTAAAGAAGGAATTGTTAAGCAAAAAGGAACCAGAACTTAACAACTTGGAATATTCTCAGCCTATCCATATTGCAAAAAATGAAACTTGTCCTGAAGAGAACACTAACCCTACAGCTGGACAACCATTTGATGAAGAGATTGTGGGTGGGACTCATGAGTATAATCAGCCATCTCAGCGGAAGCCAGGAATAGAAGTGGGATTATATGAGCAAAAACACTAGTTTGAACTAAAGGAGACAGAGAAAGCTACACAGAATGAAGGAAGACTTTTGAAGTTCTTGGATTCTCAGGAGCAGACCATTTACCTATTTGGCTGCTAATTGCACTGTTATTCAAGGAAAAATAAGAATAACCATGAAGGCATTTATAGATAATCAGGGCTGACACTTCTACCACAGGCCCAGGGGGCAAGGCTGTTTCTACCTCAGTTTCAAAGGGTGATACCACCTCTCCAGTTTCAGTGGGCCAGGGTGACCCCGCCCTGTGCCTCAGGGGCAAGGCAGCCTTTATAGACAATCCTTTGGGCTGGACCCTCTCTGATAACTGAAGGGGCAGGGCCCTAGCAGAGCCATGAAAGTGACACTGCCACCCAAGTGGTGGGTAGAGTGTTTAACCAAAGAGGATTATTATTGAGCCTTAAGATCTCATGGAATTCGCCTTGCTAGGTTTTGGACTTGCTTGGGACTCACTACCCTTTCTTCCTTCTGATTTCTTTCTTTTGGAATGGGAATGTCTATCCTATGCCTCTGGCACCATTGTATTTTAGAAGCACATAACTAGTCTGGTTTCATAGGTTCACAGCTAGAGAGGAATTTTGTCTCTGGATGAATCTTACCTTAGTCTCACCAATATATAATTTACATGATATTTAGATGAGACTTTGGACTTCAGACTTTAAGAGTTGATGCTGGAAAGAGTGACGACTTTGGGGACTGTTGGAATGGAATGAATGCATTTTGCATGTGAGAAAACATAAATTTGGGGCGAACCAGAGGGGTTAAAACTCTCTCCTTAATTAAACTTTAGACAGGCTCTTCTAAGCCCTCTTTTTGACCTCATCCTTGCTAAGTCTAGTTTTAGCAGGAGTTTAGCTTAAGTCACTTTAGTGAGAATCCCCTGCTCTTGATATCCAATCACCTTCAATATCTGATCACACTCTTCTTCCCCACCCTTGATATCTGATCACCCCAGCCTACCTTTAGCAAGAATCTTGTTAAGTTGGTTTAACAAGAATTCATCTACCCTTGATGTATCTTCTTAGTAATTTTTCATCCACTGACCACTTTGCTCTGCTCCTTGGCTATAAATCCTCTTGCATTTACTGCATTTAGAATTGAGCCCAGACCAGGTGCAGTGGCTCACAGCCGGGCGTGGTGGCGGGAGCCTGTAATCCCAGCTATTCAGGAGGCTGAGGCAGGAGAATCACTTGAACCCAGGAGGCGGAGATTGCGGAGGTTGCAGTGAGCCTAGATCGTGCCACTGCACTCTAACCTGGGTGACAGAGTGAGACTCTGCCTTAAAAAAGAATTGAGCCCAGTTCTATCCTGAGGTCTTTTTGCCCCATTGCCATAGTTCCTGAATAATATCTGTTTTACCTCTTTTATTACTGTCCAGCTCTGGTTCTGTTAGGCAAATGCTATAGACTGAATTTTGTCCCCCTACCCAATAAAATTCATATGTTGAACTCCTAACCCCCAATTTCACTACTCTTTCACTACTGTCCAGCTCTGGTTCTGTTTAGCAAATGCTATAGACTGAATTTTGTCCCCCTACCCACTAAAACTCATATGTTGATGCCCTAACCCCCAATTTGACTGTATCTGGAGATAGGGTCTTTAGGAGGTAATTAAGGTTAAATGAGGTCATAAGGGTGGGTCCCAAATAGGATAGGATGTGTCCTTGTCAAAAGAGATCTCTCCAAGCCCTGCTGCCATGTGAGGACACAGTGAGAAGGCAGACATCTGAAAGCCAGGAAGTGAGCCCTCACCAGAAACCAACCCTGCTGGAAACTTGATCTTGGACTTCTAGCCTCCAGAACTGTGAGAAAATAAATGTCTATTGTTTCAGCCACCCAGTCTATGGTGTTTTGTTACGGCAGCCCGAGGTGAGTGAGACAGCACCTCTGTGTATCTGAGGCTGAGGTGTATGCTTGTGTGCAATCACATGCATTATTTCCAGAGTCGAGGTGCTAGAGGAAGTTGGTGTGGACTAGAGAAGCAGGCCTGAAGACACAGAGCCTGTGTGGCATGGTTATTAGGACTTTTGGTGAGTAAGGCAGAGTTGAGACCAACGGTGGGAGAAAGAGACTGCCACAGGCCTCTGCTTCTGCTGGGCTTTGTCTTGTTCTCTCTTTAGATTTCTTTCTCATTGGCAATGTGTGTAGCTTCCAAAGTGAGGTGTAGGCTGTGGACTTAGTCTATTGATTGTACCACAGCCCAACAAATAAATGATACTGTATATTGTTAACTCCTTTTTCCCATCTCTATCTACTCAGGAAGGCTTAGTGTAGCTGTTTGGGTAGAGAGACAAAAACTGGATTCTTCCACAATAAGCTTCTTGACCAGCAGGTGAAGAAATAATCCTTGCAAGAGCCCAGATCCAGCTTCTTGTGAGACAATGGCTGAGAAGAAATGATAGACGGGCCTGCAGAGGCCTACACGTCTGATTTTCATCAGTCCCTTTAGGATGTGCTATGGTTTAAATGTGTCCTCCAAAAGTTCATGTGTTGGAAACTTAATTACCATTGTAACAGTATTAAGAGGTAGGGCCAGAGGAGGAAAGGCTGAAGGCGTGAAAAGGCACGCAGGCGCACTGCACGGACCGCCCCCCTGCTGCTGCGCACCTCACGTGGCGCATGTTACGCCAGGTACCACACGCCACGTACTGCACACCACGTACCACACGCCACGTACCACACACCACGTACCACACGCCACACACATTATGCCACGCACGTTACGCCACGCACGTTACGCCACGCACGTTACGCCACGCACGTTACGCCACGCACGTTACGCCACGCACGTTACGCCACGCACGTTACGCCACGCACCTCACGGCAGCCCTACACTCGGCCTGGAAGAATTGTTTTTCTTCTCTGGAAAGGTGAACATTTATAGCATTTATTTCCCAAATCTGTTAACATGGCAAAATATGTCAGTCTCACTGAAGCTAACGAAGAACTCAAGGTCTTAATGGACGAGAACCAGACCAGCCGCCCCGTGGCCGTTCACACCTCCACCGTGAACCCGCTCGGGAAGCAGCTCTTGCCGAAAACCTTTGGACAGTCCAGTGTCAACATTGACCAGCAAGTGGTAATTGGTATGCCTCAGAGACCAGCAGCATCAAACATCCCTGTGGTAGGAAGCCCAAACCCACCCAGCACTCACTTTGCCTCTCAGAACCAGCATTCCTACTCCTCACCTCCTTGGGCCGGGCAGCACAACAGGAAAGGAGAGAAGAATGGCATGGGCCTGTGCCGTCTTTCCATGAAGGTCTGGGAGACGGTGCAGAGGAAAGGGACCACTTCCTGCCAGGAAGTGGTGGGCGAGCTGGTCGCCAAGTTCAGAGCTGCCAGCAACCACGCCTCACCAAACGAGTCAGCTTATGACGTGAAAAACATAAAACGGCGCACCTACGATGCCTTAAACGTGCTGATGGCCATGAATATCATCTCCAGGGAGAAAAAGAAGATCAAGTGGATTGGTCTGACCACCAACTCGGCTCAGAACTGTCAGAACTTACGGGTGGAAAGACAGAAGAGACTTGAAAGAATAAAGCAGAAACAGTCTGAACTTCAACAACTTATTCTACAGCAAATTGCTTTCAAGAACCTGGTGCTGAGAAACCAGTATGTGGAGGAGCAGGTCAGCCAGCGGCCGCTGCCCAACTCAGTCATCCACGTGCCCTTCATCATCATCAGCAGTAGCAAGAAGACCGTCATCAACTGCAGCATCTCCGACGACAAATCAGAATATCTGTTTAAGTTTAACAGCTCCTTTGAAATCCACGATGACACAGAAGTGCTGATGTGGATGGGCATGACTTTTGGGCTAGAGTCCGGGAGCTGCTCTGCCGAAGACCTTAAAATGGCCAGAAATTTGGTCCCAAAGGCTCTGGAGCCGTACGTGACAGAAATGGCTCAGGGAACTTTTGGAGGTGTGTTCACGACGGCAGGTTCCAGGTCTAATGGCACGTGGCTTTCTGCCAGTGACCTGACCAACATTGCGATTGGGATGCTGGCCACAAGCTCCGGTGGATCTCAGTACAGTGGCTCCAGGGTGGAGACCCCAGCAGTCGAGGAGGAAGAGGAGGAGGACAACAACGATGACGACCTCAGTGAGAATGACGAGGATGACTGACGTCCTCTCGCCTTAAGATTCAGCTTCAGGAAAACATTTAGGGAAAAGAAACTTTTTTTTTTTTTTTAATGTGAGGTTTTCTGTTTCTTTTTTGCCTACTCCCAAGAAGATATTGGTAAGCTATAGAATTTAGATATGCACCTCTGATAAGCAAGGATTGTTTCCCGTATGATTAAGACGTGCTGTTGATGTGTGTTTTGATACCAGTGTGCTGACACAGAATCTTTATTTACTTTTTAGGATTTTGTGTTTTCATTTTCTATTTTTCTTTAAATGCAGAGTTCATTGTTGCCCCTTAACAGTTTTTCCTGAGTTTACTGAAGAAATTGTACTTCATCCACATCCATGAAAATAAAATGCTCTCCTTTTGTGCACAGTGAGTACCGAATGCCGTTTATTTGCCTTGGATTTGGATGGCACCCCCACTGATGCATAGCAAGACTCTTGAGTTTTCCATTTGTTCAGTTTTGCAGTGTCCAGAGCCCCAAGCAAACGGCAGAATTCTATTTTCAGAACAATAAACACCATCAATCTTAAAAAAAAAGAGGTAGGGCCTTTAAGAGGTGATTAGGCCATAAGGGCTGTGCCCTCATCAATGGATTAATGCTGTTATAATAGGAATAGACTCTTGATAGAAGGATAATTTCAACCCTGTTCCTCTGTCTTGAATGCTTGCTTGCCATTCTGCCATGTTAGGACACAGCAGGAAGGTCTTCACTAGGTGCCAAGCATATGCTGGCACCATGGCTTTGGACTTCTCAGGCTCCAGAACCATAAGCCAAATAAATCTATTTTTCTTTATAAATTACCCAGTCTGTTATAGGAGCAGAAAACGAACTAAGACAGGATGGCTGAAGGCTCCTAGCCGGCAATCAATGCACATCTATCTATGCAGGAATCATTTGCTGACTGGAAGCAAGATGAGTAGGTTTTCCTTTTTCAAATTGGTGAGATAGAACAGCAGTGGAGCCTATAGCAGTGTCATGGTATGGTGAGAAGAAACTGGGTTAGAACCTAGGTAGGGAGATCTTGACTCATTAATATGAGAAAGTTGTACCAAAAGTGTGGCTGGGGACAGCAGAGGGAGCTGTTGCTTTCTTCAAGCACAGTTTCACAAAGGGTCATCTTTCCAACCATATGCAGACCTGTCCAGAGTTCCAAGAAAAAATAGACACTAGGATAATCACTGTGAAAGCAAGACCGTAAGACCCATTAAGAGAGGGCAGGTAGTTAATTACAATGAGATACCACTTCACACCCATTAGGATGGCTATTATGATTATTATTTTGAGATAAGGTCTCTATTGCCCAGGCCTGCAGTGCAGTGGAAAGATCATGGCTCACTGCAGCCTCAACGTTCCAGGCTCAATCAATCCTCCCACCTTAGCCTCCCGAGTAGCTGGGACTACAGCTACTCCACACCTAGCTAATTTTTTTTTTTTTGGTATTTTTTGTAGAGTTGGGGTTTCACCATGTTGCCCAGGCTGGTGTCGAGCCCCTGGGCTCAAGCAATCCACCTACCTCAGCGTCCAAAAGTGTTGAAATTACAGGTGTGAGCCACCACACGTGGTCATGACTGACTTCTTTTACTTAGCAAAATGTTTCCAAGGTTCATCCATCTTGTAGCATGGATCAGTACTTCATTCCTTTTTATGGGTAACATTCCATTGTATGGATAGATAGACTTTTTGTTTATCCAGTCATCTCTTGATGGCCAGTTGGGTTGTTTCTGCCTTTCGGCTATTGCGAGTAACAGTGCAGTGAACATTAGTATGCAAATATCTGTTCAAGTCTCTGCTTTCAATTCTCTTGAGTATGTGTGTATCTGGGAGTGGAATTACTGGGTCATATGGTAACACTATATTAAGCCTTTTGAGGAACCACCAGGCAGGTTTCCACAGAAGCTGTGAAACTCCCACCAGCAACATACAAGACATCTAAGACATGGTTTCGAGTAGTCTTGGGAGTAGAGAAGACACTACCAAGGTCACCTGTGTATAGTGATGGCACTGGCTGGTCCCTGTTTTTTGGGGGATCGGTTCCCTTGTGTCCTGTCTGAATACTTTTCCAAACCATGCTGCAAAACACGTGCCTTTTTTTCCCCCCATCAAGCCTTAACATAGTTGCCCCACTTTGGAAGGCTTTCAGCTCCTAAAAATTTCTGAGGAACGTTGGATCACTGAGAGGGCTGCTCCTCACCTCCAAGGGACATGTCACATAGCTCCACCTGCACTGCTTGTCAGATGTGGACTCCATGAAGGGGTGGGCACTGCCATAGCCAGTGTTCAGCCTTTGCCCTGCCTTCCCCTTGGCGCTGGCACCTAGAACATCCGAATGAACAGTCTCCTAAGGTCTGGAGCAAAGCCTTCCCAGCCAAGTGCAGCCAGCAGCCCCAGACAGTACCTCCTTTTGCCTTCTGGCCTCCTAATGTGCTTTGCATTAAAATATCCATTTTGGCTTTGCCTTTGAGTCAATTCTCAGGGGAGCAAGTAAAAGCTGAGCCATGAACATGTGGCCCATGGAGATGTAGTAGACAGAGAAATGACTGCAGTTCATTCCAGTCAGGCCCTTTTGGCGTTTTTCCCACACACCAGCAATGCCTAGGACTGACGTGTCCTTGTCTGAGCTCCGCCACTAACTGGAGGTACAATTTCAGCAAATCCCTTCTCTTCTCTCAGTCTCAGTTTCCCCATCTAATAAATGGGCAGGGAATCTCCAGGAGACACTTCCAACTCTAAATATTCTATTACTAACATTCAAGCAGAGCCTGACTCTAAGAAGCACAATCGGCATCCTTTCTGTGCGATAGAATGATAGTCAATGCTTTGGAAGATATTTGCTTTCCTGGCGAAAATGGTATGAAATAAATTTCTTTTATAATGATTCTGGTCTCAAGCCCTCCAAAACCCAGCTCCACTCTTGAAATGTTATAGGATAAGTTTTTATTTGCAGAATTTGAGTGTGACCTTTGCTGAGGCAGAACATGGTTTTGGGGGAGGGGGAGAGGCAAATGGAGGTGGGAAATACTGGATTGTGATTAACCAGATAATGAACCCCACCTGCTTTTAATCAGCCACTTCCTGTTCTCCCAGACCTCTAAACTTTTAATATTAATGGAAACAGATTTGAATTCTGGAAAGAGCTATTCTGGAAAATAATTGGATATTTACTAGGTGAAAAGTGAAATTGCACAGGCATTTCATAGGGTTTGGTATTTGACAGGTGCCATTTTTTCTTTCCAATGTGTTGCATACCTCTGTTTTATAAACCAATATGGATAGTGGTATAAAAGATTACGGGTTTACATGGTGGCAAGGCCTGGGAACATGTTCAGGGGGGTTGGTGGGCAGGAAGAGAGAACTTCAATTGGGGACAAGGCTGAAATGATTTGATTAGTAGGAAAAAAATATTTGAAGGCAAAGAATATTTCTTTAAAAGAAATATACCCATGTTCATAAATGGAGATTGCACAGAGAGAGAGAGAGAGAGAGAGATTGGCTTACCTGTGGAAGTCTGACTGCATACAAGAAGGTAACGCCTCCCTTGGCTTCTTAAAGAACTTTGTAGTTAGAGAAGGCAGGAAGGCACTGGAAGAGAGTGGGGAGATTTTATTAAAACAAAGCACAGAGCTCTCCAGGGTTGCAGGCAAGCAGAACAAATGGAAAGCAGATCTGCCAGAAAGCAAAGGAGGGCTGCTCCAGTGGGGTGACTCAGGCCCTTTGGGTTCTTTCCCTTGAGCGTCTCTCACTTCAGTCATTACTACTGTGATCATTAGGATTCCCCGCGTGTTTCCTCTTTAATGGTCTGGCCCTAGTGTGGACAGAGCCCCACCTTTTTTATTGAGATGGGGTTTTGCTCTGTCATTCAGGCAGGGGTGCAGTGGCACAATCATAGCTCACTGCAGCCTCGACCTCCTGGGCTCCAGCAATCCTCCCGCCTAGCCTCCAGAGTAGCTGGGACTGCAGGGACACACCATCACTCCCAGCTTTTTTTTTTTTATTTTGTACAGATTTATGTTGCCCAGGCTCAAGCGATCCTTCTGCCTCGGCCTCTCAAAGTGCTGGGCCTCTCAAAGTGTGAGCCACCACACCTGGCCAACAGAGCACATTTTAGGGGGATTCCTTCAGAGACAGCTGAAACTGGCTGTCCCTCTGCCCCTCTCTCCTTCCCCCCCTCCCCCCCCTCTTCCCCTCTCCCCCTCTCCCCGCCTCCCCCTCTTCCCCTCTCCCTGTCTTCCCTCTCCCATCTCTCCCGCCTCACTCTTGTCACCCAGGCTGGAGTGCAGTGGCGCGATCTCGGCTCACTGCAACTTAGCCTCCCAGGTTCAAGTGATTCTTGTACCTCAGCCTCCTGAGTAGCTGGGATTACAGGTATGCACCACCACACCAAGCTATTGTTTGTGTTTTTAGTAGAGACAGGGTTTTCACAATGTTGGCCAGGCTGGTCTTGAACTCCTGACCTCAAGTAATCTACCCACCTCAGCCTCCTGAAGTGCTTGGATTACAGATGCGCACTACCACTCCTGGCTAATTTGTGTGTGTGCATGTATTTTTGAATAGAGATGGGGTTTTACCATGTTGACCAGGCTTATCTCAAACTCCTGACCTTAAGTGACCTGCCTGCCTCAGCCTCCCAAAGTGCTTGGATTACAGGTGTGAGTCACTGTGCCCGGCTTGATTTTCTTTTTCTTTTCTTTTCTTTTCTTTTCTTTTTTTTTTTTTTTTTTGAGACGGAATCTCGCTCTGTCTCCCAGTCTGGAGTGCAGTGGCAGGATCTCAGCTCACTGCAACCTCCGCCTCCTGTGTTCAAGCAATTCTCCTGCCTCAGCCTTCTGAGTAGCTGGGATTACAGGTGTTTGCCACCATGCCCAGCTAATTTTTGTATTTTTTAGTAGAGATGGGGCTTTGCCATGTTGGCCAGGCTTGTCTCGAACTCCTGACCTCAAGTGATCTGCCCACCTCAGCTTCCCAAAGTGCCGGGATTACAGCTGTGAGCCACCTCAACCGGCCTGGCCTGATTTTCTTAAAAAATATATTTTTAAATTTAAATTAAGGAGAAAACACCAAGGAAATGCTTTACAGAGAATACATGCAACACTCAAAACAGGCTTCCATAGCAGATATTTTCCTGATCCTGCTATAATTTACTTGTAGTCCCAGAGGCAGGTCTAGTTTTACCATAATCTTAGCTGCTTTCTGGTCCTGCTAGTTCCCTGTCAGTCTCAATATGACAGCCACCATCTTATTTCCCACCAGAAGAGTGTGAGCACCCAGTTATCTCTTCTCTTTCTAACCAGGGTAGAAGGACTTGTTTCCCCAGCCCTATTTTTTCTCCCTCCAATCAGTGGTTCTAGTTTTCAGCTGAAGGATTCTCCTTGTTGACCATCAATTGGTAGGTTGAGGTGTGTCTTTCATCTGTGAGTATAATGTTGGTCACATGTGAGGCTGGCCAGTGAAGTCTGGACTGCTCAGTGCAGGCTGAGCCACTGATGGGAGAACAATTGAGTCCCCCACTTATTGATGAAGTAGCATATTTAGGTCTCAAGGGACAGACAGAATTACTTTGTAGGGCTTTATCCATATCCTTTGGGGAGGACACTGTAGGAGTATTAAAGAAGTAGCTTAATCATATAAAAAGCCTTCTTCTGAGGAGGAGTCTTGATTGGCCATATGTGCCATTCCGCCTTTTCAGTTTCTTTAGATAGTTACTTGGAGAAAAAGATAAAATGGTTTAGCTTTCTCGAATTCATGAAGAAAATGGTGCTCTTATCCTGAAAACTGACTTATCCTGAAAACCAGCTTATCTTGAAAACTAGGCCTTTTAGACCAGTGTTTTTGCAGATGAGGAAACTGAGGCCAATATAGAGGAAAAGACTTGTCAAAGTCACTCAGTACACCATAAACACAGCCAGAACTAGCCTCTAGGACACTTGCATGCCAGGTCATGAACTGCCAGGATAAGAACTTTGGGGAACCAAATTAAGAGAACTAAGGTAACTGGGTTGCACAGAGACCAAATCCAGGACCAAGGGCATCTCAATAGTGCTTTCTAATTGAAAGTTCTTTTTTTGTTTTTTTTTTTTGTTTTTTGTTTTTGAGATGGAGTCTTGCTCTGTCACTCAGTCTGGAGTGCAGTGGCATGATCTTGGCTCACTGCAACTTCCACCTCCTGGGTTCAAGCGATTTTCCTGCCTCAGCCTCCCAAGTAGCTGGGACTACAGGCACGTGACACCACGGCTGGCTAATTTTTTTTTTTTTTTTGTATTTTTAGTAGAGATGGCGTTTCATCATGTTGGCCAGGCTGGTCTCGAACTCCCGAAGTCAAGTGATCTGCCTGCCTTGGTCTCCCAAACTGCTGGGATTACAGGCATGAGCCACGTGCCTGGCCCAGATTGAAAGTTCTCAATCTCCCCAAGTGGTACAGAAACCCAGAGCAAGCAAAGATCTCTCCATTCCCACCAGCTTCAGTCCCATCCTCTGGTCTCCTTGGTTATAGCTAAAAGCTGGCTCCTGGTGGAAAATTCCTGTTACTTTCAGCCTGTGCCTCCCGGGTCCAAGCAATCCTCCTACCTCAGCCTCCCGAGTAGCTGGGACTACAGGCTCATGCCACCGCACTTGGCTAATTTCCATTTTTTTTTGTGGATACGGGGTTTCATCATGTTGCCTGAGCCAACGTGTTGATATTGCAGGTGTGAATCACTGCACTTGGCCTGCTTCATTCCTTTTTATAACTGAATATAACTGAATAGTGCTGCTTATGACTATGTGATACATGTATTTGTTAAAGTACCTGTTTTCTAGCCAGGTGTGGTGGCATGTGCCTGTAATCCCAGCTACTTGGGAGGCTGAGGTGGAAGGATCACTTGAGCCTGGGAGGTCGAGGTTGCAGTGAGCCGTGATTGCACCACTGCACTCCAACCCAGGTGACAGAGTGAGACCTTGTCTCAAAAAAACGTAGCTTTTTTTGCTGTTGTGAGGAGTATATATCTAGGAGCAGAGTTACTGAATCATACAGTAATCTATGTTTAAGTTTTTGAGGAACTGTATGGCAAATTTTTAATATCATTTAGCCTTCTTCAGACTACTTCTCAAGCTCCATGATTATATTCTCCCACTCCACAGCTGGTAGATGCTCAGGGGATATTAATTGTTTTTAAAATCAGTCTAAATCAAATGCAACTTTTCAAATAAACTTTACTGCAAATTTATTAGGAAATGCTTTCCAAAACCAAGCAGAAAATTATTTTTGGATTATAGACCAGCATTATCTAATACAACATTTTGCGCTGTCCAGTATGGTAGCCATAATTAGGCATATGTGACTAGCACTTCACATGTGCTAGTGAGACTGAGGAAATAAACGTTAAATTTTATTTTATTTTTATCAAAAATAAAATTTAAGTTCAAATAGCCATTGTGGTTAGTGGCTACTGCAGCTATAGACTGTATTCTCAATCTTTTCAGCATAATAAAAATTTGAAAATTTTCCCCAAGTATTATTTATTTTTCACATTAGTGGGGAGAGATAGCCTTGGGTATGCTAAAAAATAAATTTGCTTTGTAGAAATCAAGCATAAATACTCATGCTGGTAAGGTTGCACAAAACTGACATTTTCAAACAGCGCTGGTGGCAGTGTAATTTTTCAATGAAAATTCATTTTATTCATTAATTCATTCATTTATCCATCCATTCATTGTTTTAGTGGAATGCTTATTGTGCACTGGGCACTGTGCTGTATATATCCTAGGGACACAAAGATGACCAAAACATGATCCCTCCTCTCAAAAGCCCACAGTCAAGTAGCCAGGTAAACACTTAATTGCAATACAATGTGATGATAATAATGGTTTCCATTTTTAAAGCACTGACTGCATGCTGAGCACTGGGCTAGGGATTGTACAGACATTATCTCATTTAATCCTTCCAGTAGCTCTGTGAGTTAGATATGATTATCCTCATTTTACAGACAAGGAAGCGCATCTTGTGATCATAAGTAAGTGGACTGTTTGCCACAAATGAGGTATATCCAAGGTATGGTTAATGCTCAAATACAGGAATAAGTGATTATGCCTAGAATATATGATGTATGTAGGAGTCGGGGGAGGGAAACTGCACTAGATCTTGAAGGATAAGTAAGAGATAAGCCCCACAACAATCCATTTGATTCTACGGCCTTAAACAATTTTCACATACTTTTACCCAGTAACTCCACTTCTGGGAATTTATTGCAAGGAAATATCCAAAAGTATGGGGAAAAGAACCCTGCCTGAATGAACTGTTCATTTCTCTATTATTTATAATTCTGAACAATTGGAAACAACTTATACGTTTAACAACAGGGGAATGGTTCAATAAATTATGGTCCCTCTCATCTATGGAATATTGATGTGACCAATGAAAAATTTTAAAATAATAATGGAGAAGACTGTAGCAACAACAAAAACACTTATGGTATGATGTCAAGTGATAAAAACAAAATACCACATTGTGTATTCACTATGAATGCGGTTATGGAGAACATGGTTACATATGGGTAGGCCTAAAATGGAAATACAAAAAAAGGAGTTGTGTTCAGGTTGTGAAATCAGGGGTAAGAGTTTTTCTTTTTTTAAAAAAATGTTCTTTAACATTATTTTATCTTTTACTGTGGAATAAGTGAAAAATTTAAAAAGAGACATCAAGCCTTTTTTTCCCTGGTTTTAATGTGACTTTTACTTGTTCCAGATAGTCATTTTCACGGGAAAGTTTGAGATTCCTTTAAAAATGGATTGAATATGGAAAATCGTATGTGGTCCATCCTGTTTTAGCCAAATCAGAATCATTCAGTCCCTGGGTAATTAAAGTAAGTTGAGAATTGTTTTCTTTGCACACGTTTCAGTGGTCTTGACTTCATTGTGATATACAACAGAAATCACATTTCTGTCAAATATTTGCTAATGTTTATGGGGCCAAGTATTTGAAATAAAATAACTAATGAGTGACAGTCATTTCATTTTTGAAGTGCCTGTCTCCTGGGACCCAAACTCGGGTTCTGAGTGTATTTCTTTTTAATTTAGATGATAACATTAATATAAATCCAAGTCTTTATTTTGATAATGGGTTGCTGCTGATGGATTAAATGTGGAAAAGAGATTAAATGTGTTTGTTTTTCTTAAGTTGCTGGAATGATATAGCTGCGCAAATACAACCTCAGTAATGCTATTGCCTTCTTGTGATGTGGGGTAAGCTCTTCAGGCACAATTCTATTTACTAAAGGGACTGTCTCAAGCCTGAAATAAGCAATAGAGAGGGATCATTTTTGTTCAGGGTTTGTTTCCCATCCAATACATAAGGTCGACTATTAGACCTAGCATGACATGGTAGCTAAGAGTCACACAGACCAAGCCTCAAATCTTGGCACTTCTATTTGCTAGCCGTTTGACCCTAGGCAAGTTACAACACCTTTCTATGCCTCAGTCTTTTCATCTGTTTAAAACAAAAAAAGTAACAGTTATAGAACCAACTCATAGGATTGTTTTGAGTATTATCTGAGATAACACCTAGCTCAGTATCTGACATACACGAAACGCTTAATAAATGGCAAACACTATTGTAGCACATAGAAGACACCACACTAAGTAATAGGTTGTTTACTTGTCACTTTCCTCTGGTTATAAGTTACTTGAGGGCAGTGACTTGTTCATCATTGTAGCCCCAGTCCCCCAGCACATGGCCTGGGACACAGTAGTTGCTCAAGAAATACTCGTGGGATGAATTTAATGAATGCCTGGTGATTTGTGGAAATACCGGAAAGCATGAGATGCAGCCCCTGCCCTTCAGGAGCTTATAGACATAATGGGTGGGTGGGTGTGGGGAGAGATACACACAGGTATCTGGGGGTTTGCAGGAACAGATAATTTAAAATCAGAAAACCAGGTTTCGAGTACTAGTTCGGCTTGCTAGCTGTGTGGACTTTGAAATGTCAGGTAACATTTTTGAGCCTCAGTTCCTCAACCTAAAATGGGAATCATCAACGATCATCATCTTCACAAAGGTGTTATGCATTTATGTGATAAACGTATATGAAAGTGCTTTGTGGACTGAAAAGCAGGATATAAAACTAAAAAGGTGTTATTACTCTAAATAACATCAATGCTGTGCTGGAAATTTTAAGTTCCAGACCTTATTATCTTTAGTAGCTATAGGAGCTCTGAAAAGAGAAAAACTCCAGACCGATGGTTAATTAGATGACTATTATCGTATTGTCTTACCTATTAAAAAATAATATTCATTATTCACCTTTTAGAGATAAGGCCTATTTAATGGTCTGCTTTGTATTATTTTGCCTAATCCAGGAGTTTCCAATCTTTTGGCTTCCCTGGGTCACATTGGAAGACAGAACTGTCTTGGGCCACACATAAAATACACTAACACTAACAATAGCTGATGAGCTAAAATAAAAAATCACAAAAAAAACTTATAATATTTTAAGAATGTTTACAACTTTTTGTTGGGCCACATTCAAAGCCATCCTGAGCTGCATGCAGCCTGGGTTGGACAAGCGTGGTCTAATCTTTGTGCAAATTGTTTCTAAGATTGAAGCAGTTGGTTGGGATCTCTTTTGAGATTGCTAAATTTTCCTTCTGCTGAGGTGATGAATGATGTAAAAACCAATTTGGAAGTGTGGTAGTGAAATTAAAGTCTGGAGTTTTCCGTAACATACACTTTCAAGTCCCTCTCATTGCTCTTATCTTCCGAAATGACTCTTCAAATTCTTTCAGCCACTGAGCTGTGCTCGAAATACCAAACTGATTTACCTGAAAAGTGCGTATGGAAAGTGGATAGATGGGCACAGAAGGGTTAATTCTGATATTGATTTATTACTGAAAAAGGAAGATACTGTATCACATGGCAGATAGCAGGCCCTGAAAGAAATCAAAGAATTTTACAGCAAATATATTTCTTTGACATATTTTGAAATAGCCGTGCTAAGCTGCCTCTTGGCAAGGGAAATCTACATTCTGTAGAGAATCCCTTTCCCTTTCCAGGTATTTCCTCTGATCCTAGAGAGAATTAACTGAGAGTCTGGCACTTTTTAATTTTTTTATTTTGTTTTTGAGACAAGGTCTCCCTTTGTCACCCAGGCTGGAGTGCAGTGTCGTGATCATGGCCCACTGCAACCTTGACCTCCGGGCTCAAGCAATCCTACCTCAGCCTCCTGAGTAGCTGAGACTACAGGCATGCATCAGCATGCCCAGCTAATTTTTGTGTTTTTTGTAGAGACGGGGTTTCATCATGTTGCCCAGCCTTTTCTCAAACTCCTGGGCTCAAGCGATCTGCAAAGGTTTTTATATAATTTAAGAAAACAGGCCAGGTGCGGTGGCTCACGCCTGTAATCCCAGCACTTTCGGAGGCTGAGGCAGGTGGATCACGAGGTCAGGAGATCGAGACCATCCTGGCTAACATGATGAAACCCCGTCTCTACTAGAAATACAAAAATTAGCTGCGTGTGGTGGCGGGCGCCTGTAGTCCCAGCTACTCGGGAGGCTGAGGCAGGAGAATGGCTTGAACCTAGGAGGCGGAGCTTGCGGTGAGCAGAGATCACGCCACTGCACTCCAGCATGGGCGACAGAGTGAGACTCTGTTAAAAACAAACAAACAAAAAAAAACCTTGATCTCCCTATCTTTTGCCCCTCTGTTCTTCAGTCCATTCTAAACAACACTGGCAGATTAACTATCCTGAAGCACCAAGTTAAGAGTGGCATTTCCCTCCATACTAGAGTCCAATGTCTCCCCATTACCAGCCACCCTCAGAGCTTCCTAGCCTAGCAGTCAAGACCATGGCCGAAGTCTTTGTAGGTTTTTGTTTGTTTATCTGTTTGTTTTTGAGACAGAGTCTCCCTCTGTTGCCCAGGCTGCAGTGTGATGGCATGATCTTGACTCACTGCAACCTCCGCCTCCCGGGTTCAAGCGATTTTCCTGCATCAGCCTCCTGAGTAGCTGGGACTACAGGTGCCCACCACCATGCCCAGCTGATTTTTGTATTTTTAGTAGAGATGGGGTTTCACCATGTTGGCCAGGCTGGTCTTGAACTCCTGACCTCAGGTGATCCACCCGCCTCAGCCTCCTAAAGTGCTGGGATTACAGGTGTGAGCCACCACAGCCAGCCCAAAGTGTTTGTAGTTTTATCTTACAGTGTTCTATCCTAAGGGATCACTAAATGCTAACAGCCAAGGTGTCCCTTTTGTTATTTCCTGAATACAACATTTACTTTACGGGGAAGTACTTTGGAAGGGAAGAATACAAGAGAGGAAGGAAAAAATGGAGAATTACCAGGGATATTTCAGTATGTGTGCATATGTGTGTGTGTGTACATGTGCACACATGTGATCCAGCCAACTTTTCTCATGTTCTAAGAGGACTTCTGCCATGGACAAATAGCTGGAAAGAGCCACTTCTGTAGTCCGTGTTGCTGCCAACTGAACCACTGTTATTCCCTCCACCTGCTTTCCATTGTTCTTACCTCTGCCGTTTGGCTCACATTATCCCTTCTACCTAGGGTGTTCCATTTTCTCCCCCACACTTCTCCTCATATCCACCTATGAAGGTCTTACCCAGCCTTCAAGGCCAGGTTCAATTTTCACCCTGTA
Organism: Homo sapiens; assembly: GCF_000001405.40. Classification (NCBI taxonomy): domain Eukaryota; kingdom Metazoa; phylum Chordata; class Mammalia; order Primates; family Hominidae; genus Homo; species Homo sapiens. The sequence continues at coordinate 133,204,412 of NC_000023.11, read as the reverse complement.
GGAAATCCACCCCACGTTCCTTCCATCCCTTCTGAGCTCTTTATGTACTGCACATGCAGCATCAATCTTTTCTAACCCTATATTTTTGCATTTTGAGTTTTTCCTCTACTAGCAGAGTCACCAAATTCAGTTCTAGTTGTGCCCTGTATAAATGTGCCTGGCTGAGGGACAAATAGGGGCTGAAATCCACTGCCAAGCCACCCTTGGAGGGAGCATCTTTTCTAATGTACAGGAAGATACAGTATGTGACAGCAGCTCTGTCTCTTAGATTATCAGCTCCTTGAAGACAGGGACTAGATCATAAACATCTTTGTGCTCCTCCTAGTCCTTTGAGCAGTGCTCACTGGAGGCCCTCTGGTGGGCATCAACCTGGACTCCCCTCTCTCTCACTCAACATATCCAATCAACCACTCTGTCTTTTCGATTCTACCTTTTAACTAATCCACAAATCTACCCATTTCTCTCTCTTTCCTTTGCTGCTTCCCTAAGGTGTTCTTGTCTTGCTTAGAGTTCAGTAGTCGAACAAATTTCTCAGGCTCCTGTCTCGCTCCCTTCCTATGCATTCTCCTTGCAGCTGCCAACTAATCTAAAATAGAAAGCTGACCATGTTACTCCCCTTCATCCTGGCTTACAGGATCCTTCTTGGTCTAGTTCTGCCCCAGCTTCATTTCTCCCTCCCCACAAGCCACCCCTTCTCCACCCTAGGTTGCCTAATCTTTTTCAGTTCCACAAAGATCTTATGTCCTCTTGCTTTTGTCCGTACACTTCTTTCTGCTTGGAATTTTTCCTGCCAGCTCCTGCCTTTAAGCAAAACACTCCTATTCATTTTTCAGGTCCCACCTTGGACATCACATTCTCCAGTATCCAAAATCAACCCCAAGTTCAGGCTAGATGCTCACGCACATACACCCTGTACTTCCCATATTACACAGTATTGCAATTGTCCATTTATATCTCTGTCTCTTTCCCTAGACTGTTAATTCTCTGAAGACAGAAAGCATGCCTTTCTTACTCATGATTATTTCTCTCACCCTTCCCTTCTTGGAGTACCTGATACATAGTAGGAGTTCATTAGTTATTTGTTGAGTGAATACATGAACCCCAGAGGCTCACTGGTTCTCATTCAAGGAGAGCTCTTTTACACACAAATTCAGATGGTGCTAGGGTAAATTTAACGTTATAATAAGGAAGAAATGTGTTTTTTTAAAGGATTGGCTATCTTTCATCAACAAAGAATATGATATATACCTAGCTGCACCAATTCAGACATACAAATCAAAATGGAGGGTGTGTATTTCAGAAAAAAAAGAAACCCTGCATTGTTTGAATTTAAATAGAGCATTTAGGAAAATTATCCCCCATTCCAGCATTCCTTTCACTGTTGTTTACTCAGTGGCTATGGTTTTCTTCTTGATTTAGTGGTGGTTGTTTTTTCCCCATAGCTTAAAATGTCTTCAGCCAAAGTAGCATTTCTGAAAACCCCCAACCAGATGTGTTCGCTCCATAATCTGAACTCTTCCTTAAGCACCTTACATGGTTTTCATCATTGTACCTAGTGTTACAATGATGAGATTAGGTATCTTACTTCCCCTCCTATTTCGTCAGCTCCTTGAGGGCAAGAACTGTCTTCTTTCATTTTCTTAATAAGTAGTGGGAACCAAGGCATATTTTTTGAATGAATAGATAGCATAAAGAATCCATCTTGTGAGCAGAAACTCTCGTCTGTGGCTCAGGCATAGTCCAGGACTAAACAACCTCTAATGCAATATACAAGACACACTCACTAGTCTGCTCTTCCCTATCCCCACCAGTAGTCATTCCCTTCTGAAAGAATTACATAGCCAATATTTATTTAATTAGAACTTAACTGCACTGAAAGAAATAAATGTAGACAAAGTGGTCATCAAAATTAAAAACTTGTGTTCAGCAAAGGACACAGTCAAGAAAGTGACAAGACAACCCACAGAATGGGAGAAAATATTTATAAATCATACATCTGATAAGGGCCCAATATCCAGAGTATATGAAAATTCTAACAATGCAACAATAAAAAGATAACAAAACCAATTAAAACATGGGCAAATAATCTGATAGGTGTTTCTCCAGAGAAGATTAAAAATGGCCAACAGGCACCTGAAAAGATGCTCAACATTATTAGCCATTAGAAAAATGCAAGTCAAAACCACAATGAGATACCACTTTATAACTACTAGGGTGGTCATAATAATAGAAAATAAGTGTTATTGAGGTCGGGCATGGTGGCTCACACCTGTAATCTCAGCACTTTGTGAGGCCGAGATGGGTGGATCACCTAAGGTTAGGAGTTGGAGACCAGCCTGACCAACATGGTGAAACCACGTCTCTACTAAAAATACAAAATTAGCTAGGTGTGGTGGCACATGCCTGTAATCCTAGCTACTTTGGAGGCTGAGGCAGGAGAATCGCTTGAACCCAGGAGGTGGAGGTTGCAGTGAGCCAAGATTGCGCCACTGCACTCCAGTCTGGGCAACAAGAGCGAAACTCCGTCTCAAAAAAAAAAAAAAAACAACAAAAAAAGTGTTATTGAGCATGTGGAGAAATTGGAGCCCTCCTGCATCGCTTGTGGGAATGTAAAATGGTGCAACAGCTTTGGAAAACAGCCTTGGCAGTTCCTCAAATGGTTAAAAGCAGAGTTACAATACAACCTAGCCATTCCACTCCTAGGAATGTAACTCAAAGAAGTAAAAAAAAATATTTGCACAAAAACTCATATGCAATGATAGAAAACACTATTTATGATAGTTAAAAAGTGGAAACAGCCAGGTGCAGTGGCTCACGCACCTGTAATCCCAGCACTTTGGGAGGCTGAAGCAGGCAGATCACTGGAGGTCAGAAGTTCAAACCAACATGGTGAAACCCCATTTCTACTAAAAATACAAAAATTAGCCAGGTGTGGTGGCACAGGCCTGTAATCTCGGCTACTCTGGGGGCTGAGGCATGAGAATCACTTGAACTTGGGAGGAGGAGGTTGCAGTGAGCCGAGATCATGCCACTGCACTTCAGCTTGGGTGACAGAGTGAGACTCCATCTCAAAAAAAAAAAAAACAAAAAAAAAAGATGGAAACAACCCAAATGTTTATCAACAGATGAGTGGATAAACAAAATGTGGTATATCCTCACAATGCAATATTATTCAGTCATAAAAAGGAATGAAGTACTGATACATACTACAGCATGGATGAACCTTGAAACACTCACTATGCTAAGTGAAAGAAGCCTGTAAAAAAGACCATGTAACAATATATTATTCCATTTGTATGGAATGTCCAAAATAGGCAAGTCCATTGAGACAGAAAGTACATTAGTGTTTGCCCGGCCTAGGTAGAGACAGGAATGGGAAGTGACTGCTTAATGGGTGCAGAGTTTCTTTTTGGGATGATGAAAATCTTCTAACATTAAATGGTGCAATTGTTGCACTGACTTTTGAATGTACTAAAAGCCACTCAATTGTGCACTTCAGAAAGGTGAACTTTATGATTTATTTATGATCTCAATAAAGCTGGTATTTAAAAAAGAAATGAATATAAATGTCTTATCACTGCAATTTCCTCCCAGTCCTTGTCAGTGCTTACACATACACTTATGTTTATAGTTGTAACCAACAAGTGCTTTTTTTTTTTTTTTTTTTTTGAGACGGAGTCTCGTTCTCACTCTGTCGCCCAGGCTGGAGTGCAGTGGCGCGATCTTGGCTCACTGCAAGCTCCGCCTCCCGGGTTCACGCCATTCTCCTGCCTCAGCCTCCTCAGTAGCTGGGACTACAGGCGCCCACCACCACGCCCAGCTAATTTTTTGTATTTTTTAGTAGAGACGGGGTTTCATCGTGTTAGCCAGGATGGTCTCGATCTCCTGACCTCGTGATCCACCCACCTCGGCCTCCCAAAGTGCTGGGATTACAGGCATGAGCCACTGCGCCCGGCCAACAAGTGTTTAATATTATGTTAAACGTTTTTACTTACTACCATTTCACATACATTCTGTGTGCTGTATTAACTTAGTTTATATGTTTGCCATTTAAAAAATAATTTTTTGGGAATATAAAATATATAATATGTAGAAAACTACAAATCATATAAATAAAGCTTGGGGAATTTTCCTAAAGTGGGTATAGCCATCTGCTTGTTATTTTGAATAGCAAAATGAAGTGTGTCGTGGTGCTATACCATTCTTGTGTACCATACTTTGCTTGGCTATTTTGCAGGGAGCTCCTAGGTTGTTTCTGATTTTTATAAAGAAATGGTTCTGGGATAACTGGCTAGCCATATGCAGAAGATTGAAGCTGGACCCCTTCCTTACACCACATACAAAAATCAACTCAAGATAGATTAAAGACAAATGTAAAACCCAAAACTATAAAAACCCTGGAAGACAACCTAGGCAATACCATCCTGGACATAGGGATGGACAAAGATTTCATGACAAAGACACCAAAAGCGATCACAACAAAAGCAAAAATTAATAAGTTAGATCTAATTAAACTTAAGAGCTCCTGCACAGCAAAAGAAGCTGTCAACACAGTAAACAGACAACCTACAGAATGGGAGAAAATATTTGCAAACTATGCAGCTGACAAAGGTCTAATATCTAGCATCTAGAAGGAACTTAAACAAATCTACAAGAGAAAACCAAACAACCCCATTAAAAAGTGGGCAAAGGACATGAACAGACACTTTTCAAAAGAAGAAATACATGTGGCCAGCAAGCATATGAAAAAAAGCTCCATGTCACTGATCATTAGAGAAATGCAAATCAAAATCACAATGAGATACCATCTCACACCAGTCAGAATGGCTATTATTAAAAATTAAAAAAAAACACAGATGCTGGTGAGGTTGCAGAGAAAGGGGAACACATACACTGTTGGTGGGAGTGTAAATTAGTTCAACCATTGTGGAAAGCACTATGGTGATTCCTCAAAGAGCTAAAAGCAGAACTACCATTCGACCCAGTAAGCCCATTGCTGGGTATATCCCCAGAGAAATATAAATGATTCTACCATAAAGACAGATGCACCCAAATGCTCATTGCAGAACTATTCACGATAGCAAAGACATGGAATCAGCCTAAATGCCCATCAATGACAGATTGGATAAAGAAAATGTGGTACGTATATACCATGGAATACCATGCAGCCCTAAAAAAGAATGATATCATGTCTATTGTGGGGGCATGGATGGAGCTGGAGCCTATTATCCTTAGCAAACTAACACAGGAACAGAAAATGAAATACTCCATGTTCTCACTTATAAGTGGGAGCTAAGATGAGAACTCATGAACACAAGGAAACAACAGACACTGGGGTCTACTTGAGGGTGGAGGGTGGGAGGAGGGAGAGGAGCAGAAAAGATCACTATTAGGTACTGAGCTTAATATCTGGGTGATGAAATAATATGTAAAACCCCTGTGACATGTTTACCTATGTAACAAACCTTCACATGTACCCCTGAACCTAAAAGTTAAAAAACCCACAAAATGATGAAGAACAATGCTATATGACCATCATTTTATATATATATTATGTTATTTCTATAGAGTATATTCTCCAAAGCAGAACTGATGGATCAAAAGAACATCAAGGCCAGGGGTGGTGGTTCATGCCTGTAATCTCAGCACTTTGGAAGGCTAAGACAGGAGGATTGCTCGAGCCGAGGAGTTCAAGACCAGCCTGGGCAACATAGTGAGACTTTGTCTCTACAAAAAATAAATATCATTTTAAAATCACATCAAATACTAGTAGACGGCTTCTTCTGAAAACAAATTAGTATACAGTTCCACTAGCAATGTGTCACTGTACCTAATTTACCATAACCTCACAAACATCAAGTTTTATCATTTTAATCTTTTCTCCCTTCGTTTATAATGTGTTGTCTTAGTCCATTTGGGCTGCTATAGCAAAATACCTTAGATTAGGTAATTTATTTATTTATTTTTTATTTTTTTAAATTGCTTTCTTTTGGGGACAGGATCTCTCTCTCTTGCCCAGGGTGGAGTGCAGTGGTATGATCATGGCTAACCACAGCCTTGACCTCCTGGGATCCAGTGATCCTCCCACCTCAGCCTTCTGAGTAGCTGGCCATACAGGTGCATGCTGCCCCCTCGACTAATTCTAAATTTTTTTGTAGAGACAGGGTCTGACTATGTTGTCCAGGCTGGTCTTGAACTCCTGATCTCAAGCATGGTAATTTACAAACAATACAAATTTATTGCTTACAGTTTTGGGGGCTGGGGAGTCCAAGATGAAGTTACTAGAAGATTTGGTGTCTGGTGAGGGCTTGCTCTGTGCTTCACCCTTCTTCCTGCATATCCTCATGAGGCAGAAGGGTGCAAGGCAGCTAGCTCCCTTCAACCTCTTTTAGAAAGGGACTAAAAAGAAAAAAAAAAGGACTAGTTCCATTCATGAGGGCAGAGAGAGCCCTAATGACTTTATCACTTCCAAAGGCCCCACCTTTATTTTTGAGAGAGGGCCTTGCTCTATCACCCAGGCTGGAGTGCCCTGGTGCCATCATAGCTCACTGTAATCTTGTACACCTGGGCTCAAGTGATCCTCCCACCTCAGCCTACTGAATAGCTGAGACCACAGGTATATGCCACTGTGCCCAGCTAATTTATTTTTATTTTTGTAGAGTTGGGGTCTTCCTATGTTGCCCAGGCCGGTCTTCAACTCCTGGCCTCAAGCCATCCTCCCACCTGGGCCTCCCAAAGTGCTAGTATTATAGGTGTGAGCCACCACACCCAGCCTCAATCTGTCACCTTTAATTTGAAACTCTTAAAGGATGAGTCTACAATCATCGTCTTCTTTCAGGAGAATTTTCCCAACAACTTGTCACATTCTATAAAATTTCTCTCAGTGGTTTTCATTTGTAGTGCATTAAATTTATATGTAAACCTAGTTACCTTTGCGATACTTGGTCTCTCCAGTATTAATTTATCTTGGTAAATAGTATCATTTATTCATGCCTTCCTTTCCTTCTCCCATCAGTATTCTGTGATTTTAATATATCTTTATTCTCTCAAATTAAGGGAATAACCAAGTATTTAACATTTTGTCATTATTCTGAATCCCCTTTTTCATATTGTCTAGCTTTGTGTCACTCTTATTAGGAATGTGACTAACTTTTGTTATTAATCTTATGCTTCTTTGCTGAACATCTTTATTATTTTTAATGAATTTTGTGTTGATGCCATGGACATCTTCCTTATAGAGTCCTGTCATTTGAGCGAGTGACATTTTTATTTTTCTTTCACATATTTATAACTTATTCTTTTTCTTCAGTCTCATTTTATTAAAAAGTTAATTAAGACTGATGAAAGAGACATCCTTGTTATACTTACGTTTTTATTAGAGTCTCCGGTGCCTCTGGCTCTTGAATTTAGGCTTGCAGAATGTTCCTCCTAAGAAAGAAAACTTCCCATGCCTTTTTATTTTGTTTAATCAGTGGAAGCTTTGAACTTTAAGAAATGTCTTCTCGCCAGCATTCTCTTTTTTTCTTTTTTTCTTTTGAGACAGAGTCTCGAGTGCAGTGGCATGATCACAGCTCACTGCAGTCTCAACTTCCCAGGTTCAAGCGATCTTCCCACTTCAGCCTCCTCAGTAGCTGGGACCACAGGCCTGTACTACCACACCTGGCTGATTTTTAAAAAATTTTTGTAGAGATGGGTCTCACTATGTAGCCCCAGCTGGTCTTGAACTCGTGAGTTCAAGCAATTCTCCCACTTCGGCCTCCCAAAGTGTTGGGATTACAGGCGTGAGCCCCCGTACCCGGTCTCACCAACTTTTGAAATATCAAGCATCAGCTCAAAACATCTTTGGTAAGGTTATCTAATATGACCCCCATCCCCCACCTGCAGTCACTCTATCGTGTCATCCTGTCTTATTTTCTTCAAAGCACTTGTCACCCTGTGAAACTATTCTAGTTAGCTACTGGCTTGTTATCTATCTCCACCATGAGACTAGAGGCTTCAAGAGAGCCAGGCTCATTGCCTGTCTTGTTCACTGTTGTATCCCCAGTGTCTAGAACAGTACTTGATAAATACTAGGCTCTCAATACATATTTGTTGAAGGCATACGTGGATAGGATTTTTATATTTTGTCCATTAATATGATATCTTATGTTAACAGTGTTTCAAGGCTGGGTGCGGTGGCTTATGCCTATAATCCCAGTACTTTGGGAGGCAAAAGTGGGTGGATCCCTTGAGCCCAGGAGCTTGACACCAGCCTGGGCAACATGGTGAAATCCCATCTCTACAAAAAAATACAAAAATTAGCCAGGCATGGTAGTGCACACCTGTAGTCCCAGCTACTTGGGAGGCTGAGGTGTGAGGGTTGCTTGAGCCCAGAAGGTCAAAGCTGCAGTAAGCCATGATCACGCCACTGCACTCCTGCCTGGGTGACAGTGAGAACCTGTCTCGAAAACAAAATAAAATACAAAAAACAGTGTTCGTAACATTATAATTTTTTTGTAAGCCTTCCACCGGGTCACAGCAGTACTGCATTCTTTTTGCTACAGTATTTTTTAGAAGTTCTGTATTCATATTCACAAGACTAACCTGTACTTTTCTTTCTTTATATTGTTGTTTCCTTATATATATTTTAAAAAACATATTTGTCTCATAAAACAAGTTTGGTAAGACACCCTTTTCTATATTTTTTAACAGATTGTTTAATAGAAGGATTGTTCCTTAGAAAAATTCTCTAGTGAATTGATCAGAGCCAGGTGCCTGATTTTATATTATTTTAATACTCCTTTTTCTATTGCTTTTCTCTAAGAATAATCCATTCATGCTAATTTTCCCATGTCATAGTTGATATTGTGTATATTTGTGCATGTCCTCATTCATAGCTACTCAGTTATTACTTTCATTAGCATGTAGGTGAAAATGATAATAGCTCACTCCATTTAATCATGTATTAATTCAATAAATAGTTATTGAGTCATTGCCCCTAAAGGCTGGTGGCATAAAAATGAACAAGATACATTGTCTGGGCCAGGTGCAGTGGCTAACATCTGTAATCCTGACCTTGGGAGACTGAGGCAGGAAGATTGCTTGGGGCCAAGGGTTCAAGACCAGCCTGGGCAACATAGCAAGACCTCATCTCTACAATTCAAAAATTTAGCCAAGCATGGTGGCACATGCCTGTGGTCCCAGCCCCTTGGGAGGCTGAGATGGGAGGATCACCTGCTGCAGTGAGCCATAATGACACTACCACACTGCAGCCTGGGCAACAGAGTGAGACCCTATCTCAAAATAATAATAATAATAATAATGATAACAATACAGTCTCTGTTCTCACGGACTCTATAATCAGGTTGTAGAGTGTGCTGGTTGGTCCCTGTTGGTGTCCCCCATAACCCTACTGTAACTCATTCTTTGCCCTGCTCTGCCCTAAGAGGCTGACCTCTGTGGACTCAATCACCAAGGCTCTTCTGCCCTCTGGCTTCAGGTAGGATTCCACATTTGGGAGGAATGGCAGGAAATGAAAGTTTCACAGGAAGTGAGAAGTTGGGAGGTACAAGAGACTGGCATATTTATTCCGTTGGCTCCCTGCCTTGCAGGCTGTGTTTTAGTAGTGGCTTCATTCTTCTACCCATTGCCATAGCTTCTGGGAGGCAGCCCCTCTCTACCAGCTTCAATTCTTGCCATGCTTTCCCGAAACCATTCCTGCTGCTTGCCTCTTTGGGCTAGGGGTGGTAGAGACTTGCTGTTGCTTGCCCCAGGGTGCTGCAGCATCCCTTGTTGGTTCCCTTAACCCTGTGCATATTATTGCAAATAGTCCCTTTATTAGATTTTCCTCTGTAAAACCTTTTGGAGTATGGCATCTGTTTCCTGCCAGAAGCCTATTAATATAAGGAGATGGACAAATAAACATATAATTAAAGTATAGTGTGATAAATGTTTTAATAGCAATATACAGAATGCTATAGAAAGAGAGAAGAGGGGCACATAACCCCAAGTATTTTGAATTTGTCTTATTGTTAAATCTCTTGTATCTAATTTATTACATTGTGTGTGTTTTTAATCTTTTGTAAATCATTTGGCCAGTGGTTGTTAGTTCCACTGATTTTTCAAAGAAACAACTATTGGGGTTTTATTTTTGTTTTTACCAAATGGTTATTTTTATCTTTTCAATTTTGTTTAATATATATATATTTATTTATTTAGGGACAGGGTCTTGCTCTGTTACCCAGGGGCCGGAGTGCAATGGCACGATCACAGCTCCCTGCAGTTCAGAACTCCTGGGCTCAAGCCATTTTCCCACCTCAGCCTCCCGAGTAGCTGGGACCACAGGCCCATGCCACTACGCCCAGCTAATTTTTGTATTTTTTTGGTAGAGACAGGGTTTCACCATGTTGCTCAGGCTGGTCTCGAACTCCTGGGCTCAAATGATCCACCTGCCTTGGCCTCCCAAATTGTTGTGATGACAGGTGCGAGCCACCGTGCTCAGCTCATTTTGCTTATTTTTATTTGGGATTTTCTGTTTCTATATTTTGGGAGGTTGCTTTATTCCCTTTTAAAGGGATTTAGAGATTTAGTTCATTCTATTCCTGTTGCTCTTTCTTTCTTATTGATATAGGCATTTACAGTGCTACATTTTCTTTTAAGTACTGCATTGGCAGCATTCTATGTATTATGAAATGCTGTATTTATATTTCATTAAAAATTATTCTGTCATTTTGCTCTGCATTTTTTTCCTGACCTGGGAATAACCTAAGAGTCTTAAAAATTCTATATTGTTGTTTATTATTTAATTATATTCTTGCTATATATTTTCAATGTTAATTCATTACAGTCTGAGAATGTAGAATTTAAGAAATATTTACAAAATGCATTTGCATTCTCTGTATGTGATTGACTTTTGTGACATTTCTATGTTAACCAATAGTAAAGTATGTTTCCATTGCATGAACATGAAGTTATCTCTATGTTGTAATGTTGTCCAGAGCTGCTCTCTGGGTGCATATCCTTCTTTGTTATTTTGAGGCAGAGTCTTGCTCTGTTGCCCAGAAGGCTGGAGTGCAGTGGCACAATCTCGGCTCACTGCAACCTCCACCTCCTGGGTTCAAGTGATTCTCATGCCTCAGCCTCTCGAGTAGCTGGGATTACAGGTTTGTGCCAGCACGCCCAGCTAATTTTTGTAGTTTTAGTAGAGACGGAGTTTCACCACGTTGGCCAGGTTGGTCTCGAACTCTTGACCTCAGGTGATCCACCCATCTTAATGTCCCAAAGTGCTGGGATTACAAGCATAAGCCACTGAGCTGGGCCCATGTCTCAACTTTGAATCAGAGTGTCTTTCTTTTTTCTTTGCCCAATTATTATTATTATGATTATTACTTTTTTGAGACAGGGTCACCAAGGCTGGAATGTGGTGGTACCATCATGGCTCACTGCAACCTCAAACTCCCAGACTCACGTGATCCTCCAAACTCAGCCTCCTGAGTATCTGGGACTATTGGCATGCACCACCACACCTGGCTAATTTATTTTTTAATTTTTAGTAGAGACAAGATATCGCTCTGTTGCCCAGGTTAGTCTTAAACTCCTGGGCTCAAGTGATCTTCCTGCCTCAGCCTCGTGAGTAGCTGAGACCACAGACATGTGCCACCACACCTAGCTAATTATTTCTATTTTTTGTAGAGAATTCCTGGACTCAAGAGACCCTCCCGCCTCAGCTTCCCAAAGCACTGGGATTACCAGCATGAACCAACATGCCTGGCGAGTTTTCTTATCTATTAAATGTTAACCAAATATTAGAGGATTGCTGTAAGAATTAAATGCAATTAAAATGTGGAAAGTCTCTGTGGGACTCTCTTGACAACTTGTTTCAGTTTTTCTAGAACCTAAAACATACTGCTTTCCAAAGAAACCTCAATTTGTTTGGACCCTTGTTGTAATATCTCCAATTCACTTAGTGTTGCTTAGATTTTCCTCTCATTATTTTTTCTTCTCCAGAGCATGAGGTGCAAGCTTTGGAGGCATTCTTTAAATATTTTCTTAATTTTCCTTGAACACCCAATAATGTCCTTCATCTTAAAGTGTAAATATTTGGTATATAGGTAGCAGGCTTTGAAACCAGATTTTTTTTGACTCTTGAATTCAATGCACTTCGAAGTGCATTAGGATTGCTAGGAGAAGATGAGACAATAGGATCCCTCCTCATCTCTCACTACTACCGTCATTAAAACAAAGCCACAAAACCAGTGACCCTTTACGTAACTGGAAAAATCGTGAAAGGTAGGCAGGTAGTTTAGGGACAGTGAGGTTTATTGAGTTCTTGGATTCTTTTTCCCTTCAATTAACTTGGTAATCCCTAGGTATAATAGCTTTTTGGACGATTAAAAGATTTGGAAACAATGATACAACATAAGTCATATGAGAGACAATTTTATAATGCTGCTGATTCATTTTATAATTGTCCTAAGCCTGAGTCCTGGTGGTACAAAACAATGCTTTGTTGTTTTCAGAAACTTTGAGAGAGCAACTCTGGCATAACATCTTTCACTTCCCAGAGAAAATATAGCTTTCAATGAGCAATCCAATTGTGGGTTTAAGAAGAACGTTTTCTGGGGACAGAGAATGAGTATTCAGTGTTGTGGTCTTGCAATGAGATCCAGAATTGTTTGTTCCCATGGGAAGGAGTTCAAGAAGGGCACCTCAGAGGGAAATTTCAGCCCTTCTCTGTGGCTCAAGTATGAGAATGGGAAGCGAAACGTAGATGTTTGAAGAGGAGAGCCAGGACTGGCCTTCCAGGAACACAGTCACTTGCCTGCTGTAATTTGAGAGGTACCAGAAGGCCTCCCTCTCACCATGTACTATCTGCCCCCAGCATTGATGTCAGCAATTTCACCTGAGCATTCTTGTGTTAAGCATGACCATCTTTAAAAGCACAAATCACCCTCGTGCCAGTTCCCATTAATCCTCCAGTACGATTTAATTTCTCAGATATCTTTCCTTTCCTCTCTGACCACGGAAACCAGGTTTTGGTTGCTTTGGGAGGAAGAATAGGCTAGGAATGCAGAGAGAGCTTGTACCTGCCCCATTCACATCTCCCCCAGCCATTTGGAGTCAGTTCCCTTAGCATTGTTACAAAGTTCCCCAACACATCTGCTCCACTTAAGGTTTCAGGTTCCTGGAGCCCTGGGTCTCAGCAGGAGCCCCAGAGGCCTTTGCAGGAGTTGTTCTTTGTGGCAAGATTGGTTTAAGGCCCTCGGTGGGCCCCGTGTCTAGGAGCACCTGCTACGCTGTTTGCAGAGGTAGGTGAGAGGTGGCCCTCTGGCTGGGGACAAGAGCTGGAGCGGCTCTGCCACAAGCCAAATGACCTGCTTGAGCTCTCAGCCAGGGCTGTCTTTCTACCCATCTGCTGCTCAGCCCCAGAGGGAGCCCCTCACTCGTGGGAAGAAAGGGCTCTTTTGGCCTTCCTTAAAGGTGCTGGCTGAGATGAAGGGGAAAAGAAGTGCCAGGAAATGGAAGACAAACACTCACATTCCAAAGGGGAAGGATGGAGTTCAGCAGAAGGAAAGCACTGACTTATGTATATTATCTCATGTAGATAAGAAAAAATTTACCTGACTCACAGCTGGTGGAGGGGAGAAAGGAACTGGGGTACTCCTGGGGAGAGAGGGGTGTTTCTGTGTCCTAACTCCTGACTTGCAAAGGCAGCTGGCCTGTTTAATTTCCTTCCAGGTTCCTAAGGCTCAGGACTTCTAGGGCCATTAGACTGCCAGGAAGGGCCTAAAGCCAAATCATGAGGTAGGTAGAGTGGAGCTTTGCTATGTTCCTCCTGACTTCTGCCTTCAGTTCCCATCCTGGGACCCCTTCCCCTCTTTCCTTTTAACATTCTGAGTTGGGTTCTTCTGTGGCCTCTCTCCTGCCTCAGGAGAAAGAACCTAAGGCTTCATTCAAAATGTAGGGGTGGGCCAGGTGTGGTGGCTCACACCTGTAATCCCAACACTTTGGGAGGCCGAGGCGGGTGGATCACCTGAGGTCAGGAGTTTGGGACCAGCCTGTCCAACATGGTGAAACCCCGTCTCTACTAAAAACACAAAAAATTAGCCAGGCGTGGCAGCAGGTGCCAGGAATCCCAGCTACTCGGGAGGCTGAGGCAGGAGAATCGCTTGAACCCGGGAGACAGAGGTTGCAGTGAGCCAAGATCGTGCCACTGCACTCCAGCCTGGGTGACGAGAGGGAAACTCCGTCTCAAAAAAAAAAAAAAAAAAAAGTATGGGTGATGTCTTCAAGTGGCATCCTACCCCGTGGAATTGCCTCTTTAGGAGGATGGTAGAGGCCAGGCACAGTGGCTCACACCTGTCATCCCAGCACTTTGGGATGCTGGGGTGGGAGGATTGCTTGAGCCCAGGAATTCAAGACTAGCCTGGGCAAGATAGTGACACCCCTTCTATACAAATAAGTTAAAAATCAGCTGAGCATGGCGCTGCACACCTGTAGTCCTTGCTACTTGGGAGGCTGAGGTGGGAGGATCACATGAGTCCATGAGTTTGAGGCTGCAGTGAGGCATGATCGTGTCACTGCACTCCAGCTGGGGCAACAGAGCAAGACCTTGTCTCAAAAAAAAAAAAAAAGAAAAAAAAGAAAAAAGGAGGATGGTAAAGGCAGAGGACACCACCTCACCACTAGACCTGAGTCTCTACGGGCAGAATTTCAGGTCAGGGCAATAAGTCTATGTCTCTGGAAGGGAAGGACCTGGTGTTGTGAGCCTTCAAGAGCAGCCCAAGAATTGCCATCCCCAGAAGAGAGAATTCTGAGTTCATTTCCAGCCTGTGACTCTGTGTCCTGGGCTCTCTCCCACCACCCTAGAATGTACCTCTCGAGCATTTTGGCAATAGCAGCCCTTTTTCTTTCTGTCTGACGCTTCTTTAAGTGTACACAGTGATACTTTAGGCTGAGGCTATGTTTGAATGAAATCGAAACAGTCAGCCCTGCCTTCGATTAGAATTCAGACACGCTGGAAAACTCCCAAAGCTTCACCTGTTTGTGGTTAATCTGCACCAATCACAGCTCTGCACTGTCAAGGCAGTTACAGAGAATTCAAGTATTCAAATCGAGGGGAGAACCTCCTAGTCATCCTTTCCCAGGCCCAGAACCAGAGATCCTAGCAAAGAAGACGGCTTTTAATGGAGTCCGAGGGGCTCCTAAACAAATATGAAGTTTAACATTAGTGTTTAGAAAAGTTACTCAAGATTATTCTTTTAAAATCTATTTTATAAACTGCCAGCTAGCAGGCCTCCCAGGATCATTTTTAATTTTCCAGAGCTCGTATATGAAAACTGTCCCCAGAGACCCCAGGCAGCCAGCAACATCCTCCTACTGATAAGCAAGAAAGAGGAATCATGAGAAGAGAATTTTGGAGCAAGAGCTAAATGTATTCAAAGGCAAATTAAAATTAGGCATCCGTCTGAAGAAACATATGGCTTGAAAATGACCATTCCTACCTCCATTGGGGAGTTTTTCATTCTCTACGCCAGCCCTTTAAGTGCATCCCTGTGGAATGAAACTGGAGTTCCCAGGCCCAGTCTTCAGGCAATTGTGTGAGTCAATTGCCTTCTTGTTTGGTGAAGAGAATAAGCCATTATTTACAGTTGTCTCTCAGGAGCCTCCGGGAGATGCAAAATAATTGCAGTTCCCAGCAATGTGATTAAACTGTGCTTAAGAGATGCCCTGCAGCAAGTACAGAACAGAAAAGTGAGCAAATACTTTGTTCCAATGGATGTTTAAATTGGAAAAGCTTACACAAGACTTTCCAGCCAAACAAAGGAGGAAACTTGAAGGACATCTTTCAAATACATTTTTTTTTTATGCGACAGGGTCTCATTCTGTCACCCAGGCTGGAGTGCAGTGATGTGAACATTGCTCACTGCAGCCTCAACTTCCTGGGCTTAAGCGATCCCCCTACCTCAGCCTCCCGAGTAGCTCAGACTACAGGTGCGCATCACCACTCCTGGCTAATTTTTGTATTTTTTGTAGAGTTGTGTTGTGGGGGGTGGGGAGGGGATGTCTCACCATGGCTGGCCTCAAACTCCTGGACTCAAGCAAACTCACCATGTTGCCCAGCTGGTTTCAAACTCCTGGACTCAAGCAATCTTCCCACCTCAGCCTCCCAAAATGCTGGGATTACAGGCATAAGCCACTGCACCTGGCCGTCAAATACATTCTTAAAGCATGTTGGGGCAAATATCTTTCTTGGATTTAGGGAATCACTTCAGAATGGAGACCCCAGAGCTGACTGAAGCCAGTGAAAGCCCGAGTCATGTGATTTATTGGCCTAGCTTGTGTCTAGGAGAAATCTAATCTTAGAGTGGGTCCTTTTAGATTTTCTGAACACATAGGGGTTCCAGGAAGGGAGTATCCACCCAGGCCTTTGCAGCCAAGGGAAACCTTGGGGAGCCCTCAGGAGATGGAAATGGGGAGAGGAGAGAAGGGCATGGGAAAAACAAGAGGATAAACATTCCAAAAGGTGTAAGGGAAGGCCCCAGAGAATTCCTGCTTTTCCCTAAATCTGCTACTTGAAATTTGAGTGTATGTGCATTTTTTTTCTTTCCATAATTTCTTAATTAGAAACTCGGGTAAATCCCGTTGCTATGAGCTGAGAGCTCAGGCTTGTCAACTAGAAAGCACACCTGCATCAGGGTGGGGAAAAGCACATTTCCTTCCATCTTAACATTTGTCTTTCATTTGGGCAAATGAGGGAAGGAATTCTGCTCAACCCAACAGACTCTGTGGGTTATAGGATCTTGGATGAAGCACTTCCCTGCTCGCAGATTTAGTTTTCTCACCTTTGTTTCTTTTTTTGAGATGGAGTCTTGCTCTGTCGCCCAGGCTGGAGTGCAGTGGCATGATCTCAGCTCACTGCAGCCTCTGCCTCCTGAGTTTGAGCAATTCTCATGCCTCAGCCTCCCCAGTAGCTGGGACTACAGACGTGTGCCACCGCACCTGGCTGTGTGTGTGTGTGTGTGTGTGTGTGTGTGTGTGTGTTTAGTAGAGACGGGGCTTCAACATGTTGGCCAGGCTGGTTTCGAACTCCTGACCTCAAGTGATCCACCCGCCTCAGCCACCCAAAGTGCTGGGATTACAGGTTTGAGCCACTGCGCCCGGGCAGTTTTCTCACCTTTCAAATGAAGAAATTCATCATCTTTAAAAATCCCTTCTCATTCTAGATATCTGTGTGTGCTAAGGATATGAGCTGTCATCTCAGGTGCTATGTGTTCTTCTCAGGTTCATTTTCCCGTTTTCAAAGGTAATGCTTCCAGCAGTTTGGGGCCTATACTCTATTCCCCCTTTTATTCCCTTCATCCAGTAGATTTTCCTCAGCAGTGAGCTCTTCTTGAAGACACCAAGAATGTGAACCTATTAGTATTCCAGACCAGCTGATGTCTTAGTCTGGCTTGATTATTTGTCTTCTCAGGGAATTTCCTAAAAGGTAGAGGTATACCTAGTAGTTTTTCAAAGATTTATGATTTTTATTAGACTACTATTCTAAGTGAATTAGAAGTGCATCTGTGGAGTGATAGTAAGTTGGTTACACAAAATTTCTGAATAAAATTTTGTCTAGCAATGTTCAAAAAAAAAAAAAAAGAAGTGCATCTGTGGGTATAATCTGATGCCAACAGATTTCAAACACAGATAACTGTTGGTTGGGTGGCAGGCATAGGATGTGTTTGGAGCATGGGCTTTGGAGTTAGGCAGACCTGAATTTGAATCCAGGGGTCTCTGTACATCTTACTAGATGGGTGACCTTTGATATGTTACCTAGTCACCCTAAGTATAACTTTTCTCATTTGTGAAAAGGGTTGTGGTAAAATTCTCATCGAGTGTGCTGAGAATTGAACAAGAAACACACACAAAACACCAGCACAGAGTCTGGGACATAGTATTCAGTCAATGCAGCCATTGTTGTTATTATATAACCTGGCTAATATCGACCACCTCTATGTTTGCTGCAGTATGTAGTTCAAAGCACCCACTTCTTTCACATTGCTGAGTGTTTGCTGTTGAATTTCTCTGCCTCTTTCCTGCTCCTTTCCCTGGCCCTGTCCATCCCTTTTCCCACCTTATGTTTCTCTTCCTCCCTCCTCCTCAACCTTTATGTTTTCCTCCTTTTCTCCTTGTTTCACCTTCCCTATCGCCCTACTCCTCATACACTCACCTTCACACAAACACCCTTTGTACCTGTCTTGGCAGCTTTCCTAGTTCAGTCTGACTCACTCAGGATGTAACCTTGAAGTCAATAACAATAGCAATTAACTCATATAAGTCCACACTATGTGCTTGATGTGTAACAACTCATTTAATCCTGTGAGGTGGCTACTATTAGTATCCCCGTTTTATGGATGAAGGCAGGAAACAAAGAGAAGTTAAGTAAACTGCTCAAGGTCATATAGCTAGTAGGTAGTGGGAATGGGATCCAAGCCTAGAGAGTTTGGCTCCAGGATCTCTGTTCCAGGATTTGTGCTTTTAGTCACTATGGGACATTGCCTCTGTGAAGTAAAGAGATGTGATATCTCATGTCCCCACAGATAATCTAAACAATGAACAAAGCACTGATTGATCATTGAACAGAGCTTGAATGTCCATGGTTTTAGTGGTTGTCATGTACTATGAGTTGAACCTTTGCTTCCCTAGGTCATAAAAGCAGGAAGGAAGGGGAAAAGATAGAGTGGTATAGTGCGATGGGATGTGAATAATGGTCACAATGAGAATGAAAATAGACCTGCAGTCCAAACCTTCCCCAAGGTGCATCCCTGAGCAGGCCCTGGGAGCTCAGTCACAGGTACCAGAAAGCTGAGGCTTCTACTTCTGACGCTACCTTTGCTGTTTTGCAGGACTTTTCCTTAGTTCAGCTAAAGATGGGGTCCTTGCTACACAGCCACAAAAATTTAGGCCTGCAGACAATTTGAAGGGTGAGTAAGGCGGGGTTTTATTGGGTGAAAGGGGAAAAAACGGGAAACAGGGACCCTCCGCAAAGCCAGAGTCTCTGCTGGCGCACTTCCTGCCTCTCAGTTTGAATCCCAGGTTCCACACAGGAAGAGGAAGGCCCAGGCTCCTCCCCACTGCAAATGGCATGAACTTCCTGAGGCCCCACCCCAGTGTGCATTCCTCCTAGCATGCAGGCTGGTTGGAGTTTTGCCAGGGAGCCCCTTATACTTGGCTGTCTCACTGTCACAGCTTGAATGGACTTTGCTCTTCCCATAGTTGCTGAGGCTGGTCTTCCTCAGGTAGCTAAGGGCTCTCTTCCTGCCAGAGTTAAAACTATTTTAGTAGATCTCTTGTACCATTCAATCAGTTTCCCCATCTATAAGTGGGAATTTTCATATCTACCTTGTAGGGTAGAGTTATAACTGGAATAGGTCTGTTGCAAGTCAGTACACCAAGACACCAGGTTGCAGCAGAGAAAGAGGTTTAATCGTAGGGCTGCCAAACCAGGAGATGAGAGGAAACCTCAAATCCATCTCCTGAAGGAGTTTTTGGCTAGGGTTTTAAGAGTTTTGGAGTGGGGCTGAAGTGTGGAGATTGTTGATTGGTTAAAGAGTGTAGGGTAAAGTCATGGGACAGGGAGGTGAATAAACTGGATTCTCATACTGATTCCGTTCCTCTGTGGGGGTCTTCAAACTGTTGACATCATCTGTTTTGCTGGGATTCAGGATCTGAAAAAAAAATCATAAGCAATTCTCAAACCAAAGCCTTATGATTTTGATGTCAGAGAGCCTACCATAGGAACAATGGGGATGCAAATGTGACTTTCAGTTACAAGGAAGTAGGTCAAAGTGCAGCCTAATTAATGCTTAATTATAACTATATTTCTGTCCACAATTCTTGTTACCCTTTGAGGATGGCTTCAGAATAACTGTGGGCTTAAAGAAGATGGGGTGTATAAAACACACTTAATACTATTCCTGGCTCAGAGTGAACATTTTTAATAGGCATCCAAAAAGTTGACCTATACCTTTCTCTACCTGACACCACCCCACTTGCAATCCCTTGTGAAAACTGGGTAACTCTGCTACCTGGGGAGAATCCCTTAACCATCTGGTGTATACTCTTCTCCACCTTCTCCAGCCCTAAGGCTAGGAATAGTAGCCTTTGCCCTTCTTCTTTGGGACCTAAATCCAAGTGTTTCTGCACCCCCTCTGTAGGACAGGTGTGTGACCTTGTGCAACTCATTTCCCTTTAGTGGGCTTTCATTCCCCCTATATTAGATGAGAGGGTTGGACTTAGGGCATGATTCATAACTTAGGGTCCCTGAAGGTTGTGGGGGGAATCTGTGCACACTTACCTGCAAAGTATAACTCAAACATCTAATGTCTACACTGAGACATGTCTTACTGGAAAGTTATGTGCATGTTTCAACATGTTAGTTGCTGCAGCTTTTGGAATGTTTTCCCGTTGGTTATATAAATTGATTCAAATCCCATCCATTCTGTTCAGTGAGTTGTTTCTTAGTGTGTGAGTCCCTAATTTATCTGACGATAGAACTTACCTCATTCATTCTTCAAATCCATTAACCTCCAAAAGTAGAGACAGGAATTGGAATTGGAAGGCAAAATTAATATTGCTTTGATAGAAATTTAACACTTTAATTATCTGAGGTAGTTGGGCAATGAGGAATTCAAGTTATCTAATGAGGGGTTGATAGTTCCTCTTTATGCAACGAAGCAGCTTTGTAGGAAAAGTTTTCTTGCATAGGGGTGGAGTCCAGGATCTCAGGATCATCACTCTCCACTGTCCTGCAGCATCTTTCTAAGCCCAGATGTTTTTAAAATTTTTTTTTGAGAAAGGGTCTCACTCACTGTAACCTCAAAATCCTGGGCTCAAGTAATCCTCCTGCGCTCAGCCTCCCAAGTGGCTAGACCTACAGGTACATACCACCACACCTGGCTAATTTTAAAAAAAATTGTTTAAGAGACAGGGTTTCACTATGTTGCCTAGGCTGGTCTTGAACTCCTGGCCTCAAGTGATCCTCCTGCCTCAGCCTCCCAAAGTGCTGGGATTACAAGCATGAGCCACTACACCTGGCCCAAATTCCAGGTTTTCAATCTCGTAGCTAGACCAGGGCTTAGCAAACTGTGGCCCATGTATCAAATCTGGCTCACCACCTCTGTTTGTATACCTGTTTTAGTAGCTAACATGGTTTTTCCACTTTTAAATGTTTGAAAAGAGGACTATTTTGTTAAACATGACAGTTATGTAAAATTAAAATGTCAGTGGCCATAAAATTTTATCAGAACACAGCCACAGTTATTCATTTACATATTGTCTATGACTACTCTTGTACTCCAACAGTAGAGTTGATTAATTGTGAAGGGACCTGTATGTCCCACAAACCTAAACATTGACTAGCTGGCTTTTTACAGAAAAACTTTGCCAGCCCCTAAGCTAGATTGTCAGTCGTAGTGTTACAGACTTGGGAAGAATTTCATGAGGACCCAAAGTCCTAGCTGCCTCTGGCCTAGCAGAATAAGCCCAGAGGGGATCTAGCAACCCCCTACCCCTACCCAGCACAGATTCCAAACCTCAAAACAAGTTAGAAGGCAGAAAGCAGGGCCAGGCATGGTGGCTCATGCCTGTAACCCCTGCATTTTGGAGGCCGAGGCAGGTGGATCACTTGCGGTCAGGAGTTCGAGACCAGCCTGGGCAACATAGTGAAACCCCGTCTCTACTAAAAATACAAAAGTTAGCTGGGTGTGGTGGCAGGTGCATGTAATCCCAGCTACTCTGGAGGCTGAGGCAGGAGATTTGCTTGATCCCGGGAGGCAGAGGTTGCAGTGAGCTGAGATTGCACCATTGCACTCCAGCCTGGGTGACAGAGCAAGACTCTGTCTCAAAAAAAAAAAAAAGGCGGAAAGCACTAAAATGATTCATATTCCCAGGGTGGCCAGTTGTTTTGCAATGTTCTGGTTTGAGGCTCAGAACAGGGGAAGAACCTCTGACCTGTGGAGCCCACCTCTGCCTTTGCTCCTAGGGACAGAAGAACTTGAGAGGTCCATAGTGTTCTACATGTAAACTTATGAACACAAGTGAGACAGCCTCAAAGAACAGATCGGAGTTATTCTGACAGCTTTCATGGCCAAAGGACTTCCAGATGGAGTTTGTCAATTTGCTGATATTTTTCACCTTCTAAAGAACACGTCTAAACCCCAAGTCATCCCTTCACCTGTGTGCAGGTATAAAACCCTCATCCTTTCATGAAAAAAATAATTTTATTTCAGAACTTAATGTTGAGATTTAGAAAAAAGGCAGAAAAACTACTTCTAAGAGCCAAAAAACGCAATGTATTTCAAAAGGTGGTGACAACTTCCTCTGAAGTCCAGAGTTCAGGGAAACAGGAGGTGATGGTAACTCGCACACCCAGCACCTGCTCATCACACGACTCCCTTTCTGTCTCCTCCTTTCCTTGCTGTCTGTCTTGGCTGTTCTCTCTGGTTCTCCTTCCAGATTGATTTTATCCCCTCTGCTGTCTCCTACCCCATGTGTCCGTAATATGAAATGTAAGAAAGCTTTTTATCACTTGTAACTAGAATTTATGGTTTCAACTCTTAATTTTAAAAGCAGTTATGTGAAATCATTTCTGTTTCTCAAACAAAATTGCTTTTTACACTTTGGTCTGCTATGGTAACAGTACTAACAGCTACCATTAATTGAGCACTTACTAAGTGCTGGACACTCTATTAGGCACTTAGAATGTTATAAGACACTTAATACTCACAAGTGTCCTATGCACTATCACATCTCTCTCATTTCAAAGGTGAGGAAATGGAGGCACAGACACTAAATGTATTGTCCAAAGTCCTCTGGTTTATAACTAGCAAAGAGGTCAAAACTCAGGCAGTTTTGTTCCTGGGCCCACATCCTCAACCACAAAACTTAACTAATGGCCTTCTGTTGTTAAATGTCCCTTAGCTTAGAGAAGGCACAAAAGCTCCCCTATTTATCATTTCAGGTTCTCCTGGAGAATTTTATTCTTTGGGTGTGTGGCTCTCCAATGGATATAACAGCCTACTTTTATTTTCCCAGAAGTATTAATAGAGATGGAGAGGAAGGCCTGGAATCCTCACACTTCCTGTTCACTCTAACTCAAAGATGGTTGATTTTCTCCTGTTTCTGCCTCTCCATGGAACACATTCACTGCAAACAAAACCCTCTCCTTTCCTTACCTTTTCAATTTCACAGGGCATGAAAGAGGTGGGGTTCATCATTCTCTTCTGCCATATCCAGGCTATTATTCCATGGCCATTGCTCACCAACCCCCTTGATTTTGAAGCCTGATAATGAAAATGACCAAAGGGAATACTTGGAGGGGATAACCATTAGTCCAGATTCATGAATTTCTTACAGTGGAAACATCAGTATTGTGTGGTCTGGGGGCTATAGGCTCTGGGCCCCTGAAAGATTCTCAAAAAATCACTGAAATGGGGTGGATTGGTTAATAGGAGAAAAAGTATACAAATTTATTTAACATGCATATATGGAAGCCCTCAGGATGAAGACCCAACTTCTCAATGAGTCACAGAAACTTATATACCATTTTGAGGTTACAGAAAGAGTTGGGGCTTCGATTCTGGTAAAAACAAGTTATAGGAGAGAGAGAAGAGGCTTGGCTAGCAAAGGTAGCCTTGTTATGTAGATGAAGCCTCTCTTGAGAGCATAAATGGTAAATATTTCTGTATTAGTCTGTTCTCGCACTGCTATAAAGAAATACCTGAGACGGGGTAATTTACAAAGGAAAGAGATTTAGTTGGCTCACCGTTCTATAGGCTGTTCAGGAGGCATAGCAGCTTCTGCTTCTGGGGAGGCCTCAGGGAACTTCCAATCATGGTGGAGGGCAAAGGGTGAGTGAAGTATCTCCCAGGGCAAGAGCAGAAGCAAGAGAGCAAGGCTGGGGGGGTGCTACATACTTTTAAACCACCACGTCTCAGGATAACTTGCTCATTCGCTATCATGAAGGCAGTACCGGGTGATAGTGCTAAACCATTCATGAGAAATCCGCCCCCAAGATCCATTCACCTCCCACCAGGTCTCACCCCCAACACTGGGGAATACTATTTGACATGAGATTGGTGGGGACACAGATCCAAACCGTATCCGTTTCTTTTCAGACTTTTAAAGGGGTCAGACCTTCAATTTCTCCCTGGATCTGGGGCAAGGCATAGAGAGGGGAGGGGGCATGGCTGTATTAATGGGGATTCTCTACAGATACAAATTTTCCCCTCTTAAGAAGCTGTGTTAAGTGGGGAAAGAAGGGGCCTTACAAAGCTTTGTAAGGCCACTTTTGTCAAGATGGCTAAGCAGCAGCCCTTTCAAAATATGTCAAAGAAATATATTTTGGGGGTAAAATAATTTAATTTCTTTCAGTGGGAAATATTCTCTATCTGGGGTACCTTCTTGGAAATTAGAGATGTTAGTGTTTATTGAGCATTTAGTATATGCCAGACTTTGTTCTAAAGACTTTATAGATATAATCTCATTAAGCCTTAAGATCCCTACAACTTTGTGAGGGAGACTGACAGATGAAAGAAACAAAGCCCAAAGAGGTCAAGAGACTTGAACAAAATGTCATACAGCTGGTGAAATATTGGAGCCTGGTTGAAACCCAAATCTGTCTGACTTTAAAGCTTATTCTTAGAAACCAATTGCTGAATTGATGACTGTGTTGTAAATGGGGGAGTAAGCCCCCTTGTGGGGTCTTTAAGGATCACTCCAACAGGGCCATAGAAATTGCACTCAGAGAGACATCTGAAATTAAAGCATTTATTATACTCACAGGTCCTAGAGAGGGAGGCACGCCATGCAGAGGACCATATGGGAGGAGTACCAATGGAGTGGACTCAACCAAGCCGGTAGGAGTGGAAGGGGGACGGGGTAGGGGGGTGGGGGAGAGGGAGAACAAAGCTAGGTGCTTTTATAGGGAGTCAAAGTGCAGCATACAAGCAAAAGGGAATTTCACTTGTGCCTTTGAAGGTCATAGTCAGGGGACGGCAAGAAGAGGAGCTTTGTAGAAGGGACCAGCTTTATGACCTTGGTGCAACTGGTCACCTGGGTGGGGTGCTCACAGCCTGTTTGTGGGAATGTTGAGGCATCAGGAAAATATGAAGCTTTTAAAATTTCCAATACAGTGACCTTCACATTATACCATGTAGATGAGCAGGTCTTGCTCACAGCTACCTTCAGTACTAATCCCCCTGCCAAGGTTCCAGGGACCATCACTTACTTAAGTAAACAAGTAAACGGCATGCATCCTCAGGCAGACATCTTCCTTTCCTGTAGGCTATCTGATTTGGATGAGCTTGATCTGTTTCTTTCTCAG
This sequence comes from Homo sapiens, assembly GCF_000001405.40. Lineage (NCBI taxonomy): Eukaryota > Metazoa > Chordata > Mammalia > Primates > Hominidae > Homo > Homo sapiens. The sequence goes on along the minus strand of NC_000023.11, from coordinate 133,179,064 downwards.
TGGGGAGTGAGGGACTTGCCTGGAGCCAGCATCTTCTTAAATTATTTTTCTACCTTTTTTGCTCATTTCCTGAAGGCCAATAAATTTACCTTTTCTCTGAAGAAGATGTTGTTGTGTTATTGTTTTTCCTTTTGAGAATTGTTAAAAAGCCTTCTTTATTGCTTTGAGGTTCTGCTTGGCAATCTTCATTATGGTTTTAATTAATCAAACAATTTGTCAAATTCTGAAAGTAAATACAACTGTGACAAACATCTGGAAAAGGAAAGAAGGCCTCTGAATTATCTAACCCCAGCACAACCACTGTTATCATTTGGCAAAAGAGCAGTAGAGGAGGGGCCCAGGATCTGAAGTCAGAGTGAAGCAGTTTGAAGCCCCAGCTCTGCTCTGCGCTTATTAGCTTTAGTAAATCAATCTTTCTCCCCTTCATGTTTTTAATCTGTAAAATGGGGGTCGCATAATATCAGTGTGTGGATTTGAGAAGGTGTAAAATGCTTAGCTCTGAACGGTGCACAGAATAGGCACTCAATAAGTATTCGTTGGATGGATAGTTTATTTCCTTCCAGTCTACTTTGCTAAGCAAATTCTGACTACTTATATAATAATAATGTGTGCAATTTCCATATTGTGTTTCTTCGCCAAACCCAAGTTTCCATGGTGTTACCTAGTCTTCATTTGTCTTCATGGCCGTCATTTTAATGACTGTTCATCAAGTTGATGAACCATAAATTACTTAATTTCTCCCCTATTTGGGGGCACTTTGGTTGTTTTCGACTTTACGATTAACATCTGTGTTTGTGTTTGTGTGTGTGTGTGTGTGTGTGTGTAGTACTTAGAATGTGATTTTTTCAGTTCTATTGTGGTGGTGATTCTTTAATCAAATCAAACATCTTAAAGCCATGTAAACATAACCAGAATAAAACCACTCACCTGGTACCTAAAGGGTTTCCAGGTGGTGGGGGTGAGGGGGATGCTCAAGTCTCCCTCTGTGCTATTTGTTTTGAGCCCTGTAGCAGTGCTTTCTGAACCACATGCATAGGCCCAGAAGGTGCCCATCAGATAAAGAAATGGGGAAAGAGATTATCCCCTTAGTTTACTCTTTGTTTTAAGCTTCTCCATATGAAGATGGGAGATTGGAAGAGTGAGGTCAGGGTATTCATTCACCTGGCTTTCTCCTTATTTCATGGCTGCATTTGGCTGCATCCCTCTCCCCACAGTCACTCACAGCTTCTTTTTTTTTTTCCGAGATGGAGATTCACAGCTTCTTTTAAGCACAGATGACCTAGGCCACACTCTTTTGCTTCCTCAGTCTAGGGGTGGTAACAGCTCCCAGCTGATGCTAGGTTCACCATCTGTTGCCGGTTACCCTAACCCCATCCATAGCTTTGTAAACAGTTTCCTCATTAAACTCGCCTTCTTTACCTGTTTTGAATGTCCCTTCTCTTTTCTGCCATAGTTAGCACATAAGTGCTCAATAAACCTTAGCGGTTATACTATACTACCTAAATAAAACCTTCTATGGTGATGTCTCCTGCAGGAAGTCTCCATCCAGAGAGCCTTTGCAAAGGTCTGCCTGGAGGCCTGGGGCTAGCCTCCATGTCAGCAAAATAGAACAAAGCATTCTCACTTCAACATCAACAGGTGTGCCAGGGTAAATGTCAGGACTGGTTTCTGCAACAGCCTGGCTCTGTGCTGCCAGTCAGATGATTATTCTAGGCCATTTCTCCTGCCTTTGTCCCCTTGGACAGGGTCTATCACATTGTCATCTGGTTCAGAGGCTTCAATGAGCATTTTATCGACATGCATTACAAGTGACTGTGTTTCCTTTTTGGTTTTTATTTCTGTCTTTGGATTAGTGCAGGTCAGCCACTCACTGAAGTCACAGTCTATAAAATAAAGACCTCGGCTGAGGCTCCCTCCTCCCCGCTCATATTCGCCGATGATGATGAGACTGAATGTGGGAGTGTCACACAGTCAGGCTTTGCCTGTCAGTACCATCAGGCATTATATCAGGGACCTCCCTGGATGGATTTTTATGCTGTGTTGATCAGTCAATGGAGAGGAGTTTTATTTCTGAGAACATTGTTGTATAAAGCCATAATTGAGAGCCTTGGCAGAGATATTACATTGGTTTCCTTTTTCCCCTAAAGATGCCAGAAATCCCAATCTTGTCCCCTCTCCCTGCATTGCTGGTCAGAGAAGATGCCTCTAATTTATCCTGTAAGTTTACAAAGGCTACAAACACTGCTCTGGGAAGATGTGCAGCAACTCTTCTGGGCAATTTTACAGTTGCCTATGAGATATGTACTTAACACCTACTACACAATGATGCTAGGAGACTATTTATTAGTGGTGTGTGTGCTTCAGTGCTTCTCTCTGATGCAGAGCACAGTGACCTTGGAGAATTGGGAAAAGTAGGAAGAAAATAATGGCAGAAATTATCTAAGCCACAAACAAGGGGAGGGTATGTAGATTTGACATGAACTTAGCCCACGCCACCCTAAACTCTCCATTGAACTGACGAAATCCAACCCTCAGATAAAGTGCTTAGAGAATCTGGCAAGTCCTGCCCTGGAGAAACCACATAGACCTTACTTATTGCTATCCCAACTTATGCAAGCAGTGCAAGTCTCCATATGGCACTGCCACTGCTATGAAATAGGGAGGACCAGCTACAATCCAGACGTGGTCACTGCATTTCCTCTCCATCCTGTTTGCTTTTGGTAAATGGCCAAAAGGTGGGGGAAAACAATAGCAAAACGGATAAGCAGGTGCTATATGGCTCATGCACAGGCACAGCCACATGTCTGCCCAAGCTACTTGCAGAGAGGACAGACATGTCCCAGCAGTGTGAGGAGCAAAACCAAGGCTTCATTGCCATTGCCCCTCCTGCCAGCGAGGGAGTCTAGGTAGGCGGTGTTTTTGGCATTGCTGCAGTATCCTGCCCTCCAGGTCTCTCTGGTCTCATGGCTGTCTAAGAGGGCCTCTATTCCCTGCTCTAGAGACAAACTAAGGCCTTAAAATTTTGGCCTAACACTTCTCTAGCAATTGCAATGCTTCCTCAGGTCCATTTGAAAAACTGATAATTACATACATGATTCAAAGTGCAGGTGTATGAAAAGTAAATAGTCTCCCTTAATTGTTGGGAAGGGAGTACTGTTCAAACAGAATGCATACTGCTTGAAAACATCCAGCTAATCTACAGTATCATTAAAATTCTGCTTTAGCCCATCACTGCCTCAGTATTGTGTTTCTAAGCAGGTCCCTTTGTTTGCTGTGTCACTATGTCATCTTTCCACTGTTTACTCTCTTTCTGGAGTGGATGGACTTGGATTTCAGTACATGCTTCACTACTACACAGGTTTAGAAGCGCAGCAATATTTTTCACCCCTTCAATTTATATATCTATTTTTTTTTTGAAACAGCGTCTCTCTGTTGCCCAGGCTGGAATGCAGTGGCATTGATCATAGCTCACTGTAACCTCGAACTCCTGGGCTCAAGAGATCTACCCACCTCAGCCTCCTGAGTAGCATTTATTTTTATTGTGAGCTTAAACAACTCTACTGGAAAAAAAGAGGACTCAGAATGTCATGCATATTCAATTCTATTTGTGTTGCTCCATGTTCACTTATGATCTTGGCTGATGTACAGACTGGGTTCCTGCAGGGCTGTAATCAATGTGCACACACTGTTTCACTTAACATTGTTGTGCATACACATTCCCATAGATCAACAAAGTCCACATACTTGTCATCTTTAATGGCTATAGTGGAACTGCAGCACTTTAGAAGACATCGCATTTGCATGTTTTCCTGTTTGTGGGTGGCACTTCAAAATGTGCTAGCTGTAAAGAGAGCTTTGCTTCACTTCGGCCACAAATCAATAACAAGACACAATATGAATTAAGTCATATTAGAACTAAACCTCACCAAGTTGAATTTAATTAGTATATATTGTTACAGGGTAGTCTATTCTCTCTTGGGTTCGGCCCCTGATGTTTACAGGTTCCAGTTATTATTCACTCAGTTGTGTATAGAAGACGTGATTTGAAACAAACCTTAGCTGTTTGGGACTGTGGTCCTAAGTGAGCTTGACTCTCATTCATCTTCACAACCCCCACATTTTACTGGGTTCCTCTGCTTGGATCCTTTACATTTATGCCATAGGGAACTGGATCTGTGTTGCTTTCCTCCAAGAGTTCATGCCTTTCTGATTTCCTAGCTATTGTGGTCTGACAAAGCTTCACTGACCTTAAGCCCTGTTATAAGCTGGCAAGATCCCACAGCAGTTTATTTATTCATGTTGCTGCTGGTTGGTCTAAAGATAGCGCAGGAATAGTTTGCTATCGGCATTATGGTGCTTTCTACTTTAAGGGAATGATTTTCTTTTCAGAATCTACTTGTTTTGTATCCCTTACCAGTTGGGGTTGGCACTGGGTTCGTTTTTCTCTCAGTGATATGACCTTCTGCTGAGGATGGACTGATCCCTGGGACATGATCATTTAAGGCTGTTCAAAACCTTTAAACTTATCTGTTTGTTTCAGCCAAATTTAACTTTGGGATGTTACACTTTATATCTGTGACAGATTCTAATGCAGCAACATCTCTACCATATTGAAATAGCCACGGGACAGACTTTATCATTTGCCAGGCAGGTCAGGTGGATGAGAGAGGCCACTGATGGGTCTGTTCAAAAGAAACTGCATAGTAGCCAGTGGCTGCACCACATCCATAGTGCCTGAGCGCTTCCCTTTAGAGCAGTGGAAGTAGTTGAGTGTGGCAGTTACCTGTGCTGAGAGTAGCTCCAAAGGATGCTCAGCCTCACAGTCATCCCAGGCAGCTTTCTTTATACCTGGCACTCTCAGGGAGCCAGGAGACCTAATGTGGAGGGCTTGGAGTCCTGTCCCAAGGTGAAACTCCTGACAGACTGTCAGCAGGACGGGCAGTTTTATCCACAGCCTTCACCAAGTTCTCCAGGCTTATATGTGACAGCCTCTTGTAACAACTGGCTCACACTGACAAGTTCCCTGGCTAGAGTTGGAGATGCATTCTATGGGCGGACTACGGAATTAGCTGAACCAGCCTGGGTGAAAACCAAGCCCATGAACCTGGCCTCCTTTTAAACTATAGTCTAAGCAGCAAAACTTACCAGTTACTGCTTACAAAGCTATCCCTGCTACTGGGAAAACAATTCATTCACATTTCCTAGTGATAACAGGATGTAATAAACCAGTACAGTGGGTGGTCCAGGAAATTGATATTTGCAAGTCTGAAGAGGCAGTATCCAGCATGGTAGTCCTTTGGATATTTAAGAAGCTGTTTCTCGTGCATAGGAACCTGGCACTAACAAGATTTAATTCTTTGTTTGTCAATTCATGAATTCATTTATTTAATGATTTATTCATTCACTCACCAAATATTTTTAAAGTACTTCATGTGTGCCAGGCATTGCACTAGGCATAGAGGCTGCAGAGATGAATAAGGCAGCTTTGATTCTGGAGTACCTCACATGTAAATTAATATTACCACTAGTAAGAATTAGAATGTAATTATAATACTAATTATTATCATAGGACTATAGTGTGATAAATGCAAAAACCAAGACATATACATGTAGTAGTGGATCACAGATGAAGTGACTAATTCAATCTTGGGGGAGATGATGGTCAGGGAGATGTCAGACTTGTTAAAGATTACATAGGAGTTCACCAGGCAAAGAATGGTAAGGATTCATCTGATTATTGAAATCACATAGTTTTATATTCCTAAGCAAAAAGAGAAGAAAACATCCATATATAAGGAAAATAGTTTCATATTTTTCCCAAACTTCATTTTCATTTCTAGCTATGTTCATGCACTCACTTGACAGAGCGAGACTCCTCAAAAAAAAAAAAAAAGTTCTCTGGATAAAAAGTAGGAGAGAGATATAGGGGATGGGGCACCTACCCTTCAAAGAGGTGGTAAGGAAATGTTACCTTGCTGAGAAATTAAGAGGTTTTCAATTCTAAAAAGATGACTTAAATGAAAACCTCTTAATTTTTACCTTTGTGAAAACTTTTTAAAGTATGTTTTTAACTCACTTATTACAAGAAAGCTTTTTAAAATATATTTTCTTGTTTATATTGAAACTATTAATGCTTATTTCATTGCAAGAGTTTCCCAAAAATCTGAGAGTGGATTTTACAACCAGTATCCATAATTTTATTGTTTGCAATGGCTTCTTGTCTCAGAGTAAAAGCCAGATACCTTACTATATTTTACAAGGTTCTCCATGGTCTGACTTCTAGTTAACTCTCTGATCTCATTTCCTGCTACTGCCCCCTTACCACCCATCCCTGTTCTAGCCATACTGAGTGGACTACTTGGAACACTCTTCCCTTATAGCCTCATGACTTGTCCCCTTGCATCAAATGTTTTCATTCAAGTCATCTTTTTAGAATTGTCTTCTGCAACTCAGTTTTTCCCTTTGTTATGACTTACTCCTGATTCCAATGCTCCTTATACTCTCCCTTTGCCTCATGTTTAGAAAAAGCTGAGTGGAAGATTACAGATGGGCTGATAAGAGTACAGGAAGTGCACCACTGAAACATTGTCCCCAGGGAAAGGGCAGAAAGGAACCCACAGTGGAATGACAGGGAGGGGAGTTTTGGGGATCTTGAGAGAGAAAAATCTTGCAGAAGAATCCTTCAAGTTCCTTCTGAACCTTGGAAAATACTCATGATGAGAATGTTAAATCCTATCCTTGACTGTTACTGCTTAAAATTTAGTAACACTAACATGGATTTCAGCACACTTAAAAAAACAAAGAATGTAAAATATAGTTCAAGCATTTGCATTTGGCCCTCCCTAGAAAGCACTGGAGAGTTTACGGAAGTGGCATCTCTCTTCTGGGTATTTCTCCAAATGGCCACTGAGTGGCAGTCCAGGTAAAATTATCACAAAGCACACCCTTGCTGAATACATATTTATTAAGTGGAACTAATATAGTGATGAGTGTGAAAACATTTTCTGTCCCTGTACTCTTCAGCTCTCTGAGTGCTGCCATGGACCCACTGGAGACAAAGACAGGGTTATTTGTCAGTGGCCTGCCAGTAGCAAAGGCCACACATCTTTCAGAGCCCCTCCAAGAACTGTATGAGGGTATTATAACCAGGTATGTGTGTGTGTATGTATGTGTGGGTCATGAATATTAATCTGCCAGTGGTATTCAAATGGCACCTTTTTGAGTTTCAAATAGCACCTATAGTGAGTTTTTCATTTAGCTGCATAATATACTCTTTAAATAGAACTAAATCAATTTAGGAATGTAGCCCTATTCAGCAATTTGGTGGGGTGGTAGTGATAGAGAAGGGAAAAAATAGTGCTGCCAACATTTAATAATTGAGATGGAAATAGCAGAGTCTGAGAGATGGCATGGAGGGGGCTTACATGGAAGCTATTAAAATGTACCATTACTAACTTTTAGAAGTTAAGTCTACTCCTACTTGCATTAGCTGGTCTCTGATACCCTTTTAAAATTGCTACGTCCTATGCTTCATCTCTAAGTGCCAATCAAATACAAGCATTCCACAAGTTTCAATCCTTGGCCCTTTTCTCTTCTTCTGTAGTCTTTCTCTTGATGCTGCTGTTTACTCTTTGGGGAAGACTCCCAACACAAGCCTTAGCCCATTTGCCATAAGAGATCTCAACTGGATGTCCCACAAACATCCCAACCAATATAAAACCTGTTGTGGGTTGAGTTGTGCCGCCTCAAAATTCATATGTTGAAGTCCTAACCCCTCGTACCTTAGAATGTGGCTGGATTTGGAGATAGAGTCATTGTAGAGGTGGTTAAAATAAAATGAGTTCACATGGGTGGGCCCTAATTGAATATGACTGATGTCCTTATATGAAGAGGAGATGAGGACACAGACACACACACACACACACAGGGAAGACCATGTGAAGACACAGGGAGAAGACAGCCAACTACAAGCCAAGGAAAGAGGTCTCAGAAGAAACCAAACCCACTGAAAACCTTGATCTCAGACTGAGCCTCCAGAACTGCAAGAAAGTAAATTTCTGTTATATAAGCCACACAGTCTGTGGTACTTTGTTATGGCAGCCCTAGCAAACTAACACAAGCCCCAGACTCAACTCAATTTTCCCATTTCTTAGTTGATGACATTTCTATTTGTATTTCACCTAGGCAGAGTCATCTCAGTGCTCTGCCTCTTCTCCCTCCAATTCTCTTGCTACCCCCAAATAATGGAACCACAAATTCTATCGATTGACTCACTGAAATGTCTCCTGAATCTATCTTCCCCATTCAGTCCCCATTTCCACTGTCTTAATTCAACCCACCTCATTTTCCATCTTAACTGTGCAAAAGCTTCTTAAAGTATATTTTGGCCTCTTCATCCTTCCCATCCTCCATCTATCATTTACTCTACCAGGGGGCATATTAGGTAGGAGAAACAATAGCAGGATTGTGTACTCATGGGATAATCCAGTGGAGAGGGAAAATATCAAGTCACGAGAGATGTGGTAAAAATTCTGCCCTACTGACATGGTGTATGTGAGTTGGGAAGGGATCCAGTACACAAGTGTGTTATGTGTTAGCACACAAGAGTGGTCACGAATAGGAACACAGCTCACTTATAGTGTAACCCCCTGATGAGCTCTTCTTACTCACTGCACAAAAACAGACCATGGCATTGTAGTAAAGAAAGAGTTTAATAGATACGAGGCTGGCCACACCACGTATCAGATGAAGTTAGTACTCAAATCAATCCCATCCAAGGCTCATAGGTAGGGGTTTTTCAAAGGCAGTTTGGGGAAAGGGGTGGGAGTTGCAATGCAATGGGTTCTTGCTGCTGATTGGTTGGGGTGGAGATGAAATAATAGGGGGTCAAAGTTGCCTTTTTGAGCTGAATCGTTCCTGGGTGGGGCCAACAGGAGCGGTTTGGCAGGTCCAGGTGGAGCCATGGGGGTCTGACAGGCCAAAAACCTGAAAAGGTATCTCAAAAGGCCATCTACAATACTGATATTATTTGCAGCAACAGCTGGCAATCATTCAGGTCTACACCTTAGCAGAATCAGGCTCCTCTCCTCCCGATAGTCTGGTGGCCTTTCCTTAGCTTTGCAAAGGTGGTTGAGTTTTGGGGAGGGGCTACTATCATTTAAACTATAACCTGAATGTCTCTCAAAGTTAACTTGACCAAAATCCTCAGGAATAATTCAGGGAAAGGCAAGATGGGGGTGGGGGAGGTGTGTTAAATCAGATCTCTTTCACTGCCATAATTTTCTCACTTATAATTTTTGCAAAGGCAGTTTCAATAGGAACAGAAGAGAAGATAGGGAATATAGTTAAGCTGTAGATAGTGTTGTAGATTTGGTGGTGGTAGCATGTTGAAGTTCTCTTCTGTCTGCTGTCATTTTCTTGATAGAAGAGAAAGAAAGGTTATCAATCATCAGAGAATGAAAATAGTAAGGATGAGTAATAAGTTTGAGAACAGAGAAGATATGTGATATGGTTTGGCTGTGTCCTCACCCAAATCTCATCTTGAATTGTAGCTCCCACAGTTCCTATGTGTTTTGGGAGGGACCCGGTAGAAGGTAATTGAATCATAGGGGTGGGTCTTTCCCATGCTGTTCTCTTGATAGTGAATAAGTGTCATGAAATCTGATGGTTTTATAAAGGGGAGTTTCCCTGCATAAGCTCTTTTCTCTTGTCTGCTGCCATATGAGACATGCCTTTCACCTTCTGCCATGATTGTGAGGCCTCCCCAGCCACGTGGAACTGTAAGTCCATTAAACCTCTTTCTTTTGTAAATTGTGCAGTCTTGGGTATGTCTTTATCAGCAGTGTGAAAATGGACTAATAGAGTATGAAATCATGATCTGGGAGTGTGGGAAAGTAACTGGCCTGGGGAAAGACAGCATGATGCTGGGAAGCACCCTGGGTCCACTGGAGGTTTGCGGTCTGGAAGGTAAAGTGGGAGCAGTCAGCAGAATTTGATGCTTTTCTCCAGGTCCAATGGGTTGCACAGGTGCAGATCCAGTGCTGATGGAGAGGAGGATTTAACCAAGCTGGGACTTTGTCAGGTGAGAATAACAAAGGAAGATAGAGATAAGGGAATAGAGTGTGTAAGCAAGGGAATGCTATAAGATAAACCATATAATTTAATGACAGAAGGGAAGTGAAGATTTGAGGGGCTGAAAATCAGTGAAAAGATGGTAAGATCCCTACACTTGAGGGCCCTGTGAAGTTGAGGGATTGTTGGAGTTGAGATTCTAAGGCAAGTGAGCTGGAGAGTTAGGAGATGGTGCCCAGAGTGGGAGGTTTGAAATTGAGTTTCTGGTGGGTGTGTTGGTAATGAGATTCTGGGGTGAGAGACCAAAGCAGCATGGAGGACAAGATAATTGGTAGGGAGGGGTTCAAGGAATTGAGAGGTCAGGGTATAGGAAGGATCATCTATATGTGTATATTAAATCCACTAAGAATGGACCGGGTGTGGTGGCCAGTAATCCCAACACTTTGGGAGGCCAAGGTGGGAGGATTATTTGAGCTCAGGAGTTTGCGACCAGTCTGGGCAACATAGCAAAACCCTGTCTCTACAAAATTTTTTTTTTTTTAAATTAGTCAGGTGTGGTGGTGGATGCTTGTAGTCCCAGCTACTTGGGAGGCTGAGGCAAGAGGATCACTTGAGCCTGGGAGGTCAAGGCTGCATTGAGCCAAGATTGTGCCACCACACTCTACCCTGGGTGACTGAGTGTCTTACAATAAATAAATAAATAAATACATAAATAAATAAATAAAACCAAAAAACTCCACTAAGAATGATGACAGGTATAGAGTTTTAGAGAGATAGTGAGCTCAGAGCTAAAATTGACATTGGAAATAGGTAGTTTGAGAACTTTGTAAAAGATAGGACCTATCCAATACCCACTAAAGCTGTCTACAGTTTTTAACAATGTGGCTTGCAATATCGGTCACACTACCCTATCCTTACCACCTATTGACTAAAGCCAAGATCTGTTGGCTTTACTGCTCTGATACATACAGCTTTAGCTAAGATGTCTCTAATTTCTAAAGCAAGTGCCTTCACTAAAACAGTTTTTCCTTCTAAATTCTCATAAAATGTCAATTCAGCTTTTTGAAAACATTTAAGTATTTTCAAATATAATGTGTCTTTGGCATTCACAGACAACATTTAAGATCTCTCCCTTTAGGAGAAATCCAGGATGTCCACATCATGTAGTGATTTGCAGTTTTGCTGAGGCACGAATTTGAACTTCCTTCCCTACCAGGCTGATATACAGAGTGAGACACCTGTTGACCTATACTCGCTGAGCCTAGCCAATCATTCAGTGTCTACAGCTTAAAGCCGGAACTCCTATGAAGACAAAATAATTTTGCCTTCCACCCTAGTGTAAAAAATGCCAACTGAAAAGAAAGCCAACTGCTAGTGCTGGCAATGAAAGTGAGCAGAAATGAAGGGAGTCTAGGAAGGTGATGATTCTTTTACACAAAACACAGCTTTTATGAGGAAAATCACATACTACAGTGATATTTGAGAATTTCAAGGGATTCTGTACAGTCACTTAGAAGAAAGACAAGTCTGTGTTTTTTTTCAAACAGTTTTGCTCCAGCTAGGAAAACCATTTCCTTACATACATACCCTCCCCACCCCCAGCATCCCCAGCGAAATGTACTGTTTGCAAATAAAGTACAATAATAAACATTTGCTTCATGTCAAAAAAATAAAAACCACAAATAGTTTGCTTTTCTCTATACCCTGTAACAGTAGGTTTCCCTCTTATGGAGATTAGGATAAAACTAGCAATTTTTGTGTCTTGTGAAGCTTGTTAGAATAGGATTCTACCTGTACAGGGAAAAAAATCTCACAAAAGCCAAAGAAAGATTTAGGTCAGATGGACAAGGACTTTAATTATCAGCTATGCACATTTTCAGCCTTTTGTGAAACCCCCAGGCTGCCTACCCGAAGTAACTACTCTATTATTGAAATGAGTTAGAGAGGCCCACTTCAGTGACAAATTATAATTGGAAGTGTCACTTATCCTAAACTTCTATCCTAAAAGACAAGATCCTGGGCACAAATCCAAGAACCCCACATATTTAGAATATCTTTCAAATGTTCAAATAAGGAAGCATGCTTTGGTGTAAGTGTAATGTTCAGGGTTCTCTTGAGACAGTATTTTTAAGAGGGCAAATAATAGATACTTAACTTTATTTCAATAATATCTTTGTGGAAATCTCTAGCATCCCTTCCAGCCCTAAAATCCTGTGATCCTGTGTCTGATAAAACAATTTTAAAGGGCTCACCCAAGGGACAACTACAGATGAGATACTTTGGGGCCATTTTTAATGATCAATTGATCTGCACTGTAAGAAAGGTAAGACCATACTTGAACTATTTTGGTATCCACCACAGATTTTATCAGGAATTTTTGTTGGTTTGTTTTGTTTGTTTGTTTGTTTTTGCTTTAAGTTCCGGGGTACATGTGCAGAACGTGCAGTTTTGTTACATAGGTATACATGTGCCATGATGGTTTGCTGCACCCATCAACCCGTCACCTACATTAGGTATTTCTCCTAATGTTATCACTCCCCTAGCCCCTCACCCCCTAACAGGCCCCAGTGTGTGATGTTCCCTTCCCAATGTCCATGTGTTCTCATTGTTCAACTCCCACTTATGAGTGAGAACATGCGGTGTTTGGTTTTCTGTTCTTGTGATAGTTTGCTGAGAATGATGGTTTCCAGTTTCATCCGTGTCCCTGAAAAGGACATGAACTCATCCTTTTTTATGGCGGCATAGTATTCCATGGTGTATATGTGCCACATTTTCTTTATCCAGTCTATTATTGATGGGCATTTTTGTTGGTTCCAAGTCTTTGCTATTGTGAATAGTGCTGCAATAAACATACATGTGCATGTGTCTTTATAGTGGAATGATTTATAATCCTTTGGGTATATACCCAATAATGGGATTGCTGGGTCAAATGGTATTTCTAGTTCTAGATCCTTGAGGAATTGCCACACTGTCTTCCACAATGGTTGAACTAATTTACATTCCCACCAACAGTGTAAAAGTGTTCCTATTTCTCCACATCCTTTCCAGCATCTATTGTTTCCTGGCTTTTTAATGATCGCCATTCTAACTGCTGTGAGATGGTATCTCGTGGTTTTGATTTGCATTTCTCTAATGACCAGTGATGATGAGCATTTTTTCATATGTTTGTTGGCTGCATACATGTCTTCTTTTGAGAAGTGTCTGTTCATATCATTTGCCCACTTTTTGATAGGGTTGTTTGGTTTTTTTCTTGTAAATTTGTTTAAGTTCTTTGTAGATTCTGGATAGTAGCCCTTTGTCAGATGGATAGATTGGAAAAATTTTCTCCCTGTAGGGAGAATTCTGTAGGTTGCCTGTTTACCCTTGTTGGGGGAAGTCAGGGACCCTAAACGGAGGGACCGGCTGAAGCCATGGCAGAAGAACATGGATTGTGAAGATTTTATGGACATTTATTGGTTCCCCAAATTAATACTTTTATAATTTCTTATGCCTGTCTTTACTGCAATCTCTAAACATAAATGGTAAAGATTTCATGGACACTTATCACTTCCCCAATCAATACCCTTGTGATTTCCTATGCCTGTCTTTACTTTAATCTCTTAATCCTGTCAGCCGAGGAGGATGTATATCACCTCAGGACCCTGTAATAATTGCATTAACTGCACAAATTGTACAGCATGTGTGTTTAAACAATATGAACTCTGGGCACTTTGAAAAAAGAACAAGATAACAGCAATGTTTAGGAAACAAGAGAGATAACCTTAAACTCTGACCGCCGGTGAGCTGGGCAGAACAGAGCCATATTTCTCTTCTTTCAAAAGCAAATGGGAGAAATATCGCTGAATTCTTTTTCTCAGCATGAAACATCCCTGAGAAAGAGAATGTGCACCTGCAGGTAGGTCTCTGAACTGGGCCCCCTGGGCGTAGCCTGTCTCTTATGGTCGAGGCTGCAGAGATGAAATAGACTCCAGTCTCCCATAGCGCTCCCAGGCTTATTAGGAAGAGGAAATTCCTGCCCAATAAATTTTGGTCAGACTGGTTGATCTCAAAACCCTGTCTCCTGATAAGATGTTATCAATGACCATGGTGCCTGAAACTTCATTAGCAATTTTAATTTCACCTCAGTCCTGTGGTCCTGTGATCTCGCCCCGCCTCCACTTGCTTTGTGATATTCTATTACCCTGTTAAGTACTTGATGTCTGTCACCCACATCTATTCGCACACTCCCTCCCCTTTTGAAAATCTCTAATAAAAACTTGCTGGTTTTCGTGGCTTGTGGGGCATCACGGATCCTACCAACGTGTGATGTCTCCCCCGGATGCCCAGCTTTAAAATTTCTCTCTTTTGTACTCTGTCCCTTTATTTCTCAAGCCAGCCGACGCTTAGGAAAAATAGAAAAGAACCTACGTGATTATCGGGGCAGGTCCCCCGATGACTCTGATGATAGTTTCTTTTGCTGTGCAGAAGCTCTTTAGTTTAATTAGATCCCATGTGTCAATTTTGGCTTTTATTGCCATTGCTTTTGTTGTTTTAGATATGAAGTCTTTGTATATGCCTATGTCCTGAATGGTATTGCCCAGGTTTTCTTCTAGGATTTTTATGGTCCTAGGTCTTACGTTTAAGAATATGAGCTATCTTGAGTTGATTTTTGTATAAGGTATAAGGAAGGGGTCCAGTTTCAGTTTTCTGCATATGGCTAGCCAGTTTTCCCAACACCATTTATTATATAGGGAATCTTTTCCCCATTGCTTGTTTGTGTCAGGTTTCTCAAAGATCAGATGGTTGTAGATGTGTGATTTTATTTCCAAGGCCTCTGTTCTGTTCCATTGGTCTATATATCTGTTTTGGTACCAGTACCATGCTGTTTTGGTTACTGTAGCCTTGTAGTATAGTTTGAAGTCAGGTAGCATGATGCCTCCAGCTTTGTTCTTCTTGCCCAGGATTTTCTTGGCTATGCGGGCTCTTTTTTGGTTCCATATGAAGTTTAAGTAGTTTTTTCCAATTCTGTGAAGAAAGTCAATGGTAGCTTGATGAGGATAACATTGAATCTACAAATTACTTTGGGCAGTATGGCCATTTTCACGATATTGATTCTTCCTATCCATGAGCATGGAATGTTTTTCCATTTGTTTGTGTCCTCTCTGATTTCCTTGAGCAGTGGTTTGTAGTTCTCCTTGAAGAGGTCCTTCATGTCCCTTGTAAATTGTATTCCTAGGTATTTTATTCTCTTTGTAGCAATTGTGAATGGGAGTTCACTCATGATTTGGCTCTCTGTTTTTCTGTTATTGGTGTGTAAGAATGCTTGTAATTTTTCCACATTGATTTTGTATCCCGAGACTTTGCTGAAGTTGCTTATCAGCTTAAGGAGATTTTGGGATGAGATGATGGGGTTTTTTAAACATACAATCATGCCCTCTGCAAACAGAGACAATTTGACTTCCTCTCTTCCTATTTGAATACCTTTATTTCTTTCTATTCCCTGACTGCCCTGGTCAGAACTTCCAACACTATGTTGAATAGGAGTGGTGAGAGAGGGCATCCTTGTCTTGTGCCAGTTTTCAAAGGGAATGCTTCCAGTTTTTGCCCATTCAGTATGATATTGGCTATGGGTTTGTCATAAATAGCTCTTATTATTTTGAGATATGTTCCATCGATACCTACTTTATTGAGAGTTTTTATCATGAAGGGGTGTTGAATTTTGTCTAAGGCCTTTTCTGCATCTATTGAGATAATCATGTGGTTTTGTCATTGGTTCTGTTTATGTGATGGATTACGTTTATTGATTTGCATATGTTGAACAAGCCTTGCATCCCAGGGATGAAGCCGACTTGATTGTGTTGGATAAGCTTTTTGATGTGCTACTGAATTTGGCTTGCCAGTATTTTATTGAGGATATTCACATCGATGTTCTTCAAGGATATTAGCCTGAAATTTTCTTTTTTTGTTGTGTCTCTGCCAGGTTTTGGAATCAGGATGATGTTGGCCTCATAAAATGAGTTAGGGAGGATTCCCTCTTTTTCTATTGATTGGAATAGTTTCAGAAGGAATGATATCAGCTCTTCTTTGTACCCCTGGTAGAATTCAGCTGTGAATCCGTCTGGTCCTGAACTTTTTTTGGTTGGTAGGCTATTAATTACTGCCTCAATTTCAGAACTTGTTATTGGTTTATTCAGGGATTCGATTTCTTCCTGGTTTACACTTGGAAGGGTGTATGTTTCCAGGAATTTATCCATTTCTTGTAGATTTTCTAGCTTATTTGTGTAGAAGTGTTTATAGTATTCTCTGATGGTAGTTTGTATTTCTGTGTGATCAGTGGTGATATCCCCTATATCATTTTTTATTGCATCTATTTGATTCTTCTCTCTTTTCTTCTTTATTAGTCTGGCTAGTGGTCTATCTCTTTTGTTGATCTTTTCAAAAAACCAGCTCCTGGATTCATTAATTTTTTTTGAAGGGTTTTTCGTGTCTCTATCTCTTTCAGTTCTGCTCTGATCTTAGTTATTTCTTGTCTTCTGCTAGATTTTGAATTTGTTTGCTCTTGCTTCTCTAGTTCTTTTAATTGTGATGTTAGGGTGTCCATTTTAGATGTTTCCTGCTTTCTCTTGTGGGCATTTAGTGCCGTAAATTTCCCTCTACACACTGCTTTAAATGTGTCCCACAGATTCTGGTTCGTTGTGTCTTCGTTCTCATTGGTTTCAAAGAACATCTTTATTTCTGCCTTAATTTTGTTATTTACCCAGTAGTCATTCAGGAGCAGGTTGTTCAGTTTCCATGTAGTTGTGCTGTTTTGAGTGAGTTTCTTAATCCTGAGTTCTAATTTGATTGCACTGTGATCTGAGAGACTGTTTGTTATGATTTCTGTTCTTTTGCATTTGCTGAGGAGTATTTTACTTCCAATTATGTGGTCAGTTTTAGAATAAGTGCGATGAGGTGCTGAGAAGAATGTATATTCTGTTGATTTGAGGTGGAGAGTTCTGTGGATGTCTATTAGGTCCATTTGGTCCAGAGCTGAGTTCAAGTCCAGAATATCCTTGTTAATTTTCTGTCTTGTTGATCTGTCTAATATTGACAGTGGGGTGTTAAAGTCTCCCACTGTAATTGTGTGGGAGCGTAAGTCTCTTTGTAGGTCTCTAAGAACTTGCTTTTTGAATATGGGTGCTCCTGTATTGGGTGCATATACATTTATGATAGTTAGCTCTTCTTGCTGCATTGATCCCTTTAGCATTATGTAATTCTGTTCTTTGTCTTTTTGATCTTTTTTGGTTTAAAGTCTCTTTTATCAGAAATTAGGATTGCAACTAATGTTTTTGTTTTTTGTTTTGTTTTGTTTTGTTTTGCTTTCCATTTGCTTGGTAAATATTCCTCCATCCCTTTATTTTGAGTCTATGTGTGTCTTTGCATGTGAGATGGGTCTCCTGAATACAGCACACCGATAGGTCTTGACTCTTTATCCAGTTTGCCAGTCAGTGTCTTTTAATTGGGGCATTTAGCCCATTTACATTTAAGGTTAATATTATTATGTGTGAATTTGATACTGTCGTTATGATGCTAGCTGGTTGTTTTGCCAGTTAGTTGATGCAGTTTCTTCATAGTGTCAATGTTCTTTACAATTTGGTATGTTTTTGCAGTGTCTGGTACTGGTTTTTTCTTTCCATGTTTAGTGCTTCCTTTAGGAGCTCTTGTAAGGCAGGCCTGGTGGTAACAAAATCTCTCATGTGCTTGTCTGTAAAGGATTTTATTTCTCCTTCGCTTGTGAAGCTTAGTTTGGCTGGATATGAAATTCTGGGTTGAAAATTCTTTTCTTTAAGAATGTTGAATATTAGCCCTCACTCTCTTCTGGCTTGTAGGGTTTCTGCAGAGAGATCCACTGTTAGTCTGATGGGCTTCCCTTTATGGATACCCCGACCTTTCTCTCTGGCTGCCCTTAACATTTTTTCCTTCATTTCAACCTTGGTGAATCTGACGATTATGTCTTGGGTTTGCTCTTCTCGAGGAGTATCTTTGTGGTGTTCTATTTCCTGAATTTGAATATTGGCCTGTCTTGCTAAGTTGGGGAAGTTCTCCTAGGTAATATCCTGAAGAGTGTTTTCCAATTTGGTTCCATTCTCCTCGTCTCTTTCATGTACACCAATCAAACTTAGGTTTGGTCTTTTTACATAGTCCCGTATTTCTTGGAGGCTTTGTTCATTCCTTTTTATTCTTTTTTCTCTAATCTTGTCTTCTGTCTTTATTTCATCAAGTTGATCTTCAATCACTGATATCCTTTCTTCTGCTTGATTGATTTGGCTATTGAAACTTGTGTATGCTTCACGAAGTTTTCGTCCTGTGTTTTTCAGCTCCATCAGGTCATTCATGTTCTTCTCTGAACTGCTTATTCTAGTTAGCAATTCCTCTAGCCTTTTTTCTAGGTTTTTAGCTTCCTTGCTTTGGTTTAGAACATGCACCTTTAGCTTAGAGGAGTTTGTTATTACCTACCTTCTGAAGCCTACTTCTGTCAATTTGTCAAACTCATTCTCCGTCCAGTTTTGTTCCTTTGCTGGTGAAGAGTTGTGATCCTTTGGAGGAGAAGAAGCATTCTGGTTTTTGGAATTTTCAGCCTTTTTCTGCTGGTTTCTCCCAATCTTTGTGGATTTATCTACCTTTGGTCTTTGAGGTTGGTGACCTTTGGATAGGGTCTTTGAGTGGATGTGCTATTCCTTTCTGTTTGTTAGTTTTCCTTCTGACAGTCAGTCCCTTCTACTGCCAGTTTGCTGGAGTTTTCTGGAGGTCCACTCCTGACCCTGTTTGCCTGGGTATCGCCAGTGGAGGCTGCAGAACAGCAATGATTGCTGCCTGATCTTTCATCTGGAAGCTTCATCGCAGAGGGGCACCTGCCAGATGCCAACCAGAGCTCTCCTGTGTGAGGTATCTGTTGGCCCCTACTGGGAGGTGTCTCCCAGTCAGGATACATGGGGGTCAGCGACCCACTTGAGGAGGCAGTCTGACCCTTAGCAGAGCTCGAATGCTGTGCTGGGAGGTCTGTTGCTCTCTTCAGAGCTGTCAGGCAGGTACGTTTAAGTCTGCTGAAGCTTTGCCCACAGCCACCCCTTTCCCCAGGTGCTTTGTCCCAGGGAGATGGGAGGTTTTTTTGTTTTTTTTTTTTTTTTGATGGAGTCTCGCTCTGTTGCCCAGGCTGGAGTGCAGTGGCACCATCTTGGCTCACTGCAAGCTCTGCCTCGCAGGTTCATGCCATTCTCCTGCCTCAGCTTCCCAAGTAACTGGGACTACAGGTGCCCACCACCACACCCGGCTAATTTTTTGTATTTTTTAGTAGAGATGGGGTTTCACTGTGTTAGCCAGGATGGTCTCGATCTCCTGACCTCATGATCCGCCCACCTCGGCCTCCCAAAGTGCTGGGATTACAGGTGTGAGCCACCGCACCCAGCCTGGGAGTTTTATCTATAAGTCCCTGAATGGGGCTGCTGCCTTTTTTTCACAGAGGCCCTGCCCAGAGAAGAGAAATCTGGCAGTCTGGCCACAGCAGCCTTGCCGAGCTGCAGTGGACTTCACCCAGTTTGAACTTCCCAGTGGCTTTGTTTACACTGTGAACATAAAGCCACCTACTCAAGCCTCAGCAATGGCGGACACGCCTTCCCCCACCAAGTTTGAATTCCCTGGGTTGATCTCAGACTGCTGCTGTGCTGGCAGTGGGAATTTCAAGCCAGTGGATCTTAGTTTGCTGGGCTCTGTGGGGGTGGGCCCTGCCAAGCCAGACCACTTGGCTCCCTAGCTTCAGTACCCCTTTCCAGGGGAATGAACGGTTATGTCTCGCTGGGGTGCCACTGGGGTATGGAAAAAACTCCTGCAGCTAGTTGGGTGTCTGCCCAAATGGCCGCCCAGTTTTGTGCTTGAAACCCAGGGCCCTGGTGGGGTGGGCACGGGAGGGATTATCCTCATTTGTGGGTTGCGAAGACCGTGGGACAAGCATAGTATCTGTGCTGGAGTTCCTCAGGCTTAGTCCCTCACGGCTTCCCTTGGGTAGGGGAGAAACTTTCCCAACCCCTTGTGCTTCCCACGTGAGGTGGCACCCCAGCCTGCTTCGGCTTGCCCTCTGTGGGCTGCACCCACTGTCCAACCAGTCCCAATGAGATGAACCGGGTACCTCAGTTGGAAATGCAGAAATCACCTGCCTTGTGCATCGATCTCGCTGAGAGCTGCAGACCGGAGCTGTTCCTATTCAGCCATCTTGCCAGCAATCCCCATCAGGAATTTTTATTTAGAATTTTATCTAGATATAAAAAAATGTATCTATAAAAATATATCTATTTGATATAGAATTTTATCTATGTAATCCCCTTGTTGAAGAGTTATTTAAGAATAATGAACTTAGTGGATATTCTCAGATAAACAAAAGCTTAAAAAGTTCATTACCACTAGAACTTCGCTATAAGAAATGCTTAAGGGACTCCTTCAGAATGAAATAAAAGGATGTTAGACAGTTACTCATAGCCACATGAAGATATAAAGATCTCCAATAAAGGCAAATACATGGGCAAATATGAAAAGTCATTTTTTATTGTAATTTTGGTTAGTAACTCCACTTTACATTTTCTATGGAATGTAAAAGACACTTGCAAAAAATTATAAATTTATGCTAGTGGGTACACAATCTATAAAGATATAATTTGTGATATCAATAACATGAACAGTATGAGGGGATAGAGCTGTATAGGAATAGAGTTTTTGTATGCAAGTTAGGTTAAGTGCGTATCAACTCAAAGTAAATTTTTATAACATTACCGTATTATATGTAGTCTCATGGTAACCACAGATGAAATATTTATAGAATACACACAAAAGGAAATGGGAAGGGAATCAAGATATGTCATTACAAAAAATTACATAGACACACGAAAAAGGCAGTAATGAAGGGAATGAGGGACAAAGAAAGCTCTGAGACGTATGGAAAACAGAACAGGTTTTTAAAAAACATGATCTAACTATATATTGCCAACAAGAGACTCACTTTAGACATAAGGACCCAAATAGACTGAAAATGAAAGGCTGAAAGAAGATACTCCATGCAAATAGTAACCAGAAGAGAGCAGAAGTGGCTCTATTAACATCAGACAAAATGGAATTTAAGTCAAAAACTATTATAAGAGATAAAAAAAGGACATTATATGTTGTTTAGAAGGTTAATTCATGAAGAAGAAATAACAATTATAAACATGTATGTACCAAACACCAGAGCTCAAAAATATATGAAGCAAACATTGACAGAACTGAAGGGAGAAATAGACAACTCTACAATGAAAGTTGGATATTTCAATACCCCAAATATCCCACTTTAAATAATGGATAGAACAACCAAACAGAAGATCAACAAGTAATGAGAGAACTTGAAAAACACTACAAACCAACTGGATATAACAGACATATGTAGAACACTCCACACAACAACAGCAGAATACACATTTTTCTCAAATATACTTGGAGTATTTTCCAGGATAGACCATATGTTAGGCCACAAAACAAGCCTTAATAAAGTTTAAAGGACTGAAATCAGACAGAGTGTCTTTTCTGATCACAATGGAATGAAAATAGAAATCAGCAGAAGGAAAACTGGAAAATTCATGAATACATGGATATTAAAAAACACGCTCTTAAATAACCAATGTGTCAAATAAGAAATCACAAGAGAGAGCATATCTTGAGACAAATGAAAATGAAATACAACATGCCAAAAATTTTGGAACGCAGCAAAAGCAATGCTAAAAGAGAAATTTATAACTAAATGCTTACATTAAAAAGGAATAATGGTCTCAAATCAACAACCCAACTTTATACCTTAAGGAAATAGAAAAAGAAGAACCCTAACGCTAGCATAAGAAAATAATCAATAAAGTTTAAAACAGCAATAAATAAAGTAGAGAATAGAAAAACAGTAGAGAAGAATGACAAACCATAATTTGATTCTTCAAAAAGATCAGCAAAATTGACAAACCTTTAGCTAGATTAACTAAGAAAAAAATTTGGTAAAAATTATATGTTGGGGCTGGGTGCAGTGTCTCATGCCTGTAATCCCAGCACTTTGGGAGGCTGAGGCAGGAGGATCACTTTAGCCCAGGAGTTTGAGAGCAGTCTGGGCAACATAGTGAGACTCTGTCTCTACAAAAAAATTTTTTTAAATAGCAGGGCATGGTGTTGTGCACCTGTAGTCCCAATTACTTGGGACAGTAAGGTGGAAGGATCATTTGAGCCTGGGAAGTTGAGGTTGCAGTGAGCTATGATCACGCCACTGCACTCCAGCCTGGGCAACAGAGCACACTCTGTCTCAAAAAGAAATTATGTGTTTGCAACATCACACACTGGGGCCCGTTGTGGGGTGGGGGGATGGGGGAGGGATAGCATTAGGAGAAATACCTAATGTAAATGATGAGTTAATGGGTGCAGCAAACCAACACGGCACATGTATACATATGTAACCTGCACGTTGTGCATATGCACCCTAGAACTTAAAGTATAATATAAAAAAAATATTTGTTTGCAGAAGGCAGAAAAATATTTTAAAATTACTAAAATCAGAAATGAAACCGGGACATTAGTAATGATTTTAGAAAGATAAAAAGGATTATAAGAGAGTACTGTGAACATCTGTATGCCAACAAATTGGATAACCTGGATGAAATGAACAAATTTGTAGAAAGACACGACCTGCCAAGACTGAATGATGAAGAAACAGAAAATCTAAATAAACCCACAACTAGTTCGGAGATTGACTCAGTAGTCAAAAGCCTCCCACTAAAAACATGCCTGGATGAGATGGTTTCACTGGTGAATTCTATGAATTACAAGAAGAACTAACTCCAGTCCTTCTTAAACTCTTCCAAGAAATTCAAGAGGAGTAACACTTTCTAACTCATTCTATGAGGCCAGCATTACTCTGACATCAAAGCCAGACAAAGACACTACAAGAAAAAAAAAAACCTAATATCTCTTATAAATATTGATGCAAAAATCCTCAAGAAAATACTAGCAAACTAAATTCAGCAGCATATTAAAATGATTATATACCATGACCAAGTGGGATTTATTTCTGGAGTACAAGGATGGTTCAACATATGAAAATCAATCAATATATTATACTATGTTAACACAATGAAAAAAAACCCATATTATCATTTCAATGGATATAGAAAAAGCATTTGACAAAATTCAACTCCGCTTCATAATAAAAGCAATCAACAGATTAGAAATAGAAGAATACGTCAGCTGGTGGTGGTGGCTTATATCTGTAAACCTAGCACTTTGGGAGGTCAAGATGGGAGGATTGCTTGAGTCCAGGATTTCAAGACCAGCCTGGGCAACATAGTGAGACCCGGTCTCTACAAAAAATTTTTAAAATTAGCCAGGTTTGGCATGGTGGCACACGCCTGTAGTCCCACCTACTTGGGAGGCTGAGGTGGAACGATCACTCAAGCCTGGGAGGTTGATGCTGCAGTGAGCTGTGATTGTACCACTGCAGTCCAGCCTGGAAGACAAAGTGAGACCCTATCTCAAAAAAAGAGAAAACTTCCTCAACATAATAAAGGCTATATATGAAAAGCCCACAACTAATGTCATACTCAATGGTAAAAGACTGAAAGCTTTCCCTCTAAGATCAGGAAAAATAGAGGGATGTCTGCATTTGCCACTTCTATTCAACATAATATTGCAAGTTCTAGTTGAAACAATTAGACAAGAAAAAGAAATGAAAGACCTTCAAATTGGGGGAAAAAAAGAAGTAAAATTATCTCTGTTCACAGATGGTATGATCTTATGTGTAGAAAACCTTAAAGATTCCAGAACATTTCTTACAATAAATGAACTCAGCACAATTTCAGGATACAAGATAAAAACAGAAAAAAATCAGTTGTGTTTCTATGTGCTAACAAGGAATCTGAAAAGAAAATTAAGAAAATTCCTTTTACAATAGCATCAAAATAATAAAATACTTCGAAATAAACTTAACCAAGGAGGTGAAAGATATACAGTGAAAACTATAAACCATTGATGAAATAAAGACAAAAATAAGAAGGCATCATGTGTTCATGAATTGGAAGACCCAATATTGTTAAAATGTCCATACTACCCAAAACAATCTACAGATTTCATGCAATCCCTGTCAAAATCCCAATTTTTTGCAGAAATACAAAAATACATCTTAAAATTCATATAGAATGTCAAGGGACCTCAAATAGCCAAAATAAGCTTAAGAAAATAAAATTGACCAAGCACAGTAGTTCATGCCTGTAATCCCAGCACTTTGGGAGGCCAAGGCTGGCAGACTGCTTGACCCCAGGAGTTTGAGACCAGCTGGGCAACATGGGAAAACACTGTTTCTACAAAAAATACAAAAATTAACTGGGCTTGGTGGCATGCACCTATAATCCCAGCTACTGAAGAGGCTGAGGTAGGAGGATCACCTGAGCTCAGGAGGTCGAGGCTGTGGTGAGCTGTGATCATGCCACTGTACTCCAGTCTGGGTGACAGAGTGAAACCCTGTCTCATCTCAAAAAAAAAAAAAAAAAAAAAAAAAAAAAAAAAAAAGAAAGAAAGAAAAAAAAAGAAAAAAATTGGGAACTGACCTTTTCCAATTTGAAATCTTACTACAAAGCTATGGTAATCAAAACAGTATGATACTGGAATAAAAACAGACATATAGACCAATGAAATAGAATAGAGGTCCAGAAATAAACCTTCACATATATGGTTAAATTATTTTCAGCAGTATGGTGCTGTATTAATCTGTTCTCATGCTGCTAATAAAGACATACCCGAGATTGAGTAATTTATAAAAGAAAGAAGTTTAATGGACTCACAGTTTCACATGGCTGGGGAAGCCTTATAATCATGGCAGAAGGCAAATGAGGAGCAAAGTCACATCTTACATGGCAGCAGGCAAGAGAGCTTGTGCAGGGGAACTCCCCTGTATAAAACCATCAGATCTCGTGAGACTTATTCACTACCACGAGAACAGTATAGGGGAAACACCTCCGTGATTCAATTATCTCCACTTGGCCCTGCCCTGGACGCATGGGGAATGTTACAATTCAGGGTGAGATTTGGGTGGGGACACAGCCAAACCATATCAGGTGCCAAGACCACTCAATGGAGAAAGACAGTTCTTTCAACAAATGGCACTGGGAAAATGGAATATCCACATGCAAAAGAAAGAAATTGGACCCATACCTTATACCATATACAAAAATTAACTCAAAATGGGTCAAAGACCTAAATATAAGAACTATGATTAGTGCTTCTCTGTAAATGCATTCAGCACCCCCAAGGGAGTTTACTCTTTCCCTGGAAAGGCTTAAGCAGAAGCTGCAAGACCAGGTAACTTGGTAGGAATGCAGTGTAGGCTAGTGGCTAACAAATGCCAAATCAGACAGCTGAAAATCTGGTTGTATCAACATCACCTGGGGAGCTTTTTAAAAAATCTAGATATGCAGCCTACAAGAGAATCTGACTCAAGAAATTTGGAGTGGAACTCAAGGGTCTGCATTTCAAAGCTCCTTGGGTGATTCTGAGGCAAAGCCAGGTTGGGGAAGTTCCAGGTAGGGGATTCAAGCATCAGATTTGGACTAGAGGCCTACAACTCAATGTGTGGTCCATAGACAAACAGCATTGGTATCACCTGGAAGCCTTTTTTTGTTTTGTTTTGTTTTTAAATCAATACATTTTTATTCAAGGAATTTTATGTTGTAATCCCTTCTACTGTCCATCAAGGTCACTTTGGATCCTCTAAAGAGCTGGAGTCAAAATTTGTCTTCAAGAGATTTATTAATATCTTCAAGTTAGCCCTTTTTAATAGAACTGATGCTTAATCCAGTTGTCCTGTCAGCCCGTAATTCTTTTATTTTGGTTTCTTTCATCTCTTTTTAATATGAATATACTGATGAAGGCATCAGAATTCACCAAGAATCTTTGGGATCTAATTTCTTCAACCAATTTACTTTAGGGTCATTTTCACAGTAGGAGGATCTGCTTCATTCTCAATTTGACACCTTAGAAAAAGAAAAGCATTGCTTACTCTTAGAATATATCAAACTGAAGAGTATGAGAAACCTATACAAATGCTGTATCAATAGAAATACCAGGTTTAACAAGCACAAAGCCAAGAAAACCAATGAAACCAGATACTGGATTTCTATGGCACTGACCTTTGAACACCCTAGCAGGAGTAAACTGCTGAGTGCAGATACCACGCAGTGCATCCTGGAAGCTTTTAAGGAACAAAGACCCTAAGGCCTCACCCTAGACCTCCTGAATCAGAACTTGCATTTAATTTATATATATTTATATATATATATATATATTTTTTTTTTTTTTTTTTTTTTGGAGGCAGGGTCTCACTCTTTCACCCAGACTGGAGTGTAGAGGTGCAATCATGGCTCACTGCAGCCTCGACCTCCTGGGCTCAAGGGATCCTCCTGCCTCAGCCTCCTGAGTAGCAGGAACTACAGGTGCATGCATTACCATGCCCAGCTAAATTTTAAGTTTTTGTAGAGACAGGGTTCCACCATGCTGCCTAAGTTGGGTCTCAAACTCCTGGGCTCAAGCAATTCTCCCAGTGTGGCCTCTCAAAGTGCTGGGACTGCAGGCGTGAGCCACTATGCCCGGCCAGAACCTGTATTTTAAAAAAATTCCCAAATATTTCTATGCACATTAAAGTTTGAGAAGCAGTACGTGACATGATCTTTGCAGTCTTCTAATCCTGAGAAACTAGGGTGCCATGACCTTTTGTTTCTGTATTTTGTTACTGAATGATTATTAAATACAAACTGTGTTACTGGAGAAATATTTCCTATGGCTATGGCTCAACTTTCAAATATAGTTATCCAGTAAGGTTGTTCAGGGAAGGAGGAGAACCCTGCTCACTGTAAGGAGTGCTAAGCTTGCTCTGACTGGCCATTTAAAGACCCAGAATTCTTCAGCCAGGTGTGGTGGCTCACGCCTGTAATCCCAGCAATTTGGGAGACTGAGGTGGGAGGATGCTTGAGCCCAGGAGTTTGAGACCAGCCTGGGCAACATGGCAAGACCCCCATCTCTAAAATGAAATAAACAAATACATTTTAAAGACCCAGAATTCTACTCTAAGAACGGGGCCAACCACAACCACCTACAACAGTGGTTCTCAGACTTAAGCCTGCATCTGAATCGCCTGGAGGGCTTACTAAAATAGATTGCTGGGCCCCAACCACAGTTTCCAACTCAATAGATCTTGGATGGGGCCCCACAATTTGTATTTCTAACAACTTTCTAAGTAATGCTGGTGTGCTAGTCTGGGAATGACACTTTTGGAACCATTTGCCCAGGTTAAAAGGCTTCAGTCCATAGGAGAATTTCTTTAGATTAGCAACCTCCTTTAGGCCGGAAGTGGCCTGGTTGCAATTTAACTTGCTTGCTTGGAAATGTGCTGAGGTTTACAGCATGGTATGCAGTCTGGCTACATATTCACTTGGAGCCAGGTCAACCAGCCTGCCAGTGGCTGTGACCCATGGATGTAAAGTGCTTGATGTGTCAGCTTGGGATTTGCTGAATCTTGCTCAATGAACAGGATCTGTGTTGGCTTTATGGTTTTCCCAGATCAATTGTGGTATCAAGATGATGAGGCCACCCCTGCACAGGCTTTTATAGCTTTTATGTATAGAGTGTTTCCAAAGGGAGTTATTAAATTGAATTCACTTATAATCACAGGTGAACTTACCCTTTATTTCATATCACCCTGCTGAAAGCCAATCACAAGTGTCCCTGATCTTTTTTACTATGTGGTTTCAGAGTCCCTAGCCTTCCCTTTCTATAGTAGTCTGAATTCTAAGATAAAATTTGTCTTTTGATGGAAAGCTGCCTTTCTGCAACTCTCCTTTAAGAAAGAAGCCAATCTTTGGGAGCATTTCTCTGCCATGTGATTTTAAAGTTTTACAATTTCCTTGAGCATGTCTCCTTCCCCAATGTCTTCCTGAGGCGAGCCTTTCATCTGAGCTCTTTTCTGCCTTTCTGTACTAGAAGCCTGTGGTGAGGCCACTCTGCTTCTGTTGATTCTAAGCAAGCCCTTCAAGGTGAAACTAGGCAAATAACATGGCCAGTTGCTCTTTGAAAGGGCCAAGTTTATAAATGATTGCTGCATGCTGGCTTTAAACAAATTTGACCATGGAATAATTCTAAAAGCAGAGATTTTTTACGTTTGGAGCAGGGCAAGTACCTTGTTCTCATTAAAGGGTAGACAAGTTAACTTTTGCTGTGTAAGAAACTACCCCAAAATAAGTGACTTAAAACAATGTAGTTCAGAATTTCCTGGGTTGGCAATTTGGGCAGGGATCATTTAGTGGTTTACTTGGTCTTGGCTGGGTTTTCTCTGACAACTGTGGCCAGCTGTTGGATCAGCTGTGGGCTAGCTGGTCTAAGATGACTTGCCTCAGCTGAAATGGCACATCTCCATTCTGGGGTCTCTCATCCTCCAGTGGGCCAAACCTGGCTTCTTCACATGATAACTGTGCAGGGTTTCAAGGGAAAAAAAAGTGTGTAGGGCATGTTGAGGCCTATGTTCCAAATTGGCACACTGTCACTTCTGCCATGTTCTATTGGCCAGAGCAAGGTACAAATCCAGCCCAGATTCAAGGGGAGTAAAAATAATTTCCACTTCTTGGTGGGAGAAGCTGAAAAGTCACATTGCAAAGGGACTGGATAGAGTAAGAAAAGACAGATTGTTGCCATTTTGCAATAGACTGCAAAGAGCTAACTCAGGGCCCTTGAACATGCCAGTCTCTCTTCCTAGAACTTGTTTTTCTCCACTTTTCCTATGGCTGGTACTTCTCATCTTTCAGATCTCAGCTTACATATCATGTTTTCTGAGAGGACTTCCTACCAGCATGTCCTGCTATTCTCGATCTAAATCCCTGTTTTTCTTCTTTCATATGCTTCTCTCATTTTGTAATTGTTTCATTTATGAGATTATTGGTTTCTCTTGATTACATTCCTAGAACAAAAATTCCATAAAGTCATGGAATAGTTTTGTTTTGTTTTGTTTTGTTTTGAAGAGACAGTGTCAGAACTTCTGGACTCAGGTAGTCTTCCTGTCTCAGCCTCCCAAAGTGCTGGGATTACATGCATGAGCCTCTGTGCCCAACCAGTTTGTCATTTTTATTTAATTATTATATCAATAGTACTTAGCATAATGCCTGACACATAGTAGGCCCTCAATAAATATATATCCAAAGAGTGAATTGAATGAAAGATGGAGGTAACATAATCTATTTGATTAAGGAAAAGATTGAACATTTCAGAAGAGGATAGAAGAGTTGGCCTGGCAGTGTGATATAGAAAATAATCCAAGGAGATCAATAAAAAGGTTTGGGGAGCTCTCACTACCTGCACGATATCTTTAAAAGGCCACTGGTAAAATATTCCCTCTCCCAGATGGCCTGAATACATGGGATTAAAGCACATTGAGGCTTAGCAAGGACCTTGAAGCCCAAGATAACTTATTTCCAACCAAGAATTAAGGTACATAGTTTTCCAAGGGATCATTTCTTCTGGTTCATGATTATGTTAAAATAAGAGTACCAGATATGTAATAGAAATAGCAAGTTTTAAAACATTTTTTTGAGACAAGGTCTTGCTCTGTCAGCCAGGCTAGAGTGCAGTGGCACAATCATGGCTTACTGTAGCCTCAGCCTCCCAGGCTCAAGCGATCCTCTCACCTCAGCTACCCAAGTAGCCGGGACTATAGGTGCATGCCATTACACCCAGTAATTTTTGTATTTTTTGTAGAGGTGGTGTTTCACCTTGTTGCCCAGGCTGTTCTTGAACTCCTGGGCTCAAGCAATCCACCCATCTCGGTTTCCTAAAGTATTGAGATTACAGGTGTGAGCCACCATGCCCAGCCAGCAATTTTCTATGTTTCACAAATCAATATCACCAGAGGAATAAACTGATGAGAAATCAAGACTTTTGGAGGGTGGGAGGGAAGGAGGATATATAGTTACCATGGTTCAAGGCCACCTAGAGCTGGAAATTTCAGTGTCAGAGTGTCAATCCTTTAAGTCTTGAGGCTTTTAGCATTTAACCCACTGCTAATCTACAATTATCCTGAGAATCAGCCCTGTTTCCAGCCCTACTTTGCTGGACTGTAACTCCAGGGAAATGGTTCTTACCTAGGCTGACTGACTTTGCTCCCCAGGTGATTTTGACAATGTCTGCACATAGTTTTGGTGATCATAATTGGGAGAGTGTTACCAGTATATAGTGAGTAGAGGCCAGAGTTTGCACCATTACCCTCTAGCCTGGGGAACAGAGCAAGACCCTGTCTATGACACCCCTCCCTAGTAGCTGGGACCACAGACATATGCAACCATGCCTGGCTAATTTCTTTCTTTTTCTTTTATTTTACATATATTATTTGAAACAGGGTCTTACTCTGTCACCCAGGCTAGAGTGCAGTGGCATGATCATGGCTCACTGCAGCCTCAATCTTCCAGGTTCAAGCGATCTTTCCACCTTAGCCTCCTGAGCTGCTGGCACTACAGGCATGCACCACCACACATGGCTGATTAGTTTTTATTTTTAGTAAAGACAAGGTCTCACTATGTTGCCCAGGCTGGTCTCAAGCAATCCTCCTGCCTTGGCCTCCCAATCTTTTCATTTTTTGCAGAGACAGGGTCTTCCTATTTTGCCCAGGCTGGTCTTAAAATCCTGGTCTCAAGTGATCCTCCAGCCTTGGTCTCCCAAAGTGCTGGGACTACAGGCATGAGCCACTGCACCCAGCCTATCACTATTTGACCCATCTGCCAGTTCCCAGGAAAGCTCCATTCTCGGAATTTGTCTTCATTTAATCTGGCTTAGAGGTTACTCTGTGTGAACAGTCTTATCCCTAGGTCATTTGTGGGGAAAAAAAAAGTGATGATGGCTTAGTATCATAGTCATTGGAGGTGGTGTTACCAGTTGGGGTTAACAAGAGGCTGACCAAGAAAGTTAAAAGGAAAAACTGGGGAATGAGATGCCCAAAAGGGTCTTTGAAAAGCTCCAGTATATTCTTGGGACATAGAAATCCACTGACATATGCAAGACTTGTGCACATGCCAAAGAAAGTCCTATAAAGGCCCTAATCTCTCATCTCTGGCTGATCTTAAGGCTATGCACATGCAGGAGATGAATGCTAAAGCAGAATTGCTAACTGCCTGGCAGAGTGTTGAAGCTATGCCGCAATCCACATGAAGAAACCTTCAACAAAGGGACAGGTAGGGTGGCTCATGCCTGTAATCCCAGTACTTTCAGAGGCTGAGGCAGGAAGATTGTTTGAGGCCATGAGTTCAAGACCAGTCTAGGCAACATAATAAGACTTGTCTCCCTCAAAAAAGTAAAAAAAAAAAAAAAAAAAAAAAAAAAAGCTGAGCATAGTGGTGCTTGTGCCTCTAGTCATAGCTACTTGGGAAGCTGAGGCAGGAGGATTGCTTGAGCCCAAGAGTTTGAGGCTGCTGTGAGCTATGATCCTGCCACTACACTCCAGCTTGGGTGACAGAGCAAGACCCTGTCTCAAAAAAAAAAAAAAAAAAAAGACAAACCATAAAATGAAACCTTCAGCAAAGACTGAGAGACTTAGTGGTTGAAGGTATTAAAGGAGATCTCTGTCCAATTATTAGCTGACCACTAGGTTAAGCAAGCAGAGACTTCGGTGGCCACACACAATAAAAATTACAGACAGGATGGGCATGGTGGCTCATGCCTGTAATCCCAGCACTTTGGGAGGCCAAGGTGGGAGGATTGCTTGAGCCCAGGAGTTAAGACCAGCCTGGGCAACATGGGGAAACCCCATCTCTTCAAAAAAATATAAAAATTAGCTGGGTGTGGTGGCATGTGCCTCTGGTCCCAGCTACTTGGGAAGCTGAGGTAGAAGGTTTGCTTGAGCCTGGGAGGTCAAGGGGATAATGGACCATGATTGCACCACTACACTCCAGTTTGGACAACAGAGTGAGACCCTGTTTCAAAAATTAGAAAAAATTATAGACATAACATAATTAATTCTGAAAGGTTATTAAACAAACAAACAGCAGCAGCAACAAGAACAACAAAGAGAAACAACAAACCCTGGGGGAGAATCTGATTTCCAGAGTTGCCATATTATTTTAAACATTGAGTTTTCAACAAAATTATAGGGCACACAGAGAAACAGGAAAGTACAGCCTTTATACATGAAGGAAGAAGTAATAGGTGAATTCAGCAAATTTCCAGGAAACAAGGTTGGTTGCTATTAAAAGAATGAGCAAAGTATCTGAATAGACTTGTATCCAAGGAAGATATATAAATGGCCAATAAACACATAAGACTCTCAACTTCATTAGTCATTAGGGAAAAGCAAATCAAAAGCACAATGAGATACTACTTCAAACCCAGTAGGATAGCTAAAATCAGAAGCAGACTAGAAAAGTGCTAATAAGGATATGGAGAAAGTAGAACCTTCATAGCTTCTGCTGGAATTGTAAAATGGTGCAACCACTTTGAAAAACAGCGTGGTAACTCCTCACAAAGTTAAACATATAGCTACAAAATGATCTAGCAGTTCCACTCCTTGGTATATACACCAGCAAATTGAAAAACCTGTCTACACAACTTGTGCACAAACGTTTTACAGCAGCATTATTCCTAATAGCTAAAAAATAGAAGGAACCTAAATGCCCCTCAACTGATGAATGGATAATGAATATGTGGTGCAGTTGACCCTTGAACCTTGAACGACATGGGTTTGAACTGCATGGGTCCACTTATACGTGATTTTTTTTTTCAATAAAATTTACACTGAATGTGCCTGCCTCTCTTGTTACCTCTTCCACCTCCTCCATTTCTGCCTCTGCCACCCCTGAGACAGCAAAACCAACTCTTCCTCTTCCTCTTCCTCCTCCTCCTCAGCCTACTCAATGTGAAGACAATGAGGATGAAGGCCTTTATGATGATCCATTTCCATTTAATGAATAGTAAATGTCTTTTCTCTTACTTATGATTTTCTTAATAACATTTTCTTTTCTCTAGCTTACACATCACATACAAAATCTGTGACAATCAACTGTTTATGTTATTGGTAAGGCTGCTGGTCAACAGTAGGCTATTAACAGTTAAGTTTTAGGGGAGTCAAAAATTATATTTTCTTTCTTTCTTTCTTTCTTTCTTTCTTTCTTTCTTTCTTTCTTTCTTTCTTTCTTTCTTCTTTCTTTCTTTTGGCAGATTCTCACTCTGTTGTCCAGGCTAGAGTGCAGTGATGCAATCAAGGCTCACTGCAGCCTTGAACTCCCTGGCTCAAGCAATCCTCCCACCTCACAGCCTCCCAAATGGCTGGGGAGTACAGGCATGCACCTCCATGCCTGGCTGATTTTTGTATCTTTAGTAAAGATGGAGTTTCACCATGTTGGCCTAGGCTGGTCTCAAATTCCAGGGCTCAAGCAATCCTCCTGCCTGAGCTTCTCAAAGTGCTGGGATTACAGGCGTGAGCCATCATGCCCAGCCTATACTTGAACTTTTTACTGCACAGGAGGTCAGTTCCCCTAGCCCCCACATTGTTAAAAGGTCAACTGTATATGTACACAATGGATTATTATTTGACCATAAAAAGAAATGAAGTACAAATACATGTTACAACATGGATGAACACTGAAAATATCAATGCTAAGTGAAAGAAGCAAGTCAGTAGAGACCACATACTATATGACTCCATTTATATAAAATTTCCAGTATAGATGAATGTTACAGTCACCAAATAGATTAGTGGTTACTAGAACCTGGGTGGAAAGGGAACTAGGGAGTGACTGCTAATGAGTACAGGATTTGTTTTGAGAGTGATGGAAATGTTTTAAAATTAAATATTGGTGATCATTTCACAATTTAGTAATGTGCTAAAAACCACTAAAATGTAGACTTTAAACGAATGAATTTTTTAGATGTTCCATGATATCTCAATAAAGCTGTTTTTTTGTTTTTTGTTTTTTGTTTTTTTTGAGATGGAGTTTCACTCTTGTCACCCAGGCTGGAGTGCAATGGCATGATCTCTGCTCACTGCAACCTCCGCCTCCCAGATTCAAGCAATTCTCCTGCCTCAGCCTCCTGAGTAGCTGGGATTACAGGCACACACCACCATGCCTGGCTAACTTTTGTGTTTTTAGTAGAGATGGAGTTTCACCATGTTGGCCAGGCTGGTCTCGAATTCCTGACTTCAGGTGATCCACTCACCTCGGCCTCCCAAAGTGCAGGGATTACGGGCATGAACCATCACACCTGGCCAATAAAGCTGTTTTAAACAATGTTAGACAATATTGTTATTAAAAACTAGAATAAAACTACAATTCAGAATCCAGTGTTGGTACTGTTGCATTCCCACTTTCTGTTGTAAAAAATTTAACAAAGACTACAACATTGTTATAGAAAATCAGCCATGGATAGTATGGGTCCAAATTCTAGCACATATTATATAGTGGGAAAAACAAAAGTGGGCAGATTTACCTCAGATTAGTAGAAATGTTTATGTATAGTCAGCAGTAAGTCCAATGTCATAAGTGCAAGCAGACAACTGGAGATAGGAAAAGTGTAATGTAATGTGTGAAGACTTGAAAGATGGTGAAAAAGGTCTCATCCCATCTCACTTGCAAATTTTATGATGTCTAAGTTTTATCCTGAAGTTATTTATTTTTTATTTCTTTCTTTATTTTTTGAGATGGAGTGTTGCTCTTGTTGCCCAGGCTGGAGTGCAGTGGCCGCGGTCTTGGCTCACTGCAACCTCCGTCTCCCAGGTTCAAGCTATTCTCCTGCCTCAGCCTCCCAAGTAGCTGGGATTACAGGCACCCGCCATGTCCAGCTAATTTTTGTAATTTTAGTAGAGATGGGGTTTCACCATGTTGGCCAGGCTGATCTTGAACTCCTGACCTCAGGTGATCTGCCCACCTTGGCCTCCCAAAGTGCTGGGATTACAGGCATGAGCCACCACGCCCAGCCCTGAGGTTATGAAAAACACAAAAAGGCATGTTTCTAATGCCAACTCCAACTCTGTCACAGATATAACCAATAGTTCTTCAGTCAATAGATGTTATGATTACCAAACTGGAAGAGAGAAGACACTGTCTTGTACAATGCCTAGACTCATTTTCCTTAAATGAGAAAAGGAATGGGCTTGGCATTGTAGTTCTTACACCTACTAGAGTATTAGCTCTTCAAAAAGAGGCTGAATGTTCTAAATCAAGCTTGTTCCACCTGTGGCCCATGGGCCTCATGCGACCCAGGATAGTGTTGAATGCGGCCCAACACAAATTTGTAAGCTTCCTTAAAACATTAAGAGATTTTTTTGCAATTGCTTTTTGTAGCTCATCAGCTATCATTAGTGTTAATGTATTTTATGTGTGGCCCAAGACAATTCTTCTTCTTCCACTGTGGCCCAAGGAAGCCAAAAGATTGGACACCACTGCTCTAACTATTCGTCTTGTCCTATTCCATTTGTGTTGCTGTAAAGGAATACCTGAAGCTCGGTGATTTATAATGAAAAGAGGTTTATTTGACCCACAGTTCTGTAGGCTGTACAAGAAGCATTGCACCAATGTCTGCTTCTGGTGAGGGCTCCAGGCTACTTCCACTTATGGTGGAAGGCAAGGGGGAGTCAGTGTGTACAGAGATCACATGGTAAGAGAGGAAGCAAGAGAGAGGGAGAAGAGAGGTGCCAAGCTGTTTATCACAACCAGCTTTTGTGGGAATCAATAGAGTGAGAACTCACTCACCCCAGCCACCTGCCAGAGAGGACATGAATCTACTCATGAGGGAACAGCCTCCATGACCCAAACACCTCCCATTAGGCCCCACCTCTAACACTGGAGATCACATTTCAGCATGAGGTTTGGTGGGGACAAAGATCCGAGCTAGAGGACACATGATAGCCTTAAAAGTGTTTGCATAGGTGGGCACAGAAGCTCATGCCTGCAATCCCAGCACTATGGGAGGCTGAGGTGGGAGAATCACTTGGGTGCCAGGAGTTAGAGACCAGCCTGGGCAACATGGTGAAACCCCATCTCTACAAAAAACATTTATTTTAATTAGGCGGGCATGGTCAAACCTGCATGTAGTCCTGGCTATTCAGAAGGCTGAGGCAGGAGGATGGCTTGAGCCCAGGAGTTCGAGGTTGCAGTGAGCTATGATCACGCCACTGTACTCCAGCCTGGGAAACACAGCAAGACCCTGACTCAAAAAAAAAAAAAAAAAAAAAAAAAAAAAAGCATTTGTATATGTGGTGATGGAAACAGAGAGGGAAAAATTCAAGACTTTATCAAAGGTATAGAAATCAGTGTTGAAATTCTTGAAAGACTGGATGATCTGTAAATGAATAACTCTGTCAACCTGAAAACCTGATTTACTTGATCTTATACAAAGCATATAAGATGCTAGGCATGGATTTTAATGCCAGATAATGCAAATTGTATTAGATGTATGTTCAGACAGACAGACAAACAGACTCTTAGGGGAAGTACAGCTTGGCCAGACCCTATCCATTGACTTGCACAATCTTACTTATAAGAGCCTTATGAATATACATATATTCACACATATATATGTATATATGATCCAAAATGTGTGTGCTATATAACTATATATGCACTGTATAAGTACAAACTCATATACATATATATGTACTTTGGACCTAGTTGATGCAAACACAGTGAAACAAAATATAATTGTTACCACAGGTGAAGGGAAATAATCTTTTAGCCAAATACTCCTAGAGAACATATCTCCCAAATACAAAGTCATCATGTTTGTCAGCAAAAAAGTTGTTTCTGATTATTTCCCAAGTGATCTGAGTGACCCAGGCATACCAGGACAATATCTTTCTTCTTTTTTTGAGACACAGTCTCATTCTGTCACCCAGGCTGGAGTGTAGTGGCACGATCTTGGCTCACTGCAGCTTCTAACTCTTAGGCTCAGGCAATCCTCCCACCTCAGCCTCCTGAGTAGCTTGCACTACAGGTGTGCATCACCATGCCTGGCTAAGTTTTTTGACTTTTTGTAGAGATGGAGGTCTCGCCATGTTGCCCATGCTAGTCTCAAACTCCTGGGTTCAAGCGATCCACCTGCCTCAGACTTCCAAAGTACTAGGTTTATAGGTATGAACCACCACATGTGGCCACCAAGACAATTTCTTTATGGCAATAGAGAACAGAGAAAGGAGGGTAAGCATTAAAGTACTCTAAAAAAGGAAAAGTGACAATACTGATTGCTACCAGTCTAGCACCCCAAGTTCGTATTGTTCATAATGTCACACTCATCTATGACTTCCCCCAGAACATTGAATAATAGGTCCACTGAGTGTGGTGTTCCAGAAAAGCAGAAATGACAGGAATATCTGTTACCTTTATCACTAAACATGATTGGAAGATTGCCACAAAACTGTTTAAAATTCTGAAAAGAGAAAATTAGAATATCCTGGATGGTCTTGTGTCAATAGGTGAAAAGTATAAGTTATATAAGCAAATAAGCAAAAAGGAATAGAAATAAGATTAGTAAAACTCAAGGAAAACCCAAGAAGTTTTCTTGATGTTTATATGCAAAAGTGGACCAGGCCATTGGAGAATTCAAGATTTCTTTTAAAATATATAATATTTAAGATATATTTGGAAGTACTGGAAGCATACTGGCAGTCTGAAGAGATTTGAGCAGCCAGAGTGAAACTCTATTTGTCTGCAGCACTTAGGCATGTGAGGAGAGCGTGAGTGATTAAATAGCATCTGAACATTGTTTCCTGCAGAGAGCATCCAGTGCTCATGGATGGGGGGAGGCTCTGCTGCATAATCAGTTTTGTGAATGGGTCTAAGACTAGTGTTTACACCTGACTGATATTAATACTTAGTGTTTTGGCTTTCTGTTTTTTTTTGAGACAGGGTCTTGCTCTGTTGCTCACACTGGAGTGCAGTGGTGTGATCATGGTTCACTGCAGTCTCAATCTCCAGGCTCAAGCGATCCTCCCACCTCAGCTTCCCAAGTAGCTGAAACCAGGTGCATGCCATACTACCTGGCTAATTTTTGTATTTTTTGTAGAGACGGAATTTCACTATGTTGCCCAGTCTGGTCTTGAACTCCTGGGCTCAAGCAATTCTCTTGCCTCTGCCTCCCAAAGCATTGGGTTTGCAGGCGTGAGCCACCGCACCCCGCCTGTTTTGGCATTTTTAAGAGTTGTTTCTGTTCTCCCACCTTTAAAATAATTGCACACTGTTTGCCTCAGAGAGCTGGGGGTCTTTGTCAAGATTGTCTCCAGCTCTTCATTTCACAGACAGGGAAACTAAAGCCAAAATGGAGTTAGTGGTACTTAGTTCTTAACGCAAAGCTGAAACAACAGCCTAGGTCTTCTGATTTCACGGTCAGCACCTGTACTACATTGCCTCTGTTTTGTTGACATCTTTCTAAAAGCCACTTATACACTTTTTAATTTAAAAAACTTTGGGAAACAACCCCTACAGTTACATTTCCTTTTGCTGTTATTGTTTGGGAAGCAATAGAGGAGGAAGTAAGTCAAGACCCACAGGCCTCAGAATGAAACCATTTTGGGTTTTCTTCCCGGCTTTAGCCATTGCTAGGTGTGCACCCTCGGGAAGATTTCTTAAAGTCTTTGAGTCTCTGTTTCAGCACTTTTCAATGGGGTAGTAACAGGACTACTTCATGGGATAGTGAAAAAGTAAATTAATGCATGTGCAGCACTGGGAACATAACTCTTATCAAGATATAGCTGTGATCATAATGATGCTGACCATCGTGATCATGGGGCTGTTTTGAGCCAGGCTACACCTTTTTGCCAGCCAGGGGCCTATTGGGAGGATCCTGGTGCTGGGATGGCACTTAATATTCTTTGAAAGCAGCTTTTCAGTCCCCTTCAATACTTCCTGGCACCCTGAAACTGCCACCCCTAGCTCTTCCTCTTGACAGCTCCCACATCTAGTTTGCTGCTGGCACAACCATTTTAAAGTCTTACACAGCCTATGGTAATAGGGAGAACCAAAATATTTCTCTTTCAAACTTGTCTCTCTCCTATCTTCCACTACCTCAAATACCACTACCTCCCCGAATAGATACTCCTCTCTGTCCTAGGCATTACCAGCATGATGGAATTGGGGCTGCGACAGCCTCAGGCTATTTCCTATGAAAAGAAGTACAGAGGTGATTTCTCACCCTTGAACTCTACATTTCACCCTTCTCCCTTTATCTCCAGTAGTAAGGCCTTGGAATCAGCCAATCTCTCTCTCTCTCTCTCTCTGTCTCTCTCTCTCTCTCTCTGTGTGTGTGTGTGTGTCTGTCTGTCTGTCTGTCTCTCATTAAAGATGACACATTGAAGGCAAGTATTTGCGAGGCCAAATACCCTCCCTTTATAAATATTCTCATAAAAAGAAAAAGAAAACATCATTTAAAAAATTCTTTAAGCGTCCCTGGATGAAGATTCCCAAAGCAAGATACCTGGACAGGAAAGCACCTACAGTCACAGTAGAGAGTTAATGATTGGAAAAGAAGGAGGAAAACCAAAACGGCCTGAGCCACTGCTTTCTGGGGTCATTGGAGCCCAGCAAAGCTAGTAGAAAGAAGTAGTGATGACTATATGCATGAGAAAAATAACTTTTTTTTTTTTTTTTTGGAGACAGAATCTCACTGTGTCGCCCAGGCTGGAGTGCAGTGGCACTATCTCAGCTCACTACAACCTCCACCTTCCGGGTTCAAGCGATTCTCATGCCTTGGCCTCTCGAGTAGCTGGGATTACAGGCACGTACCACCACAGCTGGCTAATTTTTGTATTTTTAGTAGAGAGGGGGTTTCACCATGTTGGTCATGCTGATCTTGAACTCCTGGCCTCAGGTGATCTGCCCACCTTGACCTCCCAAAGTGCTGGGGTTACAGGTGTGAGCCACTGCGCCTGGCCTGAGACAATAACTTAATAAGATAGAGCATACTTGCCCTTCAAATTTTTTATGGTACTCATTATTTCATTTTGGTAAAGGAAAATGTGACAGTATGGTATCAGTGGAGTAGAATGTGGCATCAGTGGGCAGTATCACCTGGTTGCCAGTAGGCCTTAATGAGATCCATTGTATTCAGGCCATACCTGTGCTGGGGAAGAACAGATAGAAGAGAAAGATACGAAGTTTAAGAGAAATGCTAACTTGACTGTAACCATTTACTCATAGAAACCAGGTAAGAGTCACTACAGTGACAAATGTCAAAGAAAAGAGGGACAATGGGGCATTGCACCTCTGATCCAAGCAAGGCAGAACCAGTATCCTCTTACCTGCCTTCCAAGAGTGTTTCAAGGGTTTTTCTTGTTTCAAAAACTCTCCAAGAGTGGAGGCTGTTCTATTTCTCTCTGTTTCTGTCTTTGTCTGCCTCTGCCTCCCTC
The DNA here is from genome assembly GCF_000001405.40 of Homo sapiens. NCBI lineage: Eukaryota > Metazoa > Chordata > Mammalia > Primates > Hominidae > Homo > Homo sapiens. Next base: position 133,138,575 of record NC_000023.11, on the reverse strand, counting down.
CTTTCTTTTCTCCCTCCCTCTCTCGCCTCATGCCTATATCTTTGTCTGTGCCTGTATTTTCAGTGTATATTTAACTTGTAGGTAGCCATGCAATATTACCCAAACCCACTTATTCATCTTACCTTTGGGACAGGGGACTGAACTGGGGAAGGGGGAGTACTCAGATAGGTTTTCTTTGTAGTTGATCACAGCCATCCATGTGGCTTCAGTTAACTGCTGGAAATGACATGACACCCTGGAAAACAGTAGAGGGTTAGCTTCAGAGTGCCATTTGCTGTTCTCTGTGGGCTTTGGAAGCATGCAGAGGAAATACCAAGATGTAAAGCCAAATGCATGACTAGGAATACTAAGGGGGTCTAAAGCAGCAGCTACAACATAGATGAAGTACAAATTCTGTCTGGAATATGTCTCTGACATCCACGGGAGAGAAATATTATACACTGCTTTTCAGGCTAGCATAGAGTCTTAAAATGCATATGAAAATACGCCAATGATTTTTAAAGCATTTTGATTTCTTCTTGCTCTGCAAAGCATATAGAGCAATACCAAAATCAGAAAACTTCCATTCAGCAGAAGATCCCTACAATGGACTTTCATTAAAATGTCTTGTTTTATGTGGTTCCTTAAGTTCCCAGTGCCTGTGCCCATGGAAATCTGATAGATCAAAGACATTAATGATTGTGTAAATACTAGGTGACCTCTTCTGGGTATTTTGTATGTTCTTGATTTGATGAGTGAGTGCTCTACTACTAGCGATCTTTAACAAAGATACCTTATTAGAGAACCCCCGCATGCTGACTCTAGCTATCTTTATCCCTGGCTATCTCTGCAGTTTGGTCCAATAGTTATTTTGGTTTAATATAGCTACACTATCACTGTTGATGGGAATGTAAAATGGCACAGCCACTGTGGATAACAGAAAGGAGGTTCCTCAAAACTTTTAAAATAGAATTACAATGTGATCCAGCAATCCCACTGCTGGGTATCTATCCAAAAGAATTGAAAGCAGGATCTCAGAGATGTTTGCACACATATGTTCATGGAAGCATTATTCACAATGGCCAAGAGGTAGAAACAAATTAAACCTCCATCCATGGATGAATGGATAAACAAAATGTGTCATATACATACAATAGAATATGATTCAGTCTTTAAAAAGGCTATCACATGCTACAATGTGAATGAACTTTGAGGACATTTTGTTAAATGAAATGTCAGTCACAAAAAGACAAACACTGTATGATTCCATGTATATGAGGTATCTAAAGTAGTCTAATTTATAGAAACAGAATGTAGAGTGGTGATTGCCAGGGGCTGGGAGAAGGGAGAAATGGGGAGTTGTTGTTCAAGGGGTATAGAGTTTCAGTTTCATAAGATGAAAAAATTTGCTGCACAACAATGTGAACAGACTTAACACTATTGAACTCTACACTTAAAAATGGTCAAGATGGTAAAGTTTGCTATTTTTTTTAACCACAATTAAAAATAAAAATAGGCTGAGCGTGGTGGCTCACACCTGTAATCCCAGCACTTTGGGAGGCTGAAACAGGAGGATTGCTTGAGCCCAGGAGTTTGAGACCAGCCTAGGCAACAAAGCAAGACCCCATCTCTACAGTTTTTTTTTTCAATTAGCCGAGTGTAGTGGCATGCACCTATAGTTCCAGTTACTCAGGAGGCCAGGACGGGACGATTGTTTGAGCCTGGGCAGTCAAGGCTGCAGTGAGCCAAGATTGCACCACTGCACTCCTGCCTGGATGACCGAGTGAGACCTTGTCTCAATAAATAACCTGTTAAAAATAAATAAAAAATAGAACTGCACTATGAAGTTTCTGTTTTTGTGTAGGTCTTGGAGTTAGTTTTGTTTTAAAGACTCCTACGGTGTGCTATTGTTGTGTTAGCAGGAACATTAAAAGTTAGGCTTTTCCTAATATGCTGATTGTGTTGAGAGGTGGAGTTAGCCCCTTAAGATCTTTGCCTTGGCCAGGTGCGGTGGCTCATGCCTGTAATTCCAGCACTTTGGGAGGCCAAGGCAGACAGATCACCTGAGGTCAGGAGTTTGAGACCAGCCTGACCAACATGGTGAAACCCCGTCTCTACTAAAAATACAAAAAAATTAGCCAAGCGTGGTCGCAGGTACCTGTAATCCCACCTACTTGGGAGGCTGAGGCAGGAGAATCACTTGAACCTGGGAGGTGGAGGTTGCAGTAAGCCAAGATTATGCCATTGCACTCCAGCCTGGGCAACAAGAACGGAACTCCATCTCAAAAATAAATAAATAAATAAATAAAAATAGAGATATTTGCCTTCTTTCCCTCTATCCCTGGGCAAGGTATGGCCTTGCAGACAGATCCTCCATGTACGTTCTGAAGACCTGGCTTTCAGACAATTCAGGTGAAAAGATGTGTATAGAAATCACCCCAGATCTGACCAAACTGTTCTGATTTCCAACAGTGGCATCGTACACCATGAACAACGTCAGGGGTTACAAAGTTGGGGTTCTATTTTTCCTCTCCTCTACTAATGTACACTAACGTGGTTCTGCAGACGACTCTTTTCTCATCTTTATTCCATTTTGTTCTAGAGGAGGAAGTGGCAGCAGTTTATTACGTTTCTACTCATTAGTTATTTGCTTGAGAGAGGCTTTGGTTCCACATCTCGGGGAAAATGTGGTAAATAACGTTAAACACAAGTACAGACAGTTCCCAACTTAACGATGTTTTGACTTATGATGATTCAACTTTAGGATGTTGTGAAAATGATACACATTAGCTTTTGTTTTGGATGATTTTGCCCAACTATAGGCTAATGTATGGGTTTTGATCATGTTTAAGGTAGGCTAGGCCAAGCTATCATGTTTGGTAAGTTAAGTGTATTAAATATGATCCTGTCTTAAGTCAAGGAGTATCTGTAAGGTCTTCTTTGCATTTATTTTCACCATGATAATAATTGTTTTAAAGAGACATCGATCTGTCACCCAGGCTGGAGTGCAGTGGTGTGATCATAGCTCAATACAGCATTGAATTCCTGCAATCAAGTGATCCTCTCACCTCAGCCTCTGGAGTAGCTGGGACCACAGATGTGCACCACCACACCCAGCTTATTTTTTAGAAAGTTTTTTGTAGAGATGGAGTCTCAAACATAGGAGCTCATACACCAGCCTATGTTGCCCAGGCTGTTCTTGAATCCCTGTCCTCAAGCAATCCTCCTGCCTCAGCCTCCCAGTGTGCTGGGACTACAGGCATGAGCCTCCGTGCCTAACCGATATTAGTTCTTTAAAATGATTTGACATAGTTTTACTCCTTCACTCCAATTTTTAATTTCAATTTAGGAAACCAGAAATTGCTTATCTCCCTCCTGTTTGTATTCCTTTTCTTCAATATACCCACTGTCTCCTGTTTTTCTTTGCTGTCTTTCATTTTTCTCTTCCATATAATTTTCTTCTCTCTTTTTTATTTTTTGTTGAGTGGGGTCTCACTATATTGCCTAGGCGGGTCTCAAACTCCTGGGTTCAAGCAATCCTCCCACCTTGGCCTCCTGAAGTGTTGAGATTACAGGCGTGAGCCACTGTGCCTAGCCTAATTGTTCTTTATCCATGTTTCTCACCTCTTTTAGTTTATCTCCTTTCATTTTCTTTCTCTTTCCTTTTTTCTTTCCATATCTCTCCTTTCTCTCTTTTTCTATTATCCCCATTGCCCTCTCATCCCCTCCCCTCCCCATTCTCTTTTCTCCTTTCCCTTTCCCTTTCTTATCCTCTCCTCTTCTCTCACCCTTTAAATTTAGGAAGCATAAAGGAACTTTGGAGAGAAGTGAAACAACCACTGACCTACCACCCACTGTACCCATTACAGAGAGACAGGCTGCCTAGGTGTTGTGCTTCCTTCCTGGTGGCAGGAGGTACAAATAATATGCCCTTCACTTTAGAGAGGATATCCTGGCATGCTACAAATCACTGAGTATCTAGAAACTTCACTGATGTGGCATGTTCTCTGAATCTTCATTGTGTTTTTTGTCTACCCTTCGGATATGTATGTGTTTTACCAAGGTCTCCAATGCACTTACTACTTCTTCCTTATCTGGTCCAATTAGCATGACGTCATCACTATAGCCCACTGAGTGATGTTTCAAGGTATGTCCAGATCCCTTTGGACTATGTTGAGATAGAGGCCTGGAAAGTTAATATAGCCTTGGAACAAGATCATAAATGTATGCTATTGGCTGGACGTCGTGGCTTATGCCTGAATCCCAGCACTTTGGGACACTGAGGCAGGTGGATCACTTGAGGTCAGGAGTTCAAGACCAGCCTGGCCAACATGGTGAAAACACATCTCTACTTAAAAATAATAAAAAATACAAAAATTAGCTGGGCATGGTGGTGCACACCTTTAATCCCAGCTACTCAGGAGGCTGAAGCAGGAGAATCACTTGAACCTGAGAGGCAGAGGTTGCAGTGAGCTGAGATCACGCCACTGTACTTCAGCCTGGGTGGCAGAGCGAGACTCCATCTCAAAAAAAAAAAAAAAAGGATGCTATTGTCTTGTCAGTTACATGTGAATATGAACTGCCTCTGGTAATCTTTCCTGACTGGGGTGGAAAAGAAAAGTAGTATTTTTCTGATCTCAATGACCACATACCATCAACCTGAGGCTGTGTTAATTTACTCTAGAAAAGATACTGTATCTGGCACAGCAGGAACAATTAGGGGTACTACTTGGTTGAGTTTAGAGTATTCTGTTGTCATTCTTCAGAATATGTCAGCTTTTTTTGTAGTGTTCAATCTGGCGAATTAAATGGGAATATGATGGATACAACAACCCCTACATCATTTAGGCGTCTAAAGGTGACACTGATCCCTGCCATTTATCCAGAGTATTTTAATTCACCATTTTTCTAGGGGTTAAAGGGCTGTTTCAGTAATGCAGGTTGTCTTATAAGACAAAGGCCTTTTTGTTGTCTGCAAGCAAGGGAGGAGGTACACTAGTTTTTCACAGGGAGGAGTGGGCCACTTCTACAAGCCTAGAGGGTTTAGAGGAATTGGAGAATCGAGATTTTTGAGTGCATCAACCCAGATCTACCAGCCGAAGTCTCAGCATCCTACTCCTTCCTAACCAGGGCCCTGACCTTAGCATACAAGACTTGCTGTGGTTGAGGATTCAACGTCCTCTGGAGATCTGCTACTCTTTCCCCCGCCAGCTTTACTGTGGAATGATTGACAATTAAAAATGGAATATATCTACATTGTACAACATGATGTTTTAATATATGTCTAGATTTTGAAATGACCACATACCAGCTAATTTATAATTAAGTCATCGACTTGATATTTAGCTTTTTTTTCACATGCCAAGGAGCAAACTTAAAGTCATAGGCACCTTAATGTGAGTTAATCTGTAAATAATATAGGTGCATCATGTATAGATTAACATAATCACATATAGATGTAGGGAGCGAGATAATATACATCTCTCTGCCTAGTAGCATGATTCAGAATAGCATGAGAATTCTGAGTTTCAGACTGATTAAAAAAGACAAAGTAGGGATGTGGATAAAGAAAGTGGAGGCAATAGAGAGGATGGTAGATAGAAAGTACACAGAAGAAAAACTTCATAAACTTGGCAATTTTTGTTCTGTTGCGGTGCTAGACTTCATCTGTAGCGGTGTGCTAATGAGCCAGGCTATCACAAAGCTCCAGCTTTGATGGGTGAAGAAACACCAATCTGCAGCCCTGTTGGGGCCCTGTGGGGGAGGAAGATTTGTTTGCTGAGCAATCTGGTAGCAGGGGATTCATACCTTCCATACTAGAATTCTTGGCCTGAAGGTGTGACTGAGTTGTAAGTACAGTATGTTGTCCCTGACTCCAGTGCCATCATAACAAATCATTTACCTCAGGTTGCTTTTTAAAATTTTCATAAATAAATAATTACTCTGGCTCTCTGGGCAAAGTCATTCTAAGCACTATTGTGGACAAATGAATATCTTGAAATGCTTCCTTGAAATTGCATACCAGAAAGAAAACAGCCAAGGCAGTAAGTTTTTCACTAGTTTACAGTGAGAGCTGGGGACCACCATGTGCTTTAACTCCAGGTGATCAAGTGGCCTTATTATCTGATAAAGGTATGTACAGGTAACCAAAAGGATCTGTTTATCACGTGGTGTTTTGCTTTTGTTTGTTATTGTTCTAAACAAGAAGAACATGATATATCTGCTTAATCATTTATGGCATCCATTTCTATTTCTACTACCCCAGCTCAGCTATCTCTCGGGCTTCTCCTGGACCACTACAATAGTTTCCTAATTGATTTCCCTGTTACCAGTCTCATCCCCTCTGATTTTTTTCTTCCAATTAGCCAAGATAAATGTTTCTATACCACAACCCTGTTCTATACCACCTCCCTTCCTTAAATCCCTTCACCTAGTATCTCGAAGTTTCTGTGGGTCAGAAGTCTGGGCACAGTTTAGCAGGCCCTCTGCTAAAGGTCTTAAAAGAGACCTTCAAGGCAGTCAAGGTATCAGCTGGGGCTGTTGCCTTTTCTGAGGTTTGACAGAAAGGATCTGCTTCCAAGCTCATGTAGTTGTTGACAGGATTCAGTTCCTTGTAGGCTGCCAGATTGAGAGCCTCAGTCTGTTGTTGGTCATTGTTGGAGGCCAACTTTAGCTTCTTCTACGTGTGACAGCTTGCTTCTTCAAGGCCAGCAAGGAAGAAAGTGTCACTCTTAGCTAGATGGGCATTAGAGTCTTTGTTTTTGCTTGTTTGTTTATTTTGTTTTGTTTTGACACAGTCACATTCTGTCACCCAGGCTGGAGTACAGTGGTGCAATCTCAGCTCACTGCAGCCTCAACCTCCTGGGCTCAAGCAATCCTCCCACCTCAGCCTCCTGAGTAGCTGGGACTGCAGGTGTGCACCACCACGCCTGGCTACTTTTTGTATATTTTTTAGTCGAGACGGGGTTTTGCCATGTTGCCCAGGTCGGTCTCGAACTCCTGACCTCAGGCAATCCTCCTGCCTCAGCCTCCCAAGTAGCAGGGACTGCAGGCATATGCCAGCATGCCCAACTGGGCATTAGCACCTTATGTAATATAATCACATATATGTATTTTTTGTTACCTTTGCAGTTTCCTATTAGTTAGAAGTAGTCATAGCTCCTACCAACACTCAAGGGGAAGGAATCACACAAGGGTGTGAACACCAGGAGTAGGGATTATGAAGGCCAACCTGGAGTCCATCAGCCACAGTATTTCACCACCTAGACATAGAGCCACTATATTGCACAACTTCCTGGAGTTGTGCATTATGACAATCCTTTGCTATGTGTTGACTGGAAGAATAGATAAACCAGAGTTGGACCACCTTAGGCATAAAATTAGCTGAGATGTAACATTATAGAAAGAGTTTTAATGTGGGAATCCAGCATTTCCTCTGTCTGGGCCTTGGTTTCCTTATCTGTAAAATGAGTGACATAAACCAGCTGATCTCTAGATCAGCTTTCATCTTCAGAATTCTGAAATTCTACAGCATCTGTTTGTTTTCATCTTCATCCATCCCTATCTTCTTCATGACATAATAATAGCTAGCACTTACATAGCACTTACTTTGTGCTGGATATTTTTCTAAATGTTTTATATGTTTCAAATTCTCACAAAAACACTAGGGATGTAGGTTTTATTCTTTTCTGCATTATATGAATGAGGCAGTTGAGATTCAGATAGTTAAGTAATATCAGTCTTCCCCAAGGTGTATGCAGTAACCCCGATGCAGTACTATCTCTCTAATAGACACAAACAGAGGAAGGAGTGAAGGAAAGGAAACTAGTTTATGAGGGCTGACTGGTTATATTTAGGATTTTTTTTTCTTCAAGGTTCAAATTTGAGGGTTAGGCCCCATGAGATTCAGAAAAGGAAAACCAGACAGTTATTGCAGCTCTTTCTCAAACCTGGCATCTCCCCAGAGCATGGAAAGGGTATTAGTGGAACCAAAGCTCAGTACTTCCAGCAGTGGGAAGGAGAATACTGAAAAGCTGTAACGGGAAATTGAAAGACTCCCTCCTCCCTCTCCTGCCCCAGGCAATGACAGGCAGGTGCCCTCTCCCTTATGTCCTTTCTTCATCTGTCTTGGCTGAACAATGCCCCCTCCATGTTGGGAATTTCCAAGGAGAAAGACAAGTAGATAGGGGTCAGTCTGCTCTGGATGGTGCAAGGGAACTGGGTGAGAAAGGCAGTGAAGCAGAACATACCCAAGAGTGACAGTTTCTTGTTCATTAAATGATCAACTCCCCGACAGAACAAACTGAGTCAAAGTAAATCCTTATTAGCCCTGAACTGGACTGGCCTAGTCCTAACACCTTGCTCTGCAAGTCATTCTTTTATTTCTCCACTAGGCATAATCCTATATCAAGGAGCAAGGTGCATTCTGGCTTTGTATTACTTTCCTATGAAGTGGTAGTTTCTGGTGCATGGAAAGGTATAAGGCTAAATCATGCACTGTGATCTCTCAACCCCTTTCTATCTAAATTAAATAGAAAGTCAGATGCATGGCAAGCCGCCTACTTTGTCCCACACTTGGAGACTACATTTTAGCTTTTATAGAATGGAATCAACAATTTAATGGAGAGAAATAAAAATGTATGTCCTTAATGACAACCTTGTAAAGAATGAAAACTCTGTCAACCTCCTTGACCCAGCCTGCAGACACAAAATGGGATGTGTGGGCTGAAGATGCATCCAGGCAACATCGTGGAGTGTGGGGTGGGTAGGGGGCAGGCTCTGAGGCTCCAGGGCCCCACCTCTATTTATTTAGCAATGGTACCTAGGAAAATTTGCCCTGGGAGACAAGGTAACTTGCTGCAGTGTTTCTGAACATGCTGCCAGCTAATAGTGCCTCCTGCATCAAAATAGCTTGCAGAAGTTCAAATTTAATGGGGGAAAATAAAATACAAAATCCTTCTGTTTGGATAAATCATTAGAAGGTTTTAATGACGGAGACTTCAGAAATTGCAGCTTAACATAATGTTTAAGTAATATAATGGTTAAGAGTGCAGACAGACTCTCAAGCTAGACTGTCTGTGTTCAAATCTCGGTGCTCCTGTTCACTATCTGTGCAACCGTGGGCAAGTCACTCAGCCTTTCTGTGTCTCAGTTTTCTCATCTCTGCAATGAAAATAATAGCATTTATACCTAGTAAGTAGTATTTACACCTAGTATTTATACCTAGAAAGTTGTTATGAGGATTAAATGAGTTAAATTTTGTGAAGTGCTTAGAATAGTGCTCAGCATGTAGTAAGTATATGTAAACAAAAAATAAATATTTGTTCACTTCCTGCTAGGTCTTATACAGATTTCCAGTTTTTGAGACAGGCTCTTGCTCTGTCTCCCAGGCTGGAGTGCGGTAGCACAGTCATGGCTCACTGCAGCCTCAACCTCCTAGGCTCAAGTGATCCTCCTGCCTCAGCTTCCCAAGTAGCACGGACCACAGGTGTATGCCACCATGCCCAGTTAATTAAAAAATTTGTAGAGACAGAGTCATACTATGTTGCTCAGGCTGGTACTGATCTCCTGGGCTCAAGCAATACTCCTGCCTCAGCCTCCCAAAGTGTTGGGATTACAGGCATGAGCCACTGCCTACAGCCAGATTTTTTTCTTGTTTCACGTAATTACCCTGGAAAGTACATACTATTATTCGCCATTTATTGATATGGAAACTGAGCTTCAACTAGGTTACACGGGTTCCCAAAGGTCATACCGGTTGTATGTTTGAGATCAAGATTCCAAATAGAATGTGCCTGATGTAAAAGTGAAGACTCCTTCCATCACACCTCAATAGCTTTCCATTTGTAGCTCAGTGGAATTTTGCTCCCCACTTTGTTGAAGGATGTGGACTTTGAACAAACTTCTCATATCAACCCCTCCAGCTGCCCTGGAGCAGTGGCTGCAAGGGCCTTCAGCTGTCATAGGACTCAGTGTAGGTAGCTTCTTGTTTTGTTACTTCTCACTTTCAGACTATTCCTCTGGACAGTTATAAGTTCTCATAGTAGGTACACAGAAATGTATTGAATCCATATCCTCTGTTATCTCACAAAATAACTTGTTTAATTCTTCTCCAACAAACCATATTGTTGTTCACAAGCAGGTTACATTTAATCTCTGGCTCATTGTAGCCCTTTACAAATTTTTCTAACTAGCCTGATTTTGAGCAGACTGTATGATTCCAGCTGCTGCTCCTCCCTTCCAACTTTTACTGTAGATCTGTAAATCCTTACTTCCCTTAGACATCAGCCATCAGGACCCCTACCCTGGTTCTTGTACCTTAGAGGACCGCCTCTGGCCCCATCAGGCAAAGGAGTTGGAGTTGGACATAACTGAATTTGAAGGTCCACTTATTTATTTATTTATGAGACAGGGTCTCACTGTGTTGCCCAGGCAAGAGTGCAGTGGTGTGATCATAGCTCACTGCAGCCTTGAGCTCCCAAGCTTAAGCAATCCTCTGGCCACAGCCTCCTGAGTAGCTGGGACCACAGGCACACACCACCACACCCGGCCTCCACCTGTTTATTAGGTGTGATAAGTTGGGCAAGTTAATCTAATTTTCTGGACCCCAATTTCCTCATCTAGAGAATGGAGACAATAAAATACACCTCAAAATGCTGTGAAAATTAAATAAGGTGATTAATAATATAAAATATTTATAATGGTGCCTCGCACATAGACACTAGAAAATTTGGGCTCTTTTTTGCAGAATAAATTTCTAGAATCACAGACTATACATTTTAACAAACAGCACCACAATTTCTCCCTTGAACTCCTTAAAATCCTCAGATAGATATTGCCTGGTTCCATTCCCCGTGATTGATCTATACTGACATAGTTTGCAAACTAAGAGCACAACATCTTGTGCACTTAATATATTCTAATCTGGTTCATCTACCTGATCTGATTAAAAATCCAATATATGGAGAAAATGAGAAGTAAAGCAGCAAAGGGGAAAGTAAAAAGCAAATTTCAGGATTGTGGTGGAATATGTTACTAAAGCTGGTTGCAGCATGAACTCCCATCCCACATGCTCTTTTGCAATGTGCTTTTGCCATTCCTCCCACTGAGAGGTAAATTTGGACTGGCCCTGTGACCTGTTTTGACCAGCAGAATGTGGTGGAAGTGACAGTGTATTTTCCAAGGTTGAACCTTGAGTGATCTTCAGTTTCTGCCTTTCTGTTTGGAATGCTTCTTCTTGGAGTCCAGCCACCACACCATGATAAAACCCAAGAAGCCCCATAGACAGGCCCACATGGAGGAAAACTGAGGCCCCCAACCAACAGCCTCAGCCAAGCTCCCAACCAGGAGCCAGCACCAATTGCCAGCCCTGGGAAGAAAGCCACTTTGGATCTTCCAGCCATCCCAGGGACCTAGGCAACACCACACAAAGTAGAACCACCCAGTCAATCAACACAGCATAAGAAATTAAGAAATTGATACTGTTCTAAGCTGTGGAGTTTTAGGGTTGTTTGTTACACAGCAATAGGCAACTGACACTGAAACATTTAGTAATCATGCTGTGTCCACGTACACTGTTTACCAGAGAACATCTTTAAATGATGAAAATCAGGAAAAAAGAAACACATCACATTACCTTGTAACAGATTTGAGAGGAGAGGCTATTAGAAATATTAATGGAACTTCCGAATTAGTAGTACGTAAATTTATTCATATTTATAGAAGTGACCTCTTTGCTATTTTAATGTTTTAAACAGATATGCATAGTGGTCAACGTAAAGAATATGTATCTATTTCCCATTGTGATTTGAATTGGTAACCATTAAAAAAACCCTGCTGCTGATAGGGGTGGAAATTATTGAGTTCTCTGTCTGACTTTCACATAAAGGCACTGAGACCTGCTGAGGGAAAATGTGTGTCTTTCTGTGTCATGACTTTGGATTCTGTAGATTTTTCTTGTCTTTGTAACAAAATGTTATTTCCTGCTCTATGTCACAGGTATAAGCAGGAATAGGATGCCTAGCAAAGAAATATACATATAAGAATCCTAACATGAATGGCATGTGTGATGGACAATTCTTCATTTATTCTTTTAAAAGTCATGGCCTCCAACCTCCTCAGGGCTCAAGTGCTTTTTTTGGTATGAAGACTCTAAAACTGTAATATACTATAGTAAGACTAGATATTCTGTTTTTGCTCTACCATTGTCTCATTGTCTTGAATATATGATTGTACAAATGTAATCCAGCATCTTGCTCAATTAAGGTAAGACCTTCCACATATGCCTAACTAGAAATTATCATTTGGCACTGAACCCTGTGAAGACCTAGATGAGAGGCCTTCTCTTTAGCAATGGCATCTACCTGCCTAATGTTCTATTCTACATCTAGCAGCTAAAATGCCTCCAGGAAAATAGAAACCATATTTTGTAGACCTACTCTAAATGAAAACCTCCCTTGGAAAACACAGTCATCATTACTAATTATTGTTCAGTTGATTTTATTTGGATGAAGAAGGTATCTGATCAGAGGTAGCCAGAATTTTCAGTTGCTGTCAGTGAATTCTCTGAATAAGAGAAAATTTGTTTTCAAGGCAAAGGAGCAAATATTCACTTGATTCATTGTTGAATATTACTTAGAAAATTATGTCTGGGAAGTAAAAGATCCACAATGAAAGGCATTTAAATACTGACCTACTGAATGCAAGTGCTGGGCCTATTTCTTCACTTGGCCAGTCTCTTTGACTCATTTTTTTTCTGTCTCTAAAGGACATTTCCCTCAAATGACAGCGCTCAAAGAATAGATAAAGCAAGCCTGTGATGCAGGCCATTGAGTTATAATTTCATTTAAACTACAATTCATTATTTTCTTCCTGCACTTATTCAAGAACCCATTGTTCATTACTCTTTCACTCTGAGATTAGAACAATTTGTATGTGTCCCTTGTACGTTGGTCAGATAATGAAATAATCATTTCTGCATCTACAAAGTATTTTTCACATATTGTTCACAGTCTAATTCACTCTACAAAGCCATTTTATCATTTTCTAACAAGAGGGAGGTGAATCTCTGAGGCATCTGGTTAGTGAAGACAGTTCATTTATTTATGAAACAAATATTTACTGAGAACCTATTATGTACCAGGCACTCTTCTAGGCACTAGGAAAACAGACAAGAATCCCTGTTTTAGAGGAGCTTACCTGCTAAAGAGAAAAGACAGTTGAAGGAAATTAAAATATTTTATCCCAGCTGGGTGCTGTGGTTCATACCTATAATCCCAGCACTTTCAGAGGCCAAGGCGGGTGGATCACTTGAGCCCAAAAGTTCAAGACCACCCTGGGCAACATTGTGAAACCCTGCCTCTACTGATAATACAAAACTTAGCTGGACATGGTGGTGCATGCCAGAAATCTCAGCTACTTGGGAGGCTGAGGTGAGAGGATTGCTTTAGCATGGGAGGTCGAGGCTGCAGTGAGCTGAGATCATACCACTGCACTCCAGCCTGGGCAACAGAGCAAGATCCTGTCTCAAAAAATATTTTTACTCCCAAAATATATGTATTTGACATATTTTTAAATGGCTGCCACCTGACCATCCCTACAGAAGTGGCCTTGCAAAACTGTCTTAAGTAGGGAAAATTTGTATCTATAAAGAATCTCCATTAATGCAGCCATGCCCCCTCCCCTTTCTCTGCCTTTCCCTGGATCCAGGAGAGATTTAGAGTCTGACACCTTTAAAAGTCTGAAAAGAAGAGATAACAAAAACAAATGGAAAAATATTCCCTGCTCATGGATAGGAAAATCAATATTATTTGAATGGCCATACTGCCCCAAACAATTTACAGATTCAATGCTATTCCTATCAAACTACCAATGACATTCTTCACAGAATTAGAAAAAACATTCTAAAATTCATGTGGAACCAAAAAAGAGCCCAATGCAATCCTAAGCAAAAAGAACAAAGCTGGAGGCATCACACTACTCAACTTCAAACTGTACTACAAAGCTACAGTAACCAAAACAGAACGTACAAAAACAGACACACAGACCAATGGAACAGATTGGAGAACTCAGAAATAAAGCCACACAGCTACAGCCATCTGTTCAACAAAGTCAACAAAAACAAGCAATGGGGAAAAGACTCCCTATTCAGTAAATGGTGCAGGGGTAGCTGGCTAGCCATATGCAGAAGATTGAAACTGGACCCCTTCCTTTCACCATATACAAAAATCAATTCAAGATGGATTAAGGGCTTAAACATAAGACCTAAAAACTATAAAAACCCTAGAAGAAAACCTAGGAAATACCATTCTGGACATAGTCCCTGGCAAAGATTTCATGATGACTCCAAAAGGAATTGCAACAAAAATAAAAATTGACAAATGGGACCTAATTAAACTAAAGAGCTTCTGCACAGCAAAAGAAACTGTCAACAGAGTAAACAGACAACCTACAGAATGGGAGAAAATATTCGCATACTATGCATCTGACAAAGGTCTAATATCAACAATCTATAATGAACTTAAACAAACTGAAAAGCAGAAAATGGCTCCATTAAAAAGGGACAAAGGATATGAACAGGCGCTTCTCAAGAAAAGACATACACACCACCAACAATCATGAAAAAAATGCTCAACATCACTAATCATTAGAGGAATGCAAATCAAAACCACAATGAGATATCATCTCACACCAGTCAGAATGGCTATTATTAAAAAGTCAAAAAATAACTGATGCTGGCAATGCTGCAGAGAAAAGGAACACTTATACACTTCTGGTAGGAATGTAAAATAGTTCAGCCACTGTGGAAAGCAGTTCCGAGTTTTCTCAAAGAACTTAAAGCAGAATTATTCAACCCAGCAACCCCATTACTGGGTATATACCCAAAGGAATATAAATTGTTCTACAATAAAGACGCATGCATATGTTCATTGCAGCACTATTCACAATAGCAAGGACATGTAATCAACCTAAATGCCCATCAGTGGTGGGCTGGTTAAAGAAAATGTGGTACATATATACCACGGAATACTATGCAGCCATAGAAAGAATGAGATCATGTGCTCTGCAGCAACATAGATGCATCTGGAGGCCATTATCCTAAGCTAATTAATGCAGAAACAGAAAACCAAATGCCACATATTCTCACTTATAAGTGGAAGCTAAACATTGAGGTACACATGGACACAAAGAAGGGAACAACAGACACCTGGGCCTTCTTGAGGGTGGAGGGTGGGAGGAAAGTGAGGATGGAAAAACTACCTGTTGGATAATATGCTTTATTACCTGAATGAAAAAATAATCTGTACACCAAAGCCTCACGACACACAGTTTACCCATGTCACAAACATGCACATATACTTCATGAACCTAAGATAAAAGAAAGAAAAACAAAGTCTGAAAAGAAACATTTACCATCTGTTCTCTCTGAGGGAGGCTTCATCAGCATAACAAGGCCACCTTTGCTAGCCAAGCCTCTTCTCTCCTTTCCATAAACTTTTTACCAGAATCTAACCCCCATTCTTTCTGTAATTTCAAAATGGTATATAAGTTTCTGTAACTCACTGGAAAGTTGGATCTTCATTCTGAAGGCTCCCATGTATGCACATTAAATAAATGTATGTGCTTTCTCTCCTATAAATCAATCCATTTCATGTCGGTGATTTTTAGCAAACCTTTAGGGGGCCAAGAGCCTGTGGCTTCCACACAGACAATAAACAAATAAGGAAGTAAAATACATGATGTGTAACAGGATAAAAAGTGTTATACAAAAGATAGATAAGAGAAGGAGGGAAAGGCATACTTGGCAAGAGATGTGTGTAATTTTAAATAAGATTATTGAGGAAGGTCTTACTGATAAGATGGCATTTCAACCACAATCTGAAGAAAGTGAGGGAATCAGTATGCTCTGTGGATACCTGGAAAAGAGCTATCCAGGGCAGGGGGAATAACAAATGCAAAGACCCTGAGGCAGGAGAATGTCTGGGTGTGTTTGAGAAACAGACAAGAAGCCCTGTGTCTGGAATGGAGTGAGAGAGGGGAAGAAGAATAAAAGATGAACTTGCATTGCCAATGGGCAGAGCTATTGTTTAGGTTTGTATAGGCCACTGTAAGGGCTTTGGACTGATATAATCTTACATTTTAACAGAATCCTCTGTTACATAGAGAATTGTGTAGAAGGCAGTAAGATCAGAAGCAGGAATACAGGCAGTAAGATCAGAAGCAGGAATACAGGAGGCTACTGCAATCTAGGTGAGAGATGATGATGGTTTCCATCAAGGATCAAGCAGTGGGCATGGTGAGAAGTGGTGGCATTCTATATATATTTTATAGACAGAAATTGCAGGATTTGTTAATAGATTGGGTAGAGGGTGTGAGAGAAAGAGAAGTCAAAAATAACTGCAAGATTTTGGCCTGAGCAACTGAAATTAGGTGGTTGCCATCTCCGAAGATGGAAAGATTGGTGGAAGAGTTATTTTAGGTAAAAAAATATAAACAAATAAATTAAAAATGAGGATGCTTTTTTTGGACATGTTAAGTGTGAGGTGCCTATTAAGCTCCCAAGAAGAGATGTCTTGTATGTCATGGGAGAGCAGCGACTATCTGAGTTCGGTGGCGTGGGGGTAAGAAGACTTTACTAAGACAATTGTAGGTAAAGAAAGGTAGATTTATTAGAGGAAGTATGAAAATATGTTTCAAGGGAACAACAGGCAGACCAGCAAGAGAGAAGCTGACTGCAAGGAGACAAAGGCTTGCTGGGGATTTTATAGAATGTTGCTGTGTGCTAAAGGGGGCTTTGTGCAATAGTGATAATGCCAAGGTTGCATGGAGCTAACTTGCATTTTTCTATCAGTTGAGGGTCTAGGGATAAGTTGGGTGCAGGAAGATTGTGAGTTATTTGCGCAGGAGGGCTATGTGTCCTGGATCACAAAGAAAGGCAGACTTATAGCTTATCTGCTTTTTCTTTTTGCTTTCCCCTGGTCCCTCCAGACTGACTCCTCTTCCCTAATTTGGATTCCACACTGTAGGCAGTTGGGTATATATGACTGTAATACAAAGGAGAGGGCTGGGCTGAGGATATATATTATGGAGTCATCACTGTTCAGATGGTATTTAAACCATGAGAACAGATGAGGTCACTACAGGGGTTAAGAAAGATGGAGAAGAGGCCCGAGGTTTGAGCTCTGGGTACTCCAATGTTTAGAAGTACAGGTGAATCAGGAACCAGCAAGGAGTCTTAGAGAAGAAACTAGCTGTAGCTAGTTGCAGCTGTTTGAATGTTGCCACCAATGGACAAAACACAATGGACAAAAGTGTTCATGACTAGAATCCTTTGGTAAATCTAACTGATCCTCTAACAAAGACCCTCTGATGAAAATCAAATGAAAGGGAGCAGGATGATTCTTTGTATTTAAAACACTAGTATTATAGAACGTTTAAACTCAAAGAGACTTTAGGGGTCATCTTGTCCAAGTCCTTCAGTGTTTAGGGAAACAGAGGTCAAAGTCATAGGTCTGTTAGGTACACAGCTAGAACTCAGGCATCCTTGGGTGCCCAGCTGAGGTCTCTTATCATCCTGGCACGTGATCTTCAGTACAAAGCCAGTTCCTTGAGAGCACCATGGCAGCACTAAAGATTTCCCTCAAGTGTCAAGAGTTGAGGTTAATAAAAGAATTATTATGCCATAAAGGAGGACTATTACCAGCTGGTGTTTCCATTTCCTTTCATACGACTGTTTCTAATCAATTAATTAAAAAGACATATGCTTTGCTCTCCAGATAGCACATATCATTATATAAAAGCAGGTTTAGTTGTTACTTAGAAAAGGTCAGAGCCTGCCTTTTAATGCTGTAGTGAGCTACTGTTTCTCTCAGAAACTTTGTAATCACTCATTCATTGAGATCTTATGATGGTAAGTGGTTTCTAGGTCAAAAGATTAGATGTCATTCTTGGCGACAAAATTGCCCATGAATGACAGTTTCAATTTACGCTTATTCTTTTGACAGTTATTGAGGGAGATAATTCAGGCGCTCTGCCTCCAAGAGAATGAACTTCCCTGCCCAAGTGCAAGTTGACATCTTATGCAACATACAGTTAAGTAACACGAAAAGTGCTCTCACCGCCCATCCCCTCCTTTGTAGTAGCTCATGATTCCATGATAGGAAGAGAGGTTTGATGTTCAGAAATAGAGTTGTATCTTAGATAGGTCCCAGCACTTAGATCCAGAGCTGAGTTCAGCTCAGAAAGGCAACCATGTGAGGACTGGGACTTTCATATGATTTTTGCTTTCTCCGCATTTAATGCTTATGTAGCCATGGGTAGTCCTGAATAATTTTGATAGAAACCGTTTTGAAGTGGCTGAATTTTCCCTTTTGGTGATATCAGATTGAGCTAGCCAGCTCCTTTTCATCCCTGTCTCCCAGAGAAAGGGATGCATTAGCCTGAATTCCCTAGGGAATTATTTCCGTGAAATCCTTGTCAGAACTAGGACAGAGCTGAGCCTCTGTGGGCCAATGGTCATCCAGCCAACTGTGACAGATGCTGGATTAGGCCAGGTGAGGTTTGCAAAGAGCTGATCATAGAGCATCATTTGTGAACAGAGTCAAATAATTAGCCCAGAAGGCAGATACAAAGATGTATGCCTGTTCCCCATCTTTAGTAGGAAGCCTAAGGTCCCAGTTATGAGATGAGAGTGAGAGGGAGTGGTTGGAGGATGCCCCAGAGACAAAGGAGGGCAATTCATGAGTACAAGCAGGGAAGGAAGTCATATGTGCATGGGAGCCAACCTAAGAACAAGAAAGAAGGGAAGGAACTTTCTGGCACCTATTTTGAGGCAGGTACCTTATCTGTGATAATAACTACTATTTACGCAGAAACAAATACCATTTTTTAATCAGTTACTATGTGTCAGGTATTATGCTAGGTTGCTAAATGCTTATGTACATGTATATGTACACATATACATACATACATACATACACATATGTATACATGCACACATGTACATGTGTGTCTGTGTAGATAGATAAATAATATTTAAGCCATGACAGCAGATTAAATCACGACCTGGGTAAGGGTGGATAGAGTCTCAAGGCTGAAGCCCTGGGCACTCCATTGTTTAGAAATAAAAGAGAAGCAGAAAAACTAGTGAAAAACCCTAGAAAGAAGCAGATAGTTTGCTGGAATATGTTATGTTATATATAATGCTTCACTGTATAATTTATGATTTCCCTTCTTTCACTCCTGATATTGATGATTTTTATCTTCTCTGTTTTTTTTCTCCCCCAGTCAAACTGGCTAGACTTTTCTTATATAGGCCTGAGTCCAATCAAGAGACTGAATCCATACAGTAATTTGAACAGAAGTTTAATATAAAGAATTATTAAATAAGATAGGAGATTAATATAAATATTGAAAGAGAAATAAAACATGTACCCTAGGGCTGAGGAGAGTACCGAACAAAGTTGGAAGGGGAATTCCTTTTTTTTTTTTTTTGAGACAGGGTCTCGCTCTGTCACCCAGGCTGCAATGCAATGGCACAATCACAGCTCACTGCAGCCTCAATCTCCAGGGGCTCAAGTGATCCTCCCACCTCAGCCTCCTGAGTATCTGGGACTATAGGCCTGTGCCACTATGCCTGGCTAATTTTGCATCCTTTTTTTGTAGAGACAGGGTGTCACTTTGTTGCCCAGGCTTGTCTTAAACTCCTGGGCTCAAGTGATCCTCCTGCCTTGGCATCCCAAAGTGCTGGAATTACAGGCATGAGCCTCCATGCCTGGCTGAAGGAGAATGCCTTACCAAGGCTGAGGAAAAGGTGTGGATGCAAACCACTGGATGATGGAGAATTTCACTGTGTTTCTGGGCAGTGAGAGTCTGCAGTCACTGGACAAACAGGAAACAACAACCATCCAGGGTGCTGGTGAGGCAAAGCTAGTGGGTGGGTGCACAGCATGAGTTTTGGGATACTATTGCTGCTGTGAGGCCTGGAACATGAAGTGTTCATATTGGCAGGGCTGCAGGGAACAACTCTTTGGTACACAGCTGTGTCACCACTGGCAGGCAAACTTGCAGAGGGAGTTGGGATGTGGCTGCAGATATAAAACATGGAGCATGTGGAGTCCATATTCTGAAGACCACACAAAGGTAGGCACTAGGGATGGGCTACAACTGTGAATTTGCAAAAGGACTGCATGTTTCTGGTATGCATCTTGGCTTGGGCTTCACTGGATATCCCCACACACCTGCATCACTGACTGACAAAAACAAAACCAAACCCACAGCGCACCAGTAAGAGAAGCCTCCTTCCTCATGCAATTCCTCCATCTTCTTCTGCTGACAAATCTTATCATGTTTACTACAAAGGAGGAATACTAAACCATCCAGTGCAGTTTTGCAGAGCAGACACTGAAGGGCAAATTCAGAGATGAGAAGTAATGAATTGATAACTGGTACAGTCCACCCTTTGGCTACTAAGCTTCCATATGCACCCTCTACACACATTTAAATTGCCTCATAATCTAAACTGTTTACATTTTGACATAAGAAAATACCACTAACATCCTTAGAAGTGTTCTCGTCCTTTTGCAAAATGAAAAGACATGCAGTCTGAAGTCATTATATCCATAGATATATTGAGTGAGAATTATTCCTCAAACTCAGTCACAGTCTCACTGAATATGCTGTTATTTAAACACTAAGCTATAGAACTAGGCTCCAATAATGTGTATATAAGAACAAAGATAGGAAAAAAGAAAGAGGAGAAAAAATGGTTAGTATATACAGATTAACACATGTACATATCAAGTAAAGAGAAAATATGAAAAGCTACCACAATTCTTGTTTCTCTAATTGTTCACATGGTTGTAGTTGATATCTATGGCCATTTTCTTCAACTAGTAGTTGAAAAAATTTCTATTTACTTTGCCCTCAGCCAGAACTTCAGCTGCTCTTAGTTTTTTTTACATGGCAGAGTGCTCCAAACTTTTATTCCTAAAGGGTATGATTACTCAGTCATCTTGCTTTGGGTGGGGGTGCTATAGTTTTCCATTAACCTTTACTATTGGACATAGAAGTATCAAGAAGCACCTCAGAGAATCTCCTGGATTCCAGATATAGTAATTCTTGATTGCATTGTATAGCAGCAAACAGATTTCCTCTTGATAATCTGGATCAATCTCTCCAGTCAGTAACCCCTTTTTCTCCTGTTAGTTCAGTGGTATGAGAAGCCCTATATATTCAGGCAGTATAGTCTCAACTTCCAATTCAGTGTAACTATTTTGTCTCTCTTGGTGGAAGCATGTGATCGCCAATCCAACAGAGCTCCAAGTTGCTGGAATGGGAGGCAAAAATGCTGTGAGTTAGTTATTAGTTGTAATAGTGACAGGAGTTATTCCCACTTCTACACCTTAATTTCTGGAACTATGTGATCTGGCTATGGGGGAAACAGCACCAGATAATTCTGCTCTGATTTAAAGCAAAAACTACATCCTGTGAGACTGAATCCCATCCTCGCAAGGTGTTTTCTCCCATTTGGTGTTGTAACTGAGTGTTCAGTAACCAATTTCACCTTTCAGTTAGACCAGCTGCTTCTGGATTGTGTCATAAGAGCAGTTATTTCCATGGCATGAGGACTTTGCTACACACTTCCTTTGCTGTGAGATGAGTTCCTTGGTGATGCATACAGTCACGCACTGTGTAACTACATTTTGGTAAATGATGGACCACATATATGAAGGTGGACTCATAAGATTATAATGGAGCTGAAAAATTCCTATCACCTAGTAACATTATAGTGCAATGCATTACTCATGTGTTTATGATGATGCTGGTGTAACCAAACCTATTGTGCTGCCAGTCATAGAAAAGTCTTGCACATACAATTATGAACAGTACATAATACTTGATGATGATAATAAATGATGATGTTACTGGTTTATATCTTTACTATACTATACTTATAATTATTATTTTAGAGTGTACTCCTTCTACTTTTTTTTTTAAAGTTAACTGTAAATCAGTCTCAGGCAGGTTTTTCTTTTTTTTGCCATTTTATTTTATTTCATTTTATTTTTATTTATTATTATTATACTTTAAGTTTTAGGGTACATGTGCACAATGTGCAGGTTTGTTACATATGTATACATGTGCCATGCTGGTGCACTGCACCCACTAACTCGTCATCTAGCATTAGGTATATCTCCCAATGCTATCCCTCCCCGCTCCCCCCACCCCACAACAGGCCCCAGAGTGTGATGTTCCCCTTCCTGTGTCCATGTGTTCTCATTGTTCAATTCCCACCTATGAGTGAGAATATGCGGTGTTTGGTTTTTTGTTCTTGCGATAGTTTACTGAGAATGATGATTTCCAATTTCATCCATGTCCCTACAAAGGACATGAACTCATCACTTTTATGGCTGCATAGTATTCCATGGTGTATATGTGCCACATTTTCTTAATCCAGTCTATCATTGTTGGACATTTGGGTTGGTTCCAAGTCTTTGCTATTGTGAATAATGCCGCAATAAACATACGTGTGTAAGTGTCTTTATAGCAGCATCATTTATAGTCCTTTGGGTATATACCCAGTAATGAGATGGCTGGGTCAAATGGTATTTCTAGTTCTAGATCCCTGAGGAATAGCCACACTGACTTCCACAATGGTTGAACTAGTTTACAGTCCCACCAACAGTGTAAAAGTGTTCCTATTTCCCCACATCCTCTCCAGCACCTGTTGTTTCCTGACTTTTTAATGATTGCCATTCTAACTGGTGTGAGATGGTATCTCATTGTGGTTTTGATTTGCATTTCTCTGATGGCCAGTGATGGTGAGCATTTTTTCATGTGTTTTTTGGCTGCATAAATGTCTTCTTTTGAGAAGTGTCTTTTCATGTCCTTCACCCACTTTTTAATGGGGTTGTTTGTTTTTTTTCTTGTAAATTTGTTTGAGTTCATTGTAGATTCTGGATATTAGCCCTTTGTCAGATGAGTAGGTTGCTAAAATTTTCTCCCATTTTGTAGGTTGCCTGTTCAATCTGATGGTAGTTTCTTTTGCTGTGCAGAAGCTCTTTAGTTTAATTAGATACCATTTGTCAATTTTGTCTTTTGTTGCCATTGCTTTTGGTGTTTTAGACATGAAGTCCTTGCCCATGCCTATGTCCTGAATGGTAATGCCTAGGTTTTCTTCTAGGGTTTTTACGGTTTTAGGTCTAACGTGTAAGTCTTTAATCCATCTTGAATTGATTTTTGTATAAGGTGTAAGGAAGGGATCCAGTTTCAGCTTTCTACATATGGCTAGCCAGTTTTCCCAGCACCATTTATTAAATAGGGAATCCTTTCCCCATTGCTTGTTTTTCTCAGGTTTGTCAAAGATCAGATAGTTGTAGATATGCGGCGTTATTTCTGAGGGCTCTGTTCTGTTCCATTGATCTATATCTCTGTTTTGGTACCAGTACCATGCTGTCTTGTTTACTGTAGCCTTGTAGTATAGTTTGAAGTCAGGTAGTGTGATGCCTCCAGCTTTGTTCTTTTGGCTTAGGATTGACTTGGCAATGCGGGCTCTTTTTTGATTCCATATGAACTTTAAAGTAGTTTTTTCCAATTCTGTGAAGAAAGTCATTGGTAGCTTGATGGGGATGGCATTGAATCTATAAATTACCTTGGGCAGTATGGCCATTTTCACAATATTGATTCTTCCTACCCATAAGCATGGAATGTTCTTCCATTTGTTTGTGTCCTCTTTCATTTCCTTGAGCAGTGGTTTGTAGTTCTCCTCGAAGAGGTCCTTCACAACCCTTGTAAGTTGGATTCCTAGGTATTTTATTCTCTTTGAAGCAATTGTGAATGGGAGTTCACTCATGATTTGGCTCTCTGTTTGTCTGTTGTTGGTGTATAAGAATGCTTGTGATTTTTGTACATTGATTTTGTATCCTGAGACTTTGCTGAAGTTGCTTATGAGCTTAAGGGGATTTTGGGCTGAGACGACGGGGTTTTCTAGATATACAATCATGTCGTCTGCAAACAGGGACAATTTGACTTCCTCTTTTCCTAATTGAATACCCTTTATTTCCTTCTCCTGCCTAATTGCCCTGGCCAGAACTTCCAACACTATGTTGAATAGGAGTGGTGAGAGAGGGCATCCCTGTCTTGTGCCAGTTTTCAAAGGGAATGCTTCCAGTTTTTGCCCATTCAGTATGATATTGGCTGTGGGTTTGTCATAGATAGCTCTTATTATTTTGAAATACATCCCATCAATACCTAATTTATTGAGAGTTTTTAGCGTGAAGAGTTGTTGAATTTTGCCAAAGGCCTTTTCTGCATCTATTGAGATAATCATGTGGTTTTTGTCTTTGCTTCTGTTTATATGCTGGATTACATTTATTGATTTGCGTATATTGAACCAGCCTTGCATCCCAGGGATGAAGCCCACTTGATCATGGTGGATAAGCTTTTTGATGTGCTGCTGGATTCGGTTTGCCAGTATTTTATTGAGGATTTTTGCATCAATGTTCATCAAGGATATTGGTCTAAAATTCTCTTTTTTGGTTGTGTCTCTGCCCGGCTTTGGTGTCAGGATGATACTGGCCTCATAAAATGAGTTAGGGAAGATTCCCTCTTTTTCTACTGATTGGAATAGTTTCAGAAGGAATGGTACCAGTTCCTCCTTGTACCTCTGGTAGAATTCAGCTGTGAATCCATCTCGTCCTGGACTCTTTTTGGTTGGTAAGCTATTGATTATTGCCACAATTTCAGATCCTGTTATTGGTCTATTGAGAGATTCAACTTCTTCCTGGTTTAGTCTTGGGAGGGTGTGTGTGTCGAGGAATTTATCCATTTCTTCTAGATTTTCTAGTTTATTTGCGTAGAGGTGGTTGTAGTATTCTCTGATGGTAGTTTGTATTTCTGTGGGATCAGTGGTGATATCCCCTTTATCATTTTTTATTGTCTCTATTTGATTCTTCTCTCTTTTTTTCTTTATTAGTCTTGCTAGCGGTCTATCAACTTTGTTGATCCTTTCAAAAAACCAGCTCCTGGATTCATCAATTTTTTGAAGGGTTTTTTGTGTCTCTATTTCCTTCAGTTCTGCTCTGATTTTAGTTATTTCTTGCCTTCTGCTAGCTTTCGAATGTGTTTGCTCTTGCTTTTCTAGTTCATTTAATTGTGATGTTAGGGTGTCAATTTTAGATCTTTCCTGCTTTCTCTTGTGGGCATTTAGTGCTATAAATTTCCCTCTACACACTGCTTTAAATGTGTCCCAGAGATTCTGGTATGTTGTGTCGTTGTTCTCGTTGGTTTCAAAGAACATCTTTATTTCTGCCTTCATTTCGTTATGTACCTAGTAGTCATTCAGGAGCAGGTTGTTCAGTTTCCATGTAGTTGAGCGGTTTTGAGTGAGTTTCTTAATCCTGAGTTCTAGTTTGATTGCACTGTAGTCTGAGAGACAGTTTGCAATAATTTCTGTTCTTTTACATTTGCTGAGGAGTGCTTTACTTCCAACTATGTGGTCAATTTTGGAATAGGTGTGGTGTGGTGCTGAAAAGAATGTATATTCTGTTGATTTGGGGTGGAGAGTTCTGTAGATGTCTATTAGGTCTGCTTGGTGCAGAGCTGAGTTCAAGTCCTGGATATCCTTGTTAACTTTGTGTCTCGTTGATCTGTCTAATGTTGACAGTGGAGTGTTAAAGTCTCCCATTATTATTGTGCGGGAGTCTAAGTCTCTTAGTAGGTCTCTAAGGACTTGCTTTATGAATCTGGGTGCTCCTGTATTGGGTGCATATATATTTAGGATAGTTAGCTCTTCTTGTTGAATTGATCCCTTTACCATTACGTAATGACCTTCTTTGTCTCTTGTGATCTTTGTTGATTTAAAGTCTGTTTTATCAGAGACTAGGATTGCAACCCCTGCCTTTTTTTGTTTTCCATTTGCTTGGTAGATCTTCCTCCATCCCTTTATTTTGAGCCTATGTGTGTCTCTGCACGTGAGATGGGTTTCCTGAATACAGCACACTGATGGGTCTTGACTCTTTATCCAATTTGCCAGTCTGTGCCTTTTAATTGGAGCATTTAGCCCATTTACGTTTAAGGTTAATACTGTTATGTGTGAATTTGATCCTGTCATTATGATGTTAGCTGGTTATTTCGCTCGTTAGTTGATGCAGTTTCTTCCTAGCCTCGATGGTCTTTACAATTTGGCATGTTTTTGCAGTGGCTGGTACCGGTTGTTCCCTTCCATGTTTAGTGCTTCCTTCAGGAGCCCTTTTAGGGCAGGCCTGGGGGTGACAAAATCTCTCAGCATTTGCTTGTCTGTAAAGGATTTTATTTCTCCTTCACTTATGAAGCTTAGTTTGGCTGGATATGAAATTCTGGGTTGAAAATTCTTTTCTTTAAGAATGTTGAATATTGGCCCCCACTCTCTTCTAGCTTGTAGAGTTTCTGTCGAGAGATCAGCTGTTAGTCTGATGGGCTTCCCTTTGTGGGTAACCTGACCTTTCTCTCTGGCTGCCCTTAATATTTTTTCCTTCTTTTCAACTTTGGTGAATCTGACAATTATGTGTCTTGGAGTTGCTCTTCTCGAGGAGTATCTTTGTGGCATTCTCTGTATTTCCTGAATGTGAATGTTGGCCTGCCTTGCTAGATTGAGGAAGTTCTCCTGGATAATATCCTGCAGAGTGTTTTCCAACTTGGTTCCATTCTCCCCATCACTTTCAGGTACACCAATCAGACGTAGATTTGGTGTTTTCACATAGTCCAATACTTCTTGGAGGCTTTGTTCATTTCTTTTTATTCTTTTTTCTCTAAACTTCTCTTCTCACTTCATTTCATTCATTTCATCTTCCATCACTGATACCCTTTCTTCCAGTTGATCGAATTGGCTACTGAAGCTTGTGCATTTGTCACGTAGTTCTTGTGCCATGGTTTTCAGCTCCATCAGCTCCTTTAAGGACTTCTCAGCATTGGTTATTCTAGTTAGCCATTCGTCTAATCTTTTTTCAAGGTTTTTAACTTCTTTGCCATGGGTTCGAACTTCCTCCTTTAGCTCAGAGAAGTTTGATTGTCTGAAGCCTTCTTCTCTCAACTCGTCAAAGTCATTCTCCATTCAGCTTTGTTCCATTGCTGGTGAGGAACTGCGTTCCTTTGGAGGAGGAGAGGCACTCTGATTTTTAGAATTTTCAGTTTTTCTGCTCTATTTTTTCCCCATCTTTTGGTTTTATATACCTTTGGTCTGAATCCAGGAGCTGGTGTTTTTGAAAAGATCAACAAAATTGATAGACCGCTAGCAAGACTAATAAAGAAGAAAAGAGAGAAGACTCAAATAGACACAATAAAAAATGATAAACGGGATATCACCACTGATCCCACAGAAATACAAACTACCATCAGATAATACTATAAACACCCCTACGCAAATAAACTAGAAAATCTAGAAGAAGTGGGTAAATTCCTCGACACATACACCCTCCCAAGACTAAACCAGGAAGAAGTTGAATCTCTCAATAGACCAATAACAGGCTCTGAAATTGAGGCAATAATTAATAGCTTACCAACCAAAAAAAGTCCAGGACCAGACGGATTCACAGGTGAATTCTACCAGAGGTACAAGGAGGAGCTGGTACCATTCCTTCTGAAACTATTCCAATCAATAGAAAAAGAGGGAATCCTCCCTAACTCATTTTATGAGGCCAGATTCATCCTGAAACCAAAGCTTGGCAGAGACACAATAAAAAAATAGAATTTTAGACCAATATCCATGATGAACATCGATGCAAAAATCCTGAATAAAACACTGGCAAAGAGAATCCAGCAACACATCAAAAAGCTTATCCACCATAATCAAGTGGGCTTCATCCCTGGGATGCAAGGCTGGTTCAACATACACAAATCAATAAACATAATCCAGCATATAAACAGAACCAATGACAAGAACCACATGATTATCTCAATAGATGCAGAAAAGGCCTTTGACAAAATTCAACAACCTTCATGCTAAAAACTCTCAATAAATTAGGTATTGATGGGACGTATCTCAAAATAATAAGAGCTATTTATGACAAACCCACAGCCAGTATCATACTGAATGGACAAAAACTGGAAGCATTCCCTTTGAAAACTGGCACAAGACAGGGATGCCCTCTCTCACCACTCTTATTCAACATAGTGTTGGAAGTTCTGGCCAGGGCAATTAGGCAGGAGAAGGAAATAAAAGGTATTCAATTAGGAATAGAGGAAGTCAAACTGTCCCTATTTGCAGATGACATGACTGTATATCTAGAAAACCCCATCGTCTCAGCCCAAAATCTCCTTAAGCTCATAAGCAACTTCAGCAAAGTCTCAGGATACAAAATCAATGTACAAAAATCACAAGCATTCTTATACATCAATAACAGACAAACAGAGAGCTAAATCATGAATGAACTCCCATTCACAATTGCTTCAAAGAGAATAAAATACCTAAGAATCCAACTTACAAGGGAAGTGAAGGACCTCTTCAAGGAGAACTACAAACCACTGCTCAATGAAATAAAAGAGGACACAAACAAATGGAAGAACATTCCATGCTTATGGATAGGAAGAATCAATATTGTGAAAATGGCCATACTGCCCAAGGTAATTTATAGATTCAATGCCATCCCCATCAAGCTACCAATGACTTTCTTCACAGAATTGGAAAAAACTACTTTAAAGTTCATATGGAACCAAAAAAGAGCCCGCATTGCCAAGTCAATCCTAAGCCAAAAGAACAAAGCTGGCGGCATCACACTACCTGACTCCAAACTATACTACAAGGCTACAGTAACCAAAATATCATGGTACTGCTACCAAAACAGAGACATAGACCAATGGAACGGAACAGGGCCCTCAGAAATAATGCCACACATCTACAACTATCTGATCTTTGACAAACCTGAGAAAAACAAGCAATGGGGAAAGGATTCCCTATTTAATAAATGGTGCGGGGAAAACTGTCTAGCCATATGTAGAAAGCTGAAACTGGATCCCTTCCTTACACCTTATACAAAAATCAATTCAAGATGGATTAAAGACTTACACGTTAGACCTAAAACCGTAAAAACCCTAGAAGAAAACCTAGGCAATACCATTCAGGACATAGGCATGGGCAAGGACTTCATGTCTAAAACACCAAAAGCAATGGCAATGAAAGCCAAAATTGACAAATGGGATCTAATTAAAGTAAAGAGCTTCTGCACAGCAAAAGAAACTACCATCAGAGTGAACAGGCAACCAAAGAATGGGAGAAAATTTTAGCAACCTACTCATCTGACAAAGGGCTAATATCCAGAATCTACAATGAACTCAAACAAATTTACAAGAAAAAAAACAAACAACCCCATTAAAAAGTGGGTGAAGGACATGAAAAGACACTTCTCAAAAGAAGACATATATGCAGCCAACAGACACATGAAAAAATGCTCATCATCACTGGCCATCAGAGAAATGCAAATCAAAACCACAATGAGATACCATCTCACACCAGTTAGCATGGCGATCATTAAAAATTCAGGAAACAACAGGTACTGGAGAGGATGTGGAGAAATAGGTACACTTTTACACTGTTGGTGGGACTGTAAACTAGTTCAACCATTGTGGAAGTCAGTGTGTTGACTCCTCAGGGATCCAGAACTAGAAATACCATTTGACCCAGCCATCCCATTACTGGGTATATACCCAAAGGATTATAAATCATGCTGCTATAAAGACACATGCACACGTATGTTTATTGCAGCACTATTCACAATAGGAAAGACTTGGAACCAACTCAAATGTCCAACAACGATAGACTGGATTAAGAAAATGTGGCACATATACACCATGGAATACTATGCAGCCATAAAAAATGATGAGTTCATGTCCTTTGTAGGGATATGGATGAAGCTGGAAACCATCATTCTCAGCAAACTATCGCAAGGACAAAAAACCAAACATCGCATGTTCTCACTCATAGGTGGGAATTGAACAATGAGAACACTTGGACGCAGGAAGGGGAACATCACACGCCAGGGCCTGTTGTGGGGTGGGGGAAGGGGGGAGGGATAGTATTAGGAGATACACCTAATGTTAAATGACGAGTTAATGGGTGCAGCACACCAACATGGCACATGTATACATATGTAACAAACCTGCACGTTGTGCACATGTACCCTAAAACTTAAAGTATAATAATAAAAAACAGATAAGAGAGCACAGAGTAGCTACCCCTACAGATATTTAAAAAATAATAATAATAAATTCTATGGTAGTATACAGTAATGTCCTAGGCCCTAACATTCACTCACCTCTCACTCACTGACTCAAAGCAACCTCCGGTCCTGCAAGCTCCATTCATGGTAAGAGTCCTATTAGATGTACCCTTTTAAAAAATTTTTTTATAACATATTTCTGCTGTACTTTTTCTATGTTTAGATACACAGATACTTGCCATTGTGTTACAATTGCCTACAGTATTCGGTACAGTAACATGCTGTACAGATTTGTAACCTAGGAGCAAGAGGCTATACCATCTATTTGTGTAAGTACATTCTGTGACATTTGCACGTTGACAAAATCACCTAGTTATACATTTCTCAGAATGTATTCCCATTGTGAAGTGACACATGGCCATAATTCTCTATAGAATGCCACGATGGTAGACAAGACATTCTATGAATCCCCAGATGGATGCTACTGGAAGAAGCATTATAGGAAAGGAAGACAAATTCATATACAGAGTACGTGTCCATTCCTGTGAGAATGAAACTCTTCCCCACCAATGATGAAAGACATCTAATGGAATCCATCTGCTACCAGGTAGCTGGCTGGTCACCATAGAAAATGATGCTATATCGGAGACTCAATGTTGGTTTCTACTCTTGGTAGATTAGGTACTGAACTGTAGTATTATGCAAGCCAGCCTTGATAAGAGGACACCTATATTGTTGAGCCCATCCATAGCATCCATCCCTGTCACCATTGACTCTTATATTCATGGGCCCATTGAGCAAACACTCAAGTGACTAGAGAAAGAAGCTGACTGCCATTCACAAAGTGTGTCATTTTGTTCACCTATTATTATGTCCTTTGATGGACATTCACATGGAACACAAATATCTTTATAGCTTGTACCAATTCAAAAAGATCTATCCCATACCTTTCCCCAGACTTCTTTGTCGCCTGTCTTCCAATCCTATTCCTTTCAAATCTCTAATCATTCAGCTAAACCCTTAGCAAATGCTTAAGAATCGCTGTAGGTATGTACTTCTGGGCATCCTTCAGCTCTCAATTTTAAGATGATATAAGCATATCTTGCAGGCCCATTTGTAAACTAAGCTTAAGGTTTTTCCTGCCTCAGTCAGCTAACCACAAGGAATGCCCCAAGGACACTGTAGGCATGGATTGAGAGAGACAGGGCGCTATAACAGGAATTGGTGTTTAAGGGGTTTGCCCATTTGCTCATGCAACTTATCTGTACCTTCTGGATCTGCCAAGCTGAGTCTATTATTGTGGTAGACAGAATTCTAAGATAGCCTTTGATATAGTTTGGATGTTTGTCCCCTCCAAATATCATGTTGAAATGTGATCCCCACAATGTTAGAGGTGGGACCTGGTGGAATGTGTTTGGGTCATGGGGGCAGTAGCTGGAGTTAGGTATGCACCCCCATGCCCAGCTAATTTTTAATATATATTTTTTAGAGACAGGGTCTTGCTATATTTCACAGGCTGGTCTTGAACTCCTGGCCTCAAGCAATCCTCCTACCTCAGCCTCCCAAATAGCTGGTATTACAGAAGTGAGAAACTTAACTTGGCTACTATAATTCTTTTTCTGTGTTGCTGGATCCAGTTTGCTAGTACTTTGTTAAGGAATTCTGTACCCATATTAATAAGATATTGGTCTGCAGCATTGTTTTTGTTTTTGTTTTTGCATATCTTTCTCTGGTTTTAGTATCAGGATAATGTGGGCCCCATAAAATAAAATGAATCGGGAAGTGTTCCCTCCTTTTTTAATTTTTGAAGAATTTATGAAGAATTGTGTATTAGTCAGGGTTCTCTGGAGAAATAGAAACAATAGGGTACGTGTGGGTCTGTGTGTATAGTCACGTGTCACTTAATGACAGGGATACATTCTGAGAAATGCATCATTAGGCAATTTTGTCATTGTGTGAACATCATAGAGTGTATTTACACAAACCTAGACGGTATAGCCTACTACACACCTAAGCTACATGGTATAGGCTATTGTTCCTAGGTTACAAATCTGTATGGCATGTTACCGTACTGAATTCTGTAGGCCAGCAGTCCCCAACCTTTTTGGCACCAGGGACCAGTTTTGTGAACGACAATTTTTCCACAGACAGGGAGGATGGTTTCAGGATGAAACTGTTACACCTCAGATCATCAGGCATTAGATTCTCATATGGAGTGTACGACCTAGATCCCTCGCATACACAGTTCACAATACAGTTCACACTCCTATGAGAATCTAATGCTGCCA
This sequence comes from Homo sapiens, assembly GCF_000001405.40. Classification (NCBI taxonomy): domain Eukaryota; kingdom Metazoa; phylum Chordata; class Mammalia; order Primates; family Hominidae; genus Homo; species Homo sapiens. Next base: position 133,106,120 of record NC_000023.11, on the reverse strand, counting down.
CTGATTACACAGGAGGTGGAGTTCAGGCGGTAACGCTTGCCTGCTGCTCACCTCCTGCTGTGCAGCCTGGCTCCTAATAGGCCACAGACCAGTACCAGTCCATGGCCCTGGGATTGAAGACTCTTGCTCTAGGCGATTGTAACACAATGATAAATATTTGTGTAACTAAACATAGAAAAGATACAGTAAAAATACAATATTATAATCTTATGGGACCACCATTGTATACATGGTTGGTCATTGAGCAAAACATAAATATAAATAAATTAAATTAAATATATTTATATTATAAATATATATTTATATATATATAGTGTGTGTATATATATCCATGTGTGTGTATATAGATATATATACACACATATATAAAGAGACCCACATGATAGTGTATATATATGAGTATATATTTGTGTATATATATATATATATATATATATGAGTATATATTCGTATATATGGAGAGACTTATATTTATTACAAGGTAATTATTATAAAATATTGGTTTACATTTACATGATTATAGAGGCTAAGGAGTCCCACAATCTGCCATCTGTAAGCTGGAGACCCAGGAAAGCCAGTGACATCATTTAAGGGTGTGAGAGCCAGAAAACTGATATTGTAGATTCCAGTCAGAGTCTGAAGGCCTTAGAACCAAGAGCACTAAGGGCAGGAGAAGACTAATTTCCCAATTCAGCCATCAGAGTTCACTCAACTTTCCTTCACCTTTTTGTTCTATTGAGGTCCTCTATAGATTGGATGAGTTCACCCACACTGGGGAGGGCCATTTGCTTCCCTCAGTCTGCCAATTCAAGTGCTAATCTCTTCTGGAAACATCCTCACAGACACACCCAGAAATGTTGAACCAGCTATCTGGGCATCCTGTGGCCTAGTCAAGTTGACAGATTAAATTAACCGTGACAAATTGGTATTGTTCTTTGAATGTTTTATATAATTGATTGGTGAAGCCACCTGGCGGAGCCTTGTTTTGGGTATAGTTTTTTAAATTACTGATTTAGTCTTTTACCTTGATATAGGTTTGTTCATATGGTCTATTTCTCTCAAATTACTACTTTAGCTGCATCCCATCTCAAAGTATTTTCTCATTTCCCTTTTAATTTCTTCTTGGTCCATTAGGTGCTTGAGTGTGTTGTTTAATTTCCACTTATGAGTGAGTTTCTCAAATTTATACTTATTACTGATTTCTATTTTAATTGCAATTTCGTTGGAGATCATACTCTGTGTTCTAGAGATATTTGTTAGCACTAATTGGTTTATAGTGTTCTGCAAGTTGATTGCTTTGTTGATCTTTTAAGTTGTTCCATTTATTATTGAAAGTGAGTTACTAAATTCTATAAATGTTACTGGTGAATTGTTTATCTCTTCAGTTCTGTCAGCTTTGTTTAATGTATTTTGTATTATATTTTTGTTTAATGTAATTACCATATATATTTATACTTACTATATCTTCCAGATAGATTGACCCTTTGCCATTATAAAATGTCTTTATCTCAATAACATTTTTTGTTTTAAAGTCTATTTTGTCTGATATTAGTATAACCATTCAAGTTTCCCCTTGATTGTTATTTGCATGATATATCCTTTTGTATCCCTTTATTTTCAATTTCTTTATTTTGTTTAAAGTATATATTCTATAGACAGCATGTAGATGGATCACATGTTTTTAAAATCCATTTGGACAATCCCTGTGTTTTGGTTGGATTGTTTTATCCATCCACAGATAGTAGTTTTTTTTTTTTTTTTTTTTTATACAAGGTCTCACTTTGTTGCCCAGGCTGGAGTGCAGTGGCACGACCTCTGCTCACTGAAGCCTTGACCTCTGGGGCTCAAGTGACACTTTCACCTTCACTTCCCTAGTAGCTTGGACTACAGGTGTGTGACACCATGACCAGCTAATTTTTTTTTGTATTTGTAGAGACAGGGTTTTGCCATGTTGCCCAGGCTGGTCTTAAACGTCTGGGCTCAAGCGATCTGCCCTCCTTGGCCTCCCAAAATGCTGGGATTAAAGGTGTGTGCCATGGTGCTTAGCTAGTTTTCATATTTTATCCAAAATTTATAGTTATAATCAGCAGGAGGAAAAGGCTGTTAGGATCTCACACTGCTTTTGCAAAACTAGAATATGCTTGCCTATTTTGTGTTAGGTACAATTTATATATAATGAATTTACTAATCTTAAGAATATCATTTGCAAGCTTTTGACAAATCTATGCATCTGGGCAACCAAAACACAAATAAGAATATAGAATAATACTATCAACCAGAAACTACCCATATATATGTATATGTATTTCCATTCAGCATCTGCTCCAATTCCCCCAAACAACCCCAGTTGTAATTTATGACACCATAGTTTAGCCTTTTCTGTTCTAGAACTTATGTGGATATGATCATGATGGAAGCTGACGATTTTTTCCTATTGTTTATAGCTTTAGTCTACAATAATGTAGGATAAAAGGGAAAATTTTATTTTATTACAAATATGTGTTTGGATGCAGCCAATAAACATGAAAAAAAGCTCATCATCACTGGTTATTAGAGAAATGCAAATCAAAACCACGATGAGGTAACATCTCACGCCAGTTAGAATGGTGATCATTAAAAAGTCAGGAAACAACAGATGCTGGAGAGGATGTGGAGAAATAGGAACACTTTACACTGTTGGGAGTGTAAATTAGTTCAACCATTGTGGAAAACAGTGTGGCAATTCCTCGAGGATCTAGAACCAGAAATACCATTTGACTCAGCAATCCCATTGCTGGGTATAAACCCAAAGGATGATAAATCATTCTCCTATAAAGACACATGCACACGTTTGTTTATTGCAGCACTATTCACAATAGCAAAGACTGGGAACCAACCCAAATGTCCAACAATGATTGACTGGATAAAGAAAATGTAGCACATACACACCATGGAATACTATGAAGCCATAAAAAAGAATGAGTTCATGTCCTTTGCAGGGACATGGATAAAGCTAGAAACCATCATTCTCAGCAAACTAACAAAGGAACAGAAAACCAAACGCTTGCATGTTCTCAATCATAAGTGGGAGTTGAACAATGAGAACACATGGACACAGGAAGGGGAACATCACACACTGGGGCCTGTTGGGGGGTGGATGGCTAGAAGAGGGATAGCATTAGGAGAAATACCTAATATACATGATGGGTTGATGGGTGCAGCAAACCACCATGGCAGGTGTATACCTATGTAACAAAACTGCACATTCTGCATATGTATCCCAGAACTTATAGTATAATAAAATAAAATAAAATAATATAATATAAAATAAAAAAATACACATCTGTTTCTTAATACATTTTACTTTTCACAAATGAAACTTGATCAAATATCAAAATTTTACAAAAACATATTTTCTAAAGCAGGAAAATAGTCAAGTTACCAGGAATCTTTTATACTTAATTCACTTAAAAGTATTATACATTCTTTTATACAAAATTATTTTGCACTATTTTTTTCTTAAGCAAATTTGTCTGGAAACCTAGTGAGTAATTTTCTGCTGTTTGGTGCAAATTGTTATTTTTGATGCTAAATGTATGTGCACATATTTGATTTTAAATATTATAATTTATATTAATTAATTTAAAAGTTATATTTGTTAACTAATATAACTTATATGAACGAATTTAAATTATATAAATTAATCAAATCTTTGCTATGTTTTTACTCGTTAAATGTATTCATTAATAATAAACATTTTAAATACATACTAAACATTTTTTAGACAAATATGGCATACAAACAGCTAAGTGGTGCAATGTTTAGGAAAAGGAGAAATATCCATGTGGAAAGGAATTAAAAGTATAAAAGCAGTTAGAAATTTAGATAGAAAAATGCAGAAAATTATCATGTCTTTAACATTATTAGAACAAAATAACTATCAAATTCAGAGTTAAATAAAGAATCTTCTGTCAACAGTGAAGAAAAAAAATGAAGGAAGGGAGATTTTAGAAATTTCAGAAACTATTGAACATAATTGTAAACAGATAAGTAAGATGATACTATTTGAAATAAATTTGACCAGGCACAGTGGCTTATACCTGTAATCCAGAACTTTGGGAGGCCGAGGTGGGCGAATCGTTTGAGCCCAGGAGTTTGAGACCAGCCTGGGCAACACGGTGAAACCCCATCTCTACAAAAAAATTTAAAAGCTAGAAAGGCGTGGTGGTGTGCATGTGTAGTCTCAGTTACTCGAGAGGCTGAAGTGGGAGGACCACCTGAGCTCGAGAGACTGAGATTGCAGTGAGATAAGATCACACCACTGCACTCCAGCCTGGGCGACAGAGTAAGATGGTCTCAAAAAAAAAAAAAAAAGAACGAAAGAAATTTTTGAAATCCTCTATTATGACCACCAGTTTCTGATAAAGTAAAAATGAATTTAATAGAACATGTACTCAATTGAGAACAGACTTTGCAGTTTTAGAAAGTCTATTTAACATGACAGGCAAAAAATTTCACATGACTTTTTAAAAACTTAAAATGATGAGTTGAACATTGAGACTAGCTAATTTATTCCAAAAGGTCCTTGTCTTTATTTTGTTTTCCATAGGTATTTTTTAGCAGTGATATAATAGAAAACAAAGTTGTAGAACTCTTATTATTTAAAATAGTTTGATTGTAGATTTTCTTGCATTTTCCATATAGACAATTATGGTATCTGCGATTAATGGCAAAATTCTCTCATCATTTTCAATTTTCATCCCTTTTATTGGGGGTGGTCAATTCCATAGTGAGCACCTCCAATATAATGTTGACTATTAGTAGCCATAGAAGTTATCTTACTTCTATTTCTGCTTTTGGTGAGAACATTTATAAATTTTTGCCATTCATTCTGATATTTTTTAAAGGTTTTGTTATATATCCTTTATTGATTTAAGAACATTATTTTCTATTTCATGCTTGCTGAGACTTTTAAAAATATGTGAATGAGTTGACATTATCCAAAGCTTTTTCTGCAACTGTTGATAGGTGATATGGTTTTTATTCATTAATGTGTGCATCACTCAATGCCCTCACGAGCACCACATACCATTATCAGAAGATTAATTGGGCCAGGCATGGTGGCTCATGCCTGTAATCCCAGCACTTTGGGAGACCAAGGCAGGTGGATCACTTGAAGTCAGGAGTTCGAGACCAGCCTGGCCAACAAGGCGAAACCCGTCTCTACTAAAACACAAAAATTAGCCAGGCATGGTGGCACACGCCTGATATAAACTCAGGGTCTAGCAACTATTGGAATCTGTTACTACCAATGCCATAAAGGTACAAGAGGAGAGAATAGAGTTATTAGAATGAGGAAAATCTGCAGTTGTGAGAGATGGGCTTTTTTGCAGGCAGTGTAACTCTAGAGGGGGAATACAGACACTGCAATGACCTCTTTAATGTCCTCTCAAATTTCTTACCTCTGCTTCTCTGTGGTTTAACACAACTGGAAGACAAAAGACAAGGCAGACTGGATGATGTAGTAGTCCATAGAGGTCGGTCCTCAGGTAACATAGAACAAGATAGAGAAAGTAAAGAATGAATTTGGTTGGGTGAATGGAACATATGTAGCTCAGTGCTTTCATGTGGTGAACTATGATCAATTTTCCAAAGGTGAATTACACTTGCATTAGTGGGATAAGCAATACCTGCTTTATATACTGATGGGTTTGATTTAGTAATGTTATACGCAGGACTTAAGCATAAAATGTTTATAAGCCAATTTGGCCTGTAATATTTCTTCTCCTGTCATTTCCTGAGTTTGGCTATCAAGGTTATCCTAGCCTCATAAAATGTTGGGATTATTAATCAGTATTTCAAAAGCCAAGTTTTAATTTTAGAAGCATCTTAGCATATCTGTATAATTCTTTTCATCCCAGCCCATGGACAGTCACAGTAGGTTATTTTTAATCCCAACCTAGACTATGATTCCCACCCCAAACTTCAGCCAAATGATTCTGAAATTATCAGAATCACCTGGAGTTCTTGTTTAAAATGTAGATACCTGACCCCATCCACAAAATTCTGATTCAGAAGGGTTAAGGTGGAGTGAAAAGCCTGCATGGTTAAGAAGCCCTCCAAGTACGTGTACATGAATATTCATGGCAGCACTAATCACAGTAGCCAAAAGGTGAATACAGTCCATATGTTCATAAATGGGTGAATGGATAAAGAAATTCTGGTATCGACATATAATCAATATTGTTTAGCCATAAAAAGGAATAAAGGACTGATACATGTTATAATATGAATAAACTTCAAAAACAGTATACTAAATGAAAAAGACTAAACACAAAAGGTCATGTGTGTGATTCCATTTATATGAAATGTCCAGAATAAGCAAACTCATAAAGATAAAAAGCAGATTGGTGGTTTACAGAGGCTAAGGGAAGGAGAATGTTATAAACAATGCTACTGAGATTCCTTCTGGGGTGGGCCAGATGTTTCAAGATTGTGTAGAGGTGGTGGTTACACATTGTAAATGTACTAAATACCACCGAATTGTTCACTTCAAAATGCTTAATTGTGTGTTATGTGAATTTCACCTCCATAACATAAAAAAGGCAGCTTCCCAACTGATTTGGATGGAATGGAAGACCATACTTTGGTCATTCAATCTAAATCATAAAACAATGGGCCTCCAAGGAATGAGGTCTGTAATCTTTGGTGTTCTTTCAACTTGAAGGACGCTGAAGAGTTAAGTAGAACTGAAGTAGCAGAAGATACCCCTCCCACTTCATCCCATTACTGTACACGTACACTTGTTTATTTCAGTCACTTTATCTTATTGGGAACACTCTTCTAGTTTCTTCTCTTAATGGTTTCTTCCTACCCATCCTCAAATGTGGTTAACAACATAGGTTGAATTCCTGGCTCTGACCAATCCTGGGGGCTATTATACCTTACTTGGTTTACCAACTTTGTTGTTTGGCTTATTTACATTTTTTTTTTTTCAGATGGAGTCTGACTCTGTTACCCAGGCTGGAGTGCAGTGGTGTGATTGCAACTCACTGCAACCCCCGACGCCTGGGATCAAGTGATTCTTCTGTCTCAGCCTTCCGAGTAGCTGCGACTACAAGTGTGTGCCACCACGCCTAGGTAGTTTTTGTATTTTTAGTAGAGACGGGGATTCACCATATTGCTCAGGCTGGGCACAAACACCTGACCTCAGATGATCCACCCGCCTTGGCCTCCAAAAGGGCTGGGATTACAGGCATGAGCCACAATGCTCGGTAAATAGTATACTTTAATATGTTTAATAGCATACTTAAACAGTCTAGAGGGCTTTGGATTTAAGACAGTTTGGGTCCCTTAGCTGAATTTGGTCACAGTGTTGTGTTTTACCTTCCAAAGTGATGACTCTAACATTTTACTTGTTTAAATATTGTTTTTGGTCCCCTCATGTATGCTGTCTAAAGTTTTGTGGTGGTTTTCACTTAAAAATAAGGAAATACATGCCACGGTTGGTTGAGCAGGTGCAGGGACAGCACAGTGGCTGTCAGGAAACTGATTTTGCATTTTATCTTATATTTTGCAGTGCTTTTTTTCTTTTCTTTTCTTTTCTTTTTTTTTTTTTTCTTTTTCTTCGGACAGACTCTCACTCTGTCGCCGAGGCTGGAGTGCAGTGGAGCTATCTCGGCTCACTGCAACCTCTGCTTCTGGGATTCAAGAGATTCTCCTTCCTCAGCCTCCCGAGTAGCTGGGATCAGAGGAACGCACCACCACGCGTGGCTAATTTTTTTCTCCTTTTAGTAGAGATGCGGTTTCACCATGTTGGCCAGGCTGGCCTCAGACTCCTGGCCTCAGGTGATCCACCTGCTCGGCCTACCAAGGTGCTGGGATTACAGGCGTGAGTCACCACGCCCAGCCCTACCAAGTTTACTTTCAACTGTAGTCTAAATTTATAATTCTCTGACCAGTCAGGAGACAGGTATGGGCTAGGTTATTTTTTTGCACTGGATTTTGCAGAATTTCTGCAACCTAACAAATGCAAACATCCCAGTACAAATCTGGGTCCTTCTCGCCACATCCAGCCCGGTGCTAACTGATGCCAGTGCTGACAGCACTCCCTTGCACCCCAATTCTAATGTTTTCCCATATTCCCCACCTGATAGCAGCAAGAGAGGGCCTGGTAAGAGAGGGAAAGGATCAGTGAATGCATCATGGAGGCGGCTGTGTTTGAGCTGGGACCTAATTGGTGGACAGAGATGGGGGGAAAGGAAATTCTAGTAGGAGGCTGATTACTCTTAAATAGTGGTCTACGACACAGACATTGGTGCTAGAGGGTCATGGATTCAAACGCTAGTATGGCCATTTCCTAGTTCTACTCGTGATCCCCTTCCTCAGTCCTCTTATCACCCCACATCCATTCTCCCAGTCGTATAAACTCTCTCCTAACTGCTTATGCTCACTTAGTTTAATGCCCATTCTGTTTAACTCACCTGCAATGGCGGCACCATCCCCAATTTAATGCCCTTACTTCCTATGCACAATTGTTAGGTGTACAGCTATTTAGGCTCATTTTTCACTGTAGATCCCCGTCCTGGCATCACGCCCGTTCCTTTTTCCCAAACGTAAATGCTGAGGGGTGGGTTTCAATTCCCTGCTACGAATTGAGTCTCATCCCAATGGTAGAAATGGCTGGGAAGATCTTTCCCGTACAAGGCAATAATATGCAAAAAATGTAAAAGCGGTTGGCGCGTTATTTGAATTCATTGCGGGAACCACGCAGAAAGTCTCGTGGGAGTTACTTTGTGATAGTTTTTTCCTTCCATTCCCCACAGTTCCTGCCACTGCACGCGCAACACCTCCAAGCAATAATCCTTCCCACCAATAAGGAGCAAAGGCCCGGGGTGTGGACGGACTTTCCTGTTATAGAGAAGGTGGGAGTAGACAGTATCCTGGTCAATTGTTTCAGTCACAACCAATCAGGATCTTTGAGGGTGGAGCCATACACTGGCAATAAAAGAAGCCTGCCCCTGTGGCGGGGCCCATTTTGTTTTCGATCGTTAAGTGGGCACGTGGTGGAGCGTTGGTGTGTCAGGGGTGTCGACTTCTTCCACAAACTATTGTAAGATCAATTTGCTTTTCATTTGTAATAGTTATTGAGAGTTAGATATTTGTAGTGTGCTTTCTATATGTGGCTATATGAAATGTAGTAGTATACTTTTTCTTTTCTTTTCGTTTTTCTGTTTTTGTTTTTTTTGAGACGGAGTCTCATTCTGTCATCCAGGCTGTAGTGCAGTGGCATGATCTCGGCCCATTGCAACCTCCGCCTCCTGGGTTTAAGCGATTCTCCTGCCTCATCCTCCTGAGTAACTGGGATTACAGGCGCCTGCCACGACGCCTGGCTAGTTTTTGTATTTTTAGTAGAGACAGAGATTCACCATATTTCTCAGGCTGAGCTCCAACACCTGACCTCAGGTGGTCCACCCGCCTCAGTGTCCCACACTGCTGGGATTACAGGCGTGAGTCACCACGCCTGGCCTCTCTTTCTGTTACTTTGGACCTGGAAAGAATCAGCTTCCCATTGGGAGGGATTGTGCACGGTATTAGGACAGTTAATGGCCATTAGCTGCTGCGATGTTGTTTGTATTTCTTTCTTTTAAAAATGTAATATTTGTGGTTATCTTTTGGAGTCGGTTCTTTCATCCACTCACTTTCAAATAAAAGAAAAGTTTTCTGGTGTTTAAAACTTGAAAATGTTGTCTGGTCAGTGCAGGAATTGTTCATTGACAACTTCAGATAGCCTCCTGTTGGTCATTCGCTATTTTGCATTTTTATACAGTATAGTTGTGAATTTAATTGTATTCCACGAAGAGTGCTTCTCATATTTTTCATTCATTTGCCTTTAAAAGTTTGGTCTTAATTGCAGTTGATGTTTTACAAACAATATGGATGCTCTGCCTCTCTAGCTGTGGTGGCTAGTGTTTGTAATCCCAGTGCTTTGGGAGGTGGGAAGGAGGCTTGAGTCCAGGAGTTAGAGACCAGCCTGAACAGCAGAGGGAGACCTCATTTCTACAAAAAAAAAAAAAAAAAAAAAAAAAAAAAAATTAGGCCGGGCGCCGTGGCTCATGCCTGTAATCCCAGCACTTTGGGAGGCTGAAGTGAGTGGATCTCCTGAGGTCAGGAGTTCGAGACTAGCCTGGTCAACACGGTGAAACCCCGTCTCTACTAAAAATATGAAAATCAGCCAGGCGTGGTGATATGTGCCTGTAATCCCATCTACTGGGGAGGCTGAGGCAAGAGAATCACTTGAAACCAGGAGGCGAAGGTTGCAGTGAGCCGAAATTGTGCCACTGCACTCTAGCCTGGGCGACACAGTGAGACTACATCTCAAAATAAATAAATAGCCAGATGTAGTCTCCCCGAGTAGTCTTGGCCACGTATGAGGACCTCTTTAGCCCAGGAGGACGAGGCTGAAGTGAGCTGCGTCTGTGCCACTGTACTGCAGCCTAGGCGACAGAGCGAGACCCTGTCTCTTAAAAAAATATTGTTGGCATTGGAAACTTCATAGGTTTCTTATGAAAGGTTTTGTACAAGTTTCAGTTTGCAGTAGAGGAAATTAACTGTCGATTGAGTGCATTTTATAACAGAACAGCCTATTTGGTATAATTTTATTTGTCCAAATTCTGGTCTTGTTTCCTCTTCATTAATTTCCTTATAAAATAAAAGTTTTGGAGTAATCTTGATTTACAAATGCACAATTTAATCATCTGGCTGTGTCCTTAATGTTTTGCACCAGTGACTGCACTTAAGTGTCTTATCATCGGCTGCCATTTAATGGAATTTGGAATTTTATTTTACAGAGGAATTCTGTGTTAGGTAGCATTTTATTCCATTAAATGTGGGTCCTAGTCCTTTTCATAAATTTTGTGTGAAGAAAGTTTTGTATTATCTTCAATTTACAAATAACGAAAAGAATTTTCTAATTGAAAGAATGTTTTGTGGCATTTTCTTTCTTTTCTTTTCTTTTCTTTCTTTCTTTCTTTTTTTTTTTTTTTTTTGACAAGAGTCTTGTTCTGTCGCCCAGGCTGGAGCGCAGTGGCACGATCCCAGCTCACTGCAACGTCTGCCTCCCAGGTTCAAGTGATTCTGTTGCCTCAGCCTCCCAAGTAGCTGGGATTACAGGTGCCCGCCCCTATGCCCAGCTAATTTTTCTATTTTTAGTAGAGACGGGGTTTCACCAAGTTGGCCAGACTGGTCTTGAACTCCTTACCTCAGGTGATCCACCCTCCTCGGCTTTCCAAAGTGCTGGGATTACAGGCGTGAGCCACTGTGCCCAGCCCGTTTGTGGTATTTTTAATGTAAAAATGCACACATTGCTAATTTGCCTGAGAGCTTGTTTTAGGACACTAAATTGTCACAAGTGCCAATCACCAGCCACTGCAGAAAGTTTTTTGGGATATCATATCCTGAAACAATTGTGTGTTGAGGTTCAATGTATTCAATTCTGCTCGAGTTTTTTGCATACGTTTCCTTTAAAAGACGGAGGTATTTCAGTGTGTAAATGAGGAAATTAACTGTAACGTCAAATGTTTACTTTCTGGCAGTGAACAGCCGTTGGAAGTCATGTTGCCTCATCTGAATTTTATTGTACAGTATAGTTGTGTGTTTAATATAATGGTATTTATACATTTTGGCATAGGTCCTCTTTCCAAGGTGTTCCTTCCCAGAAAAAAAAAAAAAAGGTTTCTATTTAAGAATAAGGAGGACAGAAGTTGTCTAGGGCCAGGTTAGGAGAGAAAATGGAAGTAGATCCTTCTAGATCCTTCTGGATCTTCTGCTCGCTTCCTGGCTGGCATGCACCAACCCTGTCCCTTAGCCACGCAGTGTGCCACAGTGCTACAAGTAACACTTAAAAGGTAGCCGTTTTAAATTGGCAGCACTGGCTTCTTTACATTCCTACTGCCATTTTGTGACTCCTATTGTGTATTCAGTGGGATAATTAAAATTAAAGGAAAACTTTAGTCTCTCTCAAAAACTTGAGCATAATCACTGAGAAACAAGATTTTTGCTTTGAGGATAAAGTGTAAGTATTTTTTTAAATGGTGCTGATTGAATTTACTTATTAGTCTTTGGCCTGGTTTACTCTTTTTTTTTTTTTTTTTTTTTTTTTTGAGACAGGGTCTGGCTTTGTTACCCAGGATGGAGTGCAGTGGTGTGATCACGGCACTCTACAGCCTCGACCTCCTGGGCTCAAGTGATCCTTCCACCTCAGCCTCCTGAGTAGCTGGGACTGAAGGCATATGCCAACCCACCTGGCTAATTTTTGTATTTTTTATAGAGACGGAATTTTGCCATGTTGCCCAGGCTGATCTCCAACTCCTGGGTTTAAGTGATCCACCCCACTTGGCCTTCCAAAGTGCTCAGATTATAGACGTGAGCCACTGCACCTGGCTTATATTTCTTTTTTGACATTATCTGTTAAATAATGCTATGAGAGTTGAGGATTTTTTTTTCTTTTTTGGACACAGAGTCTCACTCTGTCGCCTAGGCTAGAGTGCAGTGGTGCCATCGTGGTTCACTGCAGCCTTGACTTCTGGGCTCAAGCAATCCTTCCACCTCAGCCTCCTGAGTAGCTGAGACTATAGGCATGTGCCACCATGCCTGGCTAATTTTTCTTCCTCCTCAATAGACTTTAAGCTCCATGGGGGCAAGAACTTTTTTCTTCCGTGCTATAAACGTGGTGTCTCTAATAGTGCCTGATATATAGCAGGCACTCAAGTAATATTTGTTGAATGATTTAATCTAGTAATTTTTCTGGATACTGATTAAAATGTTTATTTAATTTTACTTTTTGTTTTTTTGAGAGAGAGAGGTTTCACTCTGTCACCCAGGCTGGAGTGCAGTGGCAGTAATCTTAGCTCACTGCAACCTCTGCCTTCCTGGGCTCAAGTGATCCCCCCACCTCATCCTCCCAAGTAGCTGGTAGCTGGGATGTGCACACCGCAATGCATGGTTTGTTGTCATTGTTGTTGTTTTGTTTTGTTTTTCTTTTTGTTTTTGAGAGATGGGGTTTTGCCATGTTGCCCAGGCTGGTCTCCAACTCCTGGGCTCAAGACATTCACCTGCCTCAACCTCCCAAGTGTTGAGATTACAGGCGTGAGCCACTGTGCCTGGCCTAGCCTGGTTTATTCTTGATTTGGATTTGAATTATATATATTATCTAGCATCTGAATGACTTATTAGTACCTTTATTGGTAGAAAGTTGGTGTTTTCCAAATATCCTTCTAGATTGAATTTAGAAACCTGAAAAATCAGTTGCTGGTAAGAATGAAAGTTACCTCTGCCTTTGCTAATATAAGGTGCCAAGATTTCAGGAATTAAGATATTAACTAGCCTCATAGATCCTGACTTTTTGAGCAGAGCCCTAGATCTTAAATAATAATTTAACCCTAGAATTTAGAATTTAGATCCAGGTATTAGGCCGAAGGCACTTTTCTTATGTCCACTTCGCCCATAGAATCCTAGAGGGGATATTTTCCAAAGAGCATACCCACAAAAGCCAATATTAGCAACTGTAAACTTTTGTGGATTATTTCTTTGAAGATCTATTCTCAGTGTCAGATGGCACCAACATTATTTAATGGTTGCAATTATTCGTGAAATTATCCTAAATGATACTAGCTTCCTTCTGATGTCCATGTTTTTCTAACTTACTGTGTTACTAATTACTTACACGAATACACCATGAGAATGCTATTGTATAAGCTGGTGAACAACTCAAACCTCCGATTTCAAAAATTTGTTATCTGTGATCCTGTATGAGTCTTTTTCACCATGGTAATGAATACAATCAACTGACATCTTTGAGACTCCCCTTTCTAGAAGTTGAGATCTTGCCTATTAGCTTAATATATAATTCCCCTATAATGTTTGATTAAAGCAAGATGAACTATAGTTTATTTTGAAGGGACAATCAAACCTCTGAAGCAATAGTCTTGTCTGATCTTGTAACCACAAGATTAATGCAGTTCCTATTATATTATGTTTCACCCTGTATGATTGGGTACCTTGATCCAACCAACCATTTTCAGAAGTTTCTCTGAATAAGTGGAAAAGGAAGTGTTCCCCAGCCATCCACCAAAATGAGTTCCAAGTTATGTAATTTTCCTGCAGTGGTGCTGGGCTGTCCATCCACAGGCAAGTCTCTTGGCAGATTCATACAGTCACCATCTCCTTCAGAACCTGTGATGGAAAAGTCCAGTACCAGTGAGCCTATGGTTCTGTAATGTGAAAAAGATGGAATTGGAATCAATTGTCAAGATCACCTAGACAAGTTCAGGGTGTCCTTACATTGTGTGAGGTGACTAGTGTCTTATGAAGGGCAGCCCCCTCCTCCTGTCCCCTGTGCATCATTAATGATGGCATTGAAACCCCTTCCTAGAGTTCTAGAGATAGGGACTACCAACAGTGGTAGTCACTCTTCCTAAGTACTGCTGACTCCATGATACTGACTCTGTTTCTACAACCTGTTCCTTTCATTAGACAGGGGCATATTTTTCTACTTCTTAATTGTGTTCCTCATGTACACTGTGGGTGCCGCTGTTACAGAGACATTGACAAACTTAGACTGTTCTGATTTCAAATAAACCTGATTTTGACTTTTTAACACCAAAGTTCTGATCTTTATTTCTATTTTTTGGAAAACCAGTAAGAGACAGCAGCAGGAGGGACTGGACTGGATTGTAGAAAACTTCAAGAGTTAAGGAGTGCGGAGTGCTGCTCAGGTGCCTTTGTTTCAGGTATGAGAATATGGGTCTGAAGGTAATTTGAAAGCCAGCCTTATATATACAAGGAGGGAAAAGATAGGTCCTGAGGACCAAGTAGGTGTCAGGGAATGGTAGTCTGCCAGCCTGCTCCACTTGTGACATTTATTTGCTAGGGTTCCTGAAGGTATACGCCAGCAATTAAAGTAATATGTAGGTTATTACTCCTTCAGATGTTTACTGTTCCATACATTGTTGTCCATTTCCTTGCTCTGCAGACATTGCTGGTATGACAAGGTTCCAGTTTCTGAGTCTGAAAGACACTGGGCTCATTTTCACTCTAAGGCAGTAGTCTGGCAGCTCAGCTGGTTTCTAACATAGTATTTTCACACTTTGTGACACTGTTAAAAATTGTCAATGAATTCAGGCATTGGAAGCTGGGGACAAAGATTTGGGGTTTGCATGCTAAGGCTCCCTAAGCCTTGTGTTTCCTGTCTTGTTACACAAAAGAAGTACAGTGGGATGAATGAATTTGGGTAAATAGATCATGACAAAAAGTGCTAATGTTATTTGGGTTATGTTGAATGCTCCCATATAATAAATGCTCTCTCTTGTGCCTGTCCAGGTCATAGTCTCTGTTCTATATAGCAGCCAACCACAAGGGTTGATTGGTAAGCATTCCTGCATCTGTGCTGTTCCCCCTAGATTGCTATCTGATATGTTTGTTTCAAACATGTGGAGATCCTGTGTCTGAACTTGATTTCACCATTGCTGTCAATTTTCAGGCAAGGTATACAGTAACTGGGTCAAAATTCCTTTCTGATGAATGATAGAATTTCATATCAATTTGGGATTCAAGCTTTCAGTACATGGGAATACCAAACCTTAGAGTGGGGATCTTCTAACCAAAGTTTACACTTCTGGAGTTGTTGCCTGCTATGGCATATGTTCTGGAATGTGGTCTTTCCCTGTAGCCATTTAACAGTAAGCCTTATGATTTGTACTTATTAATAACATCTGTAGAGTAAATGCCTGAATTATGTAGTTTTCACTCTTGGTGCTTTGTAAATTTCCTCTTGGATTGCTTTTGAGTCAGACAGACCTCAGTTTAAGCCTGATTTACCAGTAACTAACTTTCTTTCTTTTTTTTTTCTTGAGACAGAGTCTCACTCTGTTACCCAAGCTGGAGTGTAGTGATGCAATCACAGCTCACTGCAGCCTTGACCTCCTGAACTCAAGTGATCCTCCCACCTCAGCCTCCTAACTGGGGCTACAGGTATGTCACTATGCTCAGCTAATTTTTTATTTTTTGTAGAACTCCTGGCTGTTCTCAAACTCCTTGGCTCAAGTGATCCTCCAACTTCAGCCTTCTGAGTAAATGGGGCTACATATGTGTGTCACCACACTCAGCTAATTTTTTATTTTCTGTAGAGTGGGGTCTCACTGTGTTGCCCAGGCTATTCTCAAACTCCTAGGCTCAAGCAGTCCTCCTACCTCAGCCTCCCAAAGTGCTGGGATTACAGGCATGAGCCACTGCATCTGGCCATCAGTAACTTTCTATCCTTAGTTCCCAACTAACTCTTTGGGCCTCAGTTTTCCTTTTCTGCAAAACAGGAATCCTTCTTTGCTATCAGAATGTTGTAAGAATCAAGTGTCATAATCTTTGTAATGCATCTAGTACACAATAGGCACTCATGAATGAGCTCTCCATTTCCTGAATGCACATATTGGAGGGAGGACATACAGTGCTTGGTTTAGCACCTCTCCCACCTTCCTTTATTTATTTTCTTTCCTTTCTCAGGTATTGCACATTCCTCATAGATTATACTGTCTTCTCTTGGGAAACCACAACCCTGTAATCTGGCTAAGGATCTCAGATTTTTTCTTGCTCTGAGCTGAGTTCTGTTCTGACCAACTAGGACACATTACACTGAGGCTAGCATCATAGTTCAGCATCCAGCAGGACTCTAGCTATCTGGGATGGAAGATGCCTATTAACTAGCAGTCCTAGAAATTTCTTTCCTCGCCTGTAAAAAGTCACATTTGGGTTGTGATTAGTTCACTGAAGATTAGGTGAAGACACTTGACAACGTAAGAAATGGAGGATTAAATGCTAAATATAAATATGCACTATCCTAAGAGTATCTTTTAACCTTTAGTCTCAGTAGATACCTGTGATTCCTCTACTTTTCTGTTAGCACATATTTTATTCTGGTAGCATCATGTAATCTGAAGTTCACCCAACCAAGGTAAAAAAAAAAAATCCTCATTTCTTTTTTTTAGAAACTAAAGTGTCTGTTACATAGCACATTGACATTTCAAAGCCTTTTGATTTATCCCTGTAAATGGCTAAATTACTTTAAACCATGGAAGGTGGAAATCATTGTTGTTATTTCCTGTCCAGTAAAAACTGGGGCCAGAGTTATTTAGAAAAAAAAAAAAAAACTCTACCTAAAACCACTTAATGGAGCTTTGCCACCAAGTTCCTTCATCAAGTGGTCTGATAGTGACCTTAGCTCGTTTGCTAGATGAAAAAAAGAGTGAATCCTAACTATAACTGTGACACCTTCTCCTTTTGCACACACTTGTTCTACCCACTGCTCTTCACAGTCATCTTGGGTCTCTTCTTTGGTAGTTTCTCTAAGTATTGGCATTTAAAAAGTAAGTCACAAGGTAGAGGAATCCAAAAGGGTTAATCTCTGTTTGGGCAGATAAGCCCAAGAGGTAGAAACCTAGGAAAGGTGAAAGTGACCCTATTCAGAACTTAAAGTGGGACCTGGCTTCTTGATTCCTAAGAGGTCCAGTCCTTTGCCCTTTAACTCAGGGGTTTCCAAACTCCGGGCCGTGGACTGGTACTGGGCGGTGGCCTGTTAGGAACCGGGCCACACAGTGAGAGGTAAGCAGCCGGGCGAGCAAACATTACCACCTGAGCTCCACCTCCTGTCAGCTCAGCAGCGGTATTAGATTTTCATAGGAGCATGAACCCTATTGTAAACTGCACATGCAAGGGATCTAGGTTGCACACTCCTTATGAGAATCTAATGTCTTATGATCCTGAGGTGGATCCAATTTTATCCCGAAACCATCCCTCCACCCCCGGTCTGTGGAAAATTTGTCTTCCACAAAACTGATCCCTGGTACCAACAAGGTTGGGGACTGCTGCTTTAACTCATCTGGGGTCTACTCTGTCAATGGCTACTAATTGAAAGAAAAAATTTTGAGACAGGGTCTCACTCTGTCACCCAGGCTGGAGTGCAGTGGCATGATCATGGTTCACTGCAGTCTTGAACTCCTGGGCTCAAGCAGTCCTCATGCCTCAGCCCCCTGAGTAGCTAGGACTAGAGGCACTACCACCATGCCCAACTGATTTTTTACTTTTTTTGTTGAAATGGGATGTCCCTATGTTGCCCAGGCTTGTCTGGAACTTCTGGCCTCAAGCAATCCTCTCACCTTAGTCTCACAAAGTTCTGGGATTACAAGTGTGAGCCACCATACCTGGCCTTGAAATTTTCACGTTCTATAAATTCTTGGTGTGACTTCCTCTCTCCACACTCATGTTTTCATGCTTGTTTATATGGGTACAGGAGAGAGATTAAATTATAGCAGAAATTTTAGGGCAAGGCTATTTGGGTTTATAGATCTTTTATGGAGAAAAACATATTTTTCTTAATACTTCATGAAAACGTGCTATACACACAAAGATTAATTTGCTCAAATTTCATTTTCTTTAAAAGTAACCTCAAATTATAATTTTATGTGTTCACAAGGAAAGTCTAGAGACTACAAAAAGTGGTATGCTTTTTGTTTAACAAGTGACTCTCCAAAAGAAGAGAAAAAACCTGATATGTGGCATTTGTCAATTTCTAAGGTGTAAATAATTCCACCATCACCAATTTCAAGTGTTGTCACACTGAATGCAGATTTTGGAAGAGATGTGCACTTACCACCTCATATGAGCCAGCTCTTACACAACACTGAATAAATTAAAAAATTACTGGCAATCAAACTGCATAGAATTATGACCACTGCTAACATTTTAATGTTCTTCTAACTAATCTTTCTATGAAAAATATCCATATTTGTTCTAGTGAGGAGTCTTTATATTGAATTTTAGTAAGTACAGTAAGTCCTCACTTAATGTCTTCAATAAGTTCCAGTGAACTGCAACTTTTGAAGCAAAATGACTTATGACAAAACCAAATTTACCATTGGCTGATTGATATAAGCAAGAGTTAGGTCTCCATGGCGTATATTTCTGGTCATGAAAACATCACCAAACTTCTAAATAAAGACTGAAAACACTTTTACTATTAAACACTGAAATAAAGGTGAGCTATCTATACCTTTAAGAAAGGTTAACAAAAACAAGATACAATAATTACCCAGCTCTTGGTGAATCAGTGAGTCGTGGTGGTCATTGTGGTGGTGGGTTTATTTGTTTTTATTATTGTTACCTTTTTTTTTTTTTTTTTTTTGAGGCAGAGTCTCTCTCTGTCACCGACACTGAAGTGCAGTGGTGTGATCTCGGCTCACTGCAAACTCCGCCTCCCAGATTCAAGCAATTCTCCTGCCTCAGCCTCCCGAGTAGCTAGGATTACAGGCTCCTGCCATGATGCCTGGCTAATTTTTTTGTATTTTTAGTAGAGATGGCGTTTCACCATGTTGGTCAGGCTGGTCTTGAACTCCTGACCTCAAATGATCCGCCCGCCTTGGCCTCCCAAAGTGCTGGGATTACAGGCGTGAGCCACTGCGTCCGGCCTTATTATTATTACTTTTTAAGAGTTGGGGTCTTGCTGTGTCACCCGGGCTGGAGTGCTGTGATGTAAACATGGCTCACTGCAGCCTCAAACTCCTGGGCTCAAGTGATCCTCCCACCTCAGCCTCCAGAGTAGCTGGGACTACAGGTGTGTGCCACCATGCCTGGCTAATTCTTTTTAAAAAATTGTGGAGACAAGGTCTCACCACGTTGCCCAGGCTGGTCTTTAACTCTTGGCATCAAACAACCCTCCCACCTCAGCCTTCCAAAGTGCTAGTTTTACAGGCATGAGCCACCATTCCCAGCCGTGATGGTGGATTTAAATTAAGGAAGAAACATTTGCAAAGTGAAAATTCTAAGAAGTATCTCCTACCACCATGCAGTTCAAAAACAATCACAAATATGGCAAGCTCACTGAGCACTTTAGCACAACGTCATTTATTGTTGTGCATTTGTATGATTATCATAGACTTTCTGAATTTTTATTTTACAATATTTTGTATTCATTCATTGAGTCATTTTCTAACCTACTTACTCTGTTTCAAGCGGTCACAGGTGGCTGGATCTTATCCCAGCAGCTCAGGGTGCAAGGCTGGAACCAACCCTGGGCAGGACATTACATCACCAGGTGCACTCACACACACACCCACGCTGACTCACACTGGGACCATTTAGGCATGCCAGTTAACCCCATCTACACATCTTCTGGATGTGGGAGGAAGTGAGTACCTGGAGAAAACTCATGCAGACTCCACCCAGACAGTAGCCCCAGCCGGGAATTGATTTTTTTTTTTCCTCATCAATTTTATAAGGAAACAATGTTGTAGAAAATGACCTTATTTGAGGACCTGCAGTAAATCTATGCTTTCTCATTCAGATATCTGACTCTAGTCCATGTTACTAGACTCAAATATTATGCATACAATTGGGAAAGACATAAAAATTCAGTGAATTTATTTTAAAGATTCTAGTTTTCGTTGAATCTAATGTTCTGAAAAGCACTGTACAGTGTAGCATTTAACAAGTTGTATGGTTAATGCAGATGTATCATCTGTATGACTTCAGTAGCAGCATATATAGGAGTGGTGAAAAGACCTTGTAGGATCCTTGTAGGAACAGTTGCAGTTCTGTTCATTTGGCTTGATGCAGACCAGTTGTAGGACTGCCCATTGATGTAAACACAAGTGAGAGAGGCTTTCTATGTCCTGTTCATATTTCTATTCTTAGTGTGTGGAATTGGTACTAGGAATAAGCTGCCTCCTAGTGAAGGACCTCAGGTTTAAGTGAGGCATCTATTATTCTAAGTGAAGTAACTCAGGAATGGAAAACCAAACATTGTTCTCATGCATAAGTGGGAGCTAAGCTATGAGGATGCAAAAGCATAAGAATGACGCAATGGGCCAGGCGCAGTGGCTCATGCCTATAATCCCAACACTTTGGGAGGCTGAGGTAGGTGGGTCACCTGAGGTCCTGACCTCAAGTTCAAGACCAGCCTGGCCAACATGGCAAAACCCCGTCTCTGCTAAAAATACAAAAATTAGCCAGGCGTGGTGGTAGTCACCTATAATCCCAGCTACTTGGGAGGCTGAGGCACGAGAATCACTTGGACCTGGGGGGCAGAGGTTGCAGTGAGCCAAGATTGTGCCACTGTATTCCAGCCTGGGTGACAGAGTGAGACTCCGTCTCAAAAGAAAAAGACTGATACAATGGACTTAGGAGACTCAGGAGGAAAGGGTGGGAAGGGGGTGAGGGATAAAAGACTACAAATTGAGTGCAGTGTATACTGCTTAGGAGTTGGGTGCACCCAAATCTCACACATCACCACTAAAGAACTTATTCATGTAACCAAACACCACCCGTTCCCCAATAACCTATGGAAATAAAAAAATTAAAAATAAAGGGGACAAAAGACACTTACACATGTTTGTGTGTAGACACAATTTAAGAAGTTATGGGCCAGGCACGGTGGCTCATGCCTGTAATCCTAGCACTTTGGGAGGCTGAGGCAGGAGAATCGCTTGAACCTGGGAGGCAGAGGTTGCCATGAGCCGAGATCGCACCACTGCACCCCAGCCTGGGCGACAGGGTGAGGTTCCATCTCAAAAAAAAAAAAAAAAAAAGAAGTTCTGCCCCAGGCCAGGCCCGGTGGCTTACGCCTGTAATCCCAGCACTTTGGGCAGCCAAGGCAGGAGGATAGCTTCAGCACAGCAGTTTGAGACCAGCCTGGGCAATGTGGCTAGACCCCATCTCTACAAAAAATTTTAAAAAATTAGCTGGGGGTGGTGTCACGCCTGTAGTCCCAGCAGCTTGGGAGGCTGAGGTGGGAGGATCACTTGAGCCTGGGAGGTTAAGGCTGCAGTAAGCTGTGATCACACCACTGCCCTCCAGCCTGGGTGACAGAGTGACACTAAATAAATAAATAAACAAACAAACTAAATAAATAAATAAGAAGTTGTGCTCAAGGCCTAGAAGAAGCTGATGAGAGTGCTGTACTGTGGCTGGATCAGGCAGAATCTTCAGGCCATTGGAGTGGAGTACTGCATAAGCACTCTGGATAGCCACAAGTACTTCAGGAGAGCCTCATACTGCCAGATTTCTCAAATAGAAGACCTGTGAGCTTTGGCTTGAGCTCTTCTCCCAGAGTCAGGATAGAGGCTCTGCTCTCCTTGCATGGGTCCTTCTGGTGATATAGTGATTGATGACGGGGCAAGGACTTCAGTAGAAGGGACAGGGAAAGATGGGAACTGGAAGCATGGTGGGAAGAGAGCAAGAAGAAGTATTTATAGTACACAAAGGAGTATGTATAAACTGCTGCTTAGAGCAACTTCTTTTTTCCCCTAATTTTGACCTCTTCCCAACAGATTCCCTGTTTCTGCTTTAACCTGGGCTGCTTGCTAAGTGCTTGCCTCTCAGGATCCTTGTGGAGGTAAGGATATATATAAGTCACAGAGGAGAATTATTTTAAAAATATGTATTATTTTGACTCACAAAACAAAATGGATGCAGATGAAGGTTTTCACAGCCTATATGAGTGTTAATTAGAACCAATTAGAGGCCTTGTCCATCAAAGGTGCTTATTTAATTCAAATATGTACACAAAGAAACTGGGCCTTATCAACTAAATCCATAGCTGGCACCAAGCCATCAGGAAACCCACAACCCAACAAGTCCTGTTTCCTTGGATTTTTGATCAAAACGAAGTCACCCTACACGCCTGGTCAGTATAAGCATAGGTCATTTGGGTATTTAAACCCAGTGGATATTTTGATTCCTCTATTAAGCAGAAAACACTGTCCAGCTACCAATTGTCAGCCTCTCTCATTTTTGGCCATTACGTAAACCTGTCCTCCATTTGCACATGTATGTTAGCTTGGAAATATCAAGAGATCACAGAGGGATGTTTATAAAATTCCATAGAAAAATGCTTTAACTATACTGAAGTTTATTGCTATTCCAGAGGAGTTGATAATGACTTGTTTCCCATCTGAGTCTGCTCCTCGCCTCCTCCCCTCCCCTTGAACTTTTACTGGAGTCTAGGAATCAATTTTATCTAATTTCCAAATGTTTCTTGTCCATGGTTTAGCTGGATTCATTATATATATACCCAGAGTAGAAGGTAACTTGGTGCATCTTAATGACATAAATATTGCCCTTACCTTGAAAAGCTTTTTCTCCCTTCTTGCTACCTTATTTTGTCATTGTTAGTAGAATCAAGGGCTGTAATGATTATTTTATTAAAATGAGGGGTTCTCTCATAGTGCATTGACCCTACTGTCTCATTTCATTTTACTTATCACATGCAGGCATTTTTTGAAACTTTTATTTTTCATGGTGTTCTAATGAGTCAGAAGTGATCCCAAAAATCTTATCTCTTGGTCACTGAGAGTCCAGCTCTGGGACTGACATGCATTTCCTGCAGTTTCTCTGTGCAGGGCTCTTCAGAGTAGAGGTTAGCCAGCTACTCATTGGGTATACAAACCAGTTAGGAGCTAGAGGTTTGTGTTTTGTTTTAATTTCTATCAAACTTCTATGAAATGTGTGGAGTTTAGAGACTCAAATATCTCCAGGAGGTTTACTCACAAAAATAATAGTTCCTTAACCTACCATCATTCCTCCATTTCTTAATCACTTTGTTTATCCAGAAGCTACAACATGTGGTTGTGTGATTGTAGAAAAAACTACTGAAAACCGCTCAGAAAAATGTGAGAGCACTAAAAGGCTTTAAGATGTGGTTCTCTGACCACTTTTGTTGTCTGTCTGAGGGGAGAAGAGTTACAGGGGAGAAGTGTTACAGAGGTTGGATCCCCAGAAAACGGGGATCAGGAAACATGGAATAACAAATAAAAATGGTTTCTTACCTTCAAGGACCTACAGTCTAGAGGTAGGGAGAGGGCTGTGAACAGCGGCTTTTTGTAGAGCTGCTTTTGAGGATGACAATAAAGCAAACAGGAAGACAAAGGCCTTTGATGTGAAAGGTGATGTGGGCCATGTATGTTCAAGGCACTGTCTCCTGTCTGCTTCTCCCTTCCTACTTCTCTCTCTGCTTCAACATCTCCCCAACTGGACAAGCAACCCAAGGGATATCACAGGTCTGGGACTTTCGTTATGTGGCCCAAGATACAGCCAGCAAATATGGAAGAACATGTATATATACATAGCTAGAGATAAAACTATGGCATTTTGCAGACACTACTCCTCCCTCTGGCTTTCAGCTTTAGAATGTGGGCATTCAAAAGAAATGTCCAGTACTGTTGCCGCTCAGTTTTTTTTAAACTTTCATGTCTCTTCACACCCTGTGCCTTGTAGTTTGCTTCAACTAATAATAATACCTAAAGATGATTTTTAGTTGGACATTAGATGAATCTTTAAATTTTAGTACCCTTGAAGGCAATCTCAGTTTGAGATGTATCAGTTGCTTTAAATACTTCACTTAAATGTGTGTTACATCTGTGGTCCACTTTTTAAACACTTGGGCAAAAAGCTGGTAGCTCCATGCTCCTAATGCTATCATCTTTCTGTCTGTTATTAAAGTGACATAGCCGGGCATGGTGGCTCATGCCTGTAATCCCAGCACTTTGGGAGGCTGAGGCTTGTGGATCACCTGAGGTCAAGAGTTCAACACCAACCTGACCAACAAGGTGAAACCCCATCTCTACTAAAAATACAAACTTAGCCAGGTGTGGTGGCGCATGCCTGTAATCCCAGCTACTTGGGAGGCTGAGGCTGGAAAATCTCTTGAATCCAGGAGGCGGAGGTTGCAGTGAGTGGAGATCGTGCCACTGCACTCCAGCCTGGAGTGACAGAAAGACTGAGTGCTCTTTATACATGAGAAAAGGATAGTAAGTAGTGTTAATCATCATCTTTTTATCATCTGGAGACTGAGAACAATTTTTTTTATCCCAGAAAAGTATTTTTATTCACCAAAATGCAGGAGATTTGGGCTCCACTGCAGGTGTTTTAACTACGAATTTATTAGTCGTAGCTTCTCAGCCTGCAAAATGATAGCTCAAAGTCTTAGGCATATGAGCTTCATGAGTTCACAGAAAACCAGGAGGAGACAGGCCAAATTAGGCAATATAAAAGGAGTAAAGGGGAAGTGTGTGTGAGCTGGGAAGTACTTTGGGGGCAATTTGATCATCCCATTTGTAAGGGTATCACCGTCTGAGAACCTTTCCCTTCTTATAATTAGTTTATATATTTGATTCATTTCTTTCTAAACACCTTTGCCTCAGTGGAAAATGAGTAGTTCGGAATTGGATTGGATTGCCTCTGTTCAGAACAGCAGGGCATCAAAGAATTACAGAGAAATAAAGGTCCTTGGTAAAATGCTCTAAATAAGTGTAAGGAAGAAGCAGATACCAATGCCCATTTTGAGTATATGAGAGAGTACTACCTTCTTGCAAAGTTGGGATATTGGTGATGGGTGCAGCTCCTTTCCATTTTCGCTGTGAATTCTGCAATTCTGAGCTGGTATAGGTTTTGCTGCTATAGGGTTTGCTGGCCCTGCCTTTTTTGTGGATTTCTTTTGGGCCTGTGAAAAACGGTTCTGGGGAGAGGTGGCATCTTAAACTCCTCACTTAATTGGGGAGTTGTGTTACTTAGAACAGACTTCTAAGTAAGTGATGTTGTTCCAACATAATCCTTGACAGTTTTCCTTCAGCTTTTCCCTATTCCATGTCTTTCTGCTGTGCCTTAATCTGCAGTGGTGGTTGCTGCCTGTAATACTTCAGTTCCCTCTTGTAATCCCTCACTGATTTTCAGGAGGGCTTAGCTGAATTTAAAATTTTAATTCCTTACATTTGTCAGTGTCTTTTTCTGATGTTGGGCTAGTTCTATGTACCAGGTTTCAGTGCCTTCTTTCTTCTGATTCTCCTGGTTTTCTGGTCTAGATCTTTATTTTTTTAAATATGATCTTGTTTGTGAGGCCTAACTATAGTGACACCTCTGAAATGATATGTTTTATGTCTGTTAAAAGCATCCATTCTTCAACTAAATCCTGCTTTCTTTTCATGAACTTCATCAGACTATCCACAGTAAACAAAACCAAGCCTCGTTTTTGTCTGTACTTCTTCCATTTGGCTCTTCTTTATCATGTTTTTATCTTTGATGTGCCTTTCCTCTGGACACTAATTCCATAAATTTTTCTGCCATGTGGCCTTAGGAAACATGTAACTAATATATGTCCACCTACAATAACTGTCACTAGAAAATCATCTAGTAAGTCTTGTTAGTATTTTATACTGATATTTCTGCACTTTCCTTCTCATTCATCTATATTTTTTATCTTAATTTTCAAGAAGTGATTTCCTAATTGCCAGTTTCCCAATTACCGCCACATTTCTTCTGCAGCTCCACCATGTGCTTCTTAATAATTTTCTCTTTCTTGGCTTCTGTAAGAAATGGGAATTGGAGTCACTCCATTCCAATGTTTAAATTCTTGCCTCATTTCAATTGTTAGCTTCTTGGGTACTGGTCATCCTTTGTCATCTTTAACAATTTAAACATCCTTCTGTATCTAAATGCACTCTTGAAGAGAATGGAGGCCTGGGTTTATGTCTTTTCTATTTTTATCTGTCCCTTCTGGTCTTCAAGATCTTTTATTCCCCTGTATGTACAGGTCGACTTCTAAGATCTCATACTTGGTATTAAGAAGTCTCTTATTCTGTTTTCTTCTATTTAAAAAAATTCTTCCACTGCTCATGATCTTTGATTTGGCAGATTACTTAACTCCTCTGAACTTTCGTTTCCTTAACTATAAAATGGAGCTAAGATCTGTTCCAGCTTCTTAAAGGGGCTGTTGTGAGAGTAGAAGGAGTTAGGAGTATTGTTAATTCTGGGTCCTCAAAAATGCCACCGGAATAATCTGTTGCTAAGGCAAAATTGAGTTTATCCTGACTGTGGTGAGGAGGAGCACTACCTTGACAGAGTCTTAATAGCATGATGGAGGGGCATGCACAGTCTGGATATTTATGAGGTTTTGGAGTGTGATTTAAGGTAGCTCTTTGAATGTAGAAGCTTGATCAGGATTGGGTAAGGATCATGATAGAATAGTTTTGATTGGTGGACACAACTAGGGGAAGCTTTTGAGGGAAGAGCTTTGATTTTAATCCTATCATCTGCTGAATGTCTGTTTGCTGTTCATTTGAATATTTCTTCTGGAAGTTTCTGAAATGAACAGTTATTTTCAGGTTCTTTCTTCCTGTGCAAGAATGACCTGGACTAGTAAAGTTATGTTGATGGGTACAGTAGAAGTTTCTGAAATGAACAGTTATTTGCATTTGTTCCTTCCTGTGCAAGAGTTACCTGGACTAGTAAAGTTATGTTGATGGGTATGGTAGAATAATAAAATTATATTACTGAAGACAACCAAAGAGTAGAATCTTGTCCATGCAGACAGTGAGCTGTAAGGAGGTAGATGCTTTTAGTTGTCAGCATACAGAAGCACTTTGTACTTTATGAATGGTTGTGGTAGCATTGATAAGGCAAATGATTTTGCTTGTTGTCGATTTTTATGCCTTTCTACCTAAGTGCAATTATGTTTTCTGCTTAAACTTAGTCGAAAAGAAAATATTTATTCAGGATGACTAAGCTTCTGAAATGTCATTTAACTAACTTTCTTCAATACCTGGGCTCAGCCTAGCTTGAAAAAGTCAAGTGTATATTAACAACAGCGATTGTACATGATTTTCCTCTACTCCTTCAGAAAGTGACTAATCAAGAGAGAGAATGGAGGGCAAGTTCAGAGGGGTTTTCATTAAGGTTAATCCTTAAAAACAAAATAAAATATTTGGGGGCTGTGTTAGTCTATTTTGGGTTGCTACAAAGGGATACGTCAGACTGGGTAGTTTATAAAGTAAAGAGACTTATTTGCACTCAGAGTTCTGCAGGCAAATAGAGGCATGGCACTAGCATCTGCTTGGCTTCTGGTGAGGCCTCAGGAAGCTTACAATCATAGTGGAAGGCAAAGGGGGAGCAGGCGTGTCACATGGCAAGAGCAGGAGCAAGCAAGGGAGGAAGTGGCTGGCTCTTTTTTTGTTTTGTTTTGTTTGAGACAGAGTCTGACTGCCGTTGCCCAAGATGGAGTGCAGTGACATGATCACGACTCACTGCAGCCTCAACTTCCTGGGCTCAGGTGATTCTCCCACCTCAGCCTCTTGAGTTGCTGAGACTACAGGCACACACCACCATGCTTGGCTAATTTTTTTGTATTTTTAGTAGAGGCGAGGTTTCATCATGTTGTCCAGCCTGGTCTAGAACTACTGGTCTCAAGTGATCTGCCCGCCTTGGCCTCTCAAAGTATTGGGGTTACAGGCGTAAGCCACCGCACCCAGCCAAGGTTATTTTAAACAACTAGATCTCACATGAACTCAGAGTGAGAACTCATTTATTACTGCAAGGACCAAAACATTCATGAGGGATCCGCCCCATAATCCAAACACCTTCCACTAGGCCCACCTCCAACATTATCGGTCATATTTCAACATGAGATTTGGAGGGAGCATACATCCAAACTATATTGGGGCAGATATACTCTAACATGCTGAGTGCAACACTAGAAGCAAAACTCATCTGGCCAACCTGAGGCAGCTTTTTGCCTTCTTTGTAGTATATCTGAAAATGAAATCCTGGTGATTCTTTCCTGTCTAGCTTCCATTCTGGTCCTATTGCTGGCTTCACTAGTTAGCTGCAGCTACAAGCTACATAGTATAGATTTTTAAAAAATTCATCATGCTGTATACTGGAGAATGGGTTGCTCAGCTCACAGATTAGGGTAGGTAAAATATAGGAGGATTATATTTAACATTGGGCCAGCAGTTAAAATTTGGTTCTCCCAAGATAAATAGTTACACCAAAGTCAGATAGCTCTAGGCTACACAAACATCAAGTCAATATTATTGATTAGTTCTCTTAACTTAATAGTCAGGTGTGATTTCCTTCTAATGGTTCTGACACTGTTGTAGAAAATAAATGGACACAGGGGAAAGTACATTGTACTTTGGCATATGTTATGGCTTCTTGATAACCTAGAGCTTGTGTATTCGTTTGTTAATTTTGAAGAGCTTTTGAGACTTTGTAGTGAAGAAGGAAATTGCTACAGGAGGCTGTCCCCAGTACTTAGTATTGGTTACTCTTCCAAATGGATGTCTGTATTAGCTATATATTGATTTATAAGAAATTACTTCAAAGCTTAGCTTAAAATAATACACATTTATTATTTCCAAGTTTCTGTGGATGTGGAATATGTGAGTGTGGCTTATCTGAATGGCTTGTAGCACAGGGTCTCCTAGGAAGCTATGATCCAGTTGTTTGCCAGAGCTGTATTATCTGCAGGGAGCACCTTGAGGAAGATCTGCTTCCAAGATCACTCATGTGGCTATTGGCAGGCCTCAGATCCTTACTGGTTGTTGGCTGGAGACATCAGTTCCTTGCCACCTGGGCTTCTCCATTGGACAGCTCCCAACATGGCAGCTAGTTTCTTTCAGAGTGAGTAATAGCAAGAGAAGTCTGTCAAAATGGAAGCCAGTCTTTTTGTAACTCAATCTTGGAAGCAACATCCTGTCCTTTCTACTGTGTTCTCTTTGATAGAAACTAGTCAGTAAGACCAGTCCACCCTCAAGGGGAGGAGATTGCACAAGGGTGTGAATACCAGAACATAAGGACTGTTGGGGGCCATCTTAAAGGCTGCCTTGCATAATTTTTGACCCAGTCCTATAGTTACTTCAAAGGCCCAGCAATCAGCAGTACTCTCTTCTGAGTACCCTGAGTATCATAAGATTGCATAAGATTATGCAATCTTATGAACTCAAAGAGTTAGCCTTTATATGAGTCTGTCACCATTGTGGAAGAGGAAATTTCATAGCATCATAAATTCATTCTGTTTCTTGCTAGATGAAAGGCATCACGTAGTTTAAAGCTCCATAGCATCTAGAGCACCAAGAGAAACCCTTTGATGGTTTTCCCTAGAGACTGCATGTTTGAAAATTTCGTATGAACCAAATAAACTACATTATAGTGAATTTGGTTCTTAATCATATGGAAATTTTTGGTACTGGAAGCTATCAGTTTGGGCTTCTGATGACCTGTTAATCCATCAAGTTGATAAATTCCTGCCTTTCTACCTATTTGTACATATTTATCCTAAACTCTCAGACTTTGGTAATTTAAATAATACTGTAACCCTATTTGCATTGCCTCTGATTTCACAAAGGATTTAATAGACTAATGCAACTCTAAAAAGATGGGATAACGTGTGTAAAGGTACTCAAATAGTCTGGATTTCCTATTAAGCTAGAATAGGATTTTCTCTTCTTCTAATTTCCCTTCACCTGTAGCTATAGGGCTGTGGATAAAATAGCTGTATTTAAAACACAACACCTCTGCATCTCAGCTCTGTTTAATGTTGGTGAACTGTCTGACAACCTGTCTGACATATTTTTTTTTCTTATTTTTTACCTCCTCCTATAACTCTGGGACTTCTTTTTGTTCCATTTGCATGCCAAATACTTTCCGTCTAAGGGCTTTTACTTGTGCTGTTTTCTCTGCCTGGAATGCTGCTCTTAGCGATTCCTGCCCTAATATCTTACCATCTCCCATTGCAGTGTGGTACTAGACCATCAGAGTACAAATCTGTACCATCATGAAATAGGAGAACTGGAGAGAACTTCAGAGTAATTTTCCTATCTCATTTGGTAGATACAAACATTGAAGAAAATAGATTTGCTCAGGAAATAATGCATGACATACTTGAAATAACTCAGGACAAGGCCAGACATTGCAGAAAATGTGAAAACACGTGGCAAAGAAAGAAATTTTCCCTCAGAACCTCACAGTCTAGTTAGAGAGGCAAAAGTAACTTAAATTCACTCTATCTGTATTATGACTTGAAGGAAAGGATACATTGCAGTTTAGGTCGAGAAATCTTAGAAAATCTTAATGGTGGGGTGCAACTTGTTCTAGCTTTGCAAGGATAGAGCGAGAGTAAGAATCAACAGAGGGGAGGGAGAGAGTACTGGAGAAGAAAAAGGTATGTGGTAAGGGTATAAAAGTGGGAGGACACAATAGGAACTGCCGTCTTTAATGCTGAGTTGCTGATTGCAATCTGCTGCTGCAACCAGACTTACATCTTTCCTAAGCACTAATGTCATTTGACCCTGAGTACAGAGGCTTTATTAGATTATTACATCTGTGACACTATAGCTATTAGTCACACTCAGCCATAGGACTTGACAATCTATTGGTTTTCTATTTTTACTTCTGTCCTGGTAATATCCCTGAAGTACTGAAATTATGACCAGAAAATTAATTTCTTTGCATTTGAATGAGAAATAAAAGAACAGCAGAATAATTCTACATTCAGGCTATAAATCTCTAGAGTTGTCAGAAACACTGTGTTAAAAGTTTGGACTAAATTTTGCATTAAGCTTTGCTGCTCCTCTCCAGAGGAACTGATGAGAGAAATACCAGATCATAGCATGTTAATGTAGTTCAAGGCTACTAAACAGATGCATGCACATACATGTACACATGGTTGTAATGTTGATTATTTTGCAAGATCAGGAAAGGAATGGCTGTTTGTTGTGCCACATACAATTTTCTTTCCTGAGTATGCAAATGAGACCAGCTACTTCTTAATCTAAGCTTCTCAGAGTTGTTTTTCTGAGGGATCTGCTTATGTGTGTGCAGTGTGTGTCTGTATGTTTGATTCCTCAACGGAGTATTCAAAGAACTATTCCAGTGCACTCTGGAAGTGAAAAAAGCACAGGGTACATAGAGGTTAAGAAGTTACATACATGTAAAGAAAGGACATCACATCTAATACTGAGAAATGAACACACAGGACCATATATGTTCTCTTTCATATTGAATTCCTGATAAGATGAGCTAGGCCACGTTCAAGGGCTTCCCAGAACTCTTCCCTAATACTTAGTCCACAGTCTGATACTGGCAAAGCCAGAAGGGCTCTTGGGGATCACTTCCCAATGTTTCAGTAAAGAAGTGGCCTTTAGTGGGATAAAGGCCACCCAGATTGTGATTGAGCTGAGACCAAAGTCTTGCCTCCTGCTATATGTTGTTGGTTCCATTCCACTGTGCACCTTCCCTCTCTGGAGAACTCAAAACTCAAACTTCCAGGAAGTTGATAGTTATAAAGGCAGTACATTATCTCTTTTTTTCAGATGGAGGAATGGAACTATAGTGAAATGATTTATCTACAGTCACAAGGCCAGATATGGGACTAGGTCAGGAATCTCGGTGACCATGCTCTGGCCACACCTCTGTTTAATAACTGCATCAATATTTAGGAAGAAATGTCATGCAACTAAGTGGTGAATGTTATTACTTAGACTAACTAATATGTATTGCATGAGACATTTGGTCATTAGAAAGGCTTTGCCATCCTTCTGGAATTCAAAGTCATACAGGGTTTCTTGAATGCTTATTTCCAGAGCTAGACTGGGGTTAGGGTTGAGGTATTAGGGGTAGAAGGGGAGAGTGGTGTGAGCATGCATAGTTGAAGTTAATAGGGGTTTAGCTGTCCAGCAGCTTCTAAGCATATAATAAACGTGCTTTGTAAGAGTGAAATTCATAGGTAGAAAGTAGTAAGCGCTACCTTTGAGGTCTGGACCTGGATCTAAGGCTTTATATCAGCATTCAAGTGTTTCTATAAGGTATAGGCACAAGGGAGTTTCTTAGGCACTTATTTTCTGTGAAGTTGGAGAACTCATTGGGCAAAATAAGAAATAAATAGAACCATTAGATGTCCTTGGAGAAAAGTGGTTTTTTTTTTTTTTTTTTTTTAGTCCCATGAAACAGCTTTGGACAACCGTCATCTCTAGCTCCATGAACTCAGCAAATAAGCATGGAGTTCTATTATATTAATAGAGTAGATTGAGGACATTTAATAACTCATTATTTTGCTTATATATTGAAATGAGTAATGAGAGTGAAGTACAAAGCCAATGTTAACTCTGTGAATGGAGTACTGGTTTTCTACTTAATAAAAGCTACAATTAGTATGAATGTTGTTGTACACTGATTGCCAACTGCCTTGGAGTGCATATCACCCCCGTTTATTGCAATTTCTTTGACATTATTCCATTTGAATTATTTATCCTAGTTTTAAAGGGACTCTACGAAAAAATGCAATAAATGCTTATAATACTTTTTCAGAAAACTGTATTCCAAATCATTTTATAAAGCAGTGTGAAAACAGTAAAACAGTTATGAACCAAGTTGGCTGTCTATTGTTCTGGCTGATTGTCCAATTCAGGCCAGTCTGTGTTCACAGGCTGTCAAGTGCTATGAAAGGGTCTCCTCAAGAGGGTAGGAGGTCAGCCCATGTGACCTATAAGGTTTCTTCCAGCTCTTGAGTATACAATTTGGTGAAAAGCTAAACTGGTGGTAGACAGGATACAAACCATCTGCAAATGTCATTTAAAGTGTTTTGGATTTTTTTTCTTAGAGCTTATAAGGACCAAAATTCTTGCCAAAAGGCACAGCTTATACCTTCCTGTTTATGATAGCCATTATTCATTTGTTCACATGATTTGAAATAATAGTGTTATGTTCAAATGCACAGTGCTATCACTTTAAAATGTAGTAAATTTTTCTTTACATGCCATTTACAGAATGCTCTGTCATACTTAACCATTGTGTTATTGAAGGGTGAAGGCAGTCAAGGACTTTATAGAGGTCCTATATATGTGAATGTATATATTTGAAATGGCTGAGTAGAGAGTTAAAGGATACGTGATAGCGTGCCTGTTTGTGGGTAATACTTTTCCTCATCTGGTGCATTTTCGTGTGCCGTGCATGCGCATGCATACACACATGCACACAGAACAGGGTTATCATAGCAGGTTATACCATCTGTAAGGCCAAGAGTTCTGTTTGTAGGGCTGCATTTTTATTTGTTCTAAAGTAGTGATTCTTAACATTTTCTTTGATCACAGATCAATTTGTTACTCTGTTGACATTGTATATTATCTACTTGGAAAAATAGGCCTTTGCACATAGCCATACACTTTTGTAGTTTTCTAGAGATTCAAGGATTACATTGGGTGCCCAATGTATTACCCAGGGTAGGAATTCCTGTTAATCTTACCTAAGTAGTTATTTCTTTATTGGGTAATAAGATATTTGACTGCCTACCATGTACTGTGGCCCCTGTGCTGGATGTCTTTACTAAGCAGCCAGGTGACCTTGGGGCCAACCCTTTACCTTCCCAGGTTTCCTATGATGTAAAATTAGAGCGTTCCAATGGATGATCCCTAAAGTCCCTTATAATGTTTTATTTACTCAGTCTTATTCTAGGCAATGAAGGGAATGCACAGTCCAAGCATCCAATAAGGTAGGACAGTGCCCAGAACCAGGCAAACGAAATAAACAAAGAGAAAAATGCTCTCACTAGGTAATCTGAAGACCAAACATTTAGGCAAAAAACTGTGTCACATTGGTACAAGTGTACTGCAGCACCAAGCCTGCTTCTATATATGGCATTTGATATTAGAATAATAATTAATTATGTTGTTAATCCTTTTGGACTATTGCATGGTTGTTTTACTTTATTGTTGGGTTGCTTTTAAAGTTTTTTTTTTTAATTGAATCTTTTTCAACCTAATATTTAATGAGTTGAGTTACTGTTTCTGGACTGTAAGAGGTGGGAGGAGATATATCCTGTGTGAGGAAGCTATGAGTGGTATTTCACACAAATCCTTTCAAATAAATCAGATTTAAAGTGTTTATGTTATTATAGGCTGTACTGAAAACATTTCAAAAGCTCTTAGTAAACTTGTCCCTAGGCTGCTTATGTCTGCATTTATTCAGCTTTCAGATGTTCATTTGCTCATGTTGGGGGTGTGTTTGTTTTAGTTTTTATCCAGTACCATTTATTTATGTATTATTATTATTATTATTTTTGTGATGGAGTTTCACTCGTTTCCCAGCCTGGAGTGCAGTGGTGCAATCTCAGCTCACTGCAACATCCGCCTCCTGGGTTCAAGCAATTCTCCTGCCTTAACCTCTCCAGTAGCTAGGACCACAGGGGCGTGCCACCATGCCTGGCTAATTTTTGTATTTTTAATAGAGATGGCGTTTCACCATGTTGGCCAGGCTGGTCCCGAACTCCTGATCTCAGGTGATCCTCCCGCCTCAGCCTCCCAAATTGCTGGGATTACAGGAGTGAGCCACCACACCCGGCCACCATTTAATTTTATAGTCAAGGTTTGTATAACTGAGGCTTCAAGCTGTATCAGGATGTCCAAATAGGTTCATTAATTCTGGAAGATTTTCTCCTAACAAGTAGAAATTCATCAGCATGGAATGATGACATCTTAAACCTATTAAATTGAAAATATCTTTATACTCACCCTGGAGCTTAAATATGTCAGCCAATAATAATTAAATACCACCCAAACACTCACAATTTTCTGAGAAGAGAAAATTAGCTGGTTTTAATATGACTGGAAGATAAATCAGACCATCAACATTCAATCATTCATATGAGAAATTTATATAACTCACATTAAACACATCAGATCAACTGGAAAATTAGAGTAATTAAATGTTAGAGGGGAATGAATTTTGTTAGAAGAGCAACAAAGAATTGACATGCTGAGAGTGCTGCAAAGACCACATCCTAAAGACTCTCGAGAAAATGCAGACATACAAGACTGGAGGGTATCATGAATGAACAGATTCCCTGGAGTTCTTAGGAGTAAACAGGAGGAGTCCAAGGTGTCCAGATTCTTAATAGGTGGATGGCTAGACCTGGAATATAACAGCACACTGGAGAAGAGGACAGAAATACCATAAAGGTTGACTTTACTCCATTTATCTAAATTAAAAGCCTTTTGAAGTTAAAAAAATATAAATGTCTTCAAATGTACAGATGGGTTTCTGATAAAGATCAACAGCCTTCTCTCCAATGTTTCTCTATCCCCTTCTACCCTCTTCATATTTGTTTTAAATTCTTCTGGCTATTTCTCTGTCTCCATATACTAGCTTGACCATTATTTAAATTTTTATCTTAGGAGATCCTCTATCGTCTTTTGCTGTAATAGTTCATGTGCCCTACCCTCATCTTTCCTCTTGTCTCTTCTGCCAAAATGTATGTCACTACTAAGTTCTCTGTTCGTTGCTTCTGCAACTTCAGCCACTGTACTTCAACTTCCATCTCTTCTTGGGTCAAGACTCCATGCTTACAAGGACATTTATTTTGCAATTCTCTCCTTCCTTTCACTTCTGTCCCTTTCACATTCTGCCCTCTGCCCTTTACTTTTACATTTCATGGTTGTCAAGAGCACTCTTTCTTTTTTATGACCCTCTTATTTTGTTGGAGAAAATCATTAAGTAAACTCCTAGGAAACGTGTGTGTGAGGCAGTTTCTGAATTGTTGACTTTTTGAAAATATATTTATTTAGACCTCACATTTGATTGATAGAATTCGAAGTTCAAACCCATAAGCCTATGGTTATTTTCTTTCCTCTGTTTTCTTTTTTCTATCTTTGTGGATCTTTTATTACTCAGATATTGTGTCTCCTGGACCAGTCCTCTGTAATATTTATATTTCTTATATGTGTCTCTTTGACATTTCACCTTTATTTTCTGGGAATACATTCCCAAGATTGTGAGACTCATACTTCACTGGACACCTTTTTTTAGGCTGCAGTGCACTCCCCACCACCTCCATTCCCTGGGTCTTTCTGGGTCCCATTCTTCTCTCTTAAGCTTCTCATTCATAATTGTGACTCCAACCATGATGTTAGTAGACAAAGAAGTTTTTGTTTCTAATCCTTAGATTTGTTCTCTAACAAATAAAAGATATTCGTTTTCCTTTCCTCTCTGTCGTCCTCCTTAATTTCTCATGAAAATGCACCTTCTCCTTCTCTTGGAATGCCATTATGCAATGTAAGGCACAATTAAAGACTTCCTTATAATTGTCAAAATATCACGTAATTGCCTTTCACAATGCCAGACTTGGGCTTTGAGTAGAATTTATCATGTGAACTGTGCTACAACTGATTTTTATACCATTTTCTCTGTAATTGGAGTAAATAAAAGTAGTATAAGGGTCATACATTATTAAATGAGCCATTAAAAAACATCTCGAATAACAAATGGAAGAAGAGGACATGTTACTTGCGTAGGAGTCTCCCTATCAGAAAATTATGAATTTTTAAATCTACAGTAAGCACTCTATTGATATGAGTTAATAATTAGCTCATTCTTAATTAGCGGAACACCTCCAAAATAACCGCCTTGATAATCCAAATTGTTTTTGCTTATTATATATAAAGAAGTAATTTAATTTAAGCACTGCATCTAACTTTACATCTTGAAATATATTGCATTCCTCTTGTTCCACAAGTTCTTTAGAATTTTCCTGCAATGTTGTGTTTTGTGCTGATTGGAATCTCCAGATAATGGACTCATCCAGCCACTTACTTGCTGCAAGATTCCTGGCACACTTAGCTCTAAGCATTTCTCTTGCTGGGTAATTGACCAAAGCCTTCTGCCTACAGGCAATGGGTAAATGAAAAAATTTCCCACCATTACTTAAACTGTCTTGGGATGCTGAAAGCAAGATTGAGAGAAGGGTGAGGCTTCTGATTTTAGAGCTTCGTCTTAGAATTTAGAGCTAGAAAGCACCGCTTATTTTTCAGAGTGTAATACTATTTTATATTTTATTTTTTAACATTTCTTCTTGATATTTTATTTTCTCTTTCCAACTTTTAGGTTCAGGAGGTATATGTGCAGGTTTGTTACATGGGTAAATTGAGTGTTGTGGAGGTTTTGTGTACAGATTACTTAATCATCCAGGTAATTAGCATAGTAATCAATAGGTAGTTTTTTGATCCTCACCCTCCTTCCTCCCTCTACCCTCAAGTAGGCCCTGGTGTCTATTGTTCTCTTCTTTGTGTCCACTGGTATTCAATATTTAACTCCCACTTAAAAGTGAAAATATGCAGTATTGGTTTTTCTGTTCCCATGTTAATTTGCTTAGGATAATAGCTTCCAGCTCCATCCATATTGCTGCAAGGGACATCATTTCATTCTTTTTTATGGTTACATAGTATTCTATGGTATATATGTACTACATTTTCTTTATGCAGCCCACCATTGATAATAACAAGTGTTTAGGCTGATCCCATGTCTTTGCTATTGAGGCACTGCTTCTTTAAGGAACTGTTTTCTTTATCTATTTTTTTAATTCATTGTTAACATAAGCTGCTCTTACTTTGTAAACTTTACTTTAAGTTCTGGGATACATGTGCTGAATGTGCAGGTTCGTCACATAGGTATACATGTGCCATGGTGGTTAGCTCTACCTATCAACACATCATCTAGGTTTTAAGCCCCACATGCATTAGGTATTTGTCTTAATGCTCTCCCTCCCTTTCCCCTCACTCCCTGAGAGGCCCCTGTGTCTGATGTTCTTCTTCCTGTGTCCATGTGTTCTCATTGTTCAACTGCCAATTATGAGTGAGAACATGCGGTGTTTGTTTTCTGTTCCTGTGTTAGTTTGCTGAGGATGATGGTTTCCAGCTTTATCCATGTCCCTGCAAAGGACATGAACTCATTCTTTTTTATGGCTGCATAGTATTCCATGGC
Organism: Homo sapiens; assembly: GCF_000001405.40. Classification (NCBI taxonomy): domain Eukaryota; kingdom Metazoa; phylum Chordata; class Mammalia; order Primates; family Hominidae; genus Homo; species Homo sapiens. Next base: position 133,067,522 of record NC_000023.11, on the reverse strand, counting down.
TATATGTGCAACATTTTCTTTATTCATTCGGTCATTGATGGGCATTTGGGTTGGTTCCAAGTCTTTGCTGTTGGAAATAGTGCTGCAATAAACATATGTATGTGTGTGTCTTTATAGTAGAATGATTTATAATCCTTTGGGTCTATACCCAGTAATGGGATTGCCAGGCCAAATGGTATTTCTGGTTCTAGATCCATGAGGAATCACCACACTGTCTTCCACAATGGTTGAACTAATTTACACTCCCACCTACAGTGTAAAAGAGTTCATATTTCTGCACATCCTTGCCAGCATCTGTTGTTTACAGACTTTTTAAAGATTGCCATTCTAATTGGTGTGAGATGGTATCTCATTATGGTTTTGACTTGCATTTCTCTAATGACCAGTGATGATGAACTTTTTTTCATATGTCTGTTGGCTGCATAAATGTCTTCTTTTGAGAATTGTCTGTTCATATTCTTCACCTAATTTTTGATGGGGTTGTTTGCTTTTTTCTTGTAAATGTGTTTAAGTTCCTTGTAGATTCTGGATATTAGCCCTTTGTCAGATGGATAGACTGCAAAAATTTTTTCCCATTCTGTGGGTTGCCTGTTCACTCTGATGATAGTTTCTTTTGCTGAGCAGAAGTTCTTTAGTTTAATTAGATCCCATTTGTCAATTCTGGCTTTTGTTGCAGTTGCTTTTGGTGTTTTATTCATGAAGTCTTTGCCCATCCCTATGTCCTGGGTGGTATTGCCTAGGTTTTCTTCTAGAGTTTTTATGGTTTTTGAGTTTTACATTTAAGTCTTTAATTCATCTTGAGTTAATTTTTGCATAAGGTGGAAGGAAGGGATTCACTTTCTGTTTTCTGCATATCACTAGCCAGTTTTCCCAGCACCATTTATTAAATAGGGAATGCTTTCCCCATTGCTTGTTTTTGTCAGATTTCTCCAGATCAGATAGTTGTATATGTGTGGAGTTATTTCTGAGGCCTCTGTTCTGTTCTATTGGTCTACGTATCTGTTTTGGTACCAGTACCATGCTGTTTGGGTTACTGTAGCCTTGTAGACTAGTTTGAAGCCAGGTAGCATGGTGCCTCCAGCTTTGTTCTTTTTGCTTAGGATTCTCTTGGTTATGTGGGCTGCTTTTTGGTTCCATATGAAATTTACAGTAGTTTTTTGTAGTTCTGTGAAGAAAGTAAATGGTAGCTTGATGGAAATAGCATTGAATTTATAAATTACTTTGGGTGGTATGGCCATTTTCATGATTTTGATTCATCTATCCATGAGTGTGGAATTTTTTTCCATTTATTTGTGTCCTCTCTGATTTCCTTGAACAGCGGTTTGTAGTTCTCCTTGAAGAGGTTCTTCATGTCCCTTGTAAGTTGTATTCCTAGGTGTTTTATTATCTTTGTAGCAATTGTGAATGGGAGTTCACTCATGATTTGGCTCTCTGCTTGTCTATTATTGGTGTTAGGAATGCTTGTGATTTTTGCACATTCATTTCGTATCCTGAGAATTTGCTGAAGTTGTTTATTAGCTTAAGGAGATTTTGGGCTGAGACGATGGGGTTTTCTAGATATACAATCATGTCATCTGCAAACAGAGACAATTTGACTTCCTCTCTTCCTATTTGAATACCCTTTATTTCTTTCTCTTGCCTGATGGCTCTGGCCAGAACTTCCAATACTATGTTGAATAGAAGTGGTGAGAGAGGGCATCCTTGTCTTGTGCCAGTTTCAAAGGGAATGCTTCCAGCTTTTGCTCATTCAGTATGATATTGGCTGTGGGTTTGTCATAAATAGCTCTTATTATTTTGAGATATGTTGCATCAATACCTACTTTATTAAGAGTTTTTAGCATGAAGGGGTATTGGATTTTATCGAAGGCCTTTTCTGCATCCATTGAGATATTCATGTGGTTTTTGTCATTGGTTCTGTTTATGTGATGGAGTACATTTATTGTTTTGGGTATATTGAACTAGCCTTGCATCCCAGGGTGAAGCTGATGTGATCATGGTGGATAAGCTTTTTGATTAGCTGCTGGATTCAGTTTGCCAGTATTGTTGAGGATTTTTGCATTGATATTCATCAGGGATATTAGCCTGAAATTTTCTTTTTTTGTTGTGTCTCTGCCAGGTTTTGGTATCAGGTTGATGCTGGCCTCATAAAATGAGTTAGGGAGGAGTCCCTCTTTTTCTATTGTTTGGAATGGTTTCAGAAGGAATGGTACCAGCTCCTCTTTGTATGTCTGGTAGAATTCGGCTGTGAATCTGTCTGGTCCTGGGCTTTTTTTGGTTGGTAGGCTATTAATTACTGCCTCAATTTCAGAACTTGTTTTTGGTCTATTCAGGGATTTGACTTCTTCCTGGTTTAGTCTTGGGGCGGGTGTATGTGTCCAGGAATTCATCCATTTCATCTAGACTTTCTAGTTTATTTGCATAGAGGTGTTTATAGTATTCTCTGATGGTAGTTTGTATTTCTGTGGCATCAGTGATGATACCCCCTTTATCGTTTTTTATTGTGTCTATTTGATTCTTCTCTCTTTTCTTCTTTATTAGTCTGGCTAGTGTTCTATCTATTTTGTTAATCTTTCCAAAAATGAGCTCCTGGATTCACTGATTTTTTGAAAGGTTTTATGTGTCTCTATCTCCTTCAGTTCTGCTCTGACATTGGTTATTTCCTGTCTTCTGCTAGATTTTGTATTTGCTTGCTCTTGCTTCTCTGGGTCTTTTAATTGTGATGTTAGGGTGTCACTTTTAGATCTTTCCCACTTTCTGCTGTGGGTATTTAGTGCTATAAATTTCTCTCTTAATACTGCTTAGTAGCTGTGTCCCAGAGATTCTGGTACGTTGTGTCTTTGTTCTTATTGGTTTCAAAGAACTTTGATATTTCTGCCTTCATTTCATTATCTACCTAGTAGTCATTCAGGAGCAGATTGTTCAGTTTCCATGTAGTTGTGTGGTTTTGAGTGAGTTTCTTAATCCTGAGTTCTAATTTGATTGCACTGTGGTCTGAGAAGCTGTTATGATTTCTGTTCTTTTGCATTTGTTGTGGAGTGTTTTACTTCCAATTATGTGGTCGATTTTAGAATAAGTGTGATGTGGTGCTGAGAAGAATGTATATTCTGTTGATTTGGGGTGGAGAGTTCTGTAGATGTCTATTAAGTCTGCTTGGTCCAGAGTTGACTTCAAGTCCTGAATATCCGTGTTAATTTTCTGTCTTGTTGAGCTGTCTAATATTGACAGTGGGGTGTTAAAGTCTCCCACTATTATTGTGTGGGATTATAAGTGTCTTTGTAGGTCTCTAAGAACTTGTTTTATGAATCTGGGTGCTCCTGTATTGGGTGCATGTATATTTAGGATAGTTAGCTCTTCTTGTTTCATCAATCCCTTTACCATTATGTAATTCCCTTCTTTGTCTTTTTTGATCTTTGTTGGTTCAAAGTCTGTTTTATCAGAGACTAGGATGGCAACCCCTGCTTTTTTTGCTTTCCATTTGCTTGGTAAATATTCCTCCATCCCTTTATTTTGAACCTATGTGTGCCTTTGCACATAAGATAGGTCTTCTGATTACAGCATACCAATGGGTCTTTATTCTTTATCCAGTTTGCCAGTCTGTGTCTTTTAATTGGGGCATTTTGTCCATTTACATTTAAGGTTGATATTTTTGTGTGTGAATTTGATCTTGTCATCATGCTGCTAGCTGGTTATTTTGCACATTAGTTGATGGAGTTTTTTCATAGTGTCATTGGTCTTTATATTTTGGTGTGTTTTTGCAGTGTCTGGTACCGGTTTTTCCTTTCCATGTTTAGTGCTTCCTTCAGGAGCTCTTGTAAGGCAGGCCTGTTGGTGACAAAATCCCTCAGCATTTGCTTGCCTGTAAGGGTTTTTATTTCTCCCTCACTGGTGAACCTTAGTTTGTCTGGATATGAAATTCTGGGTTGAAAATTCTTTTATTTAAGTATGTTGAATATTGGCCCTCACTCTCTTCTGGGTTGTAGGTTTTTTGCAGAGAGATCCACTGTTAGTGTGATGGGCTTCCCTTTGTAGGTAACCTGACTTTTTTCCCTGGCTGACCTTAACATTTTTTCCTTCATTTCAACCTTGGAGAATATGATGATTATGTGTCTTGGGGTTGCTCTTCTTGAGGAATATCTTAGTGGTGTTCTCTGTATTTCCTGAATTTGAACGTTGGCCTGTCTTGCTAGGTTGGGGAAGTTTTCCGTGATAATATCCTGAAGTGTGTTTTCCAACTTGGTTCCATTCTCCCCATCACTTTCAGGTACCCCAATCAATCGTAGGTTTGGTCTTTTCACATAGTCCCATATTTCTTGGAGGCTTTGTTCATTCCCTTTCATCCTTTTTTCTCTAATCCTGTCCTCACACCTTATTTCAGTAAGTCGATCATCAATCTCTGATATCCTTTCTTCCACTTGATCGATTCGGCTGTTGATACTTGTGTATGCTTCACAAAGTTCCTGTGCTGTGTTTTTCAGCTCCATCAGGTCATTTTTGTTCTTCTCTAAACTGATTATTCTAGCTAGCAGTTCCTGTAACTTTTTTCAGTGTTCTTTGCTTCCTTGCATTGGGTTAGAACACACTCCTTTAGCTCAGAGGAGTTTGTTATTACCCGCCCTCTGAAGCCTACTTCTGTCAATTCATCAAACTCTTTCTCTATCCAGTTTTGTGCCCTTGCTGGAGAAGAGTTGTGATCATGTGGAGATGAGGCATTCTGGTTTTTGGAATTATCAATAATTTGTGCTGTTTTTTCCTCATCTTTGTGGATTTACTTTGGAAGGGGTTTTGTGGCGGGGGGGTCCTTTTTGTTGATGTGGATGTTATTGCTTTCTCTTTGTTAGTTTTTCCTCTAACAGGCCCCTCTTCTGCAGGTGTGCTGCAATTTGTTGGAGGTCCACTCCAGACCCTACTTGCCTGGGTATTACCAGCGGGGGCTACAGAATAGCAAAGATTGCTGCCTGCTCCTTCCTCTGGAAGCTTCATCCCAGAAGGGTGCCGGCCTGTTGCCAGCCAGACCTCTCCTGTATGAGGTGTCTGTTAACCCCTCTTAGGAAGTCTCTCCCAGTCAGGAGGCACAGGGGTCAGGGACCTACTTGAGGAGACAGTCTGTTCCTTAGCAGAGCTCAAGTGCTATGCTGAGAGAACCCTCCTTGTCAGGATCCACTGCTCTCTTCAGAGCTGGCAGGCAGAGATGTTTAAGTCAGCTGAAGCTGTGCCCACAGCTGCCCCTTCCCCCAGGTGCTCTGTCCCTGGGAGATGGGAGTTTTATCTATAAGCCGCTGACTGGGGCTGCTGCCATTCTTTCACAGATGCCCTGCCCAGTGAAGAGGAATCTAGAGAGGCAGTCTTACCACAGCCACTTTACCATGCTGTGTTGAGTTCCACCCAGTCCTTACCACTGAAGGGAAAACCACCTACTCAAGCCTCATTAATGGTGGAAGCCCCTCCCCACGCCAAGCTCGATTGTCTCAGGTCGACTTCAGACTGCTGTGCTGGCTGTGAGAATTTCAAGCCAGTGGTTCTTAGCTTACTGGGCTTCATGGGAGTGGGACCTGCTGAGTGGGGAGGGAACTTTTCAGGGGAATGAATGGTTCTGTCTCGCTCAGGTTCCAGGCACCACTGGTGAGGGGGAACCTCCTGCAGCTAGCTCAGTGTCTGCCCTAACAGTCGCCCGGTTTTTTGCTTGAAACCCAGGGGCCTGGTGGTATAAGCACAGAGGGAATCTCCTGATCTCTGGATTGCAGAAACCCTGGGAAAAGTGTAGTGTCTAGGCTGGATAGCAAAGTCCCTCATGGCTTCCTTTGGTTGGGAAAGGGAGGCCCCCCAGCTCCTTGCACTTCCTGGGTGAGGTGATGTCCCACCCTGCTTCTGCTCGCCCTCTGTAGGCTGCACCCACTGCCTAACCAGTCCCAGTGAGATTAACAGGGTACCTCAGTTGGAAATGCAGAAATCACCCGCCTTCTGCGTTGGTCTTGCTGGGAGCTGCCGACTGGAGCTGTTCCTATTCGGCCATCTTTCCCCCATAAGCTGCTCTTATTAGGGCAAACATTTCACATGCCATTCCTCACTTTACAATCATTACAATACAGATTGTAATTTTGAAAGTGACAGATGGGGGCGTGTCAGCATGTCTTCCATACTTAAAAGTGATTGAGAGAAATAAGACCCTCAGCACACATTGCTATTCATTCTGCCTCATTGGAGCTTTCATGAAAGACTCTCAAATGACCATGCTTTTGCATATCTGGATTTAAGAAGAAGAGAAGGTGTTCCAGAGTACAGTATCTTAGGACTTGAGAAATCATTAACTTCAACCAACCAACCAATTAATAAATTCCTGTTATAGTCTTTCTTTTTTTTAACATGTGTCAAGGTAATGAGCAAACTTTTTTGTTATTAATATTTAGAAAAACCACCATAAATACAATTGTTCTTTGGTATCTCTGGGGGATTGGTTCCAGGAATCCCCACAGATACCAAAATCCTTGGATGCTTGAATCCCATATGTAAAATGGCATAATATTTGCATATAATCTACCTATGTCCTCCTGTGTACTTTAAATAATCTCTAGATTACTTAGAATACCTAATATAATACAGTGACTACATATCAATTCATTCCTGAAGATTCAAAGTTTTGCTTTTTGAAACTTTTTGGGATTTTTTTTCTGAATATTTTTGATCCTTAGTTGAATCCACAGATACAGAACCCATGGAATACAGAGGACCAACTATTTAGCTTTAGTGTATTCTGAAACTGAGTCTTAAACTATTCTGATAATATTAAGATAAACTTAGCTTTTACAGAGTTTGGAAAGGGTTTGCCTTTAAGATTGCCCCAGTATATTTGTTAGTGAATTTTTTACATGAATTAATGCAACTTTAAAAAATATTAATTTTTTTCTCTTATGTTTTCTTTAATTATCTTTATTTTAAATAGATATTTTAGAATAGTAAATTATCTTTCACAGCAGTGCCTCCTGGACTGATAATATAGTACCCAATTTCTAAATGTAAAGATTTTAAAGTGCAGTTATAATGTTCTATATAAGCATTTGAAACAACTGTAAGAAGAAGGATTTTTCTTTTTTGCTATCCAGGAAGAAAAAGTAAATTATTAGATCATTAGCATTAGAAAAATAACATTTAAGTAAAATATTTATACTGTGGTGAATAATGGTTTCTTTTTATTTTTGTCTAATTTCAAGGCAAGATCTAGTGTCAGATTTTAGTACTTTCAGCATTAACCTACTGAACAGAATGCATTTCAACAGAGCAGAACCATAGGGTATTAGGAATTATTAGGACTCCTGTATGTCACACTGTCTCCTGCTACAGCAGAAGAGGGCTTCAGGCTCTTAGAGAAGTGCTTACATAAAAATAAAAACTATTCTCATACACTAAATCTTCATTTCACTGCAGTATTGAATACCAGTTTGATTAATGCCTATTTCTGCCATTTAGCATCTTGGACTTGGGAAATTTTGGGTTGCAGGGAAGGATTTGGCAATGGCCTGTTGTCAGTCTTCTGTGCTCTTATACTAATCTGCTGAACAGGCTGCATTTCAACAGAGCAGAACCATAGGGTATTAGCAATTATTAGCACTCTTATACCTCCAAATTATTAGCATTTTCTTGTATCGTAAGTCTGAGATCATTCATTCCTTTGTAACAATCTGTTGGAGATCATTGTCAGTGATTTTAAGGAAGAGGAAGAGTGGAAGGTAAGCAAGCTTCTGTTAAACAGAAGTCCTTATCTAGGTCCTGAACCCGTTTATGGAGTAGTCTGGATCTTTGAGGGTTTGAAGTCACTCAGAAAAGTGGCCTGGCTAGCCAAGAACTTTAGGGGGAGAGAAGTCCTAAGAATTAATTTAATAGACTGTTTTGTACCTAGAGCGATCCTGTGATCCCAGGGAGCCTCCAAATCTAGGATGCTTGGATTCTTTTTGACATTGTCAACTTTGTCACCAGATTTTGGTTCTGTGAAGTAATGGCACCAACAACAATAACAATTAGCATTTGTTGAGTGCTTAATATGTGCCAGCCAAAGTGCAAATACGTTAAATTCTTACAGCTACCTGGTAAGGTAAAGTCTAGTTCTCAGTGTATAAATGTGAGATAAGATGCTGAGCCTTAAAGAGGTTGGGTTATTGTTCATCCAGTGAGGCTTTTGGATTTAAACCACAGGCATTGGAACAATAGAGCAGTTGCTCTTAACTGCTATGTGTGTTATCATGCCTCCTGTTACAATAAAATGATTGAGAGAGACTCAACTTGTATTAGGAGCTCCTGAAGTTTTTTGTCTTACTTTGGTAAAAGTATTATTAATATGCTAGGAGAGGGGATGAAAGGAGATCGTATGAAATGCTCAGTTAAAACCAGAGATGGCAGAAATGGAGGGGAAGAGAAAAGAGACTGGGCACAGTGGCTCACACTGTAATCTCAGCATTTTGGGAGGCCGAGGCAGGTGGATCACTTGAGGTCAGGAGTTCGAGACCAGCCTGGCCAACATTGCAAAACCCTGTCTCTACTAAAAATATAAAAATTACCCAGGTATGGTGGCAGACGCCTGTAATCCCAGCTACTAGGGAGGCTGAGGTGGGAGGATTGCTTGAGCCCAGGAGGCAGAAATTGCAGTGAAACAAGCTGAGATCACGCCACTGCACTCTAGCCTGGGCAACAGAGTGAGACTCTATCTCAAAAAGAAAAAAGAAAGATAAAGAACAATAAATAGAAAATGGTTACCAACATAGTAGTTATTAATCCATCTATGTCAATAATCACTTTGAATGTGAATTGTATGAATATGTAGATTAAAAAAGACTGCCAAAGTAGATGAAAAACTAAGGCCCCAAATATATGTCGTCTAAAGATTTAAGTACTTCATAAGGAAAGAGATGGAGGAAGATAAATCAAAAGAAACATGGAGTTAACTATATCATTTTCAGACAGAGCAAACTTCAGAACATGGAATTTTTTCAGGGATAAAAGTAGGCATTGCATAATGATAAAAGGGGTCAATTCACCAGTAAGACATAACAATCCTTAATCTGTGTGTATCTAACAATAGTTTGTTGAAATGTGTAAGACAAAAGCTGATAGAACTGCAAGAAGAATAGACCTCCACTATTTATACTTGGAGGTTTTAACACACCTCTTTAATTAATAGATCAAGCAGGCAGAAAATCAGTAATGTGTGGTTGACTTGAACAGCACCATAAATCAACTTGATCTAATTGACATTTATAGATTACTTTGACAACAGTAGCATACATATTCTCAAGCTCACATGGAACATTCATCATTATAGAACAGGTTCTGGTCCATATGAAACACCTAAACAAATTTAAAAGAATATATATCATGCCTGTAATCCCAGCACTTTGGGAGGCCAAGACAGGTGGATCAAGAGGTCAGGAGATCGAGACCATCCTGGCTAACATGGTGAAACCCCGTCTCTACTGAAAAAAAATACAAAAAATTAGCCAGGCATGGTGGCGGGCACCTGTAGTCCCAGCTACTTGGGAGGCTGAAGCAGGAGAACAGCGTGAACCCGGGAGGCGGAGCTTGCAGTGAGCCAAGATCGCACCACTGCACTCCAACCTGGGTGACAGAGTGAGACTCTGTCTCAAAAAAAAAAAAAAAAAAAAAAAAAAAAATATATATATATATATATATATAATGTAAAGTATATTCTCAGACCCCAATGAAATTAAAATTAAAATAACAAAGATGATTGTAAACTCCCAAAACATTTGGTGATTAAACAGCACATTTTTAAGTAACAGCTGGGTCAACAACAGAGTGTACAGATAAATTAGAAAGTATTTTAAACTAAGCAAAAGTGAAAATACAACTTACCAAAATCTGTAGGGATGTAGCAAAAGCAATGCTTAGAGGAAAATTTATAGCGTTAAATACGTATACTAGAAAAGAAGAAAGATCTCAAATCAATTAGTTTAGCTTATACTTTAGGAAACTAGAGAAAGAAGAACAATTTAATCCTAAGGCAAACATAAGTAAAAGAGACAATATGAATTAAAGGGGAAATCACTGAAATTAAAAATAGGAAAACAATAGAGAATGAGAAAATCAACAAAACCAAAATCTGGTTCTTTGGAAAGCTCTGTAAAATCGACAAACTTCTAGCAAGGCTAACAAATAAAACAAAGCCACAAATTACTAATACCAGAAATGAAAGAGAGAGGTCATCACTACTGATCCTGTGGTATATTAGTTTTAGTTTTAGAAAATCTAAAACTTTCTAAAATAATAAAGTCTGTTTAAAATATTAAAACTTTTTATACCTAATGCATGCAGGGCTTAAAACCTAGATGAAGGACTGATAGGTGCAGCAAACCACTATGGCACATGTATACCTATGTAACAAAGCTGCACATTCTGCACATGTATCCCAGAACTTAAAGTAAAATAAAAAAAAAAATTAAACATTTTTAAATGAATAGTGATTGATCAGGAGTTTGCTGAAGCATAGGGGTCTCTATGTAGATGATAGAGTGCATGCAAAGGCTGACTCATAAAAGATCTTGTTTAGTTTATGTATCAGTGTCTAGCATGCTATGGCTGCAAGGGATAGTAGAATAAAGACTCCAGAGAGCCTGGGTTACTTAGCCAGACCTGTGAATGCATTTGGGGGCCATGTTTAATTGGCACTCACCAGTCTTAGAAGCTCTGTTGAATTAATATGTTTCACAAGAATTTAAGCGAAATTTTTCAAGGTGAAGACTGACTTGCCTTTTATTTTCCCTTAAGAGGAAATGGGCCGTTGGTAGTAAAAGGAAGAAAGATTGAATATAGTGACAACAGCCATAATAGCAGCTGATAATGAACAGTGCCTATCATTTGTTTTTTTCAACTGCCTTATGCCAAGGTTCTTTGAGCAAATAACTTTTGAATGACTTTTAAAATTTACATTAAGGATGACTCACCTGAGGTATACCTTATGATTGTATGTAATTTCAAATGCTGAATTCCTGTCCCAAATCTCTGCCTGTGAGTCACAGGGCTGCTAGTCTAGCTTCTAACAAAGAGAAATCCCCTAATTGGCTCTTCCTAGGAATCTCTAGCTTTGGGTTTTCAGAAAATAAAATCATATGGGTCACAAAGGACTGACGGTGGGGAATGTCAAGGGGTCCACAGATAGGAAGAAGGAAAAGGCCCAAACCAATTGTCATCACACCTTCCCTATTAGCAGCCAGGGATTGTGAGAGAGAAGAGTTAGAAAATGGGAGGGCTCAGATATTTGGGGAGGAGGATCCAGACATCCACAGTTTGATGTACCTGAACTAATATTGCCAAGATTTATTTGGCTCTTTGAAAAATTTGCTATTAAACACTACTGTGCACTTACTTATGTTCTACATGGGCAGTGTGTTTAATAGATCACTGCAGGACCCTGATTATACCCCTTTTGCTTATTATATTCTGTGGATTATTTCCACGTAGAGAAAACAAGTCTCACTGGAACAAAATAATCATACTCACTCCCAACCCAAAAGGGCATTACCTCTGTTACAGACTGAATTGTATTTTCCTGCAAAATTTATATTTTGAAGCTCTAACCCCCAATACGACTGTATTTGGAGATAAAGCTTTTAGGAGGTAATTAAAGTTAAATGAAGTCATAAAGGTAGGCTTCTAATCTGATAGAATTGGTGGCCTTACAAGGAGAGATCTCTTTCTCTTCCCATACGTACATACACACCAAGAAAAGGCCACAAGAAGACAAATGACCACATCTGCAAGTCAGGAAGAGAGGCCTCACCAGAAACAAAACCTTGCTGGACTTTTTCTTGGACTTTGCAGCCTCCAGAACTGTGTGAACATACGTTTCTGTTGTTTAGGCAACCCAGTCTTTGGTATCTGTTATGGCAACCTGAGCTGACTATGACATCTTCCATCTTTTTCTCTAGCCCTGGAGGATCATTAGAGGCAATAGCTACTGAGTATTGCCTACATGTAAAGGACAAATAAATTCCCTCAGTGGAAGCTTGGTGTTTACATGTTTAAAGGGCAGTTTGGCTTGTCTCTTTGTCTCTTTGTGTTTTAATAGCAGAATGGCATTTCACGTAATAATTTAACTCCATGGCTGACTCTAATCTGGGTCTGCCAATGGGGGTTTGCATTCCTTGCTTGTGATTTCCATCACCTGACACCTAATGTAATGATTTCCACTGCAAGGGCCATCTCTGTGTCTATGAAGCTCTAATCTCATTGGCAACCTTGTGATAGCTGGGATATCCTATTCAATCAGGAAACTAGTGCTGTGTATAATTAACTACATCCCTTCCCCAACCCCAGCAACTGTTATACATCACTTCCCCTAAAACTAAGTGAAAGAAATATTTTTCCCACTTCCTTTTCAGTAAGTGCAGACAGCCACTTTAAGCTTTTTTTGTCATTCAAAGTATTCATCATGAGCATGTATCTGTTGAAAATTTCAGATGCATTCTTTTAAGGATGTCATTAGTACCTGAGCTCCCTCACTAGCTACTGTACTTCAGGTCAGTCATTGTAACTGGAGTTCCAGCCATCTGCATTTAAGCAGCAGCCATCTCTGTGATTGTCCTCTAGGACTACAATAGATCTTTAAGCTGATAAATAGTACATGTAATTTTACTGTCAACACTGCAGTTCATTGGCAGTACCTAAGAACCAGTTATTCTGTAAGTTAGGCTGATTCAATAGCCTTATGGGGTAATAGGATATGGGACTGGGATCTTGAGGGCAGGGTTTGCTATGATTATTTAGGTTGTATCGTTAGGCATTATTACACCAAATAATTTATCCAAGTGGATGGTCTTCAATTTTCAAGTCACTCAGATTTTGAGTGACTGATAAATTAAGAGAATGAGGTTCATTTTGGGGAGTGAGAAGAAAAAAAGTACATCAGAAGCTTGGAAAGGGCCAGAATCTTAAAACCAGCTAAGCCCATAATGCATTCCAGCGAATTGTTAAGATGCTATTATTATGTTAAGAAGTCCTCTGCTTTCCTATAAAGGTCTCTGAGAGTATTTTCTGTTGGCCATTAAGCAGAGCTAGGCAAACCAGACAGCAAATGTGACTTGAATGCTCAGTGCTGTAAAACTATTATGTGAATCCATTTCAGTTTAGGTATGGAAGATGATGGTGCCTCAGTGCTGTTTGCATCATTAAAACTCAGGAGGGAAAATGTAAAGTGAGTGGAAAAGAGGAAGGTAAAATAATTAATTGGAGCTGTAAGACCAATGACACTCCCACCCGGTCAAACCCCATCTATAGTTAAAGAATTAAATGCTGTCTAGAGGACTCTGAATGAGTCACTTCTTGAGAATCTCTGAAAGGCTGTTAACCTTTTGCCCGTATGTAGGAAGCATAACCCCTAGAACATATTCTGACTGTAAGGACTAGAAAATAGAAATCAGGATTAGGCAGACATTCTTAGAGCTTATCCAGGAGAGTTTAGTTACTGAAACAACAAATATCCTCATTACCCAAACTCTCCTCTCTAGCCCAGCACAACTCCTTGTACTTTCTGACTTTTCTGTTGCTTCCCATCTCTGGAATGTGCCCTCCCAGCCTTTCACTTAATGAGTAAAAAGGCTTAGCCCAATGCTAAGGTAGACTGGAAAAAGGAGACTGTACTTAAGTAGGTACTTTTTCTAGTCTTGGTTCAAACACTTAAAACCTCTCTGACCTGAATTTACCTATCTGACAAACTTGGTTGTGAAACTAGGGATCTCTTATATCCCATCATCACCAAGAATTCTTAAATCCCTACATTTACCAACCTAAGAGATCTCCCTGCTTTGTGGCCCGTTGCCGTGCAGGATTTACTTACGTCTAGAAAAGAACATTAACTTGGCTCCTGAGTTTTCACATTAAAAAATTAATCCTATACTCTTTGCTTGTCTCAGGTATGAATCTGTTTTATACCAGCAGGGAATATTAGCCCTCTATACTTTTTTTTTCCTTTTTTTTTTTTTTTTAAAAAAGAGTCTCACTCTGTTGCCCAGACTGGAGTGCAGTGGTACAATCTCAGCTCACTGCAACTTCTGTCTCTCAGGTTCAAGTGATTCTCCTGCCTCAGCCTCCTGAGTAGCTGGGATTACAGGCATGCACCACCGTGCCTGGATAATTTTTGTATTTTCAATAGAGACAGGGTTTCACCGTGTTGCCCAGACTGGTCTCAAACTTCTGACCTCAAGTAATCCACCCGCCTTGGCCTCCCAAAGTGCTGGGATTATAGGTGTGAGCAACCACGCCAGCCCTCTGTACTTTTTCTATTCATATTTTAAGAAGACATGAGCTCATATTATACTCATGGTTAATATCCTGCTTTCTTAACATTATACTTATGTCATGGGCTTCTTAGAATAACCGTATATTCTGAAATGAGTACTGTAGACATGGTATATGAGTGGGGTCACTTTTGATTGAAGGTGTCAGAAAAACAATTCGAAGTGGCTTTTAAGTAAGGGAATTTATGGCATGTTACTGGGAAATTATTTGGTGACACTTAGTTTCACATATAGTATTTTCTTTCTTTTTCCCAGCCCTGCTTTCTCTGGTTCTCTGAGTCTTGGCTCTTTCCTCACACAGGAAGATGCCTTTTCCATGTGGCAATAGGAGACAGCTACCAGTCCTCTCACCCCCCTCCCCATCTACATTATAAGGAGAGACCTTCAAACTGGAAGGGAGATCTCATTTTCCCCACATGGCTTGGATGCCCTGTTGTCCCATGATGGGCAGGCAGCGCTCTGATTGTCTGCTGACTAACAAAATCAACAGCAGTCTACTATATTCTATTCCTACTCTGCTCAGCAATCTTCAGACTCTCCCTGAAATGCACATGGCAGTCCCACTGCTTTTCCTGGGACTTTTTGTTAAACAACTTCCTGGCTGGAATCACAAACACACTCATTCTCTTTCCAACTGAAAATAACCAAAAGACAATCAAGTTGATGTTTTCAGTGATATCTGTGGAGGAACTTCTTTCCAGAATTGTGGAATCAGTTATGTGAATAGACTTTAATAGGAATAAAAATCCAATTTTACTTTTTTTTCCACCTTTTCGGTAGTCACAAACACATTCACTCCCTTTCCCGCATTTTAAAGTGTTTCTTCAAATGGTTTTAAAGCCCTGTAAACATTGAGACCCACTTAAATGCCATTTGTGATCTGAATGTCAAGTCCCCATTTCCACCCAAGTGGTGCTGCCTGAACTCTCTAAGTGTGTAACTGATTGTCTACTGTAATCTCTCTTGAATTCAGACTCCACTATCGTAAGTCAATTTTTCACCTTTTATCTCTGGGGCCACATCTTGGACTCAGTAAATTCCACATTCTCGTGACTTTGGACTACATCCATAAGGATATTAACTGCTATTGCACCATTCTTCATGCTTTTCTACTGCCTTTTACTGATATTGATCACTCTTTTCTACAGTTTGATCTCTATTGTTTGTCAGTGCATCATTATCTGTCAAAATCCCATCTACGTCATACTATAAGCAAACCTTGAATGTAAAATAGAGACTTAAACAGAACATCAGTTAGGAAGCCATTCACTGCAAGGAACTCTAGCGACTTAAGTAGGAGTTTAATTATTTTAATTGTTTCACATAACAACTGTATCTTGGGCGGTCAAAATTTCTATTTAAGGCTTCTTCCCTATATGAATATGGAATTAATGATTAAAACTAAGTACAGAATCATTTAGGCATGTTTGACTTTGAAGTAACAAAAATTTTTACTGCATGTAACCCCAACTACAGGCTCTTAATCAAATAAGAGTTTGTTTAACTGTCATATCACAGAAAATGTGATGGTAGTAAATTCAGTCCTTGTGTAGTAGCTAGCTCCACATCATTAAGGATCAATGCTCTTGTGATCTTTCATTTTACCTTGCCATCCTGCACTTGCTAGCTTTCCAATTCAACTAATCTAAAATGACTTTTCTTCTCAACTTTTAGTCTTAAACCTCATGGTATTCCATATCCGGTGGTCCTGGGCTTTCAACTGCAAGTAACAAAACACAGCTACAATAGCTTAAATAAGTAGGGTGGTTATTGCAGTGGCTCAATGGCATCTTCAAGGAACAATGTTCTTAAATCTTTTTACTTTTCAATTCTGGTTGTATTTCATCTTCATATTTCTTGTCTCATGAGCCTAGGAAGGCTTCCTTACTCCAGTCATCTTCTTTATACTTGTCTCATGGTGCTTTATTTCCTTATTCCAGCTGTCATATATGTATTCAGCCAGTGAAAAGGGAAAAAGTGAATGTCAAATGGCAAAATGGGTCCTTCTAAACGTGTCTGTCTTTATCAGGCCAACAAACTCAGTAGACTTCTGCTGTTGGTTGACAGCTGTGTCATATGTCCTCCATATCCTAGAAAGGGGATTGGAAAGGGAAATGCTGTGCATGGGGGTTTGGGTCAGCAAACCTCTAGTACCTGCCAAACGGAATTAGATATCACAATAGATTTTCCAGAACTGTCAAGGTATTAAGCTATGCCTAGAGTCACCTTATTTTATAGATCTTAGATCTGTACTGTCAAATATGATAGCTACTAGCTACTTGCAACTATTTAAATTAAAAATTAAATAAAATTCAGGTTCCTACTCTCATTAGTCATATTCAAGCATTCAGTAACCACATATGGCTTGTGGCTACCATATTAACAGTGTGGATATAGTACTTTTCTGTCACTGTGAAGTGTTCTGTTGCACAGTGCTGTAGTAGATAAAATAGGGTCAGTGAAGGAACATAGTTAATTTACAGTTCTCAGAGCTTGCTAGCAGCAGAGCAGACACTAAGCACGTGGTCTTCTGATGTTTGATCAACATTCTTTTAAGTAGATAACATGGCTTCTTAAACATTTCTGTCCTCCTGCTTAATATTATTGCTTCTTTTTTTAAAAAAAAATTATACCTTTATAGTTTATTCTATCCTCTAGTGAATATGATTAGCTAAAAGTATATGAGCAATTTGTGGTGTTTTCACTCATTAAACTGCTTAACATTACAATATAATGAGGACCTGAGTGGTCACAAATAGGTCATTTGAGACTAGTTAAAAATTGTGGTGATGATGAAGCAATCTGTTTTAGCCTTAATTCTATGTTTTCATTTTTATGGTGGTTAAAATGCATTGCCTCTTTAAGAAACCAGATGGTAAAATTGAGTGTTTTAAAAGACAGAAGGTGGAATAGCTGGAGGCTCAAAGTGTTGCTCACCCTTCAGAAAGCTTTTTAGATCCTCAGCATAGAGAAGGGCTAGAGTGGGAGAAGTGCAGAAGCAAAGTTGTATGTAAGAGTAATAAAAAGCAGAAAGGCCGTTATCACCTAGATTCTATGCAATATCAAGCTATAAATGGAAACACCTGGTTTAAAGTGTGCAAATAACCTTGGGTGATGGTGAGGGGGACAAAAGACGTTAGTTAGAATAAAAGGAATATTAGAAGTCAGAGATAAGAGTGCTCTATGTATTTGAATTCCTTCTTTCTTTGGTCATTTATTTAAGTGGGCTATTTTACAAATAGTAAATGGGAAATGTTAAACTGCTTTCTTATTTATCTAAAAGTATATGCACACATAATCTGGTTTATTGCTGGTATTCTTGATTTCTTAACAAAAATTTATCTGGTTTGCCTGTGCTGCCTGAAGTAGACATCATTAATCACCTTGTGGCTATAGCTAGAGGTGAAAGTATTTCAGAGGAGTAAACATCATCCTCTCATACCTGGCCTTCATTTCTAACTCCCTTTGTATAAGGAATAAAACCTTAGCAATGAAAACCAAATACTTAGCGACCACCCACTCTAGTGCATTAGTTAGAACATGTCCAATATTCTTGAGCATTGGTCTCATTTTTTTCATACAAAGAAATTTAACCTTTCACCTAACTCATTTCCCTGGTCCATTCAGTCTCTGTGTATGTGTCTGTGCATGTTTTTCAAGCACTCAGCAAGGAAGTAAATAACTAGGATAAGCATCTATAGGTTGAGAAGATCTTGGTTTCTTCTAGAGATGTGCTTTGTTTTCACATATCCAGAAGACACAAATGGAAATTGTGTTTTTTAGGAAAATACAGCACAGGTAATCAGTGGAGAATCTGATCTGAGTTCAGTCCCTAGCTATGAGGATGTGTATTTGACAGTCTATGTACTGATATTGAAAGAATATGAGGGAATTAGCTTTGTGCCCTTGAACAAGTAATTTACCCATAGGCTTATTTTTCTCATTTGTAAATGAGGAGCATGAACAAGTTTTTTTTGTGACCCAAGTTTCATGATTCAGTGGGAAATATCCCTGGCTTAGTATTTAGAAGTCATTAAATGTGTAACCCCTCCACACACATGAAAAAGTACACTAGAAATTGCTGAAAACAACCGCAGTAGAAAATGCCCAGTACAACTCATTGTCTCTTTCAGTGAGAAAATTGCAAGTTCCAAAGGAAATTCTCATGAATTCTGACTCTCATCAGGAGGCACTGAGTAAATCAATGTATTATTGATCAACCTGCTCTCATGAATCTTTTCTCTCCATTTGTCTCTTTACCTATATGGTGAGTGACATGTCCAGCAGCTCCTCAGAGAAGTAAGCATAGGTGGCTCACCAAATTCCAAGGGAGTTGTGCTTAGTGGAGCAAAAACAAGTGGACTTTAAAGAATGCAACTGGGCCAGGCGCAGTGGCTCACGCCTGTAATCCAAGCACTTTGGGAGGCCAAGGCGGGCAGATCATGAGGTCAGGAGATCGAGACCATCCTGGCTAACACGGTGAAACCCCGTCTTTACTAAAAATACAAAAAATTAGCCGGGCGTGGTGGCGGGCGCCTGTAGTCCCAGCTACTCCGGAGGCTGAGGCAGAAGAATGGAGTGAACCCGGGAGGCGGAGCTTGCAGTGAGCCGAGATTGTGCCACTGCACTCCAGCCTGGGCGACAGAGCCAGACTCTGTCTCAAAAAAAAAAAAAAAATGCAACTGTTCCACTATGTTGTTGGCTTTAAAATAGCACCTGCTCCAGGGTATGAAGGTTCTGTCACATGTGCTCTCATGTGTTCAGTCAAAGGCATGAAAAAGTAAAATCCACGAAGGAATAATTATGAAAATAGGGATATACAAACAATCAAAGCCAAATCCCCTTCAATGGCTCCAAAGTCAAACCCCAAATAAGAACTCTGTAATTATACTATGCATGTCATATCCAAACCAATCCTGTCATTTAGCCCCATGAATTAATTACTTTATAATTAACAGTTATTGTTTGGGCATGTCAAATACTGGCTCTTCAAAATATCACCAGAATAACCTGTTGCCAAGGTAAAGCTACCTGAGTTTAGGGTTTAGCACTGTAGGGGGTAACTCTACCTTGACAAAATCTGATAGCATTTTAGGAAGGGAAAGGCAATGCCAGGATATTGAGACTTTAAAGTCTGGCTTAGTGAGAGGGGGGAATTGATTAAAATTAGGTAAAGATTATGATGTAATGGTTTAAAATTGGTGAGCGTGGAAAAACAGATTGGGAGGGAAGAAATTCAAAAAGTCTCAGGGTACAAGGTTCATGCTTTTTGTCTTGGTCTGTTTGGTCTGCTATAACAAAATATCACAAACTGGGTGGCTTGTAAACAATGAAAATTTATTTCTCACAGTTCTGGAGACTGGGAAGTTTGAGGTTAAGGTGCCAGCAGATTTGGTGTCTAGTAAGGGCACTCTTCTTGGTTCATAGATGGGGTCTTCTTGCTGTGTCATCACCATGGTGAAAAGGGCTAAGTAGTTCTCTGTGATCTCTTTAATAAGGGCACTAATTCCAGTCATAAGGCCTCTGCCCTCATGACCTAATCACCTCCCCCAAACCACACCTCCTTCTACCATCACTTTGGAGTTAGGATTTCAACATCTGAATATGGGGGGAAGGTGGGGATAAACGTTCAGTCCATTGCACATTCTATTGAAGAGTTGCTGGAATGAGCAGCAAAGCTATTTGCAATTTATATCTTCCTGGGCAAGAGTCTTGTGGAATAGTAAAGCAATGTTGATGAATACAGTGCAACAGTAGACTCATGTTAATGAAGAAACTAAACTGTGTTGGGGTAGATGGTTTGCTTCTTGGAACCTATGTACTAGAAGAAATATATATGCCCTGCTGCTCTCCAAGTACTTCAGGTATTTTAAAATTCACAGAGGCAAAGGCCAAGAATTGAGGGAATAGACATACTATTAGGTTTGGAGAATGGTGGACACATTCATGGAGAAGATAGCATTTGAGCTAGGCCCTGATCACTGGACATAAGTTTGTAGAGTTTGGATGGTAGCCTGCTGTTTCAGGCTAAAGGCTACTACTGCTTGGCTGGTCACGGCTTCCTTTCTTCTTTATGGGTTCATTCGGGGCAAGTAAGGGTTTTCATTTTGCCATAGTCCTGTGGAGGAAAAATGAAAGCAGAGTCATTGGTTGAGGTTTAAACTCTTATTTTTGAAGGCTGCTGGGCGCTTTCTGTAGCTAAGTAGCATGTTTTCTTGGCTCTGCTTTTTATAAATGAAGCTCAACATGGAGCAGTTTTCTTGGTTCTGTGCATTCCTTACTTTGAGGATGGCCTCCATTAGCATCACATAAAAATCACTAAAATAGCAGGGAAAGAAGAGGGATGAGGTGGTTTATTGGACTCTTAGGATTATGTTGAAGTATGCAAATCCACAGCAGCTGCTCATTCTCTCATCAGAGCTTTATGGGTTCCTTTTTTTCCAAAGGTGACTGAGCTGAGAGCCCTGTTTTTGTCAAACAGTGGGTTATAGACTCCAGGAAGCAGGAGCTGCAAAGCTCCAAATAACTGTGCAAGCATTGATTTTCTTTTATTTTTGGGTCTCTCTGTTTCTCTCTCTCTCTCTCTCTCTCTCGTCTCACACACACTTTTTAAATGGCAGCAAAGAGGAAGAAGATCTGGTATGCAGAATCAGGGACCACCTAAGTAGGGAGATGAATGAGAATCACCTTTTTAGGGGTTAGAGGTATGATTTAGGTTTTGGGAATCCAATCTTAAGGATATCTCAGGACAAGTTTTAAAAACAATGGACAAATTAAGGCAACTTTACAAATCTGCTCAGGAGACTGATCCTTTAGATAAGACAAATTGGTATTTTTAAGCCATTCTGAGGGATTTTCATTCCAATACCTGTGGCATTTAATACATTTTCAAGTTCATTTTCCAAACAAGCGTCTATATAAAATACCCTCACAGCTCTTGCTAGGTGTATGTTACAGTTCTCCTTAACTAAGCTGAAGATGCATTGAAGAATTGCTGCCCTCTTTACCTTGGAAATGAAAATGCTATAGCTCCCTCTTGTGTCGTGTGAGGCCAAACAACCCCTGATTGATCCACAGCAGTGGAATCTATTCCATTAGTGTCCCAATAGTATCTCTGCAAGGCTTTTTGGGGATGAGGACATTGATAGAAGGATAAGTACCAAGGAATCCTTGTAGGACCACCCCAAAACATTCCAGGGAGACCTCTGTCATACTCCTGCTTTTTGAAAAATGAACTTACCCACTACTCCGTAGTTGGATCAATACCTTTTCCTTTCCAGAATTGGACCTGTGGTCATGGATGTTCCCAGGATGACCTTGACCCAACAATGATTGTTGGAATAATCAATGGCAAGAAGTAACTGTTTTTTATTATTGTGTCCGGAATTGGTGGGTTCTTGGTCTCACTGACTTCAAGAATGAAGCCGTGGACGCTCGCGGTGAGTGTTACAGTTCTTAAAGGCTGCGTGTCTGGATTTTGTTCCTGCTGATGTTCGGATGTGTTTGGAGTTTCTTCCTTCTGGTGGGTTTGTGGTCTCGCTGGCTCAGGAGCGAAGCTGCAGACCTTCACGGTGAGTGTTACAGCTCATAAGGCGGCCCGTCTGGAGTTGTTCGTTCCTCCCGGTGGGTTCGTGGTCTTGATGGCTTCAGGAGTGAAGGTGTAGACCTTTGCGATGAATGTTACAGCTCATAAAGGCAGTGTGGACCCAAAGAGTGAGCAGTAGCAAGATTTATTGCAAAGAGTGAAAGAACAAAGTTTCCACAGTGTGGAAGAGGACTCCAGTGGGTTGCCACTGCTGGCTCGGGCAGCCTGCTTTTATTCTCTTATCTGGCCCCACCCACATCCTGCTGATTGGTCCATTTTACAGAGAGCTGATTGGTATGTTTTACAGAGAGCTGATTGGTCCGTTTTGACAGGGTGCTGATTGGTGCGTTTACAATCCCTGAGCTAGACACAAAAGTTCTCCAAGTCCCCACTAGATTAGCTAGATACAGAGTGCTGGTTGGTGTATTTACAAACCCTGAGCTAGACACAGAGTGTTGATTGGTGCATTTACAAACCTTGCGCTAGATACAGAGTGCTCATTGGTGTATTCACAATCCCTTAGCTAGACAAAAAGGTTCTCTAAGTCCCCACCAGATCAGCTAGACACAGAGCACAGATTGGTGCATTTACAAACCTTGAGCTAGACACAGAGTGCTGATTGGTGTATTCACAATCCTGTAGCTAGACAAAAAGGTTCTCCAAGTCCCCACCAGATTAGCTAGATACAGAGCACTGATTGGTGCATTTACAAACCCTGAGCTAGACACAGAGTGCTGATTGGTGTATTTACAATCCCTTAGCTGGACATAAAGGTTCTCCAAGTCCCCACTAGACTCAGGAGCCCAGCTGGCTTCACTCAGTGGATCCCACACTGGGGCTGCAGGTGGAGCTGCCTGCCAGTCCTGCACCTTGTGCTTGCACTCCTCAGCCCTTGGGTGGTCGATGGGACCAGGCACTGTGGAGCAGGGGGTGACGCTCGTCGGGGAGGCTTGGGCCACACAGGAGCCCACGGTGGGGAGCAGGGGAGGCTCAGGCATGGCAGGCTGCAGGTCCTGAGCCTGCCCCACGGGGAGGCAGCTAAGGCCGTGTGAAAAATCGAGCGCACCGCCAGTGGGCCGGCACTGCTGGGGGACCTGGCGCACCCTCCGCAGCTGCTGGTCCAGGTGCTAAGCCCCTCACTGCCTGGGGCCGGCAGGGCCGGCCAGCCACTCTGAGTGCAGGGCCTGCCAAGCCCATGCCCACCCGGAACTCTAGCTGGCCCGCAAGCACTGCGTGCAGCCCCGGTTCCCGCCCATGCCTCTGCCTCCACACCTCCCTGCAAGCTGAGGGAGCCGGCTCTGGCCTTGGCCATCCCAGGAAGGGGCTCCCACAGTGCAGCGGTGGGCTGAAGGGCTCCTCAAGCGCGGCCAGAGTGGGCGCTGAGGCTGAGGAGGCGCCAAGAGTGAGCGAGGGCTGCGAGGGCTGCCAGCATGCTGTCACCTCTCATTATCATAAGCTGTCAGCTTGTGATTTGTTTTCCTTATTCAGACTTCCCAGCATATTTATTTCAAGGAAGAATGTGAAGAGAGTAGTAGATGGGTGGGTGGGCACAAATAGTGCAGTTTACCCTCAGATTTCCTTCAAAGGTCAAGTGCCTGAGCTTTTTGACAGAAATTGAAAGACAAAACTGATGCATACTTAACCATCTGCTCACTTGTGGACTTACTTCTTTTTGAGCTATTTTTTTTTTAATGGAGCAATAATCTTTGTTTGCAATGGCTTTGGAAGTTTTTTGTTTTGTTTTGTTTTTTGTTTTTTGTAACACAGGCCCAGGCTTGAGTGCAATCACGGCTCACTGCCACCTCGGCCTCCTGAACTGATCCTCCCACCTCAGCCTCCTGAGTAGCTAGGACTACAGGAACATGCCACCACACCTGGCTATTTTTTTTCTATTTTTCGTAGAGATGGAGTCTTGCTATGTTGCCCAGGTTAGTCTCAAACTCCTGGGCTCAAGTGATTCTCCCATCTTGGCCTCCCAAAGTGTTGAGATTACAGGCATGAGCCACTGCTCCCAGCAGGAAGCACTTGATATGGGACAAGCCCCAGCCCCGCCTGTCTGCTATGGCAGCGCTCCTTAGTCAAGTGTCAGGACTTGCAAGCAAAGATGTCAGTGAAGGGTTAGAAATAGGTTTACCAGTAAGGACAAGAGAGCACAGTATAGCAGGATCAGGGCTGGAAGTTCTGCTGAGCAAAGAACGTTGTAATGGGATGTCAGATATGAGTAAAGTTGAGGGTTACTCTGGACAGAAAGTCCAAACTAAGTAAGATTACACAAACAGTGTGAGGGAAAAGGACCTGTGTGTCTGGGGGCTTCAGTAGCCCAGGAAATCTTTTAGCACTGGTAGCTCAGTTATCATTGGCCTACAGTAGGCTTCTAAAACTTCCTACAATCTCACCTTTCTTTTTACCTAATGAAATTTTAAAGCAAGTGAATCCCTGTACAGCACAGTGCTTAAGGTGTTCCCAATCCAGTACCTTCTCAAAATTCTCATCCTTTTTCTGGTCCCCCCTTCAATTTGACTACTTTCTGATAGCTTAAACCACCTCCACCAGTTCCTTCTCTGAATGCTTAAGCACTTATTGTCTGAATCAGTTTATTGACACCAAACTAACTCTGCCCAGAAATACTTCGTACCTTTCCTGGATTCCTGTCAGCACTCCAGATATTTGAGGGAATTAAACAAAGGCCTTTTTTTTTTCCTTTCCTAACTCAAGTCTAGACTGTGTGTTTTTTAAGGCTTCATGTTGCTTTACTGTCAAAATTGGTTCCAGGTCTTCCCTCTTACTTTTTGAGTATAGTGTCTAGCCATTCACATGCTTAGAGAATAAGGATTCCTAGCAGTGACAGGCACTGATACTGTACACATAAATACAATTAATACTGTGTCCTCAATAGGTGGAAGCACTCCTTGCTTGCCAAAAAAGTGGCAGTTTGGTTTTCTGTTGTTGTTGACAAACTTAAATAAATATTGAGCTCCTTGGAGGAGGGGCCAAGATGGCTGAATAGAAACAGTGCCAGTCTGCAGCTCCCAGCGAGACCAATGCAGAAGGCAGGTGATTTCTGCATTTCCAACTGAGGTGCCCAGTTCATCTCACAGGGACTGGTTAGGCAGTGGGTGCAACCCACAGAGAGTGAGCAGAAGCAGGGTGGGGCATTACTTCACCCAGGAAATACAAGGAGCTAGGGAACCTCCCTCCCTCAGCCAAGGGAAGGCGGGAGGGACTGTGCTATCTGGCCTGGGTACTATGCTTTTCCCATGGTTTTTGGAATCTGCAGATCAAGAGATTCCCTCATATGTCTACACCACCAGGGCCCTGGGTCTCAAGCACAAACTGGGTGGCTGTTTGGGCAGACACTGAGCTAGCTGCAGGAGTTTTTATTTCATACCCCAGCAGTGCCTGGAACCCCAGCGAGACAGAACTATTCACTCCCTTGGAAAGGGGGCTGAAGTCAGGGAGCCAAGTGGTCTCACTCAGTGGGTCCCGGTCCCATGGAGCCCAGCAAGCTAAGAACCACTGGCTTGAAATTCTCACTGCCAGCACAGCAGTCTGAAGTCAACCTGGGGTGATCGGGCTTGATGTGGGGAGGAGCATCCACAATTACTGAGGCTTTAGTAGGCGGTTTTACCCTGACAATGCTAAGGAGACTGGAAGATTTGGACTGGGCAGAATTCACCACAGTGTGGCAAAATGGCTATGGCCAGACTGCCTCTCTAGATTCCTCCTCACTGGGCAGGGCACCTTTGGAGGAAAGGAAGCAGCCCCAGTCGGAGGCTTATAGATAAAACTCTCATCTCCCTAGGACAGAGCACGTAGGAGGAAGGGTGGCTGTGGGCACAGCTTCAGCAAACTTAATCCTTCCTGCCTGCCGGCTCTGAAGAGAGCAGTGGATCCTGACAAAGGGGATTCTCCCAGCACAGCACACCAGCTCTGCTAAGGGACAGACTGCCTCCTTAAGTGGGTCCCTGTCTTCCATGACTCCTGACTGGGAGAGACTTCCCAACAGGGGTTGACAGACACCTCATACAGGAGAATTCCAGCTGGCATCAGGCTGGTGCACCTCTGGGATGAAGCTTCCAGAGGAAGGAGCAGGCAGCAATCTTTGCTGTTCTGCAACCTCCACTGGTGATACCCAGGTGAACAGGGCCTGGAGTGAACCTCAAGCAAGCTGCAGCAGACCTGAAGAAGAGGGGCCTGACTGTTAGAGGAAAAACTAACAAACAGAAAGCAACAACATCAACATCAATAAAAAAGACCCCCACACAAAAATGCCATCCAAAGGTCATCAGCCTCAAAGATCAAAGGTAGATAAATCAATGAAGATGAGGAAAAACCAGCACAAAAACCCTGAAAATTCCAAAAACCAGAATGCCTCATCTCCTCCAAATGATTGCAACTCCTCTCCAGCAAAGGCACAAAACTAAATGGAGAATGAGACTGACAAATTGGCAGAAGTAGTCTTCAGAAGGTGGGTAATAACAAACCCCTCTGAGCTCAAGGAGCATGTTTTAAACCAATGCAAGGAAGCGAAGAACCTTGATAAAAAGTTACAAGAACTGCTAACTAGAATAACTAGTTTAGAGAAGAACATAAATTACCCAATGGAGCTGAAAAACACGGCAGAACTTCGTGAAGCATAAACAAGTATCAATAGCTGAATCAATCAAGCAGAAGAAAGGTTATCACAGAATGAAGATCACCTTACTGAAATAAGGCATGAAGACAAGTTTAGAGAAAAAAGAATGAGAAGGAACAAACAAAGCTTCTAAGAAATATGGGACTATGTGAAAAGACCAAACCTATTATTTGATTGGGGTACCTGAAAGTGACAGGGAGAATGGAACCAAGTCGGAAAACACACTTCAGGATATTATTGTGGACAACTTCCCCAACCTAGCAAGACAGGCCAACATTCAAATTCAGGAAATACAGAGAATACCACTAAGATACTCCTCAAGAAGAGCAACCCCAAGACACATAATCGTCAGATTCTCCAAGGTTGAAATGAAGGAAAAAGTGTTAAGAGCAGCCAGAGAGAAAGGTCAGGTCATCTACAAAGGGAACCCCATCAGACTAACAGCAAATCTCTCTACAGAAACCCTACAAGCCAGAAAAGAGTAGGGGCCAATATTCAACATTCTTAAACAAAAGAACTTTCAACCCAGAATTTCATATCCAGCCAAACTAAGGTTCACCAGTGAAGGAGAAATAAAATCCTTTCCAGACAAGCAAATGCTGAGGGATTTTGTCACCACCAGGCCTGCATTACAAGAGCTCCTGAAGGAAGCACTAAATATGGAAGGAAAAACCGGTACCAGCCACTGCAAAAACACACCAAAATATAAAGACTAATGATACTGTGAAGAAACTGCATCAACTAATGTGCAAAATAACCAGCTAGCATTATGATAATAGGATCAAATTCAAACATAACAATATTAACCTTAAACGTAAATGGGCTAAATGCTCCAATTAAAAGACACAGACTGGCAAATTGTATAAAGAGTCAAGATCGTTCAGTGTGCTGTATTCAAGAGGCACATCTCACATGCAAAGACACACATAGGCTCGAAATAAAGAGGTGGAGGAATATTTACCAAGCAAATGGAAAGCAAAAAAAAGCAGGAGTTGCAATCTTAGTCTCTGATAAAACAGACTTTAAACCAACAAAGATCAAAAAAGGCAAAGAAGGGCATTACATAATGGTAAAGGGATCAATGCAACAAGAAGAACTAACTATCCTAAATGTATATGCACCCGATACAGGAGCACCCAGATTCATAAAAAAAGTTCTTAGAGACCTACAAAGACACATATACTCCCACACAATAATAGTGGGAGACTTTAACACACCACTGTCGATATTAGACGGATCAATGAAACAGAAAATTAACAAGGATATTTAGGACTTGAACTCAGCTCTGGACCAAGCAGACCTAATAGATATCTACAGAACTCTCCACCCCAAATCAACAGAATATACATTCCTCTCAGCACCACAAAGCACATATTCTCCTTTCAGCACCACAAAGCACATATTCTAAATTTGACCACATAATTGGAAGTAAAACACTCCTCAGCAAGTGCAAAATAATGGAAATCAAACAAACAGCCTCTCAGACCACAGTGCAATCAAATTAGAACTCAGGATTAAGAAACTCACTCAAAACCACACAACTGCATGGAAACAGAACAACCTGCTTCTGAATGACTACTGAGTAAATAACACATTTAAGACAGAAATAACGAAGTCCTTTGAAACCAAGGAGAACAAAGAGACAATGTAACAGAATCTCTGGGACACAGCTAAAGCAGTGTTTAGAGGGAAATTTATAGCACGAAATGCCCACATCAGAAAGCAGGAAAGATCTAAAATTGACACCCTAACATCACAATTAAAAGAACTAGAGAAGGAAGAGCAAACAAATTCAAAAGCTAGCAGAAGACAAGAAATAACTAA
Organism: Homo sapiens; assembly: GCF_000001405.40. NCBI lineage: Eukaryota > Metazoa > Chordata > Mammalia > Primates > Hominidae > Homo > Homo sapiens. Next base: position 133,039,180 of record NC_000023.11, on the reverse strand, counting down.
GATTAGAGAAGAACTGAAAGAGATAGAGACACGAAAAACTGTTAAAAAAAATCAATGAGTCCAGGAGCTGGTTTTTTGAAAAGATTAACAAAAATAGGTAGACCAATAGTCAGACTAATAAAGAAGAAAAGAGAGAATAATCAAGTAGATGCAATAAAAATGATAAAGGGGCTGTCACCACTGACCCCACAGAAATACAAACTACCATCAGAGAATACTATAAACACCTCTACACAGATAAACTAGAAAATCTAGAAGAAACGGATACATTCCTGGACACATACACCCTCCCAAGACTAAACCAGGAAGAAGTCAAATCCCTGAATAGACCAAAAACAAGTTCTGAAATTGAGGCAGTAATTAAAAGCCTACCAACCAAAAACAGCCCAGGACCACATGGATTCACAGCCAAATTCTACCAGAGGTACAAAGAGGAGCTGGTATCATTCCTTCTGAAACTATTCCAAACAATAGAAAAAGAGGGACTACTCCCTAACTCATTTTATGAGGCCAGCATCATCCTGATTCCAAAACCTGGCAGAGACAACAAAAAAGAAAATTTCAGGACAGTATCACTGATGAACATCAATGTAAAAATCCTCAACAAAATACTGGCAAACTGAATCCAGCAGCTCATCAAAAAGCTTATCTACCACAATCAAGCCGGCTTCGTCCCTGGGATGCAAGACTGGTTAAACATATGCAAATCAATAAACTTAATCCATCACATAAACAGAACCAATGACAAAAACCACATGATTATCTCAATGGATGCGGAAAAGGCCTTCAATAAAATTCAACACCCCTTCATGCTAAAATCTCTCAATAAACTAGGTATTGATGCAACATATCTCAAAATAATAAGAGCTATTTATTGACAAACCCATAGCCAATATCATACTGAATGGGCAAAAGCTGGAAACATTCCCTTTGAAAACCAGCAGAAGACAAGGATGCCCTCTCTCACCACTCCTATTCAACATAGTATTGGAAGTTCTGGCCAGAGCAATCAGGCAAGAGAAAGAAATAAAGGGCATTCAAATAGGAAGAGAAGAATTCAAATTGTCTCTGTTTGCAGACATGATTGTATATTTAGAAAACCCCATTTTCTCAGCCCCAAATCTCCTTAAGCTAATAAACAACTTCAGCAAATTCTTAGGATACAAAATGAATGTGCTAAAATCACAAGCATTCCTATACACCAATAATAGACAAGCAGAGAGCCAAATCATGAGTAAACTCCCATTCACAATTGCTACAAAGAAAATACCTAGGAATACAACTTACAAGGACATGAAGGACCTCTTCAAGGAGAACTACAAACCACTGTTCAAGGAAATCAGAGAGGACACAAACAAATGGAAAAAAAATTCCATGTTCATGGATAGGAAGAATCAGTATGAACATGACCATACTGCCCAAAGTAATTTATAGATTCAATGCTATTCCCATCAAGCTACCATTTAGTTTTTCACATAACTAGAAAAAACTTCCTTAAACTTCATATGGAACCAAAAAAGAGCCCATATAGCTAAGACAATCCTGAGCAAAAAGAACAATGCTGGAGGCATCATGCTACCTGAGTTCAAACTATACTACAAGGCTACAGTAACCAAAACAGCATGGTACTGGTACCAAAACAGATATATAGACCAGTGGAACAAAACAGAGTCTTCAGAAATAACAGCACACATCTACAACCATCTGATCTTCACCAAACCTGACAAAAACAAACAATGGGGAAAGGATTCCCTATTTAACAAATGGTGTTAGGAAAACTGGCTAGCCATATGCAGAAAACAGAAACTGGAGCCTCTTCTTACCTCTTAAACAAAAATTAACTCAAGATGGATTAAAGACTTAAATGTAAAACCTAAAACTATAAAAACCCTAGAAGAAAACCTAGGCAATACCATTCAGGACATAGGTATGGGCGAAGACTTCATGACTAAAACACCAAAAGCAATTGCAACAAAAGCCAAAATTGACAAATGGGATCTAATTAAACTAAAGTGCTTCTGCTCAGCAAAAGAATTTATCCTCAGAGTGAACAGGCAACCTACCAAATGGGAGAAATTTTTTGCAATCTATCCATCTGACAAAAGTCTAATATCCAGAATCTACAAAGAACTTAAACAAATTTACAAGAAAAAAACAACCCCATCAAAAAGTGCGTGAAGGATATAAACAGATACTCCTCAAAAGAAGACATTTATGTGGCCAACAAACGTATGAATAAAAGCTTGTCATCACTGGTCATTAGAGAAATGCAAATCAAAACCACAGTGAGATACAATCTTACGCCAGTTAGAATGTGATCATTAAAAAGTCTGGAAACAACAGATGCTGTCAAGGATGCAGAGAAATAGGAACGCTTTTACACTGTTATTGGGAGTGTGAACTAGTTCAACCATTGTGGAAGACAGTGTGGCAATTCCTCAAGGATCTAGAACCAGAAATACCATTTGACCTGGCAATCCCATTACTGGGTATAGACCCAAAGAATTATAAATCATTCTACTATAAAGACACATGCACATGTGTGTTTATTGCAGCACTATTTACAATAGCAAAGACTTGGAACCAGCCCAAATGCCCTTCGATGACTGAATGAATAAAGAAAATGTGGCACATATACACCATGGAATACCGTGCAGCCATAAAAAAGAATGAGTTCATGTCCTTTGCAGGGACATGGATGAAGCTGGAAACCATCATCCTCAGCAAACTAACACAGGAACAGAAAACCAAACACCGCATGTTCTCACTCATAAGTGGGAGCTGAACAATGAGCTGAACACATGGACACAGGGAGAGGAACATCATACACCAGGGCCTGCTGGTGGGTGGGGGGAAAGGGGAGGAAGAGCATTAGGAGAAATACCTAATGCATATGGAGCTTAAAACCTAGATGATGGGTTCATAGGTGTAGCAAACGACCATGGCACATGTATACCTATGTAACAAACCTGCACATTCAGCACATGTATCCCAGAACTTAAAGAAAAAAAACCTTAAAAAAATGAGCTTCTTCAACTGGTACATATATATATATATAATTTTTTTTAGAGGGTCTTGCTCTGTCACCCAGGCTGGAGTGCAATGGCATGATCACAGCTCACTGTAGCCTCCACCTCCTGGGTTCAAGCAATCCTCCTGTCTCGGCCCACATTTTTGTATTTTTTGTAGAGACGGGGTCTTACCATGTTGCCCAGCCTGGTCTCAAACTCTTGGGCTCAAGTGGTCCACCTGCCTTGGCCTCCCAAAGTGCTGGGATTACAGGCATGAGCCACCGCACTCAGCCTCAACTGGTACTTTAAAGCTGGAATCATTTGATGATTTCTGTTCTGCTGTGATTCTCCTCTACTTTGGGACAGAATTGCTTTATCTCTTGTTTCTACTCTTTACCTGCTGATCCATTATTGTGGATATTTGCTTAAAAGGTCTGTAAGATTTGGATGTCTCATTTGGAAAAGACAAGGGAAAGAAAGGAAATGAGAGAAAAAGCCTAAGAAATGCAAGTTGATTCTCCATCCAGATGAGACAGGAAAAAAATAATAATAATAAAGGAGGCAGGTGGGATGTTGGCTAAATTAGTCTCCACAGATGAAAAAAATATGGACAAAACATTTTTATTTAGCACCACATGTGTTTGTGGTTTTAGCTCCCCAATGTTTTCTGTCATAATAGGCTCTAAAAGCTGGTTCTGTCATGGGAGGCATTACCAAATTCTTTGGAAACTCTTCCCCTTGGGACCAACACTTAGTACCATTCTTTGATAAGGTGAGGTCTCCAGCTAATCTTTTGTGATTTCCCCCTTATTTTCTGCTCTCCTGCAGTGTGTCCAAAAGAGCCTCTTTCTTGCAGGATCACATTTTTCCAGCAAATAATTCCTTTGGATGATTTTCTTGTAATCCAGTTATCTCCCACTTAGTACATAGAATCTTGTACCATTTCTTCTCCAAATAGAGGGAGTAGAACTTGCTTTCACTTTTGCCTCCTTTTGCCATGTCATGTGGGATTCTTTCAGTATCATGACTTAACCAGTTTCAGTCAGGCACCAGTGTTTTTGCCCCTCTAACTCCAGAGTAAAGATGTCAGATTTTCCCATGACTCTCATACTCTACTATCAGTGTAGCTTACAGATTTTGGCTTCTCAGTGAGTATCCAGCCAGGGTGTAAGATGCAGTCTGAAATCTTTTGTAAATGATTTTCCAATTTTACTACCCCTTCCCCTACTTGACTTGGACATGGGAATCGGGGAAATGCCACAGTGTTCTCTATTAATGAATTTCCTTACTTTAAATATTTTTTTTTTTTGTAAGAGACATGGTCTTGCTCTATTGCCAGGTTGGCACTATCACAGCTCACTGTAGTCTTGAGCTCCTGAGCTCAAGAGATCCTCCCACCTCGGTCTCCCAAAGTGCTGGGATTACAGGCATGAGCCACCATGCCCAGCCTTCTTTAAATAATCTTTGATAACTATATTCTTCACATGTATGGTAATTCTTGTGCAGTGTATTATAGTTCTTGTTACTCAGTTTTGCATCTTTGCCAGTATCATGAGACAAGAAGAAAAGTCTCATTTTATAGGTCCTTTAAAAATGATCAAAGATACTGATTGTTAGAAAGATTTATAGTTTTCAACTATGTAGGACACAAACTTAATAGAATAATTGCTTCATTAAAGTGTGTATGCATTTAAAATTTGATAGATTGAGGTGTACATCTGTTTAGTCTCCTGTCTTATTTAACCTTGCCTTCATGTCATAGTCAGCTTGATGTTCCCATAACAGTTCTAGCCCATTAATTTCATCTTTTCCTGACCCGTCAGCCCTTATTTTAAAACTTTAGATGCTGTTTTCCTCAGGAAAGTTAAGATTCTTTGGTCCTAGCCCTTAAAGGGGTCCTACTTCTCCAACTTTATGGTTTCTCTCGGCAAAGGAAAATTTGGCTGCACACACGCACTGAAAATAAATTTATCCTCTGATAGCTATTAACTTTGTGGTCGGGTAATATAAGCAGCATTGCAGGGTATCACAGGCAAAGTAACAGTCTTAGAAAAAGTGAATGATTGGTGAATTCTGAGGCAGGAAAACTCAAACGTGGGAATCATCGAAATAAAGTGTGACTTGAACTGGGTCTTTAGAAATTAAGAAGGATAGAACTAAGACAAAAGTAAGGGAATTATTAGGGAATTCCAGGCAGAGAGGAAATGCTACAAAAAGCTAAGATAGCAGAAAATACATGGACTTTTAGGTAACACTAACTGAATTTTACTTTTTTAATTAAGACATTTTCCGTTGCATGGCCATTGTTTGTATTTATCTTAAAACCCGAGGTCAGGAATATTTTACTGCTTCATGTTTGGATATGGACCATAGTTAATGTCCATAGTTGACTAGGTATCAACATATTTTGGTTAGTAAGTGAATAAACAAATGAATTGCAATAGTTAGCAGAAAGGGCTGCAAAATACTAGGAAGATTCCAACAGGAGAAGAAGGATTAATTTCAAGAAAACCTCATTTATCATTATTTCAGTGTAACAAATACATGCTTTCTTATGAAACAGCACTCTTTCTTAATGAATTCATATTTAAATTTTGGAAAATAATCTTTGCATTCTGTTTTCCTAATCAACTATGTTGTATTAATAGCACTAGCATAATTTTAAAAGAATGAAAAAAATGCTCTGCCAAATCTGTCCCTCAGAAAGGGTTCAAACTTGAATAGTTCATGGGAACAATTTGCTAGTCTAGAGAATTCTTCCCATTTTGGTCAGGGCCTCCTATGGAGAGATTTATGTGCAGTGTATGTCAAGAGACAAAATAATGGCATTTCTCTGCAACACAATGACTCGGACGTTTGTTGAGTACAGAAATGCACCTTTAAACTAGAGAAAGAAAAAGAAAGTCTGCCCTGATCCAATCATTTTGAAAAGCCATGCACACTGAAGCTGGGACCAAACATAATAACAGGATTTAATTGCTAATGCTCTAGAGGCAGTGTGTCTCTTGATGTGTTGACCTTTAACCCAAACTTGGGAGGGTAAAAAAAAGGGAGGGGAGGATTTCCTTTCCCCTTCTGCCTGCTGTCCCCGACTCCCTGCATCTGATCATGTCTGTCTCTAACGCAGTCTACGTGCCCCTAACATTCAACTCTCCACTTCCATTTCCATTAGTTACTTCCAGCTTTGGAGCCGGGATGAGAATGAATAGAAGAACAGAAAGGAAGGTGGGAGGAGAATAGGAGAAGAAAGTCTGCAAGCAGTTGACAGCTGCTTAGAATCAGGGGATGGAATTGTAGCTGCTGAAATGAGAGCTGGACACCTACTCCCCTGATGCTTCTCCCCTACTCCGTAGTATTTTGTGATATTTAGGCCTTTTCATGTGTTTCTGTTCATTGTTCCATTCCACCCTTTCTGGGTCCGTACTTATAATCATTTTTTTCTCTACACCTTCAGCTCCCATTTTCCTCTTACTCGGTTACTTATGAATGGCAAAATTTCAAGCAAGTTAAATTCAAGGCTCTGCCTATTACACACCTGAACCATGGCAACTAGACAGCTAAACGTGGCTGGAGAAAAAATATGCAGATTGGTCTTGCTGTAAATATATGACTATTAGCCTAAGTCAGCCCTTGGTGCTACTCAGCAAGGTTACTAGTCCATTCAGTCTCCCGCTCTTTTACAAAACTTCCACAACTTCTTTCTCTTCAATTCTTTTACCATGCTCCAGTCATGCTGGCCTGCTTTCTGTTTCCAACATGCCAAGTCCATTCCCACCTGAGGACCTTTTCATTTACTCTTCCTCCTGCCTGGGGCACCCTACATTTAGGTATTTGTTCACTTCCTTCAACACCCTGCTGCATATTGTCATCACGTGTTAGGCCTTCCCAGAACCCCCTATATAAGGCAGCACATCCCCATCACCACTGACAAATTCAGTTCCTCTAACTTTGGGTTTTTGTTTGTTTGTTTGGTTGGTTGGTTGGTTGGTTGGTTGGTTGGGTTTTTTTCTTTTGCTTTTTTGAGACAGAGTTTCGCTCTGTTGCCCAGGCTAGAGTGCAGTGGCATGAACTCGGCGCACTGCAACCTCCGTTTCCCAGGTTCAAGTGATTCTCCTGCCTCAGCCTCCCGAGTAGCTGGATATAAACAGACACAGGCCACCATGCCTGGCTAATTTTTGTATTTTTAGTAGAGACAGGATTTCGCCATGTTGACCAGGCTGGTCTCAAACTCCTGACCTGAGGTGATCCATCTGCCTCAGCCTCCCCAAATTCTGGGATTACAGGCATGAGCCACTGTACCTAGCCTCCTCTAACTTTGTTTTCTTTAGCAGTTGCCACCATCTGGTGTTCTCCATATTTTGTGTGTATGTACTGTATTTTCTATCCCCCTGCTAGAATTAAAATTTTTCGAGAGCATGGATTTTGTGGGGTTTTTTCATTCTTCTATACCTAAAGCTTAATGTAATGCTTTCTAGTACTCCATACATATTTATTTAATGAATGAATGGATGCTTGCTGGCTTTTGAATATCTTCTATTCCCAATTGCCAAACCTAGAATATCCCTTCCCTACCCATCCTCCCATGTTTTTTTGTATTGTGCCCCTGGTATGCAAGTCCAGATTTAGTGCATACCATCTAACTGTTGGAGAAAGTATCTTTTATTTGGCCTGTCTTAAGAAATCCAATGTAAGTATTTTGTACTTAGAAGTATAGTCTCACAGAATGGAGTCCTCAAAGAGAGTTCTATGATCATTTCCCGATTTGTTTAATGGGCCCTAATAGAGGAATTGGCTTATCCAAGATCACTAAGCTAAGTGTAGTTTAAAATAAATGTGAGTTGAAGTTGTTTTGCTTTTCAAAACTCTTGCTTGGGATTATTGGAGATACCCAGAAATGGTTAGAAACTCATATAGTCATTACCTGGCTCCGTCTTTCCACTTACTGCATTCATGGGTTGGCACACCACCTCATGGGTACTTCATTTTTATTCCGTGAGATTTGCTTAGGTAACTTAGCGGGATTTCTCAGTATATCTTTGTTCTCTTCACATGTTTTCATGAAGTTGTGAAAAAATGATAATTAAAACACACACCACCTGTACCACACTGCCATATATCTTGACCTTAACCTATTCAGTAAGATAAACACATACTCGATTTTATATAATTGATGACAGTCTGTACTCATGTCAGCAGAGGAGAACTGACCTAGAAATGTTAGTTTCTCATAGTCATTGAGCCTAACGACCCTTCTAGAGGTTATTAATCTGCCTCCAGGCCATAGCTCCCTCTAAACTTTTCAAAACAAATGGTTCTCTTCTTAAAGCATCATCCATTTCACCAAAATACTTGAAAGAAAATAATTTTTGTCTCGTTTTCTTATTTTTATTACTCTTTGGTAATGTACACTTTGGGATTGAGAAATGCAAATTCAGATTTGAAAGGTATATACGGATTTGTCTTCAAGTTCTTCTACCTCTTGAAATAATGAAAGCCTGAGTGGTGTGAGATATAAATGGAGGATACAGAGGGTAAATACTCCAAAAGCAACACAAACCTTCATTAAATTACAGGAGTCCCCTCTTTTATTGTGACGATTACACAGTGATGTTTAGAGTCTAAATCATTTAGGTACAGTGAATCCTCACATCCATTGTGTCCCTGAGAGCACCGGCTGCAATACCCAACATTGAGCAGATACTCAGCAAATCATAATATGCAGACAGCATAGAGTAGATGCTCAGCAACTGTCTCAGTGAACACGAAGATCAATGTAGAGTGAATTAGTAAATTAATAATGGAGCAGACATTTCTATTAGGGTTTTTTTTTAACTGGACAACCAGCTGCTTGGCACCATAGATCATGCCTCCAAATCTGACAGAAGTGGTACAGTTTTGTGAGTGTCTGGCTATCCTTTGAGTCTGAAGTGTTGCACTAGTGGTTGATCAATCAAATTGAATGGATTGAATTTGTAGGTAAAATGAGAGAAAAGCCTGTTGGCTTTCATAACTTTTGAATGCAGCTGTCATCTATACGTTTTGAATCTGGTGTGGGGGTGAGAAAGGAGGAGGAATGCTGAAGTTTATTTTAGGCTGTATGGAATAGTCACATAGTGCTCTTCAATGGAGTCTTGGAGAAACAATACATTTTAGTTTAAAATACTCTCAAAGCAAGCAATCAAGGCAGAATGAAGAACAGGATTTAAGCTTGAGATGTCTTAGGGATGTAGGCAGTGGTTAGACCACTCAACTTGTACATCAGCAAGATGGTTCTTAACCTTTACTTTCCATGCTCAGTGGGCTCAAATAAGCCTCCTTTCATCTGGAATGAAATGTAGTCAGGATGGACTGTGAGAAAGGAATGTCTCTTAACTGTATTTTTGAGGGCAGAGAGAAGAAATATCAAGAGGGTCTTAGATTATTTCATCTACCAATAGAAAGAAGATAATAATTTTTGATAAATACAGATGAGCTGGGTGCAAAATTTTAAAATAAGCTGCAAGTGGTTCTATGGTTGCAGGTTCTCTCAAGTTGTTGAAATAAAAAGGAACAATTAAGACTGCCTTTTCTGTGGAGAGAAAATTGTTTAAATCCTTACTTAGCATCTATAGTAGGACAGTGAAATAGAAATAATCCAGAGAACTTAAATTTGTGCTGTGCTTGAATGTTTTTATGGCCCCATTTCTACCATGAAAAATATAACCATTCTCTTACTTGGATGCATATGCACTTTCGTATATGGATGGATGCCATCTCTATTTCGCTGAACATAGGTTGATAGATGAAATACTTTATAAAACAAAAATCTCATTAATTTATGTTTCACCAATTTTAAGATTTTGATAATTTGGACAGGGACTGAGCAGAAGTTTCCTTCAGTATTATTCATAAAGATGGGGTTTGCTTAAGCAAGTTAATAGCATAGAGAAGATTCAGGAAGAATATTTAACTACTGAGGAGGAAACAGCTTCCAACTAATTCTTGGATGTATACTTTCTGATGCAAACATTTGTAGTGCTGTCTGCTAACTTATTCAGTAATTCACATTGGCTCCAGAGTTGTTCAGAGATTCTGATTTTCAATAATTAAGTACATCTAATTCTTCCTCACTGGTTTTGAATACAGGGAGCTAGCTCCGGTTAAGTGGGCCTTATAGCCAGAGTTGCCTGCAGGAGCCTCACTAGCCTATATATCTAATGGGTAAGAAGTTGTTATTCTTAAACTTTTGTTGAATGAGCAAGTACAATGTAATGATGTTCCCCAGTGCCAAGTGAAATATAGGAACATAGCTAGATTTGGAGGGAGGTAGACTGGTTTACTTTGAGTGGCCCATATATGAGATCCTCTAGAAATCAAGGAACAATTCATCTGTTACTGAGTTGAGGGCCACATAGTGCCTTCACTTTCTCATTCACTTATTGTAGTTGCCCCATGGGGTCATTCTGTGACAGGAAGATTAGCATATTGTATGCATGCACTTGAGACTCTATTGAGTATACTTTCAGTTATGTACTGAAAGTCTTCCAAGTGTTTCATGATTTCAATTGAAGTTGGGAAATTAATCAGAATGGAGTCCAGTATTTTGGTGGAAACTACATGTAGTGTATGAGTGTAGAGTTTGAGTTTTGTTGAAGCAAAGCATTTCTGTAATAGTTTAAAGAATGTTTCCTGATTTTTGCCATAGTGTGCTTGTCTTGGGAATCAAGACTCTGCCTTCATGCAGCCATGGAAGGCTCTCAAAAGGCATTGGTCTCGTTACTGAAGAGCTGGATATCTAGAACCTGAACTAGACTCTAGTATAAAACCAATACTAGAAATAGGATCATTCTGTGTAGAGAACTAATGAACTATTTCTTTGGTGTTGTCTTCACAGCTGAACTTGCAAAACAGATTGGAACTTCAAGATTATCAATAATCGGAGATACGTATATTTTATTTGTAAAGAAAACATGGCTGCCCTATTCCTACGTGGTTTTGTCCAAATAGGGAACTGCAAGACTGGGATATCTAAGTCAAAAGAAGCATTCATTGAAGCAGTGGAAAGAAAGAAGAAAGATAGACTGGTGCTGTATTTCAAAAGTGGAAAATATAGCACTTTTCGGCTAAGTGATAATATTCAAAATGTAGTCCTTAAATCCTATAGAGGAAACCAAAATCACCTGCATTTAACTTTACAAAATAATAATGGCTTGTTTATTGAAGGATTATCCTCCACAGATGCTGAACAATTGAAGATATTCTTGGACAGAGTTCATCAAAACGAGGTTCAGCCACCTGTGAGACCTGGTAAGGGTGGGAGTGTCTTTTCTAGCACAACACAGAAGGAAATCAACAAAACTTCATTCCACAAAGTTGATGAGAAATCAAGTAGCAAATCTTTTGAGATAGCAAAAGGAAGTGGGACAGGTGTCCTTCAGAGGATGCCTTTGCTTACATCAAAATTGACACTTACTTGCGGAGAGTTATCAGAAAATCAGCACAAGAAGAGGAAAAGAATGCTCTCATCTAGCTCAGAGATGAATGAGGAATTCTTGAAAGAAAATAATTCTGTAGAATACAAGAAATCCAAGGCAGATTGTTCGAGGTGTGTAAGCTATAATCGAGAGAAACAATTGAAGTTAAAAGAGTTAGAAGAGAATAAGAAATTGGAATGTGAATCTTCATGCATCATGAACGCCACTGGAAATCCTTACCTAGATGACATTGGTCTTCTCCAAGCTCTCACTGAGAAAATGGTTTTGGTATTTCTGTTACAACAAGGGTATAGTGACGGTTACACAAAGTGGGATAAATTAAAACTATTTTTTGAATTATTTCCAGAGAAAATATGCCACGGCCTCCCCAATTTGGGAAACACCTGTTATATGAATGCAGTGTTACAGTCTCTACTTTCAATCCCATCGTTTGCTGATGATTTACTTAATCAGAGTTTCCCATGGGGTAAAATTCCCCTTAATGCTCTTACCATGTGCTTGGCACGGCTACTTTTTTTTAAAGATACCTATAATATAGAAATCAAGGAGATGTTACTCTTGAATCTTAAAAAGGCCATTTCAGCAGCTGCAGAGATATTCCATGGCAATGCACAGAACGATGCTCATGAGTTTTTAGCTCACTGTTTAGATCAACTGAAAGATAACATGGAAAAACTCAACACAATTTGGAAGCCTAAAAGTGAATTTGGGGAAGATAATTTTCCTAAACAGGTTTTTGCTGATGATCCTGACACCAGTGGGTTTTCTTGCCCTGTCATTACTAATTTTGAGTTAGAGTTGTTGCACTCCATTGCTTGTAAAGCTTGTGGTCAGGTTATTCTCAAGACAGAACTGAATAATTACCTCTCCATCAACCTTCCCCAAAGAATAAAAGCACATCCTTCATCTATTCAGTCTACTTTTGATCTTTTTTTTGGAGCAGAAGAGCTTGAGTATAAATGTGCAAAATGTGAGCACAAGACTTCCGTTGGAGTGCACTCATTCAGTAGGCTACCTAGAATCCTTATTGTTCACCTCAAACGCTATAGCTTGAATGAGTTTTGTGCATTAAAGAAGAATGACCAGGAAGTCATCATTTCCAAATATTTAAAGGTGTCTTCTCATTGCAATGAAGGCACCAGACCACCTCTTCCCTTGAGTGAGGATGGAGAAATTACAGATTTCCAATTATTAAAAGTTATTCGAAAGATGACTTCTGGAAACATCAGTGTATCATGGCCTGCAACAAAGGAATCCAAAGATATCCTGGCTCCACACATTGGATCAGATAAGGAGTCTGAACAAAAAAAAGGCCAGACAGTCTTTAAAGGGGCAAGCAGAAGACAGCAGCAAAAGTACCTTGGAAAAAATTCTAAACCAAATGAGCTAGAATCTGTATACTCAGGAGATCGAGCATTCATTGAAAAAGAACCGTTAGCTCACTTAATGACGTATCTGGAAGATACCTCACTTTGTCAGTTCCACAAAGCTGGAGGTAAACCTGCCAGCAGCCCAGGCACACCTCTCTCAAAAGTTGACTTTCAAACAGTGCCCGAAAATCCAAAACGAAAGAAATATGTGAAAACCAGTAAGTTTGTAGCTTTTGATAGGATTATCAATCCTACTAAAGATTTGTATGAAGATAAAAATATCAGAATTCCAGAAAGATTCCAAAAAGTGTCTGAACAGACTCAGCAGTGTGACGGTATGAGAATCTGTGAACAAGCCCCTCAGCAGGCACTGCCTCAAAGCTTTCCAAAGCCAGGCACCCAGGGGCACACAAAGAACCTCCTAAGACCTACAAAATTAAATCTACAGAAGTCTAACAGGAATTCCCTACTTGCACTGGGTTCCAATAAGAATCCAAGAAACAAAGACATTTTAGATAAGATAAAATCTAAAGCCAAGGAAACAAAAAGAAATGATGATAAGGGAGATCATACCTACCGGCTCATTAGTGTTGTCAGCCATCTTGGGAAGACTCTAAAGTCAGGCCATTATATCTGTGATGCCTATGACTTTGAGAAACAGATCTGGTTCACTTACGATGATATGCGGGTGTTAGGTATCCAGGAGGCCCAGATGCAGGAGGATAGGCGTTGCACTGGGTACATCTTCTTTTACATGCATAATGAGATCTTTGAAGAGATGTTGAAAAGAGAAGAGAATGCCCAGCTTAATAGCAAGGAGGTAGAGGAGACCCTTCAGAAGGAATAAGAGGAACGTACTCCTCCTTGTACAGATCTGCCTGACTGTCTCACTCGATACCACTTCCTCCATGGAAGGAAAACTGTGAACTTTATCCAGAGATGAAAATGCAATTAGTCTAGGACCAAAGGTCAAACAGAAACACTTAATGGGGAGATCTGCATTCTAATCCTGACACAGACACCTCAATCCCATAGCTCTGGCTGATGAGCATCCTTCTCTCCTACAAGACTGAAATTGTGTTTTTCATGTTCTTCTTCATTTTAATATAGTCAGGGTCTTGCTCTGTCATCCTGGCTAGAGTGCAGTCCTTCAATAATAACTCACTGCAGCCTCAAACTCCTGGCATCAAGCGATTCTCTCTCAGCCTCCTGAAAAGAGAGGGACTTATCTTCTTGCTTGAGATGGGACTATAGATGTGTGCCACCAGGCCTAGCTATTTTTTTTTTTTTTTTTGCTTTTTGCAGAGACAGGGTCTCACTATGCTGCCCAGGTTGGACTTGAACTCCTGGCCTCAAGCAATCTTCCTGCCTCTTTCCATGTTCTAATACAGTGGTTTAAAAAGTATGCTCCTTAAACTAGCAGCACCAGGAGCATGGGGGTAGTCATTTGAAATGCAAAATCTTGGGTTCCACTGTAGACCTACTGATTCAGAAACTTGGGGTAAGGGATAGCAATCTGATGGAGACCGTGATGCTTGATACAGTTTGAGAACCACTACTGTACTACATACACTACCTTGGTTGTATATTTAAATTGCTTATTTTGTAAAAGGTTTTGATTACATTTTTGTGTTTTTCATATTAATGTATGCCTTGCCTTTGTGAACTTATTAAAAGCCAAACTCACAAAAATCACTTCTGATCATACTCTGCAATTTGGTGGAAAAAAATAGTTGCTGGGATCCTGGCAATAAAAAATGAGGCTGATAACTTTTGAATCCTCTTGGGCATATATAGATGAGGCTAAACGCCAAGTCAAATCTCCAGATTGATTTGCTTTTAAGAAATTGGCCCACATTTCCTGTGTGTCTGCTAGCAAGCTCTTGGCCCTTGGTGGTCTGAGCCCACCTTGCCATGTTAGTTTTCTTAGAGGGGCACTTTCATTGCCTCAGAGGAACTTTGTTTACCTGGACTTCATCTGCGAAACCTTGAACAATCCTCTGCATTCAACATTACATGACTAATTCCAGATTTTTTTTTTTTTTTTACATCTCTGTACCTTATAGTGTGGTGGTCTTGTTTCTTCAATGAGTAAGCAATATATGCTTTAAAGTGGACTTGTAGAATTTGAAAGTATTACTTGTTACTTATTTGACACAACATCAGAAACTCCATATGAAGATGTTCTGCTTCTGGGGAAAGATGCATGGATCCTAGGGTGGTCATATTTCATTAAAATCCAGGGGATTTAATAATTTTGCCATCAAGCATGTGCCACCACTATTATCATAACCTTTTCCTGCCTTTGAGGCAGTGAATCTGTTGTACTTTGTGCCTTTGCTGTGAACAAATGACTTGTACTAAGAGGTTTTCTCACATAACATAGGATTGAATTTTCAGTCACACCTTTACCAATAGGAATATGCCCCCTTGTATATGGGGTATGGCTTCAGTATAGTTGTATTAATCCAAGAGCTTGTTGATGCTCTTAAGCCTAGGGTCCTTTAAAATAGGTGAGTTGGATTTTAGTGATGTGGGGAAGTTATTAGTAGGTAATACCCTGTAAGAGGAAAACCAGATTCCAAAGTTTGGAGATTGTATTCAGAACACAGTTTATCTAGAAGGAGGTCTTATGAGACCTGAAGATTGCTAAGGTATATAGGAGGGAATATCATAGATTGAATTGATCACTCTTAGGGAAGAAGGTGTTACAGACACAATGAGTGATTGTTCAACTTCTGTAGTACTTCAGCAGCTGAAGGATAAGGCTGGAGTTGCATTTAGAGGAGAGTGACAGTTTGGTTTCTAAATTTCAGTTTTTTGGCCTCTAGAGTAGTTTATGTTGAGCCCAGTTACATAGATATCAGAACAGGATTTTGGTAAGAATGAAGGAAAGTTGTTTTGTTTTGAAAGGAGTGTGAAGATGCTAATAACTTGATATTTTAGTACAGAGTTTACATCCTGGTCATGCTGCTCTTCAGCATGTAGCACTTCCAAATGCAGGGCAAAATGAAATGTGAAGAAGATGGTAGGGGTATCCATGACAGGGAGGATCATGGCTGCAATCCATTGTTGCCCTGTGAGAAGAAATTCTGAATGCACTATGAATGCTTGTATAGTATCTACATGGTATGTTTTCAAATAAAAGATTAAAAGTTGTTAAGTGACTCAGTGACTATTATGTATATAAATTTGTTCTCTTAATTTATGGGTCAAGTTTTCAAGTAATCCATGGAAATAAAAGTTTGACTTTCAGTGTGTTCATTTCCTATTGCTTCTGTAACATATTACTACAGAAGCTTATAACAACATAGTTTTTTAAATCTTACAGTCCTGGAGATTAAGAGTCTAAGATGATTATCACTTGGCTAAAATGAAGGTGTCAGCGGGGCTGCAATCTTAGATGCTCTGAAGACACAATCTGTTTCTTTGCCTTTTCCAGCTTTCTGGAAGCTGCCTGCATTCCTGGACTCATGGCTTCATTCCTCCATCTTCAAAGTCAGCAATTTTGGATTGAGTTCTCACGCTGCCATCTCTGGTTCTCCCTTTTCTGTCTTCCTTTTCCACTTTTAAGAACCATTGTAATTAGATTGAGCTCACTGAGATAATCCAGGATAATATCCCTATTTTAAATCAGCAGTGTTTTAAAGATTCTATTTATTGAGACAGGGTCTTGCTCTGTTGCCCAGGCTGGAGTGCAGTAGTGCAATCATAGCTCAGTGTAACCTCGAATTCCTGGGCTCAAATGATCCTCCCACCTCAGCCTCCTGAATAGCTAGGACTATAGGTGCTCACCATCACACCTGTTTAATGTGTATGTGTGTGTGTGTGTGTGTGTGTGTAGAGACTGGGTCTTGTTGCCCATGCTGGTCTCAAACCCCTGGCTTCAAGCAGTCCTCCCACCTTGGCCTCCCAAAGCACAGGGATTGCATACATGAGCCACCATGCCCAGCCTAAATCAGCAATCTTAATTCCCATATGTCTTGTAACACAACATATTAAATTTTCAAGGATTAGGATGTGGACATCTTTGCAATGCCATTATTCTCCATATTGCACATGCTCAATAGTAAATGTTATTGGAAATCTACCTCAACAACAAAAAATGTAGGGTGGTTCAGGGCTGAGACCCCTGGGAAATGAAAGTTTGGATAGCCTTACTAGGTAAAGAACTGAAGTAAATAAAGCTTTTAAAATTTTAGCTGAGGTTGAGAGAAAATTATAATTGGTAATTGAAGAGCTCAGACCTTGAGACAAATTACAAAAACAAAGACTATTGTTACTTTGCATATTTCTCTATGTTTATCATACGGATGCTTTTATTCAAATATGTGTACTTCTTTTTTTGCTATCCTGGTTCTTATTTTTAATTTTATGCACAACTTCATGGGAGATTAACTTTACTTGTCTTTAGGTAAGATAATATTCAGTGGGCACCTGACTGAATTTGAGGAATACTTAATGGATCCCATGATAATTGCAATCACTGGAGAATCCTGGTCATCTAACTTTAGGTAAGAGTGAGCACTTCACTTACAAGAAGGATTGGTGTATCATGTTAGGTAGAAAACGTTGTTTTGCTGCTGCAAGGGAATTTTGATGTGTGTCAAGGGGTTCACATGGAGGCAACCAAGAGAGTAGACTGTGCCTGTTACCAATGTATTGCACCTCACCTTCAAATTCACCTTCAATATATGCTCAGCGATAATGGACAGAATTGCTTTAGGCATTTCTCCTTTCCAGTAAACATATGTTGTGCTTTCTCAGTAGTGAGCACTACAGCTGCATTCCAAGTGGAAGGGATTTCTGCTGTTTCGTTTGTGGTGGGTTAACAGTGTGGCTGTGAGAGTATCTGGTGGTGCCCTATGCCAGCCACAGACCCAGAATGTGTGGTTTCTGATGCCCTCACAGCTCCAGCCTGGTCTGGTGATCACTTTGCTATTGCCATCTTTACATGGACACCTGCACCAGTGTCCTGACTCCCTCTGTTCCTGAGTCCTTCCCGGTTTGGTATTCCACAGTTCTTATAACATCCAGCTCTCCTGACAGGATATGGTACACTCCAGGCCTCCTGCCACACTAGCACTCCCAGTTCCTCTGCACGACCATATACTTGGCCATTGACTATAGCCCTGCCTATGTGCTAGAGGGTTACCGCTGGGGATCCCACTCCCTCTGCATGCCCTTGCATCGAGCGCTGTCTGGGGCTTGCCTGCATCCTAACTGTGCCTCATCTGCCCTCTGGAGGGTTGCTTCCTGTTTGCTCAGTGACTGCAGAACAGGTCTGCCTCAAACTGGCTGACTTTTCTGCAATCCATTGGACTGCAACTACAATAGACTTTCAGCAAGGTCTGAACCTTAGCCCTGTAGATTGGGGCACCTTTCCAAATTTGTCCTTCCTTGGGTACTCTTCTCAGCCTTTGGATATGTTGGGACTTAGAAAACAATACCCCCAAATGAAGGCCTCAGAAGCAAAAGTTTTTCTTTGACATCCTGCCCTCCTGTCTCAGTCCCATTCTCCCCTGAGGCTAGCCATAGAAGCTAGAATCTTACTTCCCCAAGGTGGGTCATAGAAACCAGAACCCTTTTTCCCCAAAGCCAGCATAAATGCTAAAAATATTACTCTAATTTTCCCTCTTCTTTTCTATATAAAAACTGGCAATAAAGAAATTATCTGACCTACCTTATTTGACTGTAGGTCACGAGACTCCCATTCCAGAGAGGGACCTACCCCATGCTCAGAGAGGACAGGAACAATCTAGATAGTGAAACTTTGCTGGATTTTCCCACTCAGTCTATTAGCATTAGAGCATATCTTTTTGTCCAATCATATTTCTATACAGCTCTCCATACATTGTTGAACCTAAGCATAAAAATGAGCAATGTCTCCTGTATGTTTGGGCCTTTCATTCTGAAGGCTGTCATCTATATATACATTAAATAAATGTGTATGACTTTTCTCTAATTAATCTGCCTTTTGCAAGTTGATTTTTAAGTGAAACCACAAGGCCAAGGGCCTTGTGCCCTACAGAAACTATATAGATTTTTCTTATAGATACTCTTACCATAGTTTAATAATTCCTTATATTAAAATTCTCCTGTTTAAATAGTTTCTTTCTCCTGATTGCACCCAGACTGATATGGAGGCCGAGCATATGAGATAGTCTAGCTATAATATTCCATCTAAAGACTTTAATGTGGGATCTTTTGTTCTGATTTTATTTAGTGTTGTATTTTGATGTAAAGCAGTGCAAAGAATGCTGGATTCAGAATCACAGGACTTTGGTTGCTTCTGTAACGTCTGAAAAGAGATAGCTGAGATATTAATTGAGCACCTCTTATTTTCATGCTTCATCTGCTATGTGGATGACAATAAGGAACACTAAGAGTTTTATGGGGTGACTGGAGATCAGTTTCACATGTCAATGACAGGGACTTCAGACATCACTCTCTACTGTCTATGTTCATCTCCTATCAACCTGCTTACATTTCTACTCTGTGTTGACCTCACCCAGTAAGAAATATTTCAAAAGAGAAGCCTTAGAAAAGTTTGTTTCTATAACCTAGCAGGGTGTTATATTTCCCCCAATGTACATCTGAAAGTTTTATATCTGAGATTACTGGTATTCTAGGCACAGCTGACCCTTGTCCTGGAATAATTTAGCCAACACATAGACATATTTTCCAGTTTTTCTGCTAGAAATACAGCCAGGCTAGCTACTCTTTCAATGTATCAGTGAGAGTTCACCAGAGAAACAACCAACAGGGTGTGTGTGTGTGTGTGTGTGTGTGTGTGTGTAGAGAGAGAGATTGATTTAAGGAATTGGCTCATGTGTTGGAGCTGGTGTGATGATTTATGCATCAATGTGACTGGGCTAAGGTATGCCCAGATAGCTGGTAAAACATTATTTCTGGTTGTGTCTGTGAATGTTTCTGGAAGAGATTAGGATTTGAATCAGACTCAGTGAAGAAGATCAGGCCGAGCATGGTGGCTTATGCTTGTAATCCCAGCACTTTGGGAGGCCAAGGCAGGTGGATCACTTGAGGCCAGGAGTTCAAGACCAGACTGACCAACATGGCAGAACCCCGTCTCTACTGAAAATACAAAAATTAGCTGGGTGTGGTGGTGCATGTCTGTAATCCCAGCTACTCAGGAGGCTGAGGCACAAGAATCACTTGAATCCTGGAGGCAGAGGTTGCAGTGAGCCAAGATTGCACCACTGCACTCCAGCCTGGGCAACAGAGTGAGACTCTGTTTCAAAACGAAAAAAAAGATGATGCTCATCAATGCATGTGAGCATCATCATCATCCAAATTGTTTAGCACCTGAATAGAACAAAAAGGCACAGGAAGGGCAAATTTGCTCTCTGCTACAGCTGGGATATCTGTGGTCTCTTGCCCTCAGACATCATTGCTCCTGATTCTCAGGCTTCAGAATCAAATTGGGATTTATACCGTTTACTCCCCTCATTCTCAGGCTTTTGGGTTTGAACTGGAAATACACCATTGGCTTTCCTGGGCCTCCAGTTTGCAGATGGCAGATCATGGGACTTCTCGGCCTCCATAATCACATAAGCCAATCCCTTATGATAAATGTCTGTCTATCTATCTATCTATCTATCTATCTATCTATCTATCTATCTATCATCTATTTATCCATCATCTATCTCTTTCCTATTGGTTGTTTTTCTATGGAGAACCCTAACTAATACAGCTAGCAGTCTGGATTTTGCAGGGCAGGCCAGCACGCTGGAGACTCATGAAGAGTCAGTGTTGCAGTCTTGATTCTGAAATCCACAAGGCAAGGAGGCAGGCTGAAAACTGCTGTAGTCCTAAGGCAAAAATTCCTCTGGTAACTCAGGTTTTGCTCTCAAAGCCTTCAACTGATTGGATGAGGCCCACCCACGTCATCAAGAGTAATCTCCTTTACTTAAAGTGAACTTATTGTAGATGTTAACCATACCTACAAAATACCTTCACAGCATCACCTAGATTACCGTTTGATTAAATAACTGGGGACTGTAGTCTAGCCAAGTTGACACATAAAACTTATCCTCACATGTATTATTTAAGTCCAGAAACTCAGAGTGCCTTAAGAAAAGCATGAACAAAATGGTCAGTTTTGTTAATACACATTATGTTTTGTGTTATAATCCTAAATCGTTATAGGATAAGCAGATTCTTAGGAAAAAAATTTCAGTTGGACAATATTAAGGACAAAAAAACCTACAAAAATCCACTTCTTGAGGAAATTGTTCCTTGGGCTACTTAGAAAAACTCTCAAACAACTATTCAGTTTCATTATTGCAGGAACTATGATTGTCTTACACTAGTCCATAAAACTTACTACATAAAATTGGAAGTTTTCCAAGAATGAGTATTTTCATCTGATAGACACTCTTTCTAATTTTCCTTCTTTAATTCTACTTCTATGCATAACCAGCCCCTGATGCTTCTCTAAGGCATCTGTGCAGTTCTGTCTGGAATGCTAGCATCTGTAACATTCACAGCCAAGGTTCTCAGTGGAAAAACATACTCCCTTGCCTTTTCTGCACATCACAAAGTTTCCTGTCACTGAAATGCAAGATATATATATATATATATACACACACACACATATATATATACATATATTTATACGTATATGGGATATGTATAAGAGAGCGATAGGTAGATGGCGAGAAATGGCCATTGCTTTTCTGTTATTATTTCACAGACAGTGGAAATGCCAAAAATTAAGACTGTAGACTAGAGTTGAGCAAACTATGGTCTGTGGACTAAATCTGGCCTGCTGTCTGTTTTTGTAAATTAAATTGTGTTGGAACACAGCCATTATCAGTCATTTACATATTGCCTAATAATTCATTTAGATATTGTCTAACTACAACAGCAGAGTTGAGCAGTTGTGAAAAGGCCTAGAAAAACTAAAAGATGTACTATCTGGCCCTTTAAAGACAAAGCTTGCCAATCCCTTCTTTAGGCTATCATCCCGCTAGTGCTTAAAATTCCCCATTAGGAAGATATCACTTGGGAATGTTCCTATTGGCAAAGGGAAAAGCCCTGGATAGATACAATACTCAGTGTTCATGAGGGGAGATGCTTTTCTCCTCCAAATTAAGCCTATGGTAGAAATGAAAATGGTTAGGAGGAGGGAGAAAGGAAGTTGGGGCATTGAGAGATGCATCAGGACAGAGTCTGTATCAGAGGGTGTGGTAGTGAACACGATTTACCCATGTAGGATACATGCAGAGAATAAGGAACACGGGGTGGCAGATTTGTATGAATACCATTTTCTGCAACGTCTGGCAAGAACAAGCCCAAATATGAGAGAATGGCATGGAGAGCACTACACTGAGACTTTGGACCAATACCAAAAAGATAGAGAAAAGGTTCCAGTTGAAGTGAATTCAATTAACCTCAACAAGGATTAATTGAGTACTTCATCTATACTAGCTGACAAAAGGTGGATAATCTAGCTGAGAATAGAAAGCTTGATTCATTTCTGTCAGTGGGGCTACCAACCTTGAAATAATAGCATCAACTTAAACTCCACCCTCTTTCTCAACCACCATATAGCCAATCAATCATCTGTCTCTTCTTTTTCACTCATTCCCAGTGCTGCACCTCTAGACCAGACTGCAAACAATCTAGTCAACTAATAACCCTTTGAGTCTATGATGTATACATGAAAATATAACTGGTGACACCATACAGTGCTAAAGAGAGGCACAAGACATTGAGAGTGATAAAATTCCAGAGGAAGGAGATTGCTATGGCTTCGGTTCATTAGAGAAAGCTTAAAGACAGACATGGCAACTGAGTTAAGCCTTGAAAGTTGCACAGAATTCAGACATGTTGGAAAAGGGCACCTCAAGTGAAAGGGTGAGTCTACCAATGGCATAAAATGTGGAATGCCTCATTCTCATATTACGACACACAGCGGCACTAAAGCAGAACCTAAAACTCTGCCCTCTAAATAGGAGGTAAGCCATCAAGAACAGTGACCAAACCCCCACCAAGCTGAGTGATCACTAAAGAGCTGGCTGAGCATATTTAGATTGCTTACTTACATTTAATTAATTTAAGAGGATGTGCTGATTAATGGACTCCTGTATCCAGGGAGACTGCTACTTATGCTAAAGATAACATAATTGTGTGTGCAGGAGAGCAAGTAACACCTCATCTACATTCTCCACAAAACAGTGTTCCAGTGAAACAAATCCAACATGAAGAAATAAAGTGGCATTTGTGCCTACATTGAGACAATAGTAAGAGGTTATACAATTCACTTATAACTTTGTGAAATTCTTTTTTTTTGGAGCTATAGGGAATTTTAATATTACAAATGCATAAAAGAAATATATAAAAGCAAAAGTAAAAAATTAGATTTGCCTATTCTAGCCATAGAGCACACCCAACCCTAATTTTGTAATTCATATATACTGATATTCTCCTCTATTAGCTTTGAATATATAGGGTATATCTCCAAACAGCGCTTTTTTTTAATACACTTTAAGTTTTAGGGTACATGTGCACAATGTGCAGGTTTGTTACATATGTATACATATGCCATGTTGGTGTGCTGCACCCATTAACTCGTCATTTAGCATTAGGTATATCTCCTAATGCTATCCCTCCCCCCTCCCCCCACCCCACAACAGTCCCCAGAGTGTGATGTTCCCCTTCCTGTGTCCATGTGTTCTCATTGTTCAATTCCCACCTATGAGTGAGAACATGTGGTGTTTGGTTTTTTGTCCTTGCGATAGTTTGCTGAGAATGATGGTTTCTAGTTTTATCCATGTCCCTACAAAGGACATGAACTCATCATTTTTTATGGCTGCATAGTATTCCATGGTGTATATGTGCCACATTTTCTTAATCCAGTCTACCGTTGTTGGACATTTGGGTTGGTTCCAAGTCTTTCCTATTGTGAATAGTGCCGCAATAAACATACGTGTGCATGTGTCTTTATAGCAGCATGATTTATAATCCTTTGGGTATATACCCAGTAATGGGTTGGCTGGGTCAAATGGTATTTCTAGTTCTAGATCCCTGAGGAATCACCACACTGACTTCCACAATGGTTGAACTAGTTTACAGTCCCACCAACAGTGTAAAAGTGTTCCTATTTCCCCACATCCTCTCCAGCACCTGTTGTTTCCTGACTTTTTAATGATTGCCATTCTAACTGGTGTGAGATGGTATCTCACTGTGGTTTTGATTTGCATTTCTCTGATGGCCAGTGATGATGAGCATTTTTTCATGTGTTTTTTGGCTGCATAATTGTCTTCTTTTGAGAAGTATCTGTTCATATCCTTCACCCACTTTTTGATGGGGTTCTTTGTTTTTTTCTTGTAAATTTGTTTGAGTTCATTGTAGATTCTGGATATTAGCCCTTTGTCAGATGAGTAGGTTGCGAAAATTTTCTCCCATTTTGTAGGTTGCCTGTTCACTCTGATGGTAGTTTCTTTTGCTGTGCAGAAGCTCTTTAGTTTAATTAGATCCCATTTGTCAATTTTGTCTTTTGTTGCCATTGCTTTTGGTGTTTTAGACATGAAGTCCTTGCCCATGCCTATGTCCTGAATGGTATTGCCTAGGTTTTCTTCTAGGGTTTTTATGGTTTTAGATCTAACATGTAAGTCTTTAATCCATCTTGAATTAATTTTTGTATAAGGTGTAAGGAAGGGATCCAGTTTCAGCTTTCTACATAAGGCTAGCCAGTTTTCCCAGCACCATTTATTAAATAGGGAATCCTTTCCCGATTTCTTGTTTTTGTCAAGTTTGTCAAAGATCAGATGGTTGTAGATATGTGGCATTATTTCTGAGGGCTCTGTTCTGTTCCATTGGTCTATATCTCTGTTTTGGTACCAGTACCATGCTGTTTTGGTTACTGTAGCCTTGTAGTATAGTTTGAAGTGAGGTAGTGTGATGCCTCCGGCTTTGTTCTTTTGGCTTAGGATTGACTTGGCAATGCAGGCTCTTTTTTATTTCCATATGAACTTTAAAGTAGTTTTTTCCAATTCTGTGAAGAAAGTCATTGGTAGCTTGATGGGGATGGCATTGAATCTATAAATTACCTTGGGCAGTATGGCCATTTTCACAATATTGATTCTTCCTACCCATAAGCATGGAATGTTCTTCCATTTGTTTATGTCCTCTTTTATTTCCTAGAGCAGTGGTTTGTAGTTCTCCTTGAAGAGGTCCTTCACATCCCTTGTAAGTTGGATTCCTAGGTATTTTATTCTCTTTGAAGCAATTATGAATGGTAGTTCACTCATGATTTGGCTCTCTGTTTGTCTGTTATTGGAGTATAAGAATGCTTGTGATTTTTGCACATTGATTTTGTATCCTGAGACTTTGTTGAAGTTGCTTATCAGCTTAAGGAGATTTTGGGCTGAGACAATGGGGTTTTCTAGATATACAATCATGTCATCTGCAAACAGGGACAATTTGACTTCCTCTTTTCCTAATTGAATACCCTTTATTTCCTTCTCCTGCCCGATTGCCCTGGACAGAACTTCCAACACTATGTTGAATAGGAGTGGTGAGAGAGGGCACCCCTGTCTTGTGCCAGTTTTCAACGGGAATGCTTCCAGTTTTTGCCCATTCAGTATGATTTTGGCTGTGGGTTTGTCATAAATAGCTCTTATTATTTTGAGAAACGTCCCATCAATACCTAACTTATTGAGAGTTTTTAGCATGAAGGGTTGTTGAATTTTGTCAAAGGCCTTTTCTGCATCTATTGAGATAATCATGTGGTTTTTGTCTTTGGTTCTGTTTATATGCTGGATTACATTTATTGATTTGCATATGTTGAACCAGCCTTGCATACCAGGGATGAAGCCCACTTGATCATGGTGGATAAGCTTTTTGATGTGTTGCTGGATTCGGTTTGCCAGTATTTTGTTGAGGATTTTTGCATCAATGTTCATCAAGGATATTGGTCTAAAATTCCTTTTTTGATTGTGTCTCTGCCCGGCTTTGGTATCAGGATGATACTGGCCTCATAAAATGAGTTAGGGAGGATTCCCTCTTTTTCTATTGATTGGAATAGTTTCAGAAGGAATGGTACCAGCTCCTCCTTGTACCTCTGGCAGAATTCAGCTGTGAATCCATCTGGTCCTGGACTTTTTTTGGTTAGTAAGCTATTGATTATTGCCACAATTTCAGATCCTGTTATTGGTCTATTCAGAGATTCAACTTCTTCCTGGTTTAGTCTTGGGAGGGTGTATGTGTCGAGGAATTTATCCATTTCTTCTATATTTTCTAATTTATTTGCATAGAGGTGTTTGTAGTATTCTCTGATAGTAGTTTGTATTTCTGTGGGATCGGTGGTGATATCCCCTTTATCATTTTTTATTGCGTCTATTTGATTCTTCTCTCTTTTCTTCTTTATTAGTGTTGCTAGCGGTCTATCAATTTTGTTGATCTTTTCAAAAAACCAGCTCCTGGATTTATTAATTTTTTGAAGGGTTTTTTGTGTCTCTATTGCCTTCAGTTCTGCTCTTATTTTAGTTATTTCTTGCCTTCTGCTAGCTTTTGAATGTGTTTGCTCTTGCTTTTCTAGTTCTTTTAATTGTGATGTTAGGGTGTCAATTTTGGATCTTTCCTGCTTTCTCTTGTGGGCATTTAGTGCTATAAATTTCCCTCTACACACTGCTTTGAATGTATCCCCGAGATTCTGGTATGTTGTATCTTTTTTCTCATTGGTTTCAAAGAACATCTTTATTTCTGCCTTCATTTCGTTATGTACCCAGTGGTCATTCAGGAGCAGGTTGTTTAGTTTCCATGTAGTTGAGCAGTTTTGAGTGAGTTTCTTAATCCTGACTTCTAGTTTGATTGCACTGTGGTCTGAGAGACAGTTTGTTATAATTTCTGTTCTTTTACATTTGCTGAGGAGTGCTTTACTTCCAACTATGTGGTCAATTTTGGAATAGGTGTGGTGTGGTGCTGAAAAAAATGTATATTCTGTTGATTTAGGGTGGAGAGTTCTGTAGATGTCTATTAGGTCCACTTGGTGCAGAGCTGAGTTCAAGTCCTTGATATCCTTGTTAACTTTCTGTCTCGTTGATCTGTCTAATGTTGACAGTGGGGTGTTAAAGTCTCCCATTATTATTGTGTGGGAGTCTAAGTCTCTTTGTAGGTCACTAAGGACTTGCTTTATGAATCTGGGTGCTCCCGTATTAGGTGCATATATATTTAGGATAGTTAGCTCTTCTTGTTGAATTGATCCCTTTTACCATTATGTAATGGCCTTCTTTGTCTCTTTTGATCTTTGTTGGTTTAAAGTCTGTTTTATCAGAGACTAGGATTGCAACCCCTGCCTTTTTTTGTTTTCCATTTCCTTGGTAGATCTTTCTCCATCCCTTTATTTTGAGCCTATGTGTGTCTCTGCATGTGAGATGGGTTTCCTGAATACAGCACACTGATGGGTCTTGACTCTTTATCCAATTTGCCAGTCTGTGTCTTTTACTTGGAGCATTTAGCCCATTTACATTTAAAGTTAATATTGTTATGCGTGAATTTGATCCTGTCATTATGATGTTAGCTGGTTATTTTGCTCGTTAGTTGATGCAGTTTCTTCCTAGCCTCGATGGTCTTTACATTTTGGCATGTTTTTGCAGTGGCTGCTACCGGTTGTTCCTTTCCATGTTTAGTGCTTCCTTCAGGAGCTCTTTTAGGGCAGGTCTGGTGGTGACAAAATGTCTCAGCATTTGTTTGTCTGTAAAGTATTTTATTTCTCCTTCACTTATGAAGCTTAGTTTGGCTGGGTATGAAATTCTGGGTTGAAAATTCTTTTCTTTAAGAATGTTGAATATTGGCCCCCACTCTCTTCTGGCTTGTAGAGTTTCTGCCGAGAGATCCGCTGTTAGTCTGATGGGCTTCCCTTTGTGGGTAACCTGACCTTTCTCTCTGGCTGCCCTTAACATTTTTTCCTTCATTTCAACTTTGGTGAATCTGACAATTATGTTTCTTGGAGTTGCTCTTCTTGAGGAGTATCTTTGTGGCGTTCTCTGTATTTCCTGAATCTGAATGTTGGCCTGCCTTGCTAGATTGGGGAAGTTCTCCTAGATAATATCCTACAGAGTGTTTTCCAACTTGGTTCCATTCTCCCCATTGCTTTCAGGTACACCAATCAGACGTAGATTTGGTCTTTTTACATAGTCCCATATTTCTTGGAGGCTTTGTTCATTTCTTTTTATTCTTTTTTCTCTAAACTTCCCTTCTTGCTTCATTTCATTCATTTTGTCTTCCATCACTGATACCCTTTCTTCCAGTTGATCGCATCGGCTCCTGAGGCTTCTGCATTCTTCATGTAGTTCTCGAGCCTTGGCTTTCAGCTCCATCAGCTCCTTTAAGGACTTTTCTGCATTGGTTATTCTAGTTATCCATTCGTCTAATTTTTTTTTCAAAGTTTTTAACTTCTTTGCCATTGGTTTGAATTTCCTCCTGTAGCTCGTAATAGTTTGATCATCTGAAGCCTTCTTCTCTCAACTCGTCAAAGTCATTCTCCATCCAGCTTTGTTCCGTTGCTGGTGAGGATCTGTGTTCCTTTGGAGGAGGAGAGGCACTCTGCTTTTGAGAGTTTCCAGTTTTTCTGCTCTGTTTTTTCCCCATCTTTGTGGTTTTATCTACTTTTGGTCTTTGATGATGGTGATGTACAGATGGGTTTTTGGTGTGGATGTCCTTTCTGTTTGTTAGTTTTCCTTCTAACAGGCAGGACCCTCAACTGCAGATCTGTTGGAGTTTGCTAGAGGTCCACTCCAGACCCTGTTTGCCTGGGTATCAGCAGCAGTAGCTGCAGAACAGTGGTGGCTGTAGAACAGCAGATATTGGTGATCCGCAAATGCTGCTGTCTGATCGTTCCTCTGGAAGTTTTGTCTCAGGGGAGTACCCGGCCATGTGAAGTGTCAGTCTGCCCCTACTGGGGGGTGCCTCCCAGTTAGGCTGCTCGGGGGTCAAGGACCCACTTGAGGAGGCAGTCTGCCAGATCTCACATCTCCAGCTGTGTTGTGTGAGAACTACTACTCTCTTCAAAGCTGTCAGACAGGGACATTTAAGTCTGCAGAGGTTACTGCTGTCTTTTTGTTTGTGTGTGCCCTGCCCCCAGAGGTGGAGCCTACAGAGGCAGGCAGGCCTGCTTGAGCTGTGGTGGGCTCCAACCAGTTCAAGCTTCCCGGCTCCTTTGTTTACCTAATCAAGCCTGGGCAATGGCAGATGCCCCTCCCCCAGCCTCACTGCCGCCTTGCAGTTTGATCTCAGACTGCTGTGCTAGCAATCAGCTAGACTCCGTGGGCGTAGGACCCTCCAAGCCATGTGTGGGATATAATCTCCTGGTGTGCCGTTTTTTTAAGCCCATTGGAAAAGTGCAGTATTAGGGTGGGAGTGACCCGATTTTCCAGGTGCCGTCTGTCACCCCTTCTTTGACTAGGAAAGGGAACTCCCTGACCCCTTGTGCTTCCCGAGTGAGTCAATGCCTCGCCCTGCTTTGGCTCGCGCCCGGTGCACTGCACCCACTGTCCTGTGCCCACTGTCTGGCACTCCCTAGTGAGATGAACCCGGTACGTCAGATGGAAATGCAGAAATCACCCGTCTTCTGCGTCGCTCACGCTGGGAGCTGTAGACCGGAGCTGTTCCTATTCAGCCATCTTCATGAAATTCTTAAGAAATGAATATAATGTAATTCACTTCTGGTTTCTTCAAGTCTGTATCAATTTATCTACCACAAACCACAAAATATTCTGCAAAACCAGTAGGAAAGCTAAATCTTGTAAAAACCTCTCATTTGCTATATCTTTTAGAAAGTAATTCAATCTAAAGAGCCACTGTTGAATAGAAATATGATATCTCTGCACTTTCCTACCTGTGTATGATGTATACAGCCTTTCCTCAGTATCTGTGGGGCATTGGTTCCAGGAACACCCCCACCTTGCAGATACCAACATCTGTAGATGCCAAGTCCCTTGTATAAAATGGCATAATATTTGTGTATTACCTATGTATGTCCTCCCATACACTTTAAATCATCTCTATATTGGTTATCATACCTAATACAATGTAAATTCTATGTAAATAGTTGTGCTGTATTGGTTATTCATATTTTTTGTTGTTTTGTTATTTTTTTTTCTTTTTTCCTAATATTTTCAATCCATGGTTGGTCGAATCCATGGATGTGGAACTCGAAGATACAGAAGATTAACTGTATTTTCTCACCTACCCCAGGGCTGTCATCTTCACGGCAGGTGACCAATATGGAGGAATGAACACTGATAAACTCTCACCCCACTGGGAGTTTTCAGTTTGTATTACCACATTGCCATTTAACATGTCCAGTGACCTCTACAATTCATATAATGGTCTCATTAAATATTTCAATAGGCTATCTGATGAATACAGTAATCCTTTTTGAGGTCATTCAGGATTTGGGAACTATACATTGTGTTCATCATATACACTGATTACTCTCATATCAATGCTGAATTCCACTCATCATCTGTCCCCACAACAGCCAACAGCATGTACTTGAAAAGCTGGTCAGTGCATGAATGATGTCATTCCTGCTGAACAACATTTAACAGGAGAAAGGCTGGCAGATGGGCAGTGTTGCCCAGGGTGGCAGAGGTGACTACAGACATGACCAATATACAGGAACAAACTCCTATTGCCAGATCCCTACTCATCATCCAAACATCAGGATAAACACTTTCTTGTATTCCCCAAAAGACAATGCTATGTCCCTACCAAATGACATACTTCCTTTGAATGAGTGGAAACCCATCCTAATCCCCAATAGACATAATATCCTGAATGTGGTTGGCAGAATAATGGCCCCCTCAAAGATAACCGTATCCTAATCCCCAGAATCTCTGAATATGATATGTTACATGGCAAAGGGAAATTACAGGTGGAATTAAGGCTGCTTATCACCTTATCTTAAAATGAAAGGTTATCCCTTCTGTGGAGGCGGAGGCAGGAGAATTGCTTGAACCTAGGAGGTGGAGGTTGCAGTGAGCCAAGACCGTACCATTGCACTCCAGCTTGGGCAACAAGAGCGAAACTCCATAAAAGAAAGGAAAGAAAGGAAAGGAAGGAAGGAAGAAAGGAAGGAAGGAAGGAAAAGAAAGAGAAAGAAAGGTGATCCTGGATGATCTGGGTGGGCCCAATGTAATCACAAAGGTTCTTAAAAGTAGAAGAAGGAGGAAGAACCAGAAAGATGATATCATAGGAAGGCTCAGCTTGACATTGCTGGCTTCAAATATGGAGGATGGGGCCATGAGCCAAGGAATACGGGTGGCCTCTAGAAGCTGGAAAAGGAAAGGAAATGGATTCCCTCTTAGCACCTCTGGAAGGAACACAGCCACTCTGGCACTTTGATTTAGCCCAGTAGGAGCTATTTCTGACTTAGGACCTCCAGAATTGTAAGATAATAAATTTGTGTTTTAAGCTGCTAATTTTGTGGTAATTTGTTACAGCAGCAATAGAAAACTAATATAGCATGGAATTACTAAGAGGTGCCCCAGAGACTCCCCTGGGTTCCAGATGACAATGTGGAACTTGGCCTGAGTGACCCTGTGACACTAGAAAACAGTGACGAATTCTCTCACCCTTTTGTGCTCCAGGAAATGACTTATTGCAAAGAATCATGCTTCTCCATATGAGTTGTGCATGACCTCCTTGTTTACTTACTGATGACAAGGCCAGACACAGACTCTCCAAATTCCCATTCTTCGTCATATAAATTTGTATTAGACTGTTCTCGCATTGCTATAAAGAACTACTGGAGACTTGGTAATTTATAAAGAAAAGAGGTTTAATTGGCTCATAGTTCTGCAGGCTGTATAGGTAACAAGGCTGGGGAGGCCTTAGGAAACTTGCAATTACGGTGGAAGGCAAAAGGGGAAGCAGGCACACCTTCACATGGTGGATCAGAAGAGAGAGAGCGAAGGGGAAGTTGCCACACACTTTTTTAAACAACCAGATCCTCATGAGAACTCTATTACAAGACAGCACTAAGCGGATGGTGCTAAACCATTAGAAACCACCTCCATAATCCAGTCACCTCTCACCAGGCCCCACCTCCAACACTGGGGATTTTCAACATGAGATTTGGGTGGGGACACAGAGTGAAACCGTATCAAAATTGAACTGACCTGGTTGTCCCCACTGACCAATCTGGACAAAATACCAACTAACTTGACTGGAGCAAACTTTAGTCTGGCTTCTCCCCTCTCCACAGACCCTTGAGCTTTGACCCACACTGTCAGCCTGAGCAAGTATCACAATGCAGAACAGCCCCTCCTTTCCTTAATGATCCCTCCAGGAAAATCAGCTGACCAAAAAGAAAGATTTTTTTTTTTTTTTTGAGACAGAGTCTCACTCTATCACCCAGGCTGGAGTGCAGTGGTGCGATCTCGGCTCACTGCAACCTCTGCCTCCAGGGTTTAAACAATTCTCCTGCTTCAGCCTCCCGAGTAGCTGGGACTACAGGTGCATGCCACCTTGCCCAGCTATGTTTTTGGTATTTTTAGTAGAGATGGGGTTTCACCATGTTGGCCACGCTGGTCTCAAACTCCTGACTTCAAATCATCCACCTGCCTCGGCCTCCCAAAGTGCTGGGATTACAGGCGTGAGCCACTGTGCCCGGCCAAGAAAGACATCTTTGATTGATTGTCCAATTATGCCACATACTCATTTCATGCCCTTGTATCTGGTTATTTCTAGCCTGCCTTAATTCTTCCTATAAAAGAAAAACCCTTTCTACCTGACTTTTGAGATACTTGCAGATATTATGGTCACAGGGTTATCCCTACCACAGTAGTCCCATTCCTTCTATTTCAACGGTCCCTTCAAATAAAGCGTCTCTTTACCAAAGTCCAGATTTGTTTGTTGTCGTTGTTGTTGTTGTTTTGACCCGTAGTCTTCCTTGGCTCCAATGTGTAGCAGCAACCTGATTTCTCTTTGGTAATCAGGATCCATGACTAGTAGATTAACCCCTCCTTATGCCAGTATTTTCAGCAGCACAAGGAGACCAAAATGGCCAAATGGCACTTTCAACTTCCAATTCAGTGGAAATACTGTTGTGCCTCTGGTGGAAGCATCCCCGCCTTGGGAACCAGTATCTCTAAATGAGCAGAGCTCAAAATTCCTGAAATGGAAAGCAAAAATTCAGGAAGTGGGTTATTAGGTGTAATCGTGAGAGGAGCCACCCCTACTGCCACTCCCTGATTTCTTAGCCCATTTATTATGGGTATGGAGAAGATAACACCACACTGTGGTCTCACATTTAAAGCACAAACTGCATCCTGTGAGCTGAATCCCATCCAGTCAGGATGTTTTTCTTCTAATTGGCACTGCAACTGAGTCTTCAGTAAGCCATTCCACCTTTCAGTTGGACCAGCTGTTTCTGGGTAATGAGGTATGTCACAACACCAGTTACATCCATGGGTATGAGACCTTTGCCACACTTCTTTTGCTGTGAGATGAATTCCTTTGCTGATAAGATTCAGGGCTGTGTGGAATGCCATGATGGAAGATTGGGCATTCTGTGAGTCTATGGATGGTGGTGCTAAGAGAAGCATTACTAGTAGGGAAGACAAACCATATCTATATTTATACCCAGATCTCTGTATCTATTTTAGTGAGGACAAATATTTGCCTCCATGGTGGAAGAGGTCCAGTGTCGTCAGTCTGGCAGTAGGTGGCTGGTTGGTCATCTTAGGAATGGTGCCGTATCTGGGGCTCAGTGTTCATCACTGCCATCAGCAGGTTAGGCCCTCAAGATAGCTTTAGCCAGGCCAGCCTTCATGAAGGGAGGTTCATGTTGTTTTGCCTGTGCCCAGCTTCCATCTCTGCCACCACTGCCACTTTGTCCACAGGCCTGTTCGGCAAGCACTCAGATGGCTGGAGAAAGAAGCTGACTGACATTGCCAGGGTGCATAATTTTGTCTACCTGATATTGTCACAGTCTGTGTCCATTCTGAGTCATCTGTCCACATACTTCTTCCCCAGACTTCCTCATATCCACACCGCTGACCCACTCCACAGTACCAGCTGCATGAAACAGCAGAGCCCCCTTTCTCCTGCAATGTCCTTCCATCGCCCTCTACTGGTAAAGCTCAGCATTTTCATTTTGGAATGTTTTAAAGAATTTTGTCCATTATCACAGAGCACTTATTGATGGATGAATTTGGAACTAAAAGATGATACATTGATAACTGGGAGAACTTCTTCACTTCAATATCACCAAAACCTTGGCCTATGTAGATTGGAATCTTGTTTGCTTAGCTAGTAAATTTCTGAGCCTCAGTTTTTTTTTGACCCTTGGTTAATAGCTCAAAAGGCATATTCCCCAACCCTGGATCCATCTGTAACATGAAAGGCTTAATACTTGTATGTTTTCAGCAACATAGTCCCCAAATACTTGAAAGGTCCCTTCATAATCTTGCCTAAAACCCCTGATCCCACCTTTTTCTACCCCACAGAATACTTGCTTCACCTAAAAATTTAAAAACAAGGTATGCATTCATTCCACAGTCATGGATGCTCCAAAAAGGTGATTAGGCTAGTTCATCTGCAAACACAGGCTTTAAGGCTCTTAGGTTTGAGGGAAGAAAGACACAGACACACATTTTTTTTTTTTTTTTTTTTTTTTTGAGACTGAGTCTTACTCTGTCGGCCAGGCTGGAGTGCAGTGGCACAATCTAGGATCAGTGCAACATCTGCCTCCCAGGTTTAGCGACGCTCATGCCTCAGCCTCCCGAGTAGCCTGGGATTACAGGCACACGCTACTATGCCCTGCTAATTTTTGTATTTTTAGTAGAGAAGGGGTTTCACCAAGATGGCCAGGCTGGCCTCAAACTCCTGACCACCCGCCTTGGCCTCCCAAAGTGCTGAGATTACAGGGCGAGCCACTGTGCCCAGTCAGAATTTTTTATACTAACATGCCACCCCTGCTTTCCTTCCAGTCTTTTTGACGCAGAGAAGGTCTACTGATTTGCATTAGGAAAGAATCGCTGGTGGTAATGAAAGTACTAGACAGAAGCTGACCTGATGTAACAATTGTTTTCCATACCTGAGATTTTACTGCTGCTACAGGGCCCTGGGCATCATGGTACTGAGCAGTTTCTGAGATAGCTTAGGCCACCAGTATGTCCTCTGGTGCATACTGGATATCCTTGGGCACGGTTGGTGCCCTTTGATCAGGGCCTACCCAGAAGGCCTAGGGTAGCTGCAAAACACTCATAGGACTGTCCCCAGTTCCCATAAAGCCTCTGCCTAGTTTTCAGGCAGACAGTTTTCTACTCTACTCGATGAAACATGCAAGCCCATTGTTCTTCAGCCCCTCCGTATGCAGCAGCCTGGTTCATTACATAATAGACTACTTTTACTTTGGATTGAGTCCACTCATCTCTCATAGCCCACTTTTATGTCTGCTGTCACTTCATTCAGTCTCTAAAACCTCTCCATTTATTAGCACCCTCCATTCAGTCTCCTCCCCAAGACTGCCTTTCCTCAAAGTATCACATTCTTCAATTGCCTCTTATTCATTCTTACATCTCTTTCACTCCTCTTAACCTTCCTTTACAGCACATGAAAACTTTCCTTTTCTCAGCCGGCTGGGCCTCCCCAGGTGTTGGCATGATAGCAGTTGCACTGTCAAGGTGAAGACTTCCTTACTAAAACTCCACTCTCCTCTGGCTGGTGTCATCCAGGGCCCTGGGGTAAAGAGACCAAGGATTGAGTCCAAAAAATCACTCCTGAGTCTGGTAGGGATAAAACATATTTAATTTAGTCATATGAGCCACTTGGTTTTTGCTGTAATGGCCATATTTTTTCCATTTGGGAGCACATTAGTAATTCTGAGGGAGAAGTTGGAGATTAGCAGAGAGAAATACAAGTAGGAAATGAAAAGTTTGCTAAGCAGAGAGTATCCTTTAGCAATAATTATGACCATTATTGAAAATGATTATCTTCTCTTAAGGATTTTCAGTTTCCTCTTTTAGAAGCTTCTAATTTTCTTTTTGCCCTTTTCATTTTACAAGCAATTATCCGTAAGTGCAACTGAAGTGCCAGGGATCTGAGTTGTTATTCTTAAAATTGAAAACTACCAAGTCTAAGGAGTAAATGTGAAAATTGATAATATTTTTCACATGCTGTCTCTGTGGGGTTTGTTGTTATTTTTAGGGGCATGACTTCCATAAAAAAAGAAAACAAGCTACTGTGTTTGTTTTCATTATAGAAACGACCACATTAGCCATGGTTTTAGGTCTTGATCCAACAGCCACTAAGTGAAACCTGCCTTGTCTGTTGCTCTACCCCAGACTGGTTGGGGTTGCAGTGAGACGAGTCCTCAAAGATTGCCACTTCTTTTTTTTTTTTTTTTAGACAGGGTCTTGCTCTGTCGCCCAGGCTGGGGTGCAGTGGCGTAATCATGGCTCACTGCAGCCTCAATCTCCTGAGCTCAAGCAATCCCACCTAAGCCTCCCAAATAACTGGGACCCCAGGTGCATGCCACCATGCCCGGCTATTGTGGTAGTGTTGTATTTTTAGTAGAGATGGATTTTCACAGTGAGCCAAGATTGTGCCATTGCACTCCAGCCTGGGCGACAGAGTGAGACTCCGAAAAAAAAACCAAAAATGAAAACAAAAACAAAAAACAAACAAAAAACACTAAACTAAGAATATAACTGGATTGTTTGTAACACAAAGAATAAATGCTTGAGGGGATGGATACCCTCCCTGCCAAAAAATGTCATGTATATTCTTAAGTGTTAAACAAGGGTACACCTGTATTCTAGGATTACATGATGGTTATGAGACCAAATTTAGGAGTAAAACGGAATAAATAAATACTGCAAAACACTTCCCACATTGTTAATATCTTAGAATTCTAAAGTTCTTAATCCCTGAAGAAAGCTATGGGTCAAAATTAATGTTTTCCAGTTTGGTAAGTAATTACAGACTCTAAAGAACTTACACTTTTCCCATTTCCCTCCTCTTTCCTATCCCTCTTCTCTATGCCACACCACCCCCTTTTCCAACGCCGTTTGTCTATGGGGTTATAGGCAATTTCTAAGCAAATTGCTTGAGTCTGGGTTCCTGAGAAGTGTAGATAGCACATATTCAATGATGTGCCAGAGTTGGTTTGTACTGGTACAAGATGATCGTGCACATTTCTTTCCAATCCTACATTCGGTGACATCTGTTGATAACTTGACCTTAGTCATGGTGGGAGTGTTTACTCCTTGGAAGTTGGTAAATACTACAAATCAGGTCTTTCCTTTTTGCCTTTCAGAGAGCTGGTTGTTAAACATTTACCACCACGCATATCCCTCTTGGGTTCTCTTAGAGAGACATTGACTATCTTCCTGAACAGGGTAGGAATGTATTTGGTAGCACATAATTGAAAACCCAACTGAACAATAGTGTAAACATATGTGTCTTATAGCAGGTAGTGTTGAGAATCATTGTTTGTACTGTAGGAAATCAACTGCCATGAGGAGTCATGCTTTAGCATTTGTTCAGCTCTGCCTTCCTTAGCATGTTGGCCATATGGTTCCCCTTTCAACCTATGTATTGCACCCCCAGACAATACATTTTGCATATGGCCACCAATAACTGCAAGATGGCCTGATAAATGTGTGTTTAGCTTTGCAACCTCTGCGGAAATGTTCAAAAATGTGAAAGCTGAAAAGTAATACAAAGAAACTTTATGTCCTCATCATCTGTCTATAACAATTATCAACCCATGATGAATGGGATGTAATCTCTACCTGCTCCCCCTTCCTAACAGCATGAGATTATTTTGAAGCAAAATCTAGGCATCATAACATTTCATTTATGTAAAATGTAAATATGTATGGGAGCCTGCTTGCTTTTTTTTGGGGGGGACAGAGTATCCTTCTGTCACTCAGGGTGGAGTGCAGTGGTATGAACATAGCTCACTACAGCCTTGACCTTCTGGGCTCAAGCAATCCTCACTCACTGCAACCTCTGCCTCTGGGGTTCAAGTGATTCTCCTGCTTCAGCCTCCCAAGTAGCTGGGACTACAGGTGTGTGCCACCACGCCCAGCTAATTTTTGTATTTTTTTTTGTAGGGACAGGGTTTCTCCATGTTGTCCAGGCTGGTCTCGAACTCCTAGGCTCAAGTGATCCATCTGCCTCCGCTTCCCAGAGTGCTGGGATTACAGGCATAAGCCACTGCACCTGGCCTGGGAGCTTGCTTTTAAAAGAAGGCATGGGAACATTTATGAATAGCCTTCATTAAATATGCAATTTACAGTGGTAGCTGTTTAGGGCCAGAATGTTTTCTCTTTTTGTGGGTGTAAGATGGGTGGCGGTGCAGAAAGAAGAATGATGACAGGTTCTGCCTGTAGTATTTTATAGACGGCCCTGTCCTTTCTTTATATCATACATATTTTTCTTCTCATTTTGATTATAAATTCCGTAAAAAAGAGAAAGCACTTATTCACATTGTATCTTCAGCTTTGCAAGAAAGTTTGCTTGTTTTTCAGAAGCTATAGGCCTACGCCAATATTTGTTTATTCAATTTTTCCATGGTGTCAGCCTTGTATACATAGTTTGGTCTCAGTTCTCTGTTATATACCAGTGTTTCAAAGTGGTGTTAGTTTCCTGGCTTCAGTATTGCAAAATGAATTGCAAGTTTGGGGCTCAAATTTACAATTCTAACTCTGTGTTCTGCCTCTTTATTAGACTATCCTAGGCTCGAGTACCTGGTAATGTCGCCTTCTTTATGAAGGAAAAAAAATCAGTACATTGTTAGTGGTGTTTTTCCAGATGAAATGAATGGATTAAATCAGCTTTTATTAATACCTTATTACAAGGTTTATTTCAAATAGTAAATGGGGGTCATGAGACCCCAAGAACTGAATGTTTCTGAAAAATTTTAATGACCGGATTTTATTTTAGATGAAACAGTTCCAGCCAAAGTTACTTTGTTTTCTATGACCTCATCCATAACTAGAGGCTGTGCTGAGGACGTCTAGCATTTGCCTCCCTTCCAGGCGGCTTGTGATAAAGTAGGCTAATGGTAAAGTAATGTATCTTATGCCATTGAGCATTAAGATCATACTTCATATTTTACAAAGTGCTTTTTCATTATTTATTCCTCACAACCTACCTATGAGAACTCCTGGCTGTCTTATCTCCCCATATTGTGGCTGAAATATGACTAACCTATGTTCATAAATGCTTCAGAAAGCTGAAATAAATATATGTGCTTGCTGACATACAAACACCCAGCCTTCAAAATGGTCACCCAACCCTACCCTTGGGAATTGGGAATGCAGCTCCCTCAGAGAGTGGGGAATAATTCCATTTCCCCTCCTAGCAGTAGCGGTCCCCAGAACTGCAGGTGTGGGGAATCAAAAATGAAGGGAATGAGGACAGGTGTTTGTACTCTTGTTGCTGTTCAACGGAGGATTCATATTTCTGTAAACACATTGCTATACCTAGGACTGCTGCACTTAGATCAGTTCATAAATGTCCATGTAACCGATGATCCATTTTTGCTTGTACTTCAGCTAGGGTCTATCATGGATTTTGTAATTTGTTTGGAGGAATATTATACTATTTACAAAAATTGGAACCCTGAGTTCACTTACCCATAAAAACTGCCCGTGTGAGGGAAGGACATTTGGCCCTTTGGCAGTATGCATATAGGGGAGGGTTGTCCGTTTTGCAGCAGTTTCCTTTTTCTTGTCTGAAGCTACCTATGTTGATACCTGATCATATTCCCCTCCAGAGGAGTTTCTAGAATAAGACAGTCTTTAAGTACTGTCTAATTTGGTGACATAGTAAAAGATGGGTGACCTCTGGCTACTCCATGGCTGCCGGGATGATCATGAATGGGAAACAGAATGTTATTTAGAGTCTCTTTGTTCTTGGTACACAGTGAGGTGCCATCTCAATGGACCTAGGTTGCTATGACTTCAGATTGCTTGCAGGGCATGGTGTATTCCTTCCAATGGTGCAGCATTTCCTGCTAGTTGGTGCCTGCAGATGAGTGCAGCCAAACTGAAGCATCAAACTAAGCCAAAGACA
Source organism: Homo sapiens (assembly GCF_000001405.40). Classification (NCBI taxonomy): domain Eukaryota; kingdom Metazoa; phylum Chordata; class Mammalia; order Primates; family Hominidae; genus Homo; species Homo sapiens. The sequence continues at coordinate 132,999,262 of NC_000023.11, read as the reverse complement.
GAAAGATAAAAATCTATTTACATTATATATACAACATGTAGATGCAAATATGATTTCTCTGGTGAATCGGTCCAAGTGAAATTTCAGTTAGTACTTTTCAGTTTCAAAAGGTAAAAGATTTGCTGCCAGAGGAGTCATATCTAAACAGAAAAAAAATCTTTGAATTGATATTTTTTTTGAAAGATGCTGCAGATTACATGTGCCATATGATTTTTTGAGAGGAAGAATTTTATAGAGAAAGTGCACTAGATTCGATGTCAAGAGACTTGAACCTCACTCACCTCTAGTTCTGATATTGACTAGGTCCTTTATCAAGCCACCTCACCCTTTCTGGGCCTGTTTCTTCACATGTCAAATAAAGGTGTTGAACTATACTGACTGACTGTGATGTGTCTTTGTAGCATTAAGACCTTCTGCTCTATTCCAAAAGGAAGTAGATATTAATAGGTGAGCTAGTGATATATACGATTTATTGTCACAAAAAGCAGGCAGAGAATCATATCCTTATCTGAGAGGATGGCACTGGAATCTGTTCCTTCTTTTTCCTTTCTCTTCCCGAAAACTGTTCCCATTTGTGTACCTGCTTTCTGCTCAAGACATATACATACCAATCACCGATTACATTCCTTAGCAACAATTTTGTTCCAGGCTTTTTCATGTTTTGCAGCTCTTCCATACTTCCCTTCTAATAATTCGGCTGCTGGAGCTCTTTCTCCAGCACCACAGAAAGTCTTACTCAAAGTTTGCATTTGAAGGCTAATTAGTTAACTGCCTGGGTTACCAGGAGCAGGCTAGTTGGGTTTGTGGCTTTGCAACCCATTCACAAATGTACTTGTTTCATTGCCAGCACCACTTTATTGAAGCAGGTCAAGAAAGGAAAAGGGTGTATGTTCATTAAAAATGAAATCACCTGCATTGTTTCCTAGTAAGAACTTACATGATGCTTCCTGTCTAGAAGCATGGAGCATAGTAACTATCTTTCTCAAAGACAATGGAAGAAACTAGAAAAGCCCAGTCAAAGAAGGGGCTTAATAGCATTTTTGACCATTATTAATGTTTGAGATGATGATTATGTAGGCATATCTAAGAGAACAGAAAAAATACTAAACAGATAACTTTTTTCTATATTATGATTACAGCTGTGCATATACTTTATAGTTTGATTTTAGTCAACTGTGAACTCTTGAAGCAAAGACTGAATGGATTATCATATGATACTAAAAGTATTTTGTAGATAGTATATGGCATCCAAATTGTCCTTGAAAGCAAGGAGGCCCTCCAGGTGCAGACTGCCCCAGGTTGGGGCATGGGGGCTTGATGTTGGTACCTGGGATGAGGCACTGTGGCCCATATGTTCTATATGTAGAGATGAGAATAAGCCCATTGACATGGTCTAGGGCTGAAACTCAAGTCAGAACCCAGACAGACAGTGTGTCCATGCTAAAAACATGAAAGGATATGTGTGAGGTACAGAGTTTAGATCATTAAAATCTGAGACTGATAGCCAAATAAGAGCAACAGGAATCAGTCTGAGTTGTGGGTGGGTGTGCCATCTCTTATAGGCACCCTGTGACTCAGGTGTCTGCTATAAAATATTTGTGGAATTGCTCTGATTTAAAAAAAAATATTTTTTATTTTTGTGGGTACATAATAGGTGTATATATTTGTGGGGGACATGAGATATTTTGATACAGGCATGCAACGTGAAATAAACATATCATGTAGAATGAGGTATCCATCCCCTCAAGCATTTATCCTTTGAGTTACAATCCAATTATACTCTTTTCATTATCTAAAAATGTACAATTAAGTTATTATTGACTATAGCCACCCTGTTGTGCTATCAAACACTAGGCCTTATTTATTCTTTCTAACTATTTTTTGGTACCCATTAACCATCTCCACCTCCCCTGCCCCCTGTAGAATTGCTATGAATAAATAAGGTGAATGGAGTACTGTGTATAGCTATGTTAAAGTTACACAGTTGGGAGCATTTTTGCAATTATAAGTGCATTTGTCAGGTGCTTACCACCTATTATCTTTGTGGAAAGATGGGAGGGACTAGGGGGCTATATAGGCTCTGGGATTAGAAAGAAATATCCTCTTGCCTTTATAGCAGCAAAGAAGAAGAAAGAAAAAATTCTGATGCTTTTCTTTAAAATAAATTGGCCATGTCTCTTCCAATTCAGGATATTTGGCATGTACAGTGAAGCACTTCAGAGTAAGAGAATAATTGAGATTTATGGGAAGAGGTAAATGGAGGAGTGGATGATAGGAACATAATTTAGGTTTCAAAAATATCTGAAGGGTAAGAAAGAGAAGGTGACAACCAGGGGTTGGAGAGAGGTTGAAGACATTTTAAAAGACTGGTAGAGTGTTTGATTGCTTCAGCATTAGAAATGACTTAGCCTCTAAAATAACTACTTGTTGGGTTATGGAGAGCAGAGTTTAGCTTTTCTTGGGCTCTAGCTGTTTGCAACTGTTCATTAATAGGTATGGTTAATTAAATTGCAGTATGGCCAGAAAATGGAAAACGACTTTGTGGTTAAAAGTGAAGCAAATGTATATCTAATGTTACGGAAAAATGTTTAAGCAATATCAAATAAAAACAGGGAGTTTTAGAAAAGCTAATATGCTATGATCCCATTTTGATAGAGTCAGTATATGTGTAGAAAACAGTCTGGAAGAGAATAAAGCAACCTAATAACAGTAGTGATTTCTAGGAGACTTTTTTTTTTTTTTTTTTTACTTTCTGTGTTCTTCATTTTCATGACATGGCTTTGTGTAACATTGTGAAATCATATTAGTACCATTTAGAAATCAACTTTGCTATACTGAAGATCCTTAATATTTCAAAGTATTGAAAAATTCAAAACTGAAAAATTTTAAAATATTGAAGATAAGCTATAGAATAGTTTATTTTATTTATTTACTTCTTCTGAACCTATCAACTGAAGGTTTGGGAATCTAGTCCAAGCACAAATGTCATTTTGGAGGAGGGGATATAAAATTCAAAATATAAATTGTTCAGATATGATACATTTCTTAACCTGTGAATAAAAGTCTTTGAGGATCTCAGTTCCTATGTGAAGAAATTTATATTGGCTGCTTTGCTTTAAATTGAGGGCTTTAAATTTTTTAATCAGCAATGAGAAAGTTTTAAATTTCTTTGTGGTGAAAGTTTGCAGCAGCATGAAATGTAAAAATTGGGAAGTTGCCATGTAGTATTTAACCCATGCAAAGAATTTGGACATTATGCACACAACCTGAAGGAAGTTTATTAAACGAGGTGGACACATTGTCAGTCTTATTTTTTGTGTTGGGGGTGCGGGGTGGGGAAGAGGATGTTACACACAATTCTTGGAATTTATGATACCGAGGGATATAGGAATTGATTAAGTATACAATCTTTAGATCTTGGGTTTTTCATCTACAGTTTTACACAATATATGCAATTGTTTGTATTTGTGAACTTTTTCTTTTTTTGAGAGAGAGAGAGAGAGAGACGGAATCTTGCTCTGTTGCCCAGGTTGGAGTACACTGGCGCGATCTCGGCTCACTGCAACCTCCACCTCCCAGGTTCAAGCGACTCTCCTGCCTCAGCTTCCCAAGTAGCTGGGACTACAGGTGCGTGCCACCACGCCCGGCTAATTTTTGTATTTTTTAGTAAAGATGGGGTTTCACTATATGTTGGCCAGGCTGGTCTCGAACTCCTGACCTCAAGTGATCCGCCCACCTTGGCCTCCCAAAGTGCTGGGATTACAGGTGTGAGCCAATGTGCCCGGTCAGGTTGAAGTTCTTTTCACATATATCTGGCTGTCAAGGAGTACAAGACTCAACACACATTTAGAAAAACTTACATGGAGGGAGTTTGAGATTCCTCCAAATATTTTCCACATTTTTGTCATCCATTGTTCATTAATATAATCTAAAACATAATAGAAACGAACATGTGAGCATATTACATGTTAAGCATTTGTGAAAATTCACCTTGACTTGCTGACCATTGGAGCAAAAGGCCACCATGATAGGGAGATGAAGTAGAAGCCACGGGGGCTCTTTTTGCCTCTTAAATTGAGGCACAGGTCCTGCATCTAAAATTGGCAATGTGACCTTCATGGGGTTGTGTCTTGGTCCTACTTTTCTGTTGATGTTCTTTCTGGGAGTCCAGTTTTCTTTGTCAGACTGCCTATGCTGTTGGGCTGCCACTGGGGAATACCTTGATATATCTACACTCCTGAGCCAATTTCAGGGTACTTGTGTCAGTGGTTAAAAGGAAAACAATTATAATTGGGATTCCGCATGATTTTGATGTGTAATTTGTTTTTTCCATGCACTCTTATCTACTCGTGAACTACTTCAGATCTACCTCAAGCCCTGACTTGGTGGATGGGATAACTTAGGCATAATTTTATCAGTTTCTATTGGACAGGATTTATTGTATCCATGCATTCTATTGGCTTACAAACTGATTCAAACATCTCTGAAGAACTTAGGAGGCTATAGGATGATTGACGTGGCGGGTAATTTAGTTGTTTTCTCTGCATGTGAGATACAATGACAGTTTGAATGATCTCCTCTGGATGCCTCTGGATTTGGGTTTGTACTCTCACTCAGGCTGTTGTGCTTACTCCAGTATCACAATATAAGAATTTATATCTGATAATTTATCCAGAGAATCCTGGCAGGGCATGGTGCCTCACTCCTGTAATCCCAACATTTTGGGAGGCTGAAGCGGGAAGATTACATGAGGTCAGGAGTTCGAGACCAGCCTGGCCAATATGGCGAAAACCTGTTTTTACTAAAAATAGAAAAATTAGCCAGGCATGGTGGGACACATCTGTAATTCCAGCTACTTGGGAGGCTGGGGCATGAGAATCGCTTGAACCCGGGAGGCAGAGGTTGCAGTAAGCCGAGATTGCACCACTGCACTCTGGCCTGGGCAACAGAGAAAGACTCTGTCTCTAATAATAATAATAATAAGAAGAAGAAGAATTAATGAGTCCTGCCAGACAGGCCACCTAACATTGGATTGGGGTGGGGTTTCTGAGCTTCTCTTGCCCTTCGTTTTAATATTCACACCTACTGTACTACTGTACTACTTCTTAACAACTTGATCGAAGAATAGCAGTGGCTTGATGCCCAATGCTATTCACTGATTTTTCTCAATCTATACCATCAGTCAGGTATCATTATGCAGCCTTATGGAAAGCTGCAAAGACCTGTTATAGACTCCATTATAGTATGAACTTGGAAACTACAGACTATATAGTCAAAATGCCGATCTACAGCATGTGGAATGTACTTTTAGGCAGGACCCAAGCACCTGTGCTTCTCTTTCAGAGCCCAGAATAGATGGGTCTAGGAATCTGGCTTCATAGTCAAACACAGAACTTCCCAAAATAACAAATGAATGTTCCCCCTCAAATGTTTTTTGATATTAGAGCTCAGGGAGAAGAATGTTTCTACTGCAGAAATGGGAAATGCAATTTAGAGCTTCCACGTAATTATTTTTGCCTTGATTCTTCAGTTTGTATGTAATATTTTACATTGGCAGTGTTTCAGATTAATTTTCAGGCTGGGCACAGTGGCTCATGCTTGTAATTTCAGCACCTTGGGAGGCTGAAGCAGATGCATCACTTAAGCCCAGGAGTTCAAGACCAGCCTGGGCAACATGATGATACCCAGTCTCTACAAAAAATAAAAAAATTAGCTGTGTGTGGTGGCATGCTCTTGTACCCAGGAGGCTGAGATGGGAGGATCGCTTGAGCCTGGGAGGAGGAGGTTACAGTGAGACGAGATCGCACTACTGCACTCCAGCCTGGGTGACAGAGTGAGACCCTGTCTCAAAAAAGATTAACCTTCAGTCTGTAGATTTCTGAATCTCAAATAATCACAGCAGTTCTACAGAAGCCATAAACTTCACCTGGAGGATTTCAAATCAAAGAGGGGTCCTGTGACATCAGCCCTCAGTGTGCTGTACCTTTGGTTTGGCCTTGGCATGGACTTTGGGTTGTTTTCGTTGTTTATAGTATGTGTGCTTGTGCTTACACAAGGAACCTTGGAATTTTACATATCAGCAGATGTCAAAATATGATATGTAGTATATTTGTATCCTATGGGATGACAGTCTCAGGCTGATTGGTCTGTCCAGCAGGAATCTTTTCTCTGTGAACTATCCACTACACACACATCCTTCTATTTGCTGTGGTGACTGAGTTCACTGGCCATAGCTACTTGGTTTGATCTTTGTCGCCTCACTCTAGTTGAACCTATCTCAACACTTAACCTCTTAATTTTGGAGTTTGGAACTAGACGGCGAGACTGAGTGATGGCTTGCTAGGTCTCATTAATGCCGTCTTAGTACAGAGAACATTATTTAGAAGACCTAATGTTTAATCCTCCTGAGCTACCCTTGTTTATGCACCTGTGGTGTGTTGCTTTGGATTTTTTGGAATTGTATTTTGGGTTTTATGAAATACTTATATTTTCCCAATAATTTTGTTGTTATTATAAAGCTTCCACTTGTAGATTTTTAAAATTATTATTCACAATAAATACAAGTGTGACCAAGGAAGCTTGTGGTTCTAATAGGTACATCATGCAGTGTTCCAGGGCAAAACTCTGAGTTATATAAACTGATGTATTGAGGATGGGGAGTCAGTGGCAGGGTATAGGATCTCCAGGCCAAGCCAGGATGGAAGTTCTCCCCCTTGTTAAGGTAAGAAAGGCAGTAGGTAATCTAATATCGCCCTCTGAGAAGTGATCCTTTTGACCACTTCATGAAGGCCACAAATAAATATTTGGAGATTGTGGGTGTGGTGGGAGCATCTCTTGATCCTGCTAAGGGTATGGTAGAAGCAGAGACTTCACATGGTTCTGCTGAAGATCCGTCCAGAAGTCATGAGAAGCTGGACTGGAAGGAGTGGGTACACAGTTCACTTCTTGTCACATCTGCAGTAGACTGTTGATCCCTTGAGTCTGAAGTGTTTCTCATTATACCATATTGCCTGGTCTAATAAAGTCCCTGTAAGGACAGAATCCAAAGAGGTCAGCTAGTGAAAGATTATTTTTTGCATACGTGTTCCTTAAAAATTAATACTCTTAATACTGCTTGTATAAAATTTCCAATTTACTAAAATTGCATGTCCTGTCTGTACAGCTTACCATAGTTTACACATTTCATCCAATTGCCTTATTATCATAGTCATTAAAATCTCCCGCCATGGGAAAGGAGAGTAACACTGTGGCAGTCTGTCCATCTTATAGATGTGCCATGCTGGGTTGTCGGGCATGGAAGTCTCCCTGGGATTTCATACATATCTTGGGCTGCAAGTGTCAGCAACTCTATTCTTGCCATTTGAGCTGGAGGGGCCCAAGCTGCTGTGTCTCATGTCCTGTTGGAGCATTCAAATAACCTCCTCTCCTGGTCTCCTAAAGCAGCTGGAACTTTATTTATATCCCTATTATTACCTTTTCTGCATTAAGGAATGAGTTGTCCATTAGGCTGCGAGCCATTTTTACCCAGCTATCTTCACTTATGCACCAACCAACATAGTGTTCCCATTGTGTATGCCCCTCTCCCCAGAGATTCTTTGAAATGCTGCTCTGGGTGGTGGGGAGTTTGTAAGGGCCTAAAGTGTTAGGTTAGCAGATGACAGTGACATTTAGGATATTACTATTAACCTGACTCCATTTCAGAACATCGACTTAAGTTCATTTTTTATTTTTCTTTTTTTAAATTTTTTTAGAGACAAGGTCTCACTCTGCAGCCCAGGCTGGAGTATAGTGGCTTGATCATAGCTCACTGCAGCCTAGACCTCCCAGGCTCAAGTTAGCCTCCCACCTCAGCCTCCCGAGTAGCTGGAATCACAGGCACACACCATCATGCCTGGATAATTTTTAATTTTTGGTAGGGACGGGGTCTTCCTGTGTTGCCCAGGCTGGTCTTTGAACTCCTGGGCTCAAGTGATCCTCCCACCTTGGCCTCCCAAAGTGCTGGGATTACAGGTGTGAGCCACCACGCCTGACCCTACGCTTGTAATGAGAGTCTAATAATGAATTTTTGTTATAGTTCAGATAAGGCTTGCAATGCCCAGTTCCACTGGCCCCCAGCTGATGGGGAAAGATAACCAAGTGTTTGGTGTCTCCGTTCAGCCAGGCTCTGTGTGAGAGAGTTATGTGAGTAACCATGGTCTCAGAAAGCCCTGAGACAGGAATTGCTGCTGCTAGTATTTCTATGCACTGTCCACTTCCACAGATCAGAGAGAAGCCTGCATGTTTGTTTTCCATGAGAGCAAGGAATTTTGGAACTGCAGAAGTCATTAAGAATACAAGTAAGCTCAAGGAGTAGAATAATACTTGTTCTTATTTATTGAAGGCTTTTTTAGTGCCACAATCTGTGCTGTTGCCTAGTTGTAACATCTCACTTGATCATTCCAGCACTTCTTGGTAGAAGGTGCCATCATTTCAAAACATTCTTTGAGGTTCCACAGCTAAGATGGGAATTCTGACTTGGAGTCCATGTGTGACTGACTTGGACCTCATGCCCTGAACCACTAGTATCTGTTAATACTAAAAATTAAGGATGATTTCAAGAGGCAAAGAAAGCCTGAACCACTGGGCCATTTTAGAGCTGAGGGCAATGAAGAACTGAAGGTAGCTGCTTTTCACCAGCACAGAGCTGGGCAGTCTCCATGAGTTCCTCACCTCCTTGCCTTTGACTCTACACTTAGACTAGACTCAGCTAGTGTCCTGAATTTTGAAATTACTTTGTCTTCAAAACCCATGTTCCCTCAGACCTCATTCCCAGCTATCTGATTAGAGGAAGTCCCTAACAAATGAATGACACTGACATGTGATTGAATACACATTAATACTCCATTTTAGGAGAGTTAGGGAGTTGACCCAAAGGCTTGAATTGAATGATGGACCACGAGACAGAATGGACGTCCTGCAGAAAGATATTGGCGGGCATCCTTGAGTGTGTCTATATGTATGCCTCTCCATGCCCTATCTGAGCACCCGCCATTATTCCTTAAAAGCATGTGTATTTAGAAGAAGGAAAGGCATTGATTAAAAACACATCTTTGAGTTGAAGTTCAATAACCCAAGGTTGAGCACACTGACCAAAGTTGGAATTCACTTTGAATTCCAAGTGGGTTACCCAAGACAGAGACATCCATTGTGGGACTAGGAAGAACATGTTTTCATCCAAGTTCTCCTCTCTAGACTATTGACTAGTTTTCTCATGCTACAAGCAGGGTTCAGAAGACCTGCCAACTTCACCCCTACTTTTCTGGGGCCTGGCAAAGTAAGATCAAGAGTGAAGCCGAAGACACGCTAGTGAAAACCCCAAACTCATCAAGCGCCCCAACTCTAATGGCCACAAAGCTCTAGTGATTCTAGCAGAAATATGCTAAGCAATTAGCATCCATCATCTCCTTTCATGATCCTGGTAATCTGGGGAGCCAGGTGCTATGCTATTTTTCATATGAGTTTCTCAAAGAAAATAATTGCCAAAGGACACACAGCAAGTGAATTTCAGAGCCAAGGTGGGAGCTCACTTGTGACTGATTCTACAGCTTGTGTGCTCTTAGCTGCACAGCACCCTAGGTTGTGAGAACTGGGGATGGAGGTGGCAGGGAAGATGAAGGAACATGTAAACATTATTTAAAAATCACATTAATACAAATTTTTGTTTGAGACGGAGTCTCTCTCTGTCACCCAGGCTGGAGTAGAGTGATGCAATCTCAGCTCACTGCAACCTCGGCTCACTGCAACCTCTGCCTCCTGGGTTCAAGCGATTCTCCTGTCTCAGTCTCCTGAGTAGCTGAGACTACATGCATGCGCCACCACACCTGGCTAATTTTTGTGTTTTTAGTAGAGACGGGGTTTCACCATGTTGGCCAGGCTGATCTTGAACTCCTGACCTCAGGTGGTCTGCCCGCCTTGGCCTCACAAAGTGCTGGGATTACAGGCGTGAGCCATTGCGCCTGGCCTTAATACAATTTTTGAAAATAAAAAGCTATAGAAGAGATTCACTTTATTTTTGCCATTTAAACCCAAACATCTTTAATATTTTGTTGTGCTTTCATCTAATCCTTCCTCTGCAGAGTTATAATTATTTATGTGCATATCTTCATAAACTCTACTGTGTATGCAATTTTTATTTTTTTACTAAACATATCATAGGATTTTTCTGTTATTACTTTTTTATAATCTGCAGTTTTCATTTCTCTCAAAAATTACATTGTGTTCCTTCTGATCATAAAAGTGGTTTGTTTCTTACTAACGAGAATTCAAAATTCTGAAAGGCTCAAAGAAGAGACTAAAGAATGAACTCTAATTTCACCATAGAGAGAGAACCACCTTAACACTCTTTTACATTTTAAGACACTTTAAATATGCTAATGTATTTCTTTTCAGTCCTGTTTTCTTTACACATGCACACATTTTTCTTTCAACAAAATTGGGATCATAGTATACATACAATATTTTGATCATGTCCTTTTCCTTAAAATATTATAAATAGTTTCCTACACTATTAGAACACCATTTTTTTGTATTTATGTGATATTATAACATATAAAGAGCTATCACTTATCTAACTCATTAATTTGGAACCTTTAGTTTCCTTCTAGGTTTTTCATTTTTTAAAGTACTGTTTTAATGCACAGTTTTGCAAATAAGCCTCTTGCCAAATTTCTGATTATTACCTTAGGATAAGTTCCCAGAGAGTGAATTACTGGGGCAAAGAGTATGAACTTTGAAAAGACACTTTATGGAGATTGCTAAATTGCTTTCTGGAATGATTGTATCAGTTATTTTTTATTTTTATTTTTGTTTTTTTAAGAGGCGGGTCTCGCTTTGTTGCCCAGGCTGGAATGCAGTAGTGCAATCACAGCTCACTGCAGCCTCATACTCCTGGGCTCAAGCAATCCTCCCACTTCAGCCTCCCGAGTAGTTCAGACTATGGGCAAGAGCCACTGCACCTGGCTCAATGGTACCAATTTATTCTCTCATCTGCAGGATGTAAGGGTGCTTATCCATTTTAATGACTGCATACATCAAGTAGATGTGTAGTATATTCCCTAAACATTTATATACTATTTCTGGTTCATAAATAAGCCTGCTAAAAACATCTCTGGAACGTGGCATTAGAGACCTTGGACCTGGACTGAATTTCTATGTCACCTACTCTATGAAATCTTGTGCATTTGACCTCAGTTTCTTTATCTGTAAATGCAGGAAAACTGGTGCCTCAAACAATTGTGATGTGGAGTGACTCATTATTAATTGAGTCAAATTTTTATGTAATGGTATTGCCTGTTTGCATTTTGATTTTCTTCAGTTTTCTCATTTAATAAAATTATTTGATCTATAATCTGTCTTGATTATATGATTCCTTTTTTCAGCTCTTGAGGTTCTGTCAATTAAAACAGAAAGTTGCAGAAATCACAGACAAAATCAACTTGCTAATATTTCCTTGTTATTTATTGGCACTCAGAATATAGTTAAGAGGGTTTCTTAAAAGGCAGAGTGCAAGTAAAATAAGTGGATTAACTTTCATTTACCTCAGTTCTCCTCTTTAACCACTTTCCTTAAAACTAATTTAAATAAAATGCACAGAAAGCCAGTTCTTTGACTTTGTAGGCTACATATGCATTATACACTGAATGCCCAGGTAGAATGAAAGAGAAGCCTGGGAAGTGGGGATTGTTTCTTAAGAAGATAGTCTTGGTAGCTCCCTGAAGCACCAAACCTGCTTCTGCAAAGAGGCTGATCCTTTTTCCTGGCCTTCTATTAAAGGATACTTCCCAGGGCTATTTTTTTGCCTCTGAATTCAGGCAAGCAGGAAGATTGTTTAATCCAGTGTGTCCCAAACCCTGCTGTGGATCCAAGTCACTTGGGAGTGACTCTGTATGTATGTGCGTGCACGCACACACTTGTGTGTCTGTGTGTGTATGAAACTACAGATACCCTGGCCCAACTGCAAAGATATTCGTGAGTGGGCTAGGACCTGAAAATTAGCATTTTCAACAGCTTTCCAGGTGATTCTGATGCAACAGATCCACAGACCAGTCATCAACAAACCACACATTTTACAGATGGGGAAAGGGAGACCAAGAATGGCTGAATACACTTGCTCAAGGTCACATAGGTGTGCTTCCAGTGAAGACTAAAACAACTCCTTGTTTCTTCTGATTTGATGATCAATGATGTAGCTTCAACATAGTCAAACCTTGAGTGTGGAGGTGCTCATCCTTCCTGGAGAGACAAACTGAAGAAAGTTCTGGGATGCAGGAAGGACAAAAAAACAAAATGTTTAACATTGCACTTTGATAGCATCTGAAAAAATTTTTTTCCAACTAATTTTGCTTATTTGGATGACTGGTCTAAGTTCCATTTTGGCCAGCTTTCCCCACCTCACTTTTAGTTTCACAGGTTTTATATACTGTCATGCAGCAGAGAACCTTTTGATAGTTAATGATTGAGCATGATTCACTATCAGCTGAATATTTATTAAAAGGACATGATGACTAAATGCAATGTGGTATCCTGAATCAGATCCTGGAATAGAAAAAGAAAAACATCAATGACAAAACTAGTGAGATCTGAATGAAGTTTGTAGTTTAATAATAGTAATGTATCAATGCCAATTTCTCAGTTTTGACAAATGTACCACTGTTATGCAAGATGTTAGCATTAGGGGGGAACTGGATGACAAGCATACAGGAACTCTGCAACTTCTCTGTAAATATAAAATGATTCTAAACAAAGTTTATTTTTAAAAGTAGTCTTAAGAACAGATCAGAGCAGTCAAGAAACAATGAAAAATTGCTAATCAAAGTGCTGACTCCCTCACACACTGGGGGAAAATTCTTTAGGGAGGTGACTCCTTGATTTGTGTGAAAAATCTACTACTTAGGAGAAAAAGCATGTTATATCCCAGAAAGATAACCTGGCTGAGTTGGGGAGGGGCATTTTAATTTCAAGAGAATCAAATGGTGATTTTTTTCTTTGACAGCACATTTCTTTTGTGCAATTTTCATTAAGGTAATCGTATTAGGCCATTCTTGCATTGTTTTGAAGAAATACCTGAGACTGGGTAATTTATAAAGAAAAGAGGTTTAATTGGCTCACAGTTCCACAGGCTGAACAGGAATCATGGCACTGGACATCTGCTCCACTTCCGATGAGGACTCAGAAAGCTTACAATCATGGCAGAAGGCGAAGGGGGAGCAGGCACGTCACATGGTGAAAGCAGGTGAAACAACTTTGTTGTTGTTAAGTAATCAACAAAGATTGGAATCACCTCATAAGGGTGATCATATAGAGTAGGCTACAGTGAATAAACAGCTTAATCTGGAGGATAATTATATTACTTACATGCAATTTTAAAAAGTAATATTTCACAAAGGTTAGTCATTCTCATTGGGTTAGATTGGCCCACATTGGAGAAGGGGCCTTCACTTCATGCTATAAGATGTGAGGAGGCTCAAAAGTCTTCAAACCTCGTGCCCTCCTCCCATCTTCCTATTACAGTACCTGAGGCATCACCATAGTTCATTCTTATTCAATAAATATCTACTGAGTACATTAATAATAACAGCTAAAACCTATGGAACAATTACTATGGGCCAGGTGATTTACATGGATTCTCTTCATTCTCACATCAAAGACAGAGGCATGGATGAAGCATTATCTTTGCTTCTACAAATGGGGAAACTGACTCAGACTGGTGAAGAAACTTGTCCGAAGTCAGATTGGAAGTATGTGGCAGAGCTGGATGTTGAAGGTGTTTTTATCTGAATCTCTAACTTTGGACCGTAATAGTGAAATGCATGGCACCACAGTGAACTATGCCACAGGGGCAGAGGGCAAATGACGAAGAGGGAAGATTGTCTGTGTGACAGCAGGAGCGAGGAGCAAGGGGCAGCATGGTTGGCTGGATTCATAAATTTGAGAGCCAACCACAGAGTGATACCAGGTCATCTAAGTCATAGGAAAAGAAAACATCTGCGAGGGAAAGGAGAGGCAAGATGTGGACAGTTTTGAAGACACCCACATGTAGGTGGCAGGAATGGAGGAGTGCATTAGGGAAATGGTGTCAGAGGAGGTAAATATTGGAATCCTAAATGCAAAGAGAATTCCAGGCAGTCATCAAATACTTCTGAGAGGTGAGATGTGAAGGAGAACTGCTAAGAGGAAGTGGCATTCACTACCGAGACGTTCCCTTATGTCATTGGAAAGCAGGCCAGAAGGATGAGGGCGTCAGCTCTAGACTCAGGACAAAGGAGGCAAGGAAGGGTGAGCAAGGAGAGGGAGCAAGGATGGGGTGCGTCTACTGTCAGTTTGGTGTGGAAGGTAAGCAGAGAGGAAAGATGATGCAATTTAAGGATTTTGGGGGTTGAGAAGCTCTGAGAGGTGGAGGATCTACTGTCATGTGAGAGAGGGATGAGATGCAAGGAGGAGGAAGGTCACTGATGCAGCAGGAGACAGAGCTCACAGGATGGGGGTGGGGATCAGAGACACAATGAGCAGAGGAGGAAGCAACAGTTATTCCAGTTGGGGGTTGGGTGCATCTGTGGAAAGGTGTGCTCAGCAGACCTGTTCCTCTCTCAGAGAACATTCCTTCCCCTTCCTGTTCTGCATGCTCTTCTGTCTCCTGGTTTCTGCATAAGACAGGCAGGCTCAGAATTGTTACCGCAATCTGGGGTAGAGAGGACTCTGAGCAGCTGGGGCAGCCTGAGGGCACTGTCCACTGTGAGTGGCATCAGAGGGTTGAGGCCGTGACAGTTGTTGTCCCTGGTTCCCATTCGGGCCCTGTTTCAGATCAGCAGGTGCGATTTCACCAAGGGGCTCTGCTTTTAGTCTTTTACTAACACCACAAAATCACATTATCCCACTGTTCATTAGGTTACTTTCTCTAATATTATAATCACAATTGTATACCCACATATACGTCACCATTCACTTAGGGTAATCAGTTTTAATGACACTCATTTCAGTTTCTTTTATAAATCACATGCTTTTATGAGATAATGGAGGAGAAACATCTAATTTTGATCTAAGACAAACGAAAAGTGAATGCACGTGTTCTTTAATGTATTTTTCTTGGCTCATCATGTCCATTACTTAAAGAGGAAAGAATATTTCCTGGTTTCTTTTTTAGAACTAAATGAGGCAAAAGTACAGTGGATTTTGAATACCAAAACATTAGCTGTAATGTACTGCAAACAAATAATAAACACAACTCATCCTTAGTGGGTTTTGCACAAATCTCAATTGACTAGAAATCAGTGTTTGTGAACTACATGGGTCATATCCTCCTAATGTATTAAGAAGAAAAATCTTAACACTACACCCTCTTTATGTAAGCAAAATCAAACTCTGAGCCTGCTATGTTGTCTGCAGAAAATAGAATAAAATGTCTTTCATCCAGCAAACATATACTGAATTCCTATTATGCACCAGGCAATGTACAGAGATAGATGAAGCACATTCCCTGATCTTCAGCAGATGCATGCTCTAGTTGAGGAAGCAGGCATGTTCACAGATTCACACACTAGATTGCTCTAAGTGCAGGATAAAGGCAATTACGAGGTGAAATGGGAACGTCAAGGAGGAAGTATTATCTGTGGAGTGTGTCTGTGTGTGTAGAGTGATGGGGTTGGTCAGAGAGTCTCACAGAATCTGTGGTGATAGTGTTTGAGCTAAGTCTGTCCTGATGAATCCCCAGGGAGAGAAGAGGAAGAAGGATATCTTGCCAGTCTTTCCCCATTTATAGAATGCTCTCCTCTTTGCCCAAGGGCTTACTTTTCTCCAAAACCAAATACAAACTCAGTATGGCATAAGAAGCTCTATAAAATATGGTCCCAGACTCCCTTTAGGACCCTTTTTGGTCACCTACTCTATGTCACACTGTACTTGTCTATTTTTAGAATGCACTCTTTGATGGTTCCTTTCTTTTGCATGGACTAGTCCCATCACCGACAATACTCATCTGCCTGTTTTCAGCTTGGCAAGATGACCCTTGTTGGCGTAGTACGCAGAGCACCTTAGCAACAACCCTGGCTGCCACCATGTTCTCCCTGGTGGAGACACAGGTTGGTCAGCTTAATGAGCATGAACCACTCCCTGTCTTCAGACTGAGCTGATGGGATGTGGTCCTGATGCCCGGGTCTTTACTGTGGAAAGACGGCTCCTAAACCTGTACTCAGTTTCATTTGCAGACATTTTGGATCTTTTTGCTTTTAGCCTTCCAAACCAACTACTGTGGGGAAACTGAGGTAGGATGATGCTTTCCTCTGGTCTTATCACAGATAGGCATATTATAATTTTCTGTTAAGATTGCCCCAAAATTAAGCCTTATATTTTGTCTATTTATCAAAATTGCCTTCTGTTAAGTGAAGATTTGGCCCTCGTTACAAAAAGAAATCTGATACCTTTCAATATTGCCCATTAAGCCTCTCCTGAATGAATGCAAACGTTTGGACTAAGGCCTACTGTCTCGTTCATTTCGGCTTTAATTCTAGGTGCCCCCTTATGTCCTCTTCAGCATTTGCCAGAACAGAATTAAAGCAAAATAAGTTAAATACCATGGAATTGATACAAAATGCATAGAAGAAGAGGACTGAAATGAAGCCTTTTGAAGGAATGTTATTCCTCACTGTAATAGCTTTTACTTCTGTTAAGAATTAGTACATGATGGCTCCCACAATTGGATGAATTACACAAATGCTAATGTCAACATCAGACATAATTTAGAAGAGATATGGAGAAGCATTTTCTGTTTTTAAATGCCAAAACCATTTCTCATCCATCAGGTAATAATTTTTCAATTTTCTTTTCAAAAATATAGTACATTGTCAGTGCTACTGAAGTCATCATTGATTTCGCAGCTATGAAACCATGGAAAGCCAAAGAACCTTCATTGTAAGTTGGAACTTGAAAACACGAATAAGACACCACTTCCCCAATAACCACAAAATCAGTAGATGTCTATAGCAGATGGAGCTGAACCACACAGCTACTACATAATCTTGGTCTTGGATGAGTGCCAGGTGGCAATGAAGTTGGTCTTAAGTGACCACCAAGGGCTCAAATAGGTTGCTTTATGAAAAAAAAAATGATGCTTTCAATTAAATGTCAAAGATAATTACATGGGAAACATCAGAGACCTTCAGAAGGAGGGCAGAAAGATTACATTCCACTAACCTAACACTCCATTACCAAACTTTCCATATTTTGGAGTTTTGACAGAAACTTAGTTGTTCCAGGAGAGAATGGCACTCCACATTCATGGAAAAGCACAAGAAAGAGGCTTTAGAGTAAATATCACTTTCCCAATAACACGGGGGTTATTTAAGGTCACAAAAGTGTGAAATGGCAGAATTTTTCTGCTTTTGATCTCAGCCAACACCTAGGCCCCTGTTAAAATTATTGAACCTGGACATCATTCTTAGGGCAAAAACAAAAATAAAATATTCCAATAATCACACCCCTTCACTCTAGAACTGACAGATCCTTTCCCTGCCATTTTTATTGGATTCATTTCTCCCCCTCCTCCAAGTCCAACTAGCCGTCCATTATTGGTGAAATGTCTAGGAGCTATGACTTCAGGCTGCAGTCTTTGGGCATCATGTAAGTGACTGGGGTCCCCTGGTGGCTTGGAGGACCCTGCTGTTTGCCCTCTGGATTTATTTGCAAAGTGTTGGGCTAGACCCAGCCTAATCCCTGTTCACAGCTAGGCCTGCTAAAGAAGACTGGAAAGAAGCTGTACTTAGTGGAGTCAGTCAGAAGTTTGTCCACTACCCTCAGAAAAAACAAAAAGAAGGTTCTTACTATGACCAGCCCCGGGCCAGTCAAAGCAAATTTGAGAAGCTGGAAACGTTTGTCTTTGGAGCTCCATTGACGATTTTAGGGACCCCCATTTTTCCCCTCTGTGTTCTAGGTCTAGATACCCTAGAAAGCACCTTAAATTATAAAGCCATATTTTCCAAACTCTTTCAGGGACTACTAGATCAATGAGATATTAACAGGCATTTTGTGAACAATGAATTCCCTGACAAGTATGTTTAAGAAACTTTTTTGGTTTGGGAGGCTAAGGCGGGCGGATCACGAGGTCAGGAGATCGAGACCATCCTGGCTAACACGGTGAACCCCCGTCTCTACTAAAAATACAAAAAATTAGTGGGGCGTGGTGGCAGGCACCTGTAGTCCCAGCTACTGGGGAGGCTGAGGCAGGAGAATGGCGTGAACCCGGGAGGCAAAGGTTGCAGTGAGCCGAGATCACACCACTGCACTCCAGCCTGGAGGACAGAGCGAGACTCTGTCTCAAAAAAGAAAAAATGAAAAAAAAACTCTTTTTTTTTTTTTTTTTTTGAGACGGGGTCTTTCTCTGTCACCCCTGCTGGAGAGCAGTGATGCAATCACAGCTCGCTACAGCCTTGAACTCCTGGGCTCAAATGGTTCTCCTGACTCAGCTTCCCAAGTAATTGGTACTACAGGCACATGCCACCATGCCAACTAATTTTTAAATTTTTTGTAAAGACAGGGTCTTACTACATTGTCCAGGTTGATTTCGAACTACTGGGTTCAAGCGATCCTCCCTCTTCAGCCTCCAAAAGATTACAGGCTTGAGCCACTGCACCTGGCCAAGAAACTCTTTTTTAAAAAATATATATTTTAGGTTTAGGAGTACACACACAGGTTTGTTATATAGGTAAACAGCATGTCACAGGGGTTTGTTGTACAGATTATTTTGTCATCCAGGTAATAAGCATAGTACTCAATAGGTAGTTTTTTGATCCTTTCCTTCCTCCTGTCCTCCTCCCTCAAGTAGGCCCTGGTGTCTATTGTCCCCTTCTTTGCGTCCATGTGTTCTTGTTGTTTAGCTACCACTTATGTAAGTAAGAACATGTGGTATTTGGTTTTCTGTTCCTGCATAAATTCACTTAGGATAATGGCCTCCAGCTCCATCCATGTTGCTGAAAAGGACATGATCTCATTCTTTTTTATGGCTGCATAGTATTCCATGGTGTATATGTACCACATTTTTTTCAATCCAGTCTATTACAGATAGGCATTTAGGTTGATTCCATGTTTTTGCTGTTGTGAATAGTTCTGCAATGAACAGAAGCGTGCATATGTCTTTATGGTAGAATGATTTATATTTATTTGAGTATATACCCAAAATAGAATTGCTAGGCAAGAAACTTTTTATAATGTGCTACGTCCCCCTATGGGAGATGTACAATGTCAATTAGCAATAAAGATTCTGAGAAGCCCTGCAATTACAAATACCTGTCTCTTTTATTTAACTCAGCTTTTCCTATATTTCTTTATCCATGAAGCACTTTCTTCACATAATAGCTGATAATGTATTGCAAAACTACTATTCCGTGAAGTTCAATTGTAGATCAAGAGGAAGTTCCCAAAGACATGCAAACATTTTGATACCACTTGGAAATTTTGTAGGGGTTGGCATCTTGTCACAGATTTGTGATTTCGAGTAACTCATCTGTGTAGCAATGTAACTTTCTCTATAACTGATCTCAACCTATTCACGAGTCCCCATTTCCACTGATGAAGAAATTACTAAACCCTGCCTCTTTAAGATGTCTCATTCTTTTCTGGTTAAAAACTTAATTTCTTTTGGGTAATTAATTACTCATTTGGCTCCGCATTTCAGCTAGTGTATTTCAAGTTCAATATCCCTGTCAGTTTGGGCATGGTGTGCGCATGCACACACACACACACACACACACACACACACACACACCCCTATCAAGTCTGCTCTCAAGAATTTTCTTCCCCCACCACACTTCCTACCTTCCTTACCCCCTTTTCCCATCTCTTTTTCTCTTCTTCCACTTTCTCCTCTTCTTCCCCTCTCCTCTTTTCTTCTTTCTCCTCCTTGAGGACTGCAGTTTTGTAGGAAGCAATTCCCCTGTATGGGTAGCTGTTTTGCCACATTGCATGCCCAGAGAGCAGAGTATGTCATTGCAGAGTATGTCATTGAGACCATTGTATTCTTTAGAAACATGTAAGGAAATCATGTTAATTATTTTTATTTCCTGCTGAGAAAACTGTATCTTAGAGGTAAAATGTCAAAGTGACTGGACACTCTCATGATTCCAGGTAATTATAAGAAATAAATAAAAATCTCTTAAAAATTTGCTTTAATATAGGCTGGGCATGGTGGCTCATGCCTGTAATCCCAGCACTTTGGGAGGCCGAGGTAGGAGGATTGCTTCAGCCTAAGAATTCAGGACCAGCCTGAGCAACATAGCGAGACCTCGTCTCTACAAAAAATAAATTTGCTGGATATGGTGGCATTAGCTAGTAGTCCCAGCTGCTCCAGAGGCTGAAGTGTGAGGATCACTTGAGTCCAGGAGTGCAAGGCTGCACTGAGCCTTGATCACACCACTGTAGTGCAGCCTGGGCAATAGAGCAAGACTGTCTCAATAAAAATTTTTGCTTTAGGTGGGGCACAGTGGCTTACGCCTGTAATCCCAGCACTTTGGGAGGCCGAGGTGGGTGGATCACCTGAGGTCAGGAGTTCGAGACCAGCCTGGCCAACATGGTGAAACCCCATCTCTACTAAAAATACAAAAATTAACTGGGCATGGTGGTGCACACCTGTAATCCCAGCTACTCAGGAGGCTGAGGCAGGAGAATCGCTTGAACTCGGGAGGCGGAGGTTGCAGTGAGCCGAGATCATGTCATTGCACTCCAGCCTGGGTGACAGAGTGAGACTCCGTCTCAAAAAAAAAAATTTTTTTTTGCTTTAATATAGGAAGTATAGCAAAACTCACCACATTGAATATTTCATGGACATCAGCCATAATGCCACACCATTGCAGGGAAGTTGAGAAACATCATTTTTAATTATTTTTCATTTTATTGTAGGAAGCTTTGATCCAATTTCTTTATACAGCTGGTGAAAAGCTCTGTGTATCTAAGATGACAGCAGATTGAACAATAGGGAAGGTAACTGAGTTTTGTATATGAAGACAAACTAAACTAACCCACAGGAATCTGTTATTTATATGATGTAGGATCTGGCTTCGTTATTCTGTAAAATGCCTGCTATTTGTGTTCATATTTTTTCTGTTCTGTAAGGGTTTTCAGGAAGTAAGTTAACAAACACCTGTTGTTTTAAGAAAATTATTTAAAGAAATTGATTTTTGTGTGTATAGGCCAACTACTGCAGCAGGTATTGAACCCATGTTTTCTTGCCACCTGTTCACATAATCAACTAAGAGATCTAAACATCTGTCCTCAAGTGGGGAGGAAACTGCAAAGGATGATGGTAGGGAAGTGTAAAGTCAGTCACCACCACACCACAGGGGATCTCTCTTTTCTAAAACAATCTCTCTAATAGGGACACTTTGTCAATTAAAATCTAGGAGAACATGGCCGGGGGTGGTGGCTCATGCCTGTAGTCCCAGCACTTTGGGAGGCCAAGGTGTGGATCACTTGAGGTCAGGAGTTCGAGATCAGCCTGGCCAACGTGATGAAACCCTGTCTCTACTAAAAATACAAAAATTAGCCGGGCGTGGTGGCGAGTGTCTGCAATCCCAGCTACTGGGGAGGCTAAGGCATGAGAATTGTTTGAATTCAGGAGGCAGAGGTTGTAGTCAGCCACGATTGTGCCACTACACTGCAGCCTGGGCAACACACAGGGAGACACCGTCTTAAAAAAATAATGTAGGAGAACATAACAAGGCAGATGAAGAAAATCTATCTACACTATTCAATAAGTTGCATGGGTTTTGGAGTGGAAATGTTTTTGTACTCACAAACCTATGTAGTCATCTGAGGCTCATGTGTTTAAAGAAGTGGCAATGTTAACTGAGAGATGGAGAAAGTGAGAAAATCCTGCTTACTCCAGGTGGGTGTCTCACTTGCCTAACCAAACATTGGACAAAGATCTCAATGGCCAGGCTCTTCCCCACTCATCAGAAGTAAAGACTTGAAACTGATTTTCAGAACATTGTCTCTACATATAATGATGCTTAACTGTTGTTCTGAAAGCTCTAAAGTTTGAGCTGAACCTGGTAATCAGTATAGATCATGTTGAATACCCAAGACTTAGGGCTCAGAGTGACTTGGATGCCCATCCCACCTGATATGGTTTGGATCTGTGTACCAATCAAATCTAATATAGAATTGTAATCCCCAGTGTTGGAGGTGGTGCCTGGTGGGAGGTGACTGGATCGTGGGGGTGGTCCTTTATGAATGGCTTAGCACCATACCCTCAGTGCTGGTCTCATAATAGTGAGTGAGTTATCTTGAGATCTGGTTGTTTAAAAATGCGTACCACCTCCCCCCCACCTTGCTCCTACTCTATACCATGTAAAAAGCCTGGGTCCCCTTTCACCTTCCTCCATGATTGCAAGTTTCCTGAGGCCAACCCAGAAGCTGAGCAGATAGCTTCATGCTTCCTGTACAGTCTGTGGAACTGTTAGCCAATTAAACTTCTTTTCTTTATAAATTACCCAGTTTCAGGTATTTCTTTATAGCAACGTGAGAACGAACTAATACACCACCTCTGTAGCTGGCCAGTTCTCTGAACCTGGGCAAGTGGTTTAACCTCAGTTTTGTCATTTTTTAAAATGGGGATAACAAGAGTACTTTTTTTTTTTTTGTAACAACTTATTTAAGTAAGGAATGCAAAGCCCTGAGCACTTAGGAACATATGAATATGTTAGCTAGTGGAGAGCAGTAGGGAGTAGCAGTGGGTCCCATCAAAATCTGTGTATGTGGATCCTTGATAAACTCCAAAGCCCAGGGCTACTTTGGGATTGTTAGAACCAGTACAAACCCAAGTCACTCTGAAGACAGGCCTAGGTCCGTTCCCTAGTGAGAAGGCAGTCCCAGGTCCACACCTCCAGGAGGACAAGCAGCCTGAATGATCAATGGCTTTGCTTTTACTGTCTCTGAAGCCTAGATTAATTTTGGACTTAGAATCTATCTGTGGGACAGGGGTGGGAGCTGAAAGCCCCTTGAGTTTTATTGCAAAATTTATCATTCATGTTTACTTTTCTCTGGAGAAGACCCTTGATTTCATCGAATTCTCAAACCTAGGTCTTTTCACAATCCACAAAAGCTTGAGAAGGGCTGCTGTAGTCTCTTGAAGAATGATTTACTTCCTCCCTAGAGCTCTTATGTGGGGACACAGATCCCTTCATTATTCCCTACCCCCAGCTCCAATGCTATCTGTTCAAGCCTGCATTAGTCCATTTGCGTTGCTGTAAAGAATGCCTGAGACAGGATAATTTATAAAGAAAAGAGGTGTATTTTGGCTCGTGGTTCTGCAGGCTGTACCGGAAGCATG
The DNA here is from genome assembly GCF_000001405.40 of Homo sapiens. Taxonomy (NCBI): domain Eukaryota; kingdom Metazoa; phylum Chordata; class Mammalia; order Primates; family Hominidae; genus Homo; species Homo sapiens. The sequence goes on along the minus strand of NC_000023.11, from coordinate 132,975,912 downwards.
GTGCCAGCATCTGCTTCTGGTGAGGGCTTCAGGAAGCTTGCAATCATGGCGGAAGGTGAAGAGGGAGAAGGCATTGCACGGTGAGAGAGGGAGCTAGAAAGACAGCAGGGAGGTGCCACACACTTTTAAACAACCAAATCTCACATGAACTACCAGACCAAGAATTCACTCATCACCAACGGGATGGCGCTAAGCCATTCATGAGGGATCTGCCCCTGGCGTGATCCAAATACCTCCCACCAGGCCCCACCTCCAACAATGGGGATTACATTTAAACACGAGATTTGCAGGGGGCAAACATCCAAATCATCTCAATGCCCTAGTCCTAGACTTGTTCCTCTGATTTTGTTTGTTCTCTTGGCATCAGCCTTACTCTCATCTCTAGTCTGTCGTCTCTTAAACGTCTTTTCAAACTCTTTCCATCATTTTATCCAACCACATTTGTTCTGCCACTGTGTCTCTGACAAACTGTTCTCTGCTGCCCCCTGCTGTTCAAACTGACAGGGACCTAGAAGGTTTTCTTATTTATGGTAACTACCTGGGCAATTTCCATTGAGAAATGGTTGGGGCCCAGTGGGGTGGCTCACGCCTGTAATCTCAGCAATTTGGGAGGCCAAGGCGGGCGGATCACCTGAGGTCAGGAGTTCGAGACCAGCCTGGCCAGCAGGGCGAAACCCCGTCTCCACTAAAAAATGCAAAAAATTAGCTGAGCATGGTGGTGGGTGCCTGTAATCCTAGCTACTTGGGAGACTGAGGCAGGAGAATCGCTTGAACCCGGGAGGCGGAGGTTGCAGTGAGCCGAGATTGCTCCACTGCACTCCAGCCTGGGTGACAGAGTGAGACTGTCTAAAAAAAGAGAGAGAGAGAGAGAGAGAAATGGTTGGTCACGTCTGTAGTTCAAGAGGCTAGCAGTGTTGGCTTATTCCTGTGGGTATGTAATTACACAGTTCTACTTCCAGAACTCCAGAAAAGACCTTTGAAATGGAGGCAATTCTCCCACTGTTTGATGCCTGAGATGTCACATGCAGAGGAAGACAGGTTTTAACTGAAGATTCTGATCTATATGCAAATGTCCATGAACAGAGGGGGATTATCACTCACCCACACATTAGTATCATCGATTGGGAGTGGGGAAGGTTGATATGGTGCAAGAAGGGAAAAAGAGCGTACTGAGCCAACAGGTAGGGGCAGTAGGGAAGTAAATCACAGGGGTGAAGTGGGTGGGGAAGGAGGTATGTAATGAAGGTCCACTTCTGACTTTCCCCTTTTACACACGGTCTATCTGGCCCTGAATTGTTGATTTGAATATATGAATGCTTCCTGCTTTGTCCCATCACTTTATCCCTAGCAATGAAGGGCAGGGGGAAGAACAAGGGGGCAGCTTTTTACCATCCAGCTCTAGCTACTTTGCCAAGAACAGAATGGAGAGATGGGTGCATTTATGTTTACTGAGCACCTGATATCTGCCAGTTACTAGGAATGTCCACATCATATCAGCATTCATTATTGGAGGGAGGTTGAAATAACCCACTGAACAGAGCCACAGCGTGCTAGGAGAGAAAGGAAACTAAGTCAGAAGAAAGCAGTTAGTGGGAACCAGCCAAAAGTCTCACTTAGCCATCCTGCTGTCTTCCTTATTATTTACTTTTCAGCAGATGGTGAAGCTAAGAATCAGAGTAAATGACTCCCAAGATCCCACAGTTGGTTTATGGTAGAGTTGTGTTTGGGTTCTCTTCTGTCAGAGAGAAGCCACATACCCTTCTTGTACCAATATGGCATACAAAATAGAGAAAAGAGGGATGTCTGATTTTGGGTATATCTGTAGGTGCGCATCAGGTGTTAAACTGCAGGTACATACATTTCCAGAGGAACTCAATTAAAAAGGGAAAGACCATAAGATATAGTGTCTCATTCCTCCTTGGAAGCTGCATATATGGGGGAAAAGCAAAAGAAAAGAAAAGAAAGCAAAAGAAAAGAAAAAAAAGAAAAGAAAAGAAAAAAAAAGAAAGAAAGAAAAGAAAGAAAGAAAGGCAAGACAGCTGAAAGGCATACATTTCTGGAGAGCTCAAAAGATAAAAATGATAGTCTCGCTTGGAATTTATCTTAATGAGCAAGACTCAATCAATGGAAAGTGACAGATGAGATAATTTAAAGTTCAAGTTTCCTTCTTCTGTTTCTTTGTATAAAAGAGAACCAACTTTTTGATCATTTTTTGCTCAGCTGTAATATTCTGCTGCATAAAAAAGATTGAACACCGAATACCACATTAATATGTTATTGGCATCTTTCTTTTTTCATATCCTACATGTTGATTGTAAAACCGTCCAGGGAGACTGATAGCTGTAATATATTACAGTTCCTCAACTTCAAATTAATTTCATAACAGTACACTTAAGAGCCAGATATGCTTTGCTCCAAGAAGTATCTCAAAGTAGGAAATATTCTTTTTCTCTGAAGCCCTGGGTCTGGTTATTTTATTTATTGGATCACCTATCTAGACTTTACTTCCTTATGATCCATTACCTGCTTCAGTAATTACCATCATCTCTGAAATGTCCAAGCCCTGGCAAGTAGATTGAATGCCTCTCTGCACATGCCTCCAGGGTGAGCTGCACAAGCACAGTAGGAGCTGGGGAACTGTGTGGGATGTAAAATCTATGTCTCTGTAATTCGTATTTCACATTCAGACCTCCAGCTTGACTCAGTGGGTCTGTGTAGACACAGCCTAAACCAATGACCACATGAAGGAACAAGGCAAGGTGATGCCCAATGACTGCAAGGGCCTTAGTTGAACTCATCAAAAACATGTCCTCCTCCTCCCCTCTAGCCCAAGCTCCCCTACCTGAAGAGAATGGGTCAGAGCACTCTGTCCTTCTGTCTCTCATCTGGGGGCAGCAGTTGTAAAGAAAGGGACGTGAGTACCTTTCTGTCTGACCTGTGGGTCTTGAAATCCCTTTAGCTGCCACAGAGGATCAAAAATGGGTCCCGTTTTTCCACCCTTTTCTTTAGAGCTGTGCTGTCCAGTATGGCAGCCAGCAGCCACTTGTGCCCATTTAAATATAACTTACTTGAAATTAAATTCAATTAAAATTAAATTGATTAAAATTAAGCTCCTCAGCCGGGTGCAGTGGCTCACACCTGTAATCCCAACACTTTGGGAGCCCGAGGCAGGTGGACCACCTGAGGTCAGGAGTTCGAGACCAGCCTGGCCAACATGGTGAAACCCCATCTCTACTAAAAATACAAAAAATTAGCTGGGCGTGGTGGTGGGTACCTATAATCCTACCTACTCGGGAGGCTGAGGCAGGAGAATCACTTGAAGCCAACCCAGGAGGCGGAGGTTGCAGTGAGCCGAGATTGCGCCATTGCACTCCAGCCTGGGCAACAAGAGTGAAACTCTGTCTCAAAAAATAAAAATAAAAATAAATAAATAAAATAAAATTAAGCTCCTCAGTCACACTAGCCACATTTCAAGGGCTCAGTAGCTACGTGCAGCTGGTGGCTATCATATTGAAGAGTACAGATAAAGAATATTACCATCATCAAAGAAGTTCTCTTTGACAACTCTGCTGTAGACCCCAAATGACTCTGATCTTGAAGGAAGAGCAGAATATCAATAATTGCAGAAAGAAGGGAGGACATTTCAGGAAAGAATTTGCAAAAACAAATGTTCATTGGTTTTGTATGGTACAAAGCCCTGTGAAAGGAGCAACTTTAAATCTTGAGTTTCCTATAGCAGTCTCAATTTTATAGGAATGTTCAGAAAGAATGAAGAGTATCCAAAACTGATGTATAATGCAACTATGTAAAATAAAATTAAAAATGAGGTAGGGAAAGTGAAATAAATGACTTTCCATGGGTGTAAATGCATGATTAAATCTTTCCCCACATTTAAGTGCAGCTAAGTTTTTTTCCAGTCAGTGTTCTAATTGTTTTGTTTAGAAAATATGCTCACTGTAACTATGAAATTAATTTATTATTATTAATCATCATCATCAAATTTCATACCCTGAGTTAACACTTGTTCACTCAAATATTTTTAAGCACCTACTATGTATCAGAAATTTTTCTAGGCCCTTGGGATATATCAGTAAACTGGCTAAAGTAAAGAGATACCTGCATGCAGAAGCTTATATCCTAGTGGGTAGAGATAGAAAGCAAACAATAAACACTGTAAGTTTGGTAAACATATGGAATATCTAAGAGTGTTAAGTTCCATGAAATAATAGAGCACAGTACAGGATATCCATGGTGTGGGTTGATAATATTCATGCTGGGGCAGGCAGAGGGGTTAAGCATGTTCTCCTGGATCTTTACACAGGGCAGTGTCCTTATTTTATACATGTAGGAGATAAAGTTCAGGTTGGCCAAAGTTCATGCAAATATACACACATATATCATACCATGTGCTGGTAAGCATGTGGCTTACATGCCACATGTAAGGGCAATATGGCAATATGGCAGTATCTATTGCCTTTAGTAATAGCACTAATTCTATTCCCAGCTTTCTGAATCAGTCAAATAGGCTGGATTATATTGTGGCAACAAAGAACTCCAAATTCTTAGGGTCTTATAACAGAAAAAAAGTGTGTTTCTTCTTCAATCTATATGTACACATGTTCACCAAATGTCCTGTTTGTGGGATCACTATTCATAACAGCCCAGCACTTAAAATTAGGACAATGCCCATCAATATGAAGAAATTTTGGATGAATAAAATGTGGTGTATTCACACAATGGAATACTTCACAGCAATGAGAATGGATTAACTATAACCCCTTATGATATGGATGAATCTCATAAACATAATTTTGAGTGAAGAAAGCCTGAGACAGTAAATACTGTATGTGGTAGGCAGATTTCTAAGTGGTCCTCCAAGATTTCATGACCCTGGTGTACACAGACCGTCTCCCAGTTATCCAATCAAACACTAATCTAGGTACCACCATAAAGGAATTTTGCACATGTAATTAAAGTCCCAAATCAGTTACCTTAAAATAGGGAGATTATCTAGGTGGGCCTGATTTAACCACATGAGTTCCTTTAAAAGCAAAGTATATTCCTGGACTGCTTGCAGAATCAGAAGTCGGAGAGTTGAAGCTTGAGGGAGACTGATATGAGAGAAATTCTCTGTTGCTGGCTTGAAAGTGGAGGAGGGCTTGTGACAAGGAATGTAGATGACCTCTAGTTGTTGAGTGTGACCCCTGGTTGACACCCAACAAGAAAATAGAGACCTCCGTTTTTTAACTGCAAGGAAATGAACTCTGCCAACAACCAGTGAGCTTGGAAGAGGACCCCAGGCCCCAGATGAGATCACAGCCCTGGCTGATACCTTGATTTGAACCCCATAAGCCCCTAAGAAGGGAATCCACCCACACCGTGCCTGGATTTTTGACCTACAGAAACTCTGAGAATAGATCTGTGTTGTTTTAAGCTGTGGTATCTGTGGCAATTTGTTACATAGCAATATAAAATTAATACACTCTGTGATTTGATTTATATAAAGTACAAAAGCAGGCCAAACAAATCTATGCTGATATAAATCAGAAATAGTGGCCACTGGTTGGGATTTGTTGACTGGAACGGGGCACAAGAGAGGCTTTTGAGGTGATGGCAGCATTTCTTGGTATGAGGGCTGATTACATAGGTATGTTCAGTTCATGTATGTTTCATCAATTGTACACTTATGTTCACTTTTCCAAGTGTATATTATAGTTCAATAAAATATCAAAAGCATACATCCAAAACATACATTTTCCTTTTCAAAAAAAACCCACAAAAACAACATTCTTTATTTTAATATGTGTATTCATATGTGTACTTGGTTACAATAAAGGCCCTCCAACATACAAAACAAACTGAAAACAGCAGCTACCTCAGGGGAAGGGAATGGAATTGTATGGGGGTCAAGAGGAATTTTTGCACCTTCTATGATATTTGAACATTTACAAAGAGTTTCAGTCAAGCCTTACTTGGGTTATTAAAAACATGAAGGCAGAAAAGTATTAAAACGTATGTATAAGCTGGGCATGGCGGTTCACATCTGTAATCCCAGCACTTTGGGAGGCCAAGCTGGGAGGATTGCTTGAGCCCAGAAGTTCTAGAACAGCTTGGGCAACACGGTGAAACTCTGTTTCTACAAAATATACAAAAATTAGCCAGGCATAGAGGCATGCACCTGTAGTCCCAGCAACCCAGGAGGCTGAGGTGGGAGGATTGCTTGAGCCCAGGAGCTCAACACCAGCCTGGACAACATGTCAAAACCCTGCCTCTATGAAAAATACAAAACATTGGCCAGGCGTGGTGGCATGCACCTGCAGTCTCAGCTACTCGGGAGGCTGGGATGGGAGAATTGCTTGAGCCCAGGGAGGTCGAGGCTGCAGCGAGCCATGATTGTGCCACTGCACTCCAGCCTGGGCAACAGAGCGAGACCCTGTCTCAAAAAACAAAACAAAACAATGAAAAATAATAACATCTGTATAGATCCAATGATGTATTTGAACAGGGTAATTCTTGTCTAGATTGGATATAAACATTCACCTAGGGCTGTGATTTGAAAGACATTAAGAAGTTCCCAGACATCTCTCCTGCTTTGTTTAATAACAGTAACTGCCATTTGTTGGATACCCATTCTCTGTAAGGGCCTGTAAAAGGCCTTTTATGTATATTATCCTCTAGCTTTACATGCATACCTTACAAGGTTGTTGATTAGTATCATACCTATTGTACAGAGACAGAGGAGGAAACTGAGGCACTGGTAGGCTAACTGCTTGCCTAAGGCCACACAGTTAGTAAAGAGCAGAACTGAGTTTCAAATCCTGGTCTGATCCTAGAGGGTGTGCTCTTTGTATTACAGTTGCCTGCTCCTTTAATGGTCTTATTGACTCTTACCCTGGTATAAATTATTCATTCATTTCATTCTAAATGGAACTTTGGGAAAGGGAATCCTCTGAGTCCCTCACACCACGGTGGAAATGAGTGTTCCTCAGGTTACATTTTCCCTCATTGGCGTTGCAGGGCACCTCCAGGTATGGTGGGAAGTCTGGGAGAGTGGGTCTAATATAGAAAGATGCTGTGTCCCAGAAAGGGTAGACTCAGATGCTTCTCAATGTTCTCCAAGGGTGACTGGCTGCTCAGAGTTACCCAGTATCCCCCTGGGGGCTTGGCCCAGCGTAGTTTCAAGCCACAGGCTTTGTTATGTGAATTTCAGCTTGCTCTCAATATGATCCCTCCTGTAGAGAATATATTAATAACCTTAGTGCAAACACTGTAGACATGGAAAGTGAAATCCAATCCCTGCCCAGGAGATTCCAATCCTCAAGACATAAGGACCAAGCTATCCATCGAATTGCAAAAGAGTTACAATGGAGGCAGCTGACTCAAGCTTGGACTTGACTAAGAATTCACTGAATACCGGGGAGTGAGCCTGAGACCTGACCTCCAGGCCAGCTTTGCAAAGGCACTCCGGTTACTGAGATAAAAGAACAGCCTGTGGCACTGACCAAGAGCCTTTGCAGCAGACTTCTGAGAAAAGGACAGGAAGAGGGCTTGTTTAGAGTACTCTGTTTATTTAGCTTTTTGAGAGTTCTTATATTCTTTTATGTGAAGAATGGTCTGTAAATATTGCTAAGAGGAGCTCCTACCTTGTCATTTCAGACTAGTACAGGGGGTATTGGTGGAGAGGAGGGACAATTAAGCCTGAATCTTCTACCCTCAGTTTGTCTGAGTATTAGATGAACGGTAGTGTTACAAGGCAGAGCAAAAGAATAAAATACATCTTTATAGTGATTTTTTTAGAAGGGTCTCACTCTGTCACCCAGGCTGCAGTGCAGTGGCGTGATCATGGCTCACTGCAGGCTCAACCTCCCAGGCTCAGGTGATCCTCCCACTTCAGCTTCTGAATTAGCTGGGACCACAGGCGTGCCCCACCATGCCCCACTATTTATTTATTTATTTATTTATAGAAACAGGGTCTTGAACACCTGGAATCAAGCAATCTGATCCTCCTGCCTCTGCCTCTTAAAGTGCTGGGGTTACAGGTGTGAGCCTTGTGCCTTGTTGTGAATTTTTTTACATCATACTAATCTCCCTCATCATTTGATGAAATCTATATCAGCTGTTAAGTTTTTGATGAAACTAATGATGAATAAAAATAATTCTCTGTTGATATCCAGCCTAAAATGTCTCTGTTTAGAATGTCATGTTATGAGCATCTAATGTGGATGAAAAATCAAAACTAAACGTATTTCCAGATTACAGCCAACAAAGAAAATTGTCTGTCCTGCATTCTTGCAATCATCCTGGTAAATTATTGTTGTTGTTATTGTGGTTGTTAGTTTGCTATTGCAACAGCATCTTAGCATCTCAGCTGGCATAAGATTTGTCCTTGATAAGTGAGCCAAAAGCTGTTCATCTGGTAATTCATTAGCTGGCTCTCTTCCAGAAGACTCTGGAACACTAAATGTCAGTTTTTGCTTTGACTTGCTACCAACCACTGGCAAGATATAGAACAATGGAAACATTTAGGGTAAAATGCAGAGTGTCTTCTTGTTTAAACTGTGCCTATCCTGGTCCCTCTTCTCCCTGTGAAAAGCAGCTTATTGACTTGGTCTAAAAAAATCAACTATTTGCTCTGCAACTGAGTTGTGCATGTTGACACAGCCCGTACTGTGTTTGTGAGGCTACATACTGCTCTCTTGATGAAAGACTCCGCCATGTCACGCTCTTGTCACTGCAGATTGAGGGTGGAATTTGTAGCTGGGGAGGGCTAGGACACTTTGTATACAACCCTGTGAACAAGGAAGGGACTGATGCCCTGAGTACAACAAGAAAAGGTGGTCAAAACAGTTTCTGTCAGCAAAAGTTCCTCTTTCTGGGACCAAGACAAAAAAGAATGGGTGGGTGGGCAGATTGATTAGCTCCTCCAGGCCCTCCCAATGTTCAGTAGGGAGGCTTTTCTGGCCATTCCAGACATCTGTGAACCATCCGCTGAGTGTCACTGCATTAGAGCTAGTGCCACAGATTAGTCAGTCATTATCCTCAGGCTCTTGCATATTAGGTGTATTATATTTCCTTATATCGATGGTAAGTTCTCTGAGAATGTGGACTAGTCTCTGTTGAAGATATTGGGTACCTGGTAAAATGTAGTTAGTGGAAAGAAAACATTTTAAGTCATAAATTGGCAAGTAAGGGGAAAAACTAACATTTCTTGAGCACCTCTTCTGTCCCAGATCCGTTGTGAGGTGCTGTGGGCATTGTCTGACATTGGTATGTGTGCTTGGGGGAGCTAAGGGAGAGGTCAGAAGTGGCAATTCCACACGTTATGTGACCCTAGCCATGTTTCTTCAGCCCTGAGGGACTCCATTTCCTCATAAATAAAGTGAGGACACTAACAGCAGCCTTGCAGAATTATTGTAAAGATCCAATCAGTGTCTGTGAAAATATTGGGTAAACTGTGAAGCCCTAGACTAAATGTGATTGTTATTGAGCATTATGAAGAATTTTTAAAAATGAAGAAGCCAAGGTCCTAGACTTTCAGAAGGCTATTGTTTAGTAGAGTGGACAAAGTTGCTTGTGACATTTCCCAAAGATAACAGTGTCAGATCATGCGGGTGACATCCCAAGGTTGTGTGTGTATTGAGTTGTCTAGTCAGCAGTGTCTTCATCTCTGCTTCCCTCTTTACTAAAATTCAGGCTTTGGGCTCTCTATCTTCTTCACTGCTCTCAGAGCATGTGCATGACAGCATGTGTCCATGTGTGCTCACACACGCACACACACAATCCCTCTCTGTCCAGCTCTCCTGCCTGGGATGAGGATTATCTAAGTCTCTTGACATTGTATTTTGGAACAGGATGTCTCATATTCTCCAATCAAACTCAGACACCCTGGAGCTGGATGATGATCAGGGAGACATTAGAGTTATTATTGGCTCGTGACTTAGATAGATCTGGGTTCAAGTTCCACCTCTATAATTCCTAGTTGTGTGGCTGTAATATGGAACTCCAGTTTACTCATTTGTAAAGTAAGTACAACAGAAGTAACTATCTCATTGGGTTGCTGGCAATGCTAATTGAGATAGTGCATGCAAAGCGTTTAGTACAGTATCTGACATACAGCAGATGTTCAGTGTTCAGTATGTGAGCTACTATTGGCACTATTTGCTAACCATCCTGAGGTCAACCTACAGGAGACACCACTATAGCCAGCCATCCTGATCACTGTGCAGATCTTTGAAACTGGCACCCTCGACAACAGGTAGACCCCTCTCCCCATGCCTGTTGCATTTCTAACCCCTTGTTGAGCGCTACCAACCGCATTTTGTCTCTTCTCATTGGGGATTTGAATATCATCTTCTGCTTCAGCTAAATCTCCCACATGATGATAACCATTAAGGCAACTTTCTTCAGTACAGAAGATAAATATTCAAAGTGCTTATTACCAAGTTCATTTCCCTCATCTGCTCTAATGCTGTAGCTTTCTGCATTTTTATGCCATTTTGTGAAATGTGGATCTTGAAAATACGTATTAAAGAAGCAAGTCCTTTCTCAGGTTTTACTATAAAGCCCAGTTAAGGGCTTTAGGAGCCTCTGGTCTGGCTCTTTCTTATTAAAAATTAATTTTCATTTAGTCTGTGACAAGTATGGCTTCTCTAAAGTAATTTCTCTTTTCCTGGATTATGCTTATAAGGCATTTCCTTTCCAGCCCATTTGAATGACAAATAAATCCTTTTCCTGGGAGCAACTTTGGCCTTGAAGCCTGCTTCCTTCAAATTCTCCAGGTTGACCTAAGATATAATTTTCAACTCTTGTATTTTAGTATTCAGAACTAGGACTCCCACAGAGACCAGTCATGCAATGGGTGTGTTCCTCTCTTGCTGAGATCCCAGAGTATAAACATAAATGGGAAACTGTGGGTCAGGCAAGGCCATTTTTGTTTTTATCATTACCGTTATTAAAACCTACCTTAGGCTGTTGTGTTAGCTGGAGGTCACTTCTTTATTTTTATTTTGAGATGAAGTCTTGCTCTGTTGCCCAGGCTGGAGTGCAGTGGCATGTTCTCGGCTGACTGCAGCCTCTGCCTCCCAGGTCCAGGCGATTATCCTGCCTCAGTCTCCCAAGTAGCTGGGATTATAGGCACACACGACCACACCCAGCTAATTTTTGTATTTTTAGCAGAGATGTATTTTAGTAAAGTTTCACCATGTTGACCAGGCTGTTCTCGAACTCCTGACCTCAGGTGATCCATCCACCTCGGCCTCCCAAATTGCTGGAATTACAGGCATGAGCCGCTGCGCCTGGCCTTGGAGGTAAGTTCTTGACATGACTTTTTCCCAATCTTTCAGCCTTGACTTTACCATCCAAGTCAGTAGAGGCCCAGAAGCCTTATTTTCAACTTTCTGTCTTATCCCTATGATCTGAGAAACTTTGCTCCTCATTTAAGTCCTTCTTCCGCTTTTGTGACTCAGTGACTAACTGGAGGGTCATATTTGGTAGTGTATCTTTGCTGACACAACAGCCAGAAGAGAGTGGTGTCCCTCCCCAGCCTTCTCATTAGCTAGCATAGCTCAGATCACATAAGGCTCCTGCTGGGAGGGGCTTTCCCGGTCATCTAAGGCAGCCCCTCATTTTACGAAAGTTGGCAACTAAATCCCAGAGACATCAAGTGACTCACCCAGGGTCACACAGTGAGCCAGAGGCAGAACTGGGACTCAAACATTGTTTTCTTGGCATCCCACTTGGTGCTTTTTCTACTCTGCCACTGTGAACTGGTGCTGCCAGCCCAGGGCTCAGTTGATGGGGCTTGTTCAGCTAAGGCTCAAGCAGGATGAATGCAAACTTGACCTTGTTTTTTAATCCCAACTGCTGTGGTTTGACTAGTTGCTCAAATGGAAACCCCTCCGGCCAGATCAACCATTAACTTTTGAAGTGAATGGAGCTTAAAATTAGTGTCAAGAGTTTAAAGTAGGGCTCGCCCCGTAAGCTCTCCTCTTTACTTACCTATAGCTCTCTATCTCAGCTCTCCAAGCATCTCCTCCAGTGCCCTATTTTCTGTGTTTCCTAGTATCCCATGGGAAGGACCATTCATTAGGGTTAAGCAATGCCATCTCCTCTTTTCTTGTTGATATATCTTGGAAGGGGACACGTGTATTTGTCCCATCCCTCAATGTGACACAGTGGATCAGAGGCTTTCCTCCTCCATGGGACATGAGCCAGGAGAGCACTAGAGAGACATGGAGGGAGGGTGAGAAAAGACTGCAGATAAAAAAATAGGATGTGGCAAAGCCAGCCTAGGACAAAATTAGGCCCATAGCCAGTTGCCTGTCATTAAGTATATGTGTGTTGCTACTGTGAAGATATAACAAAGATATCAAATCAAAGACATTGAGTCAAAAGAGGCGGAAAAAAGCAAGCATTTTCTGAAGGTCTGCTTTTTCAAGAACTAGACTAAGTGTTCTCAGTAGATTATTTTAGTTAACTCGCATGACAGCCCACTGAGGTAGCCATCATTAACCTCATTTTCATGGATGAGAAAATTGAGGTTCTGATGAACTCACAGAGCCCTAATTAAACCCCACAGGGCAGTGTGCTCTCCAAACCTATGCTCTCTTCTCTTTAAAAGCACTCATTTGAGATTGGATTCCTCTTTACTATACCCCTAAACCAGCTTTTTGGAGGTACCTGGTCAGGCTACTTTCTTCTTCTTCTTTTTTTTTTTTTTCTCTTTTTTTGAGACAGGGTCTCACTCTGTCACCCAGGCTGGAGTGCAGTAGTATGGTCATGGCTCACTGCACCCTCAATCTCTCAGGCTCAATGGATCCTCCAACCTCAGCCTCCCGAGTAGCTTGGAACCACAGGTACATGCCACGACGCCCAGCTAATTTTTTGTATTTTTTTTTTTTTTTTTTTTTTTTGTAGACACGGGGTTTCACTATGTTGCCCAGGCTGGTCTCAAACTTCTGTGCTCCAGCGATCCACCTGCCTTGGCCTCCCAAAGTGTTGGAACTACAAGTGTGAGCCACCAAACCGAGCCCAGGATATTTTCTAAGAGTGGAAACTGAGGCCCAAAGAAGTGAGATGACTATTCCAGGAACAGTCTGGCCTGCTGCCTATGGTTGCTAGGCCTTGGCTTATTGTAGCTTTAAAAGCCCTGCATGAGCTGACTCTTCCATTCGTTGTCAGTGAAAAGTGGGAATTTTGGCTGGGCACAGTGGCCCATGCCTGTAATTCCAGCACTTTGGGAGGCCGAGGTGGGTGGATCACCTGCGGTCACAAGTTCGAGACCAGCCTGGCCAACATGGCCAAACCCCATCTCTACTAAAAATACAAAAAGTAGCCAGGCATGGTGGTGCATGTCTGTAATCCCAGCTACTTGGAGGTTGAGGCATGAGAATCGCTTGAACCCAGGAGGTGGAGGCTGCAGTGAGCTGAGAACATACCACTGCACTCCAGCCAGGGTGACAGAGTGAGACTCCATCTCAAAAAAAAAAAGGGAATTTCACTGCTAGTGAAATGGTGGGAACCCTTCATCAGTAGAGGGCCGGTCATTGGGCTGCTTGTTCACAGGGTTGGGTCTACTATGAGCCCCATTCCAGTGCTTATCCTACCTTCTCAGCACATATTCATTTAGCATATACAGCACCCTGGCACCTCCTTTTTTTTAACTCCTTGAGCCCCACGTTTTGTTAGGCTAGAAAAATAAAACTCAGTGTTCTGTGGGGGAAACTAAATGACTATTGAGAGTGATGCATATAACACACCCAGCCTGTTTATAATATTAAAGCCTGAATTGCCGGACAGTGTTTTCATTAAGTACTGCTATTCATTCCGTTTGGAGAGACACGTAAGAACAGAAACCAGTCAACTCAGTAGTTTGCATGCCTTCCATCTTTGTGACAGAATTGCCTATTATTGAGAGTATGAACGTTTTCACAAAATGAGAGACAGCTAGAAAGCCAGGGTTGAAGAGAATGCTCAGGATGAGGGGAAGGCATAATCTATGCTTTCTGGAAAGAATGTCATGCTTTCTTTAATATGAAGTTTCCACTATTTCTGTTCTAATTTGAACAGGGTACCCTGCTGTCACCCTTGTAATATGGGCCCAGAACAACTGCAGCTGCTGCTGGCCTGGTGGGATCCAGTGATGCAAATGCCACAGAATGCAGGTAGAACCAGGTCTAAGTCATTCCCCCCGGGCTAAGGCCCTGAGTCTTTGGCAGTCCTTCAGCCTTTGAGGAAGACAGTAAAGGTAAACATGTGACAAGGAATGTCAGATCAGGGAAGTGCCTCTTGAATCACAAAGTCAACCTTGCCATCTCACAGATAAGGAAGTTGAGCCCAAAAGTGAGCAAGTGGCTTCCTCAGGGTCATATATATATATATATAGTCTCATTAGTGTCAGAGTCAAGACATGAGCCCAGGTCTCTGGACTCCCAGGCCAGTGCTCTTGTAACTACCTCCCACTGTTGTCTCAGATTACAGGAACCAAATGCATGTCTGGCCTTGTGCTGCTTCGCATGCAAGCCAGGCTGACCTTTATGCTCCCAGAATCATCAGCCTTTTCATTGGAAACCATGGAAGGACGGTTCTGGGAAAATAATGAAAATCATACCACACCATAGAGACAACCAGAAGCCCTGCTCAGATGACAGAGTTCTCCTCGCCTTCCAGGTACTGAATCCCAAATATATGCATACACAGCAACTCCAGTTGGTGTTAGAATTAAGGAGATGGAAAACCGAACACTTGACAGTTCGGCCAGTTCTCTTCCCTTTTTTTTTTTTTTGCCTCCTACCCCCAGTCTTTCCCCAAAAGGCCAAAATCTAGAGCATTTGAGCCTTTGTCATTCACTGCCTGAGAGGAACTGGCTCCTGGGAGCAGAGACCAGCCGAGATTACAAGAAGCCTCTTCAACATGCAGCCAAGGCCCAGCCTTGGCCTCGGGAGAACATGGCTCTTGGGACACACGTAGGAAAAATTCCCTGCTTCTCAGCAAAAAGCCTCTTCAATCCTGGAGGGATCTTCTGAGGTTTGTGGGACTCCCTGCTCCCCACAAAGACTGTTTTCTTATACTTCCAGGAGCCCTGATATATGAATTCCTGTATGAGAGATTCATTTCTTTGTTCCTCACAGCATGAGGGGGTGGAGGAAGGGCTTCTAAATGCAAAAATCCTAGTGACATATTATATCTCAGAAACTGAACTTTACAGCCCCACCTTGTCCCTCTTGCTCTGCAACTACCAACCTCACTGGCCCTTTCTCTGAAGGTTGGACTGTGAGTGTGTGTGCAGGTGTGTGGACACCTTCCTTTTCACAACTCAAATGAGTAAAACCTGACTTTTCCCCCCGTACTGTTTACCACCTCCCCCTTCCCTCCACCCAAGGCACTTTCTTGTGTTCCAATGCCACTAATCCCTCTTACAGTAGAAACTCCGTAGTTTAGCTGCTGAGGGCTTGAATTTGTGACCCACCTGTTTCAGAAATATTTTCCTAGGGACCCAATGAATGCCATTACATACAAAGGTGGTGTAATGGCAGGGAATCTTTATGCGACACCATGAGGAGAGCCACCTATTGGGTAGGCTAAAGAGGTTGACTGCAGTGAGTGGCCAAGCAGAAGGCAGGGGCAGCTGGCAAGCAGAGCTCCGGGGCCACCCCCATAGCTTCCCACTACCCTGGCTCACACCCTAAGCTGCCCTCAGGGGGAGCAGGCCTAGGACTACCAGCCTGGGCACCAGGGGAGCTCTTGGGGAAGCTGAGAGGTCAACCTTGTAAGTTACTGCATCTGGCTTCTTCGCACAAGTTCATTGGGTTTTCAGAGTGTTCCTGGAACCTCAGGACAGGAGATGCCTGGAGTGCTAGAAATTCAGGATTCCCAAAAAATCCACTATCCCTTATGTCTGCAGCTGGACAAAGGGTCCCTCACGGTCCCCAGTAGGTTTGGGGGCACGTAGAAGTCTAGCCAGGGCTGGGAATTCTAGGGGGTGGTAAAGACAGGGTGCACAGCCACAGAATTGCCTGAGAACGGCCTGTTCCTTATTTGGCCTGTGACGCAGTTGGCACATTGAGCTTAGAGCAACAGGTAAACACAGCCTCACATTTGGAGTGGCCTAAAGGTTTCTACATTTCATCCCCACGGTGACTCAGTTGGTCAAAACAGGGGACATAATTGGTCCTATCTTACAGACAAGAAAACTGAGGCTCAGGAGGGGCAAGTGATTATCCCAGTGCTGCCCAGGGACAGATTTCCCAGGACTTCTGGACTATTCTTAGGCTTGCCGCTTCATGGCATAGATAGAACAGGAAACGGATGGAGCAGAGCTCAGCAAGGGAGATACTGGGAGAGCCTGTCTCCAGGAGGGACATGCCCCCACCCCAGGACTCAGCTCGTGGTCTGCATTCTCCCACTCAGTGGCCCCAGTGCCAACAGCACTGCTCAGAAACACTGCTGCCAACCGGTGCCCCTTCTGTAGCAGTGGGACTGGAGGGAGTTGCACACTCAGTCACGGAAACACCAGTGTCCTGATGTACAGCAAGCCCCTTTGATCAATCAGATGGGGACAGACTGACTCCTGAGTTCCCAGGGTCCTTTTCCTGAAGGAACATCCATTCTTTCCCTGTTAAACCCTGCATTCCTGGTCCAGCAGCAGAAAAGAGCCTTTCGGACACTGGAGCTTGAGGAAGATCTGTGCCTATTTATTAGAGAAGGTGGTGTTAGTATCAGGAAATAGGTGGATGGTGCTGGGTTTCTTGGGTTCAAACCCTGGGGCTCTGCTGTGTGACCTTGGGCACATCCCTACCCCTCTCTGGGCCTCAGTTTCCTCATGTGTCACATTACCTTGGATTAGACGGTCTCACTCTGATGGAGTTTTTAGTTATGTATCCATTCATTCAACAAACCTTTTATGAGTCAAGCCCTCCTGCAGGCACAGGGTTTGGTACACAGGATTCAGCAAGAAGACAGTCTGTGCTCTAAAAAAGGTCAGATTCTCATTCTGTAATGCTTTTTGGTCCTGCTGTCTTTTTATCATGCTGACTTACCTTTTCAGAAAATGCCCCCGCTTCCGCTGGAGAATGGAAATTGGCAAAGAGAGACGGAAAAGCTCCAATTTGCGCCTTTGCTATTTTAGGAGAGGTTGAAATTACGAGCCAAAGTGGAGTGATGCGCTAAGCGGAGTGACCTCCGTACTCCAAGAAAAGAGAAAACCCAGGTTCTCTGCTTGTGAAGTGGCTCGAGCTCTTAGGCGTGAGGCATTATTATATAAATTCAAGCTCGCTCGTGATCCTTAGTACCCTGAGTTGCCTGAAGGGGGGAATGGCACTGCCTGCGTGTGCAGTCCGGGAGTTCGAGCCGCCGCGGCAACCGGAGCGAGGAGCGCCCGTCCGCACCACCTGTCCCCGCCGGCATTCCAGAGTAGAGGCCGAATTGGCAGCGAGCCGGCCCGGGTCGGTCGCCGCCTCAGTTCGCGCGGGCCCTCCTAGGGGTGTGTCTCACGGATTCCACACCCGGCCGCTCCTGGACAAGCCCCGAAAGGCGTCTTCTTCCCTGGCGGGAGCCGCGTGCGCCCCGCTTTTCGCGCTGCTGTCCCGGGGCCGCCGCAGGCGGATGCACGTCCTCAGGCGACGCTGGGACCTGGGCTCCCTCTGCCGGGCCCTGCTCACTCGGGGCCTGGCCGCCCTGGGCCACTCGCTGAAGCACGTGCTCGGTGCGATCTTCTCCAAGATTTTCGGCCCCATGGCCAGGTACGTTCTAGGTGAAAGCGGGGTTCGCGCTCCCAGGCCAGGGCGCGAAGGTGCTGTACGGGGAGGGAAGGCAGCCGCGGGGGGTAGAGAAGGGCGTAAAGTTCCAGCTGGCCATTGGTGGCCCGGCTAGGGTCTCCGGAGGGGTGCGGCGCGCATTTGCCCACGCCGCGGCTCCGTCGCTACTGTTCCGCGGGCACCGGCAGCGCAGCGTCTCCGATAGCAAGTCGGGCTGCCGGCCGGCTCATTCCCCCAGGGTAACTCTGAGCCCCCGGCTCCGAGCTCCCTCGAGGCCGCCTACCGGGTGGGCAAGCGGGCGCGGGCGCCGGCAAAAGGAGGGCTTCGGGGCATGCGGGGAGAAACCCGGACAGAGGTGTGCGCTCCAAAGAGGATAGGGGCAGAAGAGCCCGGAGAGTCCGGCGGACGAAGCGGGATGGGGATGGGAGCGGGAGCCACCGAGAGTGGAGCGAGACACGCGGGGGCCCGGACTGGGGGCGTGAGTTGAGGAGTGGGGCGACTGGGCCCGGAGGGGTCCCACTGGGGCTAAACCCCGTGGAGGGGCTCCGGGGAGCTCCGGAGAGCTCTGGCGGGGGGAGGGGGCGAACGGCCCGCGGGAAGGAGTCGGGGTGGGGGTGTGTGTGTGCCGCAGAAGCCACAGCGCTGAGCCTGCCGGGAAGGAAGGAAGCGGGGAAGGGAGCCGCCGCCGCAGCCGCCGCCGCCGTGGAGTACTCGGTGCGGAGGGGAGGGGGAGAGGGGCGCAGCAGCGGCTCCAGGGGAAGGGGGCGGTGCGGGGGCACGACGAGCGCGGGCTGAGCTGCGGGATTGACGTAACGAGCTTGGGTTTCCCCCAGCGTCGGGAACATGGATGAGAAATCCAACAAGCTGCTGCTAGCTTTGGTGATGCTCTTCCTATTTGCCGTGATCGTCCTCCAATACGTGTGCCCCGGCACAGAATGCCAGCTCCTCCGCCTGCAGGCGTTCAGCTCCCCGGTGCCGGACCCGTACCGCTCGGAGGATGAGAGCTCCGCCAGGTTCGTGCCCCGCTACAATTTCACCCGCGGCGACCTCCTGCGCAAGGTAGACTTCGACATCAAGGGCGATGACCTGATCGTGTTCCTGCACATCCAGAAGACCGGGGGCACCACTTTCGGCCGCCACTTGGTGCGTAACATCCAGCTGGAGCAGCCGTGCGAGTGCCGCGTGGGTCAGAAGAAATGCACTTGCCACCGGCCGGGTAAGCGGGAAACCTGGCTCTTCTCCAGGTTCTCCACGGGCTGGAGCTGCGGGTTGCACGCCGACTGGACCGAGCTCACCAGCTGTGTGCCCTCCGTGGTGGACGGCAAGCGCGACGCCAGGCTGAGACCGTCCAGGTGAGTGCGCGCCGGTAGTCGAGCGGGACCCGGGCCTAGGCGGGCGGAGGGCTGGGAGGCGCGGCTGGCCCAAGCCGGGGACCTAGCGCGCACCCTGACGCCCGGGCGTTTGCACCCCGGCTGGGCAGGTGCTGGGCGCCCAGTAGCGCACGTTCGCCGCGCTGTGGCGGCCACAGAAAGGCTTTCCGCTCCGGCCCCGGACTGACCGTCTGTCTGTCCGCAGGGTGGCCTGCGTGATGGTTGGCAGAGCGTGCGGGGGAGGCGGCCGAGCGGCCGGAACGGGGCCGCTGGGACGGGGCATCGTACTCAGTCTCCGCACTGGAGAGCCCTAAAGAGCCGCGCTCTCCGTGCAGCGTCTCTGGATCCCTGCTTTCTTCTACTCTGCACCCGGGTTCCGAAGTCTCCTTTCAGCGCTCTCTTCCTCCTTTCGGCGCCCGCATTCTTCCCTCCCCCCGCTTTCCCCCCTATTTCGTCTATTTGCCTTGTTCTCCCTCTTTCTCTCTTGTGTCCTAGATGTTGTCTGCTCCTGTTTGCTCGCTGTTTCCTTCTTTCCATTCCCCTCTCTCGCTTTTATTCTTTTTCTCTCTTACCCTTTCTGTTTTTCTCTTCTTGCCGGACTTTTATCACCTCGCTCCTTCCCCGCTCTGGCTCTGGTCTTCCCGGGCGACTGGGTGTCCCTCTGTCGCTATTTTCCGACATCCAAGGAGAGCTCATGGTTCCCAGGCTTGCTTATCACTACTGGCTGCATGAGAGGCATCCGTGGCTCTTTGGGAGTGGCGGGGGGCACCCCGCGGACCGAAGGGCGGGCTGGGATGGTGCCCTGGACCCCATGTGGGGTTCAGTCACCAGGAGCCTCTCCTGATTTACAAAAAATATTTAAAAAGCTTGAGCCCCAGCATGGGGCGCTGCCAGCCCATGTTCTGTGAGCCTGGGCTGATGCGGTAAAAGCTGATTTATTAATAGTCTGTAGCCAGAAGCAAGGGTATTTTCCTCCCTCCAGACGCGATGTCCAGTTGCTAGAGGTCATGCAGTACTGTAAAGTGGGTGGTGGTGGGGTGGGGGAAGTGAGTGCTATGGGGTGCAGTTAGTCCAGCCAGGGCTACTGTTTCGCAAGTCTCCTTAAAACAAATCTGGGCTGAAGCAGGGAGTCCAGGGGGTGCACAAGGTGAGTTTCATGGCCTGGAGGCCTCTGGATGGGGTCTCTGGGCCGGCAAGGACATGTCTGTGTCCCATCCCCATCCCCCGGGTGCACTTGGTACCCTGGACAAGGGGATGCTTTGCAGGTGACTGTTAGAACGCAACAACCAGTGTGGATTTTTCTGTCCAACTGCAGCAAATAGAGCCCTAGAGCCCTCTGACTTTCAGATTACCATTGAGATTTAAGGGGAACATCACCCCCTGGCTCTCCTCTTCACTCTCTCTTCTCTCAGTTTACACTGTCCTTTCTCAAATGCTGGAATTGTGTCAGAATCTGCCAAACTTGTATTTCCTTTCCAATACTAACAAATTTTTTCTTCCACCCCAAGAAAACCTTAGCCCCAGGACCTCAATCCATTGGTACAATTGTGTAAGTCATTGTCACAACAATATTCTGGTGTTTAATAAGTTCCCAAACAATTTGGCAATATTGAAAAGAATTTCTCATACTGACAGACCTTGTAGGTGTATTGAGAGGTGGTAATATTTAAAAAGCTCTTCTGGGCAAAAGTAGAATTCCACAGCCATGACTATAGCAGAGAAGTGAAAACAAGGTCTTGGTCACCATGAAAGCCATGGCCTTGTCTGGAGTTCCATGGGGCACATGTGCCTTTACTGATCCTTTTGAACATGTAGGTCAGAGTATGATGTCTATAAACACACATTATTAATGTGGTCTAGATTATCTGTTTGGTGGCTACTGTCCTCTGGCAGATTCCTTCCCGCATTCTCCAGAAGATAACCAGAACCCCTCAAAGCCTCTTGGATTGTCCCAAATTGAAGCAAAATTATTTGAAATGACATAGGATTTTCTTGGTTATTAAAAGGGTGATACTACAGTAGCATCTAGTCTAATCAAAGAGCAACCATGTTCTAAAAAGTCACAGTTACTGGATTTTACGGTGTTTGCAAAAATGAAATAAAACTTGCTAGAGAAATGCATTGCTACCTCAAGGGCACCTTTTTATTTCATTCATTCCTGCCCACCTCCAGAAATATTCACTTTGAAGAATAGGGATAGCCTAGGGGTTCCAGAATTTCTCTGGATGTTGACAGATCCCCTAGGAGGTTGCAGGACCAGTTCTGTGAGTTCTGATAATCTGTAAGAGCTAAGGTGTGCATGTGTGTGTGAGAATGAGAGAGTGTGTGTATGTGACTGTTGTATGTGTCTGTGCGAGGCAAAAATTTAGAGGTAAAGGCAGCTGCACCGATGGTGAAATGTGGGGGTGAGAAGCTGGTGTCTGGAAATGGGAGAGTCTGCTTTTGGGAGTTCCTGTGTCAAACAGCCTCTCCATGCCAGCTGGTGGTCTCTGTGCTCCTCTCAACTGAGGGGAACAACAGTTCCACCTTTCTGGCCTGGGAGTTCAGACAGCTGGGCCTTAGTTCTAGGCCAGCCACTAACCAGCCATGTGACCCTCGACCAGATCCTGTGTAGAGAGTGCACTCCAGTTTATGATAAGCGTTCATATCCCTTATCTCTGGTATTCCTCTGTAAACCTGCACCATCTTCAGCAAGAGGCCAGAGTGGACAAAAGGATCCCCATTTATCAGATGAGAATGAAGCCCAAAAAGGCTAAAGGGCTTCCCCGGGGTCACTGAGTTTTTTTAGCGGCACAGCAGGAATCTGACTGCACTTCTGTCTGACTCCACAACCCTTGCTCTGTTGACTGCACCTTGATGAACAAGGGTTTTTTGCAAAACCACAGTGAGGTCTTGAGTTAGTCATTCCCACAAAGTGAATGAACACAATAAATGTTGGCTGTTGTTGTTATCACCTACATCATTATCATCGTCAGTCATTTTACAACATGTGAGTTTGGATGAGTTTTTGGGCCAGGATTACCACACCCATTGGGAGAAGAACGGATTTCTACATCCCTAAGGCTTTCTATTCACTGGGGATAGGTTTTGTGGCTAGATTGCAGAGGGGTCTTTCATTGCCATGTTGGGAATCCCTGCAAAGCTGAGCAGGATGGGAGCGGGCTGAGGCCTGGTTGGATGAGCTTCAGTAGGAGCCTTCAGCTGCGACAGGAACCACCTACTGACTCACAGCCATTCATCCACATTAGGGAGGTATCAGAGGCTATTGTGGCTGCAAGCCAAGACTCTGAATCCTGCTTCCAGTGCTACATTTGGGATGCTTCTCTGCCTCCGCGGATGGTTAAGTGCTTGGGTGATATATAACTGCTGAATAGAAACAACCGTGATCACGTTGCCTGGAGAGGACAAAGAGAGAGAGAGAGAGAGAGCTTGGCTGGTGAAAGGCTCAAGTTGTTTATTAAGAATAATATTTCTTTAAAAAAAATCAGAAATTGGATTTCATCCATCTGTCTGCCAGTATGTTGTTTGCAGTCACTCAGGGTCCTGCTCATTTTAGAATTTCTGAGACCATTTTTGAAAGTGTATCCAAACATTGTTGCTCACAAGCTGTTAAAAGTCCCAAATTCTGCAGGCTTTTCTTAGGCCAAATTTCCTCTGTTTGTAGCCAACTCTAGTGTGCCATTTGTTCTGTAGAGGGAATTCAGAACTGGGCCCAAAGAAATAGCACTAGCCCCCTTCTTCATCACTAAGTATCATGCTGGCCAGCATGCACAGAATGGGGTTGAGAGGTCAGGGTCCATGGCTATACAAGTCAAAGAATCTGATCATATTCATGTTGTACCCTAGACTTTTAGCATCTCTAAAATTTTCAGTTTGGATGAGTGATTGGGCCGGGGGTACCACACCCATTGGGAGAAGAACAGATTTCTACATCCCTGAGGTGTTTTATTCACCAGGGGTAGGTCTTGTGGCTAGATTGCAGAGGGGCCTTTCATTGCCATATTGGGAATCCCTGCAAAGCTGAGCAGGATGGGAGCAGGCTGAGGCATCTGGAAGAGTAATTAATTATCATCTCAAATCCAGTAGCATATCATTGATGGGAAAGGACTAAAAAGTGTTTGTTTAGATGGAGAAAAGCTTTTTTTGGTCATTCTATTTTTTTTTAATTGTGGGAAAAGCTTTCTTTTATTCCCATTTGTTTTTAAAAGGTGGCTCTATTTTGAAAGAGCTGTAACTATAGAGTGTGTGTACCTGATCATGCCTCACAAGCCCACGCTTTCCCTCTTTCTTCTCCTTGATTTTGCAGTGAGGCAAAATGACACAACAGGCTTGTGATATAGGCTGAGGCATTAAGCAGAATGGACTGTTACAGCCAGTGGTCAGTACTGGTCGTGTGGTTCATCAGGCTCTAAGCTGTTGGGCTCAGTTTTACTTAGCTGAGGATACATTTCTTCAGCTGTCTTTGAGAGCTGTGGTACCATCTTAGCTATTTCATAGAAGAGGGGGAGAAATCTACCATTACAATATCTGTAGAATTCCAGTAGTATTAATTAGCATCTTTGCATGGATGTCGAACATGGTGTTGGAGTCCTTACAAAGCTGTAAGTTCTCAGGTAGTACAAAAGGCTATTCAGAATTAACATCACTTAATAATAATTTTAGATCAGTGCTATGGGGCAATTAAAATGCTAGAGCTTGTCTTTCATGGATATCAGTCATCAACTGAGGTAGTATGTAATGACATTAAAAGAATAGCCATCCGTTTTTTTCTGTCATTCATTAAGCAAGATTTTGTGAAACTGTTCATTATATTCCAGGGAAGAGACATCATTCTCTGTCTCACAGAGCTTATGGTAGAACAGAACAATTTAGTACTTTAGATATTTAATTAAAAAATGGATTTTGTTTGAAAACAATTTGAAAATCAATAATGTCTTTAAAATGTCATACATTTACCAGAATATACAAAAAATAGACAAAAGTCCATCTGTTATGTTGTAGTTTGGGTCTAATCGGCAAAGCAGATGGAGTAACTATTATGTCTCTGGCATGGTGCTAGCAGTTGTGGGGAGATTAGAGCCAAGAAGAAACCAAAAAAGCCAAGATAACCATCTTCAGCCTCAAGTCCATAAAGATTAGCATGTGAAGTGCAGGACTATGTCATGTAGACAGGTGCTGGGAGAGGAAATTTAGATTTTGGACAGGCCCTTTTCCTTCCCTTGGTCTCAGTGTCTTATCTATAAAATTGGAGATTTAAATGACATGCTTTCCAGGGCCCTTTCCTTTCTAAAGTATGAGGAACAGGCCAGAAAAAGGAGACATCCTTTTGAGAAGGCCTCTGGGAGTAGGAGAGTTGTATTAAGAAGAAAGGAGGCATTGTGGGTGGGCACGGAGTCCTCATGACCTTTTGAGGTCCAGCAACCTCACCTAGGCAGGTCTGGCCAGACCCGAAAGGTTCATGCTTGGAGTAATAATGGTTAGGGAAGTAGATGGGGTTAGGCTCCACTGTGGAGGACTTGAATGGCAATGAGGAACCCCAGTAAGTATGAGAAGCTCTTGGATGGAAAGAGTGCAAAAACACCATGAAAGTAAATAAAGGTCGGAGTCTAGGTAAAGCTATCTCCCTGATATCTAGTCTGGAATGTAGGTGGTACCAGCCACCAAAACAGAGAGGTTGAGAAGGGGATCTGGTTCGGGCTGGAGAGTACTAAGAAGTCATGACTGGTTCCTGTTGCCTAGATTTCTAGTGGACAGGACTTATAAGGAGGTGACAACTGGGGCTCTGGGGCAGGTTAGGGCTCCATCGTACATTATATGTGGGAATCTGTGGACCCAGTTAATCTGAATTCACAATTGGCGTTGTTATTTAAGTGATAGCTGCAATTCACATATGGGACTCTTAGCCAAGGAAAAGGATGTTTGAATAAAGGAAAAAAGATCAATAGTTATGATTACATAAGAATAAGATATGCTTATCTGTCAAAAAAAAGCCAAAACGAAAAGGTTTCAAACTGGTAATAATATGCACAATTACAACAGACACAAAGTTGAAATCTTTACTGTACAAAGAACTCTCACGAGCTGATTAGAGAATCAAAGGACATGACCAGACAATTTACAACATAGGACCCCCAACTAGTTTGCAGACATGGAAAAACTGTTTTATTTCACTGGTACTAAAGAAATGCACATTTAAACATAGAATACTTTTTTTGCCTCTCTAACCCTGATTAAAACAAACAAACAAACAAAGCAAAACCCAACATATATCACCACCAAACAAAAAAAGTAGACAGTGCTGACAAGGGCATGGTAAATATCAAAATTCTCATACATTGTCAGTGGGAATGTAACTTGAATGATCTTTTTGGAAATAAATAGTGTAAACACAGAATATAAAAATATTTATTTCTATGACCCATAATTTCTTTTCTGGGATTTTGCAGAAAAACATACTTTTATACATGCTTTCATTCATTCACTCATTTATTTATTGATTCAGCAAATATTTATTGAGTATCTGGTATCCCTGTGCTATGTGCTGGGGTTACCGGGAAGAACCAGGTAGATGTGGTCCCTGCCTTCGTAGGAGTGGGAAAGATAGACAGAAAACAAATTATCAATTACTTAAAATTATATGAAGTGCCATGGGGGAAAAGTACAGGATGCTATGAGAACACATACTAGGAGACTAACTGGAGTTATCATAAGTGCAACAAATTGGAAACAATCTGAACATCCACATGGAGAAGAATGGTTCAAGAAATCTCAGTACATCCACTTGAAAGATTATTACAAAACCACTTAAATGTCCTTTGATAGAGCATGGAAAATTGCTAGTGATTTAATGCTAAGAGAAAAAGAGATAGAAAATTATGGACCCAGTACGACTACAATTATATTAAAGAAAAAAAGATAGCGAGCGAGCGAGCGAGAGAAATCATCTCCTACCCCTCCCAAATCTAAGCATAAAAGACAGAGACTGGAAGAAAAAAATAATAGAATATAAATAGATCTATTAGTGATTTATTTTCTTATTCTGCTTTTCTGAAGGTTTTGAGTTTTCTTTGAGTCTACATTACTTATATAATAACAATAAGCATTAACAATTTTTAAAATAATGTTTTACTAAGCTGTGATTAATTGCACACAGGTCTACTTTTTTGGTTCCTGGCTGGTTATTTCATTAGCCTCTTGATATCCTGGGAGCCTTTAATGAGGAGAGTAGCCTCAGCCCTAATAAACCCTCACCCTGAAAGGCAGAGGTGATGAGTCAGACATTGGCTGCTGATTTTCGATAACTGACTTTTATCATATTCCCACACAATGCATGGAACTCTTTTTATACCAGTATGGTATAGAGCTACTTGAGTGAATTGCTATTGTTTCTTTCTCATTTATAAATTATAAATTTTAATTTATAAATTATATGGAACAGGAAGTTAATAGTGGTACACAGTTGGAAATATAAAGCTTATTCTGCTCAGCCAGAGCCATCCGAGATAGTCTGGACTTTGGATCTCCATGAGCTTCTTTCTTAGTGAGTTGACACCAGGGCTGATGGTCTGGCTGGAAGAGTTAAAATCTTGGGGTTGGTAAAGGGCTATAGTTCTAAACATCCATAACTGGGAGCTTAGATCAGTTAGTGTATGTGTTGCTCTCGTCCAGCAGAAAAGGAGAGTTCACTTTGCTAAGCAGCGCCCCCTAGAGAAGTTTCACTGCATAAGAGTATTACCCCCAGTTAACCATAAATAAAGTTGATTAGAAATGTCATTGTCCAACTATTCCAATATCTGAGGGACCACTCTATGCACATATAGTGAGGTGCATAATCTTATTGTTGAAACTCCACTGAAACTACACCGTAGGTACAAGTTGTTTTGACAGTGTAAAGAATGTCCCTCACAGTTGAAAAGCTAATATTAACATTCTGTGACACATGAAATGAGGTATTTAGTCACTGAGTTTAAAAAGAGATGTATGGATGGGAATTTCCCCCTTTCCATTAAAGGATAATGAATAATCCACTTAATGGCGTATGTCCTCTAAAACAGTGTCCTTGTAAGCTTAGATAAATATTTGTCTAAACTTTAGTAAAATATTTATTGGCAAAAGAGCTTTTCTCATTTACTAGGTATTGAACTTTGCAGATTATTCAGTTGGTCTTATTGCATCCCATTTGTTATTTCTGCCATTTTGCCTCTAAAAACTGTGCTGAAGACTTTGACACATTTCAGAGCATTACACTAAATAAATCTGTCTTGCACATTCCACTGTGCTTTTTCTGGAATATTATAAATATTCAAATATAGGCACACACGCCGATTCAAAATACAATTTAATACATGCAAATTGTGCATAAATTCCATATTTATAACTTGGCAATAGTTTCGAACTTGTTATCCTATGATATAAATGTATCAAATAGGAGCTCATGGGAATTATCAATAAATGTATTTTTCTGATTAAACTGTGGGCTCTTTTTCAGTCACAATTTAAGCTTCAATTCTGAGTTATATTATAAGAGAATAATTTGCACTTCATTTACTCTGAATTGTCAAGAATCTTGTTCTTCCCCAATGTAAGTGTCTGCAAAGAGGACTTCTTATTCAGTTTGATTGCTTTTTAAATTTTACTAGTGGAGATGCCCTAGTGAGTCTGAGAGAATTGGTCTGTTTCTTATGAAGAGTTTAGTTCTAATGAGTTGCTTCCATGCACTGTTCTGTGCGAATACAGAGCAATTGAAATGTGCGGTGTATTGATTTACCTCAAATGGATTAGGCCTGTGTGCACCATTCCTTGCATTAATTGACTTTCTCCCATAACTGTACTAATAACTGCAAATCTTCAGTATAGTATTAGCTTCAATTTACTCATAAAGATCCTTGGGTTTTTGCTAACTTACTACAGGAGAGTCAATGCAAGCAAGAGTATTTAGAAATTGACTAGGGGGACCAAGTTACATCATACAACCCAGAAATACTTTTAAAGGGCTCTTTGATCATGGCAGCCAACTCTTCAGTTATTACAATAAATAGGAGTTGACTAAACTCACCAGTTAAGACCTAGATTATCACAATGGATGAAAATAAAAAATCCAGCTATATGCTGTGTATAAGAGACAAAGGTAAAACATAAGAACATAAAGCACACAAAAAGGATTGGAATAGGTACACTATGCAAACACTAGCCAGAAGTAAACTGATGTGGCTATGTTGATATCAGACAAAACAGACTTTAAGGTAGAACCATTATTGGGCATAAACAGATCACTGTGTAATGATTAACAGTTCAGTTTTTTTTTCAGATAACAATTCTAAACTTGCATATGCTTAATACCATAAGTTTGAAACGTATAAAGCAAAAGTTGGCAGAGCTAAAAGCAGAAATTATAAAATCTGATTTTTTTTCAGAAATTGATAGGTAAAATGAACAAAAAATGAATAAGGATACAGAGGATTTGAACAACATGATTAACAAACTCAATATAATGGGTATATATATATACACACACACATATACATATACATCTAAAATACACACATACACACACATACACGCACACACACACACATATATATATATAAAATCTGCACCCAATTGGAAGAATACACACACAAGTGCATATGAAACACTTTTGAAAATAGACCATATACTGAGCCCTAAAATTACTCTTGAAAAACTTCAGTGAATGAATTATCTTGTAGACCATACTATCTGATCATATGCAGTGCTTAGACATTGGGTGTTGTGTTAAACCTGAGTGCGTGTGAAGGAACGTTAGTAGTTTGCTATATTTGTAAGTATTACCAATCCTTCACCGACCACATAACATTTCTTAATTGACATACAAAAGTGAAGAACTCCAAGACTTAGGTAGTTTGACCCAGGTAACTTGGCCTTATTTTCCAAGAAGATCTATTACTATTTTGGGGTACCTATTGAGACAGGTCCTGTGCAAGGAGCATATTATATATTTTCTCATTTAATTCTCACGACAACCCTCTGAGGTAGATTTTTTAATATATACTTTAAGTTCTAGGGTACATGTGCACAACGTGCAGGTTTATTACATATGTATACATGTGCCATGTTGGTGTGCTGCACCCATTAACTCATCATTTACATTAGGTACATCTCCTAATGCTATCCCTCCCGCCTCCCCTCACCCCATGACAGGCCCCAGTGTGTGATGTTCCCCACCCTGTGTCCAAGTGTTGTCATTGTTCAATTCCCACCTATGAATGAGAACATGCGGTGTTTGGTTTTCTGTCCTTGGGATAGTTTGCTGAGAATGATGGTTTCCAGCTTCATCCATGTTCCTACAAAGGACATGAACTCATCCTTTTTATGGCTGCATAGTATTCCATGGCATATATGTGCCAAATTTTCTTAGTCCAGTCTATCAATGATGGACATTTGGGTTGGTTCCAAGACTTTGCTATTGTGAATAGTGTCACAATAAATGTGTGCATGTGTCTTTATAGCAGCATGATTTATAATCCTTTGGGTATATACCCAGTAATGGGATGGCTGGGTCAAACGGTATTTCTAGTTCTAGATCCTTGAGGAATCACCACACTGTCTTCCACAATGGTTGAACTAGTTTACAGACCCACCAACAGTGTAAAAGTGTTCCTATTTCTCCACATCCTCTCCAACACCTGTTGTTTCCTGAAATTTTAATGATCGCCATTCTAACTGGTGTGAGATGGTATCTCATTGTGGTTTTGATTTGCATTTCTCTGAAGGCCAGTGACGATGAGCATTTTTTCATTTCTTTTTTAATTATTACACTTTAAGTGCTAGGGTACATGTGCACAACGTGCAGGTTTGTTACATATGTATACATGTGCCATGTTGGTGTGCTGCACCCATTAACTCATCATTTACATTAGGTATATCTCCTAATGCTATCCCTCCCCCCTCCCCCCACCCCACAACAATCCCCAGTGTGTGATGCCCCCCTTCCTGTGTCCAAGTGTTCTTGTTGTTCAATTACCACCTATGAGTGATGTGATGTTTGGTTTTTTGTCCTTGGGATACTTTGCTGAGAATGATGGTTTCCAGCTTCATCCATGTCCCTGCAAAGGACATGAACTCATCATTTTTTATGGCTGCATAGTATTCCATGGTGTATATGTGCCACATTTTCTTAATCCAGTCTGTCATCATTGGACATTTGGGTTGGTTCCAGGTCTTTGCTATTGTGACTAATGCCGCAATAAATATATGTGTGCATGTGTCTTTATGGCAGCATGATTTATAATCCTTTGGGTATATACCCAGTAATGGGATGGCTGCGTCAAATGGTATTTCTAGTTCTAGATCCCTGAGGAATCGCCACACTGACTTCCACAATGGTTGAACCAGTTTACAGTCCCAGCAACAGTGTAAAAGTGTTCCTGTTTCTCCACATCCTCTCCAGCACCTGTTGTTTCTTGACTTTTTAATGATCGCCATTCTAACTGGTGTGAGATGGTATCTCATTGTGGTTTTGATTTGCATTTCTCTGATGGCCAGTGATGATGAGCATTTTTTCATGTGTCTTTTGGCTGCATAAATGTCTTCTTTTAAGAAGTGCCTGTTCATATCCTTTGCCCACTTGTTGATGGGTTTGTTTGTTTTTTTCTTGTAAATCTGTTTGAGTTCTTTGTAGATTCTGGATATTAGCCCTTTGTCAGATGGCTAGATTGCAAAAATTTTCCCCCATTCTGTAGGTTGCCTGTTCACTCTGATGGTAGTTTCTTTTGCTGTGCAGACGCTCTTGAGTTTAATTAGATATCATTTGTGAATTTTGGCTTTTGTTGTCATTGCTTTTGGTGTTTTAGACATGAAGTCCTTGCCCATGCCTATGTCCTGAATGGTATTGCCTAGGCTTTCTTCTAGGGTTTTTATGGTTTTAGGTCTAACATTTAAGTCTTTAATCCATCTTGAATTAATTTTTGTATAAGGTGTAAGGAAGGGATCCAGTTTCAGCTTTCTACATATGGCTAGCCAGTTTTCCCAGCACCATTTATTAAATAGGGAATCCTTTCCCCATTTCTTGTTTTTGTCAGGTTTGTCAAAGATCAGATGGTTGTAGATGTGTGGTATTATTTCTGAGGGCTCTGTTCTGTTCCATTGGTCTATATCTCTGTTTTGGCAGCAGTACCATGCTGTTTTGGTTACTGTAGCCTTGTAGTATAGTTTGAAGTCAGGTAGCGTGATGCCTCCAGCTTTGTTCTTTTGGCTTAGGATTGACTTGGCAATGTGAGCTCTTTTTTGGTTCCATATGAACTTTAAAGTAGTTTTTTCCAATTCTGTGAAGAAAGTCATTGGTAGCTTGATGGGGATGGCATTGAATCTATAAATTACCTTGGGCAGTACGGCCGTTTTCACAATATTGATTCTTCCTATCCATGAGCATGGAATGTTCTTCCATTTGTTTGTGTCCTCTTGTTTCATCGAGCAGTGGTTTGTAGTTCTCCTTGAAGAGGTCCTTCACTTCCCTTGTAAGTTGGATTCCTAGGTATTTTATTCTCTTTGAGGCAGTTGTGAATGGGAGTTCACTCATGATTTGGCTCTCTGTATGTTATTGGTGTATAAGAATGCTTGTGATTTTTGCACATTGATTTTGTATCCTGAGACTTTGCTGAAGTTGCTTATCAGCTTAAGGAGGTTTTGGGCTGAGACGATGGGGTTTTCTAGATATATAGTCATGTCATCTGCAAACAGGGACAATTTGACTTCCTCTTTTCCCAATTGAATACCCTTTATTTCCTTCTCCTGCCTGATTGCCCTGGCCAGAACTTCCAACACTATGTTGAATAGGAGTGGTGAGAGAGGGCATCCCTGTCTTGTGCCAGTTTTCAAAGGGAATGCTTCCAGTTTTTGCCCATTCAGTATGATTTTGGCTGTGGGTTTGTCATAAATAGCTGTTATTATTTTGAGATACGTCCCATCAATACCTAATTTATTGAGAGTTTTTAGCATGAAGGGCTATTGAATTTTGTCAAAGGCCTTTTCTGCATCTATTGAGATAATCATGTGGTTTTTGTCTTTGGTTCTGTTTATATGCTGGATTACATTTATTGATTTGTGTATGTTGAACCAGCCTTGCATCCCAGGGATGAAGCCCACTTGATCATGGTGGATAAGCTTTTTGATGTGCTGCTGGATTCGGTTTGCCAGTATTTTATTGAGGATTTTTGCATCAATGTTCATCATGGATATTGGTCTAAATTTCGCTTTTTTTGTGTGTCTCTGCCAGGCTTTGGTATCAGGATGATGCTGGCCTCATAAAATGAGTTAGGGAGGATTCCCTCTTTTTCTATTGATTGGAATAGTTTCAGAAGGAATGGTACCAGCTCCTCTTTGTACGTCTGAGGTAGATGTTTTAAAACCCCATTTAAAGATGAGAAAACAGAACTGGACAAGATACATAACCTCCTAAATCTTCACAGCTACACAGTATTGGAGCTGGCATTTAAAATCAACTGGGATATTTGGCCTGTCTGGTATATTTTAATGTCTACTAAATTCTCAGACAAATCTCCAAAAACCTTTTTCTTTTCTGTGGCTAAGTCTATACAAGCTAAGTGGAATGGAGACCTGAAGTAACTATCTGGAGATACCAAGATCCAACATATTAGCTTGTTTTTAAAAAAACACCTTTTAAAAATTTAATAAAAGTCACTCTTTCAAGGTGAACTCTGCAGCTCTTTTTTCCCGTCTTAAAGATTTAGATGCCGAAGTTATTTCAAATACTTTTTACATTGAAGATTTACACATAAGTATGATGTTTTAATGGAAATGAAAAAAGGCGCTAGAGAAAAGATTCAGGTTTTCTTTTTTCAAATAAGAAAAATGAGGACCTTAACTGTATTTTAATTTCTACCCCCTTGTAGACTGCATTTTTGGTACATACACTATGCAAAATTTGTAAGAGGCCAAAGAATCTTGCTCCTTTTAGAATGTTGGCATTTGTCTCATTAGCAGTTAGTTGCATTGCTTTGACCAATTGTGACCTGTTTCTATAAATGACCATTGCTTTTTGCTGCATTTGGTAAGTGTAGACACAGCCTTTGGAGGGTAATATAAATGAGTTCAGGCAGGGCATCTCTTGTAATCTGGGAACAGAGGAGCCAGTGAAATAAAGATGCTTTCTTTCAAAAACCAAGGGAGGAGTCCTAGATGAAATGAATCCTGAAGGCTATTCTTATTTTGGGGGCTCATCATGAAGATAATAAGAATCCATTTTGTTGCTGAAATAACCAAATAAGAGTGGCACATTCCCATAGGAGTGACCATTCTCTTCCTTTTGGAAGGGGCAGCTTTAGAAAAGTGCCATTATGCAAAGCTGAAGGCCATAAAAAAGTGCCATTAAAGAGAATGCAAATTAGCATGGGCCTACCAGCCTGGCAGGCATTATTAATGTTGGAGGTAAAGAAATTAGGTTGAAGGTATGGAAGAACCATAAAAAAACAACCAGAGGCCAGTGTGACATTGGGCTGATGGCCACTTAAGCTGATGCCTCATGGCTGAGACTTTGCTAAGTGGAAGATTAACTGACAAAACAGCTTGAAGGTTGACGAACTATTTGAGCTCATTGCCAGATACTCTAGAGGCAAAAATACTTATTTTTGTGATTTTTTTTTCTGAAAGTGGCACAGTATGTTCTAAGAGTATAATAGGCCAGCTCCAGAGCATTAAAGCAATGTTGAAATGAAGCATATTGGTGTGAATGATGCATAGTAGGCTATTTATGAAAAATTACTTCAATAAAAAACTTCATGAACATGTAAACATGATTTTATGTATAAACACACTATAAGATTTATGAAAGATAATCATACTAATATGAGAATATGAAGCTGAAGCAAGGTATTTTTTAAAAATTACATTGTTGAACAAAATGGTCTGAATATTTCTGCTTTTAGGTAAGGATCTATGCTTTGCAGCTGCCTCCTTCAGTTTGTTTTTATGACTTAAGCAAATAAAAAAAAAAGAGATCATTTTAGCATTAGTATAGCATTCTACAATCTTCTGGAAGCTTTTATATTTATCGCCATATGGGTGTACATTAAATCTGCATCTCCCTCTCGTTTATATGTTTATGAAGTTATAAAGATATACACATGCGCACACAAAATAATTAAGCAAGTGATGTGTGTTTGACAACGATTGGTGACTTAATGCCAATTAGAGGGTGTTAAAAAAGAACACTTGCTTTCTTAATCCAATTGTTCCCATGCTTTTTGGTTTATGCACTTAAGGAGAGAACCCATTTAAAGTGCCAGAATTTGCATACATGCAGCTTTGACTGAGCCTTCTATTTAATCCAGTGGTCTTAAAAAATTATTAGTGAGGGTTTTAGAGACCTACATGTCATGAGATCCATTAGGACGAGACTGAAAGTACACTTTTTGGCTGCCTCCTTTATGGGAAGGGGTGTGCTTTTGATATGGGGAGAGCTAAAGGTATGTGGATCAGCTGGACTGTTTAATGCAGCCAGATTAGCTCAGCTCATCTCAGTTAGAGCATCTTGTGTTGCAGCCACCTTGCCTAATGCCATTATGGGAAAGTGGCTCATAATTTTCCAGAGTTCAGCTGAATGCTAAGTGAAAGGCTACATACAGTGTTCGTATGTATGAAAGTTAGCAGTTGCATTGACGAACTCTTCTGTTTTAAAAATTCTGGTTGGACTGGAATGGGCAGGATTGTGATATTCCCCTTTCAATGTCATGTTTGTTTTGCTTTAAATCATGGTGATGTAACCATTATTCATTGTAGGAAGATTATGGCTTCAGTGTCCAAGGACTGGGTGCGGGGTTTCAGGTTGTGACCTTTGGCTGAGAATGCCTTCTCTAGAGAATGTCACAGAGGTCAGATTTCTATGCTGACTGCAAACAAACCTGCGACCACAAAATTCAGCTCTTCTGATTTGCTAGGATCTGACTCCAGGATGCAGTACTTTCTGGTTAACAGAGGGGGCTCTTGTATGCAGTAAACCTCCCAAGATGGAGAGATGTGGTATCAGCTATTTTCATTATAGCCATCTTAGGAGTGTGAAGTTGTATCTCATTGTGGTATTGATTTGCATTTTTCTGATGGCTAATGATGTTAAACATTTTTTCATGTGCCTATTGCCCATTTGAGTATCTTCTCTGGAGAAATATCTATACAGGTTGTTTGACATTCTTAATTGTGTTATTTCTTTTTCTTTTTAATATTAATTGGTTTTTTTTAAACATATTCTAGGTTCAAGTCTCTTATAAGATATACGCTTTGCAAACATTTTACCCCCATTCAGTGGTTGTTGCTTCACTTTCTTGAAGGTACCCATTGAAGCAGGAAAGTTTTAAATTTTGGTGAAGTCCAATTTAATTTTTTTCTTTGTCACTTCTGAAGGCTTTGCCTAGTGTTCACAAAAATTTACTCCTATATCTGCTTTTAAGAGTTTTATAGTTTAACCTTTTACAGTAAGGTCAATGATCTATTTCAGGTTAATTTTTGTGCATATTGTGAAAAAGGAGACACACCCATAAGATTGGTATAACTTTATCCTTTTTTATTTAGGTAATATTTGTCCCAGAATCCTTTGTTGAAGACTGTTTTTCTTTATTCATTTTCCTTGGTACCA
The DNA here is from genome assembly GCF_000001405.40 of Homo sapiens. Lineage (NCBI taxonomy): Eukaryota > Metazoa > Chordata > Mammalia > Primates > Hominidae > Homo > Homo sapiens. Next base: position 132,940,165 of record NC_000023.11, on the reverse strand, counting down.
TTATACAAAACCGGTTGATCATAAATGTTTGGATTTATTTCTGGATTCTATTTTACTTGTCTATAAAGCTATCTTTAATCAAGTGACACACAGTCTTGACTACTGTTGCTTTGTAGCTAGTTTTGAAAGCAGGAAGTGCGAATCTTTTATTTATTTTTTCTTTCTCTAGATTGTTTTGGCTATTCTTGGCACCTTGAATTTCATTGTGAATTTTAGCATCAGCTTATCAATATCCACAAAGAAGCCGGCTGGGATTTTTTTAGGGATTGTATTAAATCTGTAGATCAATTTTGGGGAGTATTGCCATATGGACAATATTGTTTTTCAATTCAAAAACATGGGCTATTTTTCCATTTGTTTAGGTCTTCTTTAAATTCTTTCAGTGCTAATTTTGAAGCCTTTAGATTGTAAGTTTTGAATTTATTTTGTTAAATTTATTTAAAAGTATTTTACTCTTTTGATATTATTGTAAATTGAATTTTTTTCATTTTTGGATTGTTCATTGCTACTATATAAAAAGATAGTTTTTTTTGTTTGTTTGTTTTGCAACGGAGTCTCTGTCGGCCAGGCTGGAGTGCGGTGGTGCAATCTCGGCTCACTGCAACCTCTGCCCCCCATGTTCAAGCAATTCTCCTGCCTCAGCCTCCTGAGTAGCTGGGATTACAGGTGCACGCCACCATGCCCGGCTAATTTTTGTATTTTTAGTAGAGATGGGGTTTCACCATGTTGGCCAGTCTGGTCTCAAACTCCTGACCTCAAGTCATCTGCCCGCCTTGGCCTCCCAGAGTGCTGGGATTACAGGCATGAGCCACTGTGCCCGGCCAGTTAATTTTTAAATATTGATCTTGTATGCTGCAGCCTTGCTGAATTCATTTTTAAGTTCTAATAGTTTTTCAGAGTATCCCTCAAGATTTTCTGTATACAAATGATAGAGTTTGGATGTGTGTTCCCCACAATCTCATGTTGAAATGTAATCCCTAATGTTGGAGGTGGGGCCTGGTGGGAGGTGTTTGGATTATGGGAGCAGATCTCTCATGAAAGGCTCAGTGCCCTCCCTGTGATAATGAGGTCACATGACATCTGTTTGCTTAAAAGAGTCTAGCACTTCCACCTCTCTCTCTTGCTCCCTCTCTTGCCATGTGACACACTGGCTTCCCTTCACCTTCCACCATGATTCTAAGCTTCCTGAGGCCCTTGCCAGAAGCAGAAGCCAACACTATGCTAGCTGTACAGCCTGCAGAACTGTAAGCCAGATAAACTTCTTTTTTATGTTACCCAGTCTCAGACATTCCTTTATAGCAACACAAATGGACTAATACAACATGCTTATGCTATCTGTAAATAGACACTTTAATTTCTTACTATTCAGTGTTGATGAATTTTATTTCCTTTTCCTGCCTTACTTCCTTGGCTAAAATCTCCAGTAAAATGTGAACTGGAAGTGGCTATAATGAACTTCTTTATCTTGTTTTTGATCTCAGGGGAAAGCATTCAGTCTTTCATTATTATTATTATTATTATTATTTGAGACAAGGTCTCACTGTCATTCAGGTTGGGATGCAGTGGCATGATCACAGCTCACTGCACCCTCAACCTCCTGGGGCTTGAGGAAACCTCCCACCTCAGCCTTCCAAGTAGGAAGAACTATAGGCAAGGATCACTATGCCTGACTAATTTTTAAATTCTGTGTAGAGATGGGGTCTTGCTATGTTGCCCAGGCTGGTCTTGGACTCCTGGGCTCAAGTGGTGTACTGCCTCAGTCTCCCAAAGTGTTGGGATAACAGGTGTGAGCCACTGTTCTCTGCCCAGTCTATCACTATTAAATATGTGAGCTCTAGGTGTCTTTTATCAGATTGAGGAAGTTCTCTTATTCCTAGTTTGATGAGTGTTTCTTTAAAAAAAAAACAATGAATGGATATTGGATTTTGTCATGATTATTCTGCATCTCTTGAGATAATTGTGTTTTTTTCTCTTTATTTTTTATTTATTTGTTTTTTTTTTTTTGAGACAGGGTTTCCCTTTGTTGCCCAGGGTGGAGTGCAGTGGCATGATCATGGCTCACTGAAGCTTCAACTTCCTGGGCTCAAGCAATCCCCCCACCTCAGCCTCTTGAATAGCTGGGACTACAGGTGTGCATCACTATTCCCAGATAATTTTATTTTTTATTGTAGAGATGGGGTCTCACTATGTTGTCCAGGCTGGTCTCAAACTCCTGCGCTCAGGAGGTCCTCCTGCCTTGGCCTCCTACATGCTGGGATTACAGGTGTGAGTCACCACACCCTACCTCTTTATTCTATTGATATAGTGTTTTACATTAATTTACTCACAGGTAGTAAGCCAACCTCGCATTCTCTTGACAAATCCTACTTAGTCATGGTGCATAATCTTTTTTTATATATTGCTGGATTGCTTAGATTTTCTTCTAGTATTTTCATAGTTTCAGGTCTTAGGTTTAAGTCTTTAATCTTGAGTTGATTTTTGCACATGATGAGGGCTAAGGGTCCAGTTTTATTCTTCTGCATGTGGCTATCAAATTTTCCCAGCACAAGTTATTGAAGAGGGTGCCCTTTTCCCAATATATATTCTTAGTGCCTTTGTTGAAAATCAGTTAGATGTAAATACACAGATTTTTTTTCTGGGTTCTCTACTCTGTTCCATTGGTCTATGTATCTGTTTTTACAGCAATGTCATGTTGTTGTGGTTACTATAACTTTCTAGTATAATTTGAAGTCATGTAGTGTCTTGCCTCCAGCGTTGTCCTTTTTGCTCAGTATTGCTTCGGCTGTTCAGGGTCTTCTGTAGTTTCATACAAATTTCAGAATTTGTTTTTTCTATTTCTATGAAGAATGTTATTGGTATTTTGACAGGGATTGCATTGAATCTGTAGATTGCTTTGGGTAGTGTGGACATTTTAACAATATTAATTCTTTCAATCTATGAGCATGTGATGTCTTTCCTTTTTTGTGTCTTCTTCAATTTCTTCAGAGTTTTATTGTTTTTATTTTACTTCCTTGATTAAATTTATTCCTTGTTATTTTATTTTTTTGTAGCTGCTATAAATGGAATTACTTTCTTGATTTCCTTTTCAGCTAGTTTGTTAATGGTGTATCAAAACACTGTTGACTTTTGTATGTTGATTTTTGTGTCCTGCAACTTTACTAAATTCATTAAATAGTTCTAAGATATTTTTGATGGAGTTTTTAGGGTTTTCTATATATAAGACAATGTCATCTGCAAACAGAGACAATTTGACTTTCTCTTTTTCAATTTGGATGCATTTTCTTTCTTTTTTTTTTTTCTTTCTCAACTTTTATTTTAGGTTCAAGTGTACATGCGCAGGTTTGTTAGATGGGTAAATTGCATGTCACTGGGGTTTGGTGTACAAATGATTTCATGACCCAGGTAGTGGGCATAGTATCTGACAAGTAGTTTTTCAACCCTCATCCTCCTCCCAGTCTCCACCCTCAAGTAGGCCCTGGTTTCTATTGTTCCTCTCTTTGTATCTAAGTGTACTCAGTGTTTAGCTCTCACTTATAAGTAAGGACATGCAATATTTGGTTTTCTGTTCCTGTGTTAATTTGCTTAGAATAAATGGCCTCCAGCTGTATCTATATTCATAGGAGACATTGGTCTATAGTTTTCCTGTGATGTCTTTGTCTGAATTTGGTATTAGAGTAACACTAGTCTCACAGAATGTGTTGAGAGATATTTTCTCCTTTTCTATTTTTTTAAAGAGTTTGTGAAAGCTTGGTGTTAATTCTTTTTAAATTTTTGGTGTAATTCACTAGAGAAACATATGGGCCTGGGCTTTTCTCTGTGGTAAGTTAAAATTATTTATTTGATCACTTTACTTTTTATAGTTCAATTGAGTTTTTTATTTCTTTGTGAGTTAATTTCAGTAGTTTATTGTCTTTCTGGTAACTTGTGTGTTCTTTCCAAGTTATCCAGTTTATTGGCATGCAGCTGTTCATAGCATTACCTTATAATTCAATTTATTGTTAAAGGATAGTATTAATGTCCCCTCTTTCATTCCTGATTTTAATAATTGAGTCTTTTCTCTTTTTGTTCAGTATAAGTTCTGTTTATCAATTTTGTTGATCTCTTCAAAGAATCCATTTTTGTTTTCATGGAATTTATTATTCTTTTTCAACTCTCAATTCCCTAGAATCTATAATATTTCTTTTCTTCTGCTTGCTTTATGTTTAGTGTGTTCTTCCCTTTTCAGTATCTTATGATATAAAGTTATATTAGTGATTTGAAAATTTTCAAATTATAGTTGTAAATGCCTATATTTTCAAAAAGAAAATATTTCAAATCGCTTCATCCCATAAGCTTTGATATGTTTTGTTTCATCCCATAGGTTTTGGTATGTTTGGTTTCATTTTCATTTGTATCAAACAATTTTCTGATTTCCTTTGTGATTTTTTCCTTGACTTATTGGTTATTTTGCAGTGTGATGTTTAATTTTTCACGTTTGTCAATTTCCCAAATTTCCTTCTGTAAATGATTTATAATTTCATTCCACTGTGATTGGAGAACATACATTGTATGATTCAACTATTTTAAATATATTGAGACTTCATGACCAGTCTGGGCAACATGGCGAAACTCTATTTCTACCAAAAATACAAAAAATTAGCTGACTGTGGTGGTGCACACCTGCAGTCCCAGCTACTCTGGAGGCTGAGGTGGGAGGATCACTTGAGTCCTGGGAGGTGGAGGTTGCAGTGAGCTGAGATTGTGCCACTGCACTGAAGCCTAGGTGACAGAGTAAGACCCTAGCTGGAAAAAAAAATATGTTGAGACACATCTTGTGGCCTAACATATGCTCTATCCTGGAGAATGTCTGTGTGCATCTGAGAAGACTATTTTGCTGTTGGTGGTGGAGTGTTCTATAGATGTTGCTAAAACTTGGTAGTTTATTGTGCTGTTTAGACTTCTATTTCTCCATTGATCTTTTTCTAGTTGTTCCACCATTATTTAAATTGGGATAATGAAGTCTCCAATTATTATTATTGAATTATCTGTTTTTCCCTTTGGTCCTGTCAGTTTTTACTTCATGTGTTTTAGGGATCTGTTGTTAGCTGCATATATATTTATAATTGTTTTGTTTTCTTGATGCATTGTTTCTTTATCATTATAAAACTTCTTTCTTTAGTAATTTTGTAATATTTATTTTCTCTGATATTAGTATAGCCATTCCATATTTCTTGTGGTTCTTGTTTCCATGATATCTTTTCTCTTCTTTTTCCTCTCCAATGATTTCTATCTTTTTCTATCTATAATGTGTGTTTCTTGTAGACAGCAAATAGCTGGATCTTGTTTGGTTTTTATTTCATTCTGGCAGTCTGTGCCTTTTGATTGGATTGTTTCATCCATCTACATTTAACAATATTAATGATATAGCTTGATCCATCTTATTTTGATTTTCCATATATCTCATGTCTTTTTTGTTCCCCTATTGCTCCTGTACTGCTTTGTCTTATATTAAGTTAATGCTTTCCAGTGTAACATTTTAATTCCCTTAATGATTTTCTACTGTATTTTGTTGTTATTTTCTCAATGTATTCTCTAGGGCTTAATCTATGTATATTAAATTATCAGAATCTACTTCATATTTATAGTAACTTAATTACAATAAGCTCTTTAAGTGTTTTCCTAGATAGCTCTGTTTCTTCTTCTCTCTTTTTGTGCTGTTATTGTTATAAATTTTACATCTATACATGTTACAAACTCAGCAGCACATTGTTATAATTATTACTTAATGAAATTTTATGTCTTCTAAAGAAGGTAAGAGAAGTGAGAGAACAAGTATATTTATTGAGTTTCTTATAAACCACCTTATGTACCATTACTGGTTCTGTTTGTTTGTTTCTGTGCATTTAAGTTACCATTTTGTATTTCCTCACTCCAGTACAGCCTTGCTCCAACACATTTCTTTTGGTTTGTTATTGTCATATGTTAAATGTATATATTTTATGGTCCCAACAATACAATTATATACCTATTTTTTTATTGCTTTTCAAAGTTTGTTATGAGAAAAGGGGAGTAAATATGCATTTATACTGTATTTTGTTATTATTACATTATTATTTTATTATTACATTATTATCTTCAAATGAGCTGATTTTTTCTTTCATGTGGACTTGAATTACCACCTGGTCCCACTTGCTTTCAGCCGGAGAATTTTTCTTTATTATTTCTTGTAATGCAGGACTGTTAGCATGAGATTGTCTCATGCTAACATGAGATACTTTGTTTTCTGTGAATGTCTTTATATTGCTTTCGGTTTTGAAAATACTTTTGCTGGATATACAATTCTTAATTATTGGTTTCTTTTCCTAAGCATGTTGAATGCCATCCCACTGCCTTTGTCCTCTATTGTGTCTGATGAGAAGTTAGCTGTCAGTGTTATTGAGGTTCCTCTGTGTGATGGGTCACTTTTCTCTTACTGCTTTTAAGAATTTCTCTTTCTCTTTTTAACATTTTTAGTATGGTATGTCTGTGTTAGGATCTCTTTTTGGTTATCCTACTTGCAGTTCATTGAGCTACTTGCACGTGTAGATTAATTTTTCTTCCAGCTTAGAGAAAGTATTAGCCATTAAGATTTTTTTTTCTTTTCTGTTTCTTTCTCTTTCTGGTACTCTTCCATTAGGTGTATTCTGGTGTGCTTTTTGGTGTCCCATATTTCTCTGAGGTTCTGTCCATTTTTATACCTTCTTTCTCTCTCTGTTTTCAGATTGCGTAATGTCTACTGAAATATCTTCAAGGTTGCTGATTATTTATCCTGCCAGCTCAAATTGTCTGCGGAAGCCTTGTAGTAATTTTTTTTTAAATTGAGACAGAATCTCGCTCTGTCACCCAGGCTGGAGTGCACTGGTGCGATCTCGGCTCACTGCAACCTCCGTCTCCTGGGTTCAAGCAGTTCTCCCACCTCAGCCTCCCGAATAGCTGGGATTACAGACGCATGCCACCATGCCTGGCCAATTTTTGTATTTTTAGTAGAGAGGGGGTTTCACCATGTTGGCCAGGCTGGTCTCCATACTCCTGGCCTCAAGTGATCTGCCTACCTAGGCCCCCCAAAGTACTGGGATTACAGGTGTGAGCCACTGCACCCAGCCCTTGCAGTAAATTTGTAATTTCAATTATTCTTTTCAATTTCAGAGTGTTCATTAGTTTCATTTTTATAATGTCTATATTATATAACATAGACATTATATTATAGAAAATATATATAGAAAAATATATTATATATAAATATATATTATAGAATATAGAATATATATAGAATAGAATATATATTCTATTCTAAATACAGAAATATATAGAAAAATATTATATATTATATAATATAGACATAATATCCTTTTATGGATATTATATATTTAATGAGACATTGTCATTATACCTTCCTTTACTTCTTTAAGTATGGTTTTCATTAGTTTCAACACTATTTCTAAAGGCTACTTTGAATTCTTTGTTAAGTCTGACATCTGGGCTCTGTCACAGATAGATCCCATTGCTTGCCTTTTTCTCTTGTGTATGGGTCACGCCTTTCTACGTCTTTTCGTGTCTCATAATATTTTGTTGGAAACTGGACCTTTTGAAACTCTGGATAATGATTCTCCTCCACCTTCACTGGGTTGTGTATTTGTTGCTGTTTGCTTATTTATTCTGGGACTTGTCTGAACTATTTTACTAAAACCTATTTCTCCCCTGTGTGAATCCTTTGATGTCAGAGGGCTGTCTTGGGCATGTGCAGAGTCACAGTGGGATAACAGTTTTAGCAGGGATTTCTTTGGGTCTTTCCCTGATATTTCTGTTAAACAGTCTGTCTCTGTTGTTATCATGTCTATCTGTTGGACTCCACTAATTGTTGGGTGATTGCTGTATTGTTTTTGACAGTGTCCTGGGGCATCAATTGCTCCACAGTCTGATCAGATTTGGACACTTTTGCTGGGGTATTTTTTTTTTTTTTTTGAGGTGGAGTCTTGCTCTGTCACCCAGGCTGAAGTGCAGTGGCGCAATCTCGGTTCACTGCAAGCTCCGCCTCCCGGGTTCACGCCATTCTCCTGCCTCAGCCTCCTGAGTAGCTGGGACTACAGGCGCCCACCACCACGCCCGGCTAATTTTTTGTATTTTTAGTAGAGACGGGGTTTCACTGTGTTAGCCAGGATGGTCTCGATCTCCTGACCTTGTGATCCGCCCACCTTCGGCTCCCAAAGTGCTGGGATTACAGGCGTGAGCCACCTCGCCTGGCCTTGCTGGGGTATTTTTTGAGGCCAGTCTTTGAGATTTGTTCTAACCCCAAAAGGGCTCTTCTTTGCTGGTTCTTTTTCTGGTTATCTAATGTTAGCTTTCCTATGATTTAGCTTGTCACTGTTACACATCCTCTTAAATGCTTACCACCAAGATTTCCATTTTTTTCTCAGAGGACCTTTAGGGTTTTACTTTCCCTTATGCTATAATAAAAAGTCAGTTCCTTTGGGGAGAGCTTTGGAACTCTCTGTTTTATGGCTTGCCTTTCTGTTGGTGTACAGTGTCTGAGCCATTGCTTTGGAGTTGGAGGCAAGGACAGGGGTCTTGTTTCTCTCAAAATGACACTGCTTCTTTTCTAGCTGGGTATTCATGGAGTCAGTATCCTCTGGTCTTCTCAGTTTGCCTCTCCTGATATGGAGCTTCTTTGCTGATAGCGAGCTACACCAGTGGTGACTGGGGGGTCCAGTGTTGTTGCTCTGCTATGCCTGAAGTACAGTCTCCATCCTATAACTGGAGACATTGTTGAGGAAGGGAGCCCCTGTCTTCTTGGCCATGCTTGCCTGGAGTTTAGCCTTTGCAACAAAGAGCTGATGTTGATGAGAATTCTGGAGGCCTTGGTCTCCTGGGGAGATACATAGCTCTTGACTGGGAGCTAGGAATTGTGGGTATCTCCTCTTTTTGTCCACACCCACCTGTACTGGTCCTGCTGTGTGAAGGGGAGGGAGTAGATCATGGCTCAAGTGCTACAGACTCTCCCTCTTTCTACCAAAGGTTAGTAGACTTCCTTGAATAAATCTTTCCTTATTTGCTATATGCATTAAGAACATTTCCAGAGACAGTAAATGGCTGCTTTAGAATTTTCACCGGTATGGTTGTTTTACTGGGGAGAGGCCTGCAGAGCTAAGTCACAATTTTCTTGGTTTTAGGTATGATGGATGATTTTTTTTTATTGGCTCCAAGACATATTATACATTATGTTCAGGGATGCTGGGTCCTATTTAAATCTTTTATTTTAGCAAGCAGTCTCCCTGTTTAGGTTTAGCATATAGGTCTTGGCCTACTTTTTTTGTCTGTGGTTCCACTGTGAGTTTAATTTTCACAGCATTTGTGTTGTTATTTAGGTCTCCTCTGTTTATTTAGTATTATTGGACTTTTCACTGGTCTCTCTTAGTGCTGCCTAAGGAAGCCAAGGACTTTCCCCAAGCCAAGCCCTTGGGTGTCTTTTGGTGGGGGAGGGTTGTATTGAGATCCTCCTAATAGTATTATCCAGCCTGGTGTCTCAGGTTTGGGGAGGAAATTCTTGGGTCCATGGGGACTAACAGGCCTCTTAGACCCATATACTTGCTGCAGTTGTCTCTTTTGGTAGCTCTTCCAGCCTGCCTCAATGTCTCTGGTCAGGGGAGGAGAGTGTCAGGCCAATAGGGACAAAGAGCCTTTCCAGTGGCTGGGCGCAGTAGCTCATGCCTGTAATCCCAACACTTTGGGAGGCCGAGGTGGGTGGATCACCAGAAGTCAGGAGTTTGAGACCAGCCTGGCCAGCATGACGAAACCCTTTCTCTACAAAATTAAAATACAAAATTAGCCAGGCTTGGTGGCACATGTCTGTAATCCCAGCTACTGAGGAGGCTGAAGCATGAGAATCACTTGAACCTGGAAGGTGGAGGTTGCAGTGAGCCGAGATCATGCCAATGCACTCTAGCCTGGACGACAGAGCAAGGCTCCATCTAAAACAAAACAAAACAAAACAAAACAACAACAACAACAACGAAAAAAGCAAAGCGAAAAAAAAAAGCTTCCCAGAATGGGCTACTTGCCACAATTGGGTCTCTTTTATTGGTTCTGCCCACCCACCTTGATGCCTCTGGGAAAGGGAAGAGAGTCTTAGGCTCATGGGGACAAAGGAGCATCCTATATCTAGCTGTTAGGTATAACTGAGTCCCTTTTTCAATCTCCGTCTGCTTATCCTGATGTCTCTGGGGGAAGAGGGGTCTTGAGTCCTCGGGGGACTTCCTGAAATAAGTCTCCTAGCTGTGGTTAGGTCCTGTTTGCTTAATTTGGTTTTGTGGACCTTTTGCATATCCTTGTTGTTTTTCTCTCTAGTTTTTCTATCAGTTTTCCAGAGAGGAGGTCGAAGTTTCTAACTATAACTGTGGATTTGTCTATTTCTCCTTTTAGTTCCATCAGTTTTCACTTTATATATTTTGCATTTCTGTTGTTTGTTACACACACATTTAGAATGGCTGTGTGTTCTTGGTTGATTGACCCTTTTATCATTATGTAATGTCCCCCTACATTCTTGGTAATTTTGTGTTCCAAAGTCTACTTTATCTAATATTAGTATAGCTACTTATTGCTTTATTTTAATTGATGCCTACATGATATATCTTTCTATTTTTCAGTGCCTTCTTTTGCTTGTTTTATGTATTATGTCAGGCTGGAGTACAGTGGCTATTCATAGGTCTGATCACAGCTCACTGCAGCCTCAAATTACTGGCCTCAAGTGATCCTTCCACCTCAGCCTCCCAAGTAGGTAGGACGGTAGGCTCACACCATGGCACCTGGCTTGTCATGTGTGTTTTCTGTAAAATCTAGAATTAGTTGGAGGAATAGAGAGAAATGTGTATACTCTGTCTTGTCCAGAACCAGAAATCTAGTTCACCTATTTCTGTTTTCTTGAATGATCTGGGTTGGCTTTTTAAGTCTTTGAGGCTCCGTGTTGCACTCACCTAATTTTAGCTCAATAAGATCATGTTACTGAGTCTACTACTCTGTACATCAAGGGCTGTAGTGGCTCAATTTTTTTTTTCAAAGATCAAATTTTCAAAGTCCATATATTTTTATCAAATATGCCCTTAGCCTTTTGTTGCTTTGGTTGCATCTGTCCCTCCACTGCCTTTGTAGGCATTTGGTTTTGGAGAGTTGCAATGATGTATGATCTGCAAATCTCCATCTGCTGCCTGCCACTGACTCAGCATGAATAGAAACAAAAATTGACTATAAACTGGTTGACACCAAGATAGACCTAATAACATGGCTTATTTGTATGAAGTTGGACTCTGCTATTAATTCATTCAGTATGAAGTGCTTACTGTGTGCCAGGATCTGTGTTAGGTCCTGGGGTTACAGAGCTAGCAGTGCCATAGGTACTGATTTTGGAGAGTTCATAGACTACTGAGAGGAGACAATCAAATAGGGTATTCGGTGCTATGATAAAGGTGAGCACAGGTTGCTGTGACAATAGAGAACAAGGGTACTCAAATTAGGGTAGGCTCTGTTGATGGAAGTGACACCTGAGTTGAGTCCCTGATATAGTTTGGATATTTGTCTCTGCCCAAATCTCATGTTGAAATGTAATCCACAATAATTGGAGGTGGGGCCCGGTGGGAGGTATTTGGATCATGGAGGCAGATCCCTCATGAATGCCTTGGGCCATCCACTTGGTGATAAGGGAGCTCTCACTCTGAATTCACATGAGATCTGGTCATTTGAAAGTGTGTGGCAGCTGGGCGAAGTGGCACATGCCTGTAATCCCAGCATTTTGGGAGGCTGAGGTGGGAGTTTGAGGCCAGAAGTTTGAGACCAGCCTGACCAACATGGTGAAACTCCATCTCTACTAAAACTACAAAAATTAGCCAAGCATGGTGGTGTGTGCCTGTAATCCCAGCTACTTGAGAGGCTGAGGCAGGAGAATCGCTTGAACCCAGGAGGTGCAGTGAGCCAAGATTGCCCCACTGCACTCCAGCCTGGGCAACAGAGTGAGACTCCGTCTCAAAAAAAAAAAAAAAAAGTGTGTGGCAACTACTCTTGACCACTGTCTCTCTCCTCCTCCTGCTTTTGCCATGTGACATGCCTGCTACCCTTTCACCTTCCACCATGATTGGAATCTTCCTGAGGCCTCCCCAAAAGCCAAGCAGATGCTAACACTCTGTTTCTTGTGCAGCCTACAGAACCATGAGCTAATTAAACCTCTTTTCTTTATAAATTACCCAGTCTCTGGCATTTCTTTCTCTTTTTCTTTTTTCTTTTCTTTTCTTTTTTTTTTTTTTTTCTGAGACAGGGTTTCACTCTATAGCCCAGGCTGGAGTGTAATGTTGTGTTCTCTTATCACTGCAACCCCTGTCTCCCAGGCACAAGCGATCCTCCCCTCTCAGCCTCCAGAGTAGCTGGAACTACAGGCACATGCCTGGCTAATTTTTTGTATTTTTGGTAGACACGGGGTTTTGCCATGTTGCTCGGGCTGGTCTCAAACTCAAGCATTTCTTTATAGCAATGCAAGTATGGTCCAATGCAGTCCCCAAGGATCCATAACCAGTCAAGGATTGGGGGAAACCTTAGGAAGCAGCATGAGTAAAGGGAGTTTCAAGAGGAAGTGTTGCTTGTACTTATGGGCTAGAATGAGATCTGTGACCTCAGAATTTGATAGAAACCAGGACACCTAGAGCCCAGTAGGATATGCGACATATTTTGGACTTTAGTCTGAGAGCAGTGAGAAGGCATTGGGACTTTTTAAGTAGAGGAGTCATTTAATTTGATTTGTGTTTTTACTGAATTCCTCTGGCTTCTGTGTGAAGGGGCTGGAGAGTGGCAAGAACATGGCAGTGAGTTAGAAGGCTGCAGGGAGCAGCCCAGGGAGACAGGGTTGTGGCTTGGCTTGGGGAAGTGATTGTGGGGATGCAGAGAGGTGAATGGATTCAGGAGGTTTAGGAGGAAGAACAGAAAGAATGCTGCGAGTAAAAGATATAGATGGTAGGGATGAGAGTGAGGAAGCAAGGAAGTTTCTGCCAAGGATTCTGCCTTGAGAAGACTGGAGAAGCTGTGATAAGCAGGGCAGTGGGAGAGAGTCTTTGTTTACATGTGGAATTTGGGGAGACTGTGGAGTCGCCATGTTGAGATGCCCACGGGCAGTGGATCTGTGGATGGGGGGGCTCAGTACTGCAGACATAGACTGGGAGGGTTTTTTGTTTGTTCGTTTTGTTTTGTTTTTGAGACGGAGTCCCCCTCCGTCACCCAAGCTGGAGTGCATTGGTGCGATCTCAGTTTACTGCAACCTCCACCTCCTGGGTTCAAGTGATTCTCCTGCCTCGGCCTCCCGAGTAGCTGGGATTACAGGCACACACCACCATGCCCAGCTAATTTTTCTATTTTTAGTAGACATAGGTTTTCTCCATGTTGGCCAGACTGGTCTAGAACTCCTGGCCTCAAGTGATCCACCCGCCTTGGCCTCCCAAAGTGCTAGGATTATAGGTGTGAGCTACTGCGCTCAGCCAGACTGGGAGTTTTGAGGTGCTTTGTCTCATTTATCTCACTTAAAATAATTTCAAAATATGTTAAAAGGAAATGTTATTTGCAATGCATAGACAGGTTTTCCTCGCTAGTTGCTGAGGATAAAATCCAAACAACTGGACCTAAACAGACAGGATTGGAAGAGGCTGTTCTGGACCAAATGGGATGCTAAACCTTAGAATGGATTGACAAGAGAAGGCCATGCAGAATGGTGAGAAGGCCCTACTTACCTCAGCCCAGCTTCAAGGCCCTAAGTGAGGGATACCTGGAATGCCTCTGAAGACTGGCATTTGGATGCCCATTCCTTCCCATTGCAGTTGCCAAGCCCAAGAGCAGTGGAGAACAACTGTACCTTCTTGTCATGAAGTGTGTACACCGGAAAAAAGTAAATGCTTGTATTTTCTTTTTCCTCTCTTTCTTTTCTATATACAGCTCTCCAAAAACGCAGATTTCTCTAGATCACAGTTGTTCGTGGAGAAGTGAGAGTGACAATTTTAGAGTAAAAAATTTAATATTGTGGGAATTATCTCTAACCAGTCAAATTACTAATGAAGATATTTATTCTTGGGAATCTAGAATCAGCTATTTAAGCTTTCTAGGATCTGGAGTCACACAGACTTGAGTTCACATGATGGCTCTTTCACTTACCAATCATGAGACTTTGGGTTAATCACTGCATCTACTTCTGACCTTCAGTTTCCTCATTTGTAAAAGGAGAATGCTACCTCATGGGACTGTTTTGAGGCCCAAATACTGTATGTAAGTGAGAGGGCTTTATAACGTATAAGTTGCTCTTTAAATGTTATTTAATCATTATTTAGCTTCTGGTTTCATTCTATTAATAACATTTTAAAGTGTTATTAGAAAAATTGTAAGATTCTTGCTAATATTAAAATATGTTGCTTTATTTAAAAGTAACTCCTAATTCATGCCCACCTAATAATAAAGAATATCATTAGGTGGCTGTAAACAAAAAAATCAAACAGTTCTTTCTTTCCTCTATACACTCACACACTTCTGGTCATCAAAATGTGTGAATTTTTCCGACAGAGACCAATACTCCGACACTAGCTGGGTGTCTTACAATTCAATTCAGTTCTGAAACTAACCAGCATTAGTGCAGGCCCCATAGATTAAGAGCTCAGTCCCACAAGTCTGCCCCCTCCCCTTCAGACATCTATCTCAAGTCCCAGGTTGTCACCTGTACTTCTGGCTGTAAATCAAGGTTTCCACGACCCCCTCCTTGGGTTTGACAATTTGCTAGGACAGCTCACAGAACTCAAGGAACACTTGCTTACATTTACTGGTTTATTATTTAAGAAAGGATACAATAAAGGATACAGATGAACAGCCAGATGCCAAGGTACATAAGGAAAGGTATGTGGGGAGGGATGCAGAGCCTCTTGTCACCTCCATGTGTTCACCAATATGGAAGCATTCTAAACCCTGTCTTTTTGGGGTTTTGTGGAGGCTTCATTAGGCAGGACTGATTAAATCATTTGTCATTGGTAATAATTCAGTCTCTCTTTTTATCTTTTGTTTTGAGACAGGGTCTCACCCTATCACCTAGGCTGGAGTGCAGTGGCGCGATCACAGCTCACTGCAACGTCTGCCTCCTGGGTTCAAGTAATCGTCCCACTTCCACCTCCTGAGTAGCTGGGACCACAGGCGCACGGTCTCACTTTCTTTTCCAGGCTGGTCTCGAACTCCCAGGCTCAAGCAATCCTCCCACCTCAGCCTCCTGAGTCACTGGGACTGCTGGCACACACCACGACACACGGCTAATTTTTGTTTTTCCTAGAGGCGGCATTTCGCCATGTTGCCCAGGCTGGTCTGGAGCTCCTGAGCTCAAGCGATCTGCCTACCTCAGCCTCCCACAAAGTCCTGGGATTATGGACGTAAGCCACCATGCCCCGTCAACAACTCAATCTTAAACCCCTCTCCCTTTCCTAGAGGTGGTGGGGCTGGTCTGGCTGAAAGTTTCAACCCTCTAATCACATGGTTGGTTCCCTTGGCAACCAGCCTTCATCCTGAGGCTATCCAGGAGCCCCCAGCCATCAGTCATTCATTAGCACACAAAACATCTATCACTTCAGAGATTCCAACAGTTTTTGGAGGAATGAAAATCAAAATATATATTTCTTATTATAAATCACAATACCACAGTGATTATTGGTATGTATGCTTTTAATTTTAGGCTAAGCGAGGATTGATTCTATTCAATTTTTCCCTCAGGCTTATAGGAACACATTTAAGGGCATCTGTTGATGACTCATTAACTGTTTCAAACCTAAAATGTGTCAAATGCTGTGACTTTGCAACTATTGTTGCTCTTCCCTTTAGCACGAAATACTTTAATGATCTCAAGACATTTATATTATCAGATTTTTGCATATATTCACTAAAATTTGGTTTTATTAATGGTCTCGATGTGTCCCATAAATATTCCTGGTTTCCAACTTGAGCTGGATTTATTAGGAAGAGGCAAAATTTAGCTTATGTGCCATACCTGAAGGAAGTTACGTATCGTAGCTTGTGATGCTGTGGGACAGCTAAAGAACAAGCCTTTACCTGGTGACAGATTTTAACTGGGGAATAGTTATTGTAAAAAATATTTTCATTTTTTTTAGACTACAAGATATGCGGGCTAGCATTGGATGCTTGAAAGGAAAATTACATTTTTGCTGAAATCCAGGCAATGCAAAAATTTTATGGACTTCTATGGATATTTCTTGATGCTTAGAGATTTGTTTTTTTAATTGCAAATGTGAATTGTCTATTTACAAATGCTATTACATATGGAGCGGGCCTGTGGTGTATGGCACTATTCCTTGGACTAATGGTACCCAGGTTCCATTCTCTGCTCAGCTCGGTGGCTCTAGACAAAGCCCCTAAAATGCTGTCTGCTTCAGTCTCCTTAATGGTGAAGTGGAAATGAATACCTACTGTCACTTAACTCATGGAGATGCTGGACTGATAATTAGATCATGTAAGAGCACTTTGAGCTGTATTGAAAAATATGTTGTCTCAAATTAAGTAGAGTCTATGGTTTTGTAAATATAAATATATTGCCAGAAAATACATCACTGGGGGAGCAAAACATGTAGACCAAATATAACAGGGATTAGTAACATCAGTAAACATAGTTGGGAAAAGATGGCACTAAAGAAAGCCAAGAAGAAAGTGTTGCTCTTGTAAACCAAAAATAAAATGCTGAGACCTACCCCCCAACCATCTAAATGGACTTCCTCCTCGACCAAGGCACTCTTAAAATTTAACTTGAAAGACTGGTTCAAGTCATGACAGGTTGTGGCAGTGGGACATGCCTCATGATTACCTCTCTGGCATTAACATCAACACAGACCTTAAGTCTGATAAGAAGCATTTACAATCTGTTCTCTTGGAATCTTCCTACCTGGAGACTTCCTCTGCACAATAAGAACTTTGGTCTTCATAATCCTTTATCTTAACCCAAACATTTCCTTTCTATTGATCCTAGGCCTTTATTTAGATAAACTCAACCAGTTGTCAACCAGAATTTTTTTTTTTTTTTTTTTTTTTGAGACAGAGTCCAGCTCCGTCACCCAGACTGGAGTGCCCTACTGCAATCTTGGCTCACTGCAACCTATGCCTCCCAGGCTCAAGCGATTCTCATGTCTCAGCGTCCCAACTAGCTGGGATTAAAGGTGTGTGCTACCACGCCCGGCTAATTTTTGTATTTTTAGTAGAGACAGGGTTTTGCCATGTTGGGTAGACTGGTCTCAAATTCCTGGCCTCAAGTGATCCACCCGCCAAGGCCTCCCAAAGTGTTGGGATTACAGGCGTGAGCCACAGAAAAATTTTAAACCTACCTATAAAGCCGGAAGCTCTCCCCTTCAAGTTGTTCCGCCTTTCTGAACCGAACCAATATATTTCTTAAATGTATTTCATTGAAATCCCATGCCTCCCTAAAATGTATACAACCAAGCTGCACCGCGACCACCTTGGGCACATGGTCTCAAGACCTCCTGAGGGTTGTGTCATGGGCCGTGGTCACTCCTATTTGGCTCAAAATAAATCACTTCAAATATCTTACAGAGTTTAACTCTTTTCATTGACACTCTGCCAAAAGGAGCCCTGAAATGTTGGTCAGATTTGGATAAGGACCATGGCCATGTGGCTTAAATGGCATTTGCTCGCTTGTTGGTAATGAGTTGCATTTGAAGAGGTGGAATAAATGGAGACAACCGGCATCATTGGGCACCTGTGGACAAAGAAAAGCCTTTTTGGTTGAGCCAAGGTGATACTATCCACATCTGCCTAGGAAGTTGTTTTTTTGTTTGGAGTAGCTGGGACTACAGGTGCCCGCCACCACACCTGGCTAATTTGTTTGGTTTTGTATTTTTAGTAGAGACGGGGTTTCACCATGTTAGCCAGGATGGTCTCGATCTCCTGACCTCGTGATCCGCCTGCCTCGGCCTCCCAAAATGCTGGGATTACAGGCGTGAGCCACCATGCCCGGCCCTGCTTAGGAAGTTTTTTGAAAGAGTGTTTATTTGTGAAAATGAAGGTGCTTCTTTATGTCTATAGCTTTCTGGCTTTACTCCTTTCAGAGATTTGACTTGTAAGGCAATAGATAGAAATGATAGCTCATCAGCATCTAATGAGCCAAATTACTTACTCCATAAAATATTATCCTACTTTCTAACTCCAACCATACAATTTGAAGGAAAGAAGCCCAGGGGTCCCGATTAAGCCATTGACATGTCTGGCTGAAGGATGATATGGGCTTCTCATTGACTGAGCCAACAACATGACCTGCCCAGGCGGGATCCGGGCTGACTCCTAACTCCAGGATGAAAGCAGGAAGGTAAACAGTCTTTGGGTAATTTACTCAAATTGTAGCCAGTGAATACCTCAAGCATGGCACTCACCATGCTGTAGTGTAATTGCCTGGCTTTTGTTTTTGTTTTATTTTGTTTTACCTGATGGGAGCTCTCTAATACTTCAAACATGGCACTTACCATGCTGTAGTGTAATTGCCTGGTTTTTGTTTCTGTTTTCTTTTGTTTTACCAGATGGGAGACTATGTCTTTCATGTCTGTCTTCCCAGTGTCTTTGTCCGCAGTAATCAATTATTGTATGTTGAATAAGCAAAATTATAATTTTTAAGCACCATAAATTCAACCTGCCAAAAGCCAAATCCAATTTTTTGTCTTTCAGGGGATGGCACAATAGCCAGCTTTTCAGGAACCTGAGTGTTTTCCAAACCAGCACTTTTCAAACTTAACTATGCACATGAATCACTAAGTTTTGTGAAAATGAAGATTCTGATTCAGTAGGTCAGGGGTGGGGCATGAGATTCTGCATTTTTAACAATCTCCCAGGTGAGGCTGATGCTGTTGGTCTGCAGACTACACCTTAAGTAGTAAAGGTCTAGACCCTGGTCTCTACCTTATCTCCAAAATTTAATCCATCACCAAGTCATGTTGTCTCCATCTCCTTTGTCCCAACTCATGTCTGTTTCTGTTGCCACCACTTTAGCTGAAGCCTTCATCATTTCACTGCAGAGATTATTGCAATAGCTTTCATGTAGTCTACCTGCTCTTTATTCTCCACTCCACTGTCTATACTGCAGCCAAGATGATATCTCTCAAATACACCTTTGGGCATGTCAATCCATTGTTAAGGGGCTTTCAATGTAGGATAAAGTAACAGACCTTCTGTGGTTAGATTGCCTTTATATTGGGTGGGAGCAGAGGCAGGGGCAAAACAATGTGAGGACTGAAGAGCCAAGAGCTTAGAGTACTGGTGGACCAGTAGTAGGGACCAACCCATGCAGATGGAGCTGCCTACAGTTATTGTCTCCTCCATCCATCTAGCCAGTTGCTGGTTAGCTAGCTGCGCAGGCATCCAACATGCCAAAAGTATTGGCTCTTGGACCAGACAAGCTTTTTCATGTCATTTACGCTAAAACCCCAATAACTTGATGTCTATTCTTTCAGAGTCTCTGGCAGATAAGATGCCTCACTGTTTTTTTTCTTTTAAATCAAAATGTTAGCTAGTCTGGGTCCCATCAGTCCAAAATCCCTTGCTCATGTTGCTTTTACGTTTGAATTACTGAGAATTTTAGTGTACATCGATCAACAATTTGTTCTATATCCTGTACCTAAAAGATGTTTTGCCATTTCCTTTTTCTTCCAGATTTTTTTTTCTGTGTTTTAAGTTGGGGTTTGGTAGATGGTTACTGTGTGCACATTCTCACGGAGGTGTAAGCATCGATGATACTGTACCTGTCCTGGGAATGGGATGCAGTGCCTTGGGTGGTTTCAGGAGATTGACACACTTCCAGGACCAGGCATTTTCATTTCCACCTTAAAGAAGGAGCCTGCTGTGCTTTCTGAGACCTACTGTATCTGGGATGGCCAGACTTCAGGAGACAAGAAGAGGAAGGCATCCTATCCTTTTGGTGGGTGGATGGACGGGCCGAATCTATCTCAGAAATTTTTAATTTTTACTTCCATGTCACTTTCCAGTCTTCAGCCAGCCCCCCACCGTCTACCTCCCACTGCTGGAGTGTGGCTTCATTCAGGGGAGAATGCTGAGCTCTGTTGACATTTGGTAGAATTTGTTTTCTTCCCTCTTTAATTTAGCAACTAATCACGGGGGTTGTTCTTTGTTCATCTTTCCAGGGTTTTCCGTACGCTGACTAATGCTTACAGCTGGCTCTCTCTGGAGAGAAGTGCTGGGAAGATCAATCAAATGAAATCTTAAAGGGTAAATCAGGTTTTCAAATGTGTTCAGGCAGCTTTAAATCGTTTCAGTGAGAAGAAGTGCTTACAAGGGCAGAAATTTGCCCAGCGAAATGCCTCCCAATGGCAACAGAACAATCACACCTTGGATGGCTGCTTTGTAGCCTGAGTGTCCAGTTCTTCTGAGATTTCCAATGGCCATTTACAACTCAAGAGTGAGGGACAAAATGAAGTGCATTTGACTTGAAGGAATTCACTAATGCAAGATCAAAGTTGTAAAAACTGTACCTTAATATGCTCTATCAAAGGGCTGTATGCAGATGTTAAGAAAGGGAAGCTGCACAAAATATCCCTTTTCAATAATTTCACATTTTCTTTAGTTTTTCAGCTCCTATAAATCTCAAGAAATAATTAACATGAAACCTATATTATGTTTCAGGAAAAACTCCAGAGAGTCTTTCTTAGGCTTTTGGAAGTCAGTGATGCTGTTTTCTGTCTTCTTAGAGAAGTCCTAAAATGGAAAAATTTTATCATGGAAATTGACCCATTCAGAGCAGAGAGTTTATGTGACTTTATGGTACAGGAAATTTGAAAATCGCATCTCATCTTTTATTTTCTATTGTCATGTTAAACTATGGTTGTGCCTATGGGATTAAGTGAATATTCTAGCCACTTGCATTAAATGATTAGCCAGTCTTTTCATAGTGACAGTTGGTTGTATGTGCTGCTAGTCCTGCAGCGGTCTAGTCTGCTAGTGGTTAACTATGGAGAATTGGTCAGAGGAGTCCCTCCCCCTATTATACACATCTCATTAAAGACTCTCTGCCACTGCCAAACCAGAAAAGGCAACTTATTTCACGATTCATTAAAGAAAACATAATTGGGAAGGTAATTTTGTAAAGTCATCATCAAACATAGTCCACCACCCAGTAGGAATTATCCTCTCATTATCTCTTTTTCTAGATAGTCATTGACATTGTTCCCCTCTGTTAGCATGAATAATTAAGGACTGAGCATAAAGAAGTGGTGTGGACCTATGGTCAATCTGAAGGTGTCATCAGAAGAGTTAGCAGGGCTTTCTTGCCTTCAGCAGGCCATTTATTCTGAGCTAACCTGCCAATTGTATTTAGAACAGGGACCATTAACAGGGTGACTGTTTGGCTGGCTGTCAGTAGGCTGTGGGGCTTTTTCCAGAGCAAATAGAGAAGCCAGCTGGGCTTCACTAAGACCACCCAGGAAGAGAGATCATGTCCCACCTGATCACATTCCAAGCAGGTAGCAAATGGGCTCCAGTTGAATTGTACTTCTGAAGGCTTTCTGAAGGGGTAGGGGAAAATACCTCCCATCTTAGAAATTATGGCTGCTAGTGTCCAGTTTAAAAAATTTCTGGCCCTCAGCACCAAGTGTCTTAGCTTTTTGTCCATCTATAGCTGTCAGAAAGACACGCTTTGTCTTCCTGGCAAAACTGCCTCTCAAGGTCTATGCCATCATTATGGCTTGGTTTAATCAAGCTACCAGGGTTGCCCCTGTGTCTCTCATCTGGCTCTTCCAGAAGGGACAGTTTGGGAAACTTTCAGAGATTCTGAAGATTTCATAGGGGGAGACCACACTTAAGGAATAAGACCCTCCACACATTGCAGTGAGAGTGACATGTTCATTGCCACCAAAAGAAGCCCCTCTGTTAAAACAAACCTGATTCCAAACAGAGCTAAGGTTGCTTGGGGGCTCCGTATTGTAAGGCCTATGGGCATGCAATGAAATAGGAGTTGATGTGGACTCTGAACCCTGAAGAAGCAGTTTAAATCACTAGCACTGCTGTTTATTAGCTGGGAAATTTTGGGCAATCTATTTCAGTTGTCAGGTCTTCAGTTTCATCATCTCTAAAATGGGGAGGACAGTGCCTGTCTTTTTACACTCCTGGACTTGTGTTGAGGAGATCATGGATAAAGTGTGTTGCACACAGTAAGGGTAGTTATCATGGTTATTAACCACACTGCAGCTAATTGGGCTCTAGCTACCCCATTTGTCCCTGGTCAGGCAGGCCCAGGACTTTCTTAAGCTTTTCTCACCTTAAAGCGGAAACACATTCCCTCTCCTGTGGGGTCACGTGGCTCTGTTTAAATGTGGCTCTAAATGAGATGTGTGCCTTTTGACAGGTCACCTTGTAAAGATACACAGCATTTCCAACCATGTAAAGGTGGCTCTAACTTCTTGAAATCCTCTCTTTGAGAACTGCCTTTAGAGCTGGTCATTTTAGTCACAAAAGAAACATCTTTCAACAGGGTCTTTTTTTTTTTTTTGAGAGGGAGTCTCCACCCAGGCTGGAGTGCAGTGGTGCAGTCTTTGCTCACTGCAACTTCCGGTTCCCGGGTTCAAGCGATTCTCCTGCCTCAGCCTCCCAAGTAGCTGGGACTACAGGCACACACCACCATGCCCCGCTAATTTTTTGTGTTTTTAGTAGAGACATGATTTCATCATGTTGGCCAAACTGGTCTCAAACTCCTGGCCTCAAGTGATCCGCCCGCCTCAGCCTTCCAAAGTGGTGGGAATACAGGTGTAAGCCACCATGCCCAGCCTCAACATGGTCATGTTTTGAATATGCTTGGACAGAACCTTGCCACCATTTCTCATAGTCATGTGTATGGTATTTAAACCATAGAATGTCAGATTTGTAATGCCCCCTAGAAATCTTCTAGTCCAGTAGTTTTCAAACTATGTTCCCCAGATCTCAACTGTTTGGAGAAGGGACATCAAGGTCAGGGAAAATCCAAAGCACCATATGTTCTTGATGCTAAGATGCCATTAGTTGTAGTTTGCACCATCAATTAATACTGGCATTTCAGGAATATTAAAAGAATGTATGCAGTCATTCTAAGACCCATCCTTATTTTAGATATGAACTTCAATTAAATACAGTATTAGGGTTCTCTGGAGGAACAGAACTAATAGGATAGATGTATATATATGAAAGGGAGTTCATTAAGGAGAATTGACTCACACGATCACGAGGTGAAGTCCCACGATAGGCCATCTGCAAGCTGAGGAGCAAGGAAGCCAGTAGTGGCTCAGTTTGAGTCCCACAACCTCAAAAGTAGGGAAGCAGACAGTACAACCTTCAATCTGTGGCTGAAGGCCTGAGAGCCCTTGGTAAACCACTGGTGTAAGTCCCAGACTCCAAAAGCTGAAGAATCCGGAGTCTGATGTTCAGGGGCAGGAAGCATCCAGCACAGGAGAAAGATGAAAGCTGGAAGACTAGGAAGTCAGCTAATTCCACCTTCTTCTTCCTGCTTTGTTCTAGCCACGCTGGCAGCCAGTTGGATAGTGCTCACCCAGATTGAGGGTGGGTCTACCCATAACACTCTGCTGACTCAAATGTTAATCTCCTATGGCAACACCCTCACAAACATATCCAGGAACAATACTTTGCATCCGTAATCCAATCAAGTTGACACTTAATATTAACCATCACACTGTCCATCATCAAATTAAAGAAATATAATGTTTTCTGTTAAACAGTATAATTTTACACAATTGGGTAAGCACTGTTTCATTGCTATTTTATAGATTGGGCTAATGCCTATGGTTTCATGTCACAGATTTCTGCTCCTACAGAGTTTGAAAATTGACCTAATCTAACCCATTTCTTCTGTAGAGGTCCAGACAGGAGAAGGTCATACAGATAGTTAGCAGCAGGGCTGGGGCTAGAACTCAGGCTTCTTGACTGCCACTCCAGTTCTCTTCACAATGTTACAGTACCTTTTGTCTACAGCCATATTGCATACCAGCCCAGCTTTCCTTTGCCATGACTTGGTTTGCATGCAGGAATTGTAAACCCATCTTATTAAAAGTTACCAATGATAGGCTGGGCCCAGTGGCTCACGTCTGTAATCCCAGCACTTTGGGAGGCCGAGGCAGGTGGATCACGAGGTCAGGAGTTCGAGACCAGCCTGACCAATGTGGTGAAACCCTGTCTCTACTAAAAATACAAAAAAAAAAAATAGCCGGGCGTGGTGGCACACACCTGTAATCCCAGCTACTCGGGGGGCTGAGGCAGGAGAATAGCTTGAACCTGGGAGGTGGAGGTTGCAGTGAGCTGAGATTGCACCATTGCACTCTGGCCTGGGCAACAGAGAGAGACTCTCTCTCAAAAAAAAAAAAAAGTTACCAATGATAAGAACATTTTATGTTACTATAGCCCTTAACATTTTACAGAACAATTTTATATTCTCCTTTTCCTTACATCTTTACCACAGCTTGTTAGGTGGAGCAAGGAGGATATCATCATCATCATTATTATCATCATTATTAAGACAATCACCTCCATTTTATGGATGAGAAAACTGATACCCAGGGAGGATAAGCAATTGGCTCAAGATCATGCAGACAGTTAACAGAACTGAGAAGACCATCCGTGGGTCCTGATTTACTCATTCAATGTTGTTACACATTAAAGCAAAACATAAATCTAAAGATACGTCTTGAGGAAAGAGTTATTCACTAGAAGCTTGCAAGAACATCATTTTATTGCTGAAAGCAGCTCACCTTCACCAGGGACGTTGAGTCATTGATATCCCAGAAACCCCGTGTCATTGGGTGATTTCAACTACAAGTTGGTGCCATAGCCTGAGCCCTGAGCCCTGAGCCCTGAGGATGGCCTTATACTGAGCATTGGGTGTTTTATCATAACAGAGACAGTTAAGGTTTAACAATGGGCTAATGGCCGATGGCAGTGCTTCCTGCACTGCTAGTGAGAGTGCCAAACCAAGGAGGAGCTGAGGAACAGTCCAGTGGCTAATGTGGGGATTAGCTGCTGCTTTGGGTAATCTGTGTCCAGTTCAGGCTGGTTACAGGAGAGCCTCAAGGACTCATTTCACTTGGCTGCTTCTTGACCTGCAATTTTGCATGCTGCATGCTGCAATTTTCCCTTTGAAAATACATCTTTCCTTTTAAAAATGTGGTGACATGTGACTTCTCTGAAGTTTAAATGTTTGATCATTTTTAAGCTGGCACAAAAATGGTTATAAATCTTAATACTTAAAAATGTAAAAGGAAAGCATAAACCCTACCAACTTGTTTGGTCCCTTTTGTGTGTTTGAGAGAGCAAGCCCAGCTCAGCAGGCCCTTTGGATGTCCGCTGAGGTTCAGAAAGCAATGATCTAGTCGCATCAAGATATTGAATCTTCTGAATTCTGGCCTTGTGCCCCCCAGGTCAGGGCTGTTGTGTTGGTTAGATGGCTGCCCAAAAAATGGTCCTGCCATGCCCCTGAGTTTCCCTCTTGTGAATGAATAGAAAGTTTCCATCTACAGAGTTGGCAAGCTCTGTGCTGTTAATTTCACTTAGTTAAAAGGAAAAAAATAACTAAACACACAATTATTAGTAAACCACCCTGCAGACAAGTTTAGGATTCTAAAGAACATTTGGTGGTTAGGCTTAAATGCTGTAGGCTATGATTACCCTTAATTCTGCACACAGACAGGCTTCAGAGCCAGAAGTTACATGATTTGGTCTTGTCAGATGAGGTCCCCTTTTTGCCTTATTCACAGGGAGATTATGGAGGTGGTAATTGTCAGTGGATTCCAAAACTCCCTGGTCAATTTAAGCATTTATATGTGGGTTTAATAAAATGATGATATAATACAGAAAGCACACTGTCAGGGAAGGAAGTAACTATTAGCAACATCATGACACCTTAATCTTTTTCTCCCTCTGGGAGAGCAGAATGGGTTAAACAGAAGGTTTGCTTTTATTATTGAAGCACAAAAAATCACATTTTTGTCTAAGTTGTTTAGTCAGTGAGTTTTGTGTAATTCAATGGAAATAATTCCATAGTAACTTAGTAAGTCAGTATTGAAAAGGCTGGGTGAAAGGACAGCATTTTAGAGCAGGCAGTGGGAAGCCTGAGGGAGCAGGAGAGGGGGAGAGGGGCTGGTTAATCAGCCGTCATATGCCAGGACAATATATAATCCTGTTTGATTTGGTGGAACAGGCCCTTTATGGGTAACATATTCCCCAATCCCAAATCAGGAACTGTGAACTCATTTTACTTGCTATAACCTCAATCCTCATAGGACTGGGGCTTATAAATTGTGGTTGACTAAGTGGGGAGGGCTGAGTTGTGGAAGATGCCACCTAAGGGTAGTGGGGACAAGCACTTCACCAGGAAAATCAGTGACAGAGGATTTTTCAGTGTAACTTTGCCAGCTGGAGACCTCTGCAGCCAGCGATGGCCATGCCTGGATCTCACTCAGGCCCTGGGCTTGCCACAGGAGGCACCCTGCTCACTTGGCCCAGGGGGCTGTGCTTGGCTTGCACTCCTGCCCAGATCCCACACTTGCCACAGGATCCACACTCAGCCTGCAGCTGGGCCGGGCATGCTGCAACCAGCTTCCCCCTTGTGTGCTGACATCTGGATGAGGGGAACACAGTGGCATCTGAACAGGGATGCCAACAACCTCAAAGCCCCAGAGGGGGTGTTACAGTGTGCTAACAGTTGTTTTAGTCCCACCATCCACAGCCTGAGCAAACAGGGGTGTGTTAACAGCTCTTTCAGTCCTGTTGCCCTGCTCCAGCCCGCAGCCCCAGGGCTAGGCTGGCCCTGCTGCTGCTTCCTGGAGCATGAAGTGGCTGCCTGGCACTGGCGGAGGGCAGAGGGCTACAGTTTTACAGCCTTCTTTGTACCCACGTTTGGCAGGTTCTGAGTTCTTGTCCCACATCCAAGAAGAATGAGGGTACGTTGACAACTGAAGTGTGAGGAGAGTTTTATTGCATGGCAGCTCTCAGTAGAGAGGGGACTCGAGAGGCCAGCCCTCGAGTGGTGGTCCCAAAGTGTGGCTGAGTCCGGGGTTTTTATGGACTCGGAAGGGGATGCACGCTGATTGGTTTGTGAGTATTCAAAAAAGGCTAAAACAAGGGCACCACTCAAAGGTGGGCACGACAGTATAAAAAGCCAATTAGGGAAGGGTAGGTATATGTAAAATAGGTGAAGGGTGGGGATCAATTAAAGGAAAGCATGCCAGATGGGAAGAGAGGTTCTCAATTTTGTCCATGGATTTATCTAGGACTTGTAGCTTGGCTTTCAAGCTTTAAACTGTCTATGGTTTGAAGGTGGGGTTTTATCAGGGACTTGCCCCTGTCTGCCTAAGACTTGTCTGCCTTCTGCTGCTATGAGCAGTACACAGAGGCAGGAGCAAAAGCAGAATAGAGCCCCATCTGAGCCATGAGTTGGGAGATTTTACAATGGGTCAGTAAAAGGGACAAAATTTATCAAATGGAAGAGCACAAAGATGAGCATTTGGATTTGTCAGGAAAGTTCCAAGAGAAATGTTAGCACAATCACAGAGGGTTAAATTCTGTACCATGAACTACAGATGACCCTGACTCCTTTGTTGGTTATAAAATACCTTTCTAGCTCCATATAAAGCAGGATGCCACAGCCTACATGTATTAAATCATGCATTGTATTGAGTTGAATTGAATGGTATTTGGGAGAGGGAGGGGATAGCCCAAGTGGTCCCAGGTTAGGACCAACACTGGGGCAGCTGTGATCTTGGGACAGAAATGTGAAAACACAGACTGTCCAGATGCAGAACAGGTGACTTTCATCAAATCCAGTCCCTCCAATGAACATAAGAGGAAACTGATGCCCCATGAGGGGAAGCAACTTGTTTCAGGTCACCTACCAGGTTAGTTGCAGAACAGACCTAAAGGGTAGGCTACCTAATTTTCAATTTAGTGTTTGCTTCTCTTTAGGCTTTATTGTTACTTTGCAATGGAGATCATACAGATATGGGTCAGGAGACTCAAGAGGACAAGTGATTTGCCCCAGGCTACACTAGTGAGCGGCAGTAGCCAGTGTTTGTCTGATTCCAGAGTCTGTGGACGTAACTACAGGGATATATGATAGAGTGTTTTGTGGTTGGAGGAGGAGAGAATTCCTTAAGAGTGTGTGCTCATGAGGCCAGGTGTGGTGGCTGACGCCTGTAATCCCAGCACTTTGGGAGGCCGAGACAGGCAGATCACGAGGTCAGGAGATCGCAACCATCCTGGCTAACACAGTGAAACC
The DNA here is from genome assembly GCF_000001405.40 of Homo sapiens. NCBI lineage: Eukaryota > Metazoa > Chordata > Mammalia > Primates > Hominidae > Homo > Homo sapiens. The sequence goes on along the minus strand of NC_000023.11, from coordinate 132,911,829 downwards.
CTGTCTCTACTAAAAATACAAAAAATTAGCCAGGCGTGGTGGCGGGCACCTGTAGTCCCAGCTACTCAGGAGGCTGAGGCAGGAGAATGGCGTGAACCTGGGAGGTGGAGCTTGCAGTGAGCCGAGATGGGCCACTGCACTCCAGCCTGGACAACAGAGCGAGACTCCGTCTCAAAAAAAAAAAAAAAAAAGAGTGTGTGCTCACGAAAGGCAGCTCTAAAGAGGTCACATTTAAACTGAAATCTAAGGGATCATGGGAAAGAATTAGCCATAGCAAAGCCAGGGGAAGTCCAGGCTGAAGTAATCACAATTGCAAAGACCCTGAGGTTGATTTGTCCCTGGGATAAATGTCCTTGCCTGATGATGTGCTTGCCTAAGTCCTTTTTTTAGAGGTAATTCTTTGACAGACCCATTGCTGTCTGGAACTCCCAATGGACAATTACTGCTTTGTTGGTGTATCTAATTCAAGAGTTAGCAGCAGAGGCTCATGTCATGAAACTTCCCTTCAAGCTTGTTTGTCTGCTGAGTTTTTGGTAGGAGCAGGATGGGATCAGGATGGTTAGGGGGCCAGGAGCGGTGGGAAGGAAATGAGTTAGGAATGGTCTTTTATGTGCCCATGAGACCAGGCTACTGGTAAAATACTGATAAATATTTCCCCTCTAAGTTTTTTTTTTTTTTTTGAGATAGCGTCTCGCTCTGTCACCCAGGCTGGAGTGCAGTGCTGCAATCTCAGCTCAATGCAACCTCTGCCTCCCGAGTTCAAGTGATTCTCCTGCCTCAGCCTCCCTGGTAGCTGGGATTACAGGCATGTGCCACCACACCCGGCTAATTTTTGTATTTTTAGTAGAGACGGGGTTTCACCATGTTGGCCAGGCTGGTCTCAAACTCCTGACCTCAAGTGAACCACCCGCCTCGGCCTCCCAAAGTGTTGGGATTACAAGCGTGAGCTACCACACCCAGCCCCTTCTAAGATTTTTAACATATGTCATGCTGCAGGATTCCTATTCCATTAGAGGCTTGTATTTACCGAGGCAAATGGACGAAAGGCAAGGAACCAGTACTAGAAATATAAAACCATCCCTGTGTTGGATACGCCCTGGAACAAAGGAATATAAGGCCAGGATTTTACTTTCTGCCCTGGAACTGACTTCCCTTTGACTCTGCAAGTTTTACTTTCCTGCTTTATGTCTGATAGGCATAAAATGCCTACCATTCTTCTTTCTAATACAATTGTAATTTCATCAATGGGATTAGTGAAGGCACTAACAAAATCTAAATTCTCCATAGTACTGATCATCAGGGTGTTCTTTAGTAGTGACTTAAAGAAAATCATGCTCTTTGAAAGAATATATATAAGTTGCCTTTACATTGCTCACTGAGAAAAGATAATGGAGCCCAAATCTAGGCTTCTTGTTCCTCGCCTCCCTTTTTTTTCCTGGGTGATCATACTTTTCAAGGTTATGTTCTTTCATATTCAGTGTTGACCATGCAAAACTGGTGAACAAGAATTGGTTCTGGGATGATTTGTTCCAGCTATAAAGTAGAAAGCATTTTACTAAAATAGGATGCTTAGATTTGTTTGGATCTACAGTTTATTCTTAACTAAAATTCCAGGAACTGTTGGTAACAGTCTAGATTCATGGCAACCAGTTTTTACAAGAATTAGAAAGAAACGAATAAAATGTTCTCATTATAAGGTTCAGGACCGAATTTGAAGGCTTTCAGGATTCCAGATGGCAAATGGTAGAGCGAACGTGAAAATATTAGAAATTTATGCTCAATGATCATCATCTTCTGTCCAGTGAAGAATGTAGTTTAAGCAGGATGGGTGCGGGCGTCTGATGTCCTCATTTATTTCCACCTCTGTAGCTATTTAAGTGATGATCATTCTTGGTGGTGGTTAAATTATGATGCACGAAATACTATCTCCCTAAGGACCTTGCTACAGGACAGAGGTGATTACAAGAAATTGTTGCTGCTGATGTAATGTTTCGTATACCAAGATTAAACCACAAGATGAAGTAATGTACATTTTTTGCCTTTGAAATGCAGCTGGAGGGAAACCAGGGTAAGAACTATTGCCAAATGAAATATAATGCCCCAGGAAAAATATAAGATACTGTAAATGTAAAATCATTACAAAACTGACCATCTGGGTCATATATTAAACCACAGCTTTCAATTTGTTATGGTTTGAGGAATGACTTCACAGTGTGTACCCCTTCCTCCGTACCTTCCTCAGCCTCAGGAAAGCATTCTATTTTCATGAGTGTAGAAAAAAAAGTAATCTTAAAGTTTTGTTTTTAAAAAAGAGTTCCAATCAATAGCTCTTAATAAAGGCACAGTGTTTGCTTACTTCTTTGCATTTAGTCCTACTATATAGTCTTGTGTTGCTAATTCCACTTTAGCTGTGGCAAATATACCAGTGTGTAGCCACCGGGCCATGAGGTAAATTGAATCCGTGTGGAGCTGACAGTTGAAAAACCTCTGTCTGCCTCAGTTCAGGAAACAAGAGCGTGTTCAACTCACTTTGGGAAACCCCCAGGCATTAAAATTTTGGCATTTTCATGTTTTGAGAGAACTGAGGAGTAGCCCTGTTTTGATAATCATTTAAAAATATTTTACTTAATTAGAGCAGAATTTGCTCAGGCAGAAAATCACATTTATATGGTAGCCAGGCTGTAACACCTCATAGCTACCCATTGTCTCTAATCAGAAATGACAGCCTGGTGACTGGCTCCATGCTGGGTGAAGTCCAGCAAACTGCAGGCCCTGTAAGTGCCTAATCCCAAACCTGGGCTTCCAGTGGAGTTGGTTTTTTTTTTTTTTTTTTTTTTTCAGTGGAGTTCTTCAATGGGTCTGGCTTTGAAATACTTCTATCCTTTCTAGTTTAGGAAAGCAATGGCACAAGAAACCCATATATAAGTCAGCTACTTTTTTGATGTGTAATTCACATACCATACAATTTCCCATTTAAAGGCTAAAATTCAGTGGTTTTTAGTATATTTACGAAGTTGTACATCCAAAACCACAATCAATTTTAGAATATTATAATTCCCCAGAAAAGAAACCCCTCACTCTTTAGCCTTCACTCCTAGTCTCCCCATTCCTCACACCTCTAGGCAACTACTAATCTACTTTCTGTTTCTAGAGATTTGTGCATTCTGATAATTTCACATAAATGGACAAATGCAGTGTGTGGTCCTTTGTGACTGTCTTCTTGGTTCAACATGTTGTAGCATCAAGCAGCAATTCATTTCATTTTATTGCTGAATAACATTCCATTGCATGAATGCACAATTTATTTATTCATTCATTGGTTGATGGACATTCAGATTGTTTTCAGTTTTTAACTATTGTGAATAATGCTGCTATGATTTGTGTACAACTCTTTGTGCAGACATTTGTTTTCATTTCTCATGGAGTAGAATTGCTGGGTCATGTGATAACTCTGTGTTTAATCATTTGAGGAATTGTCAGGCTGTTTTCCAATGTAGCTGCACCATTTTATATTTACACCAGCAATGTATGAGGGTTTCAGTTTCTCCACATCCTTTCCAACACTTGTTATAATCTGTCTTTTTCAAATAGCTGTCTTAGCAGGTTTGTGAAGGGTTACCTCACTGAAGTTTTGATTTGCATTTTCCTAATGATTAATTATATTGATCATCTTTATCTGCTTAATTTCTATTTGTATATTTTATATAGAGAAATATCTATTCAGATTCTTTGCTTATTTGAAAATTGGATTACTTGTCTTAAGTTATTGAGTTATAATTGTTCTTTATATAGTCTAGGTACAAGTCTTTTATCAGTGACAGGATTTGCAAAAACTTCCTCCCATTCTGTGAGTTTTCTTTCTTGATGTTCTTTGAAGCATGAAAGTTTAAAATTTTGATGATTTCCAGTTTATGTGTTTTTTCTTTTGTTGTTTGTGTTTTTGGCATCATAGCTAAGAAGTCATTGCCTATCCAAGGACATGAAGATTTACAACTGTGTTTTCTTCTAAGAGTTTTATTGTTTTAGCTCTTACATTTCTGTCTCCGATCGATTTCAAGTTAATTTTTGAATATGGCATAAAGTAGGGGTCCATCTTTGTCCATTTGCATGTGGACGTCGACTTGACCCAGAATCATTTGCTGAAAAGGCTATTGTTAACAGTTCCCTCCCTGCCCCATAGCAGCCATGCATGGGGCAACTTCCAGTGAGGTGAGTATGAGGTTGTGGCAAGCAGGCCTCAGTGATGGTGGCATGATGACCATGCTCTGGGGCTTCATCTGTAATGACCCGTTCAGTTTCAACAGCATTAACTTGGAGACACTTACAGAAACTTACAAGATTCCTTTTTACTTACAATATCTTGCCAGAGTATTTTATCATTGCAGAGGCATCTAGTGGAAAGTTAATGGATTGTATTGTGGGTAAAGCAGAAGGTTCAGTAGCTAGGGAAGAATGGCACCGTTATGCCACAGCTCTTTCTGTTGCCCAAAATTTCCATATCTTGGTTTGGCTGTTAAACTCATAGAGTTGTTGGAGGAAATTTCAGAAAGGCACAAGACAAGGGTGCCTTTGGTTGGCCCTTTAATAATTTACTGTACCCCTAGATAGCACAGGGAAACAAGTGTCTTAGTCCATTTATGTTGCTATAAAGGAAACTGAAGCTGGGTAATTTATAAAGAAAAGAGGTTTTATTTGGCTTATGGTTCTGTAGGCAGTACAAGAAATGTGGTGCTGGCATCTGCTTCTGGGATGACCTCAGAAAGCTTCCACTAATGGCAGAAGGCAAGGGAGAGCAGACATCACATTGTGTGAGAGAGGAAGAGAGTAGAGAGGGAGTGCTGGGCTCTGTTTCTGAATCACTTCTTGGCTGGGCATGGCGGCTCATGCCTGTAATCCCAGCACTTTGGGAGGCCGAGGTGGGCAGATCACCTGAGGTCAGGAGTTCAAGATCAGCCTGGCCATCATGGTAAAACCCTGTGTCTATTAAAAATATAAAAATTAACTGGGCGTGGTGGGTGCCTGTAATTCCAGCTACTCGGGAGGCTGAGGCAGGAGAATTGCTTGAACCCGGGAGGCAGAGGTTGCAGTGAGCCACTCCAGTCTGGGCAACAGAGTGAGACTCCATCTCAAAAAACAAAAAGAAAAAAAAATCACTTCTTGAGGGACCTGCTAGAGTGAGAACTCAGTCATTATCATGAGGATAGCACCAAGCCCATTCACGAGGGATCTACCCTCATGGCCCAAACACCTCCCATCAGGCCCCACCTCTAACACTGGGGATGAAATTTCAACATGAGATTGGAAGGGGCAAATATTCAAACTGTATCAGTGAGAAAAATAAAATAATATGAGAATTGAGAAAGAAGCAAAACTTTTATGTTGCATAGATATGATTGTACAAATAGAAAATCCACAATTATTCTTATGGATTTATTACAATAAATGTTTAGAATTAACAATGTTTAAGAAGTTGGATATAAATTCAGTACAAAAATCAATTGCATTTCAATATACAAAAAATAACATTTAGAGAAATATGTCATTTGCAGTGTTACCAAAAAACATTAAGTGTTTAGGAAAAACCTAACAAAAGCCATGCAAGACCTCTTTGAAGTTTATAAAGCTTTATTGAGAAGCATTCAACATGAGCTAGCTAAGTGGGCAGATAGACTGCACTTGTAGATTAGATGACGTGATATTATAAAACTGGTAATTCTCCCCAAATTGATCCACAGATCCAGTGTAATTGCAATCAAAACCTCAAGTATTTTTGTGGGATTTGTTAATCTGATTCCTTTTTTTTTGAAACAGTGTCTTCCTTTGTCACCCAGGCTGGAATGCAGTGGCATGATCTCGGCTCACTGTAGCCTCAACCTCCCAGACTCAAGTGATCCTCCCACCTGAGCCTCCTGAGTAGCTGGGACTGCAGGCCTACACCACCACACCTGGCTAATTAAAAACATTTTTTCATAGACACAGTGTCCCACTATGTTGCCTAGGCTGTTAAGCTGATTCTTAAACTTGTGAGGTAACGGAAATAGCTAAATTAAGACAAAATATTCTTTTAATTTTTTTTAATATAGAGATGGGGTCTCCCTGTGTTGCCCAGGCTGGTCTCAAATTCCTTGGCTCAAGTGATCCTCCCACCTCAGCTGACAAGGTATTCTTAAACAACAAAATGGGCATACTTGCCCCTCCAAATGTCAGGCTATAATAAATAAGACTTTGTGTTAGCGTTGTAGTAGTTGTCCAGACCAGTGGAACAGAATTTGAGAAACAGATCCAGGAATACATGGAATTTGACATTTCTTAGAGGAGAAATTGCAGATCAGTGGTGAAAGAATTGACTTTTCAAAGTGTGGTAGAACAATTTGACAGCCATGTGTGGAAAAATTTTTCCCAGATTACTACCTTATCATATGCACAAAAAATAAATTCCAGATTTATGAAAAATCTAGGTGTGAAAAGTAAAGCTAAAATGCTCTTTAAAGATAGATAATATAGGAGAGTGTCTCCATGACCTCAGGATAGAAAATAACTTCTTCAACAAGCCATTGAAGCAATAACTGTAAAGGAAAAGTTCATATATTCAGTTTCATTGAAGTGAAGTCATTTTGTTCTTCAAAAGATGTCATAAGGATCATAACAAGACCAACCACAAGTTGGAAGAAGATATTTGCAAAAGCATTACAACAGTGTTTGTTGGTTATCTGGAATACATAGAGAAGAACTATAGCTGGGAAAAATAAATAAATAAATAAATATGGGAAAGACCATTAAGTACTATACAAAAAGAGAAGAGTAAATGGGCAATAAACAAAAACTGCATTTGGCCTTATTAGTAATCAAAAATGCATATTAAAATCACGATGCGGCACCATTATACCATGAGATTGGCAAAACTAAAAATGTCCAAAGCACCAAGCCTTGGTACTGTGGGGATGGAGTTTTACTCAATTCTGTGAGTGTAAGCTGGTACAAGCAGGTTAGAAAACAGTTTGGGGCCGGCTGTGGTTGCTCACACCTGTAATCTCAGCACTTTGGGAGGCCAATGTGGGAGGATTGCTTGAGACCAGGAGTTTGAGACCAGCCTGGGCCACATAGCGAGATCTCTGTCTTTACAAAAAAAAAAAAAATAGCTGGGCCTGGTGGTGTGGGCCTGTAGTCCCAGCTGCTAAGGAGGCTGAGGTGGGAGGGTGCCTTGAGCCCAGGAGTTCGAGGTTGTGCCACTGCATTACGGCCTGAGCGAGAGTGAGACCCTGTCTCTATACACACACACACACACACACACACACAAAGAGAAAAAAAAGAAAATAAAAAAGGAAAGAAGGAAACAGTTTGACACTCTAATAAAGTGGAAGATATGCATACTCTTTTGACCCAGGAATGACCTCATAACTGTTGACCTTAGATATTGCACTATGAGACGCAAAATGAGAATATTCATAGTTTTTAATAGTAAAAGCCGGAAACTTTTAACAATAGGACTATGGGCAACTTATGATATATTCATACAATGGAATGCTAAACAACACACGAGGCTAAGTTTCACAATATTAACTGAGAAGGGCAAATCAAAAAAATTTAAAATATAACTCCATTTATATGAAGTTCATAAACAGGAGAAACTAAACTATATTAGGTGGTAAATTAGATATTACTTGGCAATGCCTAATTTCTTTCCATCTATATTAGGTAGTAATACCTAATTTATTGCTACTTAATATTGCTATATTAGGTAGCAAGCAGCAAGAAGATAATGATCACAAAAGTGAAGAAGTGGAGACCTCTTGGTGAGGGAGGGGAAGTTGATGACTAGAGGGACCTGAGGGAGGCTACCTTTGGGCCATGGCCACATGGGTGCTTACTGCAGTCTTTAATTTGTACATATGGATGAGAACATTGTATGTATGCTATGACTAATCTATAAAATGAGCATATCAATTACTGCAACATAACATATAGTAATTTTTAAAAACCAAGTAACAGAATTGTGGTTAAAAACTACTTTTTTGAGTTTATCTTTTAAGAAACTATATATTATAGATTGTGAAATATTAGCATGAAAACAAGAAAGTCATGTTTTTATGCTGCAAAATAATGGTCACAAATCCTATGTAATAAAAATTGATATTGTGATGTAAAACAAAGGCTATTATTTTCTCACTGGATTTTTCCCCACTGTTTTAGCACCCTTGTTGACAATCATTGACTAAAAATATGAGGATCTGGACTCTTAATTGTATTTATCTATACTTATGCCAACACCATATTTTATTGTCTTGATTAATGTTTTGAAATTGAGAAGTGAGTCCTCCAACTTTGTTCTGGTTTTCATGATTGTTTTGGATATTCTGGGTCTTTTATAGTTCTATGTGAATTTTATGATCAACTCATTGATTTCTGCAAAGAAAAGTAAGATTTTGATAGGGATTACATTGCATCTGTAGATCAATTAGGGGAGTATTGTCATGTTAACAATATCAAGTTTTCTGATTCATGCACATGGGATGTTTTCCCATTTATTTAGGTCCTCTTTAATTTCTTTCTGCAATGTATTTTAGTTTTCAGAGTATAAATTTTAGGCTTATTTTATTAAATTTATTCCTAAGTATTTAATTTCTAGCGATGCTATTGTAAATGGAACAGTGTTCTTAATTTCATTTTTGGTTTGTCCATTGCTACTATATAGATATAAAATTATTGTTGGATATTGGTCATGTATCCTGCAACCTTATTAAAATTGTTTATTAGTTCTAATAAATGTTTACTTTATTCCTTAGGATTTTCTATATACAAGATCATGTCATCTGCAAATAGTTTTACATCCTCTTTTCCAACTGGGGTGCCTGTATTTCCTTATCTTGCCTAATTGGCCTACCTAAAACTTCCAGTACAATGTTGAATAAAAGTGGCTAGAAAAATTATCCTTGTCTTGTTTCTGATCTCAAGGGGAAAGTATCATTCTTTCACCATGGAGTCTGATGTTAGTTGTGGGTTTTTTCTAGTTATTCTTTATCAGGTTGAGGAAGTCCATTCTCCTTTTTTCTTTAAGCTATTGATTATCAGGATGGATTTAGGTGGTCTTGCTGCTTTGGAAATTGTAGACTTCCTTCTTAAAGCCTGCTCCATTTTATCCTTCTAAGATATGCATGATTTTGGAAAGACTACAAGCTTCCCAGTTAGAGGAGGGCCTTCTTGTTTTTCACCCTACATACAATGAGCCTCCTTGTTGGATGCCAAAGTAAGGTCTTTACATCCTTCATTCCCTACAGACCAGGCTTCTTAAATTATCAGGCCACAGGTAACAAATATATTTCATCTCCTGTACCAATTCTGATGTTTTGGTAGTAGCTGCCCGAAGGATTGTTAAGAAGGAATCTGAGGCCAGGCACAGTCTCAGTGCTGTCATTAATTAGTGTTATCTGGCCTGGTGCACTGGCTCAGGCCTGTAATCCCAACACTTTGGGAAGCCAAGGCTGGCAGATTGTTTGAGCTCAGGAGTTTGAGACCTGCCTGGGCAACATGGTGAAACCCCGCCTCTACCAAAAAATACAAAAGCTAGCTGGGCATGGTGGCACACGCCTGTGGTCCCAGCTACTCAGGAGGCTGAGGTGGGAGGATTGCTTGAGCCCAGGAGGTGGAGGCTGTAGTGAGCCGAGATCACACAACTGCACTCCAGCCTGGGTTAAAGAGCAAGAGCCTGTCTCAAAAAAAAAAAAAAAAATGAGTGATATGTGTCACTGGTCTGGTAGTAGGGAAGGCTGCAAATTGATACAACTTCTGGATTAGACTGTGCCTGTGCCTCAACCAATTCCAGTGGCCTTTTTCTCAGTGCCCTCCGTACTCCTTCAACAACATTAAATCTTATGGTCCATACCCCTTTGTACCACCCTCTCTTCTTTAGATCTCTGTTACAAAGCAATATTCTGGGTCTCCTGTAAAGTCTCTGGCCTTCCCTCCCCCGACTTTTCCCCTCAACATATCTCTCTAGCTTTCTCAACTGAGCCTTTGATCCTGTGTACTGTTTGCTTGGGATATTTTGCCCTTCTTTTACATCTCTCCTTGCTGAAAATTGTGCCATTCTTCAAGGTCCATCTCAAATCTGCTTCCCTGGTTTTCCCCATACCTGAGAGACTGTTCTGCCCTTAAACTGCCAAGGCATAGGATATTTGGGTACCATACCTAGAATTGTTTTCCTTCATGTACTTTTCTGAGTTCCTGCCCAGTACTGAAAATATGAAATTTTTTAAGTCCAGGCAGGGACTTTATATTCTTAGCATATGACTCCCTGCTTTTACTATGGTGGATGCTCAATAAATGTTTGGTCCTTTTAAACTCTTTGCTTGCTGTCTATTGGAATGATTATTTTTAAGATTTCATGTTATTTCTATTATAGGCTCATTAGTAATGCTCTTTATTTTGTGTTTTTCCTGGTGTTTATTCCAGGACATACAATATATAACAATTTAGTATTAGTACACATATATAACTAGGTTATATATTGCTGCATGACAACCTGTCTTCGAATTTAGTGGCTTAAAACAACAAACATTTATTATCTAATAGTTTTAGTGAGTTAGGAATCTAGGCATGGCTTTGCTGGGTTCTCTGGCTCAAGGTCTCTCACAAGGCTGCAATCAAGATGTTGGCTGGGGCTGCAGTCATTTCTTCTGAAGGCTTGATTGAGGGAGGATGCAATTCTAAGCTCATGCATGTGGTTGTTGGAAGGATTCAGTTCCTTGTAGTCTGTTGGACTGAAGGCCTCAGTTCATCACTGACTGTCAGCTGGAAACCCCCATCAGTTCCTTGCCCCATGGAACTCTGCATAGGGCAATTTGCCACATAGCATCTATTTTCATCAGAGAAAGTGAAAGATAATAAGAGAGGGTGAACAAGAGAGAAGGCAGAGTCTTTTTTTTTGTACCATAATCTTGGAAGTGACATCTTAGTACTTTTGCGCTATTCCATTTGTTATGAGTCATTATATCCATCACCCATTCAAAGGGCAGGTATTACACAATGACATGAATAACAGATGTTGTGGATCATTGGAAGTCATCTTAGAGGCTGCCTACCATAACATCCTTCTAACTTTTAATATTCTACCTTGAAATAATAATATACCATTTTAGATGGTATATTATTCATGTGAAAACCTATAACAATATATTTTAATTTTCCTCTTCTCAGCCTTTGAACTACCTTTCTCATCATTTTTCTACATATGTTATACCACATATAGTACAATATAGTATTATTTAATTAATTTATTTATTAGAGATAGGGTCTTGCTATGTTGCCTAGGCTGTTTTTGAACTCTTGGCCTCAAGCAGTCCTCCCACTTCAGCCTCCAAAAGTGCTAGGATTATAGGCATGAGCCACTATATCTGGCCTATTATTTTTGATTTAAATAATTATCTTTTAAAGAGATTTTACAAATGAGAAACCAATATTTAATATTTATGCACATTTTTATCATTTACAGTGTTCTTCATTCCTTTTTGTAGCTCCAGCATCCCATCTGGTGTTATTTTCCTTGTGATGAAAGAACTTTATTATTTCTTATAGTGTTGGTCTCCTTGCAATGAATTCTCCCTCAAAAAAGGAAAAAGAAATAAGAAGTGTAAGAATTGATAGGGAAGATATAAAACTATCATTACTTGCAGTTGGTATGATCATCTGCAGAAGAAAAACAAGATAATGGATAGAAAAAATGATAAAAACTAATAAGAAAATGCAGCAACTTATAAAAATCAATAGCGTTTCTCTGTACCGATGATAACTGATCCAAAAACAGCTGGACTTCTGGCAGTAATTTTCTCAGACTGCTCCCTTATTTCACCTAATTTTTGAAAGACAGTTTTTTTTTTCTGTAAATAGAATGATAAGGTGTCAGTTTTTTCTTTCAATACTTCAAAGATGTCACACTATTGTTTTTGGTTTGCATAGCTTCTGATGAGAAGTATGCCATCATTTTTATCTTTGTTCCTTTGAACAACTTTCACATTTTTTCAGTACTTAGATAATGATTTGCTATGGTGTGGTTTTTTCCTTTTATTTTTGGCTTACAGTCCATTGAAATTTTTAGACTTGCGCATTTATAGTTTTCATAAAATTTGCAAAACTTTTGGTCCTTTTTCTTCGAATATTTTGGTACTTCATTGAACCCTGTGGTGTTTCCCATAGCTAACTGATGCTCTGTTCTGTTTGTCTCAGTCTTTTTTCTCTATGTATTTCATTTTGACCAGTTTCTATTGCTGTGTCTTTAGGTTCATTCATCTTTTCTTCCGCAGTGTCTATTGTACTAGAAATCCCAGCCTATGTATTTTTCATTACAGATACTGTATGTTTCATGTCTAGATGTTTGATTTGAGTCTTTCCTGTACCCTCCATGTTTCTACTTAACATGCCCAGTCTTTCCTCTAGCTCCCCTATTAAATGGGAGCATATATATAATGACTATATTTTAATGTCCTTATATGTTAAGTCTATAATTTGTGTCATCTTAGTTTGTTTCTGTTGATTGATTTTTCTCCATTTAAGAGTTGTATCTTTCTAATTCTTTGCATGTCTGATAATTTTTGATTGGATGTTGGACATTATGGATTTTATATTGTTGGGTGCTTTATTTTATCATATTTCTTTAAATACTATTAAACTTTGAACCAGCATGCAGTTAATTGGAATCAGTTTGATCCTTTTGAGGCTTGATTTTTATGCTTTCTTAGGGTAGTATCAACGTAGCCTTTAGCCTGCAGCTAATTTTATTTCACTACCAAGACAATACACTTTTCAGGGCTCTAATTATTGCCCCATATATCACAAGGTCTTTCCATTCTGCTGGTAGGAACACAAACTGTTCCTGTGTCTTTGTGAGCTTCTGGGGACTGGCCCTCCTACTTTTTCTTTTTTTAGCAATTCTTTTATTGGTCTTGGGTAGTTTCCTCCCATACGTATGCCAATCAGTACTCAGCCAAAGACATAAAGGGATCCATCTGAAGACCTCCAGAGCTCTCTCCTATGTAGCTCTCTTCTCTCTGGAACTTTTTCCCACAAGTTTTAATTATTTTGGCCTCCCTCTTCCCTGATTTCTGTCTTCTCAATGCAGGAAATCACTGGGCTGTTTGCACTGCATCGTGGAAAGCCTCTCCAGTCAGTAAGCTAGGGAAGATTTAGGGGTGCCTCACTTGTTCCCCTTCTCTGAGGGCTAGCAATCTTGTACTGACTGTTGTCTAGTGTCTGAAAGCCATTTTTTTTTCATGTATTTTGTCCAGTTTTTTAGTTGTTTAATCTGATTGCTTTTACTCCATCATGGTTGGAAGCAAAAGTTGTTAATACGTTTTTGTGATGCCAGACTGAACTTTCATTGTTTGGCTATTCAAGGGCTAACTCTTCAGCTTATTAAAATGCAGAGAAGCTTATATATATATATATATATATATATAACCTTATGTTGATAAAGAGAGCATATATGACAGGACACCTTTTTTTCAAACTGAGTAGTTAGTAGAAGCATCTAGAAGAGAAAACATTTGGTTTTCTAAACTATTAGGAAGATATTAAGCCATTTAGGGCAGTGTTCCCCAATCATTTTGGCACCAGGGAACAGTTTCGTAGAAGACAATTTTTCCACGGACAGGGGGAGGTGGGGGATGGTTTCGGGATGAAACTGTTCCACCTCAGATCATCAAGCATTAGATTCTCATGAGGAGCGCAACCTAGATCCGTTGCATGCAGAGTTCACAATAGGGTTGGCACTCCTATAAGAATCTAATGACGCCACTGATCTGACAGGAGGCGGAGCTCAGGCAGTAATGCTTGCTGGCCCGCTGCTCACCACCTGCTGTGCAGCCTGGTTCCTAACAAGCCATGGACCAGTACCCATTCGTGGCCCAGGGATGGGGACTTCTGATTTATAACTTTGAGTCACTCAGGCTAACAGCATCATGGTTAAGGGGATATTTAGCAACAGAAATAAAGTGACTTTTCTGAGAGTATGCAATGACTCCATTCGCCCTAGGTCCAAAATGATGAGAATTGAAACACATATGTTACTAAGATTGTAAATGGAAGAGGGCGGAGGGAGGTGGTGAACATCAGCATAGGGCAGAAGTTGTCACATCCACACTTTCTTGTATGTCCCCTATTCCTGGAGCTGCCTTCCCTATTTTTTTGCATGTCTAAAGAGCAAGTCATATCACTGATCTCTGAATAATAAAAGTTACCATTTATTCAGTGCTTATTATGTTCCTTGCACTGTGCTAAGTTTATATATTATCTTTCACTGAATCCTCACATCTGCCTATGAGGTGGGTGCTATTACTATTACCATTTTATAGATGAGGAAATTCAGATATAGAGAGGTTTAATTATGTACTTAAAGGCTATACAGATTAGTGATTGGCTGAGCTAGGACTAGAACCCAGGCTTTTTGACTCCATACTCTGTACTTTTGCCTTCATGTCTCCACCTGAGTTGGGATTTCCTGTTCTTCCAAATCAATCTCGGCATTATTTAGCACTGACCACGATTCTTTGCATCCCTTGCCCCCGCTCCCCCCGCCCCCAGCACCTCCAAGTATCTATTTTAGGCGACTCCAGCTCAGGAAGAGCCTCGATGTTACTCGGCAACAGGTATCTCTCAACCTCTAAAATGTTCCACCTTCTGATAGAATTCCACCTTATAGTTTTGTCATGTTGCTTCCTTCAACACTAGATGGTGGACTTCCTCATTGTCTCCTGATTAGACCTTAATCACTGCTGCCTTTAAATGTCATGTTCCTTCAAAGCTCAAGACTTAGTTGGCTCTTTCAGTTAGTCTTTCCTGATGGATCACATGCTGTCGAAATCCTTCTAATGCTTTGAATTATCAGCATTTACCTTGGATTTGGTTAGATGGTCTTTCTGACTTTCTCTGAGATTCTCTGGTACTTTGAATCTCTTTCTAGATGTTTATGACATAGCACCCCTATATTCATATTATAACCTGCTCAAAATTCCCAATCATAGAATATTTACTGAGTTCCTAATATGAGCAAAACACTGATTTTAACATTGCCCTTCTCTTTTGAGACAATCAGTGTTTCCACTGTTTAATTTTTAATTTTTTGTGGGTACATAGTAGATATATGTATTTATGGGGTATGTGAGATATTTTAATACAGGCATGTAATACGTAATAATCACATCATGTAAAATGGGGTATCCATCCCCTCAAGCATTTACCCTTTGAGTTACAAACAATCCAATTACACTCTTTAAGTTATTTTATAATGTGCATTTAAGTTATTATTGACTCTAGTCACCTTATTGTGCTATCAAATAGTAGGTCTTACTCATTCTTTTTTTTTTTTTTTTGAGACGGAGTCTGGCTCTGTAGCCCAGGATGGAGTGCAGTGGCACAATCTTGGCTCACTACAAGCTCCGCCTCCTGGGTTTATGACATTCTCCCACCTCAGCCTCCCGAGTAGCTGGGACTACAGGTGTTCACCACCACGCCTGGGTAATTTTTTTGTATTTTTAGTAGAGACGAGGTTTTACCGTGTTAGCCAGGATGGTCTCGATCTCCTGACCTCGTGATCCACCCGCCTCCGCCTCCCAAAGTGCTGGGATTACAGGCATGAGCCAACACTCCCGGCTCATTCTTTCTAACTATTGTTTTTGTACCCATTAACCATCCTCACCCATCCCCAGTCCCCCACTTCCCTTCCCAGCCTCTGGTAATCATCCTTCTACTCTCTGTCTCCTTGAGTTCAACTGTTTTGACTTTTAGATCCCACAAATAAGTGAGAACATATGATGTTTGTCTTTCTATGCTTGGATTAATTCACTTAACATAAAGTCTTTAAACTCTTCATGTTTATTATTCCTCCAATTATTTAATATGAAGATCTGCCTGGTGACAGTATTGGAGTGACGCTCCTATAGAACCAAAAGAGGCACCTGAGTTGCAGTTTTCATCAAAGTCATGTAGTATACACCATAGGCATTCAGAGTCACTGTCAGTCCATTGATAAGATGTAAGGCAACAGATTAGAACCCACAGCCCAGTGTCAGCAAGCAGAAGTGATGATTGATACCAGTGAGAGGAAATAGATGAACTAACAAGTATGGCCAGCTGCCAGATAGTTGTTTATATGTCAGTATCATCATTGAGCATCACATTATCATAACCTAGTACAGTAATAGATATTCCTAAAGACTGAGACAAAATGCATATAAAGCCCTCATCTAATGCCTGACACGCATAAAGCACAGAATAAAGTGTGTGTCTATGTATATACATTTTATATATACACACAAATATACAAATGAAAAGGCTAAATTATAATCATTGTATTTTATATATATCATATATATGTGTATATGTATGTATATCATTATATACATTGTACCTTATAGAAGAGAAGTATACATGACATTTTAGAATGATTTCCGTGGAAGTAGCTAGAATTAAAAAATATTTTTCGTTTATTGAGAAGTACTTTCAGTTATCACAGTGCAACACTGCTTTCTGTAATGAGGCTAGAAAAATGAGGAGCCATTGTATTTAATAAAATAAGAATTTTTTCTGTCTCCATGGTAAGATTAACGAACACACTTCAACATAAAGTAATACAATTGCTACCTTCTTCCTGGTGGCATGCTCCCTGTGTTAAATTTAAGTGACAGTAAAACGTAATGAGTTAGAGGAGAAAAATTTTAATTTATTCGTTTATTTGAATAGGGAAACCCAAGAGATCAGTGATAGAATTTGAACTGCGAGACAAAAAGAAAGAAGAGGTTTTAGTTTTGTAGCTAAAATTAAGGTGGTGGCACTTGAAGTGAAATTTAAAAATACACATTCACTTAGTTTTCTTGGCCATATTCTGCTTCTCATGTGAAACTGGACTTCCTGCCTTTTAGCCTTGTATTCTGTCCCTTTGGAAACTGTATCATCTTTTAAAAATGAAGTACGTGACTTTCCTAATGATCTTTTATATTATAAAAATAGGCCGGGCTCAGTGGCTCATGCCTGTAATCCCAGCATTTTGGGAGGCCGAGGCTGGTGGATCACTTGAGGTCAGGAGCTCGAGACCAGCCTGGCCAACATGGTGAAACCCTGTCTCTACAAAAATACAAAAATTAGTCGGACATGGTGGCACATGCCTGTAATCCCAGCTACTCAGGAGGCTGAAGCAGGAGAATCACTTGAACCCCAGAGGCAGAGGTTGCAGTGAGCTGAGATTGTGCCACTGCACTCCAGCCTGGGCAACAGAACAAGACTCCATCTCAGAAAAGAAAATAACATCAAAATAAATAACATAACATAACATAACATAACATAACATAACATAACATAACATAACATAACATAACAATAGGAATTTCAAAAAATCTGAAACCCGGGCCTGGCACAGTGGCTCACACCTGTAATTCCAGCACTTTGGGAGGCTGAGACGGGTGGATCACCTGACGTCAGGAGTTTGTGACTAGCCTGACCAACATGGTGAAACCCCATCTCTACTAAAAATACAAAAATCAGCCGGGCGTGGTGGCGCATGCTGTAATCCCAGCTACTCAGGAGGCTGAGGTACAAGAATCGCTTGAACCCAGGAGGTAGAGGTTGCAGTGAGCTGAGATTGCGCCATTGCAATCCAGACTGGGCAACAAGAACAAAACTTCGTCTCTCTCCCCACCTCCCCCCCCACAAAAAAAAAAAAAACCTGAAACCCATCATGACTATATCATGATGCTGTAGCCTCAAAATGGACTTCACAAGTTCACCTGTGATTCCCTCAAAAGCACTTGAGTTTTGATTTGCTGATTGCCAGAAGTGTATTTGAACAGTCCCACTTTATATGGAGCCCCAAGCATATTAAATGGAGATTCCAGATAATTAGTGAGCTCTGGATGAAGCTCCTGGGATGCAGTGGGGAAAAAACTGGATCTGGAGTGTTAAGGTTTGGGCTCTGGGCCTGACTTTTTCCCTTATCATTTGGAAATTAGGCTCAGGATTGTGTATTGGGGAAACACAGCAAGCTGTATGCCTATAGTAAATAGACACCCTGTTTAGTGGCATTCAATAGACCTCAATGCCATATTCATTCTTCCCCAACCCTATCTGTCTTGGCTTCAGGCAGATCTTGGCATAGGGCACCCTCATCCTCCCCCACTGCCACCTAGCTCCTGGGTGAATGTCTCCCAGCCTGGGAAGAGTTCTGTTGAACTTCATGAACAATGCTGTCTGCCTAGCATTGGAGCTCATACCCTGAGACTTTGCCTTAGTCCTCTCCTTTGTGCCCAGAGGCATACATTTGAGAGACAGTCAATAGAGCCTTAGACCCCTAACTTTGCACATATAAGTCCTATGAACCATCTGGGCCACTCACTCTGCTTAGAGCAATTGCACACTGCTCCCTCTCCTTTCCTTCCATTTACATCTACAGGGAGATTTTTAGTTTACTAAGCCCTGGTAAATGACAGTTACTAAGATGTAATACAAATCTTAACAGTGGGAACAGTGACTACTGTTTATCACGTGAATACTATAAGTCAAGCACAACAACCCTTTGTGGTGCTGCTAGAGTTAAGGAGGCATCCTCAGAGGTTGAGGAATGTGCCCAACCTCAGATGCTAGCAAATGGTAGAGCTTTGTTCAGAGTCCAGGTCCTCATTCTACCACATCTCACTGCCTCTTTATGTTCTGATGTCTCTACTGTGTATATCAATGCTTCTCAAACGCAGTATGTACACAGTTGGCCCTCTATATCCGTGGGTTCCACATTTATGGATTCAACCTACCACAGACAGAAAATATTTCAAATAAAAAGCAATAAAACATAACAATACAACAATAAAAATAAGACAAATTTTAAAAGCAATACAGTGTAATAACTGTTTATATAGCATTTACATTTATTGGATACGAGAAGCACTCTAGAGATGACTTAAAGCATATGGGGGATGTGTAGAGGTTATACACAAATACTTTGCCATTTTATTTATTTGTGTGTTTGGGTTTCTTTTTAAGATGGAGTCTCACTCTGTCACCCAGGCTGGAGTGCAGTGGCACAATCTCGGCTCACTGCAACTTCCACCTCCCAGGTTCAGATGATTCTCCTGCCTCAGCTTCCGGGGTAGCTGGGATTACAGACATGCACACCCACGCCCAACTAATTTTTGTATTTTTAGTAGAGACGGGGTTTCACCATATTGGCCAGGCTGGTATCGAACTCCTGACCTCAAGTGATCAGGCTGCTTTGGCCTCCCAAAATGCTGGGATTACAGGCGTGAGCCACCATGCCCAGCCTGTGTTGCCATTTTATATCAGGCTCTTGAACATTTGTGGATTTTGGTACCACAGGGGGTCTTGGAACATTGCAATACTCTATGAATACTGAGGGACGACTGTATACATATCACCTGGGAATCTTGGGAAATGCAGATTCTGATCTTGTACCTCTGGCATGAGGCCTTGATTCTGTGTTTCTATCAAGTTCCAAGGTGCTGCTGCTGCTACTGATCCATGGACCACATTTTGAGTAGCAAGAGTGTGCACTATCAGAAATACAAGGGGAGTCAAGAATCTTATAACCGGATTGGACATTTTTAACAAAAATACTGTTGAAAATTTACAGGATAAATTTTTGAACATTTTGAAAGAACAAAATGTTTTATCAACTAGAACTTTGCTTCATTTTCAATATGGTCTTCAAAAACAAAAACAAAAAATCAAAACCACAATGAGATACCATCTCACACCAGTTAGAATGGCGATCATCAAAAAGTCAGGAAACAACAGGTGCTGAAGAGGATGTGGAGAAATAGGAACACTTTTACACTGTTGCTGGGACTGTAAACTAGTTCAACCATTGTGGAAGTCAGTGTGGTGATTCCTCAGGGATCTAGAACTAGAAATACCATTTGACCCAGCCATCCCATTACTGGGTATATACCCAAAGGACTATAAATCATGCTGCTATAAAGACACATGCACACATATGTTTGTTGTGGCACTATTCACAATAGGAAAGACTTGGAACCAACCCAAATGTCCAACAATGATAGACTGGATTAAGAAAATGTGGCACATATACACCGTGGAATACTATGCAGCCATAAAAAATGAGGAGTTCATGTCCTTTGTAGGGACATGGATGAAACTGGAAATCATTATTGTCAGTAAACTATCGCAAGGACAAAAAATCAAACACCGCATGTTCTCACTCATAGGTGGGAATTGAACAATGAGAACACATGGACACAGGAAGGGGAACATCACACTCTGGGGCCTGTTGTGGGGTGGGGGGAGTGTGGAGGGATAGCATTAGGAGATATACCTAATGCTAAATGACGAGTTAATGGGTGCAGCACACCAGCATGGCACATGTATACATATGTAACTAACCTGCACATTGTGCACATGTACCCTAAAACTTAAAGTAGAATAATAATAAAAAAAAAAATAAAAAAAACTTTTGTTCTTTCAGTTAACATTTTTTTTTTTTTGGTAAACATTTGGATAAGGAAACCTGCTTATCCAAATGTTTACCAAAACAGTATCATCCAGATGATGACAGTTTTGCCCCACTTGCTGAATTCAGCTTCACATTGCTGACACTCTAAGCAGGGGTCTTTGAATGTGCTTCGGGAGATTCACACTTCTCCTCCCCATGATCATATACACAGTCATTCATATATGTTTCTTTGTACATGTTCTGAGGAAGAATCGGAACTGTTCATCACATTCTCCTTGGACTTGCAAACCAGTGCTCCAGGAGAAAGGTGCACTCCTTCTAATGGTTCTGGAATTCCCCATCACCAAATCCTTGACCAAGAAGAATACATAGTAATATATGCAATTTATTTGTATCAGGTGCTATGAGTTCTCAGGCTGCTGACTACATAATTGAAGCCCTTGGAAAATGCCAGTTGAATGCTATAATTAGGTAAAAATAAATGCACTAGGCCTTTTAGATAACTTTCCAGATGATTGTCAGCCAAAGCCCAGGCAGAAGTACTCCCTAATTTCCCTAGAGCTGAAAGTCAGTGACCTTCAGCTTCCCTTTTCCACCCTTGTGATTGTCATTAGGGCTGTGCATGTAGCACCCTCAGCCAGCAATACGGTAGAAGTGAGGCTCATCGTTACTTACCTAGGTCTCTGCATTTTCAATATCTATCTGCAAAATGAGCTTGATCAATATTTAATTATTAGTCACCAGGAGGTAATTAGAGTTACAGAAACCAAAAAGAATACATATAGATGAGCTCAAGGTGTTCTGAGCACACCAAACCATTCTGACGATTCAACATGGAAACAGCTCTGATCCCAATAATAGCCATAGAAGCCTACCTTTAAAACCCATCCCTGCTCATTTTTATTAGGTTGGTGCACAAGTAATTGCGGGTTTTGCCATTACTTTTAATGGCAAAAACTGCAATTACTTATGCACCAACCTAATGCATTTCCATCATTTTCATAGACCTGAGCACTTATGAGCCATGGCCTTGTAGTCAGACTGCATGGATTCAAATCCCAATTATTCCACTTAATAGTTGTATGACCTTGGTACATTATTGTCCTCTCTAGTCTCAGTTTCTTCTTCCTGCAACATAAGAATAATGATGCTAATAATAATAGTGATAGATAGTACTGCTCTCATGGGGTAGTTTTCAGATTAAATGAAATGATCTATGTCAAGCACACAGCCAAATGACTGGCACATAGCAAGTACTCACTAAATGCTAACTGTTGTTATTACTTTCTAGGCCAAAAACAATATGTCCTCTTTAACAGGAGCATTGGGTACAAAGAGTTACTGTTGCCTATGAACCTTAACTCTTTCAGTTAGTGGAGGAGAAATTAAAAATCTTTGTGTTATCTATTCTGTTCCCTTGGTCTTTGTGCCTATTTTTATACTAGTACCATGTTGTTTTGGTGACTGTAGCCTTGTAGTATAGTTTGAAGTCAGGCAATGTGATGCCTCCAGATATGTTCTTTTTGCTTAGTCTTGCTTTGGCTATGTGGGCTAATTTTAGGATTGTTTTTTCTAGTTCTGTAAAGAATGATGGTGGCATTTATCTATCATCGTCTTTCCTTCCACCCAGAACATCAGAGCTAGTTGCTACTTACTTCCACATTGCCTCTCTGTTTCTCCACCTTCCTAGCTTTGATGATCTGCATTTCTGCTCCATTGTACTTCCCTCACATACCCACTACCAAGGTCACATATTTAACCTTACACTTTCGTATGTGGATCCACTCCTAAGACCTCAACCTCTGACTACATTCATCTTGGACTACATACATCTCTTCCTTTCTCACCTCAGAATCTGCTCTTGGTATTCCCAGGACTCATTGATCTTCATACCGTTCCCTTTGACCCAGTATAGAAGCTTCTCCCTACTTTCAGCCACTTCCCCCCTTCTCTTGCCATGGATTCACACTCTCCTGTATCCTGCACACCATTGCCAGTCATTTCAACAGATGACTCATAATTCCAAAATCCCTCAACACCATAATCTTATATCATTCTTGATTTAATCCCCAGCATAATCTCTCTGCTCTTGAAGTACCAAGTGTTGGTGGAAAAAGTTGCAAAATGATGCTCATTGGGTACACAGATCAGTAGTACTTTCTGATCTTAGCTGGGCCCTCCCTACTGCTTGAATGCTCTCTTGGATGCTCTTGTATTCCTCTCTTGCCATCTTCTCAGAGAGGCAGGATGGCACAGCAGTTAATAGCCCAAGCACAGGCAACTGATGAGACTTAGACGCTGAAATCCTGGGTCTGCTACTTGCTGCCTGTATGATTGGGAAAATTGATCTAATCTTAGGCTTTAGTTTTCTTCACCTGTAAATTGGGATTGCTCCTCACCTTAGGGGATTGCTTGTGAATACCAAATGAGATCATATATGGAAAGCACTTATAACACAGTGAATGGCACACGAAGTACAAACACACACACACACACATGCACACAAGCACATACACATCAGCTCTATTGAGGTATGAATTATATACCATAAAATCTACCAATTGTGGCAGGACACGTTGGCTCACACCTGTAATCCCAGCGCTTTGGGAGGCCAAGGAGGGCAGATCACTTGAGCCCAAGAGTTCACGACCAGCCCAAGCAACATGGTGAAACCCTGTCTCTACAAAAAATAGAAAAATTAGCAGGACATGGTGGTGCGTGCCTGTAATCCAGCTACTCGGGAGGCTGAGGCATGAGAATTGCTTGAGCCCAGGAGGCGGAGGTTGCAGTGAGCTGTGATCATGCTGTTGCACTCCAGCCTGGGCAACTGTAATGAAACTCTGATATGGTTTGGCTGTGTCCCCACCCAAATTTCATCTTGAATTGTAACTCTCATAATTCCCACGTGTCGTGGGAGGGACCTGGTGGGAGATAATTGAATCATGGGGGCGGGTATTTCTTGTGCTGTTCTTGTGACAGTGAATAAGTCTCATGAGATCTGATGGTTTTATAAATGGGAGTTCCCCTGCACAAGCTCTTTATTGCCTGCCACCATGTAAGATGTCCCTTTGTTCTTCCTTTGTCTTCCACCATGATTGTGCGGCCTCCCCAGCCATGTGGAACTAAGAGTCCATTATTAATCTTTATAAATTACCCAGTCTCGGGAATGTCTTTATTAACAGCATGAGAACAGACGAATACAAACTCTTTCTTAAAAAAAATCTACCAACTGTAATTGTACAATTTAATGATTTTAGAATATTTATACAGTTGTGCAATTGTCATAATCTAGTTTTAGAACACTTCCATTACCCCACAAAATTCCAATGTGCCTGTTTACAAACAGGCAATTGTAGTCAATTGCCATTTTCACTCTTGACCTCTGGCAACCACTGAGTGAACCACTTTCTATAATTTTGCTTTTTCTTGACATTCACATAAATGGAGCCATATAACATGTAGTCTTTTGCATCTGACTTCTTTCACACATTATAATATTTTGGGGGTTTGTGCATGTGGCATCATGTATCAGTACTTTATTCCTTTTGATGGCCAAATAATATTCCATTTTGTGGCTATACCACATTTTGTGTGTCCATTCATCAGTAGATGGATATTTGAATTGTTTCCTCAGTGTTTCCAATTGTGAATAATGTTGCTATGAATATTTGTATACAGCTCTTTGTGTGGAAATATATTTTCATTCCTCTTAGATCTGTACCTAGGAGTGGAATTGCTGGGTTATATGGTAAGTGTGTGTTTAATTTTTAAGAAACTGCCAAAGAATGTTTTAAAGTGTCAGTACCATTATACCTTCTCAATAGCAATATATGAGATTCCAGTTTCACCACATTCTCAACAATACTTGTTAGTGTCTATCTTTTATTACAGTCACTCTAGTGAATGTACAGTGGTTCTCCTTTTGCTTTTAATTTAATTTCCCTGATGTCTAATGACAATTGATGGCATATACTTATTAAACATTCACAGATCTCCTTTGATGAAATGCCTATTCAAATATTTTGCTTATAATTGGTTTATGTTCTCATTATTGAGTTGTAAGAGCTCTTTATATAGTATAGATACAAGTCCTTTATCAGTTCTGCCCATAATGAATTCTCTCAGACTTTGTTTATCTGGGAATAGCCTTATTTTGCCTTCATTTTCAAAGGACAGTTTTACTGCATGTAGAATTATTGGTTACCTTTTTTCATCTTTCAGCATTTTTTTTTTTTGAGACAGAGTCTTGCTCTGTCACCAAGGCTGGAGTGCAGTGGCCTAATCTCAGCTCACTGCAACCTCTGTTCCCAGGTTCAAGCAATTCTCCTGCCTCAGCCTCCTGAGTAGCTGGGACTACAGGTGTGTGCCACTACGCTCAGCTAATTTTTGTATTTTTAGTAGAGACGGGGTTTCATCATGTTGGTCAGGCTGGTCTCAAACTCCTGACCTCAAGTGATCTGCCCTCCTTGGCCTCCCAAAGTGCTGGGATTACAGGCGTGAGCCACCATGCCTGGCCCTCTCAGCATTTTGAATGTTACTCCACTACCTACAGCCTCCATTGTTTCAGACAAAAAGAGCATTAATTGTATTGATGCTCTACTGTACATAAGAGGCTTTTTTCTGTTGTTTCTTTCTAGATTTTTCTATCCTGTCTTCTCTTTTTTGTTTTTGTCTACATCATTATCTTCCCCTTCCCTCCCCTCAGTCTCTCTCTTTGGGCTTTCAACATTTTGGCCATTATGTTCCTAGGTGTAGAATTTTTGTATTAATCCTACTTGGGATTCTTTGATCTTTTTGGTTGTAGGCTATTTATTTTTTAATCAAATTTGGGAAATTTTTAGCTATTATTTCTTCAAATTCTTTTACTCCCTTTTTGTCTTCTCTCCTAGAATTTTCATTAATCACATGATACTTGATGTTTCACAGGTCTCTGAGGCTGTTTATTTTTATTCAGTCCTTTTTCTTTTCTTCTTCAAATAAGATAATTTCTATAGATTTATCTTCCAGTTCACAAATTCTTTCTTCTGCCATCTTGAATCTGCTGATGGGGCTCTGTGGGAAAATTTTAATTTCTCTTTCTCCAATTTTCCAGTTCAGAATTTCCATTTAGTCTTTTGTAAAATAATTTTTCTGTCCTTACTGAGGATTTTAAAAATTTGTTATTTTTGTTGTCATACTTCAACTCTTTAAACGTGGGTTCCTTTAGTTCTGTGGTGAACATATTTATAAGAGGTCTTTTGAAGTTCTCATCCAGCAAGTCCAATATATGGGGACATCCAGAAACTTTATTGATTGCTTTGTTTTTCCTGAGCACATCTCACTTTTCTGTTTCTCTCTAATTTTTTGTTCAAAACTCACATTTTACATAATATATTGTAGCAACTATGGATTCTGGTGTTTTTCCTCTGATGGTTGGTGTTGTTGCTGTTTTTCTTTGTTTGTTTGTTTGTTTGGTAGTTTCTTTGTTTATTAACTTGCCTGATCTAAATATGTGAATTATGTCTCCCACATCGTGTGTAGCCCCCGATGTCTGTGCTCAGTTTTTAAATTCTTGTTTTTTATTTTTAAGCATGGCTTTCTATTGGTTCTTTTCTCTGTCTGTGTAGTTTAGTGTACAGAGGCTGTGACCAAACATCTTGTGCCATTAAGGCTACTATCTTCTGTTGGTGGGTCTGTGTTTGGTAGAGTTGCTCATTCAGGGTTTAAGCTATTTTCAAGTCTGCCCTGGCTATTACTTTCTACTGGGCCATCTTACATCATATGTGTTCTCTGTAAGTTTTAGTTGTTATGATTATTATGACTGTATATTCTTTCCTCTCAGCAGTTGTACCAAAGGCTTTTTTGCTCTCCAGTAGCTCTCCTTTCTAGCTTCTTCAATCTCAGCAGGTGACCCTCCTTCTTGCTTTCTGAAAAGATGTCGGCCACACAGTATAGAACCCATGACTTCCGATTTCATTTTTTTTATTGAGATATAATTTACCTAAGGTAAAATTCACCATTCAGAGTACACAGCTCTGTGTGACTGTTAGTATAATCACAAAGATGTACAACTACCATCACTGTCTGATTCCAGAATGTTTTCATCACCCAGAAATAAACCCTGTGCCCATTAGCAATCTCTTCTCATTTCTGTTTCCCACCAACTCCTGGATACCAGAAGTTGTAGCATGAATCATTGCTTCATTCCTTTTCATTGCTGAATAATAGTCCATTATAAGGGTAGATCATATTTGGTTTATCTGTTTATCACTTGATGGACATTGGATTGGTTCCACATTTTTTCTGTTGTGGATAATGCTGCTATGAACTTTTGCATACAAATTTTAGTGCAGACATCTTTTTGGTTCTCTTGGGTTTACACCTCCCCACTTTATATTTTATTTAATGTAAAGTATATATTATAATAATGTTGTTACTTACTTCTCATTGTTGAAGAATTACCTTCTACGCCATGAAGAATTCTTAAATTTTATTCCCACTCTCTATCACCACTTGCAGGACCTTGCTCCAACAATATCACTCCTCATCAGTATCTCTCTTCTTGCTCCCACAGTATCTCTCCTTACCAGTCATTTCATCTTCTCCTCTGAGTCCATGCTGTTAGTCTACAAACATGATCTGATATGTTTGATCCCAAGCCTTCAGTTACCTTTAACACTTCCCATCATTCTTCTTATCTAATTGGTTGCCAAATCTGGCCAATTTTATCTTCAAATTAATTTTGAAAATTATTTTGTACTCCTCTTCCACATTCCTACCAGTCAAATCACTCTCTATGCCCCAGATTAGACACAGTTACTCTTTTCTCTATAGCACTTTGTACTTTGTGATGGCACTTAGTGTCTTGTGGAATAGTCATTTTTGTTTTAGTTGTAATTTGTTAATTTCCTCCTGGCTGCAAGAATAATCTTTTATTCTTACTCATTCTTGCATCCCCAGAGCAGCCTAGCATTGGATCAGAGCAAAGGAGTAGCACTCAAAACATCATAACATCTGCAGATTGTGGTTTAATTTGGACTTTCAAATTTATTATTTCTCATGGTCTCTCTCCTTTCCATCCTTCATCTCTCTCCCTCCTTCTCTTACTACCATTGTATATAAAACTAATTTCTATTTATATGTATCTTGAATGGTGTAAGGTCAGAGATAACCAGTTTCACACATGTTTGTGTCTTTCCACAGTGTCAGACTTTTATTGATGCTATTTCAATCACAAAATCCATGAGCCACATGGAGTTCCCAAGGAGGCAATTCTCCTTCGTACTTCCCATTCACTCGGAAGTCAGAGCCATGCCACAGAGGCACAAGCCACTCCATAAGTCAGTCAATATTGCAAACCACACAAAACAGTACATTTCATCTATATATATATGTTACAGATTGAACATTCCACAACAAACAAATTAACATTTAACATCAAGAGAAAGAGGATAGGAAAAGGGGTTAATGAACCAGTCTAGGAAGACAGATATAGACAAAAAGAATGTCCTGGTCTGGACCAGCTGGTTTGTCAATTTTGCAAGGAAAAGTCTCATGTGGGCAGAGCCTTTGGTGGCAGATGCTGGGTGCTTATCACGAGTGAAAGCAAGACGGTGTCAGTTAAGACAGCCATTTGGAGCTGCTGAAGTCCTGCTCCTTTTATGGCCACAGAGTCCTCTGGTGAGGACTGATAGTGGAAAAGTATGCCTATGTCCTTATCTGGTTGGTTGCAGTCTTTATTTATTAAGCAAAACATCTTGACCCTCTTAAAAAAGTGCCCTATGAAATGTAAGATGGAGTCTTTTTCTAAGATGGAGTTACTTATGTTAAGGGCGCTCTGTACAATATATGCTTGACATATGTTAGGCACTCAATAAAAAGCTGTTGGTTAACGCAATAAAAAATGGTAAAGGAGATATCACCACCGATTCCACAGAAATACAAACTACCATCAGAGAATACTATAAACACCTCTACACAAATAAACCAAAAATCTAGAAGAAATGGATAAATTCTTGGACACATACACCCTCCCAAGACTAAACCAGGAAGAAGTTGAATCCCTGAATAGACCAATAACAGGCTCTGAAATTGAGGCAATAATTAATAGCCTACCAGCCAAAAAAAGTCCAGGACCAGACAGATTCACAGCTGAATTCTACCAGAGGTACAAGGAGGAGCTGGTACCATTCCTTCTGAAACTATTCCAATCAGTAGAAAAAGAGGGAATCCTCCCTAACTCATTTTATGAGGCCAACATCATCCTGATACCAAAGCCTGGCAGAGACACAACAAAAAAAAAGAGAATTTTAGACCAATATCCCTGATGAACATTGATGCAAAAATCCTCAATAAAATACTGGCAAACCGAATCCAGCAGCACATCAAAAAGCTTATCCACCATGATCAACTGGGCTTCATCCCTGGTATGCAAGGCTGGTTCAACATATGCAAATCAATGAACGTAATCCAGCATATAAACAGTCCCAAAGACAAAAACCACATGATTATCTCAGTAGATGCAGAAAAGGCCTTTGACAAAATTCAACAGCCCTTCATGCTAAAAACTCTCAATAAATTAGGTATTGATGGGATGTATCTCAAAATAATAAGAACTATTTATGACAATCCCACAGCCAATATCATACTGAATGGGCAAAAACTGGAAGCATTCCCTTTGAAAACTGACACAAGACAGGGATGCCCTCTCTCACCACTCCTATTCAACATAGTGTTGGAAGTTCTGGCCAGGGCAATCAGGCAGGAGAAGGAAATAAAGGGTATTCAATTAGGAAAAGAGGAAGTCAAATTGTCCCTGTTTGCAGATGACATGATTGTATATTTAGAAAACCCCATCGTCTCAGCCCAAAATGTCCTTAAGCTCATAAGCAACTTCAGCAAAGTCTCAGGATACAAAATCAATGTGCAAAAATCACAAGCATTCTTATACACCAATAACAGACAAACAGAGAGCCAAATCATGAGTGAACTCCCATTCACAATTGCTTCAAAGAGAATAAAATACCTAGGAACCCAACTTACAAGGGATGTGAAGGACCTCTTCAAGGAGAACTACAAACCACTGCTCAAGGAAATAAAAGAGGACACAAACAAATGGAAGAGCATTCTATGCTCATGGATAGGAAGAATCAATATTGTGAAAATGGCCATACTGCCCAAGGTAATTTACAGATTCAATGCCATCCCCATCAAGCTACCAATGACTTTCTTCACAGAATTGGAAAAAACTACTTTAAAGTTCATATGGAACCAAAAAAGAGCCTGCATCGCCAAGTCAATCCTAAGCCAAAAGAACAAGGCTGGAGGCATCACGCTACCTGACATCAAACTATACTACAAGGCTACAGTAACCAAAACAGCATGGTACTGGTACCAAAACAGAGATATAGACCAATGGAACAGAACAGGGCCCTCAGAAATAATACCACACATCTACAACCATCTGATCTTTGACAAACCTGACAAAAACCAGAAATGGGGAAGGGATTCCCTATTTAATAAATGCTGTTGGGAAAACTGGCTAGCCATATGTAGAAAGCTGAAACTGGATCCCTTCCTTACACCTTATACAAAAATTAATTCAAGATGGATTAAAGACATACATGTTAGACCTAAAACCATAAAAACCCTAGAAGAAAACCTAGACAATACCATTCAGGACATAAGCATGGGCAAGGACTTCATGACTAAAACACCAAAAGCAATGACAACAAAAGCCAAAATTGACAAATGGGATCTAATTAAACTCAAGAGCTTCTGCACAGCAAAAGAAACTACCATCAGAGTGAACAGGCAACCTACAGAATAGGAGAAAATTTTTGCAATCTACCCATCTGACAAAGGGCTAATATCCAGAATCTACAAAGAACTCAACAAATTTACAAGAAAAACAAACAACCCCATCAACAAGTAGGCAAAGTATATGAACAGACACTTCTCAAAAGAAGACATTTATGCAGCCAAAAAACACATGAAAAAATGCTCATCATCACTGGCCATCAGAGAAATGCAAATGAAAACCACAATGAGATACCATCTCACACCAGTTAGAATGGCGATCATTAAAAAGTCAGGAAACAACAGGTGCTGGAGAGGATGTGGAGAAATAGGAATACTTTTACACTGTTGGTGGGACTGTAAACTAGTTCAACCATTGTGGAAGACAGTGTGGCGAGTCCTCAGGGATCTAGAACTAGAAATACCATTTGACCCAGCCATCCCATTACTGGGTATATACCCAAAGGATTATAAATCGTGCTGCTATAAAGACACATGCACATGTATGTTTATTGTGGCACTATTCACAATAGCAAAGACTTGGAACCAACCCAAATGTCCAACAATGATAGACTGGATTAAGAAAATGTGGCACATACACACCATGGAATACTATGCAGCCATAAAAAATGATGAGTGCATGTCCTTTGTAGGGACATGGATGAAGCTGGAAACCATCATTCTCAGCAAACTATCGCAAGGACAGAAACCAAACACTGCATGTTCTCACTCATAGGTGGGAATTGAACAATGAGTACACTTGGACACAGGAAGAGGAACATCACACATGAGGGCCTGTTGTGGGGTGGGGGGAGGGGGGAGGGATAGCATTAGGAGATATACCTAATGTAAATGATGAGTTAATGGGTGCAGCACACCAACATGGCACATGTATACATATGTAACAAAGCTGCACGTTGTGCACATGTACCCTGGAACTTAAAGTATAGTAATAAAAAAAAAAAGAAAAAAAAAGTTGTTGGTTAAATAGTCTCTGCTAAATTTGCGACACATCTTCCCAGATAAGATTCTTCTCTCCGAACCTTTTTTTTTTTCCTTTTTTTTTTTACACAGAGTCTCACTCTGCCATCCAGGCTGGAGTGTAGTGGCTCGCTGCAACTTCTGCCTCCCAGGTTCAAGTGATTCTCCTGCCTCAGCCTCCCAAGTAGCTGGGACTACAGGTGCATGCCACCACGCCCAGCTAATTTTTGTATTTTTAGGAGAGACAGTGTTTCACCATGTTGACCAGGCTGGTCTCGAACTCCTGACCTCAGTTGATCCACCCACCTTGACCTCCCAAAGTGCTAGGATTACGGGCATGAGCCACCGCACCTGGCCTCTCTGAACTTTTTTACCAGTATTTATTTTAATTTTGGTTGGGGGCAGTAGAGAGATGCAGAAAAGGAAAGGAAGGCATGAAACTGCTTGAGAAATACATCAGTGAATAAAAGTTTTTTAACATTTGTGGTGTAATGACAAATCCTGGAGAAGTTTTAGTTCACACCTGGAGTATTCCAGCAGAAGTTGGATGCCAGCCGCTAGGCATTCATTCTGCAGAGGGGCTTCTCTGTTAGGTACAAGGTTGGGTTCAAGTACCTTCTGAAGTCTAGCTCAGTGTATTTTTTGGAGTGTAGTATACTAACAGGCAAGAACAAGAAGTGGAGGAGATGTGCCAGGGGAGGAATAGTGATGACGTTGTAGGTGCTCAGCTCCCAGATGATGGGAAAAGTGTTTCATGGCCTCACACATCTTTTGGGTTTTTTGTTGACTGTCTCCCCCATTACTCAATGAGCTGCTACAGCATAGGGAATGAATCTTCAACTTGTATTTCCAGTACCCAGAACAGAGGCTTGTACTAAGAAGGCATTCAATTGGTATGTAATGGATTAGAATAAGTTGAATTGAAGATTGAACTGAAGTCAAAATCTGATTTCTAAGGTTCCTTCTGGCCTGAAAATTCAGACTCCTCTGATTTCAACCATAACAGCCTGGCTAAGCCTCCTTGAGAGAAACCCTGTGCTTCCTTAGTTTAACCACCTCTTTGTGGTTGAATAGTATAGGTTTTCAATCAAGTCCTAGGAGGGTGTCAGTTTCTTGTTGTACTTACCAGGATGTGATAGGATTTCAAACAAGGCCCAAAAGAATGTATTTTCAGGAGTTGAGATGTAGCCACACTTTCTACATTTACAATGGCCTGAAATGGGTTACAGTTTAGAACAAGCTTTCTTCTTTATGATGCACAGGATTTCTATGATGGGTGGCTGTTAGGCAATGAGTGTGATGGGGGAGCATTTTCAATCTTAGCTCACCTTAGCACACCTTAGCACAGGACTCTAGTTACAGGGTCATAATTCCCCATGAGGTTAGCCCCTGTAGTATCAGCTACTTTGTATGTGATTTAAGCCAGTACTGATTATTCTCCTGCTTAGGGAGAAGCGGTAGAAGGCCCTTGGAACTGTGAGTTTTGCATTCCAACTTGCTAATTCAACATAGATCCTAATTCCTTAAATGCTTGTAATTAGAAATTCTCGTGAACTGTATTGGTTTTTGTCAAGCAATCTGTTTGGGGAACTTGACCAACTGGGGCACTGCTGGCTAGGGTGAAATTTATTTAATTTGTTTTTATGACATTCTTCATCTTGGAAATGGGGTTTTCAAATATTGCTTTCCCAGGCATCATTACTTATTTGCTGGTTTTTATTTCAGGATTGGGACTAGCTCAGGGTGCCAGGGAAGCGTTTTGTGGTGCTCTATATTAGAGTCGTAATATCCAAGAAAATTGTCTGATTGTATGTGGTATCTTGGATGTGGTACCTTATGACAAATGTTCCACATTTTGACAATATGATAGGTTTATGATTATTTATATTCCAAATGATCTTACTTTTTAAAAGTAATATTTTGTGCAGTCTTTGCAATTCTGTTTTCCTTTCTATTGTTATTTAGAAGCTATTCATTGGCGTTTGGCATCATTCACCATCTTTGAGCATTAAAAAGAAAAAGAAAAAAGCAAGTACACTCTGTGTAGCATAGAATCTCTGTTCACTTTAGAATTCACATTGAACATGAGCTGATCCAATTGCTACAGCCTTGGCAGTGATAGAGGCAGGAGACAGCCAAATCCCTAGGCAGATAGGGAAAGGTCCCCGGAGAATCTCCGACCTGCCCCACAAGTGTTGACACCAGATGTTTTGTGCAGATAAGGGAACCTGCACAGGGGGCTTGCCTGGGCATGCCCACAGCATACTGGAGGCCCACTGGGGGAATGGGATGGAGCCACTAGGAGTTCACACCTTATGCAGGGGTGGAGCCTGGCCTCATCAGTTCTTGTGTGGTGGCCCTGGTATTCAATTGTGAGGGGGAAACCTGCTTGGAGGACCCCTCTCCTTACTGAGAGCTTTCTTTTCACTTAATAAATTCTGCCCTCTTCACCCTTTAATGTGTCTGCATGCCTAATTCTTCCTAGTCATGAGACGAGAACCTGGATTTAACTGAGCCAGGGAGCAGAAACTCCTGCATCAGTAGCAATTTTACAACTGTTTATTAAGGAATACATCTTGCCCGAGGAGGTTTTATATTGTATCCCTCAAATGGCTATTTTCCCCTCCTCCGTTTAAATATTTTTACTCAAGTGGTTTCCTTCTTTTGGAATGCCAGTCAACTCCATCTCCTACTTGATTTCCAAGACCGTCTCCTCCAAGATGCCTCTCCTGTCTCCCCTTTCCATACAATAGAATTTATGGGTTTATCACTGTTAGTACCAAGGGCTTCATCATCTGCTCTCTTATGTTCCCTGCTTGTCAAGGTGTAGCTTATTGTAGGGTTCAATGAGCTGCTAGCCACTGTCCCATTTGACTAGCAGATGCTTGAGAAAAGCAAGTACACAGTTTGGATTCGATCCTACAGTGTCTTACATAGTTCTTGGCACCTGCATGTTTGCTCTAGGAACAACCTTCCTTATTATACCGAGCTGATCCTTTTGGGCAGCATTCATTGAGTCAAATGGCCTGTGTGAAACGGGGTCTGACCCTAAGTGGACAGAGCTGAGAGGTTAGAGCTGAAGGACTCAAGCCCCAGACTTGCTACAGATTAGTAGGGTGACTTCCAGTTACTTCAGTTTTCTGAGTGTAGTTTCCTCATTTTAAGCTTTGTAAATATTAATATCTGGCATACATAATTTGAAAAAATGCTGTAAGGATTAGAAGAACGAATATACGTGCAAACCTTTAAGAAATTATAAGTGCAAACACACGTAGTACATTTCCATTTTTAGAGCTTCATTTTTTTCTTATCTGTAAAATAGACATGTAAATGCCTACCTTTCTTATTGGGTTATTGTGAGGATTAAGTAGAATAACATATGTGGAAGTGCTTAGCAAATAGGAGGTGTTTAATAAATGTTGCCTGGATATGAATTCCCCTCTCGGGACTGTCCTGATGTGAGGCTTTTCCAGCCCTTGGGGGATGTGCATTTAAATCAGGCTGCTTGTACCTTGGATTAGGCAACTTAAAAAAAGTGTAGCCTTGTTAGTTCCAACTTCTCAGCTATAAAATGCAGAGTAATTAAATTTGCTAGTAAATGTTTCCAGGCCTTTGAATGGCAGCCAATAAAAAGGACTAAATATTATTCTTTTAGAATTCATGTCCTTGATGTAGAGGAAATATCATATTTACTTACACATACTCCTGCCTTGGCTTTTTAGAAGAAAACTAAGAAAAATGTTTTCCCCTCTACATTTCCCACTTGAAGGTGTTATCTGTATTGAAACAGCAATGACAGCTGCCAGCAAAGGAGTGTGATTTTTCTTTGCCAAGGTAAACCAAGGGTTAACATCAAGGAGTGTTGGGGCCCCTGCTGGTGGGCTGGAACCAGAGCTAATTCCTTAGCAGTCACTCACTCTTCTGCCTCTTCAGCTGTCTCTCACCCCCCTCCCACCATAAAGGAGTGGGTGTTCCTTCAGGACTGTGCACTCGCCTCCCTCCCTCTATCCCTCTTTTTCCCACCCACACATACTTCCCAGAACCTCTCCACCCTGTGGCTGATTTATCTTTCCTGGGACCAAAGGCAATAAAGCCTCAAAACTAAAACTTGCAAGGAAAGACAATCCTAATGGTAAACACCTAACCCGCAATGCTGATTACTTGAAAATAAGCTGTTATTCTGTCTCCAGATCACAAATAGCCTCACTTAAAGCTCTACCCCTGAAAGAACTACTGAAAGATTCAGGAAGGTCAGGAGATCCAGATTCCAATTAACTTAGCACCTGATGCCTGTGTAACTCTGGATGGGTCTCAGTTCTCTAGTAGTTGAGGACTGGTATCTCAAAGGTTAATGAAATTTGCCTAAGGTGAAGGTAGATTAAGCCTTCCATTCTCACACAAATTGCCCATCTTCCAATCCCCTTTGTACCTTGACATTTTCAACACAAAGGGGTTGGGGTGCTCAGAGGATTACACAAGCAAGCACATATTTGTCACAGCACCTGATTATAGACCTGCATTTTGGAAGAGAGGTATTTCAGGATCTTCTCATTACTGAAGCCTCTCATTGTAGGACCATGGTCATTTTTAA
Source organism: Homo sapiens (assembly GCF_000001405.40). Classification (NCBI taxonomy): domain Eukaryota; kingdom Metazoa; phylum Chordata; class Mammalia; order Primates; family Hominidae; genus Homo; species Homo sapiens. The sequence goes on along the minus strand of NC_000023.11, from coordinate 132,876,019 downwards.
ATCTCCCACATTGAAATGACCAGTTGGCAAAAACCTTCAATTACAAAATCTCTTCCAAAGAGGCTGAGTTTTTTTTTTTTCTTGGATCACTTCACATCCTTTTGAATACCCTGAGGCAGTATTTTTATGGGCTAACAGCAAACAGAGTGTCGTGTAGAACCAAGTGTGTCCCTTCACTTTCTCCACCCCCTGCAAAGTTTGTGATCTTCAAAGCATGCTGGATTTTAAAATAAAACATCTACTTCTAGTCCAAGCCTTTGGCTGTAGACTTTGGGCTTAAGTGTGTTTTTCCACAGAGGTGTTACATCCCCATTTCTATCAGCTAAGGAAAATGAATTCATTCAAGGTCTCCCCTGCCATTCATCGAGGCTCCCCAAGAGGAGCTTTCCAGAAAGATCTGTGCCAATTGTAAACTTACAAGATCCTCAGCCCATAACAAAATGCCCAGACACCTTGGCTCTGCTGACACAGGCTGAGAGAGATAAAGGAAACAGCTGGCTGAGGTCCTGACTTTTTTTTCACATTTTTTTCACTTTTTTTTTCACAAAGGCCCGCTAGCCTTTGCAGACTGGGGACTTTAAGATTGTTCACTACCCATCCAGCAGGGCTGGGCATACAGATACCAAAGCTCCATCTCCAGAGACGTGAACTCTAACCAAGGATCCTCAAACCACTTAAATCATGAACCTGAACCTTGAAATGAAGCAAACATTACATTTAAACTCCCATGTTTAAAATCAGTTTGCCCTTTTCGCTCACTCTTTACTCTGGGGGATGCATAAACACCTTGGGTGCCTGCTGTGACAATCAAGTTGGCAATACATGCCACCTGCTGGAACCATAGTCTCCAATCTGAACTCCTTCCCCAGCTACCTGTTTCCTGTCACAGGCCTTGGCATTCCCTGTAGCTTCATTGCTTACCTCATAGAATCATGCTTCTCATTAGAGAGTATTCAACAGCTTCTTGTCACTGGGGGGTGCACTTCATTTCCTCTACTCTTGGACTTCTGCTCTACTTGGACTTCATACTCTTGGCTGTCTCTGAGGTAGAGGCAGAGAGAACATCCCTGACTCTCTGCTGCCCATTTTCTGCCATGGGCCGCCCCCCCCTTCCAGAGGAGGAGGTGTTGGGGAACCTCTCCCACATGGCAGAACAACCACTCAAGTCTGGGGAGGTCTTTGGCAGTCATCTTGGGCCAGATGTTGTGCTAGACCAAGACTGAGCTGGGATTTGGGTTTTCTATTCTCACATAGCCAGTTGGAAAGGGTGGAAACACATGTGGGGGTCCCAAGGAACCATGAGAGACTTCTCATCATTACTGCGGAGTTTGACTATGATCTGGCATCCTGGGCTGTTGTGTGGAGGTCTCTATCATGACCGACCTCTTTGGCTTCTCTTGTGCCCTAAGGAAGGTGTTTTTTTTGCTAGTTTTGTTTTATGTTTTTAGACTGAGTCTTGCTCTTTTGCCAGGCTGGAGTGCAGTGGCATGATCTCCACTCACTGCAACCTCGGCCTCCCGGGTTCAAGCAATTCTCCTGCCTCAGCCTCCTGAGTAGCTGGGACTACAGGTGTGTGCCACCACACCCAGCTAATTTTCGTATTTTTAGTAGAGACGGGGTTTCACCATGTTGGCCAGGATGGCCTCAATCTCTTGACCTCGTGATCCGCCTGCCTCAGCCTCCCAAAGTGCTGAGATTACAGGAGTGAGCCACCATGCCCAGCCGGAAGGTGTTTTAAAATTGAAACAAAGTTGCATAGTTGGTTGTGTTAATTGATTCAAAATCTTTCTTTTTTGCAGGGGCAGCTCTAGGCCAAATTCTTCTTGCAAGTTTTTATGGATCACATGTTTGTCTAAAGTACACACAGATCATTCCCAAGGCCAGAGCAGGAATGCTCTGGAAGTGCCCTCTCTGATCTAGGGCAAGCCTGTAGTTTCAGGGTTATCGATAGACCTCGCGGAGGGCAGTGTACAAGGCCTCTGGCTGCATGAAGAGAAATCTGGTGTGTGGGACTGCTCTCAGAAGCAGAGAGGTGTAGAAGGCTGTCAAATGCATAAAGACAATGTCTCTTCACTTGGAGGACAATTTGTCTGCCAAGGGGACGGTGAGATTTGGCTTCATCTCTTAAGAACCTGCATTGAGGGCTGCTCACAATTTCACCCGAGGTCCAGGGCAATTCTCTCCTCTCCAGATCCCATATCTAGTGCTTGTTGCTGCTCATTCAGTATATGGATACTTCTATTCTTAACAAGTTCATAAGTTTGTTTAACCGATGACTGCTCATGTCTTTAAAGCCATTCATTCATTCATCCATTCATTCTCTCCCTCCCTTGTCAATCAACAAATGTGTTTTGAAATTAAGTCTATGCTGGAATTTAGTGATTAATAAGACCCAGATCCACCAAACTATGAGCTTCCTAAGAGCAGGGAGTGCATATTTCATTTATGCATACACAGTGCTGGGCATATGATTTCCATAAATATGAATGGATGCTTCAGGCAAATGCACTTTAATGAAGTTTGCCACAGAGGCATCTAATTCTCAAACCAAATGCTGGTATTTTAATATCTTTTCATAACCAGAGGTCTGAGGGCATGGGAAAATTGCTGGGAAGGAGGGCTCTGGAATAACATGATATTAAGATAGATGCATGAGTGATGACCCAAAGCTTCTTGTTGTCACCCATAGAATAACTTAGTTTCCTGTCTTCCCTGGAAGAAATGTAAGAGGATGTGTGGGGCTAGAAAGAGCAACAAGCTTATATCACCCATATAGTAGAAAAGGAGTGAGTGGAGCATCGAGCCTGATCCTGTGCATTTACAGTAGCAGTAATAGAGTAAAACAGAGCAATTAGTGCCTCATGTAGACTTGGCATTGAGCACCCCATCGCAAAATAGCCATGTTACATATTTCAGTGTTTACCAGTGACAACGTTTTCCTCTTCTTTATGATTTTTGGTTCCTGAGATGTTTAACTGGCCTTAATGCAGTTTTGAGAGATTGCAGGAAGTGATGGGCTGGGTTGGGAATGGCTGGGCATTCAAGTGATTTAGCCATGGGACTCAGCAGTGCATTGCTTTTACTCCTGAAGGACTCTTGGAAGAAAGCTCTGGGCCTCTGCAGAGCTTTGATCAGCTTGTTCAGAAAGAGAGCGTTTTATCGATTTTATCATGGTTACCTTTTTTTATTGTTAAAAGTGTCTATGTTGTAAGGCCTCTTTGTGTGATAAAATTCTGAAATGATCTCACATTGATTTATTTTTTCCTGCTTTCAAAACACAGCAATCTTGGTAGTTTCTTAGTATCCCAAAGGGATAAGGAGTCAGCTTCTCAATAAACCTTTTCTGGTTATGAACACTGTATGTATTAAATAATAAGCAAGCCTTACAGAGTTTATATGATCACATTAAGGGATCTGTTAAATTCCAAGAGTTATTGTTATGTGTGCAAAATACTACAGAAGCACTTGATTTTGTTCCAGAAGCACTCTGCTGGGAATGAGTGCATATTGGTTCTAGTGACTCTGCCAGTAATTAGCTGTGACCTTTGGTAAGTCACTTCTCCTCCATTCCCTCTTGCATCCTGATCTGTAAAACGAGGAGTCTCTTAGTCCCTTCTAAGTCCCTCACCAGCTTTAACATTCTGAGGCTTAAAAAAGCTCATAGGAGACAGGCTGTTCTTTGCAATATTTTCCATACAGGTAGTATAAACAAGTGGAGAGGTAATTGAAAGACTGACTTTCAAAATCTAGTACAAGGACCTTATTTATATGGGATTTTAAACTGATATCTTGAGTCGGACTATGAATGACTACGACTATCAATCAGTTATCTGCACCAATAAAGGACAACCGATGTGAATCATTTGGAGATCTTCCTACTCCCAGTAGATGCAGGTTTCGTGCCCCAGAATAATACTGGAATGTGCTCATGTCTTTAGCACATACCAACTAATCTTGGTGAGAAGTGACCCCCTAAAAAGGTGTTGGAAGGCAAGGGAACACAGTGGCTAGAGCTTAACACATTTGTTGGAAAGAAGAGCATTTTTACACTGCTGACAATATGAGGACTATTTGTTTTCTTATTTTATTATTATACTTTTAAGTATTAAGATACATGTGCGGAACGTTCAGGTTTGTTACATATGTATACACATGCCATGGTGGTTTGCTGCACTTATCAACCCGTCATCTACATTAGATATTTCTCCTAATAATATCCCTCCCCTAGCCCCTCACTCCCCCAACAGGCCCCCGTGAGTTATGTTCCCCTCCCTGAGTCCATGAGTTCTCATTGTTCACCTCCCATTTATGAGTGAGAATATGTGGTGTTTGGTTTTCTGTTCCTGTGTTAGTTCGCTGAGAATGATGGTTTCCAACTTCATCCATGTCCCTGCAAAGAACATGAAATCATCCTTTTTCTGGCTGCATAGTATTCCATGGTGTATATGTGCCACATTTTCTTTATCCAGTCTGTCATTGATGGGCATTTGGGTTGGTTCCAAAACTTTGCTATTGTGAACAGTGCTGCAATAAACATACGTGTGCATGTGTCTTTATAGTAGAATGATTTATTACCCTTTGGGTATATACCCAGTAATGGGATTGCTGGGTCAAATGGTATTTCTGGTTCTAGATCCTTGAGGAATTGCCACACTGTCTTCCACAATGGTTGAACTAATTTACACTCCCACCAACAGTGCAGTGTAAAAGCATTCCTATTTCTCCACATCCTCTCCAGCATCTGTTGTTTCCTGACGTTTTAATGATCACCATTCTAACTGGGCATGAGATAGTATCTCGTTGTGGTTTTGATTTGCATTTCTCTAATGACCACTGATGATGAGCTTTTTTTCATATGTTTGTTGGCCACATAAATGTCTTCTTTGGAGAAGTGTTTGTTCATATCCTTCACCCACTTTTTGATGGGGTTGTTTGTTTTTTTCTTGTAAATTTAAGTTCCTTGTAGATTCTGGATATTGGCCCTTTGTCAGATGGGTAGATTGCAAAAATTTTCTCCCAATCTGTAGGTTGCCTGTAGGTTGCCTGTTCACTCTGATGATAGTTTTTTTTTTGCTGTGCACAGCTGTTTAGTTTAATTAGATTCCGTTTGTCCATTTTGGCTTTTGTTGCAGTTGCTTTCGGTCTTTTAGTCATGAAGTCTTTGCCCATGCCAATGCCTGAATGGTATTGCCTAGGTTTTCTTCTAGGGATTTTATGGTTTTAGGTCTTATGTTTAAGTCTTTAATCCATCTTGAGTTAATTTTTGTATAAGGTGTAAGGAAGGGGCCCAGTTTCAGTTTTCTGCATGTGGCTAGCTGTTTTCCCAATACCATTTATTAAATAGGAAATCCTTTCCCCATTGCTTGTTTTTGATAGTTTTGTCAAAATCAGATGGCTGTAGATGTGTGGTATTATTTCTGAGGCCTCTGTTCTGTTCCATTGGTCAATTTATCTGTTTTGGTACCAGTACTATGCTGTTTTGGTTACTCTAGCCTTATAGTATAGTTTGAAGTCAGGTAGCGTGATGCCTCCAGCTTTGTTCTTTTTGCTTAGGATTGTCTTGGCTACATGGGCTCTTTTTTTGTTCCATATGAACTTGAAAGTAGTTTTTTCCAATTCTGTGAAGAAAGCCAATGGTAGCTTGATGGGGATAGCATTGAATCTATAAATTACTTCGGGCAGTATGGCCATTTTCATGATATTCATTCTTCCTATCCATGAAAATTGAATATTTTTCCATTTGTTTGTGTCCTCTCTTATTTCCTTGAACAGTGGTTTGTAGTTCTCCTTGAAGAGGTCCTTCACATCCCTTATAAGTTGGATTCCTAGGTATTTTATTCTCTTTGTAGCAATTGTGAATGGGAGTTCACTCATGATTTGGCTCTCTGCTTGTCTATTATTGGTGTATAGGAATGCTTGTGATTTTTACACATTGATTTTGTATCCTGAGACTTTGCTGAAGTTGTTTATTAGCTTAAGGAGATTTTGGGCTGAGACGATGGGGTTTTCTAGATATACAATCATGTCATCTGCAAACAGAGACAATTCGACTTCCTCTCTTCCTATTTGAATACCCTTTATTTCTTTCTCTTGCCTGATTTCCCTGGCCAGAACTTCCAATACTATGTTGAATAGAAGTGTTGAGAGAGGGCATCCTTGTCTTGTGCCAGTTTTCAGAGGGAATCCTTCCAGCTTTTGCCCATTCATTATGATATTGGCTGTGGGTTTGTACTAAATAGCTCTTGTTATTTTGAGATACATTCCATCAATACCTAGTTTATTGAGAGTTTTTAGCATGAAGGCATGTTGAATTTTATCAAAGGCCTTTTCTGCATGTATTGAGATAATCATGTGGTTTTTGTCATTGGTTCTCTTTTTGTGATGGATTACGTTTATTGATTTGCATATGTTGAACCAGCCTTGCTTCCCAGGAATGAAGCTGACTTGATCATGGTGGATAAGCTTTTTGATGTGCTGCTGGATTCGGTTTGCCAGTATTTCATTGAGGATTTTCACGTCAATGTTCATAAAGGATATTGGCCTGAAATTTTCTTTTTTTGTTGTGTCTCTGCCAGGTTTTGGTATCAGGTTGATGCTGGCCTCATAAAATGAGTTAGGGAGGCGTCCCTCTTTTTCTATTGATTGGAATAGTTTCAGAAGGAATAGTACCAGCTCTTCTTTGTACCTCTGGTAGAATTCAGCTGTGAACCCATCTGGTCCTTCGTTGGTAGGCTATTACTGCCTCAATTTCAGAACTTGTTATTGGCCTATTCAGGGATTTGACTTCTTCCTGGTTTACTCTTGGGAGGGTGTATGTGTCCAGGAATTTACCCATTTCTTCTAGATTTTCTAGTTTATTTGCATAGAGGTGTTTATAGTATTCTCTGATGGTAGTTTGTATTTCTTTGGGATCCGTGATGATATCCCATTGATCATTTTATTGTGTCTATTTGATTCTTCTCTCTTTTCTTCTTTATTAGTCTGGCTAGCCTTCTATCTATTTTGTTAGTCTTTAAAAAAAAAATACCTCCTGGATTCATTGATTTTTTGAAGGGTTTTTCGTCTCTCTATCTCCTTCAGTTCTGCTCTGATGTTAGTTATTTCTTGTCTTCTGCTAGGTTTTGAATTTGTTTGCTCTTGCTTCTCTAGTTCTGTTAATTGTGATGTTAGGGTGTCTATTTTAGATCTTTCCCAGTTTCTCCTGTGGGCATTTAGTGCTATAAATTTCCTTCTAAACACTGCTTTAGCTGTGTCCCAGAGATTCTGGTATGTAGTGTCTTTGTTCTCGTCGGTTTCAAAGAACTTATTTATTTCTGCCTTAATTTCGTTATTTACTCAGTAGTCATTCAGGAGCAGGTTGTTTAGTTTCCATGTAGTCATGAGGTTTTGAGTAAGGTTCTTAATCCTGAATTCTAATTTGATTGCACTGTGGTCTGAGAGACTGTTTGTTATGATTTCTGTTCTTTTGCATTTGCTGAGGAATGTTTTACTTCCAATTATGTGGTCAGTTTTAGAATAAGTGCCATGTGGTGCTGAGAAGAATGTATATTCTGTTGATTTGGGGTGGAGAATTCTGTAGATGTCTGTTAGGTCCACTTGGTCCAGAGCTGAGCTCAAGTCCTGAATATCCTTGATAATTTTTTGTCTTGCTGATCTAATATTGACAGTGAGGTGTTAAAGTCTCCCACTATTATTGTGTTGGAGTCTAAGTTTCTTCATAGGTCTCTAAGAACTTGCTATATGAATCTGGGTGCTCATGTACTGGGTACACGTATATTTAGGATAGTTAGCTCTTCTTGTTGCATTGATCCCTTTATCATTATGTAATGCCCTTCTTTGTCTTTTTGATCTTTGTTGGTTTAAAGTCTGTTTCATCTGAGACTAGGATTGCAACCCTTTCTTTGTTTTACTTTCCATTTACTTGGTAAACCTTTCTCCATCCCTTTATTTTGAGCCTATTTGTGTCTTTGCACATGAGATGGGACTCCTGAATACAGCACACTGATGGGTCTTGACTCTTTATCCAATTTGCCAGTCTTTGTCTTTTAATTAGGGCATTTAGCCCATTTACATTTAAGGTTAATATTGTTATGTGTGAATTTGATCCTTTCATTATGATGCTAGCTGGTTATTTTTCCTGTTAGTTGATGCAGTTTCTTCATAGTGTCGATGGTCTTTACAATTTTGTATGTTTTTGCAGTGACTGGTACTGGTTTTTCCTTTCCATGTTAGTGCTTCCTTCAGGCGCTGTTGTAAGGCAGCCTATTGGTGACAAAATCTCTCAGCATTTGCTCGTCTGTAAAGGATTTTATTTCTCCTTTGCTTATGAAGCTCAGTTTCGCTGGATATGAAATTCTGGGTTGAAAATTGTTTTCTTATAATCAATAGCTTACCAACCAAAAACAGTTCAGGACCAGATGGATTCACAGCCGAATTCTACCAGAGGTACAAGGAGGAACTGGTACCATTCCTTCTGAAACTATTCCAATCAGTAGAAAAAGAGGGAATCCTCCCTAACTCATTCTATGAGGCCAGCGTCATCCTGATACCAAAGCCGGGCAAAGACACAACGAAAAAAGAGAATTTTAGACCAATATCCTTGATGAACATTGATGCAAAAATCCTCAATAAAATACTGGCAAACCGAATCCAGCAGCACATCAAAAAGCTTATCCACCATGATCAAGTGGGCTTCATCCCTGGTATGCAAGGCTGGTTCAATATATGCAAATCAATAAATGTAATCCAGCATATAAACAGAAGCAAAGACAAAAACCACATGATTATCTCAATAGATGCAGAAAAGGCCTTTGACAAAATTCAACAACCCTTCATGCTAAAAACTCTCAATAAATTAGGTATTGATGGGACCTATCTCAAAATAATAAGAGCTATCTATGACAAACCCACAGCCAATATCATACTGAATGGGCAAAAACTGGAAGCATTCCCTTTGAAAACTGACACAAGACAGGGATGCCCTCTCTCACCACTCCTATTCAACATAGTGTTGGAAGTTCTGGCCAGGGCAATCAGGCAGGAGAAGGAAATAAAGGGTATTCAATTAGGAAAAGAGGAAGTCAAATTGTCCCTGTTTGCAGACGACATGATTGTATATCTAGAAAACCCCATCGTCTCAGCCCAAAATGTCCTTAAGCTCATAAGCAACTTCAGCAAAGTCTCAGGATACAAAATCAATGTACAAAAATCACAAGCATTCTTATACACCAACAACAGACAAACAGAGAGCCAAATCATGAGTGAACTCCCATTCACAATTGCTTCAAAGAGAATAAAATACCTAGGAATCCAACTTACAAGGGATGTGAAGGACCTCTTCAAGGAGAACTACAAACCACTGCTCAAGGAAATAAAAGAGGACACAAACAAATGGAAGAACATTCCATGCTCATGGATAGGAAGAATCAATATCGTGAAAATGGCCATACTGCCCAAGGTAATTTACAGATTCAATGCCATCCCCATCAAGCTACCAATGACTTTCTTCACAGAATTGGAAAAAACTACTTTAAAGTTCATATGGAACCAAAAAAGAGCCTGCATCGCCAAGTCAATCCTAAGCCAAAAGAACAAAGCTGGAGGCATCACACTACCTGACTTCAAACTATACTACAAGGCTACAGTAACCAAAACAGCATGGTACTGGTACCAAAACAGAGATATAGATCAATGGAACAGAACAGAGCCCTCAGAAATAACGCTGCTATCTACAACTATCTGATCTTTGACAAACCTCAGAAAAACAAACAATGGGGAAAGGATTCCCTATTTAATAAATGGTGCTGGGAAAACTGGCTAGCCTTATGTAGAAAGATGAAACTGGATCCCTTCCTTACACCTTATACAAAAATCAATTCAAGATGGATTAAAGACTTAAACGTTAGACCTAAAACCATAAAAACCCTAGAAGAAAACCTAGGCATTACCATTCAGGACATAGGCATGGGCAAGGACTTCATGTCTAAAACACCAAAAGCAACTGCAACAAAAGCCAAAATTGACAAATGGGATCTAATTAAACTCAAGAGCTTCTGCACAGAAAAAGAAATTACCATCAGAGTGAACAGGCAACCTACAAAATGGGAGAAAATTTTCGCAACCTGCTCATCTGACAAAGGGCTAATATCCAGAATCTACAATGAACTCAAACAAATTTACAAGAAAAAAAACAAACAACCCCATCAAAAAGTGGGCGAAGGACATGAACAGACACTTCTCAAAAGAAGACATTTATCCAGCCAAAAAACACATGAAATAATGCTCACCATCACTGGCCATCAGAGAAATGCCAATCAAAACCACAATGAGATATCATCTCACACCAGTTAGAATGGCAATCATTAAAAAGTCAGGAAACAACAGGTGCTGGAGAGGATGTGGAGAAATAGGAACACTTTTACACTGTTGGTGAGACTGTAAACTAGTTCAACCATTGTGGAAGTCAGTGTGGTGATTCCTCAGGGATCTAGAACTAGAAATACCATTTGACCCAGCCATCCCATTACTGGGTATATACCCAAAGGACTATAAATCATGCTGCTATAAAGACACATGCACACGTATGTTTATTGCGGCATTATTCACAATAGCAAAGACTTGGAACCAACCCAGATGTCCAACAATGATAGACTGGATAAAGAAAATGTGGCACATATACACCATGGAATACTATGCAGCCATAAAAAATGATGAGTTCATGTCCTTTGTAGGGACATGGATGAAATTGGAAATCATCATTCTCAGTAAACTACCGCAAAAACAGAAAACCAAACACCGCATATTCTCACTCATAGGTGGGAATTGAACAATGAGATCACGTGGACACAGGAAGGGGAACATCACACTCTGGGGACTGTTGTGGGGTGGGGGGAGGGGGGAGGGATAGCATTGGGAGATATACCTCATGCTGGATGACGAGTTAGTGGGTGCAGCGCACCAGCATGACACATGTATACATATGTAAGTAAGCTGCACATGGTGCACATGTACCCTAAAATTTAAAGTATAATAATAATAAAAAAAATTGTTTTCTTTAAGAATGTTGAATATTGGCCCCCATTCTCTTCTGGCTTGTAGGGTTTCTGCAGAGAGATCTGCTGTTAGTCTGATGGGCTTCCGTTGATGGGTAACGCGACCTTTCTTTCTGGCTGCCCTTAACATTTTTTTCCTTCATTTCAACCTTGGTGAATCTGATGATTACGTGTCTTAGGGTTGCTCTTCTGGAGGTGTATCTTTGTGGTGTTCTCTGTATTTCCTCAATTTGAATGTTGGCCTGTCTTGCTAGGTCGGGGACGTTCTCCTGGAAAATATCCTGAAGAGTGTTTTACAACTTGGTTCCATTCTTCCCATCAATTTCAAGTACACCGATCAAGTGTAGGTTTGGTCTTTTCACATAGTCCCATATTTCTTGGAGGTTTTGTTTGTTCCTTTTCATTCTTTTCTTTTTTTTTCCAATCTTGTCTTCACACTTTATTTCATTAAGTTGATTTTCAATCTCTGATATCCTTTCTTCTGCTTGATCAATTTGGCTGTTTATACTTGTGTATCCTTCGTGAAGTTCTCATGCTGTGTTTTCAGCTCCATCAGGTCATTTATGTTCTTCTCCAAACTGGTTATTCTAGTTAGCAATTCCTCTAACCTTTTTTCAAGGTTCTTAGTTTCCTTGTGTTGGGTTAGAATGTGCTCCTTTAGCTTGAAGGAGTTTGTTATTACCCACCTTCTGAAGCCTACTTCTGTCAATTCGTCCATGTCATTCTCCTTCCATTTTTGTTCCCTTGCTCGCGAGGAGTTGTGATCCTTTGGAGGTGAAGAGGCGTGCTGGTTTTTGGAATTTTCAGCCGTTTTGTGATGGTTTTTCCTCATCTTCATGAATTTATCTACCTTTGGTCTTTGATGTTGGTGAGCTTCATATGGGGTTTCTCTGTGGATGTCCTTTTTGTTGATGTTGATGCTATTCTTTTCTGTTTGTTAGTTTTCCTTCTGACAGTCAGGCCCCTCTGCTGCAGGCCTGCTGGAGTTTGCTGGAGGTCCAGTCCAGACCCTGTTTGCCTGGGTATCATCAGCGGAGGCTGCAGAACAGCAAAGATTGCTGCCCGTTCATTCTTGAGTAATGTTTAGCAGGCATAGTAAGCCTTCTTCAATATTTAATTGTCTGCATACTGATGGATATTTTTAGGGATGAAGATAAGTGGTTCTTGTTTGCAGTGGATACGATGCTTATGAGGAAAGAAGAGCTCTTTTTAAATAGAGTCTCTTGGGTAGAAACTCCCTTGATTAAGTTCCTGAAGTCTTTTACTTTGCTGATCCTCAATTCAGTTTCATCAGCTCACCCAGAGTTTATCAAACTTTGGAGGAATGATTTTAAGAACCAAATATGGCCAGATGCAGTGGCTCATGCCTATAATCCGAGCAGTTTGGGAGGCCAAGGCAGGAGGATCACTTGAGGCAAGGAGTTTGAGACCAGCCTGGGCAACACAGTGAAACCCCGTCTCAAAAAAAAAAAAAAAATTAAGTTAGCTGGGTGTGTCACTGTGCGCCTGCAGTCCCAGCTACTCGGGAGGCTGAGTTGGGAGGATCACTTAAGCCCAGGAATTGGGGGCTGCAGTGAGCCATGATTGTGCCACTGCCCTTGAGCCTGGGCAACAGCGTGAGACTCTGTCTCTTTAAATAAATAAATATGTAATAAAAGTGGAAAAAACAGGCAAATGTATAAGTCACTGATCTATAACTCTAACGTGATAGTTTGTTTATTTACTAATTATATTGCCAACTGACACTGATTGCTCAGACCCTTAAGAGGCACTCTTGTGTGAGGATTTCACTCAAGACACCAAATTACAGACAGTGAATGTTCCATGGAGAACAGAGTTGAAATACTTCCATGCATATTGTCTCTGAGAAAACCACCTCTTTTCCAGGAGAGGTTGTTCTGCAGAGGGTGCCAGATCCCAATCCTGAAGAATCCAAACACCTTTTGAAATTGTATTCTGGGGCTGAGGCCCTGCTTGTTCACCTTGATCAGACAGGTGAATTTCCTCAGCTTCCTCAGCCATTGATTTCTAAATGATCTCTTACTTTGAGGTGCAGATAAGCTTTCTTGATGTAGATCCTTTCCATTTTCCTTGTAGGTACTTCGTGGTTCAAACTTTCACTACTGCAACTACGGTTACCATAAAGTGATTACTATGTGCTAGATTGTGTACTAAGTGCTTTCCATGAAATATTTAGTTGTCACGGCAACCCTACACAGGTCTGGCCAATAAACATTTCTGCAATGATGGAAATGTTTTATAATACTAGCACCACCTAACTCTGGTAGCCATTAACACATGTGAATATTGAGCATTGAAAATGTTTCTAGTGTGACTAAGAAACTAAAGTTTTAATTTTGTTTAGTTTTGATTAATTAAAATGTAAATAGCTAGTGTGGCCAGTAGCTATGGTATTGACATGATGCAGATACAAGTACTTTGATTCTCATATTACATGTAGAGAAGCTACAGTTCAAAGAAATTAAATAATTTTCTCAAGGTCACAGAACTTGCAAATGGCAGAGCAAGGATTTGATTTTGAAGTCAGTGTCCTTATCCCTATAGTGTATGGCCACTATTTAGACTGTGCCTGCTCTTTTTGTATCCAAATTTGTTAAGAAACACCTCTGGTACATTTGCAATTAACCATTGAAAGAAATAAAACTGATAATTATACAATAAAGGACAACAGTCATTAAAACAGCACTACCCTGGTCCCAAAATAGAAGTATGGCTAATGGAACAGAAGAAAAAATGTACAGGTATGAAAATAGATGTTCTTGTGTTATATTTATATTCTTATATTACTGTGATGAACTGAGCATCACAAAAGAATAAGAAAGGAAGAGCTATTTAACTAATGACTTGGGAAAAACTGGTTATCAATTAAACATTCATAAGCTCCCAACCTAGTATATTGTATGAAAATATATTTCAAATGGCATAAGATTCAATTATTAAAGAACAAACTTGTTTAAAAAATCAAATCACAAGAAACAGCAGAAAATTCATTTAAGAAACCATCTGTTCCATGGTAAGTTCTGAAGAAATCATGAAGGAAAAAATTACAGATTTGACTGCTTAAGAAATAAAGACTAATGAACAATAAAAATATACATAGAATAAAAAGGATAACAGATTTGGGGAATATTTGCAACGAATAAGAAAGACAAGGGTGATAATTACATTATCAATAAGAAAACCTTAAGATACCCGGGAAAGTTAATGGAAAAGAACGTGAACAGACAGTTCACACACCAGGGAATATAACTAGTGATTGAGCTTATGGGGAATAGTTGAATTAGGGCTTTTCAAAGAGGTACAAATTAAGTGATGACAAGATAGCATCTTATGCCTTTTGAATTAGCAAACATTTAAGAAAATAGTAATTCTTTGTGTTGAAGATAAGGCAGAAAACTGCTGTATATGCTGCCTGCGGCAGCTAAAATTACTCTGATTTAGGAAGCAAATTTGATGAAGTAATCAAGAACCATAAAAATGTTCATTCAGTCTGACTTAATAATCCGCCCCTGAAAATTTATCTGAGAAAAAAATCCTAAGGAAAATTCACCTCCTTTTACCATCAAACCTTTAAAGTAGAGGAAAGGCCATATATTAAATAATGTGAAGATTTTAATTTATAGAGTTAGCCCTAATAAGGAAAGGAAGGGAAGCAATCTAAAATGCTGAGTCATTGGTGAAGGCCATTAAATATATTATGACACATATACTCTGTAGAATATTATGCATCTGTTAAAGTGATAATTATGGCCACTGTGTAGCAACATGGAAAATGTTTATAATGGCAAACGAAAAACAGCAGGATACACATTTGTATCTTGTCTAAAATTTCAATCCTGTCGAAAGATACACATGAGGGCCAGGTGGTGGCTCATGCCTGTAATCCCAGCACTTAGGGAGGCCAAGGCAGGCAGATCACTTGAGGTCAGGAGTTCAAGACCAGCCTGGCCAACATGGTGAAACCCCTTCTCTACTAAAAAAATACAAAAATTAGCTGGGTGTGGTGGCATACTATGACTGTAATCCCAGCTACTTGCGAGGCTGAGGCAGGAAAATCACTTGAACCTGTGAAATGGAGGTTGTGGTGAGCCGAGATTGCACCACTGCACTCCAGCCTGGGTGACACAGCAAGACTCCATGTCCAAAAAAAAAAAAAAAAAAAAAAAAAAAGATACACATGCCTAAGGACCCAGACTGGAAGGGAACTCAAGGCAAACAAAAACAGTTGGTATGTTAGGGTCATGGGACTTGTTTTTATTTTTATTTACCTTTGTCCTATTTTCTCAATAAACTCAAACTAGAAATGGAAACACAGTCACAGAAATGAAGGATATTCATAAAGCATTGTTTCCTGTTGGAAGCTGCCTTTTATTCTCCTTTGCCCTCAGACATGTACTCCTCATTTTGATGAGCAGCAAGTGATCAGAATTATCCAGCCTTCAGTCAAACATAATCTGTAGAAGAAAGCACTGCTTTATGCAAGGAGATTTACTGTGTGATGGTTGGCAAAAGAAAGGATGCACAAAGACTCTGTGTGGGCAGATTTAGCAGAGGTACTGAAAGTGAAAGGAGAGGCCATCTGGTAGAATGTGCTGTGGCAAATTAAACTGAGTTTTATGAACATGAAATACCAGAAGAAAATCCAAATGCCCTGGACTTGGAAAAAGCCCATCTGAGGCACCATAAAACCAATCAACTACAGACTGACAATATGCCACTCATAAGCTCAGATATGCCCATTACTAGGGACAGCATCATTCAAGCCAGATTTTGCAGAGCTCATTTGATGTGGATTTCCCGTAGGGGAAAAAATCAACAAATTACCCACCGTGTCCCCCACACATGCGCAGATGCCTGATACAGAGCTACTGTTTCAATAAATATGGTAAATGCATAATGATCTGGAAGGCATTGGTTTGGCTTCTCCTGCCTCACATTCATTAGTGAACTCTGACACCCAAACCAGACAACTAGACTTGGGTATGGATATAAGGAGCCATTTTTCCCTCCCTCCCTCCCTCCTTTCCCTGCTTGCCTTTCTCTTTTCCCTCCCAATTATTTTCATTCTTTCCTCTCCCCTCCCTCCATCTCTCCCTCCTTCTCTCCCTTCCTTCCCTCTGTCCCTCCCTCCCTCACTTCCTTCCTTCTTTCCTTCCTTTGTTTCTCTCTCCCTCCCTTCCTCCCTCCCTTCCTTCCTTTCTTTCTCGCTCCCTCCCTTCCTCCCTCCCTTCCTGCCTTCTTTTCTTCATTCTTTCTTTCCTGTCCCTCCCTCCCTCCCTCTTCCTCCCTTCCTTCCTTCCCTCCTTCCTCTGACTCTCTCCTTCCCTCCCTTTCTTTCCTCCCCTCCTCTTTTCTTTTCTTCTTTTCCTAAGCAGTTCATATCCCTATCCTTTAGCCTGTATGTCTGGAATTCTTTATAGTTCCACTACACTTGCCCCCTCATTTTGTCCTAATGTTCCTCCAATTCTCCATTTCCTCTTTATTTTTACTCTGGGGCTCTTTCGAGTGCATGTATCCTGCATATTCAGCTACTTCTGCTTTTCCTCACCTTTAATGCTTTGATTGCTTCCATTAGAGTGTTGATAATTCTGTCATGATCCTTGTCTGTATATAGTTCTTCCTTATATTTCAAGTCCCTTTATGATAGCTCTGCTACAAGTGTGTTTTCAATGGCACTGTAGTTCTGCTGTGGCTTTGGGGCTGCTTTGGTTTTCTTTGGAAGGAGATAGCTACATGGGTAGCTTGATTGAGGAAGGGCACAAAAGCAGTCTAAGTGTTTGAAGGACTGTCTCTGGGAAGAGGAGCTTAGCTATTCCCATGTGGCTAGAAAGGGCACAACAAATCCCACTGGGAGGTGTACTTAGACTCTGTAAAAGGAAGCACATTCTAATATAGCAGGTCAAAGACTGAATGGGCTATTTCCAGGGCCGACATATCTGGGTGTTCAGTTTGTGCATTGTACAAAGACACCTGGCCGAGAAAATGAATGGGAGCTGAAATGCAGCCCGTGCTTTGCTCACTAAGCCCTGTGCTCTGGAGTGAGGCCATGCCGACCTAGAAGAACGGGTGCCAAGATAAGTTACCTTTTGATATTCCACATAAAGACACCAGTATGTGCTAGTGGTAGCCCTAGCTATCCCAGGAGGGGATATTGTCTACTGTTGCAGAACAAGGGAGAGAATAGATGAACTTGTGTGCTAGAGGAAGTGCTTGCCTCTTCTCCACCATCTCCACATTTCCTGGATGTGCTTTGATTCTATTGCACTGCCAAACAATCCCTTTTTCTAAACTTGTCTGTGCCAATCTTGTGTCTTCTTATCTCACATATGCTAACAACATCCACATTAAGACTCTCAACTTCCCCGAGATGGATAGGTGCCATCACATACCGTGCTGGATTGAATTCTCATTTCAGAGAATACATCTTCTTTCTACTTTTCAATGAGGATCAGCATCCCATTCTTGCCCACCACCTAGTACTTTGTTAGGAACACAGGAGGTAAGGCAAACTGAAAGCACTTTGAAAACTGTGAAGAATTTTTTCATCAATATCATTAGACAAGATCCTGTTACACCAGGAAGTCAAGAGGCTTTACTGGCATTTAGTGCCTCTTGTTTCACCATCAAGATTCCCTGTCTACAACAGTTCATAGCTGAGTCTCTATTCATCAAACTTTCTGCAGGGTTGACATACACACCATTTATTTGGCTCTCAGTGTATAACATTTGGTGGTGAGTCACCCTTTCCTGTGTACATCTTGTTTACCCCAGATAGACTGTAAGCTCCTGGACCAATTCAGGAAACCACATACTGGTTTCCTGGTATGGAAAGGAAATGTTTTATTTCAGAAAGTCACTTCTCTCCATGAGCAAAGAACAGTGAGGGTCATTTTAAACTGTTGTAGCTGAATTCCAAATGGCAACTGAGATGGTCCCAAGATTTGGGCCATGTCAATTTAGGGAGTAGGTAATTAAAGGCAGTCCAACAATTTCACAAATTTATAGTTAGGTGCCATGCCGTGCACTGTCTTGGAATTCCTCACAAGGACATTGTGTAATGTATACTTTTTGAATTCAATTGAATTTATCCTTCCTTCCACCTTTCCTCCCTTCCTTCAACAAATATTCATTGAGACTGTACTATGTTTCAGTCTTTGTTCCAATGAACCTAAACAGACAAAAGTCTGTGCCGTCATGGAACTTTCTATTCTTGTCCAGATCTGCCATTTACTAGTTGTGTGTAGACTCAACCAAATCACTTCCTTCTCCGGACCAAGTGTGTTCTTCTGTGTACACTGAAGGTTTCACAGATGTTTCCATTTTTCCTTCCTATTATTTTTTCTTTAATCAACCTCCGTACTTTTAATTGCTTTCTTGGTTATCTATTTTTGCCTAATATCCAGTACTGTAAGGAAAATAACAAGGATGTACTTTTTCTTTTCTTTTTTTTTTCTTTTTTTTTTTGAGACAGAGTCTCACTCTGTCGCCCAGGCTGGAGTGCAGTGGCGTGATAACGGCTCACTGCAACCTCTGCCTCCTGGGTTCAAGCAATTCTCCTTCCTCAGCCTCCTGAGTAGCTGGGATTACAGGCGCCCGCCACCACACCCAGCTAATTTTTGTATTTTTAGTAGAGGCGGGGTTTCACCATGTTGGTCAGGTTGATCTCGAACCCTTGACCTCGTGATCCACCCGCCTTGGCCTCCCAAAGTGCTGGGATTACAGGCGTGAGCCACCGCGCCCGGCCGAGGATGCCCTTTTTCAATGGTTCACCTTTGGGTATTTTTATATCTATGTTTGCCTAGATCATTCCTTTGTTTTGATATCATCAATTTGTTTAGCCCAAAGATAATGGCTGTTGTATTTCCGTCTTGAGTGCCAAGCTCACAATGAGCTGTTACTCAGTTTTTGAAGTATTTTCTCCCATTATAACATCAACCTTCTTTCATTTATTTCCTTTAGTCCTCTGTCCTGAGAGCATCCCCCAGAGTTATAGCCTTGGATTCTCAAGCTGCAGGAGATTGCATGTTTAACCATGATAAATACTCAGGACAAAATTGAGCCTTTTTTTCTCTCATAATTTTATTTGTTTAAATCTTGACTGCTTATAGTAAATATCCTCTCAAAGATAATTTCATTTCCAAACAATTTGGTACCTGATCTGACGCAGCTTGAGTGTTTATTTTGGGGATGTTGTTTTTCTTTTTTAATGAGTTCCCCAAAATAGCTTTTATTGTTTTTACATCTTTCTTTTTTTTCCCCGGGCTATCAGAGGGATTGTAGTTAGCATTGCTGGAGGATTATTAGTTTATTAATAATAATTATCTCTTAAATTTCTTTTTTGGAAGCAGCATTTGGTCATTATTGAAAAAACAGAGCTTTTAAAAAATGGAATGACTTTAAGGAATCTGAAGAAAAGATAAATGTACTCCTGTATGATTTTTATAGTGTTTGCAATCCAGTGATCATTCTCACATTGTTTAAGTTTCAGTTTCAAGGTGCGTTGTCCCCCTTTATCTGTGGGGAATGTGTTCCAAGACCCCCGGCGGATGCCTGAAACCCTATATATACTATGTTCTTTCCTACACATACTTACCTATGATAAAGTTTAACTTATAAATTAGGCACAGTAAGATTAACAACGACAACAATAAAATAGAACAATTATAATAATATGCTGTAATAAAAATTATATGAATGTAGTCTTTTTCTCTCAGAATATCTTATACTGTGATCACGTATTTCCTGACTGTGAGTGACCATGGCTCACTGAAAATTGAAAGTGAAACCACAGATAAGGGTGGGGACTATGATAGTAAGGTAAGATTGGTATTAATATATTGTCTGAGCAAGGCAACTAAATGTGTTCCTTTTGGAATGCATACTGTTACAATTCAGGTTTAATTATTAAACAGCATTGGTCTAAGTGGATGAAGGTTCTGTTTTCGACCCATAATTTAACACATGTCAAGTTTAAATGTACACAGTAACTCAAAAAACGGCCTGCCTTTGGTTGTTGTTTCCAGGATACTGTGAGCATTGCAATTAGCAATAAGGAAAGCACTGACCAACTCCCGGAACCACATCTAGTTGCCTGGCATGGAAAGGAAATGCTTTTATTTTAGAAAGTCACTTCTCTGCATGAGCAAGGAACAGCGAGAGTCATTTTAAACTATTGTAGTTGAATTCCAAATGGCAACTGAGGTGGTCCCAAGATTTGGGCCATGCCAATGTAGGGAGTAGAGGATTAAACACAGTCCAACAGTTTTACAAATTTCTAGTTGGTGGGTGGCTGGGAACTGTTTATTATTGTTAATGTTACTGAAAAATCACTTGTTTCGTGTTAATACATCATCCCTTCTCCAGTCCTCCAGCCCCAGTGAATTTTGTGTTGATATAGCAATGTGTTCATAGTGCCACTTTACTGAATCAGTTGTTAAACAAATATTTGTGCCATACCTACTATTTTACAGACATTATGTCAGGCACTGGGGAATTTATGTTGGTGAATAAATAGACATGGTTCCTGCTCTCATGAAACTTAAAATCTGGTCTTTTTAAGCAAGCTATTTCACTTTTCTGAGAGTCAGTTTCATTATCTTAAAATAGGCATAATGCCTATCTGGAAGGATTGTGGTGAGAATAAAATGAGACTATGTCTATAAAGCACTGGTGTGATGTTTGGCACATAGAACATGGTAGAACCTCAACAAATGATGGCTCTTATAATCATTGTGAGTGCTGGAGAGCCCCAGTGCTGGTCTATGGATTGAAGAGCTATCGAAGAGGTTCTTGCTGAAGGTTCACCCCTTGGAGTATCTCTACTCAATCCACTGAGTGGGAAGATTTGAAGGTAACAGGCTACGGGGGTTGAACTTTTCCCACATGGACATTTTAAACTCAGTTCAAATACATTTGAATGAGAGAGCAAAGTACATTAAGCACAGAATTTCTAGAACTCACCTTGGGAAATTTAAAGCTGACCATTTTCTCTAGCATTTTGGAAATTATCAAAAGGCCAGACGGAATGCACAATTCACTTCTTGGCTGCCAGGAGTGAAGGAGAGAAGAGGTGAGGTTGAATGATTTGAAATTCAGTTCGTCTGTGTTAGAACAAGTCAAAACAATTCTAGCTGTTAATTTTAGTTAGTTGAGTCCAGAGTAAAGGTTTGTAAAGGGCATAAGAAAGCAACATTACTTTTTTCTCACAATGAGCACTTAAAAGATCTTTTAAAAGTGTTTCTGTAATGTAAAAGAAATAGTCTTACTGCAGTTTTTAAAAGCAGAAGGTTCCTTGTGTCTATTAAAATTATTTTAATTTATTGTCATATTACTGTAAATTGGAAAGGACCACAAATATATTATGCTTAACTTCCAGATTCAAGTGTCTTGCAATAAGTTAAACACATGTAATGGTTTATGCTCTTTAAAATGTTTTTGCACTTATTTTATTCTGCCCAGCAGGGCAGAGATTATTGTCTGAGTTTCATAGGTGAAGGCGTTGAAGTACAGATGCTTATCCAAGACCCTGCTGTTTGTTAGAAGCAGATACCAGGACAAGAAACACAGCTTTTCTTATTTCACAGCACTTGGCCATAGCAACTACTTTTTGCTGTTTTATTCACATTGACATGAATAGGTTAGTACCTGAATTCTTTAAGACAGATGAAAAGTAATTAAGTCTGAGTCTCCTCAAACAAGATATCCCTCTGAAAAGATGGATGTTGTAGGATCATGAAGATGGCAGTCTTTAAAAATCTCAGCAAGGAACAGCATTGTGACTAGCGATAGAGTAAAAGCTGTGAGAATTGCACAGATTCCAAAACGCTGTTAAGATGATCTGCTGGTCCTTTTTCCAAATGGGGAATATGGTGATATGGTTTTGGGGTATTTGTGCTTTATTTATTTATTTATTTTGAGACAGGGTCTCACTGTCACCTGAGCTGGAGTGCAGTGGTGTGATCACCACTGCACTGAAGGCTCACTGCAGCCTTCACCTCCACAGGCTCAGATAATCCTCCCACCTCAGCCTCCCGAGTAGTTTCGACTACCTGTGCATACCACCAGATCCAGCTAATTTTTGTATTTTTTGTAGAATCAGGGTTTTGTCATGTTGCCCAGGCTGGTCTCAATCTCCTGGGCTCAAGTGATCCTCCCACAGTGCTGGGATTATAGGCATGAGCCATCGTGCCTGGCCTATTTGTGCTTTTGATGTACATTAGTCCCTAACTGGCTCTTGAGCTTCTGCTTCATGCCTCCCACAGTGCCAACTCTAGGATTGTAAGCTCCCCACCCTGATTCACTTACAATCATAATGTAGGGCTTGATGTAAAACATGAGAAGACTTGATGTTTCTGGGTAACAATGGGTGCAGCTCTTGATTATTCATAGTCTGATTATCCTTACTGGGGAGTATCCTGTCTCATTTTACTTCTTGTTGTCTGAATGCCTACCTTTTACCTTTGTAAACTCCAGATTTAAAGTTTGTGTAGGGTGGGGTGCGGTGGCTGACGCCTGTAATCTCAGCACTTTGGGAGGCTGAGGCAGGAGGATCGCTTGAGCCCAGGAATTCAAGACAAGCCTGGGCAACAAAGCAAGAGACCATCTCTAAAAAAAAAGAAAAAAAAAAAAAAGCCAGGCACCCTAGCACACGCCTGTAGTCCCAGCTACTCAGGAAGCTGATTCAGGAGGATTGCTTGAGCCCAGGAGTTGGAGGTTGCAGTGAGCTATGATTGCATCACTGCACTCCAGTCTGGGTGACACAGCAGGAGACACTGTCTCAAAACAAGAACAAAAACAAATTTTGTTTAAAACTGAAAATGGGGGGATAGATGGAAACTATTTTACTTTTTATCTTAACAGCTTGTGCAGGTAGAACAGTTTAATGAGGAAGGAGCTGACACTCTTGCCTATGGTGTGTTGGGAGATTATAGATTTTAGTTATCCATGTTTATGTTGTACCCCAGGACTACAGATTATTGGCAGCTGGCTATAAACAAATGACCAAATAAATCTACAGTTGAAGTTACCTAGTGTCTCCAAGATTTCAGGGATGATCAAGGACAGGTAGCAGAGCCTGGGGCCATCAGCTGTGTGTTGGCCTCATCTCATTCTGAACCCCTCTCCTACTTTAATCAGAACCCTGATACTTAAGGGACTGAACTAGCTGTGACATCCATTTATCCATTTTATAGAATGGCTGTAGGTAACTACAGGGCCATAATCGGAATTCTATACAGGGATGGGTCCCTAGGCTCATTAATTGATGACAGGGTAGGAGAAGACTTTGACACCTACAGATTCATTAGAGACAGCTGAATGGATTTATTCCAAGGAGGTCACCTTTGAAAACGCAATGAATTTCTATGGGTGGATAACAATGCAAATAGGCAAGGATGAAGCTTTAGATTTAATCTACATCTGCTGCAACAATGTTCTGATATAGAATTGTTTAGCCCAAGTCCTAATTGAAAAGGTGAGTAACATTGATATTGTCTTTCTGAAATGGATTAGAAATAGGGCTGGAAATTGGATGCTAGGAAGAGGGACATATAAGGTTTATGAGGTAAACCCCAATAAATGGAATTTACTATGATTATATTAAAAATAGAGACAATGTCATGTTTATACAGCGTGTAATATCATGCATAATGTCAAATGCCCTTTGGAGTTACTCCTGTCCCTTGTACTGATAACATGGCAGTTTTTTGAGTCCTAGCATAGGGAAACAGTGAAAATTTCCAGGAGTGCATCTTTTCAATAATGCAAAGGATACATATCAGTGTTTCACAAATTTCTCTCTTTTTTTTAAGAGACAGGGTCTCACTCTGTTGCCCAGGCTGGAGGGCAGTGGTGCAATCAGCTCACTGCAGCCTTGAACTCCTGGGCTCAAGCGATCCTCCCTCCTCAGCCTCTGGAATATTTAAAACTACAGGCGTGCATCACCACACCCAGCTAAGTTTTAAAGTTTTTTGTAGAGACACGGTCTTGCTGTGTTGCCCAGACTGGTCTGGAACTCCTGGCCTCAAGCTATTCTTTCTCCTTAGCCTCCCAAAGTGCTGGGATAATGGGTGTGAGCCACCCTGCCTGGCCTCACAACCTTTTGAAAAAGATCATCCCCTAAGGAGGAAATTCAATTTAAATAATCCTAATGAGAGAACTTAAATACTAAGGAAAAAGATTTAGGGGAGGAGGATTGGATGTGAAGGGCCACAATCTACTGTAATATCTTTTTTTTTCACTTTCCCCCCAAATCAATTTTCTTCCCCTTATGGACAATATCACCCTTGTTGGAAATGCATGATATAGATCTGTGAAGCCAGCCAATTTATGATGTGATATTTAAATTGTCTCTGGTTATGGATATTGTTTCCATTGCCCACATTAACCCTCAAGAGGAGGGCAGTAATGCCAATTAAGTTCTTGCTATGTGTTAGATCCTTTCCATGCATTGTTTAATTTCACCCTTACAACAACCCTGAAGTTGAGAAGTTAAGCGACTTTCCCAGACTCATACAGTGGCAAGTCAGGGGTTGAACCCAGGCCTTTCTGATGCCAGAGACTAGAATATTTCTAACACTTACTTATCTTACGGGAGGCATTACAAGATGTGTCTTACATAGAAAGGACATAATGGTGGGTGTTTATTTCTGAAGTTGATTTTGGAGTCTCTGGATTGCATTTTGGTTACCCTCAGGTAGAATAGAAAAGAGAAACTTGATTAATACTAAATTTTCTCTTTTATTCTCTCCACCCCTCTTTAATGGTTTGTATTGTGTTTCTTAGTATTATGTGGAAATAACCTTAGCTTCTTGATATGTGCTGAGATCCTAGGAACTCAGTGACTTACAGCACAGGTTGGATAAGGTTAATATTATGTTAATAACACAGATTTTATAGCTCTTCTACTAATCTTTACATAGATTAATGCCTCTCAATTTTACAAAAAATAGACCATTAATTGTGAAGCTGGAAGAGGACAATTCATGGCAGAAAATGTTAGGTTAGTAGAACAATAGTCATTTACACAGGATTGTTAAAGAAAGGGAAAGGTAAACTGATGTTCAACATCTAGTGCTTGAGAAGTTGCTCTGCACATAAAATCAAACCAGGCAGCTTTGACCTAGCTCTTGGGAGAGAATATATCAGGTTGTATTGATGATGCATTGATGAGAATACATCAGTGTGTATGATGTGGGAGCGTGTGTGTGTGTGTGTGTAGATGTAGAAAATAGCATTTTCTTATCTGGACTTTAGACTTCATAGTTAAAGTAAATTATGTTCATACATCTGTATGTGTAGACTTCCTACCTGTGCTTTAACGCCTCTATCTCCACCTCCATCCCTTTCTTCTGTCTCCCCAGGGGGCAATGGTGCAAGTAAACCAAATTCGAAATGCTTGGTCCCAGTGTTGTTAGCAGCTGATTCATAGGTGCTCCCCTCATTTTAGATAAGAAGAAATTGAGATTTGCAAAAGTCACACAAACTGGAGCTCAGATTGCCTGATTTGTACTGGTATATTGCACTGTCTGTCGGCCTTCACTCTTTCTGACTCTCTGCTTCTTAGAAAAAGAGAGTGTGGGAAAATGTGCTGGCACCTTCATCTGGTGGCCAGAGACCAATTCTAGGCCAGAGGTAAGCTTTAAAGAGAATAAAAAGTGAGGAAAATTGGCTCACCAGAGCACGTCATTATTTACATAATAATACATTGACTACGATGTGGGCTTTAAAAGAAAAAGAAAATGAAAGTCTTTCTCACAAAATACTCTAAAAATAAACTTTTTAGGGAACATTATAAAACCATACAATGTATTTTTTCCCAAACACAAAGTCCCACTGAAATCTGTCTCTTGGTTTTTTAGATGCCAAAAGTCAACTCATCTTGATGTAGAAAATGAGGAGGTGCTGTTAGTGCATGGAGAAATAGCCTTCTGCTAAGAGGTAGTTGACTTAGTTTCTAACTTATGTTTTCGTTTCATGCTATGTGATCTTGGTCAAATCATTTTGCCTCTCTGGACTTTGATATCCTTTTCTGCAAAATAAAAGGGTTCAACTGGATGATTTTGAAAGCACCTCTCTCTTCTATAAGTCTCTGCAAGTGGGAAGATGATTAGTTTGTAGTCTTATAATGTTTAGATGGTTTAACACTGCTATCTTCTAGCTTTTCTAAAAGTTTTCTGATGTTGTCATAGGCAGTTTTGTGTACAAAGGTCATTTGATGGATGCTAATGTACCTTTGGTTGATAGGAGGTTCGTAAAAGAAATATGCATCAAACCTTATTATTCGTGTATTAGATAAAGCAGATCTACTGACATTTTAATGTCACCAAGTAAGTAATTTATAAAGTCAGTGTGCCCCACTGAAACATTTCCAAAGATATTTACTATTGAGTACTTGGGTTCTGCTGAGGGTGAATACTGAAATGTATTCTTTTTGTGCTAATGTTTGCAGTACAGTGTTTCCCAGCAGTCAGAATGATTGTCTGATATTGTTAGTGTAACCCCTGTGATCTAACATAGGCTTCTGTGATTATAATGATTTTTATTTGAAAAGGTAATTGTGTTTGCCTGGCAACCTCCCCACTTGATTTTTTTTCTGTATACACCTCTTTCTTTGGCTCTTTAAAAGCCAGCAGTAGAGTATGTGTAGTTAAAATACCTTCTTCTTCTTGCATCCACGTTTTTGACTGTGTCTTTGCATTGCCATTGGGGGGACTGGAGAGTTAATATGCTGTGTTGCCTAAAGGAATAAAAGCAAAAATTATCTTTGCAATCAAAATATTACCAGAAAGAATTTATTAAAAATTACAACAGAGAGAAAAACGGACATTAAAAAGAGATTTTTATCTTTGTTTGCTTTTTGTTTTATTGGCTTGCCGAGCTTTATCAGTCATTAATGATGAAGGAAATAGAAGACCTCTCCAAACCTATGCATTTGAATTTTGTCCAGTTATCAAGCTTTCCCCTGTGCACACCCAATTTTTTTTACTAGCTCAAGGACAAAGAGATTTTTCTCATTTTCCCATTTTAAGATAAGCTATATAGGAATCTGGGTACATTTGAGTATGTGAGGAAAGATCAAGGACTCTGTAAGCATGCATCTTTCCAATCATGGCCCTTTTAGCAATTTGCAGTCATTGGAATGTGGGAGTTTAGGGAGAGTGCTGTTTCCAGAGTTAGACACTTCGGTAATTCCACTACTTTAGGGTTTCCTGCCACATGCTGTTGGCTTTCAGTAACAAGTTTCAGTAAGGATTCTCTTGGAGTATGCATAGAATTTTCTTAACAATCTGTGAGTGATTATAAGCAGTATATTCTGGGCTCTTGTGTTTTCGGGAGTTAAGAGACCTCTCTTTTGCAGTCCCCAAGAGTCCATGGCGCTCATCTATGAAAACGGCCCAAGTGACAGCCAGATGAATGTGTGCTGAGCGCCACTGAGGCTAAGTGCCAGGAAAGTAGAAGGCACCACCCTGTGGAAGAGGGCCAGGAATTCTAGAGGACACTACTCCTTTGAACAAAAAGGATGTGGAAAACAGTTTTCTTTGTTTCCTTTTGAGTTAGCTTTGGGCATGGGCTGATGCCAAGCTTCGTCCTATGACAGGCTCATTGCCATCCATCCTACCCAGGAGGGATGCATCTCTGAGCATGGAGACAGTGCTGAGGAAGGCAGGTTGGATGGTGCTTCCTTATCTGATTATCAGACAAGCCATATTTTTTCAAAGGAACAGTGAGAACAGATGATCTTTCTGATCTCGTGTTAAATACAGTACTGGGCATCTTTAGCATATGTGCTTTAGGTTATTGCCTTCTTAGCCTGCTCAGAAAAAAAACACAGCACTGGCAGCATTCCGTTTACTTACTCATTAGAATCTAAGGGCTGGAAGATCCCTTGAAAGTCATCTACTCCACCACCCACCCCCATCTGATGCACCAGCTGTTTCTACAACCAAGTCGTTATCCTTGCCTATGCATGATGTTCTCAAAGACACGGCATTAGAACACCTTCCATTGATTGAGTTGAAATCTTTTTCCCATTGCTGTCATGCACTGATGCTAGCTGGGCTTCTTGGAACCATACAAAACAAGTCTAATGTTCTTCTCTATGCCAGCCCTTCGGAGCTTTATGTCACATTCCAGTCTCACCCTTCCTTTCCATCTCAGCTGCAGTAAGGTTGATTAACCTGAATTAAGGAAGACTTGAGGGTGGGGTGAGAAGTTGCACATCTGTTCCTCTGATAACATGGATTTGATTCTCCCTCTCCCTTTTGGTCCCTCTGATAGAAATAGGCTCTAGTTCTTCCATATTCCTCTTAACAATGTTCAGATGTGGTCTCACTAGTGTTGATGATCTCCGTCTTTATACTTAACTTTGATTCAGCAGTGGAGTCCAAGATTCTGTTAGTTCTTTTGGTGATCTCACCATACTAGAGATTCCTATTCAACTTGTACTTGATAAAAATTTTATTATTGTCTGTGCTTCCTCTAAGCCACTGGTGCTCAACCGGGGTGATACTGTCATCCCCCACAACGTCCCCAGGACATTTGGCAATGTCTGGAGACAATTTTGATTTTTATGGCTTGGGGGATGGTATACTACTGGCATCTAATGGGTAGAGTCCAGAGATACTGCTAACCATCCAACAAGGATGCACAAAACAGCCCCCCATGACAAAGAATTATCCAGCCCAGAATGTTAATAGCATCAAGGTTACAGAACCCTGCTTCAAGCCACTTGTGTCCATATTCCTTCCAAATTTTTTCTCTGTACTGTGAAGGTAGCTTTGTTGACTCAAGTCAGGATCTTTTGCTTATTCCTATTTAATTTCATCTGGTTAGAAATCATACAGCTGTAGTGTTTCAAGACCTTCTTGGACTTGATATATATCATCAACGAACATATCTGCAGTACCTCCAGCTTCATGCATGAACCCCTCTTGCTTCTGATGGACTATTAATACCAAATTCAGGGAACTCTCCTCTTAACCAAAAGCAAATTGTTTTCCTAGACTGGCATGGGATTCCATGGCAGGTGGACTGATGATCATTAGGAGGTGCTGTGCTCAGTTTTTTTTCTTTTTTACATTTTTGGTACTCCCAGACTTCCTTAGTAGAGAGCTGGTGTGATCTAGAATGGCATTTGTATCTTCTCCCACCCAATTAGATTAGCAAGAGAGAGTTTAGCCAAGCACCACTGCTCTGCAAATGGAGTCTCCAAATGCCACATCAGCAGAAAGAAAAGTATCTACACTCATAAGAGCATGGGGTAGGGGGAAACAAGGATGCATAGGTTGTTGCTTGGCAAATCCATTCACTCCTAGCACTGTTCCAGTGATATTAGTTCCACATGCCTAGACAGATAGAGAATCACTGCGACTGGTAGGCAGGTCCTGCTGTCTCTAATGGGATCTGTTTTAAGGAAAAAGTTCTTGCATCTATTCTGATTTCTGTATCAGGCCAAACAATGCTAGAGTTGCTGACTTAATGACCACATTGGCTCCGCTGTTGGTCAAGATCATCAGACTCTCATTTCAGCTTTCAATGATATTGCATCCTGCAAACAAACCACTTGAGATGAGCTTGGTATAAGGGTCCTACTAAGAGAGTTCTGATTACCTTATTCACTTGAGATGAAATTTTTCACTGGAGTGAAATTACCAGACAACTAAAATGTTTTTTCCAAGGGACAAATGTGCAATTTTTGATCCCCAAGAGTAGACCAGAGGCCAAAAGCTACAGCCATTCTACCTTGCCTGCTGTGTTTCTGTGGCACACAAACTAAGAATGGTTTTTACCTGGTTAAATGGTAGGAAACAGTCAAAAGAAGATTTTGTGACATGTGAAAGTTGTATGAAATTATATGAAATTCACATTTCATTGTCCTTATGGCGGGGTCATCAGAACGCAACCACACTTATTTATGTGTTATTTATGCTGCTTTCTTGAAACAAAACTAGAGTAGTTGCAACAGAGACCTTATGGCCCACAAAGCCTAAAATATTTATTTTCTGGCCTTTTACAGGAAAAGCATGCCAATCCCTGGTCTAGAGCTTAATTTGTGTAAAAGACCCTTCATTTTGTGACTTTTATTCTGTTAGGGGCTGAGAAAATAAACTTCTTATGAATAACGTATTTGATGGGAGTCTTTTGGTGTCTGAGTGTGGACTCAAGGAAGGCACCGAGGGCTTTTGAGACTGCTAAATAAGGCATCTATTTCTATATATACTGTCATGGTCTGGGAGCTGGAAGAAATACTTTAAGAAGCTCAAGTTGCCGGATGGGATTTCTGGATTTTTTATGTGCACAACTAATAGCCTCTCAACCTAGAGTTGTAAGGTAACTTCTAATGTTCATAGGGATTTTGAGAATTGCTTCCTGATTAACTCTAAGAGTTGTTCAGTTATTTACATTCTTTCAGTAGAATTCTTTTATACCTCCTATGTGCCAGGTAATAAATGTGGAGACCTTTCCCAAAGCTTTTTGTATATATTTAATTTAGAGAGCTTCTACCTCAATTTTGTTGCAATTAAACTGATGCTAAATTATGTTCTTCCCTTTTGAATTATGGCTGATTGTGTCTCTCATCATACATAGAGATGTTAGAAAGCTAAGCTTTACATTTCAGCTGCTTATATTATATATACACACATGCAACACACATTCACATATAATTGAACTAAATTGACATTGACATTGAGAGAATATCCCCTGATATTTATCTATGTAATTTTTATTCTTAGGATTAGATTAATCAGTGATTGAGACTGATCCTCTGAATCAATCTCTCTCTCGATGAAATACACAATATGTATAATGTATATATTAATAATTATAATTATTAATTGTTAATATATAATAATTAGATATTATAACTACACATATATATTTAAAATTTATATTTTCTCCAGAACTTTGAGTTTTAACCCTAGAGAGACTCTATCACAGCACCCAGAATATTCTATTTTAATAGTTCATTTAGGATACCAACACTGGAAAACTCCAGTTTTCCAGTGATGAATAAAGTTGGAAACTTTATTCATCTAGCACGACGTATGGTGCTCAGCATAGTAGATGCCTCTGAAATGCTGATTGAATGGAACTAAACTGACTTTAATCGAGAGAATAGCCTTGAGATTTCTTTATCTATATAATTTTTATCCTTAGGATTAGATTATTCAGTGATGGAGACTTGACCTAAAAATATGGCTCTGTAATTTCACTGATATTGTCAAGAGCTTGTTTATGCTCCATCAGCATCAGGTCCGTGGGTGTTGATTCCACTTATAGGAGTCCCTGTGGTGTTGGGAGGGGGCCAGAAAAGTAAAGAGTGGTCTGCTGGAAGTCAGTGGATTAGCTGGAGAGCTCATTCTGCTGATGGCTGCCCTGGTAGAGCACCCCATTTGGAAGTGGAGCTGAAGGGAGAGACAGTAGTGATGCTAAGAGAAATGAGAGGAAGATGAGAAGGGAAAAATTAGCTCATCCAGGCAGAACCTTTATTAAATTTAGTTCCAGATCTTGAGTTCACAACTTAAATACCCTGTAAGATCAGAAATGTTATTATTTGTACCTGTAGATCAAGACTTAGAATACAGGAGGATCATGGCTATCCAGGATGGAAGAGACATTGGAGCCTCTCTATTTCAGCCCTCTAGCTCAATGGTTCTTCATCTGGGTTAGTCAGTGGCTTCCCTGAAAAGGCTATGTGTCTATGCATTTTTCTTGAGAAGAGATTCCACGCTTTCATTATTTTCTATAGGATGAGTCCAGGAAACCTCCTTCATCCCCACTCCCCCAAAAAGTTAAAAGCCACCTCTCTAGAAGATGTGTGAACTCTTCACAGGGATTCTGATAAACAATTGCTGACAGATCTCATGTAAACCTTCCTATAAAAGCGAATGTAGGATTTCATGAGGCAGCACAGCTGGAATTGTTGTGAAATTATTCCCCACATTGAGTGGAAATTTATCTCTATGTAACTTTCCCCAACTTCATTTTATTTGTTTGTTCTCTGCTCCCTAAAGTAACTGAAAGTAAGTTCCACCCCTCTTCTATGGTCCTTTGAATATAAGGACACAATTTGTATGCCTTCCTTAAGGCGACTTCCCCAGGGAAAAGAGCCTTTCCAAACTTTTCTCATGTATTTGTGCTTTACAGACTCTTCCCTGTGTTGGTTGTTTTGTCTGTTTTGTCTTTGTCCCTCATAAAGTCATGGCAGCTAGAATTGAAGATCGCATTTCGGGAGTGTTCTGACCAGCACAAATCAGAATGCTATCATCTACAATCCCCTCGTTCTAGGTAATATATTTCTAGTAATGCCCAATTAACTAGTTTCTGTGATAGTGCCTCACACTGCTGACTCATAATGAACTGTTGATTGCTAAAGCCTCCTCCAAGCTGCGTTTGGAGGTTTGGCATGTGAATCTATTTATACCCACTTTTTTATATTTAAAAAAGGCATCACATTGATGCCCAAATCAGGACTGTTATGCACATGTATGTAGATGAGTAAGTTTCCCTTTATGAATTTAAAAAAACACACACACGTCATTTAACTTTATTATTCTTGTTGCTTTGCAAAATATTAAGGACATCTTGATGCTTTCAGAATGAACACCAAAACCCATGTAAGTGGTATAATACTTAACAATGTTCACACATGAAAATACATAAGTGGTTTATTTAATTCATGATCAATTATTTGTTTTTGAAGGAATTTTCAGCATTTTTTATTTGGACATTCTGGAAATGAAATAGTAAACATGATTAGTTCAGGTAGCATTGAGAACTTTTAACGGATATAATACTTATGAAGAATTTATTTGCAGCAGAAAGTGGTCACTTGCTATTTATAAGATGAGGAAGATAGTGTGAGCCAAGTAGGAGGTGGAGATAACCTCCTGCCAACAGATGCCAAAATGGGAGACTGCCACTCGGGGCTGCCTGGAATGCAACTGCACCTAGAAGCATACTGTGTTGTATGTGTAAACAAGCAAGAACATCCTTGTGTAAATGTGTGGTGGCTCTGCTCCTTGGAGAAATAGAATGGTTTCTCAACATCATTTTCTTATAAATTCCTTGCTGTTAAATCAGTAGCCATTTATCCAGATACTTGTAGTGGAGCTAGAGATCCCCCTCTGGTTCCAAGTCTATAATGAATTGTGGATAAAGACTGGGCTGGCTTAAACATCCCAGGCATGGCAGGCCCCTCATATGGGAATAGAGTCACCAGGATCTATCTCCTTCAGAGGCTGCTTCTGTCGGATGCACTGATGACCAGTGAGAGTATTCTACTGTGTGTGGTAATCTGGAAAGGCCCCTGCCTTCATCCACAGATCTGTCTATTCAGGGCAGGGGGAGGGGAGGAAGAGAACAGGCCAGCCTGGAAGCACTGTTTCTCTCTGTCTTTCTCTCTCGGGATTTTCTGGGAATCAAAAGGAAAATATTTTCCTGATAGTTTAGCAAAACATTTAATTAGGGGTGGTAATGAAAAGTGATTACAGCAGCACAATGCGCTTGCATTATGAGTTCGAGTTAACATATTTAGGGGTACTTGCGCACAAGCTGTTTGGTGATTAGGGACCAATCCGCTGAACATGAAAATAAATAAATAAATGAAACTGCTGTGTGAAAAATGAATGTGCTGAAATTAGGCTGTGTATAATTGCAACGAAACCAAAATTGAGCAGATACAGTTCCCACAGAGAGGTGGAAAACCTTGTCAGGGAGCATTCGCCAGCCTGAGCTGTTGTTTGTGGCTGTGTGTGGAATGGACTCAAAGCCCACTGTGGCTGCTGGAAAGTGGTAGGGTGATTTGATCTATTCAGTCAGAACTAGCTGATGTAGTGACCGAATTATCTCAAGTGCTTCCCCTCCTGTTATGTAGGCAAAACCTCTAAATTCAATGGGTTGGATTTTTTCTAACCTTTAATCATTTGCGTTTGATATCATGTCTTCATTGCCAGTTTCCTCCTTAACCCAACGTCTTTCATCTTCAATCTTCTTAAACTTTAAAAGATACAACCCTTCATCTTTCCTTTGATCTTCACCTGATGGGCATGTTAGCTGTGTCCATCAGTTTCACTAACCTATTTCTATGAAAACAGAGAAAATGTTTAACCTAGTATGACGGGCCTATAGATTATAAAAATAATTGACTAATTTTGTTGTAAAAAAATACTACTCTTTGTAAAAACAAATCAGCAAAGCTGGAGTTTTGTCTTTATAAAACATGATGCTTGGTTGCTTGCTTTTTTCACCTTTTAACTGGCTATTTGGGTATCAAGTTCAACTGAAGTGTACTTTTGAGAACTGTCACAGTAGGGCCTCCCCATTTTATATGGTAGCTCACCAAACTGACTGCTGCTGCCAGCACCCTTTTGGTTTGCTCTTAATTCTATTGGGAGCCCTATTGCTGGCAAGAAGGCTCCTCATTTAATTCCCATAATAAGCTTCATTTTCAGCAATGCCTCCCTACCCTGAGCTTCATAAAGAGTATCATGCCTGTCGATTTTCTTTACAGAAAGGTGAGCGGTACTTCTGTTGCCCAGTTTGATACCCAGTAGGGAGATTCACAAGATGCCAAGGGTCTTCTACAGAGGAGGTACTAGAAGAGTATTTGTGGAGTATATGAAGGACCAAGGATGCAGCAACTAAGCAATATGTATACTGATTATAGATATTTTCTTGATTTTGGGGGGAAAAACCTCCAGATAAGAAAAGCAGTCTCATTGGAGACCTTTGGAAAAATGAACAATAAATCTTTGGAGCTCTTCTAAAGTTGGTAAGTCTCAAGTTTCTCCCATAGTTCTACGTAAGAGTACTAGCTCATTATTTCTCATAGAAATAATTGAGAGACTGAATTTCCTTCAAAGTATGAAATTGGGTGATTGTATGAGATCATGTGATTTCATTTCCTCTGTTAGGGCTTTCTCACCACTTGTAACTAGAATTTAAGAACAACTTTGTTGCACTTGAAAAAGAATTAAGCTCTGTAAGCCTACTGCTTTCCACTGGCCCACTCCAGTTTTAAAATTGCTTTGCGATTTTTATGAACCACCCCTGTGAAGTTAATAAAACACAAACATGGTATGCATTATATATGAGAGGGAAATAGAAAATGTTCAACATAACCGCTTTTATCATTAAGAACAGGCAGCATACAGAATGATTTAAGAATAAGTGCTAATGTTTATGCATTTTTGTACCTGCACATATATTAGAATTGACTTCAATTCTTAGTCATGGCCAGATAAGGACACAATGGCTGTAGGAAGGGCAAAGTAGGAAGAAGAAAAAAAGGGGAAGGAAAGGAGAAATAGAGTGAAATTAATATTTTATGAGCTTCCAAAATGTATCAGGCACTGTACTAGGCATTTTCACACACCCAATTCCATTTAATCCTTAAAACATTCTTGCAATATACAGGCTTTTAAAATCCCAATAATATTAATAACATGTGTTAGGTACTTAGAGAGAAAGGGAGGGAGGGAGAGAGAGGGAGGATGAAGAGGAAGGGGAAGAGGAGGAGGAGGGAGTGACAAAGGGAAAGAGAAAGGGAGAGTGGGGAGGAGGGAAACCCAACGCTTGCCTCATTCCAAAATATTTGGGCTTGATTGACTTTGGGAACCTGCATTATTGATCTCATGATTCTGAGTCTCCCCTCTACCTCATGCAACTAAATTCAATTGTTAAATTAACTGGATCTTTGTGGGTATAATATCAAATTAGAACTAAAGATACTTGTTTCATAGTCAAGAGCCAAGTGGTTGACCCAGTTCACAGCTCTTCAGCTGCTCTTACTACTTCTGCAGAGGCTCTAATTTATTTATTATTTTTTTTTGAGACAGAGTCTCACTCTGTTGCTCAGGCTGGAGTGCAGTGGCAAAATCTCAGCTCACTGCAAACTCTGCCTGCTGGGTTCAAGTGATTCTCCTGCTCAGCTTCCCGAGTAGCTGAGATTACAGGCGTGCACCACCATGCCTGGCTAATTTTTGTATTTTTAGTAGAGATGGGGTTTCACCATGTTGGCCAGGCTGGTTTTGAACTCCTAACCTCAAGTGATTTACGTGTCTCGGCCTCCCAAAGTGTTGGGATCACAGACATGAACCACCGTGCCCGGCCAGAGGTTCTAATTTGAAGAGGATACTCATTTGCATCTTCCCACTTCCATGGGAAGCTGTTTTTTACCCTCCTCTTCTGGTTGCAGATCCTTATCATCTTGAACAATTGTTGATCCTCATAGGTAACTTTTTTTTATGTGTATAAATTTAAGGTTTACAAGTGCAGTTTTGTTACATGGATATATTGCCTAGTGATGGAGTTTAGGCTTTTAGTGTAATCATCATTGGAATGATGTACACTGTATCTATTAAGTAATTTCTCATCCCTCAACCCCTTCCCACACTCCCACCCTTCCGAGGTTCCAGTGTTTATTATTCCACACTCTATGTGCATGTGTGCACATTATTTAGTGCCCACTTATAAGTGACAACGCTAGGTATTTGACTGTTTCTGAGTTGTTTGACATAAGATAATGGCCGTCAGTTACATCCATGTTGCTGCAGAAGACATAATTTCCTTCTTTTTTATGGTTGCATAGTATGCCACGGTGTGTGTGTGTATATACATACATGTGTGTGTATATATATATATATATATATATATATATATATATATATATATACACACACTACATTTTCTGTATGCAGTCATCCGTTGATGGGCACTTAGATCGATTCCGTGTCTTTGCTATTGTGAATAGTGTTGTGATTAACATGAGTGCAGATGTCTTTTTGATATAATGATTTCTTTTCCTTTGGGTAAATCACAGTAGTAGGATTGCTGGATCAAATGGTGGTTCTATTTTTTTTTTTTTTTGAGGAATCTTCATACTGTTTTCCATAGAGGTTGTACTAACTTGCATTCCCACCAACAGTGTATAAGCTTTCTCTTTTCTCTGCATTCTTGCCAACATCTGTTTTTTTTTTTTCCGACTTTTTAATAATAACCATTCTGACTGGTGTAAGATGGTATCTCATTGTGGTTTTAATTTGCATTTCTCTGATGAGTAATGATTTTGAGCATTTTATTATATGCTTGTTGGTCATTTGTATGTCTTCTTGAAAAATGACTATTCATGTCTTTTGCCCGCTTTTTAATTGGGGTGTTTTTTTAAAAAAAAATAGTGACGGCAGGTGGTATGTTCCTCACACTTGACTTGTCATTTACAACTGAATTTTTCAGCTCACGATATTGAAATCCAGAACCACTTTTTCTATAGTCAAGTGTGATTCAGCAAAAAATAAAACCTTCTTGCATTCATTTGGAAGTAATATATGTCCTTTTGGAATTTCTGTGTAAGTCCTTTTTTAGTGAGAAAAAAATCAAGTCCAAGTTAAAATGATAAAATACTAAATTCGGTGTTGCCAAGTAGAGTTTAATTTCAATTCAGATACTATAATTTATAATTCTGGGTCTTAGGAGCCAAAGCCTCCTTAGACCATCCCTTTAATCCAGGCCTATCATTTGGAGATCTCATAGCTCCCTTCACTGTAATCACCGTCTGGTGCTAGATAGTGGAACTGAGATACTTCTTTGCTAATGACCTACTTGCTTTCAGATACAGGGCAACCAGCGGATGGTTCCTGGGATCTCATCTGATGAGTGACATCTTTCCGGACAGAACTGATGACTCTCTGGCAGTAAAAGGGTGGAGAGGGCAGGGCAGATATGTTTCACGAGCAAGAAGGGAAATAGTGTGTTGTAAAGCTTTGCTGTAGGCCTGCCAGGATCTGGTGAAGTGGGTGGGCGGGGAGAGCTTGTGTTCACAGAAGAGTCAGATGGTTAAAGAATTTATGATAATTAAAATGACGTTTCTATGTAAGTCTGAAGGAATACAGCCATAAAAACATAATTGCTGTAAAACATGCTGCATCAGACTAAATAACCACTTGATGATGGCAACTATGCCTGTGCCATAAAGAAACCTGTGCTTTTGTGAGGAGAAAAAAATATGTATTTATTATGGCTATTTGCGTCTCATGTTAATTGTTCACAACAAAGCCATTGATTAAGCAATGACTCCTTACAAGATGGGGCTGGATCAAATAATGCACAGAGTACAGCAAACAAAAAATGGTTGTGAGATGAAAGGATGATTCTGAGAAACAGGGTCAAGCTGAGAACTCTCTGAACTCTCCTTGGGCACCTGCAGTCATAGTTCTAGAAGTGTGCGGAACAATTTGAATGAGAGATTAGATCTGAGTTTCGGGGTTTTCTTTTCCCAAATTCTACTCTGTAAAGAATGGCTTGCCTGGATATGGAAGAAGTGCTAATGGAGGGAAACAATAAGGACTGTTTCACAGGAACCTGCCACACAGGGTTCCTGTTTGAGGTAGAGATTTAGTGACACTGCCTGAACTCAATCAGAGTGAAGCCAGGCTTTCTGCATTCTGCTAGTTTCACTGCAAACTGTGGCCAGTGGGGCCAGCATTCAGTCAGAAACACCTGTCTAGGAAGTCACAAGGCCATTTATGATTAGTCTTCCCAATCTGGACATCATGGAGCAGACTCAGGCACGTGAATGGCGTCTATTTACACACACACACACACACACACACACACGGCTATACTGTTTTCCTGGACAATCATTTTTCCCACATTTCCTGGAGGAACTACTGGAATCACAAATCACAATTTGTGGCTTGCCCTGGGTAATGAGTCATTGGATGGAATTTCATTTGGTAGATTTAAAGAGAGTTAGTGTTGATCTATGAAGCCAGATGATTTAAGAAATTGAAGCAGTAACAAGTAAATTGCTTTTCTCTTGTACTGCAAAATGCTTTCTAGGCGTTTTTGGCTTTTCTTTTTAAAATGGATTTATAATGCCATTTCTCTCCACCTCACGGCTCAAGTAAACCTCTTTGCTCTGATGAATCCTAAATGACTCCTCATTTCCCACAAACAGATTGTTCAAAGGAGTTCTTAATATCTTGTTTTACACTGTGGAAGCTAGAATTTTTAATTCTATAGGACACACAAATGAATATACATTCCCTGTTAGAGGCTTTATTTATTCTGACTCCTCTCATGAAAAATTATGTCCAACTATGTTCAAATTCCTTGACCTTATAATCAAGGCCTGCCACTAACCAACCTAAACTCACTTGCCTTTATTTATTTGTTCATCTGGAAGCAATAGGAAAGGCTTAGAATCTGCCATGTAGTATGCTAGTTGTTAAAGAGGATACAGAAAAGAAAAAGGATCTGGGATACAGATAAGTCCAGCTGCTTCCTTCAAGCAATTTACTGGCCATTGGCCAGGGCAGATATGAGAGTGGACACTTCTATGAGATATGTTGAACCTGTGTTGAAGTGTGTGCAAAGGACTATGAGAGGAGAGGAGAGCTGTTGCTTCTCACAGCAGCACCTCCTCTACATGGGATGCAGAGAGTCCAAGAATGCTCCAAAATGGCCTTTTCCATCTTCATAATGGCCTTCCAGCCTTCCCATTTGTGGGCACAGGGGCCCCCTGCCCTAGCAACCTTAAGGTGCCCTGTTGCCAGTACCCTTGAGACTCCCTCATGTTTACGGATAGATTGTAAATTACACATGAAAAAGGTCTCATATTAACTATTTTAACTTTACAGAAACCCCACAGAAGTGCAGCCCACTTGGTCTTGAGCTCCTTGAAGGCGAGGACTATGTGATGCCACATCTGTAACCCAAGAACCCAGCACAAAGTGTTGCACATAGCAGATGCTCAATAAAAGTTTTAAACTGCTGGGGGAAGAAAGTACTATGGGCATCTGGAAGAGGGGCCAGCTAACTCCACATAGGGGACTCTGGAGCTGTGCTAAAAAATGTGTGGTCCACTGCTTCACTTGAAGAGCCTAAAAAATGTGTAGAGATTTATGAGGGATTAATAGGCTCAAGAATTCGAAAGGGTACTCCAGACAGCTCAGAGCTCTTGCCCCCAGAATATGTGAGGCATCGAAACAGGAAAGTAAAATGTTTCTAGCAGATTTCTTCCCCCCTCCACCCCAGACAGTCTTGCTCTGTCACCCAAGCTGGAGTGCAGTGTCGCAATCTCAGCTCACTGCAACCTCCACCTCCCAGGTTCAAGCGATTCTCCTGCCTCAGCCTCCCGAGTAGCTAGGATTACAGGCGCCTGCCACCTTGCCCGGCTAATTTTTGTATTTTTAGTGGAGACGGGGTTTCGCCATGTTGGCCAGGCTGGTCTCAAACTCCTGACCTCAGGTGATCTGCCTGCCTTGGCCTCCAAAGTGCTGGCATTACAGGCGTGGCCTAAAATGTTTATAACAGATTTCTTATCAATCTGGTTCTCTAAACCACAGGGACCACTTGGTGAACCTGAAGTTTTGTGACTACAAGGAGATACATAAATGTGTATTTGAGTTACCTTCATACAGCTACAATTTGGAGAAGGACGTCCAGGAAGATACTGAGAGGAGAAGTAATCATCGGGTACTGTTTAAGAGAGCCGCTGTCATTACTGCCTTTACTGGGTTGGGGTCAGAGACAGGTGGGGGAGGTGCTCTGCAGGTTGTGTTTTATGTAATTGGTGCTCCGTCCTCCTCCTTCTGTTATATCACTCATCTGTGCAGCTTTTCATCTCATATGTATTTTCCACCATGGTGGCCTTTGTAAGACATAAGGTGAGCAAACTGCTTATTAAGGTAAGACAATGGAGGCCCCATTTTAAAAAGGTTAAGATGTCCTCAAAAGTGTCAGCGCATCCCAGGAATCATTAACAGTGTATGGAATGCACAGCCTGGTATTTTCCAAAGGCCACACTAACCTTTTCAAGCATGGAACAGGCTAAAAGGAATGGATTTCTTCACCATTTGATGAGAGAAGAAATCTTTTTAAATGCTTATTTTTATTTGCTTGCTGAGAATCATCTCTGTGAAGCTCAATATGGAGAAATGAATTCTGAACATTTTAGCAACTCACTTAAAATACCATTAGAAAGCACTTGGGTTATTAAAAGCTGAAAACAAAGGACTAGGAGCCCTCTGGCACTAATAACACTTAGGGAGAAAGCGAGAGCCACCTATGCCCTCATGTTTGCCAAAAATGTATTTGAATTTAAACTCTTCATTGTTAAGAAGGGAAGCTTAAGTTTTGCCAAACCCTTTTTGCCTTTCAGTACAACCACTTTTCCATGTAATTGGCTCAACACTGCTATTTGCATAATTGTCATATTTTTCTGCTTCCCAAGAGGGCTGTAAAGCGTAAAGGTGAACTGCAAAGCTTTGACAAAGTGCACATTTATGTGTGATGTGCAATTCTCAAATTACGAAGAAAATTATATCTTTTTCATTGAGTTTATCTTACACTTGGAAATGAAGTATTCAGAACTCATTGCCCCCTGAGATGAGTTTAGCCTGCTTTTCTTTAACTTGGCCAAAGTGCAATTTCCTGAGCCTTGGGTCTTCAAATAATGATGTTGCCACAGGACCTTGACTGTATGAATGACCTAAAGCAGAGGCATTTTTCTTTAAGCCGCGGAATAACAATAAGCTCTTTTAGTTGGAATCAGAGATTTCATCACAGCTGGGCCATCCGTTAAGCTCTGAGAGGTCAAACAGATCATTTAACCTCTCAAAGCCTCAGTTTGTTTAACTGTAAAATGGGCATGCCTTTAACTCACACATGTATTGAGTGCTTATATGTGAGGAAGTATTTTACCCAGGGCTTGGTGCATAGTAAGTGTTCTAATAAACACATGATATTGCCTCGTTCCTCTTCTTTTATAGCAGGTGGATGGCATTTAAATGAATGAGAGGGCTTGAACTTTGGCACGGGAAAAGAATGGAGTTGAGTCCTGCCTATGTCACCTTTTTAGGGAGTGGGAGGATGGGGTTGCAGAGAGCTGTGTGACCTTGGGCAGGTTACATAGCAGGAGAGCCTCAGTTTCTGTATCTGCCAAATGAGGATGGATAATAGAATGTGATTGTGCATATAAACAGCATGTAAATGCTCAGTGTTACCTGTAGTTATTAACATTTCATCCTTAACAGCGGTCATTATCAGGTTTAAGATATGGCCCTATGAGGAGTTAATGGGTGCAGCACACCAGCGTGGCACATATATACATATGTAACTAACCTGCACATTGTGCACATGTACCCTAAAACTTAAAGTATAATAATTTAAAAAAAAAAAAAAAGATCTGGCCGTGAAAACTTATGTTCCCTCCAGGTTTGCTGTGTGTTGTCCCATCACTTTTCACATTGGGGAGAGTGGAATGTTCAACTTCCCTTCCTGTGAATGCTCCTGGAAGCCTCCTGCTTACTTCCCCAAGTGGGGACTAGATTTTTACAGGTTTCCTAATTGCTGTGTGCTTCTGGCTGCAGCCTGAGGGCATCAGATTACAGTGCCAAATGGAGGAATAGTATTCTGGGTGTGATACTGATCAGATCAGGAAGATATCAGGACACTAGACATCCGGCATCTGACAGCTGGTCACAGGGGTCACTTTTGATCCCTAGTTTCCCCTTGACAAGGTTAGCCACTACATGCCAAGTGTTTCATGGGCAGAATTCTAGCCAAGCACTAAACTCTGACAGAGAAGGAGAAATACAGGCTGGCAGGAGGGCTGGCATTGCCCTAATGTCACAGCTGGCACTCACATTCCAATGAATGAATCTTGGATCAATTGCTAATGTACGGGGCCCAACACAACATTAACAGATCAAAATAAGAGGAAGTTGGAAAGTATTCAAGTTTCCAGAAACAGGTAGTTAAATATATTAACGTAAATCTACTTGATAAACTTATCTAATCATTTTAAAAAAATGAAAACATGGTAATTAATGTTAGAAAATGCTTATGTTGTAATGTTAGGTCAAAAAGGATAAAAATATATAGTATAATTAGAAATGTAAAACAACAACAATAGACAAATCTATAAAGACAGAAAGTGGATTAGTAGTTGCCAGGGTCTGGGAATAATGAGGGTTGTGGAATCATTGGCCAAGGGACGTGGGGTTTGTTCTGGGAGTGATGAAAATGTTACAAAATTGATTGTGGTGAGGGTTGCATCAGTGAATATACTAAAAACCACTGAATGGTACACTTTACATGGATGTGTTGTATGTTATGTAAATTATATCTCAATAAAGCTGTTACTGACAACAAGAACAAGTCTTATACATACAAAAATAGAACAGAAAGAAATTTTCCAGAAGGCTAACAGTGTATATAAGTTAGTAGCAAATTGGGACTGATTTTTCTTCTGTATTTTTTCACATTTTAAAATACAGTGATTAAGTTTAATGATCACATATGTAGTCTCATATATTAAAATAAAAAAACTATTGGAAAGGCAAATAAACAAAAATGAATTAATGCCAACTTTTTTAGCTCATGGAATTGAAAATATAAATAATTTAAAAAGTAAGAGAAAAAATTATTTTTAAACTAGATGAAAATGTAGCATAGAGTATGTGGCCCCGTGTACTCTGGATTAAATATCAATACTTAACCTTTTCATTAATATTTTGGCTTGTAATGAAATTGCCAAACACAATGGTATACATAAGACACATGGCATAAATATTGGAAAATCTGTGATAAAAAAATTTTTAATAAACTGTTTTCTCAGAATTGACGTCTATCCTTGTTTAGATTTAGAGCTTTTGAAACTTTCAGAATATAAATTAAAAATTATCTTTGTAATCATAATGCACCCCTAATTTACATGTCCTGATCTTAAATCTATTATTTATATTAGCTTTTATCAAAACATTCAGATAAGTGATCTTCAAATGATTAGTACTTAAGTACTGGTTGGAGATGAACTTTTGCAAGTGAACGTCATACAATCTATTATTTCTATTGGAGCTTAATTCTGAAGCTCAGAGACTCCCTAGCTCTCCTCGCCTCACCATGGTAATTTATTATTATCCTTTGTCTCCTATAATGTTTGCTTCTTTGGCCTACCTGTAGCATAAACCTTTTGGTTGTTCTGCAGCTATTTCAGTTAAATAACTCAAGCCCTAAAAACCACAGAAAGAAGAGAATGTGCAAAGCGATCATATTTATGGACCACCAGATCCTTCTCAGCATAATTGCCAGGCTTTTTATACTGAAAGGCAAGAAACAGCTGCCTTGTTCTACTTTGGTGTCCAACTCAGCTGTTTCAGATTCATCCTGTTGCTTTAAGCATCTGTTGACAGGTGGGAAAGCTCACTGTGAAGAGAAACATTGTTGCCCTGGGTGGCTTCTGCCTAAGACAGGCCTGACCCTTTTGTTTCTCCCCTGGAAAAGGACCGAAGTGTTCCTTCCAGCCTTATTAAGTACAGCTGTCGGGTACATTTTAGTAGATGAGAACCATTTCCAAAGTATCTCGGTTCTGAGAACTGAGAGGCAGTGTCCAGAAGGTAGTTGGACAAGCTCGTGTGCTGTAGAATGTCTGTAAGTGGCTGGGACTTACAGAGGAGAGGCCCGCACGTTGCTAGTCCTCCTTGTCTTGGACATCTTGAGCCTCCCACTTGAATATCCTCTTAGGCTCTCATTTTGTACCAGAAATTCTGGAAACTGGAAGGCTATTTTGTTGGAACCCCTTATTTTACAGATTAGAAGACCGATGCCAGGGTTAGTTAAGTGTTTTGTTTTATGCTACAAAGTTGGTTAGTGGAATTCTTCTGCCTATATAATAACATCACAGTATTTCAGAGTTGTTTTCTGTCCTCTCTTTGTCAGGTTTCTGGGAAATCTCTTTCTCCTCATGTTTATTA
The DNA here is from genome assembly GCF_000001405.40 of Homo sapiens. NCBI lineage: Eukaryota > Metazoa > Chordata > Mammalia > Primates > Hominidae > Homo > Homo sapiens. Next base: position 132,831,189 of record NC_000023.11, on the reverse strand, counting down.
TTTGGCCCTTAATCCAGCATAATAAAATTACAGGTACATATAGTTTGTCACAGGATTTCCAGTTAGGTCTCAGAGACCTAAAGGAAAGAAAGTTATTGAAAGTTCTGGAAAAACAAAAGTCCTGAGATAGTTTCTTGACATACATCTTCTTTGAAATCTTTAAAATCAAACAAAACAACCCCTAGTGTCTTCCCTGTCGCCCCCTTCACTACCTTCTTTTGTATTCTGCATATGTAGCCATTCTCTTGGGCAATAGCAGAAAGGTACATGTGGATTAATGGAATTTATGTATTCACTGGCGGTAAAAGGCACTGGGAATTCCTGCACTGGGTGTAAAAACTTGGGCCTTGGGGACCTCACTAATGACTTTTCAAGAGCAGTTCTTTACAGAGCCCAAGTCTTCAATCTTGTAACTGGACCATCAACCCCAGTGACAGCCTACTTTGAAGGAGGCCTCATAAAGACAAGGTTCAGGCTCTTTCTAACGGTTTTGGCTAATGGAAGACCTGGAGGGGAAAAATGAAATTGTTCTCAAACTTCTTACAGGTAGAAAGGAGAAAATCTCTGGAAGTTCTGAGAAGTGACAGGAATGTAAAATTTTGTGTTTAAAATGTAAGAAGTAGCAGGGGATGATGAAGAATGCTTAAAAATGCTTGTTTTTATTATAGGCAGTGGAAAAAATGTGAGTCTCAATTTGCTTGCCCTGGAATTGCTCCAGCTAGCAGAATAAATCAAGGCTAGAACCAGATCAGAATTTCTTACGAGATGACAGGGATCTGAAGGACTTTACCTCTATAGTCGTTTTGCCTTTTTAGGCACTGGGTGACCTGGTCCCATGTCCATCCTAGTGGGCCCTGTATGATCCAATCCAAAGGCCCCTTTAGGTTTGCGTTTTATCATTCCCTCTTTCTCAGAATTTGATGTTTGTATGTAAAAGCACTCTGGAAAATATTTAAATCATGGTACAAATATAAGAGAAGTCATGCAGGTATGGAATTGCTTTGAGAAGTATCATTTTATTAATTTGTCTGGCTTGATACCAATTACCTGATGCAGTTGTTAAGGGCAGATCCATCCAGAAACCTTTGGGTTCTCTGCTCCCTGATTTTGTTTTGCAAATTATATAACCATACTTCATAGAAAACACCAGTGGTGGCTATGTTGTTCACAGACACAAAGTGATTCTAAGGCAACCACAGGAGAGAGACACAAAAGAAATCACACAAAAATCTCTCATCACAACATAAATATTGTGACAATTGTGTGGTACTTTTTGTCTTTTTTGTTCTCTCTGTTCCTTTTTTGTCAGTACAAGTAAGTCATCATGAACAAATAAGCTTTTGTATCCTGCTTTTTTAACCTGACATGTTCACAGAACATAACCTAGTCACACACGGGCAAGTACATCTTCTATCCAGTGATTTGTTTCACCATCACCCTGCACATCACTTTTCTCATGTTTCAAATGATTTCCTCAGAAGAGACATCTGGAAATGGGATTACTGAGTCAAAGATTCTCAACCTCTTTTAAGGCCCTTGATATGTAGTGGCAAATTGCCTTCCTGAAGGGCTGTGCCAGTTGACATGGCTGGCAGGGGCAAGGCTTGAGTCTTCCTCTGGACCTGTACATGGGTACAGTTAACATTAAATTTTTTTAATGAGTATAATTTACATACAATAAACTGGACAAGCCTTCAGTGCATAGGCTTGGGGAATTTTTACATACCTACATTTGGGTAAATGCCACCCAGATCCCAGATCTCTCTCTCTGTAGACAGATAGATACATACATACATAAATACATAGATACATAGATTGATCTATCTGAGCAGCATTTATATTTATATATGATATATCACATATGATTTATATATTTAATATTATATATGATTTATATGTTAGTATGAATCATATACACATAGGCTTAATTTATGCATAAACATATGTGCTTCACATATCTTTACATAGATAAATATAAATATAAGTATGTATATATATATATATATATATATGTTCCTTACCTACAGGATCCAACACAAGATTAACTTAGATACTTTCCAGCTTAGATATTAACTTAGATCTTTCCAGATCAGAATAAGAGGAAGTTGGAAAGTATCTAGGTTTCCAGCAACAAGTAGTTAATTATATTAACATGAATCTACTCGATAGACTATTATGTCATCATTTTTTAAAAATGAAAACATTGTAATTAATGTTAGAAAATTCTTATGTTATAATGCTAGGTTAAAAAAGGATAGGTGTGATTTTTATATATAAAATATATGTACAGCATATATATAGCTACATATTTAAATATATAAATACAGCATATATATATTTATATACTTAAATTATAAATATATGTACAGCATATATATACTTAAATATATAAATATGTATATGCTGTGTATATATTTATATATATAAATCACACCTATGTTTGTGTGTGTATGTGTGTGTGTGTGTGTGTGTGTGTGTGTGTGTGTGTGTGTGTGTATATATATATATATAAAATATGATATTTCCATTATCCCCAGGAAGTTTTCTAGTGCCTAGTTGGTATGTAGTGCCCAGTCGGTGTCTCCACCCACCCCCAAGGTAACCACTATTCTGAAAGTCCCTCATTTTTGAGTGATTTCGGAAATGTTCTTCTCTCATCTGAAATGATTTGACAGGCAGTCTCTGAAGGGAGATTGCCATGGCTTTGGTGTTGCTCGGATTTCTGCCACCTTACATTGGCAGGCTCAAGAAGATATGCACAGTCTTTATTTCATTGATGTCCAGTTGCCTGTATTGAGCTTAGCTATCCTGTGCCCAGGTTGCCTTAGGGATCACTTTGTGACTATGTGCAGCTTATCCACTACCTTTTTTTTCCCTTCAAGAATTAACAAAACCACTACCATCTGTTCTGAACCATGTGCGGTAGCAGGTAGGGGGTGACAATGAAGGTGTGTTACAGAAATAAAGTAGGAGCCATGCTGACTTTAAAGAAACACCCCCACCCCCAAATGCTCCTGGCTGTTTTCTTTCTATAGATGAGTTAAAACAGAGGGTATGAAGTGCTTGGTTTGCAAATCCTGCAATACTTTGCCATGGCAAGTCCCTAGGAAGTAGATTAAAAGTGGATCTCCCAGAGTGATTAGGATTGGGCAGATAAAATGATATGTTTGTTTTGGTCAATTGAGTTCGAAATACAGGTTCAGACAGTAAATACTCCCTTGCTGAGACTAAACAGTCATTTTGTTGTTCATTTTGATGAAAATCATGGCTCCCAATTTTCCGTGAAAGCTATCCTTTCTGAGATAGACTGGCTCTTCATGAGTTATGAAGCACCTGAAATCCTCTCTAACAGCAAAATCGAGGGGCAACATCAAGGTTAGGAACATCACGAGCAAGAACTTACGGCTCAGCAGTGGTTGTAGGTGTAAATTCAGTGTCCCAAGTCAGAAACCAAGAGGTGTAAGCCCAACATGAAAGGCAAAGAGGGGAGGAAATTAACAAAGATGGAGGCTAGGAACAACGTTAGGGGCTTTCATATGTAATAATCCATTTAATATTTGCAATAAGTTTATGAGGTTGATCTATATAAATCTCCCTTTAAAGGGAGGGAATTGAAACATGTCCAGAGTCTCACAGTTACATTTCTTCTTTGCCTCTTTCCTTCCCTCTTTTCTTTCTTTTTTCCCCTTTTCCCACTGTTGACACATTCCAGGACACACATCCTCCTCCTGTTTTCCTTTTCCTTCACATCTTTCTCGTCCTTTGCTGTAACATCCTGTGCCATAACAAACTGTCACTTATCCAGTGTGGCATGCCCTGTGAAGCCTTCCCTGACACCGTGAACCATAGTAAGTTTACAGGACCCTTCAGTGTTGGAGTTCTATCTTTTGCAGCTCCCACAGCACCTATAGAAGTTGTGTTCACAGAGCACTCAACAATTTCTAGGCTTGAATAATGCTGTGACAAAGATGGGGTTCTGTTGGGAAGACACTGTAGCCACTGTCAGCATAAAGATACAAATGGTCCTTGTAAATGGATGGAGGGCCTTTGAGTGATTTCTTATCAATGGAAGTGCCTTAGGAAATGCCCAGTTGCTGCCTTAAAATCAATATAATTATCCAACATTGGTCACTGAGTTTGTTCCTTTGCCACCCTCCCCACTTGCATGTGGAAACCTTTTTGGCCATATTTTATTTTAGTATTTCGCCAAGGAGTTTTCAGTCATCTTAATTAATAACAAAAACACATCAAGCTGGAAGGAGATGGCCTGACCATAGTACATTCCTTTACCAGGACTCTGTAGACAGGTCCCCAGCTGGCATACGGATCAGGAGCTCCCATTCCCTCCAAGGACCCGTGAACAGTTCACACCTACAGTGTTAGATTAGAACAGATGTGAAATTCAAATGCCACTAGGTTGTTATAGGTGTTCTCTGAAAAGAACAGTGGTAAAATAATTAGTGCATCTAATTATCAGTGTGTTCACATGCTTTATATTTTTAAAGGGCCACAGCAGTGGCCCTTTATATATATATATAATGTGAGCTATATATATATAATGTGAGCCATATATATATATAAAATGTGAGCCATATATATAATTTTAAAGTTTTTTAGTAGTCAATTTAAAAATGTTGAAACGTGAAATTAATTTTAATAATATATATTTAATTTAACTGAGTAGGCCCCAAATATTATCACCTTGACATGTAAATAATATAAAAATATTAATGAGATATTTTACTTGTTTTTGTTCTAAGTCTTAGAAATCTGGTGTGTAATTTATACTTACAGCCTACCTCCTTTTAAGCTGGCTATATTTCAAGTGCTCAAGAGCTATATGTGGCTACTGGCGATCATATTGGCCAGCACAGGCCCAAAGAAACTTCTAGTGGAGTCTTTCTTATAAAGATGGAGCTACGTTTGTTCATAGGCAAAACCAAAACCAAAACAAAAAATGACTCTGTATGTTTATTGGTCCCATGCTCTGTGCTAGGCACTAGAGTGGGGAGACAAAAGGGTGCAGTGCAGCCTCTACCGTAAAGCAGTCACACGTGAAAAGTGAAATCATTTTGGTTGTAATTTATAATGTGTCCAAGCACAAGGCAGTTTTTGTGATTAATTCTCAAGCAAGTGATTCTGGCAGCTTAGGACTGTGAGTTTAAAGGAGAAAGTAATCCCTACTATTTGAGATGGTCATGGAGGACAGGGGACATTGGACAAAGTATAATATTTGTCTGAGATGGGGAAAGAGGAGAACAAGCAGTTCATGTGGGGGAGACAGCTTGAACACATCTACAGAAGCATTGTGACACAGAGAGTAGATTAGCTTGGCTATAACTGAGAATTCACATAAAGGAAATTGTGGAAAGAAAGATGGGATTCCTTTTGGCTGTATTAAAGAGAGTTGGACTATATAGAGAGATGGCTAAGAGACCTCAGTTAACAACAGGAATGAAAATAATAATCGCAGCTAGCATGTTCCTGATTAGGGTCCAGTCCCTGTATCAAATTCTTTGCATTTTTTTGTCACTGAATATTACAAATGAGAAAGTGGAATCTCTAGAGAGGTAGAAGTACTTGTCCAAGGTCACACATCCAGAAAGTTGGCCTAGCAAAATTTTGAATACAGAACCTTCTGAGTTCAGAGCATTTACTTTAACCATCAGGAGATATGCTCCTGAGAACGTTGGAAGCAGTGATCTCTGTGTTTGATTAATGGGACGCCCCCCAGCCCTATTGACAAAGGTGCTGCCCAAGTGCTGACGTACCACCTCAACATAGGACAGAGAATTTCCAGGCCAAGGATTCTCTGCAGTTTGTGTCCTCTGAACAGATACAAATGGGCCTTTTAGCATGATGCCCCTGAAAGTTGACTGAAGTCACTGACTCAGGTCTTTACAACCCAGTGTTCCACTAGTTGGTTTCCTCCTTTCTCTCTCCTCGTATACCCCAGTATCATACTAGAATACTGGGATCTCAGAGACCTTTTAGTTCAAGGCCCTGTTCTTATAGAACAGAAAACAGAGGCTTAGAGAGGAAAGGACTTTGCCCAGAGTCACACAGTTTTAGAAGTGTCAGAGCTTGGGCCCACATCAGGACTCTCTCCACCCAATGAGCTATGCTAGTGTTTGCCAAAGGCCTTCTCCATAGAAAGCAACAAATTCAGATTAGGAAGTGTATTTCAATCACTAAGTAGTTGTTTTAGCTTTCTAGGGTTAACAGTTGACAAACTTTATCATAGATGAAGGTATCCCTGAATTAAGAGATGGATTTCAGTAATGATTGCTATAAAATGAGTTTTTGGTAAGTGGCCTCTATAGCCTTGTGGATTTCAATAAAATCAGATGTCCTTCAAATGGAAAAAATGTTGACCCTGCTGAATATAATAAAATGGCACTTTTTAATGCAGTAAATCTTTTAAACTCGCATTTAAGAGAAAAGCAATGACTTTTAAAGTTAAAGTTTAATGGTATCCCTTACTTGGAATACGATTCCAGTTGGAGAATAAATCATAGAATAAAAATACTTAGAGTAACAACAACAACAAAATGCTTAGAGTAACCATAGAATAGAGGCCAGGCCTTCTGGCAGGTATTCAGGCTGCCTTCCTTATCTGACAAACTATTCACAACATAGAGCAGTCAGTCCCTCTAAGTCTGGCCTCAAAGGTCCCAACACTTTGAATTCCTTTACCCTTTTTCTTCTGACTTTGGCCATCATTTCACTTTATGGCCTTTGTTCAAAGATACACTGTCTGCTTTTCTACTTTTGCTTGGAAGCAAAATCATTTTAGAAAGCTAAGGCCTGAAATAGCTAGTTGCTACTTAATGTTTGCTGCTTATCATTGCATTTGCTGGGACCTGGTGCTTGTCATGCTTATGCAGTACAAGGAGGGACCAAAGAGGCAGAAGACAGTCCCTGCCATAGTGAAGTGTAGTCATTTTAGAGGACAGGACTAAAAAACACGAAGCAATGAACAAACCCCCCAAAATACAATAGTGTGCTGAATGATGCAGTGCAGATACTTCTTAGAGGTATTTAGGTGTAGCTGGGCTAGATTGTTTCTGTATTGCATCAATAGATTGGTCCATGTTGACTATTCCACTTCACAATATCTCAGGGATGGACAAGATGGCAGAGTTCAGGCCCCAAATTTACCAAAATAGAAATTTTCTCCATCAACTAATGAGTGGATAAAGAAAATGTGGTATATATAACCCACGGAATACTACTCAGCCATTAAAAATGAAATAATGAAATAATGTCTTTTGCAGCAACTTGGATGGAGCTGAAGGCCATTATTATTATTATTATTATTATTATTATTATTATTTTTTATGAAGTCTCACTCTTGCCCAGGCTGGAGTACAGTGGTGTGATTGATATCAGCTGACTGCAACCTCCACCTCCTGGGTTCAAGTGATTTTTGTGCCTCAGCCTCCTAAGTAGCTGGGTCTACAGGTGGGTTTTTTTTTTTTTTTTTTTGTATTTTTAGTGGAGACAGGGTTTCACCATGTTGGCCAGGCTGGTCTCGAACTCCCAACCTCAAGTGATCCACCAGCTTTGGCCTCCCAAAGTGCTGGCTTTACAGGTATGAGCCATCGTGCCTGGCCTAGAGGCATTATTCTAAGTGAAGTAACATAGGAGTGAAAAACCAAAATTCATTTGTTCTGACTTATAAGTGGAAGCTAAGCTGTGAGTCTACAAAGGCATGCAGAGTGATACAGTGGACTTTAGAGACTCAGAAGGAGGAGGGTGGGAGTGGGCCAGGGATTAAAAAAAACTACACATTAGGTACAACATATACTACTCAGGTGACAGGTGCACTGAAATCTCAGAATTCACCACTATATAATTCATACATATAACCCAAAACCACTTGTACCCCAAAAGCTATTGAAATAAAAAAATTAAAAAAATATGTAAGTTCCATTTCAGCATGAGAAATACTTCTTAGAGGAGTGTTCATAACATAGGTTAGTCCCCATGAGATTTGTGCATAAAGAGGACTCCATAGGCAAGCCATTCCATATCTTCCTCTTGGAGACTTAAAAGACATGTTCGTTCGTATATTAAAGGCTATACAGCTTTCAAACTTTTTTATCAAAGTCTTGCAGTTTGTAACTTTGACTTTAACCCAGTATTAACCAAACTAGTCTTCCTACAGAGCCTTTATTTCGTAGTCCATGTTCCATGGGCCTTGTGGCAGAACACACAATGGGAAATGCTGCTTTACAGTGGACTCTTGGCTCCCCAGTAATGGCTAAATGCCTGATTTGGTTATAGTTCTGTCAGCCCCTGTTCCTTCCAGACGAGAATCTTGTGCAGGAAGTAAGAAAGAGAAACTAGCCCAAGCTATTTTGACAACAGGCCTCTGACTGAAACAACCTCCCTGAATGGTTGATAAACATTTTCCCTCTCTTAAGGGAAAATCATGCACAGAAACAAGCACATATAAATAATTTACCAAGCTGTAATATGCTGTAAATAACAACCCTGCTAAATAATGAATTAACCCAACTGCTGATTCATAGGTAAATGTCTCTTGTAAAGCAGCATTTTTATGGATTTTATAGCTTAGTTAATATCCACTCATATTTCATTAGGACACTTCAGGTGAAGTATTGGGGTAATAATCTGGATATATTTGAAACTGACATAGCACATATCAGGAGTCCAGGCAGAGTTTGGGGAGCTGCCAGGATCCTTTTGTCTTAGCTAGAGCATGAGGAGAGATTGTACTGGGCCTTACTCTTCTCCTTCCTCCATGGTCTTGGTTTGCCCAGCTCCTCAGTGCAAGCCTGAGTTGCTGAGCAGGATGCGGCTCTGATATCAGAGAGGGTGTCCTCTCTGAGACCACGGGCAGGGATGGAAGGAGAGGTAGCTCTGGGCCAGGGGAAGAAAGGGACACAGAAATCACTTTGGCCTACTCGACAGAGCCAGCTCTTCTGAGTTTTTATGACACAGGTGTGCAGACTCTGGAGCTGAACTCTGGATATTTGCATCTTTACCACTTATTAACTTTCTGACTTGGGCAAGTCACTTATACACTCTGTGGCTCAGTACCCTCACCTGTTAACAGGGACAATAAAAGTACCTACTCCTAGGGTTATTATGAAGATTAAATGAGTTTGTATTGTCAAGTGCTGGAACATTGCTTGGCACATAAGCAAGTGCTTTCATTTATTTATTTTTTGAGATGGGGTCTGGCTCTGTCACCCAGGCTGGAGTGCAGTGGGGAGATCTCAGCTCATAGCAACCTCCACTTCCCAGACTCAAGTGATCCTCCCACCTCAGCCTCCCGAGTAGCTGGGATTACAGGCGCATGCCACCACTCTCAGCTAATTTTAGTATTTTTAGTAGAGATAGGGTTTCGCCATGTTGCCCAGGCTGATCTCAAACTCCTGGGCTCAAGCAATCCTCCTACCTCAGCCTCCCAAAGTGTTGGAATTATAGGCGTGAACCACCATGCCGTGCCAGCAAATGCTTTTTGAGTACAGTATTAGCTGTTATATTTGTTAGAACTGGACTCTTTTAGATTCTTCATTTTGGCATTCTCCAGCTCTGGTGTTGGATTCTGAGAACCTAGACCCTGGGGATTGGAGGGCCTGGGTGGGGAGGGGGTCACCGGGATCACTCAGATGCCTCTTCTTGCCTCTAAAGAATGGGAACGGGGGCCAAGTGCGGTGGCTCACGCTTGTAATCCCAGCACTTTGGGAGGCCGAGGTGGGCGGATCACAAGGTCAGGAGATCAAGACCATCCTGGCTAACACGGTGAAACCCCGTCTCTACTAAAAATACAAAAAATTAGCTGGGCGTGGTGGTGGGTGCCTGTAGTCCCAGCTACTTGTGAGGCTGAGGAAGGAGAATGGCGTGAACCCGGGAGGTGGAACTTGCAGTGAGCCGAGATCCCGCCACTGCACTCCAGCCTGGGCGACAGAGAGAGACTCTGTCTTGAAAAAAAAAAAAAAAAAAAGAATGGGAATGGGAAGCAGGAACTATGATTTCATTACAGTGAGGAAAAACTGCTTTTGATGATCTCTCAGTAACTATAAGTAAGAAATATTCTCTTATTTAAAAGGAATGTTATCTATCTTTGTTAATGAGGGTTTTATGGTGGGGGGAGGTGATGAGAATTATCAGTCAAATCACTTTGAGAAGGAGGAGATCTGAATTTCATAAATAAACCCTAATTTGTTAATGGGAACTGATGCCAAAAACAAGGAGTTTTTCCTCCTTGCGGTGACACTGAATGTCCTGGGCTGTGGAGGGTAGAAACAGGACATTCTCAGTGTTCCAGCTCACAGGGGTGGAGTTAGAGTAAATATCCTGCCCAGTTTGCCATCACACTAACACTGCATACCCTATCATCAGCCTAATGACCTTTCAATTCTGATTGAATGGAAGAGCACTCCGGCCCTTGATCCAACTCGTGGTTGATTACAGTGCTCATGCCCCATTACCCCAAATATTCCTATAAATTACCAGAGCGAGCATTCACGCTTATACACCATCATAGATTTAGCTCATGCCGGTGGTTCTCGATAGCAGCCATCTGAAGCTCCTTTTGCCCACAGCTCCCTGGATAGCTCCACCATTCCCTGCATGCTAGTCTTGTGGTTTGGTCTTCAGCCTGCTGTCTGTACTTTCTCACACGTTGCATGGGCTTTCTCCGATGCCTACAAGCAAAATCTCTTTTCCATTCTTCCTTTCTCTGGCTCCTGGGTTCAGAAATCTCTAGGGATCATTATCAGTCCTCTGGCTGCCCCCTCTCCTACCTACCTCCATCTACCCTAGCTCTAGGACAGACCTATGGCGATGCCCAACTTTCTGCATTTTGAAATAGGGGTGATTGCTTTGACTTGGGCCCTATCTATTAGGGTCTTTCATCTGTCTATTTTGGACAAAGACAATAGCAGTGAAGCAGGGGGCCTTTGCATTGAGAGGCTCAGACTCTCAAACTCTCTCTTAAAAAAAAAACTGTCTGGCATTAAGGGGCATAGTCTGCTTGCCTTCAATAGACCTCAGGCTGGGGAGGCTCGAGGTGCCTACTAGGGCAGCCAGTTTGCATAGTGCCTTCTAAAAGCAGGAAGAGCCACCCTTGCTGCCTTACAGCCTTTGTCCTTGGGCCTTAGAATGAAACGCTTCAGAGCTCACAATTAACATTTGGCCAAGCCTCTTCCTCACCCCCACCCCCGTGAAGTGGGAAGAAATACGGTGGCGTGACATTCACTTTGACAAAGCTCTTTTTCTTTTCTCTACTTCTCAAAAAAGCCTAAAGAAATAAAAACAGTTGCTAAGCTACTGGGTGGGCTCTATCGGTGTGTTTTGTTGCAGTCTTGGCGTTAAGGACTCATGCTATCATATATGCAGCAGCTTAGACTAAAGGGAGGAAGCAAAGTGCTTGAGAGGGCTCTCTTGCAAGTTCACTTTTTTGTCAGGTCAAGTGCTTGGCTCTGGGATGGCAGGGGACATGGAGCATGACAACTGCAATTCTCTCTCCAGATGGGAAAGTAGAAGGGAGGATTTCTTCCAATCCTCAAATTCTTCCAAAAGAGAATGCTGTTTTGGAACCTTGTCTTTCTTTACCATTTATTTCAGAAAGGTTGGATCTCTAGGAAGCATGGGTCATACTCTTAGTTCTCTGGGTATTGTCTTTTGTACACATCACATGCAGTTGGTGCTACTGATGGGGCCTGGACACTAGCTAGTTCTGGTGAGCTCCTAGCTCAGTGTGCCAGACCGTTGTACTGTATTGTATTTAATTTTTTTGTCTCCAGCATTTTCTTTTCAAAGCTGGTGAATCCCAGGTTTTGCAAGTTTTCATTTAACAACATTCACATAATCCCTAAATTCAGCATGGTTTATAACTTGTTAGGTCCGTTTGCTATATACAAATGCCATACCTCCAATTGGTACTGAGGAATGGTTCCCCACTCCTGATTTAAAGGCATTAACACTGAGAATGGTGGAAAGAGAGCCTATTTCCCAACACTGCTTTGCAACATCCTCTAAATCTTTCATAATGGCCTAATCCACCCATTGCGCGTTGGTTCTCAGTGTGGGGACAATGGGGGCATTACTGATTTTAAACTTGTTTTCATCAACTAGCTCATTCTGTGTAGAGTTGAGTTTAGAAAAAAAAAACATAAAAATTAATGCAGCCTGGGACACCCTCTGTGGAGGATACATTGAAAATACATCTTAAATAAAAACCCAGGAAATTGTCCCTTCTGTCTTTCACCTGTCAGAATCAGCAATAGAATTCTATAGACCATTCAGTGGCATACTTAATTAAGCAACCTATCTGCTGAATGTGCTGGGGGTTGGCTGACAGTGCTTTTCACTGCTGATTTGGATGACAAAGGATATGGTGAGATACTCAACAGTCTGGTGGAATGGAAAGAAACTCCCAATTGGTCACACCTACCTATTTCTCTTGGCATGTTGCATTAGCTCTGATAATACAGAAAATAGACTGGCTTTTATGCATTGAGAAAGTCAGTGGACACCAACCTCTTGCCTTTTGCTCTTCCACAGCAAGCCCTGAGTTTTGCACACATTTCCATTACAGATGAATACAGATTTTAGTTGTAGGTGAGAAACATGAGCTTGTAATTTTCAAGAGACAAAACCTCCAGCTGCTTTTTTTAATCCTAGTGCAGAATAGTTCCTTCCTGATCATCATTCTATATTTTGATGGCAGTTATTGCCTATCCCTAATGTATATTATTAGTATTAGGGACAGTTTTGCAGTGTTTATCTGGTGCCAGACACATGCCAAAGCATCATCCCTCTTGCCAACTCTGTAGGGTAATACTCTATTTTGCAGATATGAAAATTGAGGCTCAAAAAACTTAAGTGACTTGCCTGAAGTCACTCAACCAAACAGTAAGTGGTGGGTCAAGCTTAGAACATAGAGCTCTTCTACCCTGCAGTCCGTGCTTTTAACCGCTCTCTTGCATCGTCTCTCTTGAAAGCCGAAAGAGTGTCACACAGTACAACTATTAATAACTAGGGGTTGGGGCACACGTGTATTAGGATTACAAACCTTTTGGGAGTCTCTCCCACAAAATTGGGCTCTTCACCTAGGTTTTGTAGAGCCTTTCAGTATCCATAAAGCCCTTCAAACTAGATGCAAAAATATGTGTGTATATTCAAGGGAGATAGGCCAGAGTTTTCATCAACTTCTTGAAGAAGTCCATCACACACAAGAGGGTTAGTAACTTCCACATAATCCTAAAGTGCATGTAGCACTTGCCAGGCATGAATATGATTCATGAATATGTGCATGAACTTAAGCAAACTCATTTCATTCTCACCATAGCTATCAGAGGTAGGTATGATTATCATGCCCATTTTACAGAAGGGGAAACTGAGACTAAGAGAGGTTATAAAGCTAATAAGTGACAGCACTGGGATTTGAGGCCAAGCAGTCTAGCTCCTGCTTTTAATCACTTTTGACTGCAATTTCCTTTTTATTTACTTGCATATCTCCAGCACAGTGCCCGACACATAATGGGATGTTTATTGATATTTGTTCAATTGAATTGATTTGCACACTGCCGGCTCTGTGTAGATTTCATCTTAGGAATCATTCTCAAAGGTGTGACTCCGTAAGTCTTGGCTGGACGAATGAAAAGAATCAACATGGTCAAAAGATAATTTATTAGAGTTTCTAAAGACAAATGGCTTGGCAAAGCATAGGCATTTTACTTTCAATCAGTGTTCCCTGGAGGGCTGTTACACTGATTTCCAAGCCCATTCTTCTCCCAACTGGCTCACTAGATTGTTCCAATTGGTTATGTGGTGCCCCTGAGTATGGGCTAGGTAACTCTGCAGGCCCCATGAATCTATGTGATGTTTCATTTCCTGATTACTATGCATAATCTCCCCTGCCTTTTATTTCCAAGTGACCAACCAGAAGCCACCCAAACCCTCTGCATATTGACATGATTCAAATGTAGGTCTCTACAAGGTATGCCAAGCTTATTGAGGGGAAGGTGGGGGGAGATGCGAATCCTGTTCAACCACCTCAATGCAAGTTGACTGTAGTTGAGTCTCTAGGATGGGGCATTCTTAAAAATCAGAACAAAAATTGGCTGTGATTGTGAAGAGTGTATGGTGAATTGGCAAGATGGTGAGTAACAAGGTGGAGCAGCCTGAGTTTTTAATCACCTTGATTACATGTTCCAAGGTTTAACTTTGTGGCCTCCACTGTTTCCCTAATTTTACCTGCTGCGATCTTATTTTACTTTTCATTTTATTCTCTAATCACCGCCAATTAGAGCCCTGAGTCCATGCTGGTTCTGTTGTCTGCCTCTCAGCCTAATGGGCCTCTTTGTACTGAGGCACAGAACCCAGCTGGCAGCGAGACTTCCTAGGGCCCGGAAGCTTCATTACTCTTTGTTGGCAGTGAACTCTAAAGTTGCTGTCTTTGGAGTTGGGTTTTCTCAAGTACAGTCACTTAACATTTGGTCTCAAAGTTGTTGTTTTTCAGATTTTTTTCTCTTTTTTCCTAAGTCAATCAGATGCATGAGCTAATTATAAGCCAGCAAATATTTTGAGAAAACTTCCCTCCAGTGGAGACCCTTGCACAAACTTCAGACTATATTCCCAGTAATTAATATGCTCCTTTTATTTCCTTTGAGGTGGAAAACAGTCATTGACAATCATTCCCTACCCATTTGGTTCAAATAACTAATTTTGTACCTGAAGACTAATTACAGTAGTGACACCATCTTTTCCTATTAGGTCTCTCACTTGAAGAACTCAGAGCAATTTATAACCTTTGAATCTTGGGGACTAGTTTAATCTGTTCGTGGGCAGCATAGCAGTGAACATTGTTATCAGAAATATAGTTAAACCTCTTTAATTGAGCCCCTATTAATTCAAAAGGTAATAATTCAAACAGTGTGAAGAACAAACTTGAAACGTCTATGACAAGAAGAAAGTAAGTTGGCAAAGGGGTTATTTAAACTGCCAAGTAGAGCACACTTTTAGAAGTGCCAGTTCACATGCAAAGAACTGGTAAGTACACACAAATTGTTCCATTAATAGACTCAGAATCTTAAGATTAAAAGCCCTGTAGTACAACTGTTCATAACTCAAAAAACATTTGTTGAGTAATGCTATGTGCTGGGGCCTGGGGATATAATTTTTTTGTTAATAGCTTCATTGAGATATAATAAATACACCATATAATTCACTCATTTAAAATGTACAGTTCAGTGATTTTTGGTATAGTCAAAGAGTTGTGAAACCATCACTACAGTCTATTTTAGAACATTTCATCACTCTAGAAAGAAACCCTGCATCCTTTAGCCATCACTTTCCCATCCCCCTATTACTCACAGCCCTAGGCAACCACTGTGGGGATACAAATTTGACTAAAACACAGTACCTGCCTTTGAGAGGATGGCAAGCTATTGAAAGAGACATCAGGCAGGTGAAGCGTACTTATCATAGCATCGTAGAATGTTGATATTGAGAGGCACTAAGAAGATCATCAGATATAATCTTCTCATTTCACATATGAGGAAACTGAGGCCCAAAGACAAGAAATGACTTGCCCAAGAACAAAAAGCTAACAGAGCCAAAATTAAAACTCATGTATTGTGCCATCTTAGCCTGTTGCAATGTTAATTACAATACAAACTTCTGGAGCATAGTAACAGTTGAGAGCATGGATTCTAGAGCCAGACTGCGTGGATTTGATTCTCAGCTTACCTTTTATAGGCTGTGTGACCTCAGGCAAGTTACTTAACCTCTCTCAGCTTCAGTTTCCTCATTTGTTGTCTTGAAATAATAATTGTAACTACCTTATAGGACTCTTGTGAAGATTAAATGAGTTTCTATATGAAGTACTTAAAATAGTGTTTGGCACAGAATAATCGATACATAAAATGATTGTTATTATTATTTCATTACCTAGTTATTAAATATAAAAACATTTCGTAATGTCCTAAAGTATATTTTAAATATTTGTTCTTCAGGTTTTAAATCCTGACTGTATTCATACATAATTTCTATTTCGTTTCTTCCAACATATATTTTTGAGTGTTAGGGGCTAGGTATAAAAATGATGTTTAAAACAGAGTTCAAATGCCTAAGAAGTTCAGTCAGGTAAGGAAGGCAGGTGAACAGATATGTAGCTATAAATCAAGGCAAGCAACAGGAAGTGCCCCAAATAAAGTATGTATGAAGCATAAAGGGTATAAGAAAGGCTTCAAGGAGGCTGTGGCATTTGACTTGGGTTTTAAAATGTGAGCCAGATTTCACCAGACTGAAGAGGGCGAGAGAAGAAGACATTCCAGGCTGAGGTAACAGTAGAAGTGGAGAAAAGAAAGTATTTGCCATGGTTTGGGAAAGGCTAAGTGTTGTATGTGTTCATCGCATAGGGTTTTGCAAGATGTCCTGGGAGACGAGCCTGAATATAGATGGGGCCGTGCTCAGTAGGAAAAGGGAGGAGAATTTATACTTACTGAACACCTTTTATATACCAGGTTCTGAGGTTGGGCGCAGTGGCTCACTCCTGTAATCCCAGCTACTTGGGAGGCTGAGGCACAAGAATCGCTTGATCCTGGGAGGCAGAGAAGTGAGCCGAGATCGTGCCACTGCACTCCAACCTGGGTGACAGAGTGAGACAATGTCTAAGAAAAAGAAAAACAAAAACAAAAAAACTATATAACAGGCTCTGTAAAATACCAAGTACTAGATATGTATGGGTAACTATTTTGATTCTCACAATCATCCTGAGGAAGCAGTGTAGACAGGTGATATAAATTGATCAATATCACACCCAATATGTGGCAGACTCCAGATTCAAACTGAAGTCTCTCTCTGATGCTAATGCTTATTCCCTCTCCATATACCACACCAACTCCTGAACTTCTGTACCAGCTTGGACGTTATGGAAAATGGGAGCTTTAAATGTTCTTGAAGGCCAGGCACGGTGGCTCACGCCTATAATCCCAGCACTTTGGGAGGCCGAGGCGGGTGGATCACAAGGTCAGGAGTTCGAGACCATCCTGGGCAAGATGGTGAAATCCCGTCTCTACTAAAAATACAAAAAAATTATCCGGGCGTGGTGGTGGGTGCCTGTAATCCCAGCTACACAGGAGGCTGAGGCAGAGAATTGCTTGAACCTGGGAGGCAAAGGTTGCAGTGACCTGAGATTGTGCCACTGCACTCCAGCCTGGGCGACAGAGCGAGACTCCATCTCAAATAAATAAATAAATAAATTAAATTAAATAAATGTTCTTGAACATGGGGAAACATATTTTCATTGCAGTTTATTTATCCAACTGAGTATTTATTCACTTATTTATTTGCTTTCTCTAGTGGCAGTGTAGGGGACAACTTAAATGGAGGGGAGATCAGAGGCAAAAAAGTCAATTGTGAGGCTTTTACGGTAGGTAAAAGGCAGCGAGGACATGAACTAGGGGCGTGGTAATGGAGAGGAGGGGACACATATAAGAGAGGGATTGACAAGACAGGACATGTGACCAATTTGATGTGGTCAGAGCAAGAGTCAAAGAGAGTCACCAATGAAGGCATGATTTTTTCAGCCTGTATGTTGTGATGGGTTGAACTGATGGACTGAGATAAGAAGCCTGGGCATCGGTTTAGAAAAGGAAGGAAAGTCAATTCAATTTTATTATAATCTAACTTTCTCTGAGTCCTCCACGTGTTCAGTAAGCAGATGGACATATGGGTCTGAAGCTTGAGGGAAAACAAGGATGGAACCCTGGGGAATATCTATATGTGTGATCTGGGCGGAATAAATGTAACAAACAACCTGAACCATGAGGAAACAGTTGGAGAGGTAGCAAGAGGACCAAGAGTAAGTGAGAGAGAGCATCTAAATCATGGGAGAAGGGAATTTCAATAAGGAAACGGAGGTCAACATTGCTAAGCGCTAAAGAATGGCCAAGTTAGATAGACTGAAAAATGTCCCTTGGATTTAGTAATTAAGTAATTTAGTAATTAAAGAGGTTATTGAGTAATAAGAAGCAAACCAAGTAGAATATTATGGGTGGAAATTATGTGGCAGTGGTTTGGAAACTGAATGAGGAATGGAGACCTGGAGACATAAATGTAGACAACTCTTTCTAGAAACTTGTCTGGTAAGGTATAGAGAGATGACAGAATCTTGAAGACAAACAGATCCTGAATAACTTTTTTTTAATTATGGAGAAAGTTGAGCATTTATTTTGGCTGAGAGGAGTGAGTCAGTGAAGAAAGAGCTAGTAAAAGGGGAGAAATCGGGGGATAACGGATAAAGATTGGAGAGGTAGCAAGAGGACCAAAAGGAAATAGGAAACCACAGAGAGATGGTTAGCTATGGACTTGAGCCCTTCCTCTGAGATGGGGTTTTGAAGCGAGGATGCACAGGGGCACAGATAAACTAAAGGCTTTTTCCAACAGAGTCTGAGGTATTTGTGATTGATTATTTTCTTTAATTTAGAATTCTCTGCGTAAGAAACCTTGCTCTTTTTACACTATGTAAAATCCTTATGGAAACAAGAACAACAAAACCAAACACAAAAACCTACTTTATTTAAATGTGGGAGAAGGGCTTGAATAATTTCTCCCCCCCCCAAAAAAAAAAAGATATACAAATGGCCAATAAGCAAATGAAAAGATGCTCAACAGCATTAATCATTAGGGAAATGCAAATCAAAATCACACTGAAATACCACTTCACACCCATTAGGATGGCCATTATTATTATTATTTTATTATTATTATTATTATTATTATTATTATTATTATTATTTGAGACAGAGTCTTGCTCTGTTGCCCAGGCTGGAGTGCAGTGGTGCAATCTCGGCTCACTGCAACCTCCACCTCCTGGGTTCAAGCAATTCTCCTGCCTCAGCCTCCGGAGTAGCTGGGATTACAGGTGTGCACCACCATGCCTGGATAATTTTTGTATTCTTAGTAGAGACAGGGTTTCACCATGTTGGCCAGGCTGATTTCGAACTCCTGACCTCGTGATCTGCCCACCTTGGCCTCTCAAAGTGCTGGGATTACAGGTGTGAACCACCGCGCCCGGCCAGGATGTCCATTATTAAAAGAAAATTAAAAGTAAGTATTGTTGAGGATGCGGAGAAATTGCAACCTTTGTGCACTGCTGGTGGGAATATAAAATGGTGCAGCTACTGTGGAAAACAGCATGGTGCTTTCTCAAAAAAATTAAAAGTAGAATTACCATATAATCCAGCCATTCCACTTATGAATACAGAACCAAAAGAACTGAAAGCAAGGATTTAAATAGATATTTGTGACTATAGTCAATAATAATTTAATTGTACATTTTAAAATAACTAAAAGAGTATAATTAGATTATTTGTAACACAAAGGATAATAAATACATGAGGGGACAGATATCCCATTTTACGTGATGTGATTAATACACATTGCATGCCTGTATCAAGACTGTACAAACAAAATGTGATATATATATATATATATATATATATATATATATATATATTATTCAGCCTTTAAAACAAAGTTCTGACACAGCTACACCTTGAAGACATTATGGTAAGTGACGGATGGGTGAACTTTGAAGACATTATGCTAAGTGAAATAAGCCAGTTACAAAATCACTGTATGATTCCCCTTGTATGAAGTACCTAGAGTAGTCATATTCATAGAGCCAGAGAGTAGAGGTTGCCAGAGGTTGCGAAAGGGAGGAATGGAGTATGGACTTTCAATTTGGAAAGATGAAAAAAGTTCTGGAGATGGTGGTGATGGTTGCACAACAATGTGAATGTACTTAATGCCACTGAACTATATACTTAATAATACTTAAAATAAGTTTTACCACCATTAAAAAAAAACTTTCTAGAGCCACCATTTTAGCTTGACTGGGGTCTCCTGGGTTGTTCGTAACCTAGAGTAGTGGCTCTTTCCACTGCTGACAGATAGCAAATCCAGAGCAGACACCTCGTGTAAGAGCTACCTCTTAGCAGAACTATGATTCAGGTTTGTGTGCATTACATTTAAGCCAGCTGACATATCACTTTCTTTCTCACTGCTGTGTACACAATAGTGACATGATCAAACTTGAAAGTGCATGAGAAACAATCACTTGGAGAACTTGTTAAAAATGCGGATTCACAAAATCATCTCTTCCATCAAACTAATGTAGTAGGTATATCAGCTAGTTTGTGCTATATAACAAGCCACCCCCAAAACTAAGTGATTTAACATAACTGTTTATTATTTTATAGCCTATGAGTTGGCTGGATGGTTCTGCTCATCTGGGCCAGGCTTCGCTGATCATAGATGTACTCAGCTGCAGTCAGCCAGTGGGTTAACCAGGGCTTGGCTTTTCCAGGATGGCCTCAGTTGGGATGACTTTAATCTGCTCTACGTGGCCTCTCATCCTCAAAACATCAGCCCAGGCTTGTTTTTGTGCTGTGGCAGGAGTCTAAGCAAGCAAGCACAATAATATGAGGGAACAAGAAGAAATGCACATGAGCTCTTCAAGTTTCTGCTTGCATCCTATTTGCTAACGTCCTATTGGCCAAAGCAAGTTACATGGCTGAGTGGAGATTCAGAGTGGGAGGGGTGTACAAAGAGGGCAATAGCAAGGATGTAGAGAGGTCACTGGGTCCACTAATGCAGTTAATCTACTACAGTAGGTTTCAGTAAAGCCTCGGAATCTACATATTTAGCAAGCTTCTCAAAGTGATTTTTTTCTTTCTCTCTTTCTCTCTTTCTGTCTCTCTCTTTCTCTCTCCTTCCTTCCTTCCTTCCTTCTTTCTTTCTCATGATCTCACTGTCACCCAGGCTGGAGTGCAATGGTGCCATCACAGCTCACTGCAGCCTCAAACTCACAGGCTCAAGCAATCCTCCCGCCTCAGCCTCCCAAATAGCTGGAACTACAGGCATGCACCACCAGGCCTAGCTGTTTAAAAAAAAAATTACAGAGATGAGGTGTCATTATGTTGCCAAGGCTGATCTCAAACTCCTGGGCTCAAGCAATCCTCCCACCTCGGCCTGTCAAAGCACTGGGATTACAGGTGTGAGCCACCATGCCCAGCCTAAAGTGATACTGATGCAGGCTATCCCTTAATATTTTCAGAAATATTATTCTAGTATCTCTTAACACCAAGATTGGAACCAGCATCATTGAACGTTCAGAAAACGAAGACTCAGTGGGGAAGGGAGCACTTATTCTTCTCCTTATTTCCAGCTTATGATTCAGGCCTCTTGGTCTCTTAGAGGCAGATGCTGAAACGAACACTCTCTGTCTGCTTTTCAGACAATCTCATATAATCATTTACTTGTTACAAAGAACAATGGAGTTGGATTAAACTGATAAAGTGTTATTTTTCAATGCAGGTCAGGAAGGCATTGTTGGTTTGTTTTGCATTGCTCATTATAATTTCTATTTTTGTCCTGGGGAAGCTCATGGTAATGGAATGAAGCATCGAGGTGGTTTATGGGCCATGTGATAGGATCATAAAGTTGAGGTTGTTGCTTGGACAATACCTTTCTTAGAATAGTAATCCAAGCAAAGAGAACATGGACAGGAAAGAAAAGAAACAATAAGAAGAAACTTCAGTTATTTAGCCAGTTGTATGAGGTTTTCATTGCTCAGATCCTTAGTTAAAATGTGGGATCAGAGGCCTGCAGGTAATGCCTGAGCTCAGGAAAGGCAGGGACCATGATGCTTTTGCATTCCTGATACGAACCACAGTGCCAACCACATTGTCAGTACTCAAAACGTATTTGTTGAATGAATTTCTGCTAATTCCTGGGATCTATTCTCAGAGATTCTGATTGAGCAGGATAAGTAAATAGTTTTTCACAGTGTGGTCCCTGAACCATCTGCATCAGAATCACCTACAGGGCTTGTTTAAAAAATGAATGCCAGGGCCGGGCATGGTAGCTCATGCCTATAATCCCAGCACTTTCGGAGGCTGAGGCTGGAGGATCACCTGAGGTCAGGAGTCTGAGATCAGCCTGGCCAACATGGGGAAACCCAGTCTCTACTAAAAATACAAAAATTAGCCAGGCGTGGTAGCACAGGCCTGTAGTCCCAGCTACTCTGTAGGCTGATGCAGGAGAATGGCTTGAACCCAGGAGGTGGAGGTTGCAGTGAGCCAAGATCACACCAGTGCACTCCAGCCTGGGTGACAAAGTGAGTGAGACTCCATCTCAAAAAACAAACAAACAAACAAAAATGAATGCCAGGATCCCACCTTCTACTTCTTGCGTTTGATGCATGAGAAATCCTAGTTTACACATTTTATTAAATCTGGGACTGGTTGTAACTGGCACTAATGTAGTCTTGTGTGAAGGTAGTGGTGCGATGGTCATTCTCTACCCTTGCCCCACCTGAGAGCCTCTAGAGGGAAGGCTGTGGTCCAGTGCACTGACCTGAACCCTCACCACATGCGTCCCACACATATGGAATTGGGAGCAGTCATTTAGCATCTCTTAGCCATTTCGCTCTAATTTCTTTGTTTGCCATTTTTGTTGACTTTTTCCTTGGGAACCTGAATTTAAACTCATGCCACTTTTTTGTCTTCCTTATTCTAGTGGGTAGGAATTTGATCTTGACCCCAAAAGCAATGATAGGTTCCTACAGTTCTGTAAAGTATCCATTGCTTCTGAAAGGCCTTCTTTCCCCATTGTCTTTGACAATTTAGATTTTCCAAGTGCTAGGATTTTGGAGAAAGTGGAGCCATGAGCCCAGGCAAGTGGGGTAGCCTGATAATGCCCTCCCATGACACATGGGGCTGGGGATGTAAAAACTTCAGAGTTTCCATGTCAAATAATCTCCTTTGCCCTGTGGCCTTCGGTTACAGGAATCATTTATATTACAGGCACATTTTGAAATATCAAAACAAATTGGACACTTTTTCCCTATTAGGAAGAAAGGCATGTTAATTTAAGTGTGGAGTGTGACATTTGGAAATGTAAAAAGAGGCTTTTGGGGAGTAGTTGGGGGTTTGAGTGGAATATCTCCCTTTTTGTATATCTCTCTTGTTTTTATTCATCCTGTGTCTTATTCAGATAGTGATTTTCATTCACCTGCCTGATCTTCTGGAACAGGGATTTTAGAGAAAGCCATTTTCTCAGCAGCTCCACAAGGGCGAGATTTCCAAATGGGCAAGGAAAGGCTGCAGAGACACATCTAGCTTGGAAGTAAATGCACCAAGCCAGCCAAATTGGAATTGTCTTATAGGGATCCTTGTGTGCTGTCACAGAAGAGTTTTCAGGAGGCTTTCCTTTGGGCACTAATGGCCAACCACTGCTGCTGAGTTTCTCCCAGCCTTCTGGAGGGAATGCCAGCCAGCGCACTCTCAGCTGTGACATGACCCTCCTAGGAGCTGTTCAATGCTAGCGCCGTTTTGCTCTGATGCCCAGCACCCTCTGCTTTTAGTCACTTTCCTTAGCGTCCTTTCGCAGTGCTTGCATTTCAGCCAAAATCGTGCCTCGTGACTTTTCTTTTCCTAGAGTTTTCGCTTCTCACAGTGAAGAATCTATCAGCTGTTTCCTGAATCCTTCTATGTCTTTTAAGGTGTTAACATTTTCAATTTTGCCACATTCAGCATTTTTGGCCTACTCTGACCTGAGCTCGATAAAGAGCATCAGAAATTGAGTAAAGACAGAAATAAGTCCCTATAAGCATGAGCCCTGGCACTGTCCACTTCCTCCTCCTCCCCTACCCTGACAGCACTAATCTCCCTTCAGCTCTACTCATTGGACCCCCTTTATTCTTTAGGCTCTCTTTAGTGATTTATCTTAGTTTAGCTATGAGAAGAATCAAGCTTTTTAAGGGCTTCGCTGAAAACGTAATGAAAGTTGTTTCAACTCTTTAAATTTTAAGTGAATTGTGGCCATCTCAGGCCCACTAGTTCATGTACCTGATACAATTTTTATTTGGAGCCACTGTATTCACATCTTCCTGGGACAGGATTTCACATAATTGGGGTAGGTTAATGAGTGTGGATTTGGCACTCCCTTTCTATAGAGAGTGGTAAGGAGCTCAGGCCTTGGAGTCAGTCAGGTGTGGTTCCAATCCTGGATCTACTATTAGGTTGGTCCGAAAGTAATTGCCATTTCGGCCATTAAAAGTAACCGCAAATACTTTTGCACCAACCTAATACTTAGTAGCTGTGCAGTCTTGGGTAACTCGTTTCACCTTTCTTGTGTCTCAATGTCCTCATTTGTAAAATGGGCACAATAGTCCCAATCACATAGGTTGAAGACTAAACCAAAGACCCCATTTCATTAGCTTAGCCTTATCCCTGGCAGATACCATGAACTCATATGTCATTATAATTATGATAATTTACTTACCCTTTCAATTAGGGGTATAAGATGCTACACAGTTTTCCTCTAGGACAGGGCCCGCAAACCATGGCCTGCAGCTTGCCTGTGAGCTAACAATGATTTTCATATTTTTAAAAGGTTGAAAAAAATCAAAAGAAGAGTGCCGTTTCGTGGCATAGGGAAATTATATGAAATTCAAATTTCAGTGTCCATAAATAAAGTTTTATTGGAACACAACTGTGCTCACTCATTTATATATTGTCTATGGCTGCTTTTGCTCTATCATAGCAGAGTTGAGTGGTTGTGATAGAGATTCTATGGCCTAGAAAGCCTAAATATTTGCCACCTTGCCGACCACTTGCCCTAAGACATTTAGCCATGTCTCTGGAACATCACTGTGATAGATAGTTCAGGAATTATTTGCATATTATCATCACTGTTATTCCAAAACTCTGACTGCGTGTGTTTCTGTGTGGAGAGTGATTTACAAAGGAAGAAATTATACAAGTCATAACAAAAAGAAAAAAAAAAAATTACACAGGTCCATGTAAGACAAATGAGATGAGGCTTTTGTGGCAGTTTTAGCTAAGGACTCACTTTGTGCCTTCGAGGGATCAGAAAGAATTTAGAAGTAGTAGCAATATTGGTTAGGAGAATTTACAGATTCTCTTGTTTTCTTTTCCTCTATCAGTACCTTCTCTGCAAGGAGGAGAGAATGGATGTTAGTTTCTCCTTGTAAGATGAATTGAATTGCTTGTGTTAGTGTACTAGGACTCTGGGTTGGTTGTGAATGTGGTATACCAAGGCAAAGTCTCATCTGAGCAAATACCACCATAACACCCTGTTCTCCCCCAAAAGGCAATCTCTGTAGAGAATTATAAAATCTTAGAATATCAAGATTGGAAGGAGCCTGGAGATCTGAGGGAATGATATTGATATTAATATCTCCTTGCCGATGTAGATACAATATCCTGTTTGAAGGCAAAACATTGTGTAATAAACCCAGTCTACTCAATCTATTCAACTAAGGTGGCCTCTAGTGGGTGTCTGAGTACTGGAACTAGATTTGAATACTTGTGAGATATTAAATTTCATATGCTTTACAAAACGTGCAGCCATCCGGGCACACAAACAAAATGCCCACTTTTGGATGTGAAAGTGGGGGCAGGAGTTTTTCCCATTTAGGAGCTAAAAGCTCTGGAGCTCTGGTCCTCAGATTCATCTTGTGTCTGGCCTGTGGTCGCAGTGAGATGCCTTTTCAGTAGGGATGAGGTATACTTGGGGCTGGGAGAGGGGGGACATTTGGAGGTCTGGCCTCCCAGGGGTAGGTATGTGTTTAGCCGGGCTATGCAGATGAACCAATCTGGGTGTCTCTGTCAGGGAAGAGGCTAGGAAAGCTGCTGGTGAGAGGGGTCAGAGACTGGTTTGCCCCAAGGGGGATGGGGGAGGCAGGGAGGCTGTAGAGGAGCTGTTGGGCCAGATCTTGTTGAGAAAATCTCTCAGACCCGAGACTTCTCCCCTCCTCTCATTTCCTATATTTGGGCTTTCACACTTAAGGGACTGGTCTTAAGGAGAGATGTACTTTTTAACATTTGATTTGCCCATGTTGTGCCCCGTACTTCTGCGTACCACCAGAAGACCACAATGACAAAGACCAGCGAAGGCCAAAGGTGGCCATGTGTGTATAGAATTGACACTCCAAGGTCACCGGATCTGCAATCTACCAAACAGTCTTGACTCACACCCTCAGGTTTCATATTTGAACCTCCTTTGCAGGGCTGGTCCTGGCTCCTTTCACCTTCTAGACTGCCTTTCCTTTCTTACTGTCCTCTGAGAGGCACACTGAACATCTGTGGACAGTGGCAGTTGGTAGCTATATATATACATGTATATATATCAGAATTTCCTCTTTGTACACTGTAGCAGTGGACTTCCATTTTGATGATATTATACAGGGTATAAATCTGCCTATCTCAACAAGTTGCTTTAAAGAAGAATCAGTTTCAATGTCCAAACTACCACTTCAGTAAAGTAACAGAGCCAATGCCCTGTGTCTTTTTCCTTTATTTATTTATTTATTTTGACATAGGTTCTTGTTCTGTTGCTCAGGCTGGAGTGTAGTGGTTTGATCTCGGCTCATAGCAGCCTCAACCTCCCGGGCTCAAGCAATCCTCCCATCTCAGCCTCCCAAGTAGCTGGGACTATAGGCACATAGCTAACTAATTTTTAAAAATTTTTTATTTTGTAGAAATGAGGTTTCACCATGTTGCCCAGGCTGGTCTCAAACTTCTGAGCTCAAGCGATCCTCCTGCCTCAGCCTCCCAAAGTGCTGGGATTACAGGTGTGAACCACCATGCCCACCCCCCTTTTTCTTATGAATGGGTGAAGCAGGAGAAGAGCAGTGAGTATGGCTAGAGATGCTGACACCATGTAGTATAGCAACTTGTGGGCTTCTGCCTTCTTCCTCAAGATGAGGCCAAGAAGAGCACTGGGACTTCCAGCCTCTGGTGCATGTGTTTCCTCTGGGCTAGGTGGTATGTGGTGTCCAGGTATCTGCACACTTGCTCGGGGCAGGGTTCTAAGCAGTGGATGGTGGCAATGGATATGGCCAACAAGAGACAATCATGGCAGTGTCACTGAGCTGTGAACTCCCACAGAATCTTTTGGCCTCCCAAGCTCAGAGAAGAAGCTTAAGGGAGAAAACCTGTCAACAGTCCTTTTGCCATATTTATTCACTGGAGTCACACTTTTATAACAGGCATAGGCTCAAAGGTGTAAATAAAGCCAATTATTTTAGTTCAGCATTGATTTTCATATATAAATTATCAATATAGTTTTGATTTAGTAATAAAAATAACAGCCTGGAGTTTTATCCCCTGCCATGGCCAGTGAGAGCTGTTTTTAAGCTGTTTCTTTGTACAGGGAAGCATGTGTCAAAGTCACACCTCCTGATTAATAAAAACAATAACCTTTTAGTCCTTCCTATGTTCCAGGCATTGTGCAGAGGGCTCACAAATACTATTTCATGTAATGCTACTCATAATTCTCTGAGGTAGATTAGTATTTGTATACGTATGTTATAGACGGGGAAGCTGAGGCTCAGGAAATCACTTACCCAAGACAGCAGCTGGCAATTCTAAGAAAATTTTTGAAATTCTAAAATGCATCTGAGGACCTGGCACTGTGGCTCATGCCTGTAATCCCAGCACTTTGAGAGGCCGAGGTGGGTGGATCACTTGAGGCCAGGAGTTCGAGACTAGCCTGGCCAACATGGCGAAACCCCATCTCTACTAAAAATACAAAAATTAGCCAGGAATGGTGGTGGGCACCTGTAATCCCAGTTACTCAGGAGGCTAAGGCACGAGAATCGCTTGAACCAGAGAGGTGGAGGCTGCAGTGAGCCGAGATTGTGCCACTGCACTCCAGCCTGGGTGACAAAGCAAGACTCTGACTCAAATAATAAAATAAAATAAAGCACGTCTGCTGCCTTCACACCCCATTTTCTGTACCATGCATGTCAA
This sequence comes from Homo sapiens, assembly GCF_000001405.40. NCBI lineage: Eukaryota > Metazoa > Chordata > Mammalia > Primates > Hominidae > Homo > Homo sapiens. Next base: position 132,803,359 of record NC_000023.11, on the reverse strand, counting down.
CTTCTATAGGGCCCTTCTCTTGTATGGGTGTCCATTAGGTCATATCTTGCAGATATGGCAGAGCTAGAGACCTAGAGGTAAAGCAAGATACTAGGAAAACAAGTAAAAGGGAGCTATTTTCTGGGAGACTAGGAAAAAGAAGAGACTAGGAAAAGTAAGTGAAGAAGCTCTAACTAGTAGGGGGCCAATAAGGGGCAAACAAAGGAGAGAAGCTGGCTGCTTAGCTAACCAAGTAGAGAGCCTCGGATCTGGAAGGAACTGGACCGAACATCTGTAACTGGGCAGGGCTGGCCTTGGGCCTGTCTTGACTTCCTTGAAATGTCTCTTTTACCTGGCCTCCTTCTCATGGCTGTCATCAAGCAGCCCTGTTGATCATGTTCCTGAGGAAGGACAGAATGGGGTTGGGGAGATTAAGTTTATTAGCAAGGCAATTTCCTCTAGGGAGACCCCAAACCTGGCTTGGTAACTACAGTGAAAGGAGAGCGTTTGAGCCCCTTCCCCCTTCTGCTTGATCTCCTCTCCTTCACCAGGCTTTCTTCAGACCTGGTTCCAATCATTATAAGGCAGATCTAAAGCCACTCTTCCTGACACTGAAACTTTGCTGAGCCTGGAAAAATCACAGAGGCTCAGTTTGGTGTTTTTGCATGCAAAATACGAGAGGCAGAGGTGAAGGTGCATTCCTGGTGCCCTGCGGTTCCCAGGCAGTATCTGAGTGCATTTTCACCTGTTATCGCTTGCCTTTCAAATATTCGTTAGCTCCCCCAGAAGTTTAGCCACGAGTCATCTTCTAGGGGAAATAGCTGCTCTGCTCTGTTTGTAGAATCTCATAGTTTATTTTGGAATGAAGATGTATTTTCCTGGAAAAGTGTTACTACTTTACAGTGTCCCCTTCATCTGCGAAACTGAAAAGGCAGGCAGCCTTGCTGTATGAGAAGACCACACACTTGCGGACAGAAAAAAGATGCATCCGGGCTTCTCTTCAAGTCCAAGACAATTGATGACAAAGGAAGTATGACACAAACTTATTGAGATCTGTTATTATCCTTGTGCTGCCCGGGTTTTAGACAAAAACAATAAGCAGATTACATAAGTGAGTGTCACCACTTTTGCATAACCAAGGTTTCATTTTTCTCTTCTCACTTGGTTAGTCTTCCGTGAGCTAAGCAACATCATGGTAGTTTTCTGTAGTACCACTTATGGCTTTCCTTGTTATCATCACCTGCCTTTGACACATGCCTTCATTAATGAGTTGATATATTTAATTATATGTTATACAGATATTTTATATTACAAGCAATGTTAATTGCATTCATTCAGAACAGCTCCCAATTAAAATCTATAAACTACTTAGACCTCTATAAAAATCCCACCATTTACCTTACAGCTTCACATTAATATTTACCCTGGAGAGGATAAACATCTCATCCTGTATTTATCTGTTAGATCATTTTTGTTGTCATAAAAAACAAAAGCCACATGTTTAATTGGATCCCTTCGGTATGAATTTTTAAAATAATAGTAGGAATCCTTACTTGGGAAGATGGTTTCATAGGGCATCCTAAAACCATCCTTTGTTCCAAATCCTTTGAGGATGCACACATTTAATGTTTTCCTTCTTACTACTATGCTATGAACTTAACAGTGCTACATGCTAAAGTACAGGCAGCAGAAGTTCTCTGGGAAAGTGGAGATCCCTAGCAAGTAAGGAACCCAAGAGAAGGCCATTCTAAGCTGTAGTCCCTTGTTGGACCAAGGGAGGAAGGAAACAGATAGCATCCACCTGGCGCTGCAATTCTACTGGCCTGTGGGGTGGTCTGGCTTTAGGAAGCTCACTGTGTAATCCATCAGAGGACAATCCTGCCAAGTCTTCTTTTCAAGTAAAAAATGTTAATGTTTCTTTCCATACTTTGTCTCATAATCAATATTCAATTTTCAAGGCAGTAAAACTAATCAAAGAATATAAAATGAATCCAACACAAGAGAAAGGAGGGAGAATGAGTAAGCTGCAAATGGGACTGAGCAAGAAAATAGGAGGATATTATAACTATAGAATTTTTTTTTTTTGAGACAGAGTCTTGCTTTGTCACCCAGGCTGGAGTGCAGTGACGCGATCTCGACTCACTGCAACCTCTGCCTCCCGGGTTCAAGCAATTCTCTTCTTCCTGTTGGTGAATTTCTCCCAGGAGGCATGAGCCAAGATCCTGTTTCATGGGTTTCTGGGTATACCCCTTGAAACACCAGAGTCAGGAGTCAGGAACAACACCTAGTGTATTAGTTGGTTTTCACACTGCTGTAAATAACTGCCCGAGACTGGATAATTTATAAAGAAAAGAGATTTAATGGACTCAAAGTTCCACAGGGCTGGGGAGGCCTCAGGAAACTTACAATTATGGCTGAAGGGGAAGCAGGAACGTCTTACATGGCAGCAGGTGAGAGAAGAAAGTGAAGGAGGAACAGCCAAACACTTATAAAACCATCAGATGTCATGAGAATTCACTCACTGTCACAAGAACAGCATGGGAGAAACCACCCCTATGATCCAATCACTTCCCACCAGGTTTCTCCCTCAACACCTGGGGATTACAATTTGAGATGAGATTTGGGTGGGGGCACAAAACCAAACTCTGTTACCCAGTTAGAAACCGGCCAGTCAGCATGTAGTCCCTCTGGAGCTCACAATTGCAGATCATGGTATGATGGAGTTCTCCACTGCACGGTAGGCTCTGGGGCTTAGGCAGGCATATGGGGCAGCAGTCAACATAGGGGATGGTGGGAGTGAGGTGCTCTACAGCAGTGGTCCTCGACTTTTTTAGCACCAGGGACCAGTTTCATGGAAAACAATGTTTCCATGGGCTTAGGGGGTGGGAGATGGTTTCAGGATGCTTCAAGTGCATTACATTTATTGTGCACTTTATTTTGATAATTATTATGTTGTAATATATAATGAAATAATTATACAACTCACTATAATGTGGAATCAGTGGGAGCCCTGAGCTTGTTTTCCTGCAATTAGATGGTCCCATCTGGAGGTGATGGGAGACAGTGACAGATCATCAGGCATTAGATTCTCATAAAGAGCACACAACTTAGATCCCTCACATGTGCAGTTCACAATAGGGTTTGCACTGCCATGAGAATCTAATGCCACTACTGATCTGACTGGAGGCAGAACAGAGCTCAGGCAGTAATGCAAGTGATAGGGAATGGCTGTAAATACAGATGAAGCTTAGCTCGCTCATCTACCGCTCACCTCCTGCTGTGTGACCCGGTCCATGGCCTGAGGGTTGGGGACCCATGCTCTACAGCACTGTTATGGCATGTTCCAGACTCTTGAGAATCGGTCCTTCCTTGCATCTCACCTCACCTTCAACTTTATTGTTCACTTTTAGTTCAACCTTTGCCAGCAGGTAAAGAGGTAAAGAGAACAATGTGTCCTGTGAAGTATTTATGAGAGAAGCAGATAAATCATTAGATTTATTGAGAACTTTTGAAGTGCACTAGGCATCTCACACACATTACTTCATTGAATCACCTCCATAATCCTATGTGGTTGATAATTATATTATCCCCACATTCTGGATGAAGAAAGTGGAGCTCAGAGAGGTTATCATGACATACATACTGCTCACAAAACCATTCTGTGGCAGAAGTAGATTCAACAGCTCAAAAATAAAAGAGGGCTGGGCACAGCAGCTCACACCTGTAATCCTAGCACTTTTGGAGGCTAAAGTGGGTGGATTGCTTGATCCCAGGAGTTTGAGACCAGCCTGGGCAACATAGTGAGACCCTGTTTCTACCAAAAAATGCAAAAAACAAAAATTAGGCAGGCGTGATGGCATGCACCTGTAGTATAGCTTCTTGGGAGGCTGAGGTTGGAGGATTGATTAAGCCTGGAAGGTTGAGGCTGCAGTGAGCAGTGATTGTACCACTGCACTCCAGCCTGGATGACAGGGCAAGACCCTGTCTCAAAATAATTAAAAAAAAAAAAAGTAAAAGAGAACATGATGATTTATGGGGAAATTGACACTAAAAATGTCTTGGATGAAATAAAGTGACCCAGGCATCAGGATTTAGGGGCTTACATGGGATAACACTGTTCTACTCCATAGCACCTCACCTGTCTAATTAGTGTCTAATTAGAGACATTTTTAATCAGATAAGTGCATTTATGAACATTGCAATTTTTCCCAAAGTTTAACCATCAGTTTCTCTGAAAGGACTTCTAAAGCCTAGAAACTCACCTCTTGTTAATAGTGCTGCTCTTCCTCTTAAGGATTCTGCCCAGGAGTTCAACACCAGCCTGGGCAACATAGGTAGAACTTTGTAAAGTGGAATAATGCTATTCTAATAACTTATTTAGCAAACATTTACTGAGCAATTACCCTGGGTCAGGCCTCCTTGCAAGGTTCTGGGGACATAGACATGAGGGAATTCTCACCCTTGAGGCCATCACAGTCAGCTAGGGAAGAAAAGAAGTAAACAGATCATTATAAAACCCTGAGATAAGTGCTACTGTGAAGGTATGTAACTCTGTCCCCTGGGTGCTTTGGAAGTGTGAGAGCTTGGGACATTGTAGCAGGATGTTGGTAGCTCCATCAGATCTGGAGTCTTTTCCACCTTGAACTTGAGATCAGCCTAAAGCCAAACACTTGACTTTTAAATGATTTGATTTTAACAGAATCAACTTTTTATTATGCAAACTCAAAAGATGTATTCTGTAGAGTTTTACTGAGCCTTTTTTCCCTTTAAAATAACTAACTATATGTTTTGACATGCTTCAGGGGACTTTTTTTGTAAAATAGCACAAATAGGACAATACTGGAATACATCAGTGTGCTGTGAAGCCTGAATGAGTAATACACAAGTGACTGCACTTTCAAAAATGTAAAGAAAAGTAACATGCTAAAAATCATAAACTACAAAGAGGCGGCATAGCTTGGTGAGACAAGCGTTGACTTGTGAACAGGAAAAAAAGGATCCCTGCTGGCTATTCTGCTGAGTGACCCCAGGAGGTCCCTGTTCCTCTTGGGACCTCAGTTTCCTGGTTGGTGGAATGGGTATTGGATGAGAATCTCAATCTGAAGATCTGCATTCCCTTTCAAGTCGCTAAAATCCTGGACTTCTACGATAATGCTGCATCCTTCTGAGGTTCCAAACAACAATATGCAGTAGGGGCCCCTTTTGCTTCCTTCCTTGCATGTATCCAGGCAGTCTCCTGAGAGCATCCAGCATTGGGGAGGAATGGGGTGTATTGAAGGGAAAAGCAGGTGCCCCATTGGGAATGGGACACTCCCGCCCCCCGCCCTACCTCCTTCTTTCAACTTGACTTCCTTTTTTTTTTTTTTTTGAGACAAAGTCTCATTCTGTTGCCCAGGCTGGAGTGCAGAGGCGCGATCTGGGCTCACTGCAACCTCCACCTCCCAGGTTCAAGCGATTCTCCTGCCTCAGTCTCTTGAGTAGCTGGGATTACAGGCATGCACTATTATGCCCAGCTAATTTTGTATTTTTTTAGTAGAGACTGGCTTTCACCATGTTGGCCAGGCTGGTCTTGAACTCCTGACCTCAGGTGATCCACCTGCCTCAGCCTCCCAAAGTGCTGGGATTACAGGCATAAGCCACCGCACCCGGCCTCAACTTGACTCCCTTTCTTGTCACTGTTTCTAGATGGTCAACTAGATCAATACTCAGATCAGCTCTTCTTTCAGAGGAACAAATGAGAACTTTCCTCTTGTTCTCCATCTCCTCCTTCTCCTAATGCACACACATGTGCATACACACACTCCACTGCCATCACTAGAGAGAAGGAATTAGGTCCAAACCTCTGTTCGCACTCAGAGTCTTAAAGTGACAGCTTTACGTTTACAAGTTAGGCATTAAATGGAATTCCATTCTCCCTGTCAAGTTTCAGACAGGGGAAAGCCCAGAATTCCAATAGTGATGGTGTTCTTGGCAAGCGCTTTTTACAGGGTGGTAAGCTAATCAGTCTGCAGTTCGGCAGTCTGAAGGCTTGAGCTTTCATCTGACTTGGAATATATAAAGGGCTTGGCATTGCAGCTTCCAACCCTATGACTTAGCTTTGAGCTTCGCATCTTCCCATCAACTTCGTAGCTCTCTCCATCAACCAAGTACCCACTACAATCAAGGAGAAAGGATATGGCAGATTAATTGAATCTTTGTGTCTTTTTAGCACCTGTGGGCTATGGACTTCTTGAAATTGGAGTTACTTTTATTCCTTTGAATTGAGCCCAATACCCCGCTTCAGTCAGGGTGCTTTTACCTTCCCAGAATCCTCTTGCTAAGGACAAGCAGGCAGGCTAATCGGGGACTACTGAAGTTTTCTGGCTCAAAGAACATAATGCAGTGTGTTTACAAATCCACCTCTTCGCCTTCACCCTAAATTTTCCTTTCCTTTATATGATTTTAGCACTTTGGGTTTACATTAAGCTCTCAGTTACTTAAAGTAGGCTGAAGAAAATAAGAAGTGTAGTAGTGCTTCACTCCCCAGTGATGAAATAGGGGGTAATTGGCTCCAAAAATCGTTGCATGTCTTGTCCCTTTCAGGGACTTTAACTGCTCTGTTGCCCTTGCTCCATGGATTGGGGCTGCATCAGTAGCCTAATGTGAGGGGAATGGTTGAAAGTAATTGTCAGAGCCCAGAGCTCCACTTGCCATGGAAAGCCTATTGACTTTAATAGTGACCATCTGGCTGGGCACCTCTGAAGATGTCTCAGTTAAGGCCTATTTGGTGAATGGACCTTTGCTTATTTGAAAGCTACACTGCTGTTCCAACCTGATCATTGCATTTTATGTGATGGGCACTGGAAGTCCAAATGAAAGTTTCTTAGAAAACACTCCCATTAAATTTACCAGTCCATGTGTGATTGCCACTTTCAGTGCAGTCAGAGCACAGTCATTCTCTTTTTATTGAAAGCATATGGTAGGTACTTAGAGCATACCCTAGGCCAGACTCAGTTATGGTGCCATCAAGGGCAGCAAGAATTAAAAAGAGGAAAATGGTATCCAGGTGGCAGTAGGAATTCGGTAGGTTGGATGGAAAATATTCATAGTTAACGAGCTTTCATAAGGAGAACAGAAACAAGTTAGATGTGATTTGCAGATCCATAGGCAATCAGTCTCTGCTGAGCAGAGGGGAAACTTGGAGAAGATTCTCAGAAGTGTGCCTCACCCTTGACCCAAACCTTTCCCTGAACATGTGCAATAAATATTATTAAGCTTTGAGAATTTCTTTAAAATAATATCTGTCAATGGTAAGTGCCACATGCCAGGCCCTATGCTACCAGCATCATCTCATATCATCCTCACATGTATCCTGTGAGGTGGAGGATACTATCCCAATGTTACAGATGAGAAAACTGAGACTTAAACATTAAGTTGTTCAAGGTCATACAGCTAAGAAGTCACAGAGCTGCTTTGATTAAAGTTCTGTCTGAGGCTGGGTGCGGTAGTGCATGCCTGTAATCCAAGCACTTTGGGAGGCCAAGGTGGGCGGATTGCTTGAGCCCTGGAGTTTGAGACCAGCCTGGGCAACATGGCAAAACCCTGTCCCTACCAAAAAATTACAAAAGTTAGCCAGGCATAGTGGTGCACACCTGTAGTCCAAGCTACTTGGGAGGCTGAGGTGGGAGAATTACCTGAGCCTGGGGAGCTTGAGGCTGAAGTGAGCCAAGACTATACCACTGCACTCCAGCCTGAGGGACACAGTGAAACTCTGTTTCATAAAAAAAAAGGTCTCTGTGACTTCAAGGCCTTTGTTCTCTATACTATTAGGAAGTCCAGTAAGTGAAGAAAAGTACATGTAAATTTCACTAAAGGATCACAGCTTCTTGTACGGAAGGGCTTTGAGCACGTCGGCTGTGGCTCCTGTGCAGCCAGCCAGATCTGCCTAAGCAGCTCTGGGAGTAGGGCCACACAGGAATCTGTCACAGGGAGGATTCCACATTCCTTCAGCCCCTATCAGCACAGTCAAAGAATGGTAAGAAGAATGCAGAGGGTGGCTTTGAAATACTCACAGCCTTCCATGGATAAACCATGGAGACATTACACTCATTTGATAGAAGCCAGACACAAAAGGCCATATTATTGTATGATTCCATTTATATGAAATATCAGAATAGGCAAATCCATAGAAACAGAAAGCAGATTCGTGGTTGGTAGGTGATGGGGGAAAGACTTCAGCACCATCCCCTTCCCTCTCAGTCTCAGTGAAGTGGAAGGAAGGAGTAGTCTCAGCTAGGGAAAAGAGGGGAAAAGCTGAAGACGACAGATTTCTATGTCTCCCAGTTTAATTACCTTTCCCTTTGCTCTCGCCTATGAATGCCACTGCCTGCAGGTTCTTAGGGAATCAAACTGGGACTTCAGTCTGGAAATGTGCTTTCAGGACAAAGACCCATGCATACGAGACAAGGTGACAATCCTAAGGTGGCCCCCAGTACTTCGGGGCAGTGGAAAGGACCTTGCGATGGGTGCCAGAAGGACTAACATCAAGGCCAGCTCTACCATGTCTGAGGTGTATGACTGTGGGCAAGTTTCTTCATTACAACTTCTGCAACTGCACAGTGACTAGCATAATCCTTTCCCATTAGGCACTGCTGGATCATTGCAAAGATTAAATGAGGGCCAGGTGCAGTGGCTTACGCCTGTAATCCCAGAACTGTGGGAGGCCGAGGTGGGTGGATTGCTTGAGCCCAGGAGTTCGAGACCAGCCTGGGCAACATGGCAAAACCCAGTCTCTACAAATAATAATAATAATAATAATAATAATAATCATCATCATCATCATCATCCAGGAGTGGTGAAATGCACCTGTAGTCCCAGCTAATCAGGAAACTGAGGTGAGAGGATCGCTTGAGCCTGGGAGGACAGGGCTGCAGTGAGCCATGATCATGCCACTACACTCCAGCCTGGGCAACAGAGTAAGACCCTATTTCAAAAATAAATAAATAAATAAGGAGACATATGTGAAAGCATTTCCGAAGTCTAAAGCTCCACATACACATAAGTGATTATAAGAAATTTAACAAAGGGTAGTCACATAATTGACATTGTCCTTTGGAGGAGAGAAAATTGGTGCTATCCCCTTGGTGGACAGGTTCCCTCATCCTTAAAGCACATTTCCAGAGCAGAAGGAAGCCTTCATCTAAGTCCAAGCGCTACATTTCTGATATGAGAGCTAGTTTGAGATTTAAATGAACCCTGTCTCTCAAGACACAGCTTTGCATCTATTTTGCATTCAAATTTATTTATCTAGAGACAAAATTGTGCATTCTTTAATTCTACTCACAGCGTATGCACGCAGACCAAATGAGGTGCTGATCCAGCAAAACGGCAAGTAGCCTTTTGCTTCCCTGAAATTGCTAATTTTACAAATGGCAGAGTGGTGAAACGTGGCACGGAATATCTATTTTACTAGAATCCGGCAAAACGGGCACATATGGTCTTGTCAAGAATGAATCAAACACAGTTTCGGGATTATAATTAAGTAGTTGAAATTCCAAAAGGAAGAAGTTAATATGAACAAAGTGAGATTTCGATTGCTTTTGGTTAGCATTCTCTCAGGCTCCTTCCTTTACACATTATCAGGAACATAGCTACTTTGATTTCTTGTCCTGAAAAATGTTTAATTGTAAAATATCAAACGTTTTCACCCCAACTCTAATTGTACTTGATTTGACATCTGTACACCATGCTCAGGGTACCAAATATTATTAAATGTAATAAGTCCAGGCATAGAAGTCAAGCCAAATGTTCCTACGTAAGTATTTAGGTTGACACCTTCTGTCAACAAAGCTAAACCTCTGACCAATTCTGTAGCAGGCCAATAAAGATACAGGAGGAAGATGGGAACCATTAGAAGAAAACACTCTCTCCTCATCTCTCTCTCTTTCAGTACTGTTTCTACCTGAAATCAGGGACATATTCCATTCTGGTCCACAAGCCCAGCATCTAGCACAGGGGCTGGCATGTAAAAAGAGTTGATTTGGGCTGGGCGCAGTGGCTCATGCTGTAATCCCAGTACTTTGGGAGGCTGAGATGGGTGGATCACCTGAGGTCAGGAGTTTGAGACCAGTCTGACCAACATGGTGAAACCCCATCTCTACTAAAAATACAAAAATTAGCCAGGCGTGGTGGTGGGTGCCTATAATCCCAGCTACTCAGGAGGCTGAGGAGGGAAAATTGCCTGAACCCAGGAGGCGGAGGTTGTGGTGAGCTGAGATTGCGCCACTGCACTCCAGCCTGAGTGACAGAGCAAGACTCCATCTCAAAAAAAAAAAAAAAAAAAAAAAAAAAAAAGGAGTTTATTTGGAGATTTGCAACTTGTCATGGGAAACATTCCCAGGGTTTCTTCTAGAGTTGTTGTGGACCTGATTTTGGGTGCTAAGTGGTAACTCACTATATCTTAAAAACACATCAGCTAAAAGGTGGAAGCAATCTACATGCCCATCAACTGACGAAGGGGTAAACAACATGTGGTATATCCATATAATGGCACGCTATTTATTCATAAACAGGACTGATATATGCTACAACATGGATAAACTATGGAGACATTACACTAAGTGATAGAAGCCAGACACAAAGGCCATTTATTGTATGATTCCATTTATATGAAATATTAGAATAAGCAAATCCATAGAGACAGAAAGCAGATTAGTGGTGGGCAGGTGATGGGGGAAGAGGGAGATTGGTAGATAATAGTTAAAGGATATGAAGTTTCTATTTGAGGTGTTAAAAATGTTCTTAAATTGATTATGGCAATGGTTGCATGACTGATAATATACTAAAAACCTCAAATTTTACACTTTAAATGGGAGAATTGTATGGTATGTGAATTATATTTCAATAAAGCTGTTATATAAATAAAAGTTTACTTCAGATTATTTTGATGTGCACTTGCAGTTCAGAAGCTTGAGCTAGATTAACAGTTCCTAACCTTAGTTTTGGCTCCTAACTCCTGTCTCCTCTCAGATCTTAGGACCTTCAGGTTCCACACAGCCTACCTTGCTGCTACCTAGTTTTTGAAGTTCTAATTCCCGAAACAAAGAACTCCCTTGAAGAGCATTGATGCCATGGCGGAGGAGAGGAAACAAGAACTTTTGGTTTTAAGCTGTGTCTACACTTAACCACCTTGTGCCCACTTGGGTAGGTGCTCTATCATTGAGGATCAGGACCCAATTATTCCCATTCTCATGTTTTTCCAGGACCTGACAAATCCTAATTCAGATTGCTATTCCCTTTGAGAGTGAAATAGCTTAGGTACGTTTCTTCTACAACAATGCAGATATTCTATTAATGAAAGGAGCTGCTACAAAGTAATTTTTAATGTTTATATAGGAAAGTGTAACTTTTTTTTTTTCTGGAGACAGGCTCTTGCTTTGTTGCCCAGGCTGAAGTGCAGTGGCACGGTTATGGCTTACTGCAGCCTCAATTTCCTGGGCTCAAGTGATCCTCCCACTTCATCCTCTCAAGTAGCTGGAACTACAAGTATGTGCCACTACACCCAGCTATTTGTTTGATTTTTTTTTTTTTTTGTAGAAATGGGCTCTCACTAGGAAATTGTAAGAAAAAGGAGTAGCTTTCTTAAAACCCTGGTTTAACATGACAAACCCAAAACATTGAGCTGTACACTTCATTGGTTAAATCTTCTTTTTGCTTATTTAAAGAAAGGACAAGAAAAAAGAAAAGAAAAACTTTTTTGCTAGTTCACACCTCAAGGTACACCCAGTTTCTGACTTTAAAGGGAATCAGTCCAAAGTAACAAAATATTATTTTGACATCTGAAAAAGAAAATGCTCGTTTTATAAATTGGATAGTGATTTCTAACCATTGTTGATGGACATAGATATCTTTTGTTAAAGCCTCATCAATAAGCTCATATTTCTAGGAGATCATATTGCGATGAGAATTATGAAGAGGGAACTGGAGGTCCATGCTGGAAAGTCAGTACTCCTTTAATTCAACTAAAAATATTTATTCAATAGTTAAATATTGACTGTGATATCAAGTATTTTGAATGTTGGTAAAAATTAAAGGTTTTGGCAAAATAGACAATGGTATACTTACAAGTTTTCTGAGGGTGGTTCCCAGAATATATTACCCAAAATACTATACAGTGAGAAGTGATAGTCACCATTCCATGTCTTTGACCACAAACATATCTTAAGATTTTCTTTGAAGAGGGTTTTTTAGCTTTTTGAGACAGAGTCTTGCTCTATCACCCAGGCTGGAATGCAGCGGTGCAGTCATGGGTCACTGCAGCCTCAAACTCCTGGGCTCAAGCAATCCTCCTGCCTCAGCCTCCCAAGTAGCCGGGACTACAAGCACATGCCACCACATTTGGCTAATTAAAAAAAAAAATGTAGAGACGGGATCTCACCATGTTGACCAGACTAGGCTGGTCTTGAACTTCTGGCCTCAAGTCATTTTCCCACCCCGGCTTCCCAAAGTGTTGAGATTACAGGCCTGAGCCACCACACCCAGCCTGAAGAGGGTTTACAAAATTATTTCACCAACATGTAAGAAAATGTAATAGGCATTTTAAAGTTTAACCATTGTCAGTCACTCTTTTAATGCCTTAGTACCCAGAACAGTGCTACTTTTAGAGATACGTATGTATCTATTTTCTGAATTCATTTTTGGTTGCAAAGCATCATTCTACAAACATTATGAAAGAGAGCCAAATACTGTGACTTCAAGGATTATCCAATACTCTATAATTAGTTTCATGACCAAAATGCTTTGAATAACTGAAAAGATGAGTGAATGACTGGATACATGAATACATATCATCCATTTATATGAAAATACTTTTGAATACAGGCATATCTTAGAGATACTGCGGGTTTCGTTCCAGACCACCCCACAATAACATGAATATTGCAAAACAGTGAGTCACATGAATTTTTTGGTTTCCTAGTGCATATAGAAGTTATATTTACAACATACTATGTTCTATTAAGTGTGAAATAACATTATGATGACTAAAAAATGTACATGCCTTAATTTAAAAAGAGTTTACTGCTAAAAAAAAGAGGCTATCATCTAAGCTTTCAATGAGTTGTCGTTGTTTTGCTGGTGAAGGGTCTTGCCTCGATGTGCATGGTTGCTGACTAATCAGGGTGGTCGTTGCTAAAGGTTGGGGTGGCTGTGGCACTTTCTTAAAATAAGACAACAGTGAAGTTTGCCACATCAATTGACTCTTCCTTTCACAAAAGATTTCTCTGTAGCATGTGATGCTGTTTGAGAGGATTTTACCCACAGTAAAACTTCTTTCAAAATTGGAGTCCATCTTCTCAAACTCTGCTGTTGCTTTATCAACTAAGTTTATGTAATATTCTAAATGTTTTCTTGTCATTTCAACACGATTATTCACAGCATCTTCACCAGGAGTAGATCCTATCTCAAGAAACCACTTTCTTTGCTAATCCTTAAGAAGCAGCTACTCATTCCTTCAAGTTTGATCATGAGATTGTAGCAATCCAGTCACATCTTGCTCCTCCTCTAATTCTAGTTCTCTTGCTGTTTCCACCACATCTGCAGTGACTTCCTCCACTGAAGTCTTGAGCCCCCAAAGTGATTAATGAGGGTTGGAATCAGCTTCTTCCAAACTCCCGTTAATGTTGAAATTTTGACCTCCTCCATTGAATTACAAATGTTCTTAATGACATCTAGAGTGGTAGATCAGTTCCAGAAGGTTTTTACTTTACTTTTCCCAGATCCATCAGAATCAATATGGCAGCTATAGCCTTACAAAATGTATTTATTAAATGATAAGACTTGAAAGTTGAAATTATTCCTTGATCCGTCAACTGAAGAATGGATGTTGTGTTAGCAGGCATGAAAACAACATTGATCTCTTTGTAGAGCTCTGTGTAGATCTCCATGAGAGCTCTCAGGTGACCAGATCAGTGAGCAACAATATTTTGAAAGGAATCATTTTTCTGAGCAGTAGGTCTCAATGGTGGGTTTAAAATATTCACTAAATCATGCTATAAACAGATGTGCTTTAATCCAGGTTTTGTTGTTCCATTTATAGATTACTGACTGAGTAGATTTAACATAATTCTTAATGGCCCTAGGAGTTTTGAAATGGTAAATGAGCATTAGCTTCAACTTAAAGTCATCAGCTACATTAGCTCCTAACGAGAGAGTGATGCTGTTCGTTGAAGCTTTGAAGCCAAATATAGATTTCTCTCTAGCTATGAAAGCCCTAGATGGCATTTACTTCCAATATAAGTCTGATTAATCTACATTGAAAATCTGTTGTTTGGCATAGCCACCTTCATAAATGATCTTACCTGTGTCTTCTGGATAACTGGCTATAGCTTTTAACTCAGTACTTGCTGTTTCACTTTGAACTTTTATGTTCTGGAGACAGCTTATTTCCTTAAACCTCATGAACCAACCTCTGCTAGCTTCCAACTTGTGTTCTGCAGCTTCCTCAGCACTCTTAGCCTTTACAGAATTGAAGAGAGTTAGAGCCTTGCTCTGGATCAGGCTTTGGCTTAAGGGAATTTTGTGGCTGTTTTGATCTATCCAGACCACTAAAATGTTCTCCATATCCGCAATAAGGCTGTTTTGCTTTCTTATCATTTGTGGGTTCACCAGAGTGGCACTTTTAATTTCCTTCAAGAACTCTTCCTGATCAATCACAACTTGACAAACTGTTTGGCACAAGAGGCCTAGCTTTTACCAAGAGGCCTAGTTTTCAGACTATCTTGGCTTTTAACGTGCCTTCCTCACTAAGTTTAATCATTTCCAGCTTTTGATTTAAAGTGAGAGATGTGGGACTCTTTCTTTCACTTGAACACTTAGAGACCATTGTAGGGTAGTTACTGGCCTAATTTCAGTATTGTTGTGTCTCAGGAAATAGCGAGGCCCAAGGAGAGGGAGAGAGATGAAGGAATGGCTAGTTAGTGGAGCAGTCTGAACACGCACAACTTCTACCAATTAAGTTCACCAGTTTATTTGGGTGCAGTTTATGGTGCCCGCAAGTAATTACAAGAGTAACATCAATGATCACTGATTACAGATGACCATAACAGATATAGTAATAATGAAAAAATTTGAAATATTGTGAAAATTACCAAAATGTAACACAGAGACATGAAGTGAGCACATGCTGTTGGAAAAATGGAGCCAATAGACTTACTCAATGCAGGGTTACTACAAATCTTCAATTTGTAAAAATCCCAGTATCTTTGAGGCACAATGAAATGAGGTATGCTTGTCTCTACTTTCTGAATATGCTTTTGGTTGCAAAGAATCATTCTGCAAACAACATGAAAAAAGATCCAAACACTGAGACTTCAAAGGTTATTCAATACCCTATCGTTAGTTTCATAACCAAACAAAGAGAAATGCCTTGAATAACCAAAGGGATGAATGAATGAATGATGGATAGATAAACACATGTCATCAATTCATCCAAAAATACCTCTTTTTTTTTTTTGAGATGGAGTCTCGCTCTGTCACCTAGGCTGGAGTGCAGTGGCTTGAACTCTGCTCACTGCAATCTCTGCCTCCCGGGTTCAAGTGATTCTCCGGCCTCAGCCTCCTGAGCAGCTGGCATTACAGGCATGTACCACAACGCCCAGCTAAGTTTTGTATTCTTAGTAGAGATGGGGGTTTCGCCGTGCTCACCAGGCTGGTCTCGAACTCCTGACCTCAGGTGATCCACCTGCCTCGGCCTCCCAAAGTGCAGGGATTACAGGCGTGAGCCTCTGTGTTAAAAATACTTTGGAGTATATAGGCCAGGCACGGTGGCTCACGCCTGTAATCCCAGCACTTTGGGAGGCCAAGACAGGTGGATCATGAGGTCAGGAGCTCGAGACCAGCCTGGCCAAAATGGTGAAACCCCCATCTCTACTAAAAATACAAAAATTAGCTGGACGTGGTGGTGGGTGCCTGTAATCCCAGCTACTTGGGAGGCTGAGGCAGGAGAATCGTTTGAATCTGGGAGATGGAGGTTGCAGTGAGCTGAGATCGCACCACTGCACTCCAGCCTGGGCGACAGAGCAAGACTCTGTATTGAAAAAATATATATATATATTATATAAATATAATAATATATTATAAATATATACATATATATACATATATGTATATATATGTGTATATATATATGTGTATATATATATGTGTATATATATATGTATATATATATATATATATACATATATATATACACACACACACTTTGGAGTATATAGTTTTAATGGTGGTAAGTGCTCTAAAAGAAGAAGCAAGTGCTATGAGAGCATATATTAGGGACCTTTGACCCAGCTTGGGATTTATGTTTAATTTGAGACGTGAAAATGATTAGGAGCTAAGAGGGGTTAGGCTGGAGAGAGGGTCCAGGTAGAGACAATATGTGGATCCAAGAAGGAAGAACAAAGGGATCAACAAAGTGATAGAAATAGGCCGGGAGGGGTGGCTCACGTCTGTAATCCCAGCACTTTGGGAGGCTAAGGCGAGTGGATTGCCTGAGGTCAGGAGTTCGAGACCAGCCTGACCAACATGGTGAAACCTCGTCTCTACTGAAAATACAAAAATTAGCTGGGCATGGTGGCAGGCGCCTGTAATCCCAGCTACTTGGGAGGCTGAGGTAGGAGAGTCACTTGAAACCGGGAGCCGGAGGTTGCAGTGAGCTGAGACAGGGCCTTGGCACTCCATCCAGCCTAGGTAACAAGAGCGAAACTCTGTCAAAAAAAAAAAAGTAATAGAAACAAAGACAGGAAGCAAAGAGAAAGAAGATAATGACAAGGATTAAAGATGCAGCTTTGAGGATGGCAAAACCGCAGAGAGGAGAACTATTAGGATGGTGCAAAGGTAATTGCCAGTTTCACCACTAAAAGTAATGACAAAGCTCAAGGTGGTGGTAGGAGGGACAGCTGAGTGACTCCTGAGAAAATGTAAAGTGCTGAACCTTTGTAGTTTGGAAGACTTGGTTAACCAGAATGATTCATTCCCCAATTATGCCACATCTTCAAGATTTTACTGTAAAAGCAAGCAGGCTGGCCCTGGCATTCCTACCATAAGCTGGTGCTTCAACTTCCACATCTGGCAGAGGCTCTAGATGTCACATAAATTGAACATAGTCATCCAGCTCAAAGGGGGCTTGGGGTCATTGAGTCCAATTTTCATTTTATAGCTACAAAGTACTGATAACTAAAATTTACAAAGTAATGCACACGTGGCAGCCACTGTTCTAAGTGTTTACTGTGTATTACCCCATTTAACCCTCAGAACAACCCAGTGAAGTAGAAACTATTATGATTCCCATTTACAGATGAGGGAACTGAGACACAGAGAAGTTAAGTGACTTGCCTATGGGGTCACACAGCTCATTAGTGGTGCTGTAGACCTTGGGTATAATCACTTGTCTGTATCTCTCAAAAATCATACAGCTGGATAGCAGCAGATCCAAGAATGGACTCGGCTGTCTCCCAGTGCAGTGCCCTTTCTACTATGGTAACCAGAACTCGACGGTGCTCCCTCAGTTGGTTGTAAATAACATAATCCCATAGTAATTGCAAGGATGAGAATGAACTTTTCAGTCTCCCTGTCCCCACGTTTTTGGAATGGTTCTACCTCTGAGAGCACATGAACTCAGCCTAGTTTTGGGGCTGGTCTGCCCCCAATTTTAACTTCCATCATGGCATTGCCATTTGAACAGTGAGTGTTTTGGAGCTGGCAGAAGGTATTTTTGCGCTTCAATTCAATTCAGCGATCGTGTTAGAAGCCATCCTCCAAGTGTCCAATGATGTTAGTGTGTCCCTTTGGGAGTGATTTATAGTCAAATGGGCTGCATTATAGGGTGATGTGCTGAACAGGGGACCAAAGTATGACCAGCAATGCTAGAGATTAGATTTCAAGGTCGTTGAGTAAACCTGTTGTCAGGATTTCCAGGGATGATTTGATTGGGAAGAAAATGCATCTTTGTTTCATCATTTCAAAGCAATTTTATGCTTTGGTTCTCCCCGTTTCTGTCTTCTGAACACTTCCAAGGCCACACTTGAGCCTCAGCATCAGCCTGAAGTCTTGTGTGATAGAGTTGCCATGCAAGGTCTCTCTGGGGGTATGTTGAAAGCTACCAGTAAGACTTGACTTTGATAAAACGTTTAATTGTTTTCTTTTGCCTCAATTAAGTTGAGAAGACTCAAATGTAGCTTTTAAATTGAAAAGTGTAACTGAGTGAGAAGGTTTATATCAAATATTGAAAGGCTAAGGAGCCTTTTAATACATTGTTAGCTGTCAATGTGTTTCAACAAATTGTTTCAGTCACTGTTGTGTTTCAGTCACTATTACAACTGGGGCCTGCAATCTGAAGTGACTCAGGGGTCCATATCTCTGGACAAGGATATCCACTTTTCTGAACCGAACCAAGGACGAGGTAGAGTGGGACAGAAAAGGACAGATTCTAGAGAGCTTTCCCAAGGGACACGTCTGGCACCTGGAAGTGGTCGAGCCTAATGTGTAAAGATTTCAAATACCATCTGGTCATTTCTTTAGGACCTCATTTGACAATCTGTGGGATTGTTTTTTGATGTGGTGCCAGCCCGACCAAATGAAGTTTCTTTCAATGGTGTGGTTGGTGTCTGCTGAGAAAGCAGAAGAGGGGGCTCTTGTTTAGCTCACAACCATTGTGTGTTAGGCATTATGCTTGAGCATTTTACATGTTCTGGAAGTATTCTCAACCCTGGCTGCGATTTCAGTCACCCAGGGAGCTTTTCAGAAACACTGAGGCTCACACCTGTGATCCCAGCACGTTTGGAGGCCAAGGCGGGCAGATCACTTGAGGCCAGGAGTTTGAGACCAGCCTAGCTAACATAGCAAAACCCTGTCTCTACTAAAAATACAAAAACTAGCCAGGCGTGGTGGCGTGTGCCTGTAATCCCAGCTACTTGGGAGGCTGAGGCAGGAGAATCACTTGAACCTGGGAGGCGCCGGTTGTGGTGAGCCGAGAGTGCACCACTGCTCTCCAGCCTGGGTGACGGAGCGAGACTGCCTCAACAAACAAACAAACAAACAAACAAGCAAAAAGAGACATTGAGGCTCAGTTCCCATATCCTAAGATTCTAATTCATTCAGTCTTAAGTAAGAATCGGGGCGTTTGTAATTTTAAAGGCTTGTCAGATGACTCATGTGCAACCGAGGTGGAGAACCCCTAACTTAGAGTGTCTTGTTGAATTTGGGGATATTTTTCTGCTCTGCTCATCCATCCGCTTGCAACTTAGAGGGAGAGTCACATTCTTCATGGTGACAAGAGTGAGAAGTGTATACGTTGGCCTCAATACTCCGAATGCCTGTGCCAAATTCCTTCGGCACCTTGCTTTGATGGTTTGGATTGCCTCCCTCTCCTGCCTGATTCCAGCTAATATTGCTAGCTTTCCAGGCGAATATTTTTGGCAACCCTTGCCTTCTGCATTCAAAAGAATTGCTTGCCTTCATTACTTTATGACTCTCCCAGTGTGCAAAAGTCTATGGAGAGGAGACTTTTAGGAGGCCCCAAGCAAATAAGGCCTCATCTTCCATTTAAGGCTTCATTCCCAGGAACTTTCCCAATACAAACCTCAGTGCTCCTGGGCTGGCCTTGCTGGAGAGGGCTTCCTGAGGCGGAGTTATTGGGACCTGAGGGAGGGGTTCCTAGAGTGCAGCAATTCCAGACTGAAATTCCCAGGCTTGGGGTCTCCCTGGGAATTCCCTCAGGAGGACCCTGTGTGCATTTGGGTGAAAGAAAGCTATTGTTGAGGAAATTTGCCCTGCCAGGGACCCCAGGGCCTACTTTGGGTGTGTGTGGGTGGGTAGAGATGAAGGGGAAAGTTCCAGCTGCTTCAGATGGTGGCGAATGACTTAAACAAACAAGGACTGGGGCTTGGAAGAGGAGAGACTGCACGTGCCTGGGCAGGTTTCAGGTTCCTGACAAAGAGACAAATCTGAGAGAGATTTACAGACACCCTCTCCATCTATCACACAAATCTGTGTCAAGATTTTGAGTCTGCAAAACAGCACCAGCATTATTTCATTGTCTCTGTGATTTAGGAAATGAGATTGAACACTTGTGGAATACCCACTGTGTGCCAAGCACCAGGCACCAGGGTATTCATTCACCCATATGTTACCCTAGCAAATGATTTGATTTTCAAAGTATGCCCTGAAGTGCCTATGATTACTATCCCAATTTTATGGATTTAGAAACTGAGGCCCAGGTCACTGACATGATTTACTCAAGGTTACACAAACTGTGTAAGAACCTGGGTTAACCTGACATATAATTGAAGTTATGCTTCTTTTACTTCACCTCTCATGACCCTCTTCCCCTATGTCTTTTTAAAAGGATATACATATTGTTACTTTTCTTCTCCTAAATGTTGCCTAGATTTGCTTTCTCCATAGTTTCACCTTTCATTCTTCTTTGGTTCCTGAATCTGGCTTCTATCCCAGCATCTCCAATGAAGCAGTACTCCTGTAGGTCATTTGATGACCAAACCATCAAACCCAACCCTAATCAGTCCTTATCTAACCTGCCTTCATAGTATTTAGCATGAATGGTCTCTCTCTCTCTCTTGAATTGGACTATCTCATTCATTTTCATAGGTGTACCAGCTCTATGCTGATCAATCTCAAATCTACCTCTGCAGTCCTGACCTCTCTCCTAAGCTTCAGGCTTATCCATCTACTGCCTACTAGACTTATTCATCTGGGATATCCTACAGAGGCTCCACACACTCCCAAAAGGAATCCAGCATTTCTCCTAACCACCACCCCATTCAACCCCCTTTGCAGGATCTATGAAGCCAGCAACTTGGGTGTATCTTTTCCCTCACCCACTCATCTAAATCAGTCCATCAAGTTCTCTCCATTCTGTTTTGTGATTATTTCTTAAAGACGATCTCTCTCTTCTCTACGCCCAAGACTCCTTCTTTAAGTGAGGATTCTTTTCAAGAGCCTTCTAAAAAGTCTCTCTGAATCTGCTTCACTGCATGAGTCTGTTTTCCATGCCGCTGACAGAGATCTTTTGAGGTGCTAATTAAACTGTTCCATGGCTCTCAGAACCTCTATTTTCCAAAGTACATTTGCAACCTATTTTTCCAGGATACTCTGTGAAAAATAGGACCACTGTGGTCAAGTAGCTTTGGAAACTTTCTGTGTACTATACTTTTTGTTTCCTTTTGGAGATTCAGATAGCATATTAAATGTCCTGAGAATCCCTTAAGTTAAAAACAGGCTTACATTTACATACTTCAGCATCCCAAATGGATTTCATCATGGAATCACCCCTCCTCCCAAACACTCATATTTTTAAGCATGAGTCCTGCTCACAACCTTCTGCAGAACACATTTGAAACCACAGGATGAATGCTGTGATCCTTGGCCTGCCATACAAGGCTCTTGTTCATCTGACCTCTGTTCACCTGTTGATATGGTTAGGCTTTGTGTCCCCACCCAAATCACATCTTGAATTGTAATCCCCATAATCCCCATGTTTCAAGGGAGAGACCAGGTGGAGGTGATTGAATCATGGGGGCAATTCCCACCATGCTATTCTTGTGATAGTGAGTGAGTTCTCATGAGATCGGATGGTTTTATAAGTAGCAGTTTCCCCTGCCTGTGCTCTGTCTCCTGCCACCATGTAAGACGTGCCTTGCTTCCCGTTCACCTTCCACCTCAATTATAGGTTCCCTGAGGCCTCCCCAGCCATGTGGAACTGTGAGTCAGTTAAACCTCTTTCTTTATAAATTGCCCAGTCTCGGGCAGTTCTTTATAGCAGTATAAAAACGGACTAATACACTTGTCTAGCCACCTCTCCCCCTTAAATTCTCACTACTCTCACCATTCTTGAGAATACTCATCTTCCTCACATACCTCTGTGTTGTGGTTTTGTTTTTGTTTTTTGCTTGAAAAGCTATTCCCCTCCCCTCACCATCTCGGCCTGCCTTCAACTCATCATTGAAGACCCAGCTCAACTGTCTTCCCCTCTATGAAGCTTTCTCTTATTTTCTGCAAGGGAGAAGTAGACACCCCTTCTTTTTACTTAGAATCTTCCTTTATACCTTGAATATTACACTTAGGACATACGAAGTTATTCTATGTCTACCTAGCCTTTTAACCTTTCAAACCAATTGGGTTATTGTCTTATATCTTTTCATGTTATGACTACCTTTATCTCCTGTCAGAAGTTTGGACTCATCACTGACCCAACAGAAAACAGTCTTATCCTTTCTAGTTTTTGGTAAGACAGTGTATGTGAGAAACCTTACAGTTAGGTATGGGTGGAGGACATGTCAATCCAGAGTGTTTGCTAATGTGTTCAGCTACAGTCCACAATAGCATGTGCCACAGTATGCTGTCTCACCTAGATGGTGTGTAGATTGGCTTGATTGTAGGTATATGGTGGATAATAACATCTTGGCACAGAAACAAAACCCAAAGGCACCTTATCCCCTGCTCCTAAGACAGGCTCAAGGCTCAGCTTCAGCTAGTTAGCCTGGATCTGTATTCAGTTTTCCAGTCATCTTGAGGCTGGGGGCTCGGAGTAGCAGCCCACCTCATGAATCCTGCTCGTCAGTAAGGGGAATATTCATTGTCAAGGGCTTACTCTGTTCAGGCACTGTGCTAAGTCTTTGCCTGCATTATCTCATGTCATTCTCACAACAACTCCATTAGGTGGAAACTCTTATTTTCATCATGTAACAGATGAGTGAGCGCACTGAGGCTGGGCAAGTAAAATGACCTGTCAACGAGCCATAGCTTCAGGCCCTAATCCAGCCTGTGGCACTGCCCTGATGGGTTACCTTGGGCAAATCAATTGATCTAACTGAGACTCAATGTCGTCATCTGTAAAATAGGAACAATACTAGTGTCTATCTCATGGAATAGTTATGAGGGTTCAATGATAGGATGCATGCAAAGTGCCTGGCATAGTGCCTGACACTTGGTAAGTGCTCTATAAATGGTAGCTATTATGCGCTCACATCAGAGACGTTGTTTTCAGCCAGGATGAAGGGAGGCATGAGGGCAGTTTTATACTGAAGGAGAGGGTAGGTCTAAAAATTATTTGGATGATGAAAAGGTCACAATCCTTTGGGAGGCAAAGGAGGAAAAATTTATCTTAAACACAGGGAGGGAGATGGCAGCCAGGTACCAGAACTCTTGATGTGTAAAGGGCTGGCCATATGGAGACTGAACAAAGTCAGTGAAGCTTGGCTCCTGTGCAAATCAGAGATGGGCTCAACATGTATTCCATGTAGCTGATCTTGCATGTGCACGGTGGTTTCTGATGCCTCCCCCGTAAGGGCAGCTTCATCCACTCCTGTGAGAAATGCAGCTCACAGATGTGGAGGACCATCTGGAGAAGGGATGTGAGTGAAGGTGGGTGACTGACAGTGGGTGGAGCTGGAGCTAGGGACTCAGGCGGCAGACCTACTGGGTTAGAATTACGACTGTGCCACTTGCTAGCTGTGTGGGTTTGGGCTATCCACTATCTCTCTGAGTCTCAGTTTCCTTATCTGTAAACTGGCAATAGTAAGGGTACCAACCTTATAGGGTTATTGGGAGGAACAGGGGAATTTATTCCTGTGAACTACTTAGCACAGACCAGGCACATGGTAAAGGTTCAAGAAATGCTGATTTTTCATCATTATTATGTGTTCTGGACGTGGCAGGGGAGATGGGGCCAATGTGGAGGATCATAGGGCTTGCTGAAACAGTCCCAAATGAATCTTCTTCAAATTAACCTCTGCAAATATTGCCTCTGCCTCCATTAATTTAGAGAAGCTTTGCATTCTTTTCTCTTAAGTTTATTTTGCAGCTCATGTCTTAATGAGCTAAAAAAAAAACTATAGAGGTTTTGATCCAATTTCAGACTACCCTGTAAGATATCAGCATCTGACAGTTCTGCTGTACTCTTTCAGGCATTTTACTTGAAATGATAGTAATGTGATATTTGCATCCAGTGCAAATTATGAATTTTCACTAATTCTTAGATTAGATGGGGCTTAACTGCTAGGATGCAGCTTGCACATTTAATCTACTTCAGAGCAGCTTCACTTACTAGATGGTCCTCATGGGTCTGGGGAAAGGATGTAAAATATCATCAATGAGGTATGAAGCATGTTTTAAAAGATGGAGTCTTGTTTTCAGAGTGGATTGAACTGCTGCTAAATCACAGCCATTACCCAAGCACACATAGCATGTATTCCAGCCTGAGTTGCCACCAGTTTTTCCTTGTGACTTGATCCAGTCCTCCATTCCCTGCTGGCAGTTTGTGCACCCCTTTGCTTTTCCCTGTGCTGCTCAGGCAGGTGGTTGCTGCCTAATTAAACACCCACACAGCAATTCTCTCTGTTTTCTTCCTCCATTCCAGGATACTGTTTATTCTTGTTTTTACATTTTTTTGGAAAAATGTTTTGAAGCACCTTTTGAAAAAAGAAACATAGTG
Organism: Homo sapiens; assembly: GCF_000001405.40. NCBI lineage: Eukaryota > Metazoa > Chordata > Mammalia > Primates > Hominidae > Homo > Homo sapiens. The sequence continues at coordinate 132,778,899 of NC_000023.11, read as the reverse complement.
CTGATGATCAGCTAAATGTTTTTATAGCTTTTCAGGAAGTGTGAAATGTTCTGATAGCTGGCAGCCAAGTGTCAAGAAGGCCTTGGAGAAAAAGAAAAGGCCAATTCCAACTCCTTTAAGGCAACTTTTAGAAAAGATTTAGGGCTTTAAATTCAGCTTCACATACTACCTCCCAAGTCCTCTCTAATTAGTAGAAGGTAAAAACATTTTGGCCGGGCCTGTAATCCTAGCACTTTGGGAGGCTGAGGCGGGCAGATCACGAGCTCAGGAGTTTGAGACCAGTCTGACCAACATGGTGAAACCCCATCTCTACTAAAAATACAAAAAAAAAAATTAGCTGGGTGTGGTGGCACGCACCTGTAATCCCAGCTACTCAGGAGGCTGAGACAGGAGAATCACTTGAACCTGGGAGGCGGAAGTTGCAGTGAGCCAAGATTATGCCACTGCACTCCAGCCTGTGCAACAGAGTGAGACTCCATCTCAAAAACAAAAAACAAAAAAACAAAACAAAACAAAACAAAACAACGTTTTTTGCTCAATCCAGCATCTGATATACATTTTAACTACTTTATTGAGTTGAATTTATATTTAATAGAGTTGTATTCTGCATGTTGAATACATACATCATTGTATCCAGAGGCCATTGTTTATTTAAAGAACTTATAGAACAATTGTCTATTTTAATTTATTATAGAAGCTACACTATAATTTGGTTGTGATTGCCTTTATGTTACATGCATAGTCGTATCTGTGATATACTTGGAGCCTAATCTCTGGTCAAGATTGCAGCATTATTTTCATGGGAAAATGTATGCCATGACAGTGACATGACTTCTGGCCTGCAGCAATAAATGCATCATACCAAAACTGGAGAAGTGAGCATAGCCCGGTGTCTGCTGCATAATCGGAATTCATTCAAAGTCTGCTGAATGAGTGAATTAATTGTCTATATTCTGTTCAGACACAACTACGTGGAACATGAAAGACTGAGAACTGTTCTCTCAAGTTCCATCATAATCGACAACTTCAGACAAGCCCCTCAACTACTCGCTGTCCCCATTTCCTTAGTAAGGGCTATCCATCTCATAAAGATCTTAAGAAGAAAGGACATGGAGCATTAGTCTAAAATGCCATTCTTTAAAAGTGATATTTAGGCCGGGTGTGGTGGCTCAGGCCTGTAATCCCAGCACTTTGGGAGGCCTAGGTGGGTGGATCACCTGAGGTCAGAAGTTTGAGACCAGCCTGGCCAACATGGTGAAACCTCGTCTCTACTGAAAATCCAAAAAAAAAAAAAAAAAAAATTAGCCGGGTGTGGTGGTGGCATGCCTGTAATCTCAGCTACTCGGGAGGCTGAGGCAGGAGAATCGCCTGAATCCTAGAGGCAGAGGTTGCAGTGAGCCAAGATCGTGCCACTGCACTCCAGCCTGGGCAACAGAGTGAGACTCTGTCTCAAAAAATAAATAAATAAAATAAAATAAAAGTGATATTTAAACTTCATTAAAAGTAGAAGAAAGCCAAATGCATCATTTTAACTTATTTTTTTTCTTTTTACTCAACCAGATAGTTGGTGACATATAATCAACACACATTTATCGAGGGATGCTATTGTAGGTACTCAGCACCGTGCTAGACACAGGGAATGCCAATGTTCCTGCTCAGACAGCTTCCAATCCTGTTGAAGAGACAACCCTTCTCAACACTGGTTCTATTGACATTCTGAGCTAGATAATTCTTTGTTGTAGGGGGTTGCCCTGTGCATTGTAGGAAGTTTAGCAGCATCCCTGGCCTGGCCCTGGCCTACTAGATGCCAGTTGTACCCCCTTCCTAGTTGTAACAATGAGAAATGTCTAGACATTTCCACGGCCTTCCATTTCCTCTGTGATGCAAAATCGCCTCCTACTGCAAACCACTGGTGTAAAAAGTGATCTGTCATGCAAATTAGTATGAGACAGTCAAATGAGGAAGTAATAGGGAGTGGAATTCACTGGCGTGAATGAGCTGGAGTAATCAGAGACTTAAACTGGACCTTTAAAAAACTGAGTGGGATTTTGATAAGTGGCAAGATTATTGCAGGTATAGAAAATTGCATGTGCTATGGTTCTAAGACTGCGGTGCTGCAATTTGGTGGGTTTGTGGGATGGCCTAGTGACTAACTGACTGGCTTGAGTGAATGGAGAGGAATGCAGATAGTGGACAATGAGGCGAATAAGGTAGGCTGGTTGCCACAATGTCAGTTTAAAAGAGCGGCAGGATGCAGGGGGGGTTTGGATAGTGACTCTGCCAGTAGTGTGTAGGATGGTTTGGAGTGAGGATGGATGGGGGAAGGGCTGTAACTCCCCTTATCCATGCTTTTACAAAGAGAGAGGGGAAAACAAGTTGAAATAGTGAACACAGATTCCTAATGCAGCAATAGCATCTCCTAAGCTTTGTGTGCACTAGACATCACATCGCTCATGTCATAGGGTAGATTCTGCAGATTTGTTTTTCTTTCTTCTTTTTGCCTGTGATTTGGAGATCAGAAGATGTAGATGCCACAGATTTGTCTTTGAAAGTAATTGTCTTGTTCTTCACATTAATATACTTCATTAGGTCTTTTAGATTAGCTCCTGGGACTAAAATCCATATTCTTCAGACAGCTCTCTTTGCAACTGTGTCTTGCGACAATTCTCTTTTCAATTATGTTGTGCCACTTTCATATTTCTTTCAAAATGTTCTCAATCAATTTTGCCGGCACTTTCTCTCCTCCAATAATATGGCAATGTATTATCTTATTCGCCATCCACCCCATGATCATACAATTGTTGCAAGCACCTGGAAAAAACTTTTTTTTCATTTTGTCAAACTTCATAGTATTTACATTGATGAGTTTAACAACTACATGGCATGTAGAATGTCCATGAAGAACTCCACATAATCAGCATCTAAATTTGAGTATTTGAATGTTTAGGGCAACAACATGATCTCAGGACTTCTTTTTTTCAGGACCTAAGACAAACAAAAATGGCTGCAAAACATGAGCCTTGTACTGTGGCTGATATCATTGAAGCACGAGTTAGCTGCAAGAGGAAAATTCACTTGGTTTAGTAGCGGAAAGGTGATAGAGAAGATCTCTAGCACAACTAATCTGAAAATTATTAAAATCTAAAAATTAAGGTAGAAAATGGCATGAGAACAGTTTTAAAAGTCCCATAGTTCTGTTCAGTGAATCTGAGCTCAATCGGCTTGCCATTTGGTAATACAATGATGTGGCCTTGGCAGATGGTGAGTCAGTGGAAGGCTCAGTATTATTCAAGCTCAGTTTATATAGGAAAGAAGCAGAAACAACACCCCCGTTTTCTTGCATTATGTCTCATAAAGAAATCTTTTTAGTAATTTCACTTAGAAAAGGAAATACTCAATGTACCCTTTCACATATCTGAGGTAGGATAAGCTCGCAGAATCAGTACTAGCCCTGAAGCTTCTACATGCCTCTTATTGTGTGAGAGGAACTGGAGGAAGAGCGGCAAACCATATGATCGCTGACCTCAAGGAGCTCACGACTGAGCTGAGGTAATTGAGTAGCTGTGTGTGGCACACCTAAGGTCACTATGGTCTGGAGAACTGTAGAAAGTTTCCTGGAGGAGGTTGAATTTATACTTGGTTTTGAAAAGTAATGTAGAGAGAAAGGTATGGGCATTTTGAGTAACATGAGAACAGAACTAGCGTGGTGTCTATAGGGAAAAGCTAGGTGCTCTGCTCAGCTGGTGGAGGGAAGCAGAGAAGCTGTATATTTAGGGAAAGAGTGGAAGTAAGGCTGATGGACAGGATGCCCCTGGCTGTGATGAGAGTGTTTTGGAAAACAGGCTACTTAGTGTCGTCAGCAGTGGTAACCACTGCAGTCCATGGAGCAGAGATGGATCATGAAGAAAACGGTACTTTGGGCCGGGCACAGTGGCTCACGCTTGTAATCCCAGCAATTTTGGAGGCCGAGGTGGGAAGATCTCTTGAGGTCAGAAGCTCGAGACCAGCCTGGCCAACATGGTGAAACCCCATCTCTACTAAAACTACCCAAATTAGCTGGGTGTGGTTGTGCACACCTGTAATCCCCACTACTCTGGAGGCTGAGGCAGGAGAATCACTTGAACTCAGAAGGCAGAGGTTGCAGTGAGCCAGGACCACGGGACTGCACTCCAGCCTGGGCGACAGAGCGAGACTCCAGATCAAAAAAGAAAAAAAAGCTACTTTGAAGGGGAAACTCCTTTAAAACTGGAGCAGTCCTAAAGTGTTCAACAACCCAAGTTTACATAAAATGAATTGTGATGATTCCTGTAAATCTGTAAATATAGGTCATGCTGATCTGTTCCCTGAAGGTGCTTAAACCAACCTCAACTTCAGTCGTCCATGCCTTTCATGACTCACTCTGGCTTTCCCCAGATAGATAAGGTCTCTCTGCATGAGAAGCTGGGATTTAGCTTCATAGCAGTTTTGAGACACGGTCTGTAGGAGCAATTTTTCAAGAAGCAAGACTATTTGCACTTCGTCCTAAAAATAAATGTTTGGGGTGGAGAGCAGAAAACAGCAAATAGCACTGTTTTATAAATGAACAAGGAGGTTCAGGAGCTTTTCTCTCAACCCCCTAAACCTTCTTCTGGGAGTTCCTCCAAACCTAAAGTCACACCCATCTGCCAGATTGTGTAAAGCTGAGTCCTCGGAATGTGAAATTTATGAGGGCAGGGACTTTGTTATGTCCATTCTTTATTCCCAGCCCTTAAAACAGTGTCTGGAACACAGTAGATGTTCTACATTTCCCCCTTTAAATCATATGCTGTGGAATTCATAAACTTTCCATTTTTGACACAGACATTATTTGAATAATCATCTTTATTTTCAGTTCATCCATTTCATATTGAGTTTTTAAAATAGCAGCTTTATTGAAGTACAATTCCTAAGATACACAATTCACCCTTTTAAGGCATACAGTTGGGTGGTTTTTAGTTTATTCAGAGTTGTGCCACCATCACTACTAATTCTGGAGCAGTTTTCACACCTCCATAGGAAATCCCATAATTGTCAGCAGGCACTCCACATTTCCTTTTCCCTCCAGCTTTTGGTGGTCACAAATCTGCTTACTATCTCTATGGATTTACCTATATTGAACATTTCATGTAAACAGAATCACACACTATGTGATCTTTTGTGTCTGGCTTTTTTCATTTAGCTAAATGTTTTCAAGGTGCATCCCTGCTCTAGCACTATCAGAGCTTCACTTCTTTTTTGTGACCAATAACATTCCCTTGTATGAGTTAATCACATTTTATTTATCTATTTATCCATTGATGGACATTTGGGTTATTTCCATTTCTCAGCTATTATGAATGGAGCTGCTATGAGCATTCATATAGAGGTTTTTGGGTGGACAGGTGATTTCAGTTCTCTTGGATATATACCTAGGAGTGGAATTGCTGGGTCATATGATGATTTCAAATTTAACTTTTTGAGGGACTGTCAGACTGTATTGCAAAATGGCTGCAACATTTTGCACTTCTACCAGTAGTGCATGAGGGTTCCAATTTCTCCACATCTTTGTCAACACTGGTTATTCCTGGTCTTTTTTATATAACCATCCTATAATGTTAATGAGTTAATGTTGACTTTTGGATTATAAATATATTATATGTATATATTATATTATAAATATATAATACATATTTATTATATATTACATATTTATAATATGCATTAATATATATTATATAGTATATATAATCAATATATTCACATGATTAATATATTAATATCTTTAATATTATATATTTATAATCTATTTATAGATTGTAAATCTATAAATATGAAAGTTTATGTTAATACATTATAATATATAAACATATATATAATCTATTATTTTTATATCTTTACATAAATATATAAATATAAAAGATTACATTAATATATTATATATTAATATATAATCTAAATTATATATTAATATAATTGGATTATATAAAATATATTATATTTTATATTACATAATATATAATATATGTTATATTTTATATTATAGACTATATTATATGTTATATTTTATATTATAGAATATATAATATAATATATATTATATTTTATATTATATCATATATAAAATAATATATATATTATATATTATATTAAGTATATATTATATTAATAATGTAGTTCTATATTTTTATATATTGTATATTAATCATTACAGTTAATTATATTGTATACAATATAATTATATTGCATACAATTATATTGTGTACAATATCATTATATAGAATACAATTATTTATATTGTGTACAATATCATTATATAGAATACAATTATTTTTATTGTGTACAATATAATTATATTGCATACAATTATTTATATTGTATGCAATATATACATATATTAATTATATATATATTAACAAGTGTGAAAGTCTTATACTTTGCCTCAGAAATGGCCTTGCCAGCACAATATTTCCCTTCTTGCATCTTTAGTTTGATGTGTTGTTGTTTTATTTCCTCATAAAGCAAATGAAAAAGAGGGATTGGGGATCTGCTAAACCAGATGTTAGCACTTTTTAAATTTAGAGTGTGGTGGTCACAAGAAAACACAACTGGGCCTTGAGACGGCATGGAAAATTCTAGAAATGTGTCATTTCACAGCATCTGTGCAGAAACTGCTTCTGTGCCAGCATGTTACATTTGAAACCACATTTTGTGTGTGTTCAACTTTTACACAGATCTCGAGAAAAGTGAAATTGAATTTTATGCATCTGTAATTTGATTTCAGTCCATGACCAGGCCATTTCTTTATAATAATTATAAGAATGTATCCAATATATGACTTTCATCTTCTGGTAATTACAACAATTTACCATTTATAGAACACATAGTTTAAGACACCATAAGTAACATTTCATGCTAATTGCTTTTCTGAAAATAAAGGGCTCTGTTGTACACATCCAAGAACAATGGTAGGAGAAAAGAAAATTGATTGATACATCACATCAAAGAGGAGATCAAAATGAAGTCATCCAATATATGCCAAAGGCTCTCATAAATTACAAATTTTGAACTCACTCCAAACTTTATTTTTAGGCAAATACAGTATCTTCAAGTCTCATTATGAAAGTTACTTCAAAGATGATTTGATGTGACAGTATTTTTCCCAAGGCTTTGCCTGTTTTCTATTCCTAAGGCTTCCCATGCGAGCAGGGATTCCTGGGGCCCAAGCTCAAGCAACCAACTTATACTTTGAATTTGAACTCAAAGGACAAGAAGCCCATTTTTGTGATGTGCTTCCCCATTTCCTTCTTTTGAGCCTAATTGAAGAATTAAAAGTTGTCTTCATTTCTAAAGTTATATGCCGAACACAAAGGGGGGTTTCAACAGCTGCTTCTTGTCATGCTGTGGGAAAAAAATAACATCTCATCTGAAAAATACCTCCAGGTTCTCCAGATAGTTCTTGCTTTTCTCACTCACATTTTTCTCTTTACATGAACAGATTTGGCTCCTCTTCTTCTTTTGTAGGTAGTATCCATTCAGTAAGATATTTTTCAGATATTGAGAGTAATACATTGTTCATTAGAAAACAAAGTTAAACATCCATAAAATACTAAAAAGAAAATAAAGATCACCTGCAGTGTCACAACCCAAAGTGTATCATTTTGCTTTAGTTTCTTACACTGTTTGTTTGCTTGCATTCATTCTTTCTTTCACTCGTTGCATATTTACTGAGCACCTACTATGTGCCTTGCATTGTGGTAAGATACAAATTGTGATCCTAATTTTCTTTATAATAATTAGGTTTATAATTGTTGGCATAGTCCATGCCTCCTCTCCTAGACTTTAGTGTCTGGGACCATCTTACTCACCATACATCGTATTATGACCATTTACCAGGTCATTAAATATTATCTGAAAATAAAAAGTTTAATGGCTGCATAAGACTTCACTTTCAGCATCTACTAGAATTTACTATTTCCTTATTGATCATTTAAGATATTTTCTTTTTATTCTGCTATTTTTGATAATTATAATTAATTAATTCCATTTTGAACATCATTTGTAAGGGTATACACATTTTTATGGCTTGTGTTGTATTAGCCACACTGCCCACCAGAAGAGCCCTACTAATTTAAGCATTTACCGCAGTAGGTGAATATTTCTCAAATGAAGTTGAAGGAAGTTCCAAAATGGCAGACCCAAGGAACTGAAAGACTTACCCAATACATCCCTTTGCCTCCAAGGAGAGACAGAATGACCACTACCACCAGAGGGGAAGCCAGTTTGTTTAAGAGAATTGAAAAACACCAGGGAGAGCTCTCTCAATATAATAGTACTGGGATTTGGGGGCAAGAATAAGCAGTGGTGCAGGTTGTTTATTTACATACGTTTATAAATTATCTTTACAGGGCTAAGAGTGAACTGGATGAATGGTGTTGGCATAACCTCAGAGAGGCAATCCAAATTTTATTAATTCTCTGTTATGTGTCAGAGCTTGAGTTAGGTGCTATGAGTGATGCATGGATGAACTAAACACAGTTCTTGGCCTCCCAGAATGTTAAAATCCAGTAGCAGGGAAAAGTGTGTGCGAGCTGGAATTTGAATGACCTGGGTTCCAATTCTGATTCTTCTACCCATTATAGCAGTGACTTTGGAGAGGTTACCTGATGTCTCTGATCTTCTGTTTTCTCATGTGTAAAACAGGGTGAATAACAGAGTTCTTGTAAGAAGGAAATGAGATAATGTGTATAATGTTCTTAGGAGAGTGTGTGGCACATAACACTATAGCAGCACTCAGGAGATGATAACTACCATTGCTTTGGTAATGATGTTTCCTATCTTCCAAGGGTTTTGTGATGATTCAATGAAGTAACAAATGCAAAACACTTAGTGCTACTACAGTCTCAAATTAAGATGACGATCTGATGATAATGACAACCTTTTTGGTGAAGAACATATCACAAGCGAGTTGTACCAAACATAAATGAGTAACAAAAGGGTAGCTTGCCCCTTGTCTCAGAGAAAGTGAGTCTCGGCATGGGTTGCTGCAGAAGACAGTGTTGGCTCTCCACATCCTGTGACACCAAGACTTATTAAAACCAGACATTCAAAGCAATTGCAAGTTCTGATCTACACAACTGTTGGTCACTTCCGCTTTTGCGCCTACCTCATTTGAGGCACCTGGAGTGTGTTTTTTCTTGGTAGAACCGTGACAACATGCCTATTGCTGGCCTGGAATTGTCTACCAAGCCCAAAGCTTTTTAGCAGTGGGTGATATTTGTTTCTTGTGCCATCGCTGAATAATGACTTTTGTAGTCTGAAATTAAACAAGCATTCAAGGGCTCTAAGTGTCTGGCAAAAAAAGTTAGTGGCTGGAAAAGCTGCAGAGGATGTCTATGAAATGCAATTGATGAACACACTTTTCCCCCTGAGCTGCTTTCCTGTTAGGTGGTGGAAACTGGTCTATTTCGGTGATGTGTGCTGACTTCTTCCCTTCTGGAGCCCATGCATTGGGTGCCTCCAGGTTTCAAAAGAATGAGGACAAATTAACTGTTCTTCTAAAGTACTAATGCTGCAGGCCCTTCTGAAATAAAACCTTTGCAGAATGGAAAATATTATTGTCTTCTTGCTTTCAAAAGTTACTTGTTTACCTGTTGCTCATAAAATGCAGGATAATTTGTGGTTGGGAAAAGGTATTCTTTGCCTGATGGGTTTAATTTCAGCACCGTAGACTTCCCTGAAGATTACAAAGCTATTCTATTGCTACACATTTATAGAGCTCACCCCGAGGAAAGGGAATTAGTGTCTGGCATTACCTTCCTGCCTGCCAATTTTACCTCACTGATTCAACCTTTGAAACTGATTTAATCAATGGATCAGCACATTATTCAAAGGTGGAAATGTTATTACAGAGAAGCTTTCAGGAGGGTGGATGATTCGTACAGGCACTACACAGGACTTTTAATCACACCACATAAAAGAAGCAAATTTGAATGTTGCTTATGCCCAGAATTTTGATGAAAAGTAAAATTTTGATGAAACGTGAAAAGGAGTACTAGGAGAAGCCCATGGCTTGGATTTATGTTGGCAGACATTTCTTCTGAGAAAGAAAACTCAGTATGTTCTAATGTAAAGATCCACAAAATCCAAAAACCACACCAATGGGTAAGCCTATTGAAAGTAAGAGAGATGAGAGGTTGAACATGATAAGGAAGCTGAAAAGCCAAGCCTGTTCCCAATAGTCACTACACTCCAGTGGAAGAATTCTCAGTTTTTGTGCAGAGTCCTGCATTTTGCATAGCTCAGTTGCTGGACAAGTGAATGATCATTTTCCTCATCTGTCAAATGGGAATAGTAATACTTCTCAAGGTGTTTGTGAGGATCATCAGATACTAAGGATTTTACAGGTTTTTATTTTCCTTATATGATGTACACGTTCTTTACATTGAAAAAATTATTTCTCCAAACTAGAATCTTAAGTTCCATGGGTATGATGGGTCTGATAAAGTATTTGGCATCTCTTTTACTAGGTAGATCCCACTCACCCTGAGTTTTTTTTTTTTTTTTTTTTGAGACAGAGTCTCACTCTGTCACCCAGGCTGGAGTACAATGGCATGATCTTGGCTCACTGCAGCCTCCACCTCTGGGGTTCAAGTGATTCTCCCACCCTAGCCCCCGAGTAGCTGGGACTAAAGGTGTCCACCACCACACCTGGCTAATTTTTGTATTTTTAGTAGAGATGGGGTTTCACCATGTTGGCCAGGCTGGTCTCAAACTCCTGACCCCAAGTGATCTGCCTGCCTCAGCCTCCCAAAGTGCTGCCACCCTGAGATTTGACTTAATGGAGCCCATGGGAGATATAGATACCTTGGGTCATTAGCAAAACCTTCAACGTAAAGATGTATCAACTCTGAGAGACCCTGGCTAGGTCTACTAAGTTAAGTGGAAGCACCACAACATCATGGTTAAAAGGAAAGCCTTTGTGTTGAGCCAGGTGTTGTTTTGAATCTCAGCCCTCCTGCTTAGGAATTATGATCTTGGGCAAGTTACTTAACCTCTCTGTGGTTCAGGTTCATCATTCAAAAAGTAACAAGCATCATACTACCCACCTCAAAGGGGAGCAGAAATTAAATGAGATTAAGCATGCAAAGCATAGGAGCACCATGCCGAGCATAGAGGCACAATAAAGGGCAGTTGAGAGGAGTGGCGGCCTGGCAGGGTGGCTCATGCCTGCAATCTCAGCATTTTGGGAGGCCGAGGTGGGAGGATCACTTGGTTACTTTATCAAACCCACCATACCCATGGAACTTAGATTCTAGTTTGGAGAAATAATTTTTTTTCAATGTAAACAATGTGTACATCATATAAGGAAAATAAAAACAAGTAAAATCCTTAGTATCTGATGATCCTCGCAAACACCTTGGAAATTATTACTATTCCCATTTGACAGTGATCACTTGATCACTTCAAGACCAGCTTGGGCAAAACAGCGAGACCTCTTCACTACTAAAAATTTAAAAAATCACTGGGCATGGTGATGTGCGCCTGTAGTCCCAGCTACTCAGGATGCTGAGGTGGGAGGATTGCTTGAGCACTGGAAGTCGAGGCTACAGTGAGCTGTGATTACGCCACTGCACTCCAGCCTGGGTGACAGAGCGAGACCTTGTCTCAAAAAGAGAAAAGGGAGAGGAGTAGCAGGATTGACAGCAGCGGTGGCGTTGCCCCTTGAGGATGGAAGGTCTCAGTCATCTTGAAGTCTGCTGGAGCATTAGTTCCATTGAACCTCTCTTTGAGGGAGACTATGTTCTTTGTCCTTGGCCTTTTTTGCCTACCTAGAACTGGCTGATCTTGCATGGACTGCTATAGAAGTCCTTTGTAATCAGGTCGTTGAGGTCAGATAATCGAGTTCCAATCCAAGCTCTGTCATTTGCCAGCTGTGTGACACTGGGCAAGTTGAGTTACTCAACCTCGCAGAGCCCCTTGTTCTCAGCTGCAAAATGATAATACAATAATTATTTGCTGCATAGGGTTATTGAGAGAATGAAATAGGATAATCCATGTAAAAGTACCTCAACCATTCACTGGAACATGGTAAGTGCCTAATAAAGATATCTTCTGAGTATGGAAGCAAGACTTCATTACATGTGGTATTGATTTACAATTGAGTGCATTTCATGATATTAAAATTAGGTGAGAATTGGTGGTATGAAAATGCAACCACATCACCACAGGCCTCACACCCATGCTTCCTGTGCAGTCTGTGGAACTGTGCATCAATTAAACCTCTCTTCTTCATAAATTACCCAGTCTCACGTATGTCTTTATAGCAGTGTGAGTACAGACTAATATACCTGGAAAAGTTGAGTGCTCTAGGTCAACTGGCCTGTTTAGTGGCAGGGCTAGGATTAGACTGTCAGGACCCCAAGATTCCACTTTGTGACATTGTCCTCCAGAGCCATTGCCTTCGCATACTGATTCACCTTCCTTTCTATAGTTTCTGCCCTCCATTTAACCACTTCTTTTGTTCCCCTCAAATCCCAGATGGCCAGCCTTTTAGGCCTGCCTTTCTTAGATATGATATCAATCATATCATTTCAAAATATAAAATGAATTTGTTATTTTAGTTAGTTAAATTAATGGTGAAAGATTCATTTACCAATAATTTTGACTGCTCTTCATTTGTTCTGGGATCCCTGTAGTAATATTCTAGCTTTCTCCATGCAAGTGAATGCTGTACTACAGTGATTTTCAAACATTAGTTGAATTAGTTTCACCTTGGGGTCTGGTTGAAAATACAAATTCCTGTGCCCCATATAACAGGATTCTGGTTCCTGAGTCTGGGCCGAGGCTCAGAATCTGCACTTTTAACAGGCTTTGCCACGTGAGTCTAAGGCTAGTGGTATATGCAGCCCACACCTTTAGAAAACTGCTTGGCTTTGAGTCAGACTGCCTGGCTTGAAATCCAGGCTCTGCCATTGACTAGCTGGAAGTCCTTGGGCCTTGGTTTCCTAAACTTAAAAAGGAGAATAATACATACTAGTCCATGTAAGGTTGCTATGATGATTACATGAGATAATAAATGTGGAGCACTTAGTATTGTGCTGAACCTACAGTTGGCACTCAAGAAATGTTAAGTAATATTATTTTAAAATCTAGGGCCGGGTGCAGTGGCTCATGCCTCTAATCCCAGCACTTTGGGAGGCCAAGGCGGGAGGATTGCTTGAGCCCAGGAGTTGAAGACCAGCCTGGGCAACAATATGAGACCGTGTCTTTACAAAAAACATTAGCTGGGCATGGTGGTGCATGCCCGTGGTGCCAGCTACTCGGGAGACTGAGGTGGGAGGATCACTTGAGCCCAGGAGGTTGAGGCTTCAGCAAGATATGTTCATACCACTGCACTCCAGTCTGGGAGACAGTGCAAGACCATGTGTCAAAAAAATAAAAATAAAAAATAGAAATAAATCTATTGAAACACACACACACACACATGCACACACACAAAGTCTACAATGTGTTTTTCTGGTTATTAAATGGTAATTAGTGTTAACAGAAGATTCTCCTTGCATTAACACACGTGTGTCTCCACACGCATTCTTTAAAGCTTAGTGCTAATGTTCTCTTGTCCTTGAGGTGTTTGTGATCTTCCTCTTCACTGGAATAATTGTTCATTTTATATCTCTCCCACTTGTGCCTCCCATAGAAGGCATTTTGTTCTGCAACAAATTCTAGTGAGAATTTTGCATCTCTCTCTTCCAGGCTTGCAAGCTGCTGAAGGACAGGGGAGCAGTTGTAGCCATCCTGCACCCCAACTCATACACCGTGGCCCAGGTCTTACCCAGTGCTTAGCACTCTGTAGTACTTAAAACCACACTTGCTATATTCACCTGAAGTTCTGGAAGTGAGAAGCCTCAAATGAAATACTCAAGACCAGAATCTCTTTACTCTTTCTGGTCTGAGCAAGTGGGAGGTGAGAGAATAAAACTGGGAAGTGTTGGATCTTCTCTGGCTTGTTTGTTCTGCAGTACGATTGGGAGAAAATGTCCAAAAATGTAGAATTGAGAAGAACACCCCCAAAACCACCCCAGCAATTACTGTTGTTTTAAAAAATCGTAACCAGATGGAAGACATTTCCTGAAATCACACCTTTGTTTCTTGGAGAAAGAAAAAGCCCATTCCTGTGAGTGGGTGTTCATTAACTTGGTAAGTAGGGAAGATTGAGCTTGGCCTGGAAGGAGGTGGATTTTTGCAGGGGCACTCAACAGACAATTAAATAAGGAGGGGCATTTCCCATCAGAACACATGAAACAAGAGGCTGGTTGAATTTTCTGCAACTGTCTGCTTGAAGGTTTATATTCAATGGGTGTCACCACAACTTACACCTCATAGAACAGGGATTTGGTCCCCAAGAGATGTAATGCAAATGTCACATCATAAACTCCCAGACTGCCAATACTGAAGGGATTTTAGGAATCGTCTAGAATAAGAAGTACAGACCACCCACCATTGTTTTGTTAGTGTTACCAAAATGTCAATGGTTGTTCAAATGCCTTTAGTTGCTGTTTTACTGCATATTTTCTGATTCCAAAATGATTAGTATTTCTTGGATTTATACTCTGGCTCTGCCACTGACTGGCTGTGTGACCTTGGGCATGTCAGTTGCCCTTTTGGGACTTCATTTCCTTTTATAAAAGGAGCAAACTAGGTTGAAAGATCTTAAGGTTCTTTTTAGCTCTAAATATGGGAGAGTCTCCCAGAAATAGAAATGCACCACTCCTTTTTTTGGAAAATTCATTCTTTCCTAATGTTGAAATGCTGGCAGTCCAGTGAGTCAGGTAACCATGTTACAAGAATTGTCTCACAAATTCTGTAAGGAGGTAGGGAACAAAGATACATTCTGATGTATGTTTCTTCTATTAAATCTATTTTGGTATTCCAAGTGACATTTGTTCTTGCACAGCTTATGCTTCACACCAACATGCTATCTGTCAGGGCACACACTGATTAAGACCTATTCTGAGAAAACATATTCTCTGTGATTGAAATCCAAACGTATTGATTGTTTTATTTCCATCAGGAGAGATTGCTTTCTATTTGGTGATGGATGACAACTCTTCACACCTCTCTGTCTGCCAGCTGGACAGAGGATGACACAAGCAGCCTCTAAGTCTTGTGTGGGCTGAGCCATTAGCTATGACAGGCAGCTCCAAGCCCTCAGTCACTTCGCCATGGCCCTAGCATCGTCAAGTGAGCAAGATTAGACATGTCACAGTTGCAAGATGATGCCTAAAACTGATGGCTTGGTGAAAAGAACCTTTAAAAATGACAAGGCCATCTTAAAAGCTCCTGAACAGGGTGGGACATGGAGGGGTTTGAGAGCAGAGCCCAGCTCGGTGCAGAGAGAACATCTCGAGTCTGCACTGTCTGCTGTTTCTCCGTACCACGGTGTGCTAGCAGGAAAGCCTTCAAAGGATTAAAACCCAAGTATTTATGAGCTAAACATAATGTTTCCCTCTCTCTGGGAATGCCCAGTGAGAATACCACTTACATCTGCACAGAATGATTGCATTTCGCAAAGTACTTTCACATGCGTTAGCTCATTAAATTCTTAAAACTTTTACTCGTGGGAAATAGATAGACACTACATTTTTACCATGTTACAAATGAGTAACTAGGTATGCCCTTTAATCTCTGATCCCTGACCCCACAAGCCACTCTTCAAGGCTTGAACCCATGGCTTCTAGTCCGGTCTTTCCATCATCCTGAGGTGCTCAGTTATTCGAGCCTGTAGCTAATGACTGCAGGACACATAATCATAGCAACTCACATTTATTGAACTCTTACTATGTCCCAGACACTTCACATAATTTTAATTTAATCTTCACAACAACCTAGTGAGGATCATATCATTATTGTCATCGGCATTTTACAGAGGAGGAAAATGACATTCAGAGAGGTTAAGAAACTTACCCAGGGTCACATGATAGTAAGTGACAGAGTTAAGACTGAAGCTGAGTCAATTGAAAAGTAGAAAAATTCTTAACCATGATGCTCTGTTGCTGGCAACTCCCTGTCCCTTACCCTTTCCAAAAACATTAAGAATAGGAAAAAAAAGAAGAGTGAGTTTTCCCTCTTGGGCTATGCTAGCAACAGAGGCCCAAGGGGAAATGCTGTTTTAAGCCAACCTCTTGGAAAGGGTCATTAGCAGCTGACATGATGCCAATATGGACCAATATGTCTGAAAGCTTGTTTCTGGGTCTTTTGTGGTCTCTGCCATTCTTGTCCCTGTCCCTGGCCTCCACATTCCTTTCCCTCTGGATCCTCAGTAACATTGTCATCCTACTTTGGACATGCACCACTCTCCATTTTAGGTGAGATATGTAGGGTTATTGTAAATAAATATTTCAGAATCAGTATTATTTATTCCCCACCTATTTCTGAAAAGGATCTGAATAAAATCTGTCTATTAAGTAATTTGAAGTTTACAAAAAGATCTGAAACCTTGTGGAAGAAAGTCAAGGGAGAAGAAGACATGAACAATGGTTCTATCAAGAACTTGGGGTGGAAGTCATCTCACACATTTCATAAGCACTGTGAACCTGGCCCTGGGATTGCCACTAAAAATACAGAGCTGAGTAAAACATGGCTCCTGCCCTCAAAGAGCTCAATATCTAGTAGCATTAGAATTACTGAATTTGAACATTCAATTTGACTTTGAGTTCAAACCAAGACAATAAGTGAAACATGATGGATTATCTAGTACTCATCTGATAAATGGAGTAGTGTCTGTTCTTCAGAAGACACAAGCTGCTTATAATGCTGAATAATAATGATGAATTATTTCATATCAGTAATAGCTAATATTCTTTGAGAGCTCATCATGCGCCAGCTATTGCACTAAGCAATAGCTGCATTATCCCATTTGCATGCATTATCCCATTTAATCCTCACAAATGTCTTCATGATGTATGCATATAATTACCCCCATTGTACAGATGAAGTAATTAGGGTAAGGAGGAATTACCTTGTGGATCCATAAGTAATACAAGGGGTGAAAACTTCAATGGAGTTTTTACAGAAGATTCAGACCCGTATTTCATAAGGCCAGTGCACACATTTCTCGGCCATTTCTGTCTTCCCTGTCACTCTACGGGAAGTGGCTATGAATATACTGTCTCCAAAGGCTGTGACTGTAGCCATTGTGCTTCGGTATTGCCATTTGGGACCTAACGGTTCAGAAGATGTAATAACTCTCCTTGCATGGACCAATTACAGAAAAACTCCCTTTGTAAAGCAACAGCATGAGCCAGAACAGGCACTTCATTATCTGCCTCTGCCCACAGGGAAGTAGAGACGCTGGCGAGAGGATGATTGACCTGGGAAATGGCAGGGCTTGGGATCCATGCTTTCAGGGTCAAAGGCCTTCGTGCCCACTTCCAGGATTGGCTTCTCAGGATGCCCTGGTGCTGGCTCGCCCCCTGCTGGGGTGGGCTCCTGGGGTTTCTCTCTCAGTGGGATCCCATTGGCAGTCTCTCCCCTCCCACAGCAGCAGGCCCATTGACTTCTGGGCACTCACTTCCCAGGACCCTTTTCAGTCCCTGAGAATCAGAAGTTCTTTTCACTCTGAGAGTTTGCAGACGGTGTTGCACCAAGAATGGATGTACTTTGCCTGTAGAGGGCTTTAATCTAGTGAATTGTGCTCAGACAGATAAAGGGTAATTTTGCTTCATTTTCTGTACCTTTCTGAAAGTTTCCAGGGTCAGTTAGCCAGGTCTCTGCAGGCTTCTCAGCTCCAAAGCAGAGGCAAAAGTCTTTTTCCACCATTTATTCCTTGCATATATGGAAGATTCTTAGGCAAAAAGTGATTTTTTTTCACCCATATCTTATCCCAGAAAACAATGCCCTCTTTTTAGTTAAACTGAATGACTACAAATCATATCACCCCAAATTGAGTAATTGCAAGTCTTGTTAGTTATCAAGGTTTTATTGAGCCTTATTTCAGTTGCTTACATATGTTTTTGTTTTTAAAGAAAAAAAAAGTGTAACGCCTTTGGCCCGGGCCTCAAATTCCTTTTTTTCCCTCAGGCAAGCACGCTTACAAGTGAGGGATTCCCAGCCTACAAGGGTGAGTTATGTGTGTTGAGAGCAGAGTGGAAAGGTGGGCATTTACTCGCCCTGCCCCCTCCACTGAACTCGAAGTGCTCATTCTCTCCCATGCCTGTGTCCTCTCTCTCTTCACACATGGTCATGTATACACACAGTTGTACATGCACACTTTCTCCTTGCTAAAACTTTTCTTTGCTCTGAGTAGATGCAGTCCGTTCTCACACTGCTACAAAGAAATAGCCGAGACTGGATAATCTATAAAGGGAAGAAGTTTAATTGACTCACAGTTTCGCAGGGCTGAAGAGGCCTCAGGAAACTTACAATTATGGTGGAAGGGGAAGCAAATATGTCCTTCTTCACATGGTGGCAGGAAGGAGAAGAATGAGCAAAAGGGGAAAAGTTCCTTATAAAAACATCAGATGTCGTGAGAACTCACTGTCACAAGAACAGCATGGGGGTAACCGCCTCCATGATTCAATTACCTCCCACCAAGTCCCTCCCATGACACATGGGGATTATAGGAACTGCAACTCAAGATGAGATTTTGGTGGGGACACAGCCAAACCATATCATCTACTCTCTCCCTGGCCTCACCCCACATTACTGCTCTGGTGGCCAATGCTGTAGTCACGAATTCTGCCTTTTCTCATGTCTGCCATTTCAAGGAGCTCACCCCACTCACCTCAAAAACCGAGCTTTTATAGACGCAGAAAACTCTTCCTCCTATATGCACACTGATTGATCACCTACACATGCCATCAAGAGCATGTACTCTGGAATTAGATAGTAGTGAGTTGGAGCCATGTCTTTACTTATTAGCCATGTGACCTTGAGGATACTACTTAACTTCTCTGAGCCTCTACTTCCTCAGTGAATCATAAATAGAACCTACCTCATAGGATTGTTGTGTGGGGATTCAGTGAAATAGGGCATGTAATTTAGTACAGTGCCTGGCCCATGTGATCAATAAATGTTTGCTATTATCATTAAGCGTGGTGATCTTAGCTGATTGTATTGTTGTTGTTGTTGTTGCTGTTGAAGATTTTGCATCTTCTAGGTTATGTTTCTTTGCTGCTCAGGAGGCAGAACAAGTTTCTCCATTGCCAAATTGTTTGCTTTTTTTTATTGGGGTGAAATTCACATAACATAACATTCACTATTTAAAATTATACTATTCAGTGGCATTTAGTGACACTCATTATGTTGTGAAATTATCACCACTATCTAGTTTCAAAACATTTTCAGCACCCCAAAATGAGACCCGTATGCATTAAACAATCACTCCCCATCACCCCCACCTACCAAATCTTTTTTTAATGTTGCTTTCAGATCATATGCCATTCCATAAATCTGAGAAGTTCAGGAAGGCTAGATAGTGAGCTTTTTTCCAAAAATCAATCAGAAACATATTCCTAAATAAAAGAAATATACTCTGATATTCTGGGACTGCCTTATCAGAGAGTGAAGTGAAAAATCAGAAGTGATATAGTCTCATTCAGGCCAACACAGAAATTACTCCTTTAATACTTATTGCCCATATTTCACATTATTTTCTTTGCCTGGTAGCTGAGAGAGAAAAGGAGCTTGAAACTTTGAGTAAGGGGAGGGAAAGATTTTCTAAACCCCCTATAAACAAATGATGGTAAAGCCTAGGAAGAGGTTAGCAGGTCAGCCTCTTTGCATTTAATTTCCATCTTGCCACATTCCAAGGAAGGAATTTTAGTCTTGGGAGGCACCAAATAACCCTCAGGGGAAATGTGACCCTTTGAAGCTCCTGGTTGTCTATTTCTGCAGCTGCCCATCTACTCACACCACCCAGGTTGGAGGGGCCCAGCTCTTCAGCACTCAAATACAGTGGAGCTGGCCACTTCTTTGCACGGGGATGGTTTATAGGCTTTCTATATCAGGCTGTGTGCAGACGAGACAGGCTTGATGAGTCAGCTGAAAAGGGGAAAGGAGGGGAACTCCAGTTGGCTTGATGCTCAAGTGAGAAGTGGGAAGAAGGACCAACAGTTAAGAGGACTCGGTGAAAATACTACGGGATTTGGCAAATGTATGTGAAGGCTTTTGTAGGTCAGCCAGTTTGCCCTTGGAGCTGTGGGCCTGCCTGAGAAGGCTTTTGTTGGCCTTGGGAGCTGAAAGGGAGACCCTTTCTTTAGGCTCTGCAGGCTACTTGGCAATCAATGTTGAGGCAGGTTTTCTGCTTCTGTGGGGTGCAAAGCTTTGGTCAATGTCATCAAGAGCATCCTCTTCTTAGGAAACCATGACCTTGCCTTGGGCAACTTTTCTGTAGCCTTTAAGACCAGAAAAGTGAGTAGAGAAGACTAACGTAATTGGACAAACCTTGCTTTGATGGGTGGTGATTGGGACTCTCATATGAATTCCAGAAGGAAATATATGAAGAGTGTCTGTAACTTGAATGTGCTTCCTCTGTTGGGTCTTGCATTAAATCACTGATCTGCACACTTTAGCCTGCAGCAGAATCACCTGGCGAGGAGGTGCCTGTTGAAAAAGATAAGAAGTTTCATTCAGAAAAGATGACCCTGAAGTAAGTCTTCTCACTCATTTCTATTTATTCACAGTTCCTACTTTACTAAGAAAGTTTTTAATTATTGGCCATTATCCGTGACTGAAAATACATTAAGTAAAGTTGCAGGATGAGTTTTAACATTTATGAGTTAACTTCATCCACATCAGTAAATTTGACAAGTATTTTTGAAGACCCATCTTTGGGTTTTATTAAATAGAAATTTCTGAAAGTTGTATGCCCAAGGGTATTTTGTTTTTCTCATGTGTGTTCAAATTTGGGAAGAATGAATTTTGCCTCCTATTCACTCGGTAGGAGATTTAGTGTCTCCTTCTGAATTAGCCCTTTCTGTTCCTGAAGGAAAGTATTTATGAAAAATCAGACTCCATTCTGGAAACTGAATGATTTTTGTATTTTGCTGCAGTTAGATGGAGTCCTATAAATGAGCCCAAAACATGCTGGCTAAATCTCTCATAAAAGGCAAATATCACAAAGAGGAATGGCCCAAGTCTTATTTTGGCCCCTGGCCTGTGTTTGTCTAAAAAGACTTTTAGAAGTGTCACAAAACACTAAAGCACTGCCTAAATCATCCCTTCCTAACTTTTTGCTTATGGGGGTGCAAGGGAAGTTGCACGTGGTGGGTGGGGGTGCTGAGAGAGAGAGAGAGAGAACACAAAGGGCCAGCTCCCACTTGGAGCTCCCCTCGTTTCTCTCCATTTTGCTCTTCAGGATGTCCCCACCCCACTCTGCATTCTCACCACACCCACACATGAACCCAGCATCTGCCCAGGTGCCACGAATCATATTACAACTTTGCTCCCTGGCAGAGAGTGGCCAGAGAGAAGTTTCTGGAGGTGAGGAAGTGAGCCTGCCTGACTGCTTTGGTGGCAGAAACCAGGGGCTTAACCAGTGACTCTGTGCTCGAGGCTTGTTTGTGAAATCCTTTAGCAACTCTTCAGAAGCCTCTCCTCTCTGACTTCTCAGAGATGCTGGCTCTTCTACTTTGGGAAGTTCCTTTGCTAGTAACACATTTGAGGTGAGTTAAATGTCTTCCTCCTTCAGCCTCAGCTTCCTGTGCCTAAGGGTGAGTTAAGCAATTAGTCCTAAATAGCCCCAGCTGTTAGGGTTTCTCCAGAGGATGCTCCTTGTGACTTTGATTGCTTCTAATGAGGCTATTGGCTTTATCTGTAATAGACAATGTTAGATTACACATCTATGTCTTTTACAGCACCTTTTACCCCCAGGGCTTTACGTTTTCTGAGACCACTCTTGAGAACCTTGGATCCAGTGGCATTTTTCTTCTTGTGAATAAAAAATTATTATCTTTCCTGTTCTCCCTGTGAGATCAGCCTTGTTCTTGTTCTGCTCTGGGGTACTCTGTATTTAGGGAAATTACTCATGACTCTCGGGTACTGAAAAGACACACACACACACACACACACACACACACACACACCATGCACAGGGGAATGGGAGAGCAAGAACGTGTGAGAGAGAGCCACTTGAAGAGAGACAGGGAGAAAGAAAGAGAGTAGGAGAAAGCAATAAAGAAAGCGAGATCACAGTCAGGCCTGAGAAGGTGACAGCAAGCCAGTGTTTTAGAGGTAGGGAAAGAGCCCAAGATGGATGGAGAAAGCTCATGCAGGAGCAAGAGAGCACACATGGGAGTGCCAGCAACCTTGAAAAAAAGCACCAGTGACAGCAAAGGGAATCTATGAGGCCAGGAGGCTGGGCGAGCAAAAGCAAGAGAGTGCAAGAGATCAAGAAAGGGGGAAAGGAGGTGGGAGAGGGAGAGCGAGCCTTCAGGGCAAAGGAGTCAATGAGAGAGATCAGCACATTATTTGTGGGCAGATGAAGAGAAAGTCTAAATGAGGAGCTGCTTTCCCCTCATCTTGTTGAGTTGGTGGAAGAGGAAGAGAAGATGCACAGGGCACAGACTCCAGCTTTCATTAATCCAAAATGGAATTTCTGGGACATACATGCTCAGGATCAATGTCATCTTTAAAGACCCAGATTCCAATTAGAACCACAAGTACACCTCCCCATCCTTCAGTATTATTTGAAATTTTAGAACAACTGCCATTATTCTACACAAAGTAAAGGATGATCATTTTGGAGTATGTTTTTATCAAACCACCTCCCTATCCACAGACCTGTGTTAGACAGCTTACCTTAGTGGTTGCCAAACACCAGAAGTAGATCATTGTCATGATTTTGGAGGGCTGGGCCGAGGCCTGGAATTCTATGGCTTTAATACGTGGCTCCATTGGGAGATTCCATTGCCCAGGAAGACACTGGCCTTAAGCTACACCCTTTTTCAGAAAGCAGTAACAAATTCAGTTGGACCACTGACCTGAAGCCAGATTGCTTTCCAACAAGGCCCAAACTAAAGGGGGTACCAAAAAATCAGTAATCAACATAAATAACATTTTAATGATATGATTTTTTAAAAGAGAAGTTTCTACTTATGTTGCCCAGGCTGGAGTGCAGTGTCTATTCATAGGCGCGATCATGGAACTCTTGAGCTCAAGTGATCCTCCTGCCTTGGTTTCCTGAGTAGCTGTAATGATATGTTTTAAAGACTTAAAATTAATGTAGACAAATCCAAAATGAACAAATATCAAAATTTTAAATACAGTTTCCAACTCTGCCCTTGCACACCCCTGCCTCTCTTGACCCACCCTAACACCATCCTTGGTTCCAGTTAAACTTTATATACAGAATCAGGCAGCCATCCTGTGGGCCATATTTTCTTGACTTAAAAAAAAAAAACCATTGCCTTAAATATCATTTATTCAAGTAGAATCCAAATCTTGTTTGTTTTCTAATACTGTTTTTCAATAAAAGCAACCAGGGCTCCTTGGAGAAATGACCGATTCCAGGACTGAGGCAGAAAATACACAAGATAAGCCTGGAACATCTTGTATTGCCAGAAAGTAAGGAAGTGTTAACAAATACACAAACAAAAACAAAAAGCAGAACATCACAGGAGCCAACTAAAAGAGCTACCAACAGCCAAAGGTATAAAAACTTGAGAAAATATACTAGTATTATTGGACTATAACCCAAAGTATAAAATAAACATCCAAGAGTCCATACTGATATAATTAAATGGTTAAATAAATGGATGATAGACACATCTTTTGTGCAGGGTAATTCCAAATAATTTGTGTAGATTCTCTGCCCTCAAGGAGGTGGAGTGTAACTCCTCACTCCTTAAGTATGAACTGCGAATAGTGACTTCCTTGTAAAAGAGTATAGTATGGGCCAGGCATGGTGCCGCATGCCGGAAATCCCAGCACTTTAGGAGGTTGAGGCAGGAGGATTGCTTGAGACCAGGAGTTTGAGACCAGCCTGGGCAACATAGTGAGACTCCCTCTCTACAAAAAAATTAAAAATTAGCCAGGCATGGTGGCATGTGCCTGTAGTCCCAGCTACTCTTGAGGCTGACATGGGAGGATCACTTGGGCCTGGGAGGTTGAGGCTGCAGTGAGTCCTGATCATGCCACTGCACTCCAGCCTGGGCAGCAGAGCAAGATCCTGTCAAAAAAAAAGGGTGCAGGCCGGGTGTGGTGGCTCACATCTGTAATCCCAGCACTTTGGGAGGCCGAGGTGGGCAGATCATGAGGTCAGAGATCAAGACCATCCTGGCTAACATGGTGAAACCCAGTCTCTACTAAAAATATAAAAAAATTAGATGGGCGTGGTGGCAGGCACCTGTAGTCCCAGCTACTCAGGAGGCTGAGGCAGGAGAATGGCGTGAACCAGGGGGGCGGAGGTTGCAGTGAGTCAAGATTGCTCCACTGCACTCCAACCTGGGCGACAGAGCAAGACTCCGTTTCAAAAAAAAAAAAAAAAGTGCAGTATGGAAAGGGAAAGACAAGTATCCTTACCATGGATTAACCTGACAAATACTGCCTCAGCCAGGTGATCAATGTGAACATCACCAATCATAAATCATGCTGATTGTATGTGTCTTTGGATATGATGAGATGCGAATGGCACTTTATCTCTGTGGTCTTCTTCCCTATAATCCATAACCACAGCCTACTTATGAGAAAAACATCAGAAAAATTCCAATAGAATGGGATTCTACAAAATAGTTGACCAGTACTCCTCAAAATTATCAAGTCATCAAAATCCAGAAAAGTCTGAGAAATTGTCACAGCCAAGAGGAGCTCAAGGATATGTGACAACTAGATGTAATGTGGGATCCTGCAACCGAAAAAAGTAAAAACTAAGGAAATCTAAATAAAGCATAGACTTTAGTTAATAACAAATTGATATTAGCTCATTAATTGTGACAAAGGTACCTTATTAATCAAGAGATGTTTATGTGGGAAACTGGGTGTGGGGCTTATGGGAACTCATTGTACTATTTCACAATTTTTCTAGAAATCCAAAACTATTCTAAAATACAAAACATTCTTTGAAAAAGTATCTTGATGGCTGAATGTTTTGGTGCCCCCTTAAATTTTACACACAAGGTGAGCACCTTGCTTGCCTCACCTTCATCCTGGCCCTGCTGTCTGAGTGCAAAATACATTTGTAGCACTGGATTTCCTAGGAGACACCTGTTGTATTAGTCTGTTCTCATGCTGCTAATAAAGACATACCCGAAACTGGGTAATTTATAAAGTAAAGTGGTTTAATGAACTCACAGTTCCACATGGCTAGGGAGGTCTCACAGTCGTGGCAGAAGGCAAAGGAGAAGCAAAGTCACACCTTACATGGTGGCAGGCAAGAGAGCTTGTGCAGGGGAACTCCCATTTATAAAACCATCAGATCTCATGAGACTTATTCACTACCACGAGAACAGTATGGGGGGAACGGCCCCCATGAGTCAATTATCTCCACCTCTCCCCATGTTGACATGGGGGATTATTACAATCAAGGTGAGATTTGGGTGGGGACACAGCCAAACCCTATCACCTGTACACACTGCATTCTCTTTATTTGTATATAAATAAATCCATAGTATTCTTTCCTCCACAACCTTCTCCTTAGCATAAGCTGAATTACATTCCTTGGCTTCTGACAAGGAATGAATTTAGATGAAGCTCAGTGTGCACTTCCCAAAGTTGCAGTTGTACAGCCCTGTGAAGAGAAGAGGCAGTGGTTGGAAGCCTAAGCCACAGAAACAGAGTATAGTCCAAGAAAGGTTATAATGCTGTGCCCAGCAGCCAGAGCTTCTCCTGCAGCTGCTTTATTCCTGCCAAGCAAAGCCATGAGCTTCTCCTGCAGCTGATTTATTCCTGCCAAGCAAAGCCATCCTCGCAAAGAGCATTGGCCCCTCTGCTGCCTGGGCCTGCCTCTCAGATAGAGCTCTGGAAGCCTGGACCTTTGTCCTAGAAAATGACATGACTAAAGTGGGTTTTGTCTTTCCTGTTGCTCTCTTTCCTCCTTTCCCTCTTTTCACATCAATACCAATTAGAGAGGACAAGTGTTCAATCAAGACATAATGTCATAGGCACGGACTTCTCCTCACTGTCTTCCTCAGGGCGAAGAAGCTGCCAGCCTGGAGCAGAAAGCTGGGTAGAGACACTGCTTTAACTTTATTCCCTCAGGGAAAACTGCAGCCATGAAAGTACAACATTGAGCTGACTTGACTTGGCAGAAAGATGTGTTTTGCGAGGAATTGGGATCTGGGAGAAGGTGATTCTGATACTAACTCACAGAGCATACCATCCCATTTCTGATCAGCGTCTGCGTGAGAAGATCGTTCAAAGCTAGGCAGTCTGAGTCTCATTGGAAGAAGTGGCTAAATCTAAATCTGGTGTCAGTTCTTTTTTTTTTTTTTTTTTTGAGACGGAGTCTCACTATGTCACCCAGGCTGGAGTGCAGTGATGCAATCTTGGCTCATTGCAACCTCCGCCTCCCAGATTCAAGCAATTCTCCTGCTTCAGTCACCCAAGTAGTTGTGACCACAGATGTGCGCCACCACACCCGGCTAAATTTTGTGTTTTTAGTAGAGATGGGGATTCACCATGTTGGCCAGGCTGGTCTCGAACTCCTGACCTCAGGCGATCTGCCCACCTCGGCCTTCCAAAGTGCTGGGATTACAGGCATGAGCCACCATGCCAGGCCTGGTGTCAGTTCTTTAACAGTTCCACCACATGGGATTTAGCAGGGGAAATGCTGCAGAGTGAATGCCAGAGACTTTGTCCAGTTTCATGTATATGACCATTGGCTCTGGTTTCAGAGAGACTTGGGTTTGGGTCCCAGAATTTCTTAATTGTGTGACCTGGGCAAGTCATGTAGCCCCCACAGAGCCACAGTGTCTTTATCTATAAAATGAGGATGCTGGTAGAGTTGCTGTGAGATTAAAGGAGCTAATTCAAACACTCATCCCATTGCCTGGTGCAGGAAAGGTGCCTACTGGATGATAGCTCTCATCGTTGAAACTCTGAAGCTTGGGACTGGGGTAGGGGACACTTCCACTAGAGTACAGACCCAGGAATAACTCTGGAGACATGTTGCAGGAGGCCTGCCAGCTTTGTTGGAGTGTGTCCTTCGTGCTGGTTAATACATGGGAAATGGCTCAGGAACAATAGCTTGCTCTTGGGAGAATCCCGGAAGTGACAGTGTGAAAAATGATGGTTTTCCAAGGTGGTATTCCCTAGGGCTGAGATTTCTTGTCCTTCCTTTTCCATGCTCACAGGAAGAAGGGGAGGTATTTGGTCAAGAAAGGGTTTCCAGAAGAAAGTGGCTCAGAGTCTTGCTCCTCCTTCCTCCCCTGTCTGTAAATTCTTTGCATTTGGAATGTGTGATGACCCCTGTCTGGGCTTTGCACTCAGATCCCTGGGAGCTAGGAGCAGCCCTGAGAATGGGCAGCATCCTGCATCTGCCTTCCCAGGTGCAGTCCTGAGAATGTGCTGATGGAGTTTAGTTTTAATGACAATCATAACTCCAGAGGCCTGCTCTTTACTGTTTTTGATTGTGCAGCTGAAGACTAGATGACCTCATTGAAAAGTGGGAGACAGAAGCAGCTGTTGCCACAGGAAATAAGCCCCCCCGCCCCGCCCCACCTCAGGAGACACACTGCTTCTAAGAGTTCTTTGGAGTGGGGGTGGATCCAGAATGGCAGCTGTCCTCTACCCAGATCTTTCTTTGTGTACCCAGAGGTTGGGCTGAGCTGTGGGTGACTAGACTGTGGATTAAGAAACCATGAATAGCGTTTCCAGAACAAATTCTTGGCCTGTGAAATCTCCATTTAGCTTGCTCTACCAGGACCACATGTGTCTATGATTTGCCTCCTTTCTCTTTTTGGATTAGAGTCTGTGCCCTGCACCTCATCCCCTGGTTAAGCTACCATCCCTCCCACTGTCGGCTTGGAGCTGGTTTGCTATGCTGTCAAAGATCTGAGTAGCAACAGATCACGCAGCCTGGTGTTTGTGGCTTATTACATACTCCCCACCTTGGCTGAGTAAAACATCAAGAGAGATGTACTAAGCTTCCAAGCACAGGGGTGAATACTGAAGCCGAAGGCTTGGTGTACTAATGGTGTAATTTGAGGTCCCAGCTACAGGTTAGAGGTGGTGGGGATTTAGAGACAGGGGAATTTCCTGGGTATTTGTTAAATTGCAGTATCCTGAGAGCTCCTTTATCTTCTGTAGACAACATTATGCCTGTTTGGGGAACTTCACACATATATATCCACGTGATTCTACCCAGTTCCCATACCCTTGGCCCATCACACCACAAAATAAAGTGCTGGAGCCAAAGAAACTCTAAACAGATGTCTTTAGATGAAAACAAAGCTAGCAGCACTACTGTACAGCCCACATATTGTTGTAGTTTTAAAAGTAGATTGTTGTGGCTTTTGGTTTACTTGCTCACTCCTTACCCCATTTCCTGTTGGTGTGATACTGACCAGCAAAGTCGCCTTTGCAGCGTTTCCTTGGATCTCTTTTTTTTTTTTTTTTTTTTCTTGATGGGCATCTTTCACTTCTAGGAAAACCAAACAAAAATTTCCTCCAAAAATTCAAGTCAGTCAACATTTATTGAGCACCTAACAGGTTCATGGTGTTGTACCAGGCACTGCAATTGGAGAAGAATGTTACAAGTACACATGCCCAAACTCGACTGTGTCCAGTCTGGAGAGAAGGCTGGATCTGGCCCCACAGATTGTGGTGGGAGACTGGCTGGGGATGAGGCTGTTGGCTCTTGGTGTTTTGCAGGAAACTTCAAGAAGGAAGCTGGGGGGTGTGTCCTCCCTAGGCCCCCCACCCCGGTTAATTTGCTTTGTTTCTGAAACACACTGACCAGTAGCTAAATGGGCCTAGCTCATGTTCAGGGCTGCGTGCTGAAACTTCATTAGCTCTTTTCAAAGCCCTTTCCTATTGGTATAGAGGTTCCTCTTAACACTGCCAGCTTCCTTGAAAGGTTTTTCAGCTGCTCCTTATAGAATCACTTCGAATTAAAATGCTTCATTCCAGGGGAGATTTTATTTACAGCCAAGCAACTGTAACTAGTAGCACTCCCCCCACCAGGCTGCAGTGACTATAGATCTTTGATACTGCTGAATGACTCTGTCAAGGGTTCCAATTTGCTTTTATACAAGTGCATCACCCAATTCAAAATAAATGCATCCAGACTCCCTTGTCCTCTCCCAACCCCCACACACTATTCCATTTCCCATAAGCACGTGGCCTGCGGCTCAGGGGTGTCAGTCACTTAGCCAGCTGTCTGTTGCCTGACACAGACATATCAAGTTGGTTCACCTTAACTAAGTGATTGAGCTTGATTGCCAACCATCTGGTGAGTTTAGTTAAGGGAATTGTGATTTCTAGACCAGTCTAACACGGCCAAATATGTACCTCCCCAAGCCCCCAAAACAAGTGTGTCTGTGGGACCACATTTTATTTGTACAGTTACAGAATTTTATGGCTGGGGAGGACTGCTTTCCAACTTCATTGCTGAAGTCTGAATTTACCCCTTCAATTCAAGCTCTGAAAATTTTATGGGCTGAGCCCAAGGCTAATTGTTCCAATATTAGATGAAGCCCCTGTCCTCAAGAAGCTCACAGTCACTCAGAGGTAAAAGGCAGTCACCACTTGGCTCTAATGTAATGTAATAAGTGCCATGGTAGCGGCAAGAACAAAGTGTGCTGTGAGAATCCGAAGGAAGGATGGATTACTCTGCCTGTGAGGGGAGAGGGTCAGGAAAGGCTGCTCAGAGGAGGTGATATTTGAGCTGGGTCAGGTGGGAAGGCTATTCCAAGCGAGGAGAACTGTGTGAGCAATGGCATGCATGCATTTGCCATATTTGGGGAATCTCGGTTTAGAGATGAGAGGCCTCCCATGGGCACAGGTTTTCCAGAGAATAAATGAAATCAAGAGTGTCTGAGGCTGGGAACAGTGGCCCACGCTTGTAACCCCAGCACTTTGGGAGGCTTGCCTGTGTTATATGCCTTTGGCAGGTGGATTGCTTGAGCCCAGGAGTTCAAGACCAGCCTGAGTAACACTGCAAAGCCCTGTCTCTACAAATAATAGTAATAATAATAAATCATCTGCATGTGGTGGCACACACCTGTGGTCCTAGATTCTTGGGCAGCTGAGGTAGGAGGATTGTTTGAGCCCAGGAGATCAAGGCTGCAGTGAGCCATGATTGCACCACTGCACTCCAGCCTGGGTGACAGAGTGAGACCCCGTCTCAAAAAAAGAGCATCTGGCTGTAGAAAGGTTTTTCCCAAGTATGATCCAAGCGTTAGGACTCAGCTCCATCCTGGTCAGCATTCGTAGATGGCCAAGTGTGTGTCATTGTGGATGGCTCCTCCCTGGGCACCAAAGGTTGGTATGTAGCCACCTTCCTTTAAATTGTGGCAACAGTGGTGGCAGCCAAGGACAGCTGCTTTGTGGGAGAGAGGAGTTAAATGTGAGAAGATTTATTTTGGTTCTATTACCAGCGGTCCTTTTCTGAGTGAGGCTTAACAAGAGGCAAACGCCTAATGACCTCCTGAGTATCACCAAAGTGTTCAAGATAGGCTTGAAAAGCCAAAGAAGATGAAAAGAAAGAAAGAAATCAAAGGGTCCTTCAAAAGAAAAGAAGTAGACAGTAACGGCTATAGGATTTGGGATCACTTTTTCCCTGCTTGGCAGGTTGGAATTGCAGCTTAGGTATGTTGAAGGGTAGTTCCCCTCTAATGGTATTATTGATACTAGACTCTCTGTTCCCACAGAGAGAGCTATGTTGGGGAAGAAAGAAAATATTTGATGTCTGATTCATGAACACGCTAACTGGCCCATGCATTGTGGCAGAGAAGTAACAGCTTTATTTTGAAAAATGTCAACCTTTTAAAAAAAAATCAAAGAAAATAACATAGGATTTTTGTCACTCATGGCATGCCTTCCACATGGCTTTGTTTTCCAAACCTGGCCAGCCTGCAGTTTCCTTCCCATAGTGGGGAGGAGAATGAGCCTCCCACCTGGAGAGTGTGGAGCCCCAAGAAGCAGCATCCTCTGGTGGTCCCAACATCTGCAAATAGATGAGACAGCTGACTCCTCTCTGGCTGGACTTTTGTTTTTGCCCTGTGCCTGTCTAACCTTGGGCAAGCAAAAGATCTGAGAGCATTAGGGCTGGAAGGGGCCTTGGAGAACATTGAGCCCAACCTCCCTCCCCCTTGTACAAATGGGAAAACTGAGGCCCACAGAGAGGGAGGGACTTGCTCATGGTCACACAGCCATGGAGATAGAGCCAAGATTTGAACTCAGGGTTCTTTCTTCTAGTCTTTGCAACTATGGGCTGCAGTCTCTCTCAGCAGTCCCAAGCAGCAGATTAGTCTCCTGGAGAGGCAGGGGCATGCTTTAATTGCTGCCAATAGGGAAAGTTATAGAAAAGAGGGACAGACCTACTTGCTGCTCTCCTCCCTTAGGTAAACAGCCTTGTCTATTTCTAGTCACATTTCCCTTCCAGCGAGCTTTCCTATGTTATATGCCTTGTAAGTAGAGAATCAATGAAGTTCCTCAGTTACAGAGGAGATTCAGGTGGACAAAGCCATGTTATAGACCTAAGTCCCCTTGTGGCACAGGTTTTGTCCTCAAACCATCATACTGAGGCACAGTTCATGCATCACCTCCTCCAGGGAGCATTTCCTGATTTCCAAGACTGAGTTGCACAACCCCTCCTCACCTTAGCCTTTATCAACTGTCTGTCATGGTTGACTCATCTGTCTCTTTCTCTGGGCTTTGAACTTCTTGAGGACAGGGACCTTGTCTTCTCCATGTCCCAAGTGGATAGCACGGGGTCCAGCCCAAAGTAGACAATCAGTGTTTTTTAAATGACCGAGGACTCAGATTCCCATGGTAACAAAAGTTTGACTCTTGTTTCCTCGGTGAATTGAAAAACCAACCACTGTAGGTAGGGAAATGGGAAATCCAAACGAGTTGTTTGTTATTCACTGGGCAGGATACTTCATGGGACTCTGCTAGCTCAAGTCCTGAAGAGCCCTGCTCTGTGGTGGTATGTCTGCCATAGGCCCACCTGTGCAATCCCTGGTGGGTCCATGGGATTGTTTCGCTTGGATGTCTGTGACTGTAGACTTCAGGAACAGGATACAGGTTGTTCAATAGATTTCAGTTAGACTGAAAGGCCATGGCTGAATTCTGTTGTCCTTCACCTAAACATTATTGGAGGGAGGCATCTTCCTAGGCAGAGGGAGTGAGGTGGGGATTGGCTGATTATGAGGAGGCCAGAGCTTCAGGTCAGAATGTTTTTTCTCATCTAAATGTATTA
Source organism: Homo sapiens (assembly GCF_000001405.40). NCBI lineage: Eukaryota > Metazoa > Chordata > Mammalia > Primates > Hominidae > Homo > Homo sapiens. The sequence continues at coordinate 132,746,543 of NC_000023.11, read as the reverse complement.
GGTTGGTGCAAAAGTAATTGTGGTTTTTGCCCTTACCTTTTTTTTTTGAGACGGAGTCTCGCTCTGTTGCTGGAGTGCAGTGGCGCGATTTTGGCTCACTGCAAGCTCTGCCTCCTGGGTTCACGCCATTCTCCTGCCTCAGCCTCCCAAGTAGCTGGGACTACAGGCGCCCGCCACCACGCCCGGCTAATTTTTTTGTATTTTTAGTAGAGACGGGTTTTCACCGTGTTAGCCAGGATGGTCTCGATCTCCTGACCTCATGATCCGCCTGCCTCAGCCTCCCAAAGTGCTGGGATTACACCGTGCCCGGCCGCCCTTACTTTTAATGGCAAAAACCACATTAACTTTTGCACCAATCTATAGCTTGGTTTTCATTCTCTGGCCTTGGAGTAAGCCCTACAGGTTTACATGCAAAGATATTCCCATTCCTAAAAGCCGTGTACCGTAGGATCCTGGGTCATTGGAGGCAGTATCTTTTACTTAGACTCATTTGCTCCAGGAAAGTGAGCAAAACATCTCTTTTTTTGTACTGTAGCCAAGGCTGTTGTAGGAAGCGTTGTCTGTCATTCTCAATGCTGACTGCACATTCAAACCTTTTTATGTAAAGTTGAAAATTCACCTAAGATTTTAAGTAAGAAAAAAACAGAAACTGATACCAGAGTTAATAAGAAAAACAATTGTTGCTCAGGCCCTACTCATACCAATTGCGTCAGAATCTCATGGGTCAGCCTTGGAAACACTCTCTAGATGTTTTTTAATATGCAGCCAGAATTGAGAACCACTGATCTAAGTAGAAGGTGATAATGTGTTCTCTTCTTGTTCTCAGTTACTTTCTAAGGGATTCTAAAGCCAGTGACCCTTGAAACCAGAACTCTCAGGATTTTCCCCAACTCTGTGAAGGTTTGAGACACAACAGATTTTGAGAGAAATACTCATTCTGCTCTCACCTAGAGCTTTGCTTCAGTCTAAGTTGTGTCTGGGTCCACATCAAGCACATGGGTAAGGGTACAAAGTATTTGGGGAAGGCAATTCTCTTCCCACTATGCTTTATAAGGCCCCAGACACTCATAATTTTGACTTCGATTTCATTGCTTGGGCAGAGTATCTAGTCCTTTCTCACAGATTACAGAATTTCAGGTCTTAAAAAAAAAACTATCGGGGCTGGGCGCGGTGGCTCACGCCTGTAATCCCAGCACTTCGGGAGGCTAAGGCAGGCAGATCCTTTGAGGTCAGAAGTTGGAGACAGCCTGGCCAATATGGTGAAACCCTGTTTCCACCAAAAATACGAAAATTAGCTGGGCACAGTGATGTGCTCCTGTAGTCCCAGCTATTCAGGAGGCTGAGGCAGGAGGATTGCTTGAACCTGGGAGGCAGAGGTTACAGTGAGCCAAGATTGTGCCACTGCACTCCAGCCTGGGTGACACAGCAAGACTCTGTCTCAAAAAAATAATAATAAAAAAACCTGTGGATATTTTGCTCAGTACCTGGGTGATGGGATCATTCTTACCCCAAACCTCAGCAATTACACAATATACCCAGGTAACAAACCTGTACATGTAACGCCTGAATCTAAACTAAAAGTTAAAACAAACAAACAAAAAAACCCAAATCATAAAAAAGTTACCTCCAAAGTACATTCATAATAGTATAGCCAGAGCAGTTCTAAGTAATTTTAAACGGTGAGTGAGAGAATGTTTGATACCTGGCTTCCATTCATTCATTTTCTTTGGTCTGAATGTGTAGTGGGCACATGGTGGAAACAGATCTTTGACTTTGGGGCTTTTGAGGTTTGAGGCTTACAGAGAGAGCCCTCAGTAGGAGGAGGGGTGTGTTTACATAACCCTGGGGCACCCTGTCAATGTATTCTGTGCAGCCAAACAGATCAATAGAGTGAAAAAAACAATTCAGCTGAGTGAACTGATAGGCTGATAGGTTATTTGATTGACTGGGCTGGTGGAGCCACTCAAGAAGAAACTACAGTGCTATAACTTGGGAGGCCAGATAAACAGCTGATGCCAAAAGCATCTGCTTAGCAATCACTGGAGCCCAGTTGACACAAGCTATTGGAACCACATTTGAGTAAAAAAGATATAAAGTGCACTGGGGTACCATGACTATGGGTGAATCTTCTTCCTCATCATACTGTAGTCCTTCAGATCTCAGGGGCCGTGTAGCTTATTACCTCCAAGTTTCTTCTTAAGGAGAGAAGAGAGCACAGCTCTGTAGTGACTCTAAAGCTTCTCAGCTGTGTGGACTTGAGCAAGTGATTTGACCTCTCTGAGCCTCAGTTGCTTCCTCCAGCCATAGGAGTAAATATATTATGTACTTCATAGGGTTGATGGGAGAGTTCAGTGAGGTTAGACACAGAAAATGCTTAGAAAAATGCTTGATGCATATACATAGGAAGCATCTAATAAATGGTAGCATTGATGATTCTTATAAAATAGAATGCTGCAGGCCAGGCATGGTGGCTCATGCCTGTAATCCAAGCACTTTGGGAGGCCAAGGCAGGAGATCACTTGAGGCCAGGAGTTTGAGATCAACCTGGGCAACATGGCAAGACCCGTTTCTCCACACACACACACACACAGACAAAATTAGCCAAGCATGGCAGCACACCTTTGCTCAGTACCTGGGTGTCACAGCTACTCAGGAGGGTGAGGTGAGAGAATTCTTTAAGCCCAGGAGATTGAGGCTGCAGTAAGCCATGTTCACATCATTGCATTCCAGCCTGGGCAACAGAGTGAGACCTTGTCTCAAAAAACAAACAAACAAACAAACAAAAAACGCTGCAATTGGTGCAGTGGATAGGACACAGACTTTGGTGTCAGATGATCTGGGTTCAAATTCTGGCTCTACCACTTCCTAGCTGGGTGCCTAGGGCAAGTCAGTATAAAATCTCTTGGTAGGTCCCACTTCCCTCGCCCTCTCTCATAGCTGAAGGGTGAGGTGAGGTAAGCCTTTAGCAATGGGCTTGGTATGTAAGTGGTCAATAAATGCTGGTTTTTATGATTATCAATCGCCATCAATATGATAGTTACTGGGAAATTGCCCTAGTTCTTCAGTCACTCCTCAGTAGGACGCAATTTCCTTAGTGCTAGTCATTGCAGTCCCCTTTTTTTGGTTGTGTTTTGGTTTGCCATTTACTCCCATGTGGAGTGTGGGATACAAAATGAACCCTAGATCCATGCCCTGGGGCCTAGCCTTTTCATAACCCTGCCCCACTCATTCCTGTTTGCTTATGCAGAGCTTCCCGTCAATGAAAGCCCCAAGGTCCTATTGTAAGGCCTGCTGTGAAACCAGGTCTCCCCCAGCTTCTAGCTAATTGATATTCTAAAACCTTGGATTGCAGCTTGACCTTTATCCTTGTCAAATATCTCTTGGGTTTTGGCCCATGATTCCAGCCAGTCATTGGCTCTTTGTATCCCACTTTCTTGATTATTTTGGTTGCGTTTTTTAATTAGGCGTTGTGTGTTGCAGAGACACATGATGGTGCTTAATCATGCCACCATCTCCCTCATTGCTCTTTGTGGTTTTGTGAGTCTTGAATTGACATGTGTGCTCCTCATTTAGCCTTCCTGAAAACCCTACCTGCTGCACCTATACTTTCAAACATGCACTGCTGGTCATCTGGAGGCATTTACCTGAAATGTTACCATGGTGCCTAGACAGGACTCTATAAGGCTTACCCTGAACTCCTAAATCCTTTAAGTGTTGAGGAATGTGAGAAATGTGTATGATTTTAAGTATTTGTCTGAACTTCATAAATTAGGGAAATTACGTAGTGACACGGAAAGCCAGATATACATGTGTGACTTGTGGATTATCCATGTAATTGTTTCCTTAAATCGGTGCATACAAAAATAAGAGTCAGATTTTGAATGGGCAGAAACACACAAAAAACCTGTATTGCACCTGTTGTTGGGAAGATTTGGCTGGTTACAATAAGGCTAGATGGGCTAGATGAGGATACACAACAATGGCTCACCCCAATTTGGGGAAGTCCTTTTTGGCCTTTATGCAATGGGCTCTCTAAAGGACTAGCCATGTGGTAGCCTGTCTAGGGGTGGGGTACACAGTGGGAGGAGCCCTTATTGATGGTCTTGGGGTCTGGAACCCATTTCCTGCTAGGCAACTGACTCATCCTGTGACTTAGGGAAGCAAGCCATTGCCCATCTCTGGGTTTCAGTTTCCAGAGGGTGTTAGATTGGAAGGTTTCTTCCAGATTTGAACTTTGACTATTTTAGTGACTTAAGAGAAACAGCTGAATCCAAGTGCAAACGTCTGTCTTGCACCTTTAAAAAGAACCAAAACCACATTGTAGGCAAACGATCCCCAGTTTGAAATAGCAGCTTCCGTCTTTGGATTGTGTCCTGCTGCCCATTCTTTCTCAGACCTGCCTGGTTCCACACACTGGCTGACCATACAAGACCTTTTCATCTCAGCACTAGATGTGCACGTCTTTTTTCTTGACTGTGCTCTCAGAATACTGGGAGAGATTTTTTACAATACTGTTACTACTGCCATGAATAGCACCTACCAATGACTGTGTCTTGTGTGACAGGCACTGTGCTGTATGCTTTGTGTACATTTTCTCTTTTGATCCTTATAATATCCTATGGAGTTGGCATTGTTATTAATCCCTTTTACAGATAGAGAGGAGGGATGACTCATGGAAGTGACACACAGCTAGTAAGTTGCAGACTTAGTACTGCCAGATCCCAGGGTCTTAATGAGTATTATAAGTATGCTTTTTGCATCCCTGGGTGGAACTTGGATGTATTAATAATAACAACAGTGGCAGTATCTCTTATACGCAGTGAGGTAGGTGCTGTTATCCTCCATTTTATAGAGGAAGACAGCAAGGCTGAGAGAGATGTGGTAACTTGCCCAAAACTGCATAACTATAAGAATCCAAGCTGAAACGAATCTGAGGCTAATTGCCCTCAAACCCATGCTGTTGGCCAGGCATGGTGGCTCATGCCTGTAATCCCAGCACTTTGGGATACTGAGGTGGGCGGATCACTTGAGGTCAGGAGTTCGAGACCAGCCTGACCAACATGGTGAAATCCAATCTCTACTAAAAATACACAAGTTAGCCAGGCATGGTGGCGTGCTTGGGATGCTGAGGCAGGAGAATTGCTTGGACCTGGGAGGCAGAGGCTTCAGTGAGCCAAGATCACACCACTGTACTCCAGCTTGGGCAACAGAGCAAGACTCTGTCTCAAAAAAAAAAAAAAACAAAACCAAAAACAAAACCCGTGCTGTTTCTTCTACACCATGCTGCCTTTAGGGCTAGAACAAGTCTTAAAGAGGCTGTGGGTTTGCTTTCTATTCTCTGCTCCCAGGAACTGTGGCACTGCTTTTCTGAATGGCTTTGCCGGCGCAGCTGGCCAGGCTTGGGCAATTCAGGGTTCCCATAGTGCAAGAGCAGCATCCACCCGACTCCATCTCCCAGAAGCATGCAGTACTTACTGACAATTGTATGCCCAAAGTAGGTAATTTTGCCTTTTCAAGCACAAAAAGGTAAATCAAATTATACCCAATATAGAGCAGAGGAAAAGAAGGAACAAATGAAGTAGGAAGAAATGCATTCCCTTCTGTGACTCTCCTCAGCCACTGTCTGTGTCACTGTCTATAATATATACTCCTTGCTTTTCATTTCCTTGCATATCAGTGATCCATGTTCCCAGTGGTGTCTAAAGGCCACCTGTATTCAACTGTTAGCTGCCTTGCATGTGCCTATCTCTCAGTTTCAGCAGCTGCTTCCTCAGTTTCCCTAGTCTTGGCAGGTAGGAGCTTTTTACCTAACCAATAGAGGATTGCCATCCAGTGGTACATATTGGGAACTGCATGGCTGAAAAAAAAAAAGTCCTGAATTTTTTTCCCCCTTTCTAAAGGCAAACACCACCCATTCCTCAATCCTACTTAAGGGATTAACTATGCCCTTTCTTCTCTTTTTTCTTAGTCTTTTGTCAGCTTTGCTGCTCATTAGCTCTTATACAAGAAGCAGAGCAGGAGAAGTAAATGCAGGGAAATACAAATCACTGCCGGATTTCAGCACCCCCACACCCCCGCTATTGTGAATGGTTTGCTGGGAGAGAAGCTCTAGGAACTGATGGGGTTCAGCTCATTCAGAAAATCCTGTTCTCCTTTGGTATTGATGGCTGAAAACTCTGATTACATCTGCAGAGCAGTGTGAATAGTAGGTTCTAAAAGGGGCTGATACAAAGGACAATTCACAACAGATTACGTACAAGTAGGTAATAAACAAAAGGCAAAAAATCAACTTCACTTGTAATCAATGAACTGTAAATTAAAACTAACAAGAGAAATTATTTTTGCATATAAAATTGGCTGAGAAATGTTAAAATCAAAATTCCCAGGGTTGACGAAGATTTCGTGAAATGGTTGTTTTTCTACACTACTGCTGGGAGTCATAAATTACTCAGCCTTTATGGAGAACATGTTGACAATGTAATCAAGAGAATTAAAAATGTCTATGCGCTTTGACCCCATAGCTTTGTTACTAGATTTCACATAAAGAATTCATCAGACACTACTGTTTATGTCTACAAATCTTAACTTTCCCTATTATAATAGAAAAAAACAAGACTCTGAATGTCTAAAAAGTGTTTCTTAAACTAAGGCATAATCATAGGCTAGAATATTACATAGCAATTTATCCAAAATCATGTTCTTAGCAAATATTTAAGGATTTAAGGTTTTAGGAAAACGCTTATGGCATAATATTTTTTAAAAAATTCTCTCAGGGTACAAAACTAATCATATCTCCTCTTTGTACGATATACCTTTTTTTTTTTTTTTTGAAATGGAGTCTTGCTCTGTCACCCAGGCTGGAGTGCAGTGATGTGATCTTGGCTCACTGCAACCTCTGCCCCCTGGGTTCAAGCAATTATCGTGCCTCAGCCTCAGGAGTAGCTGAGATTACAGGCACCCAGCACCACACCTGACTAATTTTTGTATTTTTAGTAGAAACGGAGTTTAACCATGTTGGCCAGGCTGGTCTCGATCTCCTGACCTCAAGTGATCCGTCTGCCTCGGCCTCCCAAAGTGCTGCGATTACAGGCATGAGCCACAATTTATAGAATAAAAAATGAGGCTAAGGGAATGATAGTCCAGCTTAAACACACAGTCACTACTAAGAAAATGATTAAAAGCCTGTACATTCTGGACTCATGGAGTTAGAACTTAAAAGGACCTTGGAGTACATCTAGTGTCAGCCCCACCAATGCCACTGAAATCCCCTCGGTGACTACCTGACACACTGGTTCAGGCAGTCTCTCTTTAAATACTGTGGTTAAGGAACTTGCTCACCGCCTCTGGCAACCGCTTCTTCAAAGTAAATGATAGTGATAATCCCATCCCTGGTGCGCGTCTAGTGATTTATAGTCTGTGAAGCTTCTAAAGGCACATTTTCCTCTCACGAACCCTGGGAGGCAGGGAGAACAAGTACATTTATCTGCATTTTCCAGATGAGGATCCTGAGTTGAAGTGACTCCCAGTGGTAAAGTGACTTGTGTAGCTGGTGGATAAGATAGGACTGCAGTCCAGGTTTCCTGACTCCCACTCTGAGGCTTGTTCCAGCCCTCCACAAAATCCAGGGTCTAGTTTCATTCAAGTATCTCCTTTTATTGAGTTTATGTTGGTCTTGCTATAGCTGTGACCCCTCCCATGATACCTCATACATCGTCTCTTAGACCTTGAAAGATGTGCTTGGATGTGGGGCCACATGCTAGCTAGCTAAGGTCCAGAGTAGGGTGAACATGGAAAGAGCTCAGGGGGAGAATGAAGAAACCAATGAGTCCACCTTGCTGCAAATTCTAGCAGTCTCCACACAGGAATCTGCAACCATATTTATGAAACGTTGTTTTCATAAACTGCTGCTTGTTCAATAAGGCATAAAATAGCCAGTATAAGATAGTTATTTGCTCTACAATATCGTTTCTGCAACACAGCTTCAATGTCATAGCAGTTACTGCATTTTGTTTAGTTTCTTAAGAGATGTGACACAGTAGATTAACCATTGACATCAAAATGCAGAGGTTCCCTTAGAGCTGTCAGCAATCTTGTTCCATTCTTTTCCCACAACTCTGCATCCCGCCTTGGGAAAGCATTTGTACACTTCCACTGCAAGGTCTAGTCACAGACCCACTCGGATTTGTCAATGTCATGGGAAAGCAACAGGCAGGAAGACAACTTTCTATGACCTTGGGATGCTATCTGTGAGTTAGGCAAAGGAAGCTGAGATTCAGTCCATTACTGGTTATCCCTGTACACGGATGGTCCACATCCCATTCCAGGGACTATGAAGAAGGGCAAGGAAGACACAGTAGAGTTTTCCTTCTCACAGAGGTGGCAAGAGAAATACACAGGAAAGGAAGAACAAGCCAGAAAAGACAGGATAGGCTGACTCTTCCAAGTGCAGTGAGAGCTCTAAGAGGGAGGTGACTCACTGAGGGCTGCCGGTTCAGGTCAGGACTAGGTCAGAAACCTGCTCTGGCCTAGACCCAAGGGTTGGCAGAGAACAGAAACAGCTCAGTGGGTTTGAGAACAGGATGGGCACTGGCCACGGGAGCCAACACCATGAGGTCCTGATCAAACCCTGCAGGCGTCTTCTCTGGTGCAGAGGCACCTACTTCCAGGAACTCAGTCTCAGAACTCAGCAGGAAGTCACACCAGCCCTCCCACGCCTAATCTGCCAGCTGCTGCAGCGGGCACTTGCCTGCCCTGGCTTTGGAGCCTTCATTCTTGCCCTAGTGGGGGCAGGGTATGTTCTAACTAGAGAAATGCCAAACACCTATGCTTGCCCCTTCCGCTGGTTTGACTGTTTTCCCGGAATGGACCTGAGAAATTCAGTGAAATGATTCAAAGAAACAATTAGTTGATTCCATTAGAAAGTTAGTCAAACTGGTATTTAAGCTGAATTTATTCTGGCAGATGGGCTTGCAGGGGTAGACTCCTGCCATAGTTCCTGACCATCTCTCCCCACCGTGTTGCTAAAGGTGGGAGGAACTAGAAGATAAAGGGAGGGCCCCAGTGGGAACGAATGGAAATACCAAAAGCTTTGTGCGTGTCTGCTTCCATCCAGCTGCTAACTGTTGTCCCACTCCATTAGCCCAATCTTGCCCAGTAAGTTCTCATGACAGCAGTGCACATCCCTTCCCAAGAGCACCAGAAACTGTTGTCTAGCAGATGTTAGGATACGTAAGGGGCCAAGTGAGTTACCACGAAGGGACTCTCAGGTCCATACATTGATATGAAGACTAGGTTTGAAGCCATTTTTCACTATGTTCTTCAGTTTGTCCAGGTTCCCAAAGCCCAGGTTATTCTCAGTCTAAGATTTTTTTGCTCGACTCCCCACAGGGTCGAGCTATGTGATCTATGTCAAGTGGTACCTCCCTTCTGAGCCTCAGGGTCTCCATGTGTAAAATGAGATCGTTAAGTCAGATGAGCTCAGTGGTACCTTACAGCTCAAGCATTCATTCTGTGAATTCAGGTTTGTCCTCTTTTGGTCCAAACTGAAATTGCCTTCATGGGATGACCCAAGTGTCTTGTTCCTACCAATATTCTTATAAACTCAATTCTTTTCTATCTTTTTAATTCCCTACCAATGTGGGCATATGGGTCCACTTTGTTCCTTTCACAAAGAAAATGGTCTGCATTGAGGTTTCTTTTCAAGAGGGGCAAGGAGGAATCTCGTATTTATATAAGATACTCAGGCCCATCACCTGATACCACCCTTCCATCTTAGGTGTGTTTGATCATTCATTCATGTATATATTTATTCATTCTCTCATTCAGCAATATCAACGGTGTGACTACCTCATGCATAGTATCATGGTGGGCAATGCATATGCATAAGAATATACAGCATGATCACTTTTGTAAGATGGGAGGTGATTCACAATGAACCCTGCTGCCATCCTGAGCTGTCACCCTACTGGAGTCACTCTGCGCTACTACATACCACCCCTGGCAGAGACCCTGAAACTTACACCATATCATTAGAAAGACAAGCTACCTGTGTTTAAGAGTATTGCAAATGATCAATTCATAGGCTAAGCAATCTAGAATAGAGAGTACTTAAAAGACGTTAAACCTAAAAGAAAAGAGGAAAAATTGTGCAAACTAACAGAAGCTATATGTGTGTGTTTTCATTCCTTTGATGGGACACTCAGGAGACTTTGAGTATCAGACCTAGTGTTAAGAGGGCTATTCTTAAGACCTTTGATTAAATCAGTCAAACTTGGAGTCAGATGCTTTCAATGATACTCTTGTATAATTCTTACCCCTTTACCTGTTTTACAGAAAGGGAAACTGAGGCCCTATGTGGCCTTCACTATAATGTCTGGTTGCTTAGAACACAGTTGCAGTTGTCCGGGCACGGTAGCTCACACCTGTAATCCCAGCACTTTGGGAGGCCGAGGCGGGTGGATCACTTGAGGTCAGGAGTTCGAGACCAGCCTGGACAACATGGTGAAACCCCGTCTCTACTAAAAATACAAAAATTAGCCGGGCCTGGTGGTGCACGCATGGCATGTAATCCCAGCTACTCAGGAGGCTGAGGCAGGACAATCACTTGAACCCAGGAGGTGGAGTTTGTAGTGAGCCAGGATCGCATTACTGCACTCCACTCTGGGTAACAGAGTGAAACTCCAACTCAAAAAAATAAATAAATAAATAAATAAAAGCACACAGTTGCAGTGCTGCAAAATTCCTCTTTCTTTAAGGGAGAAGATGAATAGTGCTCAATCCTGATATCAGGAAAAGTCACAAGGCCCTGGGTCTCCAGCTCCAACAGTTCTTTCTCTGTGGCGTCCTCGGGCCAAAGCCCAGCTATATCCCAGCTCCATGTGGGCATCCAGAGAAAGCAGAACTGGAGAAAGCCTTGAGACCAGCCTTCCTGTTTAAGCTGTAGTGATTGACACCAGGAACTTTCCTCACACACCTTTATTTCAGATTACTGGCCTACTCAGACCTTTGCAACCTTCCTGACCCCACAGGCATGATTAACTGCCTGAATTTTTTGTCACGGGTCGGTTTTCCCACCTGGTGTCTTGCGTGCTTTTTTCCTTGGAATTTCTTGGAATCTTTACACGTTTTTGACACCTGCTTTGACCTTCTAGATCCTGGAGCTTTTGCCCAAAAGGCTCTGAAACATGCATCTTGCCTATGGAGCCCGCATCCTAGCCTGCCTTACTTGGGCTGCCTTGATACCATCCCCCATCAGTGTGACAATGATGATTCTGGGCACGTACAAGCCTCTTTCCCAGGAAGCTGGAGCACCAAATGACAGCTGTGTTTGAGGGATGGCTCCGTTGACAACTGATTCAGAATATTGACAAGACTTCATTATGTTTTTGCTCTTGTGTTTACATCTTTCAAGTGTGTTTGAAAAATCAAGAAAACAATACAATTTGGTTTCCCAAATTGAAATGACAATGAAACTGCCTTTTTATTTATTTAATTTTTGTTATTCTCATATTTCTCTAGGCCTCTTCTCACACACACCACCAGCCACCACCCCCCATCCCCATCTCCCCACCAACTTTCTTTCTGGAAAAGACACATCCCATTGTAGCTGTACTGATCTCTAGTCACATACTGTATCTTTGCAGATCTCTCTGTCATTGCTCTTTCTGTTCTCATTCATAGATGACACAGCTAAAGACGGTATCCAGGCCTATGCAGGTTTGGCTGAAAGGGCCAACATGGCATTTTCTTTTCCTAAAGATGGTGCTTTGGTTTGTAGCTGTTTGCTCCTGCCTTTCTGTTTTTCGGGAAGCCTGTTGGCTTTGCTTGTAAAGAGACAGCCTGTAAGGCTATGGTGATTGAAACCAGTCAGCCCAGTGCAATTCAATTCGGTGGAAGAACACTGAGTGCCTATTACAACCAGGAATCTAAAGGAAGGGGGAGATTCACCCTTACCTTGGGAGCCCATGTGGGGAAATGCATATCTTCAGAGAGGGGAAAAGGCTGTGAGAGTTCACAAGTGGGAGTGACTTGGCTCTCTCACCTAGTTTTCACCAACTCTGACCACTTTATTTCACCTCCCATTTTAAAATGCTATCTTGTCTTGGCTTGATTGATATGTTATTTCTGTGATTTTTTTTCCTGCTTTTCTTCGTTGCTAGGTCTTCTTTCTCCCTCTCTCTAACTGGGATTTCTTAGATTTCTTAAAGACCTCATGGACATTCCTATAAGTATGTGTTGCCAACCTTCTAGACCCACCAATCAGAAACCAAACTCATCATCATGCCTTCCCGTTTTGTTAATGAAGTGCCACTTTTTTGTCCAAGATAGAAACATCACTGTCATCTTGAGCTATTCCGTCACCATCCTTTCTCTGCCGTCTGCATATTAATTGCAAGTTTTCTTGATTCTATTAAGAATAAAGAAATTTGAGAGCTGCCAGTAACCTAAGAGGTGATCTAGTATGGAGTTTTCATTGTCTCAGGGAGTCAGAGGATTAGTAGTTAAGCTGAGACTAGAACTCAAGTCTAAGATTCCTAGACTGTTGCTTTTTTTTTTACTTCACATGACCCTAAAATATAGGTAAAGTTCATAGACTTTAGAAAGAAATGACTAAGTTCAAGTCTCCACTCATCTCTACCATTTGCTAGCTTTGATCGTGGGTAAGTAGCTTAATCTCTGTGCTTCATCTGTAAAATGAAATGAAAATACCTTATGTAAAGGAATGGTTGTTAGAATCACATGAGAAAATAGCATAAAACACTTAGCATCAGATGGACTCTACATGAGATCACCTCAGTTCCAGATCTACTGCTAACACTCTTCTAGACCTTTCCATGCTTACTGTTAAATCTTATCTTTCTAATATGGAACATTTAGACTCTAAAGCTTTTTGCTGTTCTGAATCCTATGGTCTTAACTATGTAAGGAATTCAAATTGAAGTAGAGTTTCAACATCTTTTGAAAAAGAGAGTTTCTGCAAATGTTAATACCTCAGATTAGCTCAAAGAAAGATAAAACAGAGAGCTCATTAGTAAGTACTTGTGAGGTACTTCCAAAATTCTGCTTTGTTAACTTTGAGAGGCAAGCAAAAGAGACCCGTAGCTAGTCTAGACTTAAGCCATGTCCAGAAAGAGTGGCTGATTGGTTTACTTGTGAGGTTTGGGTAGGGGGAATAGTATCATACTAGATATCCTGTTTAATAGCCTGTTCTTATTTTCACTTAACAATATATCTTGGTCATGTATTGTCAATGAGCAAATAACTCCTTATGAGCCCTAGTGTACATGCACATTTAGTAGGGGAACCCTAAGAGATTGGAAAATGCATGAGAGGAAGAGATTTCTGGAACTGCAGGGCTGTCTAAAGGAGTGGGAATATCCTTGGAGCCATTGAGAAAGGGACAGAGACAGCTGACATCTTTCTGAGAGTAGAGGACAAAGGGAGGAAAGGTAGAGGAAGAAGGTTGCCTAAGAACTCATGGCTCTAATGTCCTTGGTGATTGCTTGGCCTAAAACACTTCAAGCCTTACAAACTGCTTTTTAAGACAAACCAGTGTCATTTAAAATCACTGCTAGGGATAGCCTTTCTATGTCTAGTTACCTTAGATTATCAGAGCTGAAAGAACTTCAGAGATCTCTTTAAATGTAATATGAGGAAACTGAGGCCCAGAGAGCAGAGGAATAGTTCAAAGCCCTCCCAATGGTTTGATCCTTGGTAGCATAATGAGCAGCATATTAGCTCATTTTCATGCTGCTAATAAAGACATAGCCGAGACTGGGTAATTTATAAAGGAAAGACATTTAATGGACTCACAGTTCCACATGGCTGGGGAGCCCTCACAATCATGGCAGAAGGTAAAGGAGAAGCAAAGTCACATATTACATGGCAGCAGGTAAGAGAGCTTGTGCAGAGGAACTCCCATTTATAAAACCATCAAATCTAGTGAGACTTACCACCACAACAACAGCATAGGGGAAACCAGCCCCATGATTCAATTATCTCCACCTGGCCTCGCCTTTGACAAGTGGGGATTATTACAATTCAAGGTGAGATTTGGATGGGAACACGGCCAAACGGTATCAAGCAGTATTTAACTGGTTTTGTGTGTGTGGAGAGGGAACAGATGAATCATTTGTATTATTATTCCTATGCCTAACGAAACTAAGTCATATGTGTACTTAAGACAGAGAACCAAAACCTTGATTTTTCTCTTGTAGGGGGTGGCTAAACTGGAGTTAGAAGCCTACTTTGCCTGACCTTTTTAGCTTTGATAAAGGCAACCTTGATTCATGATGCATGAGCCTGGGTCTTTGAAACCAATAAGAAATGGTTTGTTCATTGAACGTGCAAACAAATTACTTTCCAAAGACTAAAATTTAAACTGACATTAAGCTCCAAGAGCATCTATATTTAATTATACGTAAAGGCCAGAAAACAATTTGTAACCTTAACATAGTAAAATTAAAAGAGAAATCCCACCTATGCAAATAATTTATTTCAGTGCAACACTACCCTTTAGGATTGCCATCGTTTGCCTGTATTAGCAGTGCTGGCTTTACCAATATTTCCAGGGCGGCCCTGAAATATGAGTTTAGATTGGAAAAAAAGCAGTCAGAGTAGCTCCCAGGGCAGGCTGATGCTATAGAACCACGGAGTGTGCTGGCTTCCCCAATTTCCTTTTTTTTTTCCTTTTCTTCTGAGACGGAGTCTCACTCTGTCACCCAGGCTGGAGTGCAGTGGCGCGATCTCCACTCACTGCAAGCTCCGCCTCCCAGGTTCACACCATTCTCCTGCCTCAGCCTCCCGAGTAGCTGGGACTACAGGTGCCCGCCACCACACTCAGCTAATTTTTTGTATTTTTAGTAGAGACGGGGTTTCACCGTGTTAGCCAGGATGGTCTCGATCTCCTGACCTCGTGATCCGCCCACCTTGGCTTCCCAAAGTGCTGGGATTATAGGCGTGAGCCACTGCGCCTGGCCTGAGTGTGCTGGCTTCTAACAAGATTTGCCTCTTGGTAGGAGGAATAATAATGAAATACCGTCTATGATAATATATTTCTCTCGGGATGTATCTTAGGGGTCAAAATGTAGTAGAAGGAACACAGGCAAGAAAGCACAGAGATCTGGGTCCTAAATTGGATCCAGAGCAACTCCCATCTCCACTCTGGCCCTCAGGCTCTTCATCTATAAACTATGAGGCTTGGACCCAGTCAGTGATTACATTGGAAGAAAAGGGAGAGAATGTGAAATGAAGAGGATGAATCAAATAAAAGTGGCTTCGTTATTTCTGAATGCTCCCTCACCTTCCTCCACTCCTTGACATACACACATGCATGCATACACTAGTTTTCCCCTCAGTTGAGCATGAGAGTCAGTTCCCCTCAGTTGAGCATGGGAGCATGAGAGTCAGGATATCTGGGTTCTCATCCCAGCTGTTTCTTGAACTCTCTGTGTATCCTAAAGTAAATCTCTTGCCCTCTATCTCTGTTCCCCATCTGTAGGATGAGGAGAGGGTGTTGGGTTTTCATTGGTACCCACCAGGAGTGTGTATATATGTACACACACACACAGAGTCCATCCCCAGCTAACTAAAGCAGGGCTTCCCCTGGGGCAGGGCTCTGCAGGTCTGTGTGTTTCAATGGCTTCCCAGGTCACTCTGATGTGTACTTCTAGCTTAGTTCCCTGGCTGGCCAGTCTCTGTGGGCCTTCCCAGCTCTGCCATTCTGGAAGACGAATGGGCAATTTTAGGGGCCTTTTCAGGAACTGTGTGTCCTGCTGCTGTATTCTGGTGGCACAGGGATTAGCTCAACTGCATTTTCAGCTCACCCCTTCCGAGCAGAGTGATTTCACAGGATGGGAGCTGTGCAGAGGGCAGGAGGCACAAAGAAACACTCTGTGGAGTCACAATGTGGCAAGCCGCCATGACGCTGCTCTTAACCTCCCAGTTGTTGCCCACGTGGGCTTTTCTTGAACTATGCAGGAACCTGATTAAATTAATTGATTCCTGGCTTTTCGAAAATCCCTCTCTGGTGGGTTGCATGCTGCTTATCAAGATGTTCTCGGGAAGCTGATGCCAGGTTAAATTCCTTGCACTGAGAAGGCCAGAGCCGGCTTGATTCAGACATGGATATGGTAGAGGAGGGAGGGCAGCCTGTTGCCTGCTTTTCTTTCCTTGTCGCTTTAGCAAACATGGAGCATTACAGGCCAAATGTGCTTGCTGAGTGGAAACCAGGAGGCACTGAGCGGGTGGCTCAGTCTGGAACGCACAGGGCGTAGTGCTTCTTAGCACAGCTTCTGAGCACAGAGGAGACTGCAACAAATGATAGCTGCTGTGTTATTGTAGTGGCAGCGCAGTGTAAGGGAAGAGAAGCTCCCTGAAGAAGACTTGGATGTAACCCCAGCTCTTCTGCTCTTCTTGACTTGCAGATCCAAAATTCTCAGCTTCCTTAAGTTTCTTGGTCTCTAAAATGAGGAGGCTGGACTCAATCAATTATTTTCAAACTTGGACTCTCAGGGTTCTGAGGAGGCACCCTGAGGGCTGCCTCAGGGGTATGGAAGGTGGAAGAGGAGGCTGAGCAGGCAGAACCCAGACCCTCTAACTGACCACCTAGAGCCTCAAGAACAAACTGCCATTCACATCATAGTCTATGTCACCAGTTCTCAAACTTTTCCATCTCAGGACTCCTTTATACTCTTAAAAATGACTGAGGACCTCAAAGAGCTTTGGTTCATGTGGGATTTATCTATTGATATTGACTGCATTAGAATTTAAAACTGAGAAATTTTCAAAAATATGTATTAATCCATTTAAAAGAACAATAGTACCTATTGCATATTAACATATTTTTATTAAAAATAACCTATTTCCAAAGTAAAAAAAAATAACTGAGTGGCATTGTTTTATATTTTGCAAATGTCTTTGATATCTGGCTCCATAGATGATACATGGATTCTCATATCAGCTTCTACATTTGATCTGTTGTGATATGTTGTTTCGGTTGAAGTATATGAAGAAAATCCAGCCTCACACAGACATATATTTGGAAAAGAGAGGCCCTTACGGACTCCCTGAATGATTCTGGGGACCACCAGTGTCTTTATACCACACTTTGAGAACTGCTTCTCTACCTGAATTGCACTCCCTGGAGATGTACAGTGCCCATCCTGCTGGGCAATGAATGGCAGCTCTTCTCTCACTCCCTCCCCCTTCACTGTATCCCCTCTTTATTTAAAGCAGCTCAGTTTTTCTATTTTATATAATGGAGATCCTGGAAGATTTTATTTGAAAAAAGGAGTCTGCTTCTAAAAGTGTTTGAAATTCACCCACCTTAATCTTAGGTTACTGAAGATATAAGGATTTGGAAGCTGATTGAGATCCTATCACTCGGATTTTTCTCCCCTAAGGATGCAAACTCTTGGGCTTTGAGGAGGGTCCTTTGGCATTGTGCCTCAGCTCTTCCTGGACAGTGACTGGCATGTCATCTTGACAGTGACAGTCTTAGCACATGAAAATGCCACTGAATGACTTGAAAGATTTAATGCCACTTCACAATGGGACTGACCTGCCCAGGGAGTGATACAGGCTGAAGGTGGAGGGGATTCAATATTTGTTGAGCTGTCTGATCACTGAAGCAGAGAGATGGGCCATAAGGGCAAGTTTCAGTGATATACTTCTATGTCGTCATCTTTAGAGCTAGACATTCATCATCATTATTTATTTCCTAGATTTATGTCGAACTTTCATTCCAAGGGACAGGAGCCAGTGTTGAATACCATGGGATCTAAGTGCCTTCACAACCCATTGAAGCTTCCTCCAATTTCTTGTTTAATAAAGAAGGCCGTGCTCTTCTTTCCCTTATTGCCAGAGTCATTATTGATTTCATGTTATTCCTTTTATAAAATCACCTCCTGGGTTTTCCTAGGCTTGGCTCTTATAGCCGAGAATGTTCTCTCCTCAGCCTTCTGCTGGGCCTGATGCTGTGAATCCCATCTATGTGGGTCAGGGGACAATTCCACAGCCATCTTGCCAACATGCCCGCGTTAGGCTGTGAGCATGCGCAGAAGTACTCTCAGAGCTGTGGAGGAGGGGAGGCTCCCACACCCGCTGCCTTGTCCTTATTTGTTTTGTTTCTCCCACCAGCCTAGGCATTAATTAAGAGGCCCAGACTCAAAAGCCCACCGTTAGGGTCAATCATTTGGGCTAATTGAGTGTTTCCAATTTAGTGGAACTCTTCTCTGAAAGTAAGAAATAAAACTGAATCCCTGGGAGAAACCGGAACCCTTGTCCATTGCTGGTGGGAATGTAAAATGTTGCAGCTGCTATGGAAAACACTTTGGCAGTTTCTCAGAAAGTTAGAGTATTATATGATCCGGCAATTCTACTCTTAGGTATATATCTAAGAGAAATGAAAACACATGTTCACATAGAAACTTGTACATTAACATTCATAGCAGCATTAATCATGATAGTGAAAAAATGAAAACAACCCCAATGCCCATCAGTGGATGAATGGATAAACAAAACGTGCTGTGTTCATACAATGGAATATTGTTTAGCTGTAAAAAAGACTGACATGATGATTGGTACATGCTACAACATGCATGAACCTCAGAAACTTGATGCCCTAAGTGAAAGAAGCCAGACAAAAAAGACCACATACTGTATGATTCCATTTATATGAATAATCCACAATAGACAAATCCATAGAGACAGAAAACAGATGATTGCCAGGAGCTGAGGGGAGGGTGGAAGGGAGAGTGACTACTTTACTTAATGGGTACAAGGTTTTCTTCTAGGGTGATGAACTAGATAGAGGTGACAGCTGCACAACATGTACTAAATTCCACTGAATTACACACTTTAAAATGGTTCATTTTGTGTTACATGAATTTCTCCTCAATAAAAAATTCAAAACAAATGAACAACAAAACAAAACAAAACACCTGAATCCGTGGCTGCTACCCTCTTTCGAGCTAGTTTCTCTTATGAATGTGTGTGGAATAAGGAACCCAAGCCTGGGCCGTGAACTCTTCCAGAGTGGGAAATGGGCTTCCAATAACTCGTAGACACTCAATAGTTATATACTATTGAGTATATAACTATTATCATGTATGGAGATATCATATATGGTTTCCCATATTGCTGTCTTCACTGTAGGCTCATGGAAAGCAGGGACCATGTCTTATTCACCCTTGAATTCCAAGCGCCTAAGCACCATTCCCAGCACATAGGAGACAATAGATGTTTGCTGAATGAATGAATGAATATGTTTGTGACTCCTCTTTATTCATCTCTATGCCCCCCCCCCCAATAATGCTAGTAATAGTTCTACCACAGCTGGTGCTCAGAACAGATCTATGGATTTGTCAAGTGAGTGGGGATGAGATTGTTTTAGTTTTAGTTTTTTTTTAAGGTTATTTATTTCAAATGAACCTTAAAGTAAACTTAAGTTCCATAAAGAGTCATATTGGGGTTTTGATTAGCGTTTCATTACTATTCACTAAAAACACTTTTTTCAAAAATGAGATATAAAAATTGGACAGGATGTAGAAAAATAGGAGATTTGGCCTATGGAGATTCAAAAAGAGTAAGAGAGAGATCTCAGCTTTAATAAGGGGATGAGACTGATTAGATGCATTTTACTTTAAAAAAAAATTGTGGATATCTATAAAATGGAACATTATCCAGGCCATGAAATGGAATGAAGTACTGATAAATGCTACAATATGGATGAACCTTGAAAACATTATGTGAGTGAAAAAAAAGCCAGATACAAAAGGTCACTGTTATATGATTACATTTATTTGAAATGTCCAGAATAGGAAAATCCACTGAGATGGAAAGTAGATGACTGGTAGTAGGGGCTGGAAGGAATAGCCAGATAGGCCAGGGACAGCTAAAGGGTACAGGGTTTCTTTGGAGGTGACTGAAGATGTTCAGAAATGGACTGGTGGTGATGGTTGCACATGTCTGTGAATATACTAAAACCCATTGTATACTTTAATTGGATGAATTGCATGGTATGTGAGTTATACCTTCATAAAGCTGTTAGAAATTTAGATAAATGTCAGAAAAGTAAAGAATACAATTTGAATCAAAAACAAGTGTGACTGTGTTTTGGGAGAGATCTTCATCTAAAATATAAAATAACTGCCTGGCTAGATTCAAAGGGTTTCTCTAGGAAAAGATTCCTTTACTTTTTATTTTTTATTATTTTTTCATTTTTAATTTTAATTTTTTGTGGGTACATAGTAGGTGTATATATTTCTGGGGTACTTGAGATGTTTTGGCATAGGCATGCAATGCATAATAATCACATCATGGAAAATGGGGTATCCATCCCCTCAAGTATTTATCCTTTGTGTTACAAACAGCCTGATTACACACCTAGTTATTTTAAAGGGTACAATTAAATTATTATTGACTATAGTCACCGTGTTGTTGAGATATCAAATACTAGGTCTTATTCATTCTTTCTATTTTTGTATTCATTAACCATCCCCACCTTCCCCCTACCCCCCTCCACTACCCTTCCCATCCTCTGGTAACTATCCCTCCACTTTCTATCTTTATGAGTTCAATTGTTTTGATTTTTAGATCCCACAAATAAGTGAGAACATGTGATGTTTGTTCTTCTATGCCTGGCTTATTTCCCTTAGCATAATGGCCCAGTTCCACCCATTTGTTGCAATGACACGGTCTCATTCTTTTTTATGGCTGAATAGTACTCCATTGTATATAAGTACCACATTTTCTTTATCCATCCATCTGTTGATGGACACCTTAGGTTGCTTCCAGATTTTAGCTATTGTGAACAGTGCTGCAACAAACATGGGAGTGCAGATATCTTTTCCATATACTGATTTCCTTTCTCTTGCATATATACTCAGCAGTGGAATTGCTGGATCATATGGTAGCTCTATTTTTAGTTTTTGAGGAACCTCCAAACTGTTCTCCATGGCAGTCATACTAATTTACATTCCCATCGGCAGTGTATGAGGGTTCTCTTTTCTCCACATTCTTGCCAGCATTTGTTATTGCCTGTCTTTTAGATATAAGCCATTTTAACTGGGGTGAGATGAGATCTTATTGTAGTTTTTATTTCTCTGATAATCAGTGATGTTGAGCACCTTTTCATATACCTGTTTGCCATTTGCATGTCTTCTTTTGAGAAATGTCTGTTTAAATCTTTTGCCCATTGCTTAATCAGATTATTAGATTTTTCTGTAAACTTGTTTGAGCTCCTTATGTATTATGTTTATTAATCACTTGTAATGTCAGTAGTTTAAAAATATTTTCCCTTCACTTTATTATATTATTATATTATATTATTTCTCTCTTCACTTTATTTATTATATCCTTTGCTCTGCAGAAGCTTTTTAACTTGATGTGAGCCCATTTGTCCATTTTGCTTTGGTTGCCTGTGCGTGTAGGGTATTGCTCAAGAAATCTTTGCCCAAACAAATGTCCTGGAAACTTTCCCTAATGTTTTCTTGTAGTAGTTTTAGAGTTTGATGTCTTAGATTTAAGTCTTTAATCTATTTTGATTTGATTTTCATATGGCAAGAAATAGGGGTCTAGTTTCATTCTTTTGCATATGGATATTCAGGTTTTCCAGCACCACTTATTGAAAGGACTGTCTTTTCCCCAGTGTATGTTCTTGGCAATTTTATCAAAAATCAGTTCAATGTCCATGTATGGATTTGTGTTGGGGTCCTCTATTCTGTTCCATTGACCTGTCTGTTTTTATGCCAGTGCCATGCTGTTTTGGTTGCTATAGCTCTGTAGTATAACTTGAAATCAAGTAGTGTGATTCCTCCAGTTTTGTTCTTTTTGCTTAGGATAGTTTTGGCTATTCTGGGTCTTTTGTGGTTCCGTAGAAATTTTAGGATGATTTTTTTGCTATTTCTGTGAAGGATATCACTGTTATTTTGATAGGGATTGCATCAAATCTGTAGATTGCTTTGGTAGTATGGACGTTTTAACAATACTGATTCTTCCAATCCAGGGACATGGAATATCTTTCCATTTTTTGGTGTCCTCTTCAATTTCCTTCATCAGTGTTTCATAGTTTTTTTATAGAGATCTTTTTCTTTGACTAAGTTGATTCCTAGATATTTGATTATATTTGTGGCTATTGTAAATGGGATTACTTTTTAAATTTCTTTTTTAGATTGTTCGCTGTTGGCATATAGAAATGCTACTGATTTTTGTATGTTGATTTTGTAATTGCAATTTTACTGAATTTGTTTACCAGTTCTAATAGTTTTTTGGTGGAGTCTTTAGGTTTTACCAATATAAGATCATATCATCTGCAAACAAGGCCAATTTGATTTCTTCTTTTTCAATTTGGATGCCATCATTTGTTTCTTTCTTTTCTTTTCTTTTCTTTTCTTTTCTTTTCTTTTTGAAATGGAGTCTTGCTTTGTCACCAGGCTGGAGTGCAGTGGCACGATCTCAGCCGCAGCCACGCGTGATCCCAGGTTCACGCCATTCTCCTGCCTCAGCCTCCCAAGTAGCTGGGGCTACAGGCGCCCGCCACCACACCTGGCTAATTTTTTTTTTGTATTTTTAGTAGAGATGGGGTTTCACTGTGTTAACCAGGATGGTCTCAATCTCCTGACCTTGTGATCCGCCTGCCTCGGCCTCCCAAAGTGCTGGGATTACAGGCATGAGCCACTGTGCTTGGCCAAAACTACAAGTTTCATTCTCTTGTCTGATTATGCTAGCTAGGACTTTCAGTACTATATTGGTTAACAGTGGTGACAGCAGGCATCCTTGTCATGTTCCAGATCTTAGGGGAAAGACTTTCAATTTTTCCTCATTTAGTATGATACTAGCTGTGGCTCTGTCATACATAGCTTTTATTATGTTGAGCTATGTTCCTTGTATACCCAGTTTTTTGAGGGTTTTTATCATGGAGAGATTGAATTTTATGAGATGTGTTTTCAGCGTTAATTGAAATGATCATATAGTTTTTGTCCTTCATTCTGCTGATACGATGTATCACATTGGTTGATTTGTGTATGTTGAACCATTCTAGCATCCACAGGATATTTCTCACTTGGTCATGATGAATGATCTTTTTAATATATTGTTGAATTCAGTTTGCTAGTGTTTTGTTGAGGATTTCTGCATCAATATTCATTAGCGATATTGGCCTGTAGTTTTCTTTTTTTGATGTGTCTTTGGTTTTGGTATCAGGGTAATACTGGCCTGGTAGAATGAGTTTGGAAGTATTCCCTCTTCCTCTATTTCCCAGAATAGTTTGAGTAGGATTGGTATTAGCTCTTCTTTAAATGTTTGGTAGAATTCAGCAGTGAGGCCATGAGGTCCAGGGCTTTTCTTTACTAGGAGTCTTTTATTACAGCTTTGATCTCATGACTTGCTATTGGTCTGTTCAGGTTTAGGATTTCCTCATGGTTCAGTCTTGGTAGGTTGTATGTGTCTAGGAATTTGTCCATTTCTTCTGGATTTTCCAATTTTTTGGCATATACTTGCTCATACTGGCCACTAATGATCCTTTGAATTTTTCCACTATCAGTTGGAATGTCTCCTTTTTCATTTCTGATTTTTTATTTATTTGGATCTTTTCTCTTTTCCCTTAGTAAGAAAAACCAACTTTTTGGTTTTTTTGTTTGCTTTTTGTTTTTTTTTTTTTGTTTTTTTATTTTTAACATAATTTTATTTTAATACACCTATATGTTTGAATATTTGAAATCTCAATCACCTTCACAGCACAATGATTCTACAAAGCATTCTTTCCTTTAGCCTCACTGTATATTTTATCAAATGACATGACTGTTCCTAATTCATAATTGGGACCTAAACCTAATGGAAAATACTATTTCATGTATTCAAAAATATTTGTGGTCTTTTTCTACTATGTATATCTGGCATTGTTCTCAGGACTGGACTCTATTAGTTTTATTATGAAAATGTTAACATTTCTCCATAGAGTTGTTTTACAAAAACACCTGTTTTTCAAAAACATTCTGGGGAACAACCTGAAAACTTTTAAATAACATTTAGAGCATGGATTTATTTTAAAAATTACCTGATCCCTTTTTTAATGCATATTGTGACTTTCTTTAATCATGAAAAGTTTTCAACATTATTTTGGCATACCTGAAAGCTTTTAACTGTCCTTAAAAACCCCAACTTTGCAATAGTAAATTATTTCATGCATCACAAAATAGTCTTATAAACCAACTTTTTGTTTCACTGATCTTTTGTATTGTTTTCTTCATTTACATTGCATTTATTTCTGCTCTGATCTTCGTTATTTCTTTTCTTCTACTGTTTTGGGTTTGGTTTGCTCTTGTTTCTCTGGTTCTTTTTTTTTTTTTTTTTTTTTTGAGACGGAGTCTCGCTGTGTCTCCCAGGTTGGAGTGCAGTGGCGCGATCTCCACTCATTGCAAGCTCCGCCTCCCAGGTTCATGCCATTCTCCTGCCTCAGCCTCCCAAGTAGCTGGGACTACAGGCGCCCGCCAACACGCCCGGCTAATTTTTTGTATTTTTAGTAGAAACGGGGTTTCACCGTGTTAGCCAAGATGGTCTCGATCTCCTGACCTCGTGATCCGCCCGTCTCGGCCTCCCAAAGTGCTAGGATTACAGGCGTGAGCCACCGCGCCCGGCCGTTTCTCTGGTTCTTTAAGATGCATTGTTAGGTTGCTTATTTGAAGTTTTTCCTCTTTTTTGCAAGAAGGGTAATAAGCCATATTTATTTTAAAACATAAATTTAAAAGTACCTACATCAATTATTATTAAATTGAACCAGCAATATATAAAATAAATAATGCATTGAGTCCAATTTCAGTTGGGTTCACACTAGAAAACCTAATTAGTATAATTCAACCACTTCAGCAAAAGGAAAGAAATAAATATTTCAATGGATGGGGGAAATGAATTTTTATTATTCCAAAATAATTCATGATTTTGAAGAACTCTTAGCAAATAAAAATTAAAATGAACTTTCTTAACCTGATAAGCAGAATCTAATGAAAGCTTACAACAGTCACCCCAAATGGCAAGAAGTTAGATCATTCCCTTTGAAGACAGGTTTTTCCTCTTTTTTGATGTAGGCACTTATAGCTATAAACTTATCTCTTAGTACTGCTTTTACTGTATCCCATAGGCTTTGGGATGTTGTGCTTCTACTATCATTTGTTTCAAGACGTTTTTCAATTCCTTCTTAATTTCTTCATTATCCACTCTTCATTCATGAGCATATTGTTTAGTTTTTATATATTTTTGTAGTTCCCCAAATTCTTCTCATTTTTTATTTCTAGCTTTATTCCATTGCAGACAGAAAAGATGCTTGATACTATTTCAGGCTTTTAAAATGTTTTATGGCTGGTTTTCTGACCTAACATATGGTCTATCCTTGAGAATGATCCATGTGCTGAGGAAAATAAAGTGTATTCTGCAGCCATTGGATGAAATGTTCTGTAAGTATCTATTAGATCCATTTAGTCTATAGTGCAGATTAAGTCTGGTGTCTCTTTCTTGGTTTTCTGTCTGGAAGATAGATCCAATGCTGAAAGTGGGTGTTGGAATCTCTGATTATTATCGTATTGGGACCTATCTCTCTCTTTCACTCTAATGGTATTTGCTTTATATATCTAGGTGCTCCAGTGTTGGGTGCATATATATTTAAAATTATTATATCCTCTTTCTGAATTGACCCCTTTATCATTATATAGTGACCTTCTTTTTCTCTTCTTATTGTTTTTGTCTTGAAATCTATTTTGTCTGATACAAGTATAGCTAGTCCTACTCTTTTTTTTTTTTGGTTTCCATTGGCATGGAATATCTTTTTCCATCCCTTTATTTTCAGTCTATTTGTGTCTTTATAAGTGCAATGTGTTTCTTGTAGGCAACAAATCATTGGGTCATTTTTTTTTTAAATAAACTCAGCCACTCTATGTCTTTTGATTGAAGAGTTTAGTCCATTTATATTCAATGTTATTATTGATGAGTAAGGACTTACTCCTTCCATTTTGTTATTTATTTTCTGGTTGTTTTGGAAAGATCCCTTTAAATTGGGCTTTCCTTTCAGCAGCAATTCATGTGAGTTTCCAGATCATTACCTACTTGATGAGGGGCTAGGGGCAGAGTAGCTTAAAGGCAGAGTATGAAGGGCAACTGCCAACTGTTGGGCAGTTGGAGATTGATCAGAATGTATGTCAGTGGGAAACTAGGATTCGATTTACACAAACCCAGCTGCCTGATGATTTCTGCACTGCCTGTAGGATATATGGGGTGTCCACATTTTCATGAGGAGGAATGAGCAAGCAGTCTAATGATGTGCCACTTATACAATTAGCAATTCAGCAAGTTCAACTTCAAATAAGCAGTTCTGAATTCTTCTTCCTACTCCAGGGGCCGTCCCCACTACTTCAGTGTCTATCAGCTTTTCTGAAAGAAGAGACACCATGGCTACAGGGAAACCATGGTGGGGCTGTGTGTGGAGGCAAGTACTGCCTAGTGTTGGATGCAGACTGCAGCTGTATCCTTTGCCCTTAGGCAGGAAGAAACTCCCACAGCATCATCCCAGCTAGAGAGTAGCTTGGATGTCACAGTCAGACAGGCAGCCCCAGCAACCTTAGGTGGTACAGCAGTTTCTGTGGGGAGATTATAAAGCCCTCTGTGGTTACGAAGGAGTTGACAAGCTATTCTGATGGCTTTCTGCCTGTTTTCCTTGGATCCTGAAGACAAGAGCAGTCCAAAGTTATTCCTGGGAAGTGAGAATCAGGCATCAGCCAAGGCTTTGTCAGATCTGGGTTTGCAGATGAGGGCTCATTCAATGTTCCTTACAATTGCAAAAAAATGGACATGTGAAAACTCACTTGTAACTTGAAGGGGCATCATTTCTAATTGGGAGATAGCCACAGAGAAACGAAGGGGCCAAAACATTGCTAGTGTGAAAAGCACATAGGCTTTGGAGTCAGATCAACCTGCAAGTCCCATTCTTTATGTCTTAGATGCATGACCTTGTCCAAGGCCTTCACCTCTGAGCCTTGATTTCCTCACGTGTAAAAGGAGATAGGAAAGAGCATCCTACAGGGGCTATTCTTCTAATTAAACAATGTCCAGTCCTCATGCCTGGATCTCCGCCACTGGCTCTCAACTCACCTTTTTCCTCCTATCTCTCTAGCATAGATTGCTGCGTTCATTTTATTGTAGAGGGACCTTGGTACTTTTAAGATTCCTGAACTGGAATTCACAAGGTCTGAGAGATGGTTTTGACCCTGTTATGACTGTGTGACCTTGGTTGAGTCCCTTTCTCTCTCAGGACCTATAAAATGCAGAGTTTGGGCTTGATGGTCTTTAAGGGTACCTTCCAACTTTGATAGGTTTCTAAACGATGTCAAGGTCAAATTCTGAATGGCCTGGTTCACTGTGCTAGAGGATGGCCCTGATCATTTGGCAAGCACAACTCTTTCCCAAGGCGACATTGCCCTTCTTACCATTGTAGTTACATGGGCCCTGCTGGAATGAGTCACATACTCTAGCTTCTTCCAGTTTCTTCCCCCCCTTGGTTAACTTGGCTTGGACATTTTGGATTCTGTCTATATGTAATTTGATTGCATTTTCCTATAGATAAGAAATATAGGTATAATAGCAAGGAGCACCTCACCCCCCACTGCTTCAAAGAGAGAGAGAGAGAGAGAGAGACCTGATCTGTCTGCCAACTTCTCTTTCCCTGTGGGTCCCTGGCCTATCCACTGCTACCTGATTTATGTCCTAGGGGAGCAGCATAGCTATGGTGAAGATTTATACCAGGTTTTCATCTTCAAATGAGCTACTACCTCTGTTCCTTGTGTATTCAAGTGCTTGGCACTCATAGCCAAGCACTTGAATTCTGGAATTCAAAATGAAAAATAGTCCCATGAGAGGCCTAAAGAGAGGCAAACAGGAAGCACTTCAGAGTGTGCTGCAGCCTTGTACAGTAAGTAGGATGCAGTCCCCAGCTCTCAGTGGAGGTGTGATATGCCCAGAGAGATTATATACAGTGATCCCTCTCCACATTAGTGCCTTGTGTAGGCATGGTACACAATGCATTAGAATTAGACAAGGCGTAGGATTTGGAGACAGGAAATATTGAATATTCCCATCTCAGCGCCTTCACTTATTAACTGTATGACCTTGAGCAAATTTCTCTTTGAGCCTCTCTGACTTCCCTGTAAAGTGAGAAGAATGCCGCCTACCTCACAGGGTTGCTGTGAAGGCAAAATGAAATACAGTTAGTACAGCTGAGTGGCTCATGAGCTTGGTCCCAGCACCCTACAACTCTGGATTTGAATCCAGACTCTACCACTTATCATGCAAGTCCGTCTGAGCCTCAGTTTTCTCATTTAGGCAATGAGTATAGACTTTTGTTCAGGATGAAATGAGATAATTCCTATAGTGTGTGGCATCTGGCATATAGTAAGCACTCATTAAATGTTAGCTAATGGTATGATTGTTATTGTTTGTCATTTAGGTAAAATTTCCAATAATTCTAGAAAAGATATTTTGTGTACTGTGCCAGATGGTTTGGCAAACTTGGTCCATATTTTATATGCTTGGGGAAAAAGCACTGGGTATTTTTTTGGTCCTGGTTTTGAAACTACAGGTAAGACATGAAACTGAGACTCTTCCAATAAAAGGATACCTGTTTCCTCATGGAAAGCAAGTTTGCGCTCACAATGGTGCTACACCTTCATGTAGACAGTTGTCTGCAGCCCACAAAACTGTTGAAGTGGTCATGATATTTCAAAAGTAGCACCTCCATCGGGAGCAGCAGTGTTAATCCAGTTATGAATATTACACCTGCCAAACAGAAAGAATCCTTTAGCCACGGGTCTCAAGCACAGCCCTGGATGTGTGGATTTGCCACAGTGACAAAGACTACTAGCAAGGTGCATGGGGACAAGAACAGCAATGGCTTAAAGCCTTTTTCATGGATTTTTGACAATGAAGTTAATTATCCAGATGTTTCATGTACTTGACCCCGGACACTCAGATCTTTGGAAACATCTGGACAATGTGGGGGTAGTTTTCATATCTTTCATCAAAACCGTTGGTTGTATTAAATTCAGCAGGTTTCATTAATCACCTGGTTTGTGCCCTGTTAGGTATTATTGATCACAAGGAAGTCACAGTTTTATTGAGAAAAATTAGACTAACAGGTTTGAAGTGACCAATGAAAAGTAGGAGAGCTGGGATATGAACATAGTTCCATCAACTCCTATGCTTGTGCTCACTTCACTCTAGCACATGGCCTCTTTTCATTTGGGGCTGGCTGAAAGGAAGTTTCAGACCAAATCCAGTGGTTCCCACCATGCCTTGACTTCAGCAGCGACCTAAGCTCCTTTGCTGAAAGCAGGTGACATATATCCAAATGGACCATTTCATGTGTCTCCATTGTCTGATCCTTTTAGTGACTTGGTGGAATATTCCCTGAGAATTATCTTGATCCTTATTTTAGCACTAGCCAAATCATTACTTGTTAGGGAGTTTTTCGTTCTCTGTGTTTTAAATGTGTAAAAATGTGAATGAAGCAGTTATATCTTGTGTTGGCAGCTTGCCATCCTTGGTCTGTGTCAGCATAAAATATTTTGGATTCCATAGAGTAGCAGCCCCTTGCGAAGCTGTGTAAAAGATACAATGAAAACCTTCCTTCTGATTTGAAACAGTGCTGAAATAGCATCATTTGTGGACCTTCCAGACCCAACGATCTGAAACATGGAAATGAAATGGGATAAAATAACTCCCAGTACACATATATATACTTACCTTGTAAATGAAACTTTTCGGCCTTTATTAACAGAAAGCAGGCCCTGTTATACCCAGAAAATTTCTAAGAGATTCCTTATTCGTTCTTTCTTTCCTTTAAGTCAAAAATACTGTATGTATATGATCAAACTGAAATGCATCACTGGAACCTACCATACAAATACAGGTGCTTGCGTTTGGAGAATTCCAAAACACATATGAAAATCATTGTCAAGTTTCAGTTGAAGAAGTCAGCCTGTACCTATGCACATTTTTTTTATAACTCAACTAGCTCCCCCACATCATGAGTGGAAAGGCTTCTCAGAAGGGAAAACAAGCCAGGTTTTATTTTATGGCCTTCAATTTTGTTTTATTTCGTTTTACTTTGTTTGTTCAATGGCAAAACATCCTTTTCACTGCTTTCTGAAAGACTAAATTGTCAAATAGGTGCTGTGGTAATGTTTTCAGAAACAATGTATCCTGCCATAGCCAAGGACAAGTTATAGACAAACCCGTTTTCCACGGAAACAAGAATCCTTCAGTGTCTAGATTGTTAATTAGATCAGCACTAGAGGGCACTCTTATGATGCCAAAATGGGAAATTTTTACTAAAATCTGCTGGGCAGGGGTGTGAGAGAGGAGATGAGGAGGGGGCAGTTTCTGTAAGGACTGCAGACCACAGACAAACAGCTTAGACAAGACATGTGCAACTGAGAATTGACTGGATCGCCAACAGATAAAACACTATTTGAAAAGGGCTGTTTGGCAGTGTTCCCTATCAGATCCACTTGGTTTCCAAAATGCAGTCGGTGCTTTGGCAATACACGATCCAGGTATAAGGCATTATTTCTCAAAATGAAAGAGATATAAGAAGCTCTGATTGTTACCATGTGATGTAGTAAAAGCACATTTAGGCAGAAAACAAAATGTGGAGAGAAGCATAGGAGAATGTGTTTACAACTTAACAGCTACTGAGAAAGAAGAATTTCAAATCCTTGGGGTCTTTTATGGTTGTTTTCCCCATCTTTTGCAGCCCTTGCTCTGTGAATTGTTCTGAAGGGTTGTGTGATTGAGTCTGGGAGAGCAGGTGCTTGCTTGTCTGCTGCCCCTAGGCAGGCTCTGATGGACACAGGGTGGATGATGTGCTGTCAAGTAAAGGGACAAATGGACTTGGTTTTGTCTCTGGCATTGATGTGCTCTGTGATCTGTGGCAAGTCCCTGCCCTCTCAAAGTCTCAGGGTCAGGGAAGAGTTGGGTGACACTAGAGGTCTCTAAAAGATCACTAGAAGACATATCCCCGAGTTTGTGATTTATGATTGCGGAAATAACTTTTGTTTTGTTTTGGTTTTAGAGACAGTGTTACTCTGTTGCCCAAGCTGGAGTGCAGTGACATGATCATGGCTCACTGCAGCCTTGAACTCCTGGGCTCAAGCCGCTCCTCCTGCCTCAGCCTCCAGAGTAGCTGGGACCACAGGCACATGACAACATGCCCAGCTATTTTTCGTATTTTTTGTAGAGATGGGGTGTCACTATGTTATCCAGGTTGGTCTTGAACTCCTGGGCTCAAGAGTTCCTCCCACCTTGGCTTCCCAAAGTGTTGGGAATACAGACATGAGCCACTGTGTTCTGCCAGAACTTCCCATATCAGTCATTTATAGCAGCCACTTGAGTTCTGAATCGAACAAGATATGGTAGGCACCCTGGGGTAGAAGGTGACTCTATGCTGTCAGTAGGATGGTACCGAAATGATTTGCCAGCACAGAGGGGCTTATTTGCCTGTATTAGTCATTGCTTTAGGTTTATGGCTCAGTCCAAATATAACCTCAGAGAGTGACCACACTAAGCCGTCAGTAGGTCCCCTCAAATTCGCTCATTATGTCCAAGTTAAGCCTGATCCCTCACTTGTGTGCTAGGCACCAGCCAGAATCTCAGGCATGCCCATGTGTCCTTCCCTGAGGAGCCAGTGTGGGGCAGGGGCTCTGGGCACTTGATGGGAAGAGTGGCACACTGAAGACAGACTTATCTACTCTGACTTTGGCCCCAGTGTTTGCTAGAGAAATGCATGAGTGTTTTTGTTTAAGTCTCTGCTTGTAAGAACCCAGGCTATCCTTCATAGGAATGTTCCTGATTGAGTCAAATTCATTATAAAGTCTTAGAATGTTATTGGCCGGGCACGGTGGCTTATGCCTGTAATCCCAACACTTTGGGAGGCTGAGGCAGGTGGATAACTTGAGGTCAGGAGTTTGAGACCAGACCAGCCTGGCCAATATGGCAAAACCTTATCTCTACTAAAAATACAAAAAATTAGCCGGGTGTGGTGGCAGGCACCTGTAGTCCCAGCTACTCAGGAGGCTGAGGCAGGAGAATCGCTTGATCCTGGGAGGCAGAGGTTGCAGTGAGCTGAGATCATGCCGCTGCACAGCCTGGGCAACAGAGGGAGACTCCCTCTAAAAAAAAAATGTTATCATGAACAGGGACCTTTGGGAAATCAGCTAGTCCAACACCATCACTGTAGAGATAGGGAAACGGGGAGCCATCTTCATTTGGGAATGGGGTTGCCTAGGGTTTCACAGCCAGTTAATGGCAGAGCTGGCATTGGGGTATCAGTTTTTTATTTCTATTCCAGGCCTCTTTCTGTTACCTTGTGCTATATTTTTCTCTCTCCTGCAATGTCCATTCTAGGGAATAAGTGACCAATGGCTCTGAACCTAAGGGTTTTTGACATAGCTAGAATAGCTCCGTGTTTATGGATTGTGTCATTTAAGGTAGTACAAGTGGAAAGATATGAGGACACATCCCTATCAAAAATATGTCCTGTTTAAATGTCATAGGACTGGAGATCAAACCAATATAGGATCATTCCTCTGGATCTAGAAGGCTCTGAAGTCTTGAGATGCTCTTGCCCAAAAGCAAGGATCAGGTTGGAATCCTTGTCAGCTGGCAGGGAACGAAAGGATGGGAGGGTAGGTCTGGAAACCAGGTTTAGTATCTCGGGGGAGGGCAGACACTGTGAAAAGAGCAGTCAAGACAACCTCAGGGAACTTCACAGTTGTGCCAAAGGCTATTCCTTGGGAGGTTAAAACAAATACTCAAAGAATACATATTTGAAAGAATATTCTGGGTTCCAGTATTCTCATGCCAAACATAAGGAGCTCCCTCTCATGAGGTATGCATGATTTCCAGTGGACTTGGCATGGAACAAGGAGGAATTAAGAGCGGTCAAACAGTAGAACACAGATGCAGGGGACAACCCTCTCCCATATCAGTGATGTGGTTACTTTCCGCATGGCCTTTAACTGCACGTGTCTTTGAGCTCTGCTTTTGAAAAGCTGGTTCCTTTCCCAGGGCAACAAGATGGCTCAGGTACAGGGGGCTGCGAGCTGTGTGGCAGGCCTGCCGCAGACTCACTATGCCTCTAGACAATTCTCTGATTGGTCTTCCTCCCTAGGTGACAGTAATAATGCCTAAAACGTATTGTATGATGACTGTGGACCTGACATTCTGCTACATGATTTACAGGCATGATCACATCTAATCCTCCCAAGTACTTTAGGAACTACCCTTCTAGACTGAAACACATGGGCCTACCTACCCATGTCGTTTGCTGTTGGTTTCTCCTCTGATAGGGCTGTCTTTTCTTCTGATTGGTCAGTTCCGATACCATATCTGTTGTTAAAGATGGTGATCATCACCAGTGTAGGCATTATACTTGTCCCCACTTTGTTTTTTGCTGTTTTTTTTGTTTTGTTTTGCTTTGTTGAGACAGAGTCTCACCCTGTCACCTAGGCTGCAGTGCAGTGGCATAATCTCGGCTTACTGCAACCTCCTCCTCCCGGGTTCAAGTGATTCTCCTGCCTCAGCCTCCTTTGTAGCTGGGAATACAGGCGCCTGCCACCACGCCAGGCTAATTTTTGTATTTTTAGTAGAGACGAGGTTTCTCCATGTTGGCCAGGCTGATCTCGAACTCCTGACCTCAGGTGATCCATCTGCTCCGCCTCCCAAAGTGCTGGGATTACAGGCGTGAGCTACCATGCCCCACCTTGTCCCCATTTTCTAGGTGAGGAAATCAGGGCTGAGAGATTAAGTTGCCTTTTCAGTGTCATGCAGTTGGTAAGTGAAAGAGCTTTAGGACCAGATTCCAGTCTGTGTGACTAATGGACTTATTTCATGGTCCCACACCACCTCTCAGGACTGTGCATAAGCAAAAGGCTGAGGTCAAGCATTTTAACACTTTGCAAGTAAAAAAGACCAGCAGCTTGTTTTGCATAGGGCCTTAAGAAACACCCAGGCCCTTTGCCTGGCTCCTCCATTCACCTCCACCAGTTTGAGCAACAGTCCTTAGCCTGGGACTTTGGGGGCACCACACCCCTTTCCATTTAGGGAAATAAAATTTAGCATGTATTAACATAAGGCATTTTTTGCTAGGATATACTACTGTATTTGGCCTTCAGAGATCAAATGAGGAAGGTGGCTTGAGATACAAAAGGAAGTGGTGGGTTTCTGAGCAGCAATAGAGTAGGTGAAGACCAGAATGATGGTGGAAGGGCATTCTACATGGGAGAACGTGGAAATTCTAAAACACGTCAGCTCTTGGTGTGGCAGTTAAAGGGAGGGTGAGCACACCAGTTCAGTGTCAGAAAGCAGAGAGGTTGAATGGACCATTTGCTTGGCAGCTCTGGAACAGTGGTAGGCAGTTATTTATCATAGAGTGTACTATCTGCTGCAGATTTGCAATCTGACCCAAACAGTGTTGGTGTGGGTTTCTTAACAACTTCCTTCTCTCTAGCTGTTATATGGAAGTGTGTGGCTGTGGAGGTCTCTGCTGTTGAACAGCCATCACCAATATCCCAGGCTCCTGGCAGATGAAGAACCTGCATGAACAGAAAGAGAAATGTGGAGGGTGGTGGCGGTGCAAGAGGGTCAATTGTTCATCAATTCGATTTTTCTTGTTTTTCTCAATTAAGTTTCCTTCTATAATTTTTCCATCATAAAGAATCTGCCACTCTATGTTTCAAATTAACAAAGCTGTTTCTCTGGACAGAATGATGTTCAGCTGCATTTAAATTTGGCCATTATGATTTTGGACATACTCTCATTTACTCATAAACTCTTCGAAGGCTGTGCTCTGGGCTCTGTGAACTACTAATAGCATGTTGTACTGAGAAAATGACTAGGGATTGGTATACTTCTAAGTAACATCAAGGGAAAGCTATTAGAGAATGAAAGAATATTGGAACTGGGGGAATTTTAGAAACCATCTTGTCAAGCTCGTTCATGTCATACAGCCCACTGGGAGAGTGGAGAAGAGAATTTGCCCAAGATCAAATGAGTCATTGGTAAAACCTGGATTAAAAACCAGGGATCCTGATTCTCAGTCAAGGGCTCTTGGATTTTTACCTCATCCTGGGTTTTCCAAGTCTTAATTTGGATCCTTCATACAAAAGTGAATCGTTTCACTTTCATTTCTCAAGCCCTAAGCACCCACCCTGAGAATGTAAATGCCAAGCATAAGTGTCATGGTCTGAGGTTCCTGATTAGGATGAATCCACATCTGGAGCTTTTGGATTCCCAAGTCTCCCGCTATTCCCATTACTCCAGTGCTATATATGTGTTCTCTTCATTTTCATCTTTTGCCTTCCCTGCTTATTGGATGCTTAGTCAGTTGCCTAAGTACCATTTGAGTGACATTTAGTCACATCTTCTGGAACCTGGCTCAGAGGAAGGTTATTCCTATGGCTTTTTCTCCAGCCAGTGTCTGGGTCATGGGCATGGTAACCACAGCTCCTTTTGTCCTTCCAGTGCTGCTGCTTTCCCAGGATGTGGCTTGCTGAGGGCTGATGAATCCCATCTTAGAGTGTCAGCCAGGCCAGCTGTTAAAGAACATGACAGCAACAAATGAGAAAGACTCTGTTGGGATGTGGGACTACAGTATTATGAAACTGCCACTTAGAGGCTTCCTGTTTTTACAGTATTTCAAGGTGCAAGCAAGTGGCATTCTCTGGGCAGCAAATGGCCCAGCTGAAAAGAAACCTGATTTACAGCCTGTTGGGAGGGCTTTCCACAAGGAGAAATTATGAATTTGTAACGTCCCTTCCAATCCAAAAGAGAATTCTTTCTAATGCAAATGTTTAATCTGATGCCATCGAGTATGTTCTCCATACATAAACAAAGGCATAAATAAAACAGGGAGAAACTCTTTCCTAGAATTGATAATATACAGTATATTTCTGTAGAACTCTTTTCCAAGCAGATGGCCTAAAAATATTCCACAAGATTGTAAACTCTGTAGAGTCAGGGATTTTTGTCTGTTTTATTCACTACTCAGTACCTCTAACCTCAGTACCTCTAACAATGGCTAGCACATAATAGATAATAAATATTTTTTAATAAAACATCATGATTAAAGGGCCTTTTTAAAGGATTTCATTAAACAACCTTCCCAAAGAGAGTGTGTGTGTGTATGCATAAAATGGGTTCTTAAAATTAATTCATTCTCTTCTAATTAGTATGTATCTTTTGTTTTACCTTTTCCCTATGAACTTTGGCTCACTTCTGATGACTGGCCACCCTTTTGATTGATGCACCTGTAACGTCTTCATGGATCGTCACTCAATACTCCACCTCTTCCCACCTGGGCTCCCAGGTAAGGCAATGAGCTTCCAAAAGTCTTCTCAGTGCAATCACCAGGCAAATTTTATAAGGCAGTCAAGAAGTTTACCTAGAAATAAAAAAACTCAAGAGACAATAATAGTGATTAAAGTTAAATTTGATCCCGTTCCCATATAAATCAATTATTTATACACTTAACATCATTTGAGAATTTCTGTTAGTACAGTGAAATAAAAATTATGGCTTTGGAAACTGCTGCATACTTAACTTTGGAATTTTCTGATCCTAGGAATCAATATATGGCTTTATGTTTTCCTTCTAAAAATATTTTCTTGTGTGTGTGTGTGTGTGTGTGTGTGTGTTTTGTCTTTTCACCCAAAGTTGTGTTGTTTTTGTTCACAAGGCCAAATTTTGTGGAAGGGATCATAGCCTCTCTTCACTGTGTAGGGACTCTAAATCATGGGGTAGGTCAGTACATTGTAGATTACTTATTTCTTGCGGCTGGAGTAGAAGACGAGCACATTGGGCTCTGGATGGTAAGTCCACTAATAGGAGTGTCTTGTCTAACAGATTTGATGTTAGGCCTCACCAAGTATATCGCTTTTGTTTCTCATGACATTTGCTTCCCCAGCAGTCTTAACAGCTCAGAAACAGGGAAAGGGGGCTTAACCGCACCAGAGACTGATAATAAAAGAGCCATGTATTGCTTCTCAAATGATGATTCAAAGGCTCTGCTGCTAGCCATGCTATTAAAAAAGGCTCTCTTAACTCACTTCTAAGGCCTGCAAAGCGTATTTGCTGTAAAGAAACATTTCTCCCAAGAAAATGCACAGGCTATATAGCCCACTTCGGGCATAAAAGAAGTGTTGCTACATTGTAAAATTCCTTGTTCTGGCATAATAAAAAACAAAAGGCTAACTGAGCCCATTTGAACCCTCAAATTAGCAACTGACCTGTGTATAACTTCACAGTCTCCGCCTGCTAATAATATCAGTAATTCACACAGTGGAATGAGTGTTTTGTGACCCTTAAGACATACATTATAAAAACAGCTGAGCATGTTTTTTGAATGGGGAGACATTGCTTACTTTGATGGATGTCTTGTGTTTGGGTGGAAGGGACTAGAGAGATGATTTATATATCACCTTATGTGTGCTTTGAATTTTCATCTTTTTAAAGAGCATCAGTAAAGTTTAATTGTTCTTTATTTTCCTTTTGTTATTTGTGTTTCGTATATTCCTGATAATATGAAAAATCCCTGCCAATTCCTCCTAGGACCTTTCAATCAGTCATTTCCATTTCAGTGATGCCACAGGGTTGGGTTTGGTTTGGGTTTTGTTTTATTGGCTTTTGTTTTTTTACCTAGATTCCCATTGCTCTCTGTGAAGGGGAATGGAATTAGCATGAGTGAGTGGTAGATCCATCATTCCCAGACCACAGCACTCCAGGGATCTGGCTCTCAGTGCAGCCTTGCCCCTTTTAGCCTTCTGATTGGGAATCTCCCCATTACTTGAGAGGAGCCAGTGGGGAACAAAGTGGAGAAGCCATCTATGAGCTGTTTCCCTAAGGTTTGGGAAGCTGGAGAAATATGCTCTTAAAGCACAATGGAAAACTTTTATTATTTTATCTCCTCTCCTACCAAGCTCTTGCTAGCGACTGGTTTTACTGTTCCTTTAACAGGTGGAGGATTTTTCAGATTCTAGATGCAGCAAGGTAAGTAACAATGTATTTTTAGTTTGACTGAACCCAAGTAAGCTAGAAAAAAGAGACTCTGCAGTTGCCTGTCCGTTTAATTTCAGTACAACAAATAGTTAAGTTTTTGGCTTGGACAAATTCTTTCCAGGGCTTTTTTTTTTTTTTTTTTTTTTTTTTTTTAGTTTAAAACAGCTGAAACTACCCAGGCTTGGAGTCTCAGTTCTGAAGGCTGACTTAGTTCAGAAGGGGGATGAATGTTCAGGGCGACCACCCCAGACAGGTGTGCAGTAGGTCATTAGCTCTTTTTCCTCTTTTTGCTGAAATAGGATGACACAGTAGAGTGTGTTGTTGAGAAGACCCCAACCGTTGGCAAAGTGTTCTTTACAGTGCTTCAGGCACGTCTGCCTGTCCCTAGGCTGGATTGTGATTTAGAGAACAAGTAGGTCAGCATTTCCTTGAAGGGAAATCAATTATTTGAAAATATCAGGGCTTTTAACGTATGTAAATACGTAGACTTGCATATTTACAAGTAATCCCATAGGCCAGAGGCCTTTTTGACATGAAGCCTGCAGGAGAGCAAATCTAATCAAATACAAGAAAGTTCCTCTCTGTGGGGAAGACGGACGCTGAGAATGCTCCCAGATGATGCCCCTGCAGGCAACAACTGTTGCTAAGAGCTGTACCATCATATTGCCACCAGAACCGGAGAGTCTAGCAAGAACCATAAGTCATTTTGGAAATGTGTGCTCTAGTCGCTTGGCACATTGTTTTCTAAGGTCATGATGCTCACCAGTACTGTCTTTGGCTTTTTGTAGGCTTATTGGCTCCAGAAATATTTACTAGTGCCTCTGTTTTTTCTTAATACCCACCTACAATCCACCCTGTGCTCCCTGGCCAAATAGGTTAGCAAGAGCAAAGACTGTAGCTCTGGCATTTCTCCACAAGGACAGACTCCCATTAAAATAGACTACTTGAGCCATTTTGGGGATGCCCAGTTTAGCTTTCTGTAGCTGGGCTTCCATACTCCCATTAGAGCCTCAATGGATTTACTTGACAGCTGAGAATAGTAAATTTAGTGTTTAATTTTGTAGTCAGATTATAATTTATTGAGCTAAATGGCACAGACACACATAGACACCTAATCACACAGTATTAGTATGGGAGAACATTTAAATATCATAGATTGGGTGTGTCATGGAGGCAAAGTACCAAGTTCTGTTACTAATGAGGTGACTTTTGTCAAGCACTAGCTCCACTCTGAGCCTTAATTTCCTCGCCTGTAAAATAAAATGGAGCGGATGACCATTAAGACAATGGTCAATAACATAGGTACCACTATCCCTATAATAGCTTTTATGGGGAAGTCTTGAGAATTTTGTTTTCTTTTTGCTTTAAAATTGCTAGATGATAGGACCATCTCTTTAAAACAGTTTTGCTGTATAACAAAGCAAATCCTGACACACTCTTTATTTTTACTATGGTGTTGATTAGTTGGACCAGATTATTGCCAGAGCAACTAATACCTGGTCTTAATGAGAGAAAACAAGAGGAGTACAGATGGTGAGATGGGAAAGAAACGGTTTTGGTAAATATCAATGGGGCCCTTTTTGAATTTTGGTGAGCTGAATGATGTATGAAAACTATTTGCAAGGCTAGCATATTTTTCAACCACTAGTAAAGCAATAAAACAAATAACATTTTTGGTAATCCCCATTGTATATGCAGTTTCATAAATATACAAGATTATGATTATCGCTGCCTCATAATTAACAATTTGCATAAGTACTTGCTATTTTTTAGTTGTCTGAATAGATTTTTGTAATCCAGAGAAAGAAGGGAACAATCAGTGGAAGCCATCCCAAATGCCTAGTATTATTGCTACACACTTGCACAATTAACAGCGATACTAATTGCTTCAGACCAGAACCTCATTTGTTTTTCTAAGGACAGCAAAAACATTAATAGCCAGAGTGCCTGTCAATCTCTCTCTCTTTTTCCTATAGCCAACTGTATCATAGGGTCTGCAGTTGACTGTAAGCAAATTATTTTGTTGGATTTTCAGTGTATCATCTTGTAATGGAGTTTCCAAGTTTCAGTTAGCAATCAATGCCTTGAACAGCCAGACTTATTTTTATAATATTTTAACAATAGACCTCTATAAAGTTAATGAATAAAAGGATGCTGACATGCCAATCAGTTCTGCTGCTGCATTTACATTCTACTACATATTTCATATCTTTAAAATTATTGGCATTAGACCTGCATATAAGAATCATAGAAAGTCCAGGCTGGAGGGGAGCTTTAAGATCATCCCGTCACACTCCCTCCTTTTTCAGATGAGTATGATTGTCAGTAATTTGAATCTTGATAACAACCACCAAATCAATGATGCCACACTTTTTTTTTTTTGTACCTTTCAAACGTTGGGAACTATTATAGTAAGTTTGAATGATAACTGGTTGTTTGGGAATCATATAGTTTCAACTTATTTTCAAAACAACTGAATCAGAATTTTAAAAATATGCCCTCATAAGGCTTACCTAAACATAGCCATAATGTTGATGGTATATGTGTGAAAGGAGATGTTCTATGCAAATCACCTGGCAATGAGACACTCAACCAATATCAGCTCTCTTTCCTTCATGCATAGATTACCTAATTAACATTACTATAGTGGAAACATTACATCAGTGACTGACAGTCTAGGCGTTTAGAGTCAAACTGACCTCGGGTCCAATCCTGGCGCTGCTACTTTCCAGCTGTGTGACGTTGGGTAATTTAGTTCATCTCTGTTGGCTTCAGGTAGTTTTCTTATATGTGAAATGTAGCCAGTATATAGGCTTGTTTTGAGGATTAAAATGAGATCGTGCATATCAAGTGCTTAGCACTGTTCCTGTCACATAGTAAACAGTCGATAATGGTGGTTATTACCATCGTTTTTTGGCATACCCAGCGGCAGCCTCACTCAATAGTATATTTAATCTTACAGTGATTTGGGGTACTTACACATACACCTGTACACATGCATATTTGGGCACACAAGTTCATAAGATTTGCATCAGAAAGACTGCTTTCCCAAAGGTTACCTGTGACCACCATGTTTCACAATTCAATGGCCTCTTCCCTGGCCTCAGTCTTCTTGACCTCTTTGGAGATTCTGGCACTTTTGCACATATTCTCTTGCTTGAAAGGGTTCATAATCTATCTTGATGTCTTCTCTACATTCCTTAGGTTTCCTTTGTTGGGATCTCTTTTCCACACGTACACACACACACACACACACACACACACGCGTGCCCACATCTTCTCCCTCCCCCACTGCCCCTTTAAATAGAGCAATTCCCAAGGTCCTGTCATTGATCTGCTTCTCTTCTGTTGCTATATTTTCTCCCTGGGTAACTTCACCTCCTCACATAGCTTCACCTTTAACCTCTACACTAATGATTCCCAAATTGACCTCTCCAACCCTTAATTCATTCCGGAGCCCCAGGCTAACTCCAATTTCCAATTGCCTGCTGAGAATCTCCAGGGCAGGATGTCCTAGGAGACTGAAAGCGTAGTCTGGCTTTTGTCATCCTTCTCAGGAATGCAGATGGAGGAATCTAGCTTCAGAAGTATTAAGGGTTGAAAACAAGGCACAAGTATGGAGCATTAGTCTGAGCAGAAGTAACAGTGGTCTAAG
The DNA here is from genome assembly GCF_000001405.40 of Homo sapiens. Classification (NCBI taxonomy): domain Eukaryota; kingdom Metazoa; phylum Chordata; class Mammalia; order Primates; family Hominidae; genus Homo; species Homo sapiens. Next base: position 132,704,797 of record NC_000023.11, on the reverse strand, counting down.
TTAGCAAAGTGCTTCAAACTGAGCTTTCCAGGGGAGGCATAACAGATAAACTGTGAATTTCTGTTATTATGCACTGGAGATGTCAATTGGCAGTTGGAACTTTAAAAGGTTTATATTTTCTAGGGATAAGGGAACAGCTTCCTAAGATGAAAATTGAGTTCAGTTTTTAGGTGCTGGAAGATTGGCATGTTTGGAAGAAGTGTTAATTAAAATCATCTTTCTTTTCTTTTCTTTTTTTTTGAGACGAGTTTTTTTCGCTCTTGTTACCCAGACTGGAGTTCAATGGCGCGATCTCAGTTCACTGCAACCTCCGCCTCCTGGGTTCAAGCAATTCTCCTGCCTCAGCCTCCCAAGTAGCTGGGATTTCAGGCATGTGCCACCACACCTGGCTAATTTTGTATTTTTAGTAGAGACAGAGTTTCACTATGTTGGTCAGGCTGGTCTTGGACTCCTGACCTCAGGTGATCCACCCACCTTGGCCTCCCAAAGTACTGGGATTACCGGCGTGAGCCACCATGCCTGGCCAAAATCGTCTTTCTTTGGACACTTATTATCATTAATCTTGTTTCAGTGTTTTGTTTAAGAAACGCACGTGCCAAGGGGAAAGATGATGTACTGAACTTGAATGATGAGCAGGTGGGAATTTTGTGAGAGCAAATGTGTGTGTAGACACATACACATATGCTGGGTCAGGTGTGCCTGAGATTTTGAATGTGTGCAAATAATTCTATCAGTGATAGATTTTTTTCTTTCATTCATTCTGCAGATATTTACAGAACATGCCAAGCTCTCTGTGGAGCAACACAGCTGTGAATATAGAACATATAGGGTCTCTGTCCTTAAGTGTCTAATACATTTTTTTTTGTTATATGCAGGTACATTGACAATTTAATTTAGTTTAGAAATATCTGCAACATGTCACAAATTGTTCAATGGCCATAATCTTGCTGACAATCTTAATGACCAAAGAGGAACTTAAGGGAAATAAGACAGTGTTAAAGTGGGAAAGGAATGTACATAAATCTGAATTAGAAATTGATTACTTCCTTTAAATTTAGTAAATATTGAATTGCTTTGGGGTTTTACATTTCAAGTTGGCTTGCCAGTGTTCCAGGCCAGGGTAAGAATGATTATGTCTAACCCTAAAACTTAATTAGAGTAAAGGAATAGACAACTCCTGGTTAATGTGTGTACTATTGTCAGGAGAATTAGTTGTAAATGAGTTATTTCTACAGAAACTGCAGGCTCAGGGCTGATATCTTTAGCACAGAGGACAATATCCCTTTTTGCAGAAGAATGGTCCCATTCTCTACCTTCTCAAAATGCAGTACAGTCACTCCTGTTTGAGCTACTACCATATGGCATATTTGAAGACCATTTTGTCCTCCAAGTGGGAATCATCTACTTGTGAGTTCCTTGACTTCATGGTTGCATGCCATTCTCCCCTTCAGAAATTTGGCATGGGCCTTTGTCTGTAAGTCTCAATTCCAAGTGTTCTTGGTCCCAGCTGTCAGTTTCAAAGTCCCCTTCATGGTCCCTCTCAGGTCCCAAGGATCCCTCATTGCATCAGTAAACCTAGAGATCTACTTGGATGCCCAGAGCTCCTGTCAGAGCTATGTAGATGGCAGCCACCCTCTGTTCCACTATGCTAGCTTCTCCTTCAGATCTCTCACGGCACAAAACCTCTCATTATAATGATGTGCACATTGGCCAGTGCTTCTATTTCCTTTGCCTTGCGTGAGTTAGAGACATTCTGTTATTCTCACTGGAGGTAAGAATGATTAAAAACATCCTTGAATTTAGAGTCTCAAATGCCTTTATTCTCATGGTTTTCATCAATCATAATATAACTTCTCTTTCCTTTCTTAGATTTATTCATTCAATATGTATCTATTGAGCACTTATTATGATCCAGGCACTGTTCTAGACATGGGGGACAATACGACAGACAAGGTCCCTTCTCTTGTGTTTCTTAAAGTGTGTGTGTGTGTGTGTGTTGGAGGGAAATTGAAAACAAAGTACACAAGTAAATGAACAAGATTATCATAGGGAGTGGTAAGTGCCATGAAGAAATCAAACACATTGGACAGAGAATGGTCAGACAGTTGGAGAGTGATCAGAGAAGGCCTCCCTAAGGAGGTGAATTTTGCTCTTTGCTTTTGTTGATTTTGTACAGACTTCAGTTACACTTTGGGTCCTTTGGTTTCCTCCATTTCATGATATCCTGGACTCGGTATGCATTCTCATTTTGTTGCTTCTTGCCACTGTACTATTAGGACAACCTCCCTTCAGCTAGTCCTGAAGAGTAAACTAATGTAGCCTCCTGTCAAATATGTGTTCCACACTTTTCTTGTCGTAGTCAGTATTAGAATTCAGCATGTTCACGCTCTTCCCTGTTATAGAATATAAATGGATGCTAATCCTTTAAGGATATTTTACTTGATTACTCAGTGCATTTTTGTTACTCAAGGCAAACTACCTATTGAAAGAAAAACGCAAGCATTAAGAGTTAGTAAGCATTTGGCTTTGCCTATTTCTGTAAAGGGAAAAGCTATTGTTAAAATTAGTGTTCAAAGTTAAATAGATGATCCTGGAGGTTCTCTTTAGTTCGAAAGTAGTACAATTAGTTGTTTTCAGAGACGGAGCCAAAATCTCTTTTCAATATGCTGTTTAATTTTGTAAAGTGGATATGCAGGAACATTTTCCAGTGTATCAGAAGTGCTTAGATTAAGCATACATTTTCCGACAAAAGCTAGCTTTACAATTCTTGTAAATGTCACAGGAACTTAAAACATTGTGTCTTGTTTTAACCTCTGCCAGCTAGAGCAGCAATTCAGCACAGCAGATTCAATTGTCAGTTTCTTAAATGTGAATATCTGAAAGTTCATTGTCTTTTCAGCTTGACCACAGGGAATCTTCAAAAAACTAAAAAGCCAAACACCACTAAAATGTTTGGTGGTTTCAAAATGCTATGGCATAGGTGTTGCTTGCTAGTGAGTTAGGTGCCAAGAAAAGCATGTTAACTCTTAGAAGGCCATTCGGATTCTTCCAGCCATCATTTTGTTGTCTTCCTCAGCACCTAGTTAAAGCCCCAGGTAGGAACTGAGGTAGGAGTTAGAAAGTTTGCCTTCCCTAACTCCTCTCACACCTCCCGTCCTGTCCCATTGAGCTCTGTGGGAGAAGATGGGGAAGCAGGTGGGGTGGGTTTGGAGAAGGTGCACCAGAATGTTGCCAATATCCCAAGTACCCTTGCATCTCCCTTCTTTAAAACTTCTGTGTCGTCACTTACTATTCCACTTATCACTCAGATACTTGGCTGTGTTCTAAATACAACAATCAACTCCATGACTAGATTTTGGGAAAGCAGTTTTTTAAAAATCCAGAGAAAAGCTGAGCATGATTCTGTGGTAAAGGAATCTTCAGGAGAAGAGGAACCAAGAGAGTTTGGAAACTCCTAGAAATGCAACTCTGATTTACAGTCACAGAGATTCTTGACATAGAAAAGGAGTGGGGTATAGAGAAAGAAGTGAGGAAGGCACACAGCACAGTGAGTCCTTGTATGATTTTAATTGAAAAGGCTGTTATTTTCTGCAGGTGAGAAAATAGATGCACATCAAGGCAATGACTTATCTAAGTACGTGCAGCTAATTAGTGGCAGATGCAAGAGAAGAACACAAGTCAACTGAATCCTATCCAGTATCTTGATTGGTAATTAACTAAACTCGCTGAATTTTTGGCTTGCTTTTGCCGTTTAATTCTTAGCGCTACGTTTGTTGCCAGCACTTTTAATTCATTATGCTCAAAGGACTTTATCAACAAAGGTGGACAAAATCCCTTAGAAACAGGTAAAAGGAATTTTGTTTTGGAGGGGTTGGGGCCAGCTGACAGATAGTACAGGATCGCATAGAGGTGAGAGTGGTTGGATTGGAAATAAAGCCTAAAACTCAAGATTTAGCTTAAAATAAAATGAAGAAAGAGAGGATTGCGGCTATAGACTGGGGATCCATATTTAAAGGTACACATCATCTCTTTAATGCTCATTCTTAATGACAGCTGTAGCCCATTCTCCATCTGAAGATTGAAATGTCTTTTGTTTAGGGTTCTCAGTACTTTGAGTCTCTTTCCAGGCATATTTGTGGCCTTCTCCTTGTCTTTCTGTTTTTCTATTCTGTATGGTTTTTCATCTCTAATGTTTTCCATTAGTTTGGTCTCACGGTCTTGACCAGGGCACTCATGGCACAACCATATATATATATATATATATGATCTTATGTGCACATAAAATGGAGAACACTATTTAACAAGTTAGAAACTATTAGATTATTTCTGTTCCTCTTTCGGAACTGAAAGATTTCCTCTTGACAAATGGCTCTTCTCCAAAATCTTAAAATTGCACCTCAGAAAAAAATGACGGTCACTGTGCTACCATGAAGCTTCCTGTCCCTTCACTTTCATTGGCTTACTATTCAATGAGCTCCATTGATTTTCCAGACCTCCATTGATTTTCTCAACCTTGCCTCATCAGCCAGACACTAGAATTACAAGGGAGCTTCATCAATATCTTGTGTGGTTTCAAAACTTTTCCACTTTTCTAATTTGGGCAATGGGTATGGTACAAACCATCCGTAAACGGCATTTGGTGGTGCATTGGTCTTTCTTCTCATGGCTTCTACAATTCTAACTTGATTTCTGCTCACCACAGGGCACAGTTTGCCTTCTCTTCCCTGGGAGCTCTTGTTCATTTGTCAGGAGACCTAAAAGAAGGCTACTATGTACAGTGGTGGAATGTCAGAGTCATCCTAAACTGGCATAAATAGGTCTTTAATGGCCTTTACTGATTGTTTCTATATTGACATATAAATCCACATGAGGCTGTGTGAGGAGACTGTGCATAGTCTTTCTCCCGTTTTTTCATATGAATTGATTTGACAATGTCATAGATGATGCATGAGACAAAGTAAAGTGTTTCTTAAGCTCACTGCTGCTTGTTTGCATGAAAAGGAATAAAAGCTACAGGGAAGAAATGGACATTGTGTGATGCTTTAGGCAGGAGCCATTTTCTGACTCACACCTTTTAGACCATAATCCACTTTCTGAACCTGTGCAGGGGAAAGTGGTCACTGTGATATTCTTTTGCTGGAAAACCTCCTAATTAATAGAGGTTTTCTGAAATTCATAAGAGATGAAATACAGAGTCTCAAAAAACGAATTAGTTGTAATTATAAATGCTTGCATCTTATATGAGAAAATGAAATGGGATAAGAGCTTTTTGAGGAAGAGTCTCTGAAAATAACACAATGTTTTATTGTTGAAGAGCCATGTGATTTAATACTCAGTGATCATGAAATCACATGTAAAGCAATCCACCAGGAGAGTCCAGAAAGCCTCATTTATTCCTCTCTATATGAGCAGATTCAGTGTCTCCTTTACAATGCTATCAAAATATGTATAAATAAAACAACACTCTTGGGGCTGATTTTAAATTTAACCCACAGTAACTGTAATTTAACATGAGTACCTGAATATTTCCCTATTTGGAGTCAAAGTGGGATAACTGGGGTAGGGGTTGGGGAGAGGCCCCTAGCTTTCTGTCCTACAACAATCTCAAGCACAGGATCTCTGATTTCCCCTTCTCATGCAGGAGGTATTTTATGTCTTGGCAATGGGTACTTTTGTTCACTAATTTTCATGGCCTACAATCATAGGTCAATTGGCTCTGGGTCATTCTGGGGCTGAGGGAAAACAGGTAGTGTCCTTCAATAGATTTGGAGAAACTGGAGGGGGCCTCTTAACTTGGTGATTTTCCAGTAATGTGATTGAAAATGTACTACTACATTAATTAATTCAGTCATTACAGATACACTTATTGAGCACCTACCATAATTCAGCACGATTCTTAATGCTAGAGATATGACAATTGAATAAGACAAATATAGTTCCTTCTCTCAGGGAGCTTATATTCTGGTGGCAGATATAGATAATTTGGAGGAAGCAAGTCAACAAAATGTGTCCATATTGTGATGAATGTTATGAAAGAATTAAGTGGAGTGCTAGATAGGGGATATGTAGCCTTTGGAATAACCTCATTGTGGGGCAAACTTATCCTTTGTGGATGGATTTGATTTTTGGAAACATCAAAAATGATATGGGGCCAGGTCTTATAAATATATAATGGAAGATCAAATTGATTGATAAAAGTTTTGCCCCCAAATGAGGGTATATATGTAATTACTGTAATATTTTTGAGTGTCAGTAAAAATATATACTACACTAACTAGTGATAAGCACGCCCATGTTTTTAAAGGCAGTGAAAGGGCTCCAGCAATGGGTGTTATCCTTTGGCAAGCATTTAGGCATCTATAGCTACCAACAGCACTGTCTCCAGTTCTCTGCCTCTCCTCAATTCTGGTCAACCCTTGTCATCATTGGCAAATGTACTTTAGCTGTTATATTGGTACATAAAATAAACATTCAGAGACATTCCAAACTATGTAGTACAGCAGTAACATGTGAAATTTGATTCTGTCACAATTATAATTTAGTTCTCTCATTTCATTAGTCCAAATAAAGTGGAGTTTCATTTATGCTATTTTGTATCAAATAAATCTGTAGAATGCTAATACACCACTTCGATGAGATACAATCAATTTGAGTCTAGGAAAGGCAAGAATGTTATAAGCTAGAATGTCAAGATGAAGATGAACAGACAAAGGAAGCCATGATAGGAGAATTGAGGACCCCTTGTGTGCTCCTTCTTGTACTAACTTAAGTGATATCTACCATGTCCGTTTAGTGATCGTTCTAGACATGTCCCCATTAAAGGATATCTAATAGAGATGGTTTTGTAAAATGAGAAGAAGCCAATGATAGCCATTTAATTACATCTTTAGTGTGACGTTAGCTCCCTGTCTTGAGAAGCATTGATATTCTCCATGGGTGTTTACTTGAGCAACTACTCTGCCAGGCACTGGGAGTACAGAGGTGAATTAGAGAGAGATCCTGTCTTTATGGAGCTCACATTGAATTTGGGAGATAGAACTAACCGTTGTGGTAGAATATGGTTCATACTAATATGTATAAACGTAGATACTTGGTACTTCAAGGAGTCTGCTCTAGGTTGAGTCGTTGGGTCAGAAACTACTAAGGGAACTATTCTATGGTTTGCTAAAGCTAGTGATGGGGCAGGTATGTTCATTTCTTCACCTCATATAAATATCTTTGGACTCTTGGCATGATTCACATGCATACACTTTCAATCTATCTGCCAGTTTTAAAGGCAGGTATAATGGTGAGGTCTAGTTTCAAAATAAGTAGCTTTTATAGGTAATATTCTGTGGTTTCTTCTTGAATGTAGAACCAGACCGATTCAGAATAACTCTCATGTGACCTGTTGTGAAGAGCCGGCCTTAATTTTTCTTTCTCTTTTTTTCTTTTTGCAACACCAGCTCCATTTCTAGTAGCAAATCTGAGCCAAAAGCACAGATTCATTGACTGTTTGCATAAGACACTAAATAGACACTGAACAGAGGATTAATGTAGCCCTGTCTTCTGGGAGCTTATAGTCTAAAACAGACAACAAACTGGAAAGAATATCCAACACACCTGATATGCTCATTTCCCTTCTCATATAAATCCAAAGAAAACAGAAAGTGGCAAGTCACATTCTACAGGATTGGGAAAATCCCCTAGAGAGTATTTTCTTTTTGTGACTTTTCAAGTTAAAAGGTATTTTGTATATGACATGTAATAGATTACAGTGTTATTTGATGAAAATGCAAGCAATGTTCTTCCTTTCTTTTTTACTATCAACAAGTTACATTGGAAGGTGTGGATCAAATTAAAAGTGAATTCTTGATTTGCCATGGGGAAATATGTGCAGTATTTTAAATACTCTAAGGTAAGGGTCAACTTGTGGGAAGAAGAGGTATCATAAAAATTAATTTAAGAAACTAGCCTTGAGATATTTCCTAATAATCCCACAGGGAAAGCAACATCTGTGTCATAATAAAGGCGCTTAGTGTGACCTTTTTGCAAAAGGGAATATTACCGAAACATGACCAAAGTTTGGAGCTGAGGTACTGCAGTAAAATAATGGGAGTCTACTAAATATTTATAAGGATGTATTCATTTGTAAGAAAGTAGTGAAACAGTAGAACATCTGCCAAACCAAGGTTAATTTCCCAAAGCTCATGTGTTTGTGAGAGACACAGAGACAGGCACAGGAATAGAAATGCAGAGATAAAGAGACACAGAGAGAGAAAGTAGCAAGAGGCTGAGCCAGAGGTGGACAGAGACCAAGAACTGAAAATCAGCCACCCTATTGATTACCTTCCAACTCTGTCATGAAATTTACTGAGAGACCTTGGTCAGGTCACTGCTCTCTGGGCCTTGGTTTCTTCATGTGTAAGATGAAGGGATGGACTAGAATATGACTCTATAGAACTTACCAACTCCCTGGTTCTACTCTTAGCTGCAAGGTAAATGAAAAGGCAGGCAGGTGGGTAGGTAAAGATATACACGGGCAGGCATGGAGACAGACAGACTGGCCACATACATGCATACACAAGTTTCACAAAAATAGAACAAAGCCCAAATCATGGTAGACCAGTGAACTGTGAATCACAGAGAGCAGCAGCCAGATCCACAAAATCGTCTCATCGCTTTTGATACTGCCATGGTGAAAACTTGGCAGATTTCCTTTTACCTAGCACTTGCCCAGCTTCCTGGAGGCCAGCATTCAGACCTTTTCTGACTGGCTTGGCCGACCCTTTCCTCCACCGACTCAGAGGATTAGTTATGTCAGGATCTGCAAATGACCTCTGATGCCCAAATGGAAGAACTCAGCCTACTCTTCTAACTCTTAACACTTGAGGATGAAAAAACTCACATAACCTACCATGCATATTCTTGTCCAACTTTCTGTCTGGATATCTGTCTGGTTGTAATGTTCTATGGATAATTTTAAGCACGCTGTGTTCACCAGGCTTTCAAAGGTAACCACTTTTAAACTTTTGTGAGTCTTGTTTGCAGGGGCATGGAAATGAAGAGAATAATTAGTACTTGTCGAGCTCCCAGCCAGCGAATGACTTTAGTAAGGTGCTAACAATGCACTCAAGTGAGTGCAGCAAAATGATGAGGACTTACAGATGGATTTTAGTATCTGGTTTATTTCACTTCCATTGGTTTTTGCAAGATGTAATATAGTGTGATTTTTCTTACTTTGACTGCTTATAATTTATCAGCCTTCCCCAAAATAATACCCCCATAGTTTAATCTGAGGGCACATGAGCTGATAGTAGGTACCCCTTTGGGAAAATCTGATTAAGCATTTGTTTCTCAAGAAACTCCTTTGGTATCTGGGACACCATTTTGAATACATCTAGAGCTTCACATTTTGATGCTAGTACATTTTATAAGAATCTATGAAAAGCAACTCCATCAAAATTGTGTTTCCTTAGAGAAAGATAGTGCATTAGGATAACAATCTGTATTGCACCCATTACCATAGTACTTTCTTAAGAGGTTTTTGCCATCACTGGAAGCCTTACTCTTCCAGGACAAGTGAGCCCTGAGAACACAGGCTAGGGTGGGCATGATGTGTGAGGATGAAGAAGCCAGGCTGGCTGCAGTCAAGCTTGCTCTTATACCAAGTGGCGGATGGGTTTGGTTGAGTCATTGTAGCTAGCGAGAGAGGATGCTGAAAGACACAAGAGAGGCTTGGCTTCCACATATATCTCCAGCGCCACCTCGTCCCTGGGGTCCAGACTCCTGCAACTCTCACACCACTCCTGTCTCTACTGGGAGGTTTAGTTGGGATCTCAAACTTCACCTGCCCCCAGACAAACTCCTGACATTTCCCCAGAACGTGGTCCTCTCCCAATCTTCCCCGCCTCAGTGAGTGGCATCTCTGTCCTTACCAGTTGCTCAGGGGAAAATCTTCAAGGTATCTTTTGCATATCTTTTTCTCCCCCAGGCCATGTCTAATCCACTAGCAAATTCTGTCTACTTCACCTGCATAATATATCTGGAATTTGACCGCCTCTCGCCACCATCAGCTCTGTCATCCTAGTCCAAGCCGCCATCATTTCTTACATGGGCTTCTGTAAAAGCCTACTAGCTGGCTCCCCTGCTTCCTTTATTGGACCCCTACAGTCTTGTCTAACCACAGTGATAACCCTTTTAAAATGTTAATTGAGATGTTGTCATTCCTCTTTTCCCAGCCCAGCAGTGGCTCTCCATCTCCTTCAACAACCAACCCTGCAAGGTTCCTGCAAGCTCCATCTCTGACTTTATATTTTATTACCCTGCCTCAGGCCCATTTTTCTCTAATCACACTGGTCTCCTTGCTTTACCTTAAATATACCAGGCCTCTTGCTGCCTCAGGGCCTTTGTATTTGCTCCTCTTTCTACCTGGAATGCTCTTCCCCTAGATATCTGCAGGGCTGGGTCCTTATGTTCATTCCAGTCTTTCTTGAAATGTCATAGGAATAGGATTGCCAAGGAGTCCAATTCTTAAAAAGAGGTCACTGGTCTTGGCCAGCAGGAAGTCACTGATGACTTTTTAGAGGGCAGCTGCAGTCAAGTGGTAGAAGAGGAGCCACATTGTTTTTGAATCATCTGTATCCCTTACCAGGCTGTGCACCGCTCGAGTCTGGTGCTGTTGTCTCATTCATTTTTGTCTGTCTAGTACCCTCCACAGTGCCTGGCACCAGTAGGCACTCAGTGTTTGTGGGATGAGGGCACGAGTCTTATTTTCAAACAATTGGTTATGTTAAAACACGTTAAATTGCTGAATGTTTGTGATTGCTTTCTCAGTTTTTCTCAGGGAATATGTTTGAAAAACAAAATCTGTGCATTTATTGTAGACCCATTCCCTGAGTATTGACGGGTGACATGGTGCTGTACATGTGATTTAGAGGTTTTCAGTGCACACAGGTTGTGGGGGAGGCTGAGACCATCCTCAGTGTCTTAGGGAGATAAGAAAGTTCAATCTCTGCTTGTGTATTTACTAGCTCACTTCCCTTTTAAAATCCCCTTTCTAGACTGGAAGGGCTATTTAAATTCAAAAGCTATCCTTGGGTTCAAGCAAAATCTTAATGACTTTAGGGACAGATATTTAACAGGTGGTTTAGATAGTTAACACTCGGCTGGTGGTGAAAAACCACATTGAACCACATTGAACATGGGGTTCCCTAATAATTTTAACTGAGCTCAACCTTCATCTCCTTTATCGCCTCTCCTTTATTTAACTATCTACTGGAGTTCAAAACACCACTGTAGGAATGGCTTTTCTTCTTGTATCTTGCCCCCCTTCCAGGCTCTGCCCTCTGAGATCTTTCCCTAGACACCAGTTAGAGAAGGTTGGCCTTCCCTGAAACTCTTTATTCCTAGATCCTTTTGACACCACTAGTAAATCCTGCTTTCTTTGCTGTCTGAGAATTTTATGAAGGTCACTTCTGCAGCATCGGCCTCTACACCAATGGCTAGGAAGCCGTGGCAGGACTCTGATCCCATTTCTAGTATTGCTCTTAAACCAGCTCTGCCTGCAAATGTCAGAGTTTTAGACCTCAAGCCCTCTATCTCCTGAAAGTAATTGTGACTTGTAGCCTATCACCTGGGTCAGTCCACAGGGTCTGCTCTGCCTGTCCTGATATCTACCATATTCGTCATATGAGACATTTACCTATGTGGGAGGGAAAATGGTATCACGAGTGTGGCCAAGAATAGGTAGCTATTTCTACCGGGAGTGGAGGAGGTCATTTCATACCCCTACAAAAGAGGATTTTTCTGTTACCCCCTCTGCTATAAATCAAATACACACTTAACAGTTATATGCCATCCAGGCTCATTCAACAAACATTTGCCGAGAACCACACAGCCTGGGTGTAAAGGAGTTGGGGGAAATAGGGACATGAGACATGGTCCATATGCCCTCAAAAAGCCTGCAATCCACAGAAGGTGGAAATAGTGAGAAAGGTACAGACAGAGCCTATGAATCAGTGCAATATAATCAGGTCTGAGCAAAGTGGAGCCAAGAGGAAGCAATTTGTTGTTGCCTGAGGCTGTAGAGAAGACTATTCAACAGGAAAGGCAGATGTGGGTTTTCAAAGAGAAGCAGGATTTTGTGGAGAGGAGAAGATGGGGAAGTGCTATCCTGTTAGAGAAAGTGGCTTTGTAAAGGCCCAGAGGCAAGGACCAGCATGGAGGATCTGGGAAGGGTTGTGGTGTGGCATTTAGAAAATATGTAAGGCCAGGTTCCATCTCGGAGGGTATTGAAAGCCATGCTGAGACATAGACCTGATTAAGTAGGCAATAAGGAGCTGCGTACGGTTGTCAAGCAGGGGAAGGAGAAAACAGCTGTTTCTTCCAAAGATAATAGTAGCTTAACTGTGGAGCAAAGAAGGGAGCGGGTTGGCGCTGTGATGGATAAATACCATACTCTCACCATCACTGCACTGACCACACTGAGCAAACAACTCTCAGTGTGAAAGCGGGGAAGTGATAGTCCTAAGGGCTGTGTCACCCGGGCGGAAGAACTGCAGTTGCATCACTTGTCCTGATCATTGTTAAACTGAGCGTGGGCTGGGAGCTCCTTGTTCCTAGGCAAAAGTCCTCAGTAGGAGACTGTAATCATGCCTAAAATTACTTCATTATTGGAACCAGTGTTTGATCTGTGATTAAGAGCTGGATGAAGAAATCAAGTAATCAGCCATTGAAATTGTAACCATAAATTGTTCTATAAACAACTAACTTCCCCTGTCTCCCGGACTCCAAGCAACAAACTTGAAAACAGATACTTTTCCTGTTGTTTCTTCACCCGATGGGTTTTAGCCAGTGCTTTTGAGCCTTGCAGAAGTCAGAGGGTAACACCTGCCAGCCACAGTGCCCCTTTGTCCCTCACATATGGATCACTCATGATGTTGTACCTTGTCAGACTAAGACAAGATACCCAAGGAGTGTGGAGCTGTTAAAAATATGCAACTTATTAAGATTTGTCTAGTGAGGGTAAAGAGATTTATTTTTAACAGAACTGGGGAGAAACTGCCTGGATTTCAAGATAAAGAATAGAGAAAGCCCTCAGCGGTTGTTGCCTTTTCAATGATGTGTTAGAAGTAGCTTTTGTCCTGAAGGGTTTTATTTTGCCCAAAGCATTCAAATACTACAGCCCATAGAGACATTTCTGTAAAACAACATTAGGGCTTATTGACTTTTTCTTGTTTGGGGTTGCGCTGTGCTTAACCTTCCAGATATGTAATAAATAGTAACAAATTTTAAGAAAGATCTAAACTTTGTTTTGGGGAAGACCATGGCAGCAACCAGGCAATCTTGACACATGAAGTAACTGACTGTGGAACCACAACCTGCTTTGCTCCTATAATGCCTAGGGACAACCAGACAAGAGCGGTTAAGGGAGTTATTTCATGTGATCATTTTTCTGACGTTAAGAGGTAGCACCTAGTAGTTGCTCAGCAAGGTTCATTTTCCTCCTCTGTTGTCATTTACAGCCCAAACCCTTAGAGATCATAACATGGAAGAGCCCTTAAGGGTCTGCCCAAACCTTTCCATTTTGCAAGATAAGTAGGAAGGCTCACAGAAGTTAATGACTTACCCTTTGTCCTCGACTGGTCCTTAGCAGAAGCAGAGCTAGAATCGGGTCTACAATCCAGCTGCTTTGCCTTCTTCGATGGGAGCAGTACTTCATCTGTCTCTTGGGAATAACTCCAGTAGCCCAGTGAAAACATTGCCTCTTTCACAAAAATTCACTTTCACAAGTTAGCATCCTTGGCACTTGGCATAATAATGCGACCAACGATAACATAGATACCACTTTATAGTCTGCATAGTGCTTTTCACCATAACATCTTGTGTTGAACTCCCATTGTTATCCATGGCTCTACTGGTGGCATTTTAAAGGACAGTGTGTTGTAGACTGGGATCCCTTACCCAAAGAGGAGTTTGAACTCCTTTTTTAAAAAGAGGGCTGAGAAAGGTTTCACTTTATGTTCCTGTAATTTCTTAAAGGATTTATAGATAAAAACATTAAAATATTCTGGGTGTAAAATAAAATTGTCTCAGAATGGGAATAGACTTAAGGTACAGTGAGGAGATATAGGAGACAAATCAATGGAAGATTTAAAGTCAGGAATAAATGCTGATAATGGATTTCTAGATACTTCTCTTGAATTCCAAAAACACGAAAAATAAACTGTTGTTACTGGGGTGGAGACAAAACAGAAGAAGATAAAGAGAACAGGCTAAGGAGAAAGGAAGAGGTTAAGGGAGAAACCTCTGTATGAGGAACAAACCAAAGTTGACTCTTTTTTCAAAATTCCTACATTCTCTGGGATAAACAGCTAATGTTTGAACATAAAACAGCTGAATCTCCCAGAGCTTCAACTACTTTCTGTTTTGGAAGTTAGTACTTTGGGAAATTGAAGACTCTTTCCATTTCCTAGGGAAGTTGCCAATTTAGGGTTTTACATCAGAGGTTGGCAAATTATGTCCCCAGGCCAAATCCAGTCCATTACATGTTTGTTTGTTTGTTTTTGGTATGGCCAGTAAGCTAATAATAGTTTTTATATTCTCAAACAGGTGAAAAAATTAAGAACAATGTTTTGTGACATTTGAAAAATATATGCAATTCGCATTTCAATGTCTGTAAATAAAGTTTTGTTGGAACACAGCCATGCATTCATTTACATGTTGTGTATGACTGCTTTTGTACTGTAACAGCAGAGTCTGCAACTCTGAAAAGATTTACTATCTGGCCATTTACATAAAGAGTTTGTCAACCGTTGCTTTAAGCCAATCTTTTGGTTTCCCTGGGTCACATTGGAAGAAGGATAATTGTCTTGGGCTACACATAAAACACACGAACACAAATGATTGCTGATAAGCTTAAAAAAAAAAGCGAAAAAAATCTCATAATGTTTTAAGAAAGCTTACGAATTTGTGTTGGGCTGCATTCAAAGCCATTCTGGGCTGCATGCAGCCTGCAGGCTGCGGTTTGTACAAGCTTGCTTCAAACTGAAGTATCTTCATGATCTGAAAGTGTTAAATAACTTTCTCTAGAGCCCAGCTCTTAACCAGAGGGGAGTTTAGACATTGGGATAATCTGGTTCAATATAACTTAATTCAATGACTTGTACTTAGAATCAAGTTACAAAAGTGGAATATTATGCTTCCTGTCTAACTATAAATTGTATTCCATAGAGGTACGTCAAATATTTCAATTTTCTAAAATGTAATATTAAGCTTCCCAGTAATTCAAAATGAGATTAAGGGGAATTTTTTTTCATTTGCTCTTTGTAACAACCAGCTTCATATAACCAGCAGCAAACAATGGGGTCCCCAGACTGTTTGAGGACACTTTTGTATCGATTAGCTGTAGTTAAAGCCTGAATGGTTAAGTCAGCAATTTGACTTAAAAAAATGCTGTAGATTCTAATTTATAATACCTCTACAGCAACAGACTTCCTATCAGGCAGATTGTGGAGACAAGCAGTTGTTTGTACCGATTTCTGGCTAATTACTTATCTATTTGATATGGCATCTCCCACCAAAATGCCATACCAAGCTGTGCTTTCCAAGGGCATTTTTGAATAATGGGATTCAAACAGGAATTTAAATGTTCACCCGAACCTTCTCTCTCGATCTGTGCACTAGGATGAAGGAGGGTTGATTCCAGCTTGGGACAGATGACCAGGAGGTATGGGACAGATGACCAGGAGGTAAATGAAGGGGTTGAGGATCAGTATTGGAAGGTCAGGAAGGACACATTTTACAAGTTGGGACATTCAACCTATGAATCATTTCTTATGCAGTTTCAAGATATATTTTGCATTGATTAGCTGTCTTTGAAGCCCATACAGTTAAGGCAGTTTTCTGCCTTCTGCCTCTTCACTGAGCACCTGTATTAGCTAGAGCTTAGATCTAAGAATTCTGTGACTTGCTGAAATTTATTCTGCTAGCTAAGAGGACCAAGGGCCTTTAAGCTTCAGATTTGCATCACTGTCTCTTCAAACTAGATTACTTTAATGAGTACTTGATATGGTTTGGCTGTGTCCCCACCCAAATCTCATCTTGAATTGTAGTTTCCATAATCCCCACTTGTTGTGGAAGGGACCTGGTGGGAGGTAATTTAATCATGGGGGTGGTTAACCCCATGCTGTTCTCATGATAGGGGGTGAGTTCTCAGGAGGTCTGATGGTTTCATAAGGGGCTTTTCCCCCTTTTGCTCAGCACTTCTCCTTGCTGCCACCATGCAAAGAAGGATGTGTTTGCTTCCCCTTCCACCATGCTTGTAAGTTTCCTGAGGCCTCCCCAGTCATGCTGAACTGTGAGTCAATTGAACCTCTTTCCTTTATAAATTACCCAGTCTTGGGTATGTCTTTATTAGCAGCATGAGAATGGACTAATGCAGTACTGTACTTTTGTAATTTTCATAATTGTTTCTTACATTTTGAATCAATAGTTTCATACCATTATGACCATATATTTTCAATTACATGTTATTTTGGAGACCATGTCATTTTTCATGGGTTTTCATAGCTCTCTTACTTTTGGCTCTGTGGAGCCTAGGAGAAAGGTTCCTGTCATCCCCATCCCCTGGCTTTTCTGCTCTGCTAAAATCATTATAACTAGCTTAAATTTATATTTCAGGAACCTTCTGTAAAATCACAACAGAGTTATCTTCTGATGAGTCTGGTTGCTAGACTAAAGATTTGTATGAGGATTGTCAGAAATGTTGGCTGGGCATGGTGGCTCACGCCTGTAATCCCAGTACTTTGGGAGGCCGAGGCGGGTGGATCACCTGATGTCAGGAGTTCGAGAGCAGCCTGGCGAACATGATGAAACCCCGTCTCTACTAAAAATACAAAAATTAGCTGGGCGTGGTGGTGGGCACCTGTAATCCCAACTACTGGGGAGGCTGAGGCAGGAGAATCACTTGCACCTGGGAGGCAGAGGTTGCAGTGAGCCGAGATTGCGCCATTGCACTCAGCCTGGGGGACAAGAGCAAGACTTTGTCTCAAAAAAAAAACAAATGTTGACTAGTGTCTTCTGTTTGGGCTGGTTATAGACAACACAGCTTTTGTCATGATTTCTTGTAGGGCCACTGGTTTAAGTTCCAAATGTTGCACCTGAATACTCTAGAAACTATCGTTTAGCTGATAACCTTGAATAATTTCCAGTCAGCCCTTTTTTATTCCAAAGGGGTGTCACTTAAGATCAAATTCATTCAGAGAAGTATTGATCCGCCAGCTGCCACTCTCCATTAACTCTCCCCTCCCCCAGCGGCTGAAAGAGTGCCCTTCTTGGGGCCAATAAATGTTTATATTGCCCCTAGGTACGATTGTTCCTCCAGCAAGAGCCTTCATTAAGCCCAGCAACATGATAAGGTAATGAGGCTTCTGCTTTAACATAGCAGAACATATATATCCAAATGAGCATGGTTCCCTGGCTCTCCTTTTTTATTATCCTGCCTTCTCCCAGGAGAAAGTAGTGCATTGAGGGGACCATCAAAACTCCTCCTCCCTTCCCCTTCTGCTGAGTTCCCCAAGACACCTGGTCTCAACTCCTATTCCAAATTGCCCAGAGAAAGAGAGATGATAAGTGGACAGAAGACATACAGGCGGCATGGCAAAGAAGCTCAAGACTGGCAAAGAACGAAAAGCGCTGAATACAATGGTCACAACAGAGGACTCATATTGGTCTAGAAGGGATGCAGAAAGCCAGACTGGTGTGGACTAATTATTTCTTTATTTCTTCTAAACATTCTATGACTGAGCTTGAAGGGTCAAGGAAGATGGCTCATTGGAGTGTCCTAGAATTCCATATTACAATTCAGTAGTTTTCTTTGAAAGTATGGAACACATAATAGATATATCTTTGTATCACTAGCATTTTGCCCGTAGCAGGTGGTAAGTGGGTTGTTATTGCAACAACAGTAGATCTGAGCTGTGAACTTATACAATAAGGC
This sequence comes from Homo sapiens, assembly GCF_000001405.40. Taxonomy (NCBI): domain Eukaryota; kingdom Metazoa; phylum Chordata; class Mammalia; order Primates; family Hominidae; genus Homo; species Homo sapiens. The sequence continues at coordinate 132,686,817 of NC_000023.11, read as the reverse complement.
CTATACTGCCATAATGAGTATAGCACCAGAATCATCACCACATTTTAATTATAAAAAATATTATTGTACTCTGCCATTTCCCACTTATAAGCATCATGACTCTGTGAAGTCAGGTGGCAAGCTTGGATTATTTTTATCCTATTTTTCATTTGTGTGAACCAAGGCATACCAATCACTTGGGGGGACTGGTGTGATGGCTTAGAATAAGAGCTCCAGGTTTTCAGCTCTGCATGTGGCACTCTTCTCAACAATCTGGATGAAATCAGGAGCTAGCATCACACACTGTTGCTATTTACAAAAGCCTAATTAATACCTCTCATTCCCTAATGAGATACTTTTTCTGACTCCACAGACAAGCAGAGCCAAGCAAGTGATGTCAGAATGCCAGAGTGAATTATTGGGCTTGTGTCAACCCAAGCAGAGATGAAAAATCACCCCTGTGAACTTGCTCCAGGAGCAATCAAAGGGCCAAAGTTTTAATTAGTGAGGGTTGTGATTTACATTTGCATTCAGCATCCTAAGAATCTACATTAGTCTTCAAGCTCCTGCACTTCCCTAGTTGTTGTCTGACACTGGTTAGGATAGTTAATATGCTTTTAAATAACATTATATTTAATGGACCTTTGAAAGCACTGACATATGAATCCATTTTCTCACCTGTCAGCAGAACTGTTTTCATTAAAGAAGTCAGTGAAAGACCACATGCTGAGAGGAGCTAAAAGTTGGTGGCAGGGAACATTTCAGCTTGGTATCTTGTCCTTTCACCTATATCTACTGTGAAAATTAATGAACAGTTATCTAGGAATACTAATATTAGGATTGATTTCTAATCAAAGGGAAAATGATGTCAAAGCACTATAGTGAATAAAGGAATGCAATGGATTTATTTTTAACAAACATAGCAGAACTGACATAATGGAAAAGGGTGCTGATTTCTTCAACATATTCAACATTTGCATGTTGCTGTATTGGTTAGTACATTTGACAGCTGTAGCATGTTCTCTTGACTCTGCTTGGTTGAGAGATATCTTTGTCCTTTGAGAGTGGATTGAATTTTGGGAATCAGTCAAATGTCCTGAGAAGGTAATGATGATGTACTAATTGGATGATCAGACTGGGTCCTATGGTTGGGGGCCAGAAGTGAGGTGTGACTACACAGTCATGAGTGATATTTCTCATGTGGCTCATAACTGTCTATGAAGATAGTTCCCAGGGAACAGCTCTGGAAATGTGAACGCCAGCAGTATCCTTGGAATCTGTATACAGCTTCTCTGGGTAACAACTTTGAGAGGACCAGCATGCATTGGGTACAACACAGGCCCTCGTGCGCTTGCTAAAGATCTGCTTCAATACTTTGTCACACCGCCTACACTGGCTCCACATTTGCCAAGTAACTATGAGCATGGTTCTCCTTCCAACAATCTGGATGGAGCTAGCATCCTTCATGAGTGTAAATTTACAAAAGTTTAATTAATATATCTTGCTTGCTAATGAGTTATTCCTTTTGACTCCATAGACATGCAGGGCCAAATACATGATGTCAGAATTCCCTGAGTGAATTATTGAGCTTGTGACAACCTGGGTCAGAATGAAAAATCACCTTAGTATATTTAATCCAGAAGCAAATAAAGGGCCAGAGAATTAATTAATATGGGTTTTAATTTGTTAAGGTCTTAAGAGGGAGCCTCTGTTTGCTCTGGTACCTTTTTGTGTGTGTCCTCTTTGATTACAGGTGAATATGCCTTTGGGAAAAGATATCTACTTCTTTACTGTGCTCCTCGGTAACCTATAGACAAGAAAGAAAAAAGTGGGTTCTTAGTCTTCAGAGAGCATCAAATCATTGAATTTATTGTTTAGGTGATGAGCCAATGCCCTGTTCCCAGGAATAGGTTTCATGAGGAATTGCTAGGAGGCATAGAAAAAGAATTGCACATAGTGGAAGTAGATGATGATAAAAGAAAACAAGTGCTAGAGCTGGACAACAGAGCAACACCCCATGAGTCCTGAACAAAGAACTAGAAAGAAACCCAAGGAAAATCAGAGTGCTTCTTTGCAGCCTTTGGCTAAGTCTCCCTAGCTCCCAAAAGGATGTAGACAGCAGATAACACTGCTGATGAGAGGGCAGGATCCAGACAGGTGAGCTGTGCTAGGGAAGGGGCTGCCAAGGAAAGCCCCAAATGCAATGGTACAAGGTGATCCAGTGGGAGCAATCCTTCCTATTGTCCCATGAGCAGGTGCTTTAGGGAGCCACTGGTCCAAGGCCTGCATTCAAATTCATGCCTCCTGGTTTTTCACCATCTTTCCAGGATCAGGTTAGATCACAGAAAGGCCGCCCATTTGCCACTTTAGCTTAGCTGTTACTGGCCTACCTTCCAATGTGGTATCCCCAGCTGCTATTAAAAGAAATGGACATGAGTAAATTTTACTGAATGGAAAGTATATCCCAATTAACTTGACTTTTTAAAATGTCTCTCTATATACATACATATATATGTATATACATATATATACATATATGTGTGTGCGTGTATATATATATGTATATACATATATATACATATATATGTGTGTGTGTATATATATATATATATATGTATATATATGACACTGTCCTGTGGAGACTGCTCCTACATATCCTGTAAAAATCAGTGCTTCATAGTTTTGGCACCAGGAATAAGTTTGATTCTCCTGACAAAATGATACCTTCTCTTTAATCACAAGTTGAGAATGCTATTATCCAGCGTGTTTCTTTTAATGTTTATTGCCTTCGTTGCTGGGAAACTCAGAGCTAACCCCAGCATTCAATTTCAGTAATCTTGCTCTTTAAGATTTTGAGAATTAGTCTCTTATCCCTTCTAAAATATTTCTACTGATCTTGTTCTTCCCCAGGGTCATATTACAGGTACGCTTTAGGTTAAGCTTTCTCAAAATTGGGGTACTGGATGGGTTATAAACTATAAAAAATAGTGCTCTGACCCTAGTCTGTGATGGTCCGAACACACCAACCTGTGTTCTTCCTGGCCCATGCTACTTGCTCTGACCTGGTGCTCCTTGAAATAAAATGGATTTCTGTTAGTTACAGCCCCTATTTTTACACTAGAGTTGATGCTTTTTTCCTATGTTAGTCATGAATTATAATTTCTGTATGCCCCCAAATATCAGAACAAGTGGGGATGGGGAGGCAAATAGCGGCATGCATTTCTCTAATATTTATTCTTATCTCTGGAGCTGGTTGTATAAAGCTGTCAAGAAGAAAATTTCCACTTAAACCAGAACCTTCCAGCACTAGGAGTGCTGACCTGTAGCAATTACGGGTGCTAGGATTGTTTTACTTGGTGTCTTACTTGACTTTCAGTTTGTGACCATCACTTGACAGGATTAAAAATTGCCTCTGTTCTATCTGCTAATTTCTTGAAGGGGACAGCCTATTCCAGAAGAGACAGTCTGAGCAGGAAACAAAGGCTCTGTACTGTGCTCAGAAACTAAAACTAGATAGGTCAGGGCCCATGCCTGAAAGCAGTTGGTTCTCCACAGCCCATTGTTATCCATAGGTCATGGATACATCCTGGCAAGCAGGCTGTAAAGGACATGACCCCTTAATTGAAATAAAATGCCCACCTAGGCATACAAAGGATGAGTAGAGAAAGAGTCCTTAAGGGAAATTTTTAATTGTTTACCTCGATTGATTGATTGATTGATTGATTGAGACAGGGTCTCACCCTGTCGCCCAGGCTGGAGTGCAGTGGTGTGGTCATAGCTCACTGCAGCCTTGACCTACCTGGCTCAAGTGATCCTCTCATCTCAGCCTCTGGAGTAGCTGGGCCTACAGGCAAGTGCCACCATGCCCGGATCATTTTAATTATTATTATTATTATTTAGAGACGAGCCCTCACTATGTTGTCCAGACTTGTCTTGAACACCTGAGCTCAAGCGATCATCCTGCATCAGCCACCCAAAGTGTTGGGATTACAGGTGTGAGCCACCGTGCCTGGCCTGGGAAATTTTTAAAAAGAAACAGCAGAACTTTTTGAGAGTAAGAGGGGCATACTCCCCTTCTGGGGTTTTATTTCCCCCTTGGGCTTCTGAAACTTTAATGCTGAACTGGCCTCTCACAAGCCACAGACAAAGCTGAGAATGTCAAAGGTAACTAATAAACTGCTCTGAAAAAAAAAAAAAAAAGTAAACGTCATTAGAGTGGATGGAGTCTAAAAATCCATAATTCTAAGAATCCCAGGAGAAGCACTGAACAGCTTTTTAAAGCCATTTCTTTTGCCCCCAAGCCACAAAGGATTGTTTATATCCTTTTGAGGCAGCTAGCTGGATGCCCCTCTTCCCAATTCTGGGATTCCCTGAGATAAATACTATCTTGTTCCCTTATATGCCAACTCTACTTTCTGCTGTTGGAAACTTCTTTGCTACTTGCAGGGCCTTCTCCTTTCAGATCTGAAGGTCTGGTCTACTTCCCCAAGGCATGATGATAGACTGACGTTCTTGAGCCCCAGTGAAGGTTCTAGCCTTTCACAGCTTACATTATCTTCCCATCTCACATAGAATCATTCTGTAAAATGTATATTTCTGAGGTGTCTGGACTCATACATCCTCCATTGAGAGGGGGTCTGAAAATTGTTTAATATAGTTTAACATTTATGGCATCTCTTCCTTGACAGTGTCAGTAACAGAGTGAAGACTGCCATTTTCTCACCAACGTTAAGGGAAGTCAGGGATAGGGCAGGTTCTTCCTACAGTAGCATCTGGTCCACCAGTACTGAGAACATTCTCTGCAAGGAGTTTGCTCTTTATGTCATTTAGACATTAGACATTTTAAATAATAAGCATGATTTCTACCTTTCATGTTTTTATCACTGGAGTTTTCTACCTCTCCACTCCTCCATCTGCTCTAAGCCAAGAAGTGCCTCCAGACAGTGACATCTTGCACTGTGATTAAAGTGCTTAGTATAGAGAAATGAGTGGACACCAGGTTTGTATAGGTTTAAAGACTTTATTAAGTAAGAAGTTGATTGTTTTGTGGCTGGAGAGAACCAGAGGACCATTGTTTGAAAGCTGACAACCTATATTACAAAGAGGTGACGGAGATGATATCATGACTTTCAGGAAGCACAGGCTTTTGGAAGTGTTCATCAAGTGGGTCGTGGCATAAGGCTGACTTAAATTTTTTTTTAATGTTTTAATTTGTTGTAGAGACAGGGGTCTCCCCATGTTGCTCAGGCTGGTCTCAAACTCCTGGCCTCAATTGATCCTCCTGCCTTGGCCTCCCGAATTGCTGGGATAATAGGCATGAGCCACCATGCCCAGCCCTTAAATTCTGATTATATCAGAGCCAAGACTTTCTTGACGTTTTGAAGCCAAGTTGAGAGCAAAACGACCCATTTCTGATTTTCTACATAATAAAGGAAACAAACCAGGAACAATAATCAAAGGTGGATTTTTTGTTTCTTTGGGAAGTTATAACCATATTTGCATAAACTTTAAAACAGTTATGACATCTAGTTGAGGTACTAAAACAGTTTCTTTTTTTAATTAACTTTTGTTGCAATAAATAAGGCCAGACTAACAAAAATATATCCAAAGCCAATAATTCTATATTTGTTTGGCACATGTTGCTTCCTTCAGCATACTTCAGGTCATCTTTGCCAGGAATTGAGAACAGGTTGCATGTAATTACAAAGGCTCCTTGGTGGGATGAAGGACAGGATGACTGACGAAATACCACAGCTAATCAGATAAGTGCACCAGGGAAAAAGCAACATGTAATGGCTGGAAACCCAAAACACAAGACTTTTTTTTTTTTTTTAAGACAGAGTTTTGCTCTTGTTGCCCAGGCTGGAATGCAATGGCGCGATCTGATCTTGGCTCACTGCAACCTCTGCCTCCCAGGTTTAAGTGATTATCCTGCCTCAGCCTTCCCAAGTAGCTGGGAATACAGGCACCCACCACCATGCCCAGCTAATTTTTTTATATTTTTAGTAGAGACAGGGTTTTCACCATGTTGGCCAGGCTGGTCTTGAACTCCTGACCTCAGGTGATCCACCGACTCAGCCTCCCAAAGTGCTAGGATTACAGGTGTGAGCCACCATGCCCAGCCATCAGCAAATGAGTCTATTATGATGGGAATACTCATGCCCCCAGACTAGATCTAGTTTCTCCTTTGATCCCAAGCCTTCTGGTGTTGTTCTCCTTTGAGCCCACTGTCCCTTCTCTGGCCTGTCCTCCTTAATCTTCTTCCAAGGCTATTCTCTTCTCATGCTACACACTCTCCTCATGTAATCTCTTCTAAAGGTTTGAACTACCATAGACTCCCAAATCTCTAAAGACCATTCTTCAGCTGAGATCTCTATATCCAGCTAAGTTCTGCATCCGTCTATCCAATTGCCAACTAAACATCTTACCTAGAGGTACCAACAGGCACACAAAACTCAACATAGCTCAAAACTGAACATGTCATCTTCTTCCACATACTCTCCCCAACAAAAAAAGAAGGCTGTGTTGCGGGAAGTCAGGGACCCCAAACAGAGGGACCGGCTGAAGCCATGGCAGAAGAACGTGGATTGTGAAGATTTCTTGGACATTTATTAGTTCCCCAAATTAATACTTTTATAATTTCTTATGCCTGTCTTTACTGCAATCTCTAAACATAAATTGTGAAGATTTCATGGACACTTATCACTTCCCCAATCAATACACTTGTGATTTCCTATGCCTGTCTTTACTTTAATCTCTTAATCGTCATCTCGTAAGCCGAGGAGGATGTATGTCACCTCAGGACCCTGTGATAATTGCGTTAACTGCACAAATTGTAGAGCATGTGTGTTTGAACAATATGAAATCTGGCCACCTTGAAAAAAGAACAGGATAACAGCAATGTTTAGGAAACAAGAGAGATAACCTTAAACTCTGACCGCTGGTGAGCCAGGTGGAACAGAGCCATATTTCTCGTCTTTCAAAAGCAAATGGGAGAAATATCGCTGAATTCTTTTTCTCAGTAAGGAACATCCCTGGGAAAGAGAATACGCGCCTGGGGGTGGGTCTCTGAACTGGCCCCCCCCCAGGCGTGGTTGTCTTCTATGGTCGAGGCTGTAGGGGTGAAATAGACCCCAGTCTCCCATAGCGCTCCCAGGCTTAATAGGAAGAGGAAATTCCCACCTAATAAATTTTGGTCAGACTGGTTGCTCTCAAAACCCTGTCTCCTGATAAGATGTTATCAATGACAATGGTGCCTGAAACTTCATTAGCAATTTTAATTTCGCCCCAGTCCTGTGGTCCTGTGATCTCGCCCTGCCTCCATTTGTCTTGTGATATTCTATTACCTTGTGAAGTATGTGATCTTTGTGACCAACACCCTATTCGTACACTGCCTCCCCTTTTGAAACTCCCTAATAAAAACTTGCTGGTTTTGCGGCTTGTGGGGCATCACGGAACCTACTGACATGTGATGTCTCCCCCAGATGCCCAGCCTTAAAATGTCTCTCTTTTGTACTCTGTCCCTTTATTTCTCAAACTGGCTGACGCTTAGGGAAAATAGAAAAGAACCTACGTGACTATAGGGGCAGGTTCCCTGATAAGACTGCCAACCCTTCTTGTATGGCTGATATTGGCAAATGGAGCCACAATTAATTCATGTTACAGCATCTTTGATCCCACACCTTCTGGCCTTGTTCTGTACTCCGTGGTGGCTATGGCCCTGTCTGCTATATGCTAGCTAAGTTCTGTCAAGTCAGTACTGCATCCTTGGATACTTACCTTGAATACATCCCTTCTCTCTGGACCTTACTTTTCTATTTCTAAGGATTCCTCTAACTCTATATTTCTAGGCGTCTTTCCCTTGTCTGGGGAGGGGTCAATAAAGAGCCTCACTCTTTGGCTCAGTTAAGCATCTTGGGTTTAACCAGACTGTGATTAAAAACTCATGTGCATGAAGCGAAGTAGATTGGTTTAAGTTATACAAGGTTTAGCGTTTAACAGTGATTAGTGGATGATATAAAAAAGATGTGCTTTGTTTCCATAAATTGTCAGAATTTTAGTCTTCTGTTTTCATGCACACTAAAATAATGCTCAATTTTCCAAATTGTAACACAATACAAAGAGGCTGACAATTGGGTTTCACTTGGAAAGGAAAATTAAAAGTGGTCAATACAGATCACAGAATAGATAATATTTGCAAAGGAGACCCTACTTAGAAATAACACGCATTCAAACAAAGGTATGATGCCTGAATGTGTGATAACTAAGTAGTTTAAAAATTGAAATAGTTTCATCTGTCCCTGTAAATAAACGTGAAGAGAAAAGTACAAAGTCCTTTGGTTTAAAGGGTCAGTGTTTTTAACAGACACATGAACGCATAGTTTAGGGGAACTTTCCTTTCTACCCCAGAAGGCATTTTCAATATCTTGTTGGCATGGCCCTTCTACTTGATTTCTAAGGAGCCAGATGCACTGTTTGCTTTTAAGACAAGGTCTCGCTCTGTTGCCCAGCCTGGAGTGCAGTGGTGCAATCACAGCTCACTGCAGCCTTGACTTCCCAGGCTCCAGCCATTTTCCCAACTCAGCCTCTCAAGTAGCTAGGATGACAGGCATGTGCCACCACACTCAGCTAATTTTGTTTTTGTTTTTGTAGAGACAGGGTATTGCTATGTTGCCCAAGCTGGTCTTGGACTCCTGAGCGCAAACAATCCTCCTGCCTCAGCCACCCAAAGTGCTGGGATTACAAACATGAGCCACCACACCTAGCCCAGATGCACTTTTAGGTATAGATGCATTTGGCCCCCTAGAAAGTACTCAAGATGCCAAGTTCAGCAACAAGGAAATATTTGAATACTCTTGGCTTTGGGCACAACATGGAGCTAGAGAATGGGTACCCCATGCCCCAATGTCAAAATCAGCAGTCTTGGTTAAGTAGGACCAACCCTGCCTCAATGACCCAACTTGTTCAAGTTCTAGCTATAAAGACAGAATATGACCTCAGCTCTTCCTAATTTCAGTGCCCAAGCTTTTTCCACAACACCAGGGCTGCTTCCAGTTAGTATGGCAACACCATTCTCCAGAGTTGCTAATTTTCACTGGTTTTACTCTACTTGAGTTTCCTATCTGTGGGCACTAGAGCTAAGAAATACTTCTGCAATAGGCTGTCACTTTTTAGTCATAAAGTGTGAGTTAACATATAATTTGAACAAAAAGCCAAAGCCACATGACTCCTTTAGTAAACCTCTAACCTAGTTTGCGTCAGTCAGTCAATTCAATTCAGTAAACATGTTAGAAGCCCAATTTACCAGGTATGGTTTTCAGTCAGCAGGTGCTGAAAACCTTGTATATGGCAAGTGTGATCAGAGATATTGTGAACAGATGTGAATACAATTTGCCCTTGTCCTTAAAGAAGTTAATATGTAATGTGCAGGCAGAGTGGACATTCTTGAAAATCCCATAAGAACATATTAAGTAGAAAGTGAAACAAAGTGGTAATTCACCAGGGAGGAGGAAATGAGCCTCTCCACCAACACTTAGTTCGTATCATTCTGTAGTGTAAAATCAGAATCTCACCTCCAAATGAATAGGCTGACTGACTTCTCTTTGTTCTCCGTGTGCTAATTCTTGCCATTGCAGTTGGCTCCTTTGGCTTTTCCTAAAAAGTTCACTGAGAATTTTCTGGCCTACTCTGGGGACTCCCTAATGTGTAATGTTCACCAACTAGGCTCCAGTTGTGAATTTTTAATTATGCCGGATCATTTTCAGTAAATAGAACTTCGGGCTCAACTAATGCTGTCAGATCTAATCTTTGTCTCACCTGCTATGGAGCTCCACTCTGTGGTGTTTGCAGTAATTGCCACTTCCCCAGGAAAGAGGAGCTTTTGCAGAGATGGATGTCAGCAGCCCTTTGCATTCTCATCTGCCCTCCTCAGAAGCCCTACAGCGGGGCACTTTATCCAGCAGATTTGAATTTTGATGTTTGGAAAGTAGAGACAATGGATACAGCTGATTGTTCTCTTTCAATTTTCACCAAGTGTGATTGTCTCATGCTTCCTGTGAGGCAGTAGTTCTCAAAGTGTGGGCCATAGACAGGAAACATTACCGTCATCTGGGAACCTGATAGAATTGTAAATTCTCAGGTCCCATCTTAGACCTGCTGAATCAGAAACTCTGGGGGTCCCTGCCACCTGCATTTAAAAAATACTCTAGGTTATCTGATGTATGATTAAGTCTATGAGCCCACTATTGAGAGAGAACTGTTTCAAACTAAGGATAAGCATAATTTCGTTCTATTTTGTGAAAATTCTCATAACTCATTTTTCTGATTTACAATTCTTCAAAAACAAAAATCCTAATTTTCATAATGGAAACTCACATTTACCTTTGCTTTCCCTAACTTTCCCAAGCATAGGCAGTTGTTTCCTGTTTTATTTCCCTAGCATTTTTTCACACTTGTTTATTCCACTTGGTACATTACATTGTTATGTAGCTGTTAACATGCTTGCCTTCTCCACTAGCCTTGGGGCCACCTGCCGGCGGGAACCTTGTCACACTCATCATAGTATCCCCAAGGCTACATAGTAAACACACATTAAAGGGCACAGAGTAAACACATTCAATATTTTCTGAGTGGATAAATTGGTTAACATTGTATAATTTTCAAAACTAGGTAATGGCCTTAAGAAGTACGACTGGCAGAATAGGAAACTGAGACCCAGAGACATTAAAGGATTCAGTTGGTAAGAAGTTGCAGAGGCAGGGCTAACAACAAAAGCTTACCTCAGTATGGGAAAGGTGATGGCCACAGGTCCCTCAAAACTGGCCTAATACACTAAACTCCACTCAGGAAGCTTGGGATACTTTGGCTCTTCAAGGGCAAAGCCCTTGATTTACTCCCAGACAGGTTGCTTTCTGCCCCAAAACCAAGGATGCTAAGAGAGGGTAGCTGAGGTTGCCAGTTAGTGAGACACGTGCAGAGACTGAGAATCAAGAGGGAAGGGAATCATGTAAAAAAAAAAAAGGAGATTTTAGTACTATTGGAGGTATAAATTCTAGTACTCGGTTAGGCCGTGGTAAAGAGAAAAGATGTGAACTGCAAGTGAAGCCAAGGTAGAAAGCTCAATTTTGCTCATTTGCCAGAGTGTCCTTCTTACACCAAGGTGAAAACAGCATAGGATGTACTCTGTGAGGTATTTGTTATAGGAATGGGCTGCCAATGATTGCCACCAATCTCTTGGTACCCAGCTTGCCTTGTCATCTGTAAGCAATCTGGGTGGGCTGGGAGAATGGGGAGAAGCAGACTATGGGCATGGGATGAAGAAAGCCACTGGCCTGCACCAGGAACGAGGCCTTCACTTTCCCTCATTAACCTTAGCATTAATCTCTACATAACTAAGTTACCTGATTTAGATGCTTTTACTTGGACCTCTGGCATACAAGTCTTTGTAACGCAGTTGTAAATCCTCATAGAGTGGGGTGGGAGTAAACAGATTCTGGCATAGGATGCTTCTTGAAACACTCCTTAATCATAGTGGATCACTGTCTCATCAGGCCTCACTGTTTATCTCATGGCTTTGAGTCCCACTTTGGAGCAATGACCGCACATCTGCCTTGTCTTTCTTCTTGAGCTCCAGTTCCATTTCTCTAATTGCCTACTGGGACACTGTCCATCAATACCCCAACTCGATAGGCCCCAAACTGAATCCGTCATCTTCTCCTCTAGTCCAGATCTCCCTCCCAACTACTCTCTCTTTCACTGGCAGAGTAAATTTGTTCTCAGTCATCCAACTTGCAAACCTTCTCAGTGACTTTCATTTAGGGTTTATTCTCATTCCCCAAACATAGTCAATCCCCAAGTTCTGTCATATTTTCTTTTGCCATGCCAGGCATAGTTATTTTCCACCCCTATAACTGCCATTCCAGCCCAGCCTCTCATTATATTTCAGATCTCAATTACCCCAAACCATCCAATTCCATAACTATGGTTTCTGCTCCTCAATCCCTGATGTGATGGAGAAGCCCAGAGTTAGATGCGAACGCAACAGTTTTATAATACCACTTACAATTGTTAGATACCGTTCTATTGGCCTCTGATAGTTTGTAACTACGGTCCATACTGTTGGTAAAGACACATGGGATTAGTCAGCTTAAATGAGAAAATAATATAATTTAGAAACTGACTCATGTTCTTTCTTGATCCCAATGAGGCATTCAGGGACGTGACTGTCACTCTCTGGGCAAAAACAACATGTACCAAGAGGTGAAGAGAGCAAAATAGCAACAAAAATAAATGAGCCCATTGCTGCAGTCCCTGATGCCCTGTGGTGAGCTGCTAGAGTGAAAAGTTAATGGAATGGGAGAGGGCAAGATAATGTGAGCGCCCTGGTTGCCTTTTCCAAGAGCTTTTCAATTCCAGAGTAACTGTGAGCTTCATTGTGAATGGTTTACCTGATCAGTATAATTCCCTCTCCTTTGTAGATAAGAAGACTAAGACAGCAAGAAGTTAAATGCCTTGCTGGCAGCCAGGATTAGAACCTGGGATTCCTGAATAAATGCTTTGAACTTATGAGGCTGCTTCTGAGAGATCATAGTTACACTGGGCTTCATAGCAATAAAAATGAGCTTTTCCCTTCCCTCAGAAATCCTGTTATTATCCATAGTTAGGCAAAGGGAAACTAGAAGAGGATGCTAAATAAAAGCACATCTCAATGAACTGAACTATCTTTGCCAGGTGATTATCAGAAATATAGATAATGAGCGTAAGATACTTAAAGGGGCAAGGACTCTAATTTAGACACCTCGGGCAAAAGAAGTGAAAAAGTTTGGAACAAAGAAAACCACTCAGGACATAACCTAACAAGATAGAAAAAAATGAAATGCGAAAGTATTATCAGCTTTAATTAAAGGAAATCAATATTTGAAGAGGTGTCTTGCTCAACAATAGAACAAGGGCAAACATACTTCAGAAATGTGAGTCTCTTAGAAAAGAGAAAAGCAAGTTTTCATGGGGAAACAACCACGATTGAAAAACCTTTCAAAAGATGACGACTTGGTGTATCTGTTGGAGAGGGGCCTGAAGCACCTGTTGGGGAGGCCGACTAGATGAGCTTTTATCCCTGGGAGAGTCTGTTTTAAGTGCATTTTTTCAGTCAGGGAGTGTTCAGGAGCCTAGAGGCATCTCTAGGGAGTAAAGAATAGCCAGTATTTCCCTCAGAGAGACTTGAAACAAACCCTCAACAATAAAGTGGGTTTCATCTCAGTTATCACTTACAAGAACACACATTGGAAAACATTAAGGACTATACAAATGCAACAGATGTGTTATTTCAGAGGCACTCTGCAACCATCCAAGCAAGCTTGCTTGAGAATCCTTTCTAAGCTCACGTTTTTTGTGATGCACATGATGACCAACCTTCAGTGACTGGAGTCCAATTCTCCCAGACCATTCCTCTTCAGGGATGGAAGATATGTGACATGTGTCACCACTTCCTTCTCTCAAACTGGTGCAAGACATTAATACTCAATCATGACACTTCTTTCCATTGAGCCCAAATGCAGCTTTTTCATTTATTTGTTCAATGAATACCTCTTGACTGCCCATTTAAAAGTGAGTTGGAGAGACAGATAAATAATAAAATATAAGCAACACTACGAGCACCACATGCTAAGTGCCTAGTAAAAGATATGTAGACAATAAATATCATAGCCAAACCTGTTCTCTTGAAATACAATTTCAATTTCCTGGGACCCTGAAAATTAATTCTTAAAATTTCAGTACTATTGTAGTTGTATCAGCACAACTATTTTTCAGGGATCTGAGATGAATTAATTCCGAAAAGAGCTTACAAAGGAGATGCAGAAGTTTCTATATGCCACCCATCAAAAAAGTGAGTCAGGTGTGTTTTAAGCCACAGGGTTCTTCTCCCACAATTAGCTTTGACCAAACAGCAAAACTCAGATTGGAGTGGGTCTGATTGCCATTTTGGTTTAAGTACACTGGATACCATTTCAGCATCAAATCATTCAATCAGAAACACTGAAAATGCTGAAGAGTTGGGTTAGTTGCAATTTTCCCACCTGAATAGAATGTGCATAATACTGCAAATTGTTTTTTCACTTTTGTAGTGCTGGAGACATTTATGGAACCTGTGGGAAAGGGTTTTCTTGACAGATGGAGATGGACAGCCAACCAGACAGAAGGAGAGCTAGCACTCATTAACTTTTCCCAACAGAAACTCACCTGTAATTGTTTTCACAGGCCTTTAATGAGGCTTGGTTGTGAGGCACTAGAGAGAGGAAAGCAGCTTATCCATAGAAAAGGATAGCTACTCAGGTGAGGTAGAGGAAGCCTGGATCCATAGCCTTGGAAATTGTAGGACATAAGGTTTGAGATTACAATTCAAAGACAAGATGAAAGTGATGAGGGCTGACAAGTAGTCTAGAGATGGGCAAATCAAAAGAATAACTACTGGGGTAGATCTGTTTCGGTTATGTAAGTTAGGAACTCTAAATCAAGGAGCACCCACCCCCCCCCACCAATCTCATATATCCAAAATTATATCTATGTGTCTTTGAAACAGGTTGGATTTATTCTTGTAAATCCCTGGGATTGCGGGATGTTTCAGTGACCAGAGTTCTTGGCAGGATCTTAATCTTTAGGTCTTTGCCCCAAAGATCTTTGAAGTTCCCAGACAGTCTGCAGCTGCAGTATTTTCTCTTTATTTTTCATGGGACCCTTCTAGAAACTGCAGTGTCCTTGATATCACTGCTTTAGATCTCCTTCTCTCTCAAAGTTTCAGAATTATGGCATCTTGCCCAGGCTTATCTAACTGACCTGGATTTTGGTGGAGGAATGAAGACTTTTTCTGTCAATGTTAGGTAAACTTTTCTATACCACAGTCATTAGTACATCTACAAAATTAAGCTCCGAGGATCCAAGCCAGCCACAAGTTCTTCTTGATCCCCCTTTCAGATACATTTCATCACTGTTAATGGATCTGTTATTTGCACAGAACAAACATTTCCAGTTACTTGATTAATTTTACCCCTATTCTTGGTGCAATGCCTTCCCTGTGTGATTTATTCCTGAGAATGTTTTTGTTTTCATTTCCCCAATATCTGTACTTGGGGGATTTGGCAGTAGGTTAGAGGGGCCCTTATTCCTATCTTTTAAAGGATTACTGCTCCAGGACCACCTCCCGCTAGAGCACCAGTTGACAATAATGAGGCTGCCGCTGCCAGCTGATAGCTTTCCCTGATGTCCTACTGTGTCCTGCATTGAGCTTAAACAGGGTCAATTATAATGTAAACTATAGAGGACCCTAGTGCCCAAGGCGCAGACATGGGAATTTAGCAGTGGGGGATTTTGCTTTATCAAAAAAAAAAAAAAAAAAAGTGAATGAATGAACTTAGTGACTCAGCACTTAGTGATTTAGTGATGACTTAAATGACCACCTACTCTGAGCCCAGTAGTGTGCATGAGACACATCAAAAACATCCCTTGTATCTGAATGCTTCCAGCCAAGTTTCCCACTGCCTACTGCTTAAGTGAGGGGCTAGGAGGAGGAAGGCTCAGTGGCCAGTGACCAGGGTGCAAGAGTGACACAGAGCATATTAGCATATTGCATTCTTTGCATCAGGCTATGCCAAACTTCTGGAAGAGACAATTTTGAATTTGTGAGGAGGATAGCCAGGATGGTCCCTGGTCTCAGGTCCCTAAGGAATCCTTTGCCAGGAAGTCATCGAGGACGGATAGAGGCAGCACCAAATGAATTCTTCAGTCCCCACTCAGAATGTGGCCACATTCTGGTGAGTCTGTGAGTGGTACGGGGTAATGGTCCCTGCACTGTGCAGGAATCCCAGCACTTCATTCCAGTGGATTTCTGCCCCCTCCTCTGGGATAGAATGTGTGTCCACTCTCTCCAGAGCCATCCACTCCAGCAGCAGAGCCAGAGCTCACATGGGTATCTCCCACTTCTAAGAGCTGCTTTTCATACCCCCTAGACGTTTTTTGTTTTGTTTTATTCTTGAGACGGAGTCTCGCACTGTTGCCCGGGCTGGAGTGCAATCGCACAATTTTGGCTCACTGCAACCTCCACCTCCCGGGTTCAAGCTATTCTCCTGCCTCAGCCTCCCAAGTAGCTGGGATTACAGACGCCCGCCACCATGCCCTGGGTAATTTTTTATTTTTTATTTTTGTATTTTTAGTAGAGATGGGGTTTTGCTATGTTGGCCAGGCTGGTCTCGAACTCCTGACCTCGTGATCCGCCTGACTTGGCCTCCCAAAGTGCTGGGATTACAGGCATGAGCCACCGCGCCCAGCCTAGACACTGACTCTTAAGTGCTTGGACAGTTGCTATCTCTCTGACTTTTCCTGATCAGCCTTTTTCCATGCCCACACACATCTTTATTACCTTTGCAATCACCAGGAACCCATCATTATCTCTTGTTCCAATCATATCCATGAAGTCATTTGAAGCTGATGGGTGCATGGCAGAATATCTTTTGTGACCCCCAGCCCACCCCACATATAAATACAGCTACTTGCAGACATCTATTTTGGAGATACTTAAAAGGTTCATAAATATCTGAAAAGATGTTTGACATTTTCTGAGACAATATTCTTTGCCACTGGAAGGTTCTATTATACACATTAAAAGCAAAGATACATATTTTTCTTTCTTACCTTCACTTTTTATAAAAGGTTATGCTGACGTAGAACTTACTAACAAAAAAAAAAAAATCTTCCTGATGAAATCAGGATAAATAATTCCACACATCTTCAAGTGGAGAGAAAGGCTTTGAATTGGTTTCCATGGAAATCTGAAGATGAAGTAAAGGAATAATTTCAAGGCAGAGCAGCTGAACTGAAGATAATGGTAAAATAGTTTGATAAAGGAAATAGAATAAAGTAATCAAGAAGACTCCAATCAATTATTCCTTTTTGTTTACCTTTAGGTGATTAATTCGTCTGCGTTTATTAACCTGATGAGATTAAGCAGGCCTTCCTTGTGATTTATTTCGTAATTGTTTCCAAGGTTTGACATAAGCTGTGGAGTTATTGAAGGTGGAGATTTAAATTCAATTACTATGAAGCAGGTGGTGATTCTCCTGAAAGAATATCTGAATTCACGGACTTCCCATGTAACATTATGAGTGAAAATTATTAATTCATCTGATAGTATCTCCCAAAGACTTTTAGAAGTCATTTGGCATCCACATACTTCACCAAAAGTCAGCAGCTTCAGAACTGAACATGTAATGAAGAGAATTCAGTGCCTGGAAAGAAAGGATTTTATTTTAAAGACTAGTTATTTTTATACTTTTTTTTTTAAAACTAGAGGCCCCCTTGGGGCCTGGGCTGTGGTGCTATCATTGATGGAATCCATGAGCTCAAGCTTTGAATGCCAAAAGGATAGCTTTCTTTGAACTTGACCAGTGGTTCCCACTCTCTACCTTTAAAGGGCACAACTGGATAAGATCATACTTTGACAGGAGAGAGAGAGAGAGAGAGAGATTGGCCAGGGGGTGGTGGGGGGATATGCAGGCTGGCCTTGAGAGTCTTTAAATGAAGTGACTAATTGCTTTTTGTCTCTGTGGTCCTTGTTGTGTATATGTTTTCTATTCTTTCTGTGGGTATAGTAAGGATAAACGGGGTTCTCCAAACACTAACGCAGGCGCCAACTCTCCGTCATCCACAAAGACCCGGAACACATCTAAGAGTGGGAAGTAAGTGAAAAAGTGCTCCTGTACATCTGACATAGCTGTCAAAAAGTCAAGTGCTGTCCTCCTTTTGTCATTTATTCATATTCATTCAACAAAGATTTGTGGAATGTCTTCTGTGTGCCTCCCACTGGGCTCGTCACTGGGGAATTGAAACGAGCAAGGCATGTGTCAGTAATATTGGGTGCATGAAGAACTAGGGAAGAGGGAGGAGAGGGATGGAAAAGTCAGGAGATGACTCTGGAAAGATAGCTTAGGGCTGACTGTGAAGGGCAAGGACATAAGTCCATAAGGGCAATGTAAGAGTTGGATTACAAGTTTTAAGAATTAAAGCAGCAGCAGCAGCAGCACTGATTTATGACTTACAAAGTCCATGAAAACCTGTCCTGATCCATACACTGAGTTTAGGCTTGAGTTAGAAGAATCTGGTAAGCTTTTCCATAAATTTCCTGGTTTAAGTACATTTATGTTTTAACCATATCACTGATTTATATGATATGTATATTCTTTTCCTAGTAACTAATATGCACCAAGTCCTACATGAAGCTGTTTTTTTGGTATTACCAAAACTTGTATGGGCTGAATATTTGCGATATTAGATTGACCTTTTCTGGGCTTATTCCAGAAGACAACACCAGCCGATCTCTCCCTTTGGCTTCAGCAAAGTGTGGCAAACTCAGGCAGTGTGATCCCACGCAGATGACATACCTCTAATTAGACACTTCCCCTTGGAAGTTGCTTCAACCCTGTGGTGAATGGCTCGAGTTCTCCGTAAGCTCTCTCTCCAGGGTGTGGGGCATTGTGACACGCAGAAACTCAGTCCAGAAAGAGCACCCAGCCTGCATCTAGGAGAAAATGAAAGATACCTTCATCATGCTAAAAGCTCTAATCTAGCAATAAGATATGTCACTACAAGAGCACAGCTTTGCAATGAAAGGTGAATTTGTAATGGTCATATATTTTATGTATTCAGCATTGGACCGTAAATGCTGCACTTTGAATATGATCTTATATTCAATTCCCAAAGTGAAAGATCTACTGGCTGCCTTTTTTTCCTTCTTTTCCTCTGAATACCATTTCAGGTTTGCATATAAAGTTGAATGCGGGTTATCTTGCAAAATATAAAAAACGGTGTTAAAGACATAAAACTAAATCTCCAAGCAGTTAGAACTCATTTCAGTTATTTATTGCTGAGCACCATAATCAAAATGCTGTATAAATTATGAAGGAAGGGAATTGATGCACACATTCCCAGGCAGCTGAATGTTTTCAAATTAGTCCCAATTCATTGTTAACACGCACTCTTAGTTAACAGGGATGGCATTGCAGAACTTCTTTTAACTCCATGCTTACAACAATGGCAGACCCTACCTGGGCACCCTGTACCTACCTGTCACACCAAAAACCACAGGGCACAATCTCCATTTATTAGTCCCTGATGTATAATTATGGATGTTTGTGATTTGCTGTTGCCTTTCCAAAGGGGCCTTCCCTTGTTTCTTTTGGCTTTGCAGGAGTTCACTGTCTTACTTTTTGAGTGAAGAATCTCCATTTGAGCTACAAAAGGAGCAATTGGTAGAATCTGAGTTAAGATGACATAGAGAATGCATACCTAATACCATACCCAGGTTTTCAACAGTGGGAGGGCTGAATAAATACATTCTTAAGGAGATAAAAAATGATCTATATCTCACTTGCCATACTTGGTCACATCCCAAGCTTCTGCCATGGTGAAGGGTCTCTCTCTTTGCACATTTTGAGATAGGTAACTTTTACTTGACATGTATAGTGACTCATAGACTGAGCTAGTTCTGAATTCTTCATTGTTTTTATTGGTTGTTAGTGAAAAATTACAAGTTCTCCGACATCCTCTTCCTAGATATGTGTGCCAGGGTTTCTTGCACTGTTCTCCTCCTCTTAGTCCTCTCCCATCAGTTTTCAGGAGATTTTTCTTTTTTTCCATTAGTGTACATTTTCTCCTTCTTGGGATATCATTTTCAACAGGAGCAGTACTGACCTTCTGTGCATATGGTGAGACTATGAAGGGCATTTTTCACACTTTATAGAACAGTGCCTATGGATGTTTAGGCACTGTGTTCTAGTTCAGAGAGAGTTGTGATTGCCAGTTCCTGCTGCACTGTCTATGCATTTCCTTAGCTTTGGTGTGTGTGGTGGTGAGGAGGGGATAGGTAGATGTCTCCACCCCAAGGCTTTTCCCCATGGTGTATTTTCTTTCACAACAACCAGCCCAGAGGATGCCATGTTCTGATGTTATTTGACCTAATGACAATAGGATATAGAGCAGTTTTTAAGAATTTCCCTATGTTATTTTGAGGCCAGACACAGGCTGGGAGATAGAAGGAGGGTTCTTTCCTTCTCTGAAAAGAAATTCAGTCTTCTCTGTTTTTGAAGAAAACAAAAAAGCAAAAGTCAAGCTGCCCCAAATATGCATCATGGCTAAAAATAAGGAATATGTGTTGACTGAGTGTTACGGGCCAACCTGTGTCCCAAGCACTTGGTACATTTTGTCTCATTAATCCTTGCCTACCAAAAGCTCATGAAACAGGCACTATTATTTCTATTGCACACATGAGGAAATTGAGGCTCCAAGAGGATAATGATATGCCCACCTGAGGTATCCAAATGAACAATTTTGGTAAAAAACCTTCTTTGGCACCAATGATAATAATAGTAGTAGTAATTAAAATATATTAAGCATTTACTTTGTGCCATTGCACTAGACTCTGGGGCCATATAAATATAAAATACTATAGGTGCCCCCAAGCAGTTCACAGTCTTAGTAGGGAGGACAGAGGATGACAACGTGGTATTTAAGTGCTACAATCCCTAGCTGATGCCAGGGTTGGGGTGGGAAATAGGTCATATGGGGATATCAATAAAGGCTCCTGAGAAGCAATCCCTGAGCTCTTTAATTTTATCCATTTACCCTTCATGTAGCAAGGTTAGGTCAGAGAAAGAAAATGCAAGTCGGTCACTCCAGAGGGGCAGAATCCTCTGTGTCTTGGTCAGAACACGTTGGAGTTGTGGATTAGGTCAAAGCTAAAATGAAATGTCTAATTCCACCTTTTTCCAACTTTCAATCCATTTGGAGCCTACTGAGATTCAGTGTAGCATGCTGAGTCGCTTAGGAAACCTACAGCTTGAATGTTGCGTCAGTTCTGGTTGCTCTATTTCATTGCCTGGATGTGAAGCTGGGTAGCCAGCCCTCTGTTTCAGGGAGGAACAGATGGAATGGGATATGTCTGAGCAGCAGAGCCAGACTACCCTGGAAATGACTTTCAGGGAGGTGCAAGCAGTTTCTTCTATGCCAACAGTGAGCCAAATTGACAAGACAGAAAAAAAAAAAACTTCAGTGCAGAACTGTGTCACTGAGATCAGGAAGCATAGGTTTTGCAGAGGTTGACCCATGACCAATCAGGCCAGACCACTGCATTTAGCCTCACATATGGTTCCCTTTGGTAATGTGAACCTGTTATTCTGGCCAACACAGCAGAACACAGTCAATCCATTTGCTGACCCATTGGATTATCCCCAGAAAGCAAGTAACTGTCAAAGCTGGGCATGTGTAGTAGCCACCAAGAGCCTTTATAATGTTCATTTGGTATTGGAACATTTTCATACTTTACATGAGACCAATTATTTTGCTGAACACAAGGACACTGAGACTCAAGAAAGGTAAGTCACTTTCCATGAGGCACACACCTAGCTACTAGCAGAGGGCAGCCTAGACACCTGGTCTTCTCATACTTGTCCCATGATCTTTCCACTGCAATGTATGCTACAGTTCTTCTCCCAGAGAGCAAGATACTTCAGCTAATTGCACCAAGGGAGGCCAGGAGCCAGATCTCAGGATGTCCAGCCAGGTGCTCTTCCCTCTTTTTGTGTGGGCTCTGCCAGCTACTGTGAAAATGGAGACTTTTTGGAAAAATTAGAATCATCCTACTTTTAAAAAAATGTAGCAGTAGCGGTGATGAAAGGAAAAAGCATGTACTTCTCAACTGCTTCATTTTTTCTTCTAAAATAATGGTATCTCTGGTTCTATTTGGACAGCTACCTTTCCTCAACAGTATTGTTGAGCCATCTCAAGCCTCTAATCTACTCCATCAATGAAGCAATAGAGAACTCATATATCACTATAGCTATTCTCTCTCGAATCAGCCAACCAAAGCTAAGGAGATGTAGATTAGATAGGTAGATAGACAAACAGACACACATATATCTACATCTACGTATGACATTCAGAGGCATCCACTTAAAAATTAAATTGCCCAAAGTTGAGATGATGATGGAACTCGATCACTCCTCTCAGTCTGAGATGTTTTTCACATAGGCTCAGGCTAGGGAATAACAAGGACCAAGTCCAGTTTTCAAGTACTAGTGAAGGCCACAAATATGGGGCCAGGGCAGAGCAACCAAGCACAGTGCCTGGCAAACAATACTATAAATGTTGAATTAAGCACTATAAGTGATGGGTTAAATGAATTAAGCTAGGGGAAGGAGGGATATTAAAATGGAGAAAAAGAAGGTGTACAGAAGGGGAATATGAGATGATCAAGTCAAACCCTGCTTACTCCACAAATCTACTTGGAGCTGACTCTGGTAAGACCGGCTCTAACCTGCCTTTGCCGGAAGTACCTTATAGTGAACAAACCTGTTTATCTATTCAGTAGTATCCAGATAAGAGTAGTCAAGAGCACATAGCTTCATAAATAAACATACCAGCACCCCTTTGCTTTTGGCTGGCAGGAGTCAAATGAAAAACTTTTCAGCTTTAGAAAAATAAAGTGAAGGCTGGGCGTGGTGGCTCACACCTGTAATCCCAGCACTTTGGGAGGCCGAGGTGGGCGGACCATGAGGTCAGGAGATCAAGACCACCCTGTCTAACACAGTGAAACCCCATCTCTACAAAAATACAAAAAATTAGCTGGGCATGGTGGCACACGCCTGTAGTCCCAGCTACTCGGGAGGCTGAGGCAGGTGAATCATTTGAACCCAGGAGGCAGAGGTTGCAGTGAGCTGAGATTGCACCACTGCATTCTAGCCTGGGTGACAGAGTGAGACTCCGTCTCAAAAAAAAGAAAAGAAAAAAATGAAAGATAAAATGAAGTCTTGCTTGCTCTGTTTGGACTCAGCATGGTGCATTTTCATGTTTGACTTCAGCTGTTTCTATGTCCATTGCTGGCACCAGAGTCCTGCATATTATATCGTGATTATGTTTTTTCCTCTAATTGAGACCCATGTATTTTTTCTAAGACATTGGGTTGTGACTGTTGCTAACCCCCACTAATTTTGCCACTGTGTGTGTATGAAAGTATGTGTGTGTATGAAAGTATGTGTGTGTGAGTGTTCTCTTCAAAATGGTTGTATGTTGCATGAAGATAGCAATCCACTGGCCAAGTATTTGACTTTGCCAGTAATTGCTGTAGTTTTATGTGATGATAATGTCAATAGTTCCTTAGTTTAGCTACTAGACTAAGTCTAATATCACAAAAGCTTGTGACAAATGAAAGCATTAATATTACTGCTTATTTTTTCTTTTACTTTCTTTTTTCTTTTTTGCAATTGCACCTTTGTAGAAAAAGACGAATGACAAAAGCATAAACTGATGTCAGAATGTATTCCTAAAGATGGCTTTTAGTGGAGTGTGCTCAAGGATGAATTCATTTATAGCCTAACTACCTTTTCCTTCAGTAGTCCCCCATCCAGAATAGTGTGAGATCTTTGATCACAACAAAAAATTCCAGTTTATCCCAGAAAGTGCATTTATTAATAAGGCAGGAAAGTAGCCTAAGCTATTTGAAAAGGACTTTCAATAACCGGGGATAAATAACATAGGCTGGACATGCTTTGATATTTAACCTAGTGCTAGTCAGCTGTGGCAAAGGGCTGTTTAAAGATATCTTTAAATAAATTAGGCAGCCTTTTGTGTATTTGAAAGAACATCAGCTTTGGAGTTAAATAGACCTGTATTTGAGTCCTGACTCTATCATTCATTAACTTTGTACCTACCTCATTGGGCTGTTGGTGAGGATTAAATGTCATAAACTAAGTAAGGCTCTCATAGTGCCTGGCTCGTGACAAGCCCTCAATAAATGTCAACTAGTGATTATGCTTGTTTCAGCTGCCAACGTATTGCAGTGGGGGACAGTGTGACCTGGCCAGTATGATTCTGATGAGCTCTGTTTGGCTCAGTTTTTCTGGTTGTCTGCTTTTGCCAGTTACTGAAATGTGGAAGCAAAAGCCCCAGCACCATAATAACAATATAACATAATAACATAACATAAACAGTGCCCATAGATTAGATGCTACAAGAAATGAGTAACAGATCCAGGAAGAAAGAGTCCAGCCATGGAAATGTTTCTTAGCAAGTTCACCTGCATCTCTGTGATGGTTAGGATATACAGTACACTTCGTGACATAATAAATCCACCCCCCCAACCCAACATATATGACTTTCCATGCTGGTCATGCTTCTATAGCTTAGTCAAGAAGAGTGTTCTGTTAATCAAGCCTTGAAAAGCAGGAACCATTTTTCTCTCCCTTCAACTGCCATACAAAAATCAGGGAGGCAATGTGCTGCTGCTCTCTAGAACAGGGGTCCTCAGTGACTCTTTTTCTACCTCTGTGTCATACATGGTTGAGAATTCTCACTTATATTGCTCTAGCAGAGCTCAGGGTTCTGTCCAGTTCCCAGGCACTGTCTGGAATTCCACTCTTCTCTCTCCCTATTGGGAAAGACTAGGAATGCAAGGAAGAGTGATGTTAAACAGTATGCTATTTTTTTCCACGTAATAAAAAGCAAATCTCTCTCTCTCTCTCTCCTTCTCTTTCACTTTTCCCTCCTTCCTTCCCTCATCTGTTTGTTCATTGATCTATTAATTCTTCCACCCCATTTTTCTGGCTCTCAACTGAGCTTTCTTTGAACTACCTTGGCAACTTTCTTGAAGATCATTTGTCCATATGTATTTGGGTCTATATCTGGACTCAGTGTTATTCCATTGATTGATATGTTTATCGTTATGCCAGCACCACACTGTCTTGATTACTATAGCTTTATACTAGTATTGCAATTAGATGTTGTGAGCTCTCCAACTTCATTCTTTTTTCTTTCTTTTTTTTGAGATAAGACTGTCAACCCAGGCTGGAGTACAGTGGTGCAATCATGGCCCACTTCAACCTCCCAAGTAACTGATACGACTGGCACATGCCACCATGCCTGGCTAATTTTTTTGTAGAGATGGGGTCTCACTATGTTGCCCAGGCTGGTCTCAAACAATCCTCCTGCCTTGGCCTCCTAAAGTGGTGGGATTACAGGTGTGAGCCAATGCACCCAACCATTCTTCCTTTATAACTTGTTTTGGATGTTGTACGTCCTTTCCATTTCCATATGAATTTTAGAATCGGTCTATAAATTTTTGCAAAAAGAAAAAAGAAGCCTGCTGGGATTTTGGCAAGGATTGCCTTGAATCTGTATATCAAATTTGGAGAAAACTGACATCTTAACAATATTGAGTTACCATGAACTCAGGGTATCTATCCATTTATTTGGGTTTTTTAAATTTCACTCATCAGTGTTTTATAGTTTTCAGGATACACGCTTTTCCTATTTTTTTTGTCAGATATATCCCTAAATATTTCACACTTTTGGTGCTATGGTAAATAGTATTGTTTTATTTCAATTTCTGATTATTTCTAATAGATAACAGAAGTATAATTGATTTTTGTAGATTAATCTTGTATTCTGCAAAACTTACTAAGTTTTAGGAGCTTTTTTTTTTTTGGTAGATTCCACTGGATATTCATTGGATATTCAACATAGATGATTGTTATCTGTGACTAAAGACAGATTTATTCTTCCTTTTCAATATGGATGTCTTTTTCTTCTTGCCTTATTGCACTGGTTAAAGCCTTTAGTACAGTGTTGAATAGTGATATGGTTAGGCTATGTGTCCCCACCCAAATCTCATCTTGAATTATAATCCCCATAATCCCCATGTGTCAAGGGAGAGAAAAGGTGGAAGTAATTGAATCATGGGGGCGGTTTCCTCGTGCTGTTCTTGTGATAGTGAGTTCTCACAACAACTGATGGTTTTATAAGGGGCTCTTACCTCTTCGATCAGCACTTCTTCCTCCAGCCACGTTGTGAATAAGGTGCCTTGCTTCCCCTTCACCTTAGACCATGATTGTAAGTTTCCTGAGTCCTCTCCAGCCATACAGAACTGTGAGTAGTCAATTAAACCTCTTTCCTTTCTAAATTACTCAGTCTTTGGAAGTTCTTTATGGCAGTGTGAGAACGGACTAATACAAATAGCTATGAGTTTTTTGGTGTGTAAATAATTTCTACCCACTTAAGTCTGGAAAAAGACACATACAATAATGGAGAGATAGTTGAACAATGGAAGCGTCCTCCGAAGATGCTATTTTGGGAACAAATGGTTGATCCCTGCCTTTATTGCATGTCCAAAGCTAGATTCCCATAGCACTGCACAGATATATTTCATCAGAGAAAAGTAGATCCTATTCATGGGGAGGAGGGGGAGGTGGAGGAGAAAAAGTGAAAAACAAGAAGAAAAATAAACCCTAAAGTTCATAGAATCATATATACTTTTCTCATTATTCTCATTCTTTCATTCATGTTCTCTCTCTCTCTCTCTTCTTTGAAAGAGGTAGTATAGTATAATGGTTAAGACAGCAAATGCTGGAGCCTAATTACTGCCTTAAAAGCCTAGCATTGCCCTCGGAAGGTTACCGGCTCTCCCTCTGCATCAGTTTCTTCACTTATAAGAAGAAACTATTAGTAGTGCATGCTTCATAGGGTTTTCTTGAGGATTAAATTCTTTATTCATTCAAAAATTTTACTGAGTGCATAGTAGGTACAAGATGCTACTCTAGGCTCTGGGGATACAGCAGAGAACAAAACAGGCAAAATTCCCTGTCCTTATGCCCATTATAATAGAGGGATACAGTCATTAAACAAGTAAAAGACGTATTATTTTAAAAGGGAATAAGTCATAATTTGGAAAAAGCAGGGGAGAGGTATAAGGAATCGTGGAGGCAAGAAACTTGTAAATTTAAAGTAGTTGAGGGAAACATCACTAAAGGTGACATTTGAGGAAGGGTTTGATTTATATTAAGTCAGTTAATGCATGTAAAGAAATGGGAATAGTTCTTTACATACAGCAAAAATATAGTACTTTTATGAATTATAATTTATTGAGTACTTTCTGTGTGTCCAACACTGTGCGAGATGCTTTACATATTATCTTGTTTAATTATTATAATAGGCCTATAAAGTAAGGGTTATTAGCCCTTTCTACTGAGGAGGAATCTCAAGACATTGGCTTGTCCAAAGTCACATAGTAGGTGATAGGGCCAATACTCAGATCACATCTGAGCTTGTCTCACGAGGCTAAGTTCATCTACCCCTTCTGAAGACATCCTGCATGCTTAGGGACTATATTAGACTAGACTTTGATTCACAAATATTAGAAGACTGGTCCTGCTGCTGGAGGCCTCAGATGGGATAGGATTATGTAGCTAAAAGCTTCTACAAGGGCTGTGGGGAGTGGTGAAATATCACCTTATCTTTAGTATTTCAACTTGAGAATAAGGGCAATATTGCCTGGCACTCCAATACCAGCACCTGGCTCTGACACTTT
Organism: Homo sapiens; assembly: GCF_000001405.40. Classification (NCBI taxonomy): domain Eukaryota; kingdom Metazoa; phylum Chordata; class Mammalia; order Primates; family Hominidae; genus Homo; species Homo sapiens. The sequence continues at coordinate 132,659,438 of NC_000023.11, read as the reverse complement.
CACTACTATGTATGTTGTGGGCAAGCAACCTAAGAATGGGAAGTGGGGAGGACAGAAATAAAACAACGTTACTGGGCAATAGCTATTACTCCATTACAAAAGATGATTTGGGTTTTCAGGATGGTCGCTTGCTGAAGTTTAAACGAAAAAAGAAAAATGAGGCTGGACTCAGCTCACTGATGACTGAACTATAAATTTTGCTTGGAAAATGCTGGCAATGCTATAAAATTCAGGCCACCATCTGTTAGTGCTTGCTTAAAGTAGCATTTGCACTGGATAATTAAGATGTCACATGCATTTGAAGCACAAATCATCAGTGCATGGGTGCCTAGCATCCCTGGAAAGATTGTGGATGGTGAAGATGTTCTGAGAGGAATATCATGTTGCTTGAAGGATACATTTATATGAAATCACAGGAGCTAGTGTTTTGGATCACCTGAGTGGGGTTGAGTAGAGGAGGAGATGAGGACACTGAGAAAACTGCTTTCTTGAGTTGACTGGATCATTTAATCAAAATGATCAACTGGCTAGGCCCATGCAGTATGGCAGGCGTAATAATATGTTTGGCCATCACTGTCTGCAAAGCTCATAGTGAATTCAGGGATATAAGGAAGAAGGGAGGCAAGTCTGGCTAAGCCTAAAATTCCTAATTAAAAAAGAATTTGCTTGTAAAGCACTTTATAATTTGCAAACAGCCTTCTCTTTTGTTATTTCATTTAATTAATTTTACCCACCATCCTAGGAAGCAGGAATTATATCTACATCTTACAGACTGGAAAACTAAGGCTGAGGGAAATAGCATATTTTTGCCCAAAGCCACATAGATAGTAAGTGGTAGAACCATGATTCAAAACAGGGCCCTTTTAACTCTAAATCCTAAAGTATTTTTTGGCCAAAGCACAACGTGCTCTGATATTAGAGTCAAATAATTTTACATACCTGACCAAAAAAAAAGAAAAAGAAAAAAACCATATTTTACAACTTTACAGGCAGGTAGAGAAACTTACAGACTTCAATTCCAACAAAGATGCCAGAGACTGCCAAATATAGCAAGGGCCTGGAATTTTTAAATAATAAGAAATAACATTTATTGAGTGCTTCCTATGCACCAGGCCCTGTTCGGAGTGCTTTAAATGCATGCATTATTTCATTTAATCCTGAGAACTACTCCATGACGTTGATTCAGGGAGAGTTCATCAGTAGCTTAGATGGTGTTGCCCATACCCAAATATTGAAGGTTCTCTTTGGGGTGATGTCTGGGTACTTTCAGCAGACACAGCATGGCTGGATTGTGGAGCTGAGCCAAGGTAATGATTCTCCCAGCTTTGGAGTCTAAAGAGTTTCGCTGTTTTGGCATCAAAGACCATAATTAATGGAATTAAGAAGGCTGGGCTTGCTTCCAAGTGGCTCTTCAAGAGTGTCCTTCTTTCTCATCATGGTTGGGGAGGAGATTTGTGCTCCACGGGCTTTAATGAGATGTTCTGTACCCAACGTCTGCATGTTTATCTTCACTTCCCCAATACGTGCCTATGGACCCTTCAAGGATGATCAAGCTATTTTGTGCCTTCACCCTAGGCACCAGGGTATGTTGTTCAGTTGTGATATTTGTCAGAAAAATCTTAGGTTGGTGCAAAAGTAATTGCAGTTTTTGCCATTACTTTTAATGGCAAACACCACAATTACTTTTGCACCAACCTAATAGTATGCTGCCACTGCCCACTCTCCTAGTACTGCTCCCCCTTCTTCTGTGAAATGCAGGTAATCATTCTCATCACTCCTCCTGGCATCACCAGGAGGATATGAAAACAAGCAATATAATGTCTCCAAAGACCTTACAAAAAATAAATAATTACAAAAACATACTTCATGGTGGTTTTCAGTAACTTTGGGGGGAAAAAATGCATCTCCATATAAGTAAAGTTGACAGACTCTTACCCCTTTCCCTGAGAATGTCTTCTTGCCATCTATGTGCCAGGTTTGCAGAGGTTGCCCCTTTTCTCCCACAGATCGTTATGTCCTTTCCCAACCACATGCCTAGTGTCTCACCGACTATTCATTTCTCACTTGCCCTCCATTGGCAGCCATATTTTCAGGGGCTAACTACACATACCCAGCTTTGTCCTAAAAACACACACCAAGTCTGGAGGCCACGAGTTTCCTTACCTGATTATCTGGGTTTCTATTCCCCCACTTGGTGGTGAGGAAACACATGCATAATGTTGTTATTTTTTTCTGCTTGCTTGTAATTTGGGAGGCAGTGCGACCATTCATTACTGAATGCCTACAATGGACAAGGCATTTGTGTTAGTCAACAGGAATACCAAGGAAAAGGCATATTGTCCCTCTCCCCTGCAAATGCCTCCTGGTGGGGAATCTCTGCCTGCTGTAGCCATTCTTCATTCCAATTCTGGCTTCTAGCAGATGAAAAAGGACGAAAAGAGGTATAAAGAAGCCACCCAGGCCATTGAGCCTGAGTTCATAGAGCCATTGTGATGCACTTACCATGTCCTTCCTCTGTGTAGACCAGTGGTTTTCAGTCTATGTTCTGTACAGCCCTTGGGTTCTGAGGGAGGACCTCAAAGCCTGCCATGAGTGAAAGTGATGGGGTAGTCTGGAGTGGTAAATAGATGGGGCTCCAGGCCCTCACTCTACCTCTTCCTGAGTGACTCCATTTTAATCTGTTTTACATATTGGGATCTGCCTAGATTTCATTTTTTAAAGCCCTGCTGCTGCTAGAATGGAAAACCAAAAACCATATGTTCACACTTATACATGGGAGCTAAACTATGAGTTTGCAAAGGCATACAGAGCAATATAATGGACCTTGAGACTCAAGAGGCCAGGGATAAAAATCTACACATTAGATACAATGTACACTGCTTGGGTGATGGGTGCACTAAAATCTCAGAATTCACCACTGTGTAATTCATCCATATAACACAAAACTACTTGTACTCCAAAAGCTATTGAAATAAAAATAAATAAATAAAAATAAAAAATACAAAAGCCCCGTTGCTAAGAAGGAACTGATAACTACCAGTGTAGACCCAGCCAGAGAATACTCAGGGAGCAAGGTTTTTATTGGAAAACCGCCTTTATCCACCATGCCTCAGCTCCCCAGTGACAGGCAAAGCAGTTCTGGCTATTGGACAATCTCACAGTCCCCTTTCTCAATTCTGCAAGCTTTTTTAAAAAAAGAAGAAAAAAAGAAATGCTTCCTTTCATATGGCCAAATTGCTCTGAACAGATGAAAGGGACCAGACTGACAGGTGATTGTTCCCTAAGATTACAGCCTACACCCAGGCTGAATCTGAAACACTTGGAGGAAAAAAAAATGCTACAGGTTTTGAGTAATGCTCCCCGACTGGCATCTGCTCTCAAGACTAAATGAACACACACTATTTCCACTCCATTTCCTTAAACTGGCCTCTGTGCTAGGCTGTAATGAAACCTGTAGGGGAAGAAAGACCATTTGCTTGGGGAAAGGATTATTTTAGTTGCTTAAGCCATCCTCTCCCAAAAAATAGGCGGATGGTTAGGCTGGAGTCTTTGTTTTTAATTTAAATGTCATTAGGAGGTCCATGAGTTTTCCTCATATTTATTGTATGCTATACATACACATTGTAGCTATTTTATATAACCCTATAAACAATTTTTAAAATAAATTTTAAATTGTCTCTTTATATTATATTCACTAACAAATTCAACCTTATCACCAACAATATAATGTTATCATCAGGCCCAACCTTCATCCCCTTCGTTATACTGGTCTTCTTCTTGTCTATAAAATGTCTGCTTTTCCATACCATTGCACCTATCTTGAATAACCTGTGTCCTTCAACTACCCATGTCCAAACACTAGTTCATTGAAAAGAGCTCATTCTTTCAAAATAGATAAGATATGTATTTCTATCCCAGCTCTAGTACCTTGGACAAGTTAATCTCTTTGAGCCTCAGTTTTCTCATTTGTAAAATGGGGAGAATAACTGGACCTTCCTCTCTGCTAGAAATTCCTTGAATGTTCACTGAGATGACTTAGGCAGATCTTCTGGTACATACTGGTACTCATTAAATGGAATCGTTGTTATTACTTATATTTCAAGACAATTACTGTGCCCCTTACTCCATCATGTCTCCCTTGATGCAACCTGAGGGCATCTCTCCCTCCTCTGAACAGCATCTATTTAGCATTGAACCAGACACTAAGATGTGCCATTCATTTGTTTATTAATTCAATGAGCAACTATTTATTGTGCATTTAGAATGTGATAGGCACATTACCAGATGCTGGGGCAGGGTGGGCATAGAGAGGTGGATGTGAAAGAAGGAGGAGAGAAGGTGGAGACAGCAGGGCTGAAACAGATACTGCTCTTAAGCACCTAATTTTCTAGTAAAGAAGATATTCATATACAAAAATAACTAGAATACAAGGAACAAAGCTATGTGCTTTGTAAGAAAGGTGCAGCTGGAGACTCGGCTGGAGGACTGTCTCCACTGGAAGAAAAAGTTCTGGAAATGTCAACTGTCTTCTTTCTTGTTAACTTTCCCTTTGTTTGCTTATCTCTCCAGCAAAGTTCTGGCTGTGGCTCCTTGAGGAAGAGTGGGAGTACTTCTTTATCTTCCACAGAGCCTACCAAAGTACAAAATGAGCTCTCAGTGTATGCGCTGATGTGAGTAAAGTATCTGCAGTATCTGTAGTAAAGTACCTGCAAAGTATCTGCAGTAAACAGAATAGGTATACAACACATGCCAGAAAAGACCACCTATTCTCTTATTCCATCTTATAGCATCTCATAAAAAGTGCATGCACTGCAACTCGATATGTGAAAAAGTTCTAAAAAAAATGGATACATAAAGAAGTATTCTTCCTCCTTGAACTTTAAAGATTCTTGAGCTTATTTTAAACAAAGAGCATTTTGTTGAGGATTTTGGTATTGAGCCAACTATAGTACACATTGCATTTCCCTGAACCTCATGATGTTACAGAGAGGGGCTAGGAGCACTTCTGGGGTACACTTACCCTACAGGCACTTCTATTTGAACCTACTGCTTGTCCCTGCCTTTCTGAATCTGAGAAATTATACCTGAGAGTACTTTTTAAAAACCAGTTGATTGAAGTATGATTGACATATAAAAAGCTGCATACATTTAATATTTATTTATATTTAATGTATATATCTCATTGAGTTTTGGAGGTAAATATACATCTATGAAATCATCACCATCATTAAGGACATAAATATATCTATCATGCCCTAAAGGTTTCCTCCTGCCCCATGATTATTATTGTTTTGTTTTTTGATAAGAACACTTACAACATAAGATCTACCCTGTTAGCAAATTTTACATATAAAATCAAGTATTGTTAGCCATAGGCACTATGCTGTGTAGTAGATTCCCAGAACTTATTTATCTTGTGTAATTGAAAGTTTGTACCCTTTAACCATCACCACCCCCTTGCCCAGCCCCTGGTAGCTACCATTCTCCTTTCTGCTTCTATGAGTTTGACCTGATTGTGCTTTTGATGGATGTTAGAACTATCTTCCTTGACCTGGCTTCAGCCATATAAGACTGCTGCAGTGTCTGTTGAAAGTTGCATCCCCTACCCCATCTCAGCACAACATTCTCCTCCTCCTGTTCATCTTCATCCCTCTTTCAACCCACAGTAGTCCTTTCATTAACAGAGTTGCTTATTCAGTAGTGCACAGTTCTTTTAAGGCAGATTCCAATGACTTAGGGTTTGTCCTAATTGACTAAGCTGGATGCAAAAAACCCTGAGAGTCAAATGACTGTGGACATCTGTCCCCATACCTAACCCTAAGCAACTCTGACACCTTGAGAAAGTCACCTAGCCTCTCTGAATCTGTTTTCTCTGCTGTTAAATGATGGGGCTGGCTTTGCTGACTAAAGTACAAACAAATCGTGAGACAAGCCCCCGTCACCACTATCAACACAAATAATGGAGCTAGAAACACGAGATCCTTTCCAGGTAATTTAATACTGCTGCATTTTAAAAGTCGTGGGCCGAGAAGATGAGTTTTAAAAGGAGGGAAAAAGTAATTCACATCTCCCAAGATAGTGTTTATAATGGTCTATTAAGAACACATTGAAAAGAAATGGACTAATTCTGTAGTGTTTTACCCAGGACAGCAGGCCAGTTCAGTCAAAGTGTTTTTTGAATAGGGCTATAAGCAAATCTCTTTCGGTGAAACCTAGAGCTGCTTTGCAGAAAGCAGAAAAGTGGAGTTTTCCCCTAATACTTTAAAAAATGGTCACTTCACCATTGCCAAACTTCATTACCACTCCCAGGAGCTAAAGCTTCGAGATTAATGATCCTCATCTTAAAGAGAAGGCAGTGACCGCTAAAAGAAAAAAAGAAATTACAAGCACATGGTATTTACTGTTCTGCATTCTTTGAGAATTAATGTCAGTAATACTGTTGCAACATTTTTCAAAATAAAGGATGGCGTTTTCTAATTGTCTAGTTAAAAAAAAAATCTAAGTCTGAATCCCCAGAGAAGAAACCTGAGTTTAAATCATTAACACCACAAATCTCTGATAATTGTGGCATGTTTGCAAGTGCCTTAATCAGGATGGTATGTCTTAGTGGCCTGTTTTAATTTGATCACACTGATTAAGCTTCTGTAAGCTAATATACGTTGCATTTCCAATTCAATTAAATGAGAATCTCCTGGCCTTACTAGATATTACCAAAATGCCCTGATGGGTGAACACTAGACTTGGTATTTTCAATTGCTACCGACTTTCTGATTATATAATCTTTGTATTAAATGAAATCGATGAAAGCTCAAATTAAATTCAGCAAACTTTAAGGAGTAAATATGTTTTCCCTGTATTTTTGGCATACTTTCACCTCAAGGTGTGGAGCATGTTAGTCGGAACTCATTGATTACCTTTAGTGATAAATTTTATAGGGCTCTCTCCCCCGTATACCAATTCCTAGAACAGTCTATCCTGTTAGAAGGCACTGTAAATGTGGGTGATGAATAGGCACTCTCTCTATTATATATGTATTATAGTTGTGCCTTTTTCAGCTGTAGATAAGAGCTATCTTATGTAAATGTGATTGCTTTGTAAATGTAAATGCCTATTGGGTCATCGATCATCTTGGAGATAGAAGAAACAGAACAATAGGGGGAGGTGTGAGAGAAACTGTCTAGGGACAGAAATGAAGAAAATTGCTAAGTGGGTAACAGATTGAATCATTAGAGCTGGAGAACTTTGTGGAGGTGGCTAGGATGGAAACAGCAGCCGCGAAACTACTGGAAGCCTGGCTTGTGCCTGCAGAGCCCTCCAAAAGGCTTGCTTCCTTGAGGTTCTGAGGACTGACTGCTAAATGAGAAATGGGCCTCTTCAGTGTAGGTTTGAAGCAGGAAGGAACTGAAAAGAAAAGCCCAACTTCATTGTTAGGTGAGCACTGTGGGTGCCTGTCGTTTGCCTGCGCATAACAGGTTTGGAATCTCTCAAATCCTTCCCACTCTCAACAACCCACACAAGTTGTGAGAGTACTACCTAAAAACAGCCCCTTGGTGTGCCAGTCATATGCCACCCCCTGGAGGAGGAGGGTACTGAATAATACCTACTGCTGCTGATTCCCATGCCCTAGCAGTTCTCTCAATTTTTTGGGTGGTATCAGGAGGCAGGCAGGCCCAGCAGTGAACTCAGGAACCATCAGGGTGAAAGTGCCTCTGGAATTTTCTCACAATCTGTTAGGCCCTTTTTATGGAGTCTGGTTTTCAAAACCTGCTATAAGCCAAATGTGTGACTCACAGAGTAATAAAGGCCTCTAAATCAATTTGTAAGACATCTTGAAGTTAAACAAGAAGGAAAGGCTGTTTTTGCCCCACATATTTTTTTAGATCCTGCCTACTTCCACAAAGGATTTGAGATGACTTCCAAAGCCTTTCTTACTCATGCCTAAGAGTATTTAAGAACTATTTCTGAAAGTTGAATCCATGTGTACCATATAAATAGAGGAGAATGATTATATGGAAACACAAACAGATTGGGGCTCTCTCACTTTATACAATAGATCAACTCTGGGGAAGTGGTTAAATGAGGGAAGTATTTGGGGCACTTGCTCCAGTCTTCCCTTGGTTGTCCTTTTACTTCCTTCTCCCAGCATCTGCACTCTCCAAGTATTGCCTGCCCTTCCAAGCAAAACTTCCCTGTCTTGTATTCCATACCTGCAAGGAACTTTATTTACTTTCTAATAAACTCTGCTAATAAATATGAAATAGTGAGTACTAGAGGCTTAATACATATGTTAGTTGTTCTAATGTTCAAAGGAATTCCTACAATGGTAGGAGAGAAATTTGAGGCCAGAAATAATGCCATTAAGCATTTATCCCAGCTGGGCATGGTGGCTCACGCCTGAACTCCAACACTTTGGGAGGCCAAGGTGGGAGGATAATTTGAGACCAGGAGTTCAAGACAAGCCTGGGCAACATAGTGAGACCCCTATCTCTAAAAAAAATTGTTTTAAATTAGTCAGGTGTGGTGACATGTGCCTGTAGTCATAGCCACTTGGGAAGCTAAGATGCAAGAATCAGGAGTTTGAGTCTGCAGTGAGCTATGGTCACACCACTGCACTCCAGCCTGGGCGATAGAGTGAGACCTCATCTCTTAAAACAAAACAAAAAAGAAGAGAGAGAGAGAGAGAGAGAGAGAGAGAGATCCCTCCTATGGATTTAATAATCATATCCTGCATTGGGGCAGGGGTGGGTTGAGGTGGAAAAGGGGGTGTGAAAGCCATATTATAGAGATGGGCACCAAGACCGAGTTTTAAGGAAAGAAAAAGAGGCCAAGAAGGATCACTGAGGACCCCAAAGGCAAACTTGGCTGCCTTAGAATTTTGCTGGGGCTGAGGACTCTCTGGTTTAAAAATAAATATGAAAGCAAAGATATTAAAGGCAAAGCACAAGGATTTACAGAGAAAATGAGCAGACTGATTTTTAGTTGAAAGATGTCCACAATTTATCACTAAGTTATTGGTCCAAGCTCATATTCCATCCTATCACTGTTCTCCTGCACAGTGACCTCCATACTCTAAGCAAACCAAACTTCCTGAGCCGCACATTGCCACCCCATACCTTGGCTCATACTGTTCTCTCCAGACACATTTCCTGCTCTACCTCTTTGTCCAAATAGGACTGACTTCTCAAGACTTCATTCCTCCTGATGTTCAACAGCTGAAGCAGCCATACCTTCCTCTGAACCTCCGGAATGGGTTTTCTGGACTTCTCTTAGGGGACGCTGTTCATCTGGCTTTATCATGTATATTCATGTCCAAGTCTTCTCTTCCCTTCAAGGCTGCAGACATCTTGGAAGGAGGGCAAGTCCTCTTTATATCTTTACTCCTCTCTTCCCATGGACTGAGCTGGCCCAGAATCTTGAAAAATAGCCAACCACTGATAAATGCTTTCTAGTTAAGAGTTCAGACTCTGGAGTCAGGAAGTTCTGGCAGCAAGCCTCAGCTTGTGTTTATTACTTCACCTCTCTAAGTCTTGGTTTCCTCATCTGTAATCACCTACTTCGGAGTTGTGTTTTTTTTTTTTTTTTAGATAGAGTCTCGCTCTGTCACCCAGGCTGGAGTGCAGTGGCATGATCTAGGCTTACTGCAACCTCCGCCTCCTGGGTTCAAGAGATTCTCCTGCCTCAGCCTCCCAAGTAGCTGGGATTACAGGTGGCCGCCACTGCGCCCAGCTAATTTTTGTATTTTTAGTAGACACAAGGTTTCACCATATTGGCCAGGCTGGTCTCGAACTCCTGACCTCAGGTGATCCACCTGCTTCAGCCTCTCAAAATACTGGGATTACAGGCGTGAGCCACCATGCCCAGCCTGGAGTTGTGATTTTTCAATGAGATAACCCATGTAGAATGCTTAGCATGGTGCAAGACACATGGTATACATTCCACAATTATTTGTTATTGATACCATTTTTCCCTTAAGGAAAGGTGCAGTCTTCTCTGGCTCCCTGTGGCAATAATCCAACTGAGCCATTATTCCAGAAGGAAATCACATTAGGGGGCTTTTGGGCAAGGGTTTGCTAAATGCCCTGACTCACACTATGTCTACAGTGACATTTACCCCATCAAAATGCAGGGAAAGACAGGAACTGGTTTCAACTTGAATTCGATATTTCTGTGGCCCACATGCTGAATGCCACCAAAGCCTCCACTCCCAGAGCAGCAGTTTGTAGAGATGGAATAGTGGCAGTTTTTCATTTTCCAGAGTCCACTCATCCTTCCAAGAATCTCAATGCCTCATTGATTCATAATACAGTGCATAAAGATTTCATTTTTCCTGCCCACAGTGATACATTATGGAGGCAATCTGTTTTGCCACTGAAAAGTTTGCTTAGTAGAAAAATTTGGAGTTTTGACATTCAGGAAATTACAGTCATCTGTAAAACACGATTGATATGCCGAGGCTAACATTTTCATTGCACTTGCAGAGCCAGAATAACTATGATAAAATATGTGTTACCCCACACACATTTCAGGATCTTTTAGAAACATTAGCTCTGAGAACCTCCTCCCAGGGCTCCAGGACTAGAATAGCTATCCCCATTAGTTGTTTGTTTGCCACTCACAAGGATAATATCTCCATTGACCCAACCAAGAATCAGACTGTAAGACAAAGTGATGGCTTTCCCGTACCACCAGGTTAAAGGCATGAAAGAAAGTAAAAAGATAGAGAGATAAAGAATTCCACCCCGTTTTGGAATTGTTAACCAGCCACAAAAAGCGCAGGTATAGGTTAGGTAGAACTAGAAGCTGAAGGCTTACAAAAGAGAAATTAGACTGTTCTACATCTGCCTACAATTTAAACTTGTTCTCTGTATTTTTACACCCAACCTTTTTTTTTTTTTTTTTTGTCTCTTTCCACATGCAATTTTCAGTGTTAAATGACATCAAAAGCCTAGGGCTCCGGAACTATCCACTTGTTCAAAATTTGATTTCAGAATGATAAATACAGTTGTTTTAGCTGAGAGATGTAGTTGATTTCCACTGGCATACTGAGAAAGTGGTCCATTCAGGGTCAGATTTGGCCAGGTTGTGAGCACTTTTCACTTGGTCCTCATGCACTGGGACCCACGGGAAGTGCACAAAGTCTGTGGTTCCAAGGCAAATGACAGGTACCACTGCTTTTGACTTTGGAAGTGGCTTAGAGTGAACCCCATTCAGCTCTGGGACAGCTTCTTCAGGCACTGAGAACACATTCTGCCCAAAGTGTGTAAGTCTGACTCATGAATCAAGCAGTTTTTAGAGGTGTCATTGAAGTCCTGCATGCAACCCTATGCAAACAATTATTGCCAGTGCTTACTGACCTTATATTATGTGTCAAACACAATTCTAAGTATTAATTCATTTAGTTATTACAGCCACTCTATGAGGCAAGTGATAGAATTATCATCTTCACTTTATGAAGAAACTGAAGCACAGAGTCTGAGCATCTCTCCCAAAGTCACACTGCTATCTCATAAGAGGTAGAGCTGGATTCAAATCCTCAACAGAATGGCTGCAGAGCTCATGCTCATGATCTATATTATATTGCCTTGCATAAAGAAATTTTATAAAAGCCCTCTGTTGTCAGACATGCTGCCTGGATTATCTCACAAGTGCCCCATGCCCATGGTAGGAAGGCTTTCTTGTCCTCCTAAAACACTTGGCCAAACTTCACTCTCCTCCTGTCCCATGGTTAAGCCTCTTGCATCCAACAACTTGGCTTCATTCATTTCCTACCAGTGTTTGCACAGATGCTAGAGGAGCAAGAATAAAGCCAATGGGTATAGGGAGGAGAGGAGATGGATGCCAAAGACACACTTGGGCAAAGACCATGCCTGCCTAGGAGTTTTGGGACTCTCCAGCAGGGGAATAAGGGGAAAAGTGATTTCCCAGAGGCATGTTGAGGATTCACTTGCTTGTCCCCAGGCTGAAGCTTTGGGGGTACCCATATTCAGCTTTCTCTCCTGCTGCTCACCTCTGGGCCTTATTTCAGCTGATCTGGCCACTGACAAGGGAAACTAAGAGACAGTGGAGCAAAGAGGACTCATCAGAATACAATGAGGGGACATAGAGGCTGGAGGGGTGGAGAAGATAGAGGGGGAGAAAGGGGAGTTATGGCGTCAGGACAGGAAAAAAAGATGAAGAGAGAATGGCAAAACAACCAGGAGGAGGAGGAAGTCACTGAAAAAGAAGAGGGGATGCACACAGCATGAGGTGGGATGTGGAGAAGACTGAGAGAGGAAGGAAACTGAGGGGAAAGGCTGATGGAGATGTTCTCTCTCCTCACTTCTGTGATCTCAGTCCTGTCCATATGGGCAGTCTGATATGGTTTGGCTGTGTCCCCACTCAAATCTCATCTTGAATTGTAGCTCCCAAAATCCCCATACGTCGTGGGAGGGACCCAGCAGCAGGTAATTGAATCACAGGGGTGGGTTTTCCATGCTGTTCTTGTGATAGTGAATAAATCTCACAAGATCTGATGGTTTTATAAAGGGCAGTCCCCCTGCACACACTGTCTTGCCTGCTGCCATGGAAAACATGCCTTTGCTCCTCCTTTGCCTTCCGCCATGACTGTGAGGCCTCCTCAGACATGTGGAACTGTGAGTCCATTAAACCTCTTTTCTTTATAAATTACCCAGTCTCGGGTATGTCTTTATCAGCAGCATGGGAATGGACTAATACACTCTCCTCACCACCAGTAGTCTTCCTTGACTGCCTGCTGGGCACCACTGAAAGGCTCTTACGTTGCACGGTGTTCCAACTAGATGGCCTTGCTCTTTTCCTTCTGTGAGCTCCAGGTACACTTAGAGATGAGGCCTGTCTTCTTGTCCTGAATTTGGACACATGACTTTTTTTTTTTTTTTTTTTTTTAAGAGACAGGGTCTTGCTCTGTTATTCAGACTAGAGTGCAGAGCTGCTATCATGGCTCACTGCAGCCTCAACCTCCTGGGCTCAAGTGGTCCTCCCACTTCAGCGTCCCAAGTATCAGGGACTACAGGCACATGCCACCACACCTAGCAGGAGGGATATCTTAGAGGTCATTTAGTCCCTCCCCCATGCAAATGACCAATAAGTCTTCATTGCTTTTGACCCCGTACTCCTTATCTCCTATCATCCCCTACGCACAGGAGGCAGATTCTTAAACCAAAGGAATAAACTTTACATTGTGGATTGCTGGCCAACTGTGTTGGGGAGGGGCTGTGCTTCCCAGCACTCCTGAACTTATGCCACCCCACAAGGCTGGCCCTGGTTGCCTGTCCCATTATGGTGTTGTAGAAAGCTCTCCGCTGTCATGCAAATTACCTTTTAAAATAAAATGAACAAAGTGGCATGGGGTAGAAAAATGAGTCTGGATATCTAGACTTGGGTTTAAAACATATGTAACTTGATGACTTACTGGCTGTGTGACCTTTCACCTCTCTGTGCACTAATATCAGTGTCTATGAAATGGACTGGAACTGTCTATTTCTCAGTCATGGTGTAAGGCTCTATGAAGAAGAAGATGTGTTTTGTTAAAAATAAATATATATTTGCTATAAAGAACTTTTTAGAAGTAGAAGAGAAAGAGGGTGCTATTCCTTTCAAAAGATTTGGAATAATAGCTCTTTAATCCTTGAAAATGAACTGAGAAATATAAATACTTATGATTATTTAAAAACCTCAAAGGTGACCTGCTCATCACCTGAACTGTGCTTGGTATGCTGAAATGCAGCAATGCCAGTCTCCCAAAAATGTACCTGCCCATATTTCAACTGTCAGCACATTCTTTCCACCACGTAGAAGGTGAAGGTCGACATGTTCTCCCTGCGTGCATTTCTAGTAACACCTTAACTCATGAATGTTAAATGGAAGGAGGTGGGATAGGGGAACAACAGGACTTCAAAAATAGCCTTGGGGAAATCAAATCTTGCTTTAACTTAGTGTGTTCATGACCGATTCATGGCTCTGAAAAGGAAAAAGTGTTTGATCAAAACTGTCACCAAAAGACCTCATTTTAAATTCCTCTACTTTCTTTGAGCAGAAAGGAATAGGTATCCTGATTATGACTATTGAAGCAGGCTTTACCTGTGCATAATAGCTGGTCTCCTATATTCTGTGATTTTTGGATGGCCTCCTGCCCCATAGAACTTGCCCTACTGCTGCCTGAAATTCTACCATAAGAGGGCATAGCATTGCCCCTTAGGGGCTGCCCCTTTAAAATGGAAATGCTTCTGGTGGTGCTAAGTACATGACACTTTGACAAAATGAGTTTTTCTAATGACTTTCCTTCTAGGTCTCAGATTTTGAACAGACTAAGCCCAGAGAGAGAGTCCAGTGGGGGAAAGGCTGGAAGAAGGGGGAGGTGTAGGAGGAGGAATGGAGAAGCTTGGAGGGCCGAGGTCTCCCAGCTACAACAAAGGACCAAAGAAATAGTAACTAAGGATGGGATTTCAGGCCTCAGTGGGGTACATTTGGAGGAGAAGGGGCCTCCTTTACCCTTACAAGTTGTATTGTGGGTGCAGCAGTCTCTCCTGACTGGGGAAATGCCAACCTGGGGACCTGAGGCACTGCACCAGCCAGAGGTGGAGTCACTTTGGGACTCGTTTCAGGGCCTGTGTAGTTTAGGGGACAATGCCCTTTGTTTCTGATTGGTGGGAGGAGGAACTGATGTGCAGTGGGATGGGAGAGGATAAAATGGAGCATCCTGGGTGATTTCAAGGCTTCATGCTAGAAGGCTCATCAATTAACCCACCAGTCTGAGTTCCCATAAGGTGCTGGGCCCTGTGTTGAGAGACAGGAGAGATATCAAATAGTTTGGCTCTTAAGGAATGTCTAGCCTGGTTTGCAAGACAAAATAAGAGAAATGGAGTATGCAGCCATTTATTTGAGGCTTAATGTGCAACAGAGAAAACATGGGGGAAACACTGAATTGGGAGTTAGGAAACCTGGGTTCTGGTCCTAGACCCACTGCTGACCAACTATATATCCTTGGGAAAGTTGCCTCCTTTGTTTGAGGTTCAGTTTCCTTAGCTGCAAAATGGGAATTTTATATCTTGTCCTGTATACTTCATAGGATTGAGTGAGAAACTAACTTTATAAAAACAGTGGAAACCTTTTCAAATTTCTCATTGTGATTAATCAGCCCTCCCTCCCTCACTCCTATCTTCCCACTTTCCCTTTTTCTGTCCTTCCCTCCTTCCCTCCCTCCCCCCTTTCTTCCTCCCTTCCTTCCCTCTTTCTGTCCTTTCTCTCTCCCTCGCTCCTTCCCATCTTCCTTCTTTCCTTCCTTCCTTCTCTCAGGCACTGATATCAATGAATTTTCTTCAGATGACTTTTCTGAAAAACTATTTTGAGAAGGGCAATGTCGTTTAGAGTAATTATCTCTGGCCTTAAATCCACTTTGCAGTGAGTCACTATTTCTGAGAATTAAGCTCAATTCCAGACAAAAAAGCCCAAGCCAGGAGGGAAAGCTCTGTAGGTGGCTCACGCAGCACGCAAGCAGATCTCTCTTCTCATTGACATGTCCTCACAGTAAATGATGACTTGAAGAATCTAAGGGAGGTTCTGCCCTCTAGCATTTGCCTTAGTTGGAAAGTCAGGGTCAGGCATCTGTCTTAATGTGAGCATTGACTTTGAGTCCTTTTTTATGGGTTTAAAGTCTTGCAGTAAAGAATAAGTGAACGTCAACCAAATAGAGGGGTTGCCTTTGCCTAAAGCCGATTCCTGTTCATTGGTCATCTTAAGGGTGATATTCAGGAAAGTGAACAAGGAGTCAGAGACTTGGTTTTGGGTCCCTTCTGTGCCATAAACTGGCCAAATGACCCTGGATGAGTCCCTATCCTTCACCTCTGGGCTTTAGCATTCTCATTGCTAAAGTGATTGGAGCAGGTAACCTCTGAGAGGTCTGCCAAACCATCTACTCTATGAAAAATATGAGTTTGTCACTTTCATCTTTCATTTGTGAGTGGCTCTCATTGGTTCCATTCACAGGAACCTTGCCCTTCATCGGTTGGCCAGTTTCCACACATGGGACATGGCTCTTACTCAACGAGAGAGTAATCCAGAGCTCACTGTATGCATGGAGGGAGGTGTGGAACACTCTCAGGCTCCCCCTTGGTTGAACTGCCCCCAACCATGATGAGTAAAATGGCCTCACCCACTTTCAGTGAAGTAAGATCCCGTTTTGCACAAGATGAGGTTTGTAAAGTGCCCCTTTAAAAAAAAAAAGATTCTATTCTGTCAAAAATTATGGAATGTTCATGCTTTCATCAAAGTAGAGCCATGGCTTATATTTTACAACACGCATAGCTGTCTAATTTCACATACTGTTTTTCTATTCTGTCACATTTTGGACAAAAATGTCTTTTCTCTAGGATTCAGGACATTGCAGTGTGATGTAAAATTGCAATCTGGAGGAATATACTGTGCGTGGAGAAGGGATGATGAGGGCAACTGCCCCGTGACTCCCCAATACTAGGCCACTGATTTCAGGGAAGGTCTCCTTTTTGCCTTAAAGGGGAAACACAGTTGTCCAAAGTCTCTATGCCATCAAAAAGAAACCTCTGATGCACGAAACTTATAGAACGCTTGTCAGTTTCAGCATTAACATAACCTTCAAAATAATTCCTTCTGCTCAATCAGGATCTTCATGTCTTCAGTCCTCCTTCCTGTACTTGCCCCAGTGTGACATCACATTCCTTAGCTAGAGAGGTGGGATGGGGGATGGATGAGTTTTTTTCACCACCCAGTATTATCATTGCAAAGAAACAAGGCTGTGCCTGTTACTGTATAGAATGCTTATTTCCCCACACATGTAGCCCAGCCATGTTATTCAGTAATTATGCCTTTTGCAGCTTGAATATCTGAAGGAAAAACTTTCCCAGGTGAAAGGAGGCATGACCCTGCCAGCCCTTGAAATTCTGAATGGCTTCAATTCTTTACAGTTCAAATGGTTAAAAAGTTCTGTTCCCCCACACCCCCCCAGAAAAAGCCAGGGTTTGCACTTCATATCTCTCAGCACCTTGAAGCAATATTAGAGCTCATTAAAATCAACCCAGGGCTCAAGAAGGGAAGCCTTCATTTAGGGGGAAAACTTTTCCCCTGTGCTGCTCTGGAAAATAGCACAATGCTGAGAGCAGGCATTTTTCCTGACTAGGTTTCCTCTAACGATTTCTCCAAAGCACAGTTAGGGTACCTGCCTCCCAGACAGCACATGTCCAGCAGGCCCAGGTGAATGCGTGGGACTGGCTATCACTAGCTCAAAATTGCCTTAATATTTATTGACGGCCTACCATGTGAAAAAGGCCTCTTACTTGATTTCTTGTCTCTGTGGAGGTCCCTAAAGAAATGATTCTGTGTGTCTCTGGATTTCTCACAATCTAGAGACATGGAAAGGGAGCTGGCTATCTGGTTCGGGATCCGTAGAATACGAAGTATGGTCTAAAATGGTGTCCAGCTATACCCCTGCCCCCAGGCCCCTCAGCTCTAAAATGCTCAGATCCCAGCCCTGCGGTTCTGTAAGGGGCCCACAAAAACCACAGAATTGGATCCCTCATTTCACATCCCAGCATATCCAACTGCCTCCTACTCAAATGTCCTGCTGCATTCAGGCCAGTTGTGCTCCTGGCCTGTGACTCCTGAGGCTGTGCTCAGGCACAAATGAGAATGAACAGCCCAGTGGGTGAGAGCACACACATTGGAGGCTCAGACACATCTGTCAGTGAGGACACAAAGACCAAATATAAAGACCAGATTTTATCTTCATAAAGACTCTATGGTTTTCATGCATTGTAAATGAGAAAAGTAGAAGCACAGAGAGGTTATTTGCCCAAGATGACACAGCTAGTAACTGCCAGAACTGGAATTTGAACACAGGCAGTCTGGCTGTAGATCAGCATTGTCAAATAGAAATACAATGCAATGGATGCACCTGGAGGCGATAAACGTAAGCGAATTAATGCAGGAACAGAAAACCAAATATTGCTGGGTGTGGTGGCTCATGCCTGTAATCCCAACACTTTGGGAGGTCGAGGCGGGCAGATCACTTGAGATGGTCAGGAGTTTGAGACCAGCCTGGCCAACATGGTGAAACCTCATCTCCACTAAAAATACAAAAATCAGCTGGGCATTGTGGTGCATGCCTGTAATCCCAGCTACTCGGGAGGCTAAGGCAGGAGAATCACTTAAACCTGGGAGGTGGAAGTTGCAGTGAGCTGAGATCGCACCACTTCACTCCAGCCTAGGAGACAGAGCGAGACTGCATCTCCAAAAACAAACAAACAAAAACAAAAATCCAAGTATTTCATGTTCTCGCTTATAAGTGGGAGCTAAACATTGAGCACACATGAACACAAACAGGGAAACAATAGACACCATGGACTACTTGGTTGGGTGAGGAAGGGGTTGTGGGTTGAAAAACTACCAATTGGGAACTGTGCTCACCACCTGAGTGATGGGATCCATACCCTAAACCTCAGCATCGTGCAATATATCCATATAACAAGCCTGCACATGTACCCCTGTATTTGAAATAAAAGTTGAAATTCAAAAAAAGAAATGTGATGCAAGTCACCTATGTAATTTTAAATTTTATAGTATCCACATTAAAAATGGGGATACAGATGAAATTAATTTTAATAATACATTTTATTTAACCCAATATATCCACATTATTATTTCAACATATAATCAGTATAAATAATAATTAATTCATGAGATATTTTCTCTACCTCTAAGTCTTGGAAATCTTAGTATGCTTGAAAACTTAAATCACTTCTTAGTTCAGACTAGCCACATTTCAAGAGCTCAGTAGTCACATGTTGCTGATGGCTACCATATTGGACAGTGCAGCTCTAGAACAAGCCCTTTTCATGATATACACTGTGACTAAAATGAAGGCATTAACACCTATTTGATAGGTTTTCTGAAAAAGCTTCTAGCCTAGTGTCTGACATACTGTAGGCACCTGTTAAATCAAAACATCTATTAGTTTCCTGTGTGTTTTGCTCTTTGCTGATGTCAGAATGCCGTCCACCCACCCCACCACCATACACGCACCTAGTCAAATCCTTTTTGTCCTTCAGAATCCATCATATTCCTCCTCTTCTATGAAGCCTTCCTTGATGACCATAATACAGTCAACTCTCTTCTCCCCACTCATTTCTCACTTAATCTCTGTATGACACAATTAGCACTGAAATATACTGTGCCTCTATCTGCCCCCGCCCCCTCCAATTCTAAGCCCGTTGAAAGCTGGCACCCGTATACATGCAACTTCCTCACCATGCCTACAGCTCTAATTATGGCGACTTCTAGGTCAGAGTTGATACGTTGTTCATGGATTGATTAAACTTCTGTCTTGCAACCCAAGGCCAAGCCCCTCACCTCCAGGGCTAAAAGGGCACTATGTACCCTCTTTGCACATGCCTGTTTCTGGATTGAGTTTCATGAAAGTACCAGTTTTATTACTTTTTAGTTAAGACCTGAAACATGCAGGGTTTTATGTGGATGTACTAATCAATCAAAAGGCAGGACCAAAGCAATGGATTCCTGGGACAAGAGGCACTAGGGATGTTTATCTGAAGAGCAAACCATGATAGTCCCAGTGGGGACACTTAGAAATTTCCCCAACCTCCTCCCATCCACTGTGGCATGGAGCTTATGATTCTTCCCCTCTGTGCACTCTTGTTTCAGGGTTGGGAGAAGGAAGAGAACCAACCCCTAGCTCTGGCAGTTCCAGATGCCAATCCTCAAGGGATGGCAATTTGACAGAAGATGTCACATAGAAACACTCAGTAAGCTGAGAAGTTCCATATGTGGAGGGAGGAGTTCCTAGAAGGAAAGTCAGGCAGGAAGCTTGAGTGTGTTAATCAGTGGCAGATCTGGTCTCCATGTGACTTGGGCAGATCATATCCCTTCATGGGACCCCAGTCCCCTAATCTGCATGCTGTAGGGTATTTTCATAAAAGTTTCTTCCACCTCAAGAATACACTGACTATTAATGAACCAAGACTCACAAAATAATTTTAGAATGCAAAAAATTGGGAGAAAGGCAGTGTAATCTACAAAATTTTTCATGATGTCAAGCAATTGGATGGATTCTGGGTAAAGGCCTGCAACTATGGGTCATAAAGTTTGGAATTTCACATCTTGTTAAAGAACTCAGCTTTTTCACTATTTGCAAAAGCCCTTAGAGTTATGTACTTTGAAACCTACTGGGCTTTGGGAAAAAGGAGAGTGATTTCTTTTAAAAAGAAGTAAATATCACCAGGACTCATTGTGTGAAGAATTCCACCTTGAGTTTGAATTCAAAGGCATTAGAAATCTTCTTTATTTTCAACAAAGGAAAAAAATTTCTGCTTTGTTAAAGAAAAAGAATCGCATAGAAAAACATCCTTCTGTTTAATGAAAGCCCATTTGTGCTCCTTTGAGCACTCCCCACAATACACACAGATGGGTTTACTTTTAGTTAATCAGAGGAAAAGAATCAATGAATGAAGGTGTTACTTTATATACACAGAACTGGTCCTTTGGGTGAGGTATGAAGAAGAGCAGAAAACTCCTTCAAGGAGAACTAATAGCATGTTTGGTGGGTGCAAGACCTTCAGCCTCTTCAGATTTGGTTTTGTGTCTGGTAGATCTTTTGTCTAATAAGTCTTGCTTGTCTCATGGATCACTGTGCTCCCAAGAGTTCACCTTGCTCCCCACCTCCTGTGGGTAGCCCAGAAAGTCTGGCTAAGTCAGCAGCCCACAGCATGAACTTCAAGGGGAAAGGAAGAGGTTCAGCATCCAGATCATTTAGGTCTTTCTAGTGTTGTGAAGACAATTAAATGAAGTCATGTGTCACACTGCTCTATGTAACCCACTGTCTGCAAATGCAACAGCTCACTCTTCTCACTAGGTAAAGCATGACTACTAAGCCATAAAACTTGTGACAAATGTGCCAAAAACAACACATCTACAGGCACGTCTGTCTGCTTCAAAGTAGTCCCCTTGTGAAGTCCCACACTTCTTTTATGAGACTGCTGCCACTGCTGATAACAGCATTTATTAAACTCCTGTTTGGGGACTACTAATATGAGCTACACAAGA
This sequence comes from Homo sapiens, assembly GCF_000001405.40. Classification (NCBI taxonomy): domain Eukaryota; kingdom Metazoa; phylum Chordata; class Mammalia; order Primates; family Hominidae; genus Homo; species Homo sapiens. Next base: position 132,638,336 of record NC_000023.11, on the reverse strand, counting down.
AAAGCACTTAAAACAGCACCTCCAGGGCTTAAGGGGTCCAGCTCCATCAGAAGCATGTTTGCCTTTGATTCAATTTACCATACTTTTATTTAGTTTGTGCTCACATATTAATATTGTTTGATTTGAACGCCTTCCTCCTTGCTTTGACCCAGTCATTTACATGCAATGGGAGGATCCATGTGGTTGCTTTAGACTTCATTAGCCAAGGAAGGAGACCAGACCTTCAACATTAATGACTCAGTGTCATATACAACCACCCCAACTATTGGCAGAGTTACTTAGGACCACCAACCACAGTTCTTTTTCTACCACTCATTGTTTCTCCAAGAACAAGATGTGCAAAGGCTGAACTTTTATATATATATATAAAATATTTTATATATATTATATATAAAATATTATATATAATATATATATAAAATATTATATATAATATTATATATAAAATATTATATATATATTATATATAATATATTATATATATATTATATATAAAATATTATATATAATATTATATATATAAAATAATATATAATATTATATATATAAAATATTATATATATAAATATATAATATTTTATATATATATTTTTTATATATATATAGCACATATATATGCTACAGGTATAATAGAATGTTCACTCCTATTGATTTGGGATAAGAATTTGTTTCCTTTCTTAAATTAACTTTTTATTGATCACTCCTATGACCTTAACTGCTACGGGTTTTCTGGCCTTCTTCTATTAAAAAATGTCTTTGATATTTATTTCCCCTTTGAGTAGTGCAGGGAAAACCTTATCATGGCCTTTCGTGAACCAGTAGCCTCAAAGGAAAGTAAATGTTTACAGCATGATCCTCAGAACTTTGCTCAAGTAACATTCCCTGGACTTTCCCTTGATGGAAATGGGTGCCCCCAGGGTTTCTCCAAGGGGTAGAGAGAAGATAGGGCTTGCATCCGGGGGCACAGTTGGCTTGTCTACACTCTAGATACCACCTGGGATTTCTGAGAGACTTCTGATCTCTGAAGCCACATGCCTAGGACAGTGATTCTCAAACTCAACTGTGTGTATATCAGAATTTCTGGATGGGCTTCCCAAAATGCAGATTGGCAAGCCCCAGCCTCTGAGTTTCAGATTCAGTGAGTGGACCTGAGAGTGTGCATTTCTAACAAGTTCCTAAATGATGCTGATGCTGATGGTTCTGGGCTCACACTTTAGGAACCACTTTTTTAGTTAACTCATAGAATTAGAAGTCCTGGGCTTGTGCCCTAGCACCAGGATGGAAAGAATACCATTTCTAGAGTGAGAGAGACCTGGATTGAAGCCTGAACACACCTACTTAACTTGAGGCGTGACCCAGAGTCACATCATCTCTGAGTCTCAGTTTCTTCATTCTGGAAAAGGGAATAATAATATATGATTCACAGGATTGTTGGGAGTTAACGTATAAGTGTCAGGCACAGAGCACCCCCAGTTCCTGGCTATGTAGTTGGTGTAAGAAAGTGTCCTCTTTGAGCAGCCAAATGTTTACCCTTCATGGGGGTTAGTGAGTTCTTTCAGGCCTGGTTGAGTGTGCCATCCTAGGTAACTAGCAGACACAAAGAGGGTCTGCTAAAATAACAGGACTTCGGCCCAGAAATAGTTCTCTCAGGTAGATTGATTCTCAAGGGCTACTGGCAAGGTGTGATTTGGGGACAAGTCCTTGCCTGTCTCTCTCTGGGCCTCAGTATCCCCACCTTTAAAGTGAAGGGTTTGACCTAAATGATTTACTGTCTCAAAGGTTTCCTCCTGTTCTGACGAGTGTAGGACTCTGTGACTTAGAACTTGGGCACTTATTTCAGAATGGTCTATTAAAAGGAGAATAAAAAATAAGATTCTTGTTTTTAACCATTTAGTTATTTTTAACGTCCTTAAACTTTCCAGCCTTCTTTTAAACTGGGATACTGCACAAAAAGTCAGGGACAACAGCTAAATATAACAATGTCCTTCACAGCTACATCTCCTTAAAATGCTCCATTACAGGTATAAAATGGTATATCTGTTATTTCATAGTGACATCTAGTGGCTTTTCCTTATCAAAGAATAAGATACGCATTTTCCTATTTGCTCATCATAAGCTCTGCTGCTTCTCCTGCAGAAATTCATTCAACAATCTTTTATTAATTGCTTACTTTATGTCAAACATTGTGCTAGGCCCTGAGGATAGATACATGGTTCTTACCCTCCCAGAGCTCATAGTCCAGCGGAAGAGGCAGAAAAATCGCTTGACAATCCCAGCACATTGTGATACATGTTACAATGGGAGAACACCAGGGCGTCTGGAGCAGAGAAGGGGGTGCTTAACTCCATCCAGGGAGGTCAAGGAAGGTTTCGCGGAGGAGACAGTCTTTGAGTTGAGTTTTGAAAGACTTTGCCAGGTAACCTACAAAGGATAAATAGAAGCCATTCAAAAGAGTGGGCACTCCATATACAGAGGCAAAGCACCTGTGGAGTCACTGCCTGGGACTTTGATTTGGAAAATTCAGCATATAGGGTATAGAGCAAGGTTCCTCAACCTTGGCATTATTGGCATCTGAGGCAGGGTATTTCTTTGTTGTAGGGGGACTGTGCATGATAGGATATTTAGCAACATCCCTGGACTTGACTTACTAGATGCCAGTACCAACCCCCTCCCCAAGTCATTACAACCAAAATATCCCCAGATATTGCCAAGTGGCCCAGAGTTGGGGGTTTGGGGAGTGGAGATGGAAGATCACTCACAATTGAGAAAGACTTGTATAGAGGGAGCTCACTTGAGAAGGCTGGACAGAAAGAAAGGTGGTTGCTGGATTCCACAAGGCTGTCTGTAGCATGTGGAGGAGCTTGGCTTCATGTCATAGTTGATAGGGAGCCATTGGGAGGGCTTAATTAGGGAATGACAGGTCAGGTATGTGCCATCTGGGGGTGTGGAAGTGGCATGGGACTGGAGACCTGAAGAGTAGGACGGGATGCTACTGCAATGTTTTAGTAGAGAAGTGATGAAGGCCTGACCCCAGGCAGTGGTGCAAAGGATGGATTTCAGAGCTATTAGAAACTGGAAAGGACTTAAGCGAATGTTTAGCTCTTAGTAGTGAGGGGAGATTAGAGGAGTCAAGGATGGCCCTTTGGTTTCTTGCTTGGACAACTCTTTCATTTGTTGCTATTATTTCGACAATTGCTTATCAGTGACAGGAAAAAGTTGGCCTAAACTTGTAGACACAAAGCAGGTTCACTGTGCATTGTTTATAAACTTCTATGGGTTTGGTGAGACAGAACACACTCATAAGCAACAAGTTACATGAAGTGGGTTTATTACTTACAGATAGGCAGCAAGGGACAAAAGAAGCCTAGGATCCACTGTGAGATGGTTTCCCAAGACTCAAGAAAGCTGCCTGGGTGAATGAGTCTCGATTAAGCATGCCTCACTTGCACCATAGCTGAGAGACCCCAAAAGGCAGCCTTTCCTGAGTTATATACCTCAGGGGCCATGTGACTCATTTAGCAAAGCTTTGAAGGACATCCTGCTTCTGAGAGAAAGGAACAAAGGCTGGGCTGTCCCAGGCAGTTCCTCCCTATCTCAAGATGTTAGATTCTCCAGGAAGGACTGGAACAAGGCTTTTGCTGTTTCAGGCAGTTCCTCCCTATCTCAGGATACTGCACTCCCAGCACATTCTACAGTTATTCTTAAGAATGACAAGCAAGAATGAGGGGAGTATTGTGTTGGTCCAAGGCCACCCAGAGAACTGTCATTCAGTAGAAGGTGGTAAACCTTTAACTGTGTAGTGCCTGTAAAGTCACCATGGGCATACAGAAGCACCAATCAGCCATTCAATTAACCCATGTAACCCAATGGGGAGTCATGGCTCCAATTTAAAAATGTGACACCTTGTCATTTTAATTAGGTGATACATTTGGTCACAAGAAAGTCCTGTCCAATTACTACTAAGTGAAACAGGTGGCGTATGATTTTCCTGGGGCTGAACTGGCCTCATTCAGTTAAAATTCAGTCAGTCCATTCAGCGGCACCCTTCAGTTTCATGTCAACCTGAAGAAAGATTTCCAGCAACTATCAGAGACTTGCTCTCACCTGCATCTTGCTCTGTTTTGATCAATGCCTGAATCCAGGCATTGCCAACAGGAACAGGAAAGTATGGTGAAGATATTGGGGGATATAATCAGAATGTAGATGTCTTTTGACAGGCTTAGATTTCCTCCATCAAGAAGAGATTAAACAGGGCCACAAATACACTGCATCAGTTCCTGACAATATAGATTGCGTTCCAGCGTGGCATATATGTGAAAGTATGAAACAATTGAGCTTACTGTGTATCAGTGGTGTGGTGTGGCCGCCAAAATGGTCCATGTGATCTGAGGCCACATTAAGAGAAATGGTGTCAAGAATGAGGAAGGTGATAGGCTGTCCCTTCTTGTTGCTTGTCAGATCGTGCTTAGCAGGCCATGTTCCAATAAAGTGGAATGCACTTGCAGGCAGACAACAGGATAGCGGGGCCTTGAAGCTATATAGAGAATAGTTGAAAACCATTTTTAGCATAAAGAAGAGAAGCCCTGGGGTAAATGCTGTCTTCGAATATCTGAAGCCACACAAGTGGAATTTTAAAAAGGTCCCTAAATAGACCATGATGGTCTGGAAATTACCACTTTGTGCTGACCACTCCGTACCTTATCTTCAGCCCAGGTTGCTCTCTGAGTGCCAGATCTGTTCATTCAACTCTACTCAGATGTCCCGCAGGCACCTCAGTCCTTCCTCCAGAGCTCTAGGAGGCATCCTTAAGTCCTCCTCCTCTTTCTCCCCCGAATCCCTTTTGTCACTTTTACCCGCTAAATATTTCTCTAGTCTGCTCCTCCTTCTCTTTTGCCTTGTCTTCTGCAGTGGCCTCTTAACTAACTTCACGAATTTCATCTTCATATACATAATGATCTTTCTAAAACACAGACCTCATCATGTCATTCCCCTGCTTAAAGCCCTTCAAAGCCTCTCTGTTGCCTGCAGAATTAACTTTGAATGCTTTAATATGGCATCTGTGGCCTTTCACAACCAGGTCCTGGGCTCCCTCTCCATCTTCAATTCCTGCCACTACTCCTTCACTCCCCGGGAGGTTTTTTGATGCACGTTTCTCTTGCACAATAGGCTGGTTTATGCCTCTGTGCCTCTGCTCATGCTGATCCTTCTGTCTCATACTCCTTTCCTCTCTCCTTGACTCATTTTTTTTTTTTTTTTTTTGAGATGGAGTCTCACACTCTGTCACCCAGGCTGGAGTGCAGTGGTGATACCATGGTGCACTGCAGCTTCTACCTCCTAGGCTCAAGTGATCCTCTCGCCTCAGCCTCCCTAGTAGCTGAGACTACAGGTGTGCACCACCACGCCCACTAATTTTTCTATTTTTTGCAGAGACAGGGTTTCACCATGTTGTTCAGGCTGGTCTTGAACTATTGGGTTCAAGTGATCTGCCCACCTTGGCCTCCCAAAGTGCTGGAATTACAGGTGTGAGCCACCGTGCCCAGTTGCCTCATCTAATTCTTGTTTTTCAAAATAAAGCTGCAGAAACCCTTGTCTTATCTTTAGGCTAGGTTAGAAATCAGTGTGAGGTGTTTTTTTTTAATCATACCCTGCACTTGCTCCAAGCATTCATGGCACACACAATTGAAACACTTTCCCCGGGTTTCCATGTCTTATCCCTGTCTGTATCCCCAGTGCCTGCCATAGTGCCAGGCACACATTAGGTGCCAAGACTAAGCAAGTCTTGACCTGACCTGACCACTGAGGGAAAACTGGCCATGTCTCTGTTTGCCCCCGACCCCAGCTGCATTCCCCAGCGTGCTTCTCTGATATTGCCCTAAAAGCTCTTCCTTGGATATAATGAGCATCCTGGATTCTTTTTCTGACATAACCTCCAAGGTGTTATCTTTACCTGCCTTCCTACTTCCAACACACCATGAAATTCAGGAGACCCCTGGACCCTGGACACCTACCCTTCAGCAGATCTTTCTTTCTTTCTACACATGGAATATTTCTAAGCAGCATCAAGTGCTTTCAGTTGAGGCATTCTGGGTCCCCAAGGCTATTTGCCCTGGAAGAAGGGGGCTGTTGACACTCACTGAATCTCTGCAGGTTTTGTCATATGAGTCTAGGTGGCTGTTATCACCAAGGCAGCAGTGTGTGTATGTGTGTGCCCCTCTAACTTCTCTGCTGCAGTGAAAATCCCTACAGTGTAGACACTGAGGCTGCCTACGTTGGGCTGTCCGTATTTCTTAAGGGCACTAGGTGACCTTCAAGTTGAATGCATACTGGATCCACACACCCACAACATGAGAGACCCTCTCTGAAAGTCTGTCTCTGTGTTGCCTTCTCTCTATCCATGTTGGGGTAGGGGTGGTGCTTATGAAACATTGATTGTGTCATTAACCCTGGTGGTTGGGATGTATTTGCTCTGAAAGGCTAGGAACAATGTTTAGGAAGGAGAGCTGCAGACTTCCACTGTGGTGCACTCTTAATATTTACCAGAAGATGTCACTGTAGGCTTAAACCAATACAAGAAGTTAGGGCAAGAAGACTTCCAGCTAAGCATGAAGGTGACTCCATTTTGGGGGGTTAGAACACCGAGCAGCCCCCATTACAATGCATGCCTGGAAAAGCTGGTTGAAAGGTTAATCCAAATGTGTCACAGACCTTAATAAATTTCTTTTTTTTTTTTTCCAAATAATCAGACTAATTGCCACTAAACTGTTGCCTCAGGGCTAGCATAAAGGCTCAATAAGTATGCACTGAATGGATGAGTACTAAAGCTAGGAGTGGAAGGAGGGAACCCAGGGCTTTAGTAGTCATCTTTGTTGGTAAAGGCTACTGGAGAACAAAAGCTGCTACTCTTTAGCAGTGGCTTCTCATAGAGATGAATTTTAGTGGCACCAACAAGATCAGGTCCTAGGGAAAGTAGTGAGACAAGTGAAAGTGCTCTTGGCCCCTTTTCCATCCTCACTCCCAGATGCTTCTCCTGTGCCCAATGCTTGTTTCTTCCTGAAAAAATATATAAAGTGATTTATTTTAAGAAAAACCTTCCTGTGATTTTTTGCAAGGCACTTAGAAGATTATCCAGAGTTTTTATGTCATGAGGCATGTCCCTAGCTCTCTCCTTCCTCTTCCCCAGGATAGTTCATCAAGTAAGCAGTTAAAGAAGTTACTGAGATTCTGCTTTATGCCAGGGATGAAGGCCAATGTACAAAGCTGGAATGGATGGGATGAGGGCTATATAGAAGAATAGGACAGAGCCCCTGTCCTTGAAAACATAGTTTAAGTGGAAATATAAACAATTAATTGTAATTCAGTATCACACATTTTTGGGGGAGGCAGTGGGGTGGAGGGGTAGGGTCTCACTCTATTGCTCAGGCTGAAATGCAGTGGCACAACCACAGCTCACTGCAACCTCCGTCTCCTGGGTTCAAGTGATTCTCGTGCCTCAGCCTCCTGAGTAGCTAGGATTACGGGAGCGCACAACCACACCTGGCTAATTTTTGTATTTTTAACAGATGGGGTTTCACCGTGTTGTCCAGGCTGGTCTCAAACTCCTTACCTCAAGCAACCCACCCACCTCAGCCTCCCAAACTGCTGGGATTACAGGCATGAGCCACCGTGCCCAGCCCCAGTATCACAAATATTTTAACAAAGGCTAAGTATAGAAGTGCTATGGCAACACAGAGGAAGAAATGATAACTGGCAACACAGAGTGGGGTACATTTTTTCACAAAAGAGATGGTACTTGAACTGGTATTGAAGGATGAGTAGAATTTTCCAGCCAAAGAGGGAAGATCATGGCAGGCAGAGCAAGCACCATGTACAGGATAGAGGCATAGGAGATAGATTTCAGGATGCCTGAGGTGATGGAAGCCCCAGTTGGGAGAAACGTTTCCTCAATGAACATCAGCCAATATTCAGTTAAGCAGGTGGCTGAGCAGGTTCCCTGTGGCTCCTCATGTATGTGTAGAGAACAACCACTCCCTCAGATGGGAATGAATATTTCAGAAAAGTTGCAAGCCATTCTCCGGGTTTCCTTTAAGAAGCTAAATGCTAATATTCAATGTTTATTGTTGCTTTCTTTCCACAATATGCCCTTCTGTGGCCTCGTCCTTCATCTTCTGTACCTGAGTGGTAACCCATTTCTCATGAAAAGCACAATGACACGGTTCTCTCCTTAAGTATGCCTGATTGTATCATGGACTTGATGTTTCTGGGGCGTGTGCCTACCATGTATGGTGTGAGTGTGTTAACATGTGGTTTAAATGTTTGCTAGTCTGCTATTTGAGCAAAGAACTTTGTTTGAAGCCCTAAAGAGAAGACAGCCATACAGCAAAGCCTCCACACTTGCTGACATCCACGTGCCCTTTTAGTAGATAAGGAAAAGGGACATTTTGAAGCTGCTGATAGAGTTAAGTTTCCTATCCTGGGAATATTATCATAGGAGCAAAGGTGGAAACCAAGGTAGTAGCTTGCATACATGCCATTGGCAGCTACCATGTCTATTTCAGTCAGTGACTAACCACAGCGTTTATTGCTGGAGGCCCTGGGCTACTCTGCCTATCTCTACATTCCACTTCCATAATGTATGAGCCATAATATGACAACAGCCAGAATCAAGAGTATCATATCATACACTCTTTTAATGAGTTTTTTAAAAACAAAAAGATATGCAGATTAGACTGGATATTAGAAAAAATGCTATTGCATATTTAATAAGATTCGAATTTGAACCCACTTGTCAACTCCATTTCACTCCAATAAAGTATGTGCTTCCAATGAGTCTCCATTTCATGATCACTAAATGGTTTAGAGTGGGGGGCATGAAATAAAGTGGTTGCCTAGTTAGCCAATGGTGTCATTGGGAAGATTTTGTCTTTGGTTAGAGAGGGAGAAAAAGAGGGGAAGGGGGAACGAACGGGAGTGAAGCATGACAAGGTCAATGTCTGGAATCTAACCTTTTCATACCTGTTTTAGCTGAAGTATCAGCAAATTGGTTGAAAAAATTAGCTATCTCTAGGCTAGTGAGACTCAGAGAGGGGACTGCAGTACAGTTTACAGGACAAATGCCATCAGATCCCTGTCATTTTTGCTTTGCCTTCCTTTTTAGCCAGTGAACACCACATATGCCATGTACCTCCATGACTCCACTTATTTCGCCCATATCTCTGACTGTTGGTTTTTGTGCTTCATCCATAGGAACTTCCACTACATCACCATCCTCCGAGACCCAGTGTCCCGGTACTTGAGTGAGTGGAGGCATGTCCAGAGAGGGGCAACATGGAAAGCATCCCTGCATGTCTGCGATGGAAGGCCTCCAACCTCCGAAGAGCTGCCCAGCTGCTACACTGGCGATGACTGGTCTGGCTGCCCCCTCAAAGAGTTTATGGACTGTCCCTACAATCTAGCCAACAACCGCCAGGTGCGCATGCTCTCCGACCTGACCCTGGTAGGCTGCTACAACCTCTCTGTCATGCCTGAAAAGCAAAGAAACAAGGTCCTTCTGGAAAGTGCCAAGTCAAATCTGAAGCACATGGCGTTCTTCGGCCTCACTGAGTTTCAGCGGAAGACCCAATATCTGTTTGAGAAAACCTTCAACATGAACTTTATTTCGCCATTTACCCAGTATAATACCACTAGGGCCTCTAGTGTAGAGATCAATGAGGAAATTCAAAAGCGTATTGAGGGACTGAATTTTCTGGATATGGAGTTGTACAGCTATGCCAAAGACCTTTTTTTGCAGAGGTATCAGTTTATGAGGCAGAAAGAGCATCAGGAGGCCAGGCGAAAGCGTCAGGAACAACGCAAATTTCTGAAGGGAAGGCTCCTTCAGACCCATTTCCAGAGCCAGGGTCAGGGCCAGAGCCAGAATCCGAATCAGAATCAGAGTCAGAACCCAAATCCGAATGCCAATCAGAACCTGACTCAGAATCTGATGCAGAATCTGACTCAGAGTTTGAGCCAGAAGGAGAACCGGGAAAGCCCGAAGCAGAACTCAGGCAAGGAGCAGAATGATAACACCAGCAATGGCACCAACGACTACATAGGCAGTGTAGAGAAATGGCGTTAAATGGCTCAAAAAGGCCTGTACATACTTCTCCCAAAGCGCCACTGAAAAGATGGCATAGCTTAAAAGATGAAAGTGTCCAAACACATCCTGCTTCCTTCATTGGGGAAGTTTTAAAAAAAAGTTTAGATGTTGCCTTTACAGTTGCCTTTCAATTCAGTGTTATACTGTGTGTAGGTAAAACAAATCTCAATATGGAATTAAATTGTCTTTTTGGGGTTGGACTAAATATGAAATCCGAAAGCCAAACCAGACTCACCAGAAATTGCTGTTTAGATATTTTAAGAAGTTCTTAAATTAGTTATGGAGACAAAGTGAAAACATAAAATGTGACCATTTAACTTATGGCTAAGAAATGGACTTTAAATTATTCATGATACACTGTTAAAACCCAATCTTGGAATCAAATATTTTTTCCAGGGGTGAGAATAAGTATAAACATAAAGCAACTAAAATGAAACATAAAACCTTTTATTTTCTTCTGATTTTAACAAGGAATCTATTTAAATAGAATAACAACTGATGGTGAATCTTACCGAGCTGTAGAAAATAAAAAATTCCTCTCCAAACATGGGTAGTTTTATGTCAAAATATTGGCTTTTCAAGAACAGGACTCATATCTTGATATTTAAGAGATGTTTAAAATTTTAAACTTTTTCTACCTTCTACTGTTTAAAGGTTTTACACAGGGTGTATCTCACATTAAACAAAACACCTTTTTTTCAAAATGAAATACCAATGTAAAGATCTAATTTCCAGGCGCTTTCAGGGCACTGTAATTTCAACAATACTGGAATCATTTTGGCGCTGCTTCTCATTCATTTTAAGGCTTCTCTGAATTGTGCTCATTCCAAATTAACCCATGTATAGAATCTTTCTTCATCATCTAAATGGTGTGTTGCTGAAGTTATTGTGGTATATAATCCTGGATTAAAGTCAGGACTTTCTTTCTATAGAATTATTTTATCAATATTTGTGTAGTGAGGTCCTAATCAAGAAACTTGAACAGGATAATGTGTCTAAAAATATTGCTGAAGTTATTCTTGATCAGATAGAATTTAACCTAAAATGTGAACTCTTACTTACTTTTTGTACATCTCTATTGTAATGTTTCCAGTTGGGCCAACTATTTCTAGCCCTTTAGTTCTTTTTCATGTTGACAGATTTGTAGACAATTACAAAAGCCAAAAAAGGATAAAATAAGCATTAGGAAGGCTAGCCAGTTATTCAATAGCACCTTGATAATGTGGGCAAACCCTTCTACAAAGTTTTTGTTTTGAAAAGAGCAAAAGTAAAAAGTGTTCTGTAGTGAGGTTACATATCAGGAACATATGAGTTGAGCAGAGTAATTTGGTAGTGTAAGTCGATGCAAAAATACTTCTATGGTACCTATTACAAGCTGACCAAGATAAAAAGAAGTATGTAACCCACTGTGCTGTCAAGCATCATGATTCCGGGCAGTTTTCATTTTACTGTGGATTTTGCTATACTTATGCAAGGACTTACACTAACCTCCTGGCTGTAAATCAAACAAGGTGACTGAAAGTGGCATTTATGTTTTCACAAGGGACATGCTTAGAAGTGTGACCATAAAGTCACATCTTGTACAATCTGCTCATGTGTTTCATCTGTAGTAATATAGCCACAAACTGGACAAGAAGCTGGGTATTTGGGTTTAAAATAGATTTTCTTGACTCTGAGCTTGTATCAGTATTTCTAGCTTTTGTTTTGTCTGACAGTATTGCAGTCTTGAAAATCCTGAGAGCTAAAAAACTGAAAGGAATTTTTCCACACCTTGAAGTCACAGTGTTTTAGAGTAAAACTATTTTGTGTACAATTGTGTTTTTAAAATAGTTAGTAGATCACTATGGTATTTCAATTTTCTTTAGTTTTAATTGAAAATGTTTGCTTTTAAAACTGATAGGTATTGTTGGAAAGCAGGATGAAGCCTGAGCCAGTGGAAAAGCTTGTTACAGAAAAAACATTTTGTGTTATTGCTGTGGTGTGCATGATTTGCAAAGATTAAGTGCATTTTCTCTGTCTATACTGATTATTGTATATAGAGGATGTTATAAATATACATATACATTTTTGCCATTATGTAAATCCCATGATTTCAACTGTAAACATCTGTCCATTGGTGTAGCTTTACAAACCATTCACTGATTTTGTGTAATTTAACAATAGATATGAAATAAAGTTTAAATTACAGGCTCTGAGTAATCTCATAATTTCAAGATTTGCAGCTGCTAGACATTGTGATCTCACAAACCAGAACAGAATTTTTTTCAACAAGACATTTCCTTTTATCCTCTTGGCAGCCAGGTATGAAAATTAGATGGCCCATTCTAATCCCTCACACTAAAATGGCCTTAATTTGGGGTGATTCCTTCTGGGAGTCCATGTTTTTTGTACAAGCGTGTCCAACCCACAATGGTGCTCTTCATTCTCCCTTCTATCCACAGGGTAGAGTTTAAATGTAAGCATTAATGTATTGGTTTTTAAAGTCCCAAACACAAAATGTGCACATTTTTTCAAACAAACTCTTATAGTTAGCACTATGGGGGAGTGGGGTATGATTTGTCCTTGCGCTTTTCCAAAGAGACTTTAAATGTCAGTCCCAAGGGGTTAGAGGAAGAAAGCTACAAATTTGGTTGGAGATGTAGTTAAGTAGCCTTAGCCTGTAAACTATTCATATGTATTGTATAAGTCCATTTTCATACTGCTATAAAGAACTGCCTGAGACTGGGTAATTTATAAAGGAAAGAGGTTTAATTGACTCACAGTTCTGCATGGTTGAGGAGGCCTCAGGAAACTCACAATCATGGCAGAAAGTGAAGGAAAAGCAAGGCATCTTCTTCACAAGGTGGCAGGAAGGAGAAGTGCTGAGTGAAGGGGGAAGAGCCCCTTATAAAACCATCAGATCTCGTGAGAACTCACTATCACAAGAACAGCAAAGGGGAAACCACCCTCATGATTCAATCACCTCCACCTGGTCTCTCCCTTGACACATGGGGATTATGGGGATTACAATTCAAGATGAGATTTGGGTGGGGACAAAAAGTCTAACCATATCAGCTTACATGGTTTTGCCTGTCAACTGCTTCTTGATCAATATTTGGGCTGCCAAAGGGCCTGATTGTATAAAGATCCTACACCCCCTTGGGAGGATCTGTGAACAGGAACATAAAGTCCAAGAACTTGAAATATTTCAGAAATAAAGTTTGGTTCCCTTTTCCCCTGAGGAGGGTAGGTACTCATGGAGAGCAGGGCGCTCTAACTGTAGTGGAGAAAAGATAGGAAACCTGCTAAGGAAATGAGCTATTGAGGCAGCCCAGGGAGGAGCTAAAATGAAGAAACAACGAATTGGCTCGGTTCCTCAGGACTTAATTAGGATTCTCAATAGGGGTGATAACCAAGTACAACCAGAACTACCTTTGGGTGATGGGTCTAATAAAGCTGTCACAATGGGAAGGATGGTTTCCTTCCATGGGTGGAGTACGGGGGTAAAAAGAAGCATAAAACTTGCATGCTGGGTCTGAGTCACAGAAGAGAACCACAGAATATTCCAGGTTGGCGATGTGCAACCCACAGCTTTCTTGCATTCATTGACCTGAAGACACTGCTTTTGACACTGAAAGTTGGGAAAGGGGAGACAGCATATTCCTTTTGCACAAATGGCCATCAGAGGTGGACTGGAAGTTTCTTCTCTCTTGTCTTCTCTAGAGATTGAACCAAGCAAAGAAACAAAAGCCGAGTACTTTGTAGAAAGTTCTAGCAAAAACACAGAGTATGCTGACTCTGAAAGTAACCCTCTGGGACTGTGGAATAAGGCAACTCAAATCTCTCACTTGGCAAGAATGAGGCCGCCTGACAGTTTTAAGTGTCCAAGGAATTTGATCAACACCTCACAATTTCCAAGGTACATCCCTCAGACCTTCACAAATGGGCAAAGCCCTCAGAACTTCAGGAGAAAACTATCCTGAAAACAAAGCAAATGAGCTGTTTCTCAGTACAAATGGCACTGTTCTGAGCAGCTAGAGCAGGGTCCAAAAACTACTGTCCTGGGGCCAAATGCAGCCCTCTGCCTGCTTTTGTAAATATAGTATTATTGGAACACAGCACGCCCATTTCTTTGCATATTTTCCCTGGCTGCTCTCATGCAACAGTGGCAGGAGTCGTTGCAACAGAGATCTTATGGCCCCAAAAGCCTAAAATACTTATTTTCTTGCCCCCCAAAGAAAAAGTTGGTCAGCCCTGGAACGAGAGAGCAGATCAAAATTTCCTAAGTATTGAAAACTTGGCGGAGTTTATAATGACCCCAGAGTCTGAGAGAATAAAAGGATGTGATTCAAACAACATACTTTCCAATACCATATCACCACAAACAACATTTACTGAGTACCTACTATGTGAGAGTCACTGCTTTTAGGCCTGAAAGCACGGGAGAACCTGGTCTTTTCTCTCAGGATTGCAGAAATCCCAGCCACATGCTGTGTCAGTAATTATAGGTGAGAGCTTAATTAGTTCTTCATTAGTCTTACATAGCTGATGCCTGCCAGTTCCTTGGAGTGTGTGCGTGTGTGTATGTGTTTTATCACATGCTTTTAAAAATTAAAACAATATATAAGTATGTAAAGTAAAAAGTGAAATTACCTATACAACTCCCACTTCCCCAAAATAACTACTGTGATTATGATTTCCTCCAGACCTCCTTGTCCTAGCCACATTCAAATCTGCTATCTCTCCCCCTCCCCCTTCCCTCCTGCTCTTCCTCCAACCCAACCGCACACACAAACACATATATTTATTTAAAAGGATAAAACCATATTGTTCTCATTGTTACCTGATTTCTTTTTTTTTTTATGAAAAAGTTCAGCAGTGTATCATGGATTCCCTTCCAAAACAGGAATATAGTGGATGGTTTATCCCAACAAAATTGATTACTGCTGATGTTATAGGTTGAGAGTATAGACTCTATATGCATGCTGCCTGGGTTTGAATCCCAGCTCCACCATTTACCAGCTCTGTGACCTTGAGAAAGTCTCTAACCTCTCCATGCCTCAGTTTCTTCACCTATAAATGGAGAAAATAAAAGCTGTAACTTCAGAGAGTTGTTGTGAGGATTAAATGAGTTAGTATCTGTAAAGCACTTAACACTGTGCCTGATATAGAATAAACTTTACTTTTCATTTTTATTTTTTTAGAGACAGACTCTCACTCTGTCACTGAGGTCAGAGTGCAGTGGTGTGATCATAGTTCATAGCAGCCTCAACCTCTTGAGCTCAACTGATCCTTCAGCCTCAGCCTCTCGAGTAGCTGGGACTACAGGTGCACGCTACCACTGCCAGCTAATTTTTTACAATTTTAGTAGAGATAAGGTCTCATTATGTTGCCCAGGCTGATCTGGAACTCCTGAGCTCAATCCTCCCACCATGGCCTCCCAAAGTTCCGAGATTACAGGCATGATAAAATAAACTTTATATGTGTTTGATAGTATTATAATAATCATTATTACTGTTATTAGCATAAGGACTAGATGTCTGCTGAATTCCTATATCTTCAGTAGCTAAAGACTGACTCTGAGATCAAGAATTAAAAATATTTGCAAGAAAAAGAGTATATTTCCTGTTGTGACTAATTTAAGGAAACCTTTCTAAAAAATAAAACAAATGTGTTTCAAATGTAACATAATCAAATGTATAAAGACTTATCTTAAAGTTTACTTCTGAGCTTCGAATGCAGCCAGTGACAGAAACATTCTGAAAGATGTAACCCACAAAATGCCAAGTGAGTCACAGATTCTCTCTCCAGCAATGAAAAGGCATTATCTGGTGTCTCTGGCTGATTGGGGACCTACTTTATCACACTTAGCCAAGGATGACTCACTTCCAGCCCCGCCCGTTTCCCACTCATCTCTCCACCCAATATTGCTGGAGTATGGGCTTGTCTGCCTGATGAGATCTGCGAGGACCCCAAAGGTCTAGCTGCTTCCCTTATGGGCCTAGCTTGGTGCCTGGAATGCCTACACTCCAAGGTTCTCTTCTGTGGGTGAAAGGAGCATGTCCAGAAGACCCTATTAAGATGCATTTATGCCACCTAGGAGGGAGGAGAGAGAGTAACCCATTAAAAGTTAGCACATATTAGTTTTCAAATTAGTAGTCACAGAGGGCCCTCGGGGAATGGGACACACAGGGCTTGTAAATTCAGCTAGCTCACTTTACTTAAACAAAAAAAAAAAAAAAAAAAAAAAAGAAGAAAAATGAACTTCTGCATTTATCCAATTTGAATTTTTAAATTTTAGTCCTATTGCCTTAAGGACAGAATAAGGTTCAATAATCTTCATCAAATCTCATTAAGTTGTACAAATTCTATTTTCATTATGCCTGGTTCAATCTTGTGACTTCACTAATATTAGTAAGATTTAATGATGCCTAACTGGGCCTAAGAAAAGTTTAACAGTTTTTGTGACTTAAAAATGCTCTACTGGATTTCATGTAACTTATAAGGACCTGAGAAGAACAGTCAAGTCTTAAAAGAGAGTGCTACACCATAGCTTGATAGGACCTAACCAGCCAACTAGAGCCAATCTTAATCAGCCTTTTCATGGATTCATCCAAAACACAAGATTGCTTTTTTTTTTCTCAGTCCTGAAGGCGGTCTTCTGTCCCTGAAACTACCTAGAGTAGGATTACATGTTCATCAAGGCCCTTGAGACCATATGGCAAAGACATTATGAATTCGGTCAAAAAGATGGATTCTGGCTTCACAAGGCTGAACACATAGGAAGGAAGTTGAAATAAGGAGCCTGAACACTGATTAGTTAAGATGAATAGCATTTATCAAGGATAAGCTTGAAGGCTGGGCACTGTGGCTCATGCCTGTAATCCCTGTAATTCCAATACTTTGGGAGGCTGAGTGGGGAGGATCACTTGAACCCAGGAGTTCGAGACCAGCCCAGGTAACATGGCGAAACCTCTCTCTACAATATAGATAAAAATTAGCTGGGCATGGTATTGTGTGCCTGTAGTCTCAGCTACTCAGGAGGCCGAGTCAGGAGGATTATGTAAACCTGGGAGGTCAAGGTTGCAGTGAGCTGTGATTGTGCCACTGCACTCCAGCCTGGGTGACAAAGAGAGACCGAGACCCTGTCTCAAAAAAAAAAAAAAAATGGCTTGACCTAAGAAGCACTAACAAGCATCAGTAAGTTGTCCAGTTTCCCATCCCTTCCCAGTGTCCACATGCTTTCTCCAAACTCCCAGGACCTTGGCATATTCCCAGCACTCCCACTCTAAGGCAGGTTTGTATGTAGCCCACCTGGATGGTCCCAATGTCTTCTTAACTATCCTTCTGTCTTCAGCCTCTTTCTTGATCACCGGGCTCATCTTCCTAAAACTTTCTCAGAACAGAAGCTATGAGCCTGTGGCTTCAGAATCCTCCCTGATGTGGTTCAGAAATGCAGATTCTCTAGGCCGCACTGCAGATGATCTGAATCAGAATCTCCCACCTCAGCCTCCCAAGTAGCTGGGACCACAGGGGCAAGCCACCACACCTGGATAATTTTATTTTGTGTTGAGACAGGGTCTTACTATGTTGGCCAGGCTGGTCTCAAAATCCCGGGCTCAAGTGATCCTCCCACCTTGGCTTCCCAACGTGCTGGGATTACAGGCATGAGCTGCCAACCCTGGCCTGGAAGCATTTATTTACCTAGCTCTAGCTTGCTGATCTAGCGTCCAGCTTCTGGTAACTTGATTTCTGTCTTGTAGCCCATTCATTTGACAAACCTGTGTTGAGCACTTTACTGTGAGTTAGGGCCAGTGAAACAGGAAGCCAGGAGGGAGGTCAGAGAATACTTATTAAGGAAGTGATTCCCAGCTGTATCCCTTTCCTGGGGCCAAGAGCCCTGCTCTAACCCCCTCCCCCCATGAATGAAACAACCTGGTGTTGAATCTCCAGCTGTCTCCTGCCTTCTTGAATCTTGAATCTGCCTTCTTGAATGTCCAGTTGTCTCCTGCTCCAGAAGCTCTGTGGAGGATGGTTTTGACAGTTTAACTTGAAGCTACTTAGTTGGTCCTATTCTTGAATGGAAATTTCTGAACTTCAGGCACTGAAACAGTTATTACAGCCCCACACCACTAAGGGAAGACAGTTCTTATTCAGCCAGGAGACTTCAATGCCAATATATGCCCATCCTGACCAGGTGTGAAGAGTCTGACTCTTGATGCTAATTATAATGATGATGATCTATACCATTTATTAAGTGCGTACTGTATGCCAGGTGCTCTT
This sequence comes from Homo sapiens, assembly GCF_000001405.40. Lineage (NCBI taxonomy): Eukaryota > Metazoa > Chordata > Mammalia > Primates > Hominidae > Homo > Homo sapiens. The sequence goes on along the minus strand of NC_000023.11, from coordinate 132,619,939 downwards.
CTTGGCCCTTCATATAACAGCAGCAGTGGCAGTTAATATTTGTGGAAATTACATTATAGTTCAGACAGTGTACTAAGCCTTTTTATGCATCACCTCATTTTGTTTTTTGTTTGTTTGTTTTTTTTTTTTTGGAGAGACGAGGGTCTCACCATGTTGCCCAGGCTGGTCTCAAACTCCTGAGCCCAAGCAATCCTCCTGCCTTAGCCTCCCAAAGTGCTAGGATTACAGGCATGAGCCACTGTGCCTGGTCTGCATCACCTCACTTAATCTTCACAACCACCCAGTGAGGCAGGAAAAATTCTTTCCCACATTTTACAGAGGAATATGCTGAGACTCAGGAGAGCTTCATTAACTTGCCTAATACTTTAGAATCAAGCCTAGTTCTAAATCCAGAGTGCAGTATCTTCACCTTATTCATGATTTAAAACATTTTATTATGGAAAGATTCTATCTGCAAAACTAGGGAGAACAGCATCATGAACCTCCTTTCCCAATCACTCAACTTCAGTAATTATCAACTCAGCCAATCTAATTTAATCTGTGTCCTCACTAATTTCCCTACAATCTGTAATATATTAAAGCAACTCCCGGACATCATCTGTATATATTTTGTTATGTATGTATCTCTGAAAGAAGCTTTATTTCATTTTTCTAAAAACACTTGCAGGTAAACTTTATTATCTCCCCATTATACAGAAAAGTAAATGGAGGTTCAGGGAGGAGTGTCTCAAGCCACATAACTAGCAAGCGGCAGGTCCGAGTGTCACACCCAGGTTTGTCTACCTCCAAAGCCTTTGCTTTGCTGGTGTTTTCTTTGCTAAAACTGGAGCTTTCTTCTATAGCAAAAACTTCTTCCAGGACAGCACTGGGGAATGGAGGGCCTTGAGCTCCTGATACTGCCAAGCTAGGAAACCATTCCTGGCTTCATTAATAATTAACAGCGGGTTCTTTTCCAATGAGGAATATTCACAAAGCAACTGCCTTCTTTCAGGTTCTTTGGACATTGGTTCTTTCCCTGCTCAGTACTTGGCCCTGGACCTGAAGATAGCCAGTTCACATTTTTTGGGAGGGAATTGCCTGGTACCTTATCCTTGGAGAGGCAGCTTGGGAGCCCCTGGTCCTTGAACACAGTGTTACTACACCCACAAATATTCTTCAAGTGTTCGTAAATGAAAGCGGACAAGCTTGGCCCTTGGTGTCAGGGTTTTTGACCAATAATTCTGTGTTTTGCTTTCCACAGGCCTAATTCCTGGTCCAACTGGAGGGCATTAGATAATACTTTTAATGTTCAACAAAATAGTTTGGTCTCTCTGGTCTGAGTTGGGCCCTCTGTGCTTTATATATTGCATTTCTTACTAAAAACCATCACTATACACAGTCTCTACACTGTACTTTTGTAAATCGAAGAGAGAATGTGATCTCCACACTTCGTGGGTGGGATACATCTGAAGCAGCAAAATTTCTTTTGAAATCATCAAAAAGCATTTTTAAAGCTTCTTTCAACTCCGACACCATCATACAAACCCATGTCAAGTTTCCACCCCTCTTTTTCCATTTTACCTTGAGGTCCAGAGAGAACAATTGACTCGCCTAAGGTCACACAGGGAATTAGTGGCAGAGCTGAGACTAAATCTCAGGTTTCTCTGTGGCTAGTGTTCACAGCACTACACTAATGTTTTAACAAAATATTTTTTAAAGGATTTCTATCTTACTTTTCTTTTGCACACTCTGTTCCATTTCCTAATGGAATGGATTTCTATTACAATAGTATAGTGGTCAAGAACACAGTCTCTGGAGCCAAATTTTGGGGGTCCATAGTCCTGGCTCCACCACATATTAGCTGTGTAACCTGAGGTAAGTCACATCATCTTTCTGAGCCTTACTTTCCTCATTTCTAAAGTTGAATTTATAACAGTATTCACCCCATAGATTTGAGGGAATGATTAAATGAATTAAAGCATGCACCGTATTTTAGAGCAGAGTTCTGGTGCTTGGCAATTTAATTGGATCAATAGTGGCAAACATTTCCAGCACTAAAGCAATTGATTATTGTTTTTGACTAACATGTTTTATTCATTCAGTACATTTTTATGGAACACCTACACTGTTTTTCTCAGTAGGGTTTTACATTATTTTCCCCATTCATTGTGTTCTGATAGGTTACCCAGTAATTGAATTCACCATAGCTAAAAGGAAATGCTTCTACCTGAAATCCCTGCAGAGACTAGATTTCTTTTTTGCTGGACATTTTCTCTCATTCTCTTCTCATAGAGTCTTGTGCTGCATTTTACACATAGTGGGCACTTTTTTGGACAGAGTAACATCTGCCTGAAGTTGGCAGATGTCTTTTTTTCTGGTGGATAAGAACAATGTCAATGTTGATTCCCAACAATGCCTACTAGTTAATGGATGCATACGGTGTCCTCGTCTCTGTCCTTCGGATTCCTTGTGTGTTGCATACAGCATTGGCAATATATACATCAACCACATGCTCTGCATTTTCCATGGCAATCACAGTTTCTATCATTTTATTCCACTGTGTATCTACATGCTTCAGTATTTGTCCTGAAAAACTAGGGAAATCTGTAGTATTAGTACTAAATGTTAATTTTTTTGTGTATTTCATTTTAATCCCTGGCGATGCATAATCAATGAAATGGCATCTTTGTAAATAAAGCACACCCAGTGAATATCTTCAAGCATCATTCCTAATTATTTAGTCTGGCATTCAAGGCCTTTCATGATCCGGCCTCTGTTGACTTGCCTGTCCCATCGCTTAACACTTGCCTCTCACACTCCAGGTATGAGCCATGAGGAGCTCTTTGAGTTCTCCTCTCTTGCCATCATCTCTCATTTCACCTCTAGACATTTTGCATGTGGTAATCTCTGCCTTCCATGCTATTCCTTATCTGTTTCACTCTATTATTCTCCATTATCAGTGAATGCTCCTCCACTCAATAATACACACACACCCCCCTCACACACATGCACACATACACAAATATGCATGCATGCAGATACACCATCTTAGCCTAGTTAATCCCTACTTCGCCTCAGACCCTGCTCAGATGTTACCACTTCTAGCAAGTCTTCCCTGACCTTCCTGAAACCGAATTTAGTTTTCTCTCCTCTGTGCCCCGCTCTCACTGTGTCAGCTGCCATCCCAGCACTCATTCCAGTAAGGTAAGGAATAGTATTTTGTGTGATGAATTAGGATCCTATCTGCCTTGACTTAAGTACATTTTCCAAAACTTGGTAGGTGTGTGTGTAGTTTTGGGAGGTAATAAGTAAGACTGCCTGTGGCCATTTCCGTCACTCATTCTCATGGCCACTCATTTGTCTCCTTTACTAGATTGTTGGCTTGGGGAAGGCAGAGAGGTGGACTATGCCAGTCACCTTCATAGAGCCACACCTTGTGCTGTGCCTTGGTAGTCATTCATTCATTTATTCACTTATTTCACAAATATTTACTGAGTCCCTAACCTACTACATGCCACGGTCTGCTCATGCCGGGTATTCAGACATGAATAAAAGAGATGCAGTATCTGCTCCTGTGGAGCTAATAGTCTAAGCATTGGAGACTGATGTTAATCAAAACATCTTCCAAGCCAATTAGAATGCCAAACCATGCTAAGTGCCACGAATGAAATATATAGAGGAAAGTGATAAAGGGTAACAGAGAGAGTACATTTAGGTTAATGGAGGAAGGCTACTCCAGGAGGTAACATTTAAATGGAGACATGAAGGATGAGAAGAAGCTGGCCATGCAAAAAGGCATGCTGTCACAGGAGAGGAAGAATGTTTTAGATACCCAATACAGTAGTGGCCCCTTATCCATGAGGTACATGTTCTCAGACTCCCTGTGGATGCATGAAACCATGGATAGTACCAAACCCTGTATATACTATGTTTTTTCCATCTGATAACTGAGATGGCTACTAAAGTGACTAATGGGCAGGTAGTGTCTACAGCATGGATCCACTGCACAAAAGGATGCATCATATCTTAGGCAGGATGGGGCAGGAAGGCATGAGATTTCATCACACTCCTCAAAGCAGTGTGCAATCTAAAACTTATGAGTTGTTTATTTCTAGAATTTTCCACTTAATAGTTTCAGACTGCAGTTGGTCACAGTAACTGAAACCATGGAAAAGGAAACCACAAATAAAGTGGGACTACTATACCATGTTTATTGAATGAATTAATCAATGAGTGATGGAGATTGAAATGAATTCTGTTGCAAAGGCTTTTGTCATGAAGGATCACTCATAATAGAATTAGTCATCCCTGATCTCCATGTTTTCTATCTTGAGTTTCCTCTGCAGTGGCCCTGGGCTATCAGCAGGCCCATATCAATCCTCCGGCTGGTGGTTCTTGAGGTTATGGAGTCATTTTCAGCAGGGGGCGCTCTATCTCAGTCATCCACGCAGCTCACTTTCTAACAGGCCCCAGTGCACATGATCCAGCATACTGACCCCTGGTCTTGGGCAGCCTCCCAACTTAGCAACTCCTCCCGAGGAGCTCTCTTCAAGCAATAAACAGCCTTTCATGTGACTAATTAGGATGTTGTCCTACCTGATTTATGTACACTTTGAAAAACTTGAAAGCAAGTAGTCATGTCCTTGGAGGTGATAAAGTAGAGTGTTTGTGGTTCTTTCTATACACAGTTAGATATTAGATCCTTGGTCAGGAAGATTATCTGACAACACTTTGAACCTCTCTTACAAAGCTTATCACATTTTGCCTTACATTTTATTTTTGTGTGCCTAACTTATCTCCCTTACTGAACTGTAGATATATTCTTTAGGGTAAGAATGTGCTTTTTAGACACTATCCATCTCCCATTATTGACTTGCCCATAGCAGACACTCAAGACATATGTTTGGATTAAATTTTTTCCGAGAGGAAATTTATGAGGCCTTGCTTCATTGAAGTTATATTCTTGGAAAAGCTTCACTAACTTCAAGGGCAGCTCATGGTGTGGTGGGTTTTCTTTGTGTGAGGCCCTTCCATAATGTGGCTGTATCCATCAGGGTTCAATGAGAGAAACAGAACTACAAGTATGCACGCTTAACTATAAAGAGATTTGTTTCAGGAATTTGAAATCACGTAATTGTAGGAGCTGGTTAAACCATCTTTGTAAGGTAGTTTTTGGTGTCTGATGTTGAAGCTTGACATCTACAGGATGGGCAGTTGGGAAGTGAAGATGGATGTAAAGTTGGGGAAAGCAGGAACCCAATGGAAGCTGCGAGGATTAACTGAAACGCGTGTTAATACTTGCTGCCTTGACCTTGATGTCACAGGCGGCCAGCAGAGACTAGGACACTGTTACAGAGACCAGCACACACACACACCTGGCCCAAAAGTTGGAGAAGGAGAAAGAGGATACAGGGAGAGATGGAGCAGTTGCAGGCCCAGCCATGCCCTGACACCAACAGAGGGAGCCAGAACATAAGCAACAAGGTGTGTGAGCTGCAAAATTGTTGCTGCTTCCCCTCTACCTTCTGAATGGCCCCCAATAATCTGTCTTGTGGACAGATGATTAGAGTGTGGACACTCTAATCAAAACGTACAGGAGAAGGGCCAGGCACCATGGCTCAGGCCTGTAATCCCAGCACTTTTGGAGGCTGAGGCAGGCGGATCACTTGAGGTCAGGAGTTCGAGACCAGCCTGGCCAACATGGTGAAACCTCACCTCTACTAAAAATACAAAAATTAGTCAAGTGTGGTGACACGCGCCTGTAATCCCAGCTACTCAGGAGGCTGAGACAGGAGAATTGCTTGAACCCGGGAGGTGAAGGTTACAGTGAGCTGAGATTGCACCACTGCTCTCCAGCCTGGGTGATAGAGTGAGACTCCGTCTCAAAAACAAACAAACAACAACCGAAAGAAAACATACAGGAGAGAGAATGCTGGGAAATGTGGTCAAGCCTACCCAAGTTGACACATTACAAAGCCAAGGCAATGGCCTTGACTCAGCCCTTACTCTTTAGAGCTTGTGAGTTGTCAAATGCTCCATACTCCCTTACAAAAGAAGGCAGTGACCTGTTTTCGTCAACACTGCCTGAGTGTGTCATATATTTCTTGTTTCACTGATCCAGCCTCAGTCTACTTTGACGGAAACTCTGTTAAATATGTCACATCATCATACACCTCAGAGACATACCATTTTACTGACTTCGTAAGGTGATTTCCATCTGTAGTGTTTAAGCTGATTTTTGTTTGTTTATTTGTTGCTATTGCTTTTAATGAGGGCATTACTTTGGGTCATTTTTACTGCTGAAGCAAAATATGTCTGTTTCTGTCAAAATCACTTCAGAAGCTATGTAGTATTACAGGGGAATTCTTTTAAAAATCAAATACAGAGCTGCTATTTGGGGAAGATGATATCGATGATTGAAGGGAATAGGACCTTTGTGCAGTATTTATTCTGGAAGTCCCATTATCTGAATTTCAGGATTTCTGATTCAGCCTTTAAAGCCGGTTGAGGCATTGAGGCAGTCCTGACAGGGTGTGTAGGCACATACACACACACACGCACACACACACACACACACACACCCTCTAAAAGAGAGAAAGATAAGAAAATACCATGGATAAGCTTCGCTAGCATTGCCTTTCCTTTCTAATTTGGTGGTTGGAAAGAGGCAAAGAGGAGACAAGATGGTGATAGACCGGTTGCAAGGTTTCAGCAGAGGGGACCTTGGCAGGCTGCCTACGAGCAGCGAGTGTGCAGTTTCCAGGCATGGCCACAGGATGGTGCAGTGACTGTGCAGATGGTGTATGGCACCAGGAGGGAAATCAAGGCCCTCTAAATATTCAGTGTTCTTGTTCTTGTTTTTCCATATGGGACCTAAACATGGGGAAGATAGCAAACATGGAAGAGAGCCAGGAAATGTAAGTGTTTTACCAAATATCATCCACAGTGTTTGAGAATAAAGAAAATCTATTTACACCCATCCTTGGCACTGAAATCCTGGTGAAGGGGACCGGGTATGCAATCTGTAAATCTGTCAGCTAATTATGAGCTCGGTTTTGTCAGTTATGCAGCAAGCTACTAAACTGTGGTGCATATTGGCACTTTTTATATGACAGATTCTGTTCCCATTGGACATGCGTGGTGGGCTATGGGTGGGATGGGACACAGATTTTTTTTTATCCTTCTTACTACAGACTTTTCTCTCAAGGCTGGATTATGAGGTTCTTTACATTATGCCACATAAATCCTGTACAGGGTGGTGAAAGAAATATCAGTACAAGATGGCTTATGAGTCTCAATTCACTGCAGCCTCAATCTCCTAGGCTCAAACAATCCTCCCACTTCAGCCTTCCTCCCGAGTAGCTAAGGGCTACAAGTGTGCCCTACCACTCCAGGCTAATTTTTTGTTATTTTTTATAGAAATGAGGTCTCCCTATGTTGCCTAGGCTGGTCTCAAACTCCTGGCCTCAATTGATTCTCCCGCCTTGGCCTCCCAAAGTGCTGGGATTACAGGCATGAGCCATAGCACTAGGGATAAAGATTGTTTTACGATGTTACAATACATGGAAGACAAATGATAGTCTGCAAGAAAATAACTATACGACATATGACAAAGGATTCACATCCATAATGTACAAAGAACTTATATAAACCCATAAGAAAGAGATAAACATACCAAATAAGTATAAGTCATTAAACAAGCAATTCACAGAAAAAATATAAACTAACATTTGAAAAGGTGCTTAATCTCACTGGATAGTGTAGGTATTGATAATGGGGAAATGCAGGTCCAAACAAAAAGCATTATTTTTGCCTCTCAGACAGGCAAAAATAAAAATAAAAAATAATATCCAGAGGTTTTGATAGTATCGACAGATACTGTCATATATCCTTGAGAGTAAATTGGAATAGCAATTCTGGATGGCAGTTTGGCAGTTTCTATCAAAAATTCGAATGCATATGCCAAGAAATTAGACTCTGAGGAATGTCTCCTCTCCTATAGAAATATTCAGTATGTGCCCAAATTTGTGTATACAAAGCCTTTCATCACAACATTAATTATACTAGAACAAAATGGAGAAAATGAGAATCAATCTAATTGTCTATCAATTAGGCCAGTAATAAATAAACTATCAATACCATAGGATATGCAGTTGTTAAAAGGAGTGAGGCAGAACTGCATGTGCTGACATGGGCCAATCTCTGGTCTATGTACTTAAAGAACTGTGTGTGTGTGTCTACGTACTTAAAGAAGTGTGTGCGTAAATATACAGAAACAGACCTGGTAGAACACACTCCAAACTGATAATACTAATTAGTTCTAGCTCTGCGGAGAGAATTTGAATTGCCAATGTGAAGGAACATTATCATATTTTGCCTTATATACTTCTCTCTATGTTTTTAATAATGAGCAGGTATTAACATATTATGAAATTTAAAAATAAATTTCTTTAAAAAGACATTACCAGGATTATAAGAGTTATTATTTCTCTTCTCAAAGCTTCACAGGTACCCAAATAATCCTCAATAACAAATCAAAAAGCTAAGACCTGCATGAGATGGAGATTAACAACTACATGCTCCTAATACCCCTTAATTTTGTTCTTTTCAGGCCCACACAATTCACTTGTATTATGAGTGTTTCCTGGTTGTCATCTGGCAGTAGCTCTCCGAGGGATGATGTGAGGGTCTGGGGGGAGGAACAAGAGAGATGACTGGAAAATCATGTTTTTCTTACCTTCAGCCTCCTTTGTTGCCTTAACTAATTGAAGAATGTTTTTCTCTTGACTTTTTGTGTCCTGTCTCACTTTAGGGCTTTCTAAGTCACTTAACACACAATCATGTACTTTTTAGTACTTGTCATCAGAGTTTTGTGATCTGGCTAGATTGGCCTTTGGTATAAAGCATTCCAATTTGCTTTCTGGGGCTCTGGGGAATTCTTGCTTCAGCCAACTCTATCTCTTATTCTCCCTCCTCTTCTTTCTTCCCCTGGACTAATAATGACAAATCCATTCCTGGACCTGTAGAATTGCCCCCACACTTCCCTTATGACCACCTGGAAACTTCTATCCGGGTTTTCGGCTTGTTGAAAGCATTTGCCTTCCTATTCTGCATTTTCTTGAATGCTTGTGATTTCTGAGTGACCTGTATGTTCTTGCACCATGGTAACATTCCATCAAGATTCTGTCCACATTCAACCCCTTGACTATTTACCCTCACAGAAAAAAAATGCCATGACGAATGCCATCCATTTTAGCTGAGTATTTTACCTTTTGCTGAGTTGTTGCCTTAAACATATTCCTAAGGCATATTTGGCAATTTGTGGCCTGGTGTACTTTTTTCCAACAGGCCTATGGATTGCTAGTCACATAACACCGTCAGATCCTGACCTGCAGTTATATTTGTAAGTGACTTTTCAGCTTTCTCCACTGGCTCCCCTTATCTGTACACTTATAAAGAACTCCTTCTCTGAGATCCCCATCATTTACTTACTCTCTCATCTTCACGCTCTTTGACCTCCTTTTTGTCTTATTCTAGAAGGTGCTACGTGTCAAAGATTAGTGTCTTATCTCCCTTCTTCCCTTCATTCCTATATTCTTCCAAATCTGTTTTCGTTTTGCTGTTAGAGGTAGAGGATAAAATAGTTACCATTTATCATGTATTTTCTTATCTCTGGGTTTAAAAATCTTCATTCCTTTATTTTCCTGTAATTAACAGGCATGTTTTCTCTTCCACCCACTGAAGTTTTGATGAAAATATTAAATTGTATCAGACTTAGGTCAGTTCCCTGAGAAACAATATGCACTGTGATTCCCTATCTCTGGTTCTTACTGAGCTATCAAAACCCAGCTGGTCACTATCATCCACTAGTGCCACTTGTATGTGGTGTGAACAATATTTTTCAAGCTAGTTAATGAGTAGGTCACGGCTAGGAGCAGAATCAAAAGCCTTTCCAAGGTTAATACATATTACGTTGTTTGCTGCCCCAAATCCATTAGGCTTGTCATCTGTTACCCAACAAAAATTAGATTGGGTCAGCATGACTATTTTCTTCATAATGTAGTGCTGATTGTTACTCAGTACTCTGTGCTATTCTTATCGTTCTTTTTATTTTCATTGAGGAATTTTAAAAACATATTATCCTGTGAGTAAAATTGGGTTATTCAATCTTTCATCTCTATGTTGACTCTCTATCCTTTCTGAAAAGGTAGATTTTTTTTAGTTGGCTTTTTCTAATCTCCAGGAACTCCGGTTTCCAAGAATTTCCAAAGATGAGACATCTCTGTAATTCTTCAAAGGATCAAGATGCATTCTTTGCACACTTTAGGGTGAAAGTCCTGCAAGACAGTTTGGAATGTTCAGTATCAATTGGCATTGCTCAATATGAATTCTGTGCATATGGAGAGTTAGGCAGCTCATGGCTGCCTGCTGTGATGGCTAGTGTGTGTGTGTGTGTGTGTCTGTGTGTGTGTATGTACATTAAAATTTCCTTTTACTTTAGTGTCATGGTTTGAACTACCTTCCCACACAGTCCAACACAAAGACCCACATTATTTCCCCTTCCTTCCATGCAATAAAGAATACTTTCCCATACATCTGTTCCTAGTAGGAACTTATTCCTTGCTTTGGCTCTCCCCATTTTCTTTTTAAATGTAGCTGTCTCAAATCTATTGTGGGCAAGAGAAAGGTATTAATAAATAAACCCACTTTCTGAATGTTCACCAGGTAGATCTGTCACAATCCACTTATGCCAAGGACTGCAATTGTTTGCTCCTGGAAGTAGTGCTGGGGGAGTAGGCTAATGCCTGAGAGAGCCCCCTTCTAATCCTACAGTGAGGTGTGGCACCCAGAGTTTAAATGAGTAACCTGCAGTTTCATAAACCCCATGCTCTTTCTCTACATAGTGCAATGAGTCTTTTGAAATAAATATATAAAAGAAACCTGTTCTCTGACCTTTGCTGTTTAGATGCCTCCCTTGCCTGTGTCATGACTCTGTGTTAATTAATGTAAGTAAAATGTAAACATTAGAGAAGTCATTTTGTGGATGCAGACCTACCAAACCCATCCTCACATTTTCACATACAAAAGGAAAACTTCTTGCTGGAAATTTTCTCTAATCATTTTTGCTTTCTATCAGAATTAGAGGGAAGACATTGCAATACTATTACAAGCAATAATAACTAACTTTTATTGAGTGCAAGTTTCAGGCTTGGTGCTAAGCTGTTTTGTGGAATTAACTTCTATTTTATACCTGGCATAAATGGAAGTTCAGAGAGTTTAAGTGACTTGCCCATAATCAGATGGATAAAGAGTGGCAGAGTTGGCCACTGTTTTGTAGGGCTAGAGTTGGGCAGTCCTAGGGTCTCACATAAGTTTTTTGGACATTTTATTGTCCATGAAGTCAGAATCCATCTTATAATTCATGGCATTCTAGATACTTTTAAACAGAATTTTAAATAAACTGTTTTCCTTTCCTTTCCTTTCCCTTTCCCTTTCTTTCCTTTCCTTTCCCTTTCTTTCTCTTTTCTTTCTTTCTTTCTTTCTTTCTTTCTTTCTTTCTTTCTTTCTTTCCTTCTTTCTCTTTCTTTCTCTTTCTTTCTTTCTTTCTTCTCTTTCTTTCTTTCTTTCTTTCTTTCCTTCTTTCTTTCTTTTTTTTCTTTTCTTTTCTTTTTCTTTTTTTTTTCGGAGTTTCACTCTTGTTGTCCAGGCTGGAGTACAGTGGTGCCATCTTGGTTCACAGAAACCTCCACCTCCCGGGTTCATGAGATTCTCCTGCCTCAGCCTCCCGAGTAACTGGGATTACAGGCACCCGCCACCATGCCTGGCTAATTTTGTATTTTTAGTAGAGACCGGTTTTCACCATGTTGGTCAGGCTTGTCTTGAACTCCTGACCTCAGGTGATCCACCTGCCTCAGCCTCCCAAAGTGCCAGGATTACAGGTGTGAGCCACTGCACCCAGCCCACAGTATTATTTCTATTATAAAAGAAATATAGATTCGTATTTTAAAAGTTGGTAGAAAATTTATACCAAGTCTCACCATTTTGTTATATTTCCTTCCAGTCTTTCTTTTATGCATAATTTTTCTTATGATTTGTTTGTTTTACATGATCATAAGAATACATGTAACTTTGTGAAGTTTCACAATTTTATCTTTTAAAATTATATCTTAGCATAAACATTTTCCCTGCTATGTAATTTTTTAAAGCCTACATAGTAATCAATTGATCGAGTATATAGTTTAGCCTTTTCCAAGTGATTTAGCATTTAGCCTGTTTTTGTTTTCATTGTTATAAATATCACTGTATTTAAACTTTTTATGCATGAAACTTTGCTGTATTTCGAATGATTTCATGGAAATGAAAGTATTGGATCAAAGAATGTGAACTTCTATAAAGTTCTGGTTAAGCATGGCCAAGATTTCCATAGGTGTCTGAAAGTGTGCCTGAATTTTCACTATTTGATTCATGCAAGAATCTGAGTAATATATCCAGAGCTGAGAGGTGTTCCTTGTACCGTGGTTGAAAAGACCACATGGCTTCATTGGTGTTACTGGCAGAATTACTGCTTGCTTCCACCACTCCTCTATTCTATCCCCACCATCGTTAAACTCAGAATTTTCTTTATTGCCACAGTATTGAGGGAACAGGCTTCCAAAAAGAGTGAGTAATAGCTTTCCACTGTTGCGTGATTTCCCTCCTAGACAGCACCCTGTTTTAGGAGTCTGTAATCATACTGAGGAATAGAAGCAGGGAGGTAGGAAGAAGGATAATGGAAGCAGCAAAGCCTTTGTGAAGATTCTGGAAACAAGTGACTGAGACCTCTGACACTTTTCTGATAAATCCACTTAACAAAGTAGCAGATACTTGAATAATTGATGCCTCTTGTTCTTGGGCTTAAGCACTGAGCTGCTGGTCTTCTTACATTCAATCTTGATCTTCTAATTCAATTCGCATACTGCTACCAAAGACACAAAACTGATCATGTAACTCCACCACCATTTTGCTGTTTTGCTTCCAAAATTCCCAGTCCCTCAGGATACAGTCGAAATGCCTGAGCATGTCCTTCAAAGCCTTGTGGGACTTAAACCCTGCTTATTCTTCTAGCCTAGTTTCCCTTAACTCCTTGGATACATCTCAGCTGCACTGGGTATTCTACAGTTCCGCAAATTCATCATGGCTTTTCATGTTCCAAAGGAGGGTCTCCATACAGCAGAATGAGTTTGGGATTTGGAGTCTGCATGCCTGGGCTCTCCAGTTCCAGCTTTACTACTTACATGGATCACCTGAACCTCTTAAGATCGCAGTATCCTTATCTGTAAGATGTGTAGAAGGATGCTTACTTTATAACGTTATGTGGGGATTTCAAATAACATAGAAAGCACCTACTATAGTGTCTAGCACATAGAAGGTACTCAAAAGATAGGAAGAATGATGATGATGACAATGACAATGACGATGCCATTTTTGTCTCTGGGCCTTTGTGCATGTGGTTTCCTGTATCTGGAATGCCTTAACCCCCTTTCTTGATCAGCTCTCCTCACCCTTCACAATTCAATGTGAACATCCTCCAGGGAATTTTCTTAGGCCCTTTCTCTGGTCTCCTCATTTATGGAAGCTTCTTCATGCTTCCATCGCACTCTGCATTGACCTGAATGACAGTACATTTCCCAACAAGGCGTTAGTCATGTGGTTCCTTCACTGTTTAAAATTTCTTTTTTTTTAAATTATACTTTAAGTTTTGGGATACATGTGCAGAATGTGCTGGTTTGTTACGTAGGTATACACATGCCATGTTGGTTTGCTGCACCCATCAACCCGTCACCTACATTAGGTATTTCCCCTCATGCTATCCCTCCCCTAGTCCCCCGCCCCCCAACAGGCCCTGGTGTGTGACATTCCTCTCCCTGTGTCCATGTGTTCTCACTGTTCAACTCCCACTTATGAGTGAGAACCTGCAGTGTTTGGTTTTCTGTTCCTGTGTTAGTTTGCTGAGAATGACAAGGGCTAATATCCAGAATCCACTGTTTAAAATTTCAAATGCCCAAACCTTGAAAGCTGCTACTCTGAAAATCCATTCTGAACAGTCTCGTGCTTTTTTGAATTCTGAAAATGAATGTTTCAAAGTGCTCATAGGTGAGTCCCCTCTTCCATTAACTAAAGGTGACTATTTCCATGTCTTCTTCAGCTTTCTCCTCAATGAGTACTGTCCTGTGTTGGGAATTGGCATCAGTTGTCTCTCATACCTTTTTCCATTCAATCATCTTCAGAACTCTGCAAAGGAATATTAATCCTGTCTACAGATGGGAAAACTGAGACTCAGAGGATGTAGATAACTTTCTCAAAGTCACAGCTGGATGCTTCTTGGGGTACCTTGCCTGAAGAAATGTTGCATATAGATCTTTCACACTTGGATGTGGGCCAGTGGCAGTTGATAGGACCATTCTGAGGCAGGATCAAGAAACAACAGGCAATCAATCCTCCAGGCAGGTAAACAACATTTCATGTATGTTTTCTAAATTTAATGCTGAAAATGAAGCACGTCCTATGTGTCTCCACAGGGAGAGGACTCTTGGAAGCTTGTACATGGCTTCCTCTAAGACCTCCCTTCTCATGCCTTTTCCCTTTGCAGGTTTTGCATTGTATCCTTTAGCTGTGATAAATCTTATTTGTGAGTGCAAGTAAAAAAAAAATCCCCCAGGCAAAGGTAGGCAAGCATCCTGGCCCTGCCACTCACTGGCTGAGTGAGTTTGGCCCACTTAATTCACTCCCCATTGTCTCAGTTTCCTTATCTGTAAAATATGGATAATAATAGTACCAACATTACAGAGTTATAGAGAGAATTTAATGAGTCAATACATTTAAAGTATTTAGCACAGTGTCTGGCATGTGGTGAGCACTCAATTAAATGTTAGACATTATTATTGTTTCTAGGAAACAGAGGAGTGAGGGAAATGTATGAATGATATTATTACTACTAATAGGTCCAAAGGGGACTAATCCCATAGCAGCTTCAAGTTAAGTAAAGCTGAGTGTCTGGACAGCAGGGGGACATGGTGACCTAGGCAGGGAGTTAGCAATTCTCAGTGGTCAGAAGCAAGTCAAGAGGCAAAAAGCTAAAAAGGTAGTTGAAATGGTGACAAGACTTGAGATAAACCACTTTTTCATTTCATCCTTTCTCAGAAAGGCTGAGCCAGTGAGAGGCATACCCAGCCCTTGGAAGGTCCACTTATACAAGTACAGGGGATTTTGAAAGGGAAGATCACTCCACAGCATTGGGAATATCTCAGAAGTAATACACTGGAAAAATAGAAACCGCAGAGACACAAAAAGAAGCTTAAAAGACATTAAATATAGCCACTTTTGATATTTTTATGTTTATCTGTTTCTTTATTTTTTCCTATGCATGTGTAATTTTTAAGAAAATGAAAATCATGCTGTAAAGACAGTTTTTAACCTGTTTTCTTTAAATTCAAAATATAACTTGAATACCTTTTAATACCTGCTGTCAAGTATTTCTCCGCAGCATAATTTCTCATACCTGTCAAAATATAATTCTGATTATACAACTGCAATGAAAGAATAGGGGGAGGCATCCCAAGAAGCTAATGGGATCATATAAGGAGCTCTTGTATATGTTCAGCTTTGAAAAAGAACACATTCAAAACCTTGCAAGACCAGATTCTAAGCATTGCATCCCAGTGTCATCTGCAAACTTGATCATTTTGTCTTTTAGATATTTCTTCCATGTCATTCATTGTGGCCACCATGGTAATGTGCATTGCTGTTCCAACTACAGAGAACATCCTTGACCAAGGGCTCCAGCTGCCGTACTCTGCTGTTTGATCTCTCTCTGTTTGATTTTTCAAGGTCAGACTTACATTGCAGTCTGAGGCCACTCTGGGCCTCTCTGGCTCTAGTCCCATTTTCTCTCACAC
Organism: Homo sapiens; assembly: GCF_000001405.40. Taxonomy (NCBI): domain Eukaryota; kingdom Metazoa; phylum Chordata; class Mammalia; order Primates; family Hominidae; genus Homo; species Homo sapiens. The sequence continues at coordinate 132,604,025 of NC_000023.11, read as the reverse complement.
GTTTCCCCCAGTGAAATCATTGAACACTTAATCCGGTCTCTGTATCTACTTCTTGCAGGTCCCAAACTAACGCACTGATTAACAAGGGAGTAAATTGGGGCTGGGGTCAGAGGCCTACTGTACATGTCGCATTGCAGGTTACTATTTAGCCATCAGACCAGGAAGCTAGTCCATAATGACCCTGAACTGCCATCTATACCTTTTTGAAGCCATTTGGTCCAGCTGAACCCCAGGGGCTGGCAGGAACCAAATGTACCTTTTGGATACCGACAACTAAGGCTTCATAGGCTTCATAGGAAATATTTTTCATTTTCAAATTGCAGATGTCCTAGCTCACTATAGTCTATGAAATTAGCCAATTTTACCTGAAGGCCAGCCTGATTGAACAGCTACATGCTGACCCTGATGTTAGATAGCATCAGTCTTTCCAGCTCTTTGGTCAAAGTCATTACTCTCAAATATCACCACAGTCCCTGCCAATAATTATAATAAGAGCTAACATTTATTGAACACACAATTTGTGCCAAACACCAGGTATAGATTATTTTATTTCATTCTCATAACTACTCTATGAAGTAGGTCCTATTTTTTCACCCCAGGGAAGTTAGGTATTTGTTGAAGGTCACATAACTAATTAATAGCAACATTTAAAGTCAAGTCAGCTGGGCACAGTGACTCACGTCTGTAATCCCAGCACTTTGGGAGGCCGATCTGGGCACATCACGAGGTCAGGAGATCGGGACCATCCTGGCCAACATGGTGAAACCCCACTTCTACTAAAAATACAAAAAATTAGCTAGGCATGGTGGCGTGCACCTATAGTCCCAGCTACTCGGGAAGCTGAGGCAGGAGAATCGCTTAAACCCGGGAGGCAGAGGTTGCAGTGAGCCGAGATCGTGCCACTGCACTCCAGCCTGGCGACAGAGCAAGACTCTGTCAAAAAACAAAAACAAAAACAAAAACGAGTTAATTTAATTCACAACTTTTCCTCTGAATTACTAGAATAATCACACCAGGAACAGACTCACGGCAGCTTTTCCTGCCAGTGATATGTCTATGTGAGGACCTCAGGCTTTATTTACTCAACCTGCTTGCTAGGCAGTGACTTTGGCCTTCACCAGCCCTGACTCTCACTCCAGGATGGGAAGTGGTGCTGGATGGGGTGGACTTGGGTAAGGGGTTGTGTCCAAATTATCGTGCAGGGAAGTTTGCAGCTGAGAAGACAGCAGGTGTGCTCTAATCCTGAAAAGCCAGCTGGCAGAGGAGCTGGGATTACAGGAAAGCCCGTGCATCTCACTCTTTCCATTTGGGACACCATGCTCATGAATGATCTAATGGAGCAATCATGGGCTATAAGCACAAAAAGTAAAGAGAAATGATTTAGGCAGGGCTTTTTCCGCCCCCAAAAGTCCAGGGTGATTCTACCGAAAGAGAGTCCTCATTTGTTGTGTTAATACTTCATGGCATCGTGATGGCCTTAATTGCTGTCATTCCTCCTCTGGCAGATGAAGTATCTGTTCTTTTATGACCCATGGGATGCACAAGAATTAGCATAATAGCACCACCTCCAACCCCGGTGGCAGCTCAGCTAGCACCCAGGAACCCGCAGACCATCATTTGAGTCAATTAGGAAGCTACCGAGTGTCTCTTCAGCCACTCTGCCCACACTGATGACAGGTGCTCATTAGTTCAGTATTAGCACCGTGGATGTAACTAATGGCTGTGTCTATCAGTTACAGACACCGATCAGTTAAACCCTGATGGGTAGGGTGCTTGCTGCTGTTACTCCTGCTGCTTTCTCCCATCCCAGCTTCTTCATTTCGGCAGTATGGTTACTAAACAGGTTTTGCTTCAGGGAATTTCCTGTCGACACTGAAGTCAAAATGGGCCAGCAACTGGGTCTCTACATCAGTGGCAAACAAGCAAGAGGGGTCAAACCTGCAGCTTTCTTGCTGAAGGGCTCTGGCTCATGCATTCAAGAGGTTCAAGATACTGAAGCTCAGAATTGGGATGGAGTTCAAGGCATTTCTAGGGAGTGAGGATCTTTGGGCAATTCAGTGGGTCTTTATTAGGCATTTGAAATTATGTATTCTTAACTGGGCTAAGTGCTGAAGGGAGTGGGGGAGAAAAAAGAGGAAATTCCTTATTGTTATCATCATCACCACTACTGTTTATCATGTACCTACCATGTGCCAGGCACTGACATACAAATCTCAGTACTCAGAGATGAAGCATTACAAGAGAGGTACTCTCCCCATATTACAGACTAGGAAACTGACTCTTAGAGCAGCCAGATAATTTACCCAATATCACATGCAGGTAGTAAACAGCTAAGCTAGGAAAGGAGACACTACCTTTCCATAGGTGAATCATGTTCTGTTTGGGATTGAAAAAAAACATGTAAATAGAAAATAATTTTAACTTACATTACAAATGAGTATTTGTCAAATTACAAAATGTAATAAAACCCCAGGCTAAAGTGCACATTGCTGATCAATGCCATGGTGGAGGCAGGGAATGATCAGAAAGGAGAGAGGTTAAAGAGAAGTAGAGATGTCATGGAAGCCTCCTGAAGAAGACGGAATTTCAACAAAGTGTGGAAAGATGTACCAGACCTGGATAAACAGAAAGTGGAGGATGTCTCAGGTGGGAGGAATAAACAAAGGTGTGTGGAAGACAATGCTTCTCAATTCACCCTGTTTATGATTTGGTACAATTCAACTCAACAAATACTTAGTGAGGGCCTACTATGTGCTAGGTAGGCATTGGACTAGGCAGGTGGAGTATTGCATTGAGCAAAACGATAAAAAATCCTGGTTTTCATGGACCTTGCATTTCATTCTATTATCATCATAGCACTTACTACTATTTCTATCTTGCTTATTTATTTGTTTACTTGATTATTGTCAAGTCCCCCACCCCTCCCAAGAAAATATGCTCCACGACAACAGGGACGGTAAAAGTGATTTTAGTTGCCTTCTAACTTTCATTCTCCTTTCTCCTAGCAACAGCCCCAGATTCATAATTGGTGAAATGTACCAAGTATAAGTTTCAGCCATGTGCTTGGAGTGGATATGTTGACGCCATGACCTACTCCAAGCCCAGCCACATAATTGATTCACCCTCTTAAAGTTCTACTGATTGCTTCGCAGATGGAAATATACTCAGTGGTAAGCTGGTTGAATTAAGGTAAACCTCAGGACATTTGTTGTAAATGCTGAGACACAGACCCCCTTTTCCATGGGTGTGAGGATGTGTGACATTTAGCTGCTACAGCCATTTATGATCAAGAGGCACTTGACACTGCTTAGGGGCATCGTGTGAAACCTAAAGATAATGGTAACACTGCAGAGAACAAGACAGAAGGACAGAAAGAACCTTGGTGACATCATGGAGTTGCTAGATCAAACCTCATCTGAGACTAAATTTAGACATTTCAGTTACATGATCCACTTTGTGCTAGGTCTCCTGTCACTTGTAACGCAAAAGGTTTCAGACAAGGACTTTGTCTTATACGCTGTGTCTCCAGTGTCTTCTCTAAAACAACACCTGGCATGTAGTAGGAACTCGATATTTCTTTAGTGAATCCTTGATGAGTGAAAAAAGGAAGTTAAAGAGAAAATGATCAATTTTTTGCTGTTTTAAAAAATTATGTAATTGTTTAGATTTAATTTTGTGAAGTATGTGACATATAGAGAAATATATAAAGCATAGTCATATTTTTCAAAAATCATATTAAAGAGAACACCTATGTAACTTTCACCCCAGTTAAAAGTAGAATGATGCCAAAGTCTTTGAGGCTCCCTTTATTTCTTCCCCATTCATGTCCCCGCCTCACTCTTCCTCACAGAGAGACCCACAGCGCTGATTTTGTGTTAATAATTCTCTTGCTCATCTTTATAGTAGTACCACCTGGATGTGCATATCTAAAGTTTAGTTTGTCTGCTTTTTAAAAACTTCATATAAATAGAACGATCCAGTATACTTTTATGAATGGCATATTTCACTCAACATTATATTTGTGAGATTGCTCCATATTGCTTCATGTACCTGTAGTTCATTCACTTTCACTGCTGTGTGATAAAATATTCTGTTGTGGCTGGGTGCGGGGGCTGATGCCTGTAATACCGTCACTTTGAGAAGCCAAGGCAGGAGGATCACTTGAGCTTAGGAGTTCAAGACTAGCCTGGGCAACATGGCAAAACCCTGTCTCTGCAAAAAATCCAAAAATTAGCCGGGCATGGTGGTGCTTGCCTGTAGTCCCAGCTACTTGGGAGGCTGAGGTGGGAGGATCGCTTGAGCCCAGGAGGTCAAGGCTGCAGTGAGCTATGGTCGTGCCACTGCACTCCAGTCTGTATGACAGAGCAAGAGCCTGTTTTGAAAAAAAAATTGTTGTAAGAATATTTCACAACTTATTCATCTACATCATCGTCAGCATTATCAGCATTATTTCACAATGTATTCATTCACGTTATTGTTATTTTCATCAGCATTTTCATCATCAATATTTGGGCTACTTAATGGTTTAAGCTATTTCAAATGACAGTGCGATGAGCAGTCCTGTGCACAGCTGGGACACATGTGCAAAAGTGTCTAGGGTATATAGCTAGGAGTGAAATTGCTGGGTCATAAAGTATGCATATGTTCATGTAGGTTACTCGGATTTTTACTTTGTTGTACCAATTTATGTTTCAATCAGCAGCACAGGGGCATTCTCTTTGCTCTACAGACTCACCAACCTTTGGTATTGCCAGACAACTGAATTCTTGTCAATGCCATGGGTATGTAGTAGTCTCTCATTATGGTTTTCATTATCATTCAGCTCAAATTCCTTTCTAGTTTTCATTGTAATTTATTATTTCTCCCACTTAAAATTGTGTTTCTCTATTTCCAAATCTATTTTCCATGTCACTTTCAGTTATTCATTTCTAACTTTATTTCATTGCTGTAACATAAAGTAAACTTTGTGGCTCTGAAAATTGAAAATTTGTTGAAGCTTTAGTTTCATAAAACTGTTCTATGAATGCTTGGAAAAAATGTGTATTTTGCAGTTGCTGGGTATCAAGATCTTTATTTGTCCTTATGACAGTTGTTATATTTATTCTTTTTTGTATATGTATCATGAGACTTGTTATATGTATTATTTTTGTATATGTATCATTATATGTATACTTTTTTATATTCTTTTCTTTCCTGTTTGTTCTATGGCTTATTGAGAGGGGTATATTAAAAATCTTCGACTACTGTGAACTTTTTTTTTTTTTTTTGAGATAGAGTCTTGCTCTGTTGCCCAGACTGGAGTGCAGTGGCATGATCACAGCTCACTGCAGTGTTGATCTCCCAGGCTCAAGTAATCTTTCCACCTCAGCCTCCCAAGTAGCTGGGACTACAGTGTGTGCCACCATGTCCAGCTAATTTTTAGTAATTTTAGTAGAGACAAAGTCTGGCTATGTTGCCCGGGCTGGTCTTGAACTCCTGGCCTCCCCTGTCAGCTTCCCAAAATGCTGGGATTACAGGCATGAACCACCACGCTCGGCCTTTATTTCTTTTTATAGGCCATTTGCTTATACCTTTTTTGAGGCTATAGTGTTGGGAGATAAAAACTTATAATCATCATATCATTTTTGTGATTTAAGCTTATTGTTATTTCAAAGTGATTGCCTTCATCTTTAGAAATCATTTGTGTCTCAACGTTTATTTTAAGAGATGTTAACCTAGGTAATTTCAATTTTTCTTTAGCATGTTCATGGCATGCATTATTTCCGTATTTTTACTTTCAATCTTTCTGTATTTTTATCTTTCTGATGTATCTCTTATAAACAACATTTAGTTGGTCTTTTTACTAATCTAGTCAGAACATCTTTCTTATTACCTGGAGCTTTTAGTCCACTTACATTTGATATAACTAATGATCTATTTGGATTTATATCTATCAAATTATTTTTTGCTTTTCATTTGTCTCAGCCATTCTGTTTCAATTTGTACTCTGTTCCATGTTTCTTCATTATTTTAGAAGGATTTAATTTATTTTATCATTCCATTTTCCTCTCTCCTAATTTGGAAGTTATGGACTTTGTGTCTAATCTTTTAATGGGTATTTTTGAAATGGCAACATGCATGCTTAACTTATCAAAAATATTTTGATCATATTCTTACTCTCCTGGAGAACTATTAAATCTTAGAACACCAAATACATTTGCTCTTCTCCTGTGATAGAGAGATAGATATACTTGCGATGATTTTTGTTTGTATTCTGTTCTTTTAGGCCTACAAGGCATGATAATTATATAATCAATATTAGACTTTTTACTTTGAATAGTGCTGAACTTAATCTTCCGTCACCCATAGCTCAGGAGGCCATGAAAATTCAAATTGTGATTCCCCAGGTATAGTAAATACCTTTAGTTCAGAAGTACTATTAATGCTCCGCTAAATCCCTGGGTTTCAGTTTTGACTTATATTTTGGCCTGGAAATTACTAACTCTTTTGTTTGCTCTTTGCAGCTCTTAAGATCTTTTGAAGATTTCATTCAACATTTTTTTTTTAAGGCAGAAGGGTCAGTCAAGATACTTACTCTGCTGTGTTACCAGCAGTAAACTTGGCTTTGTCTTCAATTTTTTTTACACAGAGTTTCACTCTTGTCTTCATTTATACAATTTTATTTCAGCCTCTTTGTTACATTTTTCGGCGCATCTGCTTCAACCATCTTTTAGTCCTTTATTTCTGCTTCAATTATAATTTTGTCTCAGTAAAGTTTATTTTCTGTCTCCCTCCACAGTCATGTCATTTGTGTGTCAAGAAGAAAAAAATAATGACCCTAATCAAAAATGCCTAAGAGTAATGCTAGCAATGCACTCAAATCAAGGAGAAATTCATAAATTACAACATGAAATTAGACAATGAACCAGTGCCCTAATCTGCTGAAGTCCTTGAAACTGTCCAGAGATCCCTTCAGAATCTCAACAAAGGTACCTGCCTACCTTTGTCATCTTCTTCTAATTAAACCTGCTTTTCCTTAAGTACCACAGACATTCAAAGGAAGCATAAAAGTCTCATTTTTTCAATTTTATTCCAACAATGTAGTTTTATACTACTTTTATACTGAAAACTCACAGTGTTGCAGTTATAATTTGGTTAACTCCAGTAGAATATTTTGAAATCGCACAACCACCCTGCATAATATTTTGGTGTACTAGACATCTGACTTATAGATGAATGTCAGGTATGTAATCTGTTTTTAAAATAGGGCTCACTTTTAACTTAGTTTTAAGAAATGTATTAAAATAATGTTATAACCCCATTAAAGGACATTTTTTAAAAGACAATATTGTTAACCTTTAGTACAACTATTTTCCTTTCCCTTCATCTTCTTCCAAACATTATTTATATACTTAGAAAATTTGTCACTGTAATCATAATAAATAGACAACGCTGCATTCTTCTTTTGAAACCTTCCAGTGTTTCATAAACACTCCATATTGTTACAAAATTTCTTGTCTAGAATTTCAATGTTGGCTTTCTATTCCACCAAGCTGATATAATGTGCTTGATAATTTCACTATTGTTGGACTTTTTAAGTGATTTCAATATTCTTCTCATTGTAATATTATAGATGTATTTGTTCTTATATCCATTTTTTTGAATTATTGCCTGAAGATAAATTTATAGAGGTGAGTTTACTGAGTATGAGGCTGGTAACACTTTATGACTTTTGATACAAGTTGAGCCCTAAAAGTGTCATACCATTGTACAGTCGCCCCTCAGTATCTGCAGGAGCATTGGTTCCAGGCCACCTGTCAATACCAAAACCTGCAGATGCTCAAGCTCCTTATATGAAATGGCACAGTATTTGCACGTGACCTACAAATACACACACCCTGTTGTATACTTTAAATCCTCTCTAGATTACGTATAACACCGAATACACTATAAATGTTATGTAAATAGCTTTTTTTTTTTTTTTTTAGAAAAGTTCTTGCTCTGTTTCCAGGCTGGGGTGCAGTGGCATGATCACAGCTCACTGCAACCTCTTCCTCCCAGACTCAGGCTATCCTCCTACCTCAGCCTCCTAGTAGCTGGAACTACAGGTGTGCACCACCATGCCTGGCTAATTTTTGTATTTTTTGTAGAGATGGGCTTTTACCATGTTACCCAGGCTGGTCTTGAACTCCTGGGCTCAAGCAATTTGCCCATCTCAACCTTCTAAAATGCCGAGATTACAGGTGTGAGCTGCCGCTCCTGGCCAATATTGTGATACTGTATTGCTTCTCAATTTGTATTATTTTTATTGTTGTATTGTTATTTTTAATTTTTTGAATTTTTTTTGACGGAGTCTCGCTCAGACTGGAGTGCAGTGGTGCGATCTTGGCTCACTGCAACCTCTGCCTCTCAGGTTCAAGCTATTCTTATGCCTCAGCCCTCAGAGTAGCTGGGATTACAGGTGCCCACCATCACGCCCGGCTAATTTTTGTATTTTTAGTAGAGACAGGGTTTTGCCATGTTGGCCAGGCTGGTCTCGAACTCCTGACCTCAAGTGATCCACCTGCCTTGGCCTCCCAAAGTGCTGGGATTACATGCGTGAGTCACCGCACCCAGCATTTTCTGAATATTTTATTTTGTATCTGCAATTGGTTGAATCTATGGATGCAGACCCCACAGATATGGAGGGTGGACTATATTATGTAATGACACCAGTAGCTGATGGGTTTCCCTTCACAGCAATCTAAAATTAATTTTTTATTGAATAATGTGCATAAATGGTGCATTTACTCAGTATATGTTTATTGAGCTCCTAATGAGTTAGGCATCATGCTAGGTGCTGTGGACACACTGAGATGAATAAAATATGGGCGCTGCCTAGGAGAAATTCACAATCTCCTGGGGTAGATAAGGAGAAAAGAATGTGGTAAGTGCTGTGATGACAGAGGTGAGTATACATTTCCATAGGAATAAAAACGAGGAATGGATTCAATAGATGAGCTTACCTGTTTTTCTAGAACGTAGGCAGACTTGTGTGAGTTGGTTCCTACAGAATACATAGGCGTTTCCCAAATAGAGAAGGGGCACCTTATTTTAGTTTTTTTGTTGGAATCTACATTCCCTTATTTATTACATGCATTCCTAACATGTTTGCTTGCTTGCTATAGTTTCTCTTGTAGGATTACTGGTTTGTTTTATTGTACTGTAAAGTAGAATTAATAGTATTATAATATTTATGGTAACTTAGTATCACAATGAAGCAAAGCTAATAAATACAATAATGCCACAGCGCCATTTGCTGAAAGATAAAAGAGAAAAGAGTGTGATGTTGAGTTGAGAAGTGAAGGTGTTTGTAGGAGAGCATGATCACCTATGTCTGAAAGAAAAGTGATTCTCCCAGGTTAACTTTCCAGGCAAACAGAGTCATTTTGACAATGACTTTCCAAAAAAGACAAGTATACTTTCTTCATAAATCCATATTCAGTTTAGTCGCAGTACTAGGTTTTAAAATTTATTTTATAATTTTAGAATTCACAAGGATTCACTTATCCTTGAATTGTGGCAGAGTAGTTCCCAAGCTATCTGGCCCAGGCTCGTGAGCCCGGTTATCATGATCATGGATTAATGTAGAAAGAGCATGGACTTTGGAGTCAGTCAGACTTTGGATTCAAGTCCTGGTTTAACCCCTTACACACTGTATTACCTTGTTCATGTTTCCGCTTTCTCAGAGGCTGCTTACTCATCTGTTAAATGGGGATTAATCATACCTATCCCTATGAGACAGCATTAGTGTTCAATTAGATAATGCGTATAAAGTATTTAGCACAGCACATGGCACATGGCAGGCATTCAGTAAGTCCTCGTCATGTTGTTGTTGTGATTGTGGTCACTGGGTTGAAAAGATGAGACATAAGTCTAAGAAAGGCTAGTTCTGTTGTAACTTACTGATTATAACATGAACTAATTAAAAAATCCTGGCAAAGGCTCCACACACCACAAAATGGGAAAAATTGTATTATGAATTAAAGAGTAATCTGTTAAAAGATAATGGAAAGGTAGCAGCTCTCAAGTGCTTTTTGGGCAAGGAGAGATATAGGGTGCTATTCCCACCCTCTGGCAAGCTGAATAAATCCAGAAGCCAGCAAGCCAGAAAAGTGTTTTTTCTTTTCATCAACCAACCAATATTATGTTTCAAGTGTGTGCTTCAATAATATCACGTTTCCATTTTCACACTGAACAGAAACTCGGGAGCACTGAAAACCAGAGGTGCAAGGACTGGCCCTTAAGGCCCTCAAGCCCAAGCCTCTCATTTTCCAAATGAAGATACAAATGTCATCGTTGACATCATCTTGCTACTTAGTGGAGATTTGGCTCAGAGGGGAAAAAATTAGACTTTCTTACTCTCTGGTCCGTTTCCATTGGATCAGTGGTCTCCAATCTTTAGAACCACAAAGAGGTTGAGAATTAGTTGGAAGCACCATGGAGCATTTGGAAAATGGACTGAAAGCAAATTCTGGGTGTGTTTTGTTGTGGTTGTTACCAGGTGGGGATGAGCCCTTTTTGTTTAGAATCTCTCGAGTGTGTATCCCCTGACAAAGGCTAGTGCTAAAAGGAACATACATGTGAAGAGGCCACTTAGCATTACTCTCCTCGCTTCAGTGAGACAGCCATTACTTTTCATTAAATAAGTAATATTCTGAGCAATCCACCTACTCATCATTAAAGGCCATTAGTAGCTACTCTTTGTCAACATAAACCTTAATGGAGCCCTAGCAAGGGTTTTACTAAAGAGTTGCTAATTTTCAAAGGGAAAATTAGGAATACTGGAAGCAGAATTTCGTTTTCCCCTAAATCTCTTCTAAATATCCTTGCCTTTCCCCTTTGCCCTGGAAAACAAAGCAGCCACACAGTAATTATGGTGAGGCTACAGCAAGAAGAACCTCTGCTCTGGGTCTGCCCTTCTGTGGTGCAGTTCAGTCTTTGGTCACAGGGGAGCACAACTGATCTCTCAATTGAAAGCTCACAAAATACTCGCTGGCTTCTCTGGTCTTTTTGCACCCCAGTCTGCCCAATTTGAGGGCCAGGTCATTTAGAGTGATGAGGAGGCAACTAAACAGTCCTTCTTCAAGCCAAACAGACCAATTCTTATCTGTCCCAATATTTCAGCAGGGGAGATTTTCCTAGGCTAATTTGAAAATGCAACTGCAGAATGAATGGATTTGGATTGGCCGTGGCACATTGTATTTAATCTCCTGGTGGTAAATCTGCTTAGTGGGGCCAGAGAGGTCCTAGTTAACAAGCATAGCAGATAGGTAAGGTGGCCTACCTAGATGACTTCTAGGTAAGAGGGGTGAGAACTCTCTCCCCACTGCCACTTTTTCCTCACTCACCTTCTCTTCAATCATCCCATTGATTTAATTAATATCCTCTTTTTGAATTGGAAATTCCCTTAAACTTTGCAAAGCTTAATGTAAATTGGTTGAGTAGATCATTCCAAAAGTCCTAGCATAAACATTGGTGCTATTATTTGGCTAGAAATTCAGACAAAAGTAGGAGAAAAAAAATCAGATAAAATTAGAGCAAAACAAAATCAAACAACAACAAAAAAAAAACCCTTAAACTTCATTGTCATTCACAAACCCATAGAAAAACATACTTTATTTCCTTGGCCATCTGGCTGTTCATCAATTTAATTTTTGGCTTTGACATCATAAATAACAAAGTGGGTGACTTTCGATAGATCTTTTTTCCTTTGCTGGGGTCAGGATTAGGAGATAATCCTGAGACTGTTCATTGTATATTCTCAAAGCATGTAGACATTAAATGCATCAGGAGGCAGGGCACTTTGTGTTAGCCAGAAGACAATTCCAGTTGCAAATGCTTTTTAATTAACAGGGGCTTTGTATCAGCTTTCCTATCTACCCTGCTAGAGTTTCCATATCTGGGCAGGTGCATCCTGTTGTGTATTACTGAACAACAAAGGGGAATGCAAGGGCAGGGGCACTTTAGATAATTATGACTGGATGAGTGCATGCTTCCTCGCTCTCTGGCTCCTGCTACTTCTGTTGCTCCTCTGGCTGAATTCCCCAAGAAGTCTCCTTTAAGCAAACTGCAGCTCCAGTTGCTTGACTGATTCATTCATTCATTCATTCATTCATTCATTCATTCAACAAATGTTTACTGAACTCTGCTCTGCGCTAGATACTGTGCTAGGCCGTAGGTATATAGTGATGAACAAGGAGCATTCACCATCTAAAGTGGAAGGTAGTTATTCATGAAAGCAAAAAGGTAAAAGTGAGATGGATATTTTAATTCTAGAAGTCTTGGGAAATTGTCTCACATGGATTAACCACATCTTCCTCCCAGTAGTGTCTCTTTCTCTGTCTTCATGGGCCTACCTCACCAATGAAAATGGATTACCCCACTCTAAGATGCCATGGAATCCTAGAGAGGATCTTGCTGCCAATCCTGCCCATAATTTGATGTGGCAAAGAGTTCTACTAAAGCCAAGAGCTGGTAGCATAATAGATCCCAGATCAGGACTACTGGCATACAGTACACAAGCAACTGAAGTTAGCATATGGGTTCAGAATGGGGCAACAGTCTTCTTAGTTTCTGATTTTCCTACTTGGCCTCATCAGGAGACTCTGATTTTCCTACAGGCCCCATATCTGGGGCCAATCTTGACCTAGAGTGGGGAGAGGGGCTGATTGGAAGAGAGTGAGAAGTTACACATGGGATCATAGAATTTCAGAGCTGATAAGACACCCTGTAAGAACCTTGATGCTCGTAGCGTGGTCCATAGACCAGCAGCACCGACATCACCTGGAACTCATTGGAAATGCAGAGCCTCAGGCTCCTTATCAGATCTACGGAATCTGGATCTTCCTTTTAACAAAATTCCCAGATGATTTGTACACACATTAAAATTGGAGAAACAGTGCTTTAGATTAGTAATTATCAAACTTTTCCCTTGACAATCACACATTAGATGATAATTCTGTGCAGGACACATTTCCCTGAGTGTGGCCAAGGTCATGAACACTTCCTTACTGTGAGTGACAAATGATAAGAGATCATTGCAGTACACCAGTTCCATATCATGGTTAAAACAACTGATGTATCTTAGCCTCTTTATTTTATAAATGAGTGAATTTCCTGGCATCTGCACTATAAGCTCATGGCACAGCTGGGACCAAGAACCCAGGTCTTCAGTGGTCCTGTGGATCAGTCTTGAGTCAGTGGCTTCCTGCTGTTCCCTTATGACCCAACTCCACAAGCACTGTGTTTTTGTCATTTGTGTCTCAGGTTCAAGGTGCCAGCCACTAATATCTATAGACAGCTAACATGACTGTTTACCCACTTATCTTTGGCTTTGAATCTTATCTCTGTTGGTCGCAGCAAGGCATTTTCCTGCCTGTGACATCCTTTCATCTATAAGGACAGTTCTTGTCTGACCCTGACCACCCAGTTACCCTGCATGTAACTTTTGGGCCCTGGGCTCTACATTGAACTCTGTGAAGAGCACACATTGCCTAGTAGTTTGCTTTGAACTAGCCATGTGGACTCATATCTCCATGTCAACATCCCCTATAAAGTAGATTCCACAGTGAGGTAACCATATTTCGATTTTTCCACATTCTGGAGCCTGCCTGAGCTCTGGATTATAAGTCTAGATTTTTCTGTTGGGTCCTATCCAACTTCTATCTACCACCTTTAAAGTTAGATCCTAACCACCTTCTCTTCATTTCAAAGAATGTATTAATACAAGCCACAGAGATAAAGAGAAAAGAGTCTGTAAAGCAAAGATGGACTGAATCTTCAAATTAACCCAGGGTGGGGAGAAGTTAGAGAGAAAGGTTTTCCTCTACCAAAGAGGAAAATAAGAGGACTTCTTCCCTATGTTAAGAGTGTAATTCAATATCACCCAGACTGATTTAGTACTGAAATACTAGATTCTTCTTCAATTGTCAACATTTAAAAGAGAAGGTCATTTAGGTAGATGATATCTTAATTCTAAGACAATTTATTTCCCTTCAGTGTTGATATTTTTGTGATTAATGAGGAACATATTCCTGAATACATCTCTAAGAAACATGGCAAAGTCCCTTAACAACTTCACTTATCTCTTGGGGACCAGGGCCTGCTCCAGGCAACATGGAAAATAGGTGAATCTGATTGAAAACATCCTCCTCCCATAATTACCTCTTTTCGGGTTCTTGACATTTTGAGTAATGATCCCCTTTTCCTTGTTTCTCAGTGCTTTCCCCCTCCTTCTTCTCTCCCCTAGCAAAGAAGAAGTAACCTGCTAAATATATCCAATGTCATGCAACCCATTACTAGAGTATCTGCATGTTGAAAGACCCATAGGGAAGACAAAACTTAGCCCTAAGGAATCACTGCTCAAGATGGAACCTGAGCCATCAAAGATGGGGGAGGCCTATTGGCAGTGGGGTTTTCAGGCACCCTTCAGGTCCCATCAATAGTTGCTTGCCTGCTTTTCCCATGGATAAGGTCAGCTCTGAAGAAAATGACACCTGCCCCTGCCTTGCCTCATAAAGGGATTAGTAAGGATGAAATTAGGTCAGGGATGTTAAAGTGCTTTTTACACAGATCAAATCAGGGTTTTGATTTTTCCCAATCTAATCTAGACACTGCGTTGGGGTCGGTTTCTGCTTCAATCTCTCCATCTTTCAAAATGAGAATACCGTTCTCTTGCACTTCATGCAAGGCTACTGGGTGGGAAGGAAAAAAACGTGTTTACTGTAATGTCCACTGGATCAAAAATGAGTGAGATGATTGGCTTAATGGGACCAATGGCACTGCAGAAGGAACAAGTGGCTGTTTCCAGCCTGCATTTCAAATTAGTTTTGAGATAAGCAATGCCCAGGCAGTGAAAATTTGGTACCTTTGAACTACTTATTAGAGAAATCAATCCTCCTCCTGTGTTTAATGGCTTAAGGAAGGAAACAGTTCCACTTCATTATAAGAACAGACTTCCAAGCCATTTACCTGATTTCTTGTCTCAAAATTTACCCAAATGCTTTCTTATGGCAAGGGCAGTGGCTCTATGGTATTGTTTTTGATAGTGTGGTCTTCAGACCAATTGCATTAGAATCATGTGCTTATTACAAATGCAGATTCTTGGCTCATGCATATTGCCAAACTACCAATTCAGGATCTCTTGGCGTGGGCCCAAAGAAACCATATTTTAAACAAAAAAATAACTCTCTGGTATACCAACATGTAGGACCCACAATCATCAGTGGATTGAATTCCTCAAATATGCCTATCGTGCAGTGGCTCTTAACCTTGGCCATACACTAGAATCAACTGGAGGTTTAGTTAAAACACACACACACACACACACACACACATACACCTATGGCCAGCCCCACTCCAGAGCAATTAAATCAGATTTCCAGTGTGTGTGTTGAGGGGCGGGTAAGGCCCTGGCATCTGCATTTTAAAAGCTTTTCAGGTGATTTTAGGTATGCACACAGGGTTGGAAACCACTGATATGGGGCCATCACTGGGCTCACTCCTCCACCTTCCTTGAGTCACAAAGGAACTACTCAAGGGCACTCACAGCACAAATTTCCTGACTCCTAGCCCTTCTCAAACTTCTTTGGTGCTGATGCATTACAGGTCAGAAGAATCTACAGAGCACTTACTATGCACTATATACTGAGGAAGTCAGCAATGAACCAAACAAATGGACTTGACAGGAGCCCACATTCTAGTGGGAGAGAGATCCAATCACAAAAGTAGAAGCAGCATGAATCTCTCTAGAATCCTCCTATTGACTCTGCTGTTTCATTGAAATAAGGACTTTGGTCTCCCACACTCCAAAGAACTACTTCCTTATAAGGTTCCTTTGATTAACCCTCACCCCATCTCTGTGTTCAAAACATCCTTTAAAAGACCCAATTTTGAGAATTGCTAGAAGGTATTGTAGTTCTTAAGATGTTTTGGAGCTGTGTGAGTTTCTTTCCAAATCCCGAAGATTCTCTCAGATGTGAGTTACAAACTGTTGTCTCATCTTAGGCTCTGGCCTGTCTTAGCACGTGAATATTATAGCCTAATGGTGGTAGACTGACAACTACTAACTCATGGGGGTAAGAAATGAGCTGCTCTTCCCTCTGCCCCAAACATATCTTTATCCTTGAATGCAGTGCCCATGAAAATCTCTTTCTTAAAATAATTTTATTAGATTTTATCTGGAGATAACAGAGGCAGCTATTCCAGTTCAAGCAAATATATGGGATAATGTATAATATATTGCTATCCTGTAGAAGTTAATTAAAATTAAGATTTTGCTGTTTAATCATCTGATGCAGAACACAAGATATGGCCATTAGACAGCTTTCACTTCATTGCCTTCCTGTAATTATTTACTCCTTAGCTGTGAACTGTTAAGTCATGTCCTACATAACACCAAAATGTATTCTTTTCACAAAAAGGGAGAAGAAAACTTTCAGTGATCATGACCTTGTTTAATTTAACATGTAAAGGAGCCATGAATGAACCTTTCCCATTTCATTTACGATATTCATATGCTTTCAGTGCTAACCTGATCTGGTATCCTTTTGTTAAATCTAGCTATGTGAGAAAAATCTTTTTATTTTTTAATACCCATGTAGAAATGTCGAGTGCTTGCTTGCAACAGATAATTTAGACTCCTAGCTTCTACTTTAACAACAAGAACATCCCTTTTATTTATGCCTATTTAGGAAATGATTACAGTTTTAATTAACAGCAGTTAGAACTTCCTCAGCTTTTCAAGAGAGGGAAAGCGTCATTAATACTTGATTGTGGAAGTAATGGTAGGCTGTGGCAACTTATCTAGGCAAAGGTATAAATTGGACAGGGGGCACTTGGGGTGAGCTAGCACTCAGGAAATGAAATTAATCAATCTAGCTAAGGACAAACAGTGGGAAACTTACTCTGAAAGTCTTTTAAACATAAAGCAAAGGAATTATTTTACTGTTTACAAATATGTAATCACAATGATTAGCCTTTCCACTTCCATTGACAGGCTTAACCATTTCACCATACACTGTAAGCAGCAGTAGTGGAGAAGGGGGTTGTTCAGAAGTGAAACAAACATTCTAAATTCCAAGATAGGGAGCGTGCCAATGAGAAATTTTTAACAACTTCATTGAGATATTATATCTCAACAATAAACACTGAATACACACTGTACATTTCACCCATTTACAGAGTATAATTCAATTCTTTTTAGTGTACTCATTGAGTTGTGCAATCATCACCACTATCTAATTTTAGAATATTTTAATCACCCAAAAAGAAACCCTATACCCTTTAAGAACTAACTTCCCTCTCTCCTCTCCTCACAACCATTGGCAATTACTAATCTACATTCTGTCTCTGTAGATTTACCTATTCTGGATATTTAATATAAATGGAATGATGTATTATGTGGCATTCTTTGTCTGGCTTCTTTTACATGGCATAATGTCTTCAAGGTTCATCCATGTTGCAGCATGGATCAGCATTTCATTCCTTTTTATGGGTGAATAATATTCCATTGTATGATTATACCACATTTTGTTTATCCATTCATCAACTAATGGGCATTTCAGTTGAAATTCTATTTTGAATAATGCTGCTATGAACATTCCTTTACAAGCTTTTGTGTGGATATGTGTTTTCATTTATCTTGGGTACATATTTAGGATTGGAATTGCTGGCTCATATAGTAGCTGTATGTTCAGCATTTTGCCAGTGGGTTCTTAGCCATAGTTTTTAACACTCTTTTCTAAATTTAATTGAATTTAAAGAGATTGTAAATGAGTATGCTACATAGGCTTAATTAAGTAAAATTTTTCCTCAATACCATTTGTGAAGTTGAATTTAAAATTCAAAGTAAGTTTATACAAAACATGAATTCTTCAAATTGCCTTCTAATTAGATAATTAGTCATATTGGTACATTTTAGTATCTTATGCAGGTACATTGTCTTAAAAACAAGACCATTATCTGCTTGATAATGCATAGGCTAATTTCTGTGTTTCCCTGGATGTTCTTCCCTTAACATGAACTTGCCTGGAGAAGAAGGAAGAAAAACATAGCTTTTTCCATTTTCAGGTTAACAGTCTGTTATATTCCTAGTTGTTATGGCCACAGGTGTAACAATACAGAAGCTTGGGGACCCTCCTAAAGTGTAGTCAAGTCAAGCTCAACTGGTATGAAGTCAAAGCAATGGTGATAGAGGAAGACTTGAAAATCATCACTGGGATAACCAGTCCAAATTCAAGGCTCATTGCTTTTCTATGACAATCTTGGCCAACTGTGTTCAGACAATTGCAATAGCACGTTGATATAGTGCATTTGTATGTGCCTACCACTGTGCTAATTGCTTTACATGCATCATTTCATTAAACTCATTTTACAGCTGGAAAAACTAAGGCCTGGAGGTTTAAATAACTATCTCGAGATAATAAGACATATAGTAAGGCAAATTTAAAATGCAGGTCTGTCTGAATCCAGAGTCCACACTTTTAATTACCTAAGTTCTACTTTGATGAGAGCTTAACTTCACAGCTTTTAAATCTTCTGCCCTTGCCCGAGAGAGAGAGGAAAAAAAAAACCAAAATAATTGTTTTCTTCTTCCACACATTCTGGTACTCATGATTGCCAAGTGGCAATGCGGGTAGGTGGTCTCAAAATGACCCTTCTATTTACCGGATGTACCATAAAAACAGTCAGGAGAGGAATAGCCTTCTGCTCCTCTGGCGATAACTACTATAATTACATGTTCTGAATTTTCCAAGAAAGGATGGAGGAGAAGATTAAAGAGGGCCTGCCAATACCTTCCCTGCCCGTATCCCCATTCTCACCTCCGGCAACCTCCTCCCTCATATACTATGTTTTGGCAATATCCAAATGCTGGTAGTCTCCTGCACGTACTATGTTGTTTCTCACCTTTCTCACCCCTGAGGCTTTGCTCATGTTACTTCTATCTATGGAATGCCTTTCTCCTCTTCTTAACTTGGAAGAGCTCCCAATTAACCTTTAAGGCTCATCACCTGCTTTGGGAAGCCTGCCCTAATCTCTCTTTTGTTCCTTCCTAACAGCATATGCACAGATTTATATTGTGGTATTTTCCACACTGTAACTAAATTGTCTATTTCTTGGTCTCCTTGTCTTCATTGTGACCTCCTTAAGAACAGACACTCTATCTCATTTGTCTGAGTTTCAATGCCTAGTACAGTGATTGCCACACATAGCAAGTGCTCGATAAATATTTATTGAACGAATACATGAGTGAACACATAAACTAATAATTATGGTGCACTTATTACAGGGCAGGCCCTTTATAAATATCAAATTATTTAGTCCCAAAAACAAACCTTGGAGTTAGGTAGCAATATGTCCATGTGGATAGATGAAGGAATTAAAGCACAGATAACTCAGCTAGTATGTAGGAGTGCTAGAATTCAAACCCAAGCTTCAGTGGCTCCAATGTCTGGCTCTGTCCACATGCCCTTACTCTCTGCTACCATAGAAAACTGACTCTGGATTTTAAACCCCTGTTATCTGTGTCTATATATCATGGGAATGGCCCCCAAGTTCAAACATTTCCATGTACAAGTTGCATCCCTCACTTGTCACACTCAGAAGCAGCACACAAGACCTCTGTCATACAGCTTACCTGATTTTTATTTGATATTTTGGTGAATGTGGTCACAGAAGCTTGGGTAGAAGTCAAGTTCTGGTTCTTTTTAAAATTTAAATTAAATTAAAAAAATTTTTGAGACAGGGTCGCACTCTGTCACCCAGGCTGGAGTGCAGTGGTGAAATTTAGCTCATTGTAACCTTGAACTTCTGGGCTCAAGGGATCCTCCTGCCTCAGCCTCCGGAGTATATTTGGGACTACAGGCATGCATCACCATGCCAGGCTAATTTTTTTTCAGCTTGTTTTAGAGTCTTGCTATGTTGTCCAGCTGGTCTTGAGCTCCTGGGCTCAAGTGATCCTCCTGTCTAAGCCTCCCAAAGCACTGAGATTACAGGCATAAACTATCATGCTCGGCCAAGACCTGATTCTTTATGAAGCTCTTTTATTGTATGCTTATTATTCTGCTTGCCTTTGAATAGTGGTCACCTCACTATGCACATAGTGGTTACCTCACTATGCATGTCAAAGGCAAGCAGAAATGACTCTCTACAACCTAACAGTGTGGAAAACAAGGTTTAAGGACCTTAGCAAAACATAGCAAGAGGGAGTCAAGGGTGATAAAACATTTACTGTCAACATTTTGAGAGGAGTAGTTTTAAAGAATTTTATTTTTTTTAATTCACACAGATTTTAATTGCATCACCCAGTGAGAGCTGCTGGAAAGGCCCAGAGGCTTTTAGAAGTCCTTGTGAATGCATAGATATAAAATCTCTTACACTCCCTTTCTGATGCCACTGAACATCTTTGATTCTATCAAGCAGTAATGGAACTGGTTTGTGATCTCTGAAGTAGTACTGGATACCACCAAATTGGTTCTAAATAGTTTGCTTTGACGTAGGTCGTTGCGCTCACTCAGCACAAACCTCATTCTTTTCCTATCTAAACAAGAAATCATCTCAGGCCACCTCCATTATTATAGGCCATGAAACTGTGCTCCTGTAAGTCACTAAGAGGCACCTTTTTTTGTTCTTCCTCAGAATGTGCTCAAGGTAAAAGCCTAAATGGCAAAGCCAGAATTAAATGCCTCGTCCAGCCCTGACACTCATGTTCTTTCTAGTCCATTAAGCTGCCTTCCAAGTTCAAATCTGCAGCTCTCACAAGGCCATGGAAATGTCTCCTAAATTTTAACATTTCAGTGTCTAAACCATTTCTTCCTTCTTGCTTCTTGGTTCCCAGAAGCAAAAGGAAATATCTTACATGCTTTTCTTTACCAGAAAGATTTTGTTATATTATTCAGAAAAAGGTTTATTCTGCTAACCATGGCTGTAGATATTTACATTAATCATCTAAAGTTTTCTTGAAGACTCTTCTAAAAAACTTACACAGCATACTTCATCTAGCTTGTGATAAAGTACATAGAAGACTTCCTGAGCAACTATCCATTTACCTTTATCTCAGGAAAGGAATGCTAGCACCTTATTCCATTCTTCAAACATTTGCCACTGCATTGTGTCATCATTCCTGATATTCTGGTTTTATCTATCATTGGCTGTATTTTCTAACACTGGAGCAGAGTTCATTTTCTTTTGATTTTTAATCTATATGTAATCTTCTGTTCACTACGTGGAATCAGACATGTCTGTTTTTGCATAAAGAGCTTTAAGTTACAGGTGTAGCACGAGGGTGGTTGTTGAGGAAAAAGGAGGGGGAATTTCCACATTCTGATCTCCCAAATGATGAGGAAAATGATGTGATGCTTGGAAACATCACAGAAGTGTCAAAAGTACACGAAACCAGTGACATAATATGTAGTACATTAATTTGCTCAATAAATATTTATTAAATGTCTATTATATGGCAAGCATATAGATGATGCAAAGAAAAGACAATAGAGGCAGAGACCACTTCCTTTCACCACATGAACTTTTACACCAACCTACATTTAGGCCTTGTGAAACTACCACTCCATAATGGAACTGTTGCTAACCAGTCAATCTAGGAGTTTGTCAGTGAACTGAAGGAAATGTAATACTGTACTGAGAGGGCAGGATTGATATCCTTTAGATATAAGGAAAGGCCTTAGAAGATGGGCATAGGTATTGAGGGGATAGGTTAAAAAACTCATGTTGCATTGCTGCTATCTTCTTAGGAACAGAGAAGGACAAGTAAGTGAATGAGAGAGCTTAGTGGGCGGAACATGTGAGACATGAGTTGCATGGAAAAGATTAGAAATAGCAATTAAAGAGTGTGTGGACAAGAGTCAACAAGAGAAAGAATAAGAAGGAACAGGGAAGGAAGTCACATTCATAGTGTCTCAAATATGTGTCAGGCACCATACTAGTGACTTGTTAGACAGGTAACAGTCGTTATTCTTCGGAAGGAATAATTGGTCCAAATTAGAATGCATTCATGCTTTCTTACAACCAATCATAATGTGCCTCCAGGAAACAGGAGTAGTAGACAGAGAGCAATGGGGTTAATTTGGGAAAAGAGTCAAGCACAGCAGAATAGTAAGGAATAGCAAAGAACTAAAATGGTAATTAATGGAGTCCAGGCTACATAGAATTAATTATAAGCAGAAGAATGTTATGGGACTTTGTGAACAGAAAAAAAGACAAAGTAAGTAGAAGGTGAAAGGCCAGTCTAGTGTGGTTGGGAAATGGGGGTTAGAGGCAGGAATGGAAGTTGTGCTTAATGGAGGAAAACTAAGTGCAACATCTTACCAGAGGAGCATTTCTTCATGGAGTTGGGATTCAGAGAGGGAGCAGTGTGGTGGGTGGTTAAGGTAGCATGGATTTGGGGCTTAGTGGAGCTGAGGATAGGATACCAGTGCCAAAGTCATCAAATATATACTGGAGGAAGAGAGGAAAGAGGAGAAAAACATAAGCCAGTTACCAAAATAATTGAGGAAGATAACCCTCAGAGCCCTTGTGGTGAAAATTTTGCTAATATAATTTAAAGAAACAAAATTATCTACTTTCAGAAATTGGAAGAAGACAAGAAAACTAAACCCCAATCAAGAGGAAAGAAGAAAAAAATAAAGATGAGTATAAATAAATGAAAACAGAAAATAGAAAAACAATAGATAAAAATCAACAAAATCAAAAGTTGGTTCTTTGAACAGATAAACAAAATTGGAAAATGTTTAGCTAGACTGACACGGTGAAAAAAAGACTCACATTATTAAAGCCAGAAATGAAAGATGGGTCATTCTTACCTATTATTACAGAAATAAAAGGGATAAAATGGGATACTATGAAAAATTGCATGTCAACAAGTTAGATAATCTAGATGAAAAAGACAAATTCCTAGGGAGACACAAATAAGCACAATTGACTCATAAGGAAATAGAAAATCTGAAGAGGGCTATAATAAGTAAAAAGGTTGGATTCATAATAAAATAGAAGCCCGGACCCAGATGGCTTCACTGGTCAATCCTACATAATGTTAAAAAAAAAAAAACACTAAATGTTTACAAATGCTTCCAAACAATAAAAGTGGAGGGAACACTTACCAATCATTCAATGAGGCCATTACAACCCTGACACCACAATCATACAAAAACATCACAAGAAAAGAAACTAAAAATCACTATCTTATATCAATATAAATACAAAAATCCCCAACAAAATATTGGTAAAATGAATCTAGCAGCATATACCAAGGATTATATACCATGGCTAAAAGGGATTTATCCAAGGAATGCAGTTACTTCTACATACAGAAATCAGTGTAACACACCATATTAAGAGAACAAAAGATAAAAATCACATGATCAACTCAATATATACAGAAAAAGTTTAGACAAAACTGTATTTTCTCATGATAAAAATACTTAACAAACTAGGAATAGAAAGAAAGCAGAAGGGGGATGATTTTCTTTTAAGAAACGAGGGACTAACCAGTGGCTCTTTACTGCCAGTTTGGAGGGCTTAGTTAATATTGAGAGTTGTATATTGGGTGCTTTGTGGAATCTTTTGAGTTCTGTATGAATATCGTATATTAATGCTTTCTTGTTGAATTGGCAGAATTTAGTAGTGAAAATCTCCCCTGTCCTTCTTCTCTCCAACTAAAGTTTTTCAAGCTTCTTCTGAAAAATGTCAGATATGCCAAAAAAGCAAGAAATCATTTTTTTAAAAAAGAAAAGAATTAGTGAACAAATCTACATGAGAAATGTAGGAGTGCTCGCTTCGGCAGCACATATACTAAAATTGGAATGATACAGAGAAGATTAGCATGGCCCCTGCGCAAGGATGACACGCAAATTCGAGAAATGTAGGAATTTTCCATTCCTCAACTTCAAAAAACAATTAATATATAGTTACATAACTCAAGTTGTAGAAAATGGAAACTTTCCTCCAGGGATGTATTATGACCACGCCAATGAAATCTCATGGTTGGGATATGCCAACATGAGGAAACCACAAGTGACAAATTATATCATTTCCAGAGATGGAGGCTGCTTTTGCCTGTTACTAAACAGAAAGCTTCAAGGTAGAATGTGTGTGGGTGTATTTTCATACGCAAACTAAATGAAAATTAAATCAATTATCAGAATGATTCAAGCCCCAATTCCCCAAGGTTTCCTTCAATTAGATAATTGATGCAATTAGGTGAAAGGTTCTGGGGTAGACTTTTCTGGTCTGAATTATCTCAAATTACTCTAATTCTCCACTTCACTTTGATTATGTAGACCCAGCTCATGCTCGAGTGTAAGTGAATTTAAGTAAGAGCTATGCTGCTAGTTCAGATAATTCCTTGCTACATGGGTATATTTTTTTCTTCCCATAAAATGTGATCTGCAGACTATGTTTATAAGCCAGTTTCAAGTACAAAACTACAGCTTTACATAATAAACCTGTAGGACTTGCTATTTAATATATAATAGGAAACAATTACTGGAAAGGAATAGTTTAATAAAAGTCTGTTCTGGAGCGAGAACTGCTGCTTCCAATATTTCCCTCTTTTTGTTGGAGAGGCTAGGCTTGGGGACAAAACTGACTCAAGAAAAATAATACAAATTTTATGTAGATTTGGCCTTAACTGAAATTAGTTTACATAAATAAGAATCTATCGCATTGTGGTGGAAACACCTGATTATCTTCAGATCAGATTCTTAGCAATCTCAACCAGGTATCAAGTAAAAAGTCAGTGTAGAAGGACTCTGAGAAGTGATGTGCAACACTGAAGAAAAAGTGGCCTCAGGTCAGATTCTATTGACTTAGAATTGGATATAAATCATGACTTAGTAAGTTTGGATATCTTGTTTTTTTTCCTTGGTTCTTGCAATATGATATTAGATTTTCCAAGTGTGGCAGGGGAAAAAAGAAAAGAGAGGGATGTTGCATTCCATACACTAGAAAGGATAGTGCCAGGAATGGAATACAGAATCTGGGGACACTGAGTGTGGGAACAAATAGCCTAGAAAAACTTATCACAATACTTGAATCTTCATCCAGAAAAGCAATAATTATTAAGTGATATTAAGTATCATCTGTTTAAGAAGTCAGAGGAATATGTGGTACATTTTACAGATGTGTTTTAGCCTAAGTAGCTAAAAAGTATTTGGTATCAAGGTATGCTTTAGGTATCTGGAAATTTTATTTACAAAGAACTACTAATTATCTGATGATAGCATTTAAATGTTGTCATCACATCTCAGATGTAGACATTTAGAGCTGTCTGCCTATTTAATCTTGTCTGAAAAGTAGACTTAGCAAAATAGAAAATGTGCATGTCATTCGACTCTTCAATCCCAGTCTAGAAATTTACCCAGGGATATTACCACCTGAAGGGAAAAAGATGCATTTATGTTCATTGATCTCAATTTTTCATCATAATGGGAAATTGGAATCACCACCAATGTTTAACCATAGGGGATTGGTTATGAAAATATTACGCGGCCATTAAACATGATGTTGTGGAGGAATATTTAGTGTTGCTTTTATAATATATTTTAAGTAAACATTTAAAAAATATTCAGAACAACAGAATATGTAAAGTGTGACCTCATTACCTCATTCCTTTTTTTTTTTTTTTTTTTTTGAGACAGGATCTTGCTCTGTCACCCAGGCTGGAGTACTGTGGTGATCTGATCATAGCTCACTGCAGCCTTGAACTCCAGGGCTCCAGAAATCCTTCTGCTTCAGCCTCCCAAGTGGCTGGGACTACAGGCACATGCCACCACACCTGGCTAATTTTTTAAATTTTTGTAGAAACGAAGTCTTGCTATGTTGCTCAGGCTGGTCTTGAACTCCTGGCCTCAAGCAATCCACCTGCCTTGGCCTCCCAAAGTGCTGGGATTACAGGTGTGAGCCACTGCACTGACCCTCATTTCTTTTTTATTGTATATATTTAAGGTGTACAATTTGATGACTTGGTGTATATATATATATATATATATATATATATATATATATATATATATCCTACATAAATATGTATACACACATTATGAAATAATTACTACCATCAAGCTGGTTAATATATCTACCTCCTCACATAGTTACCTTTTATATTTTGGGGATGAGAACACTTAGTATCTACCCTCTTAGCAAATTTCAACAGTGCGGTACGATATTATTACCTATAGCCACCATGCTATACCTTAGATCTTCAGAACTTATTGATCTTGCATAACTGAAACTTTGTACCCCTAGAACAACATCTCTCCATTTCCCCCATCCTCCATCCCTGGTAACCAGCATTCTACTTTCTGCTTCTATGTGTTTTACAGAATTATAGATTCCACATACAAGTGAGGACATGCAATATTTGTCCTGTGTCTGGCTTATTTCACTTAGCCTAACATCCTCTAGGTCCATCTAAATTGTCACAAATGGCAAGATTACCTTCTTTAAGTGTGAATGATATTCCATTATGCATATATATGTTATCTCATTCCTGTGAGAGCTAAACAAATTTGTATGTGTTTAGCTCTAGAAGGATGTTTAGGAAGAAGCCTCCACTGCATTTAAAATATCGTGGTTTTAATTATTGAATTGGAATGGTGAATGTACGAGTGTTCATGGTACTATTCTTTCAACCTTTCTGTATGTTTGAAAAATCTTATAATAAAAAAGTTGAACAAAAAAAATCATAGACTAAGGTCACTAAGATGTTTCAAATTACAGGGTTTGCTGATTTCTGAGGAAACTGATTACCTTCAAACTGTGTTTAAGTGTCAGGTATTATTGTGGAATGATTAATGTCAGCCTGTCCAAATATAACACCAGCGGGAGTAGTTTCACAATTTCATGCCAGCTCTTCATTCCCTAATGTACACATCACTCCATGGGCATGCACAGTGCACATTAGCTGAAGGCCCAGACTTTGAAAATATCTCCTACTCAGCTATACACAACATCACAGAACTCAGAGGGAATAGAGAATTTGCCTGGCAAAAATAAACACAGCTTTTGATTTGCTTAACACTCAACAGTGGGCTTCCGTGAATCTGGTAACTCGTTGTTTTTGGAAAATAAAATGACAGTGATGACATCTATGGGAATAGGATCCAAATAATATACTCACTTTCCAAACACAGGCATTTCAAAATAAAAACCAAACTATCATTGCTATCTGATAGGCCCCCCCAAAGCCCATTTTTCACCCTAAGTCTTTAATTATTAGTAAATTTGACTGGCTTTTTGTGTACTGGACTGAAAATTTTGGTATCTTTGGTAAATTGTTATTTATGTTGTTTCCCTACTTCAGATATTCACTTGTCACTGATATGTTAGTGCTCTTTGTGTGTTATACATAATAACCCTTTTTAATGTGTGACAATGTTTTCTCCAGTTTGAAATTTACCTTTACCATGGTGTTTTCACTATCTATAAGTGTTTTTCGTACTTATATATTCACACCTATCAATAGCGTCTGCCTTTTATGTTGTCTTTGGAAAAGCATCCTCCACTCCAAGATTTTAAAAACAAAATACTCACCGTTAAGTTCTTATAGTACTTTTAGTTTTTTTCTTTTCTTTTTTTATATTTAAATCTTTAAATAATCTGGAGTTTATTTTGCTTTAAGTCATCAAATAGAATCTAACTCAATTTTCCCTCCAAATGACTTGCCATTTGTTCAGTATCATTTATTGAATAATTCTTCCTCTACCTCCCTCCCAATACTTTCTCTGCATGCCAGTGAAAAGAAAAAGGTTACTTATTTTAATTTAAAGAAGTGGCTGGGTGTGGTGGCTCACGCCTGTAATCCCAGCACTTTGGGAGGCCGAGGTGGGAGGATCACCTGAGGTCAGGAGTTTGAGACCAGCTTGGCCAACATGGTGAAACCCCATCTCTACTAAAAACACAAAAAATTAGCCAGACGCGGTGGCACGCACCTGTAATCCCAGCTACTCAGGAGGCTAAGGCATGAGAATCACTTGAACCTGGGAGGCAGATGTTGCAGTGAGCCGAGATCGCGCCACTGGACTCCAGCCTGGGCAACAGAAGGAGACGCCATCTCAAAAAAAAAAAAAAGTGCTCTATGATTTACAAAACTCTCCTGATCCTGAGAATCATAACCAAACTGGTAGTTCCCCCACAAAAATGATCAGAGACATTTCTAATCTATCTTCAAGTCCTTTATTGACACTTTTGAGGTTGTTTCTTGGCAAATGTACCTTAACAATGCTACTTTTTATTCATGTGGAATGAGATATATCCGTGGAATCATAATATTTCTGTGAAATGTTGCTGGATATAAAGATCTTTTGTCTTTTATTGGCTTTCAATATTGTGCCATGACTTGGCCAATTTACAAAGCCTACGTTTAAGAATGAGCACCGGCCTGGGAGGATGCTTGGGTCCTAGTTTGAGTCTACTTCTTTCTGGCTTGTTCTGTGTCCATAGGCAAGTCAGTCCCATATTTGAGTCTTATTCTCTTCATTCTCAACAAAATGAAGCGATTGTTTCTCTGGAATCTGAACATTTCAGATTTCTTTCCATTTTAGCAGTCTACATTTTAAGTTCTTTGACACAGTTGCAAAAGTTTATGTCTTTGTACAAACTGCCTACAGAGAGAATCTGGCAGGTTTTGTCATTCAGGAGCAAATGGAGCAAGCACACACAGATATAGACCTTGTACTTTCATGTCCAAACGTGACTTTATGGGTGGTACACAATTTTCCCTATCAATTAAGGTATAATTGATTGATTGCTACAGAGTGCGACAACCCCACACAAAGCAAACCAAGGATGTTCCCAAAGGCTTGACTCTCCTTTTACTTTAAAAGTGCACAAAGTACAGGCTGCACCCTATGCCACCGGGCACATGTCCGATTGACTTTTGAAAAGCCATAACATGATTTTTAGATAGAATCTAGGCGGTAATATTAAATCAGATAAACCCGATCTTTAAATAAAATGCTTAACTTTTTTCATGCTTAATTTCAACATGCTGAAATATATTTTACAGATGAAGAGCTATACATTAGTATAAGAATCTGAGAATCTCTGGTTCCTATTAAAATGAACAAAAATAGGATGAGAGTATTGACTCACTTGGTTATTTACTTCATATGGAAAGGACTGTGGATGGTAGGCTTGAGGAATGACCAAGGACCAAACAGGGCTGCAAAAGTGAAATTGCCTGGCTCTGTCTCCACCACTTTTCCAATTCTTTCATATTGTATTTACTGCTTCACACAATACCTCAAGATGAAATGTCCGTAATTAATTTACAAAGCAAAGAGCAATTCTAGGATATTACAAATAATATTAGATCATTAGCATTATAAATAGCAGACTTACACATTAAACTTTAATTAGATTCTTTCTTATAAATCCAAGTAGCAATTTCGTGACTCCCAAATACGTGGCTTTTTATTTATTTATTTATTTTTGAGAGAGAGTCTTGCTCTGTCACCCAGGCTGGAGTACACTGGCGCAGTCTCAGCTCACTGCAACTTCTGCTTCCTGGGTTCAAACGATCCTCCCACCTCAGCCACCTCAGTAGCTGGGATTATGGGCACCCTCCACTATGCCCGGCTAATTTGTTTATTTTTAGTAGAGACGGGGTTTCACCATGTTGGCCAGTCTGGTCTCGAACTTCTGACCGCAGATGATCCGCCCGCCTTGGCCTCCCGAAGTGCTGGGATAACAGGAGTGAGCCACCATGCCCAGCCCCAAATATGTTACTTTCCACAGAATAATCTCACTAAACAACTCTGGGCTACAGAATTTGAGTCAGATGTCATTTTCTCATCTGCTGTTGTCCAGTACATTGAGAACATTGCCTTTTTTTGTAGGGTCAAACATAGGGCAGTGAGGCTGTCTCTAGCAAAGCCTGCATCTCTCTCTATCTTCAGGAGAGAGAATGAGAACTCTAGCCATTTGCCAGCTAAATCAGGCCAACATGTACCTGTCCCTGACTATGCAGAAATGAAAAAACAAAATGAATTTGGATTTGATGTTTCAGAATCTCAGGAAACAGCCTTGCTTCTTAATTTGTTAGTACTCACTTAGACAGCTGGTAACAGGATGGACCTATACAATTAGCATTTTTCTCTGTCATATCTAGAGCAAAGACCATACTTTTCCTGTTTAGTCTCCATAATACCTCTACTTGGTATGTATTATTATTCCTATTTTACAGATGCAAAAGCTGAAATCCAGTCAGGTTACATGGCTTGCTCAGAATTATCAATTAGGGACGTAAGACAGCCAGAATTTGTAACCCAGACCTGTCAAACTCCTGCCCTGCACTGGAGGACTGGATATTTAGTTATGGTGAAAACATTAAAAATATTCCTTTAAAGAGACCTGCAGAATCTCTCCTCAATGGGAAGAAAATGTATGTATCAATGTAATTGCAATAGCTCACTGTAATACTCAGAAATATGGGTCAACTGAGGAGCAGGAGAGGCAACTCAGATACATGGGAACCTTCATCTTAAACAAAGTTTGTGAAACAACAAAACTTTGTCACTTTGATTTAGGCATTTGAATGTGACTCTTCACCTAGTACATTCATATTAATATTTCAACGATAAATAAAATGCACTTACTACAAAAAGTTGTTTTAGTCCAGTAAAACCTAAACTTTCAACCAGGGCTGATGATAATGGCTGACATTAATTGAGCACTTGCTACAAGCCAGGCGCTATTCTAAGGATGTTTTCCTGCATTACCTCATTATCTTACTATGTATAGTCGGCACTATTATTATAATCATGTCACAGATGAGACAACTGAGATTCAAACATTTGGAGTGGCTTGTCAAAGGTCTGACAGCTGCAAAGTTGCAGAGCTGAGATTCCAATCTAGGTCTTACCTTAAAAATGTACTGTCAGTATAACTACTTTTTAGGAAAGCTAGAACAATCCAAATCCATCCACAATGTTCTTTTCAAAGAATATAAGGCAGTAGGCATTTGCAGGATTCATTCATTTAACAAAGAAGCTAGTTGTTAAATAACTATTGCTACCTTTCTTAATTAACAGATGTGTCTAGATAACACTGGTTATCTTTGCTCTCACTTTGACTTTCCTCATAGTCACAAAACCACTCCACATGGGCAACTCTTTCACTGTGTGCTTCCCTGGTAATGAAGCACGCTGGCCAAGTCCTGAGATACTTGGCATGGTACAAAAATCACATGTCTTGCAGTCTATGAAACGAAACACCCAAAATTTGATGGGTCTCTTTGCCAGCCAAAGGAAATGCTAATGCCTTAGCACAGAGTTCAAGAGTCTCCACGGTCTTTTCTGGATATGTCTGTGAAGGTGTTTCTGGAAGAGATTAACATTGGGATTGGTAGACTAAGTAAAGCAGATTGCCCTCCCCAGTGTGAATGAGCCTCATCCAGTTTGATGTTGTTGAAGGCCTGAATATAACAAAAAGGCGGAGAAAAGGTGAAGTAACTCTGCCTGACTGCTTGAGCTGAAAAATCTATCTTCTCCTACCCTTGGTTGCTCCTGATTCACAGGGCTTCAGTCCTGGGCTGAAATCAACATCATCAGATCTCCATATCTCAGGCTTTCAAGGTACTTGTAGATGGCTGTGATGGTTAATATTGAGTGCCAACTTGATTAGAATGAAGGATGCAAAGTATTGTTCTTGGGTGTGTCTGTGAGGGTGTTGCCAAAGGCAATTAACATTTGAGTCACTGGACTGGGAGGGGCAGACCCACCCTCAATCCGGGTGGGCACCATCTAATCAGCTGCTAGCGAGGCTAGGATAAAAGCAGGCAGAGGAACGTGGAATGGTTAGACTGGCTTAGTCTTCTGGCCTTCATCTTTCTCTCATGCTCTATGCTTCCTGCCCGCGAGCATTGGACTCCAAGTTCTTCAGCTTTGGAATTCTTGGACCTTCGACCCCAGACTGAAGCTTTTGGCTTCCCTACTTCCAAGGTTTTGGGACTTGGAATGGCTTCCTTGCTCCTCACCTTGCAGATGGCCTCTTATGGAACTTCACCTTGTGATCATATGACCCAATACTCCTTAATAAACTCCCCTATATATAAATATAGGGTTCTCTAGAGGGACAGAACTAATAGGATAGATGAATATATATATTATATATATATATATATAATATATATATATATACACATCTCCTATATATATGTGTGTGTGTGTATATATGTATATATATATATATATATACACATACATACTCTGTCTTTAATAAGCTCCCATATAGTATTTATTAAGTTTATTAAGAACTTATTAAGGACAGAGGATGCATATATATATATGCATTTTTTTCTTTTTTTTGTGTATATATATACATATATACACACACATACACACACACACATACTGGAGGAGAGATGTATATATACATCTACCCTATTAGTTCTGTCCCTCTAGAGAACCCTAACACACACGATGGCAGATTGTGGGACTTTTAAGCCTTCATAATTGTAAGAGCCAATAACTTATAATCCCTCTCTCCCTCTCTCTCTCTCTCTTCAATTACATGTGTGTGTGTATATATATATATATATATATATATATATATATATATATATATATATAAACACACACGTATATATACACATACATATATATACAAGAGTATATATATATATACACACACATACATATATATACAAGAGTATATATATATATATGTACATATATGTATGCATATAATTGGTTCTGTTTCTCTGAAGAACCCTGACCAATACACTCTCCCACCTCCTTGCGTTATAATGCATCCTTTGCTTAGAATATCCCAACACTCATTTCTCTACTAGTTTCCACGCTATCCTATTTTCAAGGCTCATCTCAATGGGCACCTACTTGATGACACCTGTTTTGATAATCCTAGATATTAATCTCTCCTTCCTCGGAACACCCAAATTACTCTGTATCTTTCTTAGAATTTACCTTTCTTTACCTTGCATTATGGTTATTTTTGTATGTCTTAAACTCTTATTACATTTCAGGTTTCCTATTTGCATATTTTTTTCCAAACAAATATAAAGGAGGTATTTGGTAAATGCACCTTAAATTGAAATTGAGGGTCTGAGCATCTGATGCCATTGTACTGCTTGTGGTGTATATGCTATTACTATACAATCTTTGGTGCTTAGTTCAACTTTGGCAACTCTTGACTGTAATCAATTCTGGTCGTGTCTCTGCCTTGCTTAAAATCCATCATAGACAGTGTTCTTTTTTTGTAAACAGAAATTCTCAAAGTGTATCTGGTGGACAGACCCCTAGACATCCCCAAGACCCTTACAGGGTGTCAACAAGTTCAAATCTATATTCATAATAATACTAAGACATTATAGCCTTTTTCTTTACTGACGGTGCAAAAATAACAGAGAGTAAAACTGCTGGTGCCTTGGCACAAATCAAGGCAGTAGCACCAAACTGTACTAGGTAGTAATTGTATTCTTCAACATCACACACTCAGAGTTTAAAAAAATACACAAAGCCATTTGCACATAATACTGTCCTTGATAAATCAGTAAATATTATTATTTTTATTAGATCTTAACCTGTGGGTACATCTTTTTAATATTCTATGTTATAAAGATGGAAACTATGCATAATCCATTTCTATCATATACTGAAGAAAGATGGTTGCCTTGAGGAGACACATCTGCATAATTGAGTTGTAAGCTGTACTAGCCACTTTTTTACATGAAACACCATTTTCACATGAAAGAGCTACTGGCAAAAATATATGGTTATGCAGCCTTGTGTATTTTGCAGACATTTTCTTGAAAACGAAATAAGTGAGCTTGTCAATTATAGGAAAACAACTGATGATATTTTACCAATGATACAATTTTTGCCTTCAAGTGAAAATCAGAATTCTGAAACACTTCCATCTGCAACTGTGAACCTGATAAATTTCCAGTACAAAAGACTTTTCTGATGAGATTGGAAATGATATTGATGAATGTGATTTATGATATTGTATAACGTAATGTGTCAACATTTGGAAGATCTGTATAACTCACTGTATCAGTATTTTTCAGACAACCAAGGCATGATGTTACAAAATCATGCTTGGGTAAAAGATTCACTCAAAATGCAAGATAGATCAATGGATTTTAAAGTATGAGTGTAAAATTTTGTTGATATGGTTGCAGATTGTATATTGCAGCTAATTCTTTAGAAATGATCACTCATTGAAGTTTGCTGTAGCATTAAAGAAGAATATCCACAATTGTCTGAGATGGCTACTAAATTACCTCATCCCTTTCCAACGATATATCTTTGCGAAGCTGGATTTTTTTCCATATCCCTATACCAAAACAACACATCACAACACACTGAATGCAGAAGGGGAGATGAGAACCCAGCTTTCTTCTATTTAGCCAGACATTAAAGAGATGTGCAAAATGTAAAACGATGTCACTTTTCTTACTATTTTTGCTTTGTTTTGGAAAACACGGCTAGTTTAATAAAAATGTTAACGTGTAATGGGTTTATTATTGTTTATAAATTATTTAACAAGAAAATATTCTTAAAATCTTAGCCTTAAATTCCAATAAAGCAAATATTGATAGGTATCATTCATATAAATAAAATCTTTGGAGGGCTGTCAATAATTTTTAAGAGCATAAAGGGATTTTGAGGCCAAAAATTTGCGACTCGCCACTGTTTTCATAAAAAATGTTTTACCATGACTCCAAAGGTCCTCATGACCTGGCTTCTGCCTCTCTCTCTCCAAGATCATATTGTGCTAATGTCTCTGTCTCTCATCACGATCCAGTCCTCACACTTCTATGTTTTCTCCTGCCCAGGACCTGTGCATGTGCTAACCCATTTGCCTATAACTGTCTTTTCCACCCCTCTACCTTCCAGATTCAGCCTTCAGATTTCAAATCTGTATAACTTTTCTATTGCAGTGTACAATTTACCACCAACTCAGTAGCTTAAAACAACACGTATTGGCCGGGCACAGCGGCTTACACTTGTAACCCCAGGACTTTGGGAGGCCAAGGCGGCCGGATCACTTAAGCTCAGGAGTTCAAAACCAGCCTCGGCAACATGGCAAAACCCGCCTCGGCAACATGGCAAAACCCCATCTCTACTAAAAATACAAAAATTAGCCAGACATGGTGGCACACGCCTGTAGTCCCAGCTATTTGGGAGACTGAGGCATGAGAATCGCTTGTACTTGGGAGGTGGAGGTTGCACTAAGCTGAGATTGGGCCACTGCACTCCAGCCTAGGCACCAAAGCGAGACGTGTCTCAAAAAAAGAAAAAAAACTCCACATGTTTATTGTCTCACATATATATAAATTAGAAATCCATGTGTGCTCAATTGGTTTCACTGCTTCAGGTTTCACAAGGCCCAAATTAAGGTGGCATCAGGGCTGTGCACCTTTCTGGAGGTTCTAGGGAGAATCCATTTCCAGGCTCATTCACGTTGCTGGCAGAATTCATTTCCTAGTGGTTGTAGCACTAAGGGTCGTGTTTCCTTGCTGGCAGCTAGCCAGACAGAGGCCACTCACATTTCTTGCCATGTGGCCTGCTCCATCTCCAAACCAGCAATGGTGTGTCAAGTCCCTCTCATGTTTCAAATCTCTCTGCCTTCTCCTTCTATCACATCTCTTCTCCCTCCAGTCAGAGAAAGTTCTCTACTTTTAATAAGGTGCATATGATTAGATTGGGCCTGCCTGCATAATCCAGGATAATCTGCTCATGTTTAGATCAGTCACGTTAAATATGTCTACAAAGGCTCTTTTGCCATATGTGACTCATTTACAAATTCTGGTTATTAGAGCAGGGATGTCTTTGATGGACACCTTTGTTACCAAAACTCTAAAGCTTTCCAGATCTCCCTACTATCTGAGGTTTCCGTCAGCTCCTATAATTTTCCATCATGACATGTGTGGCACTAAGCTAGTGGCATCTCCAAATATTTTCTTCTCTTTTTTCTGGGCACATAGTTGCCTTGTCAGAGACCACCTTTCCCAATTTCCCTCACAGCCAGGTGTGGTCATGTGACTAAATTCTGTCCAGTTGAGTGTGAGCAGAAATGATATGTGCAACTTCTGCCTCACTTGCTTAAACAGAAGTTGCTTATGTAAATAAATGACTTCCTCTCTTCTCCTCTTCCTGGGAGCCAGAATGCAAATGTCAGTGACCTAGCTTCAACCATGCTGATAAGAGTAATGTCTTGGGAGATGGTAGAATAACAATATGGAAGAAATGTGTTTCTCTAAATGATGTCCCTCATAAGCAGAGCTATCCTACAAAACTGAACTTCTCCCTGTAAGATTTTTAGATGAGAATGAAGTAAGTGTATGTTATAGAAGCTACACTATTTTAAGGTGTTTTCGTTAGGGCAGCATCATCTTTGCAAAACTAAAAAAGCACATACTACCATCTGGAATTACATATTTATGCATTTGTTTAATTGAAATTATCTCCTCAACTAGAGTAGAAACTCCTTAAGAACAAGGCATTTGTCTTACTTATTTACTGCTGTATCTTCAGCATCTAGCACAATGCCAGTCACACAGTAGTTGCTCAGTAAGTATTTGTTTGAAGGAATAAAAGTAATATGTACGTTGACCTAGTGATTCACTTTTAGACACTACAACGTTGGTAGCTGCCAGAAAATGAATGAAATTATCTACTGTGGGTGGACACCACTCAATCATAGGTAAGTGCCAGAATCTGCTTTTAACCACTATTTTCTCATTGCCTATCCCCAACCCACCTGCCTCTGCAGCTACTTCTTCATTTGGACTAGTTCATCCTCAAAGTCTGTTGGTTAGAAGGCTACATACTCTGTCTAAAACCAATTTTCAATCTAGTTATGAGGTAGTTTCTTTATTAACACTAATTTTGAAAAATAGTTATACTGCTTTCCTTGTTCATATGATATGTTTAATCAACTTTTGCTCTCTCTATCTCCCTCTCTTTCTCTTATAAAAACATTAAGACCACAGGTTCTTGGTTTTCCATTTCAATTCCACTATTTCTTATTGTTTTTTCCTTTTCCAAAACTAAGAATGTCAGTATGTACTTTGAATATCTTTCTATCGAACTCATTCTTCTCTTTGCACCAGGTATTCATTTTTTATTTTTTAAACTTTTAAAATTCTTATTTTTTGTGAGTACAGATAGTCTTCCTAATGTGAAGAATTCTGATATTGAGTCACAGGCATGACTTTTTCTTCTTTTCCCTTAATGTGCCTGATCCAATGATTTAATTAAATTACTGAATATTCAAAAAATTGCTGTGATTTTAACATATATATTTTTATTGTAAAAGGAATAACATTCAAAAATGTTTACAAACTTTTTTTTTTTCAAATATAGTGCCCCGGAAACCAATACAGCCCTCACAAAGTCCTGGGAGATCTGTTCATTTAAAAGAAAAAACTAAAAAAGAAAGAAAGGAAAAAAGAAAGAAAACTTGAAGAACACATAACTCATATTACTGTAAATCTCAAACCTCCTACTTCAGCTACCAGAGCAAATGGGAACTACTGTTAGACCGGATTCATAGTTGTCCATTTATTTCAACTAGTTTAGGACAATAATCTAAATTTACTGGGTGCTAGGATAGGTTTAATTCTTTCATTCCTTCATTAATTCTCCAACTATTTACTGATTGATTTCTCTACACACAATACCATGCAAGATGCTATGGTGAATACAAGGACATTTAATGCAAGTTTAATTTCTGGTAATGTTCTAAGATATAATTAAGTATCCTTGTGGAAACAAGAGACATGTGAATTTAATTAAAGTTTGTTAGGCTTAGGGTGATTTATGTTTCAGAGGATCTTGTTCTCTGAAGTCCAGATTATATGATACTCTTATGAAACATGAGTTGTTGAAACACACACACACACGCTACACAAGTGTCAGACGAGTGCAAAATGGAAATGGCACTTGTAGAATTCACTGTATCCTCACTCCAAAAAACCCACTACTTTGGATTGGAAGGTTATGCTTTGGCCACTCATCAAATATTTGATTTATTTTTGTTGAATGTCACTTAAATTTCCAAACAGTTCACTATATTCATTTATCCACTCATCAAACAAATTTTTATTGAGTGCTTTCCACGTGCCAGACATTGTCCTTGGTGTTGGAGGTACAGCAGTGAACAAAAGCAGAAAAAAATTCCTGTTATCCTGGAGCTTACCTTCTAGCAGGGGGAGAGAAACAACAAATCAAATAAATAAATCAACAAGGAAAATATCAGATAGGGATGTGCTATGCAGTTACAAGCAAAATTGTCATGTTCCTTCACAGGCTAGGGGAGGAAATAGGTAATATATCGACCTCACAAATTCACTATTTTTGTCCCACCACTGTAGAGAAACGGGGAGTAGAACTAACAATTGGTTCCTTTTTCTCACTTTGCTCTACATCTTTACCATTAACAGATGCCATCCCCAATACCCAATCCCTTCATTTGAGGGATGTTTTTATGGATTTGAAGGTTCATATAAACGTAGGCTGTTTTCCCCAGATTCCACTAACCAGATTGTACTGAGATTGCATCATCAGTATCCAAAGCTTGCTGTCTCTGCCAGACCCCACCTATTTCTTTTCTATACAACCAATAAAGGAAACTTACAGCTGGTATAGCCAATATAGCCAATACAAGATTTGAGATACCTTGAATTTTTCTGAGAATTCCAATGGGTGCTGACAGTTGCTGAAAAATTCGTCCTGTTTATCAGTGACCACTTCAATTAGCAGAGCTTAGAATCCACAGATGCAGGCCCCAAAGAAATCCACCAAGGTCTCTGAAACTGAAACTGTGTTTCAATCACAATTGTCACTATGGCCCTCTAGATATTGGTGGGGTTGAAAATCTACTATGCTTGCTCTTGATGATGCTGAAATACAATGTGACATCCTGATGCTGGAGATCCATATCACTGTTCTTGCAGAAAGGGAGAGTAGAACTAACAATTGGTTCCTTTTTCTCACTTTGCTCTACATCTAGTCTAGCCTGGGTAATGTAGTGAGATTCCTGCCTCTACAAAAAAAAAAAAATTAAACAATTAGCTGGCTGTGGTGGCACATGCTTGTAGTCACAGCTACTCAGGAGGCTGAAATGAGAGGATTGCTTGAGCCCAGAAATTCAAGGTTACAGTGAGCTATGATCATGCCACTGCATTCCAACTTTGGCGACAGAGTGAGACTGTCTTTAAGCAAGGAGAAACAGTCAACACATCTCTCATCCCATGGCTATTTGAAATAAGACATTGGCTGCCCTATGGTTGTTCAGAGACCTTTTATAAACATTGTACCACAACCAAACTAAGGTCTTATCTAACCTGAAGATGCTCTGATGACTGAACTCCTCGATTTCCATTGATAACAATACTTTTTATTTTGTTCACAGCATATGATGAGGACTTAATATGTTAAAAGAGCAGTTTTGGGCATTGCTTATGATTCGAAGTTTAGGAAGTATAAGATAAATTTAAGAACACTCATTTAAGTTAAAATAGTGAGTCAGCCTCTAGACTTTCTTATAAGAGAAAGGAAGCTGGGGTGTAGAGAAAAATCCATTAAATATAGAATATTGTTTGTGAACATGTTCAGTTTCAACCGGCATCTTCTGATTACAAAGCCCCATGTGACATTTCCTTCACAGCCTAAACAAGCATATGGAAGACGGTGTTTCAGTAAATGTTAGTGTCCCAGGGCCTCTGGAATTGTTGGCAACACAGCAACAGGATGTGGGAGAGCCAGAGGATTAGGTATGAAGGAGACCAGGAAAGCAAGGAGAGGGTTAGCAACTCTCCCAGATGTTGCTGCATAGGAAGTCCCATGACCAAACCCACCAGAACTCTTTTTTTTTTTTTTCTGACAAGGAAACCCTTAGTCTTCCTACAGCTCCAAAGCATTATGTGGTCAGGAGGCGCCAAATCCCTCCCTGCAAAGAGAAGTAATGACTGTATTCCATGGCAGGGGAGGCAAGGACATTTTTCTGCCATTGCTCAGGAAGTGGGGTGAAGGCAGGAGTTTAATAAAGAAACAAGCTTCCCAACAGGGAATGCAGCAGAATTTGTCCTGGATTCCTGCTGGTTCCTCATCCTGCCATCCTTGTCAGTGCCCAGCCCTGACTACAGACATTAAGGGTAGGGAACTTTTTCTTATGGCTGTTGACCCACAGGGGAAAAAAATCCAAGATCATCTAAGTAAAAAAGGATCTCTTTCTCTCTCAAGAGGAACAAATATAGGATTTTCTAGTCCTCTTGTTTTTAAATTAAAAGGCTACATTACACTTGCATATTGTCTTTTTAAAAACCTTGTTCTATGTTGTAACCAATTAATGGAGGGTGGACAAAGAAAGATGGAGGAAACAGAGAAGATGATATTGGAATATAGATTGGCTGAAAAGGAAAAAGAGGCAGATATTCTCATGGTAACAAAGGCATAAGGAAAAAAGACAGAGATGGAGACTGCTGGGGAAGACGTTGAAGGGACTCCTCTGAATGGTTTGGTGTGGTCACCGGCCTTTGAAAAGTTGATGAGCATTTTAGTGGTTTCAAAAAATCTGGCAAATGTAAACTCTCTTTTTTGCATTATAAGATCACATTTCTCCCTTCATTTTCAAATTTTAAAATAGGTTTTGAAAAGAAGCTTATATTTTCTCAAGGATCAGAAAAGTTTTGCATGTGTGAAAAAGAATAAGTTGCCTGTTTCCTTTGGAATCTTAGAAGTGGTTTACATTTACTAACTAGGCCTCCAAAATCTTGTTCTTGTGAAAATAAATTACTTGGTTACCTTAATAACCTTTTTTCCTGTTTTTATTTACTTACTTGCTTCTTAGGTCTTGTTTTCTCCCCAGTTGGATTCTCATGAAGATATAGTGAGACACCTAGATGAACTAAAACTTGGTGTAATTACATTTAAGACTGCATAAGCATTTCTCATGACTGGATTCCATGAATTGAAAATCTCGTTCTGATCAGACCCAGCTGGATTGGGTGACATTTATGGAACACTCAACAGTCTAGAGAGTGGTTAGTGTCTTCTTGGTACCACATCTATCATTAAGGTCACTGCCTCATTAGTGGCACCTGTCAGTGTAGC
Organism: Homo sapiens; assembly: GCF_000001405.40. Taxonomy (NCBI): domain Eukaryota; kingdom Metazoa; phylum Chordata; class Mammalia; order Primates; family Hominidae; genus Homo; species Homo sapiens. Next base: position 132,562,908 of record NC_000023.11, on the reverse strand, counting down.
ATATATCTCTGTAATTTGGCATTCCTCAGGGTTACAGAATTGAGAAGCAGATTAGAAAGTTGCAATCTAATCAAAGATTGCTCCTTTTCTTTGTCTTTTTAAACCATCTACAAACACAATTGGCTATCATATTTAGAAGATGATTACATATAAAAACATAATAAAAAACATGAATTTTAAGAAACAAAATAGGCCAGGGGCGGTGGCTCATGCCTGTGATCCCAGCACTTTGGGAGGCTGAGGCGGGCAGATCACCTGAGGTCAGGAGTTCGAGGCCAGCCTGGTCAACATGGTGAAATCCCGTCTCTATTAAAAACACAAAAAGTTAGCCGGGTGTGGTGGCAGGCGCCTGTAGTCCCAGCTACTTGGGAGGCTGAGGCAGGAGAATCACTTGAACACCAGGAGGCAGAGGCTGCAGTGAGCCGAGATTGCAGCACTGCACTCCAACCTGGGCGGCAAGGTGATACTCCATCTCAAAATAATAATAATAATAATAATAATAATAATAATAATAATAATAATAAATAGGTAAAAATGGATGCCTTTTCTTAAGTCTCAGATGTTGAATGAATTCTACCCTGGATTCCCTTCCCTGGCTTAGCAACAGCCTCCTTAAAACTTACCTTGATCTTGAACTCAGTATAACTTCAGAGTGCTGCCACTGCTAATCTAATCTCTAGTGTTCCTATTTACACAGAGAAGCCAGCTTCCTTGTTTTTTCCTCCTCATAGAACATCAAAGCCTTGTAAATATCCACTTCATCTCACTTAGGATGTCATCCCTTCAATTGCGAGCTAGCTCTATTCTTTCTGTTGATCTACCATGTACCCATTTAGGGCTCTTTGCTTTTATGCTGCCATCATATTTCCTCTTAACTCTTCTTAGTCTCCAAAGAGTCACAGGAATTTTTAGAGAAAGGCCTAGTTTACTGTTCTGCACTACATAAAAATTCAAAAGTTATCTCTGTTACCAAAAAAATGAGAATCTTTAAGAAGCTTACCCTTTTTATTTTGTTTATAAAGCTTTTAAATTATTCGCACACACCAAAATACTTTAAAACATTGTTTCTGCTTAATATCTTTACAAGGACATATTCTGCTTATTAGGACTTGCCCCACTTAAAACATGGATTTAATGTTTATCATGTAATTTTTGCTAATTCGTTCTTCCCTTCAATCCTTTATCTTTATTCTGCTGCTGCTTAACAACACACATTGCGCAACTTCGATGACCTCTCTAAGGAGTCAGAATAAACATTAACAATAATCTATCTTTTGATCCTCTGCACTGATGAATATGTGCAGACAGGAACTCTTTCCCAATATTAATATCAGTTTCTACTCAGAAGAGAGTCAATGTTTGCAGAGATCATATATTTTATTCCACCTAAAACTTAATGTAAGCATCATAAATGCCTTTGCTTCAAATAAAACTTCTAAGTCTGGGGGTAAGGACATTTTCACTTCAATTGCATACATGAAGGGGAATCCCCTGTCTGGTCTTCTATCTCAAACCCATCCTTCCCAACCCCATCTCATTTACTTAACAAGGTGTACATCCCCGCAAAATTTGCTACCCTCCAAATCTTCATCTTTGTTAAGAAGAAATAAGGACCAATTAGTCCCTTTTTAAGTTGCTGTTGTTGTTATTAAATAGACATGTAACTGCCTATATTGCATACATTTTTGAGTTGCAATTACTTTGAAACAGAATATACATTTTTTATTGCTTTTTAATTGGACTTGGAAAGCCATATCTCAAGGTGCTGATGGTTTTCTTTTCATGAAATCTTTTCAAAACTTAGTTGTCAAAAAAAGAATGATGAGAAGGAGAAGTAGTCGGAAGAAGAAAAAGATAAGGAACAGAATGAGGTGGAAGGAGCAGGAGAAGATATCTATCTATCTATCTATCATCTATCTATCTATCAATTATCTATCCATTTATCCATCGACATCCAGGAAAATGGTTGTCACTTTTTTTGATGCTCAGTTTTGGTGTGTGTGTGGTTTTTGTAAATCATTTTTTAATTTTTGTCTTCAAATTTCTGAAAAAATGACTCTAACAAAAAACAGTGTTATTTGCACTACTAACTGTGTAGTAAAGAGTGAGGAGTGGGACTTAGGACAGGAAAAGCATGGAGCCTTCATGTATTGAGATATAATTGATATACAATAAACTGCACATAATCAAAGTGTATAATCTGATAAGTTTTGGCATATGCATATGCCCATCACGATAATCAAGATAATATTTATTATCTTTCACCCCCAAAAGTTTCTTCATGAGCCTTTGTAATCCCTCCTCCTGCTCTGCCTCAGGCAATCATTCTGCTTGCTGTCACTTTTGATTAGCTTGCATTTTCAGGAATTTTATATGAATGAAACCATGCAGTGGTTCATTAAACAAATTTACAAGAAAAAAACAAACATTTGCATTAAAACGTGGGCAAATGACATGAGCAGACACTTTTCAAAAGAAGACATACATGCCAGCAAGCATATGAAAAAAAGCTCAATATCACTAATCATTAGAGAAATGAAAATCAAAATCACAATGAGATACTATCTCTCACCAGTCAGAATGGCTATTATTAAAAAGTAAAAATATAGCAGATGCTGACAAGATTGCAGAGAAAAGAGAATGCTTATACACTGTTGGTGGGAAGGTAAATTAGCTCCATCATTTTGGAAAGCAGTGTGGCAATTCCTCAAAGATCTAAAAACAGAACTACCATTTGACCCAGAAATCCCACTACTGGGTATATGCCCAGAGGAATATAAATCATTTTACCAAAAAGACACATGCATGTGTATGTTCATTGCAGCACTATTCACAATAGCAAAGACATGGAATCAACCTAAATGCCCATCAAAGACAGATTAGATAAAGAAAATGTGGTACGTAGACACCATGAAATATTATGCAACCATCAAAAAAGAATGAGATCACGTCTTTTGCAGGAACATGGATGGAGCTGGAGGTCATTATCCTTAGCAAACTAATGCAAGAACAGAAAACCAAATACTGCATGTTCTCACTTATAAGTGGGAGCTAAGTGATGAGAACTCATGGACACAAAGAAGGGAAGAACAGACACTGTGGCCTACTTGAGGGTGGCGGGTGGGAGGATGGAGAAGAGCATAAAAAATTACTGGGTACTAGGCTTAGTACCTGGGTGACAAAATAATCTGTACAACAAACACTCATGACACAAATTTACCTATATAGCAAACTGCACATGTACCCTTGAACCTAAAATAAAAGTAAAAAAAGAATTTTATATAAATTGAACCATGCAGTGTGTACGTTCATTTGTCTACTTCTTTCACTTGGCATACATTTTTATTTGAGATTATCTAAATTGCAGCATGTATCAATAGCTACTTCTTTTTGTTGCTGAGTAATCTTCCACTAAACTTGTTTATCCATTTACTCACGGTGGAGGTTTGGGTTGTTTCTTGATTTTGGATATAAAAATAAAGCTGCTATGAACATTCTTTTTTTTTTTTTGAGATAAGGTCTTGCTTTGTCGCACAGGCTGGAGTACAGTGGCATGATCATGACTCACAGCAGCCTTGAACTCCTGGGCTCAAAGGATCCTCCCACCTTGACCTCTTGAGTAGCTAGGACTGCAGGCACATGCCACCATGCTTGGCTGATTTTATTTTTCAAATTAAAAAAAAATTGTAGAGATGGAGTCTAGCCATATTGCCCAGAGTGGTGAACATTCTTGTAGAAGGGTTTGTGTGGAAATGTGCTTTGACTTCTCTTGGGTAAATACCTAGAAGTGTAATGATTAAGTCATATGATAAGTGCAGATTTGACTTTAAAAGTAACTGTCAAAACATTTTCCAAAATAGTGGTACCTTTTTAAATCCCAACTGACAGTACATAAGAGTTCCAGTTCTCCCACATTCTCATCAACAATTGATATGGTCAGTCTTTTAATTTGAACCGTCCCAGTAGGTTTGAATTGATATCTTATTGTGGTTTTAATTTGCATTGTCCTAATGACCAATGAGATTGGTCATTTTTCATGTGCTTATTTTCCGAGTATATACCTTTTTTGGTGACATAGCTCGTTCAAATACTTTCGCCATTTTTATTGTTTCTTTTTGTTTTATTATTTAGTTTTATGAGTTCTTTATATATTCTGGATATAAGTCTTTTATTTGGATGCAAGTGTTTTAGATGACTTGCAAATGTTTTTCCCCTAGCCTAGCGCTTGTCTTTTCATTCTCTTCACAGTGTCTTTCAAAAGCAGTTTTTATGTTCGATGAAGTCCAATTTATCAATATGTTATGGATTGTGCTTTTGGCATTGTAGCAAAGAAATATCTTACTCCTTAAAGTTTTTTACCTTTTTATTTGGAAACCATTAAAAATGTGCAGAAATGTTGCAAAAATAAGAATAGTGTAAGGTACACCTGTATAACCTTTACCTAGCCTCACTTCTTGCTATCATTTAATTCATTTGCTTCATCAGTTACTTCTCTCCCATCCATCTCTCTTTCATCTCCTCTTTTTCTGAACTACTTGAGAACTGTTTTTCTGAATTATTTTATTTATTTTTAGAAACAAGGTCTCCCTCTGTCATCCAGGGTGAAGTGCAGTTGCACGATCATGGCTCACTGCAGCCTGGAACTCCTGGGCTCGAGGGATCCTCCTGCCTCAGTGTCCAGAGTAGCTAGGACTAGAGCATTTTTCTGAACCCTTTTTCTGAACTATTTGAGGTAAATTGCATATATCATGTGTCTTTACCTGTAAATACTTCAGGTGTACACTTTGTAAGAATAACTTCTTTGTGGAAGTTATCAACTTCATAAGTTTACATTGATATACTAGTTTTTTCTAATCTACTGTCTGTATATTCATATCATACCTTTTATAGTTGGCCTAATAATGTCCTTTGTGGCATTTTTCCCTCCAGTACAGAATTTAGCCTGGGGTCAAGTATTACATTTAGTTGTCATGTTTTTTTAACCTCTTTTATTCTGAAACATTCCATAAAGTTTCTTCTTTTTCATGATGTTGATATTTTCAATGTCCCTTTTGGGGGGTTTATCTGATATTTCTTCGTGATTAGATACAAGCTGTGCTTTCTCAGGGTAGGTTATACGGTATTGATCTTCTCAAGGAATCACATCTGAAGACACATGCGGTGTATGTGCTCCTCATTCGTGATGCTAATTTTGATCGCCTGGTCAAATAATTGTCCAAATTCTCCATTGCATAAGTACTGTCTTTCCACTTGCAACTAATAAGCAGCCTGTGAGATTGCTTTAATTCCATCTAAACATCCTCTTCATCAACATTTCTACTTAGATTTAATATCTACTGATTTTTATTTTATCCAATCTTTATTTTGATGCTTACAAAATACTGACTTTTTAACTATAGCACTTCCTCCACACTTACTAGTCAGCATTCAGCATTTTACTATAAGCAAGCACTTCTCCACGGTTATTTATTTTTTATTGATATGAGCTTATGATTTTCTACATTTTTCTAAATGTATTTATAATTATTACTTTATTATTTTAATACTGAAATTGTCTGAGATTTGGCCAATGGGAGCTCCTCCAAACTGGTTCTTCTGTCCTTGTGACATGCCCCCACTATTTTTTTTGAGCAGTTCATGGCTTTCTGATATAATAAGATACTCTAGGCTTATCTTGTACCTTCCCTGGCCTTGCCCTGAAATCAGCCAGTTATCTGTGTTGCCCTAGTTTCTTTAGGTGGAGAATGGTGTAGGCTACCAAGGTCTAGGCACAGCCTTTTAAAATTTTCCAGTATTCATTATTTTGAAAATCATTTGATTATAGATGCTAAGTCTAACATACCTACTTGTAGAGTTACTAGTCTAATGTTATTATATAGTTTTTAATCACATATTATATGTTATACTGTTCATAGGTTTTCTAAAGTAATGCTATCAGTAAAAACAGACACATAGACCAATGGAATGAAAGAGAGCCCAGAAATAAACCCACACATTTACAACCAACTGATTTTCAACAAAAGCACTAAGAACACGTAATAGGGAAAGGGAAACTCTTCAATAAATGGTTCTAGGAAAACTGGATATCCATATGCAAAAGAATGAATCTAGACCGCTATCTCTCACCATATACAAAAATCAATAATTGATTAAATACTTAAATGTAAGACCCCAAACTATGAAATTACTAGAAGAAAACATAGGGAATATGCTCCATGAAATTAGATTGGGCAAGGATTTTTTTAATTTGACTTCAAAAGTGCAGGTAACCAAGGCAAAAACGGACAATTGGGATTACATCAAATAAAAAACCTCCGCACAGCAAAGGAAACAATCAATAAAGTGAAGAGACAACCTACAGAATGGGAGAAAATATTTACAAACTACACATCTGACAAGGGATTAAAAAGGGATTAATAACCAGAATATATAAGGAGCTCAAACCACTCAATAGGAAAACCCCAAATAATCTGATATAAAAATGGGCCAAAGACCTGAGTAGGCATTTATCAAAAGAAGATATACAAATGGCCAACAGATATATTTAAAAATGTTCAACATCACTCTGATGATCATCAGTCATCATAGAAATGCAAATCAAAACCATAATGAGATAACACCTCGCCGCAATTAGAATGGGTAGTATAAAAATGATTAAAAATCACATTCTGGTGAAAATGGGAAATTTTATACACTGCTGATGGGAATGTAAACTAGTACAGCTACTGGGGAAAACAGACGGAAGTTCCTCAAAAAAGTAAAAATAGGACTACCATAGGATTCAGCAATCCCACTGCTGGGTATATATCTGAAAGAAATGAAACGAGTATGTTGAAGAGACATCTGCACACCCATGTTTGTGGCAGCACTATTCACAATAGCCAAGATATGGAATCAACATAAATGCCAGTCTACAGATGAATAAAGAAAATGTGATGTGTATATATATATAAAATGGAATAGTCTCTCTCTCTCTTTCTTTCTCTCTCTCTGTATATATGTGTATATATATATGGAACACTATTATATATTATATATACTATTATATATGGAATAAATATATAATAATGTGTGTATATATATATATAGAATACTATTCAGCCATAAAACAGTATGAAATCCTATCATTGCAACAACATGGATCAGCCTGAAGGACATTACGTTAAGTAAAATAAACCAAGCACAGAACAACAAACACTGCATGATCTCACTCATATGTGGAATCTAAAAAAGTTAATCTCATAAAAGTAGACAGTAGGATAGTGGTTATCAGTGGTTGGGAAGAATAAGGGGTTGGGGGTGGGGCACCGGGAAGGTTAGTCAATGGGTACAAAGTTACCTTTAGACAGGAGGAATAAGTTTTGATGTTCTATTACAGAACAGGGTGACTATAACAATGCAGGTAAATTTCAAGATAGCTAGAAGAGAAGATTTTGAATGTTGTCAACACAAAGAAATAAAGTTTAAAGTGATGGATATGGTAATTACTCTGATTTGGTCATTATACCATGGGCATATGCATCGAAACATCACATTGCATGCAATAAATATACACAATTATTATGTGATAATCATAAATAAAATAAAAATAATTCCATCAGCCTCAATTGACTGCAACGTGATCTGCACACAATCTTGGAAAGAGAGCTGGAAGAACCCTTTATGATTAGCCACTCAATCACCTCACTTTACACATGACAAGACTGAAGCCCAGACAAGGTGAGATTGTTATTTAAGATAATAAAATCAGCCAATGACAGATGTCATTTGATTTCTGTCTAGTACTCTACAGGAAAATGCTACCTGCTACATTTTCCTCCATGAACAAAGTCATAACAATACAGTATTTTTATTTTATTTTTATTATTTTTTTTTGAGATGGAGTCTCGCTCTGTCTCCCAGGCTGGAGTGCAGTAGTACAAACTTGGCTCACTGTAACATCCACCTCCTGGGTTCAAGCAATTCTCCTGTGTCAGCATCCCCAGTAGTTGGGATTACAGGTGCCAGTCACCATGCCCGGCTAATTTTTGTATTTTTAGTAGAGATGGGGCTTCACCATATTGATCAGGCTGGTCTCGAACTCCTGACCTCAGATGATCGCCAGCCTTGGCCTCCCTAAGTGCTGGGATTACAAGCGTGAGCCACCTCATCCGGCCTAATACAGTATTTTTTAAATCAGAATACTTGAATAAAGAAAAATCCCTATGAATTCTAAAGCACCTCAAGGGCCATGAGAGTAATTAATAGCTACACACTTTATTTCTCATCTGGGTATAGCTGTCCACCAAGGGGTCAGTATTGAGCACAATTTCTTTAATAGCTTTATTAATGATCCTGAAGAGAAGGAGGGCAGCAATTTGTCAGCTTTGCAGCCTTTAGAAAACATAAGTCCAGAGCCGGAAGTTTAATTAGCTAAGCCCCACAGTGGTCTGTCAACTACTTTTGCCTCCATTTACCAAACAAGGTTACAGAACGGAGTGTAAGCAACTTGTTCGAGATCAACATGTGAAATAACAATAAATAGCATTTGATGTGAGCCTTGGTGTCTCTAAATCCTCATCCCTTGAACTGGCTCCCTGCTGTTCACCTCTGCAACATGAGGCTGGGTGGCATAGGCCATCTTTGAAAGGACTGTACATATTGGCTTGAGGAGGAGGAGCAGTAGAATGAAAAACGGAGTCACTGCCTTTGACTGACACAGATGTTTCAGGCTGGCAGGGAGCCTGAAATGAAGGAGTTAGTTATTAAGTGCTGCAACATTAGCTTGTGGAATGGGAAGCACAAGCCTGTGGAATCTCCTTTGCTGGAGCTGTTTAGGATAGGTTAAAAAACCCTCTCTCTGGAGTGACTTAAGTGAAATTTACTTGGAATCAAGGGTTGGTTCTCCTAAACAGCGGATTGTAGAGCTCTTTGAGGGTGGGAGGGTGGCTGGAGGTTAGAGAAGTTGCCTAGAATTATATGCCTAATAAATATTGTCTGTTGATTGAATAAATAATGCATCCCTCACACATGTGTACTCTTACTTTTTAAGTGTGTCTAGATGTTGTGATTGATACAACAATTGTTACTGAATTCACGGTAATTTTGTGTCATTTGTGCATTTTCTCATTCAATGCATAGCAAAAGTCTAAAATGTTGTTATGGAGTGTCCAAGCATTTCTTATACTTATACTCTATAAGGCCAGTGTTGTCTGGACGATATAATCACCAAAGTTTTCTTAGGCAAAAGAAGATTCTCTAACTCAGAAATTATGTTATTTGGGGGCTCTTCAAGACCAGAAAGACAAAACAAATTAGAGAGAGTTCTGAAAAGTGTAATGGCATGATTAAATAAGAGATGGATTACAAAGACTTCTTCTAAAGAAAATGGAAATAGACATGAGTTTGTATAAGCACTAGCGGGGAAATAAACAGAGAGCACATGACAGAAAGCATCATGATTACCTGGGAGATGTAAATGCCATGAATACAAAAATATTACTTTGCTGTATATGAACTTTGAGTAGGCTATCTCGGGTTAAAGTAAGGAAGAATAGGAAGTTTGCATTTCCCACAAGTGCTTCCTATCTCATGGTGATCATGACACAATGAAATCCAGAATAGAAAAGCAAAGAAATAAATCTATTGTGCACTCAATATTTGGAAAGGAGGGCCATGGAAAAACTGTGGACATAGAAAAGCTAAAAAGTTTATATTTTCAATAATTTACAGGATTTCTGAAAACTGTTTTAAAACAACTTATTGGAAGCCCAGTACAAATGTATGCAACCGCTCAAAATTATCACATGCTTGAAAAAGAAAGTCCTATATGGCTTGATGGTTTGTAAGAGACTGCCAAGTTTTTTTTGATTATAATAAAATATACGTAACATAAAATTTACCATCTCAACTATTTTTAGGTGTATTCAGTAGTTTTAAACATATTCCCATTGTTGTGAAACAAACCTCCAGAAATTTTTCATCTTGCAAATCTGAAACTGTACTTATTAAAACAACAATTCCCCTTTTTCTCCTTCCCCCACCTCCTGATAACCACCATTTAACTTTCTGTTTCTATGAATTTGACTACTTTAAATAGTCGTATAAGTGGAATCATACAGCATTTGGCTTTTTGTAATTGGCTTATTTCACCTAGCATAATGTCCTCAAGGTTCATCCACGTAGTAGCATGTGACAGGATTTCCTCCCTTTTAAAGTCTGAATAATATTCCACTGTATATAAATACCACATTTTGTTTTTCCATTCACCCCTCGATAGACATTTGGGTTACTTCCTCCTCTTGGCTATTGTGAATCGTGCCTCCTAGTGGTTTTTTTAACTATATTTTTAATCTGAGACATAATTCATTTATATAAACTCATATATTGTTTGCTGTTCCTTCCAAATTCAAGGTGTAGAGGATCGACTGTTTAAACCTGGTCTTTTCCCCTCTCAAGCAAACAAGCCAGAAAAAGTGTCTCACCACCAACAGATAAACCAAACATATGCAGAAAGAACCTTGAATACTTGAGCATTTTATCACCAAACAGCAGTAGATCCACTGGTCATTTGTTAAGCTATATGGTTTTATGGTAATATTAAAACCCCTTGCCTTATAAAGAGAGAGGGGCTGATGCTCAAATATGACACATTTAAAAATGCATATTTTCTTCAAATTCTTTATTATACAACTTTTTTTTCTCTAAACAATAGGATAATATAGCCTAGATGGAATTCGGGTCATTTGGCAATTGCTTTCTCGTAAAACAGTGGTTGCCAAGCTTGGTCAAGAATCAGAATCTGCTAAACACCCTAAGAATCTGTATTCTTGATTCCTATTCATGGCTACTAAAATCAGAAACTTCAGGGTTTGTGTGCTAGTCCGTTTTGCATTGCTATAAAGAAATACCTGAGATTGGGTAATTTAATTCTTTTCATTAAAAGAAGTTTATTTTGGCTCACAGATCTGCAAGCTGTACAAACATGGCACCAGTATCTGCTTGGCTTCTAGTGAGACCTCAGGAAGCTTACAATGGTGGTGGAAGGCAAAGGCAGAGCTGGCATGTCACATGGCAAGAGGGAGCAAGAGAAGGAGGAGGAGATGCTGGCTCCTTTCAACAACCAGCTCTCGTGTGAGTGAGAACTCACTCATTACTATGAGGAGGGCACCAAGCCATTAACAAGGCATAAGTCCTCATGACCCAGTCACCTCCTACTGAGCCCCACCTTCAACATTGAGGATCACATTCCCACACGAGATGTGGAGGGGACAAATATCCAGACCCGTAACAATTGGGAACCACTGCTTCAATTTCATCAACGAGCTCTGACTAGAATGTAGAATGTATCATGCAATTCATCAACCTATCTGCTTCTGTTATCTAGGACTCTAAAGCCTTTCCTCGAAGCCTCTAACTTCTTCTTTATTAGCCATGGATATAGCTATTCTATTTCACCATGGCTTGAATGTGTTTCTGTCAGCACTCCACTCCACTCATAAAAGCCTTCTAAACCCGCTGCCCATTGCTCTCCATAGCCATCAGTGACTTATGTTACTATCTCCAATGAGATATCCTCTGTTTCCTTCTCTGAATCAGAGCCTGTGGGATTCTCAAAGTGACAATTAATCAAACTGTTAAATTACTCATTGAGATGTACTAACATGTCACCCCTCAGCTCCTAAGAGGCATGTTCTTTTTGTCAGAGGCTTCCAATGACCATGTCATTGCCTTTAGAATTCCTTCCCTTTGCTCTCAAAACCTGTACCATTTTTGTTGCCTCATCTGGGAAATATATGCTAGCATCGATTAAAAAGAGGCAGGAAGAAAAAGATTTAATATTGTTCTCATTATGCTTTAAATAAGCAAATCCCTGACCTATACTCATCCATACCCAGCTACAGATGTTCTCTAAATTGTCACATGTTTTTCCTTTCTCCGCCCCATTCCCTAAATGTTCCCAAACTAACAGGACATTAAATGAGAAAATGCTTCTCCATAGAATTTGCTTAATTTACTATTTGTCTCCCTCCACATAGCATCCTTCTCATCATCTGTAATGTGCAATCAATCGCATACCCCTGGGAATGTTGTTCATTGGTCATTTACATGATTAAAGAATGGAGAAAATGAGACACTTAAAAGAATAGAGGTGTTTTAATAACTTCCAATTTGAATCTCTTCTCACTACCTACCCTCTACTGACATAATATAGCAAATGTCACCACTTTCACCCTCTCTCTAAAAGGAGGTTTCAGATTTACCCTTATGCAATGCAGTATTTTATTTATTAAGGATGCCAAAAATATGCCAGGCTTTTAAGCCCTATGGGAAACCTTATTCTGGCTGCAACAGGAAGATTACTATGGATACATCTCTGCTCCACTGGATGATCAGCAACAGCTGTGGAGCCAAGCTTGAGAGCCCTCTCAGTCTGCTTATCACACAAATTATATCAGGTGAAACCATAAACGCCACATCGCTTAGTGACATTAGAATCGGATATCTTCCGGTAGTTTTACCTGAAAGCAAAAAGTAGTCAACAGTTTCCAGGATCTCTCATCCTTATTTGAAATTTCCTGATCTTTAGTGACTACTTTTACTATCAAGTAGATGAACGGAATTCCTCTGTAATTGACCTCCACCCACAAATTTACCCCAAACCCTGAGTTTAGCAGGTGGGGGAGAACAAGAAGTTGGGAGGAACCATTTTCAGAGGGCAGCTTGGAGTTCTTGCTTCCTTGATATTATGTGATGCAAATATAGTGGTCCTCCTTATCCATGAGAAGTACATTCCAAGACCCCCAGAGGATGGTGGAAACTCTGGATGATACCAAATCATATATATATATATCTCAAGACTTTCACCTTTTTAGATAAAAGAAGCACTTCATGGCTGCTTTGGCACATTCAAATTCTCAGCTTAACTGCTTTTACGCTTTGGGGCCATTCCTAAGTAAAATAAGGTTCTTTGAACCCAAGCATTGCAATACCATGACTGTCAATCTGATAACTGAGAGGGCTACTAAGTGACTACCAGGCAGGTAGTGTAGACAGCATGCATATACTAGACAAAGGGATGATTCCTGTCCCAGGTGTGACAGGGCAGAACGGGCAAGATTTCATCATGCTACTCAGAACAGTGAGCAATTTAAAACTTATGAATTGTTTATTTCTGGAATTTTCCACTTAATATTTTCAGACCATGGTGGACCACAGGTAACTTAAACTGCAGAAAGCAGAACTTCGGATAAGGTGGGTGGGGACTATTGTATACATTGAGCTTTGCGAGAGTGCCTGACTTGGTCTACAATTGTTGTGACCCACTTGCTTTCTAAAAGAATAGTGGGCCTTACAGAGGCTGAAGTGAGCTGACAGCCAGAAAAGAAGCAAGAGATCTTGCATGCCCTATAAGAGTTTAGTAGGCAATCAATTATGGCTACATAACATGCACAGAGAGTGCCAACCTCACCATTTCTGCTGTGCTTTGAGCAGCCTGAGCTCTACTCCAAGCGAAAGTTTCTTCCCTTGATAAGGAGAAAAGTGGCACTGGGAAGCAAAAAGTAATGGAGTTCATTTCAGAAATGCCAAATGAGTAAGACCCTACCGCAGAGTCAAAATGAACTCTTACTGCCTACAGAGTCTGGTCTCAGGCTTGATGCAAAAGCGGAGTCTGGATACTTTGCTATGAAGTCAAAAAAGGGAAAAAAATTACCGTTTTCTTGTAGTAGTGTCTCCATGGAAGGTGTTCCTTCATAACATCATTGGATAATTTCAGTTGCCTTAAAACAAGTCTTCCAGATAACGCTTTACATGTGTAGCTTTGTACCATGCACTTCTTTAAATAAGACCAATGTTTTTTAAAGTTTCAGTGATATTGAGATACATGATTGAGCAGTGTTTGTGTAGATAGCCCAAAGAATAGAAAAGTAATGCATAAAATGAAATTCTAAACAAACAAATCTGTAAAGGTTAATGAAGAAAAACATTAGTAGTAAAATCAAGAACACTCAAATTTTTTTTCTACAATTCAATCAAAGTCTTCTCCACGTAAATATACCAATGCTGACAAACCTGTGAATATCAAGAGCTCCTAATGAGAGAATTAACACAATCTGAAAAAGGGCAATCTGTTATATGAAAAATTTAGCAGATCCTCAATCCAATTACTGGATAATTGCTGAAAATCAGCTCAAAGCTTTGGACTGTAACAACCAGAGTAAATAAAGCTACGAATGAAGATAAGATTGGCTTGAAAAGAAGTTCCTAGGTTAAGAGTTTGAGAAGTAGCTCTAAAACTTGAGTTTTAAAAACCACAATCATAAATGAAATAAAGGTCCCATATATTTCTTGATTAGGAGAACAAACAGAAAAAAAAATATGCATTCTAATATCAAAGTGGGTAGCACAAATCTAGCAATTAGGAGGAAGAGAAGCCCCAATGAGAGTAAACACCTACTGCACGGTGGCTTTGTCATCAAAGCTCAATGCACACCCAAGGGATATTTTGACAAGATTTCCCAATACAATGATCAAAGACAAAATCTGAAAGGAAGCACAGCCTTAGAAGATTCTTACAATATCAAAATATTCCTCTATTTCAAGATATAGCATAAGAGACATTAAAAAAAGGACAGGAGATAAAAGAGATAAAAGTCTTGATCACTGGAAAATACTGAACACCATCAGACTGTGGACTCAACAGAAAGCTGTTATATTATCTATGAAGTTTTCGATATTGGGATTCTATAAAGCTAGAATCAGGGCTGGTTTTACGGGCGTGTGACCTGTGCAGTTACTCAGGGCCCCATACATAGAAGGATCCTGCACTTAGTTTAAAGTTCTGCTGTTGCCATCTTGAAATTTTTAATAATTTTAGAACAAAAACCCCACATTTTCATTTTTCACTGAGCTCCCCAAATTATGTAGCCAGTCCTGGCTAAAAGGCTCATACTCAAGGAAGTTTTGAGAATAGAGAAAAAGGAGCAAATGAGAAAAACATGGTCTGATTAAAACAGAGGCAAACTAGAAGTTGCCGTTATTTCTATGTTCTAATTTTGTAATACTTCTTGCAGCTACTAGCCCATGCATTAGAAAAATCAACCCACATTAAGGATGTTACTTGGAGATTTCCCCATTCCTTCACCATTAGGAGATTATTTTTCCTAAGGTGAATTTTCTTTTTTTTTTTAATGATTCACATTTCAAAATCCAGTTTCTAATATTTTTGGTATTGAAAATATATTTACAACCAAAGGCCTGTGAAATCTTTTATTAACTGATATTTGAGGATCTAAAATCCACACCAGGAATGGACATGATGGAAGCTATTCTATGACAATTGAAGAATATCTAAAGGAAGAACCTAATGTGGTTGTGTTACAAGAAATACATAGAAATTTGTCCTTTCAGCCACTACTGAATTAAAAATAGTTTAAGCATCAACTTATTGCTTCGGGGATCTCAAAAGCAAGAGAGATCCCACTCTTGCTTTTGAGTGGCAAGAGTGCTGCCACTCTAATTGCTTAAAAATTCCCATTTGATGTCCAAGGGCTTGAAACAGAGCCTGACGGGTAATTTTATCTTAGCTAAAGGCAATCAGCTAAACAAATCATTAACAAAATATTAACTTTAAGTGCTGTGTGCCCACAAAGGGCATTTTATAGCTCAATTCTTTGAAAAATTACATAAAAATAGGTGCAGAGAGATGGATAACTAGCAGACTCTTTAATGCTCTATTGAAAGCAAAGATGGATCCAACTTCCTTCTCTGTGTCTACTATGGAAGCAAGCCACCAGGGATTCAGATGTTGCAGTCTCAGCTGCAGAGTGTACAGGAGAGTATACGTTTTAAATTTGACCAGCAAAATAAAATTACTCAAGATTGTATTATAACTTTCTCAGTGTTAGCATGTTTGTGTTAAGTGAGGTAGGAACAATAATTCTGGTCAATATTGACTGGGTCTCTTACAAGCTTTCTGGAAACAAAAACATGGAAGGGCTTAGAATGCAAGTATCACAACTTCCTTTTGTGAAGTGACACAGTAGTAGTCAAGCTATCAGCAACTATTACTTCCTATCTTCACCCTAATTCTTCACATGAATTACCATGTGGTATTAAGATGTATTTAATGTAACAGCTGAAATGATCTGCACTATTGTTACCTCCAAGCTTGTAGAGCTCTGAGAAAAGAAAATCTTTTTTTTCTTTTTTTTTTTTTCTGGCTGAGGAGCAGGTACTACCTGAAGAGAGAGAATCCCAGCAGGACTTCCCTTTAATTCTCAATAATAGCAGTAATGTTGGCTGACATGTATTAGTGATTAACCTATATCAAATACTTTGTATTTACTATCTATTTTAATCTTTGAGACCTGACTTTACAGATGAGGAAACTAAGACTCACTGAAGACACACCAAGAATAAGTGGCAGAGCCAGATTTGAGAGCAAGTCTCTTTGACTCCTGAGCCAGTCTTTTCCATTACCAGACTGTTTAAACACTCTGTTCCATTGTCTCTCAGCAAATGACTAGAGATACTGTGAGCAGAAAGATAGAGGTATATTTCATATTTTGCAGCTAGGATCCAACATAATTAAGTTTGGAATGTTCACTTAAAATGTCTATGGATTTTGTCACTTCTCTGCTCAAAACTTTTAATTGTCCAGCATAACAAATTTCTTACCTGGAATTCAAAGCCTGATACGATCTAGCCCCACTCACACTTCTACACTTAACTTCTTCCTACCTATTTCACACATTTACTGATTCAAACATTCATTGAACAAAAGAAAAGCAATAGGATCTTGTATCAGTCAGCTCAGGGTGCCATAACAAAATACCATAGACTGGGTGGTTTAAACAGGAATTTATTTCTCACAGTTCTGTAGGCTGGTAATTCCAAGACCAAGGTGCCAGCCAATTCTGTTCCCTGGTGAGGGCCCTCTTTCTGGTTTACAGACAGCTACCTTGTTGCTGTGTCCTCACATGGTGAAGAGGGGGAGACAGAATGAGGAAGTAAGCTCTCTGGTGTCTCTTCTTACAAGGGCACTAATCCCATCAGTCCAGAACCTCACACTCATGACCTCATCTGATCCTAATTACCTCCCAAAGGCCACACTTCCAAATACCAACACATTAAGAATTACGGCTTTAACATAAGAATTTTGCTGGGCGCGGTGGCTCACGCCTGCAATCCTAACACTTTGAGAGGCCGAGGCAGGAGGATTGCTTCAGTCCAGGATTTCAAGACCAGTCTAGGTAACATAGTGAGACCCCTGTATCTACAAAAATATTTAGAAATTAGCCAGATATGGTGGTGTGCGCCTGCAGTCCCAGCTACTTGGGAGGCTGAGGTGGAAGGACTGCTTGAGCTCAGGAGGTTGAGGCTGCAGTGATTTGAGATCACACCACTGCACTCCAGCCTTGGTGACAGAGTGAGGCCCTGTCTCAAAAAAACACTACATATATATATAATTTCTAGTTTATATATACATTTATATATGTATATATATAAATTTATATATTTATATGTGTGTGTATATATACACAATCTATATATAAGTATATGTATTTATAAATTTTGCAGGGACATATTCAGTTCGTGGCGGGGCCCCACTAGTTAGTCCCTCAGCCGTAGAAAGTGACACACCTCCTTTTTCTTTCTTTCTTTCTTGCCCAATTACTAGTGCGTTTAAGCAGTTTAGGATCATCACCCATTTGCCTCCTCAGACTTTACCACTAAGGATCTTTGAGAACTATTCTAATTAAGTTGGTATCACAGAAAGAAACACATAAATACACACAACTGGAGGAATTATTTCATTCAACAAATATTTAGTGGGACTGGGCTGGGTCTTGATAATACAAGACACACACAACCCCTGCCCTCCTGGAGTCTTCTGTCTAGAATATCACGATCCCCTCTAGCTGCTGCCCTGATGTCATCACCTTTGTAGTTGCACTTCTTGAAAACTTTATATTCATTTTGTACACTGCCTTATGTTCAATCCACTCCATAAGCCACCGTAATATACCATTTCCCTCAGAGCAAAATGCTTCTTACCAAATCACCAACTATCTCCTCCACCCTTCAATTTTATTATAAATCCAGTACACTTATTTAGTCTTATTTAACTTGACATTTGTGGAATATTTGGCATTATTGACCTCACTTGACCACTTGAAATTCCCTCTTCCCTTCTTTTCTGTGGAATAGTGCTCTCCTGGTTTTCCCCTCTACCCTTTCCTACCTGATCGTCCATATGAGTTCCTCTTAAATAACGATGTGACGCAAGGTTTTGCTCTTAGCTCTCTTCTAGTCTTAGTCTAGACCATTATTTTTCAGTGTGGTCCTTGGAACACTTGTGTCACCATGACTTAAGGTGCTTGGTAAAAAATACAAATTTCCTTGCCCCTTAGTCAATTTCATAACCTCACAGCACTCTAGAATCTATTTTAATCCAGCATCGTAGGTGATCCATATAGACTCTAAATAAATCACTGTTCTATACACACAGTACGTCCTGGACAATGTTAATCTTCCCTATGGCTTCAGTTACTGGCTATATACTGGATGTGGAGGCTGGTAAGTTTGTAGTTGACATACAAGGAAGTTAAGAAATGGCTTAACTTGAGATGGCTACTATTTTCTCCATGAATCAGGAGTTGAGATCATACAGTGAGAATGAGAGCATAGGGTTGGAGTGGAAAAGAGAAAAGCAGAAGATAAGGGAAATACAGATGGTTTGCTGAATAATGTGGAAGCCCTAGTTGACATTGAACACCAGGTGGGTATTTAGTCATTCATTTTTGTGGTGAGGAGATTTCTTTCCCCCAGCAACCTTGGTATAGATATAAAGAAGGCAAAAAATTATAGTTCAAATATCTGAGGATACTAATAAGAATATAGAATTATGGAGAATAGGATTTAGGCTTCATAGAAAAGGAAGTAATGAGAGGGGACTAATAAAGGTCTTGATGCTGTCCATGTACAGGTGTAATAAAAACAATGGAATGAAAGAACTGGAAAAATGGACGGCTATTGATAAAGTGGAAAAATTTAAGATTTCAAAGATGAAGCAGCTTTTGGTAATGACAAAGTCCAGAGTGTTGCTCTGGAAGTGGGTAGTTGAAGTGGAGAGTTGATGATCATTAAGAAATAGAGAGGCCAGAGTATTTGAAAGATTGTCCATTTTGGACATTGGAGTCACCAAAGATGATGGTGGCAGGGCTTGGAATGGAGAGGAAGATTGTCAGCCAAGGTCTCCAGTGAATGACAGAGAGTGGTCAAGAGGTTGATAGATTACACCAGAAGGGATCAAGTATCTTGTCTATTAAAAAACATTTAATTTCTGGAAATATCAAATTTCCTATTGTTATGTCCAAGATTTTTCAAATTCTGGTCTCAACCTAAATTGTTAGCCTGACTGCAATCTATTTACCTTCATACAATTTCCATCACAACCTCAATGGGCTATTGCCATTCCCTGAACAGATGCCATATGCTCCATTATGCATTTCCTAATCCTTCCTCTGAAGTTCCATAGTATTTTACTAGAGCCACACCTGGAGCTTAGGGCTTTTATTACAGTTATTTATACACATATCTTCTCCCCTACCAGTGTGTTTGACCCTGGGATTGATGTCATATACATTTTTGTAACACCCATAGTGCCTTTCAAGTAGCAAGCAATTGATGGATATTTAAATATTTGTTGAATATTTATAAGGCTTTAAAATCACAACTAGAATATGTTTGAACCAATTGTAGAACCCATGTAAGTTAAACAAAGATACGTGTTTATTCATTCATCTTCAGGAAGGAATTTATTTTTTTAATGGCTGCAAAATTCTGCAAATTATACAATGACGTAGGAACCTATTCACAAAGTCTGGTTTATTAAGATATAGGAGTTTTTCAGTGAGAGCATATGGACACAGGGAGGGGAACATCACACACCGGGGCCTTTCGGGGAGTAGGGGGTAAGGGGAGGGATAGCATTAGGAGAAATACCTAATGTAGATGACAGGTTGATGGGTGCAGCAAACCACCATGGCACATGTATACCTATGTAACAAGCTGCACGTTCTGCACATGTATCCCAGAACTTAAAGTATAATAAAAAAAGAAAAAAAGATACAGGAGTTTTTGTATATGAAGCAAACAGTCATAACATATTAAAACATTCTTACAACTCCAGATACAA
This sequence comes from Homo sapiens, assembly GCF_000001405.40. Taxonomy (NCBI): domain Eukaryota; kingdom Metazoa; phylum Chordata; class Mammalia; order Primates; family Hominidae; genus Homo; species Homo sapiens. Next base: position 132,542,726 of record NC_000023.11, on the reverse strand, counting down.
TGGTGATTTCCTAGAATGTTGGCTTTTCCTTTACAAAATGCCATTGACAAGAGTATTTGAAAGGAATCTATATCTTATGAGAACACCAAAGAATAATGTAAACAAGATGTGATGACATAAAATAAAATGAGACATAAATATCCTCTGTATTATGTTTACTGCACATCATGATGCCTAATACTACTGGAATTGTGAAGGCATATTAAGGAGCCTGGAATTTGGTATTTTTATGTTGTAAATCATACATACATGTATATGTGTATGTATATGTATATATATACTTTTTAATAAAAATATCAGGGTCTTTGGTTACTTTAGCATAAAAATACTTTTACTGGAAATCTAAATTTGTGAAAGAAAACAGTTATATTGCCCGTTAGGATTTTTCCTTTCATCCTAGAGAAATCTAGTAATTTATTCAGGAACACTCTTCTTTCTCTCAGAGCAGTCCTAAAATATACAAATCAAAATCAAATATAGTGAAATCAGAGGGCCTAGCTTTTTTATTGTCCACTGTTGCTTGGAATAAGTAAGCTATAAGCTAGAACTTTCAAAACTCTTTGTTATACTTGTGGCAATTTCCTAACCTATGATGGTACCTTCCACACATGCAGTCAGAGTCCATCTATTAATGTTTTATTGAAAATACACTTAGAGTACTGTCTTGGGAATGTTCTATTTAAAGGAGTCCTAAAATCATCCCACAACTAACTCCTTTGCACAGCTAAGGAAACAATCAACAAAGTGAAGAGACAATCCACAGAACGGGATTGTCTTCATTACTACAATGAGATATAATCTCACCGCAGTAAAAATGAATTATATCCAAAAGACAGGCAACAACAAATGCTGGTGAAGATGTGGAGAAAAGAGAACCCTCGTACACTGTTGGTGGGAAGGTAAATTAGTACAGCCACTGAGGTAAACAGTTTGGAGCTTCCAAAAAACTAAAAATAGCATTACCATCTGATCCAGCAATCCTACTTCTAGGTATATACCCTGAATAAAGGTAATTAGTATATCAAAGAGATATCTGCACTCCCATTTATTGCAAAACTATTCACAATAGCCAAGATTTGGAAGCAATCTAAGTGTCCATCAACGTACAAATGAATAAAGAAAACAGGTCACTTATACACAATGGAATACTATTCAGTCATAAAAAATAATGAGATTATGTCATTTGCAAGAACATGGATGGAACTGGAGATCATTATGTTAAGTGAAACAAGCCAGGTATGGAAAGACAAACTTCACGTGTTCTCACTTATTTGTGGGAGCTAAAAGTTTGAACAATTGAACTCATGGATAGTAGAAGGATAGTTATCAGAGGCCAGGAAGGGTGGTGGGGTGGGGAGGATGTTAGGATGGTTAATGGGTACAAAAATAGAAAGAATGAATAAAACCTACTATTTGATAGCCAAACAGGGTGTCTATAGTCAATAATAATTTAATTGTATATTTTAAAATAACTGGAAGAATATAATTTGATTTTTTGTAACACAAAGGATAAATGCTTGAGGTGACGGATACCCCATTTATGCTGAAGTGATTATTATCCATTGCATGCCTGTATGAAAATATCTCACATACCCCATAAACATATATACCTACTGTATACTCACAAAAATTATTTTAAAAAATTTTAAATATATATTATGTTGTACCTGCGAAATTCAGGATAATTAACTGAAATGCTGTCAGAAACAATAAAATGGGGAGCAAAACCCAAAACCAAAATAATCTGCTTTATAATTAAGACCAAAACACATTTCAGTTCCTGCCTTGCCTAAATAAACACCATAGGTCTTACTCATTAGTTCTTTGGCCACCCAGCTATCTCTCCAATAAGTTAAGAGTGAATGTTATATGTAACTCAGAGCTTTTGTAGAGGATCATTATATTTCATTCCTTCAGCTAGCATCGTATGATTATTTACTACATACCAGTCCTAGGCCTTTTTTGTAATACAATGATGAATAAGCTGCACTTTCTCTTCTCCAGGGTCTTACAGTCTAGAAAAGGAGTTAAGACATACATGCAAACAGGTGAAATGCAAGATAGAAAATAAGTTTCAAACAGAGTTTTGTGGTAGGCAGAAAGGCCCCTCCAATGATCCTGTGAATATGTTGTCTTACATAGCAAAAAAGTACCTTGCAGATATAAATAAGATCCTGGACATTAAAATAGGAGAAAATCTTGAAATATCTGGGTGGAACCAATTAAATCACATAAGCCCTTAAAAGCAGAGAACTTTGGCTGGCAGAAGAGAGATACAGTAGAATGGAAAGTCAGAGAGATCTCATGCATGATAAGGATTCGATATGTCATTTGTTTGCTCTGTGATATAGTGGCCCATGCGCAAGAAATGAAGAGGCTTTGATGAGCTAAGGAGACCCTCAGATGACAGCCAGAAAGAAATGGGAACCTTAGTCGTAAAACCATAAGGAACTGAATGCCACCAATAACTTGAATTATCTTGGAAGAGAATTCTCCAATTAAGAGTCTAGCTGGCAAACATCTTCATTTCAACCTTGTGAATCTTGGAGCAGCAAAACCATCCTAGCCTACTTGGACTTCTGACCTACAGAACTGTAAGGGAATAAGTTTGTATTGTTTAAAGCTACTAAATTTGTGGTAATTTGTTATGGAACCAACAGAAAACTAACAAAGGTGCTACAGAAATTCAGAGGAAGAAAAGATGGCCTCAGACAAATATAATTTGGGAACACTTCCTGGGAAAAGTGACATTTGAGGTGGGCATTATGATTGGGTAGTAGTGATGATGAGTTAGTTCATTTAGAGAGAAAAATATGAACAAAGCAACATGGAAAATCACAGGGCACATGAGGGGACTATTTAGCTAATACAGTTTAGTCAAGTGAGCATGACTTGTGGGAAGTAAGGCTGGAAAGCTGAGCTGGTGCCAGATCTCAAGAGCCTCAAATTCTTGAAGCAAAATTAATTCAAGCTTTATTTCAGAGGCACTGGGATATCACAGAAGTTTTCTGAGCAAAGAAATGATGGGATTAGATCGAACTTTAGACCCCTGACCTAGAACCATTATGAAACTTCTATTTGTATATTTTGAAGACATTGCCCATTTTGTTATCTTATGTTTCTCTTACAGGTGAACTACTATACACTGAATGTTTGTGTCTTCCCAGAATTCATGTGCCGCAACCTAACCCACAACGTGAGGGTATTTGAAAGTGGTGCTTTTGGGAGGTGATTAGGTCATGAGGGCAGAGCTCTCATAATAGAATTTGTGCTCTGATAAAAGGGACGAGCTCCCTTGATCCCTTCCACCATGTTAGGACACAGCAAGAAGACCCATCTGTAAGCCAGGAAGCAGGCCCTCACCAGACACTAATTCTGTGGGTAACTTGACCCCAGCTTCCAGAACTATAGGAAATAATTTTCTATCGTTTTTAAGATACCAAGTCTATGGTCTTTTTGCTGTAGCAGCCCAAATGGACTACAATGAGGACTTTGGTATAAATTATTCTTTGAATTCAAAACAGAAATTTGGAACTATTTTGAACTGAAAGAAAATAAAAACACTACATATCAAAATTTGTGGGATGCCACTAAAACGTACATAAGGGGATGTTTATTCCACATTAGAAAAGAGGGAAGGTGTCAAGTCAATGCCCTTAGGTTCCAGCTTAAGAAACTAGAAAAAAGAACAAATTAAAACAAAGTAGATAGAAAAAAGGAAATAATAAAGACACAAGTTTCAACCAATAAAATATAAAACGGAAAAACAGTGGGGAAAATAGTGGATGCAACCTAAACCTGGTTCTGTGAGAATATAAAATTGACAAATCTCTAGCCAGACTGATTAGGAAAAAAAGAAACAAGGCAAAAATTATTAATATAGAGAATGAGATGATATCACCACATATAATAGTAGCATAAGAAGAAAATATTATGAACAATTTTATTTCAATAAATTTGACAGGTAAGATGAAGTAAACAAGTCCCTTGAAATCCACAAAGTACCAAAAGCTCATTCAAGGATAAATGGATACTCTCAATAGCCCTATAGCTATAAAATAAATTGAACTTTTAGTTAAAAAATCTTCCCACAAATAAAACCCTCCGGAACCCCCCAGAAAAAGACCTTGTGAATTTTACCAAACATTTAAAGAGGAAATAATACCAATTATACATAAACTCCCCATAAAATTGAAGAAAGGAAACACTTCTTAAGTAATTATAAGAGACCATTGTTGCCCTAATATCAAAATCAGACAAAGGCATTACAAAAAAATGTACAGGTCGGTATCTCTCATGAACATAAATATAAACATATAAAATATTAGCAAATTAAATCCAATAATATGTTTACTTTTAAAAGGACATTACATCATGACCAAGTGGAATTTATCCCAGAAATGCAAGGTTAGTTTAAAATTTAAAAATTAAGGCTGGGGGCAGTGGCTCACACTTGTAATCCCAGCACTTTGGGAGGCTGATACAGGCTGATCGCCTTAGGTCAGGAGTTCAAGACCAGCAGGGCCAACATGGTGAAACACTGTCTCTATAAAAATACAAAAATTAGCTGGGCATTATGGCGGGTGCCTGTAATCCCAGCTACTCAGGAGGCTGAGGTGGGAGAATCGCTTGAACCCAGCAGGTGGAGGTTGCACAGTGAGCCAAGATCGCACCATTGCACTCCAGCCTGGGTGACAGAGTGAGACTCCCTCTCAAAATAATAATAATAATAATAATAATAATAATTGATGTAATTCACCCTATTAAAAATGAAATATCATATGATCATTTCAAAATATTCAGTAAAAGCTTTTGCCAAAATCCAACATCCATTCTTCATTGAAACAATGAGCAAACTAAGAATAGAAAGGAACTTCCTCAACCTGAAAAAGAGCATACATCAAAAACCTACAGCTAACATCATAATTGATGGTGAGAGACTGAATATTTATTCTTATGACCAGGAAGAATGCAAAATATGTACACTTATCACTTCTATTCAATATTGCACTGGAAGTTCTCTTCAGTGCAATAAGCAAGAAAAGGACATAAAATGTGTACATATTAGAAAGAAGGAAGGAAACTGTCTTTATTTTCAGATGACATAATCATTTATGTAGAAAATGTGATGGAATCTACAAAAGCTACTGGAGCTGATAAGTGAGATTGTTAAGGATTCAGAATACAAAATCAATATACAAAATAAGTGGCTTTCTATATATTAGTAGCAAATAATATGAGATTAAAATTTTAAAATGCCACATATGTCAGCATCAAAAATACAAAATATTTAGGGGTAATATAACACTGAACCCAATAACCCTCCTTTCTTCCCCCACCAACTCCATAGTTAGAAAGAATGAATAAGACCTAGTATTTGGTAACACAACAGGGTGACTACAGTAAAAAAAATTAATTGTACATTGTCAAATCACAAAGAGTATAATTGGACTGTTTATAACACAAAGGATAAATGCTTGAGGGGATGGATACCCCATTCTCCATGATGTAATTATTATGCATTGCATGCCTGTATCAAAACATCTCATGTAACCCACAAATACATACACCTACTACATACCCACAAATTTTTTTTAAAATCTCACACTGAAACTGAAAATATTGCTGAGCAAAATTAAAGAAGATCTAGATACGTGGGGAGATATATTCATGAATTAGAAGACTCTATTTTGTTAAGATGTCAAATATCTCAAAATTTGTCTGTGGATTTAGTGTGATCCCAGTCAAAATCCCAGCAGACTTTGTGTAGTGTTTGACAAGCTGCTTTACAATACACATGACATTGCACAGGACCTAGAATATTCAAAATAACTTTTAAAAAGAAGAACGAAGTTGGAGTGTTAACACTACCTATTTTAAAGTTTTAATGTAAACCTACCATGAGCTAAAAAGTGTGGTACTGCCATAAAGACAGACAAATAAACCAATAGAACATAACAGAATGTCCAGAAATAGACTTACACATATGCTCAACTGATTATTGACAGAGTTGCAAAGGCAATTCACTGGAGAAATAATAGACTTTTCCATAAATGGAGCTGGAACAATTGGATATCTATATGCAAAAAATGAACTTTTATCATACCTTGCACCATATACAAAAAATAACTCGAAATAGCTCATTGACATGATTGTGAAACCTAAAACTATAAAACTTTCATCAGGAAATATAGGAGAAATTCATTGAGACCTTGGTTAGGCAAAGATTTCCAGGTACAACACCAAAAAGCATAAGTCATAAAATAACAAGTTACATAAATCAGACTTCGCAAAAATCTAAAACTTCTGCTTTTCTTTTCTTTTTTTCTTTCCTTTTCTTTTTTTTCTTTTTTTTTTTTTTTTTTTGAAACGGGGTCTTGCTCTGTCACCCAGGCTGGAGTGCAGTGGCATGATCTCGGCTCACTGCAAGCTCTGCCTCCCAGGTTCACACCATTCTCCTGCCTCAGCCTCCCGAGTAGCTGGGACTACAGGCACCCACCACCACGCCCGGCTAATTTTTTTGTATTTTTAGTAGAGATGGGGTTTCACCGTGTTAGCCAGGACAGTCTTGATCTCCTGACCTCGTGATCCACCCGCCTCAGCCTCCCAAAGTGCTGGGATTACAGGCGTGAGCCACCGCCCGGCCTACTTCTGCTTTTAAAAATAAACTTTTTATTTTATTTTATTTTATTTTATTTTATTTTATTTTATTTTATTTTATTTTATTTTATTTTATTTTATTTTATTTTTGAGGCAGAGTCTCACTCTGTCACCCAGGCTGGAGTGCAGTGGCACGATCTCGGATCACTACAACCTCCACCTGCTGGGTTCAAGCGATTCTTGTGACTCAGCCTCCCGAGTAGCTGGGATTATAGGCGTGTGCTACCATGCTGGGCTAATTTTTGTATTTTTAGTAGAGACGGGGTTTTACCATGTAGGCCAGGCTTATCTTGAATTCCTGGCCTCAAGTGATCCGTCCGCCTTGGCCACCCAAAGTGTTGGGATTACTGGAGTGAGCCACTATGCCCCACCCTAAAATAAGCTGTTAAGAGAATGAAAATGAAATCCACAGATGATAAGGAAATAATTGTAAATGAAATAATTTGCCAAGGGACTTATATCCATAATATCTATCTATCTATATATCTCAAGCTCCATCAAAAGAAAACAAACAACCCAATCAAAAGATGGGCAAACAGGATAAAAGGATGGCAAATAAGCCATGAAAATATGTTCAGCATTGTTACCCACTAGAAAAACGCAAATTCAATTTTGTCATGACAATAAGGGAAAACTCAAAATGAAAAGTCAAGGGAAAAGAAGAAAATCAAGAGGACAAAACAGGACAGTAGAGAAAAGGGGAAGAAAGGAAAGAGAAGAGGAGAAGGAGGCATAGGGACATAAAGAATAGGATGCAGGCAGTGGAAGCAAGAGAACAGAAACAAGGTCATTTTTGGTCCTGGCAACACAGAGCTGAGTGAAAGTGGGCTCTTTCTCCTCCTTTGTAGGGCAGGAGTTGCAACAGCTCCTTTACTCCTTTTTTACACCCGTTGGGATTCCACTGCAGGCCGATGAGCCAAAATCTTTTTTGAGATTCTCAACAGCTATGATCTTAAGAGTTAGCAGACTCTAGGGTATGGTATCAATCAATCCATTTTAAGCAGTCATTTGCACCTGTTAGTTTGTAAGAGGAAATCAATTTGAATATAGACAAGGTATCAAATGCCTTCATTCGACTAGAGAAAAAGCTGGATAAGTCCCCTGATTGAATTAACAACTGAGAATAACATCTTAGATATGTGTAACTCTAGCTTATTACACATTTTTTTCTCCCTTTCTCTTAAATGCATAAGATATCGTATCCTCTTAGGAAAGATGCTCCCCATTGCAGAGACAAAAGAACAAAGGTCTCCTATGAGGCTGAGGATAGAGGTAGAAAATACCTCTTCTTAAATTGTTTTAGTACAATTACTGATTATTGAATTTAGGATAGATTTTCTGAGTATCTTTTGTTCTCCAGCCCTCCTGCAGTAGGGAAAATGTCAGACAACATCTCTCATTGAGAGATGATGCAAAGCATCATAATGTGCCTATGTTGATGCTGAGTTCTGTGGTTAATCATTTGTTTAGTTATTCATTTCAGGGGCCTACATTACATCAAAGAAATACTTTGAGAAGTAACAAATGAGCGACTAGCCTTGGGAATAGATTCAACACAAAGAGAATGCATCCTATGCTTACAGACCCATTCATATAGGTGCTATGGTTTGACTGTGTCCCCCAAAAGCTCATATATTGGAATCTTAATTGCCATTGTAACACTACTAAGAGGCAGGGCCTTTAAAAAGTGATTAGGCATGAAGGCTTTGCCCTCACCAGTGGATTAATGCTGTTATTGTGGGAGTGGTCTCCTGAAAAAAAATAAGTTCGACCACTATTTTTTCTCTGTCTCCTACATTTGCTTTCACCTTCTGATCTTCTGCCATGGGGTGACCCTTGCCAGATGCCAGCATCACACTCTTGGACTTCTCACCCTCCAAGCCCAAGAGCCAATTAAACTTTTGTTCTTTATAAGTTACCCTGTCTGTGGTATTCTGTTATAGCAGAGAAAATAGACTAAGATAATAGACAACACCTAATGCTGTTAGCAGCCATATTTTGTGTTTGAAGCCACCTGGCATATGAATTCTCCCTAAGGTACAGTTCAGATGGAAATGTTGTTGAAGCATCTCACTTTCATGGTTACATTTTTCCAGATTCTAGTAAGAGAGCCAGCTGCTCTCACACTTACGGCCTTAGAACAGTCCCGCTGGGCCCTGGTGATATTCTTTCTCTGCTCCCTTCCTCATGGATGTCACTGCAGTGTTGCACTGGGAAGCTTCTAAGATAGCAGCCTCTGCTCCTTGCCTTGAAATATCCATGTGCAATCTCCCAGAGATCTCTCAAGAATCAAATGCAACTTCTCTATCAACAACCCTTCACAATGGCGTCTCTGCTGATCTCTGGAGCTGATGAGAGGCCCTAGAGCCAGACCTACATATTCTCCTGCTGAGGTGGAGAGCAGAACCCTCCCAGCACTGACTGGGAGACATTCTGTTGAGCCAGACTGCCACCATCAGTGACAAGGCTTGAGAAGAGCAGTACACTCTGCTGTTTCCTCACAGGGAAGCCTCTGCTGAGGCTACTTAGCTGAAAAATATGGCTTTAAGGGTAATGAAAGCCGTTTGAATGCTTCTTACCCCACATCATTATGTAAGAGGCAGCATAGTAATTGGCAGTATCAAATTTGAAGCTGGCCCATTTTAGTTTGTATGCCAACCCTGTTTGATCATGGGCAAGTCATTTAACTTTCCTATGCCTCAGTATCCTCATCTGTAAAATGTGAATAATAATCATAACTACCTTACAGAGATGTTGTCAGCATTCAGTGAATTAATTAATATATGAAGCACTTAGAATAGGCCCTCAACATTATAAGCACAACATAATGTTTTACCATTATGATCTTTGGTGACTCATCATGACCTTTCTACGAACTTCCAAGGCCACATTTAGTCCCCTCCTCCCAAAGCAAACATACACACATGCACATATCCTTTATTCACTCTAAGCAGACTCTAAGGCACATACCAATTTCATGAACAAATTCTGAGGTTGGAAAGCAAAATGTCAGCTTACAACCAAACAACCACTTTGTCAATCCATATGGACATTAACCAGTGCACCTTGGCTGCAACATAGAGTTCTGCATTTCTCTTTTAGTGGAATGAGGTTAATCCATCCCAATCATAACACACTTACACTGGATAGATTTACTGGATTGCTTACGTTTCGGAGGATAAGCTTTTAAAACACTTACATAAAACAATTGCCCTTTGAACTCCAGACTACTAATTTAGTGAATTCTTCACTATTTCTAGATGCTCTGATAACAGAGGTTAAGGGGACAGTCACAAAAACAGGCAAGAAACTGGATGAAAGTAGAAACCCTAAATTCACAAACTAGGACAAAAATGACCTGATATCTAGACTCTATCTACCTCCAAGGCAGTTCTGCTCTTTTAATATTATGTAAAGTACTAAATTTAACATTAGGTAAAGCACTATATTATGTAAAGTATGAAGGATGTGCATCAATTGAACAACATTACATCTAAGAGATATCATCAGGGAACAAGAAAGTAAGCAACAATCTGCAAAAAAAAAAAAAAAAAAAAAAAAAAGCAATAAGTGAAACCTAGTAACCAACTTCTCTCTAACAGCAATGGCACAGAGATGAGAAGAAGCTGCTAACAAACTGAATCCCTGTTCCGTGCCAGATTCTATACCCACCTAACTACACTGACTCCTTACAACACCCTGCCAAGTTTTATTATGCCCATTTTGCAGATTCAGAAATTGAGACTAATACAGATTGTCTAACATGCCCTGAGAACACCAAACTAGGAAGTGGTCAAGTTATAATCTGAAACTAAGTTTGATGTCAAAGTCTGGATTCTATTTCCTGCACCAGCCCACCTGTTCAAAGTGTGATAAGCCAATATTCACCAAACAGCCTCAAAGTTATGTGTGCTTTCTCAGTAAAATAATTGTTCTGGAAATTTCACCACTCCCCAAGGACCCCCTATAGTATATGTAAGGGTTGGGAGAGAGATAAACTGGGGAAAATGAGGATCAGTGAAGCACAAAAGTAAAAGCATCAAGGACACAGTAAGGTCAGTTGACAACACATTGATTTAGTGAATCAATTTTGAACTTGAATTATTGGATCTATCCATAATTTTAACCCTTCACTTGGCTCGCATCTACTCAGCTACGACACAAGCAGAAATGTAAACCAGTGACCATTTTACTTGAAGCACCTGGAATAATGGAAAAGAATATTGGATTTGGGTTTTGGTCACAGCCTCTTTAATGATATAGGCAATTCATAATTTCTCTGGGCTTCAGTTTCTCCCCCTAATAAAAAAATGAAGGTAGAGAGAACTTCTGAAATGATGGGATAAGCAGCTCAACAGATGCTCTTTCTAGCAAAACAATCATTGAGCTGCTGAAAATTATATAAAACAATCATTTAACATGAATATTGTCCTAAGGGCATACAGCAAATGGAGAAATATTCATTCAAGTAAATTTACTAAATTTTGGTGAGAACAATGAAAGTCTTATCTACCCCTCCCAGCTTCATGTTATGGAAGCTCCCTGTCTGGGGCTATGATTTCACACCAAGAGGTGTCAGGATGCTGATGTTTCTTATTACCCCAGCACCACGTTGCAGAAGGTCTATTCTAGGCAGGGATGGCCAAGATAACTGGGTCTCCGACCGAGCCCCCTTGCCTTGCAGGATGGAAGATCTACCCCAGGTGTGGCAAACCAAGAATCCTGACCTGAATTATCTCTGCCCCAGGTTGCTCTTAGGGCGGACAGTCCACACCAGGAGGGGAAAGCTAAGAAGACCAGGGGTTTCCACCCTCCCTCCTGTACCAATCTCATAGAGTGTGTTTGTCACTCCAAAAAACCTTGGTCCCTGGCCCTAGTTCTAGGCCAGTGTCATAGGGATTCGTCCCAGGGAGAAAGTCAGGCCATAAGGGTGAAGAGCTCCACAGACTAAATATGAAACAGAGTATGAAGAACTCCATGCCTAAGAGTGTTATAGAAAACAGTGGCAATCTTGGTGGAGACCAGTTAAGAAGAAGTTGGTACCTCTATGACATGAGCAAAATAGCAGAGCATCTGGAAGTTTAATAGAGAGAATCAGAGAAAGAGATAGTTAAGAAGAGCCCTCCTAGCATCACAGTCAAATCTGTTGGGCTGGGAAAGCTGTGAGCATGTGATAGGTTTTACTCACTCAGGAGCAATCAGAACAGAACATGATGAAGACCTGAAAGCATTCCCCAAGCCACACACAGATCTCTCAACATAGAGTGGAACCCTCACTTGGCATAAGGTGCTTAAACACACCTCTGACCAAATGCTAAACAATAAGCTGCTCTGACCCAAGAGCAACTCCCAAGAAACCAGGCCTAAAAATAATATCACAGTCATCCCTAGAAATCTATAAGACTAGGGGCATACCCAAGGCTGTGCTGTCTTAGGAATTGAGTGGAAACTTCTAAACTACTAGTTCCTGGCTGAATGTGCAGCCAAAAAATATAAACTTCCTGACAGATCACCAAGACAGAAAGTCAACAAAGAAACAACGGACTTAAACTACACTCTAGAACAAAAGGACCTAAAAGATATTTATAGAACATTCTACCCAAGAAATGCAGAATATACATTCTATTCATCAGTACATGGAATACTTTCCAAGATTGACCATATGATAGGCCGCAAAACAAGTCTCAATAAATTTAAGAAAATCAAAATATTATCAAGTATCTTCTCAGACCACAATGGAATAAAACTAGAAATTACTCCAAAATGAACCCCCAAAACTATATAAATACAAGGAAATTAAACAATCTACTCCTGAATGATTTTTGGGTTATCAATGATACCAAGATGGAAATTAAATATTTCTTTAAAATGAATGACAATAGTGACACAAGTTATTAAAACCGCTGAGATACAGCAAAAGCAGTGCTAAGATGAAAGTTTATAGTGCTAAATGCCTACATCAAAAGATCTGAAAGATTACAAATCTACAATCTAATGTCACACCTCAAGGAACTAGAGAAACAAGAACAAACTAAACCTGAATTTTAGCAGAACAAAAGAAATAACAAATATCAGAGCAGAACTAAATGAAATTGAAACAAGCAAACAAAAAATACAAAAGATCAATGAAACAAAAAGCTTGTTCTTTGAAAACATAAACAAAATTGGTATACCATTAGGTAGATTTACCAAGATAAGAAAAGAGAAGATTCGAATAGGCTCAATTAGAAATGAAACTGGAGACATTACAACCTACACAACAGGGCTTGTTTGAGACTGCTATGAACACCTCTATGTACATAAACTAGAAAACCTAGAGGAAATGGATAAATTCCTGGAAATACACAACCCTCCTATATGAAATCAGGAAGAAACAGAAATTCTGAACACACCAATAACAAGCAGTGAGATTGAATGGGTAATAATAATTTTTTAAAAAAGCCAAGGGCCAGATGGTTTCACAGCTGAAGTCTACCAGACGTTCAAAGAAGAGTTGAAACCAATTCTACTGAAATTATTCCAAAACGTTGAGAAAAAGGGATTGCTCCCTAAATCATTCTATGAAGTCAGTATCACCCTGATACCAAAACCAGGAAAGGACATAACAAAAAAGAAAGCTACAGATCAATATCCTTGATGAACATAGATGCAAAAATTCTCAACAAAATGCTAGCTAGCTGGATCCAATAGCATATGAAAAAGATAATATGCCATTTTCAATTTTTTTTCATCCCAGGGATGCAGGGATGGTTTAACATACACAAGTCAAAAAATGTGATGCATCATATAAACAGAATTAAAAACAAAAACCATACAATCATCTCAATACATGCAGAAAAAGCATTTACTAAAATCCAGCATCCCTTTATGACAAAACAAACTAGGCATAGAAAGGACTTACCTCAAGTTAAGAAAAGCCATATATGACAAACCCACAGCCAACATCAAACTGAATGGGGACAAGTTGAAAGCATTCCCCTTGAGAAACGGAACAATACAAGAATGCCCACTTTCATCATTTCTATTCAACATAATACTGGAAGTTCTAGCCAGAGCAATCATGCAAGAGAAAGAAATAAAGGGGCATCCAAATCGGAAAAAAAGGAAGTCAAACTATCACTGTTCACTGATGATATGATCGTATACCTAGAAAACCATAAAGACTCTTCCAAAAGACTCCCGGATTTGATAAATAAATTCAATAAACTCTCGGGTTACAAAATCAAGGTAAACAAATCGATAGCACCGTTATACAGCACCAATGATCAAGCTGAGAATCAAATAAAGAACTCAATCTCTTTTACAACTGCAAAACAAATAAAATATCTAGGAATATACTTAACCAAGGAGATGAAAGTTCTATAGAAGAGGAACTACAAAACACTGCTGAAAAAAAACATACATGATACAAACAAATGGAAACACATCCTATGCTGATGGATTGCAATAATCAATATTGTGAAAATGACCATACTCCCCAAAGCAATCTACAGATTCAATGCAATTCTGTTCAAAATACCAACATTGTTTTTCACAGAATTAGAAAAAAAAATCCTAAAATTCATATGGAACCAAAAAAGAGCCCAAATTGCCAAATCAATCTTAAGCACAAAGAATAAATCTAGACGCAGCACTTTATTGGACATCAAGTTATACTACAAGGTTATAGTTACCAAAACAGCATGGTTCTGGTGGGGAAAAAAAGTAGGCACATAGATCAATAGAACAGAATAGAGAACCCCAAAATAAAGCCAAATACTTACAACTAACTGATCTTTGACAAAGCATACAGAAGCGTAAATTGAGGAAAATACACTCTATTTAATAAATGGTACTGGGAAAACTGGCTAGCCACAAGTAGAAGAATGAAACTCGATATCTATCTCTCACCTTATAGAAAAGTTAACTCAAGGTGGATCAAAGACTTAAATCTAAGACATGAAACCATAAAAACACTAGAAGATAACATTGTAAAAACTCTTCTGGACGTTGGCTTAAGCAAAGAATTCATGACTGACACCCGCAAAGCACATGCAACAGAAACAAAAATAAATAAATGGGACCGGATTAAATTAAATAGTTTCTGCACAGCAAGAGAAATAATCATCAGAGTAAACAGACAATCCACAGAATGGGAGAAAATATTTTCAAACTATGCATCTGAAAAAGGACTAGTATCCAGAATCTACAAGGAACTGAAACAAATCAGCAAGGAAAAAACAAAAAAACAAAAAAACTAATAATCCCATCAAAAGTGGGCAAAGGACATGAACAGACTTTTCTCAAAAGGAGATATTCAAGTGGACAGCAAACATATGAAAAATGCTTAACATCACTAATCATCAGGAAAATGCAAATTAAACCACAATGATATACCACCTTATTCCTGCAAAAAATCCCATTATTAAAAAGTCAGAACACAATAGATGTTGGCATGGATATGGTGAAAGAGGAATACTTATACACTGCTGGTGGGAATGTAAGTTACTACAACCTCTATGGAAAACAGTATGGAAATTTCTTAAAGAACTAAAAGTAGATCTACCATTCAATTCAGCAATCTCACTACTGGTTGTCTACCCAAAGGAAAATAAGTCATTATATCAAAGAGACACATGCACATGTATGTTTCTTGCAGCACAATTCACAATTGCAAAGATATAGAACCAACCATTAAGTGCCCATTAACCAAAATGGATGAAGAAAATGTGGTATATATACATCATGTAATAGTACTCAGTCATAAAAAGGACTGTAATAATGTCTTTTGCAGCAACTGGGATGAAACTCGAGGCCATTATTCAGAGTGAAGTAACTCAGGAATGGAAAACCAAATACTGTATGCTTCCATTTATAAGTGGAAGCTAAGCTGTGAGTATGCAAGGCATATATACAGAGTGATATAATGGACTTTGGAGACTCATAATGGGGAGGTTGGGAAGGGGTATGTGGGATTAAAAAAAAATACATATTGGGTACAACGTACACTACTCAGGTGATAGGTGCACTAAAATCTCAGAATTTGCCCCTATATAATTCACCCTTGCAACCAAAAGCCACTTGTACACCAAAAGCTATTGAAATAACAAAATACTAAAAACAGAAGTTAAAAAAGAAAAGTATAATTCAAATTTTAAAAAATCACCAGAGGAATTCAACAGTAGGTTTGAGGTGGAGAAAAAAGAATCATTAAACTTGAACATAGATCAATAGTGCTTATGCAACTGAAGAACAGAGGAAAAAAATGATGAAAAACAGATACTCAGAGAAATGTGAGACATCATTTCAGCCCACCAAACTGCTGTTATGTGTTTGTGTTTGTCTGTGTTTTAACCATTTTCTTGCTGCTTTTGTCTTATTCTGGTTATTCCTTTAAAACTTATGATGAAAATATAGTTACATTTCCTAATTTTCTAAAAGAGAAATGGTTAAAACACTAGTGCTTTTTAACAGGCTTAGAAGAGAAAGTATCGATACCTTTGTTACTTATAGCCATGATTGCCTCATATATTTGCCAATTTGTCAACTAAAGGAGGAATCCACTGTGAGAAGACCTAAACTGTAGATTTCTGAAGCTAGCATTTGACGGAAAATTTGCCAAAATTTAGTTCATATTTTAAAATTTTAGGTAAGTCAGAAACTTAATTTTCACAGTATTTCTTATAAATTGCAATAGTTATTATGTATCTATTGGCACCTTTCCAGAAGTTATTTATCAATTATTTACCACTGAGAAAATAATAATAATCTAGACTTAACTGAAGAAAACAAAAAGAAAAGCATAACAGAAGCAAATTATTTCTAGACTCCCCCTAAATCACTGCAGAGTCCTATTTTAATAGTGTGTGAGAGTACCAGTTGTGTTAAAGGCAGGCTGCCTAACAGCTCAGCCTCTCAAATTACTGACCAATGGATGGTCATTTTCAGAAATGGGACTGGAAACAAAATGGAAAACATTATGCTCCATTTCTTGTGTATAATCATTATCCAGTGTTACACGTGGACCGCTATGTCCAGGTCTGGGGACGATTCAGAAAAAGAAGAAATATCAGAGGGCGTCTTCATAATTTTACGTAAGGGAAGTAGCAGAATGATATACGAAAGAGAAAAGTCTCCTTCAATGTGAGAAGAAAAGAGAAGGTATAAACATTTATATAAACCCAAGAAAGGCACTATGTTAAGTTGTATAGAGAGGGCTACCATTAAATTGTCACCAAATCCTGGAATATTCTAGGATCCTGGTCTAATGACTCCTCTTGAATCCTGGAGAAGGTGTTAGAATACATAAATTAAGATGTAGTAGCCAAAGAAATGACAATCTGCATAGCATAGTGGTTAAGAATACAAACTCTAGAGTCAGATTGTCTGAGCTAAAAGCCTGGATTTACCACAAACTAGTTATACGATGTTGGGCAAGTTACCCTTCCTGAACTTCAGATGCCTTGTCTATAAAATGGGGACAGTAATAGTACCTACCTCAATAGGGTTGCTACAAAGATTAAATGAGTTAATATTGCTGCACAATAAGAACTATAAAAGTGCTCGTAGAATTTTTAAAAATTTATATGAATGGTGATTTCACTTTTTCAGAGAACTTTAGGGCTCACATGTCACTTTTATAAGCATTAGCTCATTCAATCCTCCCACACACCCAGTGTGTGTGCATAATTAACCCAATTTTAGAGATGAATAAACTGATTTCTAAGTGTTAATAATGATAACAATAGCTAAGGTGTATTAGGCATCTATATTGTATCAAACATTGTGCTAAGACCTTACACAATTTTCTTTTTTTTTTTGTTAAGTTTCATATTTTAGTTAATAGTGCTCATCAAACTGAATATTGATAAGCAGAGTGATGAGATATATAAGGCAGATGGGAAGAAAACATGGAATTAGAGTTTTTAAATCCACAGGATATCATGATAAAGGGTTTTAAGCAGATACTTCATAACTAGTGCCATACTAATTTAGTTAGAAATTAAATCATGTTTTGGAATTGAAAGCCAAAGGCAAAAAGAGCTCTCCTGTGCTGAATGGCACTGCCCGAGTACAGGAATGGAAGGAGCATTCACTGCAGGAGGCCTCAGCACATCACTCGGTGGTGATGAAGCCACTCAGCCAGTCAGGTATGGAGGAGGGCCCCCCCACTCTGCCAGCATCAGGACCAGACCTCTGGGCGTGGCTGATCCCAGCTCTGGAATCTGAAGGGATGACAGGGACATTCACCTCTGCTGGTTTGAAGTCTCTAACAATTTTCTTTTTAATATGATATATAATATCTCTGTGAAGTAAGGACTTTCTTGCATACGTATATGTAACATATAATACAGATATATTATTACATATATACATATTAACATAAATGCTATTCATTTGCATATTATTATACAGATCGAACATCTGGAATTTGGAAATCTGAAATCCAACATACTCTGAAATCCAAAACTTTTTGAGAACCAACACGATATTCAAAGGAAATGCTCATTGGAGCATGCTGGATTTTGGTTATTTTTATTTAAGACTCCGAACCTGTATAACTCAAATATTACAAAATCAAATTATAAATCTGAAGCACTTCTGGTCTCAAGCTTTTCAGATAAGGGATACTTAATCTGTATCTATCTTGGGGGACTACTTGAGAATAAATCATAGACATGATGCCCTTTTATCCCTAAATACTTTTGTGTGTATTTTCTGTAAACAAAGAAATTATCTGACATAACCACAGTCCAATGATCAAAACTGATAAATTACCATTGGTGCAATATTATTTATCTACTCTACAGACTTCATTCAGATTTTTCTAATTGTCCCAGTAATGTCTTATACAGCAAATGAAATACAGAAACATGTGGTACATTCAATTGTCATATTTAGTTAGTCTCCCTTAACCTAAAATACAGTCTTTGTGTTTCAAGACACTGAAATTTCTGACGGTATCAACTAGTTGTAGCATATCCCTCAGTTTTAGTTTGTCTGAGGCTTACTCATGATTATATTCAGGTTATACATTTTTTGTCAAGAATAACCCTCAAGTGACATTGGGTTCTTTGAGCATCGTATCAGGAGGCACATGATGTCCATCGGTGCCACTACTGGTGATGTTAATTTTGATCCTTGTTTAAAGTGATATCTATCAGGGTTTTCTCATTGTGAAGTAGCTATTTTTCCCCTTTGTAATTAATAAGCTTCTTATGGGGGGGATATTTTGAAACTATATAAATATTCTGCTATTCCTCAAAATTCTACACACTAGATTTAGTAGATTCTTGCCAGAAACAATTATTACTATAATAGTTGCCAAATGATAAATTTCTAATTTCATAATTTCTTCTACATTTATTAGCTGGCTTTCTATTCCAAGAAGGACCTTCCCCTTCTCCTTTTATTCCTTATTCATTACATCAGTGTGGACTCATGGATTTTTATTTTATTTTATGAGATAAAGTCCTTTACTATCATTTATTTAGAAGCTTAATTTGTTGCTGGGCATGGTGGCTCATGTCTGCAATCCCAGCGACTTGGGAGGCTAAAGTAGGAGGATTCTTGAGGCCAGGAGTTTGAGACAAGCCTCAGCAACATAGCAAGACCATGCCTCTAAAAATATAAAAATAAAAAATTAGCCTGGCATAATGGTATTCACCTGTAGTCCCAGTGCTATTCAGGAGGTTGATTTGAGAGGATGGCTTGGGCCCAGGAATTCAAGGTTGCAGTGAGCTATGATTGTGCTACTGCACTCCAGCCAGTTTAAAAAAAAAGAAAAAGAAAAAGAAAAAAAGAAAAGAAAAGAACAAAAAGAAGCTCAAATTGTCCCTGATTTGGCCAAGTGTGTGCCCCTTAAAGCTGCCTCCTGCTTCATTTTGACATGCCCCCATCAAGCTTTGAACAGTTTCTTACTTTCTGGCATAGCAGGATATTCCAGATTCATCTCGTTCTTTTCCTGCCGCAGCCTTGCATTCATCCATTTCTCCAAGGAGCCTTGATTCCTTTGAGTTTTTAGAAACCAAGATCTGAGTGCTAGGTGTGCCCATTGTTTCTTGAGAGTCATTGCTTTTAGACCCTCTCAGCTAGCAAAGAAAAAATAATATATATATATAATATCCATATACGCCAATATTTATTTACATATCTATCTCTAGGCTATATTTAAATCCATGATTTCACACTAATACCTCCAAGTTCAGTCCAACACTACAGGATTTATTCTATTTTTTTTCATCTTCCATATTTATAACTCCCTTCTCTGACAATAAGAAACCTAGCTTCCTTTATCCACAGTATATTTACTTATTTGGTCAATCCTAGGATACACAAAAAGTAATTTCAGTATCGCTCACCCACCCCTCTGAGAAATAAAAGCCTACAAAGTAGAGGTCAATATTGTTTTAGAGTTCTTTTTGTCTTTAGCCCCAACGTCGTATTGTCCAAATGCTATGTTCAAAGGTTATTTGAGGGCGAGAAGAGTGACAGCCCAGCAGCCCAGCTTTGCAAAGTCTCTAGACGCAAAGGAAGAGCCCAAGAGGAGATGTGAGGTTCTCAGTTAAGCCTGCCCCTGCAAAAGTTGAAACAAAGCCCAAAAATAAATAAATAAATAAATAAAAAGCAGCAGGAAAGGATAAATCCTCAGAAAAAAAGTGCAAACAAAAGGGAAAAGGGGAACAAAGGGCAAACAGGCTGCATAGGCTAACCGAGAAACTAAAGATTTACCTGCAGAAAACCGAGAGCTAAAATGGAGGAGCATCTAGCCTCTGATGACGTAGGAAAGAAAGACACCAAGTCTGATTAATGTGGAATAATTTTTATCAACTATTTTGAAGATGCAAGCTTTTTAGTAGCTCTAGACACATTTTTAAGAAGACAGGAATGCTACTTCATTCATTTGCTAAGAGTAAATGGTTTTAAGAGGTGAAACCATTTGCTGGTAATTATTATTATTGTTATTATTATTAGGTACAATGAGAAAATAGTGAGACATTGAATTGTAGGAGGCATTCACTGCCTTGGGTACCAATTTCATATCCCATAGACTGGAGGGAGGCAGTTTTTGTATCCTGTAATACAAAGCATACTAAATGGCAACTTGGAGTCACAGTCATACATTTAATATGTCTTAAACACTTAAAATTACTTCTATTCTCATGTTGTTTTTCAGTAGGATTGTTTCTTAAAGAAAACCTCTCCCTGACCTTGGCTCTCCCTGTCAGAATTGTGCGCACTCGGTAATATATTTGGTTGTGGTAGTTTAGATTTCCTAATTACTTTCTTATGTGCTGTGAAAGGTTGAAAATCTGTTTATGCTGGGCGCGGTGGCTCACGCCTGTAATCCCAGCACTTTGGGAGGCCGAGACGGCGGATCACGAGGTCAGGAGATCGAGACCATTCTGGCTAACACGGTGAAACCCAGTCTCTACTAAAAATACAAAAAAATTAGCCGGGCATGGTGGCAGGCACCTGTAGTCCCAGCTACTCGGGAGGCTGAGGCAGGAGAATGGCATGAACCTGGGAGGCGGAGCTTGCAGTGAGCTGAGATCACGCCACTGCACTCCAGCCTGGGCGACAGAGCGAGACTCCATCTTAAAAAAAAAAAAAAAAAAGAAAGAAAGAAAGAAAGAAAAAAAGGAAAATCTGTCTATATAGTAGGTATTATATTGAATTGTGAATTAGTGGGACTTACAATGTAATACGTTTTTAAGCATTTGAAGTTATTGATAGTTGATAACCTCTTAGGAAAAATTGGCCTCTAAATGTTGAACTTGGAAATCATTGAAAAAACTATTTAGCCTCTAAATTTTAAACTGGAAAGTCACTGAAATAACTATTTAGGACAGAATTACAACTACCTAGCTTTTTAGATTTCAGTACATACATTGAAATTTGAAAAAAATTGTTCATAATGTCTGTATACTAATCTTGAAAACAACCAATAAAATCTCAAGTATGAAAGAAAAAGTTATTTAAATTAGTTCTCTTTTTTCACTTTTCACTGTATTTATGTTATCCATTTTAAGGTAAAGTTTAGTTCATTTGTTCTGTTTGTGTTCCATTTTAGTGTTTTCCCAACCTTTGTTGATTTTATTGATTTTCTTTTTTTGAGTATGTGAAACATTACCACAGTTCCAAAAGTTAGAAACGTTTAAAAAGTAATACTCAGAGAAATTTCAGATCCTCTACATTCTTGTCTATCTTTTCCACCCTGTTCCAGCTCACATCTATAGGAAACAGATCTCATTAGTATCTAGTTTATACTTCTTGCATGTTTTATTTTTGCACAAATAAATAGATGCATGAAATTTTCTCATTTGCCCTTCTTAAACAAAATGTAGCACACTGCCTATGCAGTTTTGCACTTTGCTTTTGTTTCACCCAACATTATAACCTGGAAATCACTCCACATCAGTTCATAGAGATCTTCCACATTCTTTTTTTAACAATTATTTTTCATAACTGTATGCACATACTGTAGTTTATTAAACCAGTACAATATTTTGCAATTACAAAGAATACTGCAATGAATAACCTTGTGCATATCTATTTTTGTCTTGGTGGAGGTGAATCTTCAGGGTAAAGTGGGATTACTACATCAAAAAGTAAATGCATGTGTAAGGTTTGTTTAGTATTGCCAAATTTCCCTTCATACAAGTTGTACAAATTTGTGTTCCAACCAGCAATGCATGAAAGTGACTGTTTACCTATAGCTTCACCAACCGATTTGTTTATTGTACTTTTTAGTCTTTACCAGTCTGGTACACGAGAAATGGGCTCTCAGTGTACTTTTACTTTTATCCTGATCATGAGGAAAATTAAATGTCCCTTAATATATTTGAGGGCCATTTAAATTTTCGTGAATTGTTTATTAGTGTCATTTACCTGTTTTGTATCAGGTTTTGGTCTTTTCTCTCAATTCTTAAGAGTTCTTTATATGTTAGCGATATCAGCCCTTTATTTATGATATATGTTGCAACTATTTTCTCCTAATTGTTTTTAATCTTGTTATGGTGTTACTTTTTTACATACATAATTTTTTTTAATGTAGTCAAATGTATCAGTCTTTTCTTTTATTGCCTTTGCATTTTGGACCATAGTTAGAAATCTTCTCCCTATGCCCCAGTTAAGGATGAATTCATGTTTTTTTTCTAGGACTTGTTTGCCTGCTTTTTTTACATTGAGATTCCTTATACACATATAATTTATCCTTATGCACAGTATAAAAATTGATCTCATTTTATCTTTTTCCAAATGGTTAACTAATTTTCTCAGAATCATTTATTAAAATTTTCATTTTTGTTGATAAGAAGTCTCTTGAACTTCATTACATTGATGAAGATACTGAGGCTTAGAAAAGTTAAGAAATTTACCCAATGCCACATGGCTGATGGAGTAAGAGATGGCCCTCTCTGAGGAAGTGACATTCAAACTAGAACCTGAAAGGTGGGAAGGCTACTGCTATGTGAATATTTGAGGGAAAGAACAGCCCAAGCAGGGGTGACAGCAAGTGCCAAGACTCTAAGGCAAGAACAAAATTGGCCAATACAGAAGAATAGTGTAGCTGAAAAGTGGTGAGTATGGGGAGAGGGTAGGAAATGATGAAGAGGTAGGGGAGATATACGCCATAAAAAGCCTTGGTGAGGATTTTGGTTTTACTGTAAGTGCCATGAGGAATTTCTAGAAGTAGTGAGCTCTAATTTATGTGTTTAAATTATTAGTGTTGGCAGCCATTTGAAGAATGGATTAAGAGTATATGACTTCTTGGCTCCTTAATGACAATTTAGAGCTAATAGCATGGTGAAAGCCTTAGAATTTCTAAGATTGGCTGGGTGCAGTGGCTCATGCATGTAATCCCAGCACTTTGGGAAGCCAAGGTGGGTGGATTGCCTGAGCTCAGGAGTTCGAGACCAGCCTGGCCAACACAGTGAAACCCCGTCTCTACTAAAAATACAAAAATTAGCCGGGCATGGTGGCACATGCCTGTAATCCCAGCTACTCAGGAGGCTGAGGCAGGAGAGTCGCTTGAACCTGAGAGTCGGATGTTGCAGTGAACCGAGATCGTGCCATTGCACTCCAGCCTGGGCGACAGAACAAGACTCCATCTCAAAAAACAAAAAAAAAGTACATGACTGATAACGGAGATCAATTATGAGCCTGCTGCAGAAGTCTAGGAGAGAGTTGGTGTCGTTTGCACTAGTATGGTGGCAGTAGAGGCAGAGAGAAATGGACAGATTTAGTAATCATCTAATGTAGTAAAATTGGGGCAATAGAGAGCTTTGCCTTGGCAAATAGTGCATTATGCCCCACCATTTCTTCTAGCTGCAGTGGAACTGAATCCTAGAGTTATAGGAAGACAATTAAACTGAAGACACTAGAACTATAAGAAACTTATTTTAGCTTCAAGTAGAAAATGGTAAATCCATACAATCATGTTCATCTTTGACACTTCATAATTTATGAAAATAAAATATGCTGAGCTTTCATTTAAGCAACATGAATATTGATTCACAGAATATAAGAAATATGAGGCTGGGGAAGCACTAGGATTCAACCAATAGCAAGTATCTCCAATAGTGATGTCAAGAGACAATTTTAAGGAGAAAGCAGCAGTATCTTTTCATGATACTGTATCAGAAGATTACGACTTGCCCCCAGACATTCCAGATTTCTCCATTTGCTGTTCTGGATGGAATGCTCATGAATATATCACTCCAGCCTGGATTTCTCTGAGCTCCAAACTCATATGTCTAACTGACTTCTTGGTGTCTTCACTTATATATCAAGGAGGCACCTTAAAACTACTATGATCACAATTGACATTATCTCTCCTTTCACACTTTGACCCTCTCAATCTTTTTTTCTCCCTCATTTGTACCTCCACCCATCCACCCATCAAGTAAAGCCAGAAACGTGGATATCATCTTTGATTCCTCTCTTTCCTTCAGCACCACCCCATCCAATCCTTCAGTAAATCCTCTAGTCTCTACCTTTAAAGTACAACTTGAACCTTTCACTTTTCTCTGCTACTACTGCCATGATCCTAGGCAATTCCATAATCATCTTTGGCCTGGACTTCTACAAAAGTCTCTTAATCTGCCTATATCCAGCCGTCTCTCTCCACCATCAATTCTATGCATTGACATAAGACATAAAATATATAAGACATAAATCTGAAAATATATTTAAGATTGGACCACTCACCTACTTAAAATCCTTCAAAAGTTTCCTATTACAGTTAGAACAGGGTTTCTCACCTCAGCAATACTGGTATTTCTTTGTTGTGGGTAGGAGGGGCTATCCTGTGCCCTATAAGATGCTTAGCAGCATCTCTGGCCTTTACCCACTACAGTAGCAGCCCACCCCGAGTTGTGACTATCAGAAACGTTTCTAGGCATTGCCAAATGTCCCTTTGGGGAGGGGGGAAGAAAAATTACTACTGATTCATAACCACTAAATTAGAATCAACCCCAATATCTTACCATGGGCTATACAACCTTTCAAGAGCTGAACTCTGCTCACCTCTCTGATTTTAGTGTATATCGTACCTCACTACGCTCACTATATTCCAGCCACAGTAACCATCTTTTTGTTCTGGGAATGTGCTCTAGCCTCAGGGTTTTTTCCTTTGCTTGGGCTAATCCCTCTTTTTGGAATGCTCTCCACAAACATGTCCCTGCCTCATACCACATTTGCTTATTTGACATTTGTTCACTATTCAGATTTTAACTCAGTGAAATATTACTTGATTTCCTAGACCACTGAAGTTCCCTATATGTACAATCTCAGGTACTGGTACACTTCCTACCCAGGGCCATGTCAATGATGGATCACAATTGTATTTCCAGCACACAATCTAGGGTTGGGTTCCTAGGTTCTAAATCCAGCCCCACTACATATTAGCTATGTGACTTTGGAAAAGTCACTTGATTTATTGAAGACTTATTTTCCTCTTCTATGAAAAAGGGGCCTTACTTCATTGGAAGGGGCCTTACTTCATTATTACTCAAAATATTGAGGAATAAATGAATTACCTAATGGAAATTTTTTTACCAGCATACATACCTACCACATAATAACTCAATAAATGCTAGTTACTACTACTGCTGCTGTTGCTGCTGCTACTACTACTACTACTACCACTACTGCTACTAGTACTACTACTACTACTACTATTACCAATTATTGTTATATTTGCATCAAGACAATGTGACCTTAGGTGGAAATTCAGCCATAGCTTTCCAATTATTTCCTTTTTGGCCCAAGAGGAGCAGCACTTTTCCCTTTAAAATATATGAACAGATTGTTCTTTTTGCTGATTTGATTTTTTTTCACCTTTAAGTGGTTATTTGAATATTCTACTGTGAAGAGCAAAATAATAATATTCAGCCAATTCTGCATGGTCCTTTCTTGGTAAATAAATTGGTTTCTGCATTTGTCCATTTTCATGCTGCTGACAGATATACCTGAGACTGGGCAATTAACAAAAGAAAGAAGTTTAATGGAGTTACAGTTCCATGTGGCTGGGAAGGCCTCACAATCATGGCAGAAGGTGAAAGGCACATCTCACGTGGCAGAAGACAAGAGAAGAGAGCTTGTGCAGGGAAATTCCAGTTTTTAAAACAATCAGATCTTGTGAGACTCATTCACTATCACCAGAACAGTGCAGATAAGACCCAACCCCATAATTCAATCACCTCCTACCAGGTTCCTCCCATGACATGTGGGAATTGTGGGAGTTACAATTCAAGATGAGATTCGTGTGCGGCCAAACCATATCAATTTCTTAGGTGTAACTTCTGATACTTGATGACTTTTCTCAGTGCTTGCCTACCTGCTGAACAGAATAAAACAATTATATAATGCTCACATAATCTCCTATTGCTTTTTAAACTCTCATTTTAAGTCATTTTAAACTGTCATTTTAATTATTATTATTTTAATCTTATAAAGAAGACGGTCTGTAGTAGACAGAATAAACACCCCCCTCCTCAAATATCTCCATGTCCTAATCCTGAGAACCTATGAGTATGTTGCCTTCCATGGCCAAAAAAAAAAAAAAAAAAAAAAGACTTTGAAGATATGATTCAGTTGAGGATCTTGAGATGGGGAAATTATCCTGAATTATCCAGGTAGGTGCAACCACAGGGGTCCTTTTAAAGAGGGAAGGCAGTGTGAATACAGAAGGGGAGAGAGAGATTTGAAGCTACTCCACTGATTTTGAAGATGAATAAGGGGACCAGGAGGCAAGGAATTTAGGTGGTCTCTAGAAGCTGGAAAAGGCAGGAAACAGATTTCTTCCCTAGAGCTCCCACAAGGAACCAGTCCCAAGATGAAAGCCAAGAATGAGGGGGAAAAAACAAGATTTCCTTGTTAACTCACTATTTTTACTTCCTTGTATGTATTGATATATAATTCACATACAATAAAATTCACCATTTTGAAGTGTACAGTTCAGTGGTTTTTACTATCTTAAGATTCCACAATCATTACTGTTATGTAATTCTAGAACATTTTCATCACCCCAAAAAGAAACCCCATATTCACTAGCAGTCACAAACCATTTTCCCTCCTCCTACCCCTGGCAACCACTAATTTTTCTGTTTCCTAGGATTTGCTTATCATTCACATTTCATATTATTAGACTTATACAAAATGTGGTCTTTTGTGTCTGATTCTTTCACTTATAATTTCATAAGTTTAATCCATGTAACATGTATCAGTACTTCATTCATTTTATGGCTGAATAATATTCCATTGTATGGATAGTCCACATTTTTTTTCTCCATCACCAGTTAAAGAGTGTTTGGGTTATTTCCACTTTGGGATATTTTTATGAATAATGCTGCTGTGAATATTGTGTGGGTAGAAGTTTTCCTTTCTCTTGAGTATATGCTATATACCTAGGAGTGGAATTAAGTCATGTGGTAACTCTGTGTTTAACTTTTTCAGGAACTACTAGATTGTATTCCAAAGTAGCTGCACCATTTTATTCCCACTAGCTGTATATGAGGGTTTCAGTTTCTCCACATTCTAATGAACACTTGCTATTGTCTGTCTTTTTTATTGTACCCATCCTAATGAGTATGAAGTGATATTTTAATTGTGGCTTACATTTTCCTTATGGCCAATGATGCTGAACAACTTTTCATGACTATTTGTATATGTTCTTCGGAGAAATGTCTCCAAATGTCTGTAGCCAATTTTTAACTGAATTATTTGCCTTTTTGTTGTTAAGAGGTTTTAATTCTTTATATAGTCTAGATATTAGACCCTTATTAGCTGTATGATTTCCATATTATTAGATATTTGCATATTATTAGATATATGATTTGCTATATGATTATGATTAGATATATGAATTGCATCACATAGATATATGATATCTCTCATATATGCATATATGATATCTCTCATCTATGCATATATGATATCTCTCATATATGCATATGTGATTTGCATATTATTAGATATATGATTTGCAAACATTTTCTTCCATTCTGTAGGTTGTCTTTTTACTTTCATGACAGTGTCTTAAGAAGCGCAAAAGCTTCTAATTTTGATAAGGTAAAATTTTGCTATTTTTTCCTTGGGTGCTCGTGCTTTAGGTGTCATATCTAAGAAACCATCGCTCAACCAAATTTCACCAAGATTTACACTTATGTTTTCTTCTAAGAGTTTTGTAACTTTAGCCATTAAATACAGACCTTCGATCCATTTTGTGTTTTTAGTTAATTCTTGTATATGGTGAGAGGTAAGGGCTCAACTTCATTTATGTGTGGATTTCTAGCTGTCTCATAAAGGTTACTTAAAAAGATTATTAATTCTCCCATTGAATTGAGTTAGCATCCTCATCAAAAGACAATTTACCATTAATGTATAAGTTTACTTCTGAATACTCAATTCTATTCCATTGATCTATTTTTATGCCAGTACAAGATAGCCTTGATTACTGTAGCTATCCATGTACTAATTTCTGAAATAGGAAGGTGTGAGACCTTCAACTTTAATCTTATGTTTCAGGATTGATCTGTCTTTTCTGTCACTCTTGTATTTCCATAGGACTTTTAGGATAAACTTGTCAATTTCTGCAATAAAAGGAAGCTGGGATTTTGTTAAACATCACATTGAATCTATAGATCTATTTGGGGAGTGTTGCCATTTAACAATATTAAGTCGTTCTGTCTGTGAAAATGGCAGGGTCTTTCCATTTTTTTATTTAGGTTTTCTTCCATTCCTTTCAATGATTTTTTTTCTTTAATTTTCAAGGTATACATTTTGCTTTTGTTAAATGTATTATTAGTGTAATTTCTTTTGAATCTATTTTCAATTGAATTGCTTTCTTAATATCACTTTCAGATTGTACATTGACAATATATATAAATACAAGTGGTTATTTTTCCAATACAATACTATGTATTTAAGTGATACCAAGGGAGCTATCTTTCCTCACACTATATATGTTCTATTACAGACTTCAAGGTAAGCCCTACTTCATGAGTATCTTTGGCCTTGGATAACATCTATGACATATTACCAAGTTATATTGTTCATAAATGTATTAATTGAATGACAAATAAGTGCCATGTACTGAGACTGGATACATATATAGAAAAACTCATGGTGTCTACCCTCCAGGAGTAACATAAAGAGACTAGAAACACACAATGTGATACATTTTATGAGAAATTTGTCAAGACAATATAAAATATTGATTCATTACATATTACAATTAACTTTTGCATATTAATCTTGTATCTTACAAACGTGGTGAGCTCATTTACAAGTTCTAATAGTTTTCTTCTGAATTCCACAGTATTTTCTTATATAAGATCATACCATCTGCAAATATGGTTTTACTTCTTCCTTTCCAGTCTGGATGCATTTTACATCATTTTCTTACCTAATTGCTCTTGCTGGCACCTCCAGTACAATGTTGAATAGAAGCAGTGAGAAGCATCCTTATCTTGTGCCTGATATTAGGGGGAAAGCTTTAAGTATTTCACCATTCAATATGATACTAACTGTGAGTTTCTCATAGCTGCCCTTTATCAGCATGAGCAGATTCCTTTCTATTCCTAGTTTATTGAGTATGTTTACATGAAAGAACATTGAATTTCATCAAATGCTTTTTCTGAATATATTGAGAGGATCATGTAATTTTTCCCTTTATTCTATTAATATGGTATCTTACATTAATTGATTCTTGCATGTTGAAGCAACCTTGCATTACTGGAATAAG
Organism: Homo sapiens; assembly: GCF_000001405.40. Taxonomy (NCBI): domain Eukaryota; kingdom Metazoa; phylum Chordata; class Mammalia; order Primates; family Hominidae; genus Homo; species Homo sapiens. Next base: position 132,512,839 of record NC_000023.11, on the reverse strand, counting down.
TCTTACTTAGTCATAGAATATAACATTTTTACGTGCTGCTGTATTCTGTTTGCTAGTATTTCATTGAGGACATTTACATCTATATTGAGAAGAGATATTACTCTATAGTTTGTTTCTTGTGATGCCTTTGTCCGACTTTGTTATTCGGGTAATACTGGCTTCATAGAATGAACTGATAAGTACATTCTCCCCTTTGAGGTTTTGGAAGTTTGTGAAGTATTGGTGTTAATTCTTTTTTTTTTCAGATGACTTGCATTTTACTGCTACACAATAATTATACATATTTATGGGGTACATGTGATATTTTGATAGATGCATGCAATTTGTAATAATCAAATCAGGGCAATTGAGACATTAATCACCTCAAACATTTTTTTTGTGTGTGTGAGTCCATTCCAAGTATTCTTTTCCAGGTACTTTAAAATATACAATAAATTATTGATAACTATAGTCTTTCTACTATGCTACTGAAAACTAGAACTTATTCTTTCTATCTAATTGCATTTTGTACCCATCAATGAACCTCTCTTCATCTTTCTCCCAACTCTAACTTCTGGTGAATACCATTCTGTTCTCCATGTCTATGAGATCAACGTTTTTAGCTTCCACATATGAGGGAGAACATGTGATATTTGTCTGTCTGCATCTGGCTTATTTCAGTTACATACCCTCCAGGCTCATCCGTGTCTTGCAAATGAAGGATTTTATTATTTTTATGGCTGAATATTATTTCATTTTGTATATATACCACATTTTAAAAATCCATTTATCCATTGATGGACACTTAGGTTGATTTCATATCTTGGTTATTGTGTATAGTGCTGTGATAAACATGGGAGTGCAGATATATTCAATATACTGATTGCCTTTCTTTTGGATATATACCCAGCAGTGCAATTGCTGAATTATACGGTAGCTCTACCTTTAGTTTTTCTTAGGAACCTCCATACTATTTTTCATAATGACCATGCTAATTTACATTTCCACCAACAGTGTATGAGAGTTTCTCTTTCTCAACATCCTCGCCAGCATCTGCTATTTTTTGTCTTTTTGATAATGGCCATTTTAACTGAAGTGAAATGCTATCTCATTGTGGTATTGATTAGCATTTCACTGATGATTAGTGGTGTTGAGCATTTTTCATATACCTGTTGACCTTTTCTATTTCTTCTTTTGAGAAATGTCTGTTCACATCATTTGCCCATTTTAAAATTGGATTATTTTTTCTTTTTGCTGTTGAATTGCTTGAGTTCCTTATATATTGTGGTTATTAATCCCTTGTTAGGTAGCCTGAAAATATTTTTTCCCATTCTGTGGGTTGTCTCTTCAATTTGTTGTTTCCATGGCTGTGCAAAAGTGTTTTAGCTTGATGTGTTCCCATTTGTCCATTTCTGTTTCTGTTGCCTCTGCTTTTAAAGTCTTACACCCAAAATCTTTGCCTACACCAATGTCCTGAAAAATTTTCCAATGTTTTCTTTTAGTTTCATAGTTTCAGGTCTTACATTGGTCTTTAATCCACTTTGATTTGATTTTTATATATGGTAAGAGATAGGAATCTAGTTTCATTCTTCTATGTATGGATATCCAGTTTTTCCAGCACCATTTATTGAAGACAGTCCTTTCCCCAATGTATGTTCTTGGTGCCCTTGTCAAAAATGAGTTGGCTGTAAATGAGTGGATTTATTTCTGGGTTCTCTATCATGTTCCATTGGTATGTGTGTCTTGTTTTTATGTATCATGCTGTTTTTGTTATTATGGCTTTTTCTTTTTAGGCACTCAATGAAGATTCTTTTTATTAATATCAACAATAACGTGGATGCTTTATTCATTAAGTATCTATTATTTATGTGCCAGGGGCTGTGTTGGCTTCTACATAAATTGCTGGGATTCCACACATATCTTTTCGAGTCTAGAAGTCATGGAAAACTCCTTTACAAATAACTGCTTAATTAGGGTTTTGTGAATGAATGTGGATTACTGCTCTCATTTAATAGAGAGCAGAGACTTGCTCTGTGTCTGGGACAGGTCTTGTACATGTGAGGGTGCCAGGGAAGAGTCAACCAGTGGCCCTAATTTGGTGATAGTTTCTATTTCCTTCTTCCCTCAATAAAACTCAGTTTCTTGAGTTTTCTCTGCTTTTTTGATACTTCATCTGTTGGCACTGTCAGGGAACATCTGGTATCTCGGAACTATAAGCATCGTATGTACCCCTCACGTATATAAAACTCTTATGTTTTAATTGTTTTGAGTAAAACAATTAAAATGTAAAAAATCCTTAGCATTCTCCCTCTCTCTGAATCATACTAACTTTGAGACTAATAGTAGGTTTTTTTTTTTAATTTTTTTTTACTTTTAATTTTGTGGGTACATAGTAGATGTATGTATTTATGGGATACATGAAATGTTTTGATACAGTCATGCAATGTGACATAATCACATCATGGAGAATGGGGTATCCATCCCCTCAAGCATTTATCCCTTGTTTTACAAACAATCCAATTACACTGTTTAGTTATTTTGAAATGTAAAATTAAGTTATTATTGACTGCAGTCACCCTGTTGTGCTATCAAAATATAGCTTCAATGTATATTTTAAAACAAGATAGTATGGTGCATCCAACTTTGTTTTTTTATTCAGAGTTGCTTTGGCTATTTGGGGTCTTTTGTGATTTCTAGGTATTTTGTTGTAGCTATTGTAAGTGGGATTGCTTTCTCGACTTCTTCTTTAAGATTGTTCACTCTTGGCATATAGAAATGCTACTGATTTTTGTATGTTTATTTTGTGTGAGATTGATATTAATTATTCCTTAAACATGGGAGATTTCACCAGTGAGCCATTTGGGGCTGGGCTTCTCTTTGTGGTATTTTTTTATTACTAATTTGATTTATTTACTTGATAAAATAATGTGTATTCATATTCTCTATTTTATCTTGAGTCAGTTTCTGTAGTTTGTGTCTTTTATGTATTTTTCTATTTCATCTATATTACGTAAATTGTTTGCATACAATTTTTCATTGTATCCCCTTATAATCCTTTTTATTTCTTTAAAGTTAGTAGTAATATCCAGCTTTTAATGCTGATTTCAGTAATATGAGTCTTCGGTTTTTCTTCTTGGACAGTCTAGCTAAAGGTCTGTAAATTTTCTTTGTAATTCCAAAGAACCAATTTTGGGTTTTGTTGGTTTTTTATATTATTTTCCTATTATCCATTGTATTAATTTCTGCTCTAATTTTTAATATATTATTCCATCCGTGTGCTTTGGGTTTAGTTTGCTCTTCCTTTTTAGTTTCTTAAGTCGAAAGGTTAGGTTACTTACTTTAGGTCTCTCTTTTTAAAAATAAAGATGTTTATGCTACAAATTTCCCTTTAAGCTCAGCTTTTGCTGCGTTCCATAACTTTTTGTTTGTTGTACTTTCATTTACATTCATCTCAGGATACTTTTTCTTATGATTTCTTCATTCACTCATTATTCATTTAGTAATATGCTGTTAATTTTTCATATATGTAGTTTTCCCAAATTTCCTTCTGTTATTGATTTCTATGTTCATTCCATTCCATTGTGGTCAGAGAACATACTTGCATCATTTCAACCATTTTTAATTTATCGAGTATTGTTTTATATTTTAGTATATGGTTTGTCCTGGAGAATGTTCCATGTGTGCTCGAGAAGATGTTCCATGTATTAGGCTGGTGCAAATCACTTTTGCACCAACCTATATTTTGCTGTTGTTGAGTGGCATGTTCTGTAGATGTCTTTCAAGTCTAGTTTGTTTACAGTGCTGTTAAAGTCTTCTATTTCATTGTTGACTATCCATTATTATTCTGTTGCTCTAACATAGTTATTCTATCCATTATGCCAGTGGGGTATTGAAAGCTCCTGCTGTTACTACTGAACTACCCATTTCTCACTTTAATTCCCTCAGTTTTGTTTTATGCATTTTTGGCTTTATTGCTAGGTGCACATATGTTTATAATTGTCATATCTTCTTGAGGAATTGATCCATTTATCATTATGAAATGTCCCTTTTTTTCTTAGAAACAATTTTTTTTCTTAAAGGCTATTTTGTCTGATTTTAGTGTAGTCATTTCAGCTCTTGTTTTGTTATCATTTGTGTGGTATATCTTTTTCCAGAACTCTGGAAATTATCCAAAGTTTTGTAGCAGTCCGGAGCTTTAAAAAAGTTAATCCTGAGAAATATTGTCAGTTTTTAAAATTGATTTTAAGAATAAAATTTCAGAGGTCTACTCTGCAATTTTTACTGATTTCATTGTTTGACTCATTCTTTTAGGACATTTAAGAGTTTTCCTAAGTATCTGGTTTTGAGAGACTTTTGTTACTGAGTTTTGATATGATTGCATTGTGATGAGAACATACTCAATCTGAATAAATTTATTTTGTTAATTGATGGAAGTTTTTATTTTAACTTGGAATTTTAGAATTAGAATAAACTATAATTAACTGAAGTTTAAATAAATGGCCTTTTAAATTTCATTCCTTGCTGAAAATATTTCATATATATATGAAATATATAAATATATATAAATATTTCATATATATATATAAATCAATTTTCATGGGCCACTCAGGACATAGACACTAATGGATGCAAGAGAACATTTCTGTACTTGCTGAGGATTTTTGCAGTGTTTAAGGGCCATCATTCAAATACAGGCTTTGGTGTCAAACTGGTCTGGATCCAAATACCAGTCCCATTACCACCATGTGACCTTGGACAAGTGACTTAACTTCATGTCCTTGGACAATTTAACATCACTAATCTTCCATTTTGTCATCTATAGAATTAAAATATATTACAACTTTTACATGATTGTTGTCAGGATTAAACAAAATGACAGATATCTAGAATGGCTGGAATGGAAGACATATGAAGGAATAGGGTGTAAAACATTAGCTGGGGCCCGATCAAAAAGAGATGGACATGTGGAAAGTGCCTCATAAATCTTTATTCTTTTCCCTATTTCTTTATATAGCTATCACAGGAAAATTGCAGAAAACTGGGCTTATTGGGAAACTAAGACACACCAAATTGGCTGACTTTCACGCATTTTGTTTTTGGTTTTGTTTGTTTGTTTGTTTTTAGTAGAGACGGGGTTTTGGCCAGGCTGGTCTCAAACTCCTGACCTCAAATGATCCGCCCACCTTGCCTCCCAAAGTGCTGCGATTACAGGCGTGAGCTACCGTGCCCCGCCACTTTATTGTTATTTTCTTCTCTCTGAAGGGTAATGACAACAACATTCCAGTAAGATGAGACTTCTAGTTGGTTGAGTTCCAATTAATTGAGGTTTTTATCTATTATCAATAACTGGGAGTTGACTTTAAATGAGAAAAAACCTTGTGACTCTCTAAGTATGTAATTTTGAATGGAAAAGTGTTAAGACTAATCACTTACTCAGGGTCTGTGAGAAATTCTGTATTTAGCTTTTTATTTTGAGGGTCTTGAGTGGCATCAAGTATTACATTTCTAAAAAGAAATCCATCCAGTAAAATTTTGTTCAAGTGAACTCAAATTAAGCTTCCCAATTAATTCACTTAGCTTTCCTTTGATAAGTGTGTTTTGTGTTGAAATACCGGTATAAAAAGAATAACAAATATTAAGTTAATTTAGAGTAATTAGAAAAATGGTTCTTCCTTTGTTGGGTTTAAATGTGGTCCAATCTTTGAGGGTTTAACCTTTTCTAGTAGGATCATTTGGTATTAAGATAGGGAAAAGTGAAACATTAGTAAAATTCAAGCCACTACATTCTGCTTTTAAATCTGTGTTCACCTTTCTACTCTTGTAATCTAAGCTCAACTGTTCATTCCTTTTATCTCCATCCTCTTCAAATCTTCTTCATGTTTTCCTTATAGATTAAAAGATGGGAATTTAAAGCACTAGTTTTATGTAGTGTGTAGATGTGTACAAATTCCTATATTTGTTTACGTACATACACATACACCTTATTCTTGAATGTGCACCTCGGGGTCTACAAAAGATATCCACATATCTCGACTGTTTATCACAACAGCCTTTCGAAGTCAGAGTTTGTAATCCCCATTGTTAGAAATGGGGAAGCCTAGATTTTTTAATCCACTTTAAACTAAATTTTCTCCCCCCATACACACAATATTTAAATAACATTTCATAATTTAAATATAAATTAGTGCTGTCCCTTTTAGGGCTATACACTTACTTCAGTTTGGTTAACGACCCTCCTCTTTGGAAACTATCTTCTGAGCCCATTCTTATGACTCTCAGTGGTGCAAAAGTTCAGTCTCCTGAGAGTGGGTTTAATTTTTGGAAAGGACACCTTCCCTGGAAGCGAAGTCTAATGCAGTAGGGGGGCGACATTGGATCAAACTGAACAATGCTGTTTGTGTTCACTGACTAGGTGTGGATCTGAAGAAATGACTGTGCTTTTCTTTTACGACTCAGATACTGGCTCTAAAGACATTTCCCCAAGAGGAGTTCCAAAATGTGAAGTACTGGCAGTGAAAAGTCTACTTTTGAAAGACAAAGGTCACTTGGATGTTTCAAGTGTTGAGAGTTTCCTTCAAAGTAGTCTCATTGCATTTTAGGCAGGCAGTGGTCATTACACAGTAGATCAGCTTGTTCCCTAATGATTTAAGTATAACTTCACTTTCACTGACCTCACCTTCTGTAAAACAAAGCCTTGAAGCACTTAGCAGGAGTCACTTATTTTAAAAAACCCTAGGCCTCGCTTAAATCACACTTGTTCCCTTCAGGCCCTCAGTAGGCATCACCCTAGAATCAAAGTGAAGAATGATTTGGGTGTCCTGCTGATGTAGGAACCATCTTAGTGAAGAGAATTGCCTCTGTTGATTGGATTGAGGAATCCTAAAATCTAGATAACTTATTCCAAATCTTTCAAATGTAAAGAGCTTGGATGCATGTGGGTTTTACTGCTCTGAAAGGAACTGTGACTCAGGTTAGGATTGAGAAACAAATGTAATCAGTGGCATTCAACATCCTTTTAATTCTGGGAGGTCACAATGTTAAAGGGACTTAAGACAAGGATCCCATAACTGAAGCATGCTGAAAAATACATAATAGGATTCAGGAGAAATCATCCTCAGGAGTGTTAAGAAATAATCACAGTTCTGTGGTGCCTTTCTTCTTTGCCACTGAAATGCAGCCAACTCTTGGTGGCAGAGCATGCAGCCCACTTCCACACAGCACACTGCATAGCACAAGTGGAAAGAAGAGTAGGAAAACTTTCATTGCCTTCCCAATGTTTAGCCAAATTTTTATACTCCTGTGAAAAGACCCTGATGCTTCTCATTGTAATGCTTTGTCTGGAAAGAGCAAGTATCTGGTAATTGACCTTGGTTAGGATTCTTGGAAGCTACAAACACAGGGCTGCCAGCTTTGAATTTTTCCATTGCATTGTGCAATGGCACAGCCAGGGGGTTCTGTCCTTGGACCATTATGCAGTAGAGGAGCACACAAGTAATTCTTTAAGAATGTTCACTTGTGAATAGAGTTTGCTGCTGTGGCATATGCTTCCTTTAGAGACAGGGAGCACCGGCAGAGGAATGGTGCTGGCTACAGAGGGCGACACTTAATGCATATTTTGACTTTTGATTTTTACAGCCAAGGCTGGACTGTTCCTTTTGGACTTTGATCTAAGCCTTATCATTCATTACACATTGTTATGAACCATCGGTTTTAATTACACTGCCTTTCTTTATACTCTCCTCCTTGGTCTGCCTTCCTAGGTCCATTAGAAACATTGTTTCATAGAAGCACTATTGAGAGAAAACAACAGTGCTTCCATATTTCCATATTTCCCTTCTTATGTGCCCCTTATCTCTCTCTCTCTTTCTCTCTCTCACTCTCCCTCCCCTTTCCTATTTAGTGAAGCACCTGCATTATTCATATGTGAATGTTGGCCCTTTTATATTTCACAGAATAGCAGAAAGAAAAAACAATGACAATTTTGAAAAATGTACTACTTAAGTACACTCCATTTTTTAAAGTTGCTTTTTTCTCTGACCTATGTAAAATGTAAGGGTCTAAGCAGTATTATAGTCACACTCCCATTTAACTGTCACTCAGGCAATCAGAACCTTCAAGCAACTGGCAGAAGTTGCAACTGCATGTGCAATCTGGGGAATCCTACACTGACAAGAAGGCCTGCACTCCAAAGCTGCCTGCCTAAGTCTTCAGACACATGGGGAAAGATGCTGAAGTTGCCTAGCAGTACTTCACATATGCTAATTGCAGCCATCAATGATTGTGGAAAGAGGGGACTCTGTGGCTAAGACTGGCTGGTCATGGCATACAATCAATTTGAGTGCATCTGAGGGAAAGGATGCAGGTTTGTATAAAAAGGGTTGTATTTACCAAGGAAATACCGTATCATATATGAGCTGTTTTTAATGAGCTGAAAAGAATTATTTTTATAATAAACAGTGACACAGGCTGGTGGAGAAATGCAAATGTCAATTTTTTTTTTTTTTTTTTTGCCTTAGAAAAGAGGAAAATAGGTCTCATCATAGGATGAAGAAGACAAAGATGAGTAAAAATTGGGGGAGGGAGTGTACAAAATACAAGACATTTAAACCACTCGTCTATAATTTCTCCAGTTCTTCTGAATCATTCTGTTATCTGTGCCTGAACCTATACAAACTGTGATTTGAATTGGGATGGAAAAGTACTGCTCCAGCCTGTAGTTTAGAAGTCTCAGAAGATATCTAGTCCAACTCATTTCACTCGTGTATTCATTTATGCCTTCCTTCCTTCATTTATTCATCAAACATGTTTGAGTGCTCACTGCATTCGAGGTGATAGTAATACAAATATAAGTAAGATATAGTCCATGCTCTGAAAGAGTTCAAGGCCTATTGGAATAGTGCATTAGCAGACAGACTGGAAAGTGGAGAGGCTGAATTGTGTTCAACACATAGCGGGAGCACAAAGGGGAGGATGATCACTTTTGCCAAAGTAAGTTAAAAAAAAATCATAATAGGGCTGGGTGCGGTGACTCACGCCTGTAATCCCAGCACTTTGGGAGGCTGGGGCAGGTGGATCACCTGAGGTTAGGAGTTCGAGACCAGCCTGGCCAACATGGTGAAACCCCCATCTCTACTAAAAATACAAAAATCAGCCGGGTGTGGTGGCGCACACCTGTAGTCCCAGCTACTCAGAAGGCTGACGTAGGAGAATCACTTGAACCCAGAGGCAGAGGTTGCAGTGAGCCGAGATCATGCCACTGCATTCCAACCTGGGCAACAAAGTGAGACCCTGTCTCAAAAAAAAATCATAATAATTCACAGACCAGGTATCATTACTGATGAAGACAATGAGGCCTGCAGAGGGAAAGTGAGCTGCCTAAAGTCTGTGTGGGAGGCAGAATTGCATACCACCTTGCCATTGCTATAAAGGCCTTAGTATCACACCTCAGTACAGCAATAACAGGCCAGTCTTGCCCCCATAAATGGCAAAGGAAGCCTGAACCATTTACTTAAAGAATTCCACAGAAACAAAATTACATTCTCCTATGGGACAAGGGAGGTTAGAGAGAATGATTAGAAAGATTTAGTGTTCCCTTCCTTTCCCTCCTCCTCTGGCTTATTCTGCTCAGCCAGAACCACCCAAAACAGCCTGGACTTTGGGTCCTCATGAGACTTTTTCCTAGTGGGTTGTTACCAGGACTGATGCTTTGTCTACAAGAGTGACGTCTTGGGGTTGGTAAAAGGCTGTATTTCTAATCATCCGTAACTAAGAGGTTAGATCAGTTAGCACATGTGTTATCCTCATTCAGGAGTGAAGGGAAGTCCACACTGCTGGGGCAGCCTCGCCAGTGAGCAGTTTTATTGCATAAAGAAAGAAGAATCTCCCCTTCTCCCCCATTAATCTGAATCTCATTTTCTAATGAGTCCACCTTCTGGAAATGTTACTGCAGTTACTTACATGACCACCTTCAAGGGACTTCTTTATTAAGTCGTAATCAGAGGGTTTTATTTGATAAGATTTGAACATGAAGAGAAACAGTAACAACAGACCAAATCTGGCAATCTGTCTTTATTATTATTTGTTAACAGTAAAGACAAGGGTAAGGAATTATGATCTCACCTCTTTCCTTGATCATTTTAAGTATATTTGTGATAGAGGCCTATAACCCTTTTTGAGTTAAGATATGTATATCAGAGGGAGTAAGATGATGGATGAGTTATCTAAGAATATGCAATAAATTGGTAATGCTAGAGGCAATGATACTGACTCTCAAGCTAGGATTTAACTTCTTTTGGGTCCCATTACAATCAGAAAGTAAATGTGTGCTATGTGTAAAATATGCAAAGGAATATTGTACTACAAAATTTTTACATGCTGTCATTTAAATGGGAATGTTAGCTACACAAAATGAAAGATTATAATAATGTTAATAGACTTTTTTCTTCTTAGGCTTTATTCATTTATTTGGAAAACATATAGTGTTACACTGTTCTAAAACTTATAAAAGTTCTAAATTCATTCATCTTCATAACTACCTTTTGAGGTAGATACCATTATTTTCCCCAATGTACATACAGATGTTAAACTGGTTTATTTTAAATTTGAATTTGTTAATAAAGGGAAGAAGCGGTTTACACATTTACTTCCCATTATTATACAAATTGAGTAGACCCATTTTTTTTTTCTTCAAAAGAAAATGATTAAGGCAAATTGTCAATTTCCATTTTTTCAGAGAAATCAATGTTTACGGTATGCCCGTTATCCTGCCTTATCCTCAACCTCACCCTTCTCTTCATCAATGAAAATGTACTATTACTGGCTTTTGGAAGAACATAGTAACTAAGGTATAATTACACGCTATCTCTCAGGAGCAAAGCAGACTTGGGGTCTGAATGTTATTTACAGCCCCATGTTTTCCTTCCCAAGACTTCTGCTGTCTTCTAGCTAATTTTAGCTGTGTGAAGGAGGAAGACTGATGGATCCAATTGCCAAAGCAGACAGAGTGTGGACATGCAGTGCCAGGTTCATGCCGTAACTGGTGATGACACCTCAGTAGAACCTTGCAACAGTTCTTGTAATCCCAGCTGGACCTCCCCTGAGCAGAGACAGCAATTATGTGTAGTGGCTTTCAGATGTAAACAAATGTTCATGGGGAACTGACTTATAATCAGCCAAGTCATTTCATTTATGGCTTACATCAAATTGGAATGAAAGGCTCTGATCAGGGAAATTGAGCACATTCATTTACTATCTCAGCAAGTGTTTTTAGAACTTATGTACAATTCTTTCCCTTTAAAGATATGACTGTTCAGTGTATTTAAGGCTTGAAAGCATTTTAGAAATAGAGTGTATCTTAAAAATAACTCTATATCTCCTTTTGTACTTAGCTCCAGTATACCAATGTATATTTGGCCATTTTCCATTACTGTTATTTATTATGACTCAGTGCCATATGCCTGGGAAGGGATAACATAGAAAATTATGTTTTTATGGGAACGTTGGTGGTGCCATGTTATTTCTCTGTTTCTCAGTCTCTGTCTTTGTTTCTCTTTCTTTTATTAACTGTGCTTCAGCAAATGCTTTAAAACGATGGTAGCTGACACCATCACTGGCCATCAGAGAAATGCAAATCAAAACCACAATGAGATACCATCTCACACCAGTTAGAATGGTGATCATTAAAAAGCCAGGAAACAACAGGTGCCGGAGAGGATGTGGAGAAATAGGAACACTTTTACACTGTTGGTGGGACTGTAAACTAGTTCAACCATTGTGGAAGTCAGTGTGGCGATTCCTCAGGGATCTAGAACTAGAAATACCATTTGACCCAGCCATCCCATTACTGGGTATATACCCAAAGGACTATAACTCATGCTGCTATAAAGACACATGCACACGTATGTTTATTGTGGCACTATTCACAATAGCAAAGACTCGGAATCAACCCAAATGTCCAACAATGATAGACTGGATTAAGAAAATGTGGCACATATACACCATGGAATACTATGCAGCCATAAAAAATGATGAGTTCATGTCCTTTGTAGGGACATGGATGAAATTGGAAATCATCATTCTCAGTAAACTATTGCAAGAACAAAAAACCAAACACCGCATGTTCTCACTCATAGGTGGGAATTGAACAATGAGAACACATGGACACAGGAAGGGGAACATCACACTCTGGTGACTGTTGTGGGGTGGGGGGAGGGGGGAGGGATAGCTTTAGGAGATATACCTAATGCTAAATGACGAGTTAATGGGTGCAGCGCACCAGCATGGCACATGTATACATATGTAACTAACCTGCACATTGTGCACATGTACCCTAAAACTTAAAGTATAATAATAATAAAATAAAAAAAAGATGGTAGCTGAGAGAATTGTTTAAAAAATACAAAAACCATACTAAAACTTTATATAGAATGAGTTAAAAACCAGAATGTCTATTTCTTTCAGCCATTGGTTAGGTATGAAACAAAAAACTGTTAAAATGCATGGGCAGATGTGGAAAATGTGAGTACATAAGACCAAATGATTCCAGAACTCTATGCCCTGCCATATACATTTCTTTCTTGAATACTATATGCTGCCTCTCTGCTCAGATCTACCCTTGCTTCTGCAGTGCCCATGACTATGCTCCAGCCATTTAGCAAGTACTCAAAACTTTAAGACCACTCAGTGTTTGAACTCAATACACAGAAGAAATGCTAGGTACTTTGGAAGGTGAAAATAAGCAAGTGAACTCCTCAAGAATAGGTGTATGAACTAGTTTGAAAAACAAGATAATGTGCAGGAAGAATTCAAATCATTAGGCAGGCAATCTGAAACTGGATATGAAGCAGGGAATCAAAGTAGGCGTGGACTGGGTAAGTTTCCTGGGGGATACAGGACTTCAACGAGTCCTTGAAGAGAAGTCAAACTTGAGGTTTATGGAGGAGGTAGGAATTGTGCTAGGACTGAAGCATTTGGACCTGGGCTCAAGTCCTGCCTCCTTCTCATAATGGCTGTATAACCTTGGGAAGATTATTTTATTTACCACACACTTATACAACACTCCATATGTGGCAGGCACTGTTCTAAGTGCTTTGTAAATAGTAACTCACTTAAGCTTTATAATAATTCTATAAAGCAGGTACTATTATTATCCTCATTTTCCTCTAAGAGGAAACTAAGGAACAGAGAGGTTAACTAACTTGCCCAGGATCACACAGCTAGTAAGTGACAGAGCAGGAGCCAAACCCAGGCAGCTAAGTCTACACTTAGCTACTATACTATGCTGCAAATTTCACAGCTTTTCTATTAGTTTTCCATTTATTGAACAAATAGAGGCAATAATTCATTTGGGTCCTGTTGTGAAGAGTACATGTGATAAGGTCAGTGAAAGTGCCTGGTACAACGAAGGCACTGGATAAAAAAGCTGTTTTTCCTCTTTCTTTTTTTTTTCCTTTCTCTTGAAAACTCAGCTTTCTCCTGGTTCTTGGAATCGGTCCTGTCTTGCTATTTTCTTGAATACTATATGCTGCCTCTCTGCTCAGATCTCCTATCCTTGCTTCTGTAGTGCCTATGACTATGCTCCAGCCATTTTGTGAGTACTTTGTTTTTTTTTCTTTTCTTTTATTTGTTAATTGACTTATAACAATTTTAACTATTTCTGGGGTACATAGTGATGTTTCAATACACATATTGTACAGGATCGGATCAGGGTAATTAGCATATTCATCATCTTGAACATTTATCATTTACTTGTGTTGGGGACATTCAATATCCTCCTTCTAGGTATTTGTGAGTGCTTTCTTAATACATGTTAAGTTCCCAGCCACAGGTGCCTACCTCACCCTATGGAGCGGGCCAACCTCTAAATTATAGCCCCTTCTAGTCAGTAGTTACTGAGCCAGACCTAGCTGTGTTCCACACAGGACATCCCTGTCCTGTCTTGGGGAGGGATGTGGAGGCATCTGTCTCTGTAGGCACTTATTCACTCAGTAGGTACTTAATACATATCTGTTGATTGTGTTTCTGGCCCTGTGTTAGGTGGTGTATGATACACATGAAAATAGGGAAATGAAAAACAATACAGGACAAAGGGAGTAGGGAAGACAGTAGGGCTGAGGAAGCTCTATGCTCCATCCAGAAGACCGTGCAGCCCCTGGCTTTGCCCAGCTTTAGTACCCAGTAGCCCTTAGGCTGCTTCCCAATGCTCTTTCCCTCTTATTTCCCTCCCAGCATCATTTAGCCATCCTTCATCTGCTGGTTTCAGGGTCCAACTTCCAGAAGCTAAGTAATCTGATAAAAGTAATCTCTGCTAAAGTGTTCATCCAGCTAACAGGTTGATGTGTTATTCTTCCCAGGTAATTTGTTCATTTTGAGAGGGGTTTTTTGAGGACATTAAGGCATGATGGCAGGAAATTTTAGGTCTCATTGCAACCTAGAGAGGAAGAGAGTGCCCCCGCATGACCCAGGCTTTCAGGATTAGCCTCGGTCTGGTTTCTATGGCCGTTTGCAAAATCTTTCTGGTGCCAAAGGCACTTCACTGTCTTATGGCTTTTACTATGCCTCAACCAAGTTTGGATCAAAGAGAAAACACATGATCCTCCTGTTTTTTTGTATTTGGAATGCGTTTTCTTGGACTCATGAAGAAAATTCTCCTGATCGCAAGAGAAGCTGAGGAATGGGCTATTTGTACCTGGATAAAAATAGGCAGTACTCATGATCTGGTAGCCAGCATTCTAAGTGCTTGACATATGTGATCTCATTTAATTCCCACTGCAAACGCCATGAAGCAAATACTATCATTATCTCACTTTTTGAACAAAGAACTGAGGCATAGAGAGCGTAAGTAAGTTGTTCAAGGTCACACTGCTACCAAGTGAACTCATGAAGTGTAGCTCCAGGATCTATGCCCTTAATCACTACCCTATCTCTATCAGTGTCTCAGGCTCAAGTCTCCTTTTCCTTCATAGAATCAGCAGATAGATCAGACACAATTGGCTCATAGAGACTCATCATTAAGGCACACACTGTAATCCCACAGTGGGGGTATTGCAGCCATGCCCCATGTTTGGCCGAGCAGAAACAGGCCACTGACCTGGCACTCTGACCTTGCTCATAGGAGCTTAAGCTACTCTGAGGTTGATATCACCCTCTTCCCTTCTATGCTGCACAAGGTTGACAAAGGACTGCCTCTCAAGCCCTCCTTCTCCCACTCCATTCTATCCCAAAAAAGGAAGGAATGCTCAGCCCTGGGGGTTGCTCTGTAACTTTGACAAAGAACAGCTGAAGTGTGACTAATCCTATTTTCTAAAAGTAAAAGGATGATTCTCCAAACTAACCTTCCAGTATGACTAGAGGTAAGCCAATCTCTTCTCAAGCTAACGTGCACACTATGCCTCCAAAGCTGCAATACCTTCCACATTCTCTCACTAATGGATCACTTACTGTGTGTTAGGTACTGTGTTAAATGCTTTCAAAACCTTGCCATATATTAATCCTACAATATATACTTCAAAAAGGTACTAGTATTATCTTCATTTTATTTGTGAGGAAGCTGAGAGAGAATAACTTGCCCAAGGTCACTGTACCACCAATAGCTATTTTTTAGCTTCTTGCCCGTTCTCTGCATTTGTGCATTGCCATTCAGTTTCATCTCAGGTTCCATGATTAAAGGCACCCATTCATACTGATACTACATTCACAATATCTTGAATGCAAAATACGAGATGATAATTATTGCATCAACATATCTCATGAGAGTTAAAAGCATGTTTTAGCATAATTAAGAGGTAGATAGTTGAAAACTCAAAAATTGGCATAGCAGAGTTTCCCGTACATACAAATATAAATCTTTCATGTTTGTGTTCATTGTTCTTCCTGTGATGATAAATCTAATGGAATTTTGATATGTAGTACTTTCCACTTGACATAGTTTAGGGCCTTGAAGAAGCTTTTGATTTGGCCTTGCCCATGCATAAATAATTAAAAGAGAATTCAATTTGAGTGCCCTTTATAACAGAATTTAAAAATAATGAATTCAGCTCATTCACTTTAAAAATGAACAAAAGCAATGTTTTATTCAACAGATAAAACAAATAAAATACATTCCTGTTCCACATTTTAACCATTCCAAGAACAGAGGCAGAAAAAAAAGCTAAGAAGGATAAAAGGGGGAAAAAAGGTGTAGAAAAAGAGGTGATAAAAGAAAAAAAGAAATACAGTTTGAATAGGGAGAAATGAAGAAAGAGACAAAGTGCCAGAAAAAATATTCATAGAGGGTAAAATAACAGATGTTGATAGATGCAGAGGAAGAGAAAAAGAAATGGCACGAGGTGAAATAAATAGAAATAGTTCATTTGAAATAGAGGTCTGATTCTCCCATTGAATTATTTATTTCTCCAATTCAGTAATGTTTTGTTAGACAGAATGCCAAAATAATAAAATAAATAAAATAATATCCCCTTTTAACTTTTTAAAAAAGCAAATGAATATGCCTGGATGCAATCAAAGTGAAAAATATAATTTTGCATTTTAATCTTTTACTAATATTATTTTATGCAATTTTCTGGGTTTTTTATTACAGAATTCAAATAATTTTATTGAATTAGTATATAGTAAATAGCTTAAGCATTCTATTATTTTTTAATATTTAGGTTATTTTAAGGATTATTTTTGTGTTCAAACTAAGGTTGCTTTTTTTCTTCATTTGAATTATTGGTTTAGGATAATTTGCAGGATTAGACTCCCTGGGTCCAAGACTGTGAACATTTTTATAATTCTTGACTCTTTTTGCAATGCTATTAGCAACTTGAATAAGTCTTTTCTTCCAGAGCCTGTATAGTATTGGGTTTTGTAAACTGTTAGTTTGGGCAATTGAATTAGTATCAAATGGTGCTTCCTACTTTGAACTATATATATTTCTTTTAGCGTGATGATGTTCTTTGACCATTTGTCCCTTGGGATCTTGGGGATCTTCTAGATTTGTAGTACTTCTGAATACACTTTAGATGATATTAATTTATCTCTGACCGTCCTAAGCATTTCCACCATTTAATCTCAGTTTTGATCCTGATTTTACATTGTTGTATTATGTTGTACTCTCTGACCAGTCTTCGTAATGTTTTCTATTATTTCAAAACTTAAAAAAATCCCCATAGTTGATTTAAACAGTCTAGTCTCATGGTTAGTCTGTTCCTTCTAGTTTTTAAATTTTTCTTTAAATATTTAAGTTTTTAGCTTATGTAGAAAGAATTGTTATATATGGTAAGAGATAAAAGCTTATGTTAATTCCTCACCATATCCATGACCAGTTACCTCACGTGAATTTATTAAATAATGAGTGTTTTCCCCATTGTTTAGTTATGCTTTGTACATCAAACATTCAATTCTTACATTTACTAGGGCTTTTCCCTGGTCTCAAGGTCCCATTTACTGATTTTTTTATTTGCATCAGAATTCTGCTATTTTAACTAGTGTTAGCTTATAATACATTCTAGCATTTGGTAATTGTTTTAGACTTTTGCTTTTCTAGGACTGTCATATACAATTGCTATTGTATCATTTTTGAGATAATGGATATCTTCATGTGAATTGTCTGCATTTATAAATCGACCTGTGAAGAAATGTCATGTTCATACTGTTGGTCATTACATTCAGAAACACAGTATGACTTTACATTTATTCAAATTTTTCTTTATTTCTGCCATTAAGGTTTTATATTATTTCTTTTTCTCACAACTCTTCTGTATATTGACTTATTTCCAAATATTTTAATGATTTTGCTTTTTATTTTTGTTTTGAGACAAGGTCTTGCTCTGTTACCCAGGCTGAAGTGCAGCGTTGCGATCATGGCTCACTGCAGCCTCGAGAACTCTAGTAATGTCTAATCTCTTTCAGTTAATTCTGTGGATTTTCTAGGTATACAGCAATATTGTCTAAACATTTTCTATCTTTGATTTTTAGAGTATTGAAAATAGTCTGTATGATATTATAATGGTAGATAATGTCATTATACGTTTGTCCAAACTCTTAGAATTTTTAACACCAACAGTGAATTCTAATGTAAACTGTTGGATGAATGATAATTTTGTGTCAATGTAGGGTCATCAATTGGATGTTAATAACTGGAGACGTTGTGCATGTTTTGGGGCCAGGCTATATGAGAAATCTCTTCACCTTTCAATTGGACTGTGGACCTAAAACTGATTTAAAAAAATAGTCTTGATTTAAAAATTTCCCATAGTTTCTTCCTTTCCAATATTTATTTCTAATCTATTTTTATATCTTATTGCCAAATCAAAGATTCCTCAGAAACACTAGACTTATAAATGATTAAAACACTTATTTTAGTCCAGCTTTTTGGAAAATAATGTTTTATCAATAGGTAGGTGGTTAGTTCTTTGTTTTTTGAGTACACATTTTTTATTATGTCAGAGACATAGTTCACTATTCCTGATGTTAACCATAAACAGGAGTTAGATTTTATTAAATGCCTTTGTTGGCATTTACTAGGATAATCATATATTTTTCAATATATTGATAGTTGTTGAAATTATCTTTACATTTCTTGGATAAACAATACTTGATCAAGACAAAGCTATTTTAATATATGTCTGTATTGTATTCGTAGAATTTTTGTTAAAACGCCCACATCAATGAGAGGCAGTGTGGCATACTAGATGGAGCAAGTGTTTGAGTTTAAATCCAACTGGACCTCATAGTAGCTTTACTCAGTACTGTGCAGTAGTTAAAACATGAGCCCTGTCATCAGAGAAAAATAGTGTAGAATCCTAGTTCTGCTACCTAATAACTTTTTTACTTTTAGCAAGCCTCAGTTTTCCTGTTTTTATGGGGACATAAAAATAATTACAAGGATTGTTATGAGAATTAAATGAGTTAATTTGTGAAAAATACTTAGTACAGTGCCTAGAGTAGTTCTACATTAAATGGTTACTGTTACAATTATCGTATTTCTAAGTGAGAATAGGGCTTACTTTTCTTTTTTATATCATGCTTCCATTTTTAAATTGTTCTTACCTTTTTGTATCATTTTATCTGTATCATTCTTAGCACATTTCCCTCTGAGGGCAATTTTAAGAAATATACTATACTTTTCAATAATCAAGGATAATTTGTATAATATGTTCTTAAAAGGCTTGGAAGAGAATTCACCTTGTAAATCCATCAGGCCCAGGTGTGCTTTGAAGGATTTTTTAAAAAAAATTTGTCCTGTTTTCTTCTGTATTTATTAGAATATGTCCAAATAATTCTGACAATTTTGTCCATGTGAAAAAAAAACACTGAGTTCCAGAAATTTTCTTTGCAACCTGAGAGTTATTGATCAATTTATTATCTATGCTTGCAATTTGTTTCTGCATTCAACTAGTTACTAAATTGCCTTATAGTTTCTTCTGTAAGAATACAGTCTGTAACATTTTACAGAGGGGTTACCTTGGAAGCCAACATTTACTTGATTGTTTAAACCCTTTTAACAACCAGATTCTGCTTTCTTCCTGTTTATTTAGTAGGAACCTCTGTGTTGAACCCCAAAGTCCAAATTCCCAACTCTGAATGAAAAAGACTCTTCAGGAATGAATGAATAATCAGTGTCTTTAGCTCTTGAACCACCCTTAAATGGCCAGAGGCTTCTGTATGGAATGACCACAAATACTGCTGTGGGGCTGGAGCCTGTGGAGCCATCGCTAGAACACAGCAGTAGCAAATAATACTCTTGTTGATAGGCTAGTGAGAATAATTCCACAAGTTCAAAACAGAAAAACATGTTTCACCTTTTGTCCATAGCACGGCCTTGCCTGAATGTCCAATAGCACACGTTGACTGTCTGTTTCAAAGAATAATAAATGAGTTATGTGGCTTAGCAGAGGAGTGAAAGGATAATTCTGATCGAATATGTTGAAAGTTCAAAAACTTCTCAAGACCCTGGTTCACTCATATATGCGTGAGTTTAACTTTTCACCTATGCGACATCTTTAAAAATACAGCAACATTTGTTTGGTGGTGGAGTACAATAATCGTTTCGTTATTAAACCATCACATAACTTTTAGAATTCTTTCCTACATCAAAGTTAATTATATTTATTGGAAGAACATGCTACTTGAGAGGTTACTACATCCTTACCCAGAATCCTAGCCTTACATTTGTGTAAGTGTCCATCTCAAGCGTTAAGACATAGAGCAGAAAAAGCATATCCCCTAGGTTTGTTGAAATGTTTGCTTACACACCTGCATTTGACTGAGTAGGAGAGAAGGACGGGACTTTCTTCTTCTTCTTCTCCTTCTCCTTCTTCCCTTCTTCTTCTTCTTCTTCTTCTTATTATTATTATTACTATTATTATTATTATTATTTGAGACAGAGTCTCACTCTGTTGCCCAAGCTGGAGTGCAGTGGCACGATCTCAGGCTCAAGTGATCCTCCTGCCTCAGCCTCCTGAGTAGCTGGGACTACAGGTGCGTGCCACCATGCCCAGCTAATTTTTGTATTTTTAGTAGAGACGGGGTTTCACCATGTTGGCGAGGCTGGTCTGGAACTCCTGACCTCAAGTGATCCACCTACCTTGGTCTCCCAAAGTGCTGGGATTACAGGTGTGAGCCACTCCACCCAGCCAGGGACTTAATTTTTCAATCCGAGTTGCAAGACACTGACTTTTGAAGATCCATCAGGATAGTGGTTGTCAGGTGATCTCAAAACGCAATGGGGGAACAGGCATATGTATTCTGAGACTATAATGTACATACATTATTGTAAGAATTCATCTTGCATATCAGTCAGTACACGACCCTATTTTTCCTGGGTCATGCCACCAATTATGCCTAAAGAGAAGAACAGAAGAGAAAATGTTGGCTAGCTCTAACTACTCTACTAAAATGGAAAGAAAGTAATTCCAAGGTAAGTCCACCCCAGAGAGCAAATGGGCCTTTTTAAAATGCTGAGGGGAGGGAATAGCAATTTCTTAGTGCCTTTGACAACATTCCCCAGTGGCCTGGTGGCATGGAAATTTGCCTAGCTTCATTTGTGGAGGTCATGCCACCCTGGATAAAAGGAAGGCAGTTTACCAGGCTAAACTTTGTTTATAAGGTTTCTTTCCCCTCCAGTGTGGGAAAGAGAGAATAATAAAGTCTCATTTGCAATTTTCACTGGCCAGAAATTAAAAGCAGGAGACAATGTTGAAGCTATAGTATCCCAAAAAATAGCAAATTGACCTATTTATGCCTTAAATTTAAGACAAAACAATTATTTCAGCAGTTCAATAAGATTGAGCCAGTTTTTGTGTTATTAGCAAAACCCCGAATGTCCCACAGATGTGGCTCGCAATGGTGGACAGAGGTAAGAGAGCTGGTGTTGACCCAAGCTATGTTTAATATAAAGACTCCTTTGTTGACTCACTGTGATAACAGTTCCTCATTTGTTAGAGCATTGGGTATAAAGTTATGTAACTCACCCATGCCCTTCTCTCTAGCTGACTGTGATAGCCAACACTGCCTACTTTTTGCTGTGGTAGATCTTGGGACTGCCAAAGCCACTTCCTGTATGTCAGACACATTTGACTTTTACAGCAGTTCAGGCAATTCGGCAAATTTGAAGGAAGGTGGGAAGAGGTGGTTAGGAATTAGAGTCTTTTCCCCCTTTTCTCAAATAACTAGCAACTCCTACTCTCTTGACTTATGCTATGTTTCTACCCAGTATAACAAAGTATCGGACACCATCCCTGCGCATTGTCCCAATGACTTTCACGATACTTGCCAAAACCATCGGGGGTTTTCTCAATTATTTGAAGGGCAGTTTGTACCCAGTCTTGTCCTCCCAGCCATTACCATCCTACTCTATTATCTTGCACTTAACAAACAGATTGATTTCTTGCCTAAAATTAGCTGGAGAATTCTATTTGGATCAGTCCATCAGAATTAAAAAGTATAATTAGCCTGAGAATTCACTCCACTTTTCAACCTAACTGCTGCTTAAATATCTCCTGCAATGTTTTGCACTTTGTGCAGAGCATGTAGAACTCTGTCTCTGGGTGAAGTAGCTGATTACAGGAAAGCAGCCATGAATTGCTATGAGCTTGTCACTGACGATCCTGCATATGTGTGCGTTATCAACTACAATTGTCTTCGTAAAATTAAATAAAAGCACGCATTTATTATTGTGGGGCTCCAATTAAGGGACAGCTGGTGCTCCTATTACACTTGCATTAAATCGAAACTTGTAATTTCCCTGTGCAGATGCACACTTTTTAATCAAGATATAAAATTGCATTTGCTTTGTCCATTTTCCAAAGTATCTGGAACCTTACCTCAGGGTTCCTCTTATCCTGCAAACTCCGTGGAAGAAGGGGAACAGATTGCACTGATCAGCATTTCCCTGTCTGAAATTCTTAGAGGGAAATAAACGATTGGGGCATTTATGAAAGATAAAACCCCCAAGAAGGCAGCTGGTGAGTATGAATGTATTTATTTAGCCTGTAGCGAGTGGACTTATTCATCGACTAAGATCAATTTTGAAAGGACCCATTTCGCCTCACCTGTCTGGGAAGTGTCTATGAGCGTCCCGCTGTGAACCACACTGCCTTTCTCACTGGCACTTCAGTTCCTGAAGAGCCAGAAACTTTGCACCCCTACCCCAACCCCGCCTCTGGGGATGTGTGCCTGCTTCGTTTGTTTTCGCTTTTGTAAAATCTGAGCGTTATGATTTGTCCCCCTTTCCCTTCCTAATGAAATGACAAAGGGTCTGTGCAGCGGGGGCTGGGCTGCTGGGTTTGGGGGCGAGGCGCCACACCCCCTGAGAATAAAGCCCGCGCTGCGCTCTCGGAGAACCAGGCACGAGTGAGCGAACCACACAAAGAATATATTTCGCGACGAAACAGCGCCCTACAGGAAGAAAGTGCCCGCACTCCGAGCGTGAGCCGCAGCGCGACTTTTTGGCGCTCTTTGGGAGCAGTGAGAGAGAGGCGGAGGCCAGAGAGTCCGGGGTGGGCGCGGGAGCCGGGGCGGCCCTTGGCCGCATTCCCGCCCGTCCCGCAGCGGCGCGCGGAGCCAGGTGAGGTTGGCGGCGGCGCCGCGCTACCTGGCCGGGCGGGGCGGGGCCGGGCGGCCGCGTGCGCCGCTTCCGAGTCCGGCGCTCCGGATGCCCGCCCGCGCTCCGCTGGCCCGCGGAGTTTCGCGGGAGTTTCCGTTTTGGCGCCTAAAGCCCCTCGCTGGCGCCGTTTCCCTCCGCGTGCCGCGTCTGTCCGGCGCGGGACGCACGGAGGCGCGGCCCCAGCCCGGGCTGCCTGGGGTCGGCGGGGCTGCGCGAGGGGACGTCTGGCGTCCGGCGGAGGGCACTGGCCCGGGAGGAGGGCACGCCTTTGGCAAAGGCCGGGCGGGGTTGGGACCGGGGTTGCTATGGTAGCTGCGAGCCCGGGCGGGAGCCCCACGCCCGGCCTCCGCGAGGGAGCTGGGGCGCTCCGAGGTGTGCTCCGAGTGGACTGAACCAAGAGCCTGGGAGGAGCGGGTAGGGCCGGCCCGTGGCCTTGTCCCCTCCTCCCACAGCCCGCCGGCCGGCCCCGGGAAGGGGCCTCGAGGAGCCCAGAAAAGAAAGTATTCTGGCCCCTGGAACCGAAAGGAGTCTTGCAAAAAGCACGAAGGGGTCAAGGGGGCCGAAGGGAGAGGGGGAACCGTCGCCTCCGTCCGAGAGTCAGCGTGCGCGTGTCTGTAGACTTGACATTTTATACCCCAGAGCGGCCGACTTGGAGCCGGGTTGCAAGTCCCAGCCCTGAAGTTCTGGAGGTGGGGCGGGCTTTAATTTGCTTATATCTAATGATTTCAGGAACCTCGCTTTAAAATGGCGGCATTCAGTATGCACCCCTGCTAAAGGCTCTCCCGGCACCGGGGCCACCTCGCGCAGCGCTGCTTTTGCTTCTGCCGCTAACAGATGGCATGTGCCGCTGTCGCTGCCGCTGCCCCTGCTGCTGCCGCTGAGAGCAGGGCCCCTTAGCCTCTGGGTTTGCGCTAGCAGCGTAAGGTAAGGCTGGAGATGAATTGGGATTTGTAAGAGAGGCTGCCTTCCTCGGACGCCGAGGAAATAATGCCTTTTAAACTTCATTTTACAAAATAGCAAATAGGAGGAAAAGTCATCCTGCAACTTTGTTGCGATTTTAGAGCTTTGATCATTTTCCTCCTCCTTTCCTCCTCCTCCTTTTTCTTCTTCCTTCTCTTCCTCCTCTTCTCTTCCTCCTCCCCTTCCTTCCTTCTTTCTTTTTTTCTACTTTCTTCTTTTTAATTTAAAGGAACTTCTTGCATGGCATATAATCAGCAAATGCTTTTTAACAACGAATTTCCCCATTTTCACGCGATATCGTGAGCAGTGCCACAGCTTCCTTGCAGAACCTTGTCTCTTCCTGCCCTGAGTCAACACGTTTGGGCAGCTCGCTTTTACTACTGGGGTTTGAAGGGCATGAGAGTAGATTTTAGGAGACTATTAAAAAGGGAACTTTAGTTTTTAACACTCACACAATAAGCTTTTATGGTAAGAAAACGAAATTAAACCCAGACGAGTAATGAAAGTTGACATTTAAGTGATTCTTTGTTGTGGTTTCATAATTAGGGTAATAGACCTACTGTGTGTTTTTCTGAGCACTCTTAGATAGCTAGCTAGCTAGCTAGCTAGCTAGATGATAGATAAAACAGATAAATTAATTGTGGCTCTAATTAAAGTAATATGTTTTAAAGGAGTTATTTTCTCCTAGATGTTCTTACATCGTTTGTAAATTGAGCTGGGATCCCCACAGCCTCTCCGTATTTGTGGGTAGACTTCATGGGAAAGAATCAATTAAAACAAAACTTGCAAGATTTAATTTTGAAGTGATTGGTACTTTTTTTATTAAGCGGACTCCCTGCTTTAGTGAATAAACGTTTGGGTGATTACTGATATAATGTTTGGAAAACAGATTGTTGGTATGTGGGAATGACTAAACATCCATGCTTGATACAATTTATCTGAATTTTGTTTTGTTTTGTTTCCCCCTCCAGTGAAAGGTAAATAGACAATGAGGCTTATCAGACACCTTGGATTTTTCCTGATTATATTTCCATCTTCTCCTTGGCCCATGAAAATCTAATCCTGAATGTTTAACTACTTTTTAAAATAATTTTTAACTTTTTTCTAATGTGCGATACTTTTGGGGGATGCTTTCATATTTACCAACACTTCTTCAAATATAGACTAAAATGGGCTTCTGCCCACAGCTCAGCTGATAATATTCTATCGCTGTTCACTCCTTCTCCCAAAGCAGTAGAAACTACTTGGTTGGCAGACGCTCTGCTACTAAATTTAGCAAGTGTGTGGAAAGGGAGAAAAATATTGTTTTGCCCTTATTAAAGCATGGTGCAGTTTTCTGCCCAGGTGCTGTAGTCTACCTAGAAACAAACAACCAAACTGTTTACAATGGAATTACTATACAACAAATTTTCAGCAGTTTTTCATATTATTCTTGAAAGAAGTATGTGGGGCAATTCATTGCTTCATGTCTAAAATGAGAGTTCCTGCAGGTAGAGCAATAAACACTTGCATTTTGGTAAAGGGAGGATGAGAAAAAGCAACTTCTCCCATTTTTAGTGATTATGGACTTAGATCCCAGTTCAGTACTGTTTGCTTCCGGATGTGCTACCTTGCTGCTAAAAGACTTCGGACCAAATGCATCCTTAAAAAAAAAGAAAAAAAGAAAGAAAGAAAAGTGAAAATACTAAACCTTGAGGCCAGAATAGACAAGCTAAACTGGTGTCAGAGAAATTAGGAAATTTTGCCAGTTAACATTCTGCTGCCTCATACAGTGATGAGATTGGAGACCTTATATGAAAACATAAGTGAAGGAGTTTGTAAAAAAAAAATGTTTTGAGAGATAATTGATATAGTGCTGGGCTAGAGGTGGTGACTGCATGTTTTGCTCTACTTCTAAGAGCTACTTCATTTCTCTAATTTCCTTTGCTACTTTAAGCAATCGTAATGACTCCCAGGACTATTATAAAGTACCTTTTTTTTCCTCAACTGTCCACTTCAGGCATTTCACAACAGCTGCTTTTTATGATTATGAGCTGGTAGCAAAGGACCTTTGGTATTCTCTTGCACCACCCTCTACCTAGATAATGCTTTGCACAAACTAGGTGCTTAATAAATGTTACATTAAAAAGAAGAATAGCTTATAAACTCACAGTGGAATAGATTTTGGGTACAGCTTTTAATTTAAACGGAAGGCATTTTTATGCACTCACAAGAACCTAAACATTCAAAGAAGAGTAGAATGTACATTCCCCTAGTTGTCTGCATTGTATTTGCTTCTAAAGGGTTCTCTTGCCTCTCATTGTACTTCCAGGCACTTGTATACTTCATGCTTTTGACCAGTAGGTGTATTATTATCTCTCCAGCTTCACTGTGATACTTCCCAGTATCACAGCAGCTTGGGAATAAAAAAGGTTTTGTCTTTTGAGTGATTGTATAGTACCACACATGCTGGAACAGTGACAGTCTCTTGACTGTTGTGCAGATGTTGACAGTATAGTTTAGTACAGTTTTGTTCTCCACCCAGCTGCCTTTATGTGTGAGGGACGAGGGGAGGGAATGGAGTGAGAAGCTCTAAAATGATGAAGATTTCTATTGATAACATTTTACTTTTATTCTGCTTATAGTACAATAAATTCAGGAAGGTGGCAGAATTTTTCTGTTTTCAAATAAATAATGTTGCCTGATAGGCTTACAAACAGGGATTGGGGCATAGCTGACAGTACATAAGTTATAGTACATTTTTGACAAGTAATTTCATCCTGTAATTAAAGTTAGATAATGGTCACTGCCATGTTAACATTATCAAGTGTCTGTAAGAGCATGAAGGCTACACTCACCTTTACTTCATCAAGGTTCTTCCATGCTGGTGAGTTTTCTTATGACATTGTCTACTAGGCAAAACAGATGGATTTTTCCTCATTCAAATGTATGTGATATCAAGAAAATAGAAATCAGAAGTTGTGTTTGTGGGATTTTTCTGCCTTTCTCTAGGTGTGATATAGCTCTCACTTCAAATATAGAAAGAAACCCGAGCCTCAGCTAAAATGAGATGGACACTTTTCCTGAAAGAGAAGAAACTGTGTCTGGGAGCAAGTTGTTTAATTGTCAATTAACCAACCAGCAAACAAACATAAATTATAACTGAAAGAAAGCAATTAGATCTTTCATAATGTGGGCTTTTAGGTCTTAAGGATACCAGATGGTTCCATGACATTCTGTTCTTCCTAAATGGTTATCTATTGCCTCAAGATAGCCAAATGACAGTGTTGGAAAGGCAACTTTGAGAATTAGGATAAATAAGGTATCAGTTGTCTTAATGGATGTTAATAACATCCACATGACCTGAAAGGGATAAGAAAATATTTTTTCAGATCATTGTAGTAAAAATGCATTATTAACTCATCATTTAGATCTGCTTGGTATTAGATTGAGTGACATTGTTTTTAAAAGATTGATGGAGAAAACAATACAATCTGGGAAGTAGGACCTTATCATTTTTATTTGAGAAATAATGGGACTTCCAAATTGCCTGGGCACACAAACACACACGTACATGAGTGTACAAATTAGTGGTCAATTCAAAACAATGTATACAGATGTGCATTGCTTTCTCACTGGAAGATTATAGGAAAATATTTTTACAGTATTCCTCCAATTCTAAGAATGAAATAAAAAAGTTCACTGTAAACTATTATAAATATTTGATATAGTGATGTCACTCTGAGGCTCAGGAAAAGAACCAGGGCTTTGAATGTTCAACTCCAGGCAGTTAACTTTCAGAAAAAAATAAAAAATAAAAAGATGCTTTGCTCAGAACTCAAGAGGAAGCAAGAATAAAAGGAGGCTTGATTTAAATGTGTGTGTGTGTGTGTGTGTGTGTGCGCGTGTGTATTCTCCCTTTGTATGTGTATGGTGATTTTCAGGAAGCCCAAGCATAGGACTCAGTTTGACATGCTTCCTAAAATATTATGTCAACTCTCAAGTTTTACTTGCATCAGTATTAAGTTGGCTCATGAGGAAAAGGAATTATTTGTTTTCTGATTTGAGGCAGGAGTTTGTTTTTTGCCCAGACAGTGAGTGAACTTGAAGGGCTTAGAAATAAAGGGCCTCCCATAGAGAAAAGGCAACCTGGACAGAAATGCAGGGGGTTGGCAGTAGAGACTAGAGGTCATTTGATCTCTTTAAGCCATGGGAGCATCCTGGAGTCTGATAGTTGGCTGGATTTTGTTTTCCATTTAGGATCACAAATTAGCTTAAAATTGTCCACATTGGATTCTTGAATCCTGAGCTTCTTGGCATTGCCTTCAACTGGTGTGGAAAATTGAGAAAGGTTTCCTCAGGCTTACTCAGGTTTCCTTGAATGTACCAGTAACTATTCATTAAGCAGAGGTTATTGGGTCTCTTTACCTCATATCCCTAATGCCTGGTAGATAGTAGGTTCTCAGTAAAAGTTTGTTAAATAAATGAAAGACTAGATTAATCTTTCTAACTTGTTTTTGCATGTTACGAACATTCTTCCTTGTAGCATTATTTCTGTTTTTTATTGACAAAAGAAAAATCAACACCAATAAGCAGACTGAACGCTAGATTGAATGACTGTTCTGCTAGAGGCCACAGTAGCAACTCAAGTCCAGGGAGATGCAAGCAGTGCCAGCTTTGGGGCTGAGACCTTGAGGACTGGCCTGAAAGCCAGCTGCTACTTTTCTTTCACCTGTAGTTGCATTTAGAATACCTCCCCCACATCCCAGGGATATCAGTCTTCATTACAAAGAAATGT
The DNA here is from genome assembly GCF_000001405.40 of Homo sapiens. Lineage (NCBI taxonomy): Eukaryota > Metazoa > Chordata > Mammalia > Primates > Hominidae > Homo > Homo sapiens. The sequence continues at coordinate 132,484,037 of NC_000023.11, read as the reverse complement.
TTACATAGAAACAGTTCTTTAACTGTTTCACCAGATTAAAAATTTAAAAAAAAAATCAGAAATACTGTGACTCTGATGCCTCCTGTCATGTATAGTTTAGGAAGTGATGAAGTTACAGACAAAATCCAAAAAGGACACTGGGAGCTGTCTCATTTTCAGTCAGATGTTGATTGCCCATTTAGAGGCTGGATTTGCATAGGTTTTTACTTACCAAGATACAGGTATGAATAGTGCCTCTTTTTATTGTGTACAGAAAGCAAAGTCCACACAGTAGAAGAGACAAGAGCTGTCATTTCAGATCCACCACAATCATCTTTTGTGCCCAGAGGATAATCAGTCTTTAGGTTTAGCGCTTGCAATTTCTCCTTATGTGGCAGTACAAAGTAACCAAACAAGAGGTTATGTTGGAGAGTGGCATGGGAGGGGTAGTCTATTAGCAAAATGAAAGAGTGAAAGAACCAGAGAGCTTACATTTCACCTTTTGTTTTGTAGTACTCAGCTTCTACGCAGGAAAGCAAAACAACACAAAACAAAAGCACCCTGTAGAATATTAACTGGACATGTATCTCGTGAAATAATTCCTTACTTAATTTACCAATGGGGAAAATGGGATTGTCACAATATATAATATTAAGGTGGTTGCTTTAAGGTTGGATTCATATACTATACACTGGTTTTTCTGAGTTCCATTTAAAATATGTAATGACAAATTCAACAAGACCCATGGCACAGAGGTGGGGATCACATTTAACCTCAGTACCCAAGTGAAGAGTTTGTATTCGTCCTCTGAAAAGTAGGCACTTGATAATGGCCCAGTTGGGGGTGCTGTTTTGTTAAAGGGTACATTGATATTTTAAAAATTGTTTGCTGTCTGTGATCCATGAGGATCCTGAAGAAAGGATGGGGGCATTTCTTTCAGAAGTGATTTTGAGAAAAAATTAAACTCCCAACTCCTTTATGTCAGCATTTTCCCCTAAGTAATTGGACAACATGAAGAGAAACCTTATTAGCTCACCCAGATATATGAAGTGAAACATAGTACATGTTATAGAGTTACATTTTATATTTAAGGACTTCCCAATAAAATCATTAGGGAGGGACTGGGGTACCATGCCTGTGTAATCTGATATGTTTCATGAATGCCTATAGCAGCGGCCTCAGCTGCAGACAGAGGCTGAGGCTGTGTCAATATGCACTCTGCTCGCTTTCTGAAGCCAGGGTCAAGGCCAGACTCAGATTGACAGGCTCGTCAAGGGAGGGCCTTTTTTGAGAAAGACCTTGGATTTTGGCGGGACTTTTTTGTGGTGTACTTTATATGTTTACATTTATTAAATTAACATTGTAATGCAAATGAAAATGTAGGGTCAAAATACATAACCTGATCTGGAGATAGTGTTAAACATCTGCATGTGAGGCAGTTTGTGAATTTGAGGCCTTAGGTAAATGGTCATCACGACATTTAGACATGACATCAGAACCAGGGAGGAGACCAGTATGAGCAGTGAAGGGCTCCATGTCTGCCTCTAAACTTAAGTTCAGGGTAGGTCCCGCTCGCCATAGAAGATGAGTTGAAAATCAGTGTTACCCATCTAAATGAGGAGGAAGGGCTAAAGCCTGTGGATTGACTAGAGGGAGGGTCTGGGAGTTCTTTTTATAAACTTATATGTATATTTTTAATTGACAATAATTGTAATATTTACGGGGTAGAATGTGATATTTCAATACATGCATACAATGTGTAATGATCAAATCAGGGTATTTAGCATATCCATCACCTCAAACATTTGTCATTTCTTTGTGTTGGGAACTTTCAAAATCCTCTCTTCTAGCTATTTGAAAACATAAACTAAATTGTTATTATCATCACCCAACGGTGCTGTAAAGCACTACAGTTTATTCCCACTATGTGGCTATAGTTTTGTGTCCATTAACCAGCCTTTGGCTATTCCCCAACCCCCACCCTTCCCAGGCTCTAGTTACCACTGTTTTACTCACTGCTTCTATGAGATCAACTCTTTCAGCTTCCACATATGAGTGAGAACATGCAGTATTTGTATTTCTGTGCCTGGTTTATTTCATGTAACACAATGTCCTCCAGGTTTATCCATGTTTTGGTGGGACTTTTGACTGACTCGCAAGTTGCCCCTCTACCCCATGTTTAATAACCTGGTTTTGCTGGGGAATTCATATAGATGCGCTGAGATTCAGTGCAGCAACAATACCAGGGCAGAATGCTTTTGCTTTCTAACTGAAACTCCCCCTCCAAAGCTCTTTTGTGATTGAAAAGTGGATAGGCTAGAAAGATGTGTCCTAGGGCTTGGCATTTCACAGTGCTGAAAAAAAGACAAGACTACCTCCATATTTTGTGAAGAGTGTGATCATCATCATCATCACATCATAAAAGGATCTAAAATGTGATTTGATTTAGAGAACTCTCATGCACATACTTTGAACTTGCACAAGTCATTTTGTGGGATGACAATGATGATGATGATGAGAGAAACTCTAAGAAGCTAGATTTCTGGGATATTGTAGTCTCCAGCTCTGTCATTTACTAATCAGGCACATGAAAATTGTGGTTCTGAATATATATTCTAAATTAACAGGAAACAGCTAGGCAACCTAAGATCTGATTTTAAATTCTTTTACAAATGTGGGCTTTTATTCCAATATTCATTAAAATGCAGTGGTTCAAGTGACTGAATCTGTAACCTGTGTTAAGTGAATGTTTTTTGGATAAAAGTTACATTTTTCACTTTCAAGCCTAGATCATATAATAGGCCTCCTTGTTGCCTTGTGTCTATCCCCAAAGAAATCTCTGTAATATTTTTAGCCATCTAAGAAAACAGTTCAGACAGAGGCACTCAGAAACGGTGACAAGCAATGACAGGAAATGCTGGTTGCACTGGGCTCCCTCATAACTTAGTGAGGCCACAGCTGGCTGATTTGCTTTTAACTTCCTGTTTGGCGGCTATTTGAGTCAAAAGTAGCTGTGTTTTCCATATAGAGTTTTTTTTTTCTTTATTCTGTAAGGCCACAATAAATCTGTCACTGGGCTGCATGTTTTGTATATTTTATGAACTGTATCATGTGGTTTGAGTTTAATTTGGAAGGCAGTGCTTTTACAATCAAGGTCCCTCCCCCACCACACGTGCAGCTTTGTGGTCTGGGATTGCATGGGCCTTCGAAAGTTTATGGCTTTATTTACACAATAGTGATTGCTGAGGAGGGCATTTCCTGCCAGCTAATGACTGGTTGGAAGGACCAACAGTCCAAATCCACGGAGAGAGGACCATTCATTAAATGCCAGGAAGCGACCAGGCTGCTTTTCTCATGAAGCAGTGGGGAGAAAGTGAAACCACATTCTGCCCTTTGAAGAGCCCAGAGCACCATGGGCAGAGCTGGGTATGGATGTGGTGCCTCCTCATCCATATGGACAATGGAGCTACTTTTCCTAACAGGGACAAACTACTTCTTTCTCATAGGTTGCCAAATCGGGCCTTTGATGGGAGGGCATTTCCTATAGGTCGATGGTCCAATAGAGACTGGCCAAATAAAGTTGAGGGCCCTGAATTTGCCATTAACGTCTGCCAGATAATTCTTAACTCAGAGGTGTTACAGCTACTTGAAAACCTTTAATATCACATGATTGAGTTTCCTAATTGGTTGAATAACTCATCATTAGTAAAGTGGACAAAAACTTGGAAAGGAATGGAAAGAATGGTTTGTTTTCAGGGTCAGTTTAGCAGGTTACAGATATTTTACTTTGATCTCGTAATATAATGAAGGTAAATAATATACATGAAGAGTGCTTTGCCTTTAGTGGAAGTACCATTGAGAGCTGTAATAGTAATCATTTAACCCATGACATTTCCAGGAAACAGTTTTGTCCTCAGTATAATTCTTGCCTGCTATAAAGCAGCTGAGGTGTGAACAGTTTGGCATTGATTTAGAGCAAAAACAGAATAAGATCGAGGCTGGGTTCACATCCAGGAATCCCTGACTTCCTGGCCTGCCCTTCACTCCCTTAGCTTCCTAAGCCTTCAATTTGCTAAAAAGTTAAATGTTTATAAAAGACAAACATCTGTTCTGAGTTCTTTGGTAGGTACCTCCATATAAAGGAGGCTATGTGACAGCGCCCCCCACCCCCAACTCCCCTGACTCCATGACTTGGCTTGGTCCTTTATCTTGAAATTTAAATTTCTTTCATATCTTCCAAATTTGGTGGGGGGATGGCAGGGGTGGGCTGAATCTCTGAAATAGAGGCAATCACTGATGGCCAGACACCTGCATTTCTTCATGGGATTGAGTAATCTGTTACATGCAGAACAAACCAAATATTAAGTTTCATTTTTGAGTCTGGCAAATGTCATTACATGCTTTTTAAATATTCAGTAATCCAGGGATTGCTGGTCATTACCAGTTCACAAAAGTGAAAGGGTTTTCTGAAGTTTAAAATGTTCCACAAATAAACCGTATACTCATTACTGTTGTTATTATTAGATGATGCCCAGAGCAGATTTATAAACAAAAAAGCGGCTGATGAACAAAAAAATATATATTTCAAAATATGATTTTAATTTTTGAACATTTTTGAGTTTGAATGTTAAGATACACTAAAATTTTGAAAGCTCAGATGAAAGACCGTATTCGATTTAGAAACTGGTTTGGACTAAGAACAAACAACGTTTTTTGTAAGTAGATTGGCCTGAATATTTACAAACATTTATAATTAGCAACACAGCTGTATGTATGTATGTATGGGTTTATTTATTTATTTTTATTTTTGGAGTTGAAGTCTCACTCTTTCGCCCAGGCTAGAGTGCAGTGGTACAATCTCAGCTCACTGCAACCTCTGCCTCCTAGGTTCAAGCGATTCTCCTGCCTCAGCCTCCCAAGTAGCTGGGATTATGGGCACCCACCACCATACCATGCTAATTTTTGTATTTTTAGTAGAGATGGGGTTTCACCATGTTGGCCAGGCTGGTCTTGAACTCCTGCCTCAGGTGATCTGCCTGCCTTGGCCTCCCAAAGTGCTGGGATTACAGGCGTGAGCCACCGTGCCGGGCCCGGACATTATTATTTTGTTTAGCAAAACCTTTCTTTATAGGTAATCTAAAATACATATTTCAAGCTGATTCAGGTTCAGTTATCACAATCTAAACTAGTGGTGTCAAAATTAATATAGGTTTACTCTACTGTATTTGGAGCCAACAGCATTACCTTGTGGTATTAGAAAAGCCTATTTATTCTATCATTGTAATTTTCAAGTGGTAGGCAACAACTCATTAGTGCATAATGAAATCCATTTAGTAGGTTGTGACTAGCATTTCTATTAAACAGAATTGCATTAAATAGACAGTAAGAAAATATCAACATGTGTCATGTAGTAAGATTAGATATATTGGGTGAGACTGTTATTTCAAATCCATGCACCTGTTACTGAGTTAGGATGTAAAGTGTGTTTCTTACTATTTGTTGCCGTCAGAAAGGTTTAAAAGTCAGTGTTTTAGTGGATGTTATTTCTGTGTCAGAAATATTTTTCCTCTCTTTTTTGAAGGGAAGATGGTCAAGGGATGCTGAAGGCTTTCATGATAACATACCTAGTGCTGTTGGTTCAGTACCCTGATAGTTATGTGTCTGCTTTTCAAACTGAACAGTAAGATATTGCTATAGATGTGCTATAAGATTTAATGTCCAAGGTATTTTGCAATCCTGAAGGCAGAAACTTTATATATTATGTATTTACTAAGTGCTATTGCTAGAACATTGGGACACTGAAAATAAAACTATCTGGGAACAAAAGCCAAAAACGGATGTTTAACAACGACAACAACAACAAAATGACAACTAAAAACCTTGGGACAATTGGGTGTGAGGTGCTTCGAATGGCAAAAGAATTATCCAAAAATTTTAAATGTTGGAAGAAAATCAAGCTCATTTTAATAAGTTAAATATAAGTTAAAGGGCTCAAAAATTGTTTTTGATTTTCATAAATCAAAAATGGTCATAGCAAGAGAATGTGTTTGCAAGAAGAAAACAAGCTGATTCATAAATATAAATGTTTATGCTGGGAAAAAAACCTGTGGGTGTCTATTTTTTCTGCGGTGAACAAAGGCACACTTTAAAATGAATTTTAAAATTGTAGATGAGGCATAAGCTGAAAGTCTGTTAAATATACCTAAAATATTAATGGGAAAGATTACAGAAATAAAGAAGAAAATAGCCACATAGTCTTTCCAATCACTTTTTTTGTGCTAATGAGTATTGAGCCTAGTAGTAGGAAAACATAAGATTCACTCACATGAACAGATAAGAGATTAACTACTGAATGCAACCCATTAGGAGAAGTCTGGCCTTAGAAGTCTGGCCAATTTGTGCATATTCCTTAGAATTAAATAATTGTCAGGGGGAGGAAAATATTGCCTTCCGGGGGTACTATTGCATCTCCAGTAGGATCATGAGGAGTTTGTCTTCACCCTCACCTCTCCTGCAGTTCCCTCCCATTGTCATTAAATCTCTTTCTGCCTGGGACATATTGAATTCTTTCCCAAAAGTCTCTTCCTGTGGACATCCTTCAGAGCCTTAAAGCACTGTTGCTTCCTCAACTTTGAGACTTGACATACAATAAGGCTTTATAGATATTTAAATGTTAAACTGAAGTTACTGCTCTGAAAATGTAATGTCAGCTTCTTATGAGTTAGTGACTAAACTCTGTCATTGTGAGTTTGTATCTCCCTCCTCAGATATAATACATTTAAAGATTAAGAATAGAAAAAGACTTACAGATCTACTGATTGTGTAATTAGCAATCAATTTATGAAATGAGATGTAAAACAAATTAAGGACCATAATAAAGGGTTACATCATCACCAACAAAACCCGTTATTCTGTTTATGACGATAAAAACTAAAAAATGTTGAAGGGTGAAATTGCATACATGCTCTGATCCTGAGAGCTAAAGGTTTTAATTCTTTCTTATTCTGATGTTAAAGCTTTTTAGAAAGCAGTAATACATATTTTGGGGGGTTATAGGATACCTTTGCCCATAAGCATCTGTTTCACTGTAAACATGTACAGAGTAGTATAGAGTCAGTTGAATAAGGTGTGGGGGGTTTGAGTGTGAGTTATTCAGGATTTTCAGCTGTAACAAGCATGTAGTTGACTGTTCTAGGCAAACAAAATTAGTCATTGTTTTGGGTGTCAGCTACCTTTTTCACGTTAGCCTTCTGGGATTTTTTTGTTATGGGATGCTTGACAAATTAATAGTGATAAGCAAAAGCTCTGTGAGAGGGAGTGCTCAAGCCAACTAAACACCAACTTATCATTCATTTCATGCAGCACTCTAACTTTCATCAGGCTGTCTGGGAAATATTGTGACGTTTTATATAATATTACATTTGAAACTTTAAGGTATACATGGAACTCAAGACCTTTGACAGGTGAGTTTGTTTTGTTTATTGTAAGTGGAAATTTCCTTCAGTAGGCAATGAGACTGTCAAGGCAAACTTTCTTGTAGAATGGAGGAGGAGAAAGGAAGGAGAGAAAGAGCTGCATGGTTTCCTAACATTTTGTTTGGAGAACTCCTTATACCGCATTCCTCATTTTCATGAAATCCAAAAGAAGGTTGAAATGCTGTATTGCTGTTAGCAGAGTTTTCCCTAAACTAGTAAGTGAGGGAAACCCCTTCTTCCCAAGAATTGCAACCATTAGCACTCTCAGGAAGCCTGCAATGATTTGGACATAAGGAAAACAAAATATATACACCTTCTATGTACTCACAACATTTTTTAAAAAATAAAAATAAATATAATCATGTTGAAAAAAAAACACTTGATCATCTCAGATCCAGGAGAGGAGCTCTGGCTCATATTATTCCTCATGTTGGATAATCATTAAAACAGAAGAAAATAAAACCCTCTTGAAATGGCAGGTTTTTTAAGTGAAAATAAGTAAGGTTTCCTTGGACCCCTATAAGGAGACTCTTGTGAAGCATGCATCCAGACTTCTGAGACTTTATACTTTTTGCTTTCTAGAGCAGGAAAGACTTAAGAAATAGGAAGTCAGAAAGTACAGTAAAAATCTATGGGTTCTGTGCTGTTAAGGGTCCCTTTCTGATTGGCTTGGTGTGAATAATGGTATAGAATTTAACCATGTAAGATGTTAGAGGCCTGAGACTTCCCTTGACATTTCCTTATGCTGGCAGGCCCAGGCAGTTTGACTTTGGCTCTTGTGGCACTTGGGTGGCAGGAGAAACAGTGTTTACAACCACCTTCACCTCCAGGAATGTATTATACTTTTAAATCAATCTTAGTATCTGTAGGCAGGAGTTTATATATAGGAATAAAATTTGAACCCCCATTTTCACACCCAATAAAAACGTCCTGTAATAGGTGTTTATTCAGAGTCAACTGACATTTATTGAACAATTACTGTGTGCCAGATGCTCTGCTAGGTACTTTCATTTTGTTATGACAGTTTTTTTAAGTTATGAAATACAGTTGGTTCTAGCTGGGCAAATACTCTCTTTGGCATCTAATAGATATCAGGCTAAAAATTGCATCCTCAAGTCCCTGCTCACTTTTTGTATAAAACACACCCCCCAACACACAATCATTTCTTCTCTGTCTTGCTTCATCATTTGGGAACCATCTAATGGCCCATGGCCTGCCTCTTCCATCCATGAAGATATTTATTTCATTATAAATCAAGCCAACACTAATCTGTTACCCATCTTGATGTAACAAAAGGCTGCTTTCACTGTTTGATGGATGGTGCTACAGTAGGATAGGAGAAACAGGAAGAGGCTTGAGAGGTGGATGAAGAGTGAGGGGTCAGGAGTGTGAAATGATGTGGAGTTAAGTGCTAGTGAAAGCCATGTAGAAAAATCTAGAACAAAATTGGATTAAACTTGTCCAGAATGCAGAGAAAATAACAAGGCAAGATGTTGGAAGTTAATCCCTCACCCCTAGGAGTGGCCAGGACAGCCCAAGTTGAGCAACACAGGAGGATTTTTTTTTGTTATAGAAGCAAAGGGCAAAGAAAGTCTCTAAAAGGAGGGAGCAATCAACAAATACCACAGGAATTATGTAAGTTGAGGCCACTGGTTTTGGCACTGAAAAGGTTGTTGGTGATTTTTGAGAGCCAAGAAGCTGGTTTCCAGTGGGTTGAGGAGTAAGTGAAAAGTTGGAAAGTGAAAGTGGTAATGATGACTTTTTTTCAGATATATGATGATGAAGGATGAGATATGTTGGAACTTAAAAAGGAAATTGCATCAAGGGAAGGAAGGGTTTTCTTATTAGGATAGAGATGACTTAGATGTGCTTACTGGCTGATGAGAAGGAAGCAGAAGAGAATATTGAAAATGTCTGTCAAGCATGGAATATGTTCTGAGTGGCTGCCCTACTTGCGCAACATCTCTGTTAATATGCACAGTATTAATTGTGCAGTCTGATCAAGTAATTCATACAGAACTCTGGTGAGCCTGAATTTTGGGTCCTCTTTATTCTTTTTGCCTTTAAGGTGGAGGATTAGGATTGTCATAAAAGAACTGGGATAGGTACAACCAAAAACAAAAAAGGAGGAGGGGGAAAGACAGTGGAATTCAGCTAAAATAACAGATAGGATTATTTTTAAATGGCTTCAGAGGCAAGACAGTGCTACTGAAATAGCGAAAATGTGACTGACATCTTTTTACAGCACATACTCAATGAAAATGAAAGAGAGGGTTGGGGAAAGCTATAAAAATGAGAATTCAAATGTAACTATAGAGGATATAGGTTTACTCTGATTTGCCTTTACACTAGGATTCAGTGTCTTTCATAAATTTGGAAATTTACCATAGACATTACTTCCCTTATGTTGCGTCTGACAACTTCAGTTTTTCATGGATTTTATATTTCAACTTGTAAAAATAAAAAAAATAACAAACCTCAGGTCTGGTTCAATTCCCCTCATTTTAATCACCATCCCCTTTCTCCCATCTAGAAGAATATATTTCCTCTTTTCTTAGAAGCTTATGATTATTGATAGAAAATATCTCTACCTTCTCTACCTTAAGCTTTGAATTTAATGTCTAGGTTGATTCTAGTCAAACAAAAGGTGATGCTGCTCTGAGGTTCTGCAAATTTCTTTTTACTCTGAAGCGGAAAACGATGCGAATTTTCAATGCAAATACATTGAAAAACTTAAATCTTTGAAGTTATATTGTAGAGATACTAATGATCTAAACCAGCGTTTTCAAAACTGTGTTTATTTTGCCACATGGTCTAGGATAAAAAAGATATACTAGGTGGAATGCCTGAGAATTGAGGTTGAAACAAATACCACATTCTGAGAATTAAATTGCATTAAGGCTACATTCCTAAAAATATATATAAACATATGTATACATATGGGTTTTTTTTGTGTGCGTGTGTGTGTGTGCGTGTGTTTATTCTTCTAAATTTCAGCTTTTAGCTTTTTATGCTGCATTTCAAGTTACTGTGCAAATATTACTTGTTGATAAGAATTTAAGAATACTCTATCAATAGGAATCAAAGTAGATTAACGGCATCTTCATGCCAAGAGAACAGATTGCACAAAATCAACAGGACTTTAGATTAAAATATTTCCCCAATGCTAGAGAAAAATGTTTCTTAAATGCATTTCTAAAATGAATACAGGAATTTTGCTTTTAATTTTTTGTTTATGGTTTCTAGTATAAATTCTTTATCATTTTATACTGGGGAAAATAGATTTTTATAGTATCCTATATAGAGAAGCAAATCAAATGGCTTTACATTTAGATTATGGAGGATATAGTTTTACTTTGTTGAAGTAAAAATATTCAGCAGGTTTAAATTCTGAAATAATAGCATGAATGAGCTTATTAAGCCCATGATCAACGATTTGCAACTGTTTGCTTGATAATTGGAAGGATTGCAAAGGAAGGCAAGTTTATATGGTTGGTTTAAATTAAGGCTATTGTTTTGAGGGAATCAGCCAGCCCTGTAATCAAGTTGTGAACTCAGTGCATCTCTGAACTAATTAATTTAGTGTGATATCCCCTCAAAGTCCGTGTTCTGTGTTACCAATTAGCTACACCTCATAGGAATCTTAGTCCCTCTTTCAGGATCTGCACTCTGGTTTAATATTATGATGATTATTTACTGGATTCAGTTAAGAAATTCAATTTGCAAACAGATCCTTTTTGGGTTTGGATAGTATCAATAATCAACATTCTCAGAATCCTTTTCCTCTGTAAAATAGTATTTTTAACAAGTTTTACACAATGAAATTAAGAGAATTAAAATGGGAAACCTATAGAAAAGATGTATTTTCCCCAAAAGTCTTTACTGCATTATCTTTTGGGGGGTATGTGTCTGTATGATTAATATTACAATAAATACCAAAGAAATGACGAGTTGTTTGTTGAGCTTAAAGTGGAAAAATTCCAGCAAGGAAGACACAAGTGAGTGATGAGAGAGTATTTCCAAACATATCCCTCTTAAAATGTCTTAAGATGGCTTTTCAGTAAAAAGCTTTTGCCTCCATCTCTGCCCAGCTGCATTTTAGTTGAGAGAGAGAAACATTTACTTTAGGATGCTAAGTACCTTGCCTTATTCAAAGATAGAGAAGCCTAGTGTGAAGGACTTGTGATCTTCGAGAGGTATTCACTTCTTCCAATTCAAATTCCAATCAATTTCTCTTGTGTCTGTACATCATCAGACCTCCCTTTTGTCTGAAAGTGCAAGCTCACATTTAGCCCTTTAGCCCCAGTTCCTGGTGCAGCATCAATGTTCCTAAATATCCACGTTGACATCCAAACTTTTGTATCCTCTTTTCTTGGCAGGAATTTGATTCTTCCAATACTCAAATTGAAAATTGTGCCCTTAACATGTGTAGAGCAGTTGGCACAAAGGGGAAGGGCGCTAATTTATCTGACTCTAGTCAATAAGCCTACACAATTTCACATGAAAAAAAGCAAATCTACAAAATACATGGAGAAAAGTTCAGTATACCAGTTGTGTGTGATGTCTGCAGTTAACCTTCTATAGCATATCAATGCTGGCATCCTCCCAAGGCAATCTTAGCCCAGGAAATCACTATACTTATAATCTTGGAAAATTGCTTCAGCAACAAAATATATTAGATAGCAAGTCTTCTTTTTGTTTGCAAAGTGTATTTACAGACTACGTATGTATTATGACTTTGTAACAGGGCATCCTAAGTGCTAAATATCTTCCCTTCCCCCCTGCAGCATGTACACACACAAATAAACATCGGAACATCTTTAACTTATATTTAAACCACAGTTATGTAGTATCTTGCAGTTACATTGTATTTTTATTTATTTTTATTTTATGAAAAGGGGGTCTCACTCTGTGGCCCAGGCTGCAGTGCCAGTGGCACGATCATAGCTCACTGTAGCCTCAAACTCCTGGGCTGAAGCAATCCTCCCACCTCAGCCTCCTGAGTAGCTAGCTGGCACCAGAGGCATGTGCCACCACGCTTGGCTAGTTAAAAAGAATTTTTTTTATAGACAGGGTCTGCTATGTTGCGCAGGCTGGTCTTGAACTCCTGGGCTCAAGCGATCCTTCTGCCTCAGCCTCCCAAAGTGTTGGGATTACAGGCGTGAGCCACTGCACCTGGCCCAGTTATATTATAGATGTGTAGCAGTTGTGAAAATTTTTCATTTGTGTTTTCCCTTGTAATAACTGACCTAAAATAAATCATTTAATCATATCTTTTTATTTTAATGTAATATTAATTGATAGCCAGTTTTTAGTTTCAGAGCGGGTCTAACTGTAGAACTATCCACTAGGGAGAAAAAAGGGAAAATAATTGATATCATATTAAGAAGTGGCGGGAAGAAGTGATGTAATTTTGTACTTTTTTCTAATAGTAACAGCTACTTACTCTGTGCTAGTCTCTGTGGTAAGCACTTTGCACATGTTATCTCATCTAATCCTCACAGCAACCCTGTGAATTTAGCGTTCTTATTTATCTCCTTTTTACAGATGGGGAACATGGGGCTCAGAGAGAGGAAGCAGCATGCCAAAAGACATTCTGCTAGTAAACAGTAGCATCAAAACTTGAACTTGATGCTCTAACATTGGTCTATGCCTATAATCCCCATGGTTATATTATGGAAATATAAAAAAAGGTTTGATTGGGAACTTGAGTTTGCTGCTTGTCACTTCCACAGTGTATTAGCCATCTAGGATTGGGCACTGGATAAAGATAGTGCTGCTTGAATGAAGTAAACATCTGGAACCACCAGACGCGACAGACATTACAATTCACTTCCAAATTATAGAATTATAAACTGTTAGAAGTGGAGGGGGGAAAGCATCATTTGATTAATAATACATTTGTACAGAATAAGACTGTTTGGCACAATATTGTCAGTAATAGCAACCCTAAATGTTTCAGACTTTTAAAAGTTGTATTATGGTGGGATTTACTATTATTTAGCAGAGCTAGTTCCTGATATTTTTCTAGGAATGTCTCATTTAGGAGACTTTAATGTAAACTGTTAAATGTCTAGAGGAACTATAGCATTTTTGAAATTACAGCTTGATTTTTCCCTGATATTTGGCTCCCTAGGACTTTCCTATTTCACTCTCCTTTTCATCCCCCTTTCAGTTTTTTTGTTTTGTGTTTTTTTTTGTTTTTGCATTTGTTATTCATTCAACGTACTTTATTGAGCACATACTATGAGTCAGCCATGTTTCTAGGTGCTGAGGATATAACTCTGATCATGTAAGTAATTAATTTTAGTGTTAATGTAAGTGAATTAGACATTTTTCTATAAATTGAGCCTCACAAAACACCATTACCTTTATTGCCTTAGATGTCCTTCTTTAGCCTAATCATGTTGTTTTAAAATTGTACTGATTTAGTCACAATAGCCAAAAAGTGGAAATAGCCCAAATGTCTGTCAACTAATGAACAGGTAAGCAAAATGTGGCATACCCATACAATGGAATAATATTCAGGAATAGAAAGGAATGGAATACATGCTACAACATGGACGAACCTTAAAAACATTGTATTAAATGAAAAAAGGCAGACACAAAAGGCTACCTACGATATGATTCAATTTATATGAAATGTCCAGAAAAGGCAAATTCAGGGACAAGAAAGCAGATTAGTGTTAGTGGCTGCTTAGGGAAGAAGGGGTGGGAGCACAGCCTAAGAGGAATGGGGTTTCTTTGGTGGGGGAGTAAAAGTGTTATAAAATTGACTGTAGTGATGGTTGCAGATATTATTAAATAATACTAAAAATCACTGAATTAATACTTTTTCAAAGGGTGAATTTTATGGTATGTGAATTATATTGCAATAAAGCTGTTATTAAGAATTGTACTGACTTAGATATGATATATGTTATATTATTCCCATTTTAGAATTACAAACTTAATCAATAGCTAAATTGAGGGGATTGTTGATCTATTTTTAAACAGAGGCAATGGATTGGAATAACTTTGGATTCCACTTATTCTTTGTTCTTTATGGGAACAGTTGATTTCTTACCTGAAGACCCACATCAACTATCTCTGTTCTTACAGATGCCTTCCTTTTTGGTCCCACTATTTACTGGGCACTTGGCCGTGCTGCCTTACATGTGGACCAAATCATTGCCTTCCCAACATCTAGCACAATGTCTTCCATATGACAGATGTGCACAACTTCCATTGGTTTAGCATGTACTTGTTGACAACTTATTTGTATGTAGTATTGAGCCAGACACTAGAGATGAAGATGTGTCCTCAAGGAGCTCACAGTCAGCCAGACAGCTAAGCAGGAGTTACACTACACTGTGACAAATGTTGAGGTGGAGATGGGCAGACATGTTTGATGGGGATGCTGAAACCCTGCGTATAGTTCTGTGTCTGGATCTAGTTCATTCACTTATCTGATATGGATACCCCATCCACGGTATTCTTCTCTATATTTGAACACATCCAGTAACAAGATGCTCACTTTTTACTAACACAGTGAAATTAAACTGCATTTTTCTAATCTACCAAATGCCCATGTATTTTGACATCAAATCCATATAGTACAATTACATAGTTTGTAAATAAAACTTAAATAGAGCTGTTAACATTCCTTGGCACCTCCAGAAATGATACTATATTGTAATAGAACTTTGAGTAATCTTTATTATTTTATAGAAAGTACTTGGATTTTTAATGTGCCAAAATCTCTGGTAACAAACATGTATAAATTTTAGATTATGTTTGTATACTTTTGTGCCCATTAGAGGCAGTACAGAGTGGTGATTGACAGTAAGCATTTTGGAACATGCCTGAATTTGATCCTAGCTCTTCCACTCATCTGCTGCATAATCTCGAACCAAGTTACTTAGCCTCTCTGTGTCTCAGTTTCCTCATCTGTGAAATGGGTACAGTAATGGAACCTGCCTTACAGGGTAGTTATGAGCAGTAAATGAATTAATATATACGAGTGTGCTAAAAACAGTGCCTTGCACATGGAAAACACATGCATATTTTCTGTTGTTATATTTTCAATTCAACTGAAATGCCATGTTTTATTAGTCTGTTCTTCATAAATCATACACACTCACCGTTAAATGACATTCAAGTCATTGGAAATTGAATGTTCCTTTTACAGGGACCTATAGTTTTTGAGTGTTCTCACACCAAAAGCCAGCTAGATTTTCTGGTATCTGTACTTGAAAATAAGAGGTCACGGTTGACATTCCTTTCTGCTCCTTTTGCGTGGTCACAGAGTTTTATAATGTCACATGCCTATCTCCTATCAGTTAGCTTGATAAAATCTCTATAGCTCACACATGATTTCATGCCAAAGGATCAGTGCTTTTAAAATGTTTGATGCATAGTTACAAATCCACAGGAAATAAAGCATAAACAGTGTTGGATTTACACTTTTTGACTGCATTGATGCCATTCTGTTTGCGAGTCTTGTGATTTACAAGGGCATTTTATTTTAGTCAGCCAGTAGCATCATTGGCCAGTATGCTGTCTAGGGACCACAATTCAGTGGTGACTTGCAGTCTGTCTTGCTGATAAATGTTTTTGGCAGTGTTTGGGAGTTCTGCTTGGTCAAAAATTGACACATACAAAGTAATTTAGAATAATAACAAATTAACATTGAGATTATTGCTTTTGCCTTAGTGCAGATGCAGGTTACTAATAACCTTTCATCTTTCAATATTGCTTCATATTTATTATTTCCAGTACAGTGATGATATATAGTCATTTTCAAGATTAAGCAGAAGTATAAACATTGAAAATGGCCTAAAAGAGCGATGGAGCTAGTTTGGCACAGAAAAACAGAAGCCTGTTGGGACAAGATGCTATACTATGTGCGACTTAGTCTGGGGTTTACAGGAGATTCACTTTTCACTTTTAACCTTTTGGGACCAAGTTGTTAACAATGTCTCATTGTACTTAGATCACAATTTTATCTTTGCCATTAAATGTAAATATATTGCTGTTAAATGTAAACATATGACTGTTGTATCCACAAGAAAGTTTCCTCAGCACCAATAAGAAAATGAGTTAATGATAGTTCTTATGTGTATTATCATTATTAATTTTTAATCAGAACTTCCCTTAAATAAAATGCACAAGCAGTTAAGTTGGGTTTACAAACTTACCAACAAATAGTCTTTATAACCTGCTGTAATTATCTCTAGAAATTTTAATGTGTTCAGTGACTAATTCTCCAGAGCTTTTACTAAGATAAATAAACAGAAACAGCAATAACCAGTTTCCTTGTATTTCTTAATTATTGGCGTGCCTTTTAGTCGTGTTTTAGACTTAAGGAGGGCTGTGTCTCTCTCTAGGCATGCAAACTATGCTTTCTCCTAGTTGGCTTCCTGGAAAATCTAATCCTCCCTCTTGCTCATTGACTCAAGTCCAACTAAGCTCTTGTATATCGCTTCATTTTGTGCATATAATGTCAAGGGATTTGAATGTGTGGTAGTAGTCTGATAGTATGCATGTGTATGGCCATATAGTATTGAATAGTATTGAATATTTATTGAAATACTTCCTTACTGGTTAGTAAATAGATACTGCCTATAGTACCCTTTCCAATGCTCACTCCCTGACAACCCCCCATGATTCAGCAACAAATATGGCAACACTTGGCAGAACACCATCAGTATTGATTTGCCTGTGACCATGCTATAAGAATTGTTTAACATTTTGAGTGTCATTCCTGGCTCATGGTTTACTATGAGGTCAGCCCCCTGCCTCACCGACCAGGCCATTGGTGCTCTGTGACATTCACAGCCTTTTGCTGAACAGTTTTTCCCAGATTGCTTCCTAAACATCAGCTAGACTTCTGAGAGAAGAGCTGTATCCCATAAAGAAATGGCATACTACTTCCAGACCTCAGCTTCTAACAGACACTGTAGATCTCATGAAGGCCAGGCCCTTAAGCATTTAAAACATACTCATAGGGAACCTCCCAAGGCCCTCTCTAAGATCACTCAAGAGCCCATGTCATTTATATTTTAAGACCCAAATCTTAAAGACTCTTGATTCAATACCTTACACAAAGCAATTGTTTGCTACACTTTATTTGATTGAATGTGACTTTGCAAACCACAGAAATTTAATCAGTGTGTTTGTGGGGGAATTAATAGAGGCAGAGGCATAGTGAAGTCATGGCCAATAAATAGCTGCCAGTGAGGAAGAAGATAGACAAACTGTAAAAAGTGGAAATGAAGACACCAAAAACACAGGCATTTGGGGCCGTTTAACAAAGTGCCCAATATATCCTTCAAGGCATTACTGAAGTTTCTTTCTAATGATAACCTAGAATTATCAGAAAAAGCATTACTTTTTTCACTGTCTTATGTCTAAGGGGGAACAACGTTTTACAAATCACTTCAGAAATATTTCCAAAGATTGATTAAAAGAGACAAATATCAATTTATAAGGGTTTTGTTTTTTGAAATTTTATTCTTATGGATCTCCTTGCCTGACATTTTTCCAATAAATGAAATGCTGTAATAAGAACTGTATGTGAACTTAGGGACTTTTGTAGTATATGATGGGCTTGCAATATTAATCAAAATTATTTGTCATAGAAATTATCACAGTGAGAAAATTATTTTGGGACCAGAGTCAGCATCATAAATAAGTATCTGCTCTCAGTGAAAATACTTCCAAACTCATAGAGTTTGTTTGTGAGGTAAAAGAACACATAATATTAATCTTCTTAGTCTCTTTTTTCAAAGAAATATGATTGAAGAATTATTAGATATCTCACTGATAACAGTCTAAGGGAGCCTGTTCAGGAAATGTCTAAAATGAACTGGTGTCACCATTGAATGTTTACATGTACACCTTTTACTTTTTTATAAATATGCATTTGTATTTGGAGGGAAAATTATTTTTCTGTCATCAATATCATATATGCTTCAAAATACTTGTGCATTATTTAAAAATAGAAATGTGGACTAAAAGAAGAACGAAGATGAAGAACACTAACTTTTTAAGGTTCGATTTACCAGTGTAACTTTTAAAAAATATCAATAATACTTTGCTTATCATATGAGGATTTTCAAGTGCTGTGTGAATGTGAATGCTCACAATACCCTGTGCTATAATACAGAGAAGATAATATTATACAGATATAAATGTTACTTGTGTGTGCCAACAACCACATGTATTGTTTCCAGAATCATAGCTTTTAAAGTTAAGTTTAGCTTTGTACCATTCATAGTGTAATGAGCAACAAATATTCCAATTTATTTAAAAGTATTACCACTACCATAACAAAATAAATACATAGTAGCTTACAGCTTACAAGATGTGCCCTAGAGTTTTCTATGTTCAAATATGCACACACACAGTAATTTACCAGAGGTAAGCTTTTTGATAGCCTGTATATTAGAATCCTATATATGCTAATATATTTTTGAAAACCTACTATGTGCTTAGCACCAAAAAGTCTGTTTTACTTCCCTTTTTAAAAAGTTTTTATTATTTATTTATTTACTTTGAGATGGAGTCCTGCTCTGTCACCCAAGCTGTAGTGCAATGGAGCAATCTCAGCTCACTGCAACCTCTGCCTCCCGGGTTCAAGCGATTCTCCTGCCTCAGCCTCCCAAGTAGCTGGGATAACACATGCATGCCACCACGCCCAGCTAATTTTTTATTTGTATTTTTAGTAGAGATGAGGGTTTAACCATGTTGGCCAGGCTGGTCTCGAACTCCTGATCTCAAGTGATCCGTGTGCCTTGGCCTCCCAAAGTGCAGGATTACAGGTGTGAGCCACCGCACCGGCCAGATGGTTTTTAAAACAAGCTCTTCTTACCTCTCCTTAGCATATAAAATGTATTTGGATAGTCAATACAATAAGACTTTTGTGTGGTTACATCTTTAGTTGATACAGCACCATTCCACTTACCACTAATGGTCTTGCTGATTTTTCTATTGGCCCGAATAAGCTCGTAAAGAAATGGCATATGGAATTAATGTTTTTTTGGTGTTTTAAGTTTCACTTCTGAGTTCCCACCTAGATGTGAAAACCAAGAGCCCCTTCATTCTTTACTGTTATTTTATCAACCTTTGCAATTGTGAGGAGAAGATATTCTTGATTTTAACTTAGCATCATATTTATTTACATTGTATGATCATATTATTTCTTTTCACTGAGGGCTACTGATACATTTTCTCAGGTGCATTGAAATATTAATTAAGTAGAACCCAACTGTCTGAAACCCACAGTCGACAGAAGTTTTATTTGTATTTGATTATTAGGAAAAATTTGAATTTACCAAGGATTCAGTGTTAAGAAAAGTATAACCACGTTCTTTAGTAATGAGAGAAAGTTTTAATTCCGTTTACGATATGCTGTTTACCAAGACAAAAACAAGGACTTGTATTTTGAAATGGTTTCTATCAAAAGTGGTTTTTAGTAACCATGATTAAAAAATTAATTCCGTATTTTCATTAAATGAATCTATTTCACATTTCTACTGATTTCCAACAATATTGTGCTTTATCTTTTCATAAAACAGAGGAAGAAAATCTATTTTTCTCATACATCCATTTTTTATGTTCATAATCTCATGCCACATTATTCTCCCCTAACCCCTTAAAAATTGCAGACAAATTTTTTAGGGACAGTGATGGCTTAACCTTTTTTAACTTTGGCACATATACAGATCATGTTTGTTTGATAGATTATAAATGAGAAATTTATTTATTTCTAAATCTTACACAGTGATAGGAATTGCTATGCAATTGATTGAGTTCTAATAATCTGTATATCTTAAATACCACAGAATGAGAAAAAGCAGTCATTGAAAAGGCGTGGTTTTAGTAATTTCTTAACATTTTATGGGATACTTTTTTTTAAAATTGTGTGCGAAACTCCTTATTTTTAACTAGCCACTATGCTTGCAATTCTGTTATCTGCCACTAGGTGGTGCGTGGTTATAAGTTGTAACCATCTGGGCTTGCCGTGTGTGGATAACAATGAGAATAGGTTTATAGTACACAACTGAATTCGATTTTTTAATGAAAATTAATGATTAAAATGGTCAATGTAAATATTCCTTTTGTTTGTTTGTTTTTTGAGACGGAGTTTCGCTCTGTCACCCAGGCTGGAGTGCAGTGGTGTGATCTCGGCTCACTGCAAGCTCTGCCCCGCCCGGGTTCAAGCGATTCTCCTGCCTCAGCCTCCGGAGTAGCTGGGACTACAGGCGTGAGCCACCATGCCCAACTAATTTTTGTATTTTTAGTAGAGACGGGGTTTCACCATGTTGGTCAGGCTGGTCTTGAACTCCTGACCTCAGGTGATCCACCCACCTCAGCCTCCCAAAGTGCTGAGATTACAGGCATGAGCCACGGCGCCCCGCCTCAATATAAATATTCAATCAGCTTCCAAGTATAGTCAGATTGGTATGCATTTTTAAATAAATGAGAGTGCGTAATTATGAGTACTTTTCTTTCACCAAACTTTAAATGTTTTAAATCACCTCATGTGCTTTCTTTAGTTTTTCTTTAAAGGAGAACTTGATTCTTTACGTTATTCAAAATTTTTTTGTTTATTAAAAAGCTCTGGGCCCTATGCTTATGGACAACTTCCCGTGGCTCTTTGCTTATAGCTTTCTCTTCTATTGCCCTAGTTAATTGTTTTGCTACTAGTTCTAAGTGCCCTAAATAACTAAAGTCTGGTTTAGTTGGGTTTCAGGTGAAGTGTTAAGCTCTAGCAATTTTATATAGGAAAGAACTGTGTCACGTATTGAATACAGTGTGTGAGTAGTTTTAGCTCCTTTTTGACCATTAGACATAAGATTCCACACCTATGTCCAAAAATAACAACACACACACACACACACATGCATGCACACACACACACATAGTGCAGGTGTACTCACCCCTCCACACACACTGGTTTCTAACAGTATAGTATACATATGTGGACATGTGGCTGTGTCTTTCTTTGGTCTCTGAAAATGTCCTGCAGTGGTCTCTCTTCCACCAACTAGCTTCCAGCTTGTCACTCATTCTAACTTATGCTTTCTTGTGGACTTTGATGCTTGGATTGGTATAAAAACTAATTTGCATCAAATAGTGAAATTACCTGTGAACTTCTCTAGCAGATTCCCAGCAGTTTTACAGTCTGCTTTGCAAAAGGAGGCCAATAGTCTATTTCTACTGAATTTTTGAAAACATTTATTTCAACTTCCCATTCAAAAAAATAGAATGGTTTTTAAGTAGAGACATAGTTGCTTTAGTTCTTTGACCACATGTATTATCATGCCATGAAAATTGGGAGTTTAACTGTAAAGAGAAACAGGAGAGAGAGGGAGGTAGAGGGAGAGAGAGATTGAGATTGGGAAAGAGATTGAGATTTAAACTTTCTCCAAAATGTAGAACAAAATATTCAACTCCAGTTATCAGAACTGAGCTCTTGTGTTGGCTCTGTCACCCTTTGTGACTGTGTCATTTATCCTCTATAGTCCTATTGTCTTCTCTGAAAAATGAGGGAGTTGGCCTGTAGATCATCACTGCCCACATTGTGAGTCTGTAACTCAGGCTTTCATATTAAAGCAAAAATGTGGGGGAATGCATAGTTTCAGGTCTGCTTGCATTCATGATTGAACTACTCAACTTCCTATAAAAAGCACAGATTCTTATGTATAATAGAAATATGTAGGTTCATTATTTTTATTTTTATTTCTTGCATTTTCTGAATCATCTGCTATCAATGTAGTGCTTTGCACTTGGGATATCTTGTTAGATATACCATATTCCCATTCATGCTAAAGGAAAATAGGAACCTTGCAATGATTATTTTTTTGTTTACATAGATACAGTCATTGTGATCTACAAGAAATACTGCCATTGGATAAGAGAGTGCATTCTAAGAGGGCAAAGCTTGTCATTTTATATTCTTTTTAAATAAAAAAGCAAGTGAAATTCAGAACTTAATCATATGCTGCCTCTGATACTTTTGGGGTGTGAGATTATCTCCCCAACTAGATTATAAGCTCATTGAGAGAAGAAACTATCTTGTATGCATTTTGTGTCACCCAAAAGCCAAATGCAGTGCTATGTACCTAGAATACAGGTTAGAAATGCACTTCCTCTCTGATACTATAATAATAAGTTATTGACTCATGGTATCTTAGCCTTGTGTGGTCGTTTGGGGGTTTCTAGCCCAACTTCCCAGCCAGTGTGACAGAAATCCAGTGAAGAGGAGTGTACCACCCAGAAAAGCATTTCAAAACACTTTCGGAAAGCTCAAGCTGTGAGAAGGCTCTTCACTGTGTTGAGCTAAAGTGTATCTCTCTGTACCTTTTACCTGTAGATCTTTCTGGAAAAACAGAAAGCAAATGAACCACTTGTCTTTATTTTTTTCTTGTTCATCCGTGTTCATCTCCAGAATTTATCATTTTGTAAGTATTTATATAAGGACCTTGATGGCTTCAGAGCAAATACATAACAAATCATTTTTTAAAAATTGAGTCATTGCAGCCATAAAAAGGAACAAAATAATGTCTTTTGAAGCAACTTGGATGGAGCTGGAGGCCATGATTCTAAGTGAAGTAACTCAAGAATGCAAAACCAAATACCGTATGTTCTTACTTGTAAGTGGGAGCTAAGCTATGAGGACGCAAAGACATACAGAGTGATATAATGGATTTTGGGGACTCATGGTGGGAGATTGAGAGGCGAGAGTGAGGGATAAAAGACTACATATTGGGCACATGGTACACTTCTCGGGTAATGGGTGCACCAAAATCTCAGAATTCACCACTATAGAATTCATCCATGTAACCAAAAACCACTTGTACCTCAAAGGTTGTTGAAATAAAAAGTAATAATAATTTAAAAAATTGAGCCACTATAAAGTAATGGAATAAGGTTTGTCAGATTTCTATTTCTACACTGAATGAGATAAGTTCAGGTGATTTATTTCAGAAGCACTTAATTAGTATTTACTCTGTGCCAGACAGTATTCTAAGTCCTTTACAAATATTAACTAATTTCAATCTACAAAACAACCCTAGGAGATAGATACTATTACTGCCACCATTTTATAGATGAGGAAACTGAAGTACAGATTATTTAGGTAACTTGCCCAGGGTTTTCAATTAGTCAGTAAGAAGTAGAATGATGATCAAGGCCTTCTGGCTCCAGAATCCTATTCTTAACCACTCTGCTATGCTGGGATAACTGTTACACGTTTCAAAAAATTCTAGGACATTTAATTTTGTTTCTCTTGTTCTCTTAAGTAAGAACCTAGTTGTTTAAAGTTTCCAATTTTTCATGAGAACTTATTTAAAAATTAATCTTAAAAGATCTGGAAAAGATATTGCTTTCATTTGTTCTGTTTGTGCCATCTTGAAGCACTCTACCTTTATTTATTTTGATTATATAAAACTTTTGCCTGTTTAATTAATTGACATTGCTACTGTCTGGGTAAGTTTTACTATAGTCTCTAAGGATGCTGTTACATCAGCTCTGTTTTCTATCCCTTGGGCAACTGTTAACTTTTTTCCGTCTAGGTCCCTTGCACTCTCCCACACTTTATTTAAAGCTTCACCTTGGCTGAAGTCAAACCTAAAACACCAAATAAATACTATAATTGGCTCATTTTTAACATTTTCTTTGAATTCCTAACAGCCCATTTACCATATCTGTCATTAACTGGGATCTTGGCTTTATTGAGTGCCTACCTCACACCAAGCATTTGCACATCTGTCATATGACTTATTCCTGCTAGGAAACTGAGATACTGAGTTTAAATATCTGGACAGAGGTTCAAATTCAGGTCTTTGTGATTCTAAACCTTATTCTGTAGTGTATACAACAACACACTTTCTTCACTTCTCTGGGTCTGGTCTTAGTTTCCTCACCTGCAAAAGGGAAAAAAATATATAAAAAGTAGACTGAGAGCCTATTAAGTGTTAGGCACCAGGCTAGGTTCTGCTCTGAAGGGGTTCACAGAAATAGACAACTTTAATTTAATGGGTTCATGGTGGTGATGTCTGTTTGAACAGTGTTTTGAGTACCCATTGATCCCTTTTACTTGGTGTAAATCAAAAGCTGGCTCTCGCAGAATAAGTAGGATTTCTCCCATTCTAAGGAAGCACATTCCATAATCCTATAAGACCTTTAAATATATTTTTAAAAATCAAATTTATGTTGTACTCTTCTTTCTATACACAGGTTTATTAAGTATGTGGCATGGAAATTATAGTTTGTTAGACTATTAAAGTTCATGAGAACAGGAACCATGTCCACTGCCTTGTACTAATACTTAATACATATTTGGAAAACAAATGAAAGAAAAAATAGTTTTAAATATGGAGACTCTTACACAACTGACAATTTGAAGTTTTAATGAGTAACTACTATATAGTGCACACTACCTTTATTATTTATACAAATTTCAACTCAACTAGTATTTATTGAGAATCTAGTATGCCAAGTACTGTACTAGGAGAGGTAATATTCAATTCAAATTAATGTTCTACTTGAATGCAGTCATTGACTCTAGGGGAGTTTTAATAGAATGATTGATAGAAGCCATATTGTAGTACATGCTGGAGTGATTAAGGGTGAAGAAGAGGAGGTATCAGGTAGAAGAAGATATTTCAACCATGAAGGCTTTGGAAGCCTTCCTCTAGAGGGAGGCTGAGTTGAAGTTTAGGAAAGTCACATGGATGTTTGTTGGGGAGACAAAATTACAGCTCAAGTGATAGTGGGAAGAGGCCTGAGAAACATGGTCAAGGGATAGATGGGTTCTGCTGTGGTTTGGATGTGGTTTGTCCCTGCCAAGACTCATCTTCAAATTTAATTGCCAATGTAATGGTATTGAGAGGCAGTGGGGCCTTTAAGAAGTGTTTATGTCATGGGAATTCCACCCTCACAAATAGATTAATGCAGTTCTAGTAAGACTGGGTTTGTTCTCATGAGAGAGTGTTGTTATAAAGTGGGCCAACCACTTTGTCCCCCTTTCTTTCGCATGTGTCTACTTGTTCTTCCACTTCCCACTATGAGTTGAAGCAGCACAAAGCCCACGCCAGAAGGACTGCCTAATCTTGGACTTTCCTACCTTCAGAACCATGAGCCAAAATAAATTTATTTTCTTTATAAATTACCCAGTCTCAGATATTCCTTTATAGCAACAGAAGATGGACCAGTTCCTAGTGATGATATGGTTTGGCCTATTCTTCAGTAACCTTGTGGGCCTACACATAAGTTTTTTTTTTTTTTAATGAAGGGTATATAACATCAGGATTCCTAAAATCATATCACTTATCCACTAAGACATTTTTTGAAATTTGTTTGAAATTTTGAAAATAAAATGTAAACATGAGGGACTGTGGCTTATCCATGTTTGTACCTTCAACATTTAGTTATGTGGCCCTGAGTTAGTTCTTACTGTGTGTTTAGTGAATAAATTTATAGAAGGTTAATTATGGATAACTGCTATTGATATACACTGAATAAATGGATATAAGCCATCTACCCTAAAAAAAGATTTAGAGGCCTACATTTACCTGCCTGAAGGTAATGAGCTAGACTTGATCTTTCAGAGTTATTTCCAGTTCTAGAATTCTCAAAATTCTTACCCTTTACTGAATGAATCTTATTTGACTTTTGACAAACCTGAAAACATGAGTTGTGTTGTTTCCGTAATTACTAATATGAAAGCTGCTTTGTTGTTTGAGGCTTGAGTATCTTCAGTGGAACAATTGTTTAGTAGTACATGTAATAGATAATACCATCCATATTAGACCCTGGGAATTTCAGCCTAGTTTTATGTCAGTGTGAGTTGAAGAAGTTTGTATTTGCTGAGAACCTTTATGATCTTTTGTAGGATTATACTGTTATTTTAAATAGAATGAAGGCATTTTGGTTCCCTTTCTGTATATGGAATTATATGGCTGTCAGATTTAATAGTTTAAGCCATTCAGTACCTAGTGACATAGATGATACCTACATCACATGATTCCTACCTACAGTATAGGAATCCATCAACTTTGATGGACTTTCTCTTCACTTCAGTATAAATGTAAATGCCCTCTTTAAATTACTATTTAAGCCATGACTCCTCCTCCTCCATCTCCTCCTTTTTCACCTCCTTCTTTTTTGCCTAGCCATTTAAGCTGAGTTGATTTTTGAGATGATTCTTAATCTATAGATATCTTCTTACTTTCCATATATGTTGGTACTTAACAACATATATGTACAGACTTGCTTGCTTGTTTGACTTCAGTATTTCCCTTGAGTTTTATTTTCAAATCCCTGTTTTATTTGTAGGCTCTTACTCAGATCTTGTCCTGAAAACCTCTTGTGGTGAAATCTTTTTTTAAAAAATTTTGCCTTCTTTTTATGACTTGCACACTCCAGATTTTGATATAGTAAATTTACAAGTTAGCAACAGAGTTGAATTTGTGAAGGTACTGACAATCTTGTTGTAGTATTATAGCTTCCTAGTTTTTTCATAATTTCCAAATCTTGGTTCAGAGATTTCACTTTGATTTGGATAGCCATTTTTTTGGTAGAAAAATTTTATTTTTAGAGCAAGGACCTACCGTGCCCAAGGGCTTTTATGCTTCCCTTCTGCCAGCTGGTTGCCAGATTTCTGGACCACATGTTCTTTTGAATGATGATTTTAAACCCACTATGTCAAGCAGTTTCTAACTTATTTGCCAGATATGTATGAAAACATATACCTTCCAAATTATAAGCAATTCAGGATGCTCTGGCTTCCATGGGTAGGGAGTAGTAAGCTTTCTTATTGTCATTTCAGGAATCTGGGGTGGGGGAAATGAGAACTTGGAGATTTTTTATTGGTGTTTATGACTCTTATGATTTCTGAGAAATTTAAATATTGAAAAACTCAATACAATGATTTGGTAACAAGTCTAGAATTAAAATTTGTGAAAGACTGATTTGGTTTTTAAATGAAATTTTAATGTTGCCCTTTAAAAGTATGTACCTCATAGGATATTGGGGATGATTAAATGAGAAAATGAATATAAAATGCCTAGCACAGTGTCTGGCACAGAATAAGAGCTCCATACATGTTAACTATTATTAATATCTATTACTTAATAATCAATAGATTGACCTTGGAAGATACAAATACCTATTAGTTAATAACAAAGATTGGCTTTAGAATGCGTCATATGATATGCTCAGCAAGGCAAATTTATCTTCCTCATTGTGTTCTAGTGGTTATTTGTGAATCCTAAACTCACTCTTAGAATTCTTACTTAATACAATTCCCAGTATCCCAGTTGATTAGAAATTAATATAGAAAATATTTTGTGTAGACACAGTTTATCCAGACCAGAGGATAACAGGAGAAATGGGCTCACAGAGGTAAACACAGGAAAAAGAGAGGACAAACCAAATTATTTGTTTAACAGAAGAAATGTGCCAGATCTCACGAGTTTTGGCTTGCAACAGACTGTGGCCAGGAGGGTCAGATGGTTACAAACAGGTAAACTAAATCTGATTCTAACAGGTTTTAGAAAGTAGAGAGGATCAGGTAGAGTATGATAGAAAAGCTGAATCCAAAGTTTGGACAACTTGTAGTAGAGAGGCAATTGAAACAAAACCATGTGTGCAAAGAAGATGTTGTTCTCTGAAACTGAACAAGGGTGTCACGGCAGTTGTGTTGAAATTAATGGAAGACACAGGCCCACAGAGGTCAATGAATCTTTATAACTCAGAAGCAAGCGATTGCCTTTCTCCAGGGATTTAAAGCTACAGAAGATGTCCTTCTGGTTTTCAGTAGTGTGAAAATGCCTCCATAGCCAGGAATTAAGTTCCAACATGAATATGAGCTGTCAATAAAACAAACTAAATGAACCGGGACAATTGGGTTAAACTTTTGGGACTCTGCCTACCCATTCTGATCACAGATTGCCAAGATATCAGATAAGATGAAATTACAGCGTGAGCTCTTCATGTGTACACTAAAAATTTTAGGTATTTTGTCCAAGTAAATGAATCCTTCTGGGCCTCTGTTCAAGGTTGAAGTAATCAGTAGGTTACTTTGTCCCTCACTGGCTTTGATAACTCTATTATGAGCCCATTTTATTTGGAATATTTTCATATTTGATGTATACTTGATTGTCCGTATCGCTTTTTGATATCCAAAACGTGGATTTAAATCGCATGCCTTGCAAAAGTCGACACAGAAGTTGCTTCCCCATTTATTGACGCAAATCAGAGTTGAAAATGATAGATTTCATAGCATTGTTTTTATTGAAGATGAGTATTAGATTATGTGGGTAAGGTGTTGCTTTCCAACCTCATGGTATAATTAAACCAATCTCCTTTCCAGCTCCCCTCTACTTTGGGGGTTCTATAATCTTTCTTTTGAGATTTGTTGAGATTGATCTTGGAAGATGGAAGAGAACTATTCTATCTGGGCCAAGAAGATGACTTTATAATGACTGTATTATATTTACACAACTTTCTTTAGTGTTAACAAGGACATTGACTACTTGGCCAACATTCAATTAAAAGATGTTTAAAAGCAAGCCTATGTTGCAGTTCCTCTAAATTTTTCCATAAAGAAAGGCCCACAATTTCCAGTGAAGCATAAATCACTTTGGAATATCAAGAGAAAAATGAAAATTTTTATTTTAGAAACTTTTAAAGAAGGATACCCTCAGGCCTGTGTAAAGATTGGGAAATGTAGAGCTTAAGACTGTATCCTGTCTGTGCTCCCAGCATTTCACTCATAACTTTTTACTAAAGCAGCCAACTTTCCAATGAACTCTAGGCAGTTGGTTTGTAGATATGTATTTCAGTCGTGTGTGATATGAATGTGAAATAATGCTTCTAGAAACAGTAAGTTGAGACACAAAGGGTTAGAGCTCTTGTGTATACTTTCCTAGAAAATTCACTTTCCCAGAAAACTCCCTTCAAGGCTACTGGAGGGTTTGGCATTGGTCTTTGAAATCAGGGTACATTTGGGACTCTCCCAACATTTTCAGCCACAGAGATTTTTTCTCTTATAAGTGCTCCTGATAAGGAGAAGGTACTTAGTATGGAGATTGAGAATCTGAATTTATTGGCTATAATGCCAGTGATGAACTCAGGTAAGGAAGCCCTCACAGGATGCCTATTAGGTATAGTAGTGAATCCCTTTACGACATTATATCACATGGATGCTACCTTAGTTTACCTCTCTGCCAAATAATTATCCTTACGTGACCCTCATGTTTGACTAGAGAATTACTTGAGCTGTTTATAATTAAAGGATGAATAAACATTTAGTGATAGCTTTTGATATGTGTGTGTGTGTGTATGTGTGTGTGTGTGTGTGTGTTGGTATGGGGAGGTGAACAGTGAATGTTCAACCAAATCTTATCAATGAATATCTTGGCCACCAAAATTTAATTTGATTCAATTCAATATGTACTTTGGGAGAACCATGAACACTTTCTTTTTTCTTTTTCTTTTTGAGACAGAATTTCCCTCTGTTGCCCAGGCTAGAGTGTAATGGCATGATCTCCATTCACTGCAACCTCTGCCTCCCAGGCTCAAGCGATTCTCGTGCTTCAGCCTCCTGAGTAGCTGGGATTACAGGCATGTGCCATCATGCCCAGATAATTTTTATATTTTTAGTGAAGACGGGGTTTCATCATGTTGGCCAGGCTGGTCTCGAACTCCTGGCCTCAAGTGATCCGCCCGCCTCAGTCTCCCAAAGTGCTAGGATGACAGGTGTGAGCCACCATGCCCGTCCACATGAACACTTTCAGACCACTGGTTTGAAAGGGGTGCTGCTTAAAGCCCTATAGCAGGAATTTACAGGATGCCATTATACCCAAAAATTTATTGTTCAAATTTAGTTCCTGGTATGAGCTTATTATTTAGCAAAATGTAACAAAAAAACCATCCTAGTTGAAAGTTCAACTACATTTTTAAAGGAATTTCTATTATAGAGATAAAGATTGAAAAGTATTTGAGTCAGTTCAGAAAATAGGAATGCTGCTATGTGTCCTTAATGACTGGGGTCATTGATAAATGATGGGTAGGTAGCAAAATGCAAAGAAGAAGCTATAATTTTCTGTTTCCCAACCTTTTTATGTTGGCCGGTCTTGAAATACTCTCTATCTTGTCCTCACGGAGCCTGTGAAGTAGAGAAAAACACTCTGACCTTTATCTACTTTCGCTTCACCTTTTGTTCTTCCACAGTACGTTGAGTGCATGAACTTTACTCTGACTCTGTGCTGTGGGCTCCTTAAGTAAACCAATTTTCCAGGAGCAGATCATTGTTAACATTCTACATTTATGGCCTGTAAGATTCTGCTCTGCTTCAAGTCTATGAGAGAGGCTCCTTCTTCTATAACAAATATATACTCCTTAGGTCACTTTCCAGGTTCTTCAGAAACCACCCACACATTATTTCTCTTCCCCAGTATAAACCTACCATCCTAACCAGCCCATGTATGCTCACCATCCTACACACGCCAGGTGCCCAGTCTGATCTTCCAGCCCTTATTCATGCTGCTTCCCTTTTCAGAAATACTATCTGCCTCTCTTGCCTTCATCTAGATCCTTCTCATTCTTTAAGGCCCAGCTCCCCTTTCTTCTTGAAAACTCCTTTAACTACTCCAGACTTTAGTGATGTTCTGTTCTCTGAACTGTCATCAGATTTGTTGTTAATGTTACCAAATTTTGTTCTTAATTGTCTGCATTGTTTGCAGACATATCATATATGTTGTTCTTACCTCCCCAACTAAATTAGGGGCTTCTTGAGTGCAGAGGCAGTTCCTTAAGGTTATACTAATTCCCAAGAAGCACGTGATACAGATCTGTGCAGGTAGTTGGTATACAAAACATGTTTGTTGATTGATTGGTATTTTCCTATATTAATATTTTTAAAGGTTTTACTTGCATTGATATTAAATATTTGTTGATTGGATAAAATGAATGATGGAATATATTTCTTTGTTTATTTTCTGCCCCTCTGGCCAGTCCTCACCTGCTACCACTCACTTGAATGTACAAGTCAAAGGACAGGGCTTTTGTGTTGTTCACCTTTGTTTCCCCAGGACCTAGATAAGGGCCTGGGCCATAGTGGATGCCTGATAAATGTCTGCTGAGTGAATTGTCAGCAAAATCACCCCACGTATATTAAATGGAATCAGTCTTGGAACCCATTTAGTATTTCATTCATCTCAAATGCTTGAGTATTATAGGATTGGAAGTGCCAAATGTGTCAAGCTTCCTGTTGTCTTCAAGTTGAAATCCAGTTTTTGGTGAAAGAAGACCTTTTAATGGCACTGGGATTTCTGTCACATGCACATACGCAAGCACTTAATGAGTGTGATTTAATAACAACTATGTTTAGGATCCAGGTTTTCAGCTGTTTTATATTAAATTGGGCTAGTTTAACATATTTAAGTGGTGGATTCTGGGTGTAGAGCAAGATGGTAGAATAGGAACAGCTTTGGACTGCAGCTCCCAGCGAGATCAACTTAGAAGACAGGTGATTTCTGCATTTCCAACTGAGGTACCCAGCTCATCTCACTGGGACTGGTTAGACAGTGCGTGCAGCCCATGGAGGGCAAGCTGAAGCAGGGTGGGGCGTTGTCTCACTCGGGAAGCACAAAGGGTCAGGGAACTCCCTCCCCTAGCCAAGGGAAGCTGTGAGGGACTGTGCTGTGAGGCACAGTGCATTCAGGCCCAGATACTATGCTTTTTCCACGGTCTTTGCAACCCACAGACCAGGAGATTCCCCTGGGTGCCTACCCCACCAGGGCCCTGGGTTTCAAGCACAAAACTGGGCAGCCGTTTGGGGAGACACTGAGCTAGCTGCAGGAGTTTTTTTCATACCCCAGTGGCACCTGGAATACCAGTGAGACAGAACTGTTCACTTCTCTGGAAAGGGGGCTGAAGCCAGGGAGCCAAGTGGTCTAGCTCAGCGGACCCCCACCCCCACAGAGCCCAGCAAGGTAATATACACTGGCCTGAAATTCTCGCTGCAGGCACAGCAGTCTGAAGTCGACCTGGGATGCTCCAGCTTTGTGAGGGGAGGGGTGTCCACCATTACTGAGGCTTGAGTAGGCAGTTTTTCCCCACAGCGTAAACAAAGCCACCTCAAAGTTCGAACTGTGTGGAGCCCACCATGGCTTAGCAAAGCCACTGTACCCAGGCTGCCTCTCTAGATTCCTCCTCTCTGGGCAGGGCATCTCTGAAAGAAAGGCAGCAGCCCCAGTCAGGGGCTTATAGATGAAACTCCCATCTCCCTGGGACAGAGCACCTGGCAGAAGGGGAGGCTATAGGCACAGCTTCAACAGACTTAAACGTTCCTGCCTGCTGGCTCTGAAGAGAGCGGCAGATCTCCCAGCACAGTGCTTGAGCTCTGCTAAGGGACAGACTGCCTCCTCAAGTGGGGCCCTGACCCCCATGCCTCCTGACTGGGAGAAACCTCCCAGCAGGGGTTGACAGACACCTCATACAAGAGAGCTCTGGCTGGCATCTGGTGGGTGTCACTCCGGGACAAAGCTTCCAGAGGAAGGAGTAGGCAGCAATCTTTGGTGTTCTGCAGTCTCTGCTGGTGATACCCAGGCAAACAGGGACTGAACTGGACCTCCAGTAAACTCCAACAGACATGCAGCAGAGAGGCCTGACTGTTAGAAGGAAAACTAACAAACAGAAAAAAATAGCATCAACATCAACAAAAAGGACATCCACACAAAAACTCCATCCAAAGGTCACCAGCATCAAACACCAAAGGTAGATAAATCCATGAAGATGAAGAAAAACCAGCACACAAAGGCTGAAAATTCCAAAAACTAGAATGCCTCTTCTCCTCCAAAGGATCACAACTCCTCGCCAGCAAGGAAACAAAACTGGACGAAGAATGAGTTTGATGAATTGACAGAAGTAGGCTTCAGAAGGTGGGTAATAACAAACTCCTCCAAGCTAACGGAGCATGTTCTAACCCAATGCAAGGAAGCTAAGAACCTTGAAAAAAGGTTAGAGGTATTGCTAACTAGAATAACCAGTTTAGAGAAGAACATAAATGATCTGATGGAGCTGAAAAACACAGCACGAGAACTTTGTGAAGCATACAAAAGTATCAATAGCTGAATTGATCAGGCAGAAGAAAGGATATCAGAGATTGAAGATCAACTTAATGAAATAAAGCGTGAAGACAAGATTAGAGAAAAAAGAATAAAAAGGAACGAACAAAGCCCCCAAAGAAATATGGGACTATGTGAAAAGACCAAACCTAAGTTTGATTTGTGTAACTGAAAGTGATGGGGAGAATGGAACCAAGCTGGAAAACACTGTTCAGGATATTATCCAGGAGAACTTCCTCAACCTAGCAAGACAGGCCAACATTCAAATTCAGGAAATACAGAGAACACCACAAAGATACTCCTTGAGAAGACTAACCCCAACACAAATAACCGTCAGATTCTCCAAGGTTGAAATGAAGGAAAAAATGTTAAGGGCAGCCAAAGAGAAAGGTCGGGTTACCCGCAAAGGGAAGCCCATCAGACTAACAGCAGATCTCTCTGCAGAAACCCTACAAGCCAGAAGTGGCGGGGGGGGGGGGGGGGCAATATTCAGCATTCTTAAAGAAAATAATTTACAACCAAGAATTTCATATCCAGCCAAACTAAGCTTCATAAATGAAGGAGAAATAAAATCCTTTACAGACAAGCAAATGCTGAGAGATTTTGTCACCACCTGGCCTCCCTTACAAGAGCTCCTGAAGGAAGCACTAAAATATGGAAAGGAAAAACCGGTACCAGCCACTGCAACAACATACCAAATTGTAAAGACCATCGACACTATGAAGAAACTACATCAACTAACGGGCAAAATAACCAGCTAGCATCATAATGATAGTATAAAATTCATACATAACAATATTAACCTTAAATGTAAATGGGCTAAATGCCCTAAACAAAAGACACAGACTGGCAAATTGGATAAAGAGTCAGGACCCATCAGTGTGCTGTATTCAGGAGACCCATCTCATGTGCAGAGACACACATAGGATCAAAATAAAGGAATGGAGGAATATTTACCAAGCAAATGGAAAGCAAAAAAAAAAAAAAAAAAAAAAAGCAGGGGTTGCAATCCTAGTCTCTGATAAAACAGATTTTAAACCAACAAAGATCAAAAGAGACAAAGAAGGGCATTACATACTGGTAAAGGGATCAATGCAACAAGAAGAGCTAACTATCCTAAATATATATAAACCCAATAAAGGAGCACCCAGATTCATAAAGCAAGTTCTTAGAGACCTACAAAGAGACTTAGACTCTGACACAATAATAGTGGGAGACTTTAACACCCCACTGTCAATATTAGACAGATCAATGAGACAGAAAATTAACAAGGATATTCAGGACTTGAACTCAGCTCTGGACCAAATGGACCTAATAAACATCTACAGAACTCTCCGTCCCAAACCAACAGAATATACATTCTTCTCAGAAACACATCGCACTTATTCTAAAATTGACCACATAATTGGAAGTAAAACACTCCTCAGCAAATGCAAAAGAAAGGAAATCATAACAGTCTCTCAGACCACAATGCAATCAAATGAGAACTCAGGATTAAGAAACTCACTCAAAACTGCACAACTACATGGAAACTGAGCAACCTCCTCCAGAATGACTACAGGATAAATAATGAAATTAAAGCAGACATAAATAAGTTCTTTGAAACCAATGAGAACAAAGACACAATGTGCCAGAATCTCTGGGACACAGCTAAAGCAGTGTTTAGAGGGAAATTTATAGCACTAAATGCCCACAGGAGAAAGCGGGAAAGATCTAAAATTGACACCCTAACATCACAATTACAAGAACGCGAGATGCAAGAGCAAACAAACTCAAAAGCTAGCAGAAGACAAGTAATAACTAAGATCAGAGCAGAACTAAAGGAGCTAGAGACACGAAAAACCCTTCAAAAAAATCAATGAATCTAGGAGCTGGATTTTGAAAAGATTAACAAAAGAGACCACTAGCCGGACTAATAAAGAAGAAAAGGGAGAAGAATCAAATACACACAATAAAAAATGATAAGGGGGATATCACCACTGATCCCACAGAAATGCAAACTACCATCAGAGAATACTATAAACACCGCTATGCAAATCAACTAGAAAATCTAGAAGAAATGGATAAATTCCTGGACACATGCACCCTCCCAAGACTAAACCAGGAAGAAGTCGAATCCCTGAATAGACCAATAACAAATTCTGAAAATGAGGCAGTAATTAATAGCCTGCCCACCCCGAAAAGCCCAGGACCAGATGAATTCACAGCCAATATTCTACCAGGGGTACAAAGAGGAGCTGGTCCCATTCCTTCTGAAACTATTCCAAACAAAAGAAAAAGAGGGACTAATATTCTCAGTAAAATACTGGCAAACCTAATCCAGCAGCACATCAAAAAGCTTATCCACCATGATCAAGTCGGCTTCATCCCTGGGATGCAAGGCTATTTCAACATACATAAATCAATAAACATAATCCATAACATAAACAGAACCAATGACAAAAACCACATGATTATCTCAATAGATGCAGAAAAGGCCTTTGATAAAATTCAACAGCACTTCATGCTAAAAACTCTCAATAACCTAGGTATTCATGGAACATATCTCAAAATAATAAGAGTTATTTATGAGAAACCCACAGCCAATATCATACTGAATGGTCAAAAACTGGAAGCATTCCTTTTGAAAACCAGCACAAGACAAGGATGCCCTCTCTCATCACTCCTATTCAACATAGTATTGGAAGTTCTGGCCAGGGCAATCAGGCAAGAGAAAGAAATAAATTGTATTCAGATAGGAAGAGAGGAAGTTAAATTGTCTCTTTGCAGATGACATGATTGTATATTTAGAAAATCCCATCGTCTCAGCCCAAAATCTCCTTAAGCTGATAAGCAACTTCAGCAGAGTCTCAGGATACAAAATCAATGTGCAAAAATCACAAGCATTCCTATCCATCAATAACAGACAAACAGAGGCAAATCATGAGTGAACTCCCATTCACAATTGCTACAAAGAGAATAAAATACCTAGGAATCGAACTCACAAGGGATGTGAAGGACCTCTTCAAGGAGAAGTACAAACCAATGCTCAAGGAAATAAGAGAGGACACAAACAAATGGAAAAACATTCCATGCCCATGGATGGGATGAATCAATATCGTGAAAATGGCCATACTGCCCAAAGTAATTTATAGATTCAATGCTATCCCCATCAAGCTACCACTGACTTTCTTCACAGAATTGGAAAAAACTACTTTAAATTTCATATGGAACCAAAAAAGAACCCGCATAGCCAAGACAATCCTCAACAAAAAGAACAAGGCTGGAGGCATCACGCTACCTGACTTCAAACTATACTACAAGGTTACAGTAACCAAAACAGCATGGTACTGGTACCAAAACAAATATATAGACCAATGGAACAGAACAGAACAGAGGCCTCAGAAATAACACCATACATCTACAAACATCTGATCTTTGACAAACCTGACAAAAACAAGCAATGGGGAAAGGATTCCCTATTTAATAAATGGTATTGAGAAAACTGGCTAGCCATATGCAGAAAACTGAAACTGGACCCCTTCCTTACACCTTATACAAAAAATAACTCAAGATGGATTAAAGACTTAAACATAAGACCTATAAAACCCCTAGAAGAAAACCTAGGCAATACCATTCAGGACATAGGCATGGGCAAAGACTTCATGACTAAAACACCAAAAGCAATGGTGACGAAAGCCAAAAATTGACAAATGGGATCTAATTAAACTAAAGAGCTTCTGCACAGCAAAAGAAACTCTCATCAGAGTGAACAGGCGACCTTCAGAATGGGAGAAAATTTTTGCAATTTATCCATCTGACAAAGGGCTAATATCCAGAATCTACAAGGAACTTAAACAAATTTACAAGAAAAAACAAACAACCCCATCAAAAGTGGGTGAAGGATATGAACAGACACTTCTCAAAAGAAGACATTTCTGTGATCAACAAACATATGAAAAAAAGCTCATCTTCACTGGTCATTAGACAAATGCAAATCGAAACCACAATGAGATACCATCTCCAGACACTGGAGAGGATGTGGAGAAATAGGAATGCTTTTTCACTGTTGGTGGATGTGTAAATTAGTTCAACCATTGTGGGAGACAGTGTGACGATTCCTCAAGGATCTAGAACCAGAAATACCATTTGACCCAGCAATCCCATTACTAGGTATATACCCAAAGTATTATAAATCTTTCTGCTATAAAGACACATGCACATGTATGTTTATTGTAGCACGATTCACAATAGCAAAGACTTGGAACCAACCCAAATGCTCATCAATGATAGATTGGATAAAGAAAATGTGGCACATATACACCATGGAATACTATGCAGCCATAAAAAAGGATGAGTTCACGTCCTTTGCAGGGACATGGATGAAGATGGAAACCATCATTCTCAGCAAACTAACACAGGAACAGAAAACTAAACACTGCATATTTTCACTCATAAGTGGGAGTTGAACAATGAGAACATATGGACACAGGGAGGGGAACATTACACACCACGGCCTGTTGGAGGGTGGGGAGCTAAGGGAGGGATAGCATTAGGAGAAATACCTAATGTAGATGATGGGTTGATGGGTGCAGCAAACCACCATGGCACGTGTATACCTATGTAACAAACCTGCACGTTCCGCACATGTATCCCAGAACTTAAAGTACAATTAAAAAATAATAATGATAATAAAACTTTAAATGGCATTTATTAGCAAGTTCTTGTACTATTTAAAAATGGACACATCTTTTTAAAAAAGATGTGCCAGTAACATTATTTTATCCATTGCTAAAGTGATTTTCAAAAGAGACACTGTTGCACCTATTTTTTCCTTTTATGATTATATGTATGAACTGAGTTGGGGTGTTTAATTGTTTTGCAAAATAGAATAAGTTGACTTACCTGCTTTTTGAAAAAAGACATATGGAATTTACTATCCCAGGAGTATTATGAAAAAATGCAGCAAAGCTTTAAAAAAAAGTTAATGAAAAAGTTCTGTAGGCAAAATATCCTTATTTTTTACGACAATTTTTTTTTTCTGGACAGAAGACTTGGTTTTCCATAGGATGCCTATGAAATCATGGTTTCCATCTGCTGTGCTGAGCACCTCTTATATTCCTTACAGAACGTGTGGTGGTGGACCACTAACGAAAACACGTGAGGGAAATAGAACTTGAAGCAAATTTGAAAACTTGAAGGCTTTTAAATCTTGTCAGCCATCCAATTCAAGCAGTGTATGGCAGGTGTGTCATATATTTGTAGAGCCAAAATAAATGACCACAAGAAATTCAGAAGTAATACAGATGTAAGGAAAGCTTAAAATGGAAACAAAGAAAACATTGTTTTCATTGTTTATTCAGGGGTTGATAAATGCATTTAAAGGAAGACCTCTTTAGTGATTGGTTTAGGTGCCAAATATCTTTGTGATCTTCTGGACCAGGCACTGGCAGTGTTCTTGTTATGTGCTGGTTTGTGGAGGGGAGGCAAAAGAAAGTAGGAGACAAGGAAAGTATAGGAAAACTGGGGCAAAAGTAGCTGATGGCAGTGGCCTTGCAAACAGCTCTAGGACAAGTTACTGTTTCCATTAGATTAGAAGAAAACATGTCTTTCTTCTCTTGTTTTACTTTCAAGATAACTTCCATGAGAATGTGAATTCTTAAAAATAATAAAATCTGCAGTTCTTTTTTTTCAAAGGTTGCACTTAATAGAGAATCTATTATGTATGTAATTTTAAAATATAAGTTTCTACATTTTCCTTATATTGTGTCTTGTCTAGGACTCTTATAGATGAGCATCAATTCAAAGTCAAAATTAACTATTTTATTTTCATGGAAGAATACTTATGAAAGGTTTCTTCCTGTGGATCAGAGAGAAATCTCCCCCACCCTTACTCCCACCACCAGTTCAGTTTCATCATACCTATTATTGAGCAAAAACATTCCAAAGATGAACATACTATCCAAAGACACAAACAGAAATCATCTGGGAATTTCATATTTTTATACGATCTTGTTGCTATCAAATGGACAGGAATAGGTCATTCTTTGTGGAGAATGAATGCACTGTATATGAAGAATCCTAGATATTGTCATCCCAATTTGAAGGCTAGGATTGTGAGAAAATATTCAACTTCACAGGTCCAATCGATTCAAAACTAACAGAGGTGGCCAAAGCTCAGCTAGCCTAGAGGATGCCCAACTGACAAAACTCTTTTCTAGTGTGATACAACAGAAGGGTTAATGTTAAATTACTATTTAATCTTTATAGTTTTCAAAACAAAAAACCTGGGGAATGCTACTGTAACCCCCAGTGACAAGATAGAGCCAGCAATGCTGAGCAAGACATGATCTCTATGCTCAAGCAGTTTAAATCTAATAAGGGAGAAAAGGTTAAGGGGCCCAGTCAGCAAGCATGAGGAAGAATATGATAGATGCCATAAGAGTAACACAGTATTGTGGTATGGTTAAGTAGGTGGGGGGGGGGGGGGGGGGCGGACTCTGGAGTCAGGCTGCTTGAGTTTGAACCATGGCTTGATGACCTGCTAGCTTCATGAAGTTGTGCAAGTTAAATTACTCAACCTTTCTCCACCCTCATTTCCCCATCTGTAAAATGAGAACAGTAGTTTCCCTCTCCAAGAGAAATATGGGGAGCAATAAGTCTCAATGTAATTCCAAGGTATTCCTCTTGATGACTTAACTTCTATGCAGTAGTGTTTGAGTGTGCGTTTAAGAGTATTCTTAAATCATAGTGCTTGGTGTATCATTCATGGTGAGTTAGAAGTTTGTACTGAAGTCAGAATTCCTAGTGTTTACTTCCAGCTCTTCATAAATTCTAATACTCATTTCATTTCCTTGTACATCAAGTTACTTCTCTATTTAAATGAGCATAGCATGTTCCACGGGAGCAAGGACCTTATCAAGTCTTGTTCAGTAACTAGAACAATGCCTGGCACATAGTAGATGCTAGATAAATGTTGGTTGAGCACAACTTACGGAGATTATGAAAATGTTGATACATCAGGCATGAATGTAATTCTGAGAATGAACCATAAGTACTCTACAAAAATGACAGGTTTCTCTTGTTTAAGATTCCCAGGAGAGATAAGCAATGCTATCTATGACATTTCTCAGCTAGAATCTGTGCATGAGATTTGGAGTCAGAAGATCTTGCCTGGAGTCATGGCTCTACCACCAGGCTTTGTAACTTCGAATAAGTAATTTAACCTCTATGAGCTTCATTTCAGTCATCAGTGTTTTGGGTTATCACTTATGCTTTAGAATATTTTTGAGAGATCGAAACATCAATGAAATACAAGCACTTGTAAACCTGCAAGTACAATAAAGTACAAATGCACTAAGAAATGGTAACTTTTCATGTTCTGCTTTAGAGGACTATAAATCTTAAGAAGCAGAACTGTATTCCTATTACTTAAGTCTAAGGAAGTGAAGATAAAGCTGTATTATCCCCAAAACAAAACTGATCTTAAGAATACAGAGACAACTGACACTTCTCCCTGTCTTTTATACATAGACAAACAGAGCTGCATGAGAGAACTTCTCCCCATCTTTGCGCCAGCTCCCTTGAGTGTTGCACTTAGTTTCTTCTGAGTCAGCCGCTAAAATAGTTCCAGTCTGAAGGAAGACATGTGGTGGCTAGAAATGCTTTGAAGAATTGGCCAGGGCTTCATCATAGGTTACAGGCCAAAATTTTTAAAAAGAAAAAGAAAAAAGAAAATTCCTTCTTCCCCTATCTCTGAATAAAATGCATGGCCAGAAGCCAATTCTTTTTTGCAGTTTTCATTTGTAAAAGTTCAGAATTCACATGTATCATTTATTATGTTTCTATACTTGATGGACCTCTGTAGAAAAAGTCTCCAGACCCTCACTGTTTATGTTTTGAGCAGATCTTGTATAGATAGATAGATCTTTTTTGTCATTTTCCTTCCAAATGTGTTCAGGCAGACTATATAATTGGGTTGTGGGATTAGGTTGGAATATCATACTCTTTCAGAGTACTTTTCATAATACATTAAGTCAGTTACAGTGTGGAAATGAATTTACTCTTGAAATTCAACTTAGTAACACTACTGAGAAAAATCTCTGGCTAAGGAGAAACTCAGAAAGCTTGGGATAGCTAATCCCATCACTAGTCAGGCTGTTTTTGATTGTCATGTCTCTTTAGACTTTTTAAAAAATACATAACAGCTTTATTGGGATGTAATTCACATATTACCCAATTCATCTATTTAAAGTGTACAATTCAGTGACTGGGTTATGGTATTTCAAAAATCATGCAATCATCACCACTATCTAATTCCAAAACATTTTCATCACCCCCTAAAGGAGACTCTGTACCCATTAAGCAGTCATTCGCCCTTATCCCCTCTTCCCATCCCCTGGCAACCACTAATCTACCTTCTGTCTCTGTAGATTTGGCTACTCTGAACGTTTCATATAAATGGAATCATACAATATGTGGCCTTTTGTGACAGAGTTCTTTCACTTAACATAATGTTTTCAAGGTTCAACCTTCTGGTAGCATGCATCAGTCCTTCATTCCTATTTGTGGCCAAATAACATTCCATTGTGTGGATATACCACATTTTGTTTATCCATTCATCTGGTAATGGACACTTAGGTTATTTCCACTTTTGGCTATTATGAATAGTGTTGCTATGAACATTCATGTAGGAGGATTTCTTTATCACTTGTTTTCAGATACTTTGGGTATATACTGAGTTGCGGAAGTGAGGAACTGTCAGACAGTTTGCCATAGCAACTGCAACATTTCATATTCCCAGCCACGATGTATGAGGGTTCAAATTTCTCCAATTTTTCTGTTTTTAAAATTATAGTTAGACTAATGAGAGTGGTCATCACATTGTGATTTTGTTTTGCATTTCTATCATCAGGTTATTTTTAAAATACTTTTCCTAGAAGTCATTTGCCTGCAACTTCAACGCTCTAGAACATGGTCCTGCATGTAACTTGATGCAGAAGGGCCTGCATAGAAGTAAGAGCAGTCATAGAACTTCTGCAAGAAAGCTCTGCATCTTGTTCCACAGGCCCCTCATTCAGTGGGTAACTAATTGTTATTCAACATTCATGACTGGCTATTAGGTTTTTTGGAAGAGAGCTGGAAAATTCACTGTGGTAGATATTGTGACAGAGAAGTGACAGTGGATATGACAACAGTCTGCCACTTAAAGAGGAGAACTATTATACTTCCTAATACATTAATGGTCCCAAGTCTTTAATTAGAGGCCAAATTATGTTTGATATTTTTTAAGAAGGCAAAGTTACACAGAATACATTTTAGAATGATTTCCATGAAGAATGACTCAGAGAAAAACATGTTTTGCTCTTGAGTAGATAAGCTTGCTTGAACTTTCTAGGTATTTAATTTCTCAATGATATTTGAAAAGTCAGGTGATACTTAATTGCATCTTGAATATGGAAAAGACAAAGAGAAGATTTAGATTTTGTAAAATTGTTGAAAATATTGTTGAAAAAATTAAATGAAATATTTTTAAGAACTTTAATCTCACTTTTTGATGAAGTTAACAGTTATTTGATTTTTCTAATACTCAGAGCTCACTTTTGCGTTAATGCTATTTCAGTATGTGTTTATGGCATATGCCAATAAATTAACCTTTCCTGTATCTTCTCAGCTGTTGCTAGAAATTGTAGCTGGTTCACACTGAGTTAAACTGCATACTTTAAAGCTGCATAATATTTAATCTATTTCATTAAACAGCACATTCTGTCTCACTTGTTTGTATATGCTGAAACCTTCTTCTGAGTTGCTCCAATTTCCCTTCATAGAGACTAAGGAGCCTACACAGAAAAAAAAAAATCTTTTCAGATGACTTTTTTCTTTATCTGAAGCACATTTTACGTTTCCATCCTCCACCCCACCTCATGTGAGGTTGTTGCCTAGTCTTGTACTACAACAGTAAATCTAAGCAGTTGCTTGCTTTTACTATACAGTTTTATACTGGGAAATGCCCTTTTTATTGACAATGGCTGACTGTACTATGTTGCACTGTCAGTATCTAGATGCTTCCTGTTTTAAATAGGATATAGTTACTTCTTTTCCAAATCTAGAGTTTGAAACGGAAGCATTGTATTATTTTAGCTAATTTTATTTATTTTTTTCTTGCAGGTTCTGAAAAGTGCCTTTTCTGAAAACTCTGCTGCTTGGATTCTACTCTAGAGCTGTCTCTTTATAAACCCCTCTCCCTACCATACCGTTCCCTGCCCTCTCCACCTCCCCGCCGAACCTGGTGTGCTTGTAGTTTACTGTCAGCAGCTGGTCCATTTCTTTTTTCTGTGATTCTCAATTTTCTTAGTCATTTTCCCTCCACTTGATTTTGCAACGAAACTTTTTTTGGGTTCTAACATCCTTCCCAATCTTGTTATTTAAAGCTAATAAATAGGGAGAAAAACTTTTCTCCCCCTGATCTGAGACCATTCCACAAATCGAAGGGCAGCCAGCAGCATATGTTTTTTGCAAGAATAATTGAAAACATCAACTGCAGAGCCCAGAATTCTTTTGAAAGTCTGCCGGTTATTTAACATAAATTCGGCAAAGGAACAAAATAAAGCATTCATTATCTTAACAGTTGGCTTCTTAAGAGTTGGTCTCTAATTTCATTTTTAGTTATTCTGATAGTTTTTATGATTGGCTTTTTGTTTGACTAGACCAGATTTGACTTTAATGAAAACCTAAGTGTTAACAAATAGACATTTCACCAAAGCAACCTGTTATCTCTTCGCACTTAGTTTGAATTCATTTTTAATCCTTTAATAGTCCACAGTAATATTGTCCTAAAGAGGGTACA
Organism: Homo sapiens; assembly: GCF_000001405.40. Taxonomy (NCBI): domain Eukaryota; kingdom Metazoa; phylum Chordata; class Mammalia; order Primates; family Hominidae; genus Homo; species Homo sapiens. The sequence goes on along the minus strand of NC_000023.11, from coordinate 132,439,635 downwards.
TTGGATTTTAATTTTGCTTTCAATATGACGGCTGTCAATGTTGCCCTGATTCGTGATACCAAGTGGCTGACTTTAGAAGTCTGTAGAGAATTTCAGAGAGGAACTTGCTCTCGAGCTGATGCAGATTGCAAGTTTGCCCATCCACCAAGAGTTTGCCATGTGGAAAATGGTCGTGTGGTGGCCTGTTTTGATTCTCTAAAGGTGAGTCCCATCTGAATGCACATAATTTAAATTTGTTGATTTCTATGTTTTTTGAAATATGATGTGCTTTGAAATGAGTAAAATTAATAATAGCATGAAAGTGATAAATTTTGTTTTTTTAACAAAAAAACAGAATGTCAAGATAGAAGGTCTTAAAGTCAGAATGTCTTAACGACAAAATGTCTTAAGTCTTTGTGTTTGTAGAGCTAAGCCAAGTCTAAAGCTCATTCCACCAAAGACCACTTACCACTTATCAAAACAGATATACTTAAAGAATAAAAATTGAAGAATTTTTGTAGGAGTGAGGGATTGTAGCCTTGCTATCGTTTACTTTTTTGTATATGATTTAGATGTTACAGTGATCATAATCCCCATGTAACCTAGAGAAGCCCTTCACTGAATTATAGCATATTATCCATAGTACCAAAATGCACTTAGGAGGGACTTGTCAGCTTTCAGAGGATAACTAAAGTCAGACTGAGGGAGTATAAGGGTTCCAGAAGGAAAATTATGGCATTTTGAAGCGTCTCAAAGTATATTTTGAACCTTTAACTTAAACGTATTGCTACAAAACTAGGTTCACTTAATTTTCCTCCTGGACAGATGATTGACCAATTTCAGATTTGTGAGTATATTTTGTAAGGAAAGTCCTATTACTAAGGTCATCAAGCCTGAGTATTACATACTAGATTATAAACAAAATATGAGGCCAGATGAGGTATTATATAGGACAGGATGTATATGATTGCAGAAAAAGAAAATGCACTGATTTTCATGTGTTATTCATAGTTATCCTTAAATTAAGGATAAAAAGTATAAATTAAAACATAGAAGCAATAAATTATAATGGATTTCTGGTTTAATTAAGATTTGCTACAATGCATCTGAGACTTTTTTCAAAATATGTCAAAATGAATTAAGCTTAACAAGAACTTTTTCAGTTTCTTGATATTGTTTTACCTTCATCATGACCAATTTTACCTCATTAACATTTTTATTTATGGCTGCATTGGCTAACAGAGATGTATCCCTTCGTGTGATGGTTTCCTCAGGAAACATTTTCTTAAGCGATATACAGGTTAAGTATCTCTTATCTGAAATGCTTGAGACTGAAAGTGTTTTCGATTTTTTGGATTTTAGAATATTTGCATATCCATAAAGAGATATCTTGGGGATGGGACTCCAGTCTAACCATGAAATTCATTTACATTTTATATACACTTTTTACACATAGCCTGAAGGTAATGTTATACAATATTTTAAATAATTTTGTGCATGAAACAAAGTTGTGTACATTCAGCTATCAGAAAACAAAAGCGTCATTATCTCAGCCACCCATGTGACATCATGTTGACACTTAAAAAGTTGAGGCTTTTGGAGCATTTTATACTTCAGGTTTTTGGATTAAAGATGCTTAACCTGTAGTACTTAAAGGGTTACTTTTACTTATTTCGTGATTACTAGTTTTTTGTTTTTTGTTTTTTTTTGCAGACCATTCCATTTTAAGAATAGAAACTTGTTATTGTAAAGATAAAGGTAATTCCTACCATTGAAAATCTCTGAATTGCTTTTATTTGTGGTAGACATTATGACTAAAGAACTTATTTTGTTTTCTTCATTTTGGTTTCATTTAAGTTTCATCTACAATTATTTTGTGTATTATTTAAATCTGCAGCTACAGGATTGGGCAGTGCCTTGAAGTGGAAAAGCATACTGAGTTAGTTGGGGGAAAAATGAGGTATCTTTCATCTGGTCCATATAGAGGGTCAGGAACTGCAGTAGAAACTTTGCATTGTTGTTTCAGGAGATCTGGGGTACAGTCCCAGCCTCACTACTGTATCTGACCTCGGGCAACTTAACCTCACAATCCTTGAGTAACTTCATCTGTAACAGATAGATAGTATCTTCTGTACCTAACTTCTGTGATTATTGTGGAGATTGCAGTAAGCTAGTACAAATGGAAAACCATATATCAATATAAAAGTGAATTAAATAAAAGGTTTTCTTCCTATCAACTAAATGTTTGTTGTAGGCATTCTTTAACAAAGTTCTATTTAGTTAGGGCTTATTATTTAAAATTACAAACTCATGTTCCAAATGTACATGACCAAATCTAGTTGCTGTGTGTTATTAGTTGTTCAAGCTAAGTATAACTGTTTTTATGGTTACTCTGATATAGAGTTCCTTGCAGGCTTTGTAAATTCTATCTTTCCAAACATCATAGAATGTGAAAGGAGACATGTGATCTTCCTAATCATTAATAAACTCAGGTCAGTAATTCCATTTAAAGGCAAAAGAGTGCCATAAACTAAACATTTTGAAGAAAAGTACTAGGGAAGGTGACTGTTTACAAAATGCGTGCTGCACTACAACTTTAGAGCTTGGAAGGTGTTTAATTCAGAGACAAAATAGATAATAGCCAATGAATATTAATAAGCCACTTAATTATTTAAATAAGTTGTCTACTCACTGTATCTAGTGTTTTTAAAGTAATGTTTGCATCATGTTAATATCCTGATGACCAGTCACACAGGGTAAAGATGATTTACATAATCCTTACATTCTCATATTTTAGTGAAAACCTTAATATTTCAAATATGTAAAGCCGTTCAAACAATTACTTAATTTGCCATTTAGATAGCACATTAAACAAAGTTCCATGTCTGCACAAGAGCTTTGTAGTTCTTATCCATGACATGCATGAAGGTTAAATTAAGTTGAGGGTAATTGACCTATGTGCATTGTGCTAGTATCATATCTATAATATACAAATAACATACCTCAGTGGTTACTGCAGCATTTCCTACTTCTCCTGAGTTTTTATAATTGAAACACTGTTGAACTTCATCTGTGTACTATTTCTTCTCTCATGAGTGATTAAATAACTGAAACAATCATTTGATGAGTTTTGGGCTGCTGCTTTTGTTTTTGTTTTGTTTTGTTGTTGTTGTGTAAGAATTCTATTAGTACTAGCTACTCTACCAGATGATGGTTATTGCCTTAATAACAGGTACAACAGATACAATGTTCTAACTCACCTCATAATGAGGGAATGTTATGAAAATAAGAAGGGCAAATTGGATGGCTGATTGTGTATTGTGCTGAAGTGCTGTGCCTATCAATCCATGAATGTTGAGTGCTCAGTGATGAAGGCAGCACCATCTTCAAATGGAAATCTAGTGTAGTCCATGGATTAATTTCCAGCTACATAGAATGGTCTCATATCATGTTGGTATGCAGCTGTTTTTGACTCTGTTGCCTTGTGGACTTGGCATAATCTGTCTCCAAAGTTTTCTTCAAAGTATCGCTTAATCCATTCTATGCCAATTTCTTGATATTACAGTTTGCCATTGATCTAGGTTGGTATTTTTAGTGAATGTTCCTTGGATTTAACGAAGGGTCATCATTTTTAAAACGAAATCAATCTTTGTGATTGTTTTCATAGCCAAGTTATTCTGCTTCAGCAATATCATGATGTCTTGAACCTTTCCCTTTATACTTGAAGCAATGTGTTATCAGTCACTTTTTATCCAGGAAGGATATAAATGTTGTCATTATTTCATTATGACAGATCAACACCCATCACAACTGTCCACCCCTCTTACCACTTTGGGTAGTTTTGTGCCAAGAATTTCCTGGTAAAGGCCATAGCAGCAGACATAGTTAGAGGATACTCAAGCTAACCTATATACATTCCTTAAAAAATGGGAACTGGGTAAGGAATGCACATAAAACAGTCACATGCCATGTCTTCAAAATCACATATGATCACGAGAAAAATAATATTTTGACAAGTGAAACCTTGTCAAATATTATAAGCATATCGATATGAATCTATCCTTGTAGGTCAAACTGGCCCAAGTTACCAGTATATTCTGCAATAGCAACACTAGTCACAGCAGTTTTCATTAGTTTAAAATTTGACTATTTTTGACTGAATACTTACTCATCCCTATTTGCCAAGGGAAAGTTTACCAGAAACTAGATGCCTAGCAACACAATCCCAAGGGTCACTGGATTATGCAAGACTTAGCACCATTTATCAGCTCCATCAGAGAGGTCTGTCTACACTATAAAGACACATAAGCAGCAGCTGTCATCTTGAGAGTCAAGGAAAATAACATTTTATTTAAGGATCTCTATTTTCTATGATGCTAACCTTTAAAGGGAAGTATCTTTGACTGGTAAAAGTCAATGCTATTTTGGACATTTCAAAAACCTCTTTTGAAAGGAAAATAGAATTACAATTATAGGTTGGTGCGGAAGTAATTGTGTTTTTTGCCATGAAAGCAATGGCAAAAACTGCAATTACTTCTGCACCGACCTAATGGTACCCAAACAAATACATATTGATAGTTCAGCCTCGCCTTTTAAACATTTTATTTTGAAATATTAATAATTTTAGGCTTACAGAAAAGTTACAAAAGTGATACAGGAAACTCCTGTATACTTTTTATCCAGATTCCCCTAATGTCAACAACTTACATGCCATGCATTGCACAGTTATCAAAACCAGGGAATTATCACTGGTACAAGATTCTTAAGTAAACTCAAGACCTTATTTGAATGTCACCAATTTTCTTCCTAATGTTATTTTTCTGTTCCAGGATCCAATCTGGGATCCCACATGGCATTTATTCCTTATATCTCCTTAGTCTCCTCCAACCTGTGACACTTTCCCAGTCTTTCCTTGTCTTTCATGACCATGACACTTAGGATGAATACTGGTCAGTTATTCTGTAAAATACATCTCACCTTGTGCTTGTTGAATGTTTTCTCATGATTAGACTGAGATCATGTGGTTTTGACAAATAAAAAAGAAACCCACACGCAGAAATGATGTGCATGACATCTGAGGGTATGGGATATTGATATATCTTATTCATTATGTTAACTTTAATTAGCTGGTTCAAGTGGCATCTACTGGATTTCTCCACTGTAACATGACCAGTTTTTCTTTTGTAAAAACTGATAACTATGTCCCCCATTTATTCATCATCCCCTACAATATGCCATTGATCGTAATGGGCATCCCAATGTCCTAGATGTTAAAAAGTGAACAAGTGTTCATCTTAGAAGTGATTGGTAATGTACTTCTATAATTATAGTCAATTAAGAAAGAGAGCAAGGGAAAATGGACCAAGAGCATGACAGAGAAAATAGCAGCAACAAGCCACTGGAAAGACAGAACACTGGAGAGTGAGCAGTCCTAGAAGTGATGTGATATGTGTGTGCCTATCATATACTACTGCAGAGTGTGACAGCTGTCCCCTTCTTGTTCATGGCCTTGGGACTTAGCCGTGAACCAGAAACAGTCCCTGCCTCCATGGTGCAGACATTCTCATTGGGAGTTGGAGGAGGAGCAGGTAAAAAATAATTAAATATTCAGGATAACAATACATTGTCAGGTGTGAGGAAAGGGTGCAGAGAATGGCAGGGGCTACTGTTTTAGATACAGTGGCCAGGAGGCCTCCAGTGAGGTGACCTTTGAGGAGAGGCATGCAGGAGATGAGGGGACAGTGAAGAGGATTTCTAAGAACATTCCAGGCAAAGAGAATGGCGACAGCTAAGGCCCTGAAGCTGGCGGCAGCCTGGTGTGTGTGAGGAAACTCAAGATCCCCAGCGTGGCTGGAGCAGAGCCATGAAGGGGGAGGGCAGTGGGAGATGAGGGCAGGGAGGTCCCGGGGGTGGGGAGATCAGGTGGGGCTCTGTGTATCATGCTGAGGACTTTGGATCCTGTTCCAGGAGCTGGAAAGGTTGACATAATCGGGGGAAAGCAAGCCCACACAAAGCAGAGGTGTCTAGTCTTTATATTTTTTAAGTGGAAAAGAGAATAATTTCCACGAAGACAAATAACTCCTGTTTATAGGTGAAGTAGAAGTCAAATGGTGCCCAATCCCTATTCTTCACTCCCTTATTTCTGTGACTTGTACCTCAACTCCAGTTCATACCCCAGTGATGGGGAATTAGCAATAAAGAAATCTCATGTGAGGAAAGAGTTAATATAGCAGGTTTGGTGGCTTACTCTTTGCATGTCTCCCAGGGAAACCTTAACTATCCCCTGGGAATGTGGCCACCATTCATTTTGTCACTGATTGGTTATTGTGTTGTATACACCTGGAACAATGGACCATGCCATAACAGCTTGTCAGGGTTGCTTTGCTCAAGATCAAGATTGATGACTGATTCATTGTTAGGGTCCTGCATTACAGTTGCCATGGCCAGTTGGTAGCAGGCTGTGCATATGTGACCAGGACCCATCTGCACCTCAGACCTTGAGACTAGAACTGGGCTTCCCAGGGTGGAGACATTCCATACATGCCTCTGTAGTTTGCTGCTAGAGAGAGAGAGTCCTTGTGCATGTGGCTTCGAACTAGGAAGAACATTGGAAGCTTGTGCTGGGCTTCTCTTGATTCTACTGATACGTATATTTTTCCTGTTACTTTTCCTCTGTATTCCAAGCTGTAATAAATTTTAGTTGCGAGTGTAAGTTGCTATTGAGTCTGTGAGTCCTGGCAAATGTCAAAGAAGCTTTTCTGTATGTTGTTATTTTTCATACATTATTTGCTTGATTTTTTTTTTTTACATTTTTCTGTTTTTTATGAGAAGGGCTTTTTCATTTTGTTTCTATTTTTTAAAGTTTAATTTTTGAATGGATATTTTCATAATTCAAAAATTTAGAAAAACAGTCAACTAATGAGTACATCAACAAAATATGGTATATACATACAATGTAATATTACTCAGCTACAAAAAGGAACAAAGTACTGATCCATGCTACAACATGGATGAACCTTAAAAACATGATGTTAAGTGAAAGAAGCCAGACATAAAAGGTCACATATTGTGTGATTCCATTTATATGAAACATCAAGAGTTGGCAAATCCATAGAGACAGAAAGCAGATTAGTGGTTGCCAGGGTCTTGTGAAGGGCAGTAGATGGGTGAGTGAGGGGTGAGGGGTATGGGAATTAACTACTAATGGGTACATGGCTTTTTTTTTAAGGGTGATGAAAATGTCCTGGAATTAGTGATGATAGTTACACAACTTTGTATATAAATGTGTTAAAAACTACTGATGTGTAGACTTTAAAAGGGTGAGTTTTATGATTTGTGAATTATACTCAATGAAAAAGTTTAAGAAATTTCAACGATAGTAGAGTATGCAGCGAAGTTTTCCCCTCATCTCTTTTCCCCAGTTAATCAGTTGACCTCCAAACTGATATTTTGGTTTTCCCTCTCCCATAGATATTATATATATACATATGAGCAAATATATCCATACTTATTTTCCATTTTCACACAGATAGTAGCATACTGTTTTCCTCCTTGCTTTTTTTGAGTTTAAAATATTAACAGTAAAAAGATGGGAAAAGCTATGTCATGCTGACACTAATAAAAAGAAGCCTGGAGGTGCTATATTTATAATAAAGATAAAAAGAATTGCACACAAATACAGGATTCTAGTTAGTAAATCTGTTCCTCACAGGCATATGTAAGTATGTAGATACTGAGGTTGAACAAATAAATGTATATAGAGTAGATAATGAGAGCCTATTTTCTCACTATCAGAGGAAAAAAGTTAAAAATAAAAAGGGAAGGTTAGGATGAATACCGTGGTGTGGATTAGAAAGGACACATGAGTATGTATACAGATAGATACAGGAATAGATATTGATCTGTGTGTATGCATGGGTTATTATGTATGCTTTCATTTCCTAGCTCTGTCTTGGGAAGCCCTAGAAGCAATTAACACCCCAACAGCAACGAGTATACTTAGTACCCACATCTTTGTGTCTAATATCATTCTCCAATAAAGGAACTCGGGATCTTTGGAATAATGGCTAATTCTGGACAGAAGCAGGGAAAATACAAGATGAGGCTGTAATGTCTTTTGGTGTAAGAATGTAAGAAAGTGCTAGAGAAAGGGTGGGGGCATGACAAGACAGCATAGTAGCCAGTCTGAAGGAGCTCCCAATGGCTGAAGTTAGAATAACTTGAGCAAGAAACTAAATGATGACAGTATTGAATTATAGCTCATAGAATAAAATAGATGCCCATGAGTCCATAGTTTACAAAAAAAATTGAATAAATGGATAAGTTGGGGAGAAGGGACAACTCCTCCTTACAGAAGAATTCCAATTAATAAATGGAGAACAAATGAAGGAAACACAAAATCACTAGTAGGCAAATGCCATGGTAATAATGGTTGCAGGCAAGATCCACTGATATATGCTGAAATCAGTGGGTAAAAGTTGGAGGAGAAACAGGATATTTGCATTGTCCCAAAGTATTTCTCCCAGGATATTTATCAATTAAAAATAGAACAGGCATGGTCTATTTCATTTATCAATAAAAAATAGACCAGGCATGGTGGCTGGCTCATGCCTTTAATCCCAGCACTTTGGGAGGCCGAGGTGGGAGGATCTTTTGAGGCCAGGAGTTTGAGACCAGCCTGGGCAATATAGCGAGACCCTGTCTATACAAAACATTTTTAAAAAAATTAACTGGGCATAATGGTGCATGCCTGTAGTCCCAGCTACTCAGGAGGCAGAGGATCGCTTGAGCCTGGGAGATTGAGGCTGCAGTGAGCAGTGATTGTGCCACTGCACTCCAGCCTGGGCAACACAGCAAGACCCTGTTTCTAAAATAAATAAATAAAGGGAAAATAGTCACTTTACAGTGGAGAAACCCAGCAGATGCCACTTTAACCAGGTGTTTAAGGTTAACATAATGAGTGATAAGATATATCAATATCACATACCCTCAGATAGGATACACACCATTTCTGTGATGTTCCTGCCAAAAAGACATGGTCTCGGTCTAATCATGAGAAAACATTCAACAAACACAAAGTGAGAGGCATTTTACAGAATAAATGACCAGTACTCATCCAAAGTGTCATGGTCATGAAAGACAAGGAAAGACTTAGAAAGTGTCACAGATTGGAGGAGACTAAGGAGAAGTGAGGAATAAATGCCATGTGGGAACCTGGATTGGATCCTAGAACAGAAGAACATTAGGAAGAAAATTGGTGACATTCAAATAAGATCTCTTGTTAAGAGTCTCGTACCAGTGTTAATTTCCTGGTTTTGGTAATTGTGTTATGGTTATGTAAGTATTTAACAGTAGGGGAATCTGGGTGAAGGGTATACAGGGACTCCAGGTATTATTTTTGCGATTTTTTTGTAAGTTCAAAATTATTTCAAAATGAAGTATTTTAAAAGTTAGCTTTTTTAGTCTGTCCTTTGAGGCTCAGAAATATTGTGGGGTATTGTTTCTTTTCATTTTTATTCTTAAAAAAAAAACTTTGAGTATGGGGATGAGAAAACTCTAAAATCTAGTCATGACTGATCATGAGATTGCCCCCACCAAAAGTTCGATGACTCAGATATCTTCATAGTTAAGAAAGCGCTCATACATATAAAAGCACTTCACAAACCTAGCAAACGAAGAATTTTGGCTGTAGAAGGAAGAACGTTCAGTTCAAAATTGTTGCCATTTACAGTTGGGTAAACTGGTGATCCGTTGAGGGAGAGTGACTTGACCTAGTTCACATATGCAGTTATCAAAAGAGCTTGATGACTCCGGCGTTCTTCCAATCATTATTCAGTCTTCTTTCCTGTGGAGAAGAAGGAAATGGAGAGAACATCAATTAGGCTATTGCTTTAGTAAACCAAAAGCATCCAGCTCTTATCACAGTCATGCTGCTCCACATGACATTGGGACTGTCTGTGAAGTTTTCTGGTTCTCCTTTACTTTTTGCACTATAAAGTAAGGCGTGGATAAGCCAACTTTTCCTTTGCTAATCCCTCCCTCTTTTATTGTTTCTGATTCATGATAATTTAGATTAAGACTTTATTAACCTTCATATTTAGTTCATGGACAATTATTTGGATAACTTGTTTTGAAAATAAGGCAGAAGAGAAGAATTTTTAGACAAAGTTACCTAACTTTGTGATACTAAACTTTGCTTAATTGCTGAGTGTCAGAACACTGAGCTGTCTCTGCTCCCTTGTCCATCCTTCTCCCCAAACACCGCATTGTTGAGTTTGCTGACCAGAACTGGGGATTGTAACTGTGGCTGTGTATCACATCTTCACTGCATGAAACTCATTGATGTCTGATTCTGTTATATACTCATTAGTACAATGCCCTGGCCAGCTAGGAAGAAACCTGTCATAGATCAGCTGAAATATTGCAGTAGCAATTCAGCCTTATTATGGGTCAAGTATTTTATACAATAATTTGGAATCTAATCCAACTTATTTAAAGTGTTGTTTTATGGGATCATAGCTCAAAATCATCTCTTCCTGGCCAAGTTGTAATTGGGCATCTGGTGAGAAAAGACTTGGGCTAGGGCCAGGCATGTATTCCCCAACTACTGTTTGATGTTACCATTAATACTGACCCTTTGCTACAGGAACTCCATTAAGTAGGAGAGATTTGGAAATTGGAAATTTGAAAACTATTATATTTCAACTCTTTTGTCTAGAAGAAACTCTTAGATGTTAGGGTAATATACATCTGATCCTACTTGGTTAGTAAATAATCTCTTCATGTAGCATAGCTGAAATGAAGTCTTTTTCTCTATATCAGATTTTTTCGAAATGTGGATACAAGGTACTTCTGTGCATCCGGAAATAGCAATTAGTTCTTCTAGGAACATGACATTATTCATAGAACATTGTTTACTTACTGTTCTGTTTGCCCTTGCAGATGACCTTTCTGCATGTACCATCCTTGAGGTGACCCTTGTTTTCCTCTCAGTGTGTCACTTGGTCCCTGACTTATGGGGTTATATATTCCAGAGGAATCTTAGCTGTCTGCTATTTTCTGTAAATACTCTTTTTTTTCTTCAGTGTTTATTCTGCTACATAATCGGTCTTCAGTTTCTTAAATTTATGGTTTTTTTTTTTTAATTTTTGATGTCTAATCCAGATTTGCAGTCCTGCTTGGGTTTTCAATGTTTTTGTTTCTGTGCCTTCAATTCTCACCCCAGGGTCAAGTTTTATTGCTAGATGTCATTACAAGTTTATCTCACATTTTTTGCCATCTTTCTTGATATTGTTTTCTTTAAAGTCAGTAAACAATTCCATTTGTTTTTCATCCTTTTATTTTCTAAATGATCTCCAGTATTTGGATTGAACCATGTTGTATCTAGAGATAGAGTAAATCATTTTTCGGTATCTTGTTTATGATGAGATTATGTAAAATTGCTTAATGTCATGTCTAATATGTTATTTAGTTAAGTAGATATGGCTATAGAATCTATCTGTTAGAAACAGTTTTGCAGCTATAACTCGGTCATAGGCATTTAAATGTATGCCTTAAATTGGATTTTTGTATATCATAAATAAGCTTTTTTTCTGTTGAAGCTCAAATTTTTTTTAACCCACTGGAAATTGGTAGAAAATAAATTAGGCTTTGCTTCTACCTATATTCTTATGAGTAGATAGTGGACAATGAAGGCAGTTTCCACGTTGAAAACTGTACAAAAATTTGAAAATGTAAAGTCCACAGTAATATAAATGTATTACATATGACAAATTCCCTTTAATTCCATTAAATATGACAAAAAACAAGACATGTCCTATGTATCAGCCATGATTTGTTAGCTAACGGAACGGTAGTAATGTTCTAATTTCTGTCTTAGCGTGCAAAAATGCAAACAGAAAACCTTTTTCTGTGACTTTAAACTCTTTAACCATCTTTTATATGCATCTAAATACAGTGAGTAGATTACATTGTAGTATCAATAATCTCTTAGCTCCAAATACTTTTTAGAGATCTCATTTTTAAAAACCACATTGTTTTAAGACCACATTGTCACATTGTCTTAATATCTTTGTTCATCTTCCCATTTGTGAAAGATAGTAAAACCGAAGTAACAATTTGAGGATTTTTAATAGCTTCATGTACTCTGTGTTCTTGTTTTAAATATTTCACAAATACCTATCCTAGGAGTTGTTCCACTTAACAAACTTAATTTTTTCCAGCTTTTATAAAAATGTAATCTCTAGTGTTTCTGCAATTTCCTGGTTATTTTACTTTTTTTACTAACCAAAAAAAGTGTTCTATATAGAACCAAATTCAGTCTTAACTTCAGTATTACTAACAAATTTTAAAACCATAGCCATCTTTAATCTCCCAGTACCCCACTGTAGGAAGAATTTGACTTTGGAATATTGTCTCATTTTTCAAAGGAGCCTGAGAAGTAGTTTTGGAAAATACCTTTTTCTTGGGTGAACTCTAGATGTAACCACTGAAAATATCTGAAATGAAACATTCTATCAGCAAGTGGCATAAACATCGAAAATGCTGCCTTGTCACACATAACAGTTCTAACAAGGGCTCCTTATGTCATGGGAATCCTACTACCTCTGTTTCTCTTCATATGAGAGCAAGCAGCAGCACTGAATTTGTAAGACTATTTGGTTGTGGTTTCCTAGAAGGATTTGTATAAATGTCAGGGGTTATTTAATGCTGAAAGTCCTGTTAAATCCATTAAGAATTGTATGTACATTCAATTCCCCAAAGAAATGATTCATTCAACAAACATTTATTGCAACCTCTTACTTGTTAGGCACTGGGCTCAGTAATGTGGAGAATACAAAGTTAGGAAAGATGTGGTTCTTGCCTGACCTTTTAGTAAGAGGTTACTTGTGTTATATGCCATAAGCCAGATACAAACTAACAGCTACAACAGTCCAAGGGCACAGGTAGGGACTGGGATTATATTCAGCAGTGGTGGTTGAAGATGGAGTCATGGCAGAGACACTGTTTGAGGTGTTCTTTGAAGAAGGAATAGGAAGGTATTCCAGGCAGAGGGGATAACCTGAGCAAAGATAGAGGGGGAAAACTGTGATATGTTTGGGGAGTTGAATGTTAAGTCAGAATGGCTGAAGCATGAGAAATGACACCATCAGCTTGTGCAAAAAAAATGACAGAAAAAAAGAGACTGGCAAGAGGAAGTACCTCTTAGAAAGTTGTTGAAGTATTGAAGGTATGAAATATTAAGGTTTTGATTTAGATGGTGGTGGTGGGAAGGGAAAACTAGCGATGGAATTGAGATGCAGATGAAGCCAACATGGTTAAGTAGAAAGCAGTGGATATTTCCCTCCAGCCTACTGACCTTGTGCTCATCTTAACATCAGATTTCTTTGAAGTTGCAGTGAAAGTCTGCCATACTTTTTGTTTTGTTTTGCATTAGATGCTATCTTGTCCACCAACATATCTTTTGTGCCTAGTACACGTTAGGGCTTGGAAAAATATTTGTTGAATGAAACATGAGATTGTTGAAACACTTTGAAAGAGGGAGAATAAATATGGGCTCAACTGAGAGGTACACAGAGATCTCTTCATCTGCAGCTGTACTTTCACTCCCAGTTCAGTTTTTACTCAAATATAGATGAAAATTGTATACACCCATGTGCCAACTTTCCTCACTCAACCACATTTTAACCTAGATTTGATGGCCTGCAAATTGCTGATATTTGCAAATTTAATTCCATCCCTTAGCATTATAGAAATGATATTTGGCTAAATGCTGTTGGATATTCTCCAACTGTTACATTTTCAGTGCTTTTACGTTATATACGGATTTTTTTAAAAAATTACTTAGTGGCCATTGTTAAGTGTTATTTTTAAGATAATTAGTGTGATTATGTAGTAATGGTCTAGCATTTTTTGTCTTAAAATGTTTGAAGTTGAATTTTACAGCAGATGGGTAGCTTGCAAATCAAGGTATTCTTGGAAGCATAATGAGTGCTAATAAGGTGATTCTAATCAAGTACAAGCTCATAATCTTCAAAAAGGGATTTTGTGGAAAAAGGTGACTGCCTAGTTCAAAAATATATATATTTAAAGTTTAATAAAGAACTCTTGTTCTAAATACACAATGACATTTTGAAAGTCCAAAAAGTTTGAACATAGAAAGACAAAGAAATATAATAATAGAGAGGGTCCATGAATTGACACTTTTTAAAAAACCCACAATAACTGTAATTTAGTCCAAGCAATATGCTTTTAAAAGAAATAGGAAAAATAATAGGAAAGTAATTTCAATATCGAAGTTTAAGAAAGGATCTCTAGGCTTATGTACTATATCTTGGAGTTTGTACAGTCAGCCCAGTCTCTTAGACTTTCTCCATGTTCATCTCCATTCCTGGATAATGATTGCTGGTTTTCTGTACAGGCGATCCTGAGGTCTTGGTGCAATCCTCAATAACCAAGATATGATTCAGGTTTGGACAATTGACTCTGCTTTCAAAAACAGGGAAGGTGTCTGGAACATTTGAGAAAAGTGTTTCAACAACAACAACAACAAAACCTTAAAATGATTTTTAAATATTTAGCAGCATTCAGCTGGTGTCAACATTTGGCAATGATTTCCATAATTGTGACTAGCATATTTTAATAGGCAACTGACAGATAAAACAGAACCAAGACTGTCTCCCCCTTTTTCCCAATTCTTGAGGCCTCACTTTAGTGGCATGTGACATTTACTTCATCTTTGAAATGATAAAACATTTAAATATGTTTCACTTATTTCTCCCCAAATTTTCCTATTGTCCCACTAAAGAAATACCTTTAAAAAGTGACATTGCTTCCAAGTCAGAGATTTAAAAAAAAAAAAACAGAAGGAAAGAAGGAAGGAGGAAAGGAGGGAGAGAGGGAGTGGGTGAAGAAAGAAAGAAGTTAAGAGACACCCATTGAGAAAGGCTTTTCATTCTGAAATACTTCAGCTCCAATAATAATGTATTTGTAACAAAAACATAAGGAAAGTGTAATGAATAGAGTAACATACTCATGAAAAGAGGGTAATATAGAAGAGTGGGATTCCTCCACCCCCAAGAGAGAATTGTTTGTGCCATTTTTATCGCATATTTTTCATTATAAACTCCTCTGCTTTCGTTGAAGCAAAAATGAATAGCTGTGATTAATTATGGCCCAGAGAAGTCTCATTCTCCCCATGGAACTTGCTCTTCCTCATTTTCAACAGCACCACTAAACATGCACCACTAGTTACCTTTGATCTCCCCACTGTTCACAACCTCCAAGCAGGCGTCAAGTCCTAGGTCCCCCACCAGCACAACTACTCATGCCTCTAGTTATGGGAGAGAGAAGATTTGTAAACTCCTTGTGGGCAGTTTCCATGGCATAATCTTCATTTCTTCCATAGTATCTAGCACAGTTTTTACTTTTATGCAGGAGAGGTATTAAACAGTATGCCTTCTTTTATCAGGCTACAGGAGCAAATGCAATTCAGTACATTTTCCTATTTAGTGTTGCCAGAAAACTCACAGCTACCTTTTGGGCCCAGCTGCAGCAATTAACCTTAGTCTAGAATTTTGAAGTTTTTGATACAATTATCTCCATTGTTCCACCTTTCCCATTATATCAGTCTTTACAGTTACTGTAATAATCTTACTTCAAAAATATCTTTCTTGAAGGTCATTTTGAAGCCTTTTGGGAAGAATGTAATTGTCTAAGTAGTAAGAGAGCAAGTCAACAAGAGAAGGGGCTAATTCCATTTCTGCATTTATTATTTGCAGCTTATAAGGCTATCTGAGTGATTTTCATTTGGACATGTTAATGTATTCCAGGCATTCCAGTATGGTTAACTGGGGGCCTCAGTTTAAAATGGGCTTCCAGTGATACTCAGAAGTAAACCAGATGCAGCTGGGGCTACTCGTAAAACAGAAAGGAATAAATAACAAATACTTGAAACTCCTTAGACGTTTACTTTTTTTCATTAGGAAAAAAGGAGAAAGGGTTGTATGAGATGTGTTTTTTCCTTACTTCCTCGCTGCAGGGTGCAACTGATGAACTTGTATTCAGTGCTTATTTTGAGGTTTAGTAATCTATTGATACTTCGGCTTTTGATCATCTGTGCTGAAATGCTGTGGTCAGCATTAAATTGTTTGCCTAATCGATCTGGAAAGTATTTTCCTCCTTTTAGCTTGTCTTTTTCTAGGTATGTTTTTTTTAGGGGTGAGGAGAAGGGGTAATGTTCTCAAATGATTGGGATTTCTGTAGTGAGTAAAGGTGTGAGTTTATTGGAGAGCTGAGGGGCAGTTTTTAAAGAATCCTTTATTCGTTCAAATTTGGGTACACAGAAAACATTTAGAAAACACTCTGGAAATGTTTATACAGCAAATGTAAGCAACATACAATACAGAGCTCTCATATACATACTTACCATCATAACTAATAGCCCTACTTTGTAAACAGAAAATGAATGTGTTTCCTAGGAGTAGTAGAATAGATTTTGAGAAGGCCAATCCTTCTTCATGACCTAGACCGGCCTTCTTTTACGTGGCTGCTAACATCATTACTGATGTCAGAGATGTAGAATTAAGGTGTCCAAATTTCTTTAGTATGACCTTTTGGAAACTGAATTATCAGTACCATAATAAAATGCATAGCAAATAACTAAATCCATTGTCGGATAGGACAATATTCCCTTAGAGCAGGGGTTCTCAAAAATGTGGCAGACTAGCAACATCAACTTCACCTGGACACATTTAGAAATGTAAATTATCACCTCACCCACACCTACTGAATCAGAAACTCTGTGGGGAGGCCTGGCACTTTGTGTTTCAAGAAACTCTCCCGGTAATTCTGGCAAACACTGAAGTTTGGGAACCATTAGTTTAGAGAAAACCATAATTGGTTTAGCAGGGTGTCAATTAAGGATGATGTTTCAAAGCTTCATAATTCTCAGGATTCTGTGTTGTTCCTCTAATGCCTCCTCCTTCCTCACCACTTGTTCAAACGGCCCTTTCTTGATATATATTCAGATCTGTTGGAAGGGAAATGATGTCTATTCTGGAAGACTTAATGTTTCTTTGGGAGACCTATTATATTTTCCCTCCAAGGAGCATCACAATGCTTTTTAGCTGAGAAAAGGCTCTGAGAGGTATTGCATGAAAGACAGTTTAGTTCTGTTAACTGCGTGTTAGTGTAGTTTAGTTCTGTTGAACCCAAGAATTTCTGTAAATCCTTTGATCACAGAACCCTATCTTTGTGGAGCATAGAGAAACTTATGGAATGCTACATAACAGGTGACTGGGCAAGAATCATGCTGGTGTCTAAATGTGTGGAACCCAAAAGAAATGAAGTTATTTTAATTATTTGACTATTATAACCCTTTGAAAGGATTAGTGACTTTTTTGTACCCTGAAAGGCGTATTGTAGGTGTTGCTAGCTGCCACACATGGACCTTCAAATTTTCATATGTAGCAACTGTGAGAACAAAAGGGTGTGTATATGTACACACACACACACACACACACACACACATAGTATATTCAGACATTTCACATTTATATGAGTCAATCTTCACTTCCATAAGGTTAGCCTATTAAAATGAAAAATAAGAAAAATGAAAAATTAGCTCAAACATTTATAAACAGTTTTCTAATGAGATTCAATTTTATTATTTTACCAATTTATTTAAATGATATTTAAAATCACTTCGCTACAATTTTTTTTTAATATTTTAAGCACCATTAACATCTTTTATAGTCTCTTATTTGGCTTTGTCTTTCTAACTTACCAGGAAAAAATGACTTGCCTGCTTTCTTGTTATCATTTTAATATATGTTATAAGTAAAATATAACAGTACCCATGGCAAAATTAGAATAAAAATAGTACCAACTAGAGTGTGATGCTCCATGCTTTTTTATATAATACAAATGACTTTGAATGTTTCATTCATTATGATTTTAAAGTGGATGTTCGTTATGCTAAATCTTAAAGAAGCTTGTGATGGTAAAAGAGTGTCTCTTGACTAGGTAAACTAGTCTCCTAAGTGGGCACTGGCTTATTACCACTTGAAAAGAAGCAATAATTATTTTCTCCTTTTAGTTATTTACGAGGATGAGATTAAAGCTTGGATATGCTTCCTTTATCCTCTGCCTTTTCGCCTAGAATACTACTAAGTTGTGGGAACAGCGACTGTTTGACAATAATATCCAGTTCTAATAAGAGAAGTGTCCTCAGTTTCCTAACATTATACGTATATAAATTCTCTCCCTAGGCACATAGTAATTTATATTACTCATATAATTGGTAATTACTCTATGATAATATATTACCTCTTTTAGGGAAGTAGAATGATTTAAAGTAGTTATAATCTGTCAAAGTTATTATACTTAATTCTCGGGAAATATTTTAGTTCTGTTGTAAAGAACTAATAAAGAAAAATATATTTTTTACATTTTGTACTGATTTTACTTGCAAAACAGACTAAATTTTACTTTGTTCCTTTTTTCTTTCAAAGCACCTAGAAAGTATGTAGGGGCAGGAATTATTTCTAGAGAAGTTAACACGATTGGAGAATAATTTACCGATGATCTAAAACTAAATAGAATTAAGGGCACTTGAATCTCAGCTTAGCACTCTTTCTAATAAAATACTGTGTTCCTATTGAAACTTAAATTCATTTCTTCTTGGGAACAAATACATTAGAGGACAGAGTATGAACAGCCTGTGACCTGCTTCCGAAACAGTTGATTCATATAACAGTGTTGTTGTTATTATTTTCCCTATTATATTGTCTTTAGAACTATTAGTATACTTTTGGATTCTGCATCTTCAGTTGTCTAGTCACTTTTTATTTTTTCTGAGACAGGGTCTCACTCTGTTGTCCAGGCTGGAGTGCACTGGCAAGATCATGGTGAGAGACAGGACTAGCTGGATTTCCTAGGCCGACGAGTAATCCCTAAGCCTAGCTGGGAAAGTGACCGCATCCACCTTTAAACACGGGGCTTGCAACTTAGCTCACACCCGATCAATCAGGTAGTAAAGAGAGCTCACTAAAATGCTAATTAGGCAAAAACAGGAGGTTAAAAAAAATAGCCAATCATCTATCGCCTGAGAGCACAGAGGGAGGGACAATGATGGGGATATAAACCCAGGCATTCCAGCTGGCAATGGCAACCCCCTTTGGGTCCCCTCCCATTTTATGGGAGCTCTGTTTTCACTCTATTAAATCTTGCTACTGCACACTCTTCTGGTCCATGTTTGTTACGGCCTGAGCTGAGCTTTCACTCGCCATCCACCACTGCTGTTTGCCGCCGTCGCAGACCCGCCGCTGACTTCCACCCCTCCAGATCCGGCAGGGTGTCTGCTGCGCTCCTGATCCAGCGAGGCACCCATTGCCGCTCCCGATCGGGCTAAAGGCTTGCCATTGTTCCTGCATGGCTAGTGCCCGGATTCGTCC
Source organism: Homo sapiens (assembly GCF_000001405.40). Lineage (NCBI taxonomy): Eukaryota > Metazoa > Chordata > Mammalia > Primates > Hominidae > Homo > Homo sapiens. The sequence goes on along the minus strand of NC_000023.11, from coordinate 132,420,202 downwards.
TAATCGAGCTGAACACTAGTTGCTGGGTTCCACGGTTCTCTTCTGTGACCCATGGCTTCTGTTAGAACTGTAAGACTCACTGCATGGCCCAAGATTCCATTCCTTGGAATCCATGAGGCCAAGAACCCCAGGTCAGAGAACAAGAGGCTTGCCACCATCTTGGAAGTGGCCGGCCACCATCTTAGGAGCTCTAAGAACAAGGACCCCCAGTAACAATGGCTCACTGCAGCCTCAGCCTCCCGGGCTCAGGTGATCTTCTCATTTTAAAAAGCTGGGGAGAAACCTAATGATAAATCACAGAATAGAATTGTTGTGTTTATTTTATTGGCATGTTTACATGATGCAGCCACATATTAATTTGTATTTGAAACCCTTTAGTTTTATTTTGTGAATAATGTTTGCTTAACCAAAAATAAATTGCCAATAAAGAAAAGAAAAGAAAGAAACATGACTTGTACATTTGAAGCACTGAAAAAGTCAAACCCTAGTGCCTAGGGCCGCAGATCTTCACCTCCACTTTGCAGTATCTCAAAATATATCTACTTTACGGTCATTTAACTAAAACCTCCTCTGAAACTGAGCTTTCGGTGGGGTAGTCTTTTGTGAAATGGTGTGTGCAGTTCATGTGCGTTCTCATTTGCCTTTGTCCTTAGGGGAATGAAATGCTTCAGAAGAACACTTTGTACCATTTTGTGTTAAGGTTGATCTTTTCTCATCATTTGGAGACTTTCTCTGCTTTGTGATAGTGTCGAACCTACAGCACTCAACTTGTCATCTGAGTAAACTTGCTTCTGAATGGCACTATGGTGTTTTTAAAAGATTCTTCTCTTAGGGAGGTGATGATAGTCATGAAGTTCACAGACCACCTCTTTTGTTGAGTCCTACTTCTATCGGTTCTCAATCTCCATGGGATACTGCTGGACTGTTACTTTTGTCAAGTCATGGCCGTTTATGCTTAAGCCCTCATGACCCAACTCCTGATAATTGGACATTGCTTCTCCCAAACCAACTAGCGAAATGCTACTGTGCAAACATTTACTAAAAAGCTGTGTTAACAGATAACATGTTTATGCTAATTGTTCTGCTTCAGGAATTATGGAAGGCTATTTCTAACATTTGGTTACCTAGGGCCAGGTACAGTGGCCCTCACCTATAATCCCTAGCACTTTGGGAGGCTGAGGCAGGTGGATCGCTTGAGCCCAGGAGTTCTAGACCATCCTGTGCAACACGGGGAAACCCCATCGTTACAAAAAATACAAAAATTAGCTGGGCATGGTGGTGTGCACCTGTAGTCCCAGCTACTCGGGACGCTGAGGTGGGAGGATTACCTCAGCCTGGGGAAGTTGAGGTTACAATGAGCTGTGATGGTGCCACTGCACTCCAGCCTGGGCAACAGAGTGAGACTCTATCTTAAAAAACAAAACAAAACCAAACAAACAAACAAAAACAAACACATTCAATTGCCTTGACACATTCAATTGCCTTGTCTTATTCATTCTCAAGCCATCCAAAATCCCTGGGTTTTGAACAAAATAAATTTGCCATAAAATTGTGCTAGTAACTAGTGTCTGGACATACCTAACAGCCAGTTGATATGCAGTCTTTGTTATAATCTTAGAGGGAAAGTGTGGCCCAGACAGTATAAATATTTGAACCAGCTCATTCCTCTATTTAGAACTATCACAGTATTATGAAGCACAGTATCTTGATTGAGTATGAGCTCTGGACACAGAGCACGTAGGTTCAAATCCCAGCTCTGCTACTTATTAGTTATGTCAGCTTGGGCATGCGTCTTCACTTCTCAGTGCCCCCGTTTCCTCAATTGTGAAGATTAAATGAGTTAATGCATATAAAGCACTTTGAACAATGCCTGGCACGTGGTAAATCCACAACAAAGTTAGCCATTAATATTAAGGTGGACATGGTGTGAAAAAATGGAAACCAGTTTACAGTATTCTAAAAAATCTCTCAAATTAGTTTTGTTTCTATGACTAGTTTTGTTTTTAAAATTAGTTTATGTTTTATGACTACTTTCATGATATTAATAGAAAATATAATTTTACAGGGGCCTCAACCTGGTGTCTAAATGTGTATCAACAATTGTCTCATGCCAAGTAACATGAGCTAAAGCTGTATATACAATATCTGCAGCTTATTCATAAGTGATCTGAATTAGTTAACATGAAAAGGATCATTTGACCTTATATGCAAGAGTCTAGTATACCAAGTCAATGCAATACATGAAACAATGTAAAACCAAATTAATAGTCTAGTTATCTTTAGTAGAAAAATGAGTGTAAAAGATTAGCACACTGATGTTTTACACTACCTAGTTTCTTTCGCTCTATCCACTTTGTCAAAATCTTTGAGAATGGAATTTGATTTACCTTATATAACAGACATAAACTGACTTATTTTTTTTTCAGAAAGATGTTTTCTGAAGTTTTCTAATTTTATCTTGATTTTGAGGGAAAGCACAATGGAGCTAGAGTAGATTTATTTTATTTATTTTTCTTCACCAAAATAAGGATTCCGCTAATTAAAAGGCACTGACTAGAATATCACCATGGCCTGAATGACCCCAGAAATCTTTTCGTGCTTAATAGAAAGGATGCACATTTTTAATGAACACTACATCCTTAGACATGTACTGCTCTTCTAATAAGTCTTGTTCCAGCTGTTTAAATTGACTAAGGGAGTACAGTTCATAGATTTTGAAGCTAACTAATTAACTCTCTGTTCTTTGCTTTATTTTTTTCTTGTTTTGGGTGTGGAGATATGCATCCTTTGGCAGTGGTCATATTTCAACTTCTTCTCTGTAAGGCCATGAGACATTTATGGTTGAGGCATTGATTTATTTTAAAGCAAAAAGCCTCCCTTTATCACTATTTTCTTTAACCCCATTTCTAGTTACATTGTTTGTGGAGGGCCTTGTTTAGTTCTTTAAATATTGGGAACAGTTTCATCATCATTAAATATTAACTGCTCACTGGAAGCAGAAGCTGAGCTTAATTAAGGTTGCAGTATTTACTAAATTAGACTGGGAGAGGAACATTTTAAGACACACACATATATGAAAGAGAGAGAGAGAGAAAGAAAAATAAATATTTTACAGTAATCTCAGCAGTTTCATTAGAGCTTTGTCAATTGTGTTCGCATATCTGAAACATTTCATCCCAAAATGAAAGTTACATTTTGGATGAAACTTAACATACTTGGTAGATATTCAGGCCAGGCAGAATAGATCTTTATTTTTAGAAGAGAAAGCATTTGTATCAATACCTTGTTTTCATGTCTGTAGAACAAAAACAAACAGTAAGTTGGCCTAATTTTCAGATGCTTTTTAAAAGAATCACTTGGCTAAAAATGCCACTTAAATACACGATACATTTAGAGTTTGGAATTTTCCCTGGGCATATGCCTGATACTCTAAATTACATACAATTATATTTTATTTGTAATTGATAATTATTATGGGAACATAACAGTTGTGCATATTTGTGGGATACATGTGATATTTTGATACAGGCATACAATGTGTAATGATCAAATCAGGGTAATTGGGATATCTATCACCTCAAACCTTTATCATTTCTTCGTGTTAGGAACATTCCAATCCTACTCTTTTAGTTATTTTAAAATATACAATAAATTGTTATTAACTATAGTCACCCTATTGTGCTACTGAATACTAGACCTTATTCCTTCTACGTAATTGTATTTTGTACCCATTAACCATCCCCTCTTTATAAACCCCTTCTCACTACCCTTTCTAGCCTCTGGCAATGATCATTCCACTCTCTATCTCCATGAGTTGAGTGGGTTTTTTGTTTTGTTTTGTTTTGTTTTGTTTTGTTTTAGCTCTCGCATATTAGTGAGAAACGTGCAGTATTGATCTTTCTGTGCCTGGCGTATTTCACTTAACATAATGTTCTCCACTTCCAATCATGCTGTTGCAAATGACAGAATTTTGTTCTTCTTTATGGTTGAATAATATTCAATTGTGTATATGTACCACATGTTCTTTATCCATTCTTCCATTGATGGAAACTTAAATTGATTCCATATCTCGGCCATTGTGAATAATGCTGTAATAAACACAGGGGTGCATCTCTTTGAAATACTGTTTTCCTTTAGGATAGATACCCAGCAGTGGGATTGCTGGATCATATCATAGTTCTATTTTTAGTTTTTTGGAGAACCTCCATACTGTTTTTTTTTTATATATATAGTGGCTGTGCTAATTTACATTCTTACCAACAGTTGCCTACTTTCCTACAATTTTAATAACAAGTTAGCACAAAGGTTTCAATAGAACTTTTGGTGATGAAATGTATATTTTCCCTAACAAAATATAAACTTAGTCCATGCCTCAAAAGTATTTTAATGGCAGTCCATGTCACCAAGTAAAAACTTTCTGCATGGAAATTCCATTTTTGGTGTTAGGTTGGTAGTAGGGTAGGAGTGTGAGGAAAATGCTTATTCTGAAGTGGAGACATTTGACCTCATTGGGGGATTGAAACATAATTTCACACTGATTAATTCACCCTGTAAACAATCATTTTGGTACAATGTTTTACATTTCTTTATCTGAAAGAAGATTCATGTTTAACAAAAGAGGAACTGATTTTCATCTTTGTACCGCTAATTTCAAAATGCAGAGGTAAATCAATAGCCATATCTACCCTTTATATAAAGTTTGAGTGGAGAGATATGTGGCTGGTTATAAAGACATAATTATTTAATTTATTCTGAGCAGCACACTGAGCCCTGCAAAGATAAATTGTTTAAATCTGAACAATAATCAGTGCCTTTCTCACCTTATACTCTTCATATACATTTGTAAGATATTTTTGCAAATTAAATTCTTCTTTGAAACTTTTCATTTTACTTAGAGACAGGAAATTTAATTTTACCAAGTGGAAACCCCAAGGTTTAAGGTTAGTGCAAAACTAAAACCATTTGGAATTGAGGAGATTGCCCAATACCTTCTGACTTCCCAGGTTTCAGTACAGCGAAAACTCACTTGAGACCCTTAAGTCATGGAAAGCCTAAAATAATTAGCATGGTTTCAAGGGGCAGAAGTCACAATGTAGGAAAGCCAGTTAGGCAGAGAAGGCTTGACGTTCTTATTTCAGAAGTTCCTTGACTAAAGCCTTCAAATGAAAGAAGAAAGCCACGGCAACCATTTGGAAAGATCTGACGAAACTTACAGCTTTGAAAAGGGGTGTTGGGAAGGTGATTGTGGGATGTTACTTTGCAATCATAGGAAAATATCCATCTTGTTAGCTTTTGGGAGATCAGGGATGGGCAAAAATGGCATTTCAACAGAAGAGCCATTTTTGGGGAGTTCACTCTATTTTTCTATTTAAGAGAAATCAAAATGAAAATACTAAGGAAAACTTGACCTGTAAAACACCATACAACTTGGTTGAAGCTTTAGTTTCTTTACCTATAGAATGAGGAAGTTGGATTAGATCAGTATTTTCCTAAGGGTGTACTAAAGAGAGATGTTAACGGGAATATGATGAAAAAAGGGGGGATGGTTTGTGAGTTAAACAATGTTGGGAAATGCTGGGTTAACAAAGGTAACCAGGTTTCTTTACTTTAGGACATGTGAGAGCCTTTATCATACTCTTGTGTATTGTCAGCCTACAAGAGAGGAATATAAAGTGACATTTCTTATACCCGATTGACCAGTGAACCCAGCTTTTGAGGTTCCTCTCTTGGGATTAGTTGTCTGTGGTACACACTCTGGCAAATGCTGGACTAAATGATCTCTAAGAGCCTTTCCAGCTTTACTATTTGATCTTTCTATGATATGCCCATAAACATATAAACTTCCCCAGAGCAGTACAATTTTACTATTTCTGACCTTACTAATTCTTAATCTTTGATCATTCCAATGAAAGAGTCTGCATTCTTAATGAAAAAATAAATTTAGGACTGTGTCTAGCAATTGCTTAAATGTTCACAATTGTAATGTGAGGCTATTGTGGATTGCCATTTTTCTCGAATATATTATTTGGTTCATTAGAATTAGCCATACCTCTCTACTTTGTGCTCTCTTTTAATGTGAGTAATCAGGGATTGACTGAAAAAGATATCTATGCAAATAATGGCTATTCATCTGCATGCTGTGAATCTGTACCTTTATAGCGCTTATGTGTGCATATAGAAACATGTGCTAAGTAGTTATTTCCCTGCACTTTAATGATTGACTTTTACTCGAATTTGAGTATTCCAAAGACAGGGCTGAAGGAAAAAAAGAAAAGATTAACCACCCCTCACCTCTGCACACATAAATAAAAACCTTAAAAAACTTAAAAGCCTCATCTTTATGTAACACCTCATATACTCAAAAATCTGTTCTGTAAATTCGGAGTTACGGGTTTAGGCAGGTATTGGTCACACACCATCCCCCTCTTCATCCTAGCCTAAAGGGGGAGCTCCAGCAGACATCGAGGGTATTTAAATATACTGTTGCGCCACCGGTGGGTGGGAAGGTGGAGTGGCTGCCAGGGTAGCGAGCCGTGTGAAGCTTTTGGTGGGAGGAGCTATGGATCAAAAATTGCTGTCTCCAACAGTCAACTTCCTTAAATTTCCTTGCAGCTGATCAGGTAAGCTGGGGCTGAGAGTGTCTTCTACTTTACTCTGGGCAAATGAAGGCCTGGGAGAGCCTGGGCTGATTCCATGGAGAGGGCTTCTAAGAATCTTAAGGTAAAGAGGTAAAATGGGTTTTCAAGGATTTGCCTTTATTGAGCTCAACTTATCAAGGCAGAAGAACAGAGCGGGAGAGGGCTGCCAGATAACATATTGTATGGGGCATACTTATACTAAAAAATTTTTTTTCACTGTTTATCTGAAATTCAAATTTACCTGGGAGTCCTGCATATTTATTTGATAAACCTGGCATCTCTAGAGAGGATCCTAAGCAGAAGCCCTAGCTGGGGAATAAAGGGGGCAAGCAGCTGGTACCCTCTTTGTCCTGGCTTCTAAATCGTTGTGGCAAGTGAGTGGATGGGGTGTCCAGAAAAAGGAGGTAAAGAAGCCTAGGAGCAGGAGATTTGACTAATGGGTCAGAGAGAAACACCTCCTTATGTTCTTTCTTAATGAAGTCCATGTAGAAGGAGCTTTTTGAAGTTATATGATTTTCTGTGTGTTTTATTTCTTAGAGTAACAAATTCAGTACCATTACTTTTTCTCTCCCTTTTTTTCCATTCTTGATGACATTTTATGTTGGCAGCTATCAGCTGCTCTAAAGACAGCGTCTAGTAATACTTTGCATGAGGAATGCCTTCTGACTTTTGATAACTTGGTACCAATGTGCTTCGTTGTGTTTGGGTTTTAATTTTATTCTGGTTGGCTGGTTTGTAAATAGATGATGCATTTTTGAAGAGCTTATAATTGACCAGTCATTCAGTTAATATTTTTCTACAGTGATGTACGGTATTCGATGAGAACCGAGGTAAAAAGTGTGTAAGTGGGGTGGAATAGGGCAGGAAGTAGATTTGGGTTATTAGTGAGGCAGGCTTGCTTTCACTGTGAACAACTTCTGGGATTTTTAGTGTTATTTGCTGTTCAAAAAATTTCTAAGAAAAAGATCAAGCTCATGATCATTTGAAAATAAATGTTTAACGTAAACAAAGCTAAGCGTGGGTCATGAAGGAAAGCCGCAAACATTTTTCTTGTAAGAAGGCATATGCATTAGAGAGCCACAAGAAGGCCCCACCTGCTGTGATTTTCCTAAAGCCACCTTTGTCTTAGTAGCTTCAGGGAATTTGACTTGCGGCTTGTTCAGAGAAATTCAGGATGGGGGGTGGGGCAGTTGGAGAACGCAGTTTTTTTCTAAACTGACCCTGGAAATGCAGGGCCCTCCTGGGCAGGCCCAGGTGCTGATTAGATATGGATCTGCTGCTGGCTCCTTTATTCGTCCGGTGGGGCCCTATATCCTGAGGGCCTTTGTGGCCAGAGACCCCTTGGAATCAGACCAGAGTTTCTGTCTCTGGGTCTCATGGATTCATGTCACTTCTGGTTAAGTTATACTAAATTACCAGGATGTTTCAGCCGTAATGGTCACATATTCCTCAGGGTCTATATTCATAGGAAAAAAAAAAGTTAGGAACTAGCTATTTTCTGGACCTGAATAGAATAACGGTTCATTTGGAACAGACAACCAGGGGCAGCCTCAGTCATGTGTTGACTATTGTTCTCTTCTTGGAGGGAGAAGAAAGAACTTATGAAAGAAAATAGCAAGAGAAGCACTTAGGTTTCTAAGGTAGACTTAGTGTTATGCCCTATAAAATTATTCTCACAAACTTCAACAAACGTGTATGGCAGGGCGGCTATTCATCAGGCACACACACATCCCTGGAGATTGAAAGTGGAGGAAGATGTAGTTCTGCCGTTATACAGGCTCAAAGTCTAATAGAGGAGACAAGCATGCAAACAATTTATCGATGTACACAGCGATAAGAGCTACGATAAAACTGAGTACAAGGTGCAGTTGGAAGCACAAAGGAGGGAGAGATAAATGGGGACAGGAATGGGGAGACGGTTCCAGGAAAATCTTTACAGAGGAAAAGTGATTTGAACTGAGAATCCATATTGGGTAGTGAAAGTCTGGAAACTTGGCTTGTGTGCTTACTGAGCTGCTTATGAATTAGGACAAGTCACCCCACCCCTTTGGCCTTCACATTCTCTGTAAGATAAAGGTGCACAAGATGTTCCCTACAATCCGATTCAGCCCTAAACTGTTTCCATCCTGGGAATCAAGTTATCTTAGTGGGCTATTTCAGAACAAAAGTGTGATTGTTGAGCCCAGTACTCCCTTTGTCATTGGGAGATCAAAATGTAAAAGTTCTCTGGAGACAGATAGGCAAGAAAATTCTTCTGCTCTCACCCCAGCTTCTCGCCTATTCAAACTTGTTATCTGGTTTGCGCCAAAGTCATTGCCCTGTGTATGTGTGTATGGGATGTGTCAAGAAAACAGAGTTGGGACAGCATGAAGAAGGTGGGTACAGTGCTGGCTGCAATGGTGGGGGGTACTTGGCTGGCCCTCTCCATGGGGGTCAACGTTCAGCCTCATTAATTTTGCCTTCATTATATTTAAGAAATGGTTTATTAAAGACTTTTCCCTCTAAATTTCTTGCCTGCATCTCACATTTAACTTAAAAGTTGTATGCAGAATTTTAAGGCTGCTCTTTGTGCATCTATATCAATATTTATAGATGATACAATATTTGGAGGAGAAAATGATGCAGATTATCCATTTTTGTAAAGACAGAATTCTAAGAGGAAGAAAGTGGGAAATTTGCCAGTAGAATGCCGATATCTGGCTAATAACTCGTTGTATGTTGATCTTGACTCAGGTTTTTCCTAGCTTTAATAAATCTGTGATGCTTGCAGGAACTAGCCAAACTGGTACATATGATTTGTAATTCTGAAATCACTGTTACTTCCTCTGAGAAGCCATGTCTGTGCATGTAAGTATGTTACAGTGGGGCACTATCATCAGAATTATTTCATTTAATCCATTATGATTAAAATGGAATAACAACATTTTTCTTCATAGAACAAATCATCTCTTGGGTGCCTTGATTTAACATTTAACTTTTAACTGTTGGCAGTCTAGCAGATCAGTGAGATTATGTATTTGAAAAGTAATCCAGTTATAATTGTATTTGAGAGAACATATTTAGGATTTTTTTTTTCTCTCTAACTCTGTATGTATTTGAAGAAGCAAGTCATTCTGCAAACAGCTGTTTCTCTTAAGATACTGTGGCTGACAAAGGGTAATTTGCAGCCTCCCAGGTTCCTTTTCTTATTCTGATGTATGGTAGGGCTTTTTCTCATGAACATGAAGTACATTTCACAGGGTTTTTCTACCACCCAGTGCATGGGAAGTCTTGTGACAGACTCTGACTCTCATAACTCTCTAGACATAGGTGGGATTTGAATCTCTACAATGAGACTTTTCTCTCTTAGTTAAAGGCTTTGTATTCATTTGGGAGAAGCCTGAAGGTAGGAAGAAGGCAATAGATTGAATTTGGGAGGCTTTATAAATGTTCTGCAATGTATCCCTTTGTCTGTCATCAACTTCTTGATGCAGATGTACTTCAGAAATGTCATCGGCTATTTTCTCCCCCTGCTTGCTGCTTTTTGAGTGCATTTTTCAAAGACAGTCGATGGGAAAGGGGAGCTGGAAGATTCATATGATTCATAGGTGTAGTAGCACTTATTTCAGCAGAGAATCGCTTTCCTATTGAATCACTTTGCTATTTTCTTAACTCAGTAACACAGTGAAAGACCAGATGAGAATGACATGTTTTTTAAGTCCAAAAGGAAATGGAAAAGGAGGGAAATTGAGGCAAGCATAAATGAGCTTGCACTCTAATCGCTTCAACGTTTCTTTAATTTTGAGTGTATATGGGAGGGGGAGAGAGAGAGAGTTGATTTTCATGTCTTGACTCCCCTTAGCTGCTGATTTTAGTACGTAGCCTGCTCTGCCAGAGGATGGCGACTGTTGTAGGTACGTTTACAGAGTCGTTTAAGGCATGCTCTGATACTTTGCACTAGTGTGAGCCAACTCTGAACCTGTGGGTCTAGATTGGAAGAAGGAGGGCTTGGGACACCATTGACTTGGCTAGGGAAACATGAAGGGTGATTTTTCAGAGCCAAGATGGCTGCTGGGCTATCACACCAAACTGTTATAGACCCAATGTGATAGGGTACCTTGTGGCCCACTCAGAGTGCTTAGGTGGCCTACAGAAATCATTGGAACCTTCCTAGTACAGAGTCATTGATTTTCCAAAGGACAAAAACAATAGATGATTACCTACTCCACTGGGACAGTCCCTCCCTAATCCCCACTCTATCCCAACCTTACATGCTTTACCAAAGCCTTAATTCTATACAAGGATTAAAAAACAAGTGTTAACAGATGTAAAAAAAACAAGTTTGTTCTCTCCCAAACACCAATTAAAGTATTTTGGCCTATAATTACGTTTGGGCCTCTTGAAGAATGAACGCTATGTAGAGGAGATTTATTATCACCAAGTGTTGTGTGTACAAATATATTATCCTGAGTTCTAAAGTCGTTTTGAAAAAACAGGGGCATAGTTTTCTTTTGAAATGTTGTATTGCACGGATAATATAGATGTTAAATTACTTGGTCTCCTCATCTATTGTTTGGATAGAGAATACAGATTTTTATTTTATTTTATAAGCTTTCTGGAACATAAGCAGCAGTCTCTGGTAAGATGGTGTTGCTATGCATTTGCATTGTTATAGAATTAAATTATGGATTCGGTCATTCAAAATAGAAGCTTTATAAATCAAGTAAAATCTCATAACTAAGATGAATAAGTTTCTTTAAGTCTCATGCTGCCTCATATTCCATACTTTAGTTTTATAGCCCAACTTGATATAATTTTTTAAAGTGTAATTCTCTTTTTTTCTATTTCTGTGTACTGTTTTTGCTCTGCTAAACTGTCATTATTTCCCAAGAAAAAGCTTAAGATAAGTTACTTTATGTAAAGGATAGTGATATAAAAGCACAAAGGCATGTTCACTTCTTTATCTGTATATTGGCAGGAAATGTGCCAAATACAGTGTGTTCTCTCCCTCCCTTTCTTCTTCTCTCTCTGATTACATTCAATGTAGATGATATTAAAACTCAATTGTAACAAATGGTGAAATTCCAATTATTCTTTTTTCTTTTTTTAACTTATCTAATGTCTGGAATTCCTGAATATGAAAGACAGTCTTCATTATATAGTTGTTTTGGAGTTAAAAATTGTGTTCCACGCTTGTGTATGCTAATTGTCTAAACAAGCTATCTAGGTGGCTCTGCAATCCTTAAGCAATGCTGCTGAGCTGCATAATTTATTTTCCCCACTACTGCTGTCTAACTACCCCAAAGCATAGGAATTAGAGTGGTGGCCCTAACTGGGAGTATGCAGTAAGATGAAAAATAGTCAAATGAGAAGGAAGGTCAGTAATAAGTTATTTAGACCTGGTTAGGCAGCAGGGTCTCCAAATGCAGCTGCAATTGGTAAAAAAAAAAAAAAAAAAAAAAAAAAAAAAAAAAAAAAAAAAAAAAAAAAAAAGACTGAAATTCAGAAGAGAGGTCAGGGGTAGAGATAGAGATTTAAGATCCGAGCAATTGTACAAATAGATGGAACTTTGAAACAACTTAGTCTCTCCAGGGAAAAGAGATTAGAGAGGAGAGCAAGAGGATTTAGAACAGGGCCTTGGGGAAATCTTTAATGTTAGGGTGTGGGAGGAGGAAGAGAAACCCTGAAGTAGAAGTATAAACTAGCATGCTTGGCTGTGGAAGTCACCAAGTGCCACTCCCTCCATCAGCTGTTAATTCTGAGCCAGATCACCTCAGTTATGTAGATGGAGAGTGGAGAATCTAGGAACTGAAGATCCTTGTGACTTTCTGCCTTGCTTCACATTGGTGGGTGTAAAAAGAAGCTTATGGTCTCTCTTAGGGGTACATTTATGGGGAAAAGACCCCAATTATTGTGATTTAGCACACACAGGGGTCTGCTTACACTCATTATATATGTTGAAATTGCGTAGCTATTCCTAGGCTACTTTTAAGAATTTAGGAGGATTAGGTTAACGTGATTCTTAACTCATACTACCAATAAATTATTCTTTCTCCAAGGTTTGCATAGAAATATAAAAGTACATAAAACTAAGATAGTATTTGATTTTGTAAATCACTTTAATTTAATTAAATGTAAATTGAGCAATGGGAAAAACAAAAAGACAAACTCGACAGAAAACAATGATGTGTCTTTTAATTTCTCACACTGACTTTAAAGTTATACTCAGCTTCTTGCCAGAGGAGGTAAAACAATAGAGCCACCTTGCCCTAGTGATCTAATATTTAAAAAGAGCCGTTGCAATGCATCTGGGTTTGCATTATATGTAGCTCTAGAAAAGTTTTGAAGGACACATCTTGATTCTCAGTGAAATTATAGGAATATTTTAATAACAACATAACTAAACAATGGAGAAGCCATTGCATAAACTGTGTAGGCATCATAAATAAGGAAAATGCAGATAGCATGTGTTGAATGAAAACACTTGGTGAACAAACTCATTTTTCTCTCGGGAATTCAGGTGGCCTAGCAGCTTGCACTCTTTGGTCCAAAAACAAAGTTGCCCTTTTGCTCCCCACCTTCCCCTTCCCCAATAACCTCACCTACTGTAAAGAATCTTAGCATCTGTGGAAAATAGAATTGTTTGCAGTTGTGCTTTCTTAAAAGGTTTATGGTGGACCTAGTAATCCAAATAAGAGAGAATCGTTAGCTTCTTTATATACTGCTCATGAGTTCAACACAGTAATAGGTCACATTGTGACAATGTGACCAACAACTAGTCCAGTGACATCCTTTGCTGCTACATAGTAAACCATAATCAGCAGCCATGCCAACATTTAGGTGACACCAAAAGCATGTTTGATTCCACGGAACTGACATACTGTCCTGTCTTGAAAGTGCTTAACATCAATAAAAAACATTCAATTAGCTGAGGATCCAAAATACACTTTGGTTTCCATCATGCAAGTGATCTAGGGCCATTGTCTCCGGAACCTAAAGAACAAAATGGCTGCCGGGCATAGGGATTTATTATTTCATTAACAGACTGTCAGTGAATTTCAGGGTGTTTCTCGCCTTATATGGATTCAAGATGAAGAGTTTTGGAGCTTAGATTGTCCCCAGATAATGGAGTCCAAAATTTATCTATTTGTGTATAGTTTTAATTTAATATTTTCCCTATTCTTCATTGTCAGGGTCGGTGTACCCGAGAGAACTGCAAGTACCTTCACCCTCCTCCACACTTAAAAACGCAGCTGGAGATTAATGGGCGGAACAATCTGATTCAACAGAAGACTGCCGCAGCCATGTTCGCCCAGCAGATGCAGCTTATGCTCCAAAACGCTCAAATGTCATCACTTGTAAGTCGCAGCTATATTTTGAAAATTGCCGATAAAGATCAACAGTGGAATAACCTGGCAGGGACTTGGGGAAATTAGTTGCAACAGGATTTAGGACACAAACTAATATGTTCATTGACACTACAGAGCTGTGCACTTGAAGAGAGCAGTCAGGTGTGTTGCACTGAAAACCTGGCTGCATGAGTTCACTTTATAAAAGAATATGGATAAAGGAGCAGGGGCATTTTAAGATAAGGAGAGTTGATTATTATTACATGGAAACCTTTGAATTCTAGGACATTAATTCAAACAAATTTTCTTGTTCTTTGATGGGGGTTTTGTTGCTTTTTTTTTTTTTTTTTTTTTTTGGTGAGACAGAGTTTCACTCTTGTTGCCCAGGCTGGAGTGCAATGGTGCGATCTAGGCTCATTGCAACTTCTGCCTCCCGAGTTCAAGCAATTCTCCTGCCTCAGCCTCCCAAGTAGCTGGTATTACAGGTGCCCGCCATCACGCCCAGCTAATTTTTTTGTGTATTTTTAGTAGACATGGAGTTTCACCATGTCCAGGCTGGTCTCAAACGCCTGACTTCAGGTGATCCACCTGTCTCGGCCTCCCAAAGTGCTGGAATTACAGGCGTGAGCCCGGCCTGTTGTTGCTTTTAAATAAACGTTTTATTTTGAAATAATTTTAGATTTACAGAAAAGTTACAAAGGTATTAATAGTACAAAGAGTTCCTGTATTACCTTTCACCCAGTTCTCCCCACTGTTAACATCTTATATTACCCTGGTAGATTTGTCAAAAGCAAGAAACTGGAATCACACATCATTATTATTAACTAAACTCCAGACTTTATTCAGATTTCCCCAGGTTTTCTATTAATGTAATCTTTCTATTCCAGTGTCTGATTCAGGGTACCACAGTGCATTCATTTGAATTTTGCCTCCCCTCTCTTCTCTGCTCTGTGACCATTTCTCAGTTTTTCCCAATTTCCCATGATCTTGATAGTGGCTTTCCCTTAACTTAGCTACAGGGTTTCCCTATGCAGAAATTAGTAAGATTATGTCATTCTAGACTAATATCTACTATTTTCTGGACTTGCAAGTTTAAATGGATCCTTTATAAAGTAATTAAGCTATATCTGTTCATATTGTTCTATTGAAAATTCATCTTGCCCTATGCCTTAAAATATAAACTTTCATTTTGCTTTTACACCTCTTAGGGAGAATTGAAAACTGTCCCTTTTCTGCTGTAGTTCTTCAGGCCTCACATTTAGCTCAGTGGTGCCTCATTCTAATTCCAGCTGGCCTACTTCCTTTAAACTATTAACAGGATAAATTTGAAAATCCTGTTTTACCTTTATTTGTTACCCATTTAATCAGTGATACAATGAACATATTGAAAGTTGAAATATGTATATAGTATTTAGATGCAATGAAAATGGGGGAGGACAATCAGCTGTCAGTAAAGCCTATCTCATTATAAAGTTAATTCTCAGAATTCAAGGATATCTGTGTTGATATGGAACCCTTTAATGAGTACATCTTTATGGATAAATGCAAAAACAGATGGGAGAGGCAATGATGAATCACTAAAGGTTTGCACCATACTCTTTTTCCAGAATGTCTAGACAGATTTAAGTAAAATAAATAGATGTCATGTTCTGTACTATTAGTTTACCAAAAAGTTTTGCCTTGGAACTCAGATTAATTATGTTGGTAAATTAGTTCCTAGAAGGTGAACTCCTCAAAGCTCCTCTTTGACCCTCAGTAATTCTTTACATCGTTGAACTCCTTGCGCAAACGCTTTTTCTGGGCTTTCACATACTGACGTATCTCAGTCCCTCCCTACTTCTAAGGGCAGAGGGAAGATAAAGTCTTTTGGATACTGAAAATTGTTATGAACAAAACCACAGAGAAGTGATCGTGCTTGGTAAGTCCAGAAAATGTGAGTGGGTGGGGAATAAAGCAAGGCAGCTTCTATTTTTTCCCCCAGCTTTATTGAGGTATAATTAATAAATAAAATTGTGTATATTTTAAAGTGTACAGCGTGTGATGATTTGTTAGACGTATACATTGTGAAATGAGATGACATGGATGAACCTGGCAGGCATTATGTCAAGTGAAATAAGCCAGACAGAGAAAAAACAAATACTATATGATCTCACTCATATGTGGAACCTTGAAAAAACTGAATGCATAGAAACAGAGAGTAGAAGGGTAGTTGCCAGGGGATGTGGGTGGGAGGGGATGGGGGAAGATGTTGGTCAAAGGTATAGCAAGGGAGATTTTAACTCACAATTATTACTCTCAGCTTCTCATGGGATGTCTCAATTTCAAACTGAGCAAAGAATAGGAAGCAGATTTCATTATCAGACACCTGAGCCCAGTGGTTCCTACAGAGCTGGAGCATTTATCTTTTCAAAGGTCGAGGGATAGCTTCAGGGTACTAGTGAAATGCCTTGTTTCAGGGAATCAGAGAGCAAGAAGTGGGGTAAAGTAGGGGTACAGAGGGAAGCCGTTCTATTCAGCCTCTGCTAGAGTCTCTCCATTCCAAGTCTCAACCCTTCAAGTGTTATTGATCGTGCTGGCTCACACTGGAGAATAGGGAGTAGCTTTTTTGAGAATCCAGTAAGAAATCCATTGTGCTTTCCAGCCTCTTCACTTGTGCTTTCTAATTTGATTCTCTATGCTTTCTATGTTAGAATATGTTTCCCTATCTTTTCTTCAATGAGGGTAATTTCAGATTTCAGATGACGGAAGATGACTGCTATGATTCACAGGAGTACAATTTATTTTATAGAATGTTACAAGATACAAGGCATTACTTAGAAGACCCAAGGGAACAATTGGAAATTGCTTCTCTACCTTGTAGATTATTTAATGATAGCTGTTATGATGCGATGAGCCGATAAATGATTAATTCCTGCAGTTATTATGTGTACAAAAATCTAACTCCGAGATGGTTGATATGTTCCTCTTCTATGGTCTAAGGAAGCCACTTTGTAGACATGGTGTAATTGAGCTAGTGTGAGCAATTTTAAGTAACATTTACCAGTCTGATTTGGAAAAAAAATTTCTTTATTGTGGATCCTGATATTATTACAGAAGTAATATATGATTTTACTTAATTTCTCTGGTACCTACTCTCCCTCAAACAACTCTCTATCCCTTTTAATCACCCCTACCCAATAATCTGATTCTTGTCTCTAAGATAGTCATACTTTTGTTTAAGAAATTTCCAGTCCTGATATTTGTAAGGTTGCATATTAAGACCCATTTGTATGACTGGCTTGAACTTCATGTCTTTCCACAAAGAATACTTTGATCTGTTTCTAGGATACCAGAAGAGCACATCTGCCTTTGCAGAATTGAATATGGTTTGCTTATTATAAGCCCCTAGATAAAGGGAATGTCAACCTAAATGCGATGGTACCTAGAGAACAGATTCTGTTGAGTGTGACTGAACAATGAATAAAAGCCACACCTAGTCAATTTGGGTGGAATGCTTGCTGGAGCAGGCAAGTTTGTTCACTCTATTAAACAGGTCTGAATTGACATTTGCCAGTATAAAAGTCCATCTCTGAAAGCTTTTTTTTGGCTTTATTAAGGAAGTTCAGCAGGTGAAACAAAAGGTGTGACTCCCTAGTATTTTTCAATGCAGTTTAAGAGAGATTGTTCCTGATGTTCCCAGCAAAAAAGTATAAGTTGAAGTATCCCCTTGCCATAATCATGAGGCAAATACAACCACTGTAGAAGAATATTAGAAAGAGTAGGCACAGTGGATTACCCTGAAGCAAAGCTAATGTTTTAAAATTTTGGTTTTACAATTAGAAATTTTAGTTATGAGGAAAGATTCTCCCTACTGAATGTGGTGTATGTATTTATAAAGTGAATATGATATTACAGGCTGTTAAAATGTTTTATTTGGACATTTTGCATATCTACACCTGTCCATATCCAAACTAAAGGAAAACCTGGGAAATTCCCCTAGTTTCTCTCTTTGAATGTGGTGATTCACATGGAAACAGATCCTGACACACAGGTGAACTTGACTCAGTAGAGTGTATTCATTTGATTATTTATATAGAGATTGTTGATTCAGCACATTTGAGGTTGCATTGGGATGTGCCAAGTCCTCAGGTTCTGTTGTATGCTATTCATGGCTGGCATTCCTGTGGCTAAGTTACCGAGTTCCAAACCATGAAGGCCATAAACAAGTCTTCCTCTCTAGGTTTTCCTTTATCTCAAATTGAATCATCTGATAGCTGCCTGGATCCCTCTCCACCTTTTTACATCATTTTCATAATTCTGTTTACCAAATATATTTCTCATAAACAGGCTTATATGTTTATCTAACATTAATATAGTAAGGAACGAAGGTGATGTAATGCTTCAGAACCAAGAGAAAAAAAATAATAGAAAGTTCAAATAGGTACGAGGAAGGGAGATATACTAATTAATGAATATTATTTTTAGACTCATGTTTTTAATGTTGTTTTTTTCTCTTTTACTAAAGGGCTACAATGTATTATATTACTTGGGTTTATATTACTTATAAACTTAGGACTAGAACAATTTTAAGTGACTGGAGATAAAATTGGAAAATATTTATTTACTTTTTAATTTTTTTTTTTTTTTGAGACACGGTATCACTCTGTGGACCAGGCTGGAGTGCAGTGGCATGATCATAGCTCAATGTAGCTGCAGACTTGTGGGGTCAAGTCATCATCCTGCCCCATCCTCCTGAGTAGCTGGGACTACAGGTGCACATCACCATGCACAGTAATGTTTTTTAAAAATTTTTTGAATAGAAATAGAAATGTGATCTCACTATGTTGCCCAGTCTGGTACTGATTTCCCAGCCTCAAGCAATCCTCCTGCCTTGACCTCCCAAAGTGCTGGCATGCCTGGCCTACTTTTTAATTTTTGTAAGTCAGTCATTAAATGATATAGTACTTGAAAACAAGAGGACAAATATTCATATTAGACTTACAGTTTTTTAGTTCACATAAATTTAGTTTATTGACTGAAATATTTATGCTATAAAAAAGAGTAGTTTTGTCATGGCTCTTTTATTAACAATTATTATTTTAAAAGGTGACCCAGACATTATGTAGGTTTAATAGAAAAGAAAATTATGTCCATATTCTAAATTACCAGTCTCATGGTCAGTACAGAAATTATAACATTTTAATGAAGGTTCTGCAGCAGGTTTTTCAGTTCACCTACTCATGTAATGATGAATGATGGCATTTAGTTCTTTCATCTTGATGTGGTGACATTACATGTTTTGTAAATGATTTTTGCAAAATTTTCAAGTTAGGAAAGACAAGCATTATGTAATTATAAGGTTAATATGCTCTTAATATAATTACAACAGTCATGATCATGTGAACTTCCGCATTGAGGTTGACCAAATCATATCACAGAAGTGCCTGGAGTGCTACCATGCCATGATCATCTGGATTTTACTACATTTTCTGAAAGATTAGACAAAATTTTACTTTTAGGTATATCAACTGAAGCCTACTGTAATCTGTTTGTTCAACTAACATTGTTTTTAAGGTGTACTTACCCTGAGACTAACATGAGGGGTTTAGGGATGCTCATTTGCATGGTTTCCTTCCAAAACCCTGAGAGGGGTCCTAGCAACGTGTTTAAAATGTGTTTGTAAAATTTGCAAAATATATTCGTGTGTTTCATTCTTAAGGCTCCACTTCCCCACCCAGTGGTCTAAGCTTCAGACCCCACATATCCTAGATTTGCTCCTCATTGCAATTACTGGTCCAAAGTAGAGTAGTTATTCGGGCCTTTTGCTAATAAGACTGTGTATGTCACATAGCTTAAAGCTTCTTTTACGTTAAAACAAAATAAATCCCCTAGCAGTCCCTTTGCTGCTTTGCCCCATCTCTGTTAATAGACACTGTGAAATCTGCTTTTTTCAAAAGTTGAATGAAAATGCTACACTTTTGCAGCCAAACAGAGGACACTTGTACATGATATCTTCTTTATTTTATTTTATTATTATTATACTTTAAGTTTTAGGGTACATGTGCACAATGTGCAGGTTAGTTACATATGTATACATGTGCCATGCTGGTGTGCTGCACCCATTAACTCATCATTTAGCATTAGGTATATCTTCTATAGTGTCCAGTTTCTTTGATAGTCACAAATCTCAACATTCTCCCTTTATCATCCTTTATATATTCCCGTGAGATAAATTACATGTAACCTCCTCTATTTTGTGTCCTTCTCCTCTGGGGCTGGTTAGCTCAGTTAGTTGGAGCCTGGTGCTAATGAGACCATGGTGGCCTGTGAGCTTCACTGTTCGTGGTCACAGTGTAAGCTACAGCCAGCTACCTTGAGATTGCTTGCTGTTGATCACAAATGAGGTGAAGGCTGGGAGTTTGGTGGGCTCTGTGAATTTTTTTTTTTTTTTTTACCTGCAGGTTGGTATGGCTCAGTAATTTGTCAATGAGAGGAGACCTTATATAAAAACCTGTGGCTGCCCTACCACCTGATAATTAAAGTGGTACCCCCAAGCATTTCTAATTTGCCTTAATATCCTGTAATCATCTGTTAAATATTCATTTACACCCTTCTTTCCGTGGTCTTCTCTCTTGAACCACTCTGGATACCAGTCACATTAGCAATTCATTAATCACCTGGATTATACACATTGTGAATTACTTTGTGTATAAAAAGGTGTGAATTACTTTGTGTATTACAAAGTGTATAAAAAATTACTTTTTATACACTTTGTAATAAAGTTACATATTTTTATCTATAGTATCACTAAATCACTTTTTTTTAGAACTCTTAATTAGGTACCTTCTAGTATGGATTTAGCCACTCCAATTTTAAAAATACATACACATATGGGATTCATGTATGTACATATGTACATATGTATGTATAAAATACCCTGTGCTTTTCATACTGTTTGATCTAGCAATTCATATCTTTATCAAAAGACAGCTTAGGACTAGCCATCTGCCTAAAGTCTTCCTCAGTGGAGAACAAGACTGAAGGATTTATTCAATTTCTTTGCCACCATTTTTGAAACTACTTTTACTTCTTTTTGCACTCTGATTTTTAAATTGGGTTGATCTATTTAGTAAATCAAAAATTAATTAATGGTTTAGGAATCCCTTTTTATTGAATTCAGTAAGTATTGAGCATATACTCTGTGACAGGTATTTAAATGAGTAAAGGGTGGATAAAAAGATGATCAAGAAACAAACTCTACCCTCTAGGAATTCGTTATGTAACAAAAGTAAGATGTTGGATGAATATTTTCTGGTCCCCTTAATTTCTGATTTGTACCTGATTCTTCATATTTTTGTAGCTTTGGGCCTTTCTTTTTTCAACATAGAATTATCTTTCTATTAGCCATGCAAGGTTCTGTTTTGGTTTGTGTTGTTTTGATGGTGGTGGTGGTGGTGGTTGTGGTTGGTCAAACCCTTGATAATTTTAAACTCTTAGCCTACCTATTTATCTAACTTTCACTGACATGTTCATAAATAGTCTCCAGGTTTCCTGTGGGTTCCTTGCTTTGCTCAGTTCTTCCTATTTATCTCCCAAAAACCCACATTTTGTTTATACCCTTTGTTAAAACTAGATAACCACTTAATTCTTTGAACTACTTCAATGAGGTATGATTGACACACAAAAGCTGCACATGTTCAATGTATACAAATTGATGACTTTGGAGACAAACAGATGCTCATGATACTATTACTACAATCCATGCCACAAACTTGATTTTTTAAAAAATAATCTTTGTTTCCTACTAGAATACTAAAGTTAATTGAATTGCCATTATTATTACACGGTGGTCACCAACAAATTTTTAGGTCAATTCCTGTTCACCTCCTCAGGAACAATGTCAAAGTTACCCTGCTTATAAGTGTCAATCATTTGCTCTCTTCCTAGGTGATGTGCTGATCTGTGTTTAGGTACTCCTTTATGATTCCTGGCCTGCTGTTGTATTTCTCCTCCCAGCAAATATGGGTAGCTCTGAACCATGACTTGTGTTCTCATTTGTGTTATTCTTTATACCTCTTATACTCACAATCACCTATTGATCTTTCAACTAACCTGCCTGCCTTCAATGGTTCCTCTTACTTGGAGAATTCTCTGATTAATAAGATCAGAAAATCCAGGTCTAGGTGAGGACAATGGTTCACTTTTGACCCATGAACTTTTTTTTTCTTAGCTCTCTCTAGAGCCATGGGGACTTATTCATTAACAAGTACGATTAGTACTTAAACACCACTATCAGCTTGCATCTGTTTTTAAAGTTAACTCTCAATTATTGAGAAACTAATTAACTAGTCTGGAGGTTATGTGGGTCTCCTGCAGCCTGCATTTTGGCCACTTCAGTCCCCACGGAACATTACTCAAGGAGTGTGGAAATGACCAAGCAAATACTGTGAAAGAGAGATTATTCAATTGTACTCTGTGTGAAAGTGAAGTCTGATGGAAACTAAAATTATGGATTTCAGTGCATTTTGGGATTATCTAAAGATAGAAATATGCATGATGACCGTAAAAAGAGCCTTCCTTTTATATTATATAAATGCTTGCAAATGAGCAATAAAATGAAGATATTATGACGCTAGTAAAATTTATGAGTGCTATTTTTCTTGTATTAAAATTGGGTCAACAAATTGTTACCAAATGTTTACCCTTCTGTAAAAGAAAATATCTAGTCATTCAACTCTAGACAGGAACTCAGAGATGGAAGGCCCCGATTATTCTGTTGACCTTAGGCCAGGATTTTGAAATATTTTACATTCATCCAACAATAATTGTAATTGATCTTGGATATTTTTGAGGTAACTACAAATAGATCTAGGCTATTGAGGAGACACAAAGATTGATTTGGCATAACATTTAATTTTCATTTATTTATACTAGCTTGAGAAATAACCTGTTAAGTCACTGTTCCTAAAGTGTGTGTAAACTAGACATTTATTTGAGGCATAGTTTTGCATTGAATTGCATTGCCTCAGAATCCTTTAAGAGCAATCTGTGGTGGCTTTTAAAATTTTTACCTTTACAGGATTCCAACTACTATTTCCCCATTCTTAGTCACGGAGTAGTGATTGTTCTATAAACAAATAGTTAAAAATCCTAATCCTAATATTAGTAACTATGTAAAAGAACATTTTAGTGAATACCTTAGTATTGGTTTACAAAGCCAAACATTTTCAATTTGTGGAATCTTGCTACAAATACTAAATTCATATACATATATATTCATATATATTCATATATATATGAATATATATGAATATATATATGAATGTATATATGAATATATATGTATATATGTATATATGAATATATATATGAATATATATGTATATATGAATATATATATGAATATATATGTATATATGAATATATATATGAATATATATATGTATATATGAATATATATGAATATATATATGAATATATATATGTATATATGAATATATATATGAATATATATATATATGAATATATATATGAATATATATGAATATATATATGAATATATATATGAATATATATATATGAATATATATATGTGAATATATATGTGAATATATATATGTGAATATATATGAATATATATATGAATATATATAGGAATATATATAGGAATATATATAGGAATATATATAGGAATATATATAGGAATATATAGGAATATATATATGAATATATATATGAATATATATGAATATATATAGGAATATATATAGGAATATATATGAATATATATAGGAATATATATATAGGAATATATATGAATATATATAGGAATATATATATAGGAATATATATGAATATATATAGGAATATATATATGAATATATATGAATATATATAGGAATATATATATATGAATATATATGAATATATATGAATATATATTTGGTGCTTTACTCCTGAAAGCGTTGGAGAATTTCATTTTTTGAAATCATTTAGAACCAAGGTCGGTGAACTTTCTTGTGAATGGCTAAATATAAATATTTTAGGCTGTGAGGTTCAAGATGCAAAGTTGAGGGTATTATATAGGTACTTATATAACAAGAGAGGAAACAAATATCTACAATTTTTTGTAATACAGCTCTACTAATGAGCACAATGAAATTTGTGGATGGACACTGGAATAAGAGTTTCCTATAATTTTCATGTTTCACTAAATATTATTCTCTTATTTTTTTCAATCATTTAAAACTGTAAAAAACATTCTTAGATTGCTGGCCATACAAAAACACAGGCAGGCTGAATTTGGCTTATGGGCCCTAGTTTGCAGAGCCTTACTCTAGAACAGAGATTCTTAACCAGTAAGTAGTTCATAACCCCACACCAGGGGTGAGTGTCGTGGGGTCCTTGAACTTGCTGAGATCACAAGCAACATTTTTTGCATACATGAATTTTTCTGTGGACAGAGTCTGCAGCCTTTATCTGACTCTTGGAGAAGTCCTGGACTCAAAAAAGATTAGGAGCCAGTGTTGTCTAGATATTTCGTTAATTTTTAGGACACATTTCCTGAGTGTCTGATAGTTCCTAAGCAATCTGCAAGTCACTGGGAACTCATGGGAATTTCTACTGTAGGAGCTAATACTGCTAGAGACATGGGGATAAATAGTTGTCAGGTGATCTTATTCATAAAGTCTGTTGCCACCACCATTCTTGCTGGTTGACAACACTCAGAAAGATGAAAATTTACACCTGGTTATGGGAGGGACAGCCGTCTCTTTTCAAGTATTTAGTAAATAATTTAGGTTGGAATTTAAATATCTGAAACATTTAAGTGTTCAGACCATTTCAGGCTGTAAAGATAAATCAGAGTCAGTATAGTTAAAACCTTTTCCTTTACAATAAAAATTAACCCACAGATAGGTTCATGTTAGCTCAACTGACATCAAGGGCTGAGATATATATAGAGACAGGATTAAAGTTGCTTATTAAAGCTGAGCTTCTGAGCTTGCAGGCTGCTTGACTTAACCCATGGCTGTTAGTCAACGCTAAGCCCTTGAATGTTCAAATTCATGAAATGGAGTAGTTACCCTGGGGCAGAGGTGGTGGTGAGAAAACAGAAATGTCCAACTGAAAATAAATAAGCCACTCAGGAGTTCCTGCCTCTGCCCCAGTATTGAGAATGGGATAGCTTGCTTCTTCTCAATAAACAGTGTTATAGAATGCATTTCATACTCAAGGAGGAAATAGTTATAAGAGCTAGGATACTAATTTTAAGATCTAAAGATAGCATAGTTTGTGGTGAAACCTTAGAAAAATCTAAATACTTTCAGTAAGCCCTTTACATTTTATATGTAGACCAATCATTAATTTATAGCCTTTTTTTCCATACACTTGGAGCATATAACAAACCTAAGAAAGTTTAAAAGTATTCCAAAGAAAGCAGAACTTAGCTAGGAGAATTTCCCTGGTGAGTCACCTCAAAAAAGAAAAGAAAAAAATTACAGAAGTAAAAAGCTACCATAAACAGAAAGCATTGCTTTCAAATACATTAGGCTTCAATATTGTTGATTGATCAGCATTTATTAGTGATTAATAACTTTTTAATCTGGAAAATTCACCCACCTCCAGGTCTTTCTTTCAGTTCAAAAATTAATAGATACAATAATGGTCCTGCTCATTTTTGTAAAAGGCAAGAGCAAAAAGTATGCAGGAGAATGGGCTGGTGGCTTCAGTGAGAAATTTACCAGGAAAGTCAGAGACAACGAAAAGTCAAGTGAAGAGCACTATCGTGTGCTTCAAAAATGGACTCTTTCTCATCAGAGATTCTTGGTGATCTTGAGACAACTATGAATCATTACATTGATAAAGTCTGCCTTATTGCGGAAGCATGCCTGGGTGGCTGTTTCCAGAAGATTTCCTTCTCATTATATAAAATCATGTCACATCAGCTAGTTCCTGAGCTTCACATCTCATTCCATGACAAGTATCCCGTATTCCTGTAGTCTATTACATCATAAGAGCTAGTTAGACTGGGTCAGCCCTTGGCTATTTGCCCCCAGACTTTAGAGTCCTTCTCCTGACTACACCATCATCTTTCCTGGCACCTGGCGTTCCCTTTCCACTTAAGGCTCTTGGCAACCATGTCTTTCCTACTCACCCTCGTGAGTCTTGCCAGTTTTTTGGTGCCAGATTCTTTCTGCCCTTCCTAATGTCCCAATCAGCTAATTTGATAAACTCATCTAAGGTAGAATGCTAATGGGGGAGTGCTTCCTTCTAAGCTGAATATGGTTTATAACAGAGTCTTCTTGGAATGCTGTGTGGGTGACAATTTCAAGTCTGTGTGGGGGTGAGGCAATGAGTATACATTGCCCTTCACTTTATATTCCACAATTTGTATTTAGACTTGTTTCTATTAATGTGACTTAGCAGGTATGGGCACAGTTTGGCAAATGCAACAGATTCGGGGGTTTTTTCAAGTGAAAAAATTTTATAAAGCAAGAAGGAACACATGCAATTAGTAATACACAATGAGACACCACCAGTTTCACAATAACTAACTTGTAGAGTCATTATTAGAAATATACTACATTTAGTCATGATTTATTATTCATTCATTAAGCTTTTAAAATGTATCATTGAGTATATCTGTCAACCAGTCATTCACTAAGTGTTGGGTACTATAGGGGAGATGAGAACTATCAAAGGAATAAAACCACATTGACAAGAAAAGATACCCACATGTGGAACAAACTGGAAAACAGCAAAGTGATAAATAATATGGCAACAGATAATAAAGGAAATACACATATTAAACTTTTTGAATCCAGGATCTTTGAAAATAGAAAAAGCAGTAATAGCTTTTTGCATTTCTGAGGTTTTTTTTTTTTTTACAAGTTACTCTAGTTTGTGTACCATATAATCCTGTTATCTTATCTCTTCCTGCCTAACAGGGATTCTTGTAGCATTTCTAGTGCCTTCTTTTGAACTATGAATATCATCTGGCCCCCTGGATAAAGACAAGGCTAGGCAAGTCAGATTAGCTTGTGAAACAGGACCTCTAGGATGACTACAGTAAACAATAATTTCTTGTACACTTAAAAATAACTAAAAGAGTATAATTAGAGTGTTTGTGACACCAAGGAATGATAAATGCTTGAGGTGATAGATACTCCATTTACCCTGATGTGATTATTACACACAGTATGCCTGTATCAAAATATCTCATGTACCCTATAAATATAGATACCTACTATGTACACATAAAAATTTAAAAAACAGGACCTCTGATTTAAAAAAATAACAAAATATAATGGACCATACTAAACTCATTTTAGGTAGATATTAAAGCACTCACTTTTTCTAATTTATCACTTTCTTCCTCAACTCCTTGCTGTGTTCCATAATTGTCAGTGGGCCAGGAAGACAGAAGCACAGCCAGTATTTGGTAGTACAGGTGGGGCCTGTGGTAGGACAGGCAGCCTTACAGCCAAGCAGTATTGATGGTGAAGAGGAAAGAGGAAGGAAAGGGACTGAATGCAAAGGCCATGCCTGTGTAAGGAAACAAAGAAGATTGTCCATATGTGTAATGTCATTGGTGACATGGTTTTTAGGGAATAAAGAAAGAGTTGGAGGAAACACATTTGGAACAGACTAGCAGTGAGATTTAATTTGGATAATTCATGACTGTTAAAATCATGTGGCTTATTTTATGAGCTTACCAATAAAGTTAGTACGTAAAGAGATTTGTTGGTTTAAAAGCAACTCCTCTATGGGAATTAGTATGAGGCTAAAAATAAATCAGAAGAAAACAATAGTAAATTTTGATGTGGCATAAGTAATTTTGATGTTTCTGAAAGAATACCTCTTTGTGTAATGACAGGAAGAATCTTTACCTCTAACATCTTTTTTTCTCTTTTAAACATACAGGGTTCTTTTCCTATGACTCCATCAATTCCAGCTAATCCTCCCATGGCTTTCAATCCTTACATACCACATCCTGGGATGGGCCTCGTTCCTGCAGAACTTGTACCAAATACACCTGTTCTGATTCCTGGAAACCCACCTCTTGCAATGCCAGGAGCTGTTGGCCCAAAACTGATGCGTTCAGATAAACTGGAGGTATTTGTGAACATATATATAAATACCTGTAGAATAGATATTAACCTTACACATAAAGCAGTATTCTCAGAGCCCAGTGTGTTGTTTTAAATAAGAGAACCCAAATTTCTTAGCTTATAGGGTTGTTAAACATTTTAGTACTGCAATCATACCTTGTTATAAAGTGCATTGATTCACCTGTATGGTAGGTCAAACAATATGTTAAGTGTACCCAGCCATAGACTGTGCGATGGCACAGGAAGCCTCTGTGGGAATGTTCCTTTTACCTAGGCTCCAGCTTTCAGAAACAGATTACTATATTTGTTAATGAGTCTCTACTTGCTAGAATAATCAAAGTGGGAAAAAAGTAGACAATATAACTCTCTACGATTGCAGAATGTAAAGCTATATGAACACAGAAGGTAAATTAGTCTCATAGTGCCTCAACTTTTTTCTCCATTTTGAGAGTGATGTGCTAGGCAGTAAATAACCCCGATGCCTAAGAAAAGAAAATCTGAAAGAAATTTCAAACAGCTTTTTGATTTATTGAAGTCCTTCATTCTTCTATTGTTATTCTTTGTACATTGAAATAACTAGTCTTTCCTTACAAAGTCAGCTCCATTTGCAGCCGCTTAAATGCCTAGTAATGTATTGTAATATAATCTGATTGTACATATAACTCAGTTATGGTTCACAAGTTGACTTTGGAAAACCAGTGCATTATGGTGTGATAAAGACTCATCTTGGACTTAAAAAAACACTAATTATGCTTAAGGCTGTGTATTAACTGGAGAATTAAAACTGGTTTTCAGTAATACTTTTTTAAACATTTTTATTTCAATGTAAGGACAACCTCCTTTTGGGGAGAATAGAATTTTTTTCTGGGAATAGAAATTCTGTCTGTTTATATCTCATAGTGAATATGGCTTTACATTATTCTTTATCTTTTTAGATTTGTTCACACATAATATATTCAATGTATATATAATTACTGTTACATTCACTAGCAAAATAAATAAAAGCCAGTCAGCTTCCAGTCATCAGTGTGATGCGTGTGTATGTGCATGTGTGTGTTCTAAGGTTTGCCGAGAATTTCAGCGTGGAAATTGTACCCGTGGGGAGAATGATTGCCGCTATGCTCACCCTACTGATGCTTCCATGATTGAAGCGAGTGATAATACTGTGACAATCTGCATGGATTACATCAAAGGTCGATGCTCGCGGGAGAAATGCAAGTACTTTCATCCTCCTGCACACTTGCAAGCCAGACTCAAGGCAGCTCATCATCAGATGAACCATTCAGCTGCCTCTGCCATGGTAAGAAAAGGCCTGCACTTGTGGCCTGTTTCAGAGTAAATGCTTTGTATATTCCTCAATTTGTCTAATATCCTGTAACCATACTCATGGATGGTCATGAGAGGACCTTAATATGAACAGTCAAGGTTATAAGCTGGAAAAGAAAGAACCTATTTATTCTACTTTATTTACTAAGATTTTCTAAAGATAATTATTTAAAAGCCTTACTAATGCTTTTAACCTACTGTGCTCTTTCTCCCATTTTCAGAGTAAGGGTAAATTATATAATTTAAACAGTAAGTTATTTTTGAGTGCTTTTATAGTTTCACTACCCTCAATATCCTAGAGAGGCAGAAAGTTGCCTCTGCTCTGTGAGCCACTTTCATGGGCCCTTTGCTACTAACATCCTTAATGCCTTTCAAAAACACAGCACTTAAAAGATAGGGTATTAAGTAGGTTGTAATTTCCTAAAGGTTAAGGCCACTTTTCCTCTCTAGAGGCATAGTATCAAGGACAGCAGCCTGCTTAGTCTGGGGGGAAATTTCTACGTGGTTGGGAGCAGAGGCCTGACTTTGGTTTTTTTTTTTTTTTTTTTTTTTTTTGTTGTTGTTGTTGTTTTGTTTTGTTTTGTTTTGTGGGGGTGGTTGTGTGTTTTTTGTTGTTGTTGTTTGTTTTGAGATGGAGTCTCACTCTGTTGCCCAGGCTAGGGTGCAGTGGCGTGATCTCAGCTCACTGTAACCTCCGCCTCCCAGGTTCAAGCAATTCTCTAGCCTTAGCCTCCTGAGTAGCTGGGACTAGAGGCGTGCACCACTGCTTCTGGCTAATTTTTGTAGTTTTTATAGAGGCCGGGTTTCACCATGTTGGCCAGGCTGGTCTTGAACTTCTGATCTCAGGTGATCCTCCTGCCTCAACCTCCCAAAGTGCTGGGATTACAGGCATGAGCTACCGTGCGCAGCCCAGAGTCCTGACTTTTAAGTTGCTGTAGAAAGCCAGTTTTGGGGGAACAGTTAGTGCTGCTTAGTAATACTGAAAGGTAGGAAGCAGGAAAAATATTTGTGTAACACTGCAGTGTGATCACTGAGAACCAGGAATTCTCGTGACTTAAGTTTGCCACAGCTGTCCGTTGTTTTGATGTGCTGCTTGCTATGTCTTTCTTTTTCTCCCTGGACCTTTCCTTGTGTAATAAGGCATAACAGCCCCAGTAAAGGACAAAACCCACAGGAAACCTCATGTTCCCTGGGTGTGGAAAAAGCACTGACATGACCCTGAAGCCCAGGAGATGCACTGTGAGCTAAATCTCCTCACAAACATTCATAGTTTGGACTCCCATGACAGAGACTTTGCCTATTCACAACAGAGAGACACTTATTTTCAAACATCCCTATTAAGAAGGTTTTCCTCATACCGAGTTGAAATTTATCTTGCTGCAACTGGAACTTCACAAAAGAAGTCAGTCCCTATTCCAAGTGAGAGTGACTCTCATGTCTCCTGTCTAAGCCAAATACTGCAAATTGCTCCCTTTTCCTGGTAGTTTATGGTTTCAAGGACACAGTACCATTTTTGGACTGGCTCCACTTTTTGTCAGAACTGAACTCATTACATCGTGAAGGATCTGAGCACCAAAGTAGAACAAACTTACTTTCTCCCTTGATCTGAACAACATAATCTGTTAATGAATGTTAAAAAAGACTTTACCAAATTCTTTTTGTCTTAAATGCTTTTGAAGGGGTAATTATAAGCTATGAAAATAGCTTCATATGCATCTGTCCATTTCTGATTATTTGAGTGTGTTTGATAGAATGCATAGGTTACAAGTCAGCCTCAAATTTCCACGTAGAGAGCTAAATATTATATCATAGGCCTTCAATTGTTACTTGTGAATATCAATATAAAATTCCCTTTTAAGTAACTGATCACAGCAGGGTCTTAGCAGTGAGATCAAGTTGGCTCATAAGAATTTGATAGAGGTAAGATTAAATAAAGGAGGGCTTCATGAAGAAATTCAAGCTTTTTATATTTTTAAGGATTCATAGTGGACATGCTTTATAAAAGAGACATTTTTACCTTGTTCATGTATATAGCTCAGGTTGAGTTCACAGAAAGCAGCTTGTATTTAAAAAAAAAAAGAGAGAGACATAAAGGGTTGATACTTAGTTCATCCACAGTCTCACACCTCTTCGGCAGGTTTATGAGTTTAATAGTACAATCACCACCCAATTGGAACTGGGCACTGACCCATCAGGATAAACCCCAGCCATAAATAAACAAGCAGTACTACCTTACCAGCGTCTACCTGTTGAATGTTCATCTAGGTTTCACCCCAATTTGTAGTTTACTAGGGAACATAACTGGTTCTGATGATCATACCATGCTGCCAACTTTCAAGAGAGAGAAGGGGACACTCCCCGTTTATACCAAAGGGAAATCTTTTTAACAACCAGATAAGTAGGTCTTCTGTCTTAGTTAAAATGTTCAGCAAAACCATTTTCTCCCAATGGTAATAAAAGGCATTCGAAATGATAGATTTTGTTTTATGGTTTATGATTTTAGTACTGACCTTTGCCATCTGGTCTGCTGGGATAAATTTGGAAATTTTATATCTCTAAAGCTACTCAGTTTATTTTATCTCACTCTTCTAGCATGCTTTTCTTTATTTAGGTGAAATGAAAAGCAGATCTGTCACAGTGTGTGCACTGACAGTAGAGTTCCCAAAAGAAAATAGAGATACCTTGAGACCTTTGTTATCCACAGGAACGAGGTCATGGCATTACCCTTTTGGACACATGGTAGGATAGTTACTCAACACAAGCATTCCTGTTTCCTTAAGAATTTGGAGCATACCTAATTGTTGTTGCTGGGACATGTTTTTTAAGTAACGTGCAATTTGCTGAGAAAAAAAAAATGTAAAGTAATGTTAAACTTCTCCAAAGAATCTGATCCAGGGGCAAGTTTCACGGAGTATTATAAGCACAGTGGGATTTTGAAAGAACTGTAGACATGAAAGGATGGTTTAAAAATGCTAATAGGTTTTAGAATTAAACCTTACAAGAACTTAACAAAGCAAATGGTACATACCGAAATGGACAGCAAGCCTCTATAAATAAGAACTGCATATATTTTGCTAACTATCTACATAGTACCTGCGTGAGGTAGGTCGTGGGGGAGGAAATATTCATTTGCTTTTTCCTTACATGTTAGTTAGGAAATATATAATTATAGGACTTGAACCTGAAGTCTTTGTATAAACTGGATTTTATTTTATGGGGTGACAGTGTCAGACTCTGATCTACCAACATCTGTTTTATCACCTATATGCCATTTATGTCCTAGATCTGTATTGGAGTTTTAACAGGCAGAAATCTCTTTCCTGCTATATCTGTTGCTTCTGCTAATCTCATTTTTATAGATTCATAGATGAGTATCCCTGAGATATTAATTATAAATGATTGTTTACTGTAGTAGCTTTCTGTCATATCCTGCCCAAATGAGGTCTAAATTAGTGAAGTTGAAAACCTTTTTTTTTTTTTGCATTTTTTTTTGTTTTGCACTACTGCTCATGTAGTTGGACTACCTCTTTTTTTTTTTTTTTTTTTCTTGAGACAGGCTCTTGCTCTGTCACTCAGGCTGGAGTGCAGTGGTGTGGTCTCAGCTCACTGCAGTCTTGACGTCCTGGGCTCAAGCAATCCTCCTGTCTCAGCCTCCCAAGTAGCTGGGACCACAGGCATGCACCACCATGCCTGGCTACTTTTTCTATTTTTTCAGAGATGGGGTTTTGCCATATTGCCCGGGCTGGTCTCAAACTCCTAAGCTCAAACAATCTGCTGGTCTCAGCCTCCCAAAGTGCTGGGATTACAGGCGTGAGCCACTGTACACGGCTGTGAACCCCCTTATCTCTACATTTGGTTACCTTGCTGTGGGGCCACTGCTTATCCAGTGTCTTGCCCAATGCATACCCTTACGGAGGATTCCCAGGAAATACCTTATATGACTGGTGCTTGCTTGGTTTGAGTACATTTGTTACTTTCTCTAGTACTAGTACCATCTCTCCCCCCACAGGCCCTGCAGCCTGGTACACTGCAACTGATACCAAAGAGATCAGCACTGGAAAAGCCCAATGGTGCCACCCCGGTCTTTAATCCCACTGTTTTCCACTGCCAACAGGCTCTGACTAACCTGCAGCTCCCACAGCCGGCATTTATCCCTGCAGGTGAGAACACAGCTCTAGGCACTGCAGCGAGTTTGGTGATGTTGTGAATGTATACAATGCAAAACAGCTTTCAAAGAGCTTGTATAGGAGGACTGTCGACATGTATTTTGATTAAAAATAAAACAAGGAAGTTATGCTTATCTGCTAGTATCTAGAACT
The DNA here is from genome assembly GCF_000001405.40 of Homo sapiens. NCBI lineage: Eukaryota > Metazoa > Chordata > Mammalia > Primates > Hominidae > Homo > Homo sapiens. Next base: position 132,386,501 of record NC_000023.11, on the reverse strand, counting down.
ACTTGTTTTTCTATAATTCATGAAAATTCATGGTTTGAAATCAAACTAGGAAAAAGTATCAACATTTTTCTTTTTAGCATTTGTTGGTTTTTGCTTATGATTAATTCACTTGGTTCAGTCTCAAACTAATTCCTTGACTCTTAGGTATCACTGTCACAGACAGTAGAGTGCTGTCAAATAAAAAGGCAAAAACTCCCAGCTTCGATATTATGGAAATGCGTTGTCAATATGTCTTTGATATGCCAAAGGTAGTTAAAATAAAACTACCCTAAGTGCATAATATAGTATAATATAGATTAAACAGATAGTTTTAGCCTGTAACTCCTGAATCAGTTAATATAAAATACATAGCAGTTTATATTTTCTGACATTTTGCAGCATATTTTGTTATCTCCTACATTCAGCTATATTTAATAGCCTGTTTTACATGAAATTGAACAGAAAATGTTAAGCCAGAAATTTGTTCAATTAGATATCATATATTGGGGGGAAACTAATTTTCTTCCAGTGGTTTAGTAGTTTAAGAATGAGCATATAGTCTCTTAGGAATAAATTGAAAATTCTAACCATTGAGAGTACAGCAGTTTTTTTTTTCCATTTTTTTTTTTTTTTGACACAATGGTAAATGCCCAAGATTGGAAACTATTTTTAAATGAAAATAACATATGTTTTAAAAAATAATTTAGAAATCCTTGTTAATACCCAGACTTGAGAAAACTTATTGGTTAACTAGTAAATTAATCAGTTAATTAATTTTGAAAGGTACCATAAAACACCAGTCTTTAGTTACTAGCCACAGCAGTCCTTCATGCCATCATTTAAATTATACAATTTGTATACATTTATATGATAGTTTCTGAGAGGAAATATGGAATTCTTCAGCACTTTCTTACATCCCTTATAATAAGTAACTACTGATATCTAATAATTTAGATATTTTCTCCCAACCTAAGAAAAACACACATAATGTCTACAGAGTAAAAGAGAAAACCAGTATGAGTTGACATGACTTTATTCCTAGCATTTTTTTTCTTCAAAAATTGTGGTAATTTACCTACACATTAGATCACTCTACCTTGGCTACTTCCAATTTGTATTATAGCTGTGGAATGAATTCAGTAGCCCTGGAAGTCTAGTCAAGGTGGTTGAATATAATAAAATGTATGCTGTTCATCATAGTTTTTCTTAATACTACAGTTACTTTGTTTCCAAGTTTGAATTTTTTGCCAGATTTGGCCAACATAAAATCTAGTTTCATAAGCAAAAATGTCAGAAAAATTCCCTTTCCCTTAATTAGTAGCAACATAAAAGCCTGTCCAGCTAAGAGGTCTCTCTTAATGGAACCTCTTTGCCATATATTCATAGTCAAGTCCTATTGACTATGAGACAGTGGAGGAGACAGTGTTAACAGATTAATACTCTAAATAGAAACACGGACACCAGATACGAGATTCTGGAGCATATTTAGAAAATGATATGTGTAATAAATTAAAATTCTCTTATTATAAAAATTATTTAGGATGTATTTGTCCACAATAAATATGTAATTTAAGTGAGTTAATTCTTTTAAAGAAAAATTATAGCTGATTTTGTACCTAAGAATCCAAGAATTATTTTGATTACCTGGGTTTGTGACCTTAAAACTAATCTGTAATTGTAAACATGGGAGATTGTTGGACTTGCATGTGCTGAGTAATTGATATTGCAAAGAAATAATCTTTCTGTTAAAATGTATTTCTATCAGTAAATCCTTAATAATCAAATATCTCTTTTACTTTCCACGCTTTTCTGCGTGGTGTACAGGGCCAATACTGTGCATGGCACCCGCTTCAAATATTGGTAGGTTTTCTACAAAAATTATCAACATTTTCTAATCTGAAAAAATGTGTTTTTCTGTTGTGACTATGAAAGATGAATGACTGAAAGATGTGGCTGGAAATTTTCTGAGTATGTTAAGGTTTAACATGGTGCTTTCTGTTTTATGTCTTTGTAGCATCAAAATAGTCCTACTTTCTCAAGTCCTAGTTGGTTGCCACTGTGGCCAAATACTGGCCCTGTCATTTCTCTATTTCTACCCTAACAACAGCAACTGAAATATTAAAAAATCGTTTCTTTTACAATATTTGAAACTAGCCAGACTGGGCAGTTTTGTTCTTTGCTTAACATGTATTATTTAAAAATTGTAAAATACTTAAAATGTATAACTTGTAAAGTACAATGAAACAATTCCCACCTGAAAAAGTTATCTATAGGACTTAAAGCATTCAATGTTCCTATGTTGCGAGAGGATGAGTTCAGCAAAGCCAGAGGATTCTGCAGTGTTCTGTAATGAATCCTGTAGTGTTCTAGCCTGAAGCACCATTGGCACAGAAGCTAGGCACAACAGAATCATTTCAAAATGACTCTTTGAGTGTTACGTGATTTTTAACAAGCAGTTGCACACAGATCCTTTTGTTAGCCACTAACACAATATGATAGCCATCTCTAAACCATTTTATACAGCACTAATACTGAAGAGCATGAGAAAGGAATGGGGAGTTCACAGCTCCTACAGTCCTCATGGGCACAAGGAACAGACCAGGAGAAAATAGCTCTGTTCTATGCAAGGAGAAATGATCCCAACCCGTCCCACTCTACCGTCTCACATCAATCCAGGCCATCCCCTCCCTTTTGAGAGTTTGCAACAAATTGACCTTTGTCACCTTGGTGGACCAGAATAGATGCAGAGCCCCAAAAGCACTACTAACAGGCTTCTTGAGAATAAAGTTCAAAATGACAACCACATAGTAGCAGCACTCACTAACATAGCGAGATCTGAACCCTGGGAATGGAAGTGAGGCCCCTGTTACTGAGGGTTTGACTGTCTTCTGTAGGAATTAATAAACATTTCCATTAATACCAACAGGAGCACAATATGTATACCTTTGAATCATAATGTGTACAATTAGAACAGACTTCTGCAAGTTTGAGAAATGTGTCTTTGCCTTCATGTTTTGTGACAGTTTTCTTGAAGATGCTCTCTTGTCCTTTCACCTTCAGAGCTTTGCTTAGGAATGCAAACTGCATTCTTTAGTGGATCTGCTTCCTGTACAATTGCTGCACTCCCAAAGGGAAAACAAGAGTGTTTTTAGAATTGGCATATGAGACAACAGGGATGGCTCTGGGTAATGGGTAACTAGAGATAAATGGAAGGGATAACTATGGAGTTTCTGTTAATCACCATTTGGGGTACATTTTCAGTTTCTATGACATTGCACATGTTAATTTTTCTCTGGCCATTCATTTTCTCTTTAGACTTTCAGAAAATCTGAATTTAATTGATGTAGACATGATAAATTATTACATATGCATGCTTGCCATTCACACATTGCCATTCACACATTAATTCCCTGGTTTGCTTTCTGAAATGAGCTAGACATCAGAAAGCACCCAAAACGCTTTCTAAATGAGATAGAAACTAGAAAAGGCAAAGATAAAACATCCTGCAAGAGATTTCACAGCTGCTAACCATTGTAGCTATAATAGTTGCTGTGAAGACAAGATTTACTGTGAAGTACTCCATGTATTTGTTTGATAAATGGCCAAAGTTTCCCAGGAGTTTGCCAGAGGTGTACTTAAAAACCTGCATGCATAGTCCACTGTATTCTTCATATCTGCCCCCCTACCACATACCAACCAGTCTACCTACCATGTCTTTGCATGCAGATCAGGTAAGTATACATATAACTGCCTGTTTGCACCTGCAAATCTAGTGACGGCATTCATGTCCATAAGTCAGTGAACCTAAATTCCAATTTATGATTCCTTAATTCCATTTTGAATGTGCAGTCCAGTTACTTGTCTGCTTAACTAGCTTCAGATAGATAGCCCTTGTAACATTGGATTTTTGTTTTCATATGCATTCATTATAGCCCCTTCTGAAAATTTAGCCTTTTGAGTAAACTACAATGGGATTCTGCTCAAAAACTTACTAAATGTTGAGAATGGTTCCATTTTCCATATTGGTAACTATAATTGGCTTTCCCCTTTTCTCTTTTTAATTTTCCCCCCTTCCATGCTGTGTTGCTTTGCACTGACTGTGATTGCATGAACACCCTGATGTATTCATCGTTATGATGTCACATGGCTTGTTGCTGTGATACCTACCACACCTCATTCCATCGTAAATGTTATGGTTGCATAAATCCTCTACCCTCCCGTGTGTTGCTTCTATGGTTTTCAACTGAAAGTGCCCATGATGCACGGTGCTACACCTACCACTGTGTCTGCAGCAACAACACCTGCCACCAGCGTTCCGTTCGCTGCACCAACTACAGGCAATCAGGTTTGGCCATTTATTTAAGCTGTTCAGATCAAGATAACTACAATGTTTTGGTAATGCACAGTATATGCTTTTTGGATTGGTGAGATTCTTATGTGTTTCTTAAGCCATTGTCACATTTAGAATTTTTATTTTTGTGTATATTCTAGAATGCTATATGTGCTTTGCTATTCATCCCAAGATGAATCAGAGGAGTTTTGCTCATTTTTAATTGGTTACCAGATGTTGCTCTTGATATTCTATATTTAATTACTGGTAACACACCAATCCTCAAATGTATATACTTAATGTTACTTAAATGCTTCCTCATTGGTCAAGAGAATTTATTTCACTGCCATTTTTGATTATTGTGTTTAAACTTTGGCTTAGTACAGTCATCACCTTTACCTTCAGATCCACTGGAGAGAAAACAAAATATCACATTTCTTTCCAAGACATGGATATCCTTATCATTTCGCAGTGATTACATCAGAAGTTCCTTCTCATATGGACATTAGATGTGCTTGTTGTTTTGATTTTTATTTGCTTTAGGTATTTCTAGGCAGAGTTCACAAGGCAGATTATAAGTTTGGGGGGAGTCTTGAAATTATAAGGAGATACATACAATAATTATTGTATAGTATTAGGGCCATTTTGCCTTATTAAAGTGGGAACCATGCTTATAGACTAAAAGATCCACATATATAACAACATAAACAGAATTCTCCCAAGAAACTATTTTAATCTAAAATCTTTTTTACTACTATAGATACCCCAATTATCAATAGATGAACTGAATAGCAGCATGTTTGTTTCACAGATGTAGAAGTTCTCAGTAGAACAGTAAGTTTCTTTCAGTATTAATATAAATAATATTTATAGGCTACATATTTTATTTACACAATTGCACTTCTAAAAGGCTTTCGTAAATATTTTCATTCATAGACATTGCTTGTGATGTAGAGCTTGATTTACACATTATAAATTTTCCAAATTGAAATGTGAGTGCAAATATGCAATATTTTTTATATGGCAATGACAGCTGGTACTGTATTTTCTCAATGAGCTAACACATTCTTAAATGTTTTCCTATTATTAAAGGAATATATAATTTGTTAGCCAGAGGCACAGATTACTTTTGAGTTGTAATTCTTTAACCATTTTATAGCTTCATTTTTTTTTTGAAGATCAAACAAGAATTTTCAGGATTTGACTGATATGATTATGTTAAACACAGTAAGCACTATGCCTGTCATGTGACATTGTATTGAATTTTGAGTGACATAATTTAGTAACTGAGTCATTATTTTCATTCCAATCATGTCTCTTTTTTAAAATTTTTGTTGTTGTGGGATTTTTTTTTTCTCCTTCACCCTCAATCTCCTCTTTGCCTGGTGCCCATCATGGCACACACTTTTTTAAGCAATCATTCACTTAAGAACATGTGATTTCTGAAGCCACTTAAGACTCCTAGGTATTTTAATTAATTCTAGGGACTTACTAAAATAGTGTACCAACTCTGAATTGCATACCTTCATCATCGAAAGTTTGAAGTTCTCACACCTGGAGTGTGTCATTTGGTTGAAGGAGGCAGCAGTTCTGTTCCCTCGTGAACTAGTTCCCCAGACCCCAGCTAGCCCTTCTTTCCTGCTGAGGACACACGGGCTTAGAACACTAAGTGTTCTGGACAGAGCAGATAGCCGACTGGACATTAAATAAATAGGTCTCCTCAATCATAAGGAAGGATTTTAAAAGGCACCTTTGAGCACATGGGATAACTGAAGGAGCTATAAATTGTCATTGTTTCCAGAGGTGTCATTTGGGATAGTGGCAACTTGGAAATAGCACTAAACATGATAATGTAGGTTTTGCCAACACTTGCCCAACTTTCATGGGCTGCTTTACGTCAAGGTAACCACAAGTTGTCAAATTAACTTTCCAACAGAGCATGTTAGGGAAGAGTGATTCCTTCTTGCTTGATTTTGTTAGAAATGTAGAGATATTTGGCAGAACATAATCACTTCAATATGTAATAGGTGCTAAAAATTCCTCTAAAGTTCAAAAATGTAATTTTGTACAATACAATACCCAGATTTCACAGGTAGGCTACTTCTGCATGGCTCTAAAACATTCAGAGAAAAAGTTGAAAGTGTATTTAATATTTGCATATTTCAAAATGTTCGGTATCAAACATGTTTTCTCAGTACATGCCTGTTGAAAGGTGGACACATGGGTGTATGTTCAACAAAAAGTAGATAGATAATGCCTTAAACATTGGATTGCATCTCTGTTAGGACAGTTCTCCACATTAGCACTCAAAGGGTATCATAGACTATCATAGATATATGGTTCTTTCATGATCATTCTCAAAAGCCCCATTTCAATCTGAAATTCAGATTGGGGATATTTTGGCACTGTTAACAGACAGAACTGGAACAAGACCCACCACACTCTCCTGACTCTTCCTTCAATAACCTTTCAATATTTCTCACTCTTTCTTTCTTTCTTTTTTTTTCCATTTCAGCTGAAATTCTGAACAGCAGAGTTATGGAGTATCAGAATCTTTCCATGGAAACCTCCATATGGCCTTTCTATATATATTCTCGTATGTCTTATTCTACCAACACAACAATAAGCGTGTTGCAGTCAATGTATTAAGCAAAGCAAACCTGCCAGCCAGCAAATTCAAATAAAAAATAAAGCATTAAAAATCAATGGAGATGTTAAAACAACACAAATAGAAAACTAGTAACTACCATCCATCCTATTTGAATTATCAAGCAGAACATGACCATAAAATTTGGTAACTTGTTACATTACTCTTTGTGATTTTCTAATAACCATGCTAAGTGTATTTCCACAGTGAGCTTTTGGCTTACTATATACATTCTTGGTGGATAAATTGTTCATCTGTTTTTGAAGTGTTACCTTACTATTTTGTTTACAAGATAGTCTATTGGGTTGATTCAGGATGTAACAAATATATTCAGTACCATTTCTTGTGTTGTATTGTGTTGTGCTGTGTTAGGTTTTTACATACTGTAGTGTTTTGCTGTATATGTGTGGTGTTTGATTTCAACTAAAGTGTTATTAGTGGGGAACAGAAGTATATGTGCTTAAGAACATGACAGGTTCATGCAAATATGCTCTCTTTCTTTAGAATATTTCTGTAGGTTTCTTGGGACTGACATTTAAAACGCCTCACTTTTGAATGTGCACAAAACCTGCTCATTAACATGCATGTGTATAATTTGTACCTGCAGATCTGATGTTGCATAATACAATCAAATTACTAGATTTTTTAAAGAGAGAAATAATTACCTGCACAAAGCAGAGAACTTCATAAAACATTAACCCCTAATTCACTCTTCTTAAATAGCTTGGCAAATAAGACTTTACCTTTAAATGAATTTCTCAGCATTTATACTAAAAATTATGTAAAGTGCTCATTAGATTTTTTGTGTGTGTGGCTTGAGAATCCCATCTCCTAAATTGAGTGTCTAAAACTGAGCCATTTGTCATCTTCAGCTGAGAAACTGGTACTTGGGAGCTTAAAAATATGCTAATTACAAGTTATAAATCAAACGGAGAGATGGGGGCATGGAGATAGTTTTTACGTACTGGAGGAAAGTGTGTAAAACCATGGCAATGTCACCTTTTACACAAATGCCATTTTCCAAATGCAAATGGCTCATGCTCTTTAGACTACTCTTTGAATAACAAGTAAGATGCAATCTAGCAAAAGTCAGTCAGGGTGAAAGAGAATTGGTTGCAAATGAGGACTTCCCTCCCCAAATGGACAGTCTTCTCTGTTGATCACAGAGGGAGCCTGAGTACAGGCTTGGAGAAATGGCTAGGACAGGGAACAGGGAAGCACTTACAATTATTCCTTGATTTATTCAAAAGAACTGGGAAAGATGGTTGTAGTTGTCTTTAGCTTCGGTTCAACTGAGTTTCGTTTTGTTAAACAGTTCAGTGAAGGAGAAAGCACCTGTGATATATGGCAAGTGTCCCCCTGCCCAAACTTTAACATCAGACCCTCTCACATCATAACCAAGCCTCTTTTATGCTTGTTTGGATTCGTTTGCCTTTATATATGTTTGAAAATGACAATAGAAAGGGTTTTATCACCCTTTGAATGAGACAGAGTGGCTATACTCCACAGAGCTCAGCTGAGTTCACATTACTAATATTTATGAAAGAATTTTACAACCAAATAATTCCTGTGGTGTGTGACATATCTCATCCACTCTACTCATTTATTAATGTTATTATACAGTGGTGGAAACACATGACATTTTACATCAAGTAATAGATTTAATATTTTCTAGTAAATAGGCGCTCTTCCACCAGAAAGTATAAAACCATCATATACATATATATATATATATATAATGGTTTTTCTCCTTCATGAAAATGACAAGTAAAAAGCAAATCTGATTGAGGATACCTTAAGCTGGCTAGAAGTGTTTGAATCACAGAACAATGGAATTAGCAAAATCCTTTTTATAGTTGATGGAACTGAATCCAGGGGCATATGACTTGCCCAAGGCTACCTTAGCCATTGTGGGACCCAGAAATATCTCCTGCTTCCCATTGTTCCTCCTTTTCACATTGTTTTTGCTTCAGAACATTTGATGCTCTCTTCCAAAGCAGACCCATTTGGCTCAGAATATAAGAGAGCAAAATTAGCTTTCTGGGAATTGATACTCTGTTGATCTTAATTATCCATCCAAATCCTGATCAACAGTGCTTTCTAAACAGCCTTGCTTGTATTGAGTCATTGTCAGCTGTTGACAATGTTGCGTGGAATTAGAGATCAAGAGTTGTCCTGACCTTTACCTATGGACTCTTTGAACCAGTTAATTTCTATTTCTGAAATCTTAACATTGCTATAGAAGAAAGTAGTGTATGCCTTTTTGAAATTCATCATGTATGGAACTGAGTTTTGTATGATCCGTGCCAGTGCCTCTCCAGAAGGGCAGATCTGATTACATGAATCCAGGAGGGATGCACCTGAGCTAGTCTGGATATATTCCTTAAAGGAGACAAGAACTTTTTTGTGCAAAATGAACTTTTGTGTAGTTTGACATCTGCATGCAGTGAACTGTCTCACTTAACTTTTTCAACTTTGGGCAAAGATATACATAAACCATAGATAATAGACCTACAGTACAGCTGTTTTCATGTTGCGTTAAGCACTGGAAGACATTAACAATGACTTACCTTAAAGTAAAAGGTTCCGTGAGGGGTATTTAGGGCCACTGTATTTTTGGTGCCACAATTTTCTACATTGTTGGCATTTTAAAAGTTGTTTTCTAAATGAACTTAAAGAAAGAAAGCTCAAAGCCCTAAAGTTTTGATCAAATTCAATAGAGTTTTCAGAAAAAAATACAATTTTAAGATAGCACTCTTTAAACTAGATGTGCAATGACTTATTCAAATTATCTTTATTCAAGAAAAGAGAAAAGAAGAAAGATAAGTCATTAGACTATAAATTTCCATTTAAAAAGACAAGTCACAAAACTAATCAGTGACTCTAAACAAAAATTTACTGGATGAATTGTATATATAAAATTCTAATCACTTATGATTCTTAGTTAACATTTTATAAGCTTTGTATTTTACAGGGGCCTCTATTTATCCAAATTTATTGTTTTTGTCCATTTTTCTCAGCCTTTTGCAAAAAATATGCAAGAGTGCTGAAACTTGGATAAAACGGGTCATGTATACAGAGAAAATAATCTAAAAGTTATCTTTAAGAGGGTTTTAGTAGTGTCAACTTTTTAAAAAAGTACTATGTGACCATAACATACGTATATTTTAAAGAGGGATTAAGATTAAATTAAAATAAATGGATTCATAAAATTGCTATTTAAATACAGTATTTACTTTTGTAATTGAAGCATGATTCCACAACCAGCTGTGGCATTTTATTTCACTTTTCTAGATCAGAGGCTTTAATTTGTAGTTAATCATGATGTGGAAAGTCATCTTCTCTCTACTCCATCAATTTTTTTCATCCGTTTTTGAACATGCTGAAGCACTTTGATCTTGCCATAAGTGTTGTCCTATACCACTAGGTGGTGTTCACTAATGGGAGGGCCTCAGCTCACCGGCTCTCCAATTTGGGAAAAAGCAAGTACCTCCTCCCTACCATCAGCAGAAACTGAATGAAATTAATCTTTGCAACTTGAATCTGTTTTAAGTAGCATTACCAATAAGCATAGTGGTATCTGAATAAGGAATGACATTTACATTACATTTTATTAAATAAGAGAGAAAGTTAATGTGCTACTTGAAATGTTATTTGGTTCTTTGTCCCCCTCATTGCAGAGTATAGATAAGGATGCTCTTAGGTAAAATGCAGCCACAAGTTTTCCGAGTTCCTTTAGTCTGTAGGGTAGGCTATGAGGTACAGAATGATTAGAAACTGAAATCCTCATTATTTTTCTCTCAAATACATTTCACATACATTGAAACAGAAATAGGCAAAATTTATGAGGGAAATCTGATTTCCCAATTCTGATGAATAGATATACTAAGACAGTAGCCTTGTTTAACCAGTGCCTGTAGAAGGCACTAGAATAAATAGCATGTCCAAGAGTATAACAACTTTTTTTGTAAATTTAGTTACTAGCCTAATCAAACTGTAAATATAACTCACTAATTGGTACCATATTTTCATTTTTCTTATTGTTCATCTTTAAGGTTTCATTTTATTGCTTTTTTGTAGCTCTAAGTAACTAATCAATTTAATTTCAAAGGAAAGTTAAAGAAAGTTTAAGCTTTTACTGCATGGATTCTGCCCGCCTAGCTAGGTTCTGAACTGACACTGAAGTATGACAAGATACAGATTATAGTCCAAAACTATCCTTTACAGTTCACAATTTAAGAACAAATTTAACTTTATATACAAATAATAATTGTTATCTAATTATATTTAGTTGTTGCTTTGGCAACAAAATTACAACATGGCTACCTTTAGACATTTGTGTATGTGAACATTTTACTTGTAAACTATAGGTGATTTGTGACAGTATGAGCCTGTAGAAAATACAGCTCAAAACTATGAAAACAGACATGGTTGAGTTCTTTTTTAATCCCAAAGGCCCATATATAAAAGCTGAATTTGTGTCCTTGTGTGACTTTTTGTGAAAAAGTTTATAACACATGGATTCTAGAATCAGGCTTTATAGTTTATAGAATTTGTTGTGTGGATAGGGTTATTCCACAGTATTTAGACTTCAAAACGCAATCATTGCATTTTTAATACATTACCTAACTTTTTTTATAACTTAATTCAAAATTACCCCATTCAAGTGGCATAGCTGTAGCTGCAAAAATTCTGTTTTCTGGAATTACATGAGCAAATATAGCTATATGAGGATTAATGTATGACTAAAGCCTCTTTTGAAATTAATTCATATTTTTAAAACTATACATAAAGATACTGTGGAATGACCCCTTAACAGTGTTTAAGAAACATATGCTGCAGTTAATTGACTGTCTCAGTTAGGGTGCGGATGTGTGAGACACACCTTTTTTGCACTTATGTACATAGTCCATGAAAGCAATCCTTGGAGCTTTTTTTAAATGTAAGAAGTCTGTGATAATAGTGGAAAAGTTAGTAAGAGAGAGTTATTTCTAAGGCTTTGAAAAGGAGGGTGTTTTTGCTCTAAGACTTAACTAAAGCATAATGTTGCTTTGCTGTTACGGAGGCTTTCTAGTTTGCTACAGGTCACCAAAAGAGAAGGCTAGTAACAGGTAACAGGTCAGCCTCAGCTAACAGCACTGAACAAGAGTAGAATAACTTCATCTTTTAACAAGATCATTAGCAAAGATTGTTTGCTTTTTAAATTAATCCCCCCTATAAACACACACACACGTGTGCACACACACACACACACACACACACCGGGCAGTTTCTAGAACAAGTTTTCCTTTTTCAGTGGTTGTAAGCAGTGAAATACCTCATGTATTACAAGATAGATATTACCGTTATGATAGAATAAGATTTCATCTTTCACAGAAAGTGATCAGCTGATATATGTGTCAGTTAAAATGTTTATCAATTAATAGGTATTTAAGTGACAAATTGTTAATGTTGACCATTGTTCCTCCTTTAAGATCCAGTAACCAAAACCAAATCGGTAACCATTGAAAGATGATATTTAACAGTTAAGGATGGCCAGCATAGGGCCGTTCATTCCCTTCAACAAAGGGAAAAAAAATGCTCCTGGCACAACTTTATAACTGGCTTCATTTACATTATACCTGTTCAGTGGAAGCTGTTTTTTGACCTACCTTTACCAGATTACAAAGTAGTTAACTGTGCCACTTCAGCCTCCCACTGTTTTGTTTTAACTAAACAGAAGAGAACCAGCCAAAATCTTACGTAACACAGGAGCTGGAAGACAATGTTTCAATCTGACCATCTCTGCCAATTTTAGCTCCCACGCCACCTATAGATAGCCAGTTAACTTTCTTTTTGCCCCCAGGCAATGAGGCCTAGAAGAGGTCAAGGTTAGAAAGGTTAAGCATTTGATCACTACAGGTACTTGTAGTACCTAGAGAAGGAACCCATCCTGGGGTTGGTGGAGTTGGTATTGCTACTCGTTTTGATAGTTCTCATTTACAGAGAAAGAAAAATAAGCCAAAGCCAGAAAGCAATCCAAGCCTTACAGTTGTCCAATACCTCAGGGCCAGTTGGCTAGAATTTTCTTTTCCCTCAGCCCATAATCACTTAGAGTTAGCCATACAACAAACAGCCTGACAATCTGACCAGCATTTCCATTGATATAAAATGTAAGCATTCCTTCATTCTGTAGTTAGGAACTCCAACTTCAGCCTTATCTCCAACATAATTTCCCAATTTAACCTATGTACTGATATGGACATTTCTTTGTGAATATGCCAGATTCAAGAATGTATTTTTCTAAGGTCAATAGAGATACGACATTTTAAGTCAGGAAAAATCACCTATAAATTAGTAGGAATAACTGTAGAAGCATCACAAAAGATACCCCATGAATAGATGGCATGGTGTGCATGCTGACAGCCACGGGGTCATACTCTGGAGTTTCAACATAGAGGCTGTGTTTCAATAAATAAGACAAATTGGGGAATTAAGTAAAACAAATGGATGTAACTGAGGCCCCCCCCCAAAAAAAGCCCTCTATTACTAACCTCAAGAAAATATTTAGTTTGACTAATTTGTGCAGTTTCCAGCTCTTCTACTTGTTCTTGCCTGTAAGAGAATCACTAATACTCAAAAGCTGGATTATTGAAGAGAAATTTTATCTTTAAATAGAATCCATCCACAATTATGGTATATGTAAAAAAAATGTATGACTATGAAATAAGTCGCAGCTCTTTGCAGATATTGCAAAATCCTTGCTAGGCATCTACATCATATTAGTTTTTTAAAAAATACCTCTGTAACAAGACCTAAAAGTAACCTAACTATTAAGCAGTGCTTTTTTCTCTGAAAACACACAACCTAAAGATTTATCTGTCATAAAACTGCATGGTTCCAGAGCTTTATTTCTGTGTAGAGATGCTATTTGTTAGTGATGGAAACAAATTACTTTGTTGCTATGTCTTTTGTGTCTAGCAGTTGAGAGAATGATATGACCATCATATCACTGGATTATGGGAATGAATGCCCTTTTCAAAATAAACTTATTTATTAATATTTTAATATTATTTTAATATTATAATATTAATAATATTTTAATATTATTGTTGCTGCTTTAACAGAAAATGAGCCATTTGTCCCCATGCTCCCAAATTACAATGATTTAAATTAAAAAACTTTTGAAGGATTTTCCTAAATATATTCTTTTTTAAAGGACTAACTTTGTGCATTCATATAACAACAATTTGGAATAATGTGAAAAATGGAGGCACATAATTTGGGTGGAAAATGGCGATTAAAAATATATATAAGAAAATTATTAGCCATGTGTAACATATTTAAATAATGACCAGAATATTTCATGAGTACCAACTCTTCCCATAGTAATTTTCCTCCAAAATGCAATAGCTCATTCCCTCAACTGCAGACGCTTTGATTTTTTTTCAAGTTATAGTGCTGTAGTGCTTGTTTATGTTTAAAAGTGCACATTATGCAGCTCATTTTAGTATGCTACTTCTATGTTTATTTTTTGTTCTTCTAATAAAATGCATAAACTTCTTGGTTATGTCTTTTTTTATGAATCCATATTCACACATTAGGAGTTCACTTGAAGGCTATTCATGCTCTAGTATATTAATCCTAATATTTAGTAATTCTAAAATGAAATTTAAATTTCTGATTTGGCTCAATGTTATATTTCATACATAGAGTAAATTTATTTCCAAATATACCATCAGTATTTTGAATTATGTAGATAATATATCCGTTGTGTTAGACCTATTACTCTTATAAGATTGAAGTTACTGACACAAGAAAAACACTTCTATTTTAATAAAAGAATACTTAAAATTTTGAGAGAATGCTTACTAGTTTCTCTTGTGCCTCAGAAATCCTGAGGCATATTCTAAGATGCATTATTAGAAGTTTCTCTTTCCCAGTTATTCATGTCTATCCTGCATCCCTAGTGTAACATATGAAACCAGTGTTGTTTATTTCATACTTTCCAGATGGGCATCAATCATTTCATAACAATGAGATGCATGAATTTTTCCATTAAAATGTTTTCTCTCACTTAAAATTGGTTATCTTCAACAAATGGCACAGTAATAAAAGGATGATCATTTTTGTTCTTTAAGAAAGTAAATGTAATTTAGTAATACTTTATTCTGCCTTATTTCAAAATGCTTCAAAAATGCGAATCTGGAACTTCTCTGCATTGACCACTGTTCTGGAGTTGGGCTGATAGAAAACTGCGGTGAAGAGAGTTTAGATCAGAGGCTATGGCAGAGCAAAGTATTACTGATGTGTCTCTTAACAGTGAAGAGGGTCGGGGAGGAGGTTGGGTCCTTGTCAAGTGTCAGCTGCCCTATACATAGTTCTCTTGCCCCTTGTGCCCTGTTTTACTATTTCTAAGGTGGTTCCCATGATGGCATTTCTTGATAAGCCCACTTTGAGCCGTTTAATGTTTTGTAGGTGTTTCTGTGAGTCTGATAATACCAGCACTAAAAACAGTTCAGTATATAGACATTTACAAGAGGTCTTAGGCCTCTTCAGAATTCAGTTAATGTCTTTCTCTTTGAGGCTGCTGAATGTTAGGTAAGAATTCAGGGCAAGCATTCCCGACCATCATCAAATTGGAGACTTGGAGTTTCTATTGGCTGGAAGAAAGTTGACCCACAGGCAAAACCAGATGTAAACCAAGTTTGTCTTGGGTACTTTTCAAATTCTTTTCACAGCATCCTTTTCTCATCCCTCATGGTGGCCTCTGGCCCTGGAAAATCCTCATGATAGCAACTTATCAGGCCTGTTTCCTCTGATAGATCTGGACTTTTCCCCTTAAGTGCTTTCCTGTTGGGCTTCTCAGACTATGGAGAACTGCTCATAGTTGAGATCTAAGAGACAAATTACCCTATGGTGTTCAAGAATGGCCGTATTTAGTATACTGCCTGTCCTGGAAGTGTTCACATTTAAAAAGGCATGACTTTCCAATGGGCAAATATCAGACACCTACATGCATAGATAAGGGAAATATGTTTTACTTAAGCAAACTTCTAGGCATTGAATCTCAGTGTTTAGGTGCAGAGATGGAATTCCTATAAGCAATGCAGTCATTCACCACATCAGGAAGGCCAAAAAATGAACACTCTCGTAATTTTGTTATTATCTGGAAAGTTCTGATATGATAATGAACCTAAAATACTGAATAGATAGTGAACATCCTAAAATTCCACTGACCAGAATCCATTCCCATGGTCATCATCTGTAGAGGGCATGATACAATGACAGGCCTGAGGTATGATTATAATTCTGGAGTAATTTAAAGCCTATATTTGTTAAACTTTAACAGATGGACACACATTCTCTGATTTTCTACTTGGCTCTTTCCTGTACTAGAAATGCGCATTTAACTAAACCTTCCCAGCTTTTCTGTTCAGTGCCTGACTTACACTACTCCCTTAGGCAGGAGGACAGTGGGTGTCTGGGGAATAAAAGCCAAGAGCTCCAAACAGAGGATTTTGGATACAAAGGGCAGCCACCAGGAAATAGCTTTGTGAGAGGGACAGACTATCTGATTCCCATTTGTACAAACATGTCCAAAGCAAAAGCACAGCATTCTAAAGTGGATGCAGAAATTAGTATACAATGGCAGTTCTGGCCAGTGCAGCCCAGCATTTTTCTGTTGTGCATGGAAAGAACACAGTGAAAAGGCAGGCAGGGCATCCGGTGCAAAGTGCAACAGACATAGACACACAAATCCAGTTTTCCTGATGAGAGAGGGAGCTATCTCTTCATAAGTGATGCAATGCAATGCAGGCATGTACAAGTACAAGGAAAGATTTATTTTTAAAAAATCATAGTGTAACTGGATGAATACCAGCAACAGCACCTGCTAAAGCAAACAGCCTGTTCATTAAAAACTGGACTTGAGGGAATGGAGAAAGAATCTGAGGAGCCTGCAGTCAGCATGCTTGCAGAGACCTTATGGCTACAGAAGACGATGATTAACCCATAGAGGTTCAATGTAGTTTTCAAGAAGAGGGTGGGAAAGCATAAGATGGGGACTAAGACTTTGCCTTTAACCTTCATGACATGAAGAATTGAATGACTCTTTGTTGGAAAAAATGGCAGTTATGAGATAATTGGATCCATGTTAATTATATATATTTCTGTATATATAGTAAGTGGTTATTGATGTGCCTTTGTTAACCATTTCACTATTTAATAAATGTGTGTGTAGTTTATTCAAAGTGTTTCAGTCCTTCTCAATTTCTATGAAAAAAGTCCCAAGTTAAATCCACTTACGGGTAGTTATACTAGGAAAACTTGCACCCATAAGAATCCCTGCAAACAGTGGTCATAATTTGGGGCTCACAGAAAGGGCTGCCAATGAAAGTCAAGCGGTATTTGTTCTAACAATCACACCCCATTTTCACAATTCATATACAAAACCTCAGTGATAAGCAAGTGTTTACCATAAACTGAACTACAAGCCAGCGGTAGAGAACACTCTAATAAGCAACTCCTTTCTTCTGATGGACACCATCAGAAATACTAAAGAAGCCTGGAATCTCAGTGTCATTGGGATGAAATTCTGGATCCAGAGGAACACCCAAACCACTCAGGAACAATATCCAAGGAGTGTCAGGCATCCCAACATGTTGTCCTCTACTCTCCACATTCTGGAGAAATGTTCCTATGGGGGAAAAAAATACAGCTCTAGATATTGTTAGGGTGGCTTAGGGAAAAGTCAGTCCAAGAATAACTTTTTTAGTAATAACAGACTAAAAAATAATTGGAAAATTATGATTATGAATGTATTCAGTGCTGCGCCATTTGACCCTTCTCCTTTCTGCTCCATCCTCCACATTACTGCCAGAGTCATTTTCCTAAAGTCAGATGGTGGATTATTTCGATTCCTGATTAAAATCTTTACAGCTCCTCAATATCTATGGAATAGTCTACACTCTGACATAGCACTCTTTCGTGCTCTGCCCTTGGGCGTGCCCTTCACCTTTCCCCTCTGCCTTCTGTAATGTGTTATAAAAGCAAGCCAAAGGTGAACAGTGGTTCAAACAGTAAAAACAGATTTTATTCAGGACTATTGCCATATGGGAAAAGAGATTTCAGTATTGAACAGGGTTCAATTCTAAATACAACAAGGAAAACTGGGAATTTATAGCCAAGGAGCAGGGTAGGGGACAGTGGATGGAAGATTACTAAGAGGAAACATCAGAGATAAGGGGCAGGGTGGGGTGGGGGGTGGATTCTGGCTAACCTGACCTAACAGGATTCTTGCTGAAGACAGGTCAGGGTGAAAAGACATCAACTGGGAGTTGGTAGAGGATGAGAAACCTGATCAGATATCAAGGGTGGGCTTCTGGCTAAACCAACTTGGCAAGATTCTTGCTAAAATTGAGCAATGCAAAGACAAACATGGAAGTGTAAACATTGAGGCCAAGTTGGGAAGAGGACTCAGAGGAATCTGACTAAAGTTTAATCAAGGAAAAACTTCATCACTGTACATTCCAGGCAAGTTAAAGCACTGTTGGGGAAATGTAATAAAACAAGAGATCTTCTCCCAATCCAGAAATCTTCTCCAGAAAGATAGTAAAGAAAGAAAACACTCTTATTATTGAACAAACATTAAACCAGAATGTGATGTACATCACAGGTAACTTGCTAAGAGAATGCAAAGACAGAAAGGAATCTCACCCCCTAATATAGCCAAGCAGATACAACCCATTACATGTATGTTCCCAATATAAGTAATGACTAGTCCTTGAGCAAGAGGATTTGAGAGCACCTTTTGTCACACAAAATTTTGTCCTAACTTTATGGTGATAATTGGAGAAGTCACTTGTGTTGGCTTTATCTGAAGAAGAAACAAATTTTCTCATCTATTTTAAGCAGGAGGTAGTTTTGCAAACTGGAGCAAGGCCCATGAAAGTTAGGCTCTTACCCTCCTATGGGAACTAGGGGACAGGGTTGCTACCTCCCTTGATGTTTGCATTTCAAAAAGATAGCTCCTAGGAGTTGTAAGACTGGAAGAAAGGCTTACTTATTTAGCTATTAAAAATATTTGCATAAAAAAGACTTGCAAAGGACAGAGAAAGAAATTTTAAAAGAAAACGGAAGGGGGTAGTGTAGAAAGAAGACTCTTCCCTTATGTTCAACAGGGAAAATTAAGCTTCTTATTTTTAACTTGTATCTGCCTTACACCACTCTCTGTTTCCCAGATACACACCATAGGTTCCCATGTCTGCCTTTTCGTCTCAACTTGGAACATCTTTTCTTCTTCTTCTTCCTCTTCTCTGCAAACCCATCCTATGTTGACATGGTTTGGCTGCGTCCCTATCCAAATCTCATCTTGAATTGTAGCTCCCATAATCCCCACATGTCCTGGGAGGGACCCAGTGGGAAGTAATTGAATCACTGGGGGTGGGTTTTTCCTGTGCTGTTCTTGTGACAGTGAATAAATCTCACGCGATCTGATGGTTTTATAAAGAGCACTTCCCCTGCACATGTCTCTTGCTTGCTGCCATGTAAGATGTACTTTGCTCCTTCTCCACCATCTGTCATGATTGTGAGACCTCCCCAGCCATGGGGAACTGTGAGTCCTTTAAACCTCTTTCTTTTATAAATTACCCTGTCTCAGGTATGTCTTTATTAGCAGCATGAGGATGGACTAGTACATATGTATGTATCAACTAGCACTCCCTTGAGGTCTTCTCTGGCCTCACCTGCTACACTGAGATGCAGCTAATATTTTTTTAGTGCTTACCAGGTGATCTCAAAGCTCAATTCCCACATCCTCTATAGCGCTTCTAACGTTGTCTCTGTGCCTCCTTCATTAAATCTGGCTTCTCAAGAGCAAGAACCATGTCTCTTTGATTTTAGTATCCTTTATGATACTTGGAACAGTAGCCATACAGTACAAATGCAATAAAAACTTGGGGGAGAAGGCCGGGCGCAGTGGCTCATGCCTGTGGTCCCAGCACTTTGGGAGGCCAAGGCAGGCGGATCACGAGGTCAGGAGATCGAGACCTTCCTGGCTAACACGGTAAAACCCCATCTCTACTAAAAATACACAAAATTAGCCGGGCGTGGTGGCGGGCACCTGTGGTCCCAGCTACTCAGGAGGCTGAGGCAGGAGAATAGTGTGACCCTGGGAGGCAGAGCTTGCAGTGAGCCGGGACTGCGCCACTGCACTCCAGCGGGGGCGACAGAGCGAGACTCTGTCTCAAAAAAAAAAAAAAAAAAACTTGGGGGAGAAATAACTAACAAGTCAGGGCACTTTTATTATAATGAAGAAAGAAAATCCATTCAAATAAAAGGGATTCATGTAATGATATAGAAAAATTTCAGTTTCCAGTTGCAGGAAGAACAACTGGGCCTCATGAAATTGAAAAGTTATCAGATGGCTTGTTTCTCCCCTGTCTTTCTCCCTGCCTTGATCTCTCTGTGTCTGTCTGTCTGTGTCTCTCTGCTCCATTCTCCTGCTTCTGTGTGCAAACCAGCTTTCTCTGCTTACTTATAAGCACTGATAATAACTTATCAGTGATTGATCAGGACTACTCCCAGAATGGCAGCCTTGTACCAAGAGTCTTCATGAGTGATAGCCAACCTGAGAAGCACCTGCAAGGCTTATGAAACAAAGATTGCTGGGGACCCACCCCACAATTTCTGATTCAGCAGCTATGATATGAGGTATGAGAATTTGCATTTCTAACATGTTCTCAGATGGTTGATTCTAATGCTCTGTGGACTACACTTTGAAAACCATTGATTGATATGAACTTCAAGCTTGACTCCCCACAGAGAATTGACTCAGTCACTGGGTTCCAATGCCTGAGTCTCATGAGAGAGAATCTGATTGGCCCAATTTGAGTCAGATGCTATCTCTGTTGCACTTAGTTGTGGCCAAGAGGTTGGAGTCACATGGTACATATGACATGTTGTCTCTTTGAGGCTGTGGGTTGGGAAACTTTCCCAAGAAGGTAGATCTCTAGTACAGTCACTGCCATGGCTGTTTTTAAAGACATTAGATTTTCTACACTGAATTAGTTCCTTGGTTCATGTGGCTCAATTCTCCATAGCCAATAGAGCTGATAGGAAAATAATAACCATCTATTGGGCATCACCAGCCAGTCATCTAAAATTGAATCAAAACTTTATGCTCAGCCCTAAAATCATAATCTTCCTGGGCCGGGCGCAGTGGCTCACGCCTGTAATCTCAGCGCCTTGGGAGGCCGAGGCAGGCGGATCATGCGGTCAGGAGATCGAGACCATCCTGGCTAACACGTTGAAACCCTGTCTCTACTAAAAATACAAAAAATTAGCCGGGCGTGGTGGCAGGCGCGTGTAGTCCCAGCTACTCGGGAGGCTGAAGCAGGAGAATGGCGTGAACCTGGGAGGCAGAGCTTGTGGTGAGCTGAAATCGTGCCACTGCACTCCAGCCTGGGTGATAGAGCAAGACTCTGTCTCAAAAAAAAAAAAAAAATCATAATCTTCCCTCTCAAATATGCTGCTCTCCAGTCAGTAGTGCAAGTCAGAAACTTATTTGACTCTTCCTCCTTTACTCCAATCTATAAACTTTTGTCAATTCTATTTCCTAATTATTTTCTCTATCCCTACTATGCCTGGTTAGTTTAACTTTACACCCTACCTCCAGTGATTTTTTTTCTAAATCTGTTCTTCACATGACTTTCAGAGTGATCTAGCTAAAGCAGCTTCTCAACCTTAGCTCTCAGGACAGTTGTGTTGGGCACGGGACAGCTGGAGCCTGCGCCTGTTGTCTTCAGCAGCATGCAGCTGCAAGTCTACCTCACCCAGAGTGCCACACAAAAATTATCATGCTGCATATACTAAGATGTGATATGAAAAGAGATTGGGAAGCTTGGATCTAAAGCACAACTTTGACTACGCACCTCCTCTGCTTAAAAACTTTCAAAGACACCCCATGGGTCTTGGGATAAAGCCTAAATACACCTTACAATAGCCTATAACATCTGGCATGATCCAGTCCCTGTCTAACTCTCCAGCCTCATCTCTTGCCATTACTTGCCTTGGACTTGCTTCAACAAGCACACACTTCAACAGCACACACTCTGCTGTTTCATGCCTACAAGTCTTTGCCAGTGATTTTCTTTCTGCGTGGAATGTCCACGCTCCCCCTTTTTGCCTGGCTACCATCATTTGAGGATCTGTTTAAGTACCATATCCCCCAAGAAAACTTCCACTTCTGCTCCACACCTCCATTAATGTACTCCTTTTTGAAACTCCCATTATACCTTGAGCACGTGTCACTGGATTTACCACACTGTATTAAAATATTTTTTCTGCTTCTCCCACTATCTTGTGAATTTTTTTGAGTAGAAGTTATGTGTCTTATCTGTTGCTCTGTTTCCAGCAACTAGTGTAGCGATTAGAAAGTAGTATCATACAACTCAATAGCAACAACAAAACCCAGCTTGAAGATGAGCAAAGACTTGAACAGATATTTCTTCAAAGGTATGCAAATGGCCAATAAGCACATGAAAAGACATTCAACAGCATTAGGTAAAGGCAAATCAAATCACAATGAGATACCACTTGATAACCACTAGGATCACTATAATTTTTGAAAACCCAGAATGTAACAGGTGGTGAGAATGTAAAAATTGGAACACTTAGTGCTTTGCTGGTAAGTGTGTAAGATGATACGCCACTGTGGAAAACAGTTTGGTTGTTCCTCAAAAAGTTAAACATAGAATTACCATATGAATCAACAATTTCAGTCCTAGGAATATACCCAAAAGAACTGAAAGCAAGATCTTAAACAGACATTTGTACACCCATGTTCACAGCAGCATAATCCACAAGGGCCAAAATGTGGAAGCAACCGAAGTGTCCAAAAACAGATACATGAATAAGAAAAATATAATATATGCATAGAATATTATTCAGCCGTAAAAAGGAAGGACATTCTGACATATGTTATAATATGGATGAACTTTGAGGACATTATGTGAAATAAGCCATTTCCAGAAAGACAAATACTGTATAATTACACTTAAATGAGGTATCCAGAATTCATAGAAACAGAAAGGAGAATAGAGGTTGTCAGGGACTAGAGGGAGGAGGAATAGGTAGTGTTTAATGGGGTAAGATATGGTTTGGCTCTGTGTCCCAACACAAATCTCATATTGAATTGTAATCCCCACGTGTTGGGGGAGGGGGCTGGTAGGAGGGGATTGCATCATGGGGGTGGTTTCTAATGGTTTAGCACTATCCTTCTAGTGCTATCTCGTGATGGAATTCTCATGAGATATGGTTGTTTAAAAGTGCATAGCACTTCACCCTTCACTCTCTCTCTCCTGCCCTGCCATGGTAAGACGTGCTTGCTTCCCCTTCAGCTTCCGCCATGATGGTAAGCTTCCTGAGGCCTCCCAATCATGCTTCCTGTACAGCCTGTGGAACTGTGCATCAATTAAACCTCTTTTCTTCATAAATTACCCAGTCACAGGCAGTCCTTTGTAGTAGTGTGAGAACGGAGTAATACAGGGTATTATAGAGTTTTAGCCTTACAAGATGAAAAGAGTTCTGGAGGTGAATGGTAATGATGGTTGCACAATGAGAATGTACTTAATACCACTTAACTGTACACTTAAAAATAGTTAAGATGGTAAATTTTATGTTATGTATATTTCACCACAATTACAAAAATAAAAGCAGATGACTCCACTGCCTCTATGCTAAGCTTGGACACAAGAATTCCACTTCCAAGACAGGGAGACACAGTCCTGGGGATCAGTCTCACTCATTGTGCTACCCAGACATTTCCTTCTCAGGTTCTGCCATATCCCCCAGAGCACTGAGAAGGTACAGGATACACAACAAAATAGAAATAGGTTCCTAACTGAACTCCCTTCCTTTTATCTGGTCTTTTACATCGCTCAGGAAGTTTTCCAAATCTCTTTCCCATTTTGCCTTTTCTGTCGTTTCCATCCCCATGCCTTCATCTCTATCCCTGCCCCCACTTCCAGGACTATCCAGAATAATTCCCTAAATAAGGCAATGCTTTAAAAACCAGCCAGCCAACCAACAAACAGCAACAACAAACAGGATGAGAGTTGGGTTCTCATATCTGATTCAAAAGCACATAAACAATGGAAAATAAAGTCTTGGTTACCCACATGATATGGAAGGGGAAAATACCTACAGCACTGAGGAAAAAATATACCCTACTGTCACTAAATGATTCTTAGCATGAGCAGAATGGGAGGTGGCACATTGTAAGACTATGAGGGTCTACTTGTCAGGGTACTTCTGGTTGTAAGTGAAACACTTCAAAATAATGTTGGTTTAAGAAAAGAAGACATATATTAGGTCAAAGAGTTGACAGATCCTGAGTGGTTTGATTTCAGGCATAGCTGTATGCTGGCACTCAAGCTGTGAGGATAGAAATCTGCCTCTTTTTATCAGCTGTAATTTCTGTGTTTATCACTGAAAGGTCCACCCTTGCATCCATGTAGAAATAATCCAGAAAATAGATACTTGTTCCCAGTTGTTCCAGTGTAAGTCCTAGGGCTGATTCATACAGTTCTAGCCAGATGCTAATATCAGTTTGGGTCACATGCCCATTCCTGAAGCCAGAAAATAGAACATTCTCCTTGGCCAGGCTTGAGTTTATGTGCCTACTCTTTGAACCAGGCAGTGGGAAATCACCGCTCAAATCTTGTGGATTGAAAATGAGAGGGAGAGGGGGAAGGAGAAGAGGGAGAATGCAAGAGCTGGTTCCTTGAAGGAAAACCATAGTGTTTTCCCCGAACAATCGGAATGTATGTTGGATAGACAAAAACAACACATGAACACTATATTCCACTATTTGATAGCCTGCCGATTTACAAAAGCTCTTCGACTAATATAATTATATCATATACAGATGAAAGTGTACTTGTGCCCTCTATACAGAGACAACCCAAGTACATATACCCTAAGGGTATCCTTTTTTGTTTTTTTTTTTGTTTTTTTGTTTTTTTGACAGAGTCTTGCTCTGTCACCCAGGGTAGAGTGCAGTGGCACAATCTCGGCTCACCGCAGCCTCTGCCTTCCAGGTTCCAGCGATTCTCCTGCCTCAGCCTCCTGGGTAGCTGGGAATACAGGCGGATGCCACAATGCCCAACTAATTTTTGTAGTTTTAGTAGAGACAGGGTTTCACCATGTTGGCCAGGCTAGTGTCAAACTCCTGACCTCAGGTGATCTGCCCGTCTCAGCCCCCCAAAGTGCTGGGATTATAGGCATGAGCCACTGCGCCTGGCCAGGGTATCCAATTTTAAGTGCAAGATCTTTTAGTGATTTACAGTCATCTTGGACACGTCTTGATGTAGCTCCCCATGGTCTCACATTTATGGGTACATGATATTCGACTCCATCTAAAATATCCAATGTCCAATATTAGAGGGAAAACAGGATGAACTAAATAAAACCTCCAATTTGGAAGTATGATTCCATTTATACATCATTCTGGAAAAACGAAAACCATGCAGCGGAAGTCAGATCAGTGGTTGTCATGGGTAGGTGCAGGGGTCGACTAAAATGGGGCAACACGAGGGAATTTTGGAGGATGATAAATCTGTTTTATTTCTTAAATCTGGTGTTTGTGGTTTTATGACTATGCATTTGCCAAAACACATAGAACAATACACCACAAAGAATAAAATGTATTATACATAAACCCAAATAAGTCAATAAAAACTTCTTCCTTCGGCTTTTGTGACATTTCTCATTTTCCTCCTTACTTTTATCACTTATCCTCCTCTACTCAGAGAATATATGAAGATCTTCAGGGTTTAGCCCAAGGCCACCATACATATATATATGATAGAAAGTCTACACTATACTCAAAGACAATCTCATCCATTTCCACGATACACATCTCTAGCCAAGACACTTCTGACCTTCAGACCTTCTGATACACTTCAATGTCTTATAAGCATGTCAAACCCCACATGTCTAAAACAGAACTTAGTGCTATGTCTTCACCTTTAGCCATGCTTCTATCCCAATCTTCTCTATCTTAATAAATGATACCATTATCCACTTATTTGCTTAAGGCAGAAAAGTGGGAGTCATACTTGGTGTTCCCCTTTTCTTCACTTCCCACATCCAATCCTACCTCTTAAATTTATGTTAATCCTTACTCTAGTCCAAGCAGTTATTATACAATCCAGTTTCAACACCTTCCCTTTTTCTGTATTCTAACATCATTCTAAGCACTCTGGATTTCCTTCAATTCATCGAAAGCACTATGCCTTTGGGTCTTTGCCCATACAGTTCTTTCTTTCTGTAATACTTTTCTCTACCTCATCCCCCTCAGACTTAGCTAGATCTTAGCCTTCAAGTCTCAATGTAAGTTTCACTCTCTTAGGAGGCCTTCTTTGATTTCCTAAACTAGGTTAGGTACACTTGCTATCTACTTCCACATTGCTTTTATCATAACAGTGAATCCACAATTACTTCTTTCATATTTTATTCCTCTGCTACAATCTAAGCTTCATGAGGGCAGGACTATGTCTGTGTCATTTTCTCTCATCCTCAGTACCCAACACTTGACAAGCAATGCTTGCTAAAGATAGAGACAGGTAAGTGAAGTTAGAAGTTTATACTACAGATCCAGAGGCATGTGTGGACACCAAATGCATACTCGGACCTCTTTTGGAGGTATGTGATTCCACTCCTCTGCACTTTCTTCAGTTTGTTTTCCACCATCCTTAGGATGCTCATCTAACACTGACTCTCCCCACTCTGAGTTAGTGAGGGAGAAGCTTTCAAAAGTGATGGAAGGCTGCCACCCTGGGTTAGAGGGAAATGTATAGAGGTGTGGTAGGTTCTCTTGTCTTTTTTGGGCTTGTACACACTCCAACCACCTAGATGATCAACTGTTACTGATGCCTGGGAGCGATCAACAGGATCCAAAATTTTCCTCAAAATTACTTAGAAAAATATAATGCATGGGACATGGTTTTGAGAGTAGCTGACTAGTCCTGGCCTTCAGTCCCCTTTTCTCATCTTGTGACAGAAGTGCAACATTAGGAAGAGAGTTTTGCCTGAAAACATGAAGAAGCATAACCAACACATTCATAGCTTTTCCAGTGCATCGATGTGGTCCCAGTCAGTCTGTAAATACTTTGATGCCAGAGATAATGTTTTACCCTTTGTTAATCCTCACATTGCTAGTAACTCAACAAATTGATTGAATCAGCCTAAGAGCTATGTACAGATCTGATTTGCAACAGACATCTGAAATTTTAACATTACCCAGTATAGAATACACTAATCTGGTAGACCTTAATAATTATTCATAATTATAATGAAATGTTTATGGATCTATATGCTCATTTTATTGTAAACACAATTATTAGTCTTAATTTTTTGGTAGATGCAACATTTACTGAGTACAATGACATCTTGAGAGGAAAACATATTTTTGTGAGTAAATACAATTAATTTTTATCTTTGTACCTACTGATGTAAATGCTGTTGCTGAACTGTACTCCTGTATATATTCTTTATTTTTCTTTTTGTTTTTCATGTATCCTGTATTCTTGGAGTAGATATTAGACATCTTTCCATAGGGACATCATTTAGTGTGTATGTGTGTGTATGCATTATATTTAACTTTTGTCCCCAATACCTTGTATTTTATGGCTCACAGTTGAACATATATTGTCCACATTATGCCCTTATGAGTTGATTATTGCTTATTGATTGTTCATACTTAATGCCTCTATTTTATTGTCTTATTTTTCAAATTCTTAGTCTCATATCTAAGTCTTCCTTTTCTTTTACCTTTTCTTCATTCATTTTCATCATCATTGCTTCATTTTCATTTTGTAGTTTATTTCCCCTCACATCAGGTTTTTGTTGTTGTTGTTGTTGTTGTTGTTGTTGTTGTTTTCGAGACAGAATCATGCTCTGTCGCCCAGGCTGGAGTGCGGTGGCATGACCTCGGCTAACTACAACCTCTGCCTTCTGGGTTCCAGCGATTCTCCTGCCTCAGCCTCCCGAGTAGCTGGCTAATTTTTTGTGTTTTTAGTAGAGATGGGGTTTTGCCATATTGGCCAGGCTGGTCTCAAACTCCTGGCCTCAAGCAATCCACCCACCTCGGTCTCCCAAAGTGCTGGGATTACAGGTGTGAGCCACTGTGCCTGGCTTCACATCAGTATTTTTTATATGGTCACAGTTCTATCACACAAATCAGTCATGTTGAAGTTCTAAAAACACTGAACTCATTTTTAAGTTGTAAACATAATAGAACACACAAACATAAAATTTACCATCATGGCCATTTTAAATGTAGAGTTCACTAAGTATATTAACATATTTTGTGCAACCAATCTCCAGCAGTTTTTCATCTTGTAAAACTAAAACCATCCCCATTAAACAACTCCCGATTTACCAACTCCCCCCAGTCCCTGGTAACCACCATTCTGTTTTCTTTTTCTGCGAATTTGGCTACTCTTAATAATGCATATAAATAAAATCATACAATATTTGTCTTTTTGTGATTGCCTTATTTAACTTTAATGTCCTCAGGGTTCATTCACATTGCAGCATGTGCCAGAATTTCCTTCTTTTTAAGGCTGAATAATATTCTACTGCATGTATATCCACATTTTGTTTATCCATTCACCCACTGATGGACATGTGGGTTGCCTCTACCTTTTGGCTTTTATGAATAATGCTGCTATGAAAACGGAAATACAAACATTAAACCTTTTATTAAATACTTAGGTAGGTAAATACTCATTAATGGATAAAATTTCTTAGAAACCATGTTATATAATGTATTTGATTTGAAATTAAAGTACTTAAGATTACGTATTGTAGAAATTCTAAGCTTTAATTGCAGAAAATGATTGGGAAAATAAATGCTCAGGAATGCCTATAATTATCACCTGTGTGTATCAAAATTTACAAATTAATAGACATAATTTTTCACATATCACCAGATACCCATATGTTCATTAGCTGCCTTGATTACATGAAAATTATGCCCATTTGAACCCTGACGAAATATGCCTAGGCTTTATGAACACACACACACATACACACACACACAGACACACACACACAAACACACACACAAGCTTGCACGGAATCAAGTGGAAAAGGGGAGGGACTAATCCCAGTTTGGGAGCTCTGAATTATTAGAACAGGCAGGCTTCAGTAACTGAAGGAGCTTTCCTTAGAAAACTTATGAAGGAGAGCTTGAAACTAATGGTCAGGTTCCTGGAAAACTAAGATTAGAATCATAAAAAAAGGCTAGGCCTTTATTCCCAAACAGAGGAATAAAGGAATCAATGGATCTGGTAAATGAAAATGAGACTCCCAGACCAAAAGTAGAGGGGAATGAAGTTTGGGGCACCAATAATATAATTGAATGAGTAAAATGATGAAGTATTTCAACAAATAATTATTTAAACATTAAATGGTTATTTTACAACTGCAAGATGCAATATCTGAAATTAAGAATTCATTGGATAGTTTTTTTTTTTTGAGATGGAGTCTTGCTCTGTTGCCCAGGCTGGAGTGCAGTGGCATGATCTTGGCTCACTGTAACCTCTGCCTCCCGGGTTCAAGTGATTCTCCTGCCTCAGCCTCCCTAGTAGCTGGGATTACAGACATATGCCACCATGCCTGGTTAATTTTTGTGTTTTATGTAGAGATTGGGGTTTCACCAGGCTGGTCTCAAACTCCTGACATTAGTTGATCTGCCCGCCTCGGCCTTCCAAAGTGCTGGGATTACAGGCATGAGCCACCGCACCCAGCCCATTGGATAGATTTAATAGCAGAAGATAGTATCAGTCAACTGGAAGATAGGCCTATTGACAGGTCAATAGAAAATTTAAACTGAACCTCATGAGAAAAATGAATGTAAAAATCAAAACAGCACATAAGAGAAATGTGGGATACAGACAAAGGTCTAGCATATATGTAATTAGAGTCCCAGAAGAAGAGAAAAAGGAGAATGGAATGGAAGAAATAATGAATGGAAATTTTCTAAATGTGATGAAAAGCATCAACTCACAGATTCAAAAAGCTCAGTGAACGTCAAGCAGAATAAATATGAAGAAAAACAATTTATGTACATCATAGTCAAGCTGCTCAAATCAAAGTTAAAGTGAAAATCCCAAAAGTGCCCAAAGGAATAAAACACATTGTCCTGAGAAGAACAATATAAGAAGATAGCTGACTTATCCACAGAAACTATGGAAAGCAGACGACCATAAAATGACATCTTTAAAGTGCCAAAAAGAGCAAAAGAAAAACAAAAACATGTCCAACCTAGAATTCTACACCCAACATTTCAAAAATCACTGAAAAAAACTCAGACAAAAGCAGAAATAAATTTTTGCTAGTATTAGAAAAAAATACTAAAGGAAGTTCTTGAAAGCTGAAAGAAAATTACTCCTTGGAACTTCAAGAAAGAATGAATAGCACAGGAAAGGCTAAATAATTTGGTCATTATCAAAAATTATTGACTATTTAAAACAAAAGCAATAATAAAGTTTTGTGGGGTTAAATGTAAAATATATCTTGTGATAACTGAAAGGGTGTGAAGGGTGACTAGGGTTAAATTCCTGTAAGGTTCTTGCATGGTTCCGAATGGAGAAAAAGTATTACTTTAAGGTGAACTTCATTAAGCTACACATGTATTTTGAAATTTTTAGGATGACTTCTAAAAGAACAATAAAAAAGTATAACATAAAGACTAATAGAGGAGATAAATGGAATAATAAATGCCTTATTAAAACAAAGAAAGTAGAAAAAGAGAAATAAAGAAATGAAGAATAGATGGGACAAATAGAAAATAAATAGCAAAATTGTAGACTTAAGACAAACTATACTGATAATTGCATTAAATATAAATAGACTAAACACCAAAAATAATGAAACAATGAAAATAACTGAATTGACAGACTCGATTTTAAAAAAGACCCCAATTATGTCTACAAGGAGCAAGAAACACACTTTAAATGTTAAAACAGAAATAGGTTGAAAGTAAAAATATAGAAAAAGATACACCATGTATACACTAACCAAAAGAAAGCTTGTGTGACTGTATTAATATTAGACAAACCATACTTTAAGGAAAGATACAGGAAATATTTCATAATTCTAAAAGGCTCAATTCAGCAAGAAGATATAGTTCTATGTATGTACCTAATAACATAGCATTTATGTATGCATGTACATGTGTATGTATCTATTTAGACAGCTGCTGGAGAATGTGTAATTTGTATCAACTGGCCAGAGACTGCTCAGTCATGGTTCTTTAATTTAGACCCTCATTTAAGAATTTCTGTCTCTTTTGAAGAGTCTCCATCTGTGACAAATGAGCTTGGGTAATGATACAGGGGTAATTTACTCCTTGTTCCTGGCCTGTATTCTAATGGACAGCCCTTTGTAATAGCGAATAAAGAATTTAATAAGCTAATAATTATTAAATTTATTAAGGAAAGGAATATAGGTCAGTAAGAAGTGTTTGGGATGGAGCTAAGGAATCACATCCCCCAATTCGCACCTCCCCTGGTCCCAGTCTGATTTACCAGTGTTTCCTACTTTCTCTAACTTTAACAGGAGAAATAGACATTGAATATTTACAGTAACTCTCAGCCATCTTAAATTCTTAAGTGCAGCAAGATATAGCCTTGTTTAAGAAAGTTTTGTGCCCTTTCCTTTCTGCTTACACATGGGCCAGCTTTGACCAAAGTTTGTATCCATGCAGATACTAACTAGAGGCTACAAAAAGTAGCAATCACATCATAATCTTGAACATTTTCTAGCTCCAGACCAAAAGGTACATAATATTAATCTAACCAATAGGTACAAGTTTCAGTAGAAACAGTTTAACCAGATGGTATGCAAGTTTATAATAAGGAGTGCCAGCTTCCTGGTTGGAGATGAGGGGATCCTCTTGCCTTGTAGCCGATTTCAGTGAAGCAAATTTTGTATTTAGGTCTGCCACCTTTTTTTTCTTTTTGAAATGGAGTCTCGCTCTGTCGCCCAGGCTCTAGTGCAGTGGCGTAATCTTGGCTCACTGCAACCTCCACCTCCCAGGTTCAAGCAATTCTCCTGCCCCAGCCTCCCAAGTAACTGGGACTACAGACGTGCACCACCACGCCCAGCTAACTTCTGTATTTCTAGTAGGGAGAGGGTTTCACCATGTTGGCCAGGCTGGTCTCAAACTCCTGGCCTCAGGTGATCCGCCCACCTTGGCCTTCCAAAGTGTTGGGATTACAGGCGTGAGCCACTGCACCCGGCCTAGGTCTGCCACTTTCTAGACACCAGTTTTGTTTCTAATTTTGCTTTAGCCAGGACTCTTTCAGATGCAGGCAACAACAACCCATGTTGAAATAGCTTTGGCGGCAAAGGGATACATTGGCCCACACAACTGGAAAGTCCAAGGGCAGATCTGGCAGAGTTGGACCCAGGGGCTCAACAATGTCATCTGAGTTCTCTTTTCATTTCTTAGCTCTGTTCATCTCTATGTGCTGTTTATTTCTTAGGTTCTCCACATTGGCAGGAAAGATGGTTGCTGGTAGTTCCCAGTCTATATTTGTGTAACTAAAAATTCAAAAGGTAGATGGATATTTTTTCCCCCAGAATCCTTATAGAAAATCTCAGGAAAGAACTCTGATTGGCTCTGCTTGGTTCATGAGCTATTCTCTGTACAAATCACTGTGACTACGGGGGATGCAGAACAAAGATCAGTCTAGTCCGGGTAAGATGCCCATCCCTATGTCCATGAGAGAAATGTATCATTTGTTAGAGAAAAAAAAAAAAACCTATATAAGGTAATGACAGAGGGATAGTTCCTAAAACAAGGTGCTATTGGGCAATCAAAGAGGTATCATGTTTACTATAGACTTTGACCCTTATATGTTTTTCTGCTTGCAAAATAATACACGTTCACTGTAAAAAATTCAAAATTTGCAGGAATGCAGTCTAGCATTTTGGTGAAAAGCATGTCTCGGAAATCAGATAAATCTGGGCTTGAAAGACATTTTAATTTTGTAATTGCGGGTAAGATACTTCACTTTTCTCATCCTTACTTTTGTCATTTGTAAATAGGGCAAAACAGTAATACTGACTTCATATGCTATTTATAAGAATGAATTGTGGTAATGCATGAAAGTGCTAAGAGCACCATCTTCTTATAATAAAGGCATATACCAAATATGCATGTAAAAATAAAAGCATGTAATAAACATTAAATAAAATGATTCACAATATAGAATGTCCAAGTCATCACTATTTTCATCTGATCCGACTTCAGCCCACCAAACTGTTATCATACTGACATATATTTCTCCATATTTTTTGCCTTGTACTTATGCATGCTCCTTTTGTTCCTTAAGTAATTACAGGATAGTACCATACATACTATTTTGAAGCCTACTTTTTAATCTGCAATTCTCCCCTCTTTTTACAACAGTAGAGATTATGTCACTGCTCCCATGTGAGGCAATCACTATTTCTACCTTTACATTCTCCACCTTCCTGCCTTCTAGGGAACCTTATACTATCAACCATCCATTCCATCTCTGGTACCATCAACCTCTTTCTTTCACCGTGAACTTTCTCAACAATACTTGTGCCTCATTAAGTCCCTTCTTTATTTAAAAACCCTTCCCTAGACCCCACCACCCTTTCCAGTTACCCTCTTGTCTCTCTTCTCCCATTTATAGATATACTTCTTTAAAAATTTGTCTTTTTTCTATCCATTTTGTTATTCCTCAACCAACTCCAATCTGTCCTCTACTCCTCCAACAAAATAGCTTTATGAAAGTCATCAATGACCTCCTTGTTACCAACTCAAGGGGACCTCCTTGTTACCAACTGAAGGGGACACTTTATGATCCTTATCCTATTTGACCTCTCAGCAGCACTTGACCCTGTTAATCTTTCCTCCATCTAGAAAACTTCTCCCTTGACTTTTGTAAAACCACATTCTACTGTTTTTCCTTCTATCTCTCTGGTCCATGCTTCAAAGTTTTTGCAGATCCATTCTCTTCTTTCTGGGCTTCAATCTTGGAGTTCTTCAAGGTTCTGCCCTAGTATAACTCCTCCTATACTTCCCATACTCACTCCCTAGGTGATCTAATTCACATTCATAGCTTCCATTACATCTAAATGTCAATGACTTCCCAATGAAATCTCTAGCCTACACGTCACCTGTAAGATCTGCTTGATATATCAAATTTGATATCTTCCTTATTATTATTATTATTATTATTATTAGTAGTAGTAGTAGTAGTAAGAGATGAGGTCTCGCTATATTGCCCAGCCAGGGCTTGAACTCCTAGCCTCAAGCAATCCTCCCACCTCAGCTTCCCAAAGTGCTGGGATTACAGGCATGAGCCACTGTGCCTGCCCCAATTTGATATCTTGAAGACCCTTTAACTTCTCATCTCCACACATCTAAACCTCTTTCAGTGTCCAATGTTATTGAATGGTACCCCATCTACTCAATTCCTCAAGCCAAAAATCTTAAGTATCATCCTTGACTCTTCCTTGTCTTTCAACTCCCCTATATTGAATATATTACAAATTTCAGTTAATTTCACTATTTAAATATCACTAAAATCTATCAAATTGTCTTCATGTCTTCTGCTATCACCCTAGACTGATCTTACTTAAAGTACTAGACAAATCCCCCTATCTGTTGCCCTGAATCTTCTCTGATTCCCCTGTAATACAGGCTCTGAACTGCAGCCAGAGTCTTTTTTTCAAAAACAAATCTGATCGTATTGCCCATTTCTTTAAAAAAGAAAAATACTTCAGTGACTTTACATTGCTCCTAACATAAAGACCAAAGTCTATAATGTGGTTTCCAAACTTTTATGGTTTGGCTTTTACCATACACTCCAGGCTCATGTCTTACTATTCCTCATCTTATTATCAGAGTTTATTCACAAAGTTGTGCTCCATCCTACAATAGGGCTTGTGATGATCCTTAATGATACCTGCTACTCTTTTGTCTAACTCCTTCCCAACTTTCACACATCAGAGTAAGTGCCAGTTACCTGTCCCATTCTACTACTTCCTGTTCTACTTAATATTTCTTTGTTATATGTTCTTATGGGACTTTTATTCCATTTTCATTTGGACTGATATTTCATTAAGGACTCTGTAATTTAGTCTTTATTATTGTAGGATTATTATTTTTTCATCATTTTTCCTGAGCTGAACTCATTTCATTTCTTGCTAGGTTTTTTTGGTCCATTTATGTTCTTTGGTTTTGTATTTCTCAATGATGTCGTTTTTTCATATCTCTGAAAGCTTTTTTGAAGAGAAAGAAACATAGACATATAATTTACTTCAAAGTATTTTCAATTTTATTTCACTTCATGTTTTTGGGGGAATAATTTTTACCATCAGAAATCCTTGGATTATTATATTCTTGTTTCTTACAGTAGTTTTTTATGGACATGGTCAGTCTTTTTTCTATTTCTATTAAATTTATGGACAGGATTCCTAGTTAAAGAATGCTCTTCTGTCAGTTCTTCCCTCTACTATGAAGTTTCTTTTATCAATGGTGGTGTTGGTGCAAGGGAGTGAGTCTTTTTTCCCTTATTTTCTTCTTATTTCCATCTTTTGCTACACAGCCTCATCTCTAAAGGGTACTGACACTTCTCTATATATCTAGTTCTCCCACAGGAGCATGTGAGGCTGCCCCTTCTGGTCCCACACACATTCAAGCCCTTTTCTTGCAATCGGTGCTTTGAACTGCCAAATCCCAACCTGTGTTCAATATTTTGTCAATGTTGAATGCTCACATTCTAGGGGTGACTTTTATTTGTGCCTCATCTAAGTCCTCTGATCACATCAACACTTTTTGAAGGTGCCTCTTAAACCTCCCCAGTCCCATTTTCTGCATCCACAAGCTTGCAACAGTAAGTGGACAGCAAGAGGTGTGTTGGAATTAGTTCTCTTTTTATCCTTGAGGGTCACTTTAAGGTTGGAGTGTTTGCTGTTTCTTAGAAATGCTGAATGCATGCATCATGTATGCTTATATATATATTTCTTGGTGATTTTAAGAGTTTTTGAAAGGTGGGTATGGGAGAGATTCAAAATAAGGCAGCCATCCTTATTTTTTAAACCTGCCTTCCTTTCAAAAAATAGTTTTGTCACATATGTTTGTTTCCCTAAAGATTATATTGCCTGGAATTGCTTATATTGAACTTTATTAAAATGCTATCATTCTACATATATTCTTAGAATTGTATTTTCACTCATGATTTCTAATATTTATCCATGTTATTGTATAACCTTAGTCCATGTGTTTTTACTGCTGCATAGTATCCTATTGCATTTATTATTTATACCACTATTGATGGACATATAGATTATTTCTTATTTTGGTTACTACAATCAGTGCTACCATAAACAATTTTGCACATGTTTCTTGATGCACATGAACAAGAATTTTTCTGGGGCTCACTGTCCAATATGGTAGGCAGTAGCTACATGTCACTATTGAGCATTTGAAATGGGCAGGTAAGAACTGAGATGTGCTATAAATGTAAAATACACACTGGATTTTAAAGACTTACCATGAAAAGGTAATGTAAAATATCTCATGGATAATTTTGATATTGATTACATGTTGAAATCATAATGTACTGGATATATTGGTTAAATTAAATATAAAAATGAATATCACCTTTTTTCTTTGTACTTTATATTACTTCAAGAATGTTCAAAATTACATATTAGGCCTGCATTTAGGAATCATATCACATTCCTATTGGAATTTGCTGCTCTAGGGTATAAACCTAGGAATAGAATTTCTGGGTAGATTATGCGAATCTTCACTCTAACGATAAAGCCAAATTCATCTTCAAAGAAATTGTGCTGTGCTGATTGATATGATCAACATTACTGTACAAGAATTCCTATTGATCCACATTCTCTCCAATACTTAGTATTGTCAGACAATTTAATCACTGTCAATCAAATGAGTATAAAGTGGTACCTCATTGTGTTCTCAATTTTCATCTTCTGGATTATTAATGAGATTGAGAAAATTTTTGTATTTTTAAATTGGCATTCATGTTTCTGCATGAAATGCCTGTTTTGTCTTTCTTCTCTCTCTCCTTCCCACTAGCTCATTTTGATTTTCACATTGATTTGTAGAAATACATATGATATTTAGGACACTAAAACTTTGTCTGCTCTATGTATTTCAAATATCCTTTCTCTGTTTATGGTTTGCATTGTCACTTTCTTTTTGCTACATTTTTATAAACCACAGTTCTTAATTTTAAATGTAGTCAAATTTATCAAACTTTGTTTTTTATGATTTATGCTTTTTTTGTCTTGAGTCTAAGCTAGCCCAAGGTCACAAAGACATTCTCTTATAGCTCCTTCTAAAAGTGTTAGAAGATGAATATGAAATTCATAGACATGTAATATCTTTTCATTTATTTAGGCCTTCTTTAATGTCTTTAATGAAGGTTCATAAATTTCTCCACGGATGTCTTGCACATGTTTTATTATATTCATTCTCAAGTACCTTAATAGTTTTCTAGCTATAAGAAATGTTATCTTTTAACAAAAAGCTATGCTTTTTGTGTGTTGCTAGAATATATAAATGCAATTACATTTTTCTGTGGATCATATTGTGAGCCATATTGATAAACCATATTATAATTTGTAATAATTTTACATAGATTCTTTTTTGTTTTCTGTGTAAGAAATAATATGACTTGCAAATAAAGACCATTTAATTTTATCCTTTTTAAAAATTTCAACTTTTACTTTAAGGTCGGTGGTACACGTGCAAGCTTGTTACATGAATAAATTGTGTGATGCTCAGGTTTGGGGTATGAATAATCCCTTCAGCCAGATAGTAAGCACAGTACCAACTAGTTTTTCAACGGTCATCCCATCCTTCCTTTCTCCCTCTAGTAGTCTTCAGTGTCTGTTGTTGCCATCTTTATATCCTTGTGTACTCAATGTTTAAGCTCCCACTTATAAGTCAGAAAATGCTGTATTTGGTTTTCTGCTCCTGCATTAATTTGTTAGGAAAATCACCTCCAGCTGCATCCATGTTACTGCAAAGGACATGATTTCATTCTTTTATATGGCTGTATAGTATCCCATGGTGTATAGATACCACATTTTCTTTATCCAGTCCACCACTGATGGGCATCTAGGTTGATTCTGTGTCTTTGCTATTGTGAATAGTGCTGTGATGAACATACAAATGCGTAAGTCTTTTGGGTAGAAGAATTTGTTTTCCTTTGTTATGTATCCAGTAATGGGATTGTTGGGTTGGATGGTAGTTCTGTTTTAAGTTCTTTGAGAAATCTCCAAACGGCTTTCCACAGTGGCTGAACTAATTTATATTTCCACCAACAGTGTATAAGTGTTCCGTTTTCTCCACAACTTCACCAATATCTTTTGTTTCTTGACTTATTAATTATAGTCATTCTGACTAGTGACAGATAGTATCCCATTATGGTTTTGATTTGCAGTTCTCTAATGATTAGTGATGTTGAGCATTTTTTTTCATATGTATGTTACCTGCACATATACCTTTCTTTGAGTTTTCATGTCCTTTGCCTTCTTTTTAATGGAGTTGTTTTTTGCTTGCTGATTTGTTTAAATTCCTTATAGATTCTGCATATTAGACCTTTGTCAGGTGTATAGTTTGTGAATATTTTCTCCCATTCTGTAGGTTGTCTGTTTACTCTGTTAATAGTTTCTTTTGCTGTGCGGAAACTCTTCAGTTTAATTAGGTCCCACTTATCAATATTTGGTTTTGTTGCAATTGTTTTTGAGGACTTAGTCACAAATTCTTTGCCAATGCCAATGGACAGAATGGTGTTTCTTATGTTTTCTTCTAGAATATTTCTAGTTCTAGGTCTTCCATTTAAGCCTTTAATCCATCTGAGTTAATTTTTGTATATGGTGAAAGTTAGCGGCCTAGTTACGTTCTTCTGCATATGGCTAGCCAGTTATCCCAGCACCATGTATTGAACAGAGAGTCTTTCCTGATTGTTTGTGTTTTTTGACCTTTGAAAATCAGATGGTTGTAGGTGTTCAGCATTATTTCTGGGTTCGCCATCTTGTTCCATTGGTCTACTGTGTCTATTTTTGTACCAGTACCATGTTGTTCTGGTTATTGTAGCCTTGTAACATAGTTTGAAGTCAGGTAGTGTGATGCCTTTGGCTTTGTTCTTTTTGCTTAGGATTGCTTTGGCTGTTTGGGCACTTTTTTGGTTCCCTATAAATGTTAGAATAGTTTTTTCTATTTCTGGGAAAAATTTGTAGTCTGATAGGAATAGCGTTCAGTCTGTATATCGCTTTGGGCAGTATGGCCATTTTAACTATATTGATTCTTCCAGTCCATGAGCATGGAATGTTTTTCCATTTGTTTTTGTCCTCTATGATTTTTTTCATCAGTGTTTTGTGGTTCTCCTTGTAGAGATCTTTCACCTCTTGGTTAGATGTATTCCTAGGTTTTTTTTTTTTGGGGGGGGTGGCTATTATAAATGAGATTGTGTTCTTGATTCAATTTGGGTAGCTTCACACTTTAGTCCTTAATCCATTTGGTTTTATTTAGCTGTAGGGTGTGAAACGATGGTTTTATTTCACTTTCCATATACATAACCAATTGTTCCAGTTCCATTTATTGAACAACTAAACTTTCCTTACACAGAGATTTCAATGCTTC
Source organism: Homo sapiens (assembly GCF_000001405.40). NCBI lineage: Eukaryota > Metazoa > Chordata > Mammalia > Primates > Hominidae > Homo > Homo sapiens. The sequence continues at coordinate 132,346,829 of NC_000023.11, read as the reverse complement.
TGTTACATACTAAGATTCTATATGCACATTTCTGTTTCTGGGTTCTCTATTACTTTACATTGGTTATTTTATTTGTCCCTTCATTTAATAAAAGACACTGGCTTAATTGGTCTAGATTTAAAATAAATTTCGAAGCAAGTAGGGCAGATTCCTTTGACCTTTTTTTTCACAAGTGTCTTGTCTGTTTTTGGCCTATTGCTCTTACATATAAATTTTGAATTGGCTTATTAGAATATGGTTTTGGGAGTTTTTATCAGAATTGCATAGAATCTATAGACATTTTTGGAGATAATTGACATATGTAAAATGTTAAGCCTTCATATACATGAAGAGAAAATATCTCTCCATTAATTCTCCATTATTTCTTTAATGTCTTCAGAAAAACATTTACAATTTTCTCCATAGGTGTTTTGCACATTTTTTATATATTTACACCTAGGTACTTGATATTCTTGATATGGTAAGTGGTATATTTTGTTCAACTTATATTTTCAAAATGTTTATTGCTGGTAGATACAAATGAAATTAGGTTATGTACATTGCTCATATAGTTAGCCATATTGCAAACACTATTTATATATGTAATAATTTGTGCATTCCTTTAGGTTTTCTGTGTAGAAAATTATATCAATTGCTAACAAGAGTGCTTTTGTTTCCATTTTCTTCATTCATCTGTCTTTAATTATAATTTCTTATCTTACTGCATGGGCTAGAAACTGGAATACAAAGGTGACCAGGGGTGGTGATAATAGTCAGCCTTACCTTGTTTCTTATTTTAATCTGAATTTTTCTAACTTTCTCTCCCATAAAAAAAGAAATGTTTGCTGTAGATTTTTGCTAGGGATCTCAAATAACTTTTGGAAGTTCCCTTCTATTCCTAGATTGCTGAAATTCTGTGTCACAAAAGGGTGCTTAATTAAAAAAAAAAATTTATGGAAAGCTTATTCAAATCCTTTTTAACATAACTCCTTTTGAGATATAAATCAGAAAATATATAATTCCCTCTATTAATTCAATGGTTTATAGAATATTTACTGAGTTGTGCAACTATTGCCACTACCTAATTTTAGAACATTCTTGTTATTCCAAAAAGCAACTCTGTGCCCATTAGCAGTCATTGCCCATTGGATCCATTTCCCAGTCCCTAGCAAATGCTAATTTAGTTTCATTCTGTATGAATTTGGTTATTCTCAACATCACGTATAAATGGCATGATACAATATGTAGTCTTTCATGACTGGCTTCTTTAACTTGTTATAATTTTTTTTCAAGTTTATCCATGTTGCAGCATGTATCAGTTCAGTTCTCCATTCCTTTTGATGCCTATATAATATTCCACTGGGTGGATATACAACATTATGTTTATCAACTCATCAATTCATGGATATTTTGGTTGTTTCCATTTTATGGCTATTATGAATAATGCTGCTATGAAACATTTGTGTAAAAATATTTGTGTGAGCAGATGATTTCATTTCTCTTGTGTATATAATTAGAAGTGAGATTGCTGGATCATACGCTAACTCTACATTTAGCCATTTGAGGAGTTTCCAGAGTGTTTTCCAAAGCAGCTGCATCATTTTACATTCTCCCCAGCAATTTAAGAGGATTCCAATTTCTCCACATCCTTGCTAACACTTGTTATTGTCTTTTGTTATTATTATTAACATTGCCATCTATTGGGTATTAGGTTGGCTCTCATTGTGGTTTTGACTTGTATTTCTCTAATTATTAGAGATGTTGAGAATCCTTTCACGTACTTATTGGTTGTTTGAATATTTTCTTTGAAGAAATGTCTGTTCAGTTCCTTGGTCCATTTTTAAGCTGATTTATTTCCTTTTAATGTTTAGTTATAAGAAATGTTTACATATTCTGAACACACGTCTTATCAGATATATGATTTGTAAATATTTTCTCTCATTCTGCGTTTGCCTTTACTTTATTGATGGTATTATTTGAAGCAATAAGTTTTTAATTTTGATGAAGTCCAATTTAACTATTTCTTTCTTTTGACATTGTGCTTTTGGTGCTGCATCTAAGAAACTATTGCCTAACCCAGGTCACAATGATTTACTTCTGTGTTTTCATCAATGAGTTTTATAATTTTAGCTCTTATATTTAAGTCATCAATCTACGCTTCTACTTTTGACATATTTGTGTCTTTGAATTTAAAGTATTTCTTGTAGATAGCATATTGTCAGATCATGTTTTATTTATCCAATCTGTGAATTTCTATATGTTGTTTGGAGTAGTCTTTTTGCACTTAACATAATTACTAATAAGGTAGGATTTGTGTCTGCCATTTTGCTACTTGTTTTCTATACGACTTATGACATTTTGTTTCTCTTTTTCTATTACTGCCTTTTTGAGGCTATGTATATATGCAAATAAGTTTAGAATTGCTACATATTTCTAGCAATTTTAGCCTTTTATTCTGTGGTGACCCTGTTTATCTCTAATAATTCATTGTAAAATTTTCCTAGTAATATTGCGATCATAGCTTCCGTTTTGTCTACTATTTTGTCTGATACATATTTTTTTCCTAGTATATCTTTTGACAGCTTATTATTTCAATTCTTCTGGGAAGGGTTTACTTTATCAGATTTGTTATATGTTTATAATTGTCTCTATCATCTCACTGCTTTATTTCTATTTGAAATTTTTAATACTTCTCTCTCATTGTCTCTCTCCCCTGATTAAATTATAGTACAATTATTGCTTTTTTCACATTCCATCCTTTTTTCCTGTAACAGTTTGGAATTTTACACCAAATAATATTTTTAGGTGGTTATCATTAAAATGTTGTTTCATAACACAACCTAAAGTTAAAAACAGTACCTTAATCTCCCTCCCAAACAGTACACGGATCTTAATACATTTTAATTCTTATCAACCATATTTCCATTTTTGCCAACAACAATGACAACTTACATGCCATTTTGGTCCAATATTTTATTTTTGTCAATTTTTTTAAGCTGCTAGATTAGACATAATTAAGATTTTGTACATAAAATGTGTACCGAGACTGTTATACATGCTTACTATCTAATCTGTTTAACATTCTTTTGCAAAATCAGCTTTAAAAAATATAATTTAGAAACAATAGATCAGCTGAGGTCAGGAGTTTGAGACCAGCCTGGCCAACATGGTGAAACCCCATCTCTACTAAGAATACAAAATTTAGCAGGGCATGATGGTGGATGTCTCTAATCCCAGCTACTCTGGAGGCTGAGGCAGGAGAATCGCTTGAGCCCAGGTGGCGGAGGTTGCAGTGAGCCAAGATAGTGCCACTGCATTCCAGCCTGGGTGACAGAGTGAGACTCCGTCTCAAAAAAACAAAAGAAAACAAAACATAAGAAACAAAAAAATGCACACATATTAAGCACAGAGTTTAATTATTTTTGATAAATATATACACACATTGCTGAAAACACAGCCATGTGCACATCCCCCCACCAACACATCAATCCCCACCACCAACTGTGGGGAATGCAGTCAGCAGATTACATCCACTGTCAGCTTCTTCAGGTTCTTTCTCAAATACAGAGAAGCAACATGTTCCAGGTCACAAACTTCCTAAGGCAGGCCATACCCAGTGACCTAGCAAAGCCAGAATATAAAGGCTCAGGTATTTCTGCCTGATGTGGGACACTCTTATTGGCAATACTTCAGATTGACAGAGGTTTTACTGTTCCTGTGTCATAGTTCAACAACTTCCACTCCCTAATATGGCTTTCTCTCTCTTCCTTCACAGGTTTTGATCCCTAATAAACAACTTATGCCCCCAATTCAGCATCTTCTTCTGAAAAACTTAACATGTAACAGTTATGTAATGAGTACCATAACCAACAAATAGATAATTTCCAACACAACAGAAAACTCTTTCATTCCCCTTCCCAGTTAGTACCCTTCCCTTCTACCCATACCAGCTCTAGATAATTGCTATCACTATAGATTAAATTTGCATTTCCTGGAGCTACATATAAATGGATTCATAAAATATGTATAATTTTGTGTCTGGCTATCTTGATCACCATAAACTTCCAAAGATTCACCCATGTCACTATGTGTGTTGTAAGTTAATTTCTTTTTTAGTGCTAAACAATATTCCATTGTATGTATATACTATAACTTGTTTTATTTACTCACCCTTTGATGGACACTTAGTTTGCTGATAGTTCAATAAAACTGCTATAAATGTTTAAGTTCAAATTTTTAATGGACATATGCTTTCCTTTCTCTTGAGTAAATCACTTAATAGTGATTCTTTTCTTTTCTTTTCTTTTCTATTCTTTTCTTTTCTCTTCTTTGAGACAGAGTCTTGCTTTGTCACCCAGGCTGGAGTGCAGTGGTGCACTGCAACCTCTGCGTCCCAGATTCATGTGATTCTCCTGCCTCAGCCTCCCAAGTAGCTGGGATTACAGGCGTGCACCACCATGCCTGGCTAATTTTTGTATTTTTAGTGGAGAAGGGGTTTTGCCATGTTGGCCAGGCTGGTCTCAAACTCCTGACCCATGTGATCTGCCCTCCTTGGCCTCCCAAAGTTCTGGGATTACAGGCATGAGCCACTGCTCCTGGTCTTAGTGACTATTTTCAAAGTGGTTGTTGTACCCTTCTCCAATGTGACAAGCAATGTATTTGCATTCTAGTTGCTCCACATCTTCACCAACACCAAGTACTGTCAGTATTTTTCAGTTTTACCTATCTTAATGAGTGTGTAGTGCTATGACTCTGCTGTTTTAATTTGCATTTACTTGATGCCCAGTGATTTTGAATATCTTTCATTTGCTTATTGACCATTTATACAACTTTTTTTGCAAAATGTTTGAATATTTTTATCCATTTTAAGTAGATTGTTTATCTTTTTGTAATCAAATTTTAAGTCTTTATATATTCTGGATATAATTCCTTCATTAGATATATGCAGTGTGAATATTTTCATCTTTAACTTTCCTTGACATTTTTTAACAGTGTATTTTTAAAGAGCATAAAGTTTAGTTTTGAGGCAATTCATTGTACGTTTTTACATGGTTCACATTTTTTGTGTCCTAATAATTTTTTTTACAAGAGTGTATTGTGATTCAGATTCAATCACAATACATATATTGAAGAAAGAGTTACCAAATTGTAATTCAACTTCATTTGTCAAATAATGGCTGAATTGCAATTAGAGGTTGCATATGGATACAACAGTTCAGCAAAAATCAAAGCATTCTGTACAATTCAATTGGCTATATGGAACTTATGATAAAGAATACTGTATATTATTTATTTTTGGTAAATTGTGTATCTTTTATATCAGTAAAATTTATAATAAACTATGTACATATATATACACACATGCTCTGTGTGTGTGTGTGTGTGTATGTAGAGCCAGTTACATTTTTTAATTGAATTCTAAGTTTTTTAAGTTTTATATATATTTAGAGGGTACAAGTACAGATTTTTTACATGCATGTATTATGTAGTGGTGAAGTCTGGATTTCAGTGTACCCATCACCTGAATAATGAACACTGTGTCCAATAGGTAATTTTTCAACTCTCACCCCGGTCCCATCCTCCCACCTCTTGTAGGCTCCAGTGTTCTATTATTCCACTCTGCATGTCCATGTGTACCCATTGTTTAGCTCCCACTTATAAGCGAGGACATGCAGTATTTGACTTTCTGAATTATTTCAGTTAGGATAATGGCCACCAGTTTCATCCATGTTGCTGCAAAAGACATGACTTCATTCTTTTTATGGCTGAGTAGTATTCCATAGTGTGTGTGTGTGTGTGTGTGTGTGTGTGTATACATAATATTTATCTAATATTTATCTAATCATCCATTGATGGACTTAGGTTGATTCAATGTCTTTGCTATTGTGAATAGTGCTGTGAAAAACATACTAGTGCAGGTATCTTTCTGATATAATGATTTCTTTCCCTTTGGATAGGTACCCAGTAGTGGGATTGCTGAATTGAATGATGACTCTGTTTTTAGTTCTTTGAGAAATTTCTATACTCTTTTCCATAAAGGTTGCACTAATTTACATTCCCACCAACAGTGTATAAGCATTCCTCCTTATCCACATCCTCACAAACATCTGTCGTTTTTTGACTTTTTAATAATAGACATTCTGACTGCCATCAGATTTCTCATTGTGATTTTAATTTGCATTTCTCTGATGATTAGTGATGTTGAGCATTTTTTTCATATGTTCATTGGCCACTTGAATGTCTTCTTTTGAAAAATATCTGTTCATATCCTTTGTCCCCTTTTTAATGGGGCTATTTGTTTTGGTCAGATGGGATTTCTCCCAGAGATGCAAGGATAGTGCAGCATATGCAAATCAATAAATGTGATAATCACACAAAAAGACTTAAAGACAAAAACCATATAATCATCTTAATAGATGCAGAAAAAGCATTCAATAAAATTCAGCACCACTTTGTGATAAAAATCCTCAACAAACTGGTATAAAAGAAACATACCTCAAAATAACATAGGTAATATTTGACAAACCCAAAGCCAACATCATACTTAACCAGAAACAGTTGAAAGCATTCCCTCTAAGAACTGGAGCAAGATAACAATGCTCATTTTCACCACTGTTATTCAACATAGTACTAGAAGTCCTTGCCAGAGCAATCAACAAGAGGAAAAAAAAAAGACATCTAAATTGGAAAAGATGAAGTCAAATTATCCTTGTTCACCAATGATAGGATCTGATATCTTGAAAACACTAGAGACTCCACCAAAAAACTCTTCATTTTGGTAAATGAATTCAGTAAAGTTTCAGGATACAAAATTAACTACAGAGATCAGTAACATTTCTGTACACCAATAATGATCCAGCCAAGGACCAAATCATAAAATACATAAAAAACATAAAATACCTAGGAATATATTTAACCAAGAAGGTGAAATATCTCTCTAAGCAGAGCTATAAAACTGATGAAAGAAATCGTAGATGATACAAATGGAAAAACAGCCCATGCTTATGGATGGAAATAATTAATATTGTTAAAATGGCCATTCTGCCCAAAGCAATCTGCAGATTTAGTGCAATCCTTATCAAATTACTGATGTCATTTCTCATGGAATTAGAAAAAGCAATTCCAAAATTCATATGGAACGAAAAACAGCCCAAATAGCCAAAGCAATGTTAAGCAAAAAAGAAAAAAATCTGGAGGCATCACATATCCTCACTTCAAATTATACTACAAGGCTATAGCATGATATTGATATCAAAATAGACACATACTTCAATGGGACAGAATAAACAACTCAGAATACCTATAACCAACTAATCTTTGACAAAGTCAACAAAATATACACTGGGAAAAGGATACCCTATTCAATAAATGGTGCTAGGAAAATAGGCTAGTCATATGCAGAAGAATGAAACTGGACCCCTACCTCTTACCATATACAAAACTAATTCAAGATGAATTAAAGACCTAAATGTGAGACCCGAAACTATAGTGGGCGAAGGATATGAACAGACACTTCTCAAAAGAAGACATTTATGCAGCCAACAGACACATGAAAAAATGCTCATCATCACTGGCCATCAGAGAAATGCAAATCAAAACCACAATGAGATACCATCTCACACCAATTAGAATGGTGATCATTAAAAAGTCAGGAAACAACAGGTGCTGGAGAGGATGTGGAGAAATAGGAACACTTTTACACTGTTGGTGGGACTGTAAACTAGTTCAACCATTGTGGAAGTCAGTGTGGCGATTCCTCAGGGATCTAGAACTAGAAATACCATTTGACCCAGCCATCCCATTACTGGGTATATACCCAAAGGATTATAAATCATGCTGCTATAAAGGCACATGCACATGTATGTTTATTGCGGCACTATTCACAATAGCAATGACTTGGAACCAACCCAAATGTCTATCAATGATAGACTGGATTAAGAAAATGTGGCACATATACACCATGGAATATTATGCAGCCATAAAAAGGATGAGTTCATGTTGTTTGCAGGGACATGGATGAAGCTGGAAACCATCATTCTCAGTAAACTATCGCAAGGACAAAAACCCAAATACCGCATGTTCTCACTCACAGGTGGGAATTGAACAATGAGAACACTTGGACACAGGAAGGGGAACATCACACACTGGGGCCTGTTGTGGGGTGGGGGAGGGGGAGGGAAAGCATTAGGAGATATACCTAATGTAAATGACGAGTTAATGGGTGCAGCACACCAACATGGCACATGTATACACATGTAACAAACCTGCACGTTGTGCACATGTACCCTAGAACTTAAAGTATAATAAAAAAAATCCTAGAAAACACTCTCTGGACATTGGCCTAGGCAAATAATTTATGATCAAGTCCTCAAAAGCAAACTCAACAAAAACAAAAATAGAGAAATGGGACTTAGTTAACCTAAAAAGCTTGTGCACAGCAAGGAAACAATCAACAGAGTAAACTGACCACCTACAGAATGGGAAAAAATATTTGCAAACTACTCATTCGATGGAGGGCTAATATTCAGCATCTACAAGCAACTCAAATGAATAAGCTAAGACATTTTTGCCTACCCCAAGGTCACAAAGATTCCAAAGTTTTCCTCTAAAAATTTCTTTTAGCTTTTATGTGTTTGTCCATCATCCATTTCAAGTAAGTATTTGCATGTAGTGAGAGGTAAAGATTGAGTTTCAACTTTTTCCTCAGCTCTTAAAAAGATCATCCTTTCCCCACTACTCTTCTTAGACCAGAAATTAACTAAAAAGTTGTTCTGAAACAATAGGGTCGCTGAGAGCCTCTAGATGCCATATTACTGGATTACTGTTATTTACTTACTGAGTTCCCTATTACTGGACATTTTCATTGCTCCCAATGTATGGCTAGAAAAAAATTCTTCATACATACATACATACACACGTGTGTGTGTGCATGTGTGTGTATTATACTTATGAAAGTATTTTTTTAAGGAAAGTTTCTTAGCTGAGGCAATGCTGAATCAAAGGATGTCCACATTTAAAATTTTAGTAAGTTTTCCCAGATCGCCTCCCAAAGAGTTTGTATCCATTTACAGCAATAGAAACATTGAAGCTACAAATTACTGTGATTTATCCTAGAGAAGAAACAGAAATTAAATCAGTTATGGCATAGATATGAAACGTTCTCCAATTCCAAGTGCTCTAAAGAAGTAGATTTAGAGAAGAGCTACTGGAACTAATAATTCTTATAATAATTATACCTGCCAACCTTCCAAACTGAGGTTATTATTAAGTAGTGCTTACTCATTTGTAGGGAAAGATGCTTTTGAGGAAGACACCAAAATTATGTCTCAAGAATGGCAGGTGTCAGATGTAGAAAAGAAGAATCTAATTGCCTTTGGGTCCCATGCTCGAGGTAACATCCTGTTACAAATACATTTCCAGTGCATTTGTAACAGATGAATTTCTTGGGGACACTGGCTAAGATGTTTAGGAGTATGGAGAGATGCAGTTGCAGGCTGGTCATATTTTCCTTGACAGTTATTAGAGGAGGCAGAGGTTTCTGCCTAGGGGTTTGAAATAGAAAAAGTATTACTAATTATCCTTCAAAGAATCCATAAATAAGTTATTGAAAACTCAAACACCTATAGGGCAAGACAGGTATTAAAAAGAAATGAAGTGTATCACTTGCAAGAAGGCTGAAAACTGTGGCAATCTGGAGCGTGCCTGCTCCCTTCTAAATGAAGAATTTGCTACTTTAGTCAATTATTGTCATGAGCTAATGAGGGCCCAGTGTTGTTAGAGATGCTGAAAATCTAGAGTTTATGAAAAATATTATTATTTTTAAATGCTGACAATGGATTCAAATCTTTTAAAACACTGAGAAGGCTATATCTTCCCCCTTTGAACCACCATTTTTTTTTTACTTTTGCCATAGATAATGGGAGTCTGTATATGAGGGCATTCTTCAAAGTTCATGGACAGTAGAAGTAAATGATAGAAAAAATTATTAATTGTATTTCTTAACATAAACTTTATCAAGTTCAAGCAGTTTTGTAAGGGAAGATCTGAGTCATTTAGTCCATCCCTAAAGAACTGAAGATCCTGGGAATTTAATCATGTCAATGTGGTCTTGTTTACATTATTACATGAAGAAAAATGGGTGCCCTTTAAAGACTTTTTAAGATTAGGAAACAAAAAGAACTCAGAAGGAGCCAAATCAGGACTGTAAGGTGGATGCCTAATGATTTCCCACTGAAATTTTCCCAAAATTGTCCTTGTTTGATGAGAGGTATGAACAGGAGCATTGTCATGGTGGAGAAGGACTCTCTAGTGAACCTTTCCTGGTCATTTTTTTGCTAAAGCTTTGGCTAACTTTCTCAAAACACATTTATAATAAGCAGATATTATTGTTCTTTGGTCCTCCAGAAAGTCAGCAAGCAAAAGCAAAATGCCTTGAGCATCCCACAAAATTGTTGCCATGACCTTTGCTCTTGATCGATCTGCTTTTGTTTCAACTGGACCACTTCCACCTCTTGGTAACCATTACTTTGATTGTGCTTTGTTTTCAAGATCACAAGACATGGTAAAGCCATGTTTCATCTCCTGTTACAGTTGGTTTGGAGAAATGCTTTAGGATCCTGAACCCACTTTTTAAAATTTATACCGAAAGTTCTGCTCTTGTTTGCAGCTGATATAGGTGCAGTGGTTTTGGCACCCGCCAAGTAGAAAGTTTGCTCAACTTTAATTTTTCAGTCAGAATTGTGTAAGCTGAACCATTTGAGATGTCTATGATGTTGGCTATTGTTTCTGGTATTAATCATTGGTCCTTTTCAATTAAGGCAAGAACAAATACATTTTTTTCCACACAAATTGATGGAATGGTTTGCCACTGTGGGCTTCATCTTCAACATTGTCTTCTCCCTTCTTAAAATGAGTGATCCATTTGCAAATTGCCAGTTTTTTTGAGGTGGGGCTTGTCCCCATAAATTTTTGTAAAGCATTAGTGATTTCTCCATTCTTCCACCCAAGCTTCACCATAAATTTGATGTTTGTTCTTGCTTTACTTTTAGCAGGATTCATGTTGCTCTGAGAGGGGCTCTTTTCAAACTGATTACTTATACTTCTTAGCACCTCAAACTAGATCCTGTTCAGACATGTTGTAACTGTTAATATGAGCTTATTTTGGCACAAAAAGAAATTGAAATCCTTGCACAGTTTTTTTCATAACATGCATTATTATGAACTTTCTGAAGACCCCTCATATTAGGTTGAGACTGGGTTTCACCCAAACTCAGCGTAAGCTCCATATACCTGCAAAATGAAAGTGTCTGCCTCCCAATCTCTTCCAACTAAAAGCAAAACTACTTAAGGAAGAAGAGAAATGAAAAGAGGGACAACCAAAGTAGCAGAGACAGCCATAGAAAGTCTCGAAAGGGCCTTTGTGGTGAAAGAAGAGCAGAAACTTGCATGAAAGAGGTATACCCTGGCAGGGGCTTCTCCTTCTCCTCTTACAACAAGTTTGGAGGTGGGCAGCTCAGAGTTGGTTTAATTACTCAAGGTCAGTCCTCACTCCAGTCTTCCTTTTCTGCCTTTCTTACTATTTGGCTTTTTTTCCTATGGGTTTGAGAGTAATCATAGCTCCGGGAACTGCATCCATGTTCAAGGCAGGGAAAAGGGGTGAAGAGCAAAGGCAAAATCCATATGATATGTGAGTCTCCACCTTCTTAGAAACAGTTTTCCCTATAGTCTTATCTATTAGACTTCTACTTACATTTAACTAGCCAGAACCCTGAAACATGGTCACCCCTAAGCCACAGGGTAGACTGTCCTGAATAAAGAATTCTGTTAAGAACAAAGGGGGAAATGGATATAGAGAAGTCATGAGCCAAGTATACAGGGCAAGTAATTCTGGGGCAAGCCCGCTGTTATATTGTTCTTACGATAATGTTTGTTCTCTATAGGCTGGATGCATCTGAAACCAGAATTTACCCCTGGAGTTTCGGAAGCTATGATGTATCTGGGGGAGGTCAAAACAACAGAAAAGCATGAGGTCCGCATCTCCCTGGGCCTCAAAAAAGTAGGCTGAGACCATAAATATCCCTTTGTTTCTCTTCAGCTTGGACTTGACGGCCTTTATGAAGAGATGGCAAAATAATCAGTATGAGATCAACTCATACAGTGAAATGGACTTTGCCGATATTGTCTTTTGCCATATTTTAGCCCAGGATGTTGGTCCCTTAGGCTCAGCACTATAAAGCAGGAGTAGATCATGGGAACCACAGTCTGTGGCTATCATGAATTCAGGGAACGACTGTGAGTCAAAATTCAAGACTGAGGGAGTTGCTAATGAATTGGACCAGGAAAAAAATTAGTGTATGAAAAACACTGTCCATTTTGATCCAGCTCCTGCCATTTGAGCAGGGTAGAGCATACCTCTAAACTAGGAGTCCTATCAGGGCTACCTCTACCATGGTTTAAAATACAAACAAACAAAAACAGAAATATAGGGATGGATGAGCCCCAAGTGAAACTTTGTCTTGGTTGACTTCTACTCCCTATTCAGTCTGGCACTTTAGAAATCTGATTCAATCATTCCTTCTATCGTGTTTTTCATTAATTGGTTCATTCAGCAAATATTTGAGTAGTTACTCTATACCATGAAGCTGGATGCAGGGTAGCTACTGAAGTTAATAACTATTGAAGGAATGCTCTCAAAGTCATCATTTAAAAGGGGGAGATCTTGGGTAAAAGTGAGAACTTTACAGGAATGATAAAAATGTTATGGGGAGAGACTACAGCAAGGTCTTTGTAGGGGCCTGAATTAAAAACCTACATTAGAAACTAGAGGATAGCAGGGACAGCCAAAGTTACTCCTATTTTTGTAAGGGGCCATCTGGCAGAAATATGGAAGGGGATTTAGAGATCAAAGAGCAATTCACAGAAAAAAATATTCAAGAAGACCTCTGGAAAGAGGAAGGAATGGCGGATTGTGGAGTCAAAAAGTCAAAACATCCTGTACTGTGGTTCCAGGGAAGAAAGGTTGGAAATAGTATTCCCAGAATAGCATGAAGATGTGCCACTAAAATGTCCCTTCAAACAATTCATGATGAAATTGTCCTACATTACTCAAAATCGAAGATTCTCTTGGGGATGGGGGTGGAGAGCAAGAGTTTAAGAACTGTGGTCTCTTGAATGCTAGATAATCTGTATTTGGCCAGGAAATCTGAAATCACTTCAGTATGGTAATTGTTCTCCAACTTTGAAAGTGATAAAGTAGAACACTGAAAATGAAACCAAAGCATGAGGGCAAGAGCAAAAGCTACAGAGAACGACGATTCATGACAGAAAGAGCCTCTTGGGGTATAAGGGCAAATGAGATGCCTAGGTTGAGAGAAGAGGTTGTAGTTTTAGTAAGCAAAATGTGTGAGGCTCAGAGCCAAACATCACTGAGTTTGTCTTAAAGTCTTTGACTATTCCTGAATCTAGACAGGCAGTCTGTATTTGTCGATTATTTACCTTTATAAACAAAAGGATACATCACACATCATCCACACAAAAACATCTATGCATACAACATTTGAACATTTTTTATCACTTTAATCCATTTTCTCATTTGGGTTTCAGTATTTGTGTGCCAGGCTTAATGAAAACTTTTTCTGGAGTCAATTCTATGGAAGCCCTGTGGCAAATCTTCCAAAATCTATTTCTCAAGGGCCTCCAACAAGATAGAAGGAAAATGGGGTTTTCATTCTTCCTTACTTTATGACTACTTAGCTCTTTTGGATCCACTTTTGCTCTGAGAAGAATATGAAATAGAAATTGTTAAGCCATTAAGAGTTTCAATGTAATAAATCCTCTCAAAACAAAAGGCTATTCCACAAATAAGTTGTTTTTTTTTTCTTTTGAGATGGGTCTTGCTCTGCCGCCCAGGCTGGAGTGTGGTGGCATGATCACAACTCACTGTAGCCTCGACCTCTTGAGCTCAAACGATCCTCTCACCTCAGCTTCCCAAGTAACTGGGACTACAGGCATGCGCCACCACACCTGGCTAAGTTAAAAAAAAATTTGGTAGAGATAGGGTCTTGCTATGCTGCCCAGGTTGGTCTTGAATTCCTGGCCTCAAGCAATCCTCCCACCTTATCCTCCCAAAGCAGTGGGATTACAGGCATTAGCCACTTGCGCCAAGCCCACAAAACGTTACTGCTTTAAGATGTTGAAGCTAAAACGAGGTTGAGGAGAAGGGGAGGATCAGGACATTTCAGAACCAATATATTGTTTTGTAGGCTTCACTCTTGGAAGAAAACAATGAAAGGAACTCAATTTACAATGACCTTCTTTGTTTCCTTCTTGAAGGAATATTATTGTTAAGTTTGGCGAGTAGATACTTGCTACGTAGTACATATACAGAATTGAAGCAATAAAGCATTTAGGTTCTCAGGGACTGCAGCCATCCCAATCTATACACACACCATGGATGTACTACCTGCAAGGCTATGAGCAAAGACCCAACAGGACACACTGACTTATTTTTTACTGGCTGTCACTCTAATCCCATCTCACACTGATACAAACTCACAACCCTCATGTTGCTACTGGCCTTTTAGATTTTTCCATCAGTATTGACTTTATCTTATTATTTGATGCTCCCCATATTGCTTCAGATAGGATACCCCCATTCTAACTTGGGTCCCCCAGAAACCAACTCCCAACAGTATCTACCTCCACAGAGCTGAGCCTCCTTACTGTACACCTACAGGAGAGCCTCCACCAACTCTCCTTTTCTGTAGGTGTACAGTAAGGAGAAAGGGGTGGGGTTCAGACAGCCAGCTGCTCAGGAGCCACAGGAACTGAGGCTAGCAAGTAAATGTAGCAGGCATGAAAACTGTTGGGGCTATACAGTATCCCATTAAACTTCCTGCCCAGAGGATCACTTTGTAGGGTGGAAAAATAATTAGGAGTGGGCAAGATTTCATCATCTACTTGCTCCTGCTAGAGCCCAGGGCTGCCCCATCTATCAGTAGCAAATTGTAGTATGGGTCACTTGATCTTGGGAAACTAAGAGGAGTCAGGCCAGTGTTCATCCTAATGTGTCCACAGGGTGCTGGTGTAGAGTGCAGAAAGGTAGGCCTTATCACCTTTTCTTATCTTCTCTCTCATCAGTCATCCTATCAAAGGACCCAGATTTCACCATGATGGATACAAAAAGCCCATTTTTTTCTGAGAAGGGCTTTTATGTGTTTACAGGCAATCCGTTGTTATATCTATCACTGGTGGTGAGCGTTAAGGGTAGAAAAAATTGCAGTAGTGTTGACAGCAATAATTCTATTTACGTTTTTCCTTTGTTGGTTTTAAAACATGAATCAAATATACCTTGTAAATAGGAGAAAATTGTAATAATGCTGTTGAGTACAAATTTTACTGCTATGGTAACTGTAAACACACACTGATGATAGTTTTTTTTAATGTAGTGATATATTGGTATTGAAGTTTAGTGCTATGACTAAAACCCAGGAAAATAAATTTAATAAAAATATAGCTGTCAGCAGTTTTATGTGTTAAAATGTAGGGTCTAGTAAACAGGATGGATCAAAGGCTTCTGACCTTAACTGATGGTGAAACACAAAGATTAAGCAATGATACCTCCAAATGTCTGGGGGCTTAGAGAAGAGGCAAAAGCACAATGGATAATCTCTTACAGGTACAGTCAGCAGGAAGGTTCACATCAAAGAAACACCAAGGTAAACAAGGGAAATGGGATTACAAGAAGAGAGGCCCTGAGCCCCCATGGTTACTCTGAAAGTAGCAAAAGGTCACAGACTGATAACCCTCTCTAGATATAGTTGGCAGGTGGAGATGGAGATTAAAGAAAGGAGGATTCTTAATGTAATAGGTGGGTGATGTCAAATAGAACTACCAAAAAAAAAAAAAAAAGGCAAAATAGTATATCTGACTAAGCCTCCACCAATTATATTTCAGAAATATTCAACTTAACAATAGTCATCCTTTATAGAATCAGCACATGTGCCAGGCCTAGTTTCAGGTGTTCTATTTACTTTCATTATTATCTATTATCTCTCATTCTCATACAACTTTGTCGGGTATTTTCCCCCCATTTTAATATGTGTTCTAAAATGTCACTTGGAGAGATGCACCCTCCTCCAAAAGAGGTTGTGATTATAAATAACAAAATAAAAATCAAATTTGTGTAGATACAGTTGAGGAAACTGAGATTCAGGGAGGTAGTGCCACTTCACCAGGACTCAACAACTAGAAAGTGACAGAGTATTATAGAAACAAGTCTGTCTGAAACTAAAGCCTGGTTCTTTGTACTCAACAATGGAAATCTCTCCTCCTCCTGGCTTACAGGGTGAGTAGAAGCCCAGACTGCCTTACTCACTACTTTCTCCTCCACTTTGCATTCAGCTATTGAATCTCGGATTGTTCTTAACATATCTAGGTGAGAGGTGCTAAAACAGGTGCTGCAAGGAATCCATGGTTCACCCTGATGGCCTGAGATTCAATCTACCCTTAGTGTTCTGTCATTCCCTAGAGCACTGCTTCTCAATCAGGAATTTTGCCTCCAAGGGGATATGTGGTCATGTCTGAACACATTTTCGGTTGTCACAACTAGGGGAATTCTATTGGCATCTAGTGGATAGAGGTCAGGTTTGCACTCAGCATTCTACAATGCACAGGACAGCTCCCCACAACAAGGAATGATTCAGCTCCAAACATTAACAGTACCAAGGTTGAGAAACTCTGTTTTTTAAGGAGTCTACCCATTGCTGTGCAATGTTTATGGACTGTTATATTTTCCATTGCTACTGCTAATGCAAACTGCCACTGAGCCTTCCAATGATGCTACCACCATCAAAATTCCAAATGGCCATTCCCTCTGAGAAGTATTTCCAGGGATGCTGTCATATGGACTGACTCTAGCTGACCCTCTTCATGTTCCTCAAAATGATGGCACTAGGTTATTAATGTATGTGTGGGAAAGCCTCCAGCAATAATTTGCCCATTATTTTTGTGATGCCCTAATGTAAAGCTTATGTTTATATGGGGCAATGCTGGACATAAGTATCCCTGCCCTCCATCTTGGATATTGTGCCCTACTTTCCCAGAGAAATGAAATTCAGCTTCCAAACGAAATTTTCAGAATCACACTCCTTTCTTCTCCATAGACATTCCTGTCTTAACATTCTCAGCTGGATCTTTGGGTTGTAGGTCAATAGATTTAGTTCTATGCATATCAGCCTCCCATTTCCCCTCCTTCTTTTTGGAGTCTTTGTTATCATCTAAAGGCTAAAATGTTGATCTCAACATCTAAATGTTGGACCTGGACCTTTAAAAATATTGGACTTCAACTAAGGCACTTGAAAATCTCCTAGGACTTGCCTGTTTGTGTCCCTTCAAAATTCCTGTTGAAACTTACTCTCCAATGCAACAGTATTAAAATGTGGGGCCTTTAGGAGGTAATTAGGCCATGAGGGCTCCACCTTTCATAGATGGGATTAGTGCCCTTATGAAAAGGCTTGAAAGAGTGAGTTTATCCCTTTTGCTTCTCTGTCTCTTCCACCATATGAGCACACAGCATTCATCTCTTCCATCTCTTCTGCCATGTGAAGACACAGTTTATCTCTTCTACCTTTCCATCAAGTGAGAATACAATGAGAAGGCATCAACTTGGGTTCTCAAGTCTCACTGCCCAGGGGAGTGTCAAGTTTCTGCTCCATGTATTCCAATGCAGCACTCTTCAGTCTCTTCAGATGTGGCTCAAGTGAGCCCAGCTGCAGCTTGGGCTACCTCTCCAGGAGGCACATGGGGTAAACTTTCATAGCATCCACGTGGTGCTAACTCTGCAGGCACACAGAGTCCAAGAGCTGTGGGGGCATGGCTACGTTCACCTAGATTTCAAAGGATTCCCTGGAAAGCTTAAGGGCCAAGGCAGAGAAATGCCACAGGGGCAGAGGCACCAGAGAGTTTCCACTAAAGCAATGCTCAGTGGTGCCTAGTGGGCCACTACAGAGAGTCCCCACTAGGGTAATGTCCATTGGATCCATGGGAGCAGGGGTGACCCCAAGAACCCAGAACTCTAGAGCTAGGGCCACCAGCATGTAACTGTACACTGGGAGAGCCACAGGCACAAGACTCTACTTGGGAGAGCTTCAGTATGGCTGTGCCAAGCAAAGCCATGGCAGCAAGGTTGCCTGGAGCCTTGGCAACCCAACTTCTACCCCAGGGTGTCCAGAGGGCAGGACATGGAATAAAGGAAGATTACTCTCCAGCCTTAAGATTGAATATTGTTTGCTCTGTTGGGGGTTGGACTTACTCAGGACCTATTATCCCTTTCTTCTTTCTTCTTTTTGGAATGAAAATGTTTAACCTGCACCTGTCCCACCATTCTATTTTGGAAGCATGTGACTTGTTTGATTTCACAGGCTTACAGCTAGAAGGGGAATTTGCTTCGGGATGAATCATACTTTGGGTCTCTCACCCATATCTGATTTAGACAATATTTGGATGAGATTTTGGACTTAGACTTTAAAGTTGATGCTGTAATAAGTTAAAATTTCTAGGCCTATTGGGAAGGAATATTTGTATATTTTAACATAAATTTTTTGGGGGGAAGGGCAGGAGTGGAATGCTGTGGATTGAATATTTATGTTCCTACATAATTCATGTTGAAACTTAATTCCCAGTGCAATTCTATAAAGAGGTAGGTGCATTTAGAAGGCGATTAGGCTATAAGGGCTCCACACTCATGGGTGGCAATAATGCTCTTATAATAAGAGCTCAATGGAACGTATTTATCACTTTTGCTTTTCTGCCCCTTCTAGCACATGAGGACATAGTGTTTGTCCCTTCTCACTTCCTTCATGTGCGGATGCAGTGGGAAGGGGTCACCTTGAAAGCAGAGAGCAAACCCTTACCAGATATTGAACTGGCCAGCGCCAGTTGGTCTTGGACTTCCCAGCCTTCAGAACTGTGAGAAATAAATTTCTATTGTTTATAAACTACTCAGTCTCAGGTATTTTGTTATAGCAGCACAAACAGATTAAGATGGCATCCTAATAGCACTATGTATTTCAAAGGATGAAAAGAATTTCAGTTAAGATACCCAGAATGATATCTCAAAAAGGAGAGATGAAGAAACTAAGGCTACAAAGAGGAAAATGACTTGCTCAAGGACAAAAGCTAATTTATACAGAGACATACCTGAAGGCCACTAATTTTACTACCATACCACTGTGACTCTACTAATGCCAAAATACATATACAAAATAAAGTCATGTTTTGTGTCATGAACTTTTCGACAATGATGGAGCACTTATATGATGGTGGTCCCATAAGATTATAGTAAGGTACTTTTTAAAAAAAATTATACTATAAGTTCTGGTGTACATGTGCAGAATGTGCAGTTTTGTTACACAGGTATACACGTGCCATGGTGGTTTGCTGCACCCATCAACCCGTCACCTACATTAGGTATTTCTCCTAATGTTATCCCTCCCCTAGCACCCCACCCCCTGATAGGGCCTGGTGTGTGATGATCCCCTCCCTATGTCCATGTATTCTCATTGTTCGACTCCCACTTATGAGTGAGAACATGTGGTGTTTGGTTTTCTGCTCTTTTGATAGTTTGCTGAGAATGATGGTTTCCAGCTTCATTCATGTCCCTGCAAAGGACATGAACTCATCCTTTTTTATGGCTGCATAGTATTCCACGGTGTATATGTGCCACATTTTCTTTATACAGTCTATTACTGATGGATATTTGGATTGGTTCCAAGTCTTTGCCATTGTGAATAGTGACACAATAAACATATGTGTGCATGGGTCTATATAGTAGAATGATTAATAATCCTTTGCTTATATGTCCAGTAATGGGATTGCTGGGTCAAATGGTATTTCTAGTTCTAGATCCTTGAGGAATCGCCACACTGTCTTCCACAATGGTTGAACTAATTTATACTCCTACCAACAGTGTAAAAGCATTCCTAGTTCTCCACATCCTCTCCAGCATCTGTTGTTTCCTGACTTTTTAATGATCACCATTCTAACTGGCGTGACATGGTATCTCATTGTGGTTTTGATTTTCATTTATCTAATGACCAGTGACGATGAGCATTTTTTCATATGTCTGTTGGCTGCATAAATGTCTTCTTTTCAGAAGTGTTTGTTCATATCCTTTGCCCACTTTTTGATGGGATTGTTTGTTTTTTTCTTGTACATTTGTTTAAGTTCTTTGTAGATTCTAGATATTAGCCCTTTGTCAGATGGATAGATTGCAAAAATTTTCCCCCATTCTGTAGGTTGCCTGTTCAGTCTGATGATAGTTTCTTTTGCTGTGCAGAAGCTCTTTACTTTAATTAGATCCCATTTGTCAATTTTGGCTCCTGTTGCCATTGCTTTTGGTGTTTCAGACATGAAGTCCTTGCCCATGCCTATGTCCTGAATGGTATTGCCCAGGTTTTCTTCTAGGATTTTTATGGTCCTAGGTCTTACGTTTAAGTCTCTGATCCACCATGAGTTGATTTTTGTATAAGGTGTAAGGAAGGGGTCCAGTTTCAGTTTTCTGCACATGGCTAGCCAGCTTACCCAACACCATTTATTAAATAGGGAATCCTTTCCCCATTGCTTGTTTTTGTCAGGTTTGTCAAAGATCAGATGGCTGTAGATGTGTAGTGTTATTCCTGAGGCCTCTGTTCTGTTCTATTGGTCTATATATGTGTTCTGGTACCAGTACCATGCTGTTTTGCTTACTGTAGCCTTGTAGTATAGTTTGAAGTCAGGTAGTGTGATGCCTCCAGTTTTGTTCCTTTGGCTTAGGATTGACTTGGCAATGCAGGCTCTTTTTTGGTTCCATATGAACTTTAAAGTAGTTTTTTCCAATTCTGTGAATAAAGTCATTGGTAGCTTGATGGGGATGGCATTGAATCTATAAATTACCTTGGGCAGTATGGCCATTTTCACGATATTGATTCTTCCTACCCATGAGCATGGAATGTTCTTCCATTTGTCTGTATCCTCTTTTATTTCGCTGAGCAGTGGTTTGTAGTTCTCCTTGAGGAGGTCCTTCACATCCCTTGTAAGTTGGATCCCTAGATATTTTATTCTCTTTGTAGCAATTGTGAATGGGAGTTCACTCATGATTTGGCTCTCTGTTTGTCTGTTATTGGTGTATAGGAATGTGTGTGATTTTTGCAAATTGATTTTGTATCCTGAGACTTTGCTGAAGTTGCTTATCAGCTTAAGGAGATTTTGGGCTGAGATGATGGGGTTTTCTAAATATACAATCATGTCATCTGCAAACAGAGACAATTTGACTTCCTCTCTTCCTATTTTCTTCCTTTCTCTTGCCAGATTGCCCTGGCCAGAACTTCCAATACTATGTTGAATAGGAGTGGTGAGAGAGGGTATCCTTGTCTTGTGCTGGTTTTCAAAGGGAATGCTTCCAGTTTTTGCCCATTCAGTATGATACTGGCTGTGGGTTTGTCATAAATAACTCTTATTATTTTGAGATACATTCCACTGATACCTAGTTTATTGTGAGTTTTTAGCATGAAGGGGTGTCAAATTTTGTCAAAGGCCTTTTGTACGTCTATTGAGATAATCATGTGGTTTTTGTCATTGGTTCTGTTTATACGATGGATTGCATTTATTGATTTGTGTATGTTGAACCAGCCTTGCATCCCAGGAATGAAGCCAACTTGATCATGGTGGATACGCTTTTTGATGTGCTGCTGGATTCGGTTTGCCAGTATTTTATTGAGAATTTTTGCAACGATGTTCATCAGGGATATTGGCCTGAAAATTTCTTTTTCTGTTGTGTCTCTCCAGGTTTTGGTATCAGGATAATGCTGGCCTCATAAAATGAGTTAGGGAGGATTCCCTCTTTTTGTATTGTTTGGAATAGTTTCAGAAGGAATGGTACCAGCTCCTCTTTGTACCTCTGGTAGAATTCGGCTATGAATCCGTCTGGTCCTGGGCTTTTCTTGGTTGGTAGGCTATTAATTAATGACTCAATTTCAGAACTTGTCATTGGTTTATTTAGGGATTTGATTTCTTCCTGGTTTAGACTTGGGAGGGTGTATGTGTCCAGGAATTTATCCATTTCTTCTAGATTTTCTAGTTTATTTGCATAGAGGAGTTTATAGTATTCTCTGATGGTAGTTTGTATTTCTGTGGGATCAGTGGTGATATCCCCTATATCATTTTTTATTGCATCTATTTGATTCATCTCTCTTTTCTTCTTTATTAGTGTGGATAGTTGTCTATCTATTTTGTTGATCTTTTCAAAAAATGAGCTCCTGGATTCATTAATTTTTTGAAGGGTTTTTTATGTCTCTAGCTCCTTCAGTTCTGCTCTGATCTTAGTTATTTCTTGTCTTCTGCTAGATTTTGAATGTGTTTGTTGTTGCTTCTCTAGTTCTTTTAATTTTGATGTTAGGGTGTCAATTTTAGATCTTTCCTGCTTTCTCTTGTGGGTATTTAGTGCTATAAATTTCCCTCTACATACTGGTTTAAATGTGTCCCAGCAATTCTGGTACATTGTGTCTTCATTCTCATTGGTTTCAAATAACTTATTTATGTCTGCCTTAATTTCGTTATTTACCCAATAGTCATTCAAGAGCAGGTTGTTCAGTTTCCATGTAGTTGTGAGGTTTTGAGTGAGTTTCTTAATCCTGAGTTTTCATTTGATGGCACTGTGGTCTGAGAGACTGTTTGTTATGATTTCCATTCATCTTCATTTGCTGAGGAGTGTTTTACTTCCAATTATGTGGTCAATTTTAGAATAAGTGTGATGAGGTGCTGAGAAGAATGTATATTCTGTTGATTTGGTGTGGAGAGTTCTATAGATGTCTATTAGGTCTGCTTGGTCCAGACTTGAGTTCAAGTCCTGAATATCCTTGTTAATTTTCTGTCTCGTTGATCTAATATTGACAGCGGGGTGTTAAAGTCTCCCACTATTATTGTGTGGGAGTCTAAGTCTCTTTGTAGTTCTTTAAGAACTTGCTTTATTAATCTGGGTGCTCCTGTATTGGGTGCATATGTATTTAGGATAGTTAGCTCTTCTTGCTGCATTGATCCCTTTATCATTATGTAATGCCCTTCCTTGTCTAGTAAGGTACTTTTGCTGTACCTTTTATATGTTTAGATACAGAAATACCTACCATTGTGTTGCAGTTACCTACAGTATTCAGTGCAGTATCATGCTGTACAGGTTTGTAGCCTAGGAGCAAGAGACTCTACCATACAGCCTAGGTTTGTAGTAGGCTATACCATCTAGGTTTGTATAAGCACAGTCTATGTTTTTTGCACAGTGAGAAAACTGTCTGACAAAGTTAATTAAGTGATACATGAATGCATGTGTAGAATAATTCTTCAGACATCTTTAAGCACTTTATATGATTTAAAAATACTTTCACTTCAAATATGAGGCATGAAAATACTAATGATATTCTAAGTATTATTATCATCTCTATGAGAGAGTCTCAGAGACATGATGAGACTTGCAGAGCTGAAAACAGAATCCAGGTATACAGACCCCTTTCTAGTGCAACACAGAAATCAGAATGTTGGTTTTCAGTGTGAGGCTGACAGACATGAATAATACACATGCAATTAAGTCATGTCAAAACCCAATCAAAGGATTCAGGCAGTTATCTAGGTAATAAAGACAGAAACACAAGATTTGAGCTGAATTAGCCAGATTATCAGTCAAACTGATTCATTTTGACCTAAGATAATATACCAGCATGAGAACTTCTCTACAGACATTATTTATGATGTCTACATGGAAGCCCTGAAGCTATTGCAAAAATCTGCAGTAGCCACGTATAGATATCATTTCCTAGCTATATATAGGAGACTCTTCCTTCTATAATGCTCAAAAAGGGGATGTCGCTATGTCTCAGAGATCAATGAAACTCGGGGGAACACTTCTCAGTCTAGCGAGTGTACCCAGTTTGAGAGGATTAGGCATTTCCAAGTAATTTTCTGATCATAACTCTATTGTAGAAAAATAAGCTATTATAATTTTGTACTCCCAAATACTTACTAAATACTTACTATGTGTTGCAGTGTGTTATAAATGGTGCTTATATTGGAAATCTGCAGTGGGCGGGGGCGGGGGTGGCGTGGGGATGATGATAAACAAAACACAATCTCTATACTCCAGGAGCTTACAAAGCAGTGGGGGGACTGAGAGTAATAGTGTGACTTGGATTTACACAGACATTAAGAGTACATGTTAGTCCTTTCATCTGGAACACTCTTCCCTCCCGTCTCTCCTAGCAATTATCACTTCTACTAATAAACCTTCTGTATCTGGATTTCTCCAGCAGACTTCTTGTCCTTCCACTGTGTGTGCTTACATGGTCCAGTCGGCATCCTTCTGCCACAATAGTATTAATATCACAATGTATAGTCTCCACCCTCAACAAAATATGAGCTTTAAAGAAAAGGGAGTTTGTATTTCTGTATCCTCAGGGCCTAGCACAGTGCCTGGAACATGGAAAGTGCTCATTATATGATTGTTTAATTCCTAAATGAGTGAATGAAGGAATTCATAAACGTGCCCTGGAGAGCAAAGGAAAGAGAGATTGTTTCTGGCAGAGGTATATTAAACGTTGCATCAAGGAGATAGCATACTCTGGGTCTTGAAGAGTGAATATGATTTGGACATGAGCAAAGGCACAGAGACCAGAAAGAGCCAGGTCAGAAATGTGCTTTAAAAATTTTTTTAAAGTAATACTTTGAGAGGCTTTGGATTCTATCATGGTGGAGTACTTAGTACCAAACTTGTTGCCCTATTATACACATTTAGAAAACTGGACAAAATACGTGAAACAACTATTTTCAGGCACAGAATGTGATCCATCATGGAATATAACAGTTGAGGTGAGCCCTACTTCCTTGTCCATACTGCATGAAGAGGAAACTTGAGCAGAGCTCAGCAGACACTGAATTCAGGAAACAGAGACTAGAGTTTACGGAAGCTGAGGTGAGTGGAATTTCTTGACAAGAGCACAGGAGAGGAAGACGATATGCAGGAAAAGACCTTCAGAAATCTGTATAGGCATAATCCTGAGTTCTGCTTATGAATCATCCACATAAATACATATGGTGAAATGCCATGTTTCAAGACAAAGGCAACTACCAGGATGCTGTGAGCTGAAAAATTTAGAGTTCACGCAAGTATAGGAGACATTTAAGTTCCAGCCAGATAAAGGAGCGAGAACTTGTTGAATACCCAGGGAATCAGGTAGAGGCTTATGAAGGAACATAGTTTTTTATTAGGGATAAGCAAGCAGTGGGTAAAGTATGCAATAGATCTGCTATAACAAAACTTCCAAATGAGACTCAAAAATATCATAATGAACTGGCTAGAGTAACAGAACTGCCTACTAGGCAAAGCCCAACATTTTCTTAAGGAAGACAACCAAGTGCAGACACTCAGCAACATACTATTCTAAATTAAAAATTATTAGACATACAAGAAAAAGGAAAATGTTACCCACGACTAGGAGAGAAGTCAGTCAATAGAAATAAAATAAAAAAATGAGAGAGCTGATGAAATTAGTAGACAATAACATTAAAATGGCTATTTTAAGAATGCTCAAAAAATAAAGGAAAACTTATAAACATAATGAGGGAAGATATAAAAAAGAAACAAATGCAACTTCTAAATCTGAAAAATACAATATGTAATATGAAAAGTAATCATAAATTGAAGTGTGCTGTTGAAAGGTTTGTACTTTAATTGCAAATTAGACACTTCAGAAG
The DNA here is from genome assembly GCF_000001405.40 of Homo sapiens. Taxonomy (NCBI): domain Eukaryota; kingdom Metazoa; phylum Chordata; class Mammalia; order Primates; family Hominidae; genus Homo; species Homo sapiens. Next base: position 132,321,080 of record NC_000023.11, on the reverse strand, counting down.
AAAATACCAGTGCCTTGATGACATAGCAAGAGAATCTAACTACAATGAAAGATAGAAAGAAAAAAAGTGCCAAACAGTAACAACAAAGAATAGAGATTTGTGGCACAATATTAAGCAATCTAATCTACGTGTAACTGAGGTCCCAAAGAGAAGCAACAGGAGAAGGTGGAAAATGTATTTGATGAAATAACAGCACATTTTTTCGAAATTTCATGAAAAGCATAAACCCACAGATCCAAGAATCCCAGTGAACTCATGAAGGATAAACACCAAGCAAACAACACAAAGACACATCATAATAAAATTGCCAAAAAGTCATGATTAAGGAAAATATTTCAGTAGTAGCCAGAGGAAAAAAAGACACATAAGATACCAGAGAAAAATGATAAGAATGACTGCAGACTTCTCAGCACAAACAATGCAAGCCAGATAGGAACTAATCTTTAAGTTTCAAATATACTTCAAGAATATGTTCTTCAAGAATAAAAGCAAAACGAATACTATTTCTTTTTTTAATTATACTTTAAGTTTTAGGGTACATGTGCACAACACGCAGGTTTGTTACATATATATACACGTGCCATGTTGGTGTGCTGCACCCATTAACTCATCATTTAACATTAGGTATATCTCCTAATGCTACCCCTCCCCCCTCCCCCAACCCCACAACAGGCCCCAGTGTGTGATGTTCCCCTTCCTATGTCCATGTGTTCTCATTGTTCAGTTCCCACCTATGAGTGAGAACATGCGGTGTTTGGTTTTTTGTCCTTGCAATAGTTTGCTGAGAATGATAGTTTCCACTTCATCCATGTCCCTACAAAGGACATGAGCTCATCATTTTTATGGCTGCATAGTATTCCATGGTGTATATGTGCCACATTTTCTTAATCCAGTCTATCATTGTTGGACATTTGGGTTGGTTACAAGTCTTTGCTATTGTGAATAGTGCCACAATAAACATACATGTGCATGTGTCTTTATAACAGCATGGTTTATAATCCTTTGGGTATATACCCAGTAATGGGATTACTGGGTCAAATGGTATTTCTAGTTCCAGATCCCTGAGGAATCGCCACACTGTCTTCCACAATGGTTGAACTAGTTTACAGTCCCACCAGCAGTATAAAAGTGTTCCTATTTCTCCACATCCTCTCCAGCACCTGTTGTGTCCTGACTTTTTAATGATCGCCATTCTAATTGGTGTGAGATGGTATCTCATTGTGGTTTTGATTTGCATTTCTCTGATGGCCAGTGATGATGAGTATTTTTTCATGTATAATTCGGCTGCATAAATGTCTTCTTTTGAGAAGTGTCTGTTCATATCCTTCACCCACTTTTTGATGGGGTTGTTTGTTTTTTTCTTGTAAATTTGTTTGAGTTCATTGTAGATTCTGGATATTAGCCCTTTGTCAGATGAGTAGATTGCAAAAATTTTCTCCCATTCTGTAGGCTGCCTGTTCACTCTGATGGTAGTTTCTTTTGCTGTGCAGAAGCTCTTTACTTTAATTAGATCCCATTTGTCAATTTTGGCTTTTGTTGCCATTGCTTTTGGTGTTTTAGACATGAAGTCCTTGCCCATGCCTGTGTCCTGAATGGTATTGCCTAGGTTTTCTTTTAGGGTTTTTATGGTTTTAGGTCTAACATTTAAATTTTTAATCCATCTTGAATTAATTTTAGTATAAGGTGTAAGGAAGGGATCCAGTTTCAGCTTTCTACATATGGCTAGCCAGTTTTCCCAGCACCGTTTACTAAATAGGGAATGCTTTCCCCACTTCTTGTTTTTGTCAGGTTTGTCAAAGATCAGATAGTTGTAGATATGTGGAATTATTTCTGAGGGCTCTGTTCTGTTCCATTGGTCTATATCTCTGTTTTGGTACCAGTACCATGCTGTTTTGGTTACTGTAGCCTTGCAGTGTAGTTTGAAGTCAGGTAGCATGATGCCTCCAGCTTTGTTCTTTTGGCTTAGGATTGGCTTGGCAATGCAGGCTCTTTTTCAGTTCCATATGAACTTTAAAGTACTTTTTTCCATTTCTGTGAAGAAAGTCATTGGTAGCTTGATGGGGATGGCATTGAATCTATAAATTACCTTGGGCAGTATGGCCATTTTCACAATATTGATTCTTCCTACCCAGGAGCATGGAATGTTCTTCCATTTGTTTATATCCTCTTTTATTTCATTGAGCAGTGGTTTGTAGTTCTCCTTGAAGAGGTCCTTCACATCCTTTGTAAGTTGGATTCCTAGGTATTTTATTCCCTTTGTAGCAATTGTGAATGGGAGTTCACCCATGATTTGGCTCTCTGTTTGTCTGTTATTGGTGTATAGGAATGCTTGTGATTTTTGCACATTGATTTTGTATCCTGAGACTTTGCTGAAGTTGCTGATCAGCTTAAGGAGATTTTGAGCTGAGACGATGGGGTTTTCTAGATATACAATCATGTCATCTGCAAACAGGGACAATTTGACTTTCTCTTTTCCTAATTGAATACCCTTTATTTCCTTCTCCTGCCTGATTGCCCTGGCCAGAACTTCTAACACTATGTTGAATAGGAGTGGTGAGAGAGGGCATCCCTGTCTTGTGCCAGTTTTCAAAGGGAATGCTTCCAGTTTTTGCCCATTCAGTATGATATCGGCTGTGGGTTTCTCATAAATAGCTCTTATTATTTTGAGATATGCCCCATCAATGCCTAATTTATTGAGAGTTTTTAGCATGAAAGGCTGTTGAATTTTGTCAAATGCCTTTTCTGCATCTATTGAGATAATCATGTGGTTTTTGTCGTTGGTTCTGTTTATATGCTGGATTACATTTATTGCTTTGTGTATGTTGAACCAGCCTTGCATCCCAGGGATGAAGCCCACTTGATCATGGTGGATAAGCTTTTTGATGTGCTGCTGGATTTGGTTTGCCAGTATTTTATTGAGGATTTTTGCATCGACGTTCATCTAAGCTTCATAAGTGAAGGAGAAATAAAATACTTTACAGACAAGCAAATGCTGAGAGATTTTGTGACTACGAGGCCTGCCCTAAAAGAGCTCCTGAAGGAAGCACTAAACATGGAAAGGAACAACCGGTACCAGCCACTGCAAAAACATGCAAAAGTGTAAAGACCATCAAGGCTAGGAAGAAACTGCATCAACTAACGAGCAAAATAACCAGCTAACATCATAATGACAGGATCAAATTCACACATAATAATATTAACCTTAAATGTAAATGGGCTAAATGCTCCAATTAAAAGACACAGACTGGCAAATTGGATAAAGAGTCAAGACCCATCAGTGTGCTGTATCCAGGAAACCCATCTCATGTGCAGAGACACACATATGCTCAAAAGAAAGGGATGGAGGAAGATCTACCAAGCAAATGGAAAACAAAAAAAGGCAGGGGTTGCAATCCTAGTCTCTGATAAAACAGACTTTCAACCAACAAAGATCAAGAGAGACAAAAAAGGCCATTACATAATGGTAAAGGGATCAATTCAACAAGAAGAACTAACTATCCTAAATTTATATGCACCCAATCAGGAGCACCTAGATTCATAAAGCAAGTCCTTAGAGACCTACAAAGAGACTTAGACTCCCACACAATAATAACGGGAGACTTTAACACCCCACTGTCAACATTAGACAGATCAATGAGACAGAAAGTGAACAAGGATATCCAGGAATTGAACTCTGCTCTGCACCAAGTGGACCTAACAGACATCTACAGAATTCTCCACCCCAAATCAACAGAATATACATTCTTTTCAGCACCACACCACACCTATTCCAAAATTGACCACATAGTTGGAAGTAAAGCACTCCTCAGCAAATGTAAAAGAAGAGAAATTATAACAAACTGTCTCTCAGACTACAGTGCAATCAAACTAGAACTCAGGATTAAGAAACTCACTCAAAACCGCTCAACTACATGGAAACTGAACAACCTGCTCCTCAATGACTACTGGGTACATAGTGAAATGAAGGCAGAAATAAAGATGTTCTTTGAAACCAACCAGAACAAAGACACAACATACCAGAATCTCTGGGACACATTCAAAGCAGTGTGTAGAGGGAAATTTATAGCACTAAATGCCCACAAGAGAAAGCAGGAAAGTGAAAATTGACACCCTAACATCACAATTAAAAGAACTAGAGAAGCAAGAGCAAATACATTCAAAAGCTAGCAGAAGGCAAGAAATAACTAAGATCAGAGCAGAACTGAAGGAAATAGAGACACAAAAAACCCTTCAAAAAATCAATGAATCCAGGAGCTGGTTTTTTGAAAAGATCAGCAAAATTGATAGACTGCTAGCAAGACTAATAAAGAAGAAAAGAGAGAAGAATCAAATAGACACAATAAAAAATGATGAAGGGGATATCACCATCGATCCCACAGAAATACAAACTACCATCAGAGAATACTATAAACACCTCTATGCAAATAAACTAGAATACTGGAAGAAATGGATAAATTCCTCGACACATACACCCTCCCAAGACTAAACCAGGAAGAAGTTGAATCTCTGAATAGACCAATAACAGGCTCTGAAATTGAGGCAATAATTAATAGCTTACCAACCAAAAAAAGTCCAGGACCAGATGGATTCACAGCAGAATTCTACCAGAGGTACGAGGAGGAGCTGGTACCATTCTTTCTGAAACTATTCCAATCAATAGAAAAAGAGGGAATCCTCTCTAACTCATTTTATGAGGCCACCATCATCCTGATACCAAAGCCTGGCAGAGACACAACAAAAAAAGAGAATTTTAGACCAATATCCCTGATGAATACTATTTCTTTACAAGCAAAAGCTAACAGACTTCATGCCAATAGACCTGTAATACAGGGATATTAAAGGAAGTTCTTCAGCCTAAAGGTAAGTTATGCCAGATAGAAATTGGGACCTAAACAAAGGAATAAAGAGCTCCAGAATGGAAAATATGTGGGCAGATTTTTTTTAACTAAGTTCAGGGGTACAAGTGTAGGTTTGTTACATAGGTAAACTTGTGCCATGGGTTTCTGTTGTACAGATGATTTCATCACCCAGATACGAAGCTTAGTACTTATTAGTTATTTTTCCTGATCCTCTCCCTCTTCCCACCCTCTATCCTCCGAAAGACTCTAGTGTGTGTTGTTCCCGTCTATGTGGCCATGTGTTCTCATCATTTAGCACACACTTATAAGCAAGAACATGTAGTATTTTCTGTTCCTGTGTTAGTGTGCTAAGGATAATGGATTAAACTAAAGAGCTTCTGTGGGCAGATATTTTTAAACTATGTTCTCATATTAAATTTCTCTAAAAGATAATTAACTTCAGTGGCTCATGCCTATAATCCCAGCACTTTGGGAGGCCAAGGCAGGCAGATCACAAGGTCAGGAGTTCGAGACCAGCCTGGCCAACATGGTGAAACCCTGTGTCTACTAAAAATACAAAAATCAGCCGGGCGTGGTGGCGGGCACTTGTAATCCCACCTACTCTGGAGGCTGAGGCAGGAGAATGGCTTGAAACCGGAAGGCAGAGGGTGCAGTGAGCTGAGATCATGCCACTGTACTCCAGCCTGGGGGAAAGAGTGAAACTCCAACTCAAAAAAAAAAAAAAAAAACTTTAAAGCAAAAATAATAATAATCTGTATCGTGTAGTTCAGAAACATGTAGATGTAAAATTTATGTCAACGATATTGCAAAGGGCAGAGAAGTGGAAAATATATTGCTCTAAGATTCTTTTATGTGAACTGATACGGCATTATTTGAAAAGAAAATCTAATAAGTTAAAGATGCAGATGGTAAATCTTACAGCAATCCCTAAAATAAAAACAAAGAGGTATGTGTAACAGACTCATAATGGAACTTATGAATAGAATCCTAGGAAACAATTAGTAAATGTCAGGGCTGAGAAATCATCATTCTTGTAGAGTTATGGTAGATCCTTCCATTCAATGGCTTTTTAGAGGCCTCCTTGATGTCTTTTGGAGCCTTCAGCATGAATTACTCTTAAGACCTTTCTTCTTGCCAATACTGAGTTCTTAATAGCAAGCTATTGGCACATCATTACACTAAAAGCTCCATCTTCACTAGGAATGAGGGAGAAGAAATAGAGTTTAAAGAGATGAAAAACACCCTCCTATATTTATTTCCTCAGCCTGGATCTCCCCACTGAATTCTTAGACTCATGTATACAATGACCTACCCAATATTTAAGGACCTACTTGTTCCTCAAACTTAACACGTCCCAAACCCAGTTCTTTATTTTAACAATTTTATTGTTAAATAAAATATACTATATACACAGTTTATTTCTGAGGTGATGAAAGTGTTCTAAAATTGATTGTGGTGATGGTTACCAAACTCTGTGAATATACTAAAAACCACTGAATTACATATTTTAAATGTGCGAATTGTATAGTATGTGCCTGGCTTCTTTCACTTAGTATGTTTTCAAGATTTATTCATGTTGTAGCATCTATCAGTACTTTGTTCCTTTTTATAGCTGCATAATATTCCATTGTGTGCATATACCACATTTTATCCATTCAATTGTTGATGGACATTTCAGTCATTTTCACCATTTGGCTATTATTAATAATGCTGATATGAATAGTACTTAAAATAAAATACAAACTTTATGCCCTGGACTTCAGGCCCAATCCTGGTTACTGCTTAATTATCCTACCTCTTCTCCTATGATCACAGTTGCTCACTGCCCTTCAGTCACACTGACTTTCTTTTCGTTCTCACCTCAGGACCTTTATATTTGTTGTTTACTCTGTCTGGAATGTTCTTCTCCAGACCTGCATATAGCTGGATCCTTTTTATGATTCAGACCTCTGCTCAAATGTTTCCTCATTGGGAAGGTCTTCAGTAAGCACCCTAGCTATAACAACCTCCCTTTTCAGTCACTCTCCTTTATAGTAGCAGGTCTCATTCTCTTCATATAATTTATTATGATTACTATTATTGGTTGTACCATGTACTTATTTATTATCTGTCTTTCCCAACTAGAATATAAAATCCACAAGAGTAGCGACTTTATGTGTGTTATTTTTGCTGCACCCACAGGGATTTGAACAGTGTCTGGACTCATAGTAAGTCCTCAGTAAATAACTGGTAAATGAAGACTTCCAGTGGGCAGTTAGTTACATAACTTCAGGAGAAGGGTCAGAGGTGCAGACAAAAGTTCAGGAATATTAGCAGAAAGATGGTAGCATACTTCCTTGATATTAAGCAATTTCTAAAATAAAATGCAGTGAACTTTTGTAAAGCTATTATTAAATCAATGTCTTAAAATACGTGATTTCTTAAAATCATGGAAAGATGGTACTTGAAGTACAAAGCGGGAGAAGAAATGGTGGCCAGAGGTACAATCTTGGTGAACATATATTCAAGGATTAAGGTGGAAGGTTACCTGGGGAATTGAGGCATGCTTCTTAATACCCCAAACTTTTCTTTTTTAATTGAAATGAACCTAATGAGGATTTCTTAGATGAATTATGCAGTTGTCTGTCTTCTCTAAACATCACTGAACTTTTTCTGGATGAGTGAAGGAACTAAAAATGAAAATTTGGAGAGAAGGTAGCAGGGCTAGAAGGCAGAAGTGGCTACTGACCACTGGACACTAAATTTCTTGACTTTCAGGCATAGCTGTAGGCCTCCTCTGCTGGGGAATAGTATTGCTTTTCTTATCCTTCTTGAAGAAAAAGATAACAAAATGTCAGTAAAATGGGGTGGGGGGAGGTTGCCCAGATGGTCGTGAAGGTTGAGGTTTGGATGGTGACAGGATTTTGTTTTGCTCTCAGAACTCCTCTGCCATTAACAACTTCCCTACAACAAGCCCCAGCCTCACTTTCATGTGTCTGTTCCCTCTGGACCTCCATTTTCAGAGCAGAAGGTGAGCCCACAATGTTACTTGGGAAGCAAGACAAGCCTGAATAACTTACTGTTTATCTCCTATTAAGTCTCTTCAGGCTGACTTAGAGGGAAGTTTGAGGCTGAGAGCTGGAAAAACAAGTCAGCAGTTAAATACTTGGTGAACTCAAGGAAAACATTTTGCACATAACCTGAAAGAGTTCTCCTCACTCCAGGGAAAACTTTACCTTACTCCAGGGAAAGCTTTACCTTTGGGTCTGAAAGCCATTCCCAGAGGCTTTTTTCAAGCCCTGGAAAACTAAAGAGAATTTTAAATAATATAAAACGTAAAACTATTATTCAGTGTTCTGTTTTATGGGGGGAGGGATGGAGTCTCGCTCTGTCACCCAGGCTAAAGTGCAGTGGCGCAATCTTGGCTCACTGCAGCCTCTGCCTCCCAGGCTAAAGTGATTCTCATGCCTCAGCCTCCTGAGTAGCTGGGATTACAGGTGTGTGCTACCATGCCCGACTAGTTTTTGTATTTTTGGTAGAGATGGGGTCTCACCATGTTGGCCAGGCTGGTCTCGAACTCCTGACCTCAAGTGATCTGTCTGCCTCGGCATCCCAAAGTGCTGGGATTACAAGGCCACCATGCCTGGCCGCAGTGTTCTTTTTCATCTTCTTCTCTCTCAAGCTAAAGTCCAGTTGTAGGAAGTGCTTCTGTGACCAGGGTCCATTGTTAGCTGTTGTTCTCATCCCCAGCAATGACTAGGTTTGGGAGAAACTGTTTGAGCCTCTGTGCCAGAGCTAGCAGTCACCCACACTGGGGAACTCCACATTTGGACCCCAGAGGGTACAGATTAGAACCCTCTGGATGGGTAAGGTAACCAGGTTATCTCAGGATTTAAAATCCTCGTTGGAATTCAGGCAGGTATTGGAACACATCAAATCTCTTTAAACCATTAAGCTACCACCTAGTGCCCACTTCCGAGGCTGGAAGAAGATCAGCTTCCAGAGTATCTAACTTCCAACAGAGGAGGAGCTACAAAGTAGGGAGCCAAAACCTGACTCCACATAAATCACTGGCATTCAAGTATCCTGGGGCACAATAAAAAAGGAAGCTATAATACAAAAAGGAATAGTGATGTCTATGGCTCACAGGAGACACTGCTCTGTCTAAAAGTATTCAAATCCAAATCTTTAAAACTGTGCTGCCCAAGTAAGCTCTGTGGACAGGCACTGGTTGGCCCCTGGGCCACTAGTTTGCAACCTCTGACTGAAATCTGCAATATTGCAATGAATGTCTTTTAAATGGGAAAATTAAAGGCATAATGGTGAGCACTGGAAGAAGCATGCTTTACAGTGATGGTCTCCCTATTATTCCTCAATGCACACCATGTAGGTCATCACCTCCTCACAATGCTGATCCTCGCATTAGGCACTCACCAGCTCTTGGTAGGCATCCTCTGGGACCTAGCTCCCAATGCAAATGTATTTCCTCCTTTGGAGAGAACTAGAATCTCTAACTCTTGAGAACTGAAGGGTGCTCTCCTCAGCTGCTTTAATTATATTCACAGAATGGATTGCACACTTGTCTTGACAAGAAATCAAGCAAACAAAAATGCAACTATTGGCAAATTGGACCCATCCCATGAGTTATGCCAGACCCTCGAGCACATGCACCAGGAAGCAAGAGACAACTTTCTTCTCCCAAAATGCTTCATGACTTTCTTTGTCATAGGTAGTCAGCACCTGGTCTGGTTTCAGGAAATGCTGCATAGCATGTCAGGATTGGCAGGGCTATTAGTAACAATGTAGTTCAGCCTCCCATATTCTAGATAGAGAAACTTAGATACATATAGGGCAAGTGATTTGTCTAAGGTCGGATACAAACACAGAGCCAAGGTGTATGCTCTCTTTTTACTTTTTGAATATCAGAACTTTCAAGATCCTTAGCAATGCAGCCTACCTTTCCCCTCATTTACTGAGGCCCAGGAATCAAAAGAGATTTGTCCAAGGTCACACAACTAAATAATGGCTCAACTAGGCCTCCTAAACCCCAGGAACTTATTCTTTCCTCTATATTTTGTTAAATTGTTTTGGAGACAAAGCCTTGTTCTGTCACCCAGGTTGGAGTGCAGTGGCATGATCATAGCTCACTGCAGCCTTGACCTCCTGGGCCCAAGTGATCCTCCTACCTCAGCCTCATAACTAGTTGGGTCTACAGGCCAGCACCACCATGCCTGGCTAATTTTAAAAAAAATATTGTAGATACAGGGTCTTATTCTGTAGGCCAGGCTGGTCTTGAACTCCTGGCCTCAAATATCCTCCTGCTTCAGCCTCCCAAAGTGCTGGGATTACAGGCATGAGCCACTGTGCCTGGCCAATGATGGTCTGTTTTAATGATGTAACTCAACTCTGTGTCCCTTATATTGACAAGCGTACATCAGGAGATTGAGAATGGAAGGAGGAAGAGGCTTGGGGTATGTAGGGGGTGAGGGGAAGGTACCCGAGAGTCACTTGCTGCTCTCTGATTCTTTGGGTGATAGGCCCTACTTTTTCAAGTGGTGCAAGATTTTCATTTTGTGTTCTTAAAGGAACAGATCTCAGAATAAAACTAGCTACCCAGGAACAGTGTGGCCACAACATGCACAAAATGAGCACATGGCCATTTTATTACAACTTTTGAGCTGCTCCCTACACTTCCTGCTATATTTCCTCTGCCCATAGATAGCACAGAGAGGCATTCAGGCATTGAACATATCAGGGAAGCCGCCAGGAAGAGAAGGAGGAAAAGAGAACCGCATATGTGGGACTAGATAAACATTAACGTTCTAGGGAAGACTGATGGGGATATCTGAATAGAGCTTATTCTGGAAGCACCAAAAGCAGCCCCCACTGATAGCATCTAGCCCACTATTCTTGGCTGATATTGAACACTACTCCTGGCCATGTATCCATTTTGTGCATGTCACAGCCACATTGTTTCTGAGTAGCTGGTTTTATTTTGAGATCTGTTTCTTTAGGTACACAAAATGAAAATCTTGCACCACTTAAAAGGGCAGGGCCTATCACCCAAAGAATAAGATTTACTTCCAACAGAGCCAAAGCCTGAGCAGCAAGCTCTCCCTTGTCTAGAATCTAGCACAGAGCAATTCAGTTGCACTCCATTCTCATGTGCATTCTGCTTCATATTCAGGGAGTTCTGAGAAACAACGACCAGATTAGCAGTATTAGTGAGATCCCTAAAAATGATTAAAAACAGAGCCTTTGCAAATGAGAATGAAGAGGTACATCTTCCATCTTACAGCCAGTCCCACCCCTCATCCCACCAACTCTTTAAGACTAAGGTGGCTTGCTCGCTGAAATAAACAATGTAGAAAGAAAGTAATGTTTAAGACAAATGTGTTAGGCATCAATGATAACATTTCAGGTTCTAAGCTCTTTATGGAGAGATATTTAGGGGGTTGGAAATCATGCTTGATACTTCTCTGATCATACTAATGTGGAACCCCCATGTCACTTCGTCACTCTTATAACACGGTACATTTTGATTTAGGTAACACCACGATTATTTTGCAAAACACCTTGAAATGATATGCAAGAATAGCCCATTTCTAACTAGTAGTCCATCATAAACACACTCAGATTTCAGAGGGTAGCACAAAAGGGTTATTCACTTTACCTATTGGCTTTCCTTTCAGTCCAATCAAAACTCATGTCTGATGACAGCCCCTGGTCTCCCTCCTCTCCCTTCTACCATGTTCCAGCCCCTTCCTGTAGGTTTTCCAAATGGGCTGGAATATTGATTGTGATAAAGGCCAGAGATTCTTCATTCTGGCAGACGGGAGGTGATGATGATGGATCTTTCCATCCAATGGCTTCTTACAGTCTCTTTTAGCATAGAGAAACCATATGACCTTTCTTCTTGCTTATATTACACATCATTAATAGTAAAACTTTGATATCATTATGTGAAAAATTTGCTCCCAGCCTGGGCAACAAAGTGAGACCCCATCTCTACAAAAAAATTTTAAAAATTTGCTGGATGTGGTGGCACATGACGCTGGTCCCAGCTACATGGGAGGCTGGGGTGGGAAGATCGCTTGAGCCCAGGAGATCGAGGCTGCAGTGAACCATCATCATGCCACTGCCCTCCAGCCTGGAAAACAAAGAAGACCCTGCCTCAAAAAAACAAACAAAAAACAAACAAACAAAATTCTTGATCCCCCCCACCCCCCTGCCCCAGAAATAAGGAGAAGAAATGAAAAGAGTTAAAGGAATGAAGAATCCTGTCCTGCTATACTTATATTAAAGTTATTTGTCTTTCCTGCTGTATTAGGCCATTCATGCATTGCTATAAAGAAATATATGAGACTGGGCAATTTATAAAGAAAAAAGGTTTAATTGGCTTATGATTCTGCAGGCTTTATAGGAAGCATGGTCCTGGTATCTGCTCAGCTTTTGATGAGGCCTAAGGGAGTGTTCAATCATGGCAAAAGGTATAACAGGAGCAGGCATTTCACATGGTGAAAGCAGGAGTAAGAGAGAAAGAGAAAGCAGTAGAGTCGGGGGAGTAGGTGCCACACACTTTTAAATGAACCCATCTCATGTGAACTCAGAGCAAGAGCTCACTTATCACCAAGGAGAAGGCCCAAGCCATTCATGAGGGATCCACCCCCATAATCCAAACACCTCCCACAAGGTCCCACCTCCAACATTGGAGATTACATTTCAACATGAGATTTGGATAGGAAAAAATATCCAAACTATATTACCTACATACATAGGTTCCTAGAGGGCAAGGATCATGTATACAGTAGTGAGAGCATTAGTAGCTCAACAATATTTGGGCAGAGAACAAATAAGTAAATGAATGAATATTCCATGAGCCCCCTTCTTTGTTAAGGCTGCCTATAAGGAAATTCATTTGTGCAAATGGGTCGAGAAGACTTCCCTCAAAAATAGAATGGAGTTAAGGTTTGCCCTCCATGAAATCTTTGGATATGGAAATGGCGGTTTTTCAGGGCCTGCATTTTAAGTCCATCCAAGCCCATATCTGACTTCTGCATGACTTTTTTTTTTTTTTTTTTTTTTTTTTTTTGAGACGGAGTCTCGCTCTGTCGCCCAGGCTGGAGTGCAGTGGCGCGATCTCGGCTCACTGCAAGCTCCGCCTCCCGGGTTCACGCCATTCTCCTGGCTCAGCCTCCCGAAAAACTGGGACTCAACAGACGCAGAAAAGGCCTTTGACAAAATTCAACAACCCTTCATGCTAAAAAATCTCAATAAATTAGGTATTGATGGGACGTAACTCAAAATAATAAGAGCTATCTATGACAAACCCACAGCCAATATCATACTGAATGGGCAAAAACTGGAAGCATTCCCTTTGAAAACTGGCACAAGACAGGGATGCCCTCTCTCACCATTCTTATTCAATATAGTGTTGGAAGTTCTGGCCAGGGCAATCAGGCAGGAGAAGGAAATAAAGGGTATTCAATTAGAAAAAGAGGAAGTCAAATTGTCCCTATTTGCAGATGACATGATTGTATATCTAGAAAACCTCATCGTCTCAGCCCAAAATCTCCTTAAGCTGATAGGCAACTTCAGCAAAGTCTCAGGATACAAAATCAATGTGCAAAAATCACAAGCATTTGTATACACCAATAACTGACAACAAAGAGCCAAATCATGAGTGAACTCCCATTTACAATTGTTTCAAAGAGAATAAAATACCTAGGAATCCAACTTACAAGGGATGTGAAGGACCTCTTCAAGGAGAACTACAAACCACTGCTCAATGAAATAAAAGAGGATACAAACAAATGGAAGAACATTCCATGCTCATGGGTAGGAAGAATCAATATTGTGAAAATGGCCATACTGCTCAAGGTAATTTATAGATTCAATGCCATCCCCATCAAGCTACCAATGACTTTCTTCACAGAATTGGAAAAAACTACAGTTCATATGGAACCAAAAAAGAGCCTGCATTGCCAAGTCAATCCTAAGCCAAAAGAATAAAGCTGGAGGCATCACGCTACCTGATTTCAAACTATACTACAAGGCTACAGTAACCAATACAGCATGGTACTGGTACCAAAACAGAGATATAGACCAATGGAACAGAACAGAGTCCTCAGAAATAATGCCACATTACCTGCAACCATCTGATCTTTGACAAACCTGACAAAAACAAGAAATGGGGAAAGGATTCCCTATTTAATAAACGGTGCTGGGAAAACTGGCTAGCTATATGTAGAAAGCTGAAACTGGATCCCTTCCTTACATCTTATACAAAAACTAATTCAAGATGGATTAAAGACTTAAATGTTAGACCTAAAACCATAAAAACCCTAAAAGAAAACCTAGGCAATACCATTCAGGACACAGGCATGGGCAAGGACTTCATGTCTAAAACACCAAAAGCAATGGCAACAAAAGCCAAAATTGACAAATGGGATCTAATTAAAGTAAAGAGCTTCTGCACAGCAAAAGAAACTACCATCAGAGTGAACAGGCAGCCTACAGAATGGGAGAAAATTTTTGCAATCTACTCATCTGACAAAGGGCTAATATCCAGAATCTACAATGAACTCAAACAAATTTACAAGAAAAAAACAAACAACCCCATCAAAAAGTGGGTGAAGGATATGAAGAGACACTTCTCAAAAGAAGATATTTATGCAGCCAACAGACACATGAAAAAATACTCATCATCACTGGCCATCAGAGAAATGCAAATCAAAACCACAATGAGATACCATCTCACACCAGTTAGAATGGTGATCATTAAAAAGTCAGGACACAACAGGTGCTGGAGAGGATGTGGAGAAATAGGAACACTTTTACACTGTTGGTGGGACTGTAAACTAGTTCAACCATTGTGGAAGACAGTGTGGCGATTCCTCAGGGATCTGGAACTAGAAATACCATTTGACCTAGCCCTCCCATTAGTGGGTATATACCCAAAGGATTGTAAACCATGCTGTTATAAAGACACATGCACACGTATGTTTATTGCGGCACTATTCACAATAGCAAAGATATGGAACCAACCCAAATGTCCAACAATGATAGACTGGATTAAGAAAATGTGGCACATATACACCATGGAATACTATGCAACCATAAAAAACGATGAATTCATGTCCTTTGTAGGGACATGGATGAAGCTGGAAACCATCATTCTCAGCAAACGATCGCAAGGACGAAAAACCAAACACCGCATGTTCTCACTCATAGGTGGGAATTGAACAATGAGAACACGTGGACACAGGAAGGGGAACATCACACACCGGGGCCTGTTGTGGGGTGGGGGAGGGGGGAGGGATAGCATTAGGAGATATATCTAATGTTAAATGACGAGTTACTGGGTGCAGCACACCAACATGGCACATGTATACGTATGTAACTAACCTGCACGCTGTGCACTTGTACCATAAAACTTAAAGTATAATAAACAAAAAAAAGAAATACCATTAAAGAACTCTTGTGATTATATTGTGGACCCCCTGACAATCCAAATTATCTCCCCATCTTAAGGTCATTAACTTAATCACACTTGCAAAGTCCCTTTTGCCTGTAAGGTAACATGTTTACTGATTCTAGGCATTAGGACATGGACATTTTGGGGGCGGGCATTATTCTGCCTATCACACCAAATCAATATCACTGCCTTTCCTGATTGTCCCAAAGCTCCATAATCTCTTTATTTGAAAAAAAAATTATTGCATAAGAGTGGGTACCACTCCCTTTAACACCTGTTATTCTTTAATTAGCTCCTATCTGTATACTTACTCATCCATTCCTTCATTTTACTAGTATTTATTGCCTTGGATATCTTCTCTGTGCTAGTGATTGTGCTGGATACTGGGAAAAAAGTCATGACATTTGTCTTACAGAAGCTCACTGTTTAGTGAGGAAGAGTAATATATAAACAGAGAAACACAAGAAGATGTTTAGTGAGCACTGACAGAAATATGTGCAGGATATTGTTATGTTCAAAGGAGAGCATAGTTAGTTCCATCCAAATTATGGCCTCATACACAAAGTAGTCTGAGCTAGATGAGCAATTTTTGGCTAAGCAGAAAGGCAAACTGGAGAGAATATTCCAATTAAAGGGAACAGTGAGTTAGTACCTATTTATCTTTTCCCATTAGCTGTTTGTATGCCCCTTAGGGTCAGAGATTCTGTGTTATTTCTCTTCCGTATATCGTCTGAGATTGAGTACACACTGGGAATATAGAAGACATTGAATAAAAATTTATGAGTCAATGAATTCTGAAGGTGACAGCAGTCCTTCTGACCATGATAGAGTAAATGGCAGCCAATTTGACCTTCTGCATAAATAACTATAAAAGTACACAAAATATAGAAAACAACTCTTGTCAAACATTGGGCAACAAAAAGTGGAGAAATTTGATCCCTTAGAGATGGAAAATAAATAAGGTAGGTCTTGTGATTACCTCAGCCTTCTGACTGAATGTACTTCCCACACCATTTGCACAGGGAGGGTAAACACAAGCAGAACATGGTACTCTTGATGAGTTAAGAAGGCAAAAATTAGGGTTCATTGAGGATGACAAAGCTGGAATTTGTGAGACAGAGTACCAGAGGAAAGGGTGCTATGCAGAGACAAAGCCCAAGAAAACTTCTTGGAGTCCCCTTGAGTCTTTTGCTGAATATTAAGCTGCATATGCATATGGTGAAACTCCACAAGGCCAGGCAAGGAACAACTACTAGGGAACTGTAATTGGAATAATTTCCAAACTGACATTTACCAGGAGGCATTTGAATTCTGACGTGCCAAAGTGAAGAAGCCACAGTGAACACTGGAACATTCAGTAAATAATGAAAGGGTCATGCATTCATAGTGGGTTAAATCAGCGCTTATCTAGAGGTTATACTAGACCCACCTGAATGAAACTTAAAAATAAGACTTGAAAGAATCAAAGTGATCCACAAGTAACTTAGCTTCCTGTCAGAACAAACTTCAACCTTCTTTGCAGAAACATAGCAAAATCTAGACTCTGAACAATGTAATATTCATGATGTCTAGCACTCAATTACTAACATGAAGAAGGCAGGAAAATGTGATCCAGAGCCAGGAGAAAATTCAATCCATATAAACACACTCATAAATGACAGGAATGATAGAATTAGCAGACAAGTACTTTTAGAAAGCTATTATAACTATTGAAATATTGGAAGGAAAACATGAGCATAAAGAGAAGAGAAATGGAAGATATGAGGAAAAACATATAAAACAAAGAGTGATAACAGCAAAATGTCAGAATAGGAATCCCTGGACCCTTCTTCCCCTTACAGACACATTGATTCAGCAATAATTCACAGAAAATTGCCTTTAGGAAAAATCCAGAAATTAAATGACAGTATCTTGCAACCTGGGCAAATGTGAAACCAGACTCACGGAAGCCAGTAGAGAGATTCAGGACACCCTCTCATTGAAATCCCTACCTCTGGCACAGCAACACATGAGAGGGAAGAGACCTTCAAACTCCCAGCTTCTCCAAAGGGAGGTTAAAGAGTTGGTTTGCATGTCAAGCACCACAACTTTTCTGAGGGGGCTCACTAGAGGACTGTTTTGCTACTTGCCAGTCTTAGAGCTCTGACAGGCCCAGCATAATCTGTCACCTGTGGGAGAACAGAGATGGTGGCTTGGGCTGGTAGATGCCATAGCTCCTTTCCCCCTATCAGCACAGAGCAAGGGAATTTTAATAAAACAGGTCTCAGCTTTCCCCTGAGAAGAAAAAGAGTTGAATGGACTGGAAAACAGAATTGAATGGAGCATCCAACAATCCAGCTTTCTGGGAGTTTCTAAGGAACCAATTGCATTTACACTTGTTGCACTACACTGATAGGATTCAACATACCCTATATGCTTGGGGACTACAAAGCACAAAAAGCAGGTTGGACTAGCACGAAGGTTTGAGAGACCCCCAGAATCTCTGGCAATACTGATTGGTGGAGGTCTTCTTTTGTATAAGGCTAGTCTGTGAAGACTAAGAGAGGTGGCTGCTTTGCATAATGTGCAGACACAACACAGAGAGTCAAGGAAAATAAAGAATTAGGCAAAGAAGTTCCAAACAAAGGAACAAGATAACTTTTCAGAAACTGTAGAGTTATATAATTTACCTGACCAAGAATTCAAAACATTGTCATAAAGATGCTCTTGAGGCCAAAAGAACAATATATGAACAAAGTGAGAATTTCAACAAACAGATAGAAAATATTAGAACTACCAAACCAAAATCATAGAGCTAAAGAACACAATAACTGAACTGAAAAATTCACTCATGAAGTTCAACAGCAGACTAGATCAAAGGAAAAGATCAGGGCCAGGCTGGGTGGCTCACGCCTGTATTCCCAGCAGTATGGGAGGCCGAGACAGGCAGATCACTTGAGGTCAGGAGTTCGAGACCAGCCTGGTCAACATGGTGAAACCTTGTCTCTACTACAAATACAAAAATTAGCTGGGTGTGGTGGCAAGTGCCTGTAATCCCAGCTACTCAGGAGGCTGAAGCAGGAGAATTTGGGGGAAACTGGATATCCACATGCAAAATGATGAAATTAGACCCTTAACTTATACCATGCAAAATAATAAATTCAAAATGGTTAAATACTTAAATGTAAGACCAAAAACTGTAAAACTCTTAGAAAAAAAAACAGGAGAAGATCTTCATGACATAGATCTTTGCAGTGATTTCATGGATATGACACTAAAAGCACAGGTAACCAAAGCAAAAATAGACAAATAGTACTATAGCTAACCAAAAAGTTTCCAAACAGCAAGGGAAACAATCATCAGAGTAAAAAGCAACCTATGGAATGGGAGAAAATACTTGCAAACCATCCATCTGATAAGGGGTTAATCTCCAAAATATCCAAGAAACTCCTACAACTCAATAGCAAAAAAGAGAAAACAAACAAACAAAAAACTAATAACTTGATTTAAAAATGGGCAAAGCACCTGAATAGACATTTATCCAAAGGAGGCATACAAATGACCAACAGGTATGTGAAAAAAAATGGTCATCATCACTAATCATCAGGGAAATGTAAATCAAAACCATATTACCTCACACCTGTTAGGATGGCTATTACCCAAAAAATACACCACTGATGGGAATGAAAATGGTGCATCCACTATAGAAAGTGGTATGGAAGTTCCTTAAAAAATTAAAAATAAAACTACCATATGACCCAGCAGTCCCACTTCTGGGTATTTATCTATTGAAATCGGGATCTCAGCACTCCTATGTTCATTGCAGCATTATTCACAATAACCAAGATGTGGAAACAATCTAAATGTCCATTAATAAATGAATGAATAGAGAAAATGTGGTAAATATATGCATGCATACACACACACACACACACACACACACACACACACACACATGAATATTATTTGGCCTTTAAAAAGAAGGAAATTATGATATGGGACAGAGTTGATGAAACTTGATGGCATTATGGTAAGTGAAATAAGTCAGTCACAGAAAGACAAATATTGCATGATTCCACATATATGTGCTATCTAAAATAGTTTAATAGAATCAAAGAACAGAATAATGGTTGTGAGGGGATGGGGGAGTGAAAAACTGGGAGTTACTAATCAATTGGCATAAAGCTTCAGTTAAGCAAGATGAATACGCTCTAGAGATCTGCTGTACCTTTAATGTTGTGCCTATAAGTCAACGAAAATGTTTCTACACTTCAAAATTTAAGAAAGTAGATCTCATGTTAAGTGTTATTGCCACAATAAAATAAAAATAAATTAAAAAAATAAATCTAAAGGAGAAAAGAAACTCTAAACAAATATCTTTGGATTATGTACATTTTACTTAATCTCAAGTAGAATGACATATCCAACTTCTGATCAGTTTGGAAGTCTAATACTGACTACATAAACTATTACAGGAGTATTTTGCTTGCTTTGCTGATTTTAAAGTAAATGGTAAAATACTGCAGATCTACGGTATAAAATATTGATTAAAAAAAGCATGTTGTATCTACTATGCTCAATAAGTAACTGATTTAAGGTTTGAAAACCAATAAGTTAACAACTCCTATCACATAATAAATAATCAACACCTTCTGAAAGATAAAAAAAGTCATTTTAAACTAAAAATAATTGAGTGTTTAGAGTTGCAAAGTACAATGTCTAAAGTGAAAATGTACTGAATAGGCTTAACATCAGACTAGATGCTATAAAAGAAAAGACCCGTGTACTTCAAGGTGACAGCAGCTAAGAATGGTATGGTCTCCATTACCTTTTGGCCACCTGAGCTATGGTGGGAAGGCACACCTGGAATTCTGATTCTGGTCATTCCATTCTCCCTCCTATAATTTAAATCAGTTCTAGCTCTGTCCTTTTCAAGATGTGGAAGGAATCTTCTTAGATTCTTGGGTAAGTGTTAAACATTGCCACCAGTGTCACATTGACGTGATTCACAAAGCAATGCGTCACACTTCCAAGGTTTTCCATTCATCTGGAAACCACTTATCAATAATGCACAAAGTCCCAGACATAGTGCTAGACACTGAGGGTAGGAAAATAAATAAGAATTGTCACTTTTTCATGGCAGAGATAGGGGTACACAGATTGGTAAAATACAGAGTAGCAAATTTGTTCAACATATGTTCACTGAACTCTTACTCTGTGCCAGTCATTGCTAGTTGGAGATGAAACAACAGTTTCTGTCTTCAATTTGCTTTGAGTTCAGGTTTTCTATAGATGTGGTTAAAAGCTTGAGTCAAATAATAATAATGTTTACCTTTTATAGAGAGAGGCAGATTTGGCATATGTGGGGGTCTGTTTACATGAATGGACTAATTCTTGAATTAACGTACTTATTAACTTGATGAGGGCGCCACACATCTATTGGTCCACGAAAATGAACTGTGGACATCCACCGATGTCCAAGAAAATTTGCTTGTTCCTGGTATGCTTCTACTGAGACCCAGTTTCATCCTATTCTATGAATCTTGATTGTATCCTTCGTTTATCACCCTTCTCCTACTATTCCAACTAGTCTATCCTGTTCTTTAATTTTGTATTCACT
Source organism: Homo sapiens (assembly GCF_000001405.40). Taxonomy (NCBI): domain Eukaryota; kingdom Metazoa; phylum Chordata; class Mammalia; order Primates; family Hominidae; genus Homo; species Homo sapiens. The sequence continues at coordinate 132,300,166 of NC_000023.11, read as the reverse complement.
CCAAGACTTTTAGTTAGAATTTATCCTACCAGTCCCTAAAGATCCAAGCTCTATAGTTGTCCATCACATCCACTGTGAGGACTGGTGGGTAGAAACAAAAATTTTCATAGACATATATCATTGTCTGTCTGGAAATTGTCTAGGTCATCTCACATTTGTACATATTGTTTCTCAAAACTTTATAAAAGGCAGGTGACTTTATATCTCCTAGTAAGTTTGATGACATGTGTCACTATAATCTATACCCATTCAATTTTGTCTCTTACTAAATGGCTTGTCTAGATACATTTGAGAAGTTGGTCAGAGTTTAGCCCGTGTGGAAGCATGAAGGTTGAGCATGAACTGGTGCTAGTGTTTACACTAGCATACTATGTGAAGAATGAGCCAGGATGAGATAATTGAGATAATGGGAAAGTTATGTATTTTGGAAAGCAGGTCGTTGAGTGACCAAAACCAATTATTAAGACAAAGTTCAAAAGTAGAGATTGGTTGCTCAGCTGGGAGTTATGAAAGAGACAGAGATGGACTCAAAAAGGAAGATTCTAGCATATGGAGTAAGGTAGAACATCAAAATGGTACATGCACCAGGGTAGATTTACCACATAGCTAATTAACCTTAAAGCTTCTGGGCCCTTTTCAAGCAACCTTTCCAAGGCCCTGGGAATTATTATAGCACTAGTCATGTTTTTGTAAAATTTGCAGAAATAAAATAGTTTAACTTGAATTAGTTAAGACTACAGTTTTCCATTTCAACTTCCCCTTCCATCATACTTCCACTAGTGTTGGGTGGTGATGGAATAGCCATGGGAAATCTTAGGATCCTTATGACCTACTTAGATCCAGTGAAACCCCCTGGTAATTTTCTAAGTATGTCCTGTTAAAAGGAAGGAAATTAGGGAAATCTAGGGGAAAATGTCAAACTCTGAACTACCATGATGAAGTTCTTTGGGGAGGAGACACCAAACTATACTCTGGGGAAGGTGTCAAGGGCCTCCAGTCAAGTGAGACATGAGTTTGCCAATATGAAGGGACAAAGACAGTGGCCATTAGGGAGAAGACTAAGAGGGAAAACAGATCCTGGATAGAGACAGAGAATATCCCTGTTCTGTATGTGTCCTTGGTGGAGCCCATGGATGCAGAGGGTTTGCAGCTAAATGAACTATATGGGACAAGCTCCAGAGGAAGCATAATGAAGAAGCTGAGATGTTGTTAGAAGAGCTTTCCTGAAGATGGACCTCTGCTTCTGATTAAGATGAGTATCAGGGACCAGATTTCATCTCCCACTTGAAATAACCAAAAAGTTAGAAAAAATATATGATACAACACTTTTCATGAGTGTATATCAGGCAATGAAGAGAACTAATCCCCGGGGTATGAAAAACGAATGCAGTAAACCTAGGAAGGGGAAACCCAGGTAGAGTCTGACAGACTTCTTGAGCTGAAGAGATGGAGCTGATAATCTGGGGTGACTAAGAAGGCTGGAGTTCAGAACAGAATACCAGGAGAGGGCTGCATAGAGAGGGAACTTGAGAAATCTATAGAGGGTTCCTCACAAGCATTCAGCTGAGTACTAAACTGCACATGTGAGAAAACTACCTGATATTGAGGGAAGAACCACCCAAAAGGATCAGAAGTAACTGCACTTAGCATTCATACAAGGCTAGGAGTAGTGCCTGTTCCCAACCAGCCAGATTGGAAAACCTCATAATTCTAGGGCATTGGATAGAGTACTCAGGAAGGCCTTGCCTCAGTTATAAAGACTATTTAGCCATAGACTGAACATTCTTTCAGACCTGCCTAATAGATTATAAAAGCTAGCCTTGAAAGGATCAAAATATTTTTGAGTAACTTAACTGCATCCCAGAACGAAGGTCTATAATATTTATTAGAAATACAAAAACATCTAGCATACAATGAGGTAAAAGTCACAATGTCTGGCATCCGATAAAAGATTATCAGTATGCAAAGAAGAAGGAAAGAATGATCCATAATGAGGAGAATAACTATATTAGAATTAGCAGAGAAAAGGACATTGCAATAGTTTCTGTAATTGTATTTCATATATTCAAAAAGTTCAGTGAAGATATGAGTGGTATAAAAAAGACCAAATTGATTATAAACCAGGGGTTCTGTGTTTTTACAATTTTAAAAAATAAAATGGGCCAGGTGCAGTGGTTCACACCTGTAATCCCAGCACTTTAGGAGGCCGAGGCAGGCAGATCACTTGAGATCAGGAGTTTGAGACCAGCCTGGCCAACACGGTGAAACGCTGTCTCTACTAAAAATACAAAAATAAGCCAGGTGTGGTGGTGCACGCCTGTAATCCCAGCTACTCAGGAGGCTGAGGCAAGGGAATAGCTTGAACCCCGGAGGCAGAAGTTGCAGTGAGCCAAGATCGTGCCACTGCACTCTAGCCTGGGTGACAGAGTAAGACTCTGTCTCTAAACAAATAAATAAATAAATTTTTAAAAGACCAAATTGAACTTCTAGAGATGAAAAATACAATGTCTAATATGAAAAATACACTGGATAGAATGGCAGAGTACACATTGCAGAAGAGATTCGTGAACATGAAGATATATTAATAGAAACTATCTCAAGTGAAACAGAAAAAAACTAAATAAATAGAACATCAATGAGCTTAGGAAAACAACAAGTGGCTTAATACACATGTAATCAGATCCCCTGAGGTGGGGGGAGCAGGGGCAGAAAAAATATATTAAGGAATAATAGCTGAGAATTTTCCAAATTTGATGAAAACTATAAACCCACAGATCCAAGCAGCTCAATTAACCCCAAGCCCAGGAAATATGAAGAATAGTAGAATCGGGCACATCATAGTCAAGTTGTCCAAAACCAGTGACAAAGAAAAACTCTTTAAAGTAGCCAGATAAAAGAGATATGTTATGTTCAGAAGAACATATATATAGGTGACAGCAGATTGGAAATTATGCAAATGGCAAGACAGTGGAGCAACACCTTGCAGAGGTTTGGAAATAAATCTATCAAAAATTCAGGGGGCTTCTACCTCAGTGAAATGTTTAGGGGCTAAGTGGAGTAGGGCATGTGGAGGAATCCCTGCGAAGGTAAAAAACAGATTGTTGCATCTTTCTCCTCCAAAAAGGAGGCACATCGCCTGGTGGGCCTCTTTGGATTTCAACGTATTCCTTATTTGAGTGTATTACTCCAGCCCATTTACTGAGTGACCCAAAAAGCTGCTAGTTTTGAGTAGGGCCCAGAACAAGGTCCAGGCTGGTATGCAAGTTGCTCTGCCAATTGGGCTACATGATCCAGCAGATCCAATGGTGCCTGAAGGATCAGTGGCAGATAGGAATGTAGTTTGGAAACCGTGTCAGGCCCCATAGGTGAATTGCTACACAAGGCTCTTAGGATTTTGGAGTAAAATCTTACCACCCTCAGCAAATAACTACTCTTTGGAGAAAGAGCTGTTTGTCTGCTACTGGGCCTTAGTAGAGACTGAATGCTTAACCACAGGCCACCACATTACCATGTGACCTGAACTGACCATTATCTGACCCACCAAGCCATAAAATTGGGCATGCACCAAAATACTTCATCATTAAATGAAAGTGATATTATTCTTGATTGGTCTGAACAGGACCTGAGAGCACAAATAAGTTACACGAAGAAGTGGCCTAAATGCCCATGAGCCTCATTCCTGCTACACTATCTTCTGTCTGTAAGCTTGCAGCTATGGCCTCATGGGGGAGTTTCCTATGATCAGGTCATGGAGGAAGAGAGGACCCAGACCTGCTTTATAGATGATTCTGCATGATATACAGGCACTATCCAAAAGTGGACAGCTGCAGGACTACAGCCCCTCTCTGAAACATCCCTAAAGGACATTGATGAAGGGAAATATTCCCAGTAGGCAGAACTTGAAAAAGTGCACTTGTCATTCACTTTGTTTGGAAGAAAAAATGGCTAGACATTATTATACACTAATTCATGGTCTGTGGCCAATAGTTTAGCTGGATGGTCAGAGACTTGAAGGGAACGTAATTGGAACATTGATGAGAAAGAAATTTGGGGAAGAGGTATGGGATAGATCTCTATGAATGGGTAAAAAAATGAAGATATTTGTGAATGCTCATCAAAAGGTGACTTCAGCAGAGGATTTTAATAATCAAGTGGATAGAATCACCCATTTATGGATACTAGTCTCTTTCCCAGCCACCTCTGTCATTGCTCAATGGGCTCATAAACAAAGTGACCATGGTGGCAGGAATGGAGGTTATGCATGGAATCAGCAACATGAACTTCTATTCAACAAGGCCAACTTGGCTATGGCCATGGCGGGGTGTCCAATCTGCCAGCAGCAGAGACCAACACTGAATCCCTGATACAGTGGCAGGCTGATTACATTGGGCCACTTCCATCGTGGAAGTTTTGTCCATACTGGAATAGACACTTACTATGGATAAGGATTTGCCTTCCCTGAACACAATTATTCTTTCAAAACTACCCTCTGTAGACTTACAGAATGCCCTATTTACCATCATAGTATTCCACCCAGCATTGCTTCTGATAAAGGAACTCACTTCACTGCAAACTGGCTTTTTAAAAACTCTGTTACAGCACCAGCCAGCTGGCAATACCTTGTAGGGCAAGGGGAAAGTTCTCCAGAAGGCTGTATATGCTCTGAATCAGCATCTTCAGATGGGGCTGTTTCTCCCATAGCCAGGATTCATGGGTCCAGCAATTAAGGGGTGGCAAAGGGAGTGGTACCACTCACCATCACCCCTAGTGATCTACTAGCAAAATTTCTACTGCCTCTTTTCATGAATTTATGGTCTGCTGGCCAAGAAGTCTTAGTTCCAAAGGGAGGAATGCTTCCGCCAGAAGACACAACAATGATTCCATTGAATTGAAAGTTAAGGCTGCTGCCTGGCCACTTTGGGCTCCTCATGCCTCTGAATCAACAGGAGGCAAGGAAGGGAGTTATTGTGCTGGCTGAGTTGATTGATTCTGAATACCAAGGAGAAATTGAACTATAACTCCACAATGTAGGTAAGGAAGAATATGTCTGGAATACAGAGGATCCCTTAAGATGCATCTTAGTATTTCCACGCCCTGTGATTAAGGTAAATGGAAAAGACAACAAACCAATCCAGGCAAGACTACTAATGGCCCAGACCCTTCAGGAATGAGGGTTTGGGTCATGCCTCCAGGTAAAGAACCACAACCAGCTGAGGTGTTTGCTGAAGACAAAGAAGATGCAGAATGGGTAGTAGAAGAAGGTAGTTATAAATTCCAACTACAACCATGTGACCAGTTACAGAAATGAAGACTGTAATTGTCAGAGTATTTCCTTATTTCCCAATGATCCCTACCCCCAGTGGTCCATTAGGTGGCTCCATAATATTCAGGCCTAGATAATCTCTAAGGTCCTTGTGAAGGAAAAGAACACCGTGTATTGAGTACCTACTGTGTCAGGTTGTATACTAAGCAGAGGCTAAGAGGAAAGATATAGCATTCTGTGGGGACGAGAAGACAGCAAATGGCGGGAAGAAAGCCAGATGGAAGGTGCTGAGGCAGAGGTATCCACTGTATCCTGGTAGAAAGACCTCAAGCCATTTGGGAGTATAAAGGGAGAGTTGAGAAGGGGAGAGGGTGGCATTGCTTGGCTTTGAAATGTGGCTGGCCAAGATGCTTGGGCACTGATGTGCTCTTGACAATTTGAAAGGGCTCTTGGATTGTTCCTACGTTCAGACTGCTTTTAAAGAGCTGTTTTGTATGGAGGCCTCTTTCATTTGCATGAAGTCATGCTCACCTTCTATAGGTGTTTCTCAGCTGTCAAGAGCTCTCCAAACCTTCTGGAAAGCCCTTGTGACAAAGGAAGTTGTGGGATGCAGAGGCCAGGTGCTCAGACTCCCATGAGTGGGTGGAGAATGGAAATAAAATGAATGAAATGGGTTTAGGATTGGAGAATGTCCAGGTCACTCTTGATTGAATCACTAGGGAAAAGCTGTAGTGGAAATAAGCCCCAGACTGATTTTTCAGCTCTACTTCATCTCCCTTCTGCTGGGCCGGCAACATGAGACTAATGGGGAAAAGCACGGCAGAGCAAAGAGGCTACTTCTTGGGGAATCAAACATAGCAGAAAGTTACCACCGTAAATAGAAAATAGATTGAAAGCATTTGAAAGTTTCTGTTCAGCATTACCAGGAATTAGCCTGGCATTTAAGAGCCTGTACAGTACAGTCCCAGCCTATCACTGAGTCTTATCTTTTACTTCTTATTGACCCCTACCCTCTACTTGTCAGGCCTACTTATTAGGCCTTGATCCCTGAATAATAATAATCTTTGAATTTCTCATCTCCCAGCTTCACCTTCACCCCCACCCATTGCCTTGTTTTCTCTTAGAGCTGTTGTTCCTCTGAATCCCTGTACCACTTGCCTACATTAGCATTTTTTCTTAGATTACCTTATCACACAATGCATTTATTCTTTTTCATTGTGTAAAAGTCTATATTCCCACCTAGATTCTAAGTGCCTTGAGAACAGGCACCATGTCCTATACCTCCTGTCTCCCTCCCCTTCCTCTATTGTGCTAGATCCACAATTAATGGATCAAAAATAATCTTCTGGTTGTTTTGTTGATTATTACAAGTATGTCATGAGATTGTCCCATAGGATTCTGCCTTGAATTTTTATATGGCCTTGAACAAGTTTCTGCTCCTGTCTTTGCCTCAGTTTCTCTATCTGTAAATGATTGGATTGGACTCGACGACATCTAAGAGTTCTTCAAGCTTTGATAGCAGATGATTCTACAAGTCCATCCTCAAAAAGAGGAAAGAGAATTGATCCAACTTACTAACAAAGCTGGGGAAGGAGGAAATATATTTGCATAAAAAATGAAACCAAACAACAAACAACAGCTGAAGGGGGAACAAAAGGGAATCTAAGGAATCTAAGGGCTAGGAACTTGTGTGAGAATTGAGGTAGAGGAAAACGCTAACCCTCTTAAAGAACAGGCTTTTCCAGCCCTGGGTGCTTTACAAACATGAATTTTCTTCTATCATGGAGAAAGAGATCCAGCTAAGTCTAGCACTTGTGTTAGCAACTGGTTGCAACGGCCTAAAAGCAGAATAATCAAATGAAACTCCCTACCACTCAGCAGTCAGGCACTCATGAATGCCTAGACCGAGTTAACAAAGTTCCCAGACACTGCCATCTAGTGGCAGTTCAGAAATATATTTGTGGCAATTCATCCTTGCATTCTCTGATGGAGCTGTCAGCATTTTGGAGAAACATGAACCAACCCAAGGATGAAATATTGGGCTAGTGAAGAATGAAAAAGTCCCCCGAGGGAAAGCTCGATAAGGAAACTAGGAGAGACAAAGACAGAGAAGGACAAAGACAAGGCCAAAGCAAGTGAGACAGAGCAAGACACAGTTATTCATGAAGCTAGGTGAAACTTTCACTGAAAATGGGGTAGGGAGGGGGAATTAACACAATCACTCAACCTGGCCCAGCATCTCAATCATAGCTTTAGAGAGATGGTGGTGGGAGCAGCTTCTGATATGCTTTATGTGCTTTTCTCCTCTCTTGTTCTCAATTTCTCCCCAATCCCACACTCTTTTACCTTGTCCGTATGTTCCTTCCCACATGATCACTCCATACCCAACTCCCTAAAAACAAAAACAAAAATAAAACAACAATAACGAAAGACCTTCTTGGGGTTGTAGATAAGTATTAGAGACTATGGATGATCACATGTTTGTTTTTAAAAAAAGTAATACCAAAGACGTCTACAGGTCTCTGGATACATCTCTACCTAAATATAAATGTGAAAGATCTTTTGTCCCATTACGTTTGCAGTGTTTTCTTGCTCCTGAGCTCCAGACCTACATTTCCAATTGCTTATGGGGCATGTTCATTTGGATATCCTCTGACTTTTCATCATTAAAATTTTCCCAAAACTGTCCCCCTCCTCACTTCTCCCCACACCCTGTCTCCATCCTTTGCTCCTCATTTCTTTGTCTGGTCCTTCAATCTCCCTAATGATTGAGACCACAAATCAGTCTCCCGCACCCTCAATATGCTCTAATTCTCCCTGGCATTAAGTCTTTGAGACTTCCTTCAAAGTTATATCTCTAAGATATCTCTTATTTTCTGTTTCTACATACACTGTGCTGGATCTGACCTCATAACCTCTCAACTGGAAAACTGAAATGGTTGTGGTTTCAGCATTTGTTATAGATGCCCAATTCATCCACTTTTCTTCATCTGCATTAGCAACAACCCAGTCACAGCCTCCATCATCTCTCTCACCTGTGCTACGACAATCATCTTTTGATTGGTCTCTCCACCTTCAAACTTATCCAACAAAGGATGTCCTGCATAAATAAGCATACCTTGAAGATATTGTGGATTTGCTTTCAGACCACTGCCATAAAGCAAATATTGCAATAAAGTGAGCAACATAATGTTTTTGGTTGCTGAGTGCATATAAAAGTTACATTTCGAAGTTCTAGCCACAGCAATCAGGCAAGAGAAAGAAATAAAGGGCATCCCAATTGGAAAAGAGGAAATCGAACTATCTTTGTTTTCTGATTATATGATCTTATATCTAGAATACCCTAAAGACTCCTCCAAAACACTTTTAAATCTGATAAATGAACTTGGTAAAGTCCCAGGCTACAACATCAATATAGACAAGTGAGCAGTACTGCTATGCACCAACAATGACCAAACTGAATGACAAATCAAGACTCAATTCCTTTTACAGTAGCTGCAAAAAATAAAATACCCAGGAATATACCTAACCAAGGAGGTGAAACATCTCTGTAAGGAGTATTACAAAACACAGCTGCAAGAAATTGTAGATGACACAAACAAATGGAAATACATCCCATGCTCATGCACTGGAAGAATCAATACGATGAAAATGACCACACTGCTCAAAGCAACCTACAGATTCAATGCAATTCCTATCAAAATACCAACATCATTTTTTCACAGAATTAGAAAAATCCCCTAAATTCATATAGAACCAGAAAAAAGTCCAAATAGCCAAAGCAATCCTAAGCAGAAAAACAAATCTTGAGGCATCACATTACCTGACTTCAAATTATACTACAAGGCTATAGTAACCAAAAGAGCATGGTACTGGTAAAAACGTAGACATGTAACTGATGGAACAGAATAGAGGTCTCAGGAATAAAGCCACATCTTACAACCAACTGATCTTTGACAAAGCATACAAAAGCATAAATTAGGGAAAAGATATCCTGTTCAATAAATGGTGCTGGGAAAATTGGATAGCTACATGTAGAAGAACAAAACCAGATCCCTATATCTTACCATGTACAAAATTTAACTCAAGATGGATCTAAGAACTGATACCATTAAAAATCTAGAAGAAAACCTAGGAAAAACTCTTCTGAACATTGGCCTAGGCAAATAATTTATGACTAAGACCCCAAAAGCAAATGCAACAAAAACAAAACTGAATAAATGGGACCTAATTAAACTAAAAAGCTTCTGCACAGCAAAAGAAATAATTATCAGATAGAAGCGGTTCCAAGATGGCTGAATAGGAACAGATCCAGTTTATAGCTCCCAGCGTGAGCGACGCAGAAGATGGATGATTTCTGCATTTCCAACTGAGGTACCGGGTTCATCTCACTGGGGACTTTCAGACGGTGGGTGCAGGACAGTGGGTGCAGTGCACCAAGCATGAGCCAAAGCAGGGCGAGGCATCGCCTCACCCAGGAAGGGCAAGGGGTCAGGGAATTCCCTTTCCTAGCCAAGGAAAGGGGTGACAGACGGCACCTGGAAAATCGGGTCATTCCCACCCTAATACTGTGCTTTTCTGACGGTCTTAGTAAACGGCACACCAGGAGATTATATCCCACGCATGGCTCAGAGGGTCCTACACCCACAGAGCCTGACTCATTGCTAGCACAGCAGTTTGAGATCAAACTGCAAGGCGGCAGCAAGGCTGGGGGAGGGGTGACCGCCATTGCCGAGGCTTGAGTAGGTAAACAAAGCGGCCAGGAAGCTCAAACTGGGTGGAGCCCACCACAGCTCAAGGAGGTCTGCCTGCCTGCCTCTGTAGCCTCCACCTCTGGGGGCAGGGCATAGCCAAACAAAACGCAGCAGAAACCTCTGCAGACTTAAATGTCCCTGTCTGACAGATTGGAAGACAGCAGTGGTTCTCCCAGCACGCAGCTTGAGATCTGAGAATGGACAGACTGCCTCCTCAAGTGGGTCCCTGATCCCCGAGTAGCCTAACTGGGAGGCACCCCCTAGTAGGGGCGGACTGACACCTCACATAGCCGGGTACTCCTCTGAGACAAAACTTGCAGAGGAACGATCAGGCAGCAACATTTGCTGTTCACCAATATTCTCTGTTCTGCAGCCTCTGCTGCTGATACCCAGGCAAACAGGGTCTGGAGTGGACCTCCAGCAAACTCCAACAAACCTGCACCTGAGGCTCCTGACTGCTAGAAGGAAAACTAACAAACAGGAAGGACATACACACCAAAACCCCATCTGCACATCACCATCATCAAAGACCAAAGGTAGATAAAACCAAAAAGATGGGGAAAAAACAGAGCAGAAAAACTGAAAATTCTAAAAATCAGAGCACCTCTACTCCTCCAAAGAAATGCAGCTCCTCACCAGCAACGGAACAAAGCTGGATGGAGAATGACTTTGACGAGTTGAGAGAAGAAGGCTTCAGACGATGAAACTTCACCGAGCTAAAGGAGGAAGTTCGAACCCATGGCAAAGAAGTTAAAAACCTTGAAAAAAGACTAGACGAATGGCTAACTAGAATAACCAATGCAGAGAAGTCCCTAAAGGAACTGACGGAGCTGAAAACCATGGCACAAGAACTACGTGAAGAATGCACAAACCTCAGTAGCCAATTCGATCAACTGGAAGAAAGGGTATCAGTGATGGAAGATCAAATGAATGAAATGAAGTGAGAAGAGAAGTTTAGAGAAAAAAGAATAAAAAGAAATGAACAAAGCCTCCAAGAAATATGGGACTATGTGAAAAGACCAAATCTACGTCCGAATGGTGTACCTGAAAGTGACGGGGAGAATGCAACCAAGTTGGAAAACACTCTGCAGGATATTATCCAGGAGAACTTCCCCAATCTAGCAAGGCAAGCCAACATTCAAATTCAGGAAATACAGAGAATGCCACAAAGATGCTCCTCGAGAAGAGCAACTCCAAGGCACATAAAGATCAGATTCACCAAAGTAGAAGTGAAGGAAAAAATGTCAAGGGCAGCCAGAGAGAAAGGTCAGGTTACCCACAAAGGGAAGCCCATCAGACTAACAGCTGATCTCTCGGCAGAAACTCTACAAGCCAGAAGAGAGCGGGGGCCGATATTCAACATTCTTAAAGAAAAGAATTTTCAACCAGAATTTCATATCCAGCCAAACTAAGCTTCATAAGTGAAGGAGAAATAAAATACTTTACAGACAAGCAAATGCTGAGAGATTTTGTCACCACCAGGCCTGCCCTAAAAGAGCTCCTGAAGGAAGCACTAAACATGGAAAGGAACAACCGGTACCAGCCCCTGCAAAAACATGCCAAATTGTAAAGACCATCAAGGCTAGGAAGAAACTGCATCAACTAACGAGCAAAATAACCAGATAACATCATAATGACAGGATCAAATTCACACATAATAATATTAACCTTAAATGTAAATGGGCTAAAGGCTCCAATTAAAAGACACACAGTGGCAAATTGGATAAAGAGTCAAAACCCATCAGTGTGCTGTATTCAGGAAACCCATCTCACATGCAGAGACATACATAGGCTCAAAATAAAGGGATGGAAGAAGATCTACCAAGCAAATGGAAAACAAAAAAAGGCAGGGGTTGCAATCCTAGTCTCTGATAAAACAGACTTTCAACCAACAAAGAACAAAAGAGACAAAGAAGGCCATTACATAATGGTAAAGGGGTCAATTCAACAAGAAGAGCTAACTATCCTAAATATATATGCACCCAATACAGGAGCACCCAGATTCATAAAGCAAGTCCTTAGAGACCTACAAAGAGACATAGACTCCCACACAATAATAATGGGAGACTTTAACACCCCACTATCAACATTAGACAGATCAACGAGACAGAAAGTTAATGAGGATATCCAGGAATTGAACTCAGCTCTGCACCAAGTAGACCTAATAGACATCTACAGAGCTCTCCACCCTAAACCAACAGAATAGACATTCTTCTCAGCACCACACCACACTTATTCCAAAACTGACCACATAGTTGGAAGTAAAGCACTCCTCAGCAAATGTAAAAGAAGAGAAATTATAACAAACTGTCTCTCAGACCAAAGTGCCATCAAACTAGAACTCAGGATTAAGAAACTCACTCAAAACCGCTCAACTACATGGAAACTGAACAACCTGCTCCTCAATGACTACTGGGTACATAACGAAATGAAGGCAGAAATAAAGATGTTCTTTGAAACCAACCAGAACAAAGACATAACATACCAGGATCTCTGGGACACATTCAAAGCAGTGTGTAGAGGGAAATTAATAGCACTGAATGCCCACAAGAGAAAGCAGGAAAGATCTAAAATTGACACCCTAACATCACAATTAAAAGAACTAGAGAAGCAAGAGCAAATACATTCAAAAGCTAGCAGAAGGCAGGAAATAACTAAGATCAGAGCAGAACTGAGGGAGATAAGAGACACAAAAAAACCTTCAAAAAATCAATGAATCCAGGAGCTGGTTTTTTGAAAAGATCAACAAAATTGATAGACCACTAGCAAGACTAATAAAGAAGAAAAGAAAGAAGAATCAAATAGACACAATAAAAAATGATAAAGGGGATATCACCAACGATCCCACAGAAATACAAACTACCATCAGAGAATACTATAAACACCTCTACACAAATAAACTAGAAAATCTAGAAGAAATGGATAAATTCCTCAACACATACACCCTCCCAAGACTAAACTAGGAAGAAGTTGAATCTCTGAATAGACCAATAACAAGTTCTGAAATTGAGGCAATAATTAATAGCTTACCAACCAAAAAAAGTCCAGGACCAGATGGATTCACAGCTGAATTCTGCCAGAGGTACAAGGAGGAGCTGGTACCATTCCTTCTGAAACTATTCCAATCAATAGAAAAAGAGGGAATCCTCCCTAACTAATTTTATGAGACCAGCATCATCCTGATAACAAAGACTGGCAGAGACATAACAAAAAAAGAGAATTTTAGCCCAATAGCCCTGATGAACATCGATGCAAAAATCCTCAATAAAATACTGGCAAACCGAATCCAGCAACACATCAAAAAGCTTATCTACCATGATCAAGTGGGCTTCATCCTTGGGATGCAAGGCTGGGTCAACATATGAAAATCAATAAATGTAATCCAGCATATAAACAGAACCAATGACAAAAACCACATGATTATCTCAATAGATGCAGAAAAGGCCTTTGACAATATTCAACAACCCTTCATGCTAAAAACTCTCAATAAATTAGGTATTGATGGGACGTATCTCAAAATAATAAGAGCTATCTATGACAAACCCACAGCCAATATCATACTGAGTGGGCAAAAACTGGAAGCATTCCCTTTGAAAACTGGCACAACACAGGGATGCCCTCTCTCACCTTTCCTATTCAACATAGTGTTGGAAGTTCTGGCCAGGGCAATCAGGCAGGAGAAGGAAACAAAGGGTATTCAATTAGGAAAAGAGGAAGTCAAATTGTCCCTGTTTGCAGATGACATGATTGTATATCTAGAAAACCCCATTGTCTCAGCCCAAAATTTCCTTAAGCTGATAGGCAACTTCAGCAAAGTCTCAGGATAAAAAATCAATGTGCAAAAATCACAAGCATTCTTATACACCAATAACAGACAAACAGAGAGCCAAATCATGAGTGAACTCCCATTCACAATTGCTCCAAAGAGAATAAAATACCTAGGAACCCAACTTACAAGGGATGTGAAGGACCTCTTCAAGGAGAACTACAAACCACTGCTCAATGAAATAAAAGAGGATACAAACAAATGGAAGAACATTCCATGCTCATGGGTAGGAAGAATCATTATCATGAAAATGGCCATACTGCCCAAGGTAATTTATAGATTCAATGCCATCCCCATCAAGCTACCAATGACTTTCTTCACAGAATTGGAAAAAACTACTTTAAAGTTCATATGGAACCAAAAAAGAGCCCGCATTGCCAAGTCAATCCTAAGCCAAAAGAACAAAGCTGGAGGCATCATGCTACCTGACTTCAAACTATACTACAAGGCTACAGTAACCAATACAGCATGGTACTGGTACCAAAACAGACTTATAGACCAATGGAACAGAACAGAGCCCTCAGAAATAATACCACACATCTACAACTATCTGATCTTTGACAAACCTGACAAAAACAAGAAATGGGGAAAGGATTCCCTATTTAATAAATGGTGTTGGGAAAACTGGCTAGCCATATGTAGAAAGCTGAAACTGGATCCCTTCCTTACATCTTATACAAAAATTAATTCAAGATGGATTAAAGACTTATAGGTAAGACCTAAAACCATATAAACCCTAGAAGAAAACCTAGGCAATACCATTCAGGACATAGGCATGGGCAAGGACTTCATGTCTAAAACCCCAAAAGCAATGGCAACAAAATCCAAAATTGACAAATGGGATTTAATTAAACTAAACAGCTTCAGCTCGGCCAAAGAAACTACCATCAGAGTGAACAGGCAACCTACAGAATGGGAGAAAATTTTTGCAATCTACTCATCTGACAAAGGGCTAATGTCCAGAATCTACAAAGAACTTAAACAAATTTACAAGAAAAAAAAGAAACAACCCCATTAAAAAAATGGGAAAAGGATATGAACAGACACTTCTCAAAAGAAGACATCTGTGCAGCCAACAGACACATGAAAAAATGCTCATCATCACTCGTCATCAGAGAAATGCAAATCAAAACCACAATGAGATACCATCTCACGCCAGTTAGAATGGCAATCATTGCAAAGTCAGGAAACAACAGATGCTGGAAAGGATGTGGAGAAATAGGAACACTTTTACACTGTTGGTGGGAGTGTAAATTAGTTCAACCATTGTGGAAGACAGTGTGGCGATTCCTCAATGATCTAGAACTAGAAATACCATTTGACCCAGCAGTCCCATTATTGGGTATATACCCAAAAGATTATAAATCATGCTACTATAAAGACACATGCACACGTATGTTTATTGCGGCACTATTCGCAATAGCAAAGACTTGGAACCAACCCAGATGCCCAACAATGATAGACTGGATTAAGAAAATGTGGCACATATACACCATGGAATACTATGCAGCCATAAAAAATGATGAGTTCATGTCCTTCGCAGGGATATGGATGAAGCTGGAAACCATCATTCTCAGCAAACGATCGCAAGGACAAATAACCAAACACCGCATGTTCTCACTCATAGGTGGGAACTGAACATTGAGAACACTTGGACACAGGAAGGGGAACATCACACACTGGGGCCTGTTGTGGGGTGGGGTGAGTGGGGAGGGAACGCATTAGGAGATATACCTAATGTAAATGATGAGTTAATGGGTGCAGCACACCAACATGGCACATGTATACATATGTAACAAACCTGCACGTTGTGCACATGTACCCTAAAACTTAAAGTATAATAAAAATAAATAAATAAACCTGCACGTTGTGCACATGTACCCTAAAACTTAAAGTATAATAATAATAAAATTTTTAAAAATTATCAGATAACCCAGAGATTGGGAGAAAATATTTGCAAACTATGCATCCAACAAAGAATTAATATCCAGAATTTACAAAAAAGAAAACCTCAAAAAAACAAAAAAAGTCCCATTAAAAAGTCAGCAAAGGACATGAATAGACATTTCTCCAAAGAAAAATATACAAATGGCCAAAAAACATATGAAAACAATGCTGAACACCACTAATCTTCAGGGAAATGCAAATTAAAACCACAATGAGAGACCACCTTACTCCAGCCAGAATGGCCATTATTAAAAAGTACAAAAAAAAAAGTTTGGTGTGGATGTGGTAAAAAAGGATCACTTATACACTGCTAATCAGAATGTAAGTTAATACAACCTCTATGGATAACAGTATGGAGATTTCTCAAAGAACTAAAAGTAGATCTACCATTCAATCCAGCAATCCCACTACTGGGTATTTACCCAAAGGAAAAGAAGTCACTATATCAAAAAGACACCAGCACACATGTGTTTATTGTAGCACAATTCACAATTGCAAAGATATGGAATCAACCTAAGTCCCCATCAACCAATGAGTTGATAAAGAAAATGCTGTATATATACACCATGGAATACTACTCAGCCATTTGAAAAGCACAAAATAATGCCCTTTGCAGCAACTTGAATGGAACTGGAGGCCATTATTCTAACTCAGGAATCTAAAATCGAATACCACATGTTCTCATTTAAAAATGGGAGCTAAGCTATGCATAAGCAAAGGCATACAAAGTGGTATACTGGCATTGGCGTCTCAGAAGGGGGAAGGGTGAGAGTGGAGTGAGGGAGAAAAAACTACCTATTGAGTACAATGTATACCATTTGAATACTCAGATGACAGGTACACTAAAATTCTAGACTTCACCACTATATAATTCATCCATGTAACCAAAACTCATGTGTATTCCTAAAGCTATTGAAATAAAAAAATTAAAAACAAAATCTTCAAAATTCAGCTGGACCTTCCAAATTGGTCCTTACTATACTTGCCAAGTACCATCTACTAATTTCCTTCCTTAACTGTCCTTCCTTTGAATGCTTTCCTTTTGCTAAGTACAGGAAGTACATGCAAGTACAGTTCTCTGGGCTCAAGATGGATTATCAGGAAAATCAAACAAAATAGAAGCAGAGGAATCATACACAATGTATTTATCTTTACAATTACATACAAATACTGAAATAGTGCAAGTATTTAATAATTTATTGAGTTGTCTCCTGTCCGTGTGGCACTCTTGAAATAAATGGCAATTGGATCCTAGGTTATCCTTAAAAATAAAAGTTATGTTAACACCATACTGTAGTCTATTAAGTATTCAATAGCATTATGTCTACAAAACAATGTACATACCTTGATTTAAAAATACTTTATTGCCCAAAATGGTAGGGATCATCTGAGCCTTCAGCAAGTAGTCATCTTTTTGCTGGAGGAAGATCTGGCCTCAATGTTGATGGCTGCTGACTGATTAGGGAGGTGGTTGTTGAAGGCTGGGTGGCTGTGGCAATTTCTTCAGAGAAGACAACAATGGAAGTTTGCAGCATTGATGGACGCTTCCTTTCATGAAAGATTTCTCTGTAGCATGCAAAGCTATTTGATAGCATTTTACTCACAGTGGAACTTCTTTCAAAATTGGAGTCCATCTTTTCAAACCCTGCTACTGCTTTATCAACTAAGTTTATGGAATATTCTAAAATCTTTGTTGTCATTTCAACAATGTTTACAGCATCTTCACCAGGAATAGGTACCATCTCAAGAAACAACTTTCTTTGCTCATTCATAAGAAGCAACTCCTATTTGCTGCATTTTTATCATGAGATTGCAGCGATGCAGTCACATGTTCAGGCTCCACTTCTAATTCTAGTTCTCTTGCTATTTCTACCACATCTATAGTTACTTCCTCTACTGAAATCTTGAGCTCCTTAAAATCATCCCTGAAGGTTGGACTCAACTTCTTCCAAAATCTTGTTAATGTTAATAATTTTGACCTCCTCACATGAATCATATTCTTAATGGCATCTAGAATGGTGAATCCTTTCCAGAGGTTTTTGATTTACTTTGCCCAGATCCGTCAGATGAATAAGTATCTATGGCGGCAATAGGTTTATGAAATGTATTTTTTAAATAATAAGACTTGAAAGTTGCTATTACTCTTTGATCCATGTGCTGCCGAGTGGATGTTATAATAGCAGTCATGAAAACATTAACCTCCTTGTATATCTCCACCAGAGCTCTTAGGTGAAAAGGTACATTGTGAATGAGTAGCAATATTTTGAAGTAATCTTTTTTCTGAGCAACAAGTCTCAAACAGTGGGCTTAAAATAGTCAGTAATCCATGCTGTAAACAGACATGCTTTCATCCAAGCTTTGTTGTTTCATTTATAGAGCACAGGTAGATTTAGGTGATTTTTGAGGGCCATGGGATTTTTGGAATGTTAAATGAGTACTGGCTTCAAATTTAAGTCATCAGCTGCATTAGCCCCTAATAAGAGAGTCAGCCTGTCCTTTGAAGCTTTGAAGCCATGCATTGACTTCTCCACTCTAGTTATGAAACTCCTATATGGCATCTTCTTCCAATAGAAAGCTGTTTCATCTACACTGATATTCTGTTGTTTAGTATAGCCACCCTCATCAATTATCTTAGGTAGATCTTCTGGATAACTTGCTGCAACTTCCATCAGAACTTGCTGCTTCACCTTGCACTTTTATGTTATGGAAATGACTTCTCTCCTTAAACCTCATGAATCAGCCTCTGCTAGCTTCCAACTTTTCTTGTTCAGCTTCCTTACCTCTCACAGCCTTCATGGAATTGAATTTAGTTAGGGCCTTACCCTGGATTGGGTTTTGGCTGAAGATAATGTTGTGGCTATATTGATCTATCCAGATCACTAAAACTTTCTCCATATCAGCAATAAGACTGTTTCTTATTTTTCATGTATTCACTGGAATAGCACTTCTAATGTCCTTCAGGAACATTTAATTGGAAGTTCTTGCCAGTGTAGTAAGTACGTAAATAAATAAAATGCATCCAGATTGAAAAGAAAAAAGTAAAAATGTATTTATTTGCAGATTACATGACCCTGTATGTAGAAAATTCCAAGGAATCCATAAAAAAAGAACTAATAAGTAGTTTAGAAAAGTCAAAGGATGCTGCATAGTATTCCATGGTGTATATGTGCCACATTTTCTTAATCCAGTCTATCATTGTTGGACATTTGGCTTGGTCCCAAGTCTTTGCTATTGTGAATAGCGCTGCAGTAAACCTGCACATTGTGCACATGTACCCTAAAACTTAAAGTATAATAAAAAAAAAAGAAAAGTCAAAGGATGCAAGACCAGTATACAAAATTCAATTGTGTCTATATACTAGCAACAAACACTCAGAAATTAAAGTTTTGAAATGCCATTTACAATACCATCAAAAATGTGAAATACTTACAGGTAAATCTAACAAAAGATATGTGCACTGAAAATTATAATCATTACTGAGAGAAAATAAAGATCTAAATAAAGGAGACAGAATCCATGATCATGGATTGGAAGTCTCAATATTGTCAGGACGGCAATTATCCAAAATTGATGTATAATGTCAATTCAAGTCCTGTCAAAGCCACAGTAAGCTTTTGTGTAGAAATTGACAAGCTGATCCCAAAATTTACGTAGAAATACAAAGGATATAGAATAGCCAAAACAACTTTGAAAAGGCAAAACTTCTTGTTTTAAAACTTAGAAATCAGGACAGTTTAGTACTGTCACAAAGACAAAGAGATCAATGGGATAGAATTGAGAGTCCATTTATGGTCAATTGATTTTTGACAAACATGGTAACACAAGCCAGTGCAGAAAGAATAGTCTTTTCAACAAATGGTCTAGGAGAATTGGATATCCACATGCAAAAAGAGGAGTTTAGATTATTAATGCACACCGTATTAAAAAATTAACTCAAAATGGATTATAGACCTAAATGTATGGGCTAAAGCTATAAAACTTTTAGAAGATAATATAGGAAAAAAAATCCTGTGACTTCAGATTGGGCAGAGCTCTTGGATGCAATGCCCAAAGCACTATCCATAAAATTAAAAATTGATAAATTATACTTCATCCAAATAAAAACTTTTGTGCTTCAAAGGATGCCATCAAGAAACTGAAAAGACAAATCACAGAGTGGGAGAAAAATTTGCAAATCATATATCTCATAAGAGCTTGCATCAAGAATATATAAAGAACTCATAACTCAATAAGTAAAAGACAAATAATCCAATGAAATGTTGGACAAAGTATCTGGATAGACATTTCTCCAAAAAGATATATAAATGGCTAATAAGTACATGAAAAGATGCTCAACATCAAATTCATCAGGAAAATGCAAATCAAAGGGACAACATGCCACATCACACCCACTAGAATAGGATGGCTTTAATCAAGAAGAAAGATAATAAGTATTGGCAAGGATATGGAGAAATTGGAACTCTCCTACACTGCTGGTGGGAATGTAAAAGGGTATAGCCACTTTGCAAAATAGTTTGGTACTTATTCAAAGACATAGACTTAGCATATCACCCAGAAAAACCACCCCTAGGTATGTATGCAAAAGAAATGAAAACATGTCAACTCAAAAGTTTGTAAAAATGGGCAAAGGGCAGAGCAAGGTGGCAGAATAGAAAACTCCACCAATTGTCTCCCTTGCAAAGACACCAAGTTAACAACTATCTACACAGAAAAAAAAAACACCTTCCTAAGGACCAAAAATCTGGCGAAATCTGGCGAGCACTCATAGTACCTGGTTTTAACCTCATATCGCTGAAAGAGGCACTGAAGAGATAGAAAAAACAATCCTGAATAGCCGATGCCACCCCTCCCCCACCCCAGCAGCAGCAGCGTGGTGCGGAGAACAACTCTGGGCACTGGGGAAGAGAGAGCATAGCAATTGTGAATCATTGAATTCAGTGCTGTCCTGTTAGAACAGAAAGGAAAACCAAACCAAACTCAGCTGGTGCCCACCCATGGAAGGAGTACTTAAACCAGCCCTAGCCAGAGAGGAATCATTGATCCCAGGTGGGTCTGAACTTGAGTGCCTACAAACTTCACCACCCAGGGCTACAGCACTGTGTCTCCAAGTACACTTGAAAGACAGTCTAGGCCATAAGGGACTGCAACTCCTAGGCAAGTCCTCGTGCTGAATTAGGCCCAGAGACAGTGGACTGGGGGGCACATGACCTACTGAGACACCAGCTGGAGCAGCCAAGGGACTGATGGCATCACCCCTCCCCTAACCCCAAGCTGCACAGGTCATTGATCCAAAAGAGACCCCTTCCTTCTGCTTGAGAAGGGAGGAAAGAGTGGGGAGGACTTTGTCTTACATCTAAGATACCAGCTCAGCCACAGCAGGATTGGGCACTGGCCAGTGTCAAGAAGGGCACCCCCCCTCACCCCGTTCCAGGCCCTAGTCCCCAGGCAACATTTGTAGACACACCCTGGGCCAGGAGGGAACCCGCTGCCTTGAAGGAAAGGACCCAGTCCCAGCAGCATTCATCACTGGCTAACTGAAGAGCCCTTGGGCCCTGAACAACCAGGAGCAACACCCAGGTACTACATCAAGGGCCTTGGCTGAGCCTCTGAGACTTGCTGTCTTCAGGTGAGACTGTGCACCTAATGAGCTGTGGTGGTTATGGCACAAAACTCCTTCTGCTTGAGAAAAGCAGAGGGAAAAGTAATGGGGACTTTGTCTTACACCTTAGGTACCAGCATGGCCACAAGGGGGTGGATCACCAACTGGGCTCCTGGGGTCCCCAATTCCAGGACTTGACTTTTGAACAGCATTTCTGGACTTGCCCTTGGCCAGAGGGGAACCCATTGCCCTGAAGGGTGAGTCCCAGGCCAGGCAGCATTTACTACAAGTTGACTTTAGAGACCTGGGGCCTTAAAGGAACATCAGCACTACTCTGGCAGTACTCCTCATGGCCTGGGGTGATGCTGGCTACAGGGTGGGGCTCCTCTGCCTTTGGAAAGGAAAGGAAAGAGTGGGAAGGACTGGGTCTTTTGGTTTGAGGGTCAACTCAGCTGCAATACAATAGAACACCAGGTAGACATCTAAGGTTTTTGACTCTAGTCCATAACTCCTGGATGGCACTTCTGGACTCACCTGGGGCTCGGGGGACTGTGTTGCCCTGAAGGGAAGGACACAGGCTTGGCTGACTTTGCCACCTGCTGATTGTAGAGCCCCA
The DNA here is from genome assembly GCF_000001405.40 of Homo sapiens. NCBI lineage: Eukaryota > Metazoa > Chordata > Mammalia > Primates > Hominidae > Homo > Homo sapiens. Next base: position 132,278,161 of record NC_000023.11, on the reverse strand, counting down.
GGGCCTTGAGCAAACATAGGCAGTAGCCAGGGAGTGGTTACAGCAGGCCTTGGGTGAGATCCAGTGCTGCGTTGGCTTCAGGTCTGACCCAGTGCAGTCACAGTGTTGGTAACCACAGGGGTGCTTGTGTGACTCCAGCCCCAGCTTTAGATGGCTAGAACAGAGAGACAGAGAGAGTCTGTATGTTTTGGAGAAAGTAAGGGAAAAGAACAAGAGTCTCTGCCTGGTAATCCAGAGAATTCTCCCAGATCTCGTCCAAGACCATCAAGGCAGTACTTCCATGAGTCTGCAAGAACCACAGCATTACTGGGCTTGGGGTGTCCCCTAAAGCAGATACAGCTTAGATCACAACACCCACGTCTTTCAACTATATGGAAAGCCTTCCCAAGAAGGATGCTACAAATAAGTCCAGACAGCGAAGATTACAATAAATACCTAACCCTCAAAGCCCAGACACTGATGAACATCTACTAGCATCAACACCATCCAGGAAAACATGACCTCACCTAAGAGCTGTAGAATATGCATTTTTTTTCCTCAGCATAGGAATCATTTTCAAGGATAGACCATACGTTAGATCACACAAAACAAGTCTTGAAACATTAAAAAAATGAAATAATATCAAGCATCCTTTCTGACCACAATGGAATAAAACTAGAAATTAAAAATGAGGATTTTGGAAACTATACAAATACATGCAAATTAAACAATATGCTTCTGAATGACCAGTGGGTCAATGAAGAAATTAAGAAGGAAATTGAAATATTTCTTGAAACAAATGATAATGAAAACACAGCATACCGAAACCTATGGGATACAGCAAAAGCAATACTCGGAAATGTATAGCTGTAAATGCCTACATTAAAAAAGAGAAAAAACTTCAAATAAACAATTTAACGATGCATCTTAAAGAACTAGAAAAGCAAGAGCAAACCAAACCCAAAACTAGTAGAAGAAAATAAATAATAAAAATCAGAGCAAAAATAAATAAAATTGAAATAAAAAAATACAAAAGGTCAATGAAACAAAAAGTTGGTTTTTTGAAAAGTTAAACAAAATAGACAAACCTTCAGCCAGACTAAGAAAAATAAGAGAGAAAATCCAAATAAACAAAATCAGAAATGAAAAGGGAGACATTACAACTGATACTGCAGAAATTCAAAAGATTGTTAGTGGCTAACTATGAGCAACTATATGCCAGTACATTGGAAAATCTAGAAGAAATTGACAAATTCCTAGATACATACAACCTACCAAGATTGAACCAGGAGGATCTCCAAAAAGTGAATAGACCAATAACAAGTAATGATATCAAAGTGCTAGTAAAAAGTCTCCCAGTAAAGAAAAGCCTGAGACCCAATGGCTTCATTGCTGAATTCTGCCAAATATTTAAAGAAGAACGAACACCAATTCTACTGAAACTATTCCAAAGAATAGAGGAGAAGGGAATATTTCCACACTCATTCGACAACGCCAGTATTACCCTGATACTAAAACCAAAGACACATCAAAAATAGAAAACTAAAGGCCAACATCTCTGATGAATATCGATGCAAAAATCCTCAACAAAACAGTAGCAAACTGAACTCAGCAATACATTATAAAGATCATTCATCATGATCAAGTAGGATTTATCCCTGGGATGCAAGGATGTTTCAACATACACAAATCAATCAATGTGATACATCATATCAACAGAATGAAGGATAAAAACCATATGATAATTTCAATTGATGCTGAAAAAACATATGATATAATTCAACATCCCTTCATGATAAAAACCCTAAAAAAACTGGGGATAGAAGGAACATACCTCAACATAATAAAAGCCATATATGACAGACCCACAGCTAGTATTACACTGAACGGGGAAAAACTGAAAGCTTTTCTACTCAGATCTGGAATATAAGGATGCCCACTTTCACCACTGTTATTAAGCATAGTACTGGGATTCCTAGCTAGAGCAATCAGACAAGAGAAAGATATAAAGAGCACCCAAATTGGAAAGGAAGAAGTCAAATTATCCTTGTTTGCTGGTAATATGATTTTACATTTGCAAAAACCTAAAGACTTTAAAGAGAACTGTTAGAGCTGTTAAAATCAATAAAGTTGCAGGATAGAAAATCAACACACAAAAATCAGTAGCCTTTCTATATGACAACAGTGAACAATGTGACAATGACATTTTTAAAAAAGTAATCTCGTTTACAATAGTCACACATAAAATTAAATACCCAGGACTTAACCAAAGAAGTAAAAGATCTCTATAATGTAAACTATAAAACACTGGTGAAGGACCTTGAAGAGGACACCAAAAATGGAAAAATATTCCATGTTCATGGATTGGAAAAATCAATATTGTTAAAATGTCCATACTACCAATCTACAGATTCAATGCAAACTGTATCAAAATACCAATAATACTCTCCATAGACATAGAAAAAACAATTGTAAAATGTATATAGAACCACAAAAGATCCAGAATAGCCAAAGGTAGCCTAAGCAAAAAGGACAAAATTGGAGGACTCACATTACCTGACTTCAAATTATGCTATGGAGCTATAGTAACCAAAACAACATGGTACTGGCACATAGACCAATGTAACAGAATAGAGAACGCAGAAACAAATCCACACACATACAGTGAATTCATTTTTGACAAAGGTGTCAAGAACATACACTGGGGAGAAGACAATCTCTTCAATAAATGGTGCTGGGAAAACTGGATATCCATATGTAAAAGAATGAAACTAGACCCCTATCTTTCACCATATACAAAAATCAAATAAAAATGGATTAAAGACTTATCTCTAAGACCTCAAACTATGAAATTACTACAAGAAAACATTGGGGAAAAATCTCCAGGACATTGGTCTGGGCAAAGACTTCTTGAGTAAGCCCACACGCACAGACAAGTAAACATGGACAAATGTGATCACATCAAGTTAAAAACCTTCTGCACAGCAAAGGATACAGTCAACAAAGTGAACAGACAACCTACAGAATGGGAGAAAATATTTGCAAACTACCCATCTGACAAGGGATTAATAACCGGAATATATAAGGGACTCAACTCTCCAGGAAAAAAAATCTAATAATCTGGTCAAAAAATAGGCAAAATATTTTAATAGAAATTTCTCCAAAGAAGATATACAAATGGGAAACAGGCATATGAAAAGGTACTCTATTGCTCAACATCACTGATCATCAGAGAAATGCAAATCAAAACTATACTGAGATATCATTTCACCAGAGTTAAAATGGCTTTTATCCAAAAGACAGGCAATAACAAATGCTGACAAGGATGTGGAGAAAAGGGAACCCTTGTACACTGTTGGTGGGAATGCAAATTAGTAAAACCAGTATGGAGAACAGTTTAGAGGTTCTTCATAAAACTAAAAATTGAGCGACCATACGATCTGGCAATCTCACTGCTTTTGGGTATATACCCAAAAGAAAGGAAATCAGTATATCAAAGAGATATCTGCACTCCTCTGTTGCTGCACTCTTTACGATAGCTAAGATTTGGAAGCAACCTAAGTGTCCTTCAACAGATGAATGGATAAAGAAAATGTGGTACATATGCACAATAAAGTACTATTTAGCCATAAAAAAAGAATGAGATCCAATAGTTTGCAACAACATGGATGAAACTGAAGATCATTAAGTGAAGTGAAATTATCCAGGCACAGGAAGACAAACATTGCATGTTCTCATTTATTTGTGGGATCTAAAAATCAAAACAATGGAACTCATGTACATAAAGAGCAGGATGGTTACCAGAGGCTGGGAAGGGTAGTGGGAGACTGGGGGCAAGGTGGGGATAGTTAATGCATACAAAATAAATAGAAAGAATGGATAAGACTTAATATTGATAGCACGATAGGATGATTATAGTCAATAATAACTTAATTGTATCTTTTAAAGTAACTTAAAGAATGTAATTGGATTGTTTGTAACTCAAAGGATAAATGCTTGAGGGGATGGATTAAAAAATTGTAAAAATGTTTATAACAGCATTATTCATAAGAGCCAAAAAGTATAAACAACCAAATTTCCATCAGCTGATAAAATGGATAAATGAAATGTTGTACATCCATACAATGGAATATCATTTGGGCATGAAAAGGGATAGAGTACTGATACATACTACAACATGGATGAACCTTGAAAACATGCTAAATGAAAGAAGCCAGTCACAAAAGATCACACATTGTTTGATGCCATTCATATGAAATGTCCATAATTGGCAAATATATAAATGTATAAATAGATTAGTAGTTGCCAGTGGCTGGAAGGTAATGGGTATGGGGGGTGGATGGTAATTAGTACAGATAGTTTCCAACTTATGATGGTTTGACTTATTATTTTTCAACTTCACAACAGTGCAATAGAGATTCACATTCAATAGACACCATTCTTTGAGCACCAATACGACCACTCTGTTTTTTACTTTCAGTATCGTGTTCAATAAATTACATGCAATATTCAATACTTTATTATAAAATAGGCATGGTATTAGATAATTTTGCCCAGCTGTAGGCTAATGTGAGTATTCTGAACATGTTTAAGGTTGGCTAGGCTAAGCTATGATGTTCAGTAGGTTAGGTATATTAAACGCATTTTCAACTTATGAAATTTTCAACTTATAGTGGGTTGAGGATGTAACCCTATCGTAAGTTGAGGAGTGACTGTATAAGGCTTATTTTTGGAGTGATGACAATGTTCTGGAATTAGACAGTGGTGATAATGGCAGAACTTTGTGAGTATACTTAAAACCATGAATTGTATACTTTATGTGAATTGTATGGAATGTGGATTATACTTCAGTAAAGCTGTTAGTACAAAAGAAGAAGAAAAGAAAAAACTTCCATAGCTTTCTGTTGCCCTTAGCATTAAGTACAAGGTTAGTTGCCCGGAACACCAGAGCTTTACTCCTACATAAATGTCCAATCCCTGGCATGCACCATGTCATATGTAGCCATACTAGATTGACTTGTCTCCATTATTCCAATAAGCTGTGTATGAGTACACAACTGTGCCTCTGCTCCTGCTGTTACCTCACTCTGGCATGTTTCATTTGCCTTGTTTACTTGGTGAACTACTACTTACTTCTCAGGAAGCAGCTGAAATCCTCTCCACTCTCCCAGGCCATGAAGCGTTACTCACTTTTTCTCTCTGCTACAACTGTTCTCAAAACATACCTCTACCATTATTCTTCTTACACTGTATGGCAATTGTTTGTGTTCAACTGCTTGTCTGTCTCCTTAACTAGATGATGAGTACATTGTGGGCAAGAACTATGTCAGATTTACTTATTTCTTCCCAGCCTCTAGCACAAGGCCTGATACACTAAAGTACCTATTTGTTGATTGAATAAATAAATATAAGTAGATTATCAGTTATTCATACCATGTTGCCTCTCCACTTTGTCAAAGAGATATCCAGTGCTCCATGAGCTGGCAACAAGGTTTGAACACATGGAAGGGTAGAACAAGCTTATTTGGGAGCAGGGAGAGGGTAAGCCTGTCCAGGACACTGCAATGCAGAATGCTGGATGACCAGAAGGCCAACAAAGGCATGTGGCTGGGAGAGAGGATGTGGGGTCACTGTGCTTCAGACAAGCGGCAGGCATTGAAGAAAAGACCAGTAAGTACTCTTCTAATTCAGAGGGGATGGCCAGTCAGTCAGGATAGGGCAGTACAGAACAGGGAGGGCCAAACTGTCTTGGCTTAAAAGGCAAAGTAAGGCCTTAGAGTAGTTCTTGAGTCACTGCCTATCATGGACGTCTCCTGAAGGATGTGATATCTGAGAGTTTGGCTCTCTTGACATGGCCACAGAGACTCCTTCTGTGCAAGTTAGAGTGGTCAGACAAATACCCCTGTCTTTTAAACCTTCCTGGCTTTCTAATTTCACAGGGAGCCCTACCATGTTTCCTTATGGTCCAGACCAACAATTTTGAACCTGCATAGCCTTCAGTCAGTAAGACCAGTTGACCCTAGCCCAGTCTAGTAGTTTGACCGGTTGCATGAAACTTTGAATAAAATGTGGCCCATACGAAATGAAGTTGAAATGCCAGAATTGTCTTGGTATACTGTAGAAGAAATTCTGCCTCAAGTCTGTAACATAGAAATCTTGCCTGAGTTTCTAGCCTGCTGGCCTGCCCTAGAATTTCTAACTCAAAATCGTGATTTCAACTCTTGCCTGAGTTTGCAGCTCCTGGTCTGCCCTACAAATTTTGAATTTGCCAATTCCCAAAATCATATGAGCCAACTCTAAATCAATCTCTCTCCTTCTCTTTCTCCCTTCCCTCCCCCACTTTATATATATCCTATTGATTCTGTTTCTCTAGAGAACCCTAACTGATACACCCAGCAAATGGAGAGACAGTTTAAGAGAAAATGTGAAATGCGTCTATTTCACAATCTCGTCTAGGGACAACTTTCTCAGGGGAAGAATAGCTTCCATCAGTGGCCTGTTCATCATCTTTCAGTTTCTAATTCAAAACAGTTATTTCTTTGGCCAGCAAAGCTCAATTCAACAATAGACATTTCTGATTAAATGCAGTCAGAGGCCTGTGACACGGAGGTTGCCAGCAAGCCCTTATTTTTCTGTTACTTCAGTGGCAGAAAGACAGTTTTATTTTTCTTTCCCAGTGTCAGACAGAAGCTAGTCTGAAACCACTCCTGTCTCACTCTGGGTGTGGTTCTGATTAGAAGCCAAGGAGCTCAAATGAGAGGAGTTTTTAGGAGCAGTGATTTAGCAGCAAATATATGCCTGAGGCAAAAGCAGCAGGTTCTGCCACTTCTAGTTTTAGCTGCTTTGCCTGAACTTGAGGGTTTTTCCAATTATCAAGTTTCTCTGCAGTGTACTGTAAAGAAGCGAGATAATATGTTTTACAGGACCTATCAGCATCTACAGACAAGGTGGGCGCTGAACACCATGCACAGCTGTGTTAATAATTAAGGGAGCCCTAGGGAAGAAGAGAAGGTTATTCTTGTTCGAATGATGTGAGGAAAGAGAAAGTGCAGAGGGAAAAAAGTCATTTCAATGGGATCTTTACCTCTCTTCTAAAACCTAGGAAAGCATTGCTTAGTTGTTTGCCTATTTAGATCAAAACATAAAAACATTTTGTACAAGACACTTAAAACTGTGATTAATTCAAATTGCTCAAGTGTTCCCTTCCTCTGTATTCATAGTCATGATCCTCTGCCAGCGCCAGATGTTTCTAGGAGTGGTTAGCTCAAAAGCTCACTTGACATCATTCCGTGGCATTCTTGCACTGATGTTTAACAGAGGACACGAGGCTTGACTCACACCTTGGCCAGAGACTACATAAATTATGGCAAGCTGTAAGGAATCATAACCTCCCTTTCTGATTGGGGCCAGCTTTGTGCATCCACAGCTTTCTCATAGGAGAAAGGGTTCCCTTGACCAAGACAGGGATCCTTCCATGTTTTTGAAGAAGGGGAAGGTTCCAAACTAAGAGCAGGAAGGAAATTGGGCTGGTGATTCAAAAGCAGAGAAACACACACTGTGCGGCTGATATGAAAGTTGATACCATGTCTGAGAGCACAGAATTACAAGATGTGGTGTTTATCCTCTTTTACGGATGCTCTTACCTTGTGTAATAAAACAGTGCACTGCTTCTTAAATTTTAATGTGCATGTGGATCACCTGGGGATCTTGTTAAAATGCAGATTCTGATTTGCTAAATCTGGTAGGCTCAAGATTGTAAATTACTACCAAGCCCCCAGGTGATATCTAAGCAGCTGGTCCTTAGAAAACACTTTGTGTACAAAGTTATAAAACTTATGGTAGGCCTCCAAACAGGTCCCTAACCTCTAGTGTTGCCCAAGTCCTGTCAGTCATACAGAAATGACCAAGCTCTTCTCCCTTGTGGTTTGCAGTCTAGTAGAGAATGAGCCTTGCGTGCACATAATAGGATCGATGCCACAGGGAGGTAGAAAGGGCTGGGATGTTCAGAGGGAGCAGGGGTCATTTTCAGCTGCCAGGGGGAATTGCAAAAGCTTCAGAGAGGACATTACTTTTAAGGAGGATCATGAAGGAGAGATGGGACTTAGGCAGAAATGCAGTGAGGGCTTGCCAGGAGGATGGATCACCAGAAGTAAAGGCACAAAGGCTAGAAAACGTGAAGCACTGGCAGGAAATAGCATGCAATTCTATTTGACTAGAATCTGGAGTTTCTTCTAAGCAGAAAACAAGATGGACAAATAAGGTTGGTCAGGTAGTTTAGGACCAGATTACAGAACACCTTAATGTCATGTCATACAAAAGCCTTCAGACTTCATTTGGTAGGTGAGGGCAAGAACTGACTTTTCTTTAAGCTCCAAAGTGATTTGATTGGGGCTGTACCTTAGATTCTAGGCCTAGAGATCGCTCTGCTGAGAGTGGATAAAATAGGTCAGGAGGGAAGACCCTGAAGGAAGGCAGACCAATTAGGAGGTCATTGTTTAGTCGGCCATTTAGAAAATATTTATTTATTTATTTTTGAGAAAGAGTCTCACTCTGTGGCCCAGGCTGGAGTGCAGTGGTGTGATCTTGGCTCACTGCAACCTCTCCCTTCTGGGTTCAAGTGATTCTCCAGCCTCGGCCTCCCCAGTAGCTGGGATTACAGGGGCCCACCACCACGCCCAGCTAAATTTTGTATTTTTAGTAGAGATGGGGTTTCACTGTGTTGGCCAGGCTAGTCTTGAACTCCTGACCTCAGGTGATCCACTCACCTCAGCCTCCCAAAGTGCTGGGATTACAGGCATGAGCCACTGTGCCTGGCCTAGAAAATATTTATTGATCTCCTATTCCGTTTCCACCACAGTGCTAACAACTTGAGCAGGGAATTAATACATGCCTGTCCTGACCCCTTGTGGTACTTACAGTCTGAGGAGTGCTACAAAGAAGTCCGGGGTACTAGGAGAGCATGAAACAGAGACCTAAAAGTCTGGGGGGTGGTCAGAGAAAATTGTTCTGAGCTGGTGACACTTTTATCCAGATCTGAAGAATGAGGAGGATTTAGCCAGATGAAGAGGAAAGTGAAAGGAAACTGTAGAGGGAAAGCTCCCCACAAAGGCCCAGAGACTAGAGAGCCTGGCATGTGCTAAGACAGAAAAAACTAGAGCATGGTTGAGGTGGGGAGAAGCAAGGGAGGAAAGTGGGGAGACCCAAGGGAAAAGAGACATAACTGTTGGCAGGGGTCATATTTGAGCAGGACTTTTGTAGGCTAGGTAACAGTTTTGCACTTTACCTTAAGGGCAATGAGAAGACATTCGGGATTTTAAGCACAGGAGTGACTTGAGATATAGGTATCAGAACAACCCTTCTGTGTCTTTGCTCTGTGGAGGATAGATGGGGGCAGGGAGCAAGATTTGATGCAAGAAAGCAAGTTATGAAGTGTCTGAGTGAGGCCGGGCGCAGTGGCTCACGCCCGTAATCCCAGCAATTTGGGAGTCCGAGGTGGGCAGATAGCTTGAGGCCAGGAGTTCGAGACCAGCCTGGCTAACATGGTGAAACCCCCCTCTTTACTAAAAATACAAAAATTATCTGGGCATGGTGATGTACACCTGTAGCCCTAGCTACTCTGGAGACTGAGGCACGAGAATTGCTTGAACCTAGGAGGCAGAGATTGCAGTGAGCTGAGATCGTGCCACTGCACTCCAGCCTGGGCTACAAAAAAAAAAAAAATGTTTTAGTGGAACAGACGAGGTGATAGGTGTTTGGTCTGAGTGGAAGTGAGGATGGAAACAGGTAAGCAGACACAAGCGAAAATAAGGGAGTAAAATCAGCAAGAACTGAAGAATGTGAGGAAGAATGGAGACGGAGAAGGCAAGAATGATTCCTGAATTCATAGTTTGAGGACTGGATGGATAATGGTACCAGCCACTGATGTAATGAACATAGGAGGAGGTGGAGATTCTGAAAGGAGTAAGGAAGAGGAGTTCAGCTGAAGGTCCTGTGGAACATTCTGGGGGAGATAAATAGGAAGATGTATACACCACTTGAGTTCAGGAGGGAGGTCTGGGCTAGGGATATGAATTTGGGAGTCAAAGATACAGATGGTGGCTGAAGCCCTGCAGTCTCATTCTGATCCCAGTGCATTCCTCCCAGCCCCCAAAGTCCTTCAGGGACAGACGTTGCAATGAACAGGCTGATACAGAAGCCCAGATTCTCCCATGACTGAGGAAAAGGAGGTAAATCACAAATAGAAATTTTGAGAATGTCAGAAAAATTATGGCGTCTTTAGAGTTGGTATGCAGCCCATCAAGGTGAGGAACAGTTCTCATTTAATGTGTGAAATCTGACAGGTAAGTTACCAAAAAAAAAAAAATTAAGACTTTGCAGGCAAATTGTACATCAAACAGCTTGAGTCTTGGGTCGGTTCTCCCTGCTCAGTTACCCAACATGTTTTTTATATATCATATTCTATATATATATATACACACACACTCAGAGTGTGTCAGCTAATTCCAGTATTAGCCTAAAGAAAACCATAATTAGGAACACCTGCTGCTGCTGGAAAAATAAACTATAATACATTCGCAAAACAAATACAAATGACCTTCGCCCCAGCGTTTTAGATTATTTGCACCACTTTGCCCTTTCGGTAACCTAGATAATTGAGTTGGCTGTATTTATAAAAATAAAGATGTGCATTCTAAATAAAACAATGCAAGGAAGGTCACTATATAAAAGTGGTCTTCTTGGATAATATGCCTACCAGCTATCTCCAGAATATTATTCGAAATTATTATAGCCATAAATTAATGTTTTCACAGGACCTGTTGAAGCAGAACTCTTGTCAAGGAAACAAAAATAAGTAAATAAAGCCAGCAGCAATACATCTTCTAACTTTGCAGCAGAATGATGCTTGTGGAAAAATATGCAATCTGAACTCAGTCTGATGCAAACCTCAGGATGACATCATGTATTCATATGTGAGAATTTTTGAGTGAAACCAAGACTTCTAAGGGTTTATGATGGTGGTGGGTGGATATGGTTCCCTAGAAAGGCAATACCATTGAGCAGTTATCTGCTTCTGGACAGGCAGGCACGTAGAGGGAGGAGGCCACCCATTTGGATGATTGATTATGAGTCATCCAAAGAGTTTTCACACCTGCTTTTTGATACCAGAAATGTCAAGGTCTGGGACTGAAGCTTTTCATGCACAACTCAAGAGACTTGGAATACTATCTTTTAGGAAGATGTACTGAGGCTTGCTTCACACAGAAGTGTGGATGATTCAGGAGCTATGTCTTTTCCATGGAGAGATGAACAGGTTTCTGACAAGTAAAGCTGGCCTGTGGGTTCAGGAAAGTTTGGAAATCAGATTTCTGTTACCCTATCTCATAGTGTAGGGTATGAGGCAGTCATGAAAAAGAGTGTTTCTATGATCTATTGTCACCTAGCAAACTACTCCAAAATTTAATGGCTAAACATAAATCTGTTTTGTTTCACTATTCTGTGGATTGACTGGGCTCAGCCAGAAATTTCTTCTGCTGATCTCACTCAGGCAGTGTAGTTAGATGGCAGTTGGAGTCATCCAGAGGCTCAACTGGGAATCTGAGATGGCTGGCCCTCTCTTTATTTACATATAGTCTCAGGAGCTCTCCTCTTGACATGGTCTCTCCAGCAGGGGAACCAGAATTCTTTCAGGGCTTCCCAAAGCAAGTGTTCTAAAACAGGGGTCCCCAACCCCCGAGCTGCTGACCCATACCAGTCCATGGCCTCTTAGAAACCAGGCAGCACAGCAGGACATGAGCAGCAGGCCAGTGAGCATTAAAGCCTGAGCTCTGCCTCCTGTCAGATCAGTAGCAGCATTAGATTCTCACAGGAGCACCAGTCCTATTGTGAACTATTGTGAACCGCACATGTGAGGGATCTAGGTTGCTCGCTGCTTATGACAATCTAATACCTGATGATCTGAGGTGGAACAGTTTTATCCTGAAACCATCCCCACCCTCACTCCATCCTGTCCATTGAAAAATTGTCTAAGTGTCTTCCACAAAACCGGGGTCCCTGGTGCCAAGAAAGGAACAGTAGTCCCCAACCTTTTTGGCACCAGGGACCCGTTTTGTGGAAGACAATTTTTCCATGGCATGGGGTAGGGGGAGGGGGGGTTGGGGGGATGGTTTTGGGATGAAACTGTTTCACCTGAGATCATCAGGCATTAGTTAGATTCTCATAAAGAGCATACAACCAGCTGGGCCTGGTGGCTCATGCCTGTAATCCCAGCACTTTGGGAGGCCGAGGCAGATGCATCATGAGGTCAGGAGTTCGAGACTAGCCTGGCCAATATGGTGAAACCCCATCTCTACTAAAAATACAAAAATTAGCCAGGTGTGGTGGCGCATGCCTGTAGTCCCAGCTCCTCGGGAGGGTGAGGCAGAAGAATCACTTGAACCCAGGAGGCAGAGGTTTCAATGAGCTGAGATTATGCCACTGCACTCCAGCCTGGGTGACAGAGCAAGACTCCATCTCAAAAAAAAAAAAAAAAAAAAAAGGAAAAGCACACAACCTACTAGATCCCTCACATGTGCAGTTCACAATAGGGTTCAAGCTCGTATGAGAATCTAATGCTGCCCACTGATCTGACAGAACGCAAAGCTCAGGTGGCAATGCTTGCCTGCCCATGGCTCACCCTGAGTCTATGGCCTGGGGTTGGGGACCCCTGTCATAAAAGACAGGGAGTGAAAACTGTCAGTCCTCTTAAATAATAGGATTAGAACTCTCACAACTTCATTTCTGTTGCATTATATTTGTTATTGACAGTCGCAGGCCACCCTAGAGTCAATGTGGAGAGAGACAACACTAGGTTGCAAAGAGCAGGAAGAGTGGCTTATTGAGGGCCATCTGTGGAGACTAGGTATTGAAAAGAGCAACCTGATATTCTACTTGCTCTAACATTCTACTGCCTGTGGCACTTCCTCAAGGAACCACATTATCTTTCCTACTGTAGTTTTGGCTGAAGAAACTCAGGTTTGGAGTACCAGCAAAGGTTTATTTAACTTTTTCCCGATCCTGTATTTTATAATCACTTCTTATGTCTTTGTATCTCTGACACATATATGAGCTTTGGAAGCTGACCCCAACCAACTGTCCAAATTTAGCGGGAAAACTATGGTCACAATATTTGGAGTTTGCAGTCACGTATGTACAACTGGAAGGGAGAGTAATGAGTCTGCATGGTATTGGGCACCAAGTGATAATTCAACCCAAGAGTTCTTCATAACTTAGGATTTAAAAAAAATTAAATTTAAATTCTCTGTGCGCCTGTAACAGGACCAGGATGGGAGCATGTTCTACCTAACCACCTGAAGAAACTAGAGCAAGCTCCATGGAGGCTTGTGACACAAGGGGAAAGTAATAAGGTAAAATCACCACCTATCCCAGACATACCTCATGCTGTTCCAAATATCCCTCCAACTACAAATTTACCCTTATTCTAATTATCAGACAAATGTGGCTTAAAACTCAGTGCTTTCCACCACCACAATTCTGAAAAGCCATGTATCACTCATTCAGCAATTACTGAGTGCCCACTCTGTACCAAGTATCATTCTGGGCATGACCCCTGGCCTCAAGGAGCTTCCAGTCTAATAAGGAAGATTGGCATTGTGATAAAGATGAAAATAGGAGATTGTGGGAGGACAGAGAGACATCTAACTAAATCTTGAAGCATAGAGAAAGGCGTTCTGAGTGAAAGTTCTCATTTAAGCTGAATTCCAAGAACAAGTTGGAGTTAGCCAAGTGATGGTGTGTGGAAGTAGGGTATGGAAAGAAAATTCCAAGCAGAGAGCAAAGACACCAGGAATCCCAGGGAGTTCAGCAATGATAGGCTACAGAGTCTGAAAGAAGATGTGGTGAGAGATAAGACAGAAGAGGCAGGAAGGAACCAAACCCAGAAGGATTATATACCATGCCAAGGAGTATGAAAAGCTATATACGATGGTGAGTACGTTTAAAAAAAAATAGTATTTTGAATAAGACGGGCCTGACCTTGAATCCCGTCTCCGCCATGTGATCCTTGGATAAGTCACTTGAGTCTCCGAGCCTCAGTTTTCTAAACTTAATGCGGAAATGGTGGAGGATTCATTTCATAGGATGGTTGTGAGGATTCTATTCTTTATCTTCCAAAATTGCTGTTAAATCAAATGTCATTCTTGTCATTATTGTATTAGTTTCCTGTGGTTGCTGTACCAAATTACTACAACTTGGGGGCCTAAAACAACAGAAATGTATTCTCTCACAGTTTTGTATGCCAGAAGTCTGTATAAATGATGTTGGCAACTTTATTCTCCCTCTGGAAACTCTAAAGGAGAATCCGTTCTTTGTCTCTTCTATCTTCCGCTGACTGCCAGAATGCCTTGGAGTTCTTTTGCTTGCAGCTGCATCACTCCATTCACTGCCTCTGTCATCACATCACCTTCTCGTGTGTGTGTGTGTGTGTTGTTGTTGTTGTTGTTTTGTTGTGTGTATGAGAAATCTCCTTCTGCCTCCCTTTTATAAGGACACTTGTGATTGGATTTGGGACCCACCTAGATAATTCAGAACAATTTCTCCATTTTTCAGATCCTTAACATAATCATATCTGCAAAAACTCTTACCTTATAAGGTAACACTCACATGTTCCAGGATTAGGATCTGATATTATTGGGTGGCCATTATTCAGCCAACTACAATGTTTCTTTTCTCCTGGATGCCTTTATGATTTTTCTCCTTTTCTTTGTTTACAAAAGTCTTATTATGATGGGCCTAGGTGTATTTTCTTTGCACTTATCCTTCTTGGGGTTGACAGACCTTCTTGAATCTGTGAGTTGATGCCTTTCATCAGATTTGGAAAATTCACGGTGTCTTCATATATCGTCACTGCTCATTTTCCCTTCCTCCCTTTTTATTCTGGAACTCCAATTAAAACTATGTTAAACCTTTTATTTATATCTCACCTGTCTATTATACTCTTACTTTTCTATTAGTTAATTCTCTATGTGCTTCAGTTTAAATACTTTACTCTAACGTGTCTTCTAGTTTACTAATCCTCTATTCTGTTGTGTACAATCATCCATTAAACACATCTATTGAGATTTTAGGGTTTTTTTCTAACTTTAGAATTTCTATTTGATTACTTATAGATTCCAATTATTGGATTAAATTTTCCTTTTTTATATTTCTTTTCACCATCTTTCCTCTATTATCTGAATATATAGTTGTTAGAAATGCATTGTCTGCTAACTTATATATTCGGATCACCCATGGGTTTTTTCCTATTGTCTGTTTTTTTCCTTCTAGGTTTTCAGTCATATGGCCTCATCTCTTATATTTCCTAGAAAGTTTTCAATGAATGCCATCCAATTGTGTATAAATAATTTAAAAGGCTCCAGATGATGCTATCTTCCCTCAGAGAGAATTTACTGTTTTCTCTGTTAGGCAGATCAAGTAGGGGCAGATCACCTTTACCAAATCAGTGACTAAGCTGAATCAAGGTCAGGTTCAATGTTGGTAAAGCCCCTGGTCCCTGCTCCTAAGGCATTACCTTTCAGAGCTATCATCTGATAATCTTGTGTGTTCAATGGGGCTCTTATTCCTGGCAGATATTAAAATCAAATCCTTACATTACTCAGCATAGTGAGACTGCCCAAAATGCTACTGTTTCTCGAGGCTTCCTGCTTAGCTTCTTAGTCTCATCAAAAAACACTCGACATGTGTCATATTCTTTTTTTTTTCCTTTCCCTTTCACTGGGGTCTTGGCCTCTCAACCCAGCCCTCAATAACCATCAAAAGTTCTGTTTTTCCCGTATTCCCCAGCAGTGGCCCTCTGTCTGGCCAAAGCCCAGATTCTCAATCTCTAACTATACACCCCAAACTTGCCAAAGCCCACGGGGAAAATGTAGCTCTCCTTTCAGTGGTTCAACCTTCTTTGAAATCTTGGCCCCTCCAATGCTGATTGCTTCAGCAGCTTTCTATGCCTTTACAGAGACTTTTAAAAATTTTAAACAACCATTTTCTAGTTATTCTTAGTAGGACTGAAAGCAGAAGCCCATTGAGGGAGCTTTAGGGGGAGCTTTCTTATAGCTTTAAGTTTCTTTTTTCAGCTTTATTGAGTTTCTTTTTTCTTTTATTTTTAAGGGATAGGGTCTCACTATGTTGACCAGGTTGGTCTCAAACTCCTGGCCTCAAGTGATCCTCCCATCTCAGACTCCTAAAGTGCTGGGATTACAGGCAAGAGCCACTGTACCAGGCTGATTGAGTTATTTTTGGTATATGTATATCTTGTGAAATGATTACCACAATGAAGCTAATTAACATATTCATCACCTCATAGAGTTAATTATTTTATTGTATGTCTTTTTTTTTTTTTTTTTTTTTTTGAGGCAGGGTCTTGCTTGCTCTGTCACCCAGGCTGGAGTGCAGTGGTGCTATTACAGCTCACTGCAGCCTCGACCTCCTGGGCTCAAGCAATCCTCCTGCCTCATTTTTTATTTTTTATGGAGACGGGGTTTCACCATGTTGCCTAGGCTGGTCTCGAACTCCTGGGCTTCAGTGATCCTCCTGCCTCAGCCTCCCAAATGGCTGGGATTACAGGCATGAGCCACAGCATGTATGTTTTTTTTTTTTTTTTGCAGTAAGAACATTTACAATATACTCACTTAGCATATTCAAGTATATAATACAGTATTATTAACTGTACTCACTATGACATAATTAGATCTGCAGAACTTATTCAGTCTGCATAACTGACACTTTGTATTGTTTGACCAATATCTCTAACCCCCAGCCCCCGACAACCATCATTCTACTCTCTGCTTCTATGAGTTTGACTTTTTTCAATTTCCCATGTAAGCAAGATCATGTAGTTTGTTTTTCTCTGCCTAGCTAATTTAATTTAACACAATGACTTCCAGGCTCATCTATGTTGTTGCAAATTCCCTGCTTTAAATACTGAATAGTATTCCATTGTGTGTGTGTGTGTGTACACCACATTTTCTTTATCCATTCATTCTTCGATCAGCACTTAGGTTCATTCTATATCTTGACCATTATGAATACTGTTGCAATGAACATGGGAGTGTAGGTATCTCTTCAACATACTGATTTTATTTCCTTTGGATATATATCCAGTAGTGGGATTGCTGGATCACATTGTAGTTCTACTTTTAATTTTTTGAAGACCTTCTATACTGTTTTACATAATGGGTGTACCAATTGGCATCTCCACCAACAGTGCACAACAATTCTCTTTTCTCTACATCCTCTCCAACACTTATTCTATATCTTTTCAATAATAGCCATTCTAAAAGGTATGAGGTAATATTTTATTTGTGGTTTTGATTAGCATTTCCTTGATGGTTAGCAATGTTGACATATTTTTTCATATGCCTATTAGCCATTTGTATGTCTTCTTTTGAGAAATGTTTGTTCAGGTCTGTTGCCCATTTTTATTGGGTTATTTGTTTTCTTGCTGTTGAGTTGTTTGAGCTCCTTATTTATTTTGGATATTAACCTCTTATCAGGTGTATAGTTTGCAAATATTTTCTCCCATTGTGTGGGTTGTCGTTTGACTCTGTTGATTGTTTCCTTTGCTGTGCAGGAGCTTTTTAGTTTGATGGAATCCCATTTGTCCCATTTGTCTCAGTTTTAACCAGAGGAGTGACATGATCAACTTTGTAATTAATGAGTCATTTTGTAGGCAGTGTAAAGGATGATGTGTTAATTTTCTTGAGCTTCCATAACAAAGTACCCCAAAATCAAGTGAGTGGTTTAAATAATAGAAATTTATTTTCTCACAATTATGGAGCCTGGAAGTTTGACACCAAGGTATTGGTGCTCTTTTCTTCTGAGGCCTCCCTTCTTGGCTTGTAGGTGGCCATCTTCAACCAGTGCCTTCACACGGTCTTCCCTATGTATCTGCCTGTATCTAAATTTTCTCTTGTAAGGACACCATCATATTGGATTTGGGCCCATCCTAATGACATTATTTTAACTTAGTTACCTCTCTAAAGACTCTATCTTTAAATACAGTCACATTCTGAGCTATCATGAGTTAGGACTTCAACACATGGATTTTGGGGAAGGTGGCACAATTTAGCACATGACAGATGGGTTGGAGGGCAGCAAGAGTGGAGTCAGGCAGGCCAGTGAGAAAGCTGTTGCAGTAATCCAGGAGAGGAGGGCTTTGGAAAATTGGACAAAGTAATGGTAGAAGGGCTGGAGGTAACTGAATTGTTTCAAGAGAAAATTAGAAGATAGAATAGATAGCATTTGGTACTTATAAATAGGATATGTTAAGATGATGAGGAACAAGTCTAGGATGATACTCAATTTTCTAATTTGAGCACAGAGTAGAGGACAATGGAAGTAACATGGTTTGGGAAAAGTTGTCTTCTGAGATAGAAGCATACCCTCTTTCTTTCCTGCATTCTGAGATAAAGCTTAAGCCCTGGGATTACTGCTCCTTGAGTCACCTTCCCTTCTTCCTTACCTGAATATCATAGCTCATAATCCTCTGCACCTGCTCTGGTCCCCACCCTGACTCCTTGTTCCCTGTAGTCCAGGAGGTCTCAGACCTCTTCCAGTGCTTGGGGGCTTGGATACAGGCAGATACATAGGGAAGACCATGTGAAAGCACTGGTTGAAGATGGCCACCTACAAGCCAAGAAGTGCTGATCACTTGCTTGAAGCTATGCCTGCCCCTGCTTTATACCTCATCTCAGTGGACTGATCCTGTTCAAGCCTCTGCTTCTATCTGGTTGTGAGTGTACAGCAATGTCTTTGTACTGATGCTGAGGACTTGGCATGCCAACCTCAGAGAATGACAGCAATGATCTGGACCGGTTCAGAAATATTTAGATAGCCCTGTCAGACTTCTCTATCTGGTGAAGATGTTCTTCCTAAAGAACAGGCAGAGAGACTAGCCTGACATCTTCAAGTCAGGCAAAGTAGAATTGAGTAGAGGCCTGAGCAACACAGCTTAAAGACAGCAGTAACTCTATCTGGGACACTCCTATCAAGGATTGTATCTTTTTGTCCTGGCCTGCTAAGTTTTTGGGGGGGTCGCCAATTCAGAACGCTTGGACATACTCTTAGCTTGTCCATTACCCAAACCAGCAACCTTGAGACACTGCAACTCTTTAACTGTCCATGGCTAAGACCCTCTGCAGTCTATCATTTAACTATTTCCTCTCTAAAACTGCCTTTCCCTGTACATGGGGAAACAAATTAGCATGTGTTAGATACTGTTACTTCCCCCCACCACCCACTGTCCATTCCTTCTATTTATTTCTTTTAGTAACATAAATCCCTAAGACTTAGTAAGGAACCTGGCTAGAATAGAGACTACTTTTCCCAACCTCCCTTGCAGCTATGTGTGGTCATGTCACTGTGTTCATATGTGAAAGTGATGCCTGCAACCTCTGAGTTGCTTCCTTAAAAGGAAATGTTTTGTCCTGCACTTCTTTTTTTCCCCTTTCCCCCTAGAGGCTAAAACACTAACATAGTGGTAATGAACTAGTTTTGACTGTGCAGACTAGGACAATATTCTAGGTGATGATGGCACTACAAAAGGTAGTAAAAGATCTCTGGAAGATCGTTTGGAGCAAAGCAGCCTACCTGTTCTCCCTCTATTTGTTGCATGAGACAAAGAGAAATTTCTATCCTGTTTGAATCTCTATTAACAGAAATTTAGTCTGAACCCTAATACACAGTATGTTGTCCTTCACTCATAACACAGGGGATAGTTTTCTGTATACTCGGGCCCATAGTCTGTCTTCAGCCTTCTATCAAGCCACCTTGGTCAGTGCTAATGAAGACCAAACTCAGGCGTCATCACCATTGTAAAGGTGACCCGGCCACCCCATTCCCTGCCCCTATGTCCAATAGTAATTCCTTTTCTGTGTTCCCAAAGATCCCTGAGTTTACCTTTCTGCCAGCCCTTAGCACAGAGGGTTTTTATTTATCTATCCTCCTAACTGGAGAGTGAGTTTCTTTACAGTTATACCCTATCTGAATTGTTCATTATTCTTGTCCCATCACTTTTAGGACTTGATTTGGACACCAGCTACTCTGAAAAACCTTCTATGACGTCTTCTTCAGATAGGATGAGGTGCCCCTCCTCCATGCACTTACAGAATCTCAACAACTCTGATTTATCACCTTATCCAACAATAATCACACTGCATTTTAATCATCCTTTCTACATTTTCTCCTCCATTAGATTATGAACTCCTCCAAGGTCTCTGAATTCCCCGTATCTTTTTTTAAATTTATTTTTATTTTTTTGAGACAGAGTCTTGCTCTGTAGCCCAGGCTGGAGTGCAGTGACACAATCTCAGCTCACTGCAACTTCTGCCTCCCGGGTTCAAGCAATTCTTGTGCCTCAGCCTCCCAAGAAGCTGGGATTACAGGCGTCTGCCACCAAGCCCAGCTAATTTTTGTATTTTTAGTAGAGACAGGGTTTTGCCATGTTGGCCAGGCTGGTCTCACACCCCTAGCCTCAAGTGATCCACCCAAACTTGGCCTCCTAAAGTGCTCGGATTACAGGCATGAGCCACCAGGCCCGGCCAATTCCCCATATCTGATACTACACATTCACTTACTACTTTACTTAATGAATGAACTTCCTGATAGTTTACATAGAAGACAGAAAAATATACAGTGCTATCAAGCTCTGCCTTATGAATGAACTGGTCTCCAAGAGTTCGTTTCTACATAGAAGACAGAAAAGTGTACATTGCTACCAAACCCTGTCTTATGAATGAACTGTTCTCCAACAGTTTGTTTCTAAGGAATTTGTTTTGAACTATGAGTTAAAGATGGTGTGGTTAACTGCAAAGAATCTTGGCCTGCTGGCAAGGGAATTTGGTTCTCTGCCACTAACTCCTTAAGGATGATGAGCAAATCCCTTCAGCTATGTGGACCTCAGTTTCGCCTTCTGTAAAATGAGGATGCAGACAGGTGATTTCCAGTGGTTCTGCTAGCTCTCAATTTCTATAGGTTTGAGGGCAGCCATAGGCTGTCATTGTCCTGAGTTCTGGGTAAAGATTTGCTCTCTCATGCCTCTGTTAAAATGCAAGGCTTCTGAGATTCTTCTTAACGCTTCAATGTATTTGTTTCCATTGATCCCTTTGTTTTCTCAAGATGGAGGGAAGGAGTAATCTGGGATCCATGGCCTCCTCCATTGGTCACAAAGTGGAACACGGGGAGGGATAAGCTATTGGGGAAAAGAAGAAATGCAGCAGGGACATCCCTACTGTTCAGGCTTCAGGCACCATCAGTCTCTGCCCTAGCTTGACAGGGAGGCCTGCTTGTGAAAATGCAGCCACTAGTGGGGCAAAGATTAACACATTAGATTCCCAAGGCTGACCAAAACAGTGGGTCTCTGGGCATTCCCAGGGGCCACCCCTTAAAGAACTTTGGAGCAAAGTTCTCATCACTCATTTCTTTTCACCTCTCAAGCTCAGTTTCTCCCAATATTCCCATAGTGGGGAAACTTCCCAGGCTCCAGGCTAGGATTGGCAGGTTTTCTTGAGATGCTGATTGGGACATTGTTCAGGATGACCTCCAACTTGCCAGGTGTGTGGTTGAAGGCAATCAGAGAATCCCTGATGGGGCAGACCCTGCATGGAATTTTTAGTTTCTTGCTGGGAAGGCTGATACACTCTGTGAGAAGACTACTACATTTGCACTTTGGTTGGTTTGCTATCAAGGGGCAATGATTATGCCCTTCCTTGTGTGTTTCTGTCAGTACACGTGATCCTTAATGCCTATCTTCTTCTGCCTTGAGTGTTAGCAGTGAAAAGGATTCAGGTCTGTGAATCTGATGAGATGAGCGTTGAGTGTACACAGGTGCCATGTTTGTGATTCCAGTCACCAAGCAGAAAGGGACCTGGGGATTACTTTACCTTCTCTGCTTCTCCACCTAACCTCATCTGTTTGCCTTCCTTTTTCTGATGTCCCTGCCTTTCCTTTGCTTACTTTTGTTTAGGGCTTAGAAAGAAAAGAGGCAGTGAGCAGGGCAAGTTGGTGGAGGGATACTGGGAGGAGCTGGGGCATGTGCATCACTAGTTTGCTGGCTGAGTGATTCTTCTAAGGACAGTGAGGGCACTTCAATGAAGTGGTACAGAGGCTGGGATCCCTGGCAGCCGGTCTGGGATCCTAGTGCTGCTCCATCTTTGTTCATGCATTAGCTGGATGACCTTGGCCTTATGGGACTCAGATAAGATGACCTAGGTGAAAGTACTTTATAAATGCAATACAAATGTTTGGTTTTATTACATTGCTCTATTTGAGAACAAAGTGAAAGCTTCCCCACTAGAAAGTATGTCACCTGTGGCCAGACGCAGTGGCTCATGCCTGTAATCCCAGCACTTTGGGAGGCCGAGACAGGCGGATCACGAGGTCAGGAGATGGAGATCATCCTGGCTAACACGGTGAAACCCTGTCTCCACTAAAAATACAAAAAAAAAAAAAATTAGCCGGTGTGATGGTGGGCACCTGTAGTCCCAGCTACTTGGGAGGCTGAGGCAGGATAATGGCGTGAACCTGGGAGGAGGAGCTTGCAGTGAGCCGAGATTGCGCCACTGCACTCCAGCCTGGGTGACAGAACAAGACTCTGTCTCAAAAAAAAAAAAAAAAAAGAAAGAAAGAAAGTATGTCACCTGCCCACCCATTAAAACCAAACCACCAAACCCCATTTTGGTCAGAACATGTACAAATGCCTGTATATCCATATTTAGAAATTATTTCTTGCTTAGCATTGACCTGCTCCAAACTCCTTTTAAAAAAATTGTAGATTTTACCTCCAGTACCCTCTTCTTGAAGGGATAGACCCTTAAGTGCCTAGGGTCATGGGTTCAAATAAACTATGCAAAGGAAAAAATGAATCTGGTAAATCATTTACTTTTATTTTATTTTATTTTATTTTATTTCATAAATATTTTTTTACTTTTAGAAACATAGTCTCACTCTGTTGCCCAGGCTGGATTGTAGTAGACTAAGATCTCAGTGTGAAAGAGCTTTTCAGGCTCTTTCCTCTCCAATTATGGCCAGGAGGAAACCACAGGATGTATGGGAGCAGACAGTTCAGAAAATGGGGGTGAATATAACCTCTACCTTATGTTTAACCACCATTGACTCTTTTTCAAACTGATCATGATTTTTAACTAAATAATATATACTGAATTACAATGTTATATTACCCTAGTATAAAAGGTTTATGCTATAACAAAAAGCAAGACTCCTGTCTCCTTGTTCTCCCTCTGCCCTCACACTTGCCCCATCTTACTTTCAATTTTTTAAATGTTTCTTCTGACATTTACTTTCATATTGTTAAATAACAAGCAGGCATTGTTGTCTTTTGATCCATTATAATTAATCTATTGCCATCTTGTAATGGTAGATGAGGAGTCAATTTGCTTACAAATCCCCTCCCCTTCTCTGTTCTACCAATAGAGTTATATATCACATTTTAAAATTTGCATCATTATGACTATGCTAATATTGTTCACTACTGAACCAAGAAGTATACTGTGATAACATTTTTTGTACCATTTCTGTTTTTAAAAAAGATAATGACTGGCTGGGCACCGTGGCTCATGCCCATAATCCCAGCACTTTGGAAGGCAGAAGCAGAAGGATCACTTGAGACCAGGAGTTTGAGACCAGCCTGGGCAGCATAGCGGGACCCTGTCTCCACATACACAACATTTTTTTTTTTAATTAGCCAGTGTGGTGGGGCATGCCTGTACTCCCAGCTACTAGGGAAGCTGAGGTGGAAGGATCACTTGAACCCAGGAATACAAGGTTACAGTGAGCTATAATCGCACCACTACACTCCAGCCTGAGTGATAGAGTGAGACTCTGTTTCTAAAAGTAAAATAAAATAAAAGTAAATAATTTACACGATTCACTTTTTCCTTTGCATAGTTTATTTGAACCTGTAACCAAATCTTCCTATACTTGCCAACAGTCTTGTCAAATGCCTCAGCAAAATGTTCACATGGTCACATAAGCAAAGCTTTTAGATTCTCTGTTTGGCTATTGTTTTGTTTGTTTGGGTTTAGGGGGATTTCCCCTAGAAATGTCCCCCTTTGGGCCCTCTGGTCTGCTCCAGTCTGAACTGTTTGCTTTCTGAGCTTGCTGCACAGCTGTCGTCTTGCACATTCCTGTCCCAAGTCTCCTGGATAGCACCCTGTTTTGTGAATCTCTCCCATGGTTTCCATCGTTGTTTTGGTTGAGCACCACCTCCTGAATAAGGATGCATGGTAGGTAACATTTTTGAGACTTTGCATATCTGAAAATGTTTTTATTCTACCCTCTGATTTGATTGATAGCTTAGCTGAGGATAAAATTCATGGGTGAAAATAATCACTTTCTCAGAACTTTTTCCTTTTATTTTTAGAGATGAGGTCTCACTCTGTTGTCCAAGTTGGAGGGCAGTGGCACTATCATGTATCACTGCAGTCTCGACTGGCAGGATTCAGGCAATCCTCCCACCTCAGCCTCCTGGGACTACAGGCATGCACCACCATGCCTGGCTAAGTTTTAATTTTTTGTATAGATGGGGTCTCCCTATGTTGCCCAGACTGGTCTCAAACTCCTGAGCTCAGGTGATCCTCCTGCCTCAGCCTCCCAAAGTGCTGGGATTACAGGCTTTTTTCTCCTTTTGCTTTAGGTTCTGGAGGGTACATTTATTTGCCTATTTGTTAAATGGGTAAATTGCATGTTACTGAGGCTTGGTGTACAAATGATCTCATCACCCAGGTACTGAGCATAGTACCCAATAGGTGGCTTTGCATCTCATACTCCCCTCCTCCTCTCCCCCACCAAACAGTCCCCAGTGTCTATTGTTCCCATCTTTGTGTCCATGTGTATTCAGTGTTTAGTTCCCACTTATAAGTGAGAACTCATGGTATTTGGTTTTCTATTCCTGCGTTAATTCGCTTAGGATAATGGCCTCCATCTGCAACCATGTTGCTGCAAAAGACATGATTTCATTCTTTTCATGGCTGCATAGTATTCCGTGGTGTATATGTACCATATTTTCTTCTTTTTTTCTTTTAACTTTTATTTTAGGTTGAGGGTTACATGTGCAGGTTTGTTATATAGATGAACTTGTGTGTTACAGGAGTTTGGTGTACAGTTTATTTCATCACTCAGGTTCTAAGCCACGTATTCAACAGGTATTTTTTCTGATCCTCTCCCTCCTCCCACCCTCCGTCCTCAAGTAGGCTGCAGTGTCTTTTGTTCCCCTCTTCATGTTCATATGTTCTCATTATTGGGCTCCCCTTTACAAGTGAGAACATGTAGTATTTGGTTTTCTGTTCTTCCATTAGTTTGCTAAGGATAATGGTCTCCAGCTCCATCTATGTTGCTGTAAAGGCATGATCTCATTCCTTTTTATGGCTCTGTAGTATTCCATGGTGTATATGTACCACATTTTCTCTATCCAATCTACCATTTATTGGTATTTAAGTTGATTCCATGTCATTGTTATTGTGAATAGTATTGCAATGAACATACATGTGCATGTGTCTTTATGGTAGATTTATATTCCTTTGGGTATATGCCAATAAAGGGATTGCTGGGTTGAATGGCAGTTCTGTCTTTAGCTCTTTGAGGAATCACCACATTGCTTTCCACAATGGCTGAATTAATTTACACTCCTGCCAAGAGTGTATAAGTGTTTCCTTTTCTCTGCAACTCGCCAGCATGTTATTTATTTTTTAATAATAACCATTTGACTGATGTGAGATGGTATCTTACTGTGGTTTTGATTTGCATTTCTCTAATGATTAATGATGTTGAGCATTTTGTCATATGCTTGTTGGCCATATGTATGTCTTCTTTTGAAAAGTGTCTGTTCATGTCCTTTGCCTACTTTTTAGTGGGGTCGTTTGTTTTTTGCTTACAAATTTGTTTAAATTCCTTTCAGATTCTGGATATTATACCTTTGTCAGATGGACAGTTTGCAAATATTTTCTCCTACTCTGTAGATTGTCTGTTTATTCTGTTGATAGTTTCTTTTGCTGTGCAGAAGCTGTTTAGTTTAATTAGATTCCACTTGTCAATTTTTGCTTTTATTGCAATTGTTCTTGGCATTTTCGTCATGAAATCTTTGCCAGTTCCTATGTCCAGAATGGTACTTTCTAGATGGTCTTCCAGGATTTTTATATTTTTAGGTTTTACATTTAAGTCTTTAATCCATTTCAAGTTGATTTTTGTGTATGGTGTAAGGAAGGGGGTCCAGTTTCAATTATCTGCATATAGCTAGTCAGTTACCCCAGCACCATTTATTGAATAGGGAGTTCTTTCCCCATTGCTTGTTTTTGTCAGCTTTGCCAAATATCAGATTGTTGTAGGTGTGTGGCATATTTTCTGGGCTCTCCATCCTGTTCCATTGTTCTATGTGTCTATTATTTATGTGGCACATTTTCTTTATCCAATCCACTGTTGATGGACACCTAGGATGATTCCATGTCTTTGCTATGGTGAGTAGTATTGCAGTGAACATACATGTACATGTGTCTTTTTGGTAGAATGATTTATTTTCCTTTGGCTATACACACAGTAATGGGATTTCTGGGTTGAATGACAGTTTTGTTTTAAACAGAAATCTCCACACTGCTTTGAGAAATCTCCATGCTGCTTTCCACAGTGGCTGAACTAATTTACATTCACACTACCAGTGTATAAGTTTTCCTATTCTCTGCAACTTTGCCAGCATCTGTTGTTTTTTGACACTTTAATAGCCATTCTGACTGATATAAGATGCTGTCTCATTGGGGTTCTGATTCGCATTTATGTAATGATTAGAGATGATGAGCTTTTCTTCACGTATTTGTCGGCCACACCTAACATTGTTTATATTTGTTTTCTTTCTTCATCTTTGTTTTGGTCTCTCTTTTTCAAATTGGAGTTTTCCTTCAAATAACTGGTGATCTTTGGCTATCCATTCCTGCTTAAGAGTGAACTAGACAGTGCATTGGAAGTTATATTCCATTAGTGGGGCAGAACTTAATGCCTGCAATTTCTGACCTTCTCCAAAGTCCTCTAGGATGAATCAGCTTGTCTATTATTGATATTTCCTTCTAACCCTTCAGTCTCCTTTTAGTATTTATTTGCATCTCCAGTGGCTATGGCCACCACACTGCTCCTAAGCCCTACTGAACAATAATTATTGGCTGCTGTGATTAAGAAAGCCTTCCCAGAAGCATGACTTTGGAGCTGAGTGTTAAAGGATGATGCATTCATTTTCAATGGCTGCCATAACAATTTCCACAAAATTTGTGCCTTAAAATAACATCCATTTATTATCTCACAGTTCTTTATGTTAAAAGTCTGCCTACAGTATGGTTTGGATGGTTCCTATGCTATGAGCCTCACAAGATCAAAATCAAGTTGTCCAGCAGCTGCATTCCTTTCTAGAGTTCTGGGAAGAATCTACTTCCAAGCTCATTTTAGGTTGTTCACCAAATCTAGTCCCTTGAAGTTTTAGTACTGAAGTCCCTCATTCCCTCGCTGTCAGTCAGAGGCCAGTCTTTGCTCCTAGAGGCTACTTTTGTTCCTTCTCATGATTTCCATGTGCCTCTCAATTTCAGAAACAGATTTGAGTTTCTCTCACACTTCAAATCTGATTTCTCCAGCCACATCTCTCTGACTCCAACCAGAGAAAGCTCTATGCCTTTAAGGCTTCATGTGATTAAATTGGGCCCATATGGAAAATCCAGGATAATCTCCCTTACTTTGAAGACTTTAACCTTAATTACATCTGCAAAGTCCCTTTTGCTGTGTAATGCAGCATATCCACAGATTCCAGAGATTAGAGCCTGGATATCTTTGGAGGGCCATTCTGCTTACAACAAATGCAAGGAAAAAAATTAGAGAAAGGGTGTTCTGGGAAAAAGCCTCGAAAGATGAGAAAACATTGATTTCAAGGAACCACAGGCAGTTCCCTATGAATGGAGCATACATGAAAATTAAGTTGGGGGAGCCAAGATGGCTGAATAGGAACAGCTCCAGCCTACAGCTCCCAGCATGAGCGACGAGAAGATGGGTGATTTCTGCATTTCCAACTGAGGTACCGGGTTCATCTCACTGGGGAGTGCCGGACAGTGGGGGCAGGAGAGTGGGTGCAGCTCACCGTGCGTGAGCCGAAGCAGGACGAGGCATCCCCTCACCCGGGAAGCGCAAGGGGTCAGGGAATTCCCTTTTCTAGTCAAAGAAAGGGGTGACAGACGGCACCTGGAAAATCAGGTCACTCCCACCCTAATACTGCGCTTTTCCAACGGGCTCAACAAACGGCACACCAGGAGATTATATCCCGCACCTGGCTTGGAGGGTCCTATGCCCACGGAGCCTCACTCATTGCTAGCACAGCAGTTTGAGATCACGCTGCAAGGCAGCAATGAGGCTGGGGGAGGGGCGGCCGCCATTGCCCAAGCTTGAGTAGGTAAACAAAGCAGCTGGGAAGTTCTAACTGGGTGGAGCCCACCACAGCTCAAGGAGGACTGCCTGCCTCTGTAGGCTCCACCGCTGGGGGCAGGGCACAGACAAACAAAAGACAGCAGTAACCTCTGCAGACTTAAATATCCCTGTCTGACAGCTTTGAAGAGAGTAGTGGTTCTCCCAGCATGCAGCTAGAGATCTGAGAATGGGCAGACTGCCTCCTCAAGTGGGTCCCTGACCCCTGAGTAGCCTAATTCGGAGGCACCCCCCAGTAGGGGCAGACTGACACCTCATACAGCCGGGTACTCCTCTGAGACAAAACTTCCAGAGGAACGATCAGGCAGCAACATTTGCAGTTCACCAATATCCGCTGTTCTGGAACCACCACTGCTGATACCCAGGCAAACAGGGTCTGGAGTGGACCTCCAGCAAACTCCAACAGACCTGCAGCTGAGGGTCCTGACTTTTAGAAGGAAAACTAACAAACAGAAAGGACATCCACACCAAAAACCCATCTGTACGTCACCATCATCAAAGGCCAAAGGTAGATAAAACCACAAAGATGGGGAAAAAACAGAGTAGAAAAACCAGAAACTCTAAAAATCAGAGCGCCTCTCCTCCTCCAAAGGAACACAGCTCCTCACCAGCAATGGAACAAAGCTGGACGGAGAATGACTTTGACAAGTTGAGAGAAGAAGGCTTCAGAAGATCAAACTAATACAAGGTAAAGGAGGAAGTTCGAAACAATGGCAAAGAAGTTAAAAACTTTGAAAAAAAATTAGACGAATGGATAACTAGAATAACCAATGCAGAGAAGTCCTTAAAGGACCTGATGGAGCTGAAAACCACGGCACGAGAACTACGTGACAAATGCACAAGCCTCAGTAACCGATGCGATCAACTAGAAGAAAGGGCATCAGCGATGGAAGACGAAATGAATGAAATGAAGCGTGAAGAGAAGTTTAGAGAAAAAAGAATAAAAAGAAACAAACAAAGCCTCCAAGAAATATGGGACTATGTGAAAAGACCAAATCTACATCTGATTGCTGTACCTGAAAGTGACGGGGAGAATGGAACCAAGTTGGAAAACACTCTGCAGGATATTATCCAGGAGAACTTCCCCAATCTAGCAAGGCAGGCCAACATTCAAATTCAGGAAACACAGAGAACACCACAAAAATATTCCTAGAGAACAGCAACTCCAAGACACATAATTGTCAGATTCACCAAAGTTGAAATGAAGGAAAAAATGTTAAGGGCAGCCAGAGAGAAAGGTTGGGTTACCCACAAAGGGAAGCCAATCAGACTAACAGCTGATCTCTCAGCAGAAACTCTACAAGCCAGAAGAGAGTGGGGGCCAAGATTCAACATTCTTAAAGAAAAGAATTTTCAACCCAGAATTTCATATCCAGCCAAACTAAGCTTCATAAGTGAAGGAGAAATAAAATACTTTACAGACAAGCAAATGCTGAGAGATTTTGTCACCACCAGGCCTGCCCTACAAGAGCTCCTGAAGGAAGCACTAAACATGGAAAGGAACAACCGGTACCAGCCCCTGCAAAAACATGCCAAATTGTAAAGACCATCAAGGCTAGGAAGAAACTGCATCAACTAACGAGCAAAATAACCAGCTAACATCATAATGACAGGATCAAATTCACACTTAACAAAATTAACCTTAAAAGTAAATGGGCTAAATGCTCTAATTAAAAGACACAGACTGGCAAATTGGATAAACCTTCAAGACCCATCAGTGTGCTGTATTCAGGAAACCCATCTCACATGCAGAGACACACATAGGCTCAAAATAAAGGGATGGAGGAAGATCTACCAAGCAAATGGAAAACAAAAAAAGGCAGGGGTTGCAATCCTAGTCTCTGACAAAACAGACTTTCAACCAAAAAGATCAAAAGAGACAAAGAAGGCCATTACATAATGGTAAAGGGATCAATTCAACAAGAACTAACTATCCTAAATTTATATGCACCCAATACAGTAGCACCCAGATTCATAAATCAAGTCGTTAGTGACCTACAGACTTAGACTTCCACACAATAATAATGGGAGACTTTAGCACCCCACTGTCAACATTAGACAGATCAATAAGACAGAAAGTTAACAAGGATATCCAGGAAGTGAACTCAGCTCTGCACCAAGTGGACCTAATAGACATCTACAGAACTCTCCACACCAAATCAACAGAATATACATTCTTTTCAGCACCACACCACACCTATTCCAAAATTGACCACATAGTTGGAAGTAAAGCACTCCTCAGCAAATGTAAAAGAACAGAAATTACAACAAACTGTCTCTCAGACGAAAGTGCCATCAAACTAGAACTCAGGATTAAGAAACTCACTCAAAACCGCTCAACTACATGGAAACTGAACAACCTGCTCCTCAATGACTACTGGGTACATAACGAAATGAAGGCAGAAATAAAGATGCTCTTTGAAACCAACCAGAACAAAGACACAACATACCAGAATCTCTGGGACACATTCAAAGCAGTGTGTAGAGGGAAATTTAAAGCACTAAATGCCCACAAGAGAAAGCAAGAAAGATCCAAAATTGACACCCTAACATCACAATTAAAAGAACTAGGGAAGCAAGAGCAAACACATTCAAAAGCTAGCAGAAGGCAAGAAATAACTAAGATCAGAGCAGAACTGAAGGAAATAGAGACACAAAAAACCCTTCAAAAAATCAATGAATCCAGGAGCTGGTTTTCTGAAAAGATCAACAAAATTGATAGACCGCTAGCAAGACTAATAAAGAAGAAAAGAGAGAAGAATCAAATAGACGCAATAAAAAATGACAAAAGGGATATCACCACCGATCCCACAGAAATACAAACTACCATCAGAGAACACTATAAACACCTCTACACAAATAAACTAGAAAACCTAGAAGAAATGGATAAATTCCTCGACACATACACTCTCCCAAGACTAAACCAGGAAGAAGTTGAATCTCTGAATAGACCAATAACAGGCTCTGAAATTGAGGCAATAATTAATGGCTTACCAACCAAAAAAAGTCCAGGACCAGATGGATTCACAGCTGAATTCTACCAGAGGTACAAGGAGGAGCTGGTACCATTCCTTCTGAAACTATTCCAATCAATAGAAAAAGAGGGAATCCTCCCTAACTCATTTTATGAGGCCAGCATCATCCTGATACCAAAGCCTGGCAAAGACACAACAAAAAAGGAGAATTTTAGACAAATATCCTTGATGAACATTGATGTAAAAATCCTCAATAAAATGCTGGCAAACCGAATCCAGCAACACATCAAAAAGCTTACCCACAATGATCAAGTGGACTTCATCCCTGGGATGCAAGGCTGGTTCAACATATGAAAATCAATAAGTGTAATCCAGCATATAAACAGAGCCAAAGACAAAAAACATATGATTATCTCAATAGATGCAGAAAAAGCCTTTGATAAAATTCAACAACCCTTCATGCTAAAAACTCTCAATAAATTAGGTATTGATGGGACGTATCTCAAAATAATAAGAGCTATCTATGACAAACCCACAGCCAATATCATACTGAATGGGCAAAAACTGGAAGCATTCCCTTTGAAAAGTGGCACAAGACAGGGATGCCTTCTCTCACCACTCCTATTCAACATAGTGTTGGAAGTTCTGGCCAGGGCAATTAGGCAGGAGAAGGAAATAAAGGGTATTCAATTAGGAAAAGAGGAAGTCAAATTGTCCCTGTTTGCAGATGACATGATTGTATATCTAGAAAACCCCATTGTCTCAGCCTAAAATCTCCTTAAGCTGATAAGCAACTTCAGCAAAGTCTCAGGATACAAAATCAATTTGCAAAAATCACAAGCATTCCTATACACCAATAACAGACAAACAGAGAGCCAAATCATGAGTGAACTCCCATTCACAATTGCTTCAAAGAGAATAAAATACCTAGGAATCCAACTTACAAAGGATGTGAAGGACCTCTTCAAGGAGAACTACAAACCACTGCTCAATGAAATAAAAGAGGATACAAACAAATGGAAGAACATTCCATGCTCATGGGTAGGAAGAATCATTATCGTGAAAATGGCCATACTGCCCAAGGTAATTTATAGATTCAATGCCATCCCCATCAAGCTACCAATGACTTTCTTCACAGAATTGGAAAAAACTACTTTAAAGTTCATATGGAACCAAAAAAGAGCCTGCATCGCCAAGTCAATCCTAAGCCAAAAGAACAAAGCTGGAGGCATTATGCTACCTGACTTCAAACTATACTACAAGGCTACAGTAACCAAAACAGCATGGTACTAGTACCAAAACAGAGATATAGACCAATGGAACAGAACAGAGTCCTCAGAAATAATGCCGCTTATCTACAATTATCTGATCTTTGAGAAACCTGACAAAAACAAGAAATGGGGAAAGGATTCCCTATTTAATAAATGGTGTTGGGAAAACTGGCTAGCCATATGTAGAAAGCTGAAACTGGATCCCTTCCTTACACCTTATACAAAAATTAATTCAAGATGGATTAAAGCCTTACATGTTAGACCTAAAACCATAAAAACCCTAGAAGAAAACCTAGGCAATACCATTCAGGACATAGGCATGGGCAAGGACTTCATGTCTAAAACACCAAAAGCAATGGCAACAAAAGCCAAAATTGACAAATGGGATCTAATTAAACTAAAGAGCCTCTGTACAGCAAAACAAACCACCATCAGAATGAAAAGGCAACCTACAGAATGGGAGAAAATTTTTGCAACCTACGTATCTGACAAAGGACTAATATCCAGAATCTACAATGAACTCAAATTTACAAGAAAAAACAAACAACCCCATCAAAAAGTGGGCAAAGGATATGAACAGACACTTCTCAAAAGAAGACATTTATGCAGCCAAAAGACACATGAAAAAATGCTCATCATCACTGGCCATCAGAGAAATGCAAATCAAAACCACAATGAGATACCATCTCACACCAGTTAGAATGGTGATCATTAAAAAGTCAGGAAACAACAGGTGCTGGAGAGGATGTGGGGAAATAGGAACACCTTTACACTGTTGGTGGGACTGTAAACTAGTTCAACCATTGTGGAAGTCAGTGCGGTGATTCCTCAGGGATCTAGAACTAGAAATACCATTTGACCCAGCCATCCCATTACTGGGTATATACCCAAAGGATTACAAATCATGCTGCTATAAAGACACACACACACGTATGTTTATTGCGGCAGTATTCACAATAGCAATGACTTGCAACCAACCCAAATGTCGAACAATAATAGACTGAATTAAGACAATGTGGCACATATACACCACGGAATACTATGCAGCCATAAAAAATTATGAGCTCATGTCCTTTGTAGGGACATGGATGAAGCTGGAAACCATCATTCTCAGCAAACTATCGCAAGAACAAAAAACCAAACACTGCATGTTCTCACTCATAGGAAGGCATTGAACAATGAGAACACATGGACACAGGAAGGGGAACATCACACACCGGGGACTGTTGTGAGGTAGGGGGAGGGGGAGGGATAACATTAGGAGATATACCTCATGCTAAATGACGAGTTAATGGGTGCAGCACACCAACATGGCACATGTATACATATGTAACAAACCTGCACATTGTACACATGTACCCTAAACCTTAAAGTATAATAATAATAAAATTAAAAAAAAGAAAATTAAGTTGGAGTCAGAGGCAGGGGCTAGATAATAATGGACCTTCACTATTCCAGCTCTCTAATTCTCCTTAGTTTCTTTTACCCTCTTAGTTTCTTTTGGGTACTCTATATCAGAATATTTCATCTCACCTCTCTCATATGCCAGTGGAAACTATCTGTACCCTCCATCTGAATTCATTCTGGTTGATCTGAGCCTCCATCATAGCCTGATTTCATGCCAGCCTTCAGCCTCTTTCCCTTCACATTCATTGTACCGGCAAGTAAGAATCTTTGCAACTGGTGTGTTTGCCATCTGGATGGCCATAGGTAATCCCATAAATCCTGGTCTAATTTTCCCATAACACTGCATTCATCATGTCACTATGCTGCTCAATGGATCCTGATGGCTCTTTGCCTCTGGAACTCAAACTAACTTCTAAAGCCTGCATTGCCAAGTCTGAGTCTACCCAGCCATGCCAGCCTTGTCACATACTCTACCCTAGGTAGTCTGACCTTTTCTTTGCCTTCTGCCCACCAATTTCATTCCATCTCTCATGCTTTTGCTCTTTTTCTTCCCCCTTTTCAATCAGAATATCTCATTCTCTCTCCCTTCTGTGCAGCCAAACTGTGCCTAGCCTCTGAGTCTACATAAATCACACATACCTCATGAAGCTTTTCCTAAGACTTGAGCTCCTCATTAATCCTTTGATTCTTTTCCTGAATTTCCATAGCTTTTGATGCGTGTCTGTATCATGCAGGTTTACACTAAGTTATATGCATTTCACTCATCATTGCAAGCTTTAATGATGCCAAGTGTGGAAGTCTTATCTTTTCAACTATGTTATAAGCTACTTGAGAACAGGTTTCATGTCCCATTAGATTTTTGATAGATTTTTTTCAGCTTTTATCCAAGTGTCAAACATTTTGTAAACAAATTCCCAACCAAATCCATATGTATTTCTTTTCCACCTTCAAATAGTGAACTAAACTGAAACTCAAGGGGAGTTTTCCCATAATATCAATTTTTGGACAGGATTAAGAATGCCTTATCTCTGGCATCTGAAATTTTTACCCTGTTTCTCTTTATACTGATTTATTTTTATGCCAATTATTGTGTGTACTTATCCTAGCTTTCACTAGCTTTCCCCATAGTCCAGTATTTTGTTATTTGGCCAAACACCTGGATGATTTATTGGCAGTGGTGTTGTTTAATCTAATTTCTGCATAGTCTTCACCAGGCAATTATGGGAGGAATGAACTACTCTTTGAAGAAGCTGCCAAACTTTACCCCAAGACATTTTCCAAATAAGATACTAGATTTATTGCAAAACTCATTCCAGTGGGCAAAAATGTATAGTAAATTCAGTTCCAAATCATGAGGTCCACAAGGTTCTAACTAGAGGGCTTTGGGAACTCAAAAACCCAAATCTTTCTTTGATTCTAAGCAGAAAACTATTACTGGAAGTGCTGACAGTTGATAAGTTTAAGACATATGGTCCTATTCTCATTCTCCAAAATGAGAATGGCGGTTTTAGCAGTAAATTGATAGTGTAAGTAAATCTAGCACTTGAAAGAATTTAATTAAATTTCCCCCATCTTCAGTGTAAACACCAGACAGAATCCATCCTCCTGGTAAGGAAAGGTAATGGAATTCCCCTATGGCAAATGACTATTGCGCTAGACTAGCTCCTGTTCAAAAGGCAGGAATGATACTCATGCAAGATAGCCTGTAGTCAACAGCAGATACAGGCAGGCCTCCAATTTTGATTGGGGAGTATATCACAAAAGAGCATGAACATGGCTTCTTAGGGGCACCAAGCATTTATTCCGGTGAGCTCTAACACAGAATAGCTGGCCCACAGTAAAAGGGAAAGGATCCATTCTCGCCAAACTTGAAAGCAATATAGCAAGTGAAGCCACAGAGTGAGGGAAAAAAGGAATGGAAACACAGAAAATGCAGACTTTAGTTGAAAAACATTTTAGAATAATACTAATATTTAGTGAGCTAACAACTGTTTCAGAGCTCTAGAAACCTGAATGGTTAATTAAAAATTTTCAGACTCCTTTTTTCCTAGAAGAAAAGAAGTTCACACAGAAAGCCTTTAACCAGCTTGGATGAATATGCAGTAGAGAGTAATGCACTACCCCAAGTCCAGTTGTGCCATTCCGCACCATGTTCACATGGAAAATACTTGTAATACATTTTGGAAACAAAACTTTTTTTGCTTTTTTTGTTGTTGTTTGTTTGTTTGTTTTTCAAATGCAGGTGTTTTCAACTGTGTGTGGGTGAGTGTATAAGTCTGTTCTCACACTGCTGTAAAGAAATACCCAAGACTGGGTAATTTATAAAGGAAAGAAGTTTAATTGACTCACAGTTCTGCATGGCTGAGGAGGCCTCAGGAAACTTACAATCATAGCGGAAGGGGAAGCAGGCACATCTTACATGTTGGCAGAGAGAGAGCGTGAGTGAGTACAGGAAAACTACCATTTATAAAACCATCAGACCTCATGAGAACTCACTCACTAGCACGAGAACAGCAGGGGGGAAATTGCCCCATAATCCAATCACTTCCCTCCCTCAACACGTGGGGATAACAATTCAATATGAGATTTGGGTTGGGACACAGAACCAAACCATATCATTCAGACTTGAAGCTATTACATAAAACAAAAGGAATTCAGATTGAAGGATGGTTATAGGCCTGAATCTGGGCAAAGTTGTAAAGAAATCAACAAGTGCCTCATATTTTCCGTTGCACTTCTCTTCCCTCAGCCTACTTCAATAGTGCCAACGGAAACCACTTACAGTTGCCCTCACTCCCAGGCTCTTTGCACCTTTGTGTTTGTATTCATGCCCTTCGCTCTGCCAGAGATATCCATGGCTCCTTGCCTCTTGCCTGCTTCAGGGAGTCCTCCCTCTCCTTCAAGACTGAACACAACCTTCTCCATGAAGTTTCCCAGATCCTTGCTCACTCCACCATCAGCTAGAACTAACCACTGCTTATCTTATGCTATCCCCCACTGCACCTGTAAATTTTTATCATTATTGTGCATGTTTGTTTCTCCTTACTAAACCATAAGTTCATTGAGAGCAAGGACATGCATTTTTAACTTTATCTCCAGCTCCTAGGACAGGGACCAGCTCATAGTAGTTGCTCAATAAATGTTTGTCAAGTGAAAATGATTTAATTAAGTACTGGGAATAAAGCAAATGGGATGCTAAAGCTGCATGCCTAAAAAGATCATTTTTATAGTTGTAATCATTTTATTGATCAATTCCAGTAACCACCTACTTATTTTCAGAAATGTAGTAACTGTAATATTTTCAGAGATGTTACCTCTATTTTGGCACTTAGGATTTTCTACCTCACATTTCTCATTTTTATACATTTTATTCTTGCTGTAGCAGGCTACTAGTTTCTTGAAGGCAGATGAATATTTCCCTTTGTGCATTATACACGGTAGGCACTCAATAAACATTTGTTGAGTTAATTAAGTCTTTACCTGTGTGTAGATCTCTACAACTGGCAAAGCTCTTCACAGTACCCCAAGGGAGTAAGTAAAGCAAGTATCATTCTCTCTGTCCCTCGTCATGTTTTAGTCAAAGAAACTGATTATCATAATGTGACAGAGCCTGGCTCACCTTCAAACTCTGGGCAAGAATCAGGGCTGAAAGCCTGATTCATTTTATAAAAATAAATTTTCATTGATTTAATAAATAGATGAACAATAACACTTTCACATTTGTCAGTTATCTACAAAGGGTTCCCCTCTTTTGTTATGTGGTTGGTTTGTTTTATTGAGCTTCAAGTGTGTTTTACCTATATTGTATATTCGTCTTAGCTCCTGAAAAAAAAATATTTTAACTAGTCTCTAGGCTTCTAAATCTTTTTTACAACCAAGAAAAGAATAACTATCTAATATCTATATAATAATAAAATAATAACTATCTAACCCTAGGTAATTTATGTAATCATTCCGAACCTGTGTTCTTGTCTTTCACATGGGGATAGAAATGTCTACCTTACTGCCCTTCAGATAATTGGTAGATGGTCTGAATGCAATACCATATTTGAATGAACACAGAAGAAGTAAAATGTGTGGTACAAAAATGCACAGTATCATTTTTTTCACATTGATTATGTGATTGACTAACCAGTAAGTCAATGTCTATGTATTCTGATGTAATTTGATCTACATTCTGGGATGGCTCCAGAGAAAGATTACTTTCTCCTGGTAGCTATAGAAAACAGAAAGAAGCCATATATTACAAAAGTCCAGGCTCTGAAAAATTTCCTTTTGACAAGCAAGCACAGCAGCTGTTACTACTTACCGTCTAAGACATTCAATGAAGTGGTTCATATCAATGGACCGAATGGGGACATTGCTCCAAAAAGGCACCCTTGCACAGAGAAGCTCATCAGTCTAAACAAAGATAACAAGGGGAAGGAGTAAAATATTGCACTCCAGCCTGGGCAACAAGAGCGAAACTACGTCAAAAACAAAACAAAACAAAAACAAACAAAAAACTCCAGAGCCAATTATGAGGACCTCAAGAAAACCAATCTCATTTCTTAATAATCATACTTCATTTTTAACTCAAAATTTATGGACCAGGTCTATCACTCTTTTTTTTTTTTTTTTCCTGAGGCAGAGTCTCACTTTGTC
This sequence comes from Homo sapiens, assembly GCF_000001405.40. Classification (NCBI taxonomy): domain Eukaryota; kingdom Metazoa; phylum Chordata; class Mammalia; order Primates; family Hominidae; genus Homo; species Homo sapiens. The sequence goes on along the minus strand of NC_000023.11, from coordinate 132,239,376 downwards.
ACCCAGGCTGGAATGCAGTAGCACAGTCTCGGCTCACTGCAACCTCTACCTCCCAGGTTCAAATGATTCTCCTGCCTCAGCCTCCCAATTAGCTGGGACTACAGGTGCATACTATCACGCCTGGCTAATTTTTGTATTTTTTGTGGAGATGGGGTTTTGCCACTTTGGCCAGGCTGGTCTCAAACTCCTGGCCTCAAGCAATCCACCTGCCTCAGCCTCCCAAAGTGCTGGGATTACAGGTGTGAGCCACTGCACCCAGTCTATCACTCATCATATTCACTTCATTTGGCTCTAAGTGATGTTTGGTTTACTTGGTTGGCTATTCCCAACCAAGTAAATTTGAATATGCGCCACAGGTTATGTAGGCAGTTTCCAAGTGTCTTTGAATAATTGTTCAATTACTTCAAAGAGATGATACACATGCTTAAGTTCTGGTATATTGGTTTTAAACCAATGTGCTATGGTTTGAATGTTTTTGTTCCCTCCAATATGCATGTTGAAACTTAATCCCTAATGCAACACTGCTGGGAGGTGTGGCCTAATGGGAGGTGTTTAGTGCTGCTATAAAAAGGGTTCGTGTAGTGGGTTTGCTCTTTTTTTGCTCTTCTGCTATGTGAGGAAGCATGATAGGCCCTCACCAGACACGAGATGTTAGCACCTGATCTTGAACTTCCCAGCCTCCAGAAGTGTGAGAAATACATTTCTGTTTGTTATAAATTACCCAGTCTGTGGCATTTTGTTATAGCAGCACAAAACAGATAAGAGACAATGTTATCACTAATTTTCAGCTGTGTATAGATAGATCGTTGGAGCAAAATAAATGGAATTGAAGCTAAGACAAATATTGTAGCCTTGCTTCATTGTTAGAATTGTGTAACTGTCCACTTATGTGCTCTGTCTCTGCCTCAGTTCTTGGGGCCTTCTTGAGTCCTGGGAGCAAATATTTGCAGAATATCTATGGAATATTCAACTCCTTACTTTGATTTTTAAGAACTCGAGGCCAGGGCCAGGCACAGTGGCTCACGCCTGTAATCCCAGCACTTTGGGAGGCCGAGCCAGGTGGATCATTTGAGGTCAGGAGTTCGAGACCAGCCTGGCTAACATGGTGAAAACCCACCTCTACGAAAAATACAAAAATTAGCTGAGCAAGGTGGTACACACCTGTAATCCCAGCTACTCGGGAGGCTGAGGCAGAATTACTTGAACCCGGGAAGCAGAGGTTGCAGTGAGCCAAGATCTGGCCACTGCACTCCAGCCTGGCAACAGAGTGAGACTCTGTCTCAAAAAAAAAAAAAAAAAGAGAGAGAGAACTTGAGGCTAGGCACAGTGGCTCACACCTGTAATCTCAACACTTTGGGAGGCAAAGGTGGGAAGATCACTTGAGCCCAGGAGCTCAAGACCAGCCTGGACAACATGGCAAAACCCTGTCTCTACAAAAAATACAAAGATTAGCCATGTCTGCTGGTGTGCACCTGTAGTTCCAGCTACTCAGGAGGCTGAGGCAGGAGGATTGCTTGAGCCCAGGAGGTTGAGGCTGCAGTGAGCCATGATTGTGCTACTGCACTCCAGCCTGGGTGACACAGTGACAGAGTGTGACACAATGACAGATAAATTTTTAATATTTCTATTAAAAATATACAGCCTCCAAAAAAAGAACTTTAAGAGTGTCTTATACAATTTTGGCTCTCACAAAGCACCTAATGCCTCACACCTAGTAGAATCATAGGATTCATAGGCTGCTAGATCTAGAAAGAGCCTTGGGAGGGGAAAACTCAGAAAGAGGAAGTGATGAGTCTTGATTACACAGGGAGTTGGTGTTGTAGGAGGCTTCCAAACTCAGAACTTCATACTTCTCAGTCCACTGCTGTTGTCAGCATACCACATTTGAATAAATAAACTAAGATCTCTCAATTGCTTATTTGCATAGACATTCGGTGTGAGTTGGCAGTCTTGTTTTTGTAACTCCCCTGGCCTCTGGTTTACTGCTGCAAATACATTACAATTGGTATAATGTTCCCAGTCCAAGCCTCTGCCACTCATTTCCTGGCATGATACTGCATACATACTTTTCTTGATATGTAGGCAAAAGCCAGCAGAATCTCCTATTGTAATCCCCAGGAGTCAGTGTCAAATACTTAAAATAAATAAATAAATACATTCACCGTATTAGTCATAATAACACACCCTTAATTTCACTTCATTCAAACAATAATGTTAGCAGAAATTAATGACATCTTTTGGATCAACATAAGCAGAGATAAGCCCAAACAAATAATCTAGTTAGTTTACCTCTAACCCATAGGGGGTAGTAAGTAAACATTGTCCAATTGGCAGTAACACTCAAAATATGACGTTGGGTTCAACCACAGTGTTGGTTTAAATTATAATATATTGTAATTATCTTAGGTAAAATTCCACCCAGAAGAACCAAATTTTAATATTTAATAAAATGCTACCACAAAGTACAAATTAGCTAGTTATTTGGGGTCACTTTTCAATTCATAAAAAATACCATGAGTTCTAGTTGACATTTTTTTTCTTTTTTTTTTTTTTTTTTTTTTTGAGAAGGAGTCTTGCTCTGTCGCCCAGGCTGGAGTGCAGTGGCGCGATCTCGGCTCACTGCAAGCTCCGCCTCCTGGGTTCACGCCATTCTCCTGCCTTAGTCTCTCTAGTAGCTGGGACTACAGGCACCCGCCACCACGCCCGGCTACTTTGTTTGTATTTTTTTTTTTTTTTTTTTTTTAGTAGAGACGGGGTTTCACCTTGTTAGCCAGGATGGTCTTGATCTCCTGACCTCGTGATCCGCCCGCCTCGGCCTCCCAAAGTGCTGGGATTACAGGCATGAGCCACTGCGCCCGGCCCCCTAGTTGACATTTCTAAATGACGCAAATATCTATTGCCACAAATCTTTACCATCCCTTGTGTCCTAATTCGTGGAAATATGCTGTGGTTTAGCAAAACATAGCCTTTGGAGACTGTCAGTTCCCATAGTATCTCAGGTAGTGACTCTGAATTGGATTATCTCCCTTTAGATAATAAATCCAAAAGTCTCTTGTTTTTCTGAATTCTCTACATAGCGTATCCTCTGTATTTATCTCTCTTACCTCCTCACTTATCACTGATCCTGAAAGGAATTCAAAATATTCAAAATAGCTCACAAAACCCAACCCAACCTACAGCCTCAAAGAGAAATGTCGGAGTCTAGGATGCAAACTCTACAATCAGACCCACTTCTATAATGTAAACAAATGACACTGTCTTGCACATGATAGGAAGTAGACCCAGAGAATCCATCATTTGAGGAAAGACATGGAGACATAAATCTCCTCTGGAATCATTAACATTTTAAAATGAACTTGTAGATATTAATATGTTGCTGTTAATGACATGAAAGGGTTTCGTGCCAGGTATTTAAGTGAAAGCAGAGTACAAAATAGTATGTACATTGTAATTATATGTAATTATATATACATACACATATAATTACAACGTACATGTACGCACATATATGTAATGTACACACCCTTGATATGGTGTGATGGGAATGGCATTTTACTGATGAGAATTGGACTTTACTTCTATAGTCTTTCTCCTCAAACTCCATAACTTCTGTCAAATTACAAAAAACATCAGACAAATCCAAATGAGAAACATTCTACAAATATCTAACCAATACTGTCAACGTCATCAAAAACAAGGAAAATCAAAGAAAGTGTCACAGCCAAGAACAACCTAAGGAGGTATGACGACTGTGGTATCCTGGATGGGATCTCTGAACAGAGAAAAAGCATTAGGTAAAAACTAAGGAAATTCAAACACAGTATGGGCTTCAGTTAATAATAATGAATCAATATTGGTTCACTAATTAAAACGAATGTACCATGCTAACATAAGATGTTAATAATAGGAGAAACTAGGTGTGTGTTATATTGGAACTCTATACTATCTTCACAATTTTTCTGTAAATCTAAATCATTTCTATCAAAAAATATACAACTATGGTTACTTCTGGGTGGTAGAATTTTAGGTGAACTTTATGTTCTTCCTCTTGCCAGTCCATAGTTTTTGACAATTAGCATGTACTGCTTTTGCAAAATGAAAAAATTAAAATTTGTTTGTAAACATATGTGAATTTATATTTTATTCTTCACAATAACATCAATATGAATTTAAAGCATTGCACATATATACCAGATCTATTTATTGTGTACAGACAATTCAATGTAGGGATTTACAAGCCTCTAAGAGATCCACAGCCCCACTTTTAGAAATTTCGACCTTAACTTTAGATGAATCTGGAATCCTGTTCATAGTTCAGTCTTTCCTGATCACACTGAAAGGAGGCTGAACTTTCTAGGTTGTCTGAAAACTTACTGAAATCCCCTTTTGTACTCTCTACTATCGTTTCCTAAATTGCATGCATTCTCATTTGATGTCATTAACTAATGAGGATTAGGAGGAGCACAGGGCAAGAGACAGGGAAAAAGATTTATAATCTATCTGTAAATTATGTATAGTTGAACCTAATTCACACTCTTTCCTTATCTTAATATGAAACACTTATCTTTTCTGATACACAAATATGTGTCCAGAAATAACTTACTTTTCAAGCAAAATGTATTTTATTTGTACATACTTCATTTTAGCTGGCAAATTCACGTAAAAGATGGAGAGGGAGGAAATCAATAGCTTACTTCCTGTAATGTGCCTGGTCCACTGTAGTTGCTTGATGGTTACAAGTTTCTTTCCTTCTCTTCCTCTTTGCTACTTGTATTATCAAACATTTTGTCTTTTGCCAATCTGATAGGTGAAAAACAGTATTTCAGTGTGGCTTTAATTTACACCTTTCTTATTACGGAGTGAGACTGAGTACCTTTTCATGAGTTTAGGGCTCTTTATGTTTTTTTTTCAGCCAGAGATTTTACAATGAACCATGGATGATTTAGAAGGGTGGAATATGGAAAACTGAGATTTAGCTTTTTAAGGAAGTTCTTGGCAACTTGTGGATGAGGGAGAGAGGTCATCATATTATACAAGTGTGGAGAAAGGCAAAGGGAGAGATCAGTAATAAGAATAAGAGGGGACACTGATGAGAAAATAGGAATATTTACTCTGAGTAGCAAATGTAGTTCAATAGTGGATATAGATGCATCAGGCTAAGGGAGCTTGATAACAGTCACTAATTTCAGTTAATTTCCAAAAACATTCATTAAGCATCTTGTGTCATTAAGACCAAAGTTTCTTTCCTCAAGTTTCTCACAGTCTAGGAGGAAAATAGACATAATAAAGAGGAAATAATACAGTCTGTAAAATGATATGATGAGGGAATGAAGAGGGGTATTGAATATTATTTCAGAAAGATTTTTGGGGTGGGGGTGGGGGTAGGAGGAGTGTAAAAGAAAGCTTTGTGAAATAGATGGTGTGTGAATTGGATCTCAGAGGAAGAATATATATTAGCCAGGCAAAAAAGGGAACATTACTACAGACCTTGCAGGAATAAGAAGGATTATAAAGGTGTACTATGAACAGTTGTCTACCAATAAAATAAATAACCTAGATTAAATGGACAAATTTCTAGAAAGACAAAAACTACCAAAATTTACTCAAGAAAAATTAGGCAATCTGAAGAGACCTATAACAAGTAAGAGATTGATGTAGTTAAAAAAAAAATAAAAAGGCAAAACTACCCACAAAGAAAAACCTAGGCCCAGATAGCCTCACTGGTGAATTCTACCAAACATGTGATGATCAATTAATAATAGTTCATCACATACTCTTCCAAATTAAAAAGGAGGAAGGAACATCTCCCAACTGATTCTATGGGACCAATATTATCCTGAGAGAAAAAACAGACAAAAACATCACAACTAAAAAAAAAACCACTGCAGACCAATATCTCTTATGAATATGGATACAAAAATTCACCACAAACACTAGCAAACTGAATCCAGCAAAATCCAAAAAAGAATTATGTATCATGACCAAGTGAGATTTATCACAGGAATGCAAGTTTGGTTCAACATTTGAAAATCAATTAGTATAACACATTATATCAACAAAACAAGAAAATTACATGATCATCTCAGTAGACACAGAAAAACCATTTGACAAATATCCTAACACTATTTCATGATTTTAAAAAACACTCCACAGACTAGAATTAGAAAGAACATCCTCAAATTGATAAAGGGTATCTACAAGAAACCCACAGCTAACAGCGTACTTAGTAGTGAAAGGCTACATGCTTTCCAGGAGATGGAAAATCAGACGAAGATATCGATCTGTTCTCACAATTTTTATTCAACATTGTACTGGAAGTTTTAGGCAGGGCAATTAGGCAAGAAGATGAAATAAAAGACATCCTGATTGGAAAGGAAGATATAAAATGATGTCTATTCACAGATGACATGATCTTGTATGTAGATAATGCTAAGGAATCTGAAAAGAACTATTAGAACTAATAAGCAAATTCAGCAAGTTTTTAGGGTACAAAATCAATATACAAAATTCAATTTTATTTCTATACACTTACAATGAACAGTCCAAAATGAAATTAAGAAACAATTCCATTCATAGTAGCATTGAAAAAGTATAAAATGTTTAGGAAGAAATTTAACAAAAGAGGTGCAAATCTTACACTCTGAAAACTAACAAATATTGTTCAATAAATTTTAGAATATCTAAATAAATTGAAAAATATCCCATGCTTGTGGATGAGAAGACTTAATAGACTTAATATTGTTAAGGTGGCAATACTCTTTGAATTGATCTATAGATTCAATGCAATTCCTACCATAATCTCAGGTGGATTCCTTTTAGAAATTGACTAGCTGATTCTAATATTCACTTGGAATTGCAAATGACCCAGAATAGCCAAAATAATCATGAAAAAGAAGAACAAACCTGGAAGATTCACACTTCTGATTTCAAAATGTACTAAAAAGCAGTAGTAATCAAGACAATGTGTTACTGCCATAAGGATAGACATAAAACAATAGAATAGAATTGAGAGTACAGAAATAAACCCATACACCTATGGTCAATTGATTTTTGCCAAGACCATTCAACAGGGAAGAATAGTTGTTTTAACAAACTGCTGGAACAACTAGTTAGCCACATGTGAAAGAGTTAAATTGTACCCTTACTCACCCCATATACAAAAATTAACTCAAAATTAATCAAAGATGTAAATGTAAGAGCTAAACTTGTAAAACTCTTAGAAGAAATTATAAGGTAAATATTCATGACCTCAAAATTGGCAAAGTATCCTTAGATACGACACCAAAAACACAAGCAACCAAAGAAAAAAATAGATAAATTAAACTTCATCATACTTAAAAAATGTTGTGCTCCAAAAGATACTATCAACCCAAAGACAACCTAGAGAATGAGAGATCATATTTGCAAATCATCTATGTCTAATAAGGGACTTGAATATGGTTTGGATTTGTGTCCTTACACAAATCTCATGTTTAATCAGAGGAGGGACTTGGTGGGAGGTGATTGGATCATGGGGAGGATTTCTCCCTTGCTCTTCTCCTGATAGTGAGTCAGTTCTCATGAGATCTGATGGTTTAAAAGTATGTGGCACTTCCCTTTTTGCTCTCTCTCTCTCCTGCCACCATATGAAGAAGGTGCTTGCTTCCCCTTCACCTTCTGCCATTATCGTAAGTTTCCTGAGGCCTCCCAGTCATGCTTTCTGTTAAATCTGTGGAACCGTGAGCCAATTAAACCTCTTTTCTTCATAAATTAACCAGTACCAGGTAGTTCTTTATAGCAGTGTGAGAACAGATTAATACAGACTTATATCTAGGATATATAAAGAACTCTTACAACTCAATGATAAAAAGAAAAAGAACCCAATTTGAAAATAGGTAAAGGATCTAGACATTTCTCCAAAAGAGATATACAAATAACCAATAAGCACATGAAAAGATGCTCAATATCATTAGTCAGTGGGGAAATGCAAATCAAAACTACAATGTGTTACCATGTCACACCCATGAGGATGATTACAATCAAAGAGTGAGATAATGACAAATGTTGGAGAGGATGAGGAGAAATTTCAACCCTCATACACTACTGGTGGGAATGTGAAATGGTGCATTCACTTTGGAAAATGGTCTGGCAGTTTTTCAAACGGTTAAACCTAGAGTTGTCATATGACTCAGCAATTCTCAACTCAAAAGAAATGAGGCCAGGCATGATGACCTGTAATCCCAGCACTTTGGGAGGCCAAGGCAGGCAGATTACTTGAGGTCAGGAGTTTGTGACCAGCTTGGCCAACATGATGAAACCCTGTCTCTACTAAAAATTCAAAAATTAGCCACGCATGGGTGGGGGGAGGGAGAACATCAGGAAGAATAGCTAATGGATGCTGGGCTTAATACCTAGGGGATGGGATGATTTGTGCACGCCTGTAATCTCAGCTACTCTGGAGGTTAAGGCAGGAGAATTGCTTGAACCCGGGAGGCGGAGGTTGCAGTGAGCTGAGATCATGCCACTGCACTCCAGCCTGGGCAGCAGAGTGAGACTCCGTCTCAAAAGAACAAAAAGAAAAAAAGAGAGAGAGAGAAATGAAAACACATTTTAAATTTGTCCACATTTTAAAATTGTACACAAGTGTTTACAGGAGTCTTATTCATAATAGTCAAAAGGTGGAAGCAACCCAATTGCACATCAACTGACAAATGGATAAACAAAATGTGGTATATCAATATAATATAATATAATATAATATTATTTGGCCATGAAAAGGAATGAAGTACTGATATATGCTATCACATGGATGAAGCTTAGAAACATTATGCTAAGTGAAACAAGCTAGTCACAAAAAACCACATATTATATGATTCCATTTATATGAAATGTCCAGAAGAGGCAAATCTAGAGAGACAGAAAGTAGATTAGTGGTTGGTTAGGGCTGCAGGAATGGAGATAGAGAGACAATAGCTAGAGTACCTGGCTTCTTTTTGAAGTGATAAAAATGTTCTAAAATTGTGGTGACGCACACACTGGGGCCTCTCAGAGGGGAAGGTGGGGGTAGGGAGAGCATCAGGAAGAATAGCTAATGGATGCGGGGCTTAATACCTAGGTGGTGGGATGATCTGTGCAGCAAACCACCATGGCACATGTTTACCTATGTAACAAACCTGCACATGCTGCACATGTACCCCAGAACTTAAAATAGAATTTGAAGAAAAAAAATGTGGTGATGGTTGCGTAACTCTGTAACATAATACTATCATTGAATTGTACCCCTTAAGTGGATGAATTATGTGGTGTGTAAATTATATTTCAATAAAGCTGATTTTTTTAAGAAAAAAGAATGCTGCCAATCCATAGCGGGGAAAAATGAAGATAGGGGAAAGCCCTCTGGGCAGAGGTAATATATAAGGCATATGCAAATAAAATATGTACAGAACTGTGTAAACAGTTTAATAACATCATCACTATTTAACACCTACCACGTTGCAGGCACTTTTCTAGACCATGGGATATTCAGTGAACAAAATTTACAAAAGTACCCATCCTTGTGGAGTTTACATTGTAATAGGGGAAACATATTAAAATCCCTAAAGAACATAGTACATTAGAAAAGTGTAAGTGCTAATGAGAAAAAAATAAATAAGACTTGAAGGTATTGCATGAGGAGGGGGTGCAATGTTACACAGAGTAGGAGCTCTTGAGTAAAACAGCTGAAGAAAGGAAGGAAACTGAGAATCTGGGGGAAGAACGTTCTAGATGGCACAGCAAGTACAGAGGCTAGTGTAAGAGTATATCTATCATTTATGAAGAGCCAGATTATGTAGTGCTTTTTAGATTATTGTAAGGACTTTGACTTTGCTCTGAGTGAGATGAGAAATTACTGTAGGATTTTGTGGCTATAATGGGATCAGTTTGGCTACTGCGTTGAGAATAGATTGAAGGAGGCTAAGTTCACAAACAGCAAGAGCAATTAGAAGAATACAATAATCATCCAGAAAAGTGAAAATGGTGGTTTGGGCCAGATTCTTAGCAGTGGGTGTGGTAAGAAATAGTCACATTTTGGACATATTATGAAGATAAGAACTTCAGTATCTCCAGATGGGTTGGATTGTATGGCATAAGGGGAAAAGAAGACTCTAGGATGACTGGAAGAGTGTAGTCTGTGCAACTGGAAGCTGGAGTTGCCATTTACTGAGATTTTTAAGACTGCAGAAGGGAGGCTGGGAATGGTGGCTCATGCCTGTAATCCCAACACTTCAGAAGGTGCAAGCAGGAGGACTGCTTGAGCCCAGGAGTACGAGACCAGTCTGGGCAACAAAATGAGACCTCATCTCTACAAAACATACACAAATTAGCCGGGTATGGTGACGCTTGCCTGTAGTCCCAGCTATTCAGGAGGCAGAGGTGGGAGGATTGCTTGAGCCCAGGAGGTTAAGGCTACAGTAAGCCATGATTGCACCATTGTACTCCTTCCTGGGCAACAGAGCAAGATCTTGTCTGAGAGACAGAGAGAGTGAGAGAGAGAGAGAGGAAGGAAGGAAGGAAGGAAGGAGGGAGGGAGGGAGGGAGGGAGGGAGGGAGGGAGGGAGGGAGGGAAGAGAGAGAGAAAGAAAGAAAGAGAGAGAAAGAAAGAAAAAGAAAGAGAAAGAAAGGAAGACTGACTGCAGGAGAGGCATGTGTTCATTTCTGAGGAGAGGTGGTTATCAAGATTCAGCATTGGACATGTTAAATCTGAGATGTCTGAGTAATACAAATGGAACTATAGTATAAGTATGAATCTAGAGTAGCGGTCCCCAACCTTTTTGGCACCAGGGACTGGTTTTGTGGAAGACAATTTTTTCCATAGAGGGTGGGGAGGTGGGGGGCGACAGCAGGGGATGGTTTCAGCATGAAACTGTTCCATGTCAAATCATCAGGCAGTTAGATTCTCATAAGGGGCATACAACCTAGATCCTTCGCATGCGCTGTTCACAATAGGGTTCATGCTCCTATGAGAATCTAATGCCGCTGCTGATCTGATAGGAGGCAGAGCTCAGGCGGTAATGCTTCCTCACCCACAAGTCACCTCCTGCTGTGTGACCCAGTTCCTAACAGGCCACAGACCGGTACCGGCCCATGGCCCAGAGGTCGTGGACCCCTGATCTAGAACTATGGGAGCAGTCTGAACTGGAGATGTAAATTTGGGAGTCTGCAGTATGTAAGATGGTATTTAAAGCCATAAGACTGGGTGCAAATTCACTGAAACCATGATGATTTTATTTGTACTAGAACATAAAGGATGTGAAGGTGGGAGATGTGCTTGGAAGGTAGGCAGGAATAAGAATATAGAAGACCTTATATTTCATGCGTATAAACTTGGGCTTTTTCTGATAGAGAGTTGTTGAAATCAGCAGAAATATGTAGTTAGACTTGTTTCAAACAGACTTGTTTCATAACACTGGTAAAAGTATGCAGAAAACACCAGAGACATACAAACGATTTAGGAGGCTATTACAGCATTCAGGAAAGAGTTGTCACACAAATGTTTCTCCAGTCCCTCTACACACTAGAGCAGACATAGGATATGACGGATGTAAGAAAGACTAAGGAGGTAGACTTGGCAGGACTTAATGGGTTGTTTGGTTATAGGAAATGAGGATAAAGGAAGAGTTAAGAGTGATATTTTATATGGTTTGGATCTGTGTCCCCATCAAATCTCATGTGGAAACGTAATCCCCAGTGTTGGAGGTGGGGCCTGGTGGAATGTGATTGGATCATGGGGGCAGATCTTTCATGGCTTGGTGCTGTCCTTGCTATAGTGAGTCAGTTGTTGCAAGATCTGGTTGTGTAAGAGTGTGTGGCACCTCCTGCTCTTTTCCTCTTGCTCCTGCTTTCCCCGTGTGACCTGCCTGCTCCTGCTTGACCTTCCACCATAAGTAAAAGCTCCCCAAGGCCTCCCTAGAAGCCAGCAGATGCACATGCCATGTATCCTGTACAGCCTGCAGAACCTTGACCCAGTTAAACCTCTTCTTTATAAATTACCCAGCCTTAGGTATTTCTTTCTAGCAACACAAGAATGACCTAAAACAATACCCTAAGTTCTACTTTCAATGACTGCTGGATGGTAACACCATTTACTGTGACAGGAATCACAAGAAGGGGGGAAAGCTCTGGATATTAAAAGGAAAAAAAAACCCTATGATATGCTAAAATTAACATAGTAAGTTTGAGAAACCCTTAGGATCAGCCTGGGTTCTCAAAGCTAGCCTCTAAGTTAATTTTGTTAATCTTGTCATGTGGGAAAAGCATCCACTGAATTTGTCTGCACAAGCACTGTGGTTGGCTTGAACACTACATTTCTATGTAAAATAATTTAATATTTAGACTTTTAAGATCTGGTTTACAGGAGTGTACCTCACCACCCCATCCAACCCTCCAAACTTCTCATTCCCCAGCTTTCTAGCTGACACAAAATTGAGTCCCCAGCCATTCAATGCTAAAGGTCAAACGGTCTTACATTGAATTCCTTGAGCCATGAGGATCTCTGTAAGGTGCCTACTTGAGCAGCAGCAACCCAGCCTCTCTCATGCTGACGTTGTCATGGCAACAAGGAAGTGTGTTGTCTCTTCTTTTTAAAATCCAGACTATGTATTTTATTTTTATTTTTATAAAGTTTGAAATATATGGAAGATTAGGCCGGGCATGGTGGCTCATGACTGTAATCCCAGCACTTCGGGAGGCCAAGGCAGGAGGATTGCTTAAGCCAAGGAGTTTGAGACCAGCCCAGGCAACATAGCAATACCCCATTTCTACAAAAAAAAAAAAAAATACAAAAAATTAGCTGGGCATGGTGGCACATGGCTGTAGTCCCAGCTACTCCGGAGGCTGAGTTGGGAGGATCACCTGAGCCCAGGGAGTTCGAGGCTGCAGTGAGCTATGATCATGCCACCGCACTAAAGCCTGGGTGACAGAGTGAGACCCTGTCTCAAATATATATGTGTAGAAAGAAAAAAGAAAAGAAAAAAACCCAAAGTGGGTGTTTTTAGTTTAATCTTTTGCTGACACCTAGTGCCAGAACTCTGCATATTCAGCTACCTGCTCCAAATAAGAAAAAAATAAATAGAATTAACAGGATTTTAAAATTGCCATGAATTTGACAAAAAAAAACCCGATGATTTATTTTAGCAAACAATATTTATCTTATCTTTACATTATACTTTTCACATCATTTCCCACATTTAAATAACAGCCTTTTAAAGTATTCAGACTCCAGGCCTTCTAAATGTCTAAGAATTCAATGTTGAGGCAATTTCTTTCTATTCTCATTTTTGGTTCCCTGCTGGGGGAATTGCTAAGAGTGCATAGAGGCCCAAGTAGTTCAGAATTCAACTCTTTGTAAGTTTTAAAGTACTTAGAATAAATTCCCCTTGGAAATTGTATGGGATGAGTCTGGAGTCCACGATGTTTTCATAACCGTGCTTTTCAACCATTCTCAATTTCACATTATGGGTTTACACTAAACAGTAAAAATTTGGCCTTGCATGTAATTATTATAAGTGCTCATTTCTAAAGAGGAATGAATTTGTAAATAAAGGGAGGGAAGAGTGACTTTTTATGGCATGAAATAATTTTGAGGAGAAACACGATTTGTATATACATCATTAAAAATAGGGCTTAAACTATGTGGTAAATAAAACTTGTGGGCAGTAAAAGAATTCAGGAGGATTACATCTGTGTTTGAAGGTGTTATAGGTACAGAGGCAAAGGAAGAAATGAAAATGCAAGGTTTGTAAAAATGAATGAACGAGTTTTCTGCTTGAATCTGCATCTACCGGCTGTGTGAACTTAGTTGTGTGAGCCTCAGTTTCCTCATCTCTAAACTAGAGATGATGATGACAATGTGCTTGCCTTATAGGGTTGCTGTAAGGATTGAAGTACAGAATTTCTGACATGTGGCAAGTGCTCAATAAACAATAGTAGTAATAGCAGCATTAAAAATAACTAGGCTTACCCCAATGCCTCCTCTTACAGAGTCTAATATTGTCCTAGTGTCAAAACAAGGGGGCTCCTTGTTGTAAATGTTCCAGAGCACTTTGGAAAGTAACTATGACCACCTCAGGTTCAGTACCAGGTGCCACAGATCCAAGGTCAAGGGGCCCCTGGGAGGTTATAGAGGCATGTTTCCAGAGGGCACTTGAAATCAGTATGAACAGTCAGTCTTACTCGAGGGCAGAGAAACAGGGTAATAAAGTCTAGATTCTTTAACCTTGCCTCACTGCCCATTCGCTGCCCTGTCCTTCAAAGAAACAAAACTGCTTTCTGTGGAACAAGGTGGCTAATATAAGATAGGCTCAGACTAACTTAGGTTTGAATTCAAACTCTACCACTACCCAACTGTTCGACTATGTACAAACTAACTTCTTTGAGCCTTAATTCCTTTGTTTGTAAAATTGGGAATAATAATACCTAACTCTTAAGGTTATTGCTAGGATTAAATGAAATGATGTGCATAAATCACTTTGCACAGTGCCTCGCAAATAATCTGTAATCAAGAAATTATCATCAGGCTGGGTGTGGTGGCTCAAGCCTGTAATCCTAGCACTTTGGGAGGCTGAGGCAAGTAGATTGCCTGAGCGCAGAAGTTCGAGGCCAGCCTGGGCAATATGGTGAAACCCCATCTCTACTAAAAAATACAACAACAACAACAAATTACCAGGGATTCTGGCATGCACCTGTAGCCCCAGCTACTGGGGAAGCTGAGGCAGGAGAATCGCTTGAACCCAGGAGGCGGAGGTTGCAGTGAGCTGAGATCGCACCACTGCACTCCAGCCTGGATGACAGAGCAACTCTGTCTCCAAAACAAAACAAAACAAAAGACAAGATAAACTATTATCATTACATGATTAAATCATCCGACTTGCCACCACATCAAATATGGCCTTGATATTGAGACTAGCTTGGCAATTTCAAATGGATTTTAATAATCTGAGAAGCCTGTCTTACACGTCATTTCTTTCTATGGTTTAAACCTGATCATAAACACCATTTGTTAAACACCTACCGTATGGTGGGTACTTAGGCACTTTTTCTTACTTAATCTTCACATCAAATATGGCCTTGATATTGAGACTAGCTTGGCAATTTCAAATGGATTTTAATAACCTGAGAAGCATGTCTTACATGTCATTTCTTTCTATGGCTTAAACCTGATCATAATCACCATTTGTTAAACACCTACCATATGATGGGTACTTAGGCACTTTTTCTTACTTAATCTTCACAATACCCAAATAAGGTAGATCTATTAATATTTTCCCTTCACACATGATGAAAGAGAAGCTCAGAGAAGGTAAGAAGTAACTTGCCTCAGGCTACATATGCAGCACAGCCAATGGTTGAACCTGGCATGGATGTCGCTAGCCCCTGATTTTGTATACCGCAATTAAGACCTTTGTAAAAACACATTCCATGGCTTCCTACAGCCTCCAGGGGAAAAGTCAAACCCCTTAGCTTACTACTCAAGGCTTTCCCCTATGGTTCTAGCCCCTACCGATTCTTCTGGCCTCCTTGCCTACTGCCCAATCACCTTCTCTAGGAAATCTTCCCTGATACCCTTCCTAAGTCTCCCATAACACCCTGGCCGATATCTGTATCACAGGATGTGCCACGCTATACTGTAATGTTGATTGTATTGTCTATATTCCTCAAAAATGCTAGTAAAGTGCTTGGCACAGAGTAGGAATTCAATAACTGTGTGATAAATGAATGAGTGGATACATTAATGAGTATCAAGCAAGAAAGCCCCAAATAATGTCCTACCGCTTTACAGAACAGTGGTGCTTAAAATGTGGTCCCTGGGCCAGCAGCAACAGTGTCATCTGGGAACTTAGATATGCAAATTATAGATCCTGACCCAGACCTACTGAATAAAAAACTCTGGGGTTGAGACCTGGCCGTCTGTGGTTCACATCACCTCCAGGTGATTCTGATGTACATATATTAGGAGTATGGGAGTATAGTTATTATTAGTACTAATTCTTTAAATTTATTTGGTACTTGATAGATTACAAAATAATTTTCTAACTACTATCTTTCAAATCAAGGATGAAGTGGAGAGGGAAAAATTGTTAAGGAATTCAGATCTATTTTAAACACATCCCTATTTAGTACGCCTCTCAGTTCTGAGAAACTAACTTTGTCAGCAGTCGCACAAATTTGTGACTTTGTAGGAGTGTCTGCCTGGCCAGGTTGGGGTAGTGTCCTCTGTGGTCAGCAGCACCTCTAGTGAAATCTCATTGATTGGATGAAGGATTCCAGGTGAGCAAAATTGAATGTGATTAAATTCTCATTGATGCTGTAGGAAAGCTAAAGCTATAGGAAAAAAGGCTTACTCATGTAGGGGATGAGGGATACATGAGTATTTTTTAGTGCTTTATGCAGACATGATGTTTCAGTAAGTGAAAGAAGCCATTCACAAATTTATATGAACCCATTATTAGTTTACAAAAAAAAAATGTTCTTTAACTCTCTCCAGAAAAAAAATTGTGAAAGACACTAAAATGTTAATAGCAATTTTCTCCAGGTAGTGGGATTATACTTTTATAATTTTTTGCAAATAACATTATTTTCATGAGAAAAAAGATAATAATAAAGGTATAAAATTGGTTTTGTGTACTGGGGGAGCCTGACATGCAGAACTAATGATTAACTAATGATTGGTGTAGCTGGAGGCAGGATTTGAAAGAGAAGATTGGAATCTTAGAGGGTAGGAGCTAGAAAGAATCCAGGACAATTTAGCTGATATCAATGGGGTCCCTAAAGCATTGAAATAAGATTTCTGTAGGCAAAGACTGAGGACATTACTGGCTCAAGCTTTCTGGTAATTCAAGAGCAACTTCTAGCAAAAGAGAAGGGAAGAGCCTGGATGGAAAATAGATAGCCATGTATAGAAAGTAGATGGATAGCCATGGGTTTTTTCCCAGGACCTAGAAGGCAAGACGGCTCATTTGGAGAGTGGAAGTTAGGGTAAAATATCCCAGGCAGTTGGTGGCTCCAAGGATTGCAACTGAAGGAGGTAACAACTCGAAAAGAAGAAAGGGATAAGTAAGCAACTGGTGCCTGTAGCAAACATCCAGCACTTTAAACTTGTGCCAAACTAATTTCAAAAAATGAGATTATGGCCCTATTACTTATATTATCTGCATATAGTGCATACACTGTGGTTTCTTCACACTATGGTAAAAATGGGTTGTGTTCTTTAAAATAATGCCTGAGCAATACTTTGGAAAGGAGGTTGATGCAGAATTAAAGCAAAAGTTGTGAATCTCAAGGGCATGATCTCTAGAGAAGTCCTCCCATTCCCCTCTTCCCATATTCAAGCCTTTGGAGTAGAAAATTATTACTTGAGCAGTTTCTATTTATTGAGCAATTAATATTTGGAAGGCTAAATGCTTTGAATGGATTTCTCATTTATTATTCTATGAGTTAGATACTGCTATTATGCCCAACTTTACAAATGAAGGAATGGAGGTGTAGCTTGCAAAAGGGCAGTGTTAGGACTGTCTGGCTCTGAAGTCCAAATTCCTTCTAAAACGCTGCCCTGCATTTGTTAGTCCTGAAAATACCCTAAAGCAAGTAACAATCACTATAAAATGCTAAAATTAGTAATACCTACTGTGAGGTTATAAAATGATACGGTCATACTGCATTGGTGGGAATGTGAATTGGTGTGACCTTTCTGAAGGACAATTTGGCAATACTTACCAGAAGAATTTTAAGTGCAAGTGCCTTTTGTTTCAATTATTGAATTACTAGAAATTCACCCTAAACATTAACTGACAATGATATATGTCCAAGGCGTTTAGTGCAAAAACCTAGAAGCAATCAGTGTCCTTCAAAGGGGAGCTGGCTAATTAGCTTATGATACAGCCATGAAATAAAAATTAAGAAGGCCAGACATGGTGGCTCATGCCTTTAATCCCAGCACTTTGGGAGGCCAAGTCGGGAGGATCCCTTGAGCTCAGGAGTTGGAGACCACCATGGGCAACATAGTAAGACTCCATCTCTACCAAAAAAATTAAATTAAATTAAATTAGCTGTGTGTGGTGGCATGTACCTGTAGTCCTAGCTACTCGGGAGGCTGAGGTGGGAGGATCCCTTGAGTCCAGGAGGTTGAGGCTGCAGTGAGCTATGATCATGCTACTGCCCTCCAGCTTGGGTAACAGAGGGAGACACTGTCTTAAAAAAATTAATTAATTAAAGTTTAAAAAGCAAGGTAAAAAATAGTGTGTACAGTTGATTACTTTTGTAGTACAGTAATTTTTAAAAATATATATAGAAGGTAGATTGATACACTGACATATGAATAATGTTCCCCCCTGAAAAACATAAGAAGCTTTTAACAATAAATATCTTTGTGAAGAGTAACTGAATTATTATTTTCGTGCCACTTGCAGATATTTGAGCTTTTAAAATTTTGTTACCCCCATGTTTGCTATTTTTTAAAAATTAACAATTCATTAAATCTTTTAAATAAAAACCAAATAGCATTTATTGAGGCTTTATAATGTGCAAGGGACTGTGCTAAGCACTTTACCTGTAATACCTCATTACATTTTCACGTTAACTTCTTATCTCCTTTTTACAAGTGAGGAGTTAGAGGCTCAGACAAGTGAAATCACTTGCTTGGGGACACAGAGCTAGAATGTGGCGGAGCTGCAATTTTAATGCACCTCTGTCTCATTTCAGAGCCTTAGCTCTCAACTGCCAGGCCGCACTCTTCTGCTTGCTCTTTATACCCTCATTGCTTAATGAGAGTACACTAGCAAACAACAGGAGTCTAATGAGATAATGTATGTGAAAATACTTTTCTAAGTATAGAGATGTTTGGGGAGGGCAAGCAAGGGTAGGGAATTTGTTTAAATTGGGCGGACCTGTCCACTGACCCCTAGACAGTCAGGATTTTTTTTTTTTTTTTTTACAAAACCAAGATCAACAACTTTCTTTTGTTCCTCCTTTAAAAATATTATAAAGTTATATTTACTTCCTTTTTCCCAATTATTGTTTATAAATTAAAATATGGAGAAATAAAAGCCATTTCATAATAGTCCTCACCCATAATTACTTTGTTTCAGATTTGAATGGCTATGTAACTATTACACACCTGCGTTTTACATAAACAGTAGCAACTAGACATTTGTTCAGTATCTTGCTTTTTCAGCCCTACAATATATCTTGGCCATCTTTTTATATAAACACTTACAAATCTGCTTTTCTCTTTTAAAGTAGCTGCATAATATCCTATTCTGTGAATACAGATAGGTAGGTAGGTAGGTTGGTAGATAGATAGATAGATGATAGATAATAGATATAGAGAGCTATGAAACTTTTAAAAATCACCTACTGAAGGACATTTAAGCTTCTTCCAATTGTTTGATTTCCTAATCAATGCTGTAATGAATACCCTTCCTAAGAAAGTTTAGAAGGATCTTTAGACTGAGTGTAATATTTGTCCACTGTAGTTGACGAGAGTGACCCCACAGGACGCTGTACTGAGGGGAGGAGTATGTTTCACTGCGTGGAGAAACAAAGAACTCTCTCCTAAGCATGACCAACACATTCAGAGATATTAGAATTGCCAACAGGTGGGATGACCTGAAAAAGAACTCCTTGCTTTGACAGTTTAGTAATAGAGCAAAGACTTGCCACGATTGCTCAACACTGGCTGGATCAGAAGAGGAATTTCCAGACTCAGTTACAAGCACGGCTGGTGGAGGGCTGTGAATCCCACCAGACAGTCTGGAGACAGCTAGGCAGGGAGATGAGCAGCAGAGCTCCAAATCAGGCAACAGCACGTGTGAAAGGAGCAGTGACCTGTGGGGAAACTCATAACTCACAGACCAAACCCCTTCCAGCAGAGGGCAGTGCCTCTGATACGACACAGGGCCCAGGCCAGCTGGAGCCAGAGCTGGGGACTTCGCTGGAGAGATGGCACCGGCCTGAGGTCAAGGAGAAATTGAACTAAACTCTCCTTTGAAGACTGTAAGTGACATTGGGGAATACTCAGGGAGGGACAGTGGGACCTCACACTACTATGATTCGCCTGTGTTCTAATGTCCAACAATTTAGGCTGAGTAATAAATCTCTTTATAGAGTTTGGCCATTTAGGGCTTGTAAGTAAGGGAATTTGGAGTCATTTTTGCTAGGCTGGCCACTGAGTCTCGCAGGTTTCTGGGTACATGCTTGAATTGAAAAGAAAGTGACACACCTAAAATACAGCCTAGACTCCTGGCCCTGGGGCTCTGTGGATCCGACACAAAGTTTACAAATAGAAAGCTAGCAAAGGGAAAGATAGTCGGAAGTAACAATTTTATCTAAAAATAGAAACTTAGAATCTAACACCAGAGTTACTACTTGCTTTTGAATTTCAAAGACTACATAGGATGGCCTTTAAAACAAAACTTCAGCATGTAAGAGCCAGCCAAGCAAATTGTTATACATAATCAACGATTAAAATAAATTAGTCTTTAGGCCTAAACCGTTTCCAATCAAATCTTTCTTGAATATTGGTTACCTTTTCTGCCGTGTAGTGGTTGGAATCAAATGAGAACATAGCTGAGCAGAGTACCATAAAGTCTACTTCTAATGCTGCTGTTTTCGAGCCTTGTGATTTTTTTTTAAGTGACTTTAGTATTCGCTGGTAAAGTCAAGGCGGATCTACCAGACGGTAAAAGTTCTGTGTGTTTGTCAGGCACGGCTAAGTAAAACGCACTGCATCTGAAAGTCTAAGGGTAGTTTGCATGCATCTCTCAGCAAAATAGCAAGTGGAAGAAATACCAGCAAGGAGAATAAACTTTCTGGGCTGTTTGATTTCCCCTGCAACTTCTAGTCCAGGGATGTTTGGCGTTCTCCCGGTCGCTAGATTATTAGCCCGCAGGTTCCGCACCGGCCAGGGAGCCGCTCAAGTCCTAGGGCCGGGCGGCTGGAGGTTGCAGGTCGGAGGGGCTTCTACGGGTTTGGGGGTGGGACGGTCCGCGGCAGCCGCGGGCGGGTAAGGACTGACGTCGCAGGTTTCCAGAGGCCCGTTCCCGAAGCCGGAGTCCCGACCCGAAACCGTCCCCGGCCGGCTCGCTCGCTCAGCAGGGCGCGGCTCCAGCGCCACCCGGCTCGCCCCGAAGAGGTGGGACTTTCCCCACCGGAAGTGATCCCGTCCAGTCTCGGGGAACTGGGGCACCTCAGCCAGTGTGTCAGGGAAACCCTTCCGGGTGTGTGCTTGGTGGGGGTGGGGGTGGGGGTGGGGGTGGGGGTGGGGGGTGGGTGAGAAAAAAAAGAGGTGGGTTCGCCTGGAGTCCCTGCGGCCGCCGCGGAAGGCCCCCGCTTCTTTCCCCGCGGCGAGCAGCAGCGCTGGGGCAGCGGAGAGACAGAGGAGCCAGCGGGTGGCCATGGCCTTGGCGTGACAGAGCCTCCCCGGCGGCCGGGCGGGTGCGGACGGCGGGGTAAGCGGCAGTAGCTTGATCCGGGTGGGAGTTGGGGGAGGCGGCGGCCGGCGCCGCAGGTTCGGGGCGGGGGTCAGCCGGGTAATGTGCGTCCTTCTCCCCTTCACAGGCCGGACGACCCCCGCGGGAGCCGGGGCCCAGAAACCCGCCCGGGCAGCGGTAACTGGAACGGAGCCCTCAGGCCTGAGCCGGCTGGGCTGCGCGAGCAGGAAGCGGGGTCCCTGGGCCCCTTTGTGTGAAGGGCGGGGGAGGAGTGCCGGGCAGCCCCGGGCTGCGGGCTCCTCCGACGTCCGCCTCGCCGCAGGGTCCCCTCGCCGCAGCCCCCACCCTTTCCCTCCCGGGGGCACGCGCCTCCTCGCCACCCTCGCCGGGCTTTTCCCAGGCTCGCCCTCCTCCCCACGCCCCCTGCTCGGGCTGCAGTTCCTATAGGAAGGGCATTACCATCCCTTCCCCACCCTCCCCGACTCTACGCTCTTTCCCCTCCCCCTCCTGTAACTTCCTCTTCTTCCCCGGTTGGGCCCTCTGCTCCTCTGCACTCTCCTCCCCAGTTCGCAGATTTCCGCCCACCTTCCGCCTCGTCTAGCCGCGCCACAGCTAGCGGGGTGATCTTTCCCCCCCTCTGGTAGGAGTTGGTGAAGGTGAGACTCATGAGGGAATACAAGGTAGTGGTGTTAGGGAGTGGAGGGGTTGGCAAATCTGCCCTTACTGTGCAGTTTGTCACTGGGACTTTCATTGAGAAATATGACCCCACCATTGAAGATTTCTACCGCAAAGAGATCGAAGTGGACTCTTCCCCCTCCGTGCTGGAAATTCTGGACACCGCAGGAACTGAGCAGTTTGCCTCCATGAGAGATCTCTACATCAAAAACGGCCAAGGTTTCATCCTGGTTTATAGCCTGGTTAATCAACAGTCTTTTCAGGTAACCAAACCAAGTCTTGTAATTTGTTAGAAGGGGGTGTGGTAATCCGACATCGACTTCTGGGTTGCTTGAACCGTGCATTAATGACTGTGCTTTGCTTTTGAAAGTTAGACATGACGCATTTTTGAGGTTACTCCTGCCATGGAAGACTATCGGGTTGTTTCTATAGAGCGTAGTAAAAAGTAACAAGCGTCAACAAATATTTTAAAGCTATTTTTAAGTGAAAGAAAAGTGAAAAAGAAATGTCAGTCTGTGTATATTTCGCCTGGAATATAACCTTCTGAAGTTGCTTGCTCAATTCAACAAGTATTGATTAACTTACACGACAAAACATCTAACAAATAATCTCGGGTAAATAGAGCACTTTGAAAAAATTATTTGGAGCCGATTATCTGTTGCACAGATAAGTCCTCTGTGTCTGTCCCACCCACACCTTCCCCTCCCACCCCCCAACACCCCCTCCCGCCGCCCTCCCCTTCTCTCTCAAGTTTCTCAACTAGATTCATAAATCTTAGTGTTGCAAGACGAAGAACTCAAGACCTGCCTTCTAGGCATTTTACTTAATTACTTGGGGCGTGTAGTAGGAAGAAAAGTTACTAATAGAAAAGACTAGTACCTAGAATTAATAACCAACAAAAATCAGGAATGACTCTTTTTCTGCAGTTGATCCAAATTGTTTCTGGTAACATTGCCTGTATTTACAGAAAATACGTGGGTCTGGGAACACTGAACAAGTGCAGATTTCTTACTCCGGCTGGGTGGCCAAACTGGATGTGGTCCAATCTCTTAGAAAATCTGTCCTGTCCTTCACTGGGAAACAGACTGAAGGTTTAACGTTATTTTAGGATATGCAATGTATGTTTCTATTTATCCCTTGAAAATGAATAACCTCATATTGACCCATTATATTGACCTCCATTGATTTAGGAAATGGATATATTTTTTCTGCATTTAAAGGTATGCACTTAATGTAGCTTACTTAAGAGACCTTAAGTGCTTTAGCCAATACAATGTGCTAATTCCACTTTCTTTAGTATTTTAAATTAAAGTACTATAGTGAACTTTCCCAGTAACCTGATAGAACAACTTCAGGGATTTTTTTTTTTTAAGATGATAAATTCTGGGGAAATAAATCAAAGCTATTGAGACCAAACTAAATTCATTTTATGTAGGCATAAATTCCCAAACAATAGTATCATAAAAGCATTTTCCCCCAGAAAGTACCAAAGTACTGAAGGTGCTGTTTGACAGGCATTTTTTCCCTAAAGGATCCTCAGGAGATTTGTTATTCTATCAGCTTACTCTCTGGAGGCTGAGAGTCTTTTGAAGGGTGTTTCATAAGATTTCTGTTATATCCATTTGTGTTATAGACATGAATTGGGAGTGAAAAACTGTGCCGTTATTTCAGTGGAGGTGTAAACTCTTTTGAGCCCAAATGCCCTAAGTTTGGATTTTCAGCTGAACTTATGTTTCCATAAAGACAATGGGAAATAAGCGTAACCTAGAAATCTGAGTTGATATATTATCAAACCAAATTGATGCAAATATCAAATAACTATATTTTTATAGATTTTCATAGTCCCTTGCTTTTCCGTAGGCCCACATGTGAATATTCTGTACTTACTATGACTTCCAATTAAGCATACATTTTCTATTTAAGGCAAACTTTTAAAATTATGAAATATTACCGAAAATGGTGATTTTTATAATTAAGTCTATAATATTGTATTAAATCAATACTTGCCCCCACCTCCCAAAACTGATGCTACTGGAGAATTGCTAACGCTCTTATCTTTTGTAATTCGTTGTAACTACTTGGAAAAAGTAATACGCATGGGGAAACAAGTAGTAAAAACAAACACAGGCAAAAAAAAAAAAAATGACTTCTTCCCACCCAGACTCCCCTTGCACTGTCCTTCCCAGGAGTTGCTCACTGTTACAGTAGTTTCTAGTGAATTTAAGTGTATTGTAAGGTGTTTGATTTTACTGGAATAAATGCATACCATTCAATTTAAAATAAAACATTTAAGTGTATCCATCTGGTTGTAACTCTTTTATTCTAGGCATTACAAAGTGGTTTTTTTTCCCACTTAAAACACTTTCACTCAAGCCCTCTTGCTACATGGCTAGGAATGCATAGATGCTGCAATCCTGTGCTAGGATAACAGGTGTTACAAGGAGTGATGACAAGCAGGCAGGTTTAGGGAGATGGCCAAACATCCTTATGTACGAATGGATTAATCATTTGGAAACTTGCTTTTTTAATCAGTATAGACTGGGGGTGGGTAAAAGTGATTATATGAGTCAAGGTTAGTGTGCAACCCATGTTTTATATTCTTGACAAACCCAGCAGGTAGGGTCTCTGGAAATTATCTAGTTCTTACTTCAGTGGACAAAATGATGACGATTTCTCTGTTTAGGTGTGATTTCATTTTGGATTCAGCTTTGTATACTCACTGAGGTATGACTTTTTGTAATACTGTAATATTTCTGTTATGGTTATACAAACAGCATAATGTTTTTCTTTCTCTTTGTGATTGCTTGAATAGGATATCAAGCCAATGAGAGATCAAATTGTCAGAGTGAAGAGATATGAAAAAGTCCCACTAATCCTAGTAGGAAATAAAGTGGATCTGGAACCAGAAAGAGAGGTTATGTCTTCAGAAGGCAGAGCTCTGGCTCAAGAATGGGGCTGTCCTTTCATGGAGACATCGGCAAAAAGTAAATCAATGGTGGATGAACTTTTTGCTGAGATCGTCAGGCAAATGAACTATTCATCCCTGCCGGAGAAGCAAGATCAGTGTTGTACAACTTGTGTCGTCCAGTAAAGAAGATAACCTCAATCATGGCCATACCGAGCAGGTTAGTTTTTGATGGAACTGTATGAATCAGGTAGTGTTTTGTTTTTTGATCAAGTAAAACAAAAAGCTGGTTAGTGTTAATACATATGGCACTGCCTTAAATTTCTTTATTTTTAAAATAACATTTTCCATCACACAAAATAGTCAACATTCAATGAAGAAAATTTTTTTAAATGCAGATAAGCAAAGCGGAGATAAGAAATTGCTTATATTCCCATCACCAGGATTTTAAGTGAGTTATTGTTCTTCCTTCTCTGCTTTATTGGTAATATTTCTTTGGGTTGAGTTAAACCATAATACACTTTTTCCCTGTTCTTCTGATTTAGCATCCAGAATGCACAGGAGAGCACTGAGTAATAATTTCAGAAGTTTTGTGGTATTTTCTGTACTTTTATGTTTTTATGTCCTGAGCAAGCAAATTGCTGCAATTAAAATCACCAATTTACTAATCACCAAGTGCTTGATTAACAGTACAATTATTTAAGCAAATTCATCTGTACCTAACACTTGAGGGACTTAAGTGACCTCTGATAATAACAAATTATAGTGCCACAGTGTACCCTGACTTCATTATAAATATACGGTCCAAAAGATAATCTAGTTGAATTATCTGTGATGTGTTAGAAGGAACAGTTTCATGCATAAAAAAATTTATTCAATTTAATAAATTATGAGATTAATAGGAACAGTAACAAACCTTCAGGCCTTTCACTGAGTTAAATGATAACTTACAAGTTTTTTTTAATGAATGAGTTTTTTTTTAAAACTCATACTTTTTTAAAAGTAAGATTATGTAAAACTTACGAAGCATTTAAAACAAGATTATTTATGCCATGATCTTTTAGTCTAGATTGTAATTGAGCAAATAGTCTCACTTAGACAGTAACACTTAGATAATAAGATAAAACAACCAATATTGTGAATGACTGAGAAACCGCAGCAAATGCCAGACTAGCCTGACAGTATCAGGAATGAAATTGATCTTCCTGAGCCAAGGCTGACCTCGAGTCTAGGAGGCAGTGTTGCAAATGGCAACAGGCATTTCAGATTGGAGCAATGATTCCTAATCAAGGGTCTGGCTTTGTGTATGCTCCCCGGAGAAAAGACTAACGGTCCCTAATTTATCTTTTCAGACAAGGTCTCCTGTCAGATAGTGTCATCTTTGAAAATGAAGGATGACAACAATGCTTTATTTAAAATGCTTTCACTCATCAGCCTTTAGCATACCAGAATATGATGAAAACTCATTTATTTTCTTATGTCTAGCTACATCTATTATTTTATAAAGTCACTTTTCAGACCATAGTCCAGCTTGTGTTTGGTTGATAGCATTGTACTTGCAGTATAGTCTTTTGAGGAGGGGAGAGGCTTATGGATCAAGTCCCATATTCTTGCTGCTGTAATCTCTCTCCTTAAATTGTAAGCCAGCTTCACAATTGAACAAGTTCTGTGTGGTGATTGTGTCTTTACTGTTTTGCTCTATTTTTCTACCTGACACTTACTGGGCAGATAACGTAAGTGTCTATACACATTTTGTGTTAGTTTTATCATCTTTTTAAAAATTAACCAACTCCCACGAAATGTTCCCAGTTTTCCTTCCATCATTAGTGTAGACAGCTATAGGAGGTTAACTGAATAAAATTGGTCTCATACATGTAGAGAGCCAGCTCTCTCAGCCAAATTGGCAGGTGAATAATTTCTAAAGCTATTTTTGAACCTCTTCTTCTGAATCATTTCTGAGTTTATTTCATTTGGTAACTTTTTGTGATCTGAATTATTTTTAACCTATTTAGTTACCTACAGGAATGAGTACATAGATTTTTTTTAGTATCTCAAGCCAACTATATTTGTATTTTTTGTTAATTAACATACTAAAAATGGAAATTATTAATACCTATATTCATTTTTATAGTAGTGGGTCAAGTTCTCTGTGTAGGTTTTTGTTTGTTTTTGTAAGCAGAATATATAAATGAAGATATTAGCCTTGAAATAAAATATCCAATAAACTGAATTTCTAAAAATATTAAGGGGAACTCCCTGACCAAGATCTTTTAGAACAAAGTGCACTATATGCAGGTTTTTTTTTTTTCTGACATCAAATAAAATTGAACTGATTCCCATATATGGGAATCTCTAATCTGAGGCTAGTAAAATTTGTGGTTGTCCTTGCTCACCATTTACCTAAGAAGAGAAGAAAATAGATGGTGGATTTTGAATCCTATAGCTTGAGTCATGGAGCTTTGAAATCTGTCAGACCCAGATCTAAATTGAATATCAAACTTTGACAGGTAAAGTTGATTTGAGAAATGTTTGTCGCTAATATTTAGAAGAGTACCTTGTCCAAGTTAGAAATAATAGGATGTAAATCAGAAACACTGTTATTGTTGTTAATTGGTTGTTTTTAACTGAGAGGGAAAATTTATTAATGCTCTAAGAATTGCTTCTGATAATTCCTCACATTTATGTCTTAACATCTTTCAATTTGGGTCACAGGCCTCGTGCCTAACACCTGTTTATCTGCGTGGCTCCCAGGATTGTTTCCTCACCTTTTACCCTCCCATTGGCAGTAACTTTAGTGTAAGTTTGGAAGCATAACCAGATTCCTTATACGCTGCCATCATCCTGATTTCTTTACTGATCTGAGGAGCGTATGATCAAGTGCTTTGAAGGGACTTCTTTTGCTGTATGGCAGCAGTATAATGGAAACCCGGGTCAGCATTGTCACCCTGTTCTGGTTTCATTCACTATATCATAGCTCTTCTGTGCTGGTATAAATTATTGGCAGTTCACTGTTTGGGTATATTTTTGTTGAGAAGGATTGATGTTTTGTTAATAATCTCATAGTACTATAAAAGAAGTAAATCACTGTCCTGTGGGAGTTCAGGGAAAGGAGAGACCACAACCAACTGGAACAGAGTTTCTTAACATTCTGGGATCTTTGCTGTTTGGGGCTGTCCTGTGCATTGTCAGATGTTTAACAGCATCCCTAGCTTTTACCCACTAGATGACAGTAGCATCTTCCTCATCCCCCATTATGACAAGAATATCTCCAGAAATTGCCAAATGCCCCCTGGGGACAAAAATTGCCCTTGGTTAAGCGCCACCGAGTTAGAGATATTGGGAGCAATAGCATTTGAATCAGGCTTTGAAGATGGATAGGACTTGAGGGGACTGGTGGTAGGGGTGGGGGGTGTCAGTGTTGACCTTCAAACAGAAAGAATGCCAAGAAGGAGCATAATCATATCCTAAAATATTCTGTTGATTCCCTAATAGTAAGGGGGAAGTGCAGTAAAGGTGTCTCTTAAATGTGACAGTTTGATATATCCTTTTGGCAAATAGAATATTTTAAAGATGATTTTTCAAGGATTCCTTTATGTCAGTCCAGTATTGATGAAAGTGATAAAGAAAGAAAATGGGGGAAAAGGTGTTATTCACTGTGGTTTGAAGGTCTCCTGTAAGATTTTATACCATTTTTCTCAGTGTACTGTGGAACAGGTTCTCCCAACTAGAGTAAATGGTGCATAAGAGTACCAAACACAGGGAAGCAAACTGAAAGGACAAAGATCATTATTTATGTCAGCCCCAGTTCATTATATATTTCAGCCTGAAGAAAAAGGGAGATTCTTGGTTCAAGACTAGCACGTCATTTTACATGGCAGCAGAATGCCTGGGATGCTAACAAAGGCTACTGAAAGACTAAACTCTATTTGAACATCATTTTAGTCTAGCTAGACTTACTATTCCTAAATACAGTGGAATTGATAAACATTTTCAGGGTTTTTTAAAATAAAATATAGAATCAGAATGGTTTTTAATTTTTTTAACTTTTAATTTTAGTTTTTAATTTTTATGGTATGCTGGGGGTTTAGCAAATGTGAGGAGAAAAATCCTCAAATCACATCACATACTTAAAATTTCCTATACAAGGTAAATATTAATAATATCAGTAAAATGCTGGGGTGGAATTCTGTTGTAGAAGTTATAGTTTTGTTAGATAGTTCTTTTTTTCCCACTGCTCTATTTGCATATCACTTTGAATGGGGAAAATGGCTTATTTAAAATGCTCATCTGTCATCCAGTTCACATGGTGAGTCAAAGTGGAGCAGAGGAGTTGAATGGAAGAAGAAGCATGCTTTGGGGGTGGTATGTACCATAAAGGCCCTCAGCGAACCTTGGGTAAAAGGGAAAAACAAAACCACCTTGCCCTTTCTACTACTCCTAATTCTCCCAGACCTTCACTGAATTCATAGGGTTGGTTCATGGTTTGAGACTTGAGAGTGGACAGGTGCCTAGTTAGACCTGCTCTGGATGTGGAGGTGTCTGGTGATTAGAATGACTCTTTGTATATCTGTTCCCTCTTTAATTGCTTCCTTTTAACCTCAAGATTAGGCTTTTATTGCATAATAAAATGCATATGAGCCATTCAGTTTTACTCCATTACCTCTCTGGCTTAGAATGAACTATCAGTAGAATTAACAAAAATTGCATCATAGAGTTGGAGAATTGCCACCAAGGAAGTGTTCTAGCCATACTACAGAAAAGATTCTCCCCATGGGATTACTTCTCAGTAGAATTCTACAATTCAGAAGATAATATCAGTAAGAAAAACTTAAGTCCTGTCAGCTGTTAGAAAAACATATCCAATCAAAAACATACTCCCAAGTAGTTTTAATTAGCCAATCTTAGAAACATCAAATTCAGAAAAAGCAATTTAGAGTTGAGGGGAGTACTAACTTATCTGGTCTAATTCAAAGCTAGCAGCTGGAATTGTATCATTGGGCTCACACTGTTGTTTATTATCACTGGACTTGGTTATAATATGTGAGATCTCAGAATTGAACTAATCATATTAATTTAAACATTCAGAGATTTTAGGTCTAGTACATAAGAAATATAGCTAATCCCATCCCTTCTACCCTGGGTTCACTATAAACATTTAGTGAGCTTGCTTTCCTTCATGTGTGATTCCACCTCCATTCAAGGATTCTATGCCATAGGTTCCGCTTTTGCTCTCTGTGTTTAATGGGTGACAGTGAACACGTTTAAAGATCTAGTCCTCCCACTCCAACCCTAGTAAGCTTCATGAGTATTATGCACATTAGGATAGAGAAACAAAACAAAAGATATTTAACAAAAACATAACCTGTATCAGAGGAATTCCAGCCTGAGGCCAGATGCAGTGGCTCATACCTGTCATCCCAGCACTTTGGGAAGCCGAGGTGGAAGGATCACTTGAGGCCAGGAGTTCGAGACCAGCCTGGGCTATGTAATGAGACCCCGACTCTACAAAAAATAAAAATAAAAAACTTAGCTGGGTATGGTGGTGTGTGCCTGTAGTACTAGCGGTTCAAGAGGCTGGGGTAGGAGGATCCCCTGAGCCCAGGAATTCCAGGTTGCAGTAAGCCACAATTGCACTACTGCACTCCAGCCTGGATGACAGAGCAAGATCCTGTCTCTGAAATTAAAATTATTATTAAAATAATAATTTTAATGTTTTATTAAAATTATTAAAATAATTTAATGTTTTATTAAAATTATTACTAAAATAATTTAATGTTTTATTAAAATAGCACTTTTGATGATTTATTAACATCATTATTAAAATAACAATTTATTAAAATTATAATTGCAGCCTGATGTTTTGCTAATACAACTAACTTTTAACTTGTAAATAAAATGCTAATTAAATATGAAAGGAAATTCATTTTCAAAAAAAGTATTTTGGTTAAATCCCAAGAATATCATATCCCTAAAACTAGAAAAAAATTAAAAGTGATTATGATTACACACTAGTATTTGTGAGAGAGAGAGAGAGACAATGCTAGTAAATACCATTGTATTTAGATAAGGTAAGTCCAGTTAAGCTAAAAAGACATTCATAAACTGCTAAGCCTTTCAGGAGCCTTTGTTAACATACCAGGCATTCTGCTGCCATGTGAAATGATGTGCTAGTCTTGAATCAAGAATCCCCTTTTTTTCTTCAGGCTGACATAAATAATGATCTTTGTTCCTTTTGTTCTGTGTTTGGTACTCTCGTATACCAATTTACCCGACTTGGGAGACCCTATTTATTTCATAATTTCCTGAGCAAAAGCTTTGGATTAGTGTGTGTGTGTGTGGTTTTTTTTTTGTACTTTCCTATAATATTGCATTAGTAAAAAGCTAAAAAGTAAAACCAAACAATTAAGTAAGAGTTTGAATAGAAGCTTCCAGAGATAAGATTTGTTGAGTGTCTTGCTGGAAACTTGAGAGTGAGGTCGAGGATAACTTGTGTTCTATCTTGAAAGCTGCAAGTTATACATTTGCAACGTGCTTGAATGTGATATCCTGCAAGTTAAAAAGTACTGATTTGACCAGCTGCTTTTAAACCTTCAGCGATTTATTTTTACGTAAATGAAAGTGTTAGTATATTGAAAATTTTGCTGTCACTGGGGAGCAAGAACATTTACACTTGAAATTCTAACCTGAAAGAGACTGTTGTTTTTGTTTAATGCAAGCATTTTACTTCAGGATTTATTACTGCAGATAATTATAATTTATTACTCTCTTGAAAAGTAGCTAGTATTAATACTTTGTTTGCTTAAAGGTATGCCTAATGTTAATATTGTAGAGCCTAACTCAGGATTTATCTATATCTCTTGATTTCACAGGAGTATTGTCATCCTGTGGATGTGGATAGACCAAATGTTACCCAGGTTTTTAGAGGGTAGGAGGTGATTAATATATCATGTTTTATTCCATATAGATTATGGTTAGTAAAATGATTTGATTATTAATATTTATTTTGGCTAGAAATAAATAATAACTACTTTCTCAATTTGATTTTAGAGAATGCTTGAAGAGGTCTTTAATATTTAAGAGAAATAATTATTTTTGAAAATCCCAACCTCTTTATAATTGTTTGATTTAAAAAAGGAAATGAAAATTTATAGCAAATTCATTAATTCAAACTAATTGAAGGAAGTCTTTCTAAATTACTAAAAAGTATTCATAATGAATAATTTTTATTCATAATACTGCATATATAATGAAATACTGTTGTGTTCAAGTAGGTATAGAAATTCCAGCTAGGCTAAAAAATATAAAGCTCCTTAGTCTGGATATCAAAATTACAATCCTGGTAGTCTAGAAATTTATAACATAGTTGGAAATGGAAAACAAATTTACAACAACCCTGTGAAGAAAGTATTTTTATCCCTTTTTCGATGATGAGGAAACCGGACTTGCCAAAGCTTAAATAACTGGTGTCCTAATTAACAATTTAATGCAAAATGTCTTTTAATTGGAAGAATGTTTCTATAATAATTTCTAAAGAGGCAGACTTTTGTTCTATTTTTTCCTAATGTGTTTAGGTAGCAGAATTTCAATAATGAGCAGAGTGATGTTCTTTAATAGTAATCATTTTTATGATATAGCTGCTAATAAAGCATTATCTCAGGCTCTTTGAGCACTAATAGAAGTGTAGCTGTCAAATGAAATTAAAATTATGCATTTATAAACATTGGTAGAGCCCTTAAATGATTATAAACTGGTTTCCCTTGGCATTCTTTCATAGTTGCTGTTCTACTTTTGTTTCTGGCTTTATGATAACATTTTTTATCTCATGCGTTCAAAAACAAACATAACTCTATTCCCCTAGAAGCTATTTGGTGATTCAGCACAGTTGAAGGACGCTCTATCTGTCTGAACGATAGATTTTTTTTCCCTAGTATTAGCTGGAAGGGCAGAAATCTGTACGCTATAAGAGCAGGGAATGAGGAATCCCAGTCATAAAAGAAGATCCCGTGGTTGGGAGGACATCCCCAAAAAAGGGCAGACCCAAGTGGAAAATGTGAACTGCTGCTATCACCTAGCATCTGACCTTACCTAGGCACCTAGTAGGTGCTCAATATCTAGACCTTGATTGAATTTCCTTCCTTCCTTCCTCCCTCCCTCCCTCTTTCTTCTCTTTTCTTTTTTCTTTTCCTTTCTTTTCTTTTTTCTTTCTGCAGTCCTCCCACCTTGGCCTCCTAGAGTGCTGGGATTACAGACATGAACCACTGTGCCCGGCCTGAATGACGTTTTCTTATTTTAATCTCTCAAAAAACTAAATTTAGGAAAAGTCTAACATACTGCCAATTAACTCATAATTAACATGCATTTGATAACAATACCATTTCCAGTTAAAATGTGAAGAGATCAAGTTCAAAGTAGAAGCAGCATTTGCAACAACTTTTATACTGTAAGATCATTTAAACCAGTAAGGACATTTTTAATATTGCATAAGTATAATACAAGTACAAGGCATAATAATATTATAGAAATAAGCTAGAATAGCTACACACACGCACACACACGCACACACAAAGTACATTATATCCAATGCATCACTTCTGTGTTTCTATTTTTTTTTAATGACTTATCAGGACGAGGGAAAATTAACTTTCTACTTTAACTGAAGTTTGTTATTCTTGTTACCACTTCTCTGTGTATATAGATCTGTTGTCAGTGTTCTCTTTTTAAACTATGTATTTCTACATTTTTATGACATGTTTATCTTAATTGCAGATAAAACTCAGAGGAAATTTGCACAGATGCTGCTTTGGAGAACTTTACAACCTGGGTTGCAGAACTGAGCCTTGGTAAACCTGTCTCTATTACAGCATGTTGCCATACATCTATTTAAGTGCATAAGGTCTTTGGCCTTCAAGATCCATCGACCTTAAACAGGAATGCTTAGCACGTTTACCATACGTTTAAAATCCATTCTTTATCAATCAGTCCTTTTATAGCTTTCTAAGTTCTTATTGATGGCTAATATACAAGGGTTAATTTTTAATATTTTAATTGATTTCTTTAATCAGTTTCTCGACTTGTATTTATTAAATACTCAAACTCAGTATTACCTACTCAATGCCTTTTAAAAGAAAGTTATAATGGAGAAAAAATTGAGCCTTAAACAAATGGTTACTTCTGTATATTACCTCGTACCAGTGCTTCATCCTATTTGTAAAATCTTTCTCCTTTAAAATTATTGGTTAATACTTTGAGACTTTGTTTACGTGTGGCAGTGTTGTAAAAAGAAACTAAAGATCACATTTTACCTGTATGGATGGAATATCCCTTTTCTTCAAGTGCAGTTTGTGATGTGTTTTGTTTTTTTTTTTTTTTTTTTGTAATTAACATGTTCTGAAGGTTACAATTGATATTTGAAATTGACTGTAGAGCATTTAGTTGAAGAGTTAAGCATTCAGTTCCATTAGGTTTTCACATGTGTTAATCTCATTTACAGCATTGAATTGCGGCAGTAACATTTTCCTTTCTGTGAAGTTCTAAATTTAGTTATGACCTATTTAGCAATGCCTTTGAAAAGGGATATTGTATCCATGGTAAATTAATTGTATACCTAAACAGAGATAGCTCATCTTTGCCTATCAGGCTTGTAATTGACATCTAGTAGACTTCTGCACATGTAAAATTGAATTCAAATAAAATCATACACACTTTCTAGTTCTTAATATTTGTCTTTCTGAATAATAGTTTAAAGCAATATTTGTTAAAGTTTTCTTGCACTATCACAATTGCTTTTTAGTTATTTCTCAAGAAGCATGT
Organism: Homo sapiens; assembly: GCF_000001405.40. Lineage (NCBI taxonomy): Eukaryota > Metazoa > Chordata > Mammalia > Primates > Hominidae > Homo > Homo sapiens. The sequence goes on along the minus strand of NC_000023.11, from coordinate 132,204,543 downwards.
TCGTATTAGAGACAAAATCTGTGTAACAGGAGGGAGAATAGCGCCAAGTCTCTGGGCTATTTTTTATTTTTGCAAATGTGCTTTCTAATAGCCATTGCCTTCCATGTTGTTTACCTAATCAGCATATTTTTGTCTGAATACTTGAACATTTTAACAGTAACGCAGGTGTAGAATCAGAAAGGAAACTTATGCAGAGTAATATTTTGGTTCAGTTTTAACATCGTGACAATGAGGGCTTTTTCTAGCAATGATTTTTAAATTGTGTAAGTTTGACAGTATTTTATTGTTGGGTTTTTATTTGATTTTAGTTGTGTGCTTTTCATTTGCAGAAGTTAGTAACTGCAGCTCACCTACTGCACCAAAGTTCTCGATTTTAGGAGCCCAGCTTTAGTCATTTGAACATGCTTCTAAATAAAATAAAACAAAACCAAAACTATACTTTTGATCTATAATAAGAGCTCAATAACTTTGTCAAGGAAAGCTCTAATATATGCAGTGATGGTTTATGAAAGGGTGTGGCAATTTTAAATTTATATTGTGTGTGATGTTCAAATAAAGTGGTATCTACATTCATGTGATTTATGGGTCAGCATGACCATTAATTACTGAGTAGAAATTGACTAAACTTTGATTTCCTTTTTTTAAATCGTGTTGCATTTGATTCCTGAGCAAATTCCCTCAAAGTGAACTCTTGTTCTTAAATTTTGAATTTTATGGTGAGATTGTAAAGATAGAGGCAATTGAAACATTGTTCCTTATTTATGAACTGCTTGAAGTGAATACTTAATTTAAGTTTGCACTTTAATACCAAACTTAAAACCAAACACTCATTTAAAAGTAGGTTAAGTGATCATGGATCATTGTTATTAGCTTTGTGGCTTTGTGAAATTCTAAAGGAATCAAATAATTCATCATGATTTAAATTTTCTAGAGATTTTGATTTTTTTATAATGTTTCTTTCCTGTAGATTGTGTTCTTGTTTCTCTCTCTCTCTCTCTCTCTCTCTCTCTCTCTCTCTCTCTCTCTCTCTCTCTCTCAAAATTACAGTGTTCATTGTCATTGACCTCAGCAGCAAATTTGACTTGAATTCACTTAGGATCGCAGGAATCAGGGGAAAGTGATTTTAAAGGTGGTTTCTCCAGCACATTTTAAGAAAAGGGACCAAAAGTTATTTTAGCTTCCTCAATAGATTGCATGTTGCTTATTAGGATAATAAATTAATATTAAATGCAATATATGTCTTGTCTTTATTATGGCATCTATTTAGGAGTTGTTCAAATCACTGCAGTAGGGCTCTGCAAATAAAATAATGTAACCTATTATCATGGATCTAATGTACTGTAACTTTATCAGTGAAAGGTAAAATCTCAAATAACAAGTACAAACATTGAACAATTACCTATAAAGATTTGTAAAAGTAAAATTTTTCCAATAGATTTCATTCTTGTCATTTTGTAAGACGACCCTGCAGTCCACCTGTTTGTAACTTTTTTAATAAAATAGACATCTGTATTACTGAGGTTGGTTTCTTTAATTATTTGGTGTATTGCTTCATGTTCTGGATTTGCTAACTTATAAATCTTTCTCAAAACTGAAAATCATTACTTTTTATCAAAATGATCATGTGTATTGCAGTACATGTTTAAACAAAGTTAAACATTCATTCGCCTGTTTCCTTAGTTACCATTCTGGCATATTTTGGGGGAAAACTGAGAATGATATAGAAATTATATATTATATATTATAGAAATTATAGACAATGGCTGAAAATGAATGATATGTATAACCTGATCTACATGCAGAAAGTGGCCAAATGACAAATTTGTTCACTGGGAATTGTCCATGTATAAAATATTTCAGACAATATATTTTTTTGGAGGCAATCTTGCTCTGTCACTCAGGCTGGAGTGCAGTGGCACAATCATAGCTCACTTCAACCTCGAACTTCTAGGATCAAGTGATCCTCCTGCCCCAGCCTCTTGAGAAACTGGGACTACAGAGGCTTGCCACCACGCCCAGCTAATTTTTCCATTTTTTTGTAGAGATTGGGGGGGTCTCACTATGTTGCCCAGGCTGGCCTCAAACTCCTGGGGTTAAACAACCCTCCTGCCTTGGCCTCCCAAAGTGCTTGGATTACAGGGGTGAGCCACCATGCCCAGCCCAGATTTCAGACAATATTAAGCAATACAATTAAATTTTGAAATATTAAATTAAATATGACACAATTATTTTGTTTTATCCAGTGAAACATTTTGACAATCACTTTAATTTGCTGCCCAATTCAATATTTTTTTAAATTGTTGAATAGATTTTTTAACCTCAATTTTTAAAAATCATTATCAATCTTTTATTTGAAGTTGGACAGTTCTGTCTATCCAAATGTACATGGACTGCATTTTAAAAATATTTGTAAATGAATGGGTAGTTTTATATACCTGTATCATATAGAAAATATCTTATTGTTTATTACCATCAATTATTGGCCTTCAGATGGGCTCCAGACACTCCATATATGCTGCCTTAGATGCTGTCCTTGCAGTCAATACATAACTTTTTTCTACAATGAAGGCACTCAGGATTTCAGGGCCTTCCACCTTTTTTCCACTAAAGGAGTGGTATCCCTTCATCCAGCAAGGTCAACGTGTTTAACCAAGTGAGTAACGATGAGAGGACAGAGGAAGGTAAGAGCTAAGGGAAACTAGCCTGACGAGCCAAATCAGCATTGAGTATCAGTAAGGGACTCTGTCACAGCCAGACTACCTTTATCTCCTCCACATTGTCCTCTTCATGCCATTCTTATCCTGGGAAAAGATTCACCTAGTCTTAACACTTTTCCAGGTTATAGCCTCTTGGGGTCAAGCTTCAAGGCTATAAGATTTCTCATTTAGATTTAAAGCAGAGACAATTTTTTGGTTAAACTTCAGCTTGTACACATATTAATCTCATTTGAACTTTACTGCTAGCTGGTGTTTTGGAGTTTATCGTTCCCATTTTATAGTTGATGAAACCAAGGCTCAGGAAAGTTGTGCCTTAAGTTCGTAAAGGTAAGGTCAAATGATTAAAATGTTGAGAAAGTTTCTTTTGGAGAAGTTTTCAAATAAATATATCATTGGGTAGAGTCAGATGGGTACTATTAAAATTATAAAGCTTATGGAAACAAGATAAAAGCAAGAAATAACTATTTTAAGTCAGTGTGATGGTCCATATGTAACAAAATACTAGCGTCCTTTTCAAAGGTAATGTGTGTGTTATATTACTAAAGTTTATGTAAGTCATAAGCTATTTTCATTATAGCTATTTTTCTTTGGAAAGGCAATGTCTTAAATCTAGGATTTGGCAGCCTTTGACCACCAGGCAGAATCCAGCCCGGTTAGCAGTGCCAAAAGAACTGTAGTTAGATTTAGCAGCTGTATTCTGAATCAATCGAATCAATCGCAAAGGAGAACCAGAAGTGCAGCTGATCTTCAACTCGTCTTTTGTCAGCACAGAGCCATATCCCTGTGCTTAAAGGCATTGTTCTCAGTGGGTAAGGTCATCCCACTCCCAAGCTCAATGGTCCTGGTATGGTGTTATAATTTATGAGTGTTCTCCCATAGACTGTGAATTCCTTGAAGGTAAGGACTTTGCCTAAGTCACCTCTTCATCCTTAGTGCTTACCTGTGGTACTTTATAGTGTTCAATAAATATTTGATGAAGTTATAGTAACAGAATGAGTAAAGCAGTTGGGTGTTTGCTGTTTAGAAAATCCTAACCTTGCCATTTTCTGCTGGTCTTTTTAAATTTATAACATTTAGGTAGTGTGGGAAGTGCATTTTCTCTCCCTCATCCTCTGCAGTGCTAAATTGTTAGCTGCTTGTTTGTTTTGCTTCCTGTTTTTGTTTATAATAGTTGTTTCTAAACTCACTTCCAGGGAAAATGTATACTATAGAGAGATGGTCCATACAGGCACACTGTGAATGTGGACTAGAGGGCCTTGAGTCTAAAACTAAATCCTCTAAGACTCTAGGGACAAGAATACAATCAAGAAAGGGTATTTGCTATCCATGCCTGAGTTTCCTCTCCAGTAGATCCTGAAGCTTACCTGGACCTGTTCCTACTTCATTCTTAGGCAAATCAGAGAAATGTTTATAGAGGATTCCTAAAACATCTTAAGTATTTCCCCTTAATGAGGCATTAATTCCTGTTCTTCAAACTTCCCCCTTCCAAAATTTCAGGTGATCCCCCACCTATCTCCCTGCAGTCAATTCCTCTGCTTTTCCTTTGTCTCTGCCCCATTCCCTCATTGTACCTACAAACTAATGTGTACCCTCATGTAACTAAACTCCTACCCTGTCCCTTCCATTTTTTCTACATGAATCATGAATAGTTTTATGAGCACTAAAGCTATTGGAAGTAAAAGTTTCTTACTCTGCTTCCCACAAGCTCCAAGACTCAGTCTCCGACTTCTTTTTTTTAAGACAGAATCTTGCTCTGTCATCCAGGCTGGAAGTTCAGTGGCGCCATCTCGGCTCACTGGAACCTCTGCCTCACGGATTCAAGCGGTTCCCCTGCCTCAGCCTCCCAAGTAGCTGGGATTACAGTCACTTGCCACCACGCTTGGCTAATTTTTGTATTTTTAGTAGGGACAGGGTTTCGCTGTTGGCCAGGCTGGTCTCAAACTCCTGACCACAGGTGATCACCTGCCTCGGCCTCCCAAAGTCGGTCTTCAACACTTTTGACAACAATAATTAGAGACATTTTCAGGCTGCCCTTAAAGCAACCTAAGGTTATCCCCCAAAATGTTAGCCCTACATGTGTGCTTCAATATGAGTGGCCTGTGCAGTCTGCCAAGTAACCAGAGACTCCTGGGTGCCCCAGAAAGCCCCTCCAGGAATTGGCTCCTGAGGCACTAGATACTTTCTTACTCGTGCTGTAAGCTCCAGGGAGTGCCCTGGGCTTAGTAGCTTGAAGTTCCTACCAGCTGCTGTAAGCATTAAGAGTTGAGGAAATGGCGGGGGCAGGGGGGCGGTTGTTAGAGCCCATGCTGAACTTTTCTTGGAGTTTGAAAGTGGATGGATGTTAAATCCACAATTGAGAAATAGAAGGATTTCTGAGGGCTCTGACCCTTCAACTAACCCCAGTGTGGGGGTTTGTTGTTCTTCCATTTAAGAGGGAGCCATAGGAAGCCTGGATACTAGCAGACATAGTTTTCCCTGTTTTTTTGTAGTCCCTCTTTGGGACATATGTGTGGCTATCCTTAGAAAAATCTCAGCTGAAGTGTAGACATTATGCCATGCCCCAAGATAGCTCTGAGAATGTTCTTGGTCCTTTGCTTAGGCCCCAAAATATACAGAGGTGAATGGAAGGGGTGGACATTTAAAAGACAGACACGGGCTTTATCATGTTGCTTGGTTGCAAACTGAGACTGTGTTGGGTGCTTGAGTCCCTCTGGAAGCTATGGCATGGAGAATGAAGCCCGTGCTAACTCAAAAAATGTCTCAGCTACAGACCTTTTGCTGTCCGACTGGTTAAAGAGAATAATTGCAGTGACCTAGCAATGGAAACCTAGCCCAAAAAAGAGTGACTTCTCTTGGACAGTAAGTAGTTGCTTAGTGAGAAAGATTCTAGATTCCAGACAAAAATGGGACAAAAAGATCAGTGTCTTTATTTAACATTTGCCAAGCTTCTAAGTATGTGTCAGGCACGGTGCTATGAGCTGAGTTTATAGGAGGAATGTGATATGGCCTTATCCTCTGGTGGAACTTATGTTCTCGCCTAAGAGACAGACTTTTAAGCAATAATTATTAAGCAATGTGATGTATGCACTAATATCAGCATGTGCCATATGCCAGGGAGCTCAGAGAAGGAAAGGGATTTATTTTTCCTGTAGGAGTCAAGGCAGGGTCAGAGGAACTTGCCTTGTGGGCTGATTCTTGAAGATTAAGGAGCAATTTGCAGTTAAGAACATCTCCAGATAGACTTTGAGAGAGGAGACTCAGGAAAGGCATAGAGTCCTGAGTGTGCCTGGCAGGCTTGGGAGACCTGGAGTTAGCAGGGATGTCAAGAGGGGCTGGCTAGAATAAGAGCGAGAAAGAGTGATGGGAGATGAGGGTAGAAAGCAGCACAGGCTGGAATGTGAGGGTCTTGCATGCCATACTGAGCCTTTGAGGATTTCTCCTGGCAATGATGGGGAGTCACTGGCCTGCTGCAGCAGAGTGGTAGGAGCAGATTGGGGTTTTAGAAAGACACAAAAGTGAAGGATAGTTTGGAGGGGTTTACCTGGGGCAGGGAGATCTGTAAGGAGACCACTGCAATCATATAAATAAGAAAGAGCAAGAGCTTTAATAGGGCACAATTAGGGAGAATGAAGAGATGGTGATAAATTACGGTGGCCTAAGATATGGATTCAAGTCCCAAATCTGATCAATCACATTCTTCAGCTTAAAAATCTCTCATGACTCTCCAGGATTCACCTCATCGGACAAGGGCTTTCACATTCCAACTTGGCCTATCTCTCCAACCTCACCTTTTATGCTAACTCTCATAATCTAAGCTCCAGTTTCAGTGACTCCAAACTTCTTGCTGCTTCCTAAACCAAGCCCTACTCAATCATGTTTCCATGCCTCTGCATGAGCTATTCCCATCACATGCAATACCCTCTTCCAAACTTCCTCCTCTTAGGGAATTCTTACTCATCCTTATAACTCTTACCTCATTTCCATGGATCCCTTATTTCTCTCTCATTCTCTGCACAGAGAATCTCTCTCTCTCCCCCCTCCCCTCCCCGCCCCCTCAATCTTTCTCTACACTTCCAGCTTGGAGAGCACCCAGTAAATACATACTACATTATTTCAAAATTACCTGTTTACGTGTTTTCCACTCCCACAAGGCAATCAGCCTCTCTTAGGAGAAAAATGAATTATTTTTCACCTATCATGGCATTGGATGCATAGAAGAGTTCAATAAACACTGAGTGATTAAATGAATTTTGGCAGTAGAATTGGGAGAACTTGATGTGATTATTGGTTACGATGAAAAGGGGGAAATATAAAGTAAGTAATTTCTAGCTTGGGTAACTGGACAGGCCTAAATAATCTAGATTCTAAATAAGTATTTTCGCTCTCACTCTTTTTTTTTTTTTATTATACTTTAAGTTTTAGGGTACATGTGCACATTGTGCAGGTTAGTTACATATGTATACATGTGCCATGCTGGTGCGCTGCACCCACTAACGCGTCATCTAGCATTAGGTATATCTCCCAATGCTATCCCTCCCCCCTCCCCCCACCCCACCACAGTCCCCAGAGTGTGATATTCCCCTTCCTGTGTCCATGTGATCTCATTGTTCAATTCCCACCTATGAGTGAGAATATGCGGTGTTTGGTTTTTTGTTCTTGCGATAGTTTACTGAGAATGATGGTTTCCAATTTCATCCATGTCCCTACAAAGGACATGAACTCATCATTTTTTTATGGCTGCATAGTATTCCATGGTGTATATGTGCCACATTTTCTTAATCCAGACTATCATTGTTGGACATTTGGGTTGGTTCCGCTCTCACTCTTGATCCAGTCTAGTTTTTTCTTTACAAAACAGCCACAGTGATCTTTTACAAATGTCGATATAATCCTGACTCTCCCCAGTCAAAAGCTCCCCAGTGTCTCATTATCACTATCAGGCTTGGTCCAGACTTCTTAGAATGACCTGGCCCCTGACTACTTGTTCATCTTTGTTTTCCACTGCTTCTATCCTCACACTTTCCCTTTGATTATCACATGAGTTCATAGCTTCTTGCATACAGTCTCAAGATTTTGCTTAGTGTTTTTCCTCCATATGAAACTTCCTTCCTCTTCCTTGCCTAGCTCCTATCCTACTCATACACTGAAATTGCTTGTCTGTCTGCTTTTCTATATGGTAATCTCTAAAAGAGAAAGGTTTATGTGTAATTTACTAGTTATCTCAGTATCCAGCACAAAATAGATGATCAATAAAGATTTTTGAACTGAACTCAGCTGGGTAGATGATACTACTATCAGTAGACCTTTCGTACTGCAAGAGGAAGTTAATGGGGTAGTTGGGAGTGAAGGGGGTGTGTAATTTCAGCTTGGGGCATGGCGAACTGCATGTGACAGGTGGGGAGGTGCGGTGGGTAGTTTCCCTAATTATCTCAAGGACAAGCCTCTGTCTTCTGCCCATTCATGGAGAGGCACTCTTAAAGCAGACCCAAACACCGTTTCTATTTAAGCAGCGTGGACTTCAGCCACCCAACTTACATCAACACGAAATCCACACCCAGTGCAGAAAAGTCAGCCACACCAAATTTCTAGTCCTCTCTGCCTCTGGCTCTGTGACTGAAGATGGGGGTTGGAATAGGATGATAAAGACTTGTTTTCTTCCATCAGCCTCAAGTGGGGCTGTAGCCAAAGTCAAGTGAAGCTAATATCAGGCTCTCTTATTTCTGCAAACCTTGCAAATTTATGGGTAAATTCCAGTCCCGCTTTCCCTTTCCCTTCCTTCCAGCAAATCAAGATGCTTCTTAGTCTGTTACTGAGTATTTTTCCATATTTTATTTGGATGTGCTGAAGTACCTTTCATTGATGTAAACAAAGTTAAGAGATTCAGCCTCCTATTAAGGTTTCCATGGGGGCATTAGAAACTAATATATGCATTGCCTTTGGCAAATAATTCCGGCTCCGATATGTTTATTTATTTACTGTTAGAAAATAATATATAGCAGTGTTATAAAATTGAGTGTAGAGATCATCCACCTTGTAGACGATAGTCATTCTATAGTATGCATCTACATTGTCTAGCATAGGATTTCATCCTATTCTGCATTGTTCTCTAAATGTGTCTCATTAGGAAACCCCGTGATGGACATTCTAGAAATATACCATAAAGAAGACAAGGCTACTCCTAAAAGACCTTCTTTGACTCCAGAAACAGGACCTCTCTACATGGGCAGTTCTGTACTTAGCTACCTCAGGGCCTTCCTCCACCTAAGATCAGGATCATGTACACTGTACTAGCTTCACAACAGCACATTTGTTTCTTTTAGAGTTTATTATGATCCTAAAAGTTAGCATGAGGAAGGAAAGGCCATTTCTGTCTGCCCCATGTTTCATGTTCTTCTGGGTATTCGAAGACTGGTAAATTAGATATAATGTTTTATTCTGGTTCTGTCACTCTGTGAAGGCATATTAATTACCTTGTATTATATCTCCTTGATGATCTATTAACATTGAATTACATGGCCTCAAGGTCATATTGTGTCCGGAATTGGTGGGTTCTTGATCTCACTGACTTCAAGAATGAAGCCGCGGACACCTCGCGGTGAGTGTTACAGTTCTTAAAGGCCACGTGTCCGGAGTTTGCTCCTTCTGATGTTCTGATGTATTCGGAGTTTCTTCCTGCTGGTGGGTTTGTGGTCTCGCTGGCTCAGGAGTGAAGCTGCAGATCTTTGCCGTGAGTGTTAACAGCTCATAAATGCAGTGCAGACACAAAGAGTGAGCAGCAGCACGATTTATTGCAAAGAGCAAAAGAACAAAGCTTCCACACTGGGGAAGACAACCAGGCGGGTTGCGACTGGGGGCTCAGGCAGCCTGCTTTCAGTCCCTTATCTGGCCCCACCCACATCCTGCTGATTGGTCCATTTTACAGAGAGCTGATTGGTCCGTTTTGACAGGGTGCTGATTGGTGTGTTTACAATCCCTGAGCTAGACACAAAAGTTCTCCAAGTCCCCACAGAGCACTGACTGGTGCATTTACAAACCTTGAGCTAGACACAGGGTGCTGATTGGTGTGTTTACAAACCTTGAGCTAGACACAGAGTGCTGATTGGTGTAGTTACAATCCCTTAGCTAGACATAAAGGTTCCCCAAGTCCCCACCAGATTAGCTAGATACAGAGTGCTGATTGGTACATTTACAAACCTTGAGCTAGATACAGAGTGCTGATTGGTGTATTTACAATCCCTTAGCTAGACATAAAGGTTCTCCAAGTCCCCACTACACTCAGGAGCCCAGCTGGCTTCACCTAGTGGATCCCCCACAGGGGCCGCAGGTGGAGCTGCCTGCCAGTTCTGCACCTTGTGCCCACACTCCTCAGACCTTGGGCAGTCGATGGGACTGGGCGCCGCAGAGCAGGTGGCGGTGCTCGTCGGGGAGGCTTCGGCCAGCGCAGGAGCCCACGGCATGGGGGAGGCTCAGGCACAGTGGGCTGCAGGTCCCGAGCCCTGCCCCACGGGGAGGCAGCTGAGGCCTGGTGAGAATTCCAGCTCAGCACCGGTGGGCCAGCACTGCTGGGGTACCTGGTGCACCCTTCACAGCTGCTGGCCCAGGTACTAAGCCCCTCACTGCCTGGGGCCGGCAGTGCTGGCCAGCCACTCCGAGTGTGGGGCCTGCCGAGCCCACACCCACCCGGATCTCGCGCTGGCCCGTGAGCAGCCCCGGTTCCCACCTGCGCCTCTCCCTCCACACCTCCCTGCAAGCAGAGGGAGCCAGCTCCCACCTCAGCCAGCCCAGAGAGGGGCTCCCATAGTGCAGCGGCGGGCTGAAGGGCTCCTCAAGCACGGCCAGAGTGGGCACTGAGGCCGAGGAGGCACCGAGAGCCAGCGAGGGCTGCCAGCACGCTGTCACCTCTCAATATCAATCAATGTACTTCTGAAAACCAATTTACTGTTCATCTTGATTTTCGAATTATTTGAAAAACTAAGAGTAATGGTAAGCACAAGACTTAGCCTTAGCATTCATGAAAATATAGTACAAAGCTATAGTAATTAAAACAGGTTGACACAACTGTAAGAATGAACAGACAGATCAGTGAAACACAAGGATCACCCCCCCAAAGATTTCTTGTTCATATAATGTAACACATTATAAGAAGGTATTAACATATGTGGGGAAGTATGAAATTATACTACAAATAGTGCTTGGATAATTAGATAACTATTGTTGACTAAAGAAAAAAATGAAGCTTTTAAATGAAGTTAGTCTTATTTAGCCTTATGGAGGACTATAGACCAAGGCCTAAATACTGTGCTCCTGCACAGTATTTCAGCCTATTGCTTATATATAGGTGGTAGGGGTTTGGTACATGCAAAATCACATTAAACTTGCTCAGAAGTTACATTCCAATCATATAACTGTTTGGGTATAAGAGTACATCTGGGGCCGGGCACAGTGGCTCACGCCTGTAATCCCAGCACTTTGGGAGGCTGAGGCAGGCAGATCATTTGAAGTCAGGAGTTCGAGACCAGCCTGGCCAACATGGTGAAACCCCATCTCTACTAAAAATACAAATAATTAGCCAGGTGTGGTGGTGTGCACATGTAGTCCCAGCTACTTGGGAGGCTGAGGCAGAAGAATGGTTTGAACCCAGGAGGCAGAGGTTGCAGTGAGCCGAGATCGCACCACTGCACTCCAGCCTGGGTGACAGAGCTAGACTCCATCTCAAAAAAAAAAAAATAAAGTACATATGGTTATCAATACAAAGGCATAATCACTAACCCAGTCAGATGTTATCTTCTGTGCTGAAAAGGCAAGGACTAGGATCATTCATCTTTTAAGGAATATACATCTCAGGCAAGAGAAGTGGGGGACCATGTGCTCTATCCTGTTTTGTCTTCAAAGCATCTTTCCAGAGAGGTGCACATTATCACAGAGTCAGGGTCTTTGTGAAATCATGCAAGCAAGCAAAAACAAGCAAACATGGCTTCTTTAGAGCTTCATCTCACAGCATGTATTAATACAGAATCCAGAAGGATCTAAAAAAGGGAATGTGAAAAACTAAACAAAAACAATAGAAAAAACCCAAAAAGACTGTTCGTCAGATCTGCTAATAATGAAAACCTTTTTAAGTTTAAAAGCAATGGATGGCATAACAAAAGATTTTTAGATTGTACTAGATTTTTAAAACTTGGAAGAATATTGTAACAAATATGATAAATGAGGGATTGATAGCTTTAATCTATCTTTTAAAACTCATACAAATTGAAAAGAAAAACTTAAAAATTCAAGAGAAAATTAGACAAAGAAAATATTTCATAGAAAAGATATATATGGCTACATACAAAAATTGTTCAAGCTTACTGGTAACAAAAATATGCAAATAATACAACAGTGAAATATTATTTCATTGTTGTGTACTTAACTTCTCTTATTTTGAAGAAACTCCACAAGATACTATTGTTTTATGTAGTTAGTTTCCTTATCCCTGCATATTTGTCATTTTCTTTGCTTATCAACCTTTCTTGGTATTCAAATGTTCTATCAAAAATCATATTCCTTCTGCCTGTAGTATACATCCTTTATCATTTCTTATATTGTATGTCTGCTGGTGGCAAAGTCCCTGACTGTTTGAAAATTGTATTTTATCCTCAAGATTCAAAGATATTTTCATAGATGTGGTACATATATGGAATACTATGCAGCCATAAAAAAGGAAGTCAAGTCCTTTGCAACAACATGAATGCAGCTGGAGGCCATTATCATAAGTGAATTGATACAGGAACAGAAAGCCAAATACCACATGTTCTCACTTGTAATGTAAATGTGGGGCAATAAACCCACACAAGAGCTAAATTGTGGTTATAATTTACCAGGAATGGTTATTCGCCTTCTCCCATCAACTAGCTGTGATAGGCAACAAAGAAACTTTCCTTACATTTTCCTGAGGATATGTATTTATTTCTGGTTCACCTTTACACTGAGAACATAACCCCTTAGGATACTGGATTTATGGTGGTAGGGACTCTTAATTAGTTTCCCCATCTTGGTAGAGCCCTGAGCTTTATGTTCTGTCCCCATATCTGGATAAATCACATAGACACAAAAGAGCAAAGTTCAAATTAGGCTGTTTTGGCAAATGTCCTTAGGGAAAAATTTCAGGGCTTGGCTTATTTCTTTGGGTTGCTGCCTTCATTTAGATCCATGCCTGGTAATTTCCATCTCATTAGCTTTTTGACACTTTTAACAAGATTCTCTTTCTCCACACATATCATATATACACTATATATGTATATATATATACACTGTACATAGCATAATATGCATATGCTTTATCCAGCAGTTTTAGCTGTTTTCTGCCTGCAGAAATCTGTCCAAATACCTAGACAGCCATACTATCTGAAACTAAAACATACATTTTATTATGAATAAATTAATAAAGATATTTATAAAAAGATAATCCTCATTATTTAACAGACATGGGGTAAAAAGAGCACTTATACACTACTGCTAAGACTGTACATTGAGTGTAAATCAGCTTAACCTTAAATAGAGAACACTTTAGTGGTATGTATCTGGAATCTTTTAAATGTTCATCAACTCGACTGAATAATTCCACTTCCAATAATATATAATAGTAACTAAGCAAAGATGCTCATAAACATGTATATTTGAGGATGTTTATTGAAATGTTATTTATAATAGGAAAAGAAAATCTTTATGGCCTATTGATAAAATGAAATACTATGCAGCCATTTATTAAATATATTTTATAGAATATACAATATGACATGGGGAAATGTTCTCAATAAAAGGTTAAGTGAAAATCAGAACACAAAATTGTATACAGCAGCAGAATCCTAATGTGTGTTTGTGTGTGTGTATGCATGGAAAAACATCACAATATTAATGGACACACACACACACACACACACACACACATCTCCCAGTATCTGTAGGGGATTGCTTTCAGTACCCCCGTGGATACCAAAATCTGTGATGGTCAAATCCCTGATATAAAATGGTATAGTATTTGCATATAACCTATACGTATCCTCCCATATAGTTTAAGTTGCCTCTAGATTACTTATCATACCTAACACAATGCAAACGCTATGTAAATAGTTGTTATACTATAGTTTTTATTTGTATTATTTTCTTGTTTTTTTATGGGAACAGTTTTGATTAGTGGTTGGTTGATTCTGCAGATGCAGGACCCATGGATATGGAACCCATGGATATGGAGGGCTGATTGTATATATATATGCATATATATACGTATATACATATATACGTATATATACATACATGTATGTGTATATATATATGGTTAAGTGAAAATGAGAACACAAAATTATATATAGCAGCATAATCCGTGGATATGGATTGCATATGTGTATATACAATCAGCCCTCTATAACCATGTATTCCATATTCATGGGTTCTGCATCTGTGGAATCAACCAACTGCTGATCAAAACTATTCATATATATATTCAGATATATATTCATATATATATCAATAAAATAATGAAAATAAAAAATATAGTATAACAACTATTTACATAGCATTTGTGTGTGTGTGTGTGTGTGTGTGTGTGTGTGTGTGTGTGTGTAGATGGTGGGGCTATGGCTAATTTTTATTTCCTTTGTAAATTTTACATACTCTTCAGGCTAGCATATATTGCTTTTAAAATCAGAAAACAGTCTGTTAATAAAAAGCAGCACATTAGGAAAAACTGTGAATATTTAACAGCAGTTCTTTAAATGGTTGATATTCTTAATATACAAATAACTCACATAAATCTAAACAAAGCCTTAAGATTCTAGATATAAATATCCTAATATTGCTATCAATAGTACTTTGAGTACTGTGGATCTAAATTCAATCGCTCAACCAATATTGAAGAAAACTCTTTCTGCATAGCTGAACAAATGGATTTTATTTTACGCAAGGGAAAACTACCCCTCTTCTTGGAGAGGCTGGAAAGCTATAGCTACACATTTTGACTCTATCCTTTATGTGAAATGCAAAGAGAAGCCCCTGGGCTGCCTGTGCATACACATATTTGCACACATGCATGCGCTCTCTCGCGCTCTCTCTCTCTCACACACACACACACACGCACACACACACACACACATTTTCTAGTTCTTGCCTTCTCCTTTATCCCCCGAAGGGTTTGTACCACAATAAATTTTTTCTGGGTGTTTTTAGGGGGGTTCTCACACATGGTCATGAATGAGTAGTGTCAGAATAAGTACATGGATTTTGTGTTTTCTTTCTCCCATTATTGTGCTCCAGCTTATATCCTCTAAGTGCTCTCATGTGATCTAAGCATTGCTATATTTTCTAGGCAGAGCTGACACTTGCGCTGTGTAATGCTGCATTTGGAAGGCATGGTACCACATCAACTGGATATCAGCTGCCTCTGCTGGCTTCTGTAATTCACAGTAGAAACTGCTGTTACTTCTATGGAGTAATAATAGTTTCCCTTAGTAGTAGCTTTTCTAAAATACCACCAAAATTAGTGCTGGGCATCACTATCTTGTGCCCAGAGCAACTGTTGACACCTTGGAGACTTGCAGCCATGGTCACCATGGACTGTTGTACAGATTGCACACTGCACAAGAGATGTCTCTCTGAGAGGACAAGGAGTTGTCAAATTCATCCCGTGTTCCCCTGTCATGCAGTATGCCTGTGGAGTTGAATCTGTCCTAGAGGAGAAGATGCATACCTATTTCTAATTCACCTGCTCAGAGAGTGCATTGTTCCCTCACCAAGATTTGGGGCTGCCTAGAGCAGGTGCCATTTTCTAATTTGTACAGATACAGTATAGACTAGCTGCAACTCTGCCTATAGATGTCCAAGTATATGATATTTGGGAGGATGTGGCAGAAAATGCCTCTCTTTTGGGGGCTACACTCAAATGTAAGCTCTGTCACTTTGTTTGCTGCTTCATCCCCAGCGTTTTTAGCACAGTATCTGGTACAGAGCAGGTGTTAGATAAATATATTTGTTGACTGAAAAAAATGAATGAATTAGTACAGTCCCAAAGCAGTCATGCATGTGCATAATGACAAAATATTTTTGTAAAACAGCTGTTTTTGTTTTTATTGACTACAACTTCTTACATACCCATAAGGCTCAGACATTGAATCTGTGGTGCTAAGTCTGGAGACAAACTCGAGTGACAGCCACTGTGCTCTACTCAGAAATGTCCCTCCCCTCTAGTTACTAAAGCTTTCTTACTGGGCCAAGTTTGTATACCTCTTTCTTTTTCCAGGATAAATTATCTCCCAGGAGGATCCTTAGTCCTTCAATACAAATATATTTCTGACGGGCCTGCCCCACCAGTTTCTCAGCCATGCCCAGGCATGTGTGAATGTCAACAATTGACAGAGCTGAGGCTCAAGCTAAGACCCTCCCTACTCTGCAACTATACACACATATAAAACCACATTTGAAATATTCATAAGCATACCCAGATACATACATGTCTGTGCAGAGCCATGCATTCACACACTTAAACTCATGCATATATGTAATCACTCATATCTATAAAAAAGTATGCATGTGCACATTTATGTATACATATGCACATTCAGAGGTATACGCTGAGCACATCTTTCTAACACGTTTCTAGTTAGATCTAGTTCCTTGCCAAGGATCTTGATTTTATTTTTCAACTCTACGACAACTTCTCTCATTTTGATTTAACTCCCCCGATCTAAATTCACACATTGGACCACCTAGCAGGGATGATTCTAATCTATTTTAGTAATCCAAGGAGTTTATATATTTAAGCTTGTTACCCCTCACACTTGCATAGCCACATCCCCCCAATCAATACCTTCAGGTATTGCCCAGATCCTCTGGTTTTTTTTTTTTCTGTTTAAGACTCAGTTATTTGTGGCTCAAACAAAATTTGTGGTTAAACCTCAACAATCTTAGATTTGAGGCAGAGAGATCCATACTAGACATGATGAGAAACTAAATGAGAAAGTGATGAGACAAAAATAATGCAAAATGAGACGTCTGAAAGCCAGGAAGAACTGTTCCTCGGGGGAGTTCGGGGAGAGTTCCTGAATACAGTATTATTTGAACTAGGCCTTGAAGGATGTAGTAGACTTGGACGTGCAAGGCCAGAGGCAGGAAATTCCAGAAAGCAAGAATGTTTGCAAAGGTCCATGGATAGGAAGAAGCAGTGTGTATGGAAAACTGAGTAAGTAAGCATGAAGGGGGATAAGTCAGCAGGGTCAAATCATGGAAGGTCTTATAGCCCTGATAAGAAGCTTGATCTTTGTTTTTAGGCAAATTGGGAGGCATAAAAAGGGTTTAAGCAAAGGAGTCACCCTGGCTGCTATGTGGAAGGTGGATTCAAAGGGGGCATGGCTGAAGCTAGGAAAAACTGTTTGCAAGCTGTTCAAGAGTACTGATTGAGTATGGTGGCAGATTGGACTCACGGTGTAGAGCAACAAAGAAATGGCCAATTTCAAAAGATGTTTAGGAGACAGAGAGTAGTAAGAGATAAGCCTGGAGGGTTAGACAGAAGTTGGACTTTTAGAGCTATAGGGGATCATTGAAAGATTTTAAGCCATTTGAAGGTCTTTAAATTAGAGATTTGATCAAATTGGCATTTTACAAAAATCACTCTGGCTGCAGTGCGGAGAAGGATTTGGAGGGGAAAAAGGGTAGAGGCAGTTAAAGAGGATCAGAATTATTAGGTAAGAGATGCTAGAAGCCTGGTCTAGGGTAGTGGCAGTGGAAATGGATACAAGTGGCTGGATTTGAGAGGCATATTATAGCAGTAGATTTGATAGAATTTGATGACAAATATGTTATGAAAGGCAAGGGTATACCAGTAAGATCCCACTGTGGACCCGTGTTTGGTCTTCATAAGTTTTAATGGCAAAAAAACAAAACAAAACAAAAAAAACAATTACATTTCCTTAGTGAACAATGATGCTGCAGTCTTACTCATGGGAATATTGTGGGCTTTGTGATGGGGCCAAAAAAATTGTTATGAGCACAGAGGACATTTATTGAGTCTGCATTCAGGTAATGCATTTGGCCTGGTCCGCTCCACTCCAGATCACCTTCTCCCCGGTCAGTGCAGTGAGGACGAATATTTCTAATGCTGGCCCTGTGAGCCTTCAGGCAGAAAAGAAAAACAATAATGGCAATGGCTTCCTTTAATAGAGTGCCGGCTTGCTAAATGTCAGACTCTACACATACTTTCATTTGTTTTCCACACCAAATCCTCTTTCTAAAGCCTATGAGACAGTAATTATTATCCTCATTCTCCAGATGAGGAAAATGAGGCTCAGAAAGCCACAGCTGGGTCACCTAATGACACAGTCATTTTGTTCCAATCTGTCTAACTTCAAGTGCATGTTCTTTCAACTACATCAGTGGTTCTCAAACTCAGCTGCACATTAAAATCATCTGGGGAGTATTTTTTTCTCTCTTTAAATCAACTCTATTGGGATATAATCCACACCGTACAATTTGGGAGTACAATTCAATGGCTTTAATATATTCACAGTTAGGTGCATTCTTCACTGCAGTTAATTTTAGAATGTTTCATCACCTCAAAAAGGAATATCATACCCACTAGCTATCACGCTGATATCCGCCATCCTCCACAGCCAGCCCTAAGCAAACACTAATCTCCTGGCTGTCCCTGTGGATTTCCCTATTCTGGGCTTTCATATTAATGGAATCATATAATATCCAGACTTTTTGTGAGTGGCTTCTTTCATTTAGCATAATGTCTTCAAGGTTCATCCAAGTTGCAGTATGTATCAGTATTTCATTCCTTTTTATTGCCAAATAATACTCCTTTGTATATATGTACATATTTTGCTTATCCATTCAGCCATTAA
The DNA here is from genome assembly GCF_000001405.40 of Homo sapiens. Lineage (NCBI taxonomy): Eukaryota > Metazoa > Chordata > Mammalia > Primates > Hominidae > Homo > Homo sapiens. The sequence goes on along the minus strand of NC_000023.11, from coordinate 132,185,951 downwards.
TAGATTTTGGGCTGCTTTTGTCTTTTGGTTGCTTTGAATAACATTGCTATAAACCACTTGTGTACAATATTGTGTGTGAACATATGTTTTCACTTCTCTTGGGCATATACCTAGGACTGGCATTGCCAGGTCATATGATAACTCTATATTTAATAGTTTGAGGAACTGCTAGACTGTTTTACCTGGGCAGTTTTTAAAATCTACTAATGCACTGCCCACCTCACTTATCCCCCAACCCTGACCAAATGAATCATACTTGCTGGGGTTGGGTGTCACTTGATTCCAATAATTTACCCTCCAAGTAGACTCCATTGTGCACCCTGCATTGAGCACCACTGCAATACACCATAATCTCAATGACATTTAATACATGGCATTATCTAATATTAGCTATTTTTGAATAATTATCAACTGCAAGGACTCAATAAGAAGCCAGTGGTGCTTCAGTATTTATTCATTAGCTAAGCCAACTAACTTGGTGACATAGTTCTGGGAAGAGAATGTTTGGCTAGGACTTTCCAGACTTGTAGCTCTCTTTTCTGTCACCAAGACTCATCGTTGAAGCAGGAAAGAAAGACAGCAAATATCAGGCTGAATTTTCAATGTGCTGAGAAAGCCCGGCTTCCACATACTGCTTGTCACATTACCTAGAATAACACCATGAAAAATTCCTTCATTTGGGCCTAGAAAGATTACGCGTCTTCAAAAGTTCCTTAAGAAACTGCAAAGCTCCCTGGCAGAAAGGAAGTTGACAGACAGAGAGAGAACCGGGTAAAAACATGACTTCTTTGGGGCAAGAGGTAAAGAGAGGGGAAATTGGCAGGAGTGATTGCTTGCCTTCTCTCTGCCTCTTTCTGCCCTCAGGCCATTCCACATTCCCACATTTCTGGAGGGTGAGATATATTCTGATTCTGTCAGTAGGGGACACTGAGGGCAGGGATGGAGTGTGGGGGTGGGGAGGGCATGAGAGGGTCAAAAAGACACATCCTGGGTTTCATCATTCTACCCAAGGAGAACCCCTCCCTGTTTGGCCCAGCTTAGTGCCTAGAGATTTACAGCTAAAGATCGAAAATACTTCCAGGAGTGTGTTTACACCAAAACACATTGAATCAATTGCTAGTTATGAATTTTCAGTCCACTTTCTATTGCTTCCAGGCCTTCACTCTGGTGACCCTTCTTAACCTGTTGTAAAAGGGGAAATTTTGATTTTGATGAGTGAGGTGGGCAGTGCATTAGGAGATTCTAAAAACTGCCCAGGTAACACAGTCTAGCAGTTCCTCAAACCACACCATCGAAAATTAAGACGTTTCTCATTTTCAGCATGTGGTTTGAAGTTTAGATATGCACAAAATGCTTTCATAAATATTGGTTACAATTTTGACCTTTAAGTAACTTGTGAGGTATTATTATCTCTATTTGCAGATGAGGAAAGTGAGGCTTAGAGGTAGTTAGATGACTTGCCCAAACAAACACCCTGAGTTTTAGGCAGATATGGAACCAGAATTTGGGTCAGTTGATTCCATGCTTTTTCTGCTCTACCCTCTCTAGCTGAATATTCAGCATACCTTGAGAAACATCTATAAGTCAAAGAATCAATCTCAATATAACTGTGTGGGTGGCACAGTGGTTCATGCCTCTAACTCTAGCCCTTTGGGAGGCCAAGGTGGGAGGATTGCTTGTGCCCAAGAGGCAGAGGTTGCACTGTGACATGATTGTGCTACTGCACTCCAGCTTGGGTGACAGAGTGAGACACTGTTTCAAAAAAACCTATATTTTTATCCTCAAATATCTCCAACACCTGAACTTTTAACAGGAGTAAATAGTTAAAAAAAAAATCACTAAATAACATTAAGAAACCAGCCAAGCTTGAATAACATGAATTTACAATGAGACTAATTATTGTTCTGGCTTGTTTTTAATATTTGTCAGTGCCGTTGAATGCAATTGTTCTCAAACTCTTTTTTACATCCTGGATTTTTTGCAAATGTGATAACTATGATGAATTGTCTATCCATATAATTGTACACACATGCATATATGGAAAATTCTTACACAAATTCAGAGGGTTCTTACACAAAATTCTTACACAAATTCAGAGGATTCATGAACCCTGTAAAGGGAACAGATTTTAAAAAAGAGACATACCTGTTGTTTGTCCAGGATTGAGGATTAGCAAGGCAGGTATGACATAAATTTTAAAATGGAGTAAATTTCAAAGATCTATATCCAGTTGCCTACTTAACATTCTCAATTTGGATATCTGATTGATAGAACTCAAAATTCATCCTCGCTAAAATAGAATTCTAGATTTCCCCCTTCCACCCCAACCTGTCTCTCTCCCAATCTTCCCTGTCTCAGTTACCGGCACCACCCAGTTGCTAAAGCCAAGACCTGTCATTCTTGATTCTTCTCTTTCCCTCTCACACACAATCCATCAACTGGTCCTGTCAGTTTTACCTCCATCGTGTATTCTATATCCATCAGTTTCTCTTCATCTTTCTTGCCTCCAGTGTAGTCCATGCCATGTGGATGGATTGAGAAGAAAATGCTTCATAAAGAGATGACATTTTAAAAGACCCCTTTAAAAGGTGGAGCTTTTTGAAGTAACTCAGGTAATCCTGGTGAGAGGTATGGTGGCCTCAGATACTAAAGGCAGCAGAGTGGTTGGAGCCTGTTAAATGGGTAGAATTTTACTTGTTCCTCTTCCTTTCCTTTTCCTTCTCTTCCTGAACAATTCAGTCCCCAGGCCATCATGAGGTCTGGAGCAAGGTATATGGAAAGGCAGTTTGGAGGAAGGAGTCAGAGATTGAGCACAGTGAGAATGGTGTCCCTGCAGAGCCCCAGCATGGTGTGCAGAGTCAGATGCTCATATGTTTTGGTTGTGTCCCCACCCAAATCTCATCTTGAATTGTAGTTCCCATAATCCCCATGTGTCATGGGAGGGACCCGGTGGGAGGTAATTGAATCATGGGGGTGGTTACCCTCATGCTATTCTCATGATAGTGAGTGCTTACAAGATCTGATGATTTTATAAGGGGCTTCCCCCTTTGCTTGACTCTCATTCTTCTCTCTCCTGCTGCCATGTGAAGAACGATGTGTTTGCTTCCCCTTCCAGCATGATTGTAAGTTTCCTGAGGCCTCTCCAGCCAACCTGAACTGTGAGTCAATTAAACCTCTTTCCTTTATAAATTGCCCAGTCTCGGGTATGTCTTTATTAGAAGTGTGAGAATGAACTAATACAGATGCCAAGCAGGTACGGGGGGTCAGAGTCTGAGCAGGGTGGTCAGACTGTCCACACATGGGAGTAGCTCAGCATGGTGTGGGGCCAGAGCATGAACAGGGTAAAGAGTTTGTCCATTCCTGAGTGAGAATGATGTCCATGGAGGGGCAGCCTGGTGTGGGGTGTTGGAGTCTAAGCAGGGTGAGGGAGTCCTTAAAATACTTAATAAAATAAAGGGAAAAAGAATAACTTCATGCCTGTAATCCCAGCACTTTGGGAGGCCGAGGCAGGTGGAACACTTGAGGTCAGGAGTTCGAGACCAGCCAGGCCAACATGGTGAAACACAGTCTTTGCTAAAAATACAAAAAATTAGCTGGGCATGGTGGCAGGTGCCTTTAATCTCAGCTACTCGGGAGGCTGAAGCAGGAGAATCACTTGAACCCGGGAGGTGGAGTTTGCAGTGAGCTGAGATTGCGCCATTGAACTCCAGCCTGGGCAACAAGAGTAAAACTCCATCTCAAAAAAAATAGCTTTAATATGTTAAAAAAATCTTACAAATAGAGGAGAAAAACTTAAAAGGTCAAGAAAAACCATTACTTTGTGCTCATTTGAGGAATGTAATTTCTTCCACAAATCAGGCTGTAAAGACCCAGTTCTTTCATAGAACCCCTGCTTTTTTCCTTTATTGCACTTTTTCCTTCTTAACTGTCATTAATTAAATATTTGTAGGTCTTTCTATTTAATGTCTGTCTCCCATACTGGACTGTAGGCTAAAAGAAGGCAGTGTTTTTTTGCTTGTTTTGTACATTGCTATGTCCTCAGTATTTAGTAGAATGCCTACTGTATAGGTGTTAGTCAATAAATACTGGTTGATTGAATAAATGCTGAGAGAGAGGGAGAGAGAGAAGTTATCCTATAAGTTATTTAGAGAAACAACAGCACTTTTGCAGGTGGAGTACTGTGCCTAGGAGCCAGTAGGGATGAGAATGGTCCTATCCACCCATCGGTTTTGAATCAGGCCCTAAGATAAGGGAAGGTCTAGCTGTCTGTGGAACTATGGGGAACTGCAACCCCGCAGCAGAAGCCTTCACAACGCTGGCACCCAGGGCATGGAGAAACTGTCAGCCTGCCAGCAGGAGATCCAGCCTGAGAATTTGGCAGCCTTGCAGCCTCACCCGGAACTGACACACATCCAGAAGAGTTCACCACAGAAGTTGTCTTTGCCCTGCAGCTCCTGGAAGGGATCCAGGGTCACCACGCCATAGGGCTCCAGAGCCCAGATGTAAAAGGTGCAATTTACCAACAGCGTGTCTGCTGGAACTTCCCCCAAGAGTAAGTAAGCTCTCGCATAGGTGCATAGGTTTGCCTCTCTTACCTCATCTTCAAACAGAAGATCTGGCCCTTAGCCTTTTCCTAAGTAATTGTGAGTTGAGAAGGAGGATATTCCAGGCAGAGAGAAAAGTTTAAGTAAAGGCATGCAACCATTATGCATATTGGGGTCCTATAAGTAGTCTGATATGACTGAAGCTCTGGGGAAGTGGTGGAACAAACCAAAAGATGAGGTTCAAAGTCCAAAAGGCCATCTCTTGAATGCTTTGCTAAGGAAACTGAACTTTACCCTGTAGGCAGTGGAGAGCCGGTGAAACAGCCAGTTTCGTGCTATGACATTTTCACTCTGGGTGCCGGGTGGAGAATGGTTTGGTGTGGGAGGCAAATCACACAGGAGGCTATTAAAATGTTCCAGACAAAGTATAATGAAGACTCAGACAAGGGTAAAGGTGGTGAGTACAAAGAGAAATGGTCAGTTAAGAGAGGCAGAACTTGTAGACTAGATGTGAGCAGAAACAAAGGAAGACAAATCTAGACTGATGGGATTTTCATTGACATAAGCAATAGAGGCAATCAGTGAGATTTGTTTGGACATCTTGAGTTTGAGGAGCCCATAGATTACCCCAGCAGGATTGCCCAGTTAGTAACTGGATAGACAGGTCTGGAGCTCAGAAAAGAAGCCGAGGCTGGAGATGCAGATCTGGAAATCAGTAACATATAACTGAAGCCATGGTAGTAAGTGGAATCATCCACAGAGACTGTGTAGCATGAGGACCAAAAGCCAAGGAGAGAGCCTGAGAAATTCCTAATGCTTAAAGGATGGCCAGAAGAAGAGAGATCAGAGGAGACTGTGAAGAAGTGGTTTATTGAAGTTGGAGAAGGTAGCAGACGTTATTTCTCAAAGTCAAGAGAGGGCAGATTTTTGAGAAATGAAGAGTGGTCAATAGTGTTGAACGGCATTGAGAAGTCAAGTAGGATGAGGCCTGAAAAACAAAACTTATTTAACGCAGTGATTAGGAGGCTATTGGGGATCTTTCCTAGGGTTGTTCCAGGGAAGCTGTGAGGGCAGAAGCTTGACACTGCTAAGATCCTACAACCGAAGATATTCCTTCATAAATATGTGAAACCTTCAGAATTCCATGGGCAAATAAACCATTCTTTCTTTTTTAAATTAATTTTAATTTTTAAGTTCTCGGGTACATGTGCAGGATGTGCAGGTTTGTTACATAGGTAAATGTGTGCCATGGTGGTTTGCTGCACCTAAGAGCCTATCACCTAGGTATTAAGCCTAGCATCCATTAGCTATTTTTCCTAATGCTCTCCCTCCCCCCACCCCACCCTCTGACAGGCCCCAGTGTGTGTTGTTCCCCTCCCTGTGTCCATGTGTTCTCATTGTTCAGCTCCCACTTATAAATGAGAACATGCAGTGTTTGGTTTTCCATTCCTGCATTAGTTTGCTGAGAATAATGGCTTCCAGCTCCATCCATGTCCCTGCAAAGGATATGATCTTGTTCCTTTTTTTGGCTGCGTAGTATTCCATGGTGTATATGTACCACATTTTTTTTTATCCAGTCTATCATTAATGGGCATTTGGGTTGATTTCATGTCTTTGCTATTGTGAATAGTGCTGCAATGAACATATGTGTGCATGTGTCTTTATGATAGAATAATTTATATTCATTTGGGTATATACCCAATAATGGGATTGCTGGGTCACATGATAAACCTTTAAAAAAATACACTTTAAGGTTTGAAAATAAATGCAGAAGTACATTCCCAGTGCAAAAGGTCAAAATTTTCCTGGTACCTTTAGGGATGGCCTAGAATCTTAGAAATCATGACTTGATATTTGGCTCTCGTTCACGAGAGTGGTATGACCTGCTGGGAGTGCTTTCTGCGGATGGCTGTGCTTGCATACAAATGAACATGTGAGTATTTACCCACGATGTATGACTACAAAAAGGTCTTCAGCAGAGTTCAATTTGGAGCCCAGGAAGAAACACATTGGTGAAGGCTGGAGAAACGGTGCTGAACATCTGGTCCAAGGGACAGGTAAAACCACCATCAGTAAAAGGAATAATGAGATCAGAAGCAGAAAGAGTCAGAAGTAAGTGGGCAAGAACAGTTAGAGTAAGAACTTCAGAACCAAAGCTGTGAAACATTTAGGGGGTTAGAGACCTATTTTTGGTTGGTGCTAGGAATGTGGTATGGGCTGGCAGGCTCAAGGACTTCAAGGAACTGCACACTCCTGCCCAGTGAGGCTGGTAATGGCAACCTCTTCAGAGCTCCTGGCCTAGGTAGAGAACACTGTAATAATTGTTCAGCCTGCTAACTGAGGAAACATGATTAGGCATGGTAGAAAGAGTGGGACTTTTGGTCTTTCTGGAGTCCCACAGCTATCCTAAGTAAAAGCTGTCATTTTTTGAGAAGCCCTTACTTCAGAACCAAGGTCAAAACATGCTTACAATGGGACCTCATTATTCTGTTAGTGTGATTAGTTAAATTGTGTCCCCCTAAAAAATATATTGAAGCCCTAACCGCCAGTACCTCAGAATGTGACCTTATTTGGAAATATGTTTGTTGTAGATATAATCATATTAAAATGAGGTCATAACAGGGTAAAGCAGGCCCATAATCCAACATGACTGATTTCCTTATAAGAGGAGAAGAGACAAAGTGAGACACACAGGGAAAATGCCATGGCAGAGGCTGAGATTTAGGTGATGTAGCTCAAGCCAAGAAATGCCAAGAATTGATGGCCACAACCAGAAGCTTCAAAGAAACAAGGAAATATTCTACCCAGAGTCACAAAGGGAGCGTGGTCCTGCTGATGATACCTTGCTTTTAGATATCTAGTGTCCAGAATTGTGAGAGAATACATTTCTGTTGTTTTAAGTCAATCAGTTTGTGGTAATCTGTTTTGGCACCCCTAAACCTCTATTTGTATTGGAAACGAATAGAGTTAGCAAGTATAAAAGAGTGTCATTGCTCTAGGGACAAGCTTCCAGTTAATAGAATAAATCCCCAAAAAGAAGGGTTATTGCAAAGATTCCATTCAAACGGAAACATCTGGCTACCTGATAGAAGAATTGACAAGCTAAGTGATACAAGGCTTAGTGACATTCCAAGGATTTGAGATGATCTTTGTTCTTGGAGAGATTTAAGCTACCTGGGTTCATAATTTTTAAAGTTTGAACTGGAAATAAAAATTTATGTCTTTGTTTTGAGTGTGTTTTTCTTATTACAAATCAAATCCAGATTTTTAGTCTAGGTTGTATCCTTATAGGGATAATAAATAGCAACAACCACAAGATAATTAAAGGGGAAATAAATTTTTAGGGAGTACATGGCCTTTTTATTGCCTTTTTATCTGCCCTTCTCTTTTAATTAATAGACTTTATTTTTAGAGTAGTTAGGTTTACAGAAAAAATGAGCAGAAAGTACAAAGAGTTCCCTTATATTCCCTTTCCCTACCCCTCCACCTTCTGACCAGGCGCACAGTTTCCCCTTTTATTAACATCTTGTATTAGTGTGGTAAATTTGTTACAATTTATGAACCAATATTAATACATTATTATTAACCTGAGTCCATAGTTCACTTTATGGTTCACTCTTTGTGTTGTGCAGTTCTACCGGTTATGACATATGCATAATGGCATGTACAGTATCATAAGGAATAGCTTCACTGCCCTAAATGTCATGACATATGCATAATGCATAATGTCATGTACAGTATCACAAATATGACATATGCATAATGCTAATATATGCATATCATACATATGACATATGCATAATGCATAATGTCATGTACAGTATTATACATATGACATATGCATAATGTCAGGTACAGTATCATATGGAATAGCTTCACTGCCCTAAATTTCCCCTGTACTTCACCTGCTCACTCTTCCTTCCCTCTCCCAGGACCCCTGGCAACCACTGACCTTTTACTGTCTCCACAGTTTTGCCTTTTCCAGAATGTAACGAAGTTGGAATCATACAGTATATAGCCTTTTCAGACTGGCTTCTTTCGCTTAGCACTATGCATTTAAGGTTCCTCCATGTCTTTTGTGGCTTGATAATTCATTTCTTTCTATCATTTAATAATATTTCATTGTATCAATGCACCACAGTTTGTTTATCCATTTACCTATTGAAGGATATTTTGGTTGCTTCCAAGTTTTGGCAATTATGAATAAAGCTTCTGTAAATATTCATGTGTAGGTTTTTGTGTGGATATAGTTTTTCAACTAATTGGGATAAATACCAAAAAGTGTGATTGCTGGATTGTGTGGTAATAATGTGTTTAGCTTTGTAAAAAAATGCCAAACTGTCTTCTGAAGTGGCTGTACCATTTTTCATTCCCACCGGCAACGAAAGAGGGTCCCTGTTGCTCCACATTCCAATCAGCATTTGGTGTTATCAATGTTTTGGGTTTTAGCCATTCTAACAGATGTGCGGTGATGTCTCATTGTTGTTTTAGGAAATAAACTTTTCAGTAATAAACAGCTTAAACTTAAAGCTAAAAGGCTGACACCCTGAAGATTCTAAAGGATATCTCTACAAACCAAGACATTCCTTCATAAATGTGTAAAGCCTTCAGGATTTCATGGGTAAATAAACTTTTACTTCAAAAATAATCTTTCAGTTTGAAAATAAATACACAACTATGTTCCAGTGGGAAAATTGTGGTTCCTGGATTGTTGCAGAGCAAGTGAGCATTTCAGAGGCAAAGTGATTACTGTGATACATCTTTGCTAAGTCTGGGACCGGCACTTTATCTTTGTCCACCCTCTCCATAGACCTAAACCCTCTCACAACTCTAAGATGGAATTTCCTTGTCTCCTCTTTCCCTGTCCCTGCTCATAATTTAAAATCTCTGTCTTCATCAATCTGTTTCCATCTTCCCTAGGGTCTGGCTAATCCTTTTCCTCACTCTGTGATCACCAACCCCCATGCCCCATTTCACCTTCTTCCCCTTAGATGAACCTTGAAAATATTATGCTAAGAGAAAGAAGCCAGATACAAAATGCCATAGATTATATAATGCCATGTGTGTGAAATATCTAGTATAGGTCAATTCATAGAAATAGAAAGTAGATTAGAGGTTACCAGGAGGTGAGATGAGAGGAAAATGAGGAGTTATTGCTTATTGGTTACTGAGTTTCTGTTTGAGATGACCTAAGGTATTTTTGTGTTTGTTGAATTTATTGAATAGTAGTGGTTTTATGTTTCCACTTCTAACTTTTAAAAAATCAAGTAGGTGGAACATTTTTTAATTTTTTAAAAATTACATTGCTTTTTTCTTATGTGTGGTCTTTATTTCCTCCTATAATATGTGGCCTTCTACCATGATCTGCAGAGCCTTGGAGCCTGATTTTTTCCTTTGGAGGTGGTCAGAAAGGAACATGTATAAAGAACAAAGCTTGTGCCTGGTCTTTATGTCCTCTGCCAAGAACTAACTGAAAGTGCTTTCTGGAAATCCACAGAGGTCTCCATCCTTGACTACATCCCTGATATCTGAGGACTGATCTGAGGGAGCCTCCTGGTAAGCTAAAGAAGCCAGTGGATTAGGCCCACTTTCCAGTTTGCAAGGCCTAGTAGACACCAACAATCCTGTCTGTCTTGGGATTCTGGATGCTGTTTTCTGTAACTGGAACATCTCTCTCTGTAAGTGTCCCCAGAGGGGATATTGTATCTCCTCAGCGAAGACTGATAATTTGTTCCCTGGTGTCAAACTTTGAATCTTTGGAAACACTCCCTGTATTGGTACATGAGATTGAAGAGTGTTTTGAAAGTCCTGTTCACATGAGTTCCTATGGGGCCAAAGAAAGGCTTGTCCTTGGTTAGTAACAGCTGAGGGCCAAAGTGTTTAGGTTTCTCTTTGTGGATATAGATTTTGTTCTTAATACTGTTCAGTTGAAAATTAGATGCAATTTCTAAGGACCCTTCCAGTACTGACATCCTATGCTGTCTTGAATGTGAGCATATCTGTTGCCCACCCCTACTCACGCACCAAAAACTCAAAGTGTGGTCTACAACCAGCACCTCAACTTCCCTATCATTCACCAGCACTTCATACCTTGCAATCTGGGTCTTTCTGCTTTTTGCCTGGCTTTGCTAGCCACCCACACCTCCCCAACACTTCCTACAATGCCTTACCACCCAAGATAGTTCAGTTCAGTTTCACTAGTTACCTCTGATGTTCTTTCTCAGTCTTCATCTTTCTTGAGTTCCCTATTGCAGTTGATGTTATTGACCATTCTTCCCCTCCTACTTGAAACTCTCTTCCTTTGAAAACCTCATGACATTGGTCTATTTTTTTCTCTCTTTATACTTTCAAATTCTGAAATCTCATCTGTCCAAGGGCTTCTGTTATTGCTTCTATGCTCAATGTATCTGTAGTCCAACTCTCTGCTGTATGTTCCGGATTCTCATATCTTGCTTTCTGATATGTATCTCCATTTAGATATCCTAAAGGTGCTTTGAACTCAGACTTCAAACAGAACTCTCCATCTCCCTTCTATGCCCACTCCTAACTTTTCTTTTCTTGTGTTCCCTGTTGTGATGAACAGTCCATTTTCCTTCCAGCCACTTAGATTAAAAATCTCAGGATCATCTGACTCATTCTCCACTCCACAATCAATAGTGAATTTCAGTAGATTCCGTCTCTCCAATGCGTCTTGTATTTGTCTCTTTCTCTTCACCCTCACTGTCACTGCTTGATTCAGGCCTGTGTTATCATTTGGCTGTTACAACAGCCTCACTGTGTCTCTCTGCTCCCTCTACTGTAAACTACATATTTTTGCTGTATAATAGTTTTCAGATCTCATTCCTCGTCTGCTCAAAAGTTGTAACACTGTTGCTACAGTAGATTTCAAAGTACATAACTACTTTGAACAAAACCCTTTAGTTATTCCTCCTTGCCCAGAAAATTAAACAAAAACTTTTTGCTCTGACATTCAAACCCTTCCCCAAGTGACTCCATCCTTCCATTACAGCCTTGCCTCCCACTGCTCCTCAATTTGAATCTTAAGCTCTCCAGTCAAACAAGACAATTCGTTCTGTTTACTTCAATCTCTATACCTTTGTTCTTGCTCTTATGTCTATCTAAAATGCCCTTCTTACAACTCATCTGCCCCAGCAAAATTCTTTACATGCTTCAAAGCCCATTTTCATCATATACTCCTCTATGGAGTTTCTCCTTGATTCCTTAACCAGATATGTCTTTTGCCCCTTTGTATTCCTTGGAGCTTTCCTTGTATTGCGTAGAAACTATTATATTTATGGCTGAGATCACTAGTTGTTGCACAGTATCAGATCTCCCCTTATTCCTTAATAATAAAACTTTAATTTTAAGCAAGGGATGTGGCCACCTTGAATAAAGACTACATTTCACAGCTTTCCTTGCAGGTATATTTGGCCCTGTGATTAAGTTCTGACAAATGGGCTATAAGTAAAACTGGTGTACACAACTTTTGGGAAGTGTACTTAAAGATAGAAGAGCATGCCATTCTTCTTTCCTTCCTCATTCCTGCTGACCAGAATAGAAGAAAAAATTGCTGGAGCTCTACATGTCATCTTGGACCACAAGATGACGTTGAGAATGAAAGCTATATGTGGCAGAGCAACAAGAGAGAAGGGACTTGGTCTCCAGCTCCCAGGGTTTTGTTTACTATCTCTTTGTTGCTGACTTTTCATTCTGTAGAACTAGTTCAGATCTCTGACTGAGCTCCAGTCTTTTTTTCCCTGCTCCCTGGCCTGTGTCTTTATCCACAGCCCCTGTCACTGTGAAACACCATGTCCCAGTCCTGGACTGATGGCCTTGGAAATTATTGAACATGAAAGAGATGAAAACTTGTTATTTGTGGATTTTCTGTTGCTCATAACTGAGCTTAATCCCAAATAATGCAGTATAGTTCAGCCTTTTCTGTCTTGTCTTATAGATCAGAACTTGCCTTAATCCTTGTTTGACTTTTAAGGATGTGGTTTTCAATGTGTGATATAAAGAAAGATGAGCCCAAGGTGTTCTCTCACTAGCCTGTCAGAAAGCAGTTCTACTTGGTGGACCCTTCTGAACTGAGATTGCCAGTCAATATGTACTTCCTTGGTATGACTTCCAGCTTCCAAACCAAAGGCCATTCTGAGGTCAAAGAAGAGCAGTACTTCTGATCATAGCTGGGGAACATGTTAGAGGTGGTCATTTTATTTCCCTCATTCACATTCATGTATTAATCCCAGGGAGAAACACTAGAGTATAGTGACTAAAGATATGGATTTGAAGACCTATTACTTTAGTACAAATCCCAGTTCAATCATCTCCTAGTTATGTGACCTTAGGCAAGCTATTTAACCTCTCTCTCTTTTAATTTCCTTGCCTTTCAAGAAGTGATAGTAATACTGGACACCTCATAGGATTTAACCTCATAGGAAGGTTAAATAAATTAATACACATAAACACATAGAACAATGCCTGGCACAGGCAAGTGTTTGTTATTAGTAAATATTGTAATTATTAATTTGATTACCTACTGGAGATACAATGGCGAATAAAATAGACATTTCCCCTATCCTCATGGATCTTAAAGTCCTGTACAGAGGACATGAAACCATATTTAAACAATTTTAAGTTTAGAATTGTGATTAGTGCTACAAGGGGGATTAGGAGACTGGATAAAAGGGAAATCTAGTTCAGCGAATCAGGCAAGACATTTACGCAGCAGTGACATTTAAGCAGTGGCATGGAGATTGAGTAAATTAGCCTAGGGAAGAGTGCTAAAACAACAAGGAGGAGGGTGAGAGAACCCAGGTGCTTCAGTGGTCTCTGCTAGGGCTGAGGTGTTCAGCTTGCTGCACAACATTCCTAGCGGGAATTGAGGCTGCCTACAGGGAAGGACTGGATGTGCCCTACAATTGATAGACAAGGGACTTGGGGGCCATGGAAAAGAGAATACCAGGGGCTTGGCCTTTGAAAATAAATCCTCTAATCCCTGGGAAATTGCAGGGCAGTGTGGCATAAGCCAGGGGGAAGGTGAATGCTGGGGGCTACATTTCGTCAAGGCAGGTGAAGGCATCCATGAGGATATTCTGCAAGAAAAAGTCAAGGCAGGGATCACACAAAATTGGCCAGATCGCCTTTGCAGTTGAATTTTAAAAGAAAGTCCTTGAATACTTAAGAAATCATATTTCCTGTACATATGTGAAGGGTTGAGTTGAGAGACCTCAAATGCTCAAATTATTCCTGGCATGCACAACCTTAAATTAGAGGGGCTAAATAAAGCTGTGGCCTGCCTTTTCTGAAAGTTTGCCAACCACTGATATAGATCATGCGGGACATGGGGCCTCATCTGGGCTGATCTTAGGATAGATGTTGGAACTTGCTTTCTTGCTGCAATCTCTGACATCAGCCCTAGTTTTTAGTCATGTATCTCTTTCTCCAAGACATAAAGTACTGGGGGCCCTCAGGGAGTGTGGGTTTAGTCCTTGACCAGCTAAAGAGTTCCTTGTCTAGAGAACGAATGATTGATTTCTGCTGTTAAACAGCCTGTACCAGACTGTTCTTTTCATCTGCTTAGACCCATCATCTACATGGGTTTTAGAGATGCCCTTTGACTGTTGAACCAACATCTGAAACGTTCTTTTAGTTTGGCATCAGTAAACACTTCGGACCTCCCAGACGGTTCAAAGTCATGCTCCACATCACCTTGTTTGGAAATGTCACCATCTGGTGGATTCCAATGTATCTGCTCTCAAAGACCTAACTATGTTTTGCCAATTGAGGGCATCCATGACTTGCAGAATATTGTAGCTGCATACTGACTTTGGGATTGGGGTTTGAGGAAGCCAGGGTTGGAGGGCAAATAAGAGACAATGTACTATGCTTCATGATTCAAAGTAGAAATCTTGGTACACAGTCAGTTGGATATATACTGTTTGGTTGGCTTTTCTCGGCAGTGCAATGTGCCCACCAACACCCCTTCTCCTACAAAGTTTCATTGTACCTCTGTGAACCTGGATTGCCTCTATAGGGACCACAGACAATTTTCAAGCTGTGAAAAGGAACTAATAAATTGCTATCACTTCCTTCACAGCTTTTTGAAATTCAATCCCTGGAATCTGACAGGAGGCAAGACTGACTTCCTTCAAATATAGGCCCTCCCTGGCATGGTCAATCCCAGGAGCCACAAGTCAAATGATTCCATGGGCAGCCCAGCCCAGACACATGCAGTGAATCCACACTGCTCTTGCTCTTTAGCTAAAGTATCAGTGAAGTATCTTAAATATTGCCATTAATTAGTAGCAGTGTTGGGAGCAAAAACACAGACATGTTCAGACTTAAAAGAGAGTATCTGCTCAAGTAAAAAAAAATGCCAGGGCTTTAGAATTAAACAGATAAAGATTTGAATCCCAGTTTTTCCAAATACTGGCTGCATGAATGAGATACAGACACACACCACTCAAGCCCTGCTACTTCTGCTCCTGACTTTTAGTTTCCTTATCTGCAGGATCAGATAATCATAGTACCTACTTTATGCAGTTGCAATAAAAATTAAATGAGAAAGTAATCTTGCTGTAAATAACTCTCACTTGGTAATTTTAAAGTAGAACATTTTTATTTATTTGGGGCTTTATTGCAGTCCTGACAATAAAAGAGTTCAAGTCTCTTGCTGTCTGAGCCCAAAGTCTTTACTCAGATGTAATTAATATTTAGAACGATGGTCTCCCCTCAAAAAAGCATTTATTTAGTATGCAACAAAAGAGGTATTTAAAGATCCAAACGATTATGTTTGAATTATGGATCTAGTTTAGATCTATTTATCTCATTTGTTTAGAGTGGTCTTTCTCAATTTTCATTATTTTCTTGGGAGCAGGATTGTTTTTTTCAAATAAAGTCTCACTTGGAACCCCAATATAGTAAATAAATAACAGATGCAGAGGTTGAAGCTGGGACTGGAGCTGGAGGAAGAGGAGCAGGATTCTATTTGGTTCCCACTAGAATGTAAGCTCTCAGACAGTAGGTATATTTTCTGTTTTGTTCACTGCTGCATCCCCAGTGTCTATAACAATGCCCTGATTAACAGGATTCAACAGATAATTTTGATCAAATGATGGATAAGCAGCATATAAGAAAGGCTGTCTGCTGAGCTTAATACCTAGGTGGTGGGTTTATCTGTGTGGCAAACCACCATGGTACACGTTTGCCTATGTAACAAACCTGCACATCTTGCACATGTACGCTGGAACTTAAAATAAAATAAAATAAAATAAAGGCTGGCACATAATAAGCACCTAAGAAAATCTTAGTGCCTCTTACCTATCTAAAAACCCCACAGAAAGTTGAGTGACACATGGTGTTGCTGTGAGAATAAAAACTTCAGCCTGGGAAAAGAGTTATGCCTTCTCTGATCACCCACCTACCTTGTCATTTATCTTACATCCTAAAATCCTTCCTAAGAAGGTCAGGTATGTAATGAGGGATTGGCTGTGCAGGGAGCAGAGACACCAGGCAGAGTGACTGGTTTCATAGCTCCTTTCCCACCTTCTCAAACAGCTCCGGGCAAATTAGACAACTTGCAAAAATCAGACTGAGCACCTGGTACAAAACAAATATGTGCCACGATTGAGCAAACACTCTCTTCAATAATAGTGTGTCAGCAAGAACAGAAGCAACATATTTAGCTCTGTGGCCAGAAAGTCAAATTTGAGACTTGGATAATTAAAGCTAACAGGCAGCTTGATGGAAAAGAACAAATACAAACTTTGGAGTCTACAGGACCCAAATTCCAGGTTTGCTAGCTATTGATTGAGTGACCTGTTGGGTAAGACCTCGCTAAGCTTCAGTTTTTCCACCTGCAAAAAAATCATTATTCATTATCTGATAAAAATAGTACCCCTATCATTGGTTTGTGTGGAAATTAAATGAACTGATTAATTAACTGATTAGTAAAATGCCTAGCACATAGAGAACACTCTACAAAAGCTCATCTTCTCTCTCTTCTTTCTCTGGAAGTCCCAGACAATCATTTAAAGATAAACTGTACTATATAGAAGTCCCAAAGCAAAGATCAAAGATAACTACACAGAAATTAAGAGACTTCAGTTCAGGGGCAAATGTTGGGATCTAATAGAGACGTATTTCAAGTGATGAAATTCTGGTGCACACACAGGAGAAGATGGGGGGAAACCGGGATCCCTCAGTTCCCTGAGAGATGCTAAAAAGTGAGAGTCAATATAATTTAGTGGTCAACAGCTGGGCTCTTGAGTCATGCATATGTGACCCAAGTTAGAATCCCAGCACTGCCATTTGCCAATACTTAATTTTTTCTGGACCTCCATTTCCTCATTTGTAATATAGGGATGATAATATGAATTCCTACATCAGGAAGCTGTTGTGAAGACTAAGTGTAATAACATATTCAAAACTTCTGATACGGTAGGAGTTCAATATGTAGTAGTTATGAGTATTGGCATTCCTGGGGTGCTCATGAATGGAAAGAAATAGTGGATTAAAAAGAGTGGCAGGCTGGGCATGGTGGCTCACGCCTGTAATCCTAGCACTTTGGGAGGCTGAGGCGGGCAGGTCACTCGAGGTCAGGAGTTCCAAATCAGCCTGGCCAACGTGGTGAAACCCCGTCTCTACTAAAAATACAAAAAAAAAAAAAATTTAGCCAGCCATGGTGGCAGGCACCTATAATCCCAGCTACTCAGGAGGCTGAGGCAGGAGAATCACTTGAACCCGGGAGGCGGAGGCTGAAGTGAGCCAAGATTGTGCCATTGCTCTCCAGCCTGGGCGACAGAGTGAGACTCTGTCTCAAAAAAAAAAAAAATAAAAAAATAAATAAGTTGCAGTTTCTCCAACTCTGAACAGGGGCAGAGATTCACCTCTAGCCAGGTGGTTCCATATGGACCTTGAAAGTCAGTCCTATGTGGAATTCATCCTCGAAGAGGGAAACAGAAAGGATGATCATGGGAGGACTCATGACCTAGCAACATGCCACTTTCATTTTCTTCAGTTATATTGATAACTACCTGTGAGGTAAGCAACCAGGGTATTTTAGGGTGAATTCCCTACTAGCAGACCCTGAGACGAAGAGCCACATGCACATGGTTTATTAAGCAATTGCTCCTGGAAGAACTGAATAAGGGAGTAGGGAAAGCAGAATACAAAAAGGAAGAAGCAAAGAAAGGGTGTAAATTCAGACTAAGTCCTAGACTTAACCTTATCTTTCAGGGGAGTTCTGGCATGTAAAATTACACATCACAGCTGGACTTTTATACTCCTGCACCTCTCAGTAATTGGCTGAAGGCTGCCCTGCAAGGATGTAAACTCCAGGGTTCTTCTGGTTTCCTGGGCTTTTGAGAAAACTGGCTCCAAACACTCAAGGGCAGTCCTTTTAAAATATTTGCAAGTGTTGGCCATTAAAAACGAAACA
The DNA here is from genome assembly GCF_000001405.40 of Homo sapiens. Taxonomy (NCBI): domain Eukaryota; kingdom Metazoa; phylum Chordata; class Mammalia; order Primates; family Hominidae; genus Homo; species Homo sapiens. The sequence goes on along the minus strand of NC_000023.11, from coordinate 132,167,966 downwards.
CATAAGAAGACAGTTTGGCAGTTTCTTACAAAACTAAATATATTCTCACCATGTGATCCAGCAATTATGCTCTTTGGTTTTTTTGTTTGTTTTATTTTTTATTTTTTTGAGACAAGGACTCACTCTGTCACTCAGGATGGAGGGCAGTGGCACAGTCAGGGCTCATTGCATCCTCAAACTCCTGAGCTCAAGTGATCCCCCCACCTCAGCCTCCCAAGTAGCTAGGACCACAGGCATGCACTACCATGACCAGCTAATTTTTAATTTTCACAGAGATGGAGTCTCACTATGTTGTCCACTTTGATCTCAAACTCCTAGGCTCAAGTAATCCTCTTGTGTCAGCCTCCCAAAGTGTTGGGATTACAGGTATGAACCACATGCCCAGCCACTCTGGTATTTACCCACCCAAAGAAGTTAAAAATGTATGTCCACACAAAACCCTACACAGGAATGTTTGCAGCAGCTTTATGCATAATTGTCAAAACCTGGAAGCAAGGAAAATGTCCTTCAATAGATAAATGGATAAATAAATGGTGTTAGATTTAGATAATGGAATATTATGCAGTGCTAAAAAGAAATGAGCTATCAAGCCATGAAAATACATGAAAGAACTTTAAATGCACATTACTAAGTGAAATAGCCAATCTGAAATTTCTACATACTGTATGCTTCCAATTTTATGACATTCTGGAAAAGGCAAAACTATGGAGACAGTAAAAACATCATTGGTTGCCAGGTGTTGGTGAGGGATGAATAGGTGAAGCACAGAGGATTTTGAATGATACTATAAAAATGGATATGTATCATTATCCATTTGTCCAAACCCATAAAACCGTGAACCCTGGTGTAAACTAGGGACTTGGGGTAATTATAATGCAGGTTTATTACTTACAATAAATGTACCACTCAGATGTGCATTTGAGATGTTGATAATGGGGGATGTTGATAATGAGGGAAGCTATGTGTGTGGAGGGTAGAGCAGCAGTTCCCAACCTTTTTGGCATCAGGGACTGGTTTCATGGAAGACAATTTTTCCATGGATGGGGAGCAGGTTGAGGATGGTTTCAGGATGAAACTCTTCCGTCTCAGATCATCAGGCGTTAGATTCTCATAAGGAGCATACAACCTAGATCCCTCACATGTGCAGTTCACAATAAGGTTTGCACTCCTATGAGAGTCTAATGCTGCCGCTGAACTGAGAGGAGGCAGATCAGGTGGTAATGCTCGCTCACCCTGCTGCTCACCTCCTGCTGTGTGGCCTGGTTCCCAACAGGCCACAGACCTGTACCAGTCCACAGCCTGAGGAGTTGGGGACCACTGAGGTAGAGTATGTGTGGGAAATCTCTGTACCTTCCCCTCAATTTTGCTGTGAGACTAAAACTGCTCTAAAAAAAAAGTTGTTTTGTTTTTTTTTTTTAAAAAAGCAAAACAAACAGAAGCTGGGAAGGTGGGTGCATAAAGCAGTAATTGGTATCTGAGGAGATCTAGGTAGAGCACTGACAATGTTTTCTACTCAGAACTCATTGTCCCTATTTTACAGGTGAGAGAACAGGCTTAGAGAGCAATCCATCAAAAGCCACCTAGTTGGTAAGCAACATTATCAGGACTAGAACTCAGTGACTGTGGATATTCATTTGTTGCCTTCCTAGCATCTATTACTCCCTACCCTCTACCAAATGGGACCTACCTATATATTTGGGGTCGCCATGGATAGGTTCAAATTAATCAGTATATTCCATCCCTGTAACTTCAGTAATTGATTCAGAGATGAACACATGACCCAATTCAGAACAATAAGGGATAAAGACACAAAACTTTTGTTTAAAATATTAGAGGAAAAGAACTCTTCCCTTTTGTGTGTGAATGACAAAGGCTGTATCCCCAGGGGCTGCTGACAGCCACCTTGGAAATATAATAGGAGAGTCTGCTAGAAGTGACACCAACACCATGAATAAAGACAAGATAAGATATATTAAGAGAGAAACTAGATCTTTGCTGCCCAAAACACTTGGTCAAATATTGTTTGATGTCTATATACCTCTGGACTTTTCCTGATAAAGGAGCTAATAATTTCCCCTTGTTGCCTAAGGCAGTTTCTGTTGGGCTTTCTGTTGCTTGCAACCTAAGACATCTTAACTGACTCATCACATTTCTTGATTCCTGGGCTAGTACATAACCACAATGAATTTGGCTGGAAAATAGTTCTCTACTTTTTCATATGTTTTCCATAGGCCTCTGACTTGATGTAATTTTAACTAAAATTCAAAATCTCTTGACTACTGCTTTCAAGTAGAGGGAAATAAGAGAAATGAAAGTAGAATGGTAAAAAGAGTGCTGAACAAATCAAACATTTGGCTTCTTTTATTCCAGCAATTTTTTAAAAATCAGCCTTTTTGAGGTAAAATATACATGTGGAAAAATAGACCAATTCTAAGCGTGCAGTTTGATGTCTTTTGACAAATATATAGGCACCAACACAATCAATATATAGAATATTTTCATCACCTCAAAAAGTTCCCTCGTGCCTCCCTCTTTGTGTTCAGTACTCCCCAATGCTGGCCCCAGACAATGAATATTTTATTTTCTGTTACTAGAGATTAAAATAATGTTGTAGAATTTTGTTGTAAATGAAATCATACAGTATGTTCTCTTTTTTGTTAGCTTTTTAAAATCAGAATGACATTTTTAAGAATCATCCATACTATTGCTTATATCAGCAGTTGATTCCTTTACCCTGCTGAGTAGTATTCTCTTGTATGGACATACCACAGTTTTTTATCCATTCATCTGTTAATGAACATTCAGGGGTTTTTTCCCCCAGTTTGGAGCTATTTTCACTAAAGCTACTATATACCTCCATGTACTATCTCTGTGTGGAAATTATTTACCTTGTGTAAATACCTATAATTAGAATTTCTGGATTGCATATATGTTTAACCTTATAAAAGCTGCTGAATTTTTTGAAAGTGGTTGTTTCACTTAATATTCCAATGTATGAATTGTATGAGAAATGTGTGAGACTTCCAGCTGCTCTACATCTTTGATGGCACTTAGTAAGGCCAATGTTTAGTTTTACACATGCTAGTGGATCTAAAATACCATATTGTAGTGGTTTTCATTTGCATTTTCCTGATAATTAGATGACGTTCAACATCTTTTAATGTGGTTATGGTCATTTCTATATTTATTTTAAATTCCATGTTCAAATATTTTACCTGTATTTTATTGAATTGTCTTCTTGTCATTCCATTGTAAGAGTTTTTTATATATTCTGGATACAAGCCCTTTGTGAGATATCTGTTGCAAATATTTTCTCCCAGTCTGATGCTTGTCTTTTCCTTTTTGAATGGTATTTTTTGAAAAAGTTTTGCAGTTGTCTTACATTTTTCATAGTTTTCCTTTAATAATTCATGCTTTTGTGACCTTGTATTAGTCTGTTTTCATGCTGCTGATAAAGACATACCCGAGACTGGGCAATTTACAAAAGAAAGAGGTTTAATTGGACTTATAGTTCCACATGGCTGTGGAGGCCTCACAATCATGAGGGCAAGGAGGAGCAAGTCACGTCATACATGGATGGCAGCAGGCAAAGAGAGAATGAGGAAGACACAAAAGTGGAAACCCCTAATAAAGCCCTCAGACCTCATGAAACTTATTCACTACCATGAGAACAGTATGGGGGAAACCGCCCCCATGATTCAATTATCTCCCACCAGGTCCCTCCCACAGCACGTGGGAATTATGGGAGTACAGTTGAAGATGAGGTTTAGATGGGAACACAGAGCCAAACCATATCATTTTGCCCCTGGCCCCTGCCAAATGTCATGTCCTCACATTCCAAAACTAATCATGCCTTCCCAACAGTCCCCCAAAGTCTCAACTCATTTCAGCATTAATTCAAAAGTCTACAGTCCAAAGTCTCATCTGAGACAAGGCAAGTCCCTTCCACCTATGAGCCCATAAAACCAAAGCAAGCTAGTTATTTCCTAGATACAATGGAGGTATGGACATTTGGTAAATATAACCGTTCCAAATGGGAGAAATTGGCCAAAAAAGGAGGGTTACAGGGCCCATGCAAGTCCCAAATCCAGTGGGGCAGTCAAATCTTAAAGCTCCAAAATGATCTCCTTTGACTCCATGTCTCATGTCTGGGTCACGCTGATGCAAGAGGTGGGTTCCTGTGGTCTTGGGCAGCTCTGCCCCTGTGGCTTTGCAGGGTACAGTCTCCCTCCTGGCTGCTTTCATGGGCTGGCGTTGAGTGTCTGCAGCTTTTCCAGACACATGGTGCAAGCTGTCAGTGGATATAACATTCTGGGATCTGGAGGACAGTGGCCTTGTTCTCACAGCTCCACTAGGTGATGCCCCAGGAGGGACTCTGTGTGGGGGCTCTGACCCCACATATCCCTTCTGCACTGCCTTAGCAGAGGTTCTCCATGAGAGCCCTGCCCCTACAGCAAACTTCTGCCTGGGCATCCAGGCACTTCCATACATCTTCTGAAATCTAGGTGGAGGTTCCCAAACTTCAATTCTTGACTTCCGCGCATCAGCAGGCTCAACACAATGTGGAAGCTGCCAAGGCTTGGGGCTTGCACCATCTGAAGCCAGGGCCTGAGGTCTACATTGGCCCCTTTCAGCCATGGCTGGAGCAGCTGGATGCAGGGCATCAAGTCCCTAGGCCACACACAGCTGAGGGACTCTGGGCCTCGCCCAGCAAACCACTTTTTCCTCCTAGGTCTCTGGGCCTGTGATGGGAGGGGCTGCCATGAAGACCTTTGACATGCCTTAAAGACATTTTCCCCATTGTCTTGGGGAATTAACATTTGGCTCCTCATTACTTATGCAAATTTTTGCAGCTGGCTTGAATTTCTCCTCAGAAAACGGGATTTTCTTTTCTATCACATTGTCAGGCTGCAAATTTTTCAAATTTTGTGCTCTGTTTTTCAAACTTTTGTGCTCCCTTTTAAAACTGAATGCTTTTAACACCACCCAAGTCATTTATTGAATGCTTTGCTGCTTAGAAATTTCTTCTCCTAGATGCCCTAAGTAATCTCCCTCATGTTCAAGCTTCCACAAATCTCTAGGGCAGGGGCAAAAATGCCACCAAATTTTTGCTAAAACAAAACAAGCATCACCTTTGTTCCAGTTCCCAACAAGTCCCTCATTTCCATCTAAGACCACCTCAGCCTGGACTTTATTGTCCATATCGCTATCATCATTTTGGGCAAAGCCATTCAACAAATCTCTAGGAAGTTCCAAACTTTCCCACATTTTCCTGTCTTCTTCTGAGCTCTCCAAACTGTTCCAACCTCTGCCTGTTACCCAGTTCCAAAGCTGCTTCCACATTTTCGGGTATCTTTTCAGCAATGCCCTACTGTACTAGCACCAATTTACTGTATTAGTCCATTTTCATGCTGCTGGTAAAGACATACCCAAGAGTGGGCAATTTACAAAAGAAAGCAGTAGTTGGACTTACAGTTTCACATGGCTGGGGAAGCCTCACAATCACGGTGGAAGGCAAGGAGGAGAAAGTCACGTCTTATGTGGATGGCAGCAGGCAAAGAGAGGATGAGGAACATGCAAAAGCAGAAACCCCTGATAAAACCCTCAGATCTCGTAAGACTTATTCACTACCACAAGAACAGTACAAGGGAACCACCCCCATGATTCAATTATCTCCCACCAAGTCACTCCCACAACACGTGGGAATTATGGGAGTACAATTCAAGATGAGATTTGGGTGGGAACACAGAGCCAAACCATATCAGACTTACCTATGAATTTTTGACTGTAGAAAATTCAGGGCAGAAAGGAGGAGCCAAGTTGGCCAAATAGGAACACCTCCGGTCTACAGCTCCCAGCGTGAGCGACGCAGAAGACGGGTGATTTCTGCATTTCCATCTGAGGTACCGGGTTCATCTCACTAGGGAGTGCCAGACAGTGGGCGCAGGTCAGTGGGTGCGCGCACCGTGCACGAGCCGAAGCAGGGCAAGGCATTGCCTCACTTGGGAAGTGCAAGGGGTCAGGGAGTTCCCTTTCTGAGTCAAAGAAAGGGGTGACGGGCAGCACCTGGAAAATCGGGTCACTCCCACCCGAATACTGCGCTTTTCCCACGGGCTTAAAAAACGGCGCACCACGAGATTATAACCCGCACCTGGCTCGGAGGGTCCTACACCCACGGAATCTCGTTGATTACTAGCACAGCAGTCTGAGATCAAACTGCAAGGCGGCAGCGAGGCTGGGGGAGGGGCGCCCGCCATTGCCCAGGCTTGATTAGGTAAACAAAGCAGCCGGGAAGCTCCAACTGGGTGGAGCCCACCACAGCTCAAGGAGGCCTGCCTGCCTCTGTAGGCTCCACCTCTGGGGGCAGGGCACAGGCAAACAAAAAGACAGCAGTAACCTCTGCAGACTTAAATGCCCCTGTCTGACAGCTTTGAAGAGAGCAGTGGTTCTCCCAGCACGCAGCTGGAGATCTCAGAACGGGCAGACTGCCTCCTCAAGTGGGTCCCTGACCCCAGACCCCTGAGCAGCCTAACTGGGAGGCACCCCCCAGCAGGGGCACACTGACACCTCACGCGGCAGGGTATTCCAACAGACCTGCAGCTGAGGGTCCTGTCGTTTAGAAGGAAAACTAACAAACAGAAAGGACATCCACACCAAAAACCCATCTGTACATCACCATCATCAAAGACCAAAAGTAGATAAAACCACAAAGATGGGGAAAAAACAGAACAGAAAAACTGGAAACTCTAAAAAGCAGAGCGCCTCTCCTCCTCCAAAGGAACGCAGTTCCTCACCAGCAACGGAACAAAGCTGGATGGAGAATGACTTTGACGAGCTGAGAGAAGAAGACTTCAGACTATCAAATTACTCTGAGCTACGGGAGGACATTCAAACCAAAGGCAAAGAAGTTGAAAACTTTGAAAAAAATTTAGAAGAATGTATAACTAGAATAACCAATAGAGAGAAGTGCTTAAAGGAGCTGATGGAGCTGAAAACCAAGGCTCGAGAACTACGTGAAGAATGCAGAAGCCTCAGGAGCTGATGCGATCAACTGGAAGAAAGGGTATCAGCGATGGAAGATGAAATGAATGAAATGAAGCGAGAAGGGAAGTTTAGAGAAAAAAGAATAAAAAGAAATGAGCAAAGCCTCCAAGAAATATGGGACTATGTGACAAGACCAAATCTACGTCTGATTGGTGTACCTGAAAGTGATGGGGAGAATGGAACCAAGTTGGAAAACACTCTGCAGGATATTATCCAGGAGAACTTCCCCAATCTAGCAAGGCAGGCCAACGTTCAGATTCAGGAAATACAGAGAACACGACAAAGATACTCCTCGAGAAGAGCAACTCCAAGACACATAATTGTCAGATTCACCAAAGTTGAAATGGAGGAAAAAATGTTAAGGGCAGCCAGAGAGAAAGGTCGGGTTACGCTCAAAGGGAAGCCCATCAGACTAACAGCGGATCTCTTGACAGAAACCCTACAAGCCAGAAGAGAGTGGGGGCCAATATTCAACATACTTAAAGAAAAGAATTTTCAACCCAGAACTTCATATCCAGCCAAACTAAGCTTCATAAGTGAAGGAGAAATAAAATACTTTACAGAAAAGCAAATGCTGAGAGATTTTGTCACCACCAGGCCCGCCCTAAAAGAGCTCCTGAAGGAAGCACTAAACATGGAAAGGAACAACCGGTAACAGCAGCTGCAAAATCATGCCAAAATGTAAAGGAAGAAACTGCATCAACTAACAAGCAAAATAACCAGTAACATCATAATGACAGGATCAAATTCACACATAACAATATTAACTTTAAATGTAAATGGACTAAATGCTCCAATTAAAAGACACAGACTGGCAAATTGGATAAAGAATCAAGACCCATCAGTCTGCTGTATTCAGGAAACCCATCTCACGTGCGGAGACACACATAGGCTCAGAATAAAAGGATGGAGGAAGATCTACCAAGCCAATGGAAAACAAAAAAAGGCAGGGGTTGCAATCCTAGTCTCTGATAAAACAGACTTTAAACCAACAAAGATCAAAAGAGACAAAGAAGGCCATTACATAATGGTAAAGGGATGAATTCAACAAGAAGAGCTAACTATCCTAAATATATATGCACCCAATACAGGAGCACCAAGATTCATAAAGCAAGTCCTGAGTGACCTACAAAGAGACTTAGACTCCCACAAATTAATAATGGGAGACTTTAACATCCCACTGTCAACATTAGACAGATCAACGAGACAGAAAGTCAACAAGGATACCCAGGAATTGAACTTAGCTCTGCACCAAGCGGACCTAATAGACATCTACAGAACTCTCCACCCCAAATCTACAGAATGTACATTTTTTTCAGCACCACACCACACCTATTCCAAAATTGACCAGATACTTGGAAGTAAAGCTCTCCTCAGCAAATGTAAAAGAACAGAAATTATAACAAACTATCTCTCAGACCACAGTGCAATCAAACTAGAACTCAGGATTAAGAATCTCACTCAAAACCACTCAACTACATGGAAACTGAACAACCTGCTCCTGAATGACTACTGGCTACATAACGAAATGAAGGCAGAAATAAAGATGTTCTTTGAAACCAACGAGAACAAAGACACAACATACCAGAATCTCTGGGACGCATTCAAAGCAGTGTGTAGAGGGAAATTTATAGCACTAAATGCCCACAAGAGAAAGCAGGAAAGATCCAAAATTGACACCCTAACATCACAATTAAAAGAACTAGAGAAGCAAGAGCAAACACATTCAAAAGCTAGCAGAAGGCAAGAAATAACTAAAATCAGAGCAGAACTGAAGGAAATAGAGACACAAAAAACCCTTCAAAAAATTAATGAATCCAGGAGCTGGTTTTTTGAAAGGATCAACAAAATTGATAGACCGCTAGCAAGACTAATAAAGAAAAAAAGAGAGATGAATCAAATAGACACAATAAAAAGTGACAAAGGGGATATCACCACCGATCCCACAGAAATACAAACTACCATCAGAGAATACTACAAACACCTCTACGCAAATAAACTAGAAAATCTAGAAGAAATGGATAAATTCCTCGACACATACACTCTCCCAAGACTAAACCAGGAAGAAGTTGAATCTCTGAATAGACCAATAACAGGAGCTGAAATTGTGGCAATAATCGATAGCTTACCAACCAAAAAGAGTCCAGGACCAGATGGATTCACAGCTGAATTCTACCAGAGGTACAAGGAGGAACTGGTACCATTCCTTCTGAAACTATTCCAATCAATAGAAAAAGAGGGAATCCTCCCTAACTCATTTTATGAGGCCAGCCTCATTCTGATAACAAAGCCAGGCAGAGACACAACAAAAAAAGAGAATTTTAGACCAATATCCTTGATGAACATTGATGCAAAAATCCTCAATAAAATACTGGCAAACCGAATCCAGCAGCACATCAAAAAGCTTATCCACCATGATCAGGTGGGCTTCATCCCTGGGATGCAAGGCTGGTTCAATATACGCAAATCAATAAATGTAATCCAGCATATAAACAGAGCCAAAGACAAAAACCACATGATTATCTCAATAGATGCAGAAAAGGCCTTTGACAAAATTCAACAACCCTTCATGCTAAAAACTCTCAATAAATTAGGTATTGATGGGACCTATCTCAAAATAATAAGAGCTATCTATGACAAACCCACAGCCAATATCATACTGAATGGGCAAAAACTGGAAGCATTCCCTTTGAAAACTGGCAAAAGACAGGGATGCCCTCTCTCACCACTCCTATTCAACATAGTGTTGGAAGTTCTGGCCAGGGCAATTAGGCAGGAGAAGGAAATAAAGGGTATTCAATTAGGAAAAGAGGAAGTCAAATTGTCCCTGTTTGCAGATGACATGATTGTATATCTAGAAAACCCCATCGTCTCAGCTCAAAATCTCCTTAAGCTGATCAGCAACTTCAGCAAAGTCTCAGGATACAAAATCAATTTGCAAAAATCACAAGCATTCCTATACACCAATAACAGACAAACAGAGAGCCAAATCATGAGTGAACTCCCATTCACAATTGCTTCGAAGAGAATAAAATACCTAGGAATCCAACTTACAAAGGATGTGAAGGACCTCTTCAAGGAGAACTACAAACCACTGCTCAAGGAAATAAAAGAGGATACAAACAAATGGAAGAACATTCCATGCTCATGGGTAGGAAGAATCAATATCGTGAAAATGGCCATACTGCCCAAGGTAATTTACAGATTCAATGCCATCCCCATCAAGCTACCAATGACTTTCTTCACAGAATTGGAAAAAACTACCTTAAAGTTCATATGGAACCAAAAAAGAGCCCGCATCACCAAGTCAATCCTAAGCCAAAAGAACAAAGCTGGAGGCATCACACTACCTGACTTCAAACTATACTACAAGGCTACAGTAACCAAAACAGCATGGTACTGGTATCAAAACAGAGATATAGATCAATGGAACAGAACAGAGCCCTCAGAAATAATGCCGCATATCTACAACTATCTGATCTTTGACAAACCTGAGAAAAACAAGCAATGGGGAAAGGATTCCCTATTTAATAAATGGTGCTGGGAAAACTGGCTAGCCATATGTAGAAAGCTGAAACTGGATCCCTTCCTTACACCTTATACAAAAATCAATTCAAGATGGATTAAAGACTTAAACATTAGACCTAAAACCATAAAAACCCTAGAAGAAAACCTAGGCATTACCGTTCAGGGCATAGGCATGGGCAAGGACTTCATGTCTAAAACACCAAAAGCAATGGCAGCAAAAGACAAAATTGACAAATGGGATCTAATTAAAGTAAAGAGCTTCTGCACAGCAAAAGAAACTATCATCAGAGTGAACAGGCAACCTACAAAATGGGAGAAAATTTTCCCAACCTACTCATCTGACAAAGGGCTAATATCCAGAATCTACAATGAACTCAAACAAATTTACAAGAAAAAAACAAACAACCCCATCAAAAAGTGGGTGAAGGACATGAACAGACACTTCTCAAAAGAAGACATTTATGCAGCCAAAAAACACAAGAAAAAATACTCACCATCACTGGCCATCAGAGAAATGCAAATCAAAACCACAATGAGATACCATCTCACACCAGTTAGAATGGCAATCATTAAAAAGTCAGGAAACAACAGGTGCTGGAGAGGATGTGGAGAAACAGGAACACTTTTACACTGTTGGTGGGACTGTAAACTAGTTCAACCATTGTGGAAGTCAGTGTGGCGATTCCTCAGGGATCTAGAACTGGAAATACCATTTGACCCAGCCATCCCATTACTGGGTATATACCCAAAGGACTATAAATCATGCTGCTATAAAGACACATGCACATGTGTTTATTGCGGCATTATTCACAATAGCAAAGACTTGGAACCAACCCAAATGTCCAACAATGATAGACTGGATTAAGAAAATGTGGCACATATACACCATGGAATACTATGCAGCCATAAAAAATGATGAGTTCGTGTCCTTTGTAGGGACATGGATGAAATTGGAAATCATCATTCTCAGTAAACTATCGCAAGAACAAAAAACCAAACACCGCATATTCTCACTCATAGGTGGGAATTGAACAATGAGATCACATGGACACAGGAAGGGGAATATCACACTCTGGGGACTGTGGTGGGGTGGGGGGAGGGGGGAGGGATAGCATCGGGAGATATACCTAATGCTAGATGACGAGTTAGTGGGTGCAGCGCACCAGCATGGCACATGTATACATATGTAACTAACCTGCACAATGTACACATGTACCCTAAAACTTAAAGTATAATAAAAAAAAAAAAAGAAAAAAGAAAATTCAGGAAGATTCTCCTCATGATATTAGTTTTTATTAATTTTTGCATGACATAAGTTTTATGGTATTAGTGTTTATTACATTTTACATACAGTGTGAGGTAAGGTTCAAAGTTAATTTGTTTTCTATATGGATAGTCAGTTATTTCAGCACTATTTATTGAAAAGATTATCCTTTCCCCAGTGAATTCTTTTGGTACCTTGTCAAAAAAATCAATTGACCACATTTGTAAGAGTTTATTTTGGAATTATCCATTCTGTTCCCTTAATCTATGTCTACCCATAGATGAATACTGTACTATACTGTCTTGATTACTGTATCTTTATAGTAAATTTTGAAATCAGGTAATGTAAGTCCTGCAAATTTGTTCTTCTTTTTCAAAATTATTTTGCCTATTCTAGATCCTTTGTATTTCCATAAAAATGTAAGGATCAGCTTGTCAATTTTTAGGAAAGGTCTGCTGGGATTTCATTGATCCCATGGATCCATAGATCCATTTGTGGAGAATTGCCATCTGGCAATGCTGAGTCTTCCAAGCCATGAACATAGAATGTCTATCCATTTATTGAGATCTGATTTCAATTTATTTTGTACTATCCTGTAGTTTTAACTTTAGAAATAATGTACTTCATTTGTCAAATTTATTCCTAAATTGGCCAGGCATGGTGGCTCACACCTGTAATCCCAACACTTTGGGAGGCCGAGGCAGGCAGATCACTTGAGGTCAGGAGTTCGAGACCAGCCTGGCCAACATGGCAAAACCCTGTCTCTACTGAAAATACAAAAATTAGCTGGGCATGGTGGTGCATACCTGTAATCCCAGCTGCTCTGGAGGCTGAGGTAGGAGAATTGCTTGAACCCATGAGGCAGAGGTTGCAGTGAGCCGAGATCATGCCACTGCCCTCCAACCTGGGCAATAGACTTAAAAATATATATATATTTCTAAGTTTTGATGCATTTTTTTTTCTTGAGACAGGGTCTTTCTCTGTCACCCAGGCTGGAGTGCAATGATGCTGTCATAGCTACTGCAACGTCAACCTCCTGAGCTCAAGTGATCCTCCCACCTTAACCTCCCAAATAGCTAGGACTACAGGTGTGCACCACCATGCCCAGCTAATTTTTTATTTTTTGTAGAGACACAGTCTTGCTACGTTTCCCAGGCAGGTCTGGATCTTGAACTCCTGGCCTCAAGCAATCCTTTTGCCTCAGCTTCCCAAAGCTCTGGGGTTACAAGCATGAGACTCCATGCTCCAATGCTATTTTTAATGAAATTGTTTTTTTAATTTCATTTTCAGATTTTTCACTGTTAGTATATAGAAACCAAATTTATTTTTGTATAATGTTCTTATATCCTATAAACTTGATAAATTTATTAGCTCTAGTACTTTTATTGTTAATTCCTAAGGATTTTCTAATGAATAATTATGTCATCTATGCACAAAGACAATTGTATTTCTTTCTTTCCTATCTAGATTCCTTTAATTCCTTTCATTTATTATTTATATTTTCTTTTTGCCTTATAGTGCTGGCTAGAACCTGAAGTACAATGTGGAATAGAAATGGTGAGAATAGACGTTCTTTCCTTCTTCTTGACTTTAGGGAGGAAAGAATTCACTATTTCACAATTAACACTGTTACTAGTTGTATGTATTTCATAAATGCCTCTTATCAGGTTGAGAAACCACCTTTCCTTTATATTCCTAGGATTTTTAAGTTTTAATCATGAATGAGCATTGGATTTTTCTGCATCTATTAGGATAATCATGTGGTTTACTAGTCTTTTATCCTATTTTTATGGCATATAAATTTTATATTGCTGCTGTAACAACTATTACAAACGTGTAGCTTGAAACAGCACAAATTTGTTGTTTTACAGTTCTGTATATTAGAAGCCCAACATAGGTTTCAATGGACTAAAATTATGATGTTAGCAAAACTGGATTCCTTTCTCAAGGCTCTATGGGAGAATCTATTTCCTTGCCTTTTATGCCTTCCAGAGGCTTCCTGCATTTCCTGGTCCATGTCCTTCACCCTCCATCTTTCAAAGCCAGCAAAGGTAGGTCCAATCCATCTCACATGGCATCATTCTGACTCCTTTCTCTTTTGTCTCCCTCTTCCACTTTTAAGGATGCTTGTGATTACATTGGGCCTTCCTAGATAGTCCAGCAAAATCCCTTGATTTTATGGTCATCTGAGTAGCAATCTTAATTACATCTGCAACCTCAATTTCCCTTTGACATGTGATGTAAAAAATTCACAGGTTTTGGAAATAAAAATATGGATTTTTGGGGGGAACCATTATTCTGCCTACCACAGCATGCCATCTGACCCCCTGAAAGGTAAATGTTTATCTTATATGTAAAATACATTCACCCCATCCCAAAGTCTTCAAATGTCTCATCCCATTGCACTATTAACTCAGAGTTAAAGAACATCTAAATCTTATCAGCTCAAAAGTCCCAAATCTCATCACCTTAACAATCTACATCAAGTATAGATGAGGTTCTGGGTATAATCCATCCTAGGACACAATTCCTCTTCAATCTATGGACCTGTGAAACGCTGGCTCCCAAAATATTATGATGGTATGGAATAACTGTCATATACATTCCTGTTCAAAAAGGGAAAAAGTTTAGTTAAAAAAGGAGTCACTGGTCTCAAGCATTTTCAAAATCAATAAAGGCACACGTGATTTGCTTTAAAGACCTGCAAATAACCCTCTGTAGCCAGTGGCTTCACCCAGTGGACAAGCAGTTCTGGGTTCATGCATCCACGCTCTGAGTCATCTTTTCTTTTTCATGAAGTGCAGCACGTTTGCAGGTGGTTACTTTCATTAGCCTGTTTCTTGCATGTAGAATTTTGGGGCTCTGACAGCCCTTTTTTTAATTTCATACTCTGTCCTTTTCAGTACAAGCTGGCAGCGTTTATCCTTGTATAAAATTCTCAAAAACCTTGTGCATCTCCTATGTTTGTCATGGGGATTTACTCCACTAAGCAAGAGGCTCCTTCACAGATCTTTTCTAATTTATCTTATCTCTATTTTTGGCTTTTGCAGAAATGGCTGAGGGTATCTATAAGTCACACTCTAATTTCCTCAAAGAGCCTTCAGTGTGGTGGAACACACTGATCTGTTGATCTTTTTGCAGTGTGAGCAAAAATTTGTCCAGCCACAGCCTCAGCTTTTGTTCTAGAACACACTTTCCTATACGTAAATCTCTTAATTGTATTATCTTTTGCAATCTGGATAGGCTGGGAATTTCCCAAATCACCAAGTCCTGGTTCTATTGTAACAATTTCCCCCTCAGTTTATCTTTTTCCTCTCATATTTTGTTATAACCAGCAAGAAGACAGGCTGTACCTTCGACACTGGGTTTGGAAACCTCAGCGCAATGTCCAAATTCGCAGAATTCTGCTGAGTTTTCTTCCACTGTATAACAGGACCCTGTTTCTCCCAGTTTCCAGGAACATTTTCCTCATTTCATTTTGAGTCCTCACTAGTGTCACCTTAAACATCCATATTTATTTTCTTTTTCATTTTTTAAACTTTTATTTGAAGTTCACAGGTACACGTATAGGTTTGTTATATAGGTAAACTTGTGTCATGGGGCGTGTTTCATTACCCAGGTAGTAAGCCTAGTACCCATTAGTTATTTTTCCTGACCCTCTCCCTCCTCCCACCCTCCACCCTCCAATAGCCCCCAGTGTGTATTAGTCCCCTCTATGTGTCCATGAAACATCTATATTTCTAATAAAAGTGTATTTACAATGATTTATGTAGTCACTAAGATGATATATGTTTTCTTTACCACAATCCTCACTTTTTTCTGAACCTTCATCAGCAGAATCTTTGATGTCATATTTCTATTAACAGTATGGTCAAGGCAATCTAAGTTTTTAAAATCAAGCTTTTCAAATTCTTTCAGCCTCTGCCCACTGTTCAATTCCAAAGCCACTTCCACATTTTAAGGTATTTGTTATGACAGCATCCCACTTCTAAGTATCAAAATCTATATTAGTTTTCTACTGCTGATGTAACAACTAACAACAAACTTAGTGGCTTGAAACAGCACAAATTTATTATCTTACAGTGTGGTACATTAGAAGTTTAATAAGGATCTCACTAGGCTAAAATCAAGATGTTAGCAGAGCTGTGTTCCTTTCTGTAGGCTTTATGGAATAATCCATTTCATCGCCTTTTACACCTTCCAGAGGCCATCCATGTTTCTTGGTTCATGACCCTCTTCCTCTATTTTCAATGTCAGCAGTGACAGGTCCAGTTCTTCTCATGTGGCCATCATTCTACTTCCTCTCTGCCCTCCTTCTCCCACTTCTAAGGATTCTTATGATTACATTGGGCCTACCTGGATAATCTAGCATAATTTCCTATTTTATGATCAGCAGATTAACAACATTAATTCCATCTGCAACCTAATTTCCCTTTGGCATGTAGTATAACATATTCACAAGTTCTGGGGATTAAGACATGGATAGCTTTGGGGAACCATTATTCTGCCTACCACCTGTGTTACATTAATCTATTTTCTAGTTGTTAAACCAGCTTTTCATTATTAGGATAAATATCACTTGGTCATGTCGTATAATTCATTTTTTATATTGTTGAATGGAGTTTGATGTTCTTCAGAAGGATACTGCTCTAGGGTTTCTTTTCTTGTGGTGTCTTTGCTTTTTGTATCAGGGTTATACTGGCTTCTTAGAAAGAATTAGAATATATTCTCATCTCAATTTTCTGAAGGCATTTATGAAGGATTGATTTTTTATCTTGAGTTAATTTGCCTAGCCTGGGCTTTTCTTCATGGAAAAATATTTAGTTTCTAATTCAATTTTCGAGTAGTTATGGGTCTATTCAAATTTTAAATTTCTTCTTAAGTCAGTGTTGGTAATTTACGTCTCTTTTCAGAATTTTCTCATTTCATCTAAATTGTCCAATTCATTGATATAAACTGGCTTACAATACTACCTATAATCTTTTTAATTTCTGTAAAATCTGTAGTGATAGCCCCTTTTATTCCTGATCTTCTCTTTTTTTTCTTCATCAGTTTAGCAAGGATTTGCCGATTTTGCCAATCTTGTCAAAGAACCAACTTTTAGTTTCCTAGATTTTCCCTGTTGTTTTTCTGTTTTCTTTTTCTATTTCATTTATTCCTGCTATAATCTTTATTATTTGTGTCCTCTTGATTGCTTTGGTTTTTAGTTTGCTCGGCATTTTCCAGTTTCTTAAGGTTGAAGCTTAGGCTATCGATTTGAGATCTTTCTTCTTTTCTGATACAAATGTTTAAAGCCATAAATTTCCTTCGAAGCACTGCTTTAACTGCATCTCATATATTAAATATTTGAATATATTAAATAATTTTTATTCAAATCAAAATATATTTTTTAGAATCCTAGTTATTTTTATTAATCAATTATCCAACACATGCTAATTGTATTCAAGGCACTGTGCAAGATGTTGAGAATCCAGAGATGAGCTTTTAGTTCATCCATCTCGCCTCTCCTTCTGTCTACATATGTCCATAGGGTGATGAACCTGGAAAATCATGCTTATAAAGTTTGTGGAAACCTCAGTATTCTGAAGAGAGACATAGAGGCTGTTAAAATGCAGGAGTATTGAGTGACATTTCAGGAGCTCTAGTCGCCAAACCTTCTCTTCCTCTTATGGGCACCTATATCCATAATGAAGAGCAATTATACATGACACACGACTTTTTATTCTATGTCTGACCCTGGGACTGTGATGGAAAGAAGAAAAGTTGATGAAGTCATTGCCCTCCAGCTCTCTGATCACCAAGGAGGGATGGACACCTCCCTCTTCTTTGTTTCTCAATGATTCAGTATGTCTGGCTGGGGTTTTCACTGACTCTTTCACACCATTCCTCTTCCCTGGGCATGCAGCCTTGGATTAGCAATCAGTGGTCAGGTCCTCTGACTCCTCCTCTCAGTGGTCCCCTTTTCTAGTCCTGCCTTGTCAGTCTTTTAACTTCAATCAACTCCTGCTGTTGTCTCCAAAATCAAAATATTTTAATTGCTCTTCTGATTTTTCCCTTTGGTCCATAGAAGTGTTTTATTAATTTTCAAATATTTGGGCTTTTCCCAGGGTACTTTCTGATGTAGATCACTAAATTAATTATGTTGTGCTCATAGAACTTATTTAAATAATTACATCTTTCCAATTTTATTGAGACTTCTTTTATTGAGACTTAATTTTTCCCTTTGATCCATAGAAGTGTTTTATTTAATTTTCAAACATATGGGCTTTTCCCAGGTTCCTTTCTGATGTGGATCTCTAAATTAATTATTTTGCACTCAAAGAACATATTTAAATAACTGCAATCTTTTCCATTTTATTGAGACTTGTTTTCTGGCCCAGTGCATGGTATATCCTAGAATATGTTCTATATGCATTTAAAAGAATGTGTATTCCATAGTCAATGGGTGGAGCATTCTAAAAATGGTAATTAGGGCAAGTTGGTTAATAGTGATGTACAAGTCTGTGTATCTTTGCTTATTTTCTATAAGTTATGGGCAGTGGGATATTGAAATATCTAACTATTATTGCTGTTTACCTATTCCTCCTTTTAATTCTGTCAGGTTTTGCCTCATGTATTTTGAGGTCCTGTTGCTAAGTGCATATATGTTCATATTCCTTACATCTTCCTGATGGATCTACCTTTTAATCATATAAATGGTCTCTCTTTGTTTCCAGTAACATTTCTTGTCTTAAAGTCTCTTATGATATTAATAAAACCAATATCATTTTTATGGTTTTTATGTGGGATAATTTTTTCCATCATTTTATAAACATTCAACCTATGTATTTATTTGACTCTAAGTGGTATCTGTTCTAGACAGGATATAGTTGGAGCTTGCTTTTGTTTGTCTTGGCTGATAATCTCTGACTTCTGAAAGGGATGTTTATTTCATGCACATTTAATACACATTGATATGGTTAGATTTATGTCTGCAATTTTGTCACGTTTTTCATCTGTTTCATTTTGTTTATGCATATGTTGCTCTTCACTTGCTTTTCTAGGTGAAATAAATATTTTTAGTGTATAATTTTAATTTATCTATTGCTTTGTTATTTACTATATTATTTTCTTTTTTATTTAAATGAGTAACATAGGCATTTATTATCATTATCAAGTATTATGTATGATACATCATTGTATGTGCTATACTTTTTTTTTACTATACTTTAAGTTTTAGGGTACATGTGCACATTGTGCAGGTTAGTTACATATGTATACATGTGCCATGCTGGTGCGCTGCACCCAATAACTCGTCATCTAGCATTAGGTATATCTCCCAATGCTATCCCTCCCCCCTCCCCCCACCCCACAACAGTCCCCAGAGTGTGATGTTCCCCTTCCTGTGTCCATGTGTTAATGCTCTTGAATTTACAATATGCATCTTAGCTTATTACAGTTGACTGAGAATAATGCTAATTTAATTTTAGTATAAAATTTTACTCAAGTATGTCCCTTTTTCTTCCTCCTGCCTTTTGCTACTACCATCATATAGTATATCGATATATGTTGTAAACCCAATGATATAGTGTTATATTTATTAGTTTATACAATTGCATGTCTTTTTTAAAAATTGAGAGGAAATTAGAAGTAATATATTTATAGAAACTTTTGTATTTACCAACAGGTATACCATTTCCATAACTCTTTATTTCTTCCTGGAAATTCAAGTTATCATCCGCTGTCATTTTCTTTCAGCCTGAAGATTTCCTTTAGAATTTCCTTTCAGGCAGGCTAGTGACCAACAAATTCTCCCGGTCTTTGTTTATTTGAGAATGCCTTTGTTCTACCTTCATTTCCTAAGGATAGTTTTCTTAGACACAGAATAGGTGGTTGAGAGTCTCTCTCTCTCTCTCTCTCTCCTCTATTCACCTGTTTTGAATATGTCATCTCATTACTGCCTGGTCTGTATCATTTCTGATATGAAGTCAACCATTAATCATATTGTTGTTCTTATGTACCTGATGTTTTTCTTGCTGCTTTCATTTCAATATTTTATATGTTTCTGTTTTTTTATAGTTGGCTCAGGATATTTTTAGGTGTGGATCTCTTTGTGTTTATCCTGCTGGGGGTTGGAGGGGTCAATGAGTTTCTTGGATGTATAGATTAATTTTTAAATCAAATTTGGGAAAATTGCAGCCATTATTTCTTAAAATGTTTTCTGTTCCTTTCTCCTCTCCTCTAGGACTTCCATTATACATATGTTAGTAGATTTTATGGTTTTCACAAGTCTCTAAGGCTCCGTTCATTTTTCTTTATTCCTTTTTCTTTCTGTTCTTCAGATTGCATCTTCTCTATTGTTCTATCTTCAGGTTCACTGATTCTTTCTTCTGCCAGCTCAAACCTACAATGAGCCCCTAAAGTGAACTTTTCATTACAGTTATTTTACTTTTCATTTCCCAAATTTGCATGTGGTACTTTTGTATAAATTATATGTCCTTATTGAGATTCTCTATTTTCTGCGTCATTGCCATCATACTTTCCTTTAATTTTTTAAACATAAGTTATTTGCTTCAGTTCTTTAAACATATTCATGATGGCTGCTTTTAAGTATTCTCTGCTAAATTTAATATCTGGGAATATTCATAAACAGTTTCTATTAACTGATTCCTCCCCTGTCAAGTATAGGTCACACTTTCTTCTTTTTATGCATGTCTTATAGTTTTATTGTTTAATATTGGATATTTTGGATAATATAATATAGCACTTCTGAATTCTGACCACCCCAAGGGTATTGTTGTTCTGTTTTGTTTTGTTTGTTTTGTTTCTTTGTTGACTGGGCTTAATCTTTACAATCTGTTACCCCAATGATGTACAGCCACTGGTGTCTTTATTTCGTTTTTTCCCTTTGTTTTTATTTTAAAATCTGGATTTTTAAGGGTGATCACTGGGCCTTCATAGCTTCTGATAGACCAAATATTGGTTAGTAGTTGCGTTCAAACATCTTATGCCAGAAAGATTTTCTCTCTCTGCTGATGTATCTCTGTGTGTACTGGGAAAACATTTAAACTTCAGACTGTTTTGAAGTCTTCCAAAATTTTTGCTTTTTGCCAGGCTTTTTCATGATTTCTCTGGGGGTGTTTACTGTCTCCATCAACCAGGTATGTGTGGGTGGCTTAAGTCTACTCCAATCTCTGCTGCACATGTGCACATCTTCTTATTAAGCCAGGATATGTGAAAAACATATCAGCATCCTATGACTGTCACCTCCCCAAAAACCTTGTTACATTCCCAGCTAGTCCACTGGTATCTTGCTTGCCCAAAATAGGCACACAACCTCAGGCTAATGGAGCCATTAGCTATTCCTATTCACTTGTTACCTAGTTTGCCACTGTAACTATGTATGCTGCCAATCAAGTGAGCCCCTCCCACTGAGGCATCACAACCGCTGGTTTGCACAGCCTTCCTCACCCTGGTTTCATTATACCACATACAAAGCTGGGAGGTGGTGTCTAGAACTATCCCCAGGCAAAACTACCAGAAACATGCTGCTCTTGTACAAAGTTCAGTAGTTTTCACAAATAAATACTTCTCAGTTTGCTTTGTACCTTTGTTTGAATTCCAGAATGTTGAAATGGTTGTTTTTCACTATCTTGTTTAGCTTTATAGTTGCTTTTTGAGGAGAGAATTTCTCTACCTCCTGTCGTGCCAGAACTCCTGTACTATAATAGATATTTTAGAATGACTTTTATCTTTTGGCTTTGCTAAACTCAATTATTACTTTTCATAGCTTTTTGTATATTCCTTAGCATTTTTATGCATACAATCATACCATTGGCAAATTGGTTAATTTTACTTCCTCCTTTCCATTCTGTATGCTTTTATTTTTTTTCTTGCCTTACTGCATGAGCTGAGACCTACTGTATTAAATTGCATAGGAGAGGTGAGATCAGACAACCTGTCTTTTTATCTGATCTTATAGAGAAAGAATCAGTCTTTTACCATTAATTATTATGTTATCTTTACATTTTTTATAGACCAGCAATGTTTTGAAAAACACACATAATCCTTGGATAAACAAGAAAAGATGATGAATTGTAAGAAGATAGTAAACTGTGGCCAAAGGCAAAATCTTCTATTATCTAGCTAAATGACCTCGAGCAAGTCTCTCCACCTCAGTTTCTTCGTCTCTAAAATGTGGAAGGTTGAACTGACCACAGGTGATCAGTGGTTTTCAAACTTTAAAAAAAAATCCTTTCTTAAAAGTGTTTTCCATGAAGTCTAATATTTAAAAAGAATAAAATAAAATCTGATCTGGTCCAGTAGAAGTAGGAGTGGTAGTACTGAATCCCAAGTTACTCATGCTCTCTGCCTGTCCTTTTACAATGGGAGGTACTGCCACAGAGGCAGTAGGGTTCTGTGAATGGAATGGAGTTTGAAAGGAGACACATAACATTATTAATATGACTTGGAGAGGTATAAGGGGAATAGCAGATAGGCATTTATAATAAAACAGCATATAATACATAATATATGTATATATAATGGTTACCATTATATAAATATAATATTACATACATGCATATATATGATGGTTACCAATAGTTATATATATATACAATGGCATACATGTAATACATATACATATACCGTCATGTGTCAGTTAATGATGGGGATACACTCTGAGAAATACAAAGTTAGGCAATTTTGTCATTGTGCAAATATCATAGAGTATACTTACACAAACCTAGATCATATAACCTACTACACACCCAGGCTATATGGTATAGCTTATTGTCCCTAGGCTACAAGCCTTTACAGCATGTTACTGTACTGAATACTGTAGGTAACTGTAACACAATGGTAAGTTTTTGTGCATCTAAACATATCAAAACATAGAAAGGCACAGTAAAAATACCATATTATAATTTTATGGGATCACTGTTGTATATGTGGTCTGTCATCAACCAAAACATCATTATGTGGTGCATGACTGTGTATAATGGGATATATATATATATATATATATATGACCAAGATGTCAGGTTGGTGTCATTAATTTCAGGTGACCTTAATTCTTTATGTTTTGGGGTTATGAAACTTTTTGAAAATGGACTTTATTTTTATTTTTTGAGACAGGGTCTTGCTATGTCACCCAGGCTGGGGTGCAGTGGTGCAATCACAGCTCACTGCAGCCTCGACCTCCCAGGCTCAAGGGATCCTTATCACCACAGCCTACTATGTAGCTGGGATCACATGCACGTGCCACTGAACCCAGCTAAGTTTTTTTATTTTTTGTGGAGATGGGGTCTCACTGTGTTTCCCAGACTGGCCTCAAACTCCTGGGCTTAAGCAATCATCCTGCTTCAGCCTTCCAAAGTGCTGGGATTATAGGTATGAGCCACTGCATTTGTCCTATTTTGTACATAATTAGTAAAAAAGCAATTTTCATAGGGGTACAGGAAATTAAAAAAAATACACATAAGAAAGGCCCTTTAAGCTCTGACATTATATTAATAAGGTTGACTAACATCCAAGACTATTGGCAGTTTAATAAAGGACCCTATAAGTGAACAGACTAACCCCAAAAGGAATAAGGCACTAATGAAGAGATGCCAGGAACTGGGGCCATAATTTTTATCAGTATTTTTAACTTATGACTTCCAAGTTACACCACAGTGGTCAAAGACTACTCTTTGAAACTTAGGTAAAACCACTTGTGTGGTGCTTTTTAGTTTTTATTTAGGTTTGTTTTATTTATTTTTAAAGGATAATGGTAAAATCTATGTAGACTCACTCTTCTATTTCTATCCGGCTCACAAACCCTGGAATCCATTTCCCAGTCTCCTTGTGCCGCTATTCTGGCCTCTTGCCCATCTCTCCTGCTCCACTTCCCTATGTGTGGAGAGACTAATTGAAGACAGACTGGCCAGGCTAATTTTTCCAAGGGTGAGCTCAACTTTGGATTTTTACTTTAAAGTAGAATATGAAAATTCCCTTTAGGACAGTTTCCTGTTTTGGATCACAGTCTATTTAGTAAAACTTTTGCCAGTAAATCTGAAGGAATAAAGTATAGGTGGAAAAAGAGAGAGGAAAGGGATAATCCATTCTTCATTTACTCATTTACTATTTTAAACTTTCGCAAAAAAGTGATTTATACATATGTATTTTCTTAATATTCACCTATTCAGCAAACATTTGTTGAGTGTGTACTGTGTGCCAGGCACTGAAATATATGATTTCACCAATGTACATCTTTTCTTTCTCACAACAACCCTATTAAGTAGAATTGTCAGCCAGATGTGGTGGCTCGTGCCTGTACTCCAAGCACTTTGGGGAGTCACAGCAGAAGGATCACTTGTGCCTAGGAGTTCAAGGTTGCTGTTAGCTATGATTTTGCCACTGAGCTCCAGCATGGGTGACAGAGGCAACAGAGCAACCTCAAAAAAAAATTGCCACCTTACTTTATAGGTCAAGAACTGAGGTGCAAGGAGCGGAAGTGACCTGCTCCAAGTCACAATGTTGGTTAGATTCCAAATAAACTCTGGTCACCAGAGCTACTGCTTTTTCTACCAGCCTTGCAGTTGCCTGTCCAGTTGAAGTTGTGGAGATTGTGCTGTAAGCAGTCAAAACATTAGCAAAGGTATGCACCCTTGTCCATCAGATGACAACATTTAATTAGTCTAATTTTACCAGCCTATTTATTTAGTGACATAGAATAAGTTGGTTCAATATAGACAAATGGTGGTATTTGGGCTTTTTGCCTAATCAAGTTTAAATGTGCTTTTTAAAAAGTTTCATTCAAAAGCCACTGTTTTACTCAATGTGGAAGTACTAGGAGCCTTCCCACTAAAATCAAGAGGGAAAAAAGGATGCTCACTCTTGCCACTATTATGTAACAATGCATTGAAGGTATTAGCTACCCTAACTAGACAATAGAATAAAATAATTATTATAAGTATTGGAAAGAAAGCAATAAAAACATTTCTACTCACATATAATAGAATCGTCTTCTACTTGAAAACCAAAAAATCAAGTAAACAACTACTACAAACATTTAACAAAACTTAGTACATTAGTAAAATATAAAATTAATGTATAAAAATAAATTCCCTTCACATATGCAAACAACCGTCAATTAGAAGATATAATGGCAGGGAAGATCACATTTTAAAAAGCAACCAAGAATATTACATACATAGGAGTGAATATATAAGAAATATACAAACTTTTATGAGGAATACTTTCAAACACTTTGATATTCATCACCTAAACACATTGATCAATCTTAGAATCACTAAAAATGAAACAACCAGACATATGCCTTCTGATCCAGTATGAAGTACCCAGCATCAACCATGAAATATCTTCAACAAATAAGTGAATCTCTTCGAGAAATATGAGGAATAGAAGAGCAAATTAAATGACACAATGAAGCAAGCAGACAAATCTAGAACATGAAACATCCCAAAGGACAATTGACCCAGGTTCTTCAATTGATTTATTGAAGGGATAAAAAGGGGGAAAGGACATTGCTTTAGATTCAAAAAGAATCAATGGATATAACAACCAAATGTAATGTGTGGACCTTGTTTGGATCCTGATGCAAACTAATTAACAGTAAAAAAAAAAAAAAAAAAAAAGATTTTTTGAGACAATTGGGAAACTTTTAGTATGTATTACAGTTGACTCCTGAATAATGCAAGGGTTAGTGGTGCCGACCCTCGCACAGTTGAAAACTAGCATACAACACTGACTCCTCCAAAACGTAACTACTAATAGCCTACTGTTGACTGGAAGCTTTATCAATAACATAACAGTTGATTAACACATATTTTGTATGCTATATGTATTATATTCTTACAATTAAGTAAGCTAGAGAAAAATGTTATAAGAAAATCATAAGAAAGAGAAAATATATTTGCTATTGATTAAGTGGAAGTGGATCATCATAAAAGTCTTAATCCTCATTGTTTTCATGTTGAGTAGGCTGAGGGGGAGGGAGAGGAGTTACTCTTGCTGTCTCAGGGGTGGCAGAGACAGAAGAAAATGATGTATAAGTGGACTCATGCAGTTCACACCCATGTTTAAGGGTCAACTGTATATGATAATAAGAGAGTGTTTAATAATTTTCTTAGATAGGATAATGGCTTTGGGGTTATAGAAGAAAATTTCCACATTTTAATGAAACACATACTAAAGATGTTTAGGGAGTGAAAAGAAATAATGCTTGGAATTTGCTTTAAAGTCATTTGTGGGAGGTAGAGAGAGAGGAAAAGATAGAGAATGAAATAGAAAAATCTTAATATTATTTGTATTAGCTTTCTAGGGGTGTGTCTTAGTTTATTTTGTGTTGCTATAAAGGAATACCTCAGACTGGGCAATTTATAAAGAAAAGAAATTTACTTAGTTCATGTTCTGCAGGCTGAGAAGTTCAGGGCATGACTCTGATCTCTGGCAAGGGCTTTTATGTATGTTACAAGGTGGCAGAGAAGGTCAAAGGGGGAAGTGGGCACATACAAAGAGAGGGGAAAACCGAAGGGCATCCTAGCTTTATAACAACCCACTCTCTCAGGAATGAATCCATTCCCACAAAAACTAATCCAGTATCATTACAGCAAGCACTCATTACCCCAAATATAGCACCAAGCCATTCATGAGGAATCTGCCCCCATAACACAAACACACCCCACTAGGCCCCACCTCTCAATACTGCCATATTGGGGATCAAATTTCAACATGAGTTTTCATAGGGACAAACAAACCATATCTAAACTATAGCCAGATGCTGTAACAAAATACCACAGACTGCGTGGCTTAAAAACAAGTCTATTTCTCACAGTCCTGGAGACTGGAAGTGTGAGATCAAGATGTCAGCAAGTTTGGTTTCTCCTGAAGCCTCTCTCTTTGGTTTATGGAAGGCCACCTTCTTGCTGAGTCCTCAGTGGTCTTTCCTCTGTGCACATGTTTCTCTGTCCTAATAGCCTCTTCTTACAAGAAGACCAGTCAGATTAGATTAAGGCCCACCCTAAGGGCCTCATCTTAACATAATTGCCTTTTTAAAAAGCCTATCTCCAAATACGGCCATGTTTTGAGGTAGTGGGTGTTAGGGCTTTGACATAAAAATTTTGAACAATGAGTGTATGTGAGTTTATTGTACTATCTATACCCTTTGTTTTTGTGTATGTATAAAAATGTGTATTAAATACAACAACATTCCAGAGGAGGACATAAAGGTACACCCGAGGCTGGGCGTGGTGGCTCATGCCTGTAATCCCAGCACTGTGGGAGGCCAAGGCAGGAGGATCATGAGGTCAGGAGTTCGAGACCAGCCTGGTCAATATGATGAAATCCCATTTCAACTAAAAATACAAAAATTAACCAGGTGTGGTGGCACATGCCTGTAGCCTCAGCTACTTGGGAGGCTGAGGCAGAAGAATCGCTTGAACCCAGGAGGCAGAGGTTGCAGTGAGCCGAGATCATGCCACTGGACTCCAACCTAGGTGACAGAGCAAGACTCCGTCTCAACAGCAACAACAACAACAACAACAAAGTACACCTGAACAGATAAACATACATAGCATGTCCCGTAAATAGGCACCGTCAGGAAGATATCAGTTATCCCTGAGCAAATTCATAATTTTAACATATCTCAATAAATACACCAACATTTGTTTCCTGGAACTGAATAAGTGTATGCAGAAAAATAAGTAAACAAGAATAGTCAGGAAAATTCTGGAAAACGAAAGAGTAATGGGGTGTGGAGCAGCCTTACTGGATACTAAAACATACTCTAGCGCCTCAAAAATTAAAACAGTGTGGTATTTGTGCATGACTGGAAGAGAATAAAAATCCCAAAATAGACCCAAGTGCATAAGATGATTTAATATATGATAAAAGCAACTTCTCAAATCAATGGAGGTAGAAATAAGCTTTCTGATCAACATTAGGACAAGAGGGAAGCCATTTAAAAAAGATTAAATTGAATCTCTACCTCATGCCATACGTCAGGATAAAACCCAAATAGATAAAAGATTTAAATTTAAAAAAAAAAAAAACCATAAAAGCACTAAAAAAAGCCTTAAAGTGAATGTCTTCCTAACTACGACTCAAAATCCAGAGGCCATTTTTAAAAATGATAGACAAATTGTGCTACACAAAAAAAGAAAAACTCATGGCAAACACATGTGAGCGCACACAAACACACACATCCCATGAGACCATAAGCAATGTCAAAAGACAAAGGAGAAATAGGGAAAATATTTGTAACTTATATATCACAGACAAAGGACTAGACTAATTTCCCTAATTTTTAAAAAGTTTCTAGAAATCTGTGAGAAAAGACAATAAACCATTTTTTAAGGGAGACCAAAAAGAAATAATCGACAGCACGAACAGACAACCTACAGAATGGGAGAAAATATTTGCAAACTATGCAGCCAACATGGGACTAATATTTAGAATTTACAAGGAACTCAGACAATTTCACAAAAAAAAAACCACATTAAAAAGTGGGGAAAGGATGTGAATAGACATTTTTCAAAAGAAAACATATAAATGGCCAACAAGCATATGAAAAAAAAGCTCAGCATCACTAATCATCATAGAAATGCAAGTTAAAACCACAAAGAAATATCATCTTATACTAATGAGAATAGCTATCATTAAAAAGTCAAAAAAATAACAGTTGTCAGTGAGGATGCAGAGAAAAGGGAGTGCTCGTCCATTGTTGGTGGGAATGTAAATTAGTACAACCACTATGGAAAACAGTATGAAAATTTTTCAAAGAACTAAAAATAGAACTACCCTTCAATCCAGCAATCCCACTACTGAGTACCCCCAAGGAAAAGAAATCATTATATTAAAAAAGATATCTGCACTCATATGTTTATGGCAGCACTATTCACAATAGCAAAGATATGGAATCAACCTAAATGTTCATCAACAGATGACTGGATAAAGAAAATGTGGTATGTGTACACAGTGGAGTACTATTCGGCCACAAAATAGAATGAAATGTGTCTCTTACAGCAACATGGATGGAACTGGAAACCATTATCTTAAGTGAAACAACCCAGAAACAGAAAGTCAAATACCACATGTTCTCACTTATAAGCTAAATAATGTATACATGCAGACATAAAGGGTGGAATGGTAGATACTGGAGACTCAGAAAGGTGAGAGGATGGGAAGGGGGTAGATGGTGACAGATTACTTAACCAGTACAATTAATTTCTTAATGGGTACATTATTTGGGTGATGGACATAATAAAAGCATAGACTTCACCAGTACTCAATATATATCCAGATAACAAAATTGCACTTGTACTCTTTAAACTTTATACAAAATCTTTTTTTATGGACAATTGATTTTATTTATTTATTTATTTATTTATTTATTATTATTATAGTTTAAGTTTTAGGGTACATGTGCACATTGTGCAGGTTAGTTACCTATGTATACATGTGCCATGCTGGTGTGCTGCACTCACCAACTCGTCATCTAGCATTAGGTATATCTCCCAATGCTATCCCTCCCCTCTCCCCCCACCCCACAACTGTCCCCAGAGTGTGACGTTCCCCTTCCTATGTCCATGTGTTCTCATTGTTCAATTCCCACCTATGAGTGAGAATATGCGGTGTTTGGTTTTTTCTTCTTGTGAGAGTTTACTGAGAATGATGATTTCCAATTTCATCCATGTCCCTACAAAGGACATGAACTCATCATTTTTTATGGCTGCATAGTATTCCATGGTGTCTATGTGCCACATTTTCTTAATCCAGTCTATCATTGTTGGACATTTGGGTTGGTTCCAAGTCTTTGCTATTGTGAATAATGCTGCAATAAACATACGTGTGCATGTGTCTTTATAGCAGCATGATTTATAGTCCTTTGGGTATATACCCAGTAATGAGATGGCTGGGTCAAATGGTATTTCTAGTTCTAGATCCCTGAGGAATTGCCATACTGACTTCCACAATGGTTGAACTAGTTAACAGTCCCACCAACAGTGTAAAAGTGTTCCTGTTTCTCCACATCCTCTCCAGCACCTGTTGTTTCCTGACTTTTTAATGATTGCCATTCTAACTGGTGTGAAATGGTATCTCATAGTGGTTTTGATTTGCATTTCTCTGATGGCCAGTGATGATGAGCATTTTTTCATGTGTTTTTTGGCTGCATAAATGTCTTCTTTTGAGAAGTGTCTGTTCATGTCCTTTGCCCACTTTTTGATGGGGTTGTTTGTTTTTTTCTTGTAAATTTGTTTGAGTTCATTGTAGATTCTGGATATTAGCCCTTTGTCAGATGAGTAGGTTGCGAAAATTTTCTCCCATTTTGTAGGTTGCCTGTTCACTCTGATGGTAGTTTCTTTTGCTGTGCAGAAGCTCTTTAGTTTAATTAGATCCCATTTGTCAATTTTGGCTTTTGTTGCCATTGCTTTTGGTGTTTTGGACATGAAGTCCTTGCCCATGCCTATGTCCTGAATGGTAATGCCTAGGTTTTCTTCTAGGGTTTTTATGGTTTTAGGTCTAACATTTAAATCTTTAATCCATCTTGAATTGATTTTTGTATAAGGTGTAAGGAAGGGATCCAGTTTCAGCTTTCTACATATGGCTAGCCAGTTTTCCCAGCACCATTTATTAAATAGGGAATCCTTTCCCCATTTCTTGTTTTTCTCAGGTTTGTCAAAGATCAGACAGTTGTAGGTATGTGGCATTATTTCTGAGGGCTCTGTTCTGTTCCATTGATCTATATCTCTGTTTTGGTACCAGTACCATGCTGTTTTGGTTACTGTAGCCTTGTAGTATAGTTTGAAGTCAGGTAGTGTGATGCCTCCAGCTTTGTTCTTTTGGCTTAGGATTGACTTGGCGATGCAGGCTCTTTTTTGGTTCCATATGAACTTTAAAGTAGTTTTTTCCAATTCTGTGAAGAAAGTCATTGGTAGCTTGATGGGGATGGCATTGAATCTGTAAATTACCTTGGGCAGTATGGCCATTTTCACGATATTGATTCTTCCTACCCATGAGCATGGAATGTTCTTCCGTTTGTTTGTATCCTCTTTTATTTCCTTGAGCAGTGGTTTGTAGTTCTCCTTGAAGAGGTCCTTCACATCCCTTGTAAGTTGGATTCCTAGGTATTTTATTCTCTTTGAAGCAATTGTGAATGGGAGTTCACTCATGATTTGGCTCTCTGTTTGTCTGTTGTTGGTGTATAAGAATGCTTGTGATTTTTGTACATTGATTTTGTATCCTGAGACTTTGCTGAAGTTGCTTATCAGCTTAAGGAGATTTTGGGCTGAGACAATGGGGTTTTCTAGATATACAATCATGTCGTCTGCAAACAGGGACAATTTGACTTCCTCTTTTCCTAATTGAATACCCTTTATTTCCTTCTCCTGCCTAATTGCCCTGGCCAGAACTTCCAACATTATGTTGAATAGGAGTGGTGAGAGAGGGCATCCCTGTCTTGTGCCAGTTTTCAAAGGGAATGCTTCCAGTTTTTGCCCATTCAGTATGATATTGGCTGTGGGTTTGTCATAGATAGCTCTTATTATTTTGAAATACGTCCCATCAATACCTAATTTATTGAGAGTTTTTAGCATGAAGGGTTGTTGAATTTTGTCAAAGGCTTTTTCTGCATCTATTGAGATAATCATGTGGTTTTTGTCTTTGGATCTGTTTATATGCTGGATTACATTTATTGATTTGCGTATATTGAACCAGCCTTGCATCCCAGGGATGAGGCCCACTTGATCATGGTGGATAAGCTTTTTGATGTGCTGCTGGATTCGTTTTGCCAGTATTTTATTGAGGATTTTTGCATCAATGTTCATCAAGGATATTGGTCTAAAATTCTCTTTTTTTGTTGTGTCTCTGCCCGGCTTTGGTATCAGAATGAGGCTGGCCTCATAAAATGAGTTAGGGAGGATTCCCTCTTTTTCTTTTGATTGGAATAGTTTCAGAAGGAATGGTACCAGTTCCTCCTTGTACCTCTGGTAGAATTCGGCTGTGAATCCATCTGGTCCTGGACTCTTTTTGTTGGTAAACTATTGATTATTGCAACAATTTCAGCTCCTGTTATTGGTCTATTAAGAGATTCAACTTCTTCCTGGTTTAGTCTTGGGAGAGTGTATGTGTCGAGGAATTTATCCATTTCTTCTAGATTTTCTAGTTTATTTGCGTAGAGGTGTTTGTAGTATTCTCTGATGGTAGTTTGTATTTCTGTGGGATCGGTGGTGATATCCCCTTTATCATTTCTTATTGTGTCTATTTGATTCTTCTCTCTTTTTTTCTTTATTAGTCTTGCTAGCGGTCTATCAATTTTGTTGATCCTTTCAAAAAACCAGCTCCTGGATTCATTGATTTTTTTGAAGGGTTTTTTGTGTCTCTATTTCCTTCAGTTCTGCTCTGATTTTAGTTATTTCTTGCCTTCTGCTAGCTTTTGAATGTGTTTGCTCTTGCTTTTCTAGTTCTTTTAATTGTGATGTTAGGGTGTCAATTTTGGATCTTTCCTGCTTTCTCTTGTGGGCATTTAGTGCTATAAATTTCCCTCTACACACTGCTTTGAATGCATCCCAGAGATTCTGGTATGTTGTGTCTTTGTTCTCGTTGGTTTCAAAGAACGTCTTTATTTCTGCCTTCATTTCATTATGTACCCAGTAGTCATTCAGGAGCAGGTTGTTCAGTTTCCATGTAGTTGAGCGGCTTTGAGTGAGATTCTTAATCCTGAGTTCTAGT
This sequence comes from Homo sapiens, assembly GCF_000001405.40. Taxonomy (NCBI): domain Eukaryota; kingdom Metazoa; phylum Chordata; class Mammalia; order Primates; family Hominidae; genus Homo; species Homo sapiens. Next base: position 132,135,415 of record NC_000023.11, on the reverse strand, counting down.
TTGATTGCACTGTGGTCTGAGAGATAGTTTGTTATAATTTCTGTTCTTTTACATTTGCTGAGGAGAGCTTTACTTCCAAGTATCTGGTCAATTTTGGAATAGGTGTGGTGTGGTGCTGAAAAAAATGTATATTCTGTTGATTTAGGGTGGAGAGTTCTGTAGATGTCTATTAGGTCCGCTTGGTGCAGAGCTGAGTTCAATTCCTGGGTATCCTTGTTGACATTCTGTCTCATTGATCTGTCTAATGTTGACAGTGGGGTGTTAAAGTCTCCCATTATTAATGTGTGGGAGTCTAAGTCTCTTTGTAGGTCACTCAGGACTTGTTTTATGAATCTGGGTGCTCCTGTATTGGGTGCATATATATTTAGGATAGTTAGCTCTTCTTGTTGAATTGATCCCTTTACCATTATGTAATGGCCTTCTTTGTCTCTTTTGATCTTTGTTGGTTTAAAGTCTGTTTTATCAGAGACTAGGATTGCAACCCCTGCCTTTTGTTGTTTTCCATTTGCTTGGTAGATCTTCCTCCATCCTTTTATTCTGAGCCTATGTGTGTCTCTGCACGTGAGATGGGTTTCCTGAATACAGCACACTGATGGGTCTTGACTCTTTATCCAATTTGCCAGTCTGTGTCTTTTAATTGGAGCATTTAGTCCATTTACATTTAAAGTTAATATTGTTATGTGTGAATTTGATCCTGTCATTATGATGTTAGCTGGTGATTTTGCTCGTTAGTTGATGCAGTTTCTTCCTAGTCTAGATGGTCTTTACATTTTGGCATGATTTTGCAGCGGCTGGTACTGGTTGTTCCAGTACCAGGAGCTTTTTTAGGGCAGGCCTGGTGGTGACAAAATCTCTCAGCATTTGCTTGTCTGTAAAGTGTTTTATTTCTCCTTCACTTATGAAGCTTAGTTTGGCTGGATATGAAATTCTGGGTTGAAAACTCTTTTCTTTAAGTATGTTGAATATTGGCCCCCACTCTCTTCTGGCTTGCAGAGTTTCTGCCGACAGATCTGCTGTTAGTCTGATGGGCTTCCCTTTGAGGGTAACCCGACCTTTCTCTCTGGCTGCCTTTAACCTTTTTTCCTTCATTTCAACTTTGGTGAATCTGACAATTATGTGTCTTGGTGTTGCTCTTCTCAAGGAGTATCTTTGTGGTGTTCTCTGTATTTCCTGAATCTGAATGTTGTCCTGCCTTGCTAAATTGGGGAAGTTCTCCTGGATAATATCCTGCAGAGTGTTTTCCATTCTCCCCGTCGCTTTCAGCTACACCAATCAGGCGTAGATTTGGTCTTTTCACATAGTCCCATATTTCTTGGAGGCTTTGCTCGTTTCTTTTTATTCTTTTTTCTCTAAACTTCCCTTCTCGCTTCATTTCATTCATTTCATCTTTCATCGCTGATACCCTTTCTTCCAGTTCATTGCATCGGCTCCTGAGGCTTCTGCATTCTTCACGTAGTTCTCGAGCCTTGGTTTTCAGCTCCATCAGCTCCTTTAAGCACTTCTCTGTATTGGTTATTCTAGTTATACATTCTTCTAAATTTTTTTCAAAGTTTTCAACTTCTTTGCCTTTGGTTTGAATGTCCTCCTGTAGCTTGGAGTAATGTGATCATCTGAAGCCTTCTTCTCTCAGCTCGTCAAAGTCATTCTCCATCCAGCTTTGTTCCGTTGCTAGTGAGGAACTGTGTTCCTTTGGAGGAGGAGAGGCGCTCTGCTTTTTAGAGTTTCCAGTTTTTCTGCTCTGTTTTTTCTCCATCTTTGTGGTTTTATCTACTTTTGGTCTTTGATGATGGTGATGTACAGATGGGTTTTTGGTGTGGATGTCCTTTCTGTTTGTTAGTTTTCCTTCTAACAGACAGGACCCTCAGCTGCAGGTCTGTTGGAGTACCCTGCTGTGTGAGGTGTCAGTGTGCCCCTGGTGGGGGGTGCCTCCCAGTTAGGCTGCTCGGGGGTCAAGGACCCACTTGAGGAGGCAGTCTGCCCGATCTCAGATCTGCAGCTGTGTGCTGGGAGAACCACTGCTCTCTTCAAAGCTGTCATACAGGGACATTTAAGTCTGCAGAGGTTACTGCTGTCTTTTTGTTTGTCTGTGCCCTGCCCCCAGAGGTGGAGCCTACAGAGGCAGGCAGGCCTCCTTGAGCTGTGGTGGGCTCCACCCAGTTGGAGCTTCCCGGCTGCTTTGTTTACCTAATCAAGCCTGGGCAATGGCGGGCGCCCCTCCCCCAGCCTCGCTGCCGCCTTGCAGTTTGATCTCAGACTGCTGTGCTAGCAATCAGCGAGACTCCGTGGGCGTAGGACCCTCTGAGCCAGGTGCAGGATATAATCTCCTGGTGTGCAGTTTTTTAAGCCAGTCAGAAAAGCGCAGTATTCGGGTGGGAGTGACCTGATTTTCCAGGTGCCGTCTGTCACCACTTTCTTTGACTAGGAAAGGGAACTCCCTGATCCCTTGTGCTTCCCGAGTGAGGCAATGCCTCGCCCTGCTTCGGCTCGCACACGGTGCACACACCCACTGACCTGCGCCCACTGTCTGGCACTCCCTAGTGAGATGAACCCGGTACCTCAGATGGAAATGCAGAAATCATCCGTCTTCTGCGTCGCTCATGCTGGGCTATACAAAATCTTTTAAATAAGAAAAATAAAATGGAATGTCGAAGTAAATGAACACATCTTTCACAATAAAAGAAATCCACACAAAAAAGAAATTAATATAAATGTAATGGCACTGGGGCCAGGCACGGTGGCTCACACCTGTAATCCCAGAACTTTGAGAGGCTGAGGCGGGCAGATCACGTGAGGTCAGGAGTTCCAGACCAGCCTGGCCAAAATGGTGGAACCCCCATCTCTGCTAAAAATACAAAAAAAAAAAAAAAAAAAAAAAACTAGTGGAGTGCGGTGGCACATGGCTGTATTCCCAGCTACTTGGGAGGCTGAGGCAGGAGAGTCACTTGAACCCGGGAGGTGGAGGCTGCAGGGAACCAAGATCGCACCACTGCACTCCAGCCTGGGAGACAGAGCGAGACTCCATCTCAAAAAAAAAAAAAAGTAATGGCCCTTAAACATATGAAAAGATGCTTGACTTCTCTCATAATATGAAAAGTACACCAAGATTTTTTTTCTCACCTATCAGTTTGGTAAACATTCAAAAGTTCGATACTCCACTGTCAAGCCTGTATAGAAAACAGTCACTCTCATATATTACTAATGGGACTGCAATGTAGCACAACCTTTATTAGTTTGGTAGGGCTGCCATATGAAATATCACAGACCGGGTGGCTTAAACAACAGAAAGTTATTTTCTCACCATTCTGCAGGCTAGAAGTCTGAGATCAAGGTGTTGGCAGGACTGGTTTCTTCTGACACCTCTCTCCATGGCTCATAGATGTACATCTTCTCCTCTATGTGTCTTCATGTTGTCTTCCCTCTCTACATGTCTGTGTCCTACTCTCTTTTAATAAGGACACCAGTCAAACTGGATTACGACCCACCCTAATGACCTCATTTCAACTTAATTACTTCTTTAGAGACCCTCTCTCCTAATGCAGTCACATTCTGAGTTACTAGGGCTCAGGACTTCAATGTATGAATTTTATGGGTCACAATTCAACCCATACTAACCCTTATGGAAGGAAATATAGCTATCATGACTACCAATTCATTATCCTTGACCAGCAACTCTACTTCTGGAAATCTATCCTACAGATATATCTGCACACATATAAATTGACATATGTATGAAGATATTCATTTCAGTCTTGTTGAGGCTGAAATATTAATTTCAGACTGGCTGAGTGAACTTTGGTTTGTCTACACAGTGCAAAATTATGCAGCTGTGAAAAGAAATGAGGAAGTTCTCCATGCACAGGTAAGGGCAGATCTCCATGATAAATGAGGAAAAAGAATGCACAAAACAGTGTAATACTAGTATGCTACCTACATAGGATATATATATATATTTGTATTTGCTTGTATAAAATTTGCATAAGGAAACACTGAAGGCTGAACAACTACAACAAAACGCTAATAAAAGTGGTTATTGAGTGGGACCAGCCATGCAAATCTCTAGAAGATGACGGTGTTCTTTAAAACACTTCAAAATCATTGGAAGAAAACTACAGCTGGGCTCTTCCTGCTGACCTGGGGAGGCCAGTGGCTCTATGGAAAACACTGTGATAACCTACTAAGGAGAGCAGCCTGTGAAGAAGCTCAGGTGTTTGGCAATCAACTCATTCCTCCCAATGCACAAGTGAAGAAGGAAACTGTTTTTCTCAATCCTGCAGCTTGCAAAGGCAAAGCCAGGATTCTATTTGAAAAAAATGCTGCCCCGATTTTACATTTATCCCAGCATAGGTGTGACTAGTGTTAAGACAGATTATGAGGGACAAGCCAAGAAATTCCTGGAACTGATAGAAAACACATATGTGATCATTGTTACAGGAGGAGATGGGACACTGCAGGAGGTTGTTACTGGAGTTCTTCGATGAACAGATGAGGCTACCTTCAGTAAGATTCCCATTGGATTTATCCCACTGGGACAGACCAGTAGTTTGAATCATAACCTCTTTACTGAAAGTGGAAACAGAGTCCAACATATTACTGATGCTACACTTGCCATTGTGAACAGAGAGACAGTTCCATTTGACGTCTTGCAGATCAAGGGTGAAAAGGAACAGCCTGTGTTTGCAATGACTGGCCTTTGGTGGGGATCCCTCAGAGATGCTGGCATCAAAGTTAGCAGGTACTGATATCTTGGGTCTCTAAAAATCAAAGCAGCCCACTTTTTCAGCACTCTTAAGGAGTGGCCTCAGACTCATGAAACTTCTATCTTGTATACAGGACCTACAGAGAGACCTGCCAATGAACCAGAGGAGACCCCTGTACGAAGGCCTTCTTTGTACAGGAGAATATTACGGAGGCTTGCATCTTACTGGGCACAACCACAGGATGCCCTTTCCCAAGAGGTGAGCCGAGAGGTCTGGAAAGATGTGCAGTTGTCCACCATTGAACTGTCCATCACAACACGGAACAATCAGCTTGACCGAACATGCAAAGATTTTATGAACATCTGCATTGAAGCCGACACCGTCAGCAAAGGAGGCTTTATAACTATAGGAAGCCTAAAGGTGAGAAAAGCCAAGCTGGACACTGAGGGCATGGAGTGTCTCCAAGCCAGCCAGTACACTTTGCTTGTCCCCAAGGGAGCAGGGAGCTCTTTTAGCATTGACAGTGAGGAGTATGAAGCGATGCCTGTGGAAGTGAAACTGCTCCCCAGGAAGCTGCAGTTCTTCTGTGATCCTAGGAAGAAAGAACAGATGCTGGCAAGCTCCACCCAGTGAGCAGGCAGACGACAAGTACTCCGAGACCACATTTTAGGCCACCGGTGGGACCAAAAGGGAACAGGTGCCTCAACCATCCCAACAGTGTTCTCAGAGGCTCTCAAGGGCATTTTCATGGCAACTACCCCTCTGCCAGCCTCCAGCAGTGCTTCCCAAAGTGTTCTCTGTCACCTGCTTTGCAATCAGCTTCTGTTAGGGCATGTTTTGTTTTGGTGTGACGGTCGACCCTCCTAAACACGGGCTTTCCTCAGGCTGGTTCAAGATGGGAAAGGACTTTCTTCTGTTTTCTCCCAAAGTGCAACCACAGTGGAAAGCCCACAGTGGGCTTAGCCTGCCTAAGCCCTTCCATTCCCATTCTATTCTTTGATTGTACTAGGAATTCCAGGAAAAGTGCCTTCCTTCCCTGGTGACCTTTTCCTATTTCTAGCCTCCTCCACGGGTGCTGCTATTTTGAGAGCTCCGGCTCTTGTTTAGCTTTTATTTCAATTCTATCCTCAGTCCAGGTATGTATGTGAGGTTGTTTCCCTCTTCAGCCATGGCTATAATACTGTAAAATGCTAGTTTTTATTTTTTAAGTAGTGCTTCTTAAATGGTTTGCATGAGAGCCACTTGGAGTGCATGTTGAAAATTGATCTATTTGGGGTCCACCCCAAACCTAACAACCCAATTTGGGGATGGGGTTCAGGTATCGGCATTTTTAAAAAGTCAGCCACCCTTCCCAGGTGATTCTGTAAGTTGGTCCCTCAACCGTACTTAGAGAAATAGTGTTTTAAAGCAGTGGTCCACAAAGTATTCTGCTCATGTGACCCCCAAAAGTATTTTGAAAAATCATGTGTCCCCTCACCCATCTAAGTTGACATCTAAAATTTTTCATGGGAAGTTAAATACTTGACAAAGTATGTGTTTGCTGGTGTCATATAAATATTGGTATTTTAAAATAAAAACTGTTACATCACTATTTTAAACATATCCGGTACAATTTAAATATCACAACAATTTGACACCCTTTATTCATTTATAAAAATAAACGAGCTAGTTCTTTAGTAGTTGAACATTTTAAATTGGCTTTTCTTCTTCTATATTTTCATACCACTTTCAGCCAAGAATCCTATCGTAATGTAATCTACTGTGCTTGGCATCTTTTAATCATTCACCCATTATCTTCTTGTCAACAAAAAATACAAATGGAGGTAAGTTTTCTTAGTTCTTGCCTTAAGTGTTATCTCAGTCCAGAATAAATGTCATCGTAATTATTGTTATATAATGAAAATGATATTAATGTAATTCTTTGATGACTGTTTTATTAGAACGTTCTTTATCCTAATTAGTTCATTTATCCAAGAATACATGAATGTTATTTACAGCTGAGATGGGGTTCGACCTTAGTTGTATTCCTTGTTTCATTTCTTTATAGATGTAAGCACATAAATTCTATGGGAATAGAAAGAAAAAAAATTGGTTACCAATAGGGGTGTATTGGGAACACAGAAAAGAGGGAACAGGAGTGGAAGTGAAGTTTTCTATATACCTTTTTATATAGTTTTTATTTCTAAATCATGTGAATTCAGATAATTAAAATTATGCATAATTTTATATTATATATGTTTCTATATAATAGCAATTATATGGATATATTATATCTATATAATTATATATGGATATATTATATCTATATAATTATATATGGATATATTATATCTATATAATTATATATAGATATATATAAGCATAGATAGATAGATAGATAGATAGATAGATAGATAGATAGATAGATAGATGCTTCCTAGCTTGGCCATGAAATTTCTAGTACAATTTGAGATTAACTTGAATCTTTTTACTTTTGAGAATGGCTATTCTCAGTTTATTAAAGCTTGATCTAGGGTTTTCAAATTGTGCCCTTGTGAAATAAAGAAAATCCCCAGGGACCACAAATGCTTGCTTTCTTTATATTTTTCTTTGAAGAAAGGAGCTGAGTTTAAGAAGGCTAGAGGAAGTCCAGTTAGATTTGATATTGACCAAACAGGAGACTGCCCAGATGCTATTGATCCCCTGCACTTGGCAGCACAAATGCCCTTGGGTGTGCATTACTTCAAGCAAACGGAAGTGTGCCCCGCTGACAGTGGGAATGCCTGGCTGGGGGTGGGGGGGCCCGAGTGCACCACATCCAGCTGGGAGTGAAATTCCTGGAGAAAGCACCCACAGCACTCTGAGCCTGCTTGCAGCCCAACGGCCTCGCTGAGAATGCTACATTTAAAAGTGCAGTTTTTGGATGATTCCCAGAAGATTTTTGTGGTTGATGTAAGTGGAAATCACATTGCTATTATTCCTTTATTATTCATTCAATAATTGTCATTTGTGAACAGCCCATTAGAGAGCAATGTTATGTCTTCTTTAGGACTGAATGAAGGAGGACTGTGATTTTTAGCTTTGGAAAAATAATCTGTATTTAACATCACAATGTAGTTCATATTTTTCCATTAACCTTTCTCTTAGAACAAGTTGTCTTTTCTCAAGGGACAACAATAGCAAATTTTAAAGACAGGATAACTATTTGCAAAAAGTAAAGCAGCAATAAACTAGTTCTTTTACCCAATAAGGTATTGTTGTTCATTGAAATTATGTCTGTGGGTCTCACCCCATGAGCATTTGTGGGGAGAAAACTGTTGTTCTGAGGGAAAGGAGTGGGGGAAGCTATCCTCCTTTTCTGAAGAAAACCTATGGGTTATAAGGGGTAGAATTATGTAGTTGTAATGAGAACTTCAGGAAGGAATGACAAGTATGAGAGAGAAAAATAGGATAAGAGACTATTTAGTTTGATTTAGTACTTATAGTTCAGAGTTCTTAATAAATTCCTAGCTACAAGATGATTGCATACAATTATACCTCATCTCTTCAAGAAAGAACAAATGTATTAAGCACATCATTTGGTGCTCATGTTCCAACATCTTAAGATATGTACATTTTGATGTCAGGATTTATGTATGAGCATTTTGAAAAGTTCTACATTTTTATTGGAACCAAAAATGCTATTTGCTCTGATATTTACATTAGCCACTAACAAGAGACAAATAGTTTATTTTCTCTGAAATTCATACAAAATGTTGGTTTTTTTCTTTTATACATAAACTGACAACTGCTGTGGCTCAGCCATGATGTTGTGTGTGTGGGTAGCCCATTTTTCCAATGAGTATTTTATTTTTATTTGAATCATGTGCTTTGTGAGTGATGACTTCATGTCTTCATCTGCTGTTTTGCTGTCTCTTCCTTTCAGTTTTATGCGCAAAAGGCATTTCTAGTTCCACGGACCTGAATGATTTGTTTTTGTAGCAAATAGCTTCCATTAGAGGTATGAGGCATTTCCTATTCTTTCTTGGAACTATATTTAAGGGGTGGAAAATATCTTTTGAGTAGTTTATCCATTTGCAGACTGGTGGTGTATGCTCACAGTGCTGCAGTACCTGAATTAGTGAGCTGGGTATTCAAAAGATATTGCTTTAGGCTAAGTTTTTAATAGATATTTCAAGGAACTCAAAGAGAAATCTTTGACAAAAAGTGACAGAAGAGTTTGTTGAATGTGCAGTCTAATTCAGATCCATTTAAATGGGGTGGAGGGTGGGTAAGGAACACAGTACCATATCTTCACAAAATTCACCTACGGAAGAGCCACTTCCAGCAACTAGAAGACTTGATTTGGCTTCAAGTCAAACTGTCTCTTTCCAGCTGCAACACATTGTGTTCCTTGGAAAGATAATGGGAGAGATTTGATACCCAGCAATTCAGGTGTCAAAGCATGTGATCCCTTTTGCTCTGTGGAAGAATGCTTTGTAAGTAGCAACCATGGTGTTACCCAGAGAGGCAATAGCATTGGCTGCAGTACTGTGAGTGGCTTTGTCCAGAGGAGTTAGAAGCTTAAGTTAGCATTCAATCATCCAATAGTACCTTCTCTGCTTAACAATAATAGATTGATGATGATGATGATGATGATGATAGTGATGATGATGATAATGGTGGTGATGATGATGATAGCAGTAGTGAGTCATCTGTGGATAGCACTTTAAAATTTACAAAGCACTTTCACATCCATTAGTTCATTTGATCTTCCATTCAGCCTTGTGAGTGAAGGTAGGGAAAAGATCTTTTCCCATTTTGTAAGTTAAAAGATGGAGGCTCAGGGAACTTAAGTGACGTGTGCACAATCACACAGCATATAATTGCAGAGCTGGACTTCCAATCCAGAACTCTCCCCTCTCCTTCATATACAATTGTAAACAGTAGACTCATCTGTCAGTAGCCTTCAGTATTGCCGATGCACATTATTTATTTTCTGATGACCTCACAAGGCATAGAACTTGGCACACAGTGAGCTTTTGATGACTATTGTGAACCAGTTAGTAGACCCTTCTTTTCTTAATCATGGTTGAAGAATTATGTGGGACAGTGTTCCCTCAAGGTCAGGGAGACAATGGTGTGAATCTTTTCACCTATTCAAACACTTAAAAAAGCAACCTAAAGAATGCTCTATTTTATTAGTACTAACATTCCAAATTTGATGAAGAAATGCTTGGAACCATAATGAAGAGAACCCATTGATAGCTGAGGAAGGCCACATGGAGGACCTTTTGATACTAAACTGAAATCTCAAGAGGCATGGATCATAACCAGGGAAAATTGTCCTTCAAGATAAGATTCAAGAAAATAATTGGTTGCATAAGGGAACATAGTGGACTCTTGGGTATTGGTGTTGATTTTATAGAAAGTGCAGTGGTAGAAATATAAAAAGGACACATGATCAGATAAAATAATGTCACCTGGAGAAAGCTCATTGACATCCAGAACCCTTTCTCCACCCCCAGTACTATTATCTTCCTGAATTTGCCAGTGTCCAAGGTCTAACTCAGGCCTCCTGACTAAGAAGCCTGTTTTGTCACTACTCCACAAGAACTGGAGTCAGAGACTGACATTTAAAATTAGAATGCTAGTGTCACCATTTACAGTGGGATTGGGGACACTGGGGTCCTCTCATCATTTATATGCCAAATGATGTCAGAAGAGCCAGATCTGGAAGAATTAGATATATGATCCTAATATTCGATGGCTTGGTAATGCATCTGTGTCCACAGAGGCCATGGCATTGAGACCTTTTAGTCACGTATTCATTAATTAACTCATTTAGTTAACAAATTATTATTGAGGACCTAATATGTCCCAGGCCCAGTTCTGGGAACAGTAGACTCTGCTATATTGGTAGGTAAAGTTCGTGAGCAAGAGCACACTCTGGCCTGGACATACTGCCTGGATGCTACCAATTTTGGCCTTGGTTATTCCTTTTTCTGTCATTGCATGATTGACAACTCCGCTTTCTGATCATCCTACTGTTTTTAACTTGTTAATACTTTCAGTTAGTTTATTAGAAAGAGTGGCTGCTCCCAAATACATCTTGTTTTCCTGAGGTTTCTTTGCATATTTGTGCTCTGAGTCACTTGGTGTTGATTTTATAGATAAATTCTCTGAAAATATTAGTCAACCTTTTCTTTCATGAACTTCCAATAGTGTTTAGGGGTGCAGGATAGGTTATGGGACTTCACAATTGCTAGAATGTGCCTACTAAAGTACAATCCAATGAAGAAAATGAATTTAGTGAAAATGTCATCTTACTTTTCAAGCCCTCATATTTATTTCATAAACTGATCATTGTCAAATATTAGCATTATTCTTAGGGCTGATCTTACAACGGACAGCTTATCTTTAGACTGTCAAGGAAGGCTCTCTAGAATGATGATGGGAGTGGGTGAGTGAGACTAAAAATTGAATAAGGTCATGATTTACAAATTAATTGCAGGTTTTATTGTATATTTGGTTTTGCTTCTTCAACATGGAGACTAGAACTTTTCTTGAAGGAAAAAAGGAAGATAAGACCAAAGTTAAAGCTTTGTGAGATATTAGAAACAATAGAGGGTCAAGTTTCTAGCTTGACTATCAATCTCTTCAATATACACACATGCACATGCATGTGTGCACACACTCTCACACACAGTAGTAGTGATGAGTGCCTTTGGAGAGCAACCTCTTGTTTGCTCATCTCAGGTTACATAGAGAGTTGTACAAAATGGTCATCCCATCACCGTATTTGACACAGTTCTATCTGATATCCCTTTTTGCCTGCTGCATTTCTGTCTTTGTAAAAGCTGTTATTTCTGAATTTCCAAAATGATGTTTCACTTTGATGGTTTCTGGAGACTAAAGTCAAAACGAGATGTTAAAACATCTCTACTTTCACATTTACCTGATTGCTAAGTGATTGTACTGGCCATGCAGTGGGTACCCAGTAACAGAATATAGTAAGTTAGCTCACCTGATTCCCTTGGGAGCCCATGATAAAGGCCACTAGGCCTCATTTTTGGAAAGAGACAGAGAGGCAGTGCCAGGACCGAACACTGTTCAAGTTAAGTAGGAAAGCAAAGCACAGTGATTTTTAAATTTATTAGTGGTGGAATTTACCCTTGGGATGTTTGCCCAGGGGTTGGTTTTTAAATTTGCGATGATGAAGGATCTTTTGTAGTTTAGTCAACAGTGAAATAGATAACTGATTCTGTCACTTCATAAGGCAAAGTTCTTCCAACTTCAATGATATGAAATTGCTTTGGTGTAATAGAAGGTACCTGGATTTGGGACTACAAAAACTACCAAAAAACCCACCACTTTAGCTATGTAATCTTGGACTAATCACTTATCCCCTTAGCTTGCTGAGTTGTTGCGAGGAGTAATACAAATTAGGTAATGTATATTTGGAGTCTGATAAACCAGGATAGATTTGACTCTGCCACTGACAAGCTGTGGAGCCGTGGGTAAGTCACTTAGGCTATTTGAGCCTTAGTTCTGTCAACTGTAAATCCTAGACTTGGGGTGCCAGGAAAAACTTCCAGAAGAACAAACCATTTAAGTTGCTGAGTAGGAGTTAAGAAGGTGAAGATCGAGAGGTAGATTGTGGGGGAAGTATGGTGATCTACACAAAGGGAAGAACGAAGGCCAATATTCAAGAGAACATGGTCCTTTCACAGAACAAAAGGGTCAATCTAAGTGAAGAATGGAGTATTGAAAGGAAAATGGCAGTGACTGGAGGTCAAAGTTGAAGAAGAGGTTGGCAGCTAGACCTTTCAGGCAATGTATTCTATATGTGAAGAAGTGTGAGAAGTGTGGTCTTTATCCTGAAGGTGGCAGAGACCACTGAAGGGTTTAAAAGTGGGGACATTAGCCTCTGCTCATCATGCATTAATTTATGCATTTATTCATTCAGACTATATTTAATAAAAATATGTTCTAAGTGCTAGAGATGCCAGGTAGAATCTGAATGTTACCATCAAGTTTAGTGGATCCAATTTTAGAGGGTCAAACTATATCCAAACACATATGCCCAAACATCGATATTGCAGCCTACTAGGGTTCTGAACTTCGTCAATGGTGAAGACAGACAGGAAGGATGAATAAAAGACATGCTAATGAGGTAGAATTTCTAGAACCATTTGATGCCACACTTTTGGATATGGGAGATATGTGAGAAAGGATCTAAATGACCTTCAAGTTTCTAGCTTAAGTGGCTGGTGGGATGATGGCCCCATTCACCAAGATAGAGAACAGAATAGAAGGAGCAAGTTTAGAAGGGATAATGATTGGTTTTGTTTGAGATTTATAGATGGGATTATGGAAGGAAAAATACATCTGGAGTAGGGCAGACCTGAATTCTAGACCAAACCCCAACAATTTGAAGGTGTGAGACTTCAGGTGGGTCACTTCAGCTCTCTGAGGATGTGCCCTTATCACTAAAGTGGAGATGATCCTAGCATCTACCTCATGAGATCATTGTCATGATAAATGAGATATCAGGGATAAGGTTCCTGACACAAAGCGGGTGCTCAAATTTGTTAATTCCCCTCTCCCTGGCTTACAGACCTCCTTATTTCTGTACTTTGCAAACCAACAAAGAACAGTCTTTCACTTTCAACTGGACTTTCTTTTGATGATGCTTGATTTTGCAACCCACCTCCAGGTAATAGAGCTGTGCTCCCCCATTTCTGCGCTTCCTGTAGGGTTAATTTACCCTGCCTTTTTGCATGCTTTGGCCTCTGTTTACTCAGCAGCCCCAAGAGATTTGCTCTTCCCTTTGGAGTCATTAATCCTGGAAGGGTCCATAAGAACTCCCTAGAGTTACCTAAAATAATGTAGGGCTTCCTTTAAGGAAGCAGATGGAAATAGCCAAACCCTTTGCATTTTACTACATTCTAAATTGTTCCATGGTCATTATTCACAGTTAGGGTAATACAGTTAATAATAATAACAATAATATTACTGAATAATAATCACAAATAGCATTTATCAACAATTTTCTAGATGTATTTCCCATGCACTACCTTACATAAGTCTCATGCACATCAAATAAGTGTCACTGACTAGGGTTTTTATATAACTTCTCTGTGCCTTGGGTTTTTTTTTTTAATCTATAAAATGGGGATAATATTAGTACCTGCTCCATAGGGTCCTAACAAAGGTTAAATGAATTAATATATGTAAAACACTCAGACTAGTACTAGAAAGTGCTATATAAGTGTTTGCTACACTCATGCCTCATGGAATTCACTCCAATTTTAGATGGTGAACACATGTCCTGCTTCTTATGTCCAAGCAGTAATACTCCAAGCTGACTAGGCCTAAAATATTATGTTTATCTCTATTTTATGAGTATGTGAACTGAGGCACAGAGAGGTTGACTTACCCAAAGTCATATGGCTATTTAAGTTAACAGGTGAGCTGGGATTCAAGCCCCACTTTGTCTGGCTTCAAAATCCTGTCTGGACATTGATTAGATGGTAGGCTTCTGACTCAAGCGTGATTTCTGTATATGCAGTGAAACTTCCTGGTTTTCCAGAACTTTATGATGTATCCTCTAGCAGATACATCACAAGCAGCCTGCCTAAACAGCCTGCCCCATGCTAGGTGGGATCAATCGATGTTTGTTGATAGACTGACCAACAGACTGAGCAGATCAGCTCACCACCACCCCGTGCCTGTACAAAGAAAGCCAAGTGAAGGAGCTTCTAAACCCAGGTCAGAAAGATCATCCTGGAATCATAACGTTCCAATCTAGCCAATGTTGGCTGTCCCTTTGCCAGGGATTCATTTGTCATTGCAGGGGACCCATACTGCTTGGTGAATGCCTTTGTTTAAACTGAACTTCCTCTGTCGTTCATATCCTGAGGTTTGTTGCTTTGGAGAATAAATTGAACTGAAAAAAAGTGCTTGTGCTTTCTCTGGCCCCAGGCCAGGCTGAGCAGTGGGTCAAGCATGGTTTGGGTGCTGCCTGCCCCACCCTCTGGGAGCCCCACATCTCCTGCTGTCACATGGCTTCCAGGCTGCTTTCCTGCTCCAGTTCAGAGCAAAGGCAGGGCCTCCAGCCTTCCCACTCCCACTCCTACCTGCCCCTTGGCTTCCCATCCCCACAGCTGAAAGGAGGAGGGAACCCGAACGCAAAAACATTTGAGGCCATGGCGGAAGAGATTGGGGAACTGGCTTTGGAGCTATAGGTGGGTGGCGTTTGGCTGTTTGTTCAAGTCTGCACTCGTGGGAATCTCTGTGGAAAATTTCAGTTAGTCGGGGCCTTGCCGCCTCTTCACCTTTCATCGCAGGGCAGGCCTGCCTGCTGCCTGGTGCTGGGGAGGAGTAGCAGAAGTTGGTTCACTGCCCTGCAGCCAGAACGATCTGCAGATCTTCCCTCCGAATTAGACTCGCCAGAGATGATTCCTCTGAATTCTATAGGAGTTTCTCTCTCCCGCTTTTAAATACCCTGCATTTGCATCATTGTTTTGACCTGTCACAAACACAAATGTATTACTCTAATAAAGGCTTAACTTTAATTTGTGCCTTAGGACAATGAAGCTGTCAGTTGCAACTTGGAGAAATTCTTCAAACTGACTGAGCTGAGTCCAAATTGTCTTGGGGTCAAAAGGGCATGGCCTGAGGGGGAAAATCATCTGGGAGGCGGCTGGACTGGCCCAGTCATTTCCTAAAAGAGCCTGGAGACTGCCAGCCCAGCAGCAGGGAGCAGTGCCTAGCTTTTGTGATACTAGGTGCCTCTTAGCAGCTTTGTGCCAGACTGTCAGAACTGGAAAAACATTCCGTGAGACCAGTTCTACTGCTGAGAGAACCACCCTTAACAGTTCATTTACACCCCAGGAGGTAGTGCCGAGCTGGCCAATGAGGTGCTAGGGCAAGGCACCACTGAGAAGACCTGCTGAAGGCTACAAAGCTCAGGAAGAATGAAAGGTGATAGGCGTTCCGAGGAACATTTTTCTGGGGGCTGCGGAACTCTCTGATGTATATAGCTTGCCTGGTTCTAAACACAGCTGCTGTGCAAAAGCTACAATTATTACCCCCACATCATCTAATTTCAGCCCCTTTTTCTGTATTCCTTCTCAGCCTCTTTACCCACTTCCTCCTCTTCTGGGTCCAAGGTGTGGGGCCAGAAAGGGGAGGTTTGGCTGGGTGAGCTGACCCCAGGCCCTGGAAGCACTTAGGCATGGCGCTTCACCACTAATCGCTGGGCTTAGTTGTCTTAAACAAGAGGTCCTTTGTCCTCTGAGATTCCTTCTATGATGACGAAATTCACCTTTCAACAGACTTTTAAAAAGACAAAGATTCTCCAGAACTTCACACTCAGAACATTTTAAGTGATTGTAAGAGATCTGTGACAAAGTTACTGTCAATTGCCTTTAATGCTATGAGATTTCATTTCCTGACCTAGCTGCATGCCAGGAACTTCCACTTACATTATTTCATACAATCATTACTTAATACGTCTGTGAAATAGGTATGATTATGCTCCTTCATTCATTCATCACTCACTTAACAAGTCCTCACTGAATCCACACACTGTGTTGGCTATTGAGGATGCAGAGATGAATGAGAAATAGTACCTAATCTCAAAGAGATCATGGGCTAGGGGAAGAATCAGAGATATAAGCAGGTATGTATATTATGGTGTGATGTGTACAAATGACAGTGGAAAGGATAATTTTTTTTTCTAGCACAGCAAAAGAGGGGCATCTAACCTAGATTGAAGTGTGTATGTGGAGGGGACGGACAGGCAAGGTTTTTCTAAGGAAGGTGATGTCTAATCTGAACCCCAGATAGCCAGTACTAATTATTTAGGTATGTGTTGGGGAGTTGGGGGGCTGTGGGGGAGCAGAGATGAAGGTTGGTCCAGACAAAGGGAGAAGCAGGAAAAGGCCTGTGGAGTAGGTTAATCTGATTGAATCTTAAACTTGAGGGCAGAGGGGACTGAGAGAGAGCGATGAGAGACTGAGGGCTGAGACAGGAGAGACAAGCAGGAACTGATGAGACAGCTAAATGCCCAGGCAGATAAAAAGGGGTCCCCAGAGAATCTCTGGCCCACTCCACAAGTGTTTACATCAGATGCTTTTGTGCAGATGGGGGAACCTGCCCAGTGCCTTGTCTGAGCATGCCCACATGCGCACTGGGAGAACAGGGTGGAGCCATGGGCAGGGGGAGGAGCTTGGCCTCCAGTTCCTGTGTGGTGGCCTGGGATTCAATCTGTGAGGTCAGGGACCTATTAGCAAGAGCTCCATCTCCCTTTGCTGAGTTTTTTTTTTTCTTTTTTCCCTTTTTTGCCCAATAAAATCCTGCCCTACTCACTCTTCAATGCGTCTGCGTGCCTAAATTTTCCTGGTCGTGTGACAAGAACCTGGTTTTAGCTGAACTAAGGAGCAAAATTCTGCAACACAAAGTCATAAAAAAGATTTTTCAAATAAAGAAATCAAGGTTCAGCAAGGTTAAATATGAGCTCAAGGTCATACAACTGCAAGTAAGTACTTGAGTCAGGAATTAAAAGTAGATGCGTTCATTCCAATCCCCAACTCTCTCCCCTATGGTTTGCTGCCTCTGGAATTCTGATGCACAGTTTGGGTTCATATAATTCTTTCACTACTTTACCAAGCAAGAACTACCACTGCCACGATTCCTTCCCATAATTTGTATTCATATTTCCGTATTTAATTAAAGTTTTACACAAAAAATTATTAGACATTTTAGTATTTAATTCAAAGTCTCAAGCAAAAATAAGACAACCAAAAATGTACCCCAAATAAGCTGGGAAAATTCAGTTTCTGGAAAAATGTATCCTAAGGAAATAAAATTTTATGTAAAGATACATGTACATCTTTGTGTACTAAGATGTTTATTTTAGTGTTGTTTGCAATAGCTCAAGGGAGAAAACAACTTACATGTCCAACAAGGTAGTTTCATATAACAGTAACTAATGATGATATTCACAATATAATACTACATTTTTTTAAAAAAGTTGGTCACCAAAAGGTGTTATTACATCACATGCATTGAGCTTTACTCTGTGATCCTTAGATTGGCTGTCTCTTGATAGGTGGGATTAGGAGTACCTTATTTCTTCTTGCTTTTCTGTTTCTTTTGTTCCCTGCTTTTTAAATAAGCATATATTGCTTTTGGAATGAGGCCAAAAAAACAAACAAAAAAAGAGAAAACAATAAAAGAATCTTCATTGAAAACACAGTTCCAATGATAAGTATGTGAGGTAAAGCACGTTACCTCGATTTAGCCATTGCATAATCTGCATATTTTAAAACATCATGTTGTACATGATAAATACATATAATTTTTATTCATCCATTAAAAATAATAAATAAAAACAGTTGCTGTACATGATCCACTACCTGCATAAGCAATCAAAAGAGGGGGTTCTTCTCATGACGGCAGGGCCACACTTTCCCAGATGCTCATAGCCACATTATGTGATATGTATAGGTTCTAGGCACTTGCTCCAAAATATCAACCCCATTCCCTACTAGCCTACAATTATTACTCTTTTCCAACCTAAATAGTAATGGTAATAGCTAATATATATCAACAGAATGTTTATTATGTGCCAGACACTAGTCTAAATATTTTACATGTATCAGCTCATTGAAATCCTCAATGAAGTAGGTGCTACCAATATTCCCATTTGACAGATGTGCTAACTGGAAAGAGGTGAAGTAACTTTCCCAAAGTCACAGAACAGTGAGTGGTGCAAACAGGATTTGAACAGGGGCAAGCTGGATTAAGAGCCCATGCACTTGACCACTCCATCCACTCTTTGAAGCTAGTCCTTCAAGAACCACCATGTTGCAGTTATCTCAGCATTTTATTTTATTTATTTTATTGTATTTTTAGATTTCATTTTATTTTAAGTTCTGGGATACATGTGCAGAACGGACAGGTTTGTGACATAGGTAAACGTGTGCCATGGTGGTTTACTGCACCCATCAACCCATCACCTACGTATTAAGCCCCACATGCATTAACAATTCATCCTGATGCTCTCCCTCCGCCGGCCCCAACCCTGACGGGCCCCAGTGTGTGTTGTTCCTCTCCCTGTGTCCATGTGTTCTCATTGTTCAGCTCCCACTTATGAGTGAGAACATGCGGTGTTTGGTTTTCTGTTCCTGTGTTAGTTTGCTGTATCTCAGCATGTTATATCTTAAACGGCTCTTATTTGTGTTGGGAGTGGTTGAGTAAAAAACAGGGTCAGCAGTTGCTGGTGAAGTGGGCCTTGTAAGAGCTCTGAGAGAGCTTTCATGTACAAATGGAAAATGGAAACGGTTCAGAGAAATGGACAAGGTTAGAAAAATACGTGGCATCTGAGAATCATGAGGCCAGAAAGAAAGGTCATTCTTTGGAGCTCAGTGGGTGGGGTTATGAGGCCAAAAGGATGCAGTAAGTTCCTTTAACTTTGAGAAGGCAAGCAATAGTTGTTGAATAGTTACTGCTTACTCTGAAACATAATAGATGCTTAGTAAATATCTGTTAAATCAATGTAAGAGTGGATTCTGTTCTTGCTCTCAGCTGCTAGGCAGCTAATCCTTGCTCCAATGAGTTAGCTGATATAATGTCAGTCGATAAAACATTCTAGGAAGTTAAGTGTTAAGTCGGGAGGGGTGTGGTGCAAACATTTCATGTGTTAGAGTAATAATTTTTTTCCTGGACCAGCCCTGCACACATGTGAAACTGTGTGGTCACAGTATGCCCTCACTGACTATTCGAAATGGGGTTGCCAGAAGAAATGAGAAACGCCCTGCCTCAGACTTCCCCAAAGTATAACAAATGAGAGGTCATCTCTATTCCTAGGAATCTACAAAGACTCCTCAGGTTTCTCTGTGGAAGCCACCGTGAACCTGTTTATTCATTTCTGCATTTGGAGGAATGTGGACTAGAGCCTCCTAAGTTGAGAAAAGCAAATGTCAAATTCGACATTGAGAAGGGAAGAATATCTTTGGTTTTGATTTTTAAATAGCAATGAGTCAGCTTAACCAGATCCTTCTGTACAAATAATTCCACCTAAGCAATTAAAGGAGAAAAATATTGGAAGATCTTGCATTGGGAGTGTACAACTAATTTTAAGACACAAAGGTTAGTATCCCTTGGGATGTAGTTTCCCATTAAAGATTGCTAATAAGTTACAAATCCTACCACTACTCCCTTCTCAGGTTTCCCACAATTTTACATTTAGAAAGTTAAACCATGCTTTCTCTTTCTCTCTTGTACATTAGTCTTTTAGATGTGTAGTACTTAAAAGAAATGCATGAAATTAAAAATGTCCTGGGTTTGGCTGTACTTGTACCTGGGTACAATTAGAGAATTCCAGACAACTGTTTTGAGTTATGCTGCATACCCTAAAAATAGAGCCACCATATTTAAATAGCCTTGAGGAGAAAGGATGGCAGAGGTCCTTAAATCTGGGGCCAGCCCCAGACTAATCCAGACTGAGAAGAATCTGCAATCACTAGGCTTACAAGTTCAAGTCACTCCAAGGCTCACAAGTGTGAGTTAGCACTTAGGACTGGGATGACTACAGGCTGGTGTAGGCTAAAAGAAAAGGGGCAGAAAGCTGTAAGCAGGCCCCGGAGTTAAGTTACACTGCTGAGCTGTAAGCAGTCCCAGGAGTTAAGTTCAACAAATCTTTGAGAATCACCTACAGTGTGCACGACATATGTGGTGATCGGTCAAGGAGAGAGCAGACCTAAGTGGAATCTAGCTGGTTGCCATTGTAAGTCCAAGTTAGTATCAAACAGCAGGAACCCAAGTGAAGAGACTAGGTGAACATCAGGGTTAGGAACTTGGATAGATGTGTGGGTAGAAAAAGAAGAGTGAAATAACAGGTCCTAAGTGACTGCTGCAAAGGTGGAGCTTGGCAAGAAGCCAAGTCAAGACTGAGGCAGGGGCCTCTTGTATGTTTCCTGCTGTAGGGCAGAACTGGTCCCTTAGTGTAGTCCACAGGTGTCAACAAGCAAGCACACCTGGCTAATGTGGAGATGTGGAAAGGATGGGAAATGAGACACTCCTGGACAGGGAGATCAGCTTGAGTGATAGCTCACATGACATCTCATTTTTGCTAATCAGTTTGAATCCTATAGAGGTTGTATATTTTTAATTTAAAATTTTATATCCAGCTTCAAAAACAATAGAACCTAAGTTCATTATAAATAGATGAGAAAATTCGGTAAACAAATGAAGAAAATAAATTTCAAGTATAATCCTACCACCAAGATTTTAACATTTTGGTGTGCATTTTATACATTGAAATTCTACTTCTTTAATGGACCCCTAAATTCCACATGTGCCTCCCCATTCCATTTAGTTTGGAATAGTTTCCTGAATATATTTAAAAAGGTTTTCTGTTCAGTCAATGCAGATTCCCCACAGTAACCCTAATATGCTGGCTTTCATGGCCTCTTAGTAAGTAGATGTTTTATAAGGCATTATACCTTGATGACTTCTTTATAGGGTTTCTGTGAAATTCACAACCTGTCAGAACAGCATGGCTTCCAACCTGCTCACAGCCCTGCTGGGCAACATAGTGAGCACTGTTTCTAAATGGAGTAAAACTGATTCTAGGAACAAAAGAGACAGACTCGGGGAGCAAGTGAGAAAAGGGAGGCTAAAGGAGAAGGTGAAACATTGAAGTCATAAGCAGAAGGTGGGAAAAGTGAGTCAAGGATAGAGTCCAAAGGTGAGAAAAGATAATAAAGTCAGGTAACATGGTTACCAGAGGCTAGGAAGAGTAGTGGGGGGTTGGAGACTTGGGGGGAGGTGGGGATGTTTAATCAGTAGAAAAAAAAATAGAAGAATGAATAAAACCTGCTATTTGATAGCACAACAAGGTGACTATAGTCAATAATAACTTAATTGTACATTTTAAAATAACTAAAAGAGTGTAATTGGATTGTTTGTAACTCAAAGGATAAATGCTTGAGGGGATGGATACCCTATTGTCCATGATGTGCTTATTTCACATTGCATGCTTGTATCAAAACATCTCCTGTACCCCATAAATATATACGACTACTATGTACCCACGTAAATTAAAAAATGTAAAGTGAGGTAAACAGAGTGACTATGACAGGAAGAAATGAATGAAAAAAACAAGTTCTAGCTGTTTATCTCTCTCTTATCATTCATCCACCTAGATAATAGTTTTCTCTTTACATTTAAGGAGAGCCTGGCATAATGAAATGAGCCCATTGCTGGAGGCCAGAAGACCTGGGTTCCACTCCCAGGTCTGCCATTAACCTGCTGAAAGATCCTAGGCAAGTCTCTTACCTGCTCTGGATCTAAATCTCCCCACTTGTAAAATGATGGGCTTGGAGTACATGATATCTAATGGTCTGTTTTGTCCTGGGTATCTCATATTGCTAGGTATATACAGAATCAATTTCACGTTAAAATATAATTCCAAGTACCATTTAGAATTTGGTTGTGTATCATGCACACCACATGGATTTAATGTTAAAGTGTTATGTGGAGACAAACAATTATAATTGTTTTAATTACCCAGAGTAGCTAGTAATTTCTATAAGACTTGGGAGCACTGTCTTAAGAATGCTATTATTACACTGTCACTTTTCAACAGTCTTTCCAATTTAGGCATGATAATTTCAATGTCCCAGGAGTGGGGACAAGATTGCTATTAGGCTGATAATCTTACTGGTAATCTTTTTCTTCACCCCTGCCCCCCTTAGTGTGAAGGTTAACGCTGAGCAGTGAGAGTCTCTTAGACTCCATCCAGTTACTTCACCAAAGAATGTGAATCAGATGCAACCTGTCCAGGTCATTGTCAGGCCTGCATAAGGCCTCAGGCAATTATATATAATCACTTCCTTGTAGCTTTGAAAAGGTGTCTGACAGAAGGTATCATCTATCAGGTACCGGACTAGCTATCTGATTCCAGAGTTCTCTTCCTAGCTTGGTTTGGTTGGCATCAACATGGCTGTGGATATAGGGGGTGGTGGTCAGGCAGCTGTTCAGCTTGATTCTCCAGGACCCCCCAGGATAGTCACGTGGGCCGGAAATCTTTCTGGGCAGTTAATCCTAAGAAACGTTAAGCCTTCCATCTTTCACACATGCAGCACTTTGAACTGCTTTATGTTTTCAGAAATAAAATAAAAACCAGTTGTAATTTGGTGCGAATTTCACACGTGCACAAGCATCTAAAAGGCTTGTTCTCTCTGCTTACCCCCACCAGGAAACCTTAAGTACCCAGTCAAACTGTGCTTCCCTCCAGGGTTTATTGCTGAGTCCTGTGGGCTCTAGGGAAAGGGCCTTGGTTCCTTCCTACTTATTCTTTGTTCTTTGATGTGTCTAACTGCACCTTGCTCTCCACCAGATGCTAAAAGGTTAGACTGCCTGCAGAGAACTCCATTTTAGAAGGAACCGCTGCTACCTGGTAATTAGCCTCTCACCACTCTTAGCAGTTTTCCTTTTACCAGGAGTTAAAACCCCAGGAAGGGTTACAGTTTGGTCAATGAATTTCTTCTGCCTCTGCCCTGAAGGAGCTCCCTTTCCTCGTTCCCTAGGTGATTTACTGAGTGCAAACTTTCAAATTATGTTCAGCTTATTTCCTAGAAAACTTGTTGCAGCTGCCTATATTGGTATAGGTGTAAAATATGAGCCTTTTAAAAAAATGTCAGAACATTTGCATTTTTACCGAAAAGTAAAACAGTCTTTAAAAAGAATCCCTCCTAGGGTTTATTCCTCAAGAAGTTCTGAGATTCCTGGATGTAGCCTGCAGAAAAAGGCTTACCTTCAGAGGGGTTTAAGCTCTCTGTAAATAAGGTGCACACCTATTGATGTTTATAAACAGAGCTCAGTCGAGGTGAAGGAGTGCAGACCAAGATTTCACCAGATGGCTAAAATTAAATCAGCATAACTGAAAACATGCTTAGCCTAGAATTGCACTAAATGGTGTCAAAATGCAGAACTATCTCCATACTTCCTGTTCTAATTAACACAAGTCCAATCCTCTCACTGGAGTGTTCTGCTTGGTTCTGGCTTCCAAAATGCTATTCGGAGTTCAGGATTTGAAGAGTAAAAGACTGATGGAAATTAGCCAGAAGGAACTAGTTCACAGTTGTCCCCACAAATATGCTGAATGACAATGTGCTTATACTATTATAGATGGAACTGGTTCTGGGCCAGTGCCAGAGTGGGTGATTGGGGTAAGTTACAAAAGGGATAATACATGGAGAAGCTCTGAGGTTCACCAAAAGACCAGAAGAAAAATACCAGATGGTTGGCCAGACACACTGGCTCATGCCTATAGTCCCAGCACTTTGGGAAGCTGAAGCAGGTGGATTGCTTGAACTCAGGAGTTCTAGACCAGCCTGGGCAACATGGTGAAAGCTCATCTCTACCAAAAATACAAAAATTAGCCAGTCTTATAACTCAGTCTCAAAATAAGTAAATAAATAGATAAAAAATTTAAAAACAAAATTAAAAAATTAAAAAAAGAAAATGCCAGGTGCTGGACTTAAATTTTTATATTTATTTTTCTTTTTATTTGAGACAGAATCTTGCTTTGTTGGCCAGGCTGGAGTACAGTGATGTGATCATATTTCATTGCAGTTGAACTCCTGGGCTCCCACCTCAGCCTCCTGAGTCACTGGGACTACAGGGATGCACCACCATGTCCAGCTAATTGTTTAATTTTTATAGAGACAGGGTCTCAGTATGTTGCCCAGGCTGCTCTTGAACTCCTGGCCTCAAGCAGTTCTCTTGCCTTGGCCTTCCAAAGCTCTAAGATCACAGACATGAGCCACTGTGCGTGGCCCAGGTGGGTGACTTTAAAAGGAACTGGTGAACAAAATAGGTTGTCAGAAGGAGATTTCATAAGTTAATGCCAGCAGAAAGCTTTTGATATGAGAAGCCATGATTTTCTTTTCAGACCTGTGCAAAGGCTACGGAGTGTTGAAGGAGGGGTTCAAATATGTGCACACATTGGTGAGGAATGTTCTGAGCATCCCCACTCTCAGATAGGTTGGTGTGGGGAGAATTCAGTAACAAGGGATGGAGAGTAAGTGAGGCAAGCTGCTTGGGTAGCCCCTTGTTGTGCATGTGGTCTGTGGGCCAATTGGTAAAGAAACAAATGTCAAGGATGAGCAAAGTGATGCATAAAGGTGAATGAAAGACGGTAAAATGAAGCCTAAACTCAGCGATGATGGACGCAAACCCTTATCCCAGCAGAAGGCAAAAGGGGAGCAAGCCTGTAAGACCTGCAAAGAGAATACCAGGAATCTCTAGGACACTCTCTCTCTCTTAACCTCCCCAAGTCCAACTGCACCTATTACAGAGCCATCTCTCCTATCTTTACCTCTTTGTATTCTCACTACCACTGTCTTAATCCAGGCTACCATCTTCTCTCACCTGAATTATAGCAGCCCCAACCTGACTACCTGTCACCTGTTTTACCCCCTCCTCCACCTATCCCTTAAACCATCATTCCTCAAAGTGTAGCCCACAGACCAGCAGCATCGGTCTCACCTGGTAGCTTGTTAGAAAAGTATATTCTCAGGCCTCACCACATATCTATAGAATCTGAACCTGCATTTTAACAAGATCCCCAGGTGATTCATATGCACTTTACAGCTTGGGCAGCAGTGCCCTAACTACTTTTAGGCTGCTGTCTCTAAGACACAACTCTGACCTTGTCAAGTCCCTGCTGAATATCATCCAGCTACTCCTAACCCCACCCTGTACCTCACCTTCAAGGCACATGGCTTCACATGCCACAACAACTCCCCTTGGTATGACTTCTGCCCACTTTTCCAGCCCCAGGGTCTCATTTTCTCCTTTAGCAACACCAAACTGCTTGCAGTTTCATTGTTCAAACCAGGTTTTCTAATCTCTTCTGCCTCTAACACTCTTCTTCTTTCCGCTGGCTAACTCCAATTCTTGCTTCACACCTCAGCTTAGATGTCCCATCTGTTAGGAATCCTTTCTACTACGCCCTCACCCATCTTTATGGGTTAGGTGATCTCACATTACCCCCTGCATACATCCCTCCACAAAATCACTTAGCTCAAACTGCTGTGATTAACCATGGATGTGCCTGTCTTCTCTGCCAGCCTATGTGTTCCTTGGTGGTAATGCCTGTGTCTTGTTCATCTCAGTGTCCCTGGAGCCGAGGAGAGTATGTGGCACAGAGCAGGTGCTCAATAATCTGTGTTGAATTGAAGGGACAGTAGAAAGGATCACAAAAGGGTAATGGCATACACAAAAAGGAAAGGAAAGGGCAGGCACATGAAAATTAAGCCCAGAGTTTGGGCAGATAAAAATTACAAACAGGAAAACAAAAGAGCTCGAAAAATACAATAAACAATAGAGTAAAAAGCATACTAAAGGAGAGATGAGGCGTTGACTTTTAAAGTGTTTATTAAGGAGAAGGTTAAGACTGATGAAACAGTTCTCTGTCTCTGTTTTTGTGTATGGCTGTTATGGCTGAGACTTACCTATGAAAATGTGGAATCAGAGGGTTAAAATGACCAAAAGGTAATTCATTTACTTGCCACCTGGAGAGATGATCAGCTGATACTGGTTTATCTGAGAGAAAACCAATAGTTATGTGTGTGATTCTAAATATTGCAGATCTTGAATATTCAAATAAATATTGCCCTTGTCAAAATAGACCCCTCAGATGGTGCAAATGCTAATAGCTAGGTGTAGCCTGTTCTCACACTGCTATGAAGAAATACCCGAGGCTGGGCAATTTACATTTGTTTAAAGAGCTTTAATGATTCACAGTTCCGCATGGCTGGGAAGGCCTCAGGAAACTTACAATCATGGCGGACGGGCACCTCTTCACAGGGCTACAGGAGAGAGAATGAGTGCAAGCAGGGGAAATGCCAGGCACTTATAAAACCATCAGATCTTGTGAGACTCGCTCACTATCATGAGAACAGTATGGGGGAAACCTCGCCCATGATCCAATTACCTTCATCTGGTCCCGCCCTTGACACATGGGGATTATTATAATTCAAGATGAGATTTGGGTGGGGACACAGAACCAAACCATAACACCAGGTGACCACACACCAGGATTTGTCCAAGACAGGCCTGGTTTATGCCTGTTGTGATAATATCCTTATTACAAGTGCCCCTTGTTATCCTCTAAAGTGTCCAGGTTAGGTTCATAAATTATATGGTCACCTAGAAGTAGTCAACACTTATTGAGTTCTTCCTATGTGTCAGACACTGTGTAAAGTACTTTACATGAATATTCTCGCTAGAAGCTCCCTGTGATCCCTTTTGAGATAGACATACAGTTCACATAACAGTAAATTAATCAAATTCATCCTTTTAAAGTGTACAATTCAGTGGTTTTTTTGTATCTTCATTATGTTGTGCAACTATCCCAACCATCTAATCCCAGAATATTTTCATCACCTCCAAAAGAAACTCCATGCTCATTATTATTCACTCCCACCCAGCTGCTGGAAACCACTAATTTACTTTCAGTCTGTAGGGATTTGCCTATTCTGGATAGTTCATAGGAATTGAATCACATAATATGTGACTTTTTCTTTCTGGCTTCTGACAATTCTATTTTACAACTGAGGAAACTGAGGCTCAGAGAGATTAAGTAGCCTACCCACGATCACTCTTCTAGTGGTAGAGGAGTCAGAACTAGGCCCAGGTGTGTCTGGCTCCAAAGCAAACATTCTTAGCCACCATGCTGTGCTGCCACCTCATATTTATTGCAAGGGCTTAGCACATTCTTGGAACTCCTCTTTGGCCCTCTGTAGCTGGGCACATTCTTTCCAAAATGCCTCACAAATCTTCATTATTTGAGAGGGAATTTAGTGTTTGGGAAGAGCCAAAAGTCATAAAAAGCAAATATGGTAACAAAAGTGGACCATCAAGCTGGGTCATTGCTATAGACTGACTTGTATTCTCCCAAAATTTATATGTTGAAGCGCTAACCCTCAGTGTGACTTTATTTAGATAGGACTTTTAGGATGTAATTAAGGTTAAATAATATAAATATGGGGTCCTTATCTGATAAGATTGTTAGCTTTATAAGAAGAGGAAGATTCTCCCTCCCTCTCTCTCTCTCTCTCTCTCTCTCTCTCCACCATGTAGAAATATAGTGAAAAGGCAGCCATTTACAAACCAAGAAGAGAGCCTTTACCACAGTCCAACCATACTGGCACCCTCATCCCAGGTCTCCAGCCTCTAGAAATGTGAGAAAATAAATTTCTATTGTTTGAGCCACCCACTCTATGGTATTTTGTTATGGAAGCCTGAACTGGCTAAGACAGTCATATTTGGGGATAAAAAATGAGGCATAACCATAAAGTCAGGAGAATGAATGATTATCATCTGTGACTTTGAGAATAATTTCCTGAAGGGGTCATAAGAAATATTTTGAATGCCAGAGTCAGCATTGGAAACAGGGGAAGCCTCTATCTATAAGACATTTTGTATGACACTATGCTTTTAACATTTAGAATATCTATTGTATTTCTCTGGAAAATATAACAAGTATAAGCAAAAAGTAAAAATAACCCATTATGCTACTATTAATGATATGCTATATTTCCTTCCAATCTATCTTTTCCTGAAACCTTAATTGTATAGTCTGTATTTTTTTAAAGCACACAATTAATATGTAAGATACATTAAAATTTCTCTCTTTTTAAAAATCTTTTAATTTTAGGTTTGGGTGTACATGTGAAGGTTTGTTACATAGGTAAATTTGTGTCAAGGGATTTTCTTGTACAGATTATTTCATCACCCAGCTATTAAGCCCAGTACCCAATAGTGATCTTTTCTGCTCCCCTCCCTCCTGCCACACTCCACCCTCAAGTAGACCTCAGTGTCTGTTGTTTCCTTCTTTGTGTTCATAATTTCTCATCATTTAGCTCCCACTTATAACTGAGAACTTGCATTATTTGATTTTTTGTTCCCGCTTTAGCTCGCTAAGGATAATGGCCTCCGGCTCCATCCATGTTCCTCCAGAAGACATGATCCTGTTCTTTTTTATGGCTGCACAGTATTTCATGGTCTATATGTACCACATTTTCTTTATCCAATCTGTCATTGATGGGCATTTAGGTTGATTCCATGTCTTTGCTATTGTGAATAATCCTGCAGTGAACATTTGTGTGCATATGTCTTTATGGTAGAATAATTTATATTCCTCTGAGTATATACAATAATGGGATTGCTGGGTCCAATGGTAGCTCTGCTTTTAGCTTGTTGAGGAATTGCCATACTGCTTTCCACAATGGTTGAACTAATTTACACTCCCACCAACAGTGTATAAGTGTTTCCTTTTCTCCACAACCTTGCCAGCATCTATTATTTTTTGACTTTTTAATGATAGTCATTATTTTTAATACCATTTGAATTGCGTGAAATGGTATCTTATTGTGGTTTTGATTTGCATTTCTCTAATGATCAGTGATACTGAGTTTTTTAATATGCTTGTTGGCTGCATGTATGTCTTCTTTTGAAAAATGTCTGTTCATATTCTTTGCCTACTTTTTAATGGGGTTGTTTGTTTTTCTCTTGTAAATTTGTGTAAGTTTCTTATAGATTCTGGATACTAGACTTTTGTCAGATGCATAGCTTGCAAATATTATCTCCCATTCTGTAGGTTGTATATTTACTCTGTTGATAGTTTCTTCTGTTGTGCAGAAGCTCTTAAGTTTAATTAGATCTCACTTGTCAATTTTTGCTTTTGTTGCGATTGTTTTTGGTGTCTTTGTCATGAAATCTTTGCCCATTCCTATGTCCAGGATGGTGTTATCTAGGTTGTCTTCCAGGGTTTTTATAGTTCTGGGTTTTACATTTAAGTCTTTAATCCATCTTGAGTTAATTCTTGTATATTATGTAAGGAAGGGGTCCAGCTTCAATCTTCTGCATATAGCTAGCCAGTTATTCAGGCACCATTTATTGAATATGGAGTCTTTTCCCCATTGCTAGTTTTTGTCAGCTTTGTCGACGATTTGATGGCTGTAGTTGTGCAGCCTTATTTCTGGACTCTCTATTCTGCTCCATTGGCCTATGTGCCTGCTTTTGTACCAGTACCCTGCTGTTTTGGTTACTGTAGCCCTGTAGTATAGTTTGAAGTCAGGTAACGTGATGCCTCCAGCTTTGTTCTTTTTGCTTAGGATTTCCTTGGCTATTTGGGCTCTTTTTTTGTTCAACGTGAATTTAAAAAAATTTTTTTTCTAGTTCTGTGAAGAATGTCATTGGTAGTTTGATGGGAATTGCATTGAATCTGTAAATTGCTTTGGGTAGTATGGCCATTTTAATGATACTGAGAATGTCTTATTTCAAATGTTGTTGAAGGTGGTTGTTGATCAGTTAATTGACAAAATTTGCTAAAGCAAACACTAATAACAAATCATATACATATATATACAGACATCTCAAATTTTTTATTTTAACATAAAATGTATACATTTTATTCATATCCTAACTGTTTGATATAGGGTCAAGACCTTTTCTTTAGTATGGACTTCTGATTGTATTCCCTTTTGTCTTTCTTCCATAAACCACATCCATAATCTGTCATCGATGATTTCCAGTCTTGGTTTATTTAATGTGGAACAAGAATACAATGATTTCAAAGCAGTGAGTACAGAATCTTTCCAGATTTTGATGTCTTTCCTCCGTCAATCTTTTATTGCTGTCATATCCAAAACTAATTTGACAGCACATTTTTGGGGACTCCCCCTTATTGAGTCTTTACAAAAATATCAATTTAAGTTTCATAGAAACAACTCTTGCCATTAGTGCTCATAATAATTTTTGATATACATACCATTTAATTAAATGGTGTAATTATAATAATAAGTAGAGCTTGTCAAAAATATTTTCAAGAACATAATCATTAGTAAGCATGGGACTCAATTGGTCACTGTCAAAGTGTACAATTGTATTTGAGTCACCTACTAGCCATGAGTTTTCATCACAATGTGGGCATCTGCCAATTTTTTGTTTGTTTGTTTGTTTTTTGTTTTTTTGGTTTTTTGAGACGGAGTCTTGCTCTGTCGCCCAGGCTGGAGTGCAGTGGCACGATTTCAGCTCACTGCAAGCTCCGCCTCCCGGGTTCACACCATTCTCCTGCCTCAGCCTCCCGAGTAGCTGGGACTACAGGCACCCGCCACCACGCACAGCTAATTTTTTGTATTTTTTAGTAGAGATGGGGTTTCACTGTGTTAGCCAGGATGGTCTCGATCTCCTGACCTCGTGATCCCACCACCTCGGCCTCCCAAAGTGCTAGGATTACAGGCATAAGCCACAGCGCCCAGCCCGCATCTGCCAATGTTTTAAAGAGGGAATAGAATGCATTATATGCACATTATTAAGTGGAAGTTGGTTAAGAAAGTTTCTACCATCCTTGCTTATTAAAAAAAAAATTCAGACACGTACAGAGTAAAAAGTTAAAGTCCCCCTTATTTTATCTCCTCTCCAGGAATATTGTTGTTACCAATTTGGTGTATATTCTTCCAGATTTATTACTATGCATATATCTATACATGTGCATTGCTGAAGTGCATATGCATATGTGCATGTGCATATGATGTGCCAGGCACTGTACTAAGACCTTGATGTGAATTATTTTATTTAACCCTCACAACAACCCTATGAGATAATATCACTATTATCTTTATTTTACAGATTAGTAAACTGAGGCTCAGAAAAGTTCAGTAATTGCCCAAGGTCACATAATGACTAGTTTGTCTCTCTCTTAAGAGGACTATTATACTAATGTACATGAATCAAGTTAAATGTCTGGGTCCATTTATCCACTTACTCAGTAAACATTTATTGAATGTCCACTTTGCCAGGCACTGTACTTAATTCCAAGAATTCAAACACGTGGTTTTTATCTTCAGATATCTAGAAGAGGTAGATCAATCTGTGAGCTAAATGATTTGCCCCAATTCGTCCAGCTAGTAAGTGAAGAGAGCAAGATTACAATCCCGATTTATTTTAACAAATTGGTATATAACAATTGTTGGTGCACAGAAAATTTGGTAGATTTGTTTTTAGAGCTAGCCACTTTGAATATTATTGTTTCCATGAGAAGATGAGTTTGAAGCCCCCAGGAATCAGTGTTCAATTGTTATGACCCAATAAATTAAAGATTATAAATCCAAGTTATGAATGATTTGTTTAAATTATAGAGATAGATAGATAGATAGATAGATAGATAGATAGATAGATAGATAGACATTTAAAGGCAGATATCAGGATGAGACAGGATTCAGGATTGGAGTTCCAATTCCTTCAGTGGGAGGACTGACGGGTGGTAAAGAATTTAGATCTGCTAAGGAGCTTGATTAGGATATTGAAAAGTACCAGCTTAAAAAAGACCAAGCAATTGTACAGAGAATCAGAAGTCCAGAGAAAACAGAAAAGAGAAAGAGAAAACAGGAAGCTTGTATATAAGGCAGTATTACAAGAAAGAGAAACATAACACCAAAATTGAGAAATTCGATCATAATGGTAGAAAAAATTAAAGGCTGCATGTTGAGACAGAACCAAGACCTTACCTATTACATAACACATTCCACAAAGCTGGCCAATTTCAACGTACACTATGGAGGACTGAAGGAAAATGCCTCTCGCGGAGATGGGGTGGAAAGCTTGAGCCACATGAGTGTCTGACCTCCAAAAGCATAAATGCCAAAGGCTTTTAGAGCCAGTTGGCAACACTTACAGGGATGGAAGAATCAGGGAATTATTCTTATAAACATAGTATGGGATCTTACGGAAGGAAGCAAAACGAAGGCCTTAATTAGAAACCTTAAAAGAATGGCTACATATGCTTTGTAATTGCAGAAACATGTAAATATACAAACACATGGAACATGGCAGTGTTGATAGGGAGGATTAAGTGCCCTGATGGAAAATAAGAATAAAATATGAAAAGGAGAAAGGAAAATCTTGAGCTTCTTAAATTGCTTGCAAAAAAAAACTGGAGTGTATGATGGAATTTGGTCCTCATGACTGAAGTGTTTCTTTGGTGTTGGAAAAAGTATTGCTGTCATCTCTCTCTCTTTAGAAATTCTTTTTTTTTTTCATAATAAAAATCCCATGGCAGCTCCTTGTCTATGAAGGATTTTAAAAATAGGAGCAATTTCATGTGTCTGCAATGGTCTGTGTCAGCACTTGCCCTAGGCAAGGTTGCCACACAGGCAAAAATGTACCCCTCTCCCCTATAAACAGGCCCTCCCTGGCAACCCCATTCCCTTGGTGCCACCCCCCCCAGGGGAACTGACCCCCTTTTCTTGGACTACAGCTCCATTGTGATCTCCCACATCAAATCAAACCCCCTTTCCCTTGGTAGAGCAGCTCTGTCTCCAGGTGCAAGGGATGAAATAAGTTTCACCCTTTGCAGCCTATTTTCATTTAAAAATCGGACTGGGGTTAACCCAAATGAATCTTGAGTCGGTGGAGCTCTGGGCAGTAAAACCAAGTAGAGAGAAGTCCATGGGGAGAGGGGTGTATTTTTGGACGGTGGGGGAAGCGGGTGAGGTAGGCCGCCTTCCTGAAAACTATTAAATCCCAGATGTGGGCTCTGTTCAGTGTGGTGCTGCCTTGAGGGAGGGGGGAATTGGTGGTGGATGGACTCTCTGACCTCTCAAGGTTGCTGTTAATTCTATGGGTCGGTGATTTCCAACTACATTTCCCCGCGCCTGGCTTCCTTTGCAGCACTGTAGGCACCGCGTGACTCGCCTTTAACTAGGGGTTTTCAGCAGCCAGTCTTTGTGCCTATCAGCCAGGGCTCAATTTTCCCATCACGGTCCTCCCTGCAACAGCAATCCCTGGGTTCAGCAATAGTGGAGGCAGGCTGAAAATCAGTCCCAGCCATACTCAGCTCAAAGAAATTTTTCACAGAGAGCTCTTCAAAGCTCCTGTTCTCAGAGAAGCATAAGAAAGGGACTGTTTTGTGCTCACAGTGTGTGTGGGCTTTATGAAGAAAAAAATTTGTGGCCTTATGTGAACAGAGTATGCTGTATGCAGATTTGGTGGGCAAAGCTACAAAATGAAATCTACTCAAGGGGCTCATATAATCATATGGTCAATTTCATGTTGGATCAACAAACATTCAGGAGCCCAGTACTATGTGCCAGGCTCTGAATTAGAACTGGTGAGTAACAAGAAAAATAAAGCAAAGTCCCTGCTATGGAGGAATTCAGTCTAATGGGGAAGATAGACATCCAGGGCAAGAAGTGCTATGCTTGAGGTAAGTGAGGGTGTTTGGAGGCATAGGGGAGCTTGCCCTTGGCTCAGCCTGCGGCTGATAGGGATTGAAGAAACCTTCTCTGGGGAGATGACATCTGAGCTGAGTAGGAGTAAGCCAAACCAAAGAAATGTGGAAAGAGCGATAGGTGGAGAAGGATGACATGAGCAGAGGCATGCAGGCACGCAATGACTAGACAGGTATGGGGAACTAAGAGCAGGCTGCCGTTATTAGAGAGGAAAGTATCAGGAGGAGGTGGGCAAGAGGCTGGAGGCGCAGGCATGGCCACAGGAGGGAGAGAGAACTGGGTCTCCTGTGCTGAGGAGTACAGGCTTTATCCTGAGGGGGTGCCACTGAAGGATTTCAAGCAGGGGAGTAATAGGGTTGGATTTACATCTTGACTAAACTATCTGTCAATTTGGAAGAAATCATTCAAATTGCCCATGGGATGAACTGATTCAAGAATTCCATTGAAAGGGTAAATTTGCAGATGTAGCCATAGTTAAGTGCAAGTATTTCTTTTTCCAAGGTGGTTTGTTATAAGG
This sequence comes from Homo sapiens, assembly GCF_000001405.40. Lineage (NCBI taxonomy): Eukaryota > Metazoa > Chordata > Mammalia > Primates > Hominidae > Homo > Homo sapiens. Next base: position 132,100,925 of record NC_000023.11, on the reverse strand, counting down.
CTTTCTTAGGGATGTCGCTAAAACAACACAGAGACAGATAAGTGGATCTATCTGTAAAGGTCAACATCTTTGAAAAGGATGCAGGTCCTCTAAACAGTGCTTAAAGGAAACAGGGCTTGCAGAGAGTCTTGTGGCTTCTACCCTTTATTCCGTGCTGCAGTATCAGGTTAGGAATGCAAATTGTGCTATCATCTTTTTGTTTTGTTTAGCAAAAGTCATCCGGGAAGGCATTGTTTAACCTGAGTTGCAGCCATCTAAATCTTGCTGAAAAGGAATATTTTGGATTAGAATTCTGCAGCCATTCTGGAAATAATGTAAGTTGGTTTCATTATAGGGTTCTTTGTGTCTAGCATTGCTTCTAAATGCAGTTTGCAGCTAGGTATGTAGGGTTCAATTCCCTGATTGAAAAATGAAAAACTATGTGCACCCTTGCAACATGATTAGATTTAATAACTAGTTTTTGTCCTCCCTCTTTGTTTATTAACAGTCACCTTGGCCAGGTGCGGTGGCTCATGCCTGTAATCCCAACACTTTGGGAAGCCAAGGCAGGTGGATCACCTGAGGTCAGGAGTTCAAGACCAGCCTGGCCAACATAGTGAAACCTCATCTTTACTAAAAATACAAAAATTAGCTGGGTGTGGTGGTGTGTGCCTGTAATCCCAGCTACTTGGGAGGCTGAGGCAGGAGAATTGCTTGAACCTGGGAGGCAGAGGTTGCTGTGAGCCAGCATCGCACCACCGCATCCCAGCCTGAGCAACAGAGTGAGACTCTGTTTCAAAACAACAAGTCACCTCAATTTGCCAAACACAAACTCTTTTACCCCACATTCCTGTTTTGTCACTCTGTGAGCAGCTATGCATGCTTTATCAATTTTGCCTTTCCAGAGCCTGGACCTCAACCTGCAGAATTAAGACTTTTAACCTCACCAGTGAATATTCAGAGGAATCTCCTTTCTCCTTTCTCAGACCCTAACGTTCAGATATTCTTCTGTTGTGTCCTGCCTTGGCATATCTGTGATCTGGCATCTTCCCAGAAAGGCTCATTATGTCTATTAGACTGGCATTTGGGGACTGGAGGGTTCAAATGTGGAGCCAAATGCCTTCATTAGTCTTTGTAGCAACTAATGAGCCATGTATGTGACACCTCTGTCATCCTACTAAGGCAGTGGAGCAGTGATTCAAATGTCAACAAGAAAGAGTTTATAGATCAACAATGTTCACTGTCATCGGGAAAATATAAGGGGGCAGATTAAACGTAGTATGCCACCTATTTGACATTGCTGTTTGTTTCTACCTTTAGAAGTCTAAATAGTCCTGGTACTCATTTATTTCATGTTAATCTTTATCTATTACCGAAAAAAAAAAAGCTCTGCTCAATGCCATGCTCTACCAATTTTTTCCTTAATGTTATTACAGGTTTGGCTGGAGCTTTTGAAGCCCATAACAAAGCAGGTAAAAAGTAAGTATGGAAAATCATTTAAGGAAGAGAGTTCACAGTTAGAGCTTGAGAAAGGTTTCAACAACCTCACACAATTTCTCATTTTAATATAAGGGGAGAAAAGGGCTTTGAGATATTATTTCAACCCTTCATACATCCAGTAAATTCAGCAATTTAGAAAATTGTTTTAATTTTGCCTGAGATGAAAGAAATCATGCTGCTGGATCTTTGAGTAAATCTGAAGAACTCTGGTAATTACAGTACTCTGGATTGGTTTGAGGAATATATCTCATTTTCTGGCACTGCAAATCTTCGAGCATCCTTGATGTCAATCTGCAATGCCATTCACTGTCTGCCTGAAGATTCTTTAGTTATATCCTGTCACAAGCATTATTCACTCGCTTTAGTTCATATTTAAGTGCCTAATATGTATGAAATATTTTCTCCCTATATTTTACAATCTAGTGTGATGGTTCTCAAATTTCAGTGTGCATTAGGATCGCCTGAGTTTCTTGTTAAATGCCGATTCCTGGGCCTTATTCCTGAGTTGCCAATAACCTGCATGTTTACAAAATTCCACAGATGTTTCTGAGGCAGGCGGAGTTGTATCAGGACTTTGCACTGTTTTAATGTCTCTTTTACTGGTTCCTCTTCCTCTACCTGCTCTTTACATGTTAGTGCTTCCCAAAGTTCTGTCTGTTCCCACTGCATAAGGATCACCTGTCACATTATTCCAACAGCTTCCAAATTGATTCCCCTCATCCATCATCTACATTACTCCCAAAGAAATCTATTGAAAACAAAATTCCACAGATGTTTCTGAGGCAGGCGGATTTCTATCAGGACTTTGCACTGTTCCTCTTCCTCTACCTGCTCTTTACATGTTAGTGCTTCCCAAAGTTCTGTCTGTTCCCACTGCATAAGGATCACCTGTCACATTATTCCAACAGCTTCCAAATTGATTCCCCTCATCCATCATCTACATTACTCCCAAAGAAATCTACTGAAAACACCAACCTGATCACATCACTCTTCTTCTTAAAATGCTTTCCTGGCTCCCTACTACCTACCCTTCGAGGAATAAAGTCCCAATTCCTTAGGATGGTACACAAAGCATTGAACTCTGGCTACCTTCCTAGCCTTGTCCTTGCTACTAGCTACCTCGTATTCCTACCTCTGCTGACTTTGACAAAACTAATCTCAGATGGAGGCTTAGCAGATAAAATACAGAATGCCCTATTAAATTGTAATTTTAGATAAACAAAGAATAATTTTCTTATATAAGCACATCTCATGCAATTGTTGTTTATCTGAAATTCAAATTGAACTGGGAATCCTGTGCTTCTTATTCACTAAATCTGGCCACTCTACTCAGGTCTCAAGTCCTCTGGTAGGACATCCTTGACCTCCTCCAAACTCTTTCCTCCCTTCTGTGCTTCCCCAGTACTCAGTGCTTATAGCATTTTAGAGTGTTATAACTGTCTAGATGTCTGTCTCTTCTACTAGACAGTGAGCTCTTAGTTGTCTTTTTACTCCCAATACCTGCTTTGCAGATAATGGGCACCAACAAATATTTACTGAATCAATGGTGTTAATGCTGCATGTGTGCATTTATGTTTTGTGTAAAAGTTAATTTTCAAATGCAAGCAGGTGTGAAGATAAGTATATGTGTTTTCTTAATGTATAAGATAGAGGTATCAGTCCATCATGCTTTGAATTCTCTTTATGAGATACTTAGGCTTGGTAATGTACACCTGCCTCAGCTGAAGTTGAGCCCTTCTCTCAGTCAGGAATGCAGAATCCCAACTAGCAAGTGCTGTATTTTTCTGAATGGGATACTTAGGAGAGGACACAGTAGGCCTCAAAGGGGCACATTTATACAAATAAACTCGAAGGCAGAGAGGGTAGAAAGAGGGGTGGGAGAACTTTCCCAATCGCTATATACATAGAGACACAATCCAGAAATTGTGACACTTTATACATGTGATAAATGGAAACACAGAAGTCTGTAGGAGGGAGTGATGGGGAGGGGACGGAAGAGGAGAGCGGTGTGTGTGTGGGTGTGTGTGTGTGTGTGTGTGTGTGTACCTATAACTGTTGTGATGGACATTTAAATAAAACTTATGGAGATATTGTGTTTTAAGATCCTAAGGAGATTGTTTTCAAATTTATGGTGAAATTTTTCCCAGTGGACCCTGGACATCTGCGGGAAGAACTTACAAGGTATAGTGATTACCTGTGTGTCTCTGCATGATGTTACTTAAGAATCATTATTCTCCATTTATTGGGGGCAAGTGCTTCTGGCCATTCTCACAAAACTTGGCTTTAAGTCACTGTCTGGGAGATGGTGAGGATCTGGAGAGAGGATGGGCCTAGCTGGTTCCCCAGGTGTTCATCATCCAAAGGGTGGAGACTACAGGAAGAAAGAGGTGTGTTCTAGAAGTTCAAGCCTGGGTATCCACTTGGGGGTTATGCCATTAACTACTACAACAATGAATGTGCTCTCCTTCATGAATCTGTGTTTCAGTCAGAGAGGGCAGCTTAACAGCACGGGTATAATACCAGCCGATTTCCATGGAAATTGAAAATGTGGGGGTTGTGAATGTATCTCACAGAAGACAAAATAATCTGTAATGATGATAAATACTTATGAAAAAATGTCCTTCAGAATTACAAAGTAAACCTATTTCTGCAAAAATATGTTGTCAACAAAACATTCCTCAAAACCTTACTCTACTTTCTAGACTTACACTTTTTTTTTTTTTTTTTTTTGAGACAGGGTCTTGCTCTGCCTCAGGTTGGATAGGCTGAAGTGCAGTGGCAACCTCCCTGGCTCAAGCAACCCTCCCACCTCAGTCCTTGTGCCCTGCTTCCCGCCAAGGACTACAGGAACTTGCCGCCACGCCCGGCTAATTTTTAAGGTTTTTTTTTTTTTTTTAGAGATGGGGCTTTGCTATGTTGCCCAGACTGGTCTTGAGCTCCTGAGCTCAAATGATTCTCCGCCTTGGCCTCCCAAAGTGCTGGGATTACAGGCATGAGCCACCACACCTGGCTTAGATTTAGACTCCTATACGTGAAAGAGGTCTGAGAGATAATCTAATCGAGCCCTCTTAGTTTACAGAGGAAGAGATAGGTCATGGGAGCTAAAATGACTGTCCAAGATCACAGAAGGTTGCCAGTTATTCTCCCTGATGTCTTCCCCCCAAAAGAGTTCATGGCCAGTTCAATCTTTGCCCCTTTTATAAAGACTTTTCTGAGTGGCCTTTGCAAAAGTCGCTTTTTACAAGCCTCTCTTTCTGTCTTTCTCTCTCCTAATTCTCTCTCCACATTTGTGAGCTACAGGCCACTTTCCCAAATAACTTGATACCTTGGTATATATATGTATTTGCGTTTGCTAACCCATTTCAGTTGAGTTTTAAATTGTGACCAATTTTGATGGAGATAAACTCCCCCCACCTCCAAAAAAAAAAGAATGGGAAAATCAATGTGATGATAAATGATTCATCAGCTGTTCAGAGCAAGGATTTGGTATTTGTAGCAGGCAGCTGCCTTCTTAACAGCAAGGAACGTGTCAAATGACAAGAAGTTCCCTTTCTTTCATGCTAGGAGCAAAACGAAATTCACCTTTCCTTTAGCAACTAAAGCTGATTATTCTCATTGACAACTATATTTGAAAACAGGCAATGACAAAGGTTAGGCTTCATTTATTTGTTTCCCATTGGTCCATTTAAATAATACTTAACTTTAGTTGAGTCTACAAGGATGCCTTGTCTAGGCTAATACATGGGTTTCTAAGAGTGGTGTGCAAATGTAATTTTTCTAATTGAATCGTTTCTAATGTATAAGGAGAGCTCATAATTTGAAAGATTATAATGATGAATGCTTTTGTAAACTGAATAATCACCTGCTAATTTACTTGCTTTTTCAATCTAGATTTTCACATATCACTTGCGATTAATTTTGATTCACCACATTGCCTTCAAGGCTTAATTGGTTTTAAAAAAAGTACACATAGACCTTTATTTAGAAAATCACATTTTTATAGGGAAATGCTCATAGTACTCAGTGTTTTAATTTATAAAACAAAATATTGGGGCCAGACACAGTAGCTCACACCTGTAATCCTAGCACTTTGAGAGGCCAAGGTGGGGCAATCAACTGAGGTCAGGAGTTGAAGACCAGCCTGGCCAACATGGTGAAACCTCGTATCTACTAAAAATACAAAAATTAGCTGGGCATGGTGGTGCATGCCTGTAGTCCCAGCTGCTAGGAAGGCTGAGGCAGGAGGATCGCTTGAACCCCAGAGGCAGAGGTTGCAGTGAGCTGAGACTGCACCACTGCACTCTAGCCTGGGTAACAGAGTGAGACTCTATCTCAATAAATAAATAAATAAATAAATAAATAAATAAATAAATAAATAAATAAATAAAATATTGGAACCAATCTTGGACCATGGAAGAAGGTAATTAGTGGTAGGTAGTCTTCATTATGCACATTTCTTTACAAAATTTGATTCTCCTTTGAAAATGACTTTTTCATAAGTGTGGGATAAATGTTATCTGTTTAGCAGAGCCCTAGATACCAAGCTGCATTTCATAGGTCCCTGATGAGCATTTGGTGGGAAAAGGGGCAGTTTGGTTTAGTTCTTTTCAGCAAACATTAATTACACTAACTGTGTAAAATGATGTGTTGGGCACTGGTGATACAGAGAAGATGGTCCAGGCCAAGGGAATAACAGGCAGAAGCAGGGCCCCAAGTTCTTCATTTCTAAAACACAGTCTTTTGGATAGGAGGCAGCCTGAATTCAGGGGCAGACCTAAGTTCTAGCCACAGATTCACTATCCTTGGGTGATATGACCTTGTCAAAATCACCTAGCCCCTCTCTTTCTATAACTGTAAACTGGAGTGATCATTTCTTGCTCCACCAACCTCCTAAGTTGTTATGGTAGTGAGTACTTGATAGTGTTTTGTAAACAGTATGCTACTGGCCTCCTGAGTGCATTTATTCTTGCTTGATCTCCTATTCTTTCTAGCTGGGAATGTGGCTTTGCTACGTGGCAGAAACCACCAGAGGATGATTGGCCAACTTTCTCAATTTGGCAGGAGGATTTGGCCAGGGTGATTCCTAATGGCTGTGAGGCCTGCCAAAGTGTTCAATCAGCTGAGTTGTGGTCCGGGTCTGGTTTGGGGCTGAAGCAAAGCCTATGCATTACTCACCACCCCCAAAAAGGCATCTGACTGACTGGGGGCACCATTCCTTTCTTGAATCATCTTGGATCTGGGAGAAGGAAAATGCTTCTTTCTTATTTCTGTTTCTTTCTCAAGAGATTCTCCCCAATTTCTTTGCAGGTATCTTTTTACTCTTCAAATAAAGAAGGATTTGGCTCTAGGAAGGCTTCCATGCAGTGACAACTGTACAGCGTTGATGGTATCTCACATCTTACAATGTAAGTAGCAAATGTCTGTCTGCTTTGGGACCTATCAGCCAGGTAGAGAACCAAGCACAGGAGCTGAGCTCCCCACACATGCCCATCACTGTGTTAGGGTTTACAGGGGAGAGAAAGCCTGGATAAGATAGAGAGAAACAGCATGGCCTGAGCCTGAGTTTCCTTGTCTTTAAAATAGTGACAAGAATACCTTTGGTTCTGTGGATTAAATGTAAATGCTGATTTTCTTCTACCCCAGTCCAGCCTTCCCCTCCTACCGCCTCTGGGAAAGCTGTCCAGGAACTGGTTTGGGCTAATTTGGGCATGGGCTTTGCCAGACAGGTCCCCACTCCCTCTGCTTACCCCAGGATAATTCTCTGATACATGCTCTCTGTAGCACATTGTCACGTTTGTTGTGATTTCTCTGTTGCTCTTTATCATGATTTCAGAGAACAAAGCACAGAGTACAGCAGGTGGAGAGAGGTTAAAAGGGAAAAAAGCCCCAGGCATCTATTAGCGTTCCCCATATCCTAACAACCAACAAGTAGCTGGACTAGGCTGCATAACGAAGGTAGGTAGAAGGTGGTCTGGGGAACAGCAGGGGCCTTCCAGGGAGGGGGTGATGCCTGGCAGGCCAGGCTGCTGCTACAGCCCCAAGGGCAGGGTATAGGCAGCTGGAGATAGTATCTCTTCTAAAGCCAGCTGGACATTTTCTCCCTTCTAGAGAGGCCTCCAAAGAATAGGCTGTTTCTTACCAGTCCTGCAGGATCATAACTTCATTTTTTGTATCTTAAGTTCATTTTTGACCTCTGTACCTTACCTTTCTGATAGTCCAGAAATGACAGATTTCTAATTTCACCGGGAGCCCCAGAATGCAGTGCTTAGATAGGGACAGTGTCTGAATAAGTGTTTACCAAGTGACTCCTGGCAGGGACAATCAATGAGAGCCCTAGGATCTCAGAAAGGCAGAGGGCAGTAAGAGAAATGGTAATCATGGAAGGCTGTTGGAGAAGGTGGCTTTTGTGCTGGGCCTTAAAGGGACACATAGGAATTGGATAAGTACTTGTCAGTAAAGGAAACAGCATGAAAACAAAAATGGTGGTTAGACAAGAAGTGACGTATATAGAGGATGAAAAATGACCCAGTATAGCCCAAACATAGGGCCTGTTTAGAAGAGGTGATGGAAAATGCACCATTTTGAAGGGTCTTGAATGCCGAGGACACTAACCGTCATGTCCAGTATTGTACTTTGGCACTGGGGTGGGAGCATAGGGTAGAGCAGATAGAGGAAACAGTGCTAGAAGACATCCTTCTCCACTAGCTGCCTGTTGAGGCAGCAGTCAGAGGATTGGGGCTCCCAGGCAGTCTCTGACGGGGGAGCTCAATTTCATTCTTAACAGTTCTGCCTTATGGATTTGAGCATTCCCTAGTGGCCGTTTCAGGCATAGCACAGAGCACTTGAGCTTTTCTAGAGGATATTGTCTGTCAGTAGAAACTCTTTCCATGGAAAAAAGCTAAAGTTCCAACTAGGTAGTTCTTCGCAATTGATTGCAGTGAGACTATTTCACTAAACTCTAACGTAGTATGCAGAACACAACTAGATTGCTCTAGTTGTGCAATTTATTTGTCTAATTTTCCATTCATCTAATATTTGTTGGATACCTGCTATATTTTAAGCGTTCAAGAACCTCCACATTTATTTGTCTAATTTTCCATTCATCTAATATTTGTTGGATACCTGCTATATTTTAAGCGTTCAAGAACCTCCACATTCCAACCTTCTCGTCTCCTTTGTTTACACTTACACACCTCTCTATTCTAGCCAGACACTCCCTCCCAAACACAAGCTGAACATTTCAAATGAAGTGTCCCTCTTTTATGAACTCCCTCAGTAACTCTTCTTGGTCGTTAATTCAAGAAAATTGTATCATGTACCTACCACATGCCAGATACTATTATAGGCACTGGGAACACAGCAATAAACAGACAAAAATCCTTGCCCTTGTGGAGCTCACATTTTGGCAGCGGGGGAAAATCAGACAATGACCAAAATAAGTAAATAAATTATATAATGCATGGTAGCAGGTGATAAGAGCAATGGAGAAAAATGAAGCGTAGGAGGGAGATGGAAGAATTCTGGGGGCAGATACTGAATATTTATATTTTTAAATTTTATTCTTTTCTTCTTTTATGGACAAGAGTTAACATCGGCATAAATATTATTTTTTGAGATGGGGTCTCACGCTATCAGCCAGGCTGGAGTGCAGTGGGGCGATCTCAGCTCACTGCAACCTCCACCTCCCAGGTTCAAGTGATTCTCCTGCCTCAACCTCCTGAGTAGCTGGGATTACAGGCACATGCCACCACACCCGGCTTTTTTTTTTTTTTTTTTGTATTTTTAGTTAGAGACAGGGTTTCACCATGTTGGCCAGGCTGGTCTTGAACTCCTGGCCTCAAGTGATCCTCCCGCTTTGGCTTCCCAAAGTGCTGGGATTACACGCGTAAGCCACAGTGCCCAGCCAGCATAAATATTTAAATAAGGTGGACAGGGTAGGCTTACTGGGAAGATGACAGCTAAACAAAGACTTGAAGGAGGTGGGAGGGTAAGCTATGCAACAAAATCATGTGAAAGAGAATCCTGGCAAAGAGAGCATGCAGTGCAAAGGGCCTGAGGTGAGAGCATGCCTGGGGTGTTCAAGAAACATCAGAAAGGCTTTTATGGCTGGCTGGAGCTCAGTAAGAGAGGAAGAGAATAAATATGAAGGTCTTAAAAGCATATTAAAGGGCCAGGTGTGTTGGTTCATGCCTGTAATCCCAGCACTTTGGGAGACTGAGGTGGGAGGATCGCTTGAGGCCAGGAGTGCATATCCGACTGGCCATCTCTTTTTTAAAAAAGCATATGAAAGACCTATAGCATAACTCTAAATGAGCAGATAAGCCATCGAAGCAGTTTAAGCAGAGGAGTGAAATAATCTGAATTAGGTTTTGACGGGGTCCTTTTGGCTGCTGTGGTGAAAACAGACCTCAAGAGGAAATGGTGGAAGTGGGGAGACTAGATAAAAGGATATTACAGGAGAGAGAGACCATGGTAGTTTGGACCAGCGTGGTAACAGTGAAGGTGCTTATAACATTTGTCACCTTCTGTTACTGGAGCTATTTACTCATTCGTATGTCATAGTTGTATTCTTAGGTTGCTATAGTCTTGTATGGAGAGAAAAAAAAGCACAGTCTTATGTGCTTTTGTTTTTCTTAGGGTCAACGTGGGATTTGTGGTTAATAAACTGGAAAATTGGGGTGTGTGTGTTTGTGCATGTGATTTATTTAAAAAAACAGCTCTATTGAGGTATAATTTACACATCATAAAATTCACCCATTTTAAATGCACAACTCAATGATTTTTAGCAAATTTACAGAGTTGTGCAAGCATTACCGCAATCCAGTTTTAAAACATTTCCATCACACCAAAAGACATCTCTCATCCCTACTTGCAGTCACGCCCTGTTCCCACGCTCAGCCCCAAGCAACCACTAATTTGCTTTCTGTTTCTGTAGATTTGCCTTTCCTGAACATTTCATGTAAATGAAATGATAAAATATGGGGTATTTTGCATCTGACTTTTTTCACTCAAAATAATGATTTTTAAATTAAAGCATGCTCTAACATGAGCTGCAACAGTTTGTTCCTTTCTTTTGCTGAGCAGTATTCCATTTATGGATTTACCACTTTTTTTTTTGAGATGCTCACTGCAGCCTCCACCTCCCGGGTTCAAGCAATTCTCCTGCCTCAGCCTCCTGAGTAGCTGGGATTACAGGCAGGCACCACCACGCCCGGCTAATTTTTGTATTTTTAGTAGAGACAGGGTTTCACCATGTTGGTCAGGCTGGTCTCGAACTCCTGACCTCATGATCCACCCACTTTGGCCTCCCAAAGTGCTTGGGATTACAGGAGTGAGCCACTGCGCCCAGCCACATTTTGTTTATCTATTCACCTGGTCGTGGACATTTGGATTTTCTTCCAGTTTAGCTATTATGAATAATGCTATAAGCATTGGCACACAAGTGTTCTTGTGGATACAAGTCTTCATTTCTTTTGGGTACATTCCAAGGAGTGTAATTGCTAGGTCTTATGATATATTTATATTGAACATTTTCAGAAACTGCCAATTCAAATTGTTACAATAACATTAGAAATGTACAAGGTTTTTGACTTCTTCATACCTTCACTAACACTTGGTATTGTATATCTTTTTGATTATGACCATTCTAATGGGTATAAAGTATCTCACTGCAATTTTAATTAGCATTTTCCTAATGACTAACGATGTTGAGCACAGTTTCATGTGCTTATTCCAATGTTTTCTTTGGTAAAATGCCTAGTCAAATCTTTTGCCCATTTTTAAATGAGTTTTTATATTATTATTGAGTTTTAAGAGGGTTTTATAAATTCTGATTAAAAGTCTTTATAAGATATACAATTTGCAATTTTCTCTTCTAATCTGTGGCTTGTCTTTTCATTTTGTAAGGATATCTTTTGAAGTACAACAGTTTTAAAATTTGATGGAATTTCACTTTCTGTGTAGTTTTAGTGGATCATTCTTTCGGTGTTGTATCTAAGAACTCTTTGCCTAACTTAAGGTCAAAAAGATTTTCTCCTAGAACTTTTATAAATTTACCTCTTATAGTTAGATCTATGATCCATTTTGAGCTATTTTTTTGTACGCTTGCATGGAGTATAGTGTGAGGTAGGGGTCCGACTTCATATTTTTGTGTGTGGATGTCCATTTGTCCTAGCAACATTTGTTGAAAAGAATATTATTTTTCTTCATTGAATTGTCTTGGCACATTTGTCAAAAACCAATTGACCATAAATGTAAGGAGTTACTTCTGTACTCTCACTTATGTTCCATTGATCTATATTTCTATTCTTATGCCATTACCACACTGTCTTAATTACTGTAGCTTTGAGGTAAGCTTTGAAATAAGGAAGTGTACACATTGCCCAACTTTGTTCTTTTTCAAAATAGTTTGGTTATTCTGAGATCTGTGCATTTCCATGTAAATTTTAAGGTCATTTGTCAATTTCTATTTTTAAAAGCCTACTGGGATTTTGATGGGGATTGCATTGAATTTATAGATTATTTTTTGAAAAAATTGCCACCATAACAATATTGAATCTTCTTGTCTGTGAACATGAACTATCTCTTCATTTATATAGATCTTTTAAAAATTTCCCTTGGCAGCATTTTGTACTTTTCAGTGTGTAAGCCTTACACTTCTTTTATTAAATTCATTCCTCTGTATTTTATTCTTTTTTGATGCTATTGTAAATGGAACTTTTTAAAATATCATTTTTAGATTATTCATTGCTAGTATATATAAATACAATTGCTTTTTATATATTGATCTTCTATCATGCTACCTTGCTGAACTCATTTATTAGTTCTAGTAGTTTTTCATAGGTTCCTTGGGATTTTTTTTCTTTCCTTTTTTTCCTTTTTTTTTTTTTGAGACAGGGCCTCACTCATTCACCCAACCTGGAGTGCAGTGGCACGGCCATGGCTCACTGTAGCCTTGAATTCCTGGGCTCAAGCAATGCTCCCACCTCAGCCTCCAAAGTAGCTGGGACCTGGGACCACAGGCATGTGCCACCACACCCAGCTAATTTTTACATTTTTTGGTAGAGATGGGGTCTTGCCATGTTGCCCAAGCTGGTCTCGAACTCCTGGGCTCAAGCAATCCTCCTGCCTTGGCCTCCCTGAGTGCTAGGATTACAGGCGTGAGCCACCACGCTCAACCTTGGGATTTTCTACATGCAGGATCATGTTGAGTGCAAGTAAAGACAGTTCTACCACCTTCTTTTCAGTGCAAATTCTTTATGTTTCTTCTTCTTGCCTGACTGCACTGACTAGAACCATCAGTACAATGTTGAATAGATGTGGCAGGCACTTGATATCTTTACCTGATTTCTGATCTTAAGTGAAAGCATTTAGTTTCTCACCATTTGGTATATTCCTTGTTTGTTAAGTGTTTTGTTTTGTTTTGTTGATTGTGAGTGGGTATTAGACTTTGTGCAATGCTTTTTCTCCATCTCTTGAGAAGATAATGTGCGGGTTATTTTTTTTTTGTCCTTTATTCTATTATCATAGTGTATTATAGTCATTGGTTTTCATATGTCAAACTGACCTTGCAATCCTGAGATAAATTCAACTCATTGTGTATAATCCTTTTCATATGCTGCTGAATTCAGGTTACTAGTGTTTTGTTCAGAATTTTTGCCTCTGTATTCATGAGGAATGTTGACCTGTAGTCTTCATTTCTTATGATGTTTTTGTCCCGTTTTGGTATCAGGGTAATATTGACCTCATAGAATATGTTGCTAAGTATCTACTCCTCTATTTTCTGGGAGAGTTTGTGAAGAATTGGTATTTATTTCTTCTTTGAATATTTGATAGAATTAGTCAGTGAAACCATCAGAGCCTTATTGGGTTTCAATGTGATTTGTACATTTATCAGTATTGGCAAAAAAAATTAATCAATGAGCCATTTCTTTGGTCTTTTAAAAAATGTTTATTATATGGAGATTTTTATTATATTGTGATTTTTGAAATACAGATATACACCCACCTGTCTAAAACACAAATGGAAAACCAAGAAAGAAGAGAAAAAAAACAGCCCTCCAGCACTCAAAATAGGTATCCTATTGTCCATGTATCTTATCCAATAGAAGAGCACCATAGGATTCCATGGAGAGTCTATTTACTCTTACAGTATATAGAATGCTAACAGGTTTGGATATTTGCTTTCTCATTTTATGTTAGACTAGAAGTCTCACTTTAGAACCAAGTATTCTAAAGTTTGACTTCAGGGGAAGTCAGTGACCAGGAAATGATTCATATAAATCTGACAGAGAGGAAAAAGGCATACAAATTATAAAGAAGAAAAAAGAATCCAAAAATCAAAACAATCTGAGGCAATTAAGGTTAAGGGCACATAGTCCTAAATGCCTTTGTAGACATAGTGCTGTAATAGATGTTTCATAAAAATAAACTGGAGGCATCTAGAAAAGAGCAAATTATGATCATAGATAAACTGCTAGCTATTTGGAAAAGCCAGAATGATTTTCAGGATGATTCATCTATTGGGGATTTCAGATAGCTGGGGATTTACTAGACTCCCAATGTACAGAGTGATGAATTGGCTTGCAATGTCGTTGGCATTTATATTCCTCTTTCTTGATAATATATGATCAGGATGGAGTGGGGTTGGATGGCTGTACTAGTTTGCTAGGGCTGCCATAACAAAATACCAGAGACTGAATGGCTTAAATGCCAGAAATGTATGTTCCACAATTCTGGAGGCTTCGTGTCCAAGATAAGCTGTCAGCAGTTGTTTTTTTTTTTTTCCTGAGGCCTTTCTCCTTGGCTAGCAGATGGCTGCCTTCTTGTTGTGTTATCACTTGGTCTTTTTTTCTGTGTACTCACATCCCTGGTGTCTCTCTGTGTGTCCAAATTTCTTCTTCTTATAAGGATACCAGTCAGATTGGTTTAAGGCTTGCCTTGATGGAGTCATTTCACCTCAATCACCTCCTAAAAGCTCTATCTCCAAATATAGTCACATTCTCTGCTACTGGAATTAGGACTCCAACATATGAACTTGGCAGAGGGTGGGGACATAGTTCCACCTATACCAGTGGCTGATTGAAAGTAAGAGAGATCATATATACAATATGGTAGAAGAAAAATCTAACAAAATGTTCAACTGTGATCTTGGAGCCCCTAAGATCTATATTTGGTCTGTGACTTTCTATACTAAGGCTGAAATGCTTCCAAATTGAAAAAGAGCCAATTGCCCCCCCCAAACACACACACCCCTATAGAAACATAAATATACATAAAGCGTGGGGTTGGAGGCTTTGGACTGCATTGGCTACAAAGAAGGGGCTGTTTGATGGAGGACAAGGGTATGCTGGATGCTCCATTGCTAAGTTCCTCAAAGGTAATGTGAAAAATGTCTTTTTCCTGTCATGCAGCAGAACTTGGAGACTTTCATGAAGAAACAGATAGGAAGCATCTGGCACAAACTCGGTACTTACCAAACCAAGACTGTTTAGAGGGCAAGATCATGCACTTTCATCAGAAGCACATGTAAGTACTTTCAGCTGGCACCTGCTTCCCCCAGTAGAGAACACTAAAATTGGGGACAGACTCTTAAGAGCAAGCCCTTAAACCTGAGAAGTTTCAGGCTCCATGAAACGCTGAGATCCTCATGGAGCTCTCAGGGTGGAAATGTCATTCTTGAGGCATTTATTAGGCTCATAAATTCTTTCCCCTTTCAGTGGCAGGAGCCCAGCTGAATCTGACATTCTGCTACTGGACATAGCAAGGAAGCTGGATATGTATGGCATCAGGCCTCACCCCGCCAGTGATGGTGAAGGGATGCAGATTCACCTGGCTGTTGCTCACATGGGAGTACTGGTGTTACGGGTAAAATCTCTTTCCTTTCAAGCCCTTCAGCTTTAGTGAGGGGTGGTTATCTTGGCTCAAACTTGGGTGTCCTTTCCCAAGGTGATCTCACCCCTCAGTATTATCACCAGCCAGAAAGGGAAATGGTCAATCATATTTACTTGTAGTTGCATGAAAAGTATACATGACAAACTAATAAACATAGTTAACTGCAGGGAATGGATAGATGGGGACAGAAATAGGGGTGACAGTGGTGGGAGTGAGACTTCTTTCTATATATATCTTTTTGTATACCTCTGATTTTCAGACCACGCGAATAGATTACCTGTTGAACAAACAACAAATAAGCAAAAAAGCAAAGCTGGTTGGACCGACCAGGAAAGCCAAGGGAGTTTAGAGGAGTTGGAAATGGGTGTAGGCTGCAGTAATTAAACAGAATAGCCTAGAGAAGGGTCTGTCAGAGCTGGCAAGAAGGCTTGACTATGTGGAAGGCATTGTGGGCAAGGAAAATGAGGAGACTGCAGGAGAGAGGTATAGAGTTAGATGAAAGGGTGTTTTGGAATTAGTGGGAACAAAGGTTATATATTCAATATAGATGAGGCAGCAAGATATGGCCATGATGTGATGTGGGCAGTGAGGAGCTATTGAAGGTGTTTGAGCTATTGGGGTGTCAGGAGAAAGAGGACATTGTTTTTAGCAGATGAATCGGGAAACATGGGAAAGGGGCGAGATTAGAAAAGCTATTGTAGTAATCCTTTCCTCTTGTGATCTCCCTGTGCTGGCCAGAAAACTTCCCTAGGCATACCCCTTCTTGCTTGCATTCCAGAGCATCCTTGTATCCCACCTGAAATGCCTTCTTTGACCACAGCTCCTACCCAGTGCAGCAGGATCAATCTGTGCAAGAGATGGGTCAAGGGCGGTCCCTCTCATTAAGTGCATTTTCTATCAGGTTTGCACTGTCTTACAAGCCAACTCTTGTTAATACATTCTGAAATCTGCCACATTTTTCATTGTAGGGAAATACAAAGATCAATACTTTTAACTGGGCTAAAATCCGCAAGTTGAGTTTTAAGAGAAAGCATTTTCTCATCAAACTTCATGCCAATATCTTGGTAAGTAGCTTTCTAATAAATTCGTTTACTTTCTGTTCACTGGGAATTTTTTTGGTTGTTTCTGCAAATCGTTTGAATGTAAATTGTAAAAGCCGGCTGGCCCTGAGTGATGGTGTGTCTTTTCTTTTGCCTTTGAAGAAATCAACCAGAGTTTTAATCATTTTTTACTAAAGGCAAAACACTAAGAAATCTGATTGGCAGTTTAGAGTTAACAAAGTAATAGGAAAATGGGGCAGCTCGGCTGAAAGGCAAGTCTCCCTGGAAACTGCTTTTTAGGGATTTGATAAGTCAAATGGGAGTGACCAGATCTAGGACTAAGAATACATTCATATGATGTTATCTGTTCCATTTTATAAAGTATCTTCAATTACTTTCCTTAAGCAAAAATTATTGAACACCTAGTATATGCCAAAAACAAGCAGGATGTGGGAGTCAGGTATACACGTAAGCAAAATAAACAGTTTTTGGGCAAGGTTGCATAGTAAAGGGTGAGACAAAGGTGCTAGAAATGATCTTCTTTTTTTATTCTAGAGATAGGGTCACACTGTTGCCCACACTGAAGTGGAGTGGTGACATGTAGCTCAGAGCAGCCTCAACGTCCTGGGCTCAAGTGATCCTACCGCCTCAGCCTTTTGAGTAGCTAGGACTACAGGCATGTGCCACCACACTTCGCTAATTTTTAAAACATATTTTGTAGAGACAAGGTCTCACTATGTTGCCCAGGCTGGTCTCAAACTCCTGGCCTCAAATGATCCTCTTACTCTGGCCTCCCAAAGTGCTGACGTTACCAGGCATGAGCCACTTAGTCTAGAAAGGAATTTTCTTATGACCATAAAGAAAATAAAAAGTGTGTATCAACTAATTTTTGACCTACTGAAGATCCAGCAGTTTGGATTTTATTCTCTGCATCTTGACCTTATAGAAAAGTGTTCATTGAGCAGTTCAAGAAACTGGACTTAGTGTGAAGCTCATGGAGAGCCCCAGAGGCTACATGCAGGAACCTGGAAAGGAATGAGAGAAGTGGGGTCAGTGCAGTGGGTTGATGGGGCTGCTGAAAACAGGGCTGCAAACATGCCATGTGAGGGGTACATATAGTGTCAGGAGATGGGGAAAACTCGAACTTTAGGTCTGGAAAGCCAAGATTAGAATATGCTAGATGAGCAATATAGAGCATTGTACAAGACAACCTATAGAGGAAAAAGTGTTTCTAACTGTTACACTAAAAAGACTCATGGACTGAGTGTAGTGGCTTGCGTTCATAATCCCAGTGCTTTAAGAGGTTGAGGTGGAAGGATCACTTGAGTTCAGGAGTTTGAGACCAACCTGGGCAACATAGCAAGATCCCATCTCAACAAAAAAAACTACAAAGAAATTAAGCGGGTATGGTGGCACATGCCTGTAGTTCTAGCTATTCAGGAGGCTGAGTCAGGAAGACTGCTTGAGCCCAGGAGTTTGAGGTTATAGTGAGTGATGATCATGCCACTGCACTTCAGCCTGGGCAACAGAGTGACACCTTGTCTCAAGAAAACAACAGACTTATGTACATGTAATCATCTTATAAACCCTTCCATCTATAAGGAAATCTTCTCCTCCCTCCTGTTTCCTGTTGGTCATTTATAACTTCTCACCTTGAAAAGATGCCCTTTGACATGATTTTAATCTAATTTACTTCATAAAAATGTTTCTGGCAGAGAAGAGTGAGTAAAAAAGGTATTTAAGGTGAGGGGAGTGTGCAAAGCAATATTTGCTTCTTAGAGAAGGCTCTGTTTGTGAGCAGTGGCCCTGTCTATTCCTCGCAAGGTTGCCAATCATTAGGTTTCAGCAGGTGTGAAACCTACAGGGAGCCAAGTGGAAAATCAGAAGCTGCATGGGCCAACGGAGCAATAGTTTGGAAGGCATTGGGATTTGAAGGTCTTTGATATTCTTGAAGGATGTTTTACTTAATGGAAATTGGTTTATACAGGTGTTGTGCAAGGATACCTTGGAGTTCACCATGGCCAGCCGAGATGCCTGCAAGGCTTTCTGGAAGACTTGTGTGGAATACCATGCTTTCTTCAGGCTTTCGGAAGAGCCCAAATCAAAGCCCAAAACCCTACTCTGCAGCAAGGGTTCCAGTTTCCGCTATAGGTAATTAAACAATGCACATAGGCAAACTGCTCACACTGCTTCTTTTCAATAACACAGGAGGCTTAGGAGGAGTTCACATTCTAGAAGCAACAAAGAATCCATTTCAATCACATCAAAGATTGCACCCTTTCCTGCTCATTCTCTGTATGACACATTAAGTCAATGTTTTCTAACTAGGAGGGAGGAAGATGGGGGCACCTTACCTAAGGGGTAGGATCAGAGTCTCAGCAAGGATGGGCGGATGTGTGCAGTTTGAGAATACATGTTCTATAAACCCATTGTTTCTCCTATATTTAACTTATATGCAAACCATGGAAAGAAAAAGCTCAACAGCATCCTTTGGGTTGTAAAAGCTAGCATGAGAAAGCACTGGAGGGGATAAGAGATTTAGAAGATTGAACAATATGCCACTAGAGAATCCTCACTACAGGTCACACTTTGGAGGAATTGAAGCAAGGTTGGGTTAAGATCTTGTCTTTCGAGTTAATGGTTGCAGCACACCAACATGGTACATGCATACATATGTAACAAACCTGCACGTTGTGCACATGTACCCTAAAACTTAAAGTATAATAATAATAAAATAAAAAAAAAGATCTTGTCTTTACTTGAATACGTCAGCCTAGGAATCCGTTGGAGGAAGTTTTCAAAACTTTTAGCTAGGTACAAAATTCTGATTAAAAGCTTCCCCATACAGGATTTTTTCCAAAGAGTGATATCCTACCCCAGTAAAAATTAAGATCTGTTAAAACTTACATATTTCTGATTGAATCTTTCCAGTCTGTATTCTATGAATCCCTGCCTTCTTAAATAGATGATACTGAGCATATTTTGCCCCTTTCTTAATGACCTGAGTTATTATAAACATCACATATGATCTTTTGCAGGCAGCTGTAGTGCAATAATGGCCTCAGGGCAGGGGATGCATGTCAAGGCCCTGTACTTAGGTGATAAATCATCCAGACTCTTTAGACTTTATTATTCTTGTGTTTTTTTTTGTTGTTGTTGTTTGTTTTGTTTTGTTTTGTTTTGAGATGGAGTCTTGCTCTGTCACCCAGGCTGGAGTGCAGTGGCGCGATCTCGGCTCACTGCAATCTCCGCCTCCCATGTTCAAGCAATTCTCTGCCTTAGCCTCCCAAGTAGCTGGAATTACAGGCGCGGGCCACCACACCCGGCTAATTTTTGTATTTTTGGTAGAGACGGGGTTTCACCATCTTGGCCAGGCTGATCTTGGACCCCTGACCTTGTAATCCACCAGCCTTGGCCTCCCAAAGTGCTCGAATTACAGGTGTGAGCCATGGTGCCTGGCTAATTCTTGTGATTTTTTTTGATTTTTATGTTTCTCCCGGCTGTGATCTGACTTTCTTTGTTAGTGTATGCCTAACTAGAACAATCCTCTTCTACTGTTCATTTAGCTGCTTTTCTTCTGCTGTGGACTGGGAAACCAGATAAGTAACCTCATTGAAAGTAGTATGGAAAATCAGTCAGTTGACTCTGATTTGGAGGTAGAGGAAAAGCCTTTAAAGGGAAATATATTGTTATTATTATTTGAGACAGGGTCTCGCTGTGTTGCCCAGGCTGGAGTGCAGTGACATGATCTCCGCTCACTGCAGCCTTGCCTCCCAGGCTCAAGCAATCCTCCCACCTCAGCCTCCCAAGTGGTAGGGACTACAGGCATGCACTACCATGGCCGGGTAATTTTTATTATTTTTGTAGAGATGAGGTCTCACTATGTTGCCCAGGCTGGTCTCAAACTCCTGGGCTCGAGTCATCCTCCTGCCTCAGCCTCCCAAAGGGCTGGGATTAAGGTGTGAGCCACCATGCCCAGACCAGGTATATTATTTTTAAAGCCCACAATTTTTAGCTGTTATGTAACCCTGTTCAGAGGCCTTTAAAAATTACCTGCGTTCTGAGTAGTTGAGGTTGTTCTCTGCCTGGTCCTTGAATAAGTGGGTATTATCATTGTGATGGTCAAAGATTCATGACATATGTCATTCATCTAGTCTTTTGATTTCAACAATAAACGAGGCTTTCAAGTTTTAGTAGCCTATTGGTTTATGGCTAGAACTAAGGATTTTTATTGTTCCTTATGATAGTGGACGAACCCAAAGGCAACTTTTGGAATATGGGAGAAAAGGGAGGCTGAAGAGCTTGCCATTTGAAAGGTACATGATTTTGTTTCTCTTGCTCGTGTTGATTTTATGTTGAATTTGGAGATTTCTATGTATCCTGGTATTCACATGAAGGTCATTTCAATGACTTCTCTGCTTGGGGATTTCAGGAAACATTACCCATCTCAGTACCATGAACGACAGTGCAGGTCCTCACCAGACCTCCTCTCTGATGTGTCAAAACAAGTAAGGTTTCTGAAAATTTCTACTTCTTTAGATAAATGTAATTTGTGCAAATTTCAAATGCTTCCATGAATTGATTCTGCCAGAATCCCAGTGTGTAAAAAGGTTACTCTGTTTGAGTAGGTTAGCTTCCTGGGGAGGTCTGTCAGCTCAGTCTTTCCTGCCAATAGAAGATCATTTAGTAAACTACCACTGGTGTGTACCTTATAGACTGGAGAGAACTGGCACATCTTCAAATTGCAACCTGTGTTGCTAACATCTTGCAAAATGCAGATCCAAATGGCTTTGAATTTTCAAAACTGAAAGCTCCATCTTTTTACCTATGAAAATCTTAAAGTGTAGAGGAAGGTATAAGGTCTTGGGTTAAAGTTTTAGAGTATTTTTCCTGTGTAATTTTGTAACTTAAGGACAAAGTGTTGTTCCCTTGGAACTGTGAGATGATGGCTTCCTTTGACATTTTTAGTATGAAAATTGTGAATTATTTTTCTTTTACTCTCCCTAAAAAAATAATTATAGGTCTCATAAACCCTCATGCCTTCAAGTCACTGGCAGTTTTTATCCAAAAGGCATCAGAGGCATAATGATGAAAGGAGCCATTTAGTATATGAACCTCTCATACCATTCATAGCCCTCCTCCCACCATTTTACAGAAAATAGGGAGGAAGCTGGAGCAGCAAGGTTAGGAGACTTGTCTAAGGTCACACAGCAAATCAGAGACAGAGCCAGGACTAACAGGCAGGACTCCTGGTTCACTAATATAGCTATTAAACCAAACTGCTTGTAGTGTATACACTCAGAGTCTGGAAGTAGGATGGCATTGAGAAAGAATAGTGTCACATGTACTTTTTAACACATGCACTGTGATGTAGTAGAAGTTATTACCCTTTCTTTATATATTTATCTACCCTAGAATAGAACATGGATCTTGTTAAATGACTTTATGAAAAACTACCTTTCAAACTTTGAGGCTAATTTAGATCCCTCCCCCAGCCCTAACCAAATGGCCTTTTCCTTCTTTCACCAATGTGTCCATTCTCTCAAGGTGGAAGATTTGAGACTAGCATATGGTGGTGGCTACTACCAAAATGTGAATGGAGTGCACGCATCTGAGCCAGTGCTGGAGAGTAGGAGGAGGAATTCTGCATTGGAGGTGACATTTGCAACTGAGCTGGAGCATTCCAAACCAGAGGCGGATCCCACATTGCTACATCAGTCCCAAAGCAGTTCCTCTTTCCCTTTTATTTATATGGACCCTGTCTTTAACACTGAGCCCAATCCTAACCCTGATCCCAGAGACATTTTTTCAGAGAGGAGTTCTCTAAGCTCCTTCCAAACAAGCTGTAAGTTTTCTGGTAATCACATGAGCATATATTCTGGCCTCACAAGCAAAGTGCGTCCAGCAAAGCAGCTAACTTACACGGATGTGCCCTATATTCCTTGTACAGGTCAGCAGGTTGGTATTATGCCTCCCCAGGTCTTTTTTTATGTGGACAAGCCACCCCAGGTGCCCAGATGGTCCCCAATTAGAGCAGAGGAAAGGACAAGTCCACATAGCTATGTAGAGCCCACTGCAATGAAGCCAGCTGAAAGAAGCCCAAGGAATATCAGAATGAAGAGCTTTCAGCAAGACCTGCAAGTACTCCAAGAAGCTATAGCCAGGACTAGCGGTAGGAGCAACATCAATGTAGGTCTAGAAGAGGAAGACCCAAATTTGGAAGATGCATTTGTATGTAACATTCAAGAGCAAACCCCTAAAAGGTCCCAGAGCCAATCAGACATGAAAACTATTCGTTTTCCTTTTGGGTCAGAATTTAGACCTTTAGGGCCTTGTCCTGCTCTCAGTCATAAAGCAGACCTGTTTACGGATATGTTTGCAGAGCAGGAGTTGCCAGCAGTTCTAATGGATCAAAGTACAGCAGAAAGGTATGTAGCTAGTGAATCCAGTGATTCTGAATCAGAGATTCTTAAACCAGACTACTATGCTTTGTATGGCAAAGAAATAAGGTCACCCATGGCCAGAATCCGCCTGTCTTCTGGTAGTCTACAGTTAGATGAAGAAGATGAAGATGCTTATTTCAACACACCAACTGCTGAAGACAGGACTTCACTAAAACCATGTAATTACTTTTTAGCTTAAAAGTGTGAACCTATGGACATTTCTGAGCCAGTTCCATGTTACCGACTTAGGCAGAAAATAATGAAGTTGTAGAAACCATTTTCTTGGTTACTACATATTCATTGGTATTAAGGAAATCTCATTTTGGATGCCTGCCTTATGAAAGATCCAGCTGTTGCCTCATTCCTTGAGTTTCACTCTTCCATTACCTCTGAAGGGACTTTAGAACATGCCCTCTCCTCACCAGCACTGTGGCAAGGCAAGGTGGGTATTTGTCATCTCCACTGCATACTTCCTCATAGAGACATTGTGAGTGAAGGTCAGGCTCTTCAATGCTGAAGAATGGTGACAGTATGGGTTGGCATATGGAATTAGCGTCTAATGGCATTTAGTGATTTAGTAGATTGTGACTGTGTTGATCTTTGTGCTCTTAAACAACACTGAACAAATATTTCAGTCTTTACTATTTGTGTGGGGCCCAGTAGAAATGGTCTTGTAATATGCTAAATACTTCCATTTTTATAACATATAAAAGCAGAGCATGGCCCTCCTACAGCCTCAGGAAGGAGGTGGTGGCATAGATCCTCTCAAGAGAATACAGGTTTAGAATTAATCTAGGACTTGGCAGAATTCTAAACCTAGGAAATTCATGAATTAAATCAATTTCTAGAGCCAGACATAAACCAGATGAAAGTATCATGTTGTTTTACTTATAACTTCTATATTCTTATCTACTATATCTAGTAAAAGAGAAACATTATCAGGTCAGTTTGTTTATCTAATATTTCCTGCCAGAATTTATTTTTTGTCATAGCTTCTTGCATGTATGCAGGCCAGGAAATGAATGTTATTGTAATAAAGTGTGATGGAAAATCCAGGTAATTAAAAAATAAATTATAACTATGTTCTTCCTTTTGTTTTAATCAATTTCAGAAGTGATTGGTTCTGGCCTATTACTAAGGAAAGGGACAGTTACAGAACATGGAAAAGGAGGGAGGCAAGTGAAAATGTATGGTCAGGGAGAGGAAAAGTAGTAGAATTGAAGGGTAGCTGAAACAAAGAAGGATGGTACTAATACCAGGGTGAGTTAATGAACCAAAATTCCATTTTTGACCCATTCAGAACTTCTCTAATGGTCCTCCTAGAAGGTATAGCATTCTATTTGAGAAGTTTATTTTGTTTGATTTTAAAGTCCAACATATTTACAAGATAATGTTACTACTAACTTCAAAGAAAGGAGGCAATTCTATAGGCAAGCTATTTTTATATATAACTTAAAGGAGAAAAAACTAATGGAATAGCTTCCTTACTCTCCTAAACTTTACATCAGAAAAATCCCTCTTAATATACCTCATCCCACCCCTTTCCTCCATCCTAGCACTTTCTTGTCTGCTTCTGGACTCATATCCAGTAACTCACAAGTCTAGAGTAGCTATCTAATAATAAGAATATATTGAAACCCAATCACCTGGGCTTAATAATATAACATAGTATAATATTAGGATATTATATAATTAATATACTAATATATTAATACATATTAATACCCTAGATCCTTAATGCTAAGTTCACCCTCAACCTCTTCTCTAGGAAAAACTTAAACTCCTTTATGTTAATGCTATTTCTCATATCAATTTCTAAAAATCTTTACTAAGTTTATATCTGTATATGATCTCTTAATAATATAATAATTAGGGTGACCATATAATTTATTGTTCAACCCAGGACACTTTCAAGTGAAAGGGGACTTTATTAATAATTTGGTCAAGACAGGAGGCCTAGAAATCAGGACAGATGTTCATTGTAGCTATAATTAATGCTTAATGAAATGTGAAAAGTATCTTCTGGTTTCCAACAGAAATTTCGATTTTAGTGTTTGAACAATAAAGGACAAAGGAGTCCTTGAAGTCCCATACCACACCCCCAACTCAAGGAAAACAAACATTGAGGACTGTGAAATTTAAATATTTATTTTCAAAACCCCTAAAACACTGGAGTATGCTTCACCTAGAAACAGATTACAGGACGAATAGCTATAATGAATAAGCAATACAATTTGTATTTGGGATGCAATTGTGTTGTAAAGTTTCAAATAATCAATTTATAAATTTGTTGCTTTTACTTTTACAAAAATATTCATTTAACCCATAACATGAGTTGCAAAATTATCTCCAGACTTCTACAGATGATTATAAACTGTAATTGTGTTTCAGTTACACAGCAGGTGAAAAATTTAACTGAACCGTTACTTCAAAATACAATGCATTAAAAATAATTGTTACAATATAGGCACCAATAAAAAGAATTTTCTTGGCATACAACACCACAACAACTTTCTCAAGTATCTGTATTATGTAAATTAAAAAGAGGATGTAATGGCCACTTTGACTAAAAACTGTATTCCTTACAGGAAGAATATCTTTCTTTTAATATTTGACAATTACTCAGATTTTTTTAAATGACTTTTGTGCAAAAACCAAACTGTGCAGATCCAAACAATTAAACATTAGCTATCAAAACTAAATATCAATAATTCTACAACTACTGAAATACAGCCCCAGTTCAGAACTTAGGCAGGCATAATATATGTACTGGGCTTAAAAGAAAAAGGCATCACCCACATAATAGTACCATAAATATAAGTGAAAATTAACTGTGCAATCTAATTTAACCTTTGTGTGGACAGAAATCATCCTGTACTATGGTTATTTTCATATGAACTAGAAAATGCTCACTTAAATATCCTTTTAAAAACAACAAACTGATGCTTATTAGTGATAATTATGAAGAACAAAAATATATAAATAGTTTATAGGACAATTTATTACCATGGCAAAAATATGCTGATTTAAGTTATATTCATACCTGTTGATCAGATATTTAATCACATGACAATCAGCTTTATTTTTTGGCTCTCCAAATCCAAGCAGATAGTATGGGATTTTAGTTGAAGATGTAAAACATGAAGCCAGACTAACTCCTTCAACATTACCAAACACCTATCCTTGGGTAAATGATCTTGCTTTAAATTTCTAACCATGTGAAATAAGGGTAAAATTGCCTCTTCTACCTAAAAGAGAATGTAAATACTATACACCAAGAGGTACCTCTGTTGCTGTACATTGCCTGTAAATGCTTCAAACACAGGGTCTCAAATGTGATAATCATTGAGCTGCCTGGAATATCATACCAACTTGGTAGAAGAGTCAATACTTTTACAGGTTTCATTTAAAAGACTTTACTTAAATTTTCTGTTTTAAGAAGGTATGACTTATTTACACCTCCCCACCAATAGTCATTTTTAGAATATGCATGTTTTTTTTTAAAAAAAAAAGCTTTTTGAAGCTTGATAATTTACAAAAGCTGAATATTGAGAATGACTTTGAAAGACCTGTATGTTTCATGACTGTAGAGTCAACTAAAGATCAAAATGTGAAAGGTATTCATCCTCGTAACTTAAGAAATAGGGATACTTAAAAGCAAAACGGTGTCTCAACATTTACTAGAATACAGGTGAAACTATAGTATTAAAAGTTATTCCTTACAAAATAATCCTTTCAAAATATAAAATGATAAACGCCATCACAAAATAGTTTAATAGCTTCTTCCAAATCTTCAGTGTTGCAAAGATCCAAAAGGCACATGGAGCTCATGGGTTAAGCATTGTTAATCTTGACGTAGGTTTGGTGGGGCTCTCTGGGTCCATATGAAACAGAAGCCAATAATAAGTTTCTTAGGGGGATTCGTCTGCTGAACACCTATAAAATTTTTAAAAAATTTAAACCAATGTACAACTATGCATGTTTATATTTCTCCTTTGTATGAACTCTGCAATGAAGAAACTGATTCCACAAAAGGGATACATTGTTTCTATTGAATCTTATCATGTAGATGTTAAAATATAAACAAGTTAAAAAATCCCTTCTGCATCTGATTTCACAACTTCCGATTGATTTGTTTTCAAATGGGGGGTTTTCATTAAAATATAAGGGATTTTAAGAGGGGGTTAGGTTTGCGAGTACAAGTGAGCCTTATCAGATAGAAAGATCTTTGAGAGTGTGTGATTTCACAGGTCACAGAGTTTGTTCCATCTCGATCCCAGTGGCATCACAAACACAAAGAAATATAAAGATGCACTGAGAAGAGATATAGCAGGGTCAAGGCTAAAATCAGTATCACCTTATAGCTTGCTTGAGCTAAGGAGTGTATATGTGTGCATGCATACAAAAGTCTTGTTGAAAATTTTTTAAAAAATTAAATGTAAGAACTTTTTTGAATGCGAACAAAATCAAATGAATATTTCAAGAGACAACATAGAAACTGAAGTTGAACATAAGAGCCCTTTTTTGGTCTGGATTGAGTCCCTCTACCTTTTCCTTAACTTTTCATATGGAGATCAAACGTAGGAACTTTAGCACTGGAAACTATGCAACTAGTGGTGTTTTGTTAAATTCTGAGGGTAGTGGCAAGAAAGAAAGCATTCCACAATTATATTAATAAGAGCTCAAATGAGAATATGCTCAGTGACCTTTTGTCTATAATCCTACTAGTGGAGAAAGAAAAACAGGTCATTTCATGCAGTGGAAAACTACCTTGTCATGCCTAAAGATAATCATTCTAAAAGCTAATGTTTAAGATAGACAACAGACAAAAACTATTTTTAAGTATACAACTATGTATTGAAAGGTGACTTTGTTAGGAATAATTGGAATGGTTGAATCAAAGGAATTACATTGCATCATAAATTAACATACAACAGAAAATGCAAAATAATTTTTAAAATGACATTTCCAACTTACTTTTGAAATTTTTCAATTAGTTTCTTCACCATTTTATCTGTGATGCCGGGACAGGCGGCTTCAGCCACAGCAATACTTTTCTCGAGTTCTTCAATCGCCTGATTCCTGCTAGCGTTATTCTCGTCCTGCTGTTTAAGCTGAGAAAGAATAATAGTTAAAACATTTAAAATATTATACTACTTAACACAGATATCCAAGGCTAATTAATCTGTACTTACTTCAGCAAATGCAGGTGTGATTATCATAGACAAACAACTCAGGGTTTGCACAAGATCTTGCTCCTTTGAACAAATAATATAGATTATACACATGAAATTAAAATAAGTGTCATGATTTTCTTATTCTTTAACAAATACGAACTAATTTGAATCCCCTACTGAAAACAAAAGATTGTATGCAAGGCAAGTCTCTAAGCTTTCTTCCTATCATTCATTCTCATTCATCATCCAGAAGTCCTCTAACTTCTGGGATTACAATAGATACCTATGATTCCCTGGGCTTATGTATCTCCAGGTGAAATGCACTTAAAAAATACCAATATGGCCACTTAAATAACTTCTATTAACTTTTCTTAATTAGCTCAAAACTAATGACAAATGAAGCATACTACAAACACAGTGAGGCAGACAGGCATTTAGGGGTATTCAATCCTAACAATTTTAGGCCATTATCATCTCACTACATGGTTTGAAAAACTGTATGAAGAGTAAGTAATTGTCTCCATATACATACTGCCCCATTCTGTACTTTCTTTGGATCAGGCTTCTTTCGTACGGTGGTAAAGCTCCATTCAGGATGAGTATTGTTTTCCCTGCTGGTAGATTCCCTAAAGAGATTGCCAAAGATACCTCTATAAGTGCCCAAATGATTCAGCTTGGCAAAAATACCAAATCAATGCAGGTAGAATCTAAAGGGATAATTGTCCCAATGTTTAAAAACTCATGATGCAAAAAAGCATCTGATCTCAGCTTCAGGCGAATACTACATTTTACTACAGAGTAGTAGTGGAGTGGTTCTCAACTCTGTGTGTGCTTCATTGAGACCTCCTACCATAGATAAATACCTGTCCCTCACTACTCCCCACCTATTGAATCAGGATCTCCAGTGGTGTGGCTTGTGATTGCTTTAAGGTTCCATGAGTGACTCTTATGGGAAGCTAAGGCTAACACCCATTAGAATAGGGCACAAATTATTCTGATATTTTTTATCCCTTTCCAACATTGGACAATTTCTCATAAATGGAAGAATCTCAGAGTAGTATCTAAAGAAATTTGGTGTTGCCTTTGTGCCAGTTCAGCTGGTGGAGGACTAAATTCTGGCATAGCATACAGACTTTCCTAGTCTAAATTAATTGACAGACTTAGAGGCTGAATTTTTAATGTAAACGCTGCTGTTATAAAACCCTACAACTTTTTCAAGAAATAAAAATCATGCATAAATGAATATTTAAATGTATCAGTCTGATCTTGGTTTGGTACATGGCCAAGAGGTGGGAAAAGCCTGGAGGTCAGTTCTTTAGAGGGATTTTGCAGGTTGCCATCAAAGTATGAGAAAACACAGCTCCTTATTACTTTGAGCAAACTAATATAACACCTTTAATTGAATCCTGTTCCAAAATTTTGTAATATACTCAAGTATCCACTAGGGGTTAGACCAAGACCATTTAAAACTAGAGCTATTCACTTCCAAGAAAAACATGTTTCCAACTCCATTGTATTCCACAGACTGTGATTGAAAAAGATTTTTACAGTTTCTAAGGTGAAATTTCAAAATATGGTTTATATTTTATGCTAGAACAAGCACACTGGAGCATAGCTAAAAGATATACAATATTTAAATAGGCTGCCTACATAAAAATTAAATAATTTGTACATACGAATCAGAGCCCTCGGAATCAGATTCATCATCACTGTGTCCTTCTGCCTTCCATCTCTTAAAACGATCTATCAGTTCAGTCAGATAAGAAGTCTTCTTTGAATTTTTTACAATGAATTTGTGTTTCAGAAGTTCTTTTGCTGTAGGACGCTAAGGATAAAAAGATCAAGGCTGCATATGACAATTGTTGAACTCTTATGATTACAAGGAATGGTAAAAAAAATCATTTGAATTATTAAGCTGAAAGGTATAAAGGTATGTCTGTAGACATAAGAACAACTAAAATGCTGTAGGAAAATAGCTAATTCTATTATTGAAGTGGCTCAAGGCAACCACATTGAATCTACTACTTTGGTGTCCCAATTTGTTAAAGCCCAACGGGCAGCAGGTGGCTTACCCACCAGCAAACTGGCAGGCAGGGCCTTCTCAAAAGCAGAGAGACACATGACAGTATTTAGAAAGTAAACATTTAAAAACATTTCAAAGTAGTGTTCTAAAATACTTTAATCACATTTACTGTAAATTTGAAAAAACCTGATGAAAACTTGCAAGGCTGTAATTTTGTTATTATCTACACATATAATCCCTTCTCCATCACAAATCAATGTCTATTGCATCTAAATGCAAACACCAGGTGCTGTGGAGGATGTTCCGCCTTCATTTTATTAACATGAGAATGTTTATCATCAACTTAAAAATAGTTATATCAAGTTTGGACTGCTCTTGTGTATTTCTCGTCTCAAAAAGTCACAAGGCAGCTTTATTTCAACAACAGTAAAACAACTGTAATAGAATCCACCAAGTAAATGAATGGAGCTCACTAGCCTAGGAAAAGTATACAACTTCACATTGAAGTTTCTAAACACCAAATAAAAATAGTTAAACCTGGCCAGGCACAGTGGCTCATGCCTGTAATCCCAGCACTTTGGGAGGCTGAGGAGGGCAGATCACTAGAGGTCAGGAGTTCGAGACAAGCCTTGCCAACATGGTGAAACCCCATCTCTACTAAAAATACAAAAATTAGCCAGGCATGGTGGCGGGTGCCTGTAATCCCAGCTACTTGGGAGGCTGAGGCAGGAGAATCGCTTGAACCTGGAGGTTGCAGTGAGCCAAAATCATGCCACTGCACTCCAACCTGGGCAACAGAGCAAGGCTCCATCTCAAAAAAAAAAAATAGTTAAACCCAAATATAACTTTTCATGAAAAATGAAAACAGTTGAACAAAAATCATTGTATTTATACATACACTTTAATAATGACATAATATAAAGTTAACTTTATTTCTCAAATTTATTTCCCCCTGAAAGAGGAAATAATGAATAGAATAAGGAGGAAGCTGAGGATCAAGAAAAAAACGAAGGGTAAGGAGAAAAAGAATGAAGAATCTGGTTAAGAACTCAATAGAAATAGCAATACAGAAGGACGAACCAGGTTCCTGGATGGATCTTAGACAATTCTCACATACACTGTATTCCCTACTGCAGGAAAAGCTGCCTTTGCTATAAGTAGATCTAATAATAGAAAACAAATAGTAATAATAGCAATATATACTCACAAATGATGGATCTTTGTTCAGGCAAGCATCAATAAACTCCTTAAAAGACTTAGTAAAGTCTCCAACAAGAGTTGGAGGATTGTTTTTGGGAATAAGAAACAGAACTCTCATTGGATGCATATCGGAGTTAGGTGGCTCTCCCTTGGCTAGTTCAATAGCAGTAATTCCCAATGACCAAATGTCAGCCTAACGTAAAAGGAAAAAGAAAATAATATATATATATATATATATATATATATATATATATATATATGTGTATGTATGTATATCACCTTGAAACTCCATTCCAATATACTACCACAAAATAGTCTGTGGAACCTAATGGCTATACAGTACTTGTCTCTCAAGAAAATGTGGTGTTAATAAATTTTTATTAGTAGAATTCATTTATGTAAAACATAATGAATTCCATACTTTGTGCCAGGTACCCTTCTCGGAATGGAGGATTTCAGTAGTGTATAAGCCAGACAAAAATCCCTGCTCTTAAGGGGTTTACATTCTAATAAGAAAGACAATAAATAAATAAATAATATGGTGCCAGACGGTGCTAACTTCTGTGAAGAAAATAACAAAGCATAGTAAGAGAATAATGAATCATGGGGGGAAGGGTGTTGCAAATTTACATAAGATGGCCAGGGAAGACTTCCCTGCGTAGGTGATATTTAAGCAAAGACCTGATTGTGGGAAGAAGGTTTTTTCAGACAGAGGGAAGGGCATGCAAAGGTCCTGAGGCCAGGGTGTACTTGCTATGTTTGAGGAACAACCATGAGGCCACTGTGGATGAATAATCTAGAAGAGAGTGGTAGGAGATAAGACTGGAAAGGCAGATAATGGCCAGATTGTGTAGAGCTTTATATGTCACAGAAAGGACTTAGGATTTTATTCCACGTGGGATGAAAAGCCATTGAAGTGAATAGGGTCCAAATATTAGTTAGCTGTGAGGGAATTTATGATTAAGCAGCAAAATATGACATAACTCTAGCTTAAGAAACACTTGTGAAACAAGGAAAAATAAGGCAGTGTATTAACTAGGATAGTGTGCCATATATAATTTATTAACAAGCCCAAAACAGTTTGTACAGGTAATACTTTACTTTTGAGTCATAAGCTGACTGTTGAATAACTTCAGGAGCCATCCAAAATGGAGTTCCCACAAAGGTATTTCTTTTAATCTGTGTATCTGTCAGCTGACCAGCAACTCCAAAATCAGCAAGTTTAACATCTCCTTGTTCTGAGAGCAAGACATTGGCAGCTAGGAGGAAAAAAAGAAAAGCAAAAAAAAACTCAGCTTGCTCAGAATGCTTCTATTTTTCTCAGGTTCATATTAGACTTTTGTATACCTTTTATGTCTCGGTGAATTTTCTTTTCTGAATGCAGATAGTCCAGACCTTTTAAAATTTCCTTTAGCATGGTAGCAATCTGGAACTCATCAAATGGACCAGCTCGAAGCTTAAGGGGAAAAACACACACACACATACACATATGTGTAAAAGTTTGGAAACATAAAATTCAAAATTGGTACCTTTGAAATGAAGAAATCACTTAGACACATGATGCCGTTCTGTTTATCAAACCAATATCTAAACAAGGAAGGAAAAATGTAAAATGTGAAGGAAGAAAGCAAAAGAGTTCAGTCAAAGGGCTGAACAGGTTTTTTAATGATTCAATTTAATGAAAGATAATACGAGCCCTTTTACCTATATACTAGGCTTCAAATTCTGAGGTTCCTGAATATTTACATCAAAGATGAAACAAATATGCTTACGTAATGACAGAACCAACTATCTGTTCTTTAGATGGAAAAAAA
The DNA here is from genome assembly GCF_000001405.40 of Homo sapiens. Lineage (NCBI taxonomy): Eukaryota > Metazoa > Chordata > Mammalia > Primates > Hominidae > Homo > Homo sapiens. Next base: position 132,067,856 of record NC_000023.11, on the reverse strand, counting down.
GAGAAATCAGCTACTTAAATTCAGGCAATTGCTGTGAAAAAGTTACTACATATTGACACGAAACTGATTTTTAGGTCAGAGAATCCATAAGATTTCCACAGCAACTATTTGATCATATCAGTCAGCATTTATGTATTTTAATAATATTGCAAAGAATAGCCTTTTTGAGACTCAAATTGTAAATTTAGCCAAGAATATAATAATTAAACTATTCAGACTATGATGGTAAAAAAAAATTAAATCATGGAGGGATAATGTTTTTCAAATAAATGTAACACATATCCCTTTATTTCCCCATCCCTGTACCAAAGCCAATAGTTCCAACTGGAATACAAGGAAAGCAATGATTAGGTTTCAGGAGAACTTGTAATGGAATATCTGAAAATCCCTCTTTAAAATAAATGGTTATTTTAAAATTCTGGTACCTCATAAAGCACAAACAGTGGACTGTACAATATTATTACAGGAAAGGGTGGGAATCTAAAGTCAGAGCAGAGGTAGAGTTCTGTTTGCTTCTGGAAGGAGGGAAGAGGTGGTGAAAATCAAACATTGCCCACTCTGCCTCACACTGGGAGGGATCCACAGCTCTTTGGCACCTTGTGTATTTCATCTTTCATGAATGCCATATTTATGCTGAATAAAGGGCACTTTCATGTTGAAATTTAACAGCTTAAAATAGAACTCATACTTTGGTCTCACCATCTAATATTAACTGTGGTCTGGGTATATAGTATACTCCAGGGATATCTGTAATTCAATAGGTCCCTTTCCTAGGTAACATTATCTACTTACTTTCAAATCTATCAACTTCCACCCCAAAGTTTCTATTCAAACAGTAGTGATTAAAATAGTTTCTAAAGTCTTCTAGAAAGGTTGAAAATGGCATACTATTTTGTTGATGGCTGGCAATGAACTTCTGAGGTACTACAAAATAACTAAAGGACAAATGTCACACTACTTAAGATCAGTAATTAGTATCATCTGATCACAGGACATTGGCAAGACCAGGGGAGGTATATCCTTGGTTATTTCAGTGATTGGGCAAGATTAATGTACGACCTACTAGCTATCATTCTGAAGGACATGTAAAAGTAACATAAATAAGCCAGTATATTACCTAATACAGAAGTTTTTAAAAATATTTAAGTAAAAACAACAAAAAGGGGATCCCAAAGATTCATGAGCTTATCTGCTATATTTTAGGTTCATGTTAAAATTCAATAAAAGTGAAATCTCAATTAACTGGGTGCTAGAGGAGGATGGGAAGAAAGACTCTGTGGCAGGGAGACTTCTCCATTTGAACTTTTCTCCGATAACTGAAGAACTTGCCATGTCTCTAACAGATAATATCTCTGTCCCAGGGCAGTGTACTTGCCTTGTGTAATTTGCCTCTGTTGTCAAGTAAGAATATGCAAGAGAGGGACCTTGACTCTTTCGAAGACTGTACATTTGTGAGCTCATGGATCTTTGTCACAATTTAACTTCCAGCCAGTCCCTAATGCAGTCTGCTATTTTATGCCCTCTCTTATGGTTAGCATATTGTTTCTTTTTTCTTGGGGCTCATGTTTTATTCTAGTCATCTTATTATATGTGTTTTTGTTGCAAGCCACCACGATTCTTTTTGGAAAGAAGTGGAGCATAATAAACTCAATAAAATGATGTGCAATATACTCAAAGTCTGCTCACATACAATAAATTGTTTTTCAAGAATGGGAGTGACTCAAGGTAGACACTGTATAATGTTAACATAAATGACAAGTTGTAATCTTATGTTATTCCATTAGTTAGGTACCAGGCACCAGTTTAATGTGAGAAACACTCTCTGCTAAACATCCCTCTTATTTCCTCTTGTTCTTAGTAGCAGAGCCTTCCTCTACACCTAATCCTGTCTTAGATTCCCCCAAATGATAGCATTTATTTGTACAGGAATATACATGAAAAAGGAATAGCACATTTTCTCATTATCTGCTCTCCCTGTAAAGTCTAGTTAAATGAGTTTTATAATTAAATCACAATATTATTGAATTTTAGAGCTAAGAACACAAAATTAGAGATTACTGATTCAATTTCTTCATTTAACATGTGAATAAATTAAGACACAAGGAGGCTAAAGGGCCGCCCAATATTTGCCAGGCAGTCAGTGTTAGCACTGGGTTTATGACCTAGGCCTTTTGATTCTTAACCAATACAGTACTAACAACATTTTTCATTCATTGAAACTGTTATTAATGGCTATTTGTTTTATTAAGTAGAGTTCAGAATAGCAGGATGAGATTAAGATCTCACAATCATTTAACTTGGAGATTTCATAAAACTGACCAAACTACTAATAGGGGACACAGATTTGGGTCATTGGTTGGGGTTAGGCCAGTGTTCACTGTTTAACATTGCTATCAGTGATCCTGTTGAACAGAGTGGCCTAGCTTTGCCAGTGCTTCCAAAATGGGGAAGAGATATGGTGAGCACCCTGAGGAACCAGATAAGACAACTGATAAATTTGGAAAGGGCTCTTAATATTCAAAAAATGGAAGGAGGATCATGAAACAATTGAGAGGCTTCTTGTAGAGCTAATGAAAAAACTATTGAATAATATGACTCTGTGACAAGACAAATAGAAATGAGATCATTTAACTTCAAGAGGAGAATGAAGCCTGACTCCATATGCATGAAGGATTATTACACAAAGAAACATCAGTGGTGTTCTCTCACTAGAGACGAGAGAAAAAAAATGAACTCAGGCTTTAGGATATAAGAATTAGATTAGACACAAGGAAAGATTACCAAATTCAGCAACTGATTAAACTGACATGAATTCCTAGTAGTAGATGAGGCTCTCCATCAAGTTTAATTACCATTTCTTTAAAATGGTTTAAATATGGTTCTGCCTAAAGGAAAGAAAATCTCTTATAGTCATTTCTGTTCATAAAATTATTTGAAGCTTTGAGTTACTGGCAGTCAAGGTTAAAGCCTTTTAAAAATATTTAATCACTTTCAGTTAGGAAAACTCATCTCCACCTAAAAAAATAAGAATTAAAATATTACTTGATTATTTTAATCAAAACACTTTCTTAGAAACAGCATACTCTATAATTTCTAAGGCAGAAACACGCAAATAAAAAAAATATAATATTAAAGATGGAAGGGAACTTAGAAATAACTTAGTGCAACTTCTTTGTTTTATAGAACACCTACGTCCAGGAAGTTTGTGTCTGGTTCACAGGCACAGAGCCAGACCTATAACCTCAAACACCCCAGGCCAGCCCAGTGGTCATTCTACTACACTAAGTTGCCTCTCATAAGTCATACTGAATTTTAAAACATAGTATCATATTAATAAAGATTTTTAAGGAAGGGAAAGAAACTCAACATTGATAGGATCACACTGAATTGGGGAACAACCAGTGTTTCTCAAAGGCATTCTGTGTGTAAATGCATCTTCATTGGGTTGAATTTTCCTGCACACTGCAGGATTTTAGCATTCTGATCCATGACCACAAAAATGGCAGGAGCACTTCTAAGTCATTGTGACAACCCAAATGCCATCACATTTCCAAATAACCTATAGAGGGGCAGAGAGAACTCTGTGAAGAACTGGATCTGTAGGCCAACCTTGTTTAGAACCCTAGTACCACTATCTTAGTCAATTCAGGTGCTATAGCAGAATACCACAGACTGGGTGGCTTAAACAATATTTCTCACAGTTCTGGAGACTGGGAAAGAAGTCCAAGATCAAGGGGCTGGCAGATTCGAGTCTGGTAAAGGCACTCTTCCTGGTTTCCAGAAGGCCTTCTTCTCACTGCACCCTCTCGTGGTGGAAAGAAAGTCAGAGAGCTCTCTGGGGCCTCTTTTGTAAGGGTGCGAATCTCATTCATGAGAACTCACCTTCATGACTTAATTAGGTCCCAAGGTCCCCACCGCCTAATACCATCACATTGGGGGTTAGGATTTCCACATATGAATTTTGGGGGGACACAAACATTCAGTTCATAAAAAACACTTTTAGTGACAGTTATCTCAATTACATATTTTTTAAAAATCTAAGAAAACTCAGTTTTTTCAGGGATAAGCTTGCAAAAGTCAAACTTTGACAGCAATGGATACACACATCCCCTTCTAATTTGGGAGACTTTATTTTATTAAGCTATTTGCATTTCTTATATAGTCTTAGAATGCCAGCAACATGTTCAAACGTACAATACATCTGTACCTACATAAGGTAGAGGTCATGAAAAAAGAATTTAATTTGAACATATTAACTAAAGCAACCACTTAGCGTGCTCAAAAGCCATTAATCTTCAATTTAAAAAATTAAGGTATGTGCATATGCACACATTTGCATCTGTGTGTAACTATTTTAAAATACTTACAAGATCCAGTGCTGAACCACCGCCCAGGTATTCCATTATTATCCATAATTTAGACCCCTGTAAAGCCATGAAACAATTTAATAATTACAAACCTGAGCCAAAATAACATACTAGCAAAAATGTTAAATCTCACATACTAAAGCACAGATTCTATTTGCATGTTCTCATTTATTTGTGGGAGCTAAAAATTAAAACAATTGAACCCTTGGAGATAGAGAATAGAAGGATGGTTACCAGATGCTGGGAAGGATAGTAGGGAGGGGGAGTTGGTGATGGTTAATGGGTACAAAAAGTAGTTAGAGAAAATGAGTAAGATCTAGTATTTGATAGCACAACAGGGTGACTATAGTCAATAATAATTTAATTATACTTTTAAAAATAAGTAGAAAAGTATTACCGGACTGTTTGTAACACAGAGAGTAAATGTACCCTGATGTGATCATTATACATTATATGCCTTTATTAAAATAGCTCATGTACCCCCATAAATATTTACACCTTCTTTGTAGCCACAAAAATTAAAAATTAAAAAAATAAAGAACAGATTCTAAAATGTAGGTTTAAAAATGGTTGCTTGGGAACCCCGAATATATTTTTTCCATAGAACATTCCAAATTAAAATTCTGAGCTTAGACTACCCGCATACCTTTTTGCCTATGATATAGCTAAACAAATAAAAGTACTGTTTGTTATTGTTGAACTATTAGTAATTTTTATAAAAAACAAAGCTTTAAATAATTATCTTGAATGATATTGGAAAGAAAAGATAGTTACATTAAAGAATGAGGAGGTAAATGAGGGCTTGTAGAAATTTTGGGTTTGAGTTTGAGGACAATGGATATTTTGCCTTATTTCAGTTGTTGGCTTTCATTTGTTTTGATGTACTTCAAACTTTTATCAGCTACGGTTAATGGGCATTTTTGGCACACACGGAACCTAGAAAGAATATTGTTCATTTTACCTCTGATGTAAATGGATAAGAAAAAGGGAGAGTGTAGCTTTAAAAATCTGTGCTTTCTCCAGGTGGAATTAACTTCCCTGTGAGCTGAACAAGAGGAAATGGGGCTCCTGGGAGGAATATATGTATACAAATTCTAAAACAGGTGTACACACACACATACCATTCAGTACCATCAGTTAAACACTGGAATAAACCATTAAACCCTTTTTATTTTAGCTATAGCTTAAATACAAGGGACACCTCTCTCTCCATACCATTTCATGAGTGGTATTCTCTGAATTTTTGTGGGACCAAAGAGCTGACTGGAAGTAGAATGGTTGGCTTTACTATACTGGCAGCAGCCAAGTAGTGACTGGACTGTGTTCCAAAAGTTGGTTTTTAAGTAAGATGTTCAGAATTTTAAAAGCAAGCATTTTCCCATAAAAATAATGTCTAAGTTCCTGGGGTAGTCCTCCCAAAAGACAATTTCACACAAATGTATTCATTCGTAGTATAGCATAAAAAGTACCAGAGAAACTCACTACTATTTATATCTTAACAATATTTCAAGTAGGAAAATATATTCAGCATGGTGCCTCAACTTGGGATGCCAGAAACACATTTCTCACCTTTACAACCCCAGCTGCGGGGTGAAGATTCTCAAGCTACTGCCAGTAGCCCTCAAACTCAAAAATCCCTGGGAGGTATTCAGGAGTCCAATTTAAAATTTCCAGGCATCTCCATGAGGATGTGACTTTATCAAGGCAGAGAATGGAACCCAGTGACATGATGATGAGTGCTTAGGGGATGGGAGAGGGTTGAAGAATCAGAGTGGAACTGACATTGTAGTGTGGGGAATGGGATGTGGCCTAGGGTTAGCGATCATGAAGGGAGGGCTCAGTTAATTAAGACAAAATGATTCTCCTTTCCATATGCTGACACTATGTAGAATTTGTAAGAGAAAGGGAGGAACAATATTCCCCTACCACTTCCTCCACTAATCTTGACATCCACTCTGTCCTGACATAGATGGCCAGCAGGCACTGTGAGCAGAAAGCTGAGAGTCTTGGTTAGCAGTGAAGTCTACATTAGGAAATAGAGGAAATAAATTCCCACAATACTGGTGAGGGAAGAGGAGTTCCAGGAAAGGTTCATATAACTTGTATTTGTGTATAGAACCTAGGCACTCGCAACCTGAGAATTGTGACTCTGATGTACCTTTATACTTTTTTCAAGAGAAGAAAAAAGTGGTTCTTACAATGGTGGATAGGTTAAAAATTGTTTCTTCTGCCACAAGTTTGTTTCTAACAAGTACTATACTCTATCATATGAATTCAGAGAGCTTCCCATTCACCTGACATTTAAAAGAAAAAGATCTTATAAAACATGCCTGCCTATTTTGCAGTTCTGCATGAATGAAAGCACCTGTTTTCCAAGTTAAAAACAATGTGTGCCTTTTTGTTTGTACTAATTCAAAACAGAAACTTGCCAACTGTCTGTCAGTAAAACGTGTTCATAGAAAGCTTGAAATGTGACTTTACAAAGTAGTATATACCATTAAGCATTAAAATTACAACTACTCAATTTCTAGATCTGAAAATAAGGAATCCTTATTTGTTCTGGAAATCAGTGGTGGTGAGGGCTGCACAACACGCCTGTAATCCTGGTATTTTGGGAGGCCGAGGTGGGAGGATCGCTTGAGTCCAGGAGTCTGAGAGCAGTCTAGGCAACATAGGGAGTCCTCATCTCTACAAAAAGTGCAAAAAAGTAGCCAGGTGTGGTGGCATATGCCTGTAGTCCCAGCTACTCGGGAGGCTGAGGTGGGAGGATCAATTGAACCTGGGAGGTGGAGGCTGCAGTGGGCCAAGACTGCGCCACTGTACTCCAGCTCGGGAGACAGAGTGAGACCCTGTCACAAAAAAAAAGCAAAACAAAAAAACAAAACAAAAAAAAAACCACCCAAAAAACAAACAAACAAAAAAAACACAAAATCAATGTGAATGTAGCCAATGCCAGAGAGCTGTACACTTAAAATGGCAAATTTAGTGTTAAGTATATTTTGCCTGATTAAAAAAAACATACAGCACATAAGACTTTATAAAACTGGAAGTGACAGTAGAGATCATCTTGCCAAGAATATGGCTAGAAAATTTACCACTTCTGAGTCATTTTCCTCCAGCTTGGAATGCTGTGTCCCTACCCCACTTGCACCTTCCAACCCCTATCAAAATCATTCTCAAGACTTAGTTCAAATGCTACCTCCCTAGTTTGAGGGTTATTGCACTTGATGTACTCACAGATAAGCAGGCTATTAATATGAAGCAAGTTATAAACACATATCTGGGGCTGAGCAGAGAGGATGAAACCAGAGACATCAGTTTAGAAGTTGTCAGACGAAAGTAGATGAGATTAACCACAATATGCAAAAGAAGAGGAATACACATAGTAGGCATTAATAAATAAGCGTCTGTTGAATTGAATCTAACATGGGGCTTCTTAGAGGTGTATTATATTAAGTTTAAAGCTATTCCTATTTTGAGAAAAGAACATTTTAAGAAGGAACAAACTTTCTAGCCTCCATTTTCTTCAAGTTTTATAAGAGAACTCCAAAACAAATGTTAACAATAAAAGAATATTCCAGAGGCATTGAGCATACATAAACTGGCTGTAAGCACATACAGTTTCAGTGAAAAATAAGGAGAAGGCCACAAAGCCGTACAGATGATTCTGAAATATTTTACTTCATTCAATTCTTTTTTTTTTCATAAATACTGGTGATGGTGGGTGGGAGGCAATATTTCCTTAACATACACAGAAATCTAAAGGCAATTTTCAGCAGCAAATAAAGGCATGATTCAAATTCTATTCAATGCCTGAGTGTCATTTTAAGATTTACACTGAACTAGAAAAATATTTAAAGATTATAAAAGATTATTCCAATATTATGAGATCAGAAGGGAAGGGTTTGCTTATTTTAGCACTCTTCATAAAGACTAACTTTGTCAAGAAAATCTGCCCAGTGAACTAAAATTAAAGGAAAACACTGTGGTCATACTGATGTGTTTGTCTGGTTTTTAACTCTTGTTTTCAAAAATGAAGTTATACAGTGAGCTTAGTCAAAATGAATACCTAGTACATTTTTTGCATGTCTCAAGGAAATCACTACAACTGCATACAGTTTCAAAGAACATATAATTTTCTCTCAAATGTAATAAACTTTTCCTCCAGCTTACAGTGAGGTCTTAGTTATGGATGACATCCTGTGTAAGAACAACCCATTTCCCAGTTTGCTCAATTAACTTGACTCACAAAATCCTCCATGTCACCTGAAATGGAACAATGGGCCACAATAAGTATGTAAGTTGACTGATAACACAGTTCCCTGATGGCACAAAGAGGATGTGGCCTTGACTTATGTTGACTACATGAAACAGAATCCTGTTATATTTGACGTGATTTTAGTTTAGAAAAAAATACAAACCCACACAGTCATACTATGTTGTAATATAAATGGAAAATAAATGAGTTGGTCAATTTAAGAAAGTGATTTAAATACATGGTATGAAAACGTTGTAAGATTATAGAATATTTCTTTCTCTGTGTGTATATACATATGTCTCAAGACATATGTATATACACACAGATTTATTTACTTTAAATAGATTCAGAACACAAATAATCAACATAAGCCAGCTGCACATTTCTACAATTTTATCATGAAGCAACATGTTCTTCAAAGTAGTGTTTTATATCATAGAGTTTAGTTAATGATGGGTGAAGGAGATAAAAATAATTTGATTTAATCCCTTAAGAAGCTATCTTGGACGATGGTTTTGTAGCACTGGCTGGTCTGAGTACACTTTACAATCAAAATTTGGGACAAACAAAAAACTAGTTTTTAATTATTTAAAGATTAAGTAAATACTGGGTGACTAGTACATGTATACTACTGTGCAACTTAAAAAACACTCTATATGAAATCTTAGGAAAAGAAGATAGAGCTGTCACTCATTTTCCATGGGAGTATTGAATATGAATAAATAAGCAACCAATAAAATTGTCAAACCATATCAGTACCAATTTTCAATATATTATGGAATAGCCATTTTAAATAGGGCGTATTTAATATTTTAGGTCAGCAACCAAAAATAGTGTTTTTGTCACAGGTGCCTAAAAGTAGCAAGGATTCAGTTTTGCCCTAGAGTGAGTCTGGAAATACCGGGATTCAGTCCAGAAAGAGTAAACCAGAATGAGCAAATGATACACACACAGACACACACACACACACACACACATACACACACACGCACACACACACATGTACCACCAAGGAATTGTATGGGAATTAGGAGGAGAACCTAAAACTACTGAGACTGCGTAATCACTCATGAGATCTCTAAAAAAGAATATGATGGGCTGAATTAGCTTTTTAGGAACAAATATGACAGCAAAATTATCACACAAAGGAGCAAATAATTATGTATGTAGTAAAATACAGTAATAGCTAACACTTAGATGTAAATGCTGAAATTGGATAGAAATTACTAGCATTATCACCTCCTTTTGGAGGCCTTTTATTCATGCCACTCCTGAAAAGGACAGAAGTGACTACTTACTAATTTGTGCATCATCTATACCTTGTACATACTTTAACCATAAAATTGGCATCATTTCAGTGCAAAACTGGACTGTGAGTGCCTTGACAGCAGTAGTGAGTTTGTTCACTTTTATATCTTCAGCACCTAATACAGTGTGTAATATATAGTGGCTGTTTGGCTGCTTAATGATTCATTCTACTATGCATTCATACCACATACATCCAATATTAGAATAAGTCGGGTTTTGTAAACAGGCAGTGAAATTTGTGATAAATTTCTATATCAGTATTAACCAATATAGATACAGATAGATGGAAAGCGATGACAAAGTCACCAAGACGGCAGAGGAGATACCAGTTTTAATCATCCCCTCCCTCCACATATACATAAAAAGCCCCCAAATATAGACAGCTATCCACAAACCCAAGTAACTCTGGAAGGATTCAAGGGCCTATTTAACAATCTGCAGCAACACAGTGGAGCAAAAAAGAAAGAATAACTCCACAGGAAGGATCACTGAGGAGATCAGCATACCTGAGAGGCCAGGAAATGTCTAGGAACAAAGATGAAAGGTGGAGGCTATTGGTATCACTACACAGTAGAAGCCATCATGGTCCCCAGTGGCCTGCTCTGCAGAGGACACTGGCATCTCTTGCTACTGAGGTAGTCAACAGCCATTTCTGCCAGGGAACCCCAAGAGGAATACATGACTACAAAACTCTCTCATCTCAAGAAGAAGACATTGTTGAGCCACATGGAGAAAGAAGCCACCACTCTGAAAACTGATGCAGCTCCAGACCTCTGAGTCATGGCCACTCCACTAGTGCCCACACTCCAGACCCAGATTCTGCGTCTTCACTGAGCTCAACCATACCTCAGACATTGGAGCCACTGCCACAGTGAGCTAGCTCACACCCCAGGGCCCCGGAGCCAAGGTTTCTCTGAGTGTGCCTATGCTCCAGACATCCACACAGTCACCACTGAAAGCTAGCCTGTGTTCTGGACTCCAGACCAGCTGAGTGGTTGCACTGGACCCACCCACAGCTCAGACACTTGAGCTAATCACTGCCATAGTGAGCTAGCTCACATCCCAGGCTCTGGAGACAAGGTCCCTCTGAGCGTGCCTATGCTCCAGACATCAGCTCAGATGTTACAAATAGCTAGGCCCTACGCCACCCTCAGAGCCACTGTAGCTCTGTGCAGCAGTAGGGGGTATTTGTACCTAGGACGTTGGTATTACTATTGGCTTGGGCCCCAGAGCATGTCCCTCCAGATATGCCTATGCTTGAAGCCTTAGTTCTGTGGCCACTCCATGGGCATCACTCATTAGACACTAGTGCCACCTCAAGTGGGCCCACAAGCAGACCCAATGCCAAAAGGGATCTACTCGGCTATGATTTCTCTGGTGGAAGAAAAAGAGACTGGGGGGACCCTAGCAGCTCTTGCCACCAAAGACCTCAAACAGCCCTCACCACTGTTGTAGACAACCAAGGTATTGACCACTGAGGATCCCTGCAATCTTTGTCAACACTAATCTCAAGTGACAAAGCTGCACAGGAACTATACTCCTATGCCCTCATTGGAGCCAGAACCACTGCAACCCACCCAGCCATTGCTCTCACACTGTCCTACAGAGGAAGAAGGTCTTTTCACACTGAAACCTGTAATGTCTGGAAGAGGCGATTGCTCTATCAACTGCAGAGACATCAACATAAGGCAATAATAAACATGAAAAACCAAGGAGACATCTCACCACCAAAAGAACACAGTAGTTTCCCAGTAGCTGACTCCAAATAAATGGAGATTTATAAACTGCCTGACAAATAATTTAAAATAATTGTGTCAAGGAAGCTCAGCAAACTTCGAGAAAATACAAAGAAACAAGTGAAATCAGGAAAACAATAAATGAACAAAATGATAAATTTAACAAGTAGATTAAATCATTTTAAAAACTCAGAAATTTCAAAGCTGAAAAATACAATGAATGAAATGAAACAATACAATAAAGTGTCAATAGCAGAACTGATCAAACAGAAGAAAGAATCTGTGAACTTGAAGACAGGTTATTTCGTAAAGGTATAGATGGATATCCGAAGTTTTATTTGGTCAGCAGAGGATAAAATGATAGCATTAATTTTTACGCAGGCCAACAGCTTAATTAGTTATAGATACGCTCTTTTTGGCCTATAGATCAACCAGTAACAACAAACACTTCCCTCCTTTTAAACCCTGAATGGCAAAGATCTAGCACAGCCTTCATTTGAAAAACTGCAATACAAGGATAAACAATTTTAATTTTAAAATGATTCAAACTCCAAACTAAGCTAGAGTTCATGGGGGCTTTTCTTCAACTATTTATTATTCACATTTCAACAGACACGAATCCTGACTTCTAACTCTGGAACCCAAGGACCACTGGGTTTTACCAACCAGTTTTCTGCTATGTAGTAACACCTCCATCTGCTGGAACTTCAGGTGTCTGCTAATCCCATGATCCTGGAACCAGTAAAAATCCAACTTTTATTTGGAGGGGGAGGCAGATGTTATTCCACTTAATTCCATTTTAACAAATATTTACCACATGCTTAAGATGTACCATACCCTGTGCTAAGGAATGTAAGTACCAGGACTGGTTAAGCTAAACTCCCTGCTATGAAGGAGCTCACAACCTGGTGGGGGAGAGAAATGTGTAAATAACTACCATAACTCAATGAAATAAGTGACATACTTACATGTTCCATCAGCTCTGAGGTTGAGACAGTTAAGACCATTGAGAATAGTGTCTGGAAACCCAGGGGGATAGCTCTTTCCTGACAAAGGAGATGTCTCCAGGACCAGCTGCATTTCTGCTCCTCCATCAAACCAAAAGTTCAGGTGTGGAAAAGGGGTGCAGCTGAGTACTGGGATGCATTCAGAATACAGCTGCTAAATCTAACAACGGTTTATTTGGCACTATAAATGGAGCTGGATTCTGCCTGGAAGCCATAGACTGCCAAATCCTAATTTAAGACATTGCCTTTCAAAAAAATAGAATTAAAAAACTTCTAATGAAAATACCTTATGACTTAAATAATACAGCACACACATTACCTTTAAATATGACCCATAGTATTTTGTTACATATGAGCTGTCACATTGACTCAAGACAGTTATTTCTTGCTGAATGTCTTCTATTTCATCTTCGGCTTCCTCAAGGTCTATGATTTTAATAGCAACGACTTGCTGGGTACGGTTATCAATTCCTTTGAAAACTTCCCCAAATGAGCCTTTCCCAATGCGCTCTAATTTTGTGAACAGTTCTTCTGGATCAGCTATGTTATTCTGAAGGGAGTGGGGAACGAGAAAAAGAAAGAACACAAATGTTTTGAATCAAATTTTTTTAATGAAGGAAAATAAATCACATAAGACAATAACACATTTTTGTAAAAGCATACAAACTCCTCTGACTCCCCACATGTGCTTTGTTAGAACAACTGTAATCCCAAACAGGCAGCTAGTCCATATTCTAGTGAATCATACACACTAACTGAGCTTAGCTGATCCTGCTATCACAAACATTCTCACACAGCAAATATATCCAGTGCATGCCAAAACATCAGGCACTTTTTGGAATAAAGCCGCTGATTATACACAGTTTACACATTAATGCAAATGTAGCAATAGTGGGAGAATATCTAACCTAAGCTAAGGTGAACTGTTTAAGTTTCTAACATTCTGCCAATATTACCTTTTAACACTCCTCTCTCTCCAACTCGGATATCCCAATCATCTTAGCTACACTTCCAAACCGCCATCTAAATAACACAGACCACAAAAGACTCCAGGCTTTACAGGTCTTTGTTTTTCATTAGTTGGAATCTTATCTATATGTAATCTTATCATCAATAGCTGAACTAAGATTCTATACCTTTGTAATAATTGCTAGTAATCATGAGAAAATGGTAACACATTGAACTTTTCACAACTCATGTCACAGTGAAGATCCAGAATAATTTAACACTTCACTACAATAAAATCTGGAATAAGCATAGGCTTTCAAGGTTAACAAATGTATAGGCATGACGTAGATTTATAAATTCACTGTTGTTTCCTGATTCAGAAATATTCTGTATCTTATAATATACAATTTTGAATTAAAATTTTACCCCAAGACAAACTTTATATACTTACTTAAATTCATCTTGCTGAAAATATACTGCTGATCAAGTAGAAACTCAAGATTGCCAACCCTGCCAAAAGCACATTAAGTGCTTTATTAATCAAAAACTTTGAGTTCCTTCAAAATATAAGAGGATTCTATCAAGTTCTGGTGAGCTATCATGTCTAATTTGTTAACTGGACCTAGAATAGCTGTTCATTTACTACAGTTTTACTTAGTTTCACTTCATCATCAATTTCAGAAGACAATTATGGAGTTAGCATGTCCCTTTTATCTTCCTTTATTAGACAAAGAGGGCATTGAAAATATTGCTTTTCTCTTATCAAGTTCATTGCACCATGATCACCAAATGGACACACTACTACTCCAGTAAACCACTACCTTTTGAGGTAACTCCAAAACTCATGACTGCTTTTAAAGAATTTCACCAAGTTCTCTTTTTACACAGCCTAAAATACAGTTTGTACATGACCTGTTTACCTTATAAGCTTCCCCATTCTCTCTGATTGGATTTTTTTCCATTTCTAAAAGTTGTGCTTTCCATATAGAAGTCTCTGAGACTGCAAGCTACTTGTGTATCCCCACCCACCTCCAGTACCCACATGGAACAAACACATCTTGAGCTTTCCATATGGGCTTTTAAAAATAGCTTAGGCTTCCAGTAGGTTGCAAATGCATTTTTAATGCCCATATTTGGTTATAATACCTTCTCAAAAACTTGAGTGCCATCATTATTGATTTCCTTGGTGTCCTCTTTTACCAAGACATTGTATTTCATTGTGACTACTAATACATAGTGGCTAACCCACAGTTACCTCTTCCTACTTTTGGTGATGGTCCTTGGCTTTGTAATACCTTGTGGAAAAAATACTTACTACATAGCTTGGTGATGGGTTCACCTCCTTATAACTTCCTTTAGAAAAAAATATTTCTGTTTTCCTGATACAGTTATAAAACAATTCTAAAATTTGGGAATGTATCATTTATTTGAAGATACATAGGATATATCTTCTGATAAGACATTCTGGGAAGTGTATGTATTCATTAACTTTATAACAAGAATCTTCTGTTGTTAAAGAACAAAAATGAACACTTAAACTTCCTAATTAGTGTTTTAAAAGGATTTGATTCAAACAGTCAACCTCAGGGAGGATATGGCTGTTCCTTGCTTCCTACAATAAATGGGTTCTTGCAAATATGTAAATCAAAAATTTTAAAACGAGGTCACATTTTGCATTTTAAAGAAGCACTGAAGTAAACTCTAATCCATGGATATAGTTTAAGATTTTAAATTGAGGAATAGCAAGTTAGACACAGAAAAAGAGAAAGATCCATCATTTATACAATGTTTGCACTTCCTACTCTTTTATTTTGCATCTAACAATGCTCCTACAAAACACCAACTTTCAGAGTGGAGGGAACTATGAAAACAAGATTTCACTAATATAACCTCACTTCCCTAACTAGCTAAGGGATAGAGACCCCTGCCCCATTTACTAATCTTGAATCCCTGATAGATAATACAAAAGTTATAATTTCCCCTTCATCATTTTAAACCAAAGTATCCTAAGTCTTTATTAAGACAGGTTTCCTTCCTGCTTTTAGCACAAGAGAAAAGATCAAGTAAATAAATAGCAAGCATCCCAAGGAATGCAATTAAAAGCCACCTAAACAAAGAATCTAGTTTGCCTAATCATTCCCATCATTCTTTGGAACCTCTAAGAAAAGTCAGCTCCCTCTCCATCCAAATCAAATATTCTTTTAAGAATACTGAAATTCCAACCCAAATGCCCATCAATGACAGACTGAATAAAGAAAATGTGGCACATATACACCATGGAATACTATGCAGCCATAAAAAAGGATGAGTGCATGTCCTTTTCAAGGACATGGATGAAACTGGAAACCATCATTCTCAGCAAAGTAACACAAGAAGAGAAAACCAAACACTGCATGTTCTCACTCATAAGTGGGAGTTGAACAATGAGAACACATGGAAACAGGGAGGGGAACATCATACACCAGGGCCTGCCAGGGGGTGGGGGCTTGGGGGGGATAGTATTAGCAGAAATACCTAATATAAATGATGAGTTGATGGGTGCAGCAAACCAACATGGCACATGTATACCTATGTAACAAACCTGCACGTTGTGCACGTGTACCCCAGAACTTAAAGTATAATAATAAAAAAATACTGAAATGGCTAAATATTCCTTACCTCTACTGCAAAAATCACAATTTATTACTCTATCTGCATTTGTATTGCCTTCTCAAAGCTGCCCCAAAAAAAGAGCTCTATGTTCTGTAGTGTCAAATAGGAGGAACTGCTAAATTAAGCTCATATTGACTTATTAATGACAGATGATTTCCGCGTGCCATACCAAAACAGGGCTACGAAAATGAAAACCTCAAAGATCCACCTCCTCAGGGCAATCAGATTATTCCTTGGCCCTGTTTTATCTGTTATTTAACTTGAATTTGCACTCTTCAACTATAAGTACACTGTTAGAAATTTAAGTCTTATTCAGAAGGTATCATTACCACTAAAACAACAATAACAACAACAACTATTTAGTATGGAAATACTCTGAAGAAGTCCAAAAGGAAACAATGTTAGGTGAACATCTTGCTTGTCTCCTGTGCAAAGTAAGGAGCAGATAGAAGAAGCCTTCTTGGATACTTAAACCACAGAAACAGACAGCTGAAAGAACTCTTACAAGTTCTCTAGGTGCTCTCCAATCCTGGCTATAAATTAGAACTACCTATATCACTTTTAAAATGTGGATACCTAGGCTTTACCCCAAAACTACTGATTCAGCCTACTGAGACTGGGGCCTTGCAACCAATACTTCTGAAAAAGCACCCCAAATGATTCCTGTGTAGTCATTTGAACACTAGTCTCGACATCAGCACTTGGGAACCACTAAGCAGATGGATGTGAAATTTGTATCCTTGATTACAGGGAACCCATTATCCTTATTTTTCCCAGGCAAGCATATGGGTCTCATCTAATTCTGTACATTAAAAGTGGACAAGTTGGAGATTAAAGTAAAACTAAGAGGACTTTGGCATTTACTATACATACCTATATTTTTAAAAATGAAGTCTGCAATACTTCTTCTAAGGATATGTCTCTAAAATTAGCACTGGTGACCCTTGAACAACATGGGTTTTAACTGTATAGGTTCACTTACACACGAATTTATTTTCAACCAAACACAGATCAAAGATACAATATTTCCAGAATGTGAAACCCATGTATAGGGAAGGCTGACTTTTCATATATGTGGGTTCCGCAGGGTCGACTGCATGACTTGAGTATGCACCAATTTTGGTATACACAGCAGAAGAAGGTATCCTGGAATCCCGAGGGATGACTCAAGATTAGAAACATAATGTTTGTCAAAACACAAGCAACATATCCCGTACACTTTGTATACATATTCTTAAACATTGTTTATACCCAATATAGTCTATGTATTGTCGATAGGGCCTATAATAGGTTAAGATGTGACTGATGACAGAGTTTTGAGGATAACAGCCAACATTGATGAAGGATAAAATTTTAGATCTAGTTAGTAGAAAATGGGTCAACTTGTGGAGGGGGGCATTAGGAATTGGTGGCCAGGAGAAACAAGAACATTGAAGACGGATTTAGAATTAGTCTTGGAGTTCTCGCAGAATGGGGACCTAGAGAGCAAAATGTGGGAAAGAACCAAGGTAAAGAATCTAGTTCTTTGAATTTGAACTACCTAACTAAGACCCCCAGTAAGACTCTGGGACTGAGAGTGAAAACATAATAGATGTAAGGAAGAGGAGGCAGATTTCTCACAGGATTTGACCTGGAAGGATTCAACTCACGTATCCTAAAAGAATCTTCCAGAACTAAGAACCAAGCTGAGTAAGGTTGAATTGTTTTGCACCTGCCTTCCTACATTAATAAAGCCCATACTATGAATGCTGTAGCTATAAAATAACTTTTTGCACTTTACAAAGACTGGCCTGTATATAGGCCTATCAGTGACTCATTGATGAGGAGGAGTGTTACAGGAAATAATGAGCAAATAATGTGCTAATGATATCAAGGCTTAAAAGAAGATTTCTTACTTCCTTGAAGTCCTCAAGTGGGAACACCAGGAGTGACTTGCAGTGAATACAAAGTGCCCTGACAATCACAGAGAGCAACTAAAAACTTCAGCCTAACAATGTACTAAACTAGAGATATTTAGCTACCTGTTTAAATTGATCAAATCAGTTCTCCCAGGCTAGAGACGAAATGTTTTTCTGGATTACTTCCATGTATATACAGTTTCCTGTCATCTAAGAAGCAGAATGCATATAAATAAAAGTCATTCTCTAGTTGGTTTATGAGCCTCAAATTAAATTACTGTTCTATTATGATTGCCTGTGTTAAGATTTTTCACTTGCCCTTATGAACATTGCCTAAAATGTTTGCTGAATGTTTCCTAATCAAGATATCATTTTTTTAAAAAAAAGGAGATTTAGGCCAGGTGCAGTTGGCTCATGCCTATAATCCCAGCACTTTGGGAGGCTGAGACAGGTGGATCATTTGAGCTCAGCTGAGTCCAAGACAAGCCTGGGCAACAGGGTGAAACCCTATCTCTACTAAAAAAGAAATACAAAAAATTAGCCAGGCATGGTGGCACGTGCCTGTAGTCCCAGCTACTCAGCACACTGAGGTGGGAGGACCACCTGAGCCTAGAAGGGCGAGGCTACAGTGAGCCATGATCACACCACTGCACTCCAGCCTGGGCAACACAGTGAGAGCCTTTCTCAAAACAAAACAAAACAAACAAACAAACAAAAAACAGAATTTTAATGTCAACAGCCGTATAACTCTTACCAGTGCTGAGTTCGAGAAAACAGGACACTATCTTTTTTAAGTGCCAGATATAATCCATATACAATTGGCTGCTCTCTCAATCACGGGCTTTTAGAAATGGAAGGAAATGTATATAGGTCATTCAATCCAACTCTTTATCATCACCATCAGCAACAAGCATTTATTGTATACCCGTTTTGTCCTAGGCTAGGATCACTAAATGGAAGCTATGTAATTTAAGGCCATTTATGTTAAAATGGTAAGTCTTAGAGAAATTAAGAAGAGATACAGACTCTTGAAATTAAAAGAATTAGATAATCTTTGAGATGAACAGGAACTTAGCAAACTTGTCCAAAATATATTTTTACAGGGAGGAAACTATACCCTGGAGAGGTTACAAATTGTTCAAAGATAAAAGGTAGTTAACTAGTGGCAAAGCTTAAATCTGAACGCAGATCTCCTGACTGTTATGTCTAAGGTTCCTTCACTACAGCTAGGATTTATTTGTAATTTAAACTATAACCCCTTTTGCTATAAAAGCAAAATTATTTTCCATCGTAAAGAGATCACACAATTGTCTAATGTCTACTCTGTACTATCCCAATGCTTAAAGAATTTGAAAAATGTAAACTTAAAAGAATTGAAAAAATTTAAAATAGGACTTTTCTATATTTAAACTGATATAATTTTTATTAATTTTTTAAACTGACAAAATTGTATGTATTTATCATATACAATAAGATGTTTTGAAATATACAGTATATACATCATGAAATGACTAAATCTAGCTAATTAACATGCATTACATGCTATATTTCTTATCTTTGTGGTGAGAACACTTAACATCCACTCTGTTAGTATTTTTCAAGAATACAATGTATTATTATTAATTATATTACCATGTTGTGTAGTATATCTTCTGAACCTATTCCTCCTAACTAAAATTTTGTATCCTTTTACCAATCATTTGCAACAACATGGATGATCCTGCAAGACAGTATGCTAAGTGAAGAAAGCTAGGCACAGAAAGACAAATACTGCATTATCTCACTCACATGTGGAATATAAAAAATTGACCTCATAGAACTAGAGTAGAATGGTAACCAGACTGTGGTGGTTGGGGTTTGGTGGGAAAGATGTTGGTGAAAATGATGCAATTTTTTAATAATTGTTGAACCACTATGCAATTGATTGGCCCTCATATGTATGCACAACTACCAAATATTTCATATTACAATTTTAAAGAAAAATGATTCATAAGTAATCTTGACTTTCTGGCATTTCTCAGACTATTTTTTTTTCCATGTCAATAACTAGGCTGGAATGGGCTAGCCTCTAGAGTGTAGGAGATAAAGTAGTGATGCCATTCCATATCATGATTCCCATAGGATCCAATGTCAAGAATCCAACAGCTCCAATTCCAGCTTTATCAGTGATTTGTTGTATACTTCAGTAACCCTTAATACTAAGGTTTCCAGTTCTGTTCATTTAAAACCCCCCACAAATTGATGAAATTGTCCAGGAATAAAAAACAACATTTAGCATCAATTGTTAATTTTGTGCTAGGTTTATGCAGGCCTAGAATTGTTCAAATGACCATGCATGCTCAGATTACTTTAATAATCAGAAGGATAAAATAAACTCCCCACAAAATTTTCTCAACCTTTGAAAAATGTGATGTTAGCAGAGTAATTTTTTACTTTGCACAACTTCAGGTTCATACTACAAGTTATCAGATAAAATTTTATGGAATTCTTTAGAGATCCCTGTGATTTATATTTCTGAAGTGAAATACTTAGCTCCACTGTATTTTGCATATGACAGAATAAGAACTAAGATAAAAATTAAGTATGTCTGTATATGTTTCAAATTAAACATGAAGAATTTGGCTTCAGGTTAAATTTCTTTATGTGGACAGTCATTTAAATTTGTATTTCCATATTTATAAGGGCTCAAAATATTTTAACTAAGTGTACAATGAAAATGTTATTAGCTTACCTATTTTTATGGTATACTTACATTTTTACATCTTTCTCAAAGTTTATTATAACTTGCCTTTGCAACATAAAGTAGCAGTCAAATTCCCAGATTTTACATGCATGAAATGAGATAAATGAAATGTAGTAGGGATATGTCATTACATCAACCCTGGGCTTCCTTGTGGTCATCAGACAGCATTTTATCAACTCACAGTTGACTCCTTATCTTTACCCACCTACTTAAACGGCAGTTTTGAGACGAATGAGGCAACAGCACTCCAACCCTGGTCTCAATGGTGAAGCATAAAGTCAAAGGTCTCACACAGTATTATTTCATACTATTAAGGCAACTGTTTAAACTTTCAGCAATTTTGTGCATAGCAGCAAGAAAAATGTGTTCATAAGGCAGAAATAAAATTAATTGTATAGGTACTTTTTCATCTTCTCTTTATTTTATTATTCTTATTTTTAAATGCATCTCATTAGCAAAAATACTTAGAATGAGATATTTTAGTAAAGGATAACTTCATTAAAATTATTACAAAAGATTTTGACATAGCGTATGAATAACATAGCAGTTTGAGGAGTTTCTCCTGACTAATAATTTTGAGTCTAATTCATCTTTAAGAACAAAAGAATAATTGATAATATTCCTTCATCTTAATTCCTCCTACTCACGAGAGGATAGGAAAAGAGCTTCCTCTGCCTGCTAACTTGCATTCCTCTTTTTACCCCAGCTCAGATCAGAGGAAAAGAACAAGAAAGCAAGCAGGATACATTCTGGGATGTGAAGAATGCTGTTCTTTACATGTTTGTAAGACAGTTCATTTTACAATGGAGTAAAGAAGAATGAGACATTTCTTTGATTCTATTGTCACTTAACCACATATCACATTTTTCCAAAGAAAAATGAAATATGGAAAGAACGAGAATAAATTTAATAACTTTCCTTATCTTAAAAATCCTCAAGCAAGAACCAAAGTCATAATAGGCAGCACTTTCATTAGCTCCATTTCACAAATATGGAGGTCTTCACATTCCTGTTATTTTAATTAAAAGTAGAAACGTCAGATTATTTTGTTCAACCAGGTAAATCATCTTTGGATATAAGCCCTTTTAAGTGAAAAGAAATAACTAATTTTGTGTTTTTTGTTTTTTACTAACTCTCTGGGATCTGAAGTTCCCTTAAACCTTTAATTATATCCATGGGTAAAGGGAAGGAAACATCCTGCAAACAATCACATTCTTCTCTCAATAAACCGAAAGTCAAGGCTATCATCACAATAAATGCTGGATGCAAATTCCATTGCATCATTTAGCTAATTCCTCTCTGACCTTACAGTCATTCCAAAGGAAAAAGGAGGTCTGGTTTCTCATAAGTACTACAGAGGTAAAGAGAGCAGAGAGGTCAGGAAAAAATTGACTTAATTTTGCTTATCTTGAAAATTACAAGAAATCAGTGACTTAATGTCGATTTCACCATCTGTATGAGGGAGAGAGGTGTATTCAATCTTTAAATCCCTTACTGCTCTGAAGCTGTGTGAATCTGTGAAGTATTAGAAGCCAAGTCCCTTTGTTCCCCTTCCTTCATCACTAGCAATCACCAACCCTAGTTTTGAAACAAGGTAATGGATTCATTGGTACTGGTCATGTGGCCAAGCCTATAACAGCACACAATAGCTCAAATGAAAATTATATACCACGCCATTGTTCCAGTGAGAAATTCAAAATCACTAGTAGACCGTATTCAAGCCCCAACACTCTAACACTGTAATGAAGTGGGCCTAGACACCAAGAATAGATAAAGAGCAGCAGAATGAGTCATTGTCCAGACTGATTTCTCATCCTTCACACTGGCCATGTCCCATTATATACACGTGACTATCCCGGAGGAAGTCAAGGGGTTCATACAGCTCATACAGGACCTAAATAAGGACCTAATAAGTTCAGCTCATACAGGACCTAAAGTTTTATTTGTCTTTCTCTCCTAGTTGTGAAGTAAATTCACTCAGAACATAAAGTAGTACTCAGAAAGTAACATATATATATGTTTCTCTATATAGATAGATGTTATATAGATCTATATGTAGATCTATATACGTTTCTCTCTATATATATAAATATATATATAGATCTCTCTCTATATATATAAATATATATATAGATCTCTCTCTATATATATAAATATATATATAGATCTCTCTATATATATATAAATATATATATAGATCTCTCTATATATATATAAATATATATATAGATCTCTCTCTCTCTCTCTCTCTATATATATATATATATAGATCTCGAGAGAGAGAGAGAGAGAGAGAGAGAGAGAGAGAGAGAATTTGAACATCCAGTGAAACTAAGTTTCCAAAGGGAAAATTCCAGGGATATCTGAACATATTTCAAGCCCAATGCTTCAGTAGGTAATACCTTAGACATACAAACTTAAATACAGTGATCCATTAGGAAATGACTCTATTTTTAAATTTTTGAGCCTTTGACTCATGCCATTTTCTCAGTCTACAATACCTTGCTCTCCTTCTCCATCTCTGAAAATCGCAGCATCTTTAATTAAAAACAAAACAAGCCTTATCATCCCCCTAGGGGAACCTGATTAACCAATCCATTGCTTCATCTTCTGCCCTCCCACAGGACTTTACTTGTGCCTCCATTAGAGCACACATTTTACTATGTTTGCATTCTCTTTCATTGCCATGACTTTCTATTTTCAATAGCAGGCTTATTAAGGATAGGGCTCTGCCTTACTCAGTGCCAGCTATCCTCACAGTATCCAGTAGGGCCCTTTACACACCATGGCCGTTGGATGTTTGCAGGGTATTTACCTGGGGTCCCTCCTAAAATGAAATCTTTGGCATGTGATTATCTTTTCATTTGCAACTTGACTTCTGACTTTTGGTGAAAGGGAGACTATATTCAGTAAACTGACGGATGTTAACATAGGTATGAAATTTTAAGTCAATCCCTATTTTCATGTGATTAACATAATAAAAACTTTGCGAAGTCACAACTTTGAGATTTTTTTCCTTCAACTGGAGACAGTTATTTGTGTTGCAAAACAGCAATTCTCGAAAGAATACGGAGCTATACTCAAAGAAGAGTTGGTAGCAGCCACATACACAAGGATGCATATCAGTGGTATATATAAATCTGATTCTAGAAGCACATCTACAATCACTATTAACCAGAACCACATGTCTACTGTATGTCCTGGAGCATCCAGGATGATTTCATACTCTAATGCAAAGATTAGAGGCCTTGAAGAGCCACAGTTTGCATACCACTCTGCTGTAAATTTCTTTTAATTTCATTGTGCTAAATACATATAGAAATACACAATTCAACCAGGCGTCAGGTTTAACCAGGAGCATTAATGTTAAAATTACAGAGATTATTACTGACTAAACAGGAGGTTACATAAATATGGCCTGGGATTGATAACAAGCCCTAACTATAAAATATTCATTTGGAAAGGGGGAAAAGGCCATACAATGAAAGAAAGACAAAGACTCTGTTAATACATGAATGATAAAACAGGTATCCTAATTTATTCAGGCCATTATTTAACCAAACCCACACAGGGCACTTTGAAGTGACAGATGCTGAGAGCCTCATTTTATGCTATCCATATTAGAGGGAAAATAAAAGGATGTCATTCTAGTACTTTCAGAAATAAATGCCTTTGGTTAGAATTTAAGGCAGCAGCCCCTTATAGCAAATATCGAACTATCATGGGTAATGTTATGGTGAATTTTTAGCACACTTATTAAAATGCATTGGATTAAAACAAAATTGATTTGCTCACTGCCTATCTTTCTTCTAGATGTGGAACTCCAATTAAAATCAATATGTTTGAAGCTTGTAAGCACAGCACTAAATTATTAACACCATGAGTTCTTTTAGAAAATTAACACTGATTGAAAAAGTGGAATTTTACATAGACTTACCTTTTCATTCTTAATGAGAAAGTGGCTGCAGAATAATTTCCCTCCAACATTTTCCTCCTTAATCAAATATATATTCTGAATGAATTTAATCAAATAGTATTTATTAAGAGTTACCCAATGGAATCGTAGGACTAGGGAAAATTATCTCTTGGGTCCTGCTGGCTTTAACATTTTATGATCAAAAGAAAATGATACTGATGGCATGATGGCATCAATAGGAAATGATTTTAATCTTGGCAAAAAGAGAGGAGGTTATTGAACAAAAGAATGGTCTCTAATTTTTCAATAATCACCTTTTCATTTTCCCAAAGTGAAAAATATCATCAAAGTCTGTGTTTATGTGTGTGTATATGTGTGCAAGGCTAAACAAATGCTTATTGTTAGTTTTTATTACTCTATCTAATTCTTTAAAAGATTTGGAACAGTGCATTAATAAATAAGAATACACTTAAAAACCAAGTAAAATGGTAAGTATGTGTGTGTGTATGTGTGAAATAGTTGTACCTGAAAACCTAACCTAAGAAGAACTATTACAAATGAGCATAAAAGCTCCATACTGTACACCACGATACAGTTAATATATATGAGAAAGTAGCTTACATTAACAATACAGGGCTGAGATTTCAGCAATCTCAGTGACAATTTTATTATTGCTATTCCCTTTCCTTTGCATAGGGAATACCACTCATTTTGGGGAAAAAGCACTAAATATTGTCATATTTTCACTTTCCCAAATACTTTCAGTTTAGAAGACTCTTCTACTTTTTGTTGTGAGTTAATCTCCTCTTGAAGGTCCCCAAATATTCTTGAACTAAGATTTCTGAAACCTATCTCCATCCTACCCCATTGTCCCCATTGTCAATAGCACTTGTAAATATGTTAATCCCTATCTCTAGAGGTACAAATTCACCCGTTTTTACACCCATTGATCTGTGCTGACATTGCTGAAATTACCAAAGCACAAATTAAATGTTCAAATAGAGGAGAAAATGCTACTGAAATTATGAGATATCTACTAATGAGTTGAATCTTTTAACAAATATCATTTCAAACATAAAGCTATTTCCATGTTCTCAACACAGATATGACTAAGTTAATTTTTGCTAATATAAATATAAAGCATTATATTAGTTGATATTTATAGTCCTTGTCTATTTAGAAATCAATTTAACAAAACTGTAATTCTCCAATTGGGATAATCAACATCTAGTACTAAATCTGAATACATATACAAAAGTTGATCTTTTTCCTTAAAAAAAAATGCTATATAGTCTGTTTAGGAACTTAAAAATGCAGTAAGATTTTAGAACTGGAAGTGACCCTTATGAAACACTTGGCTTTTTTTTTAAATTTTATACTGAGTGATTTCTAGCTGGGGGTGGAGTGGGGAGAGTAATCACAAATAAGTAACCTCAGGATGGAGATAAATGACAAAGTTTCTTAATTAGTTCTTAAATTGCTTGATGAGCAATTCTAAGTAATTAAAATGATTGGAACAGTGTCTACCCTAAAAGATCAGTAATTTACAACTTGAGTTCATTTGTACCCTATCATTTTACAACCCTAACCAGGGAGAAAGTACTATTCATCAAACAAATCCTCACTGCCTACCCCAAAAGGACTTATAAAACATTTTGGAAAACGCAACCTTAGAATTCCCTTTGTTATTTCTTGCCTTGGCTAATTTCATTTCTCCTCTTTCTTTCCCTTATTTACACCCAGTCTGAAAGCCAGCTCAGCTATCTAGTACAGCCTTTCCTGACCACCTCAGCAAGCCTGGCTTGACTCATCTTTCCTTGGAATTTCTGGTCAGGCTAGTAGGCAGCCGCTGAAAGCTTTCAGCAGATGAGTGAAAAAATAAAGGTTGTGTTTTAAGTAACTGCATCATCTGTACACGCAGCCTTGAGTCTACTTAATGACAAAAGAATAGTGTGACAAAAGAAGAGATGATGTCTGATATTTTGCGGAAAAAAAATACTGATAGAACTTCATGATTAACTGAATATGGAGATAAAGGAAATCAGCAGCAAATTACAAATAATGCCTGATGGTCATTTTCATTCCTTTGACAATTGTGACATACCAATACGTGTTTTATGGTGGATGGTACCTCCCCCACTAAATCAAGTAGTCAAGTGGCATTGGTAAAGCCTGATTATTTCATATGCTATGATCTAATAATTTTAATGCATTTTTGATTAAGTATTATTCTCCTTACTTCAGACAAGCTACCTGAGATGTTAATTGTAGGGTGAAGACACTTACTCAGTACAAGGAGGAAACAAATGTGATTATATCTGACACTTAACACTCCCTATTCACTTTCCTTCTCTAATAGATGTGGCCATCTAATTTTAAATACTGATAAAAGCAATTAAGCCTCTCCCCTGTCCTCCCTTATATTACTTTATAAAATGCTCCCATTTTTATTTTCTTTCTCTAGAAACCGAGAAAAATACTAAAATGTATCTGCACACAAACATATAAATGTAATTTATCATTCATTGTCATTACCAATACAACATTCTATGTAATTCCATGGTTAAAGTGTATCTCTAAAAAGCAAACAGAAACATATCTGCCTATTTACTCTGATCTGAGGGCTTTTCTTGAATTAAGCATCACAATAATGGAACCAATAGGCAAGTCAGTTACTTTAGTAAAGTGAAAATCTTTTCTATTGTCATACTATATCCACAACCTCAGTGAAAGTACTATAAAATGCTTCCTTTCTTTACATCAGCAATTCTCAGTCGGGCTTAATGCCCCAAGGCAGGGATCGGCAAACCTTTCTTGTAAAGGCTGGATGCTAAATATTTCAGGCTTTGTGGGTCAGGTACACTTTACAGTCTCTGAGTCTCTGTCACATCTTTTTTAAATAACTCTTTTAAAATGTAAAAAATATTTTTAGCTTGCAGGCCTCACATGACTAGGTTACAGACAGTATTTGGCCCTTAGATGTAGTTTGACCACTGCTACCCTAAAGAATCCTTATATGAAAAAATTAACTGCTCTCCGGTGCATCTAGAATTGGGCTTCCTTATATGTCCTTCTTGAGAGAATTGAGAAG
Organism: Homo sapiens; assembly: GCF_000001405.40. Taxonomy (NCBI): domain Eukaryota; kingdom Metazoa; phylum Chordata; class Mammalia; order Primates; family Hominidae; genus Homo; species Homo sapiens. The sequence goes on along the minus strand of NC_000023.11, from coordinate 132,039,932 downwards.
ACAGTAACTCAAAATCATTTTCTGTTTTATGGTTCAGATGAGGAATTCTGGTTGAGAAAGGCTGCATTCAATTAAAAAAGCTCCAAAAGCACTACTGGAAGATGGTAGATGATTATTATTTTCCAAAAATACAAGGAATCAAAATATTTGCCAGGGAGAACCTAAAAATTCAAAATTTCAAAGAACTTTCCTTTTGTCCAAAGCATAAGCCAAATATTATAGCCTTACTACCTCTTAGCAGAAAATTAAATACACACAGTAAAAGCATAATTACACATTCATTGCTTCAGTTAAAAATTATTTACATCAAATTCAAAATTTGCCTGGAATGAGTACCTGATCCCTTCAATATATAAAATGTTGCGTGTATGCTGTCTTTTACAAATAATAACCTAGTCCCAATTCCTGAGTAGAATCTCCAAAACTCAGTTTTAGAGCTTAAGGATTACCTATGCAATCTCTTTACTTTACATTTGCAGAAAGGCACACAGGCAATTTCACAGTATAGTGGAACAGTATACACTACATTCTTTATTCATTCTAGTAGTTAGGAGGAAATGATTTAGTGTCCTATCAGGAAAAGAAAAATAAAGTATCAAGCTCTGGAACCACTTGGCCATATTAAATAAGAGTATTCTTTCACAATTAACAGATAATCTTTTCAGTTAAAGAAATTTTTTAAAAATATCTAAAATGTACTTTATCTTTCAACCAAGATCACACCTATATTGTAATTTCATGATGCACTACCATCAAAAATACACCCCAGAGTAATCAAATTAAGATACGTCTAGTTATACAGATTGACCCAGAACCCAGGCATGTGGGTGGACAAAGGGAGAGAACTGTCTCTATCCTGGAACAGGATAGAGAAAACAGTGGCAGAAAACAGTGTTTTTTTGTTTGTTTGTTTGTTTTAAGCATAAAGACATTTACACCTTTTAAACTACTGTAAAGTTAAAAGTCAATAATGTAAACAATACAGTATGTAGTGTCTGTAAATATTCCTAGAAAAAAGTAATTGGACTACTACTATTTAGAACTCTTAGCCAAAACATAAATCAAGTGGTGCTAAAAAGTCATTAGGCAAACTTATTTTAGAGTATATATGAGATGCTACTCAGCCTTGAAATGCTCCACAGAACTGTTTTAATCATTCCCCAAGGGAGACCTTTAATGCCAGAACCTACTGGAAAAATAACAATGATATTAAGTCCAGTCATTTTAAAGTGAGCCTCCTCTTTAGCCCCCCGCTCCCCACAAAATAGCAGTTCAAATTAGCCAAGTAAAATCAAGTGATAGATATTCTGGCATCTTTCTTTATTAATGAAAAATATTTATTTTGGCTACCAAAGGAAAAAAAAAGGCCACCCAAAATGACTCCAAGTGTCTAGAAACAATGTATTGGCCCAAAACACATGCTACCAAAATTGCACATCTTAAATAGAAAAGCAGCTGTAATCACCATTCCCGTTATGTTAGATCTTTTCCCTGATCTTTCACAAGCTTTCTACCAACGAAAAAGACTCTTTAGACATTTTCTTGCCATAGCAAATTAATTATGTAAATGTCACTTTTATCACAAAACTCACACGCAACAAGAAAAAACAAATGACTATTACCTCCCCAATTTCCTTTTCTGTTAGCTTTTTCTCCTCTCTGCAGAAAGTAGAGAAATTTCCCATTCTAAAAAAATACAGAAAGAATTCTCAATCTTTAAAGCAAAGGATTTCCCCTTCCTTGGAAATACTGTTTTTCTGTTCTTCCAGAGTCCAACACCTTTTCCCTCACCTACATTTTCTGTTTACTCATGAGGCAGCAGTAATCCTCTGTTATTATGAAATTCTACCTTCCCTAAGCAGGGTTTACATCGCAGCCTCCAAAAACGATGCCTGAACCTCAGCAGATAGAAGATCCATAGCAACAGCGGTAATAGTTTTTTTTCACTTGCTATTACCAGAAATCACAGTCCAAAAAGACGACCATGGAGGTGTCACCTATGCTAAAACCTCGAAATTGATTCATTATTTAACTAGTTGAATCCCACGTTTTCATTTTGTGTGCCCTTTGAGAAGCCTGTGACAGAGTAAAAAAGATCTTTCAGTGACAGTCACCATTTTTCATGAAGAGATAAATAGTTAAAAAAAAAAAAAAAAAAAAAAAGCAGCTCTCCGGTTACAAGACTTTGTTTGTCACAGAAACAGAATTCAATGCCTGGTCCCTTCCATTCTCTATCCCTTAGAATCTATAGTGTTAAGTACTTATAACAACTTGAGCTTCAAAATAAGAGCTTAGACAATGATGACAAGTTTCTGTGAAGTAGAAGTCACTCGTTTACTGCCCACATATCTCTGATTTTACTAACAGGTAAACAAATTAATATATATCAAAAGCAGTTCCTTTAATGCAATGATTTTCTGTAAAACTATTCTACAGGAAAAATTAAGCAAAGAATTGAAAATCTTGATAAATATAATCCTAGATAATGTTCAATTCAATCCTAATTCGCTAAAACTGCTTAATATTGGTATTGAATTTCATTAAAAGCCATTTCCCATTGTCTGTACTCTGTATGTTACAGACTGTTGTGAGTTCAGTTTCTTCAGGAATACTAAGAATTTAAATATCAAAGGTAGAAAGAACTAGCCACAATAAACGTGCAACATGTGTTACAATAAAAGTGCATCATGTGTAAAATCCTGACAATACTATTATATATTTAGACATAGGTACATACTCACAGGTTTTTACCTTCCAGTAAACAAGGTTTTAAATGAGGTAAAGAATTCTACATATTTTCCATACATTTTCATATAATAAAAATATTTAGCAAGTCCATGGACACCACAATTTTTACTGAATACATATTTTTTACATAAATTACATTGATTTCTCTTAATTCACCGACCTTCTTAAATGACATTTTCAAATGATATTTTTCTGCTCCTTGAACATAGTGACCATCCTGTTACTCATTTTTATTTTGACAATGCATTTTTCTACTTTTAAAAAATAGTTGTAACTACTATTAGTATAGTTTATTAAAAACTCTATAGGCAAATGTCAAGCCTTATTTTTACAAGACAGATTAAAAGTATTTTCAAATGTAAAATATACTTCATGTGCAATACACATTGAGGGTGCATATATACATTCATTCATCTACCCATTTATCTATCTATCATTTTCCCCAGCAAATCCTCACAATGAAGTGTAAGGTATAAGGTAAACATATCAGCATTCTTACATCCAAATAAATTTAACTCCCTGAAGAGGAAGCAAGTCGCTTAGGGATTCTAGTGATAATTAAATACGGCTTAAATTATTATTATTATTTTGAGATAGCATCTCACCCTGTCGCCCAGACTGGAGTGCAATGGTGTGATCTCAGCTCACTGCAACCTCCGCCTCCCAGGTTCAAGTGATTCTCCTCCCTCAGCCTCATGAGCAGCTGGGATTATAGGCGTGCACCAATACACCCAGCTAATTTTTGTATTTTGAGTAGAGACAGGGTTTTACCATGTTGGCCAGACTGGTCTCGAGCTCCTGACCTCAAGTGATCCATCCACCTTGGCCTCCCAAAGTGCTGGGATTACAGGCGTGAGCCACGGAGCCCAGCCAAAATTTTTTAAGAGAATATTTCTTCACATGCTTTTGCACATCCTCATTGGTGGCAAATCTTTGATTCTGAAGGATGGATTCGTTTTTGTTGGTTGTGTGTTCATTTTAGAAATTGAAAAGTGATTTAGGTCCAAAGTTGGTGAATGAGGTAGGTAAATCAAGTTTGCTCACATTGTTTGGTGTTGCCCTACTTGCTTCTCTTATTTTCAGTTCTAATCCTTTGTTTGAACTAAACTCAGAGCTTTCCTACTGGGTACCTGTTGGCAAACGATAATATATGAATCTGACAGGTATAGAGAATATTTCAGAGAGCAGAAAGGCCATTTAGGAAGTGGTTTGATATTTCTTTAATGATTCAGAAGTAACTTCCTCTCCCTTCCAGGAATTTACATATATAAATACAAATTGGCTTTGAAACGTCAGGACTGTGAATGAGTGTGTGTGTGTGTGTGTGTGTGTGTGTGTGTGTGTGTGTGTGTATGCAGCCAGAGCTATTAAGTCTGGTTTGTTTGTTTTTTTTTTTGAGGGGGGGACATAATAATAGGTCTAAAAATCTCTACCTGTGGGGGAAATATTGCCACTTACTGGCATTTAAGATACTGCCATTTATATCACTTTAGCCAAGTTGCACTTTAGCAACTATAAGCATAAACAGATTTCATGTTCTTAATAAGGGTCTGCATTTGAAGATAAAAGCATTAATGAGCTGTTTACTACAGTAAACACCTAACCATACTGAGCATGGTAACATAATTCCACAGAAAGGTTCTATTTGTAAGAATTTGTCATCTAAGGGGCTTATCCAGACCAAAACAATAAAAATAAATATAACAAAATAAACAATAAAATTATTGTAAAAATTATTATAATAAAATTATATAACAATAATAAAATTAAATCAATCAATAAAAACTGAAGTAGGTTACTTAACAGCACACATGGGCCAATGATAACTATATAATGATGAGGATGGGTGTTTGCTAAGTCGCAAACCTGCCTAGATTAAGGAAAACAGAAGTCATGGGTGACCATGAGATTTTGGAAGCTGCAGAACTTAACACAAAATTGAGTTCAGCTTCTTGGAAAGATAACTGGAAATCTTGTTGTTTTCATCTCTCACAATTTCCTCTACTATCTTCACATAAGATTCGCCAGTCTCCATCTCCTCTCTTCAACAAACGTGTTACTGATTGCCTCTGCTTGGATATGTGACCAGCACTTCAAATTCAACATTCCCCAAAATGTACCAATTTTCTTCCAAACTCAGCCTTATCTCTGACTCTACTCTCTCATCATGTTTCCTTTCTTCTCATATTTAAGGGGTCGCCAATGTCTGTTAAAGTCATCCTTGAGTGGTGCTCAAAGTGCTCCCCAAATTGGCGGAGCAGCTGAGAACTCATGAGAAATGCAAATTCACCGGCTTCACCTCAGATCTATTCAATCAGAAACTCTGGGACTAAGGTTTAGTAGTCTGTGTTTTCACAAGCCCCCCAGGTGCTTCCCATGCATGCTCCAGTTTAACCATCACTGCCCTAGATTAAACCCTTATCAATTAAGCCTTCCCTTATCTCCAGCCTAGCCTGTTAGGTTTCCAACAGCCTAATGCAATCTTCCAAAACAAACAATGTTATTTCATCATTTCACTATATTGCTAAAAAAATAAAAAATAAAAACCCAAACCTCCTTGTTATGGACTGAGTAAAGAATAAATGTCTCCTGGCCGGGCGCGGTGGCTCACGCCTGTAATCCCAGCACTTTGGGAGGCCGAGGCGGGCGGACCACGAGGTCAGGAGATCGAGACCACAGTGAAACCCTGTCTCTACTAAAAATACAAAAAGTTAGCCAGGCGTAGTGGCAGGTGCCTGTAGTCCCAGCTACTCGGGAGGCTGAGGCAGGAGAATGGCGTGAACCCGGGAGGCGGAGCTTGCAGTGAGCCGAGATCGCGCCACTGCACTCCAGCCTGGGCGACAGAGCGAGACTCCGTCTCAAAAAAAAAAAAAAAAAAAAAAAAAAAAAAAAGAATAAATGTCTCATTCTGGCATTCAAGGCCCTTTACAGTCTAGCCCTAACACAATTCATACCAATAGGTACCTACACCAAATCTCTCTTATACAAGGAGCCTGTGTGTGTCCCCTTGGGCCTTTTCTCCTGCTTGCCTCCTACTCTCTTTTATTTTTTTATTTTATATATATATATATATGTATTTATTATACTTTTAAGTTTTAGGGAACATGTGCACATTGTGCAGGTTAGTTACATATGTATACATACTCTCTTTTAAAAGTCTATTGAAGGCCATCCTGCCGAGAAGCAAGGTAGTGGAGTAGCAAAACACGAATGCCTAGCAGAAAGGTATTCTATAAATGATAGTTTCCTTTCTTACTCCAGTCTTCCTTGGGATGGATGCTTCTACATCAGATTCTATCTCATTTGGGATTCATTACTACTGTTCTGCATTGTTAGATTCCTAAATGTGTAGGTGTCTAGTCACTCTGGTTAGAGTATAAACTTCTTGAGCTCAAGGACTCTCTAATATTTTTTGTATTTCAAAGATAGACAGCAAGCACTCTGTCCTACCCAAAGCAGGCCTTCCAAACTTTGCTGCTAATAATTTTCTGGCTTAAATCAAACCATGTAGATTGTGTGTGTAAAAACATAAAACCTGGGTCACCACTGTCCAAGCTGGTAAAGTCCAATGTATTACCATTTACTGACAAGCACATAAGAAAGCTCACCACTAAGTTCAAACAAAGGATTTGAACTAAAACTAGAAACTCAAACAGGATCCTAATTAATGAGTTTGCCAAGTGTTCTTCCTATGGGGTCAGTAGCACTTAAAAAACATAAATTTGAAATATGCGTATTTCCCTGAGGCTGTCAGATACATTGACTTTAGTCTCTTTAACCACAACAGGTCAAAGTTCTATTTTCTGTCACCATACTTAGTAGTATGTGTGCATGCTTTGCTGATTGGTTTCTTTTGTGCTTCTGCTAAAAGTTAAGGCAGGCGGCAGGAAATTGAGATCAGGGAGTTTAGAAACTTTCCCAGCTCTAGTGGGCAGCGATAATGATGAGGCAGAGGCTTTGGGAAGAAATTCTGACTTTATGGTTTCTATTGGCTCAGCTCCCCTAAATTGTCTTGCATTAATAACAGCTTATGCTCCACCTGATTATCTATATTGCCCATCCCACCCCCACCACCCACTGCTCTGTTATTTATACTATAGTGCATCAAGCAGTCAAACCTAGCTTAATATAATATACTGTAAATTGATATGTCCCAAAGCAAATGGTTTAGTGGAAAGCTGGGGGTGGGAAGAAGGGTTAAAAAGGGACTAACAGAGCAACTCAAAAATGCATTTTCAAAGAAAAATCTGGATGCTTCTAGATGTTCTTGAAGTATTTCCTCCACCTGCCAAAAATTCACTCCTAGGATTGTGTTACCAGGCACTATTGAAACCTGGTAGAGTAATTCACTAGCATGCTTAGAAATTTCCTAACACATCTAGTGTGGTGTGGATTTCAAATTCAGTAAAACTTCATTAAGTTGATACTGGGAAGCTTTTTCCATAATTCAAAGCAACCATTAATTCTTTGGCTAGACACCCTATTGTTCCATAATAAACAAATTGAAAAAAACCCCATTGATGGTTGAATTGAACTCAATGCATTTCAGTCCTTTGTATTTTAAGTTAATAGGGTTGTACTTGTACAGATTTCTTTTCCCCACTTTTTCTTTAAGAGGTAATAGAAGGAGAGGGAAAAATTTAAAACACTGCTGACAACACACAATCTCTGTTACAAGGATCACAAAGAAAGGCTGAAAACTTTTTCTGTAAACATTTTTCATGGGGAAAATGCAAAAACACAATGGCTTCGATTTCTTCAATGGCACATTTTTTAAGATGCTTGACCAAAAAAGAGAAAGTGAACATATAAAAAAGATAATTAGACTATCTTCAACTCTTTCATCTAAGCAATCTACAATTTTGTTTACTCTGGGGCCCAGGAAGTATGAACCACAGTTTTGTTCTAATTTTGCCAGACTATCCAAAGCTAAGACATACCAATGGTTAACCTGATATTTTGAGACACAAATCACTCTCATCCACGATGCTATGATAAATGGAGGAAAAGAAAGGCCAGCAGGCTGCTGTCAGGGGAAGGCTGGAACAAGTCCAGAAAAGCCTGAGGGGGAGTTTTTAGATGCATCCTGTAGCTCTATCCCCAGCAAGGTATAAGCTAGTGAGGGGTGGTGGGGAGAGGCAGGCAGGAATGGAGGACAGGATATGTTCCATATATAGGTTTTCTGGTTTCTCTGAATGTTCGCGTCAGGTGATTTTCCTAAGTCATATGTGGTTTTAGGGAGGGACAACAAAGGGGATCGTGGGTAGAGTTGGCTGTCAATGTGCCCTTAGTTTAATGTTTAAATCCAAATTTGAAGGCATTTTCCTACAGAATCACTCTATGTTATAGGAGTATTGAGAGAAATTAGTTAATATCTTCAATAAATATTTGATTTCTACAAACATTAATTCAAAGATGTGGTTCCTGCCATCTAACACTTTAGTCTGAAATGGCGAATGACCAAGTAAGAAATGCACAGAAGATAGGGTTAAGAACGGATAAAGAAAATGTGGTATGTATACACAAGACAGTACTATTCAGCTGTAAAAAGGGATGAGATCCTGTTATTCACAGCAACATGGACGGAACTGGAGGACATTATATTAAGCCAGGCACAGAAAGACAAATACTGCATGTTCTCACTCATATGAGAAAACAGATAGTAGAATTGTGAGTATTAGAGGCTGAGAAGGGAAGCAGGAGGGGAAGATGTGGACAGATTGGTGAACTAACACAAAATTAACAGCTAGATAGGAGTAAATTCTATTCTGCAGTACTGTAGGGTGAATATGGTTAACCATAATTTATTGTATGTTTTCAGAAAGCTAGAAGGGAGGATTTGGAATGTTCACAGCACAAAAAAATGATAAATGTTTGAGGTGATAGATACGTTAATTACCCTGATTTGATCATTACACATCATATCCATATATTGAAATATTACTCTCGGTTGGGCACAATGGCTCATGCCTGTAATCCAGCACTTTGGGAGACCAAGCATGGGGGATCGCTTGGGCCCAGGGGTTCAAGACCAGCCTAGGCAACATGGTGAAACCCCAAATTTACAAAAAAATACAAAAATTAGCCAGGCATGGTGGCGACAACCTGTAATCCCAGCTACTCAGGAGGATGAGGTGGGAGGATCACCTGAGCCTGGGAGGTTGAGGCTGCAGTAAACTGTGATTGTGCCACTGCACTCCAGCCTGGGTGACAGAGTGACACCCTGCCTCAAAAAAAAATATTACTCTGTATCCCATAGATATGTATAATTATTACATGTCAACTAAAATAAAAGAAAAAAAGAAGGGGTCAAAATTTTAGTTCTGTGTATTTAATTGATTTTTTTAAAATGAGTTACATTCTGCCACTCCTTCAGAGACATTGTTTTACATGTACCTGTGGTGGAAATTCTTCGAGTCTTAATTACAAGGAATGAAAAGGAGTTTGTTGTACTATAGCTAATAATACTATTATTTTTTGTTTGCCTAACACCATTTTTCTAGCAACAAAAAAAAAACAGTAGAACCACCACTCTTTCAGAACACAGAACTTTGTCAAAAACTGCTATCAAGCTGTCTGAAATTCTACTATTAGATTTCCATTTCTTAAGGTATAATTCTCTGTAAAATGTGAATATCCATGGAGAAGTAAAGCACTGAGCCATTAATCAAAAACATCTTAGTGTGAGTGAAATTATCAGATTCTTTCTAATGTGACAGTTCAGACAGGAAGTAAAACAGTTTTTTATTTATGTTTGTTTTTTGGGGAGTGGGAGGGAAGAGGGAAGAAACAAGAGGTAGATAGGTCCAAATCACCAGTGAGAGGACCCTGAAGAGTCATGGGAAAGTACAAGTAGAAGGAAGGAGAAAAGGAGAAGAGATGAGGGGAGAAACAAATTTGCCTGAAATCAGCCATGGTTACCAAGAAAGCAATGAAGCTCATTTTTCTCTCAAAGTCTGTGGAAGACAAGAGAATGAAAGCTTCAGTGTGTGTGGACAGATGATTAGTTACAAGAATGTTTTGCTAGACATATTATACATAATACATGAAAATCATTTAAATAAGTATAGAGTCTACATTGTACACATATAAATTAGTCTTTAAGGTGTACAGAGTTCAGGTGTTGTACAATATTTTTAAAGAAACAGAATTTTAAACAGTTAGAAAAGTCCACTGTACAGTATAGTGATTAGCCAAGATTTTACATATAATTCATACCTAATGGTATAAAGAAAAGTGAAATACATGGTCCCCACCTTCAAGAAATGTACAACCTCATTTGGGAGGCAAGTATAACATATATAATTAGAGAAAATCTAAGGCAGTATAATACATTAAGGACAAGACTGTCTACTACTGACAATAGACAGAATAGGTGCTTGGAAATAGAAGAGATTTCTATAGCCTGGGACATTCAGAGAGAGTTCATGAAGAAGCTAAGATGGAGGACCTTGAAAATCAGGTAGAATTTGGCCAATCACTGGTTATTGAACTGTGACTGGCATGGTAGAATTAAAGGGATTTCTTGTTGGGATGTAGTGGGAACTAAGTATAGATCTACAGAGAGGAGCCATATAACAGAAAGTATGGAAAGCTGAGCAGAGGGCTTTGTGTCTCATTGGGGTGGTGTGGGGTGGTGATTGGGTTTCAAAAGAAAAATGTGGGTTATCAAGCAGGAGAGAGATGAGATAATGGCAGTGTTTTCATGTGATTAGCCAAGCATTGTTTTGCAGGATGAACTGCCCCCCATACATCATAACACCTTTTACAAAGGAGCTCCAACTCCACAGATGATGGTTAATTCATCCTAATAACCTCTCATTGAGGCAAAGGAAATGCAGCTTTTATTATTCCCCATTTTGTAGATGATTTGCTCAAGGTCACTGAATATGAAAAGCAGAATAAAAAATACAATATCACAATGTTCAATTGTTCCTAAGTACCAGCTAAATTATATTCTCTCATTTGCTGTGACTCAAGCAAGAGAAGTACATGATGACGGACCTTTGTACTCAAGTGCCATTTCTAAACTCTGATTACTGTTGAAGGCACATGTCCTATCATACCCAATTCCTGTTTATTCTCCCTACAGTCCCTACTCCCCTAGTGTCAAAAGTTCTAACTAACCCCGCCTTCTCTCAGCTAACAGTCTTTGATTATTTTGTTCCAGCTGGTCTTCTGCCATTATCATTAGCATATTCAACACCTCTGCATTAACTACTCAATAACAAGGACAATAATTCGGGTTCACCAATGCAAAGCAATGCTTTCAACCTCAAATTGCAAATCTGATTATCCCCTTAGGGAGGTGTAAGGGAGGTAAGAACTCCACATACTGGACTCTGGTACCAACCTGAATTCTTTCTCCAATGTAGGTTTCCGGATGACTGTTAAGTAAAGAATCCCCCCATCCCCCACCCCAGTTAACTCTCTCTCTAACTTGACACACGTTCTCATCCTTTCATACATCTTAAAGCCACCCTTACTTTTCTTACACCCTTACTTTTCTTACAACCCTTACTTTTCTTACAACCTTACTTTTCCTGTCTCATGAGGGCCCTCACTTCCACATATTCTTTCTGGCATTATGAACCTCTCCCTCCTTGATGTCTCTAGTCCTTCATTTTCAAGTGAAGTGCCCGGCATAGAGTAGATGCTCAGTAAATATCTGATGAATGACCAAAGCTTCAGTTCTACATTTTCAACTACTTATTGGACATATGTACTTTGTCATCCCATTGTTACCACAAAATTCACAAGTCTAGAACAGAAATCCTTAACTTCCTACCAGATCTGGCTCTTCCCCACTACATTCCAATTTCTTTCAGATGTATCATAAGTCTCCCAGTTCCCTCCTATTAAACACCACAGTCTTTAACTTTTCCTTCTGAAACTAGCTAATTATTAAGCCTGGTAATTAATTTTTTCTTCATAGTACTAAACATATGTCCATGGAACCTGTCCATGGAAGGCCCATTGCATCTGTATAACTATGATTGACCCATTGAAATAGCCTCTGTAGCCAGGCGCAGTAGCTCACGCCTGTAATCCTAGCACTTTGGAAGGCCAATGTGGATGGATTGCTTGAGTCCAGGAGTTGGAAACCAGCCTGGACAACCACTAAACATTGTCTCCAAAAAAAAAAAAAAAAAACCATAAAAATTAGCCAGGCATGGTGGCGTGCACCTGTAGTTCTAGCTGCTCTGGAGGCTGAGATGGGTGGATTGCTTGAACCCAGGAAGTGGCGGCTGCAGTCAGCTGTGATCGCGCCACTGCACTACAGTCTGGGTGACAGAGTGAGACCGTGTCTCAAAAAAAAAAAATTAAAAAAGAAGAAATAGCCTCTGTAGATCAAACTGCCTTCCCCTCTCAATCCTCCAGTTGATTCATTCATCCAATTTTGAGATTTCTCTTTCGATATATAACTTGGTACATTGAGTCTCCCTTACTCAGAAATGTTTAATGGCTAGTTCAAAGGCCAAAATCCTTCCCTGGCATTTAAGGACAATCATGATCTGTACTCAATCCAGTTTTCCGACCTTATCATGTATCATTTTTCTAGAGGAATTCTCTATGACAGCCCAAATGACTTTATCCTGTTCTCAAAGATTGTGTGTGTGTGTGCATGCACTCACAAATGCAGTGCACCTTTCCTTATCTATATTGTATACATATGCTCCTTGACTTAAAATGTGGTTACGTCCCAATAAACCTATCATAAGTTGAAAATATTGTAACTTGAAAAGGCATTTAATACAGTACACCTAACCTACCGAACATCATAGCTTAGCCTACCTTAAACGTGTTCACAACATTTACAGTAGCCTACAGTTAAGCAAAATCATCTAATGCAAAGCCTATTTATAACAAAGTGTTGACTAGCTCATGTTATTTACTGAATACTGTATGGAAAGCGAAAAACAGAATGGTTGTGTGAGTACCATTGTAAAGTCAAAAAATCCTAGTCTGTCTACCTCTGCTGGGGATTTTTCCTTGCTTGGAAATGCCCTGCCCAGTGTGCATCCTAACAAGACTTTAGGGTCAGCTTACTTTCTGGAAGCCTTCAACACTTCCAGTGAGAAACTTCTATTATACTTACAGTGAGTTCACAGATTTTGCATTATTTGATATTTCATGTGCTAGTTTTAACAACTCAACAAGATTTTAAGATCTTTAAGGGTGGAACATGTAATATACGTCAGTATGCTTCCCAGAACCCAGTGATTATGTTCACCAATGTCGGGCAGTGTTTCCCACCACTTAGATAAAAGTCTTCAATAAAGTGATCATTAATCGTTAAACTTCATTTCTACTTCTCATCTCAAATGACAACTAGATTTAAACTGTACCACCTTGGTCATATTTAAAGATACATGAAGGCTAATTTTAAAGTTCTTTAGCAGAAGCTTTAAAAGTTCTTTAACAAGAGGCACAGCATAAAGCATAACATTTAGTACTCTAACTCAACATTTAACTTTATTCTTCCACCTACATCTTACGAAAGATTTAACAATCAACAATATTCTAAATGAAACTTGTCCTCAAAAATACTATTGTAGGCTCTAAGGGGAAATATCTTAAACTTAAGTATGATTTATAACTGAAAACTTCAAAGAAAACAGGGTTTGAATCATTAAAGAGTAAATATTTGAGTGGAAAGAAACAGGTTTATTGGTTTTTTTTTAAGTTGTACTTTAAATATTTTCAAGAGTTCAGCTACTGGTATGGAAAATTCCTCTAGTTACACACTAAAGAAGTAAGCACAAATTAAGTACAAAAAACTTCATACCCTCAACATTTGGTGTAACGTGGCAAAAAATGTTCGTTACCACAATATTAAGAAATATCAACAATATGAGTTTGAATAACTAATTCATAAGGAAGAGTTTGAACTGGACGAAATCCTGGGTTTTCTTTCTTCACTCCAAGTTTCTTTTCTATTTTAAACTAGTGGCAACAGCAATTTCTTTGTTTGAAAGTCAGGAATGCTGGAAATCTTAAGTGATAGAACAGGTAGCTGGGCTTCTACTTCACGTCTCTCCTCAGAGGGAGAAAATAATTGTGGATAAAGTAATTTTCTTTGTATTTCTGGAAAAATCATTTTTCCCATCAATCTTCATAATTCTCTAAAATAAACTGTTAAAAAGTTATAGGCTGGTCGGCTACCTCACCCTGATTTGTGGAAACACTATACAGTAATTTCAAGAACACATGGCTAACTGAAGTTTTCTAAAGGTCTAAAAGTTGCTCCTAACGCCTTCATAAAACTCTAGGAGAATTTTACAAGCTCACGATAGATTTCTGCATCTCATCTGCAATATTTTGCTACATAACAATAATAAAAATAGTCTAGCTTCAAGAGTCACACTGCATGCTATCAAATTTATTATTAAGGTATTGTACATTTTCAACTATGGAAAAAACTGTGTGCTGCACAAAGTGCTTAAGAACTACATTAGAAATAAAATGGAAATAAGAAGTTAAGAATTTACCATTTCATTAAGATGAAGAGAATGACCAAAAAAAAAAAAAAAAAAGATTCCTCTCTTCTTTGCTAACGTTGAGATGTTTGCCCTACTCAAATTAGGTGGGACAAAGTAATCACAACTCAGAGGGCACAGAGTGAAAGGCAGAATTTGTAATTTAAAGTATATGATTCACATTCGAATCCACATTAATTAAGATTTAAAAATTCAAGAGATAGGCAACTCAGATAATTAAAAGCAGGGAGCAATCAGAAATACTGAACAGCAAGCAGTTCCTAAACCATATAAATTCAATAAGTTCAAGACAAATAAAATAAAAATCAGAAACCATTTTCCCCTCAGCACACAGAGTTCCCCAGAATCACAAACTTGATGAACTGGAGGCACTCACTCTGCTGACGCACACACGCAGGCTCGCGCACACAATGGAGCGAGAAGCATGGAGACCCTCAGAGACAAACTTCACATGTGCATCGTTTTACTCTCCACAGAATGGAAAGAAGAGCACGGTGAGAAAATGTCACTTTTTCCCAGATCAAACAGCAAAACTGTACTTAGTATTGTGAACTATGAATTCCCTTGATACAATCAAAGGCAGAACTGAATGAATGGGGTGTGGGGCAGGGTGCGTGGGGAAAAGAAGGAGGGAAGGAGAGGGGAGGCCGCCTGAGAGGAAGAAAGTTTAAGGCATTTTGCAAGGCTTGAGTGGATTAATCTTTTTTTTTAAGCCCTACTATTTCCTATTTCCCTTTCTCTCTCTCTCTTTATTTAATATACACTAACTTCCTGAGACTCAACCCAGACTTGCCCTAAATGCAGCTGAAATGTCTGGTGTTTAGGACACACCAAGAGTTCTAGGTGCACAAATAAATCCCATTTTGGGAAAGAATTTAAAAATCACTTTTGTGGACATTCATAAAATGAGAACACTGAAAAAAAAAAAAAAACTCCATGTATCAATAAGTAAATTGAGGCCCCAGTCTACAGCTCTTTGATTTCTACTAGAAATATAAGCTATTTACTATAAACATTTTATTTTTGAACTTCAAAAAAGTTTGTTTTCACATTTTAGATCATGAAAGACTGAGGCTTCAGTGGTTTTAGCCCCTAAATGGGTTGTTTAGGCCATCTAGCAAAGGAAAAAAAAATAGAACATGAATGCTTTAAAAAGTTAGTAAATTTGGATAACACTTAGCAGATAGCCTAAAATGCACCGATTTAAAAACATAACAGCATAAAAAGTTTTCTGACATAGCTTATCTTTAATAAAATGAAAATATAATGGGAGGGGGTTGGGCTGGGTAGACTTCGAGTAACAAGTTGGGTCCCATGCAGTAGTCCCTTGTCCAAGACAAAAAGCTTCCTTTAACCACATGTAACAGTCATCTTGTGGGAAAGGCACGGAGGGGGCTGAGAAGTCATCACCTCAGTGACTCTGAACAGAACCAGCATTTCTCACGCCACACTATGGGCTGGGCTAGGTCGGGGAGCAAGCTACAACTTTGCCCTTAAGCAGCAGTACCGAAAGGGAGAAAGAGGTCACCTCTCTCTTAGCCCTACGCACACAGGAAGAGCCCAATTCAAGCCGCCGCCGCCGCCACCCCTGGTGTTGCCCCGCCCCAACTTGAGTGTGTGTTTGGGGTGGGGGGTGTAGGGCACTCACTACTCGCGTTATACCCCACAAATTCCAAGGCACTTCCATCTCTCCCAGGTTAAGTTCCGCCCCCCCATCCCCAACCGTGCCAAGCTCAGCAGGCGCAGGTGTCTGTGGCTCTGGCCTATTTTTATACCCCCAACCGCCCTCAATCTCCACCTAGTTGCGCGCTCCAGTCCCGCCTCGCCTTCCCAGCGAAGAGCACTACCTAGCCTACACACCAGGAAACACCTCCAGCCCTACTCCCAGGTCACCTGGCCATAGTGACCGGCCCTGCCCTCAGGGGAGCCCTGGGGCCGTCCCTTGTCGCCGGTGCCCAGCACCGAGGGCGCACCGGGCTCCCAAGCAGTCACGTGGGCGGCGGGGGCGGCCTGCGCTTCCTCACCTGCATCCCAGGCACTTGGACAGCCACCGGCGAGTGGGCCATGGAGGCGAATGCTGCCTCGCTCCGCTTCTGCGGCGGTGGCGCCTTGGGTTCGGACTGGCTCCTCCCTCCGGGGGTAGTTCGGCGGCCCTCCCAGGCTTTTCGATCGGGGCCTGGGAGGACACACAAAAGTGGGGTTACTGGGCTGGCGGCGCGTAGCCCGGGGCTAGGAGGTGGGCTGTTAGCGGCGCAGCTCCCTGGGACTCAGTCTACCTTTCTGGCGCCCGCCCGCCGCTGAAGCAGCCGCCTCCGCTGCTGCTCCTCTTCCTGAACGCCGAGCGCTGTGAGTGGTGGTGGCTGGGACCTGGGCTCGAGTGATGCCGCTCCTCTGCGCCTCGCCGCTTTAGGAAGAGGAGGTGGAGGCGCCCCAGCCACCCGCCTGCTCGCCTGGCCTGGGAGGCGGTTGGGGGCGGTTCCGCCGTTGGCCCTGCCCCCGCCCCGCAGCCGGGCGGTGTCGCGGGAGCCAAGGCTCCAGGCAGCGAAGAGGTTTGGCTGGGGTTGCTGGAGTCTGAGAAGCTGGAGACTCTCCCGGCACGCGGAGAGGAGAACCCGGGGACCCGGAGACCTGGGACATGGCTGGGCCTGGGAAGAGAATGGAAGAGTTTGGGAAACCCTGAGGGTATGAGGGCGCCCCAGATGCGGCCACGTTGCAGGGAGGCGTGCGAGGCTGGGGCACACGCAGCCTCGGAGACGACTTGAGCTGAAACTTGGGGAGTGTTGGAAGTCTTTCTTGGCTCCCCGGCCTGGCCAAGGGTAGGATTACAGATAGCCGCGGAGTCGGTGGACCCCCGCTTTTTCCCGCCATCTGGTCTCCTCAGCTGGGGGTCGCGCCTCTGGGCAGATCTGTGGCCACACTCTTGCTTTCCGAGTTCCCTGACCCCAAACATGCTTCAGGTGACTTCAACTTAAGGTTCCCCCTACCTCCTGGGCTATCCCTTGCAGAACGGCCAAACTAGGGCTTCTCTCTACCACAAGTTCTGCACGTGTAAGGCAGAGGGAAATTGGAAAACAGATGGTACATCGGCAGAAAAATTAATGAGGATAGTAGAGGCTTGGGAAATGAGATTGGATCGTTAGCAGTACAGGTTATTGAAATCAGCATACACTGCAGTGGTTTTGGTAACTCCCTGCCTCCGCCCCATTTTAAGTTCTACTCCAGGAGAGGGAGACAGGCTCTTTTGAGAGTACTCTAACAGTAGCGACAGTAACACTGGTAATAATAGTAACAGGAATTTCATTATGAAGGCACCTTTGGGAACACGTAAGGGGTTAATTACTTTTTAAAAAAGTAATAGTCGAGTGCCAGTTTAAAATGAAGATGAAGTTCCTTACCTTGAAATTTGTTATGGGTCTCTACGCACCACACGGTGGGGGGCCTCTAGTGGTAAAAGATAGTTTCTCTTCTTCCTTTTAAATCTTTTTCAGAGAATAGTATATAATTCTTATCAATATCGTTATTATTAATGGATATTATTTTCATTGTGCCAGGGACTGCTAAGTGCTTTCTATGTGTTATTAATACCTTACTGAACCTGTACAAGGGCCTTCTGGAGTCTTATTGATTTCCCCTCATTTTACAGATGAAGAAAAAGGCTCAACCAGGTTAAATAATTTGACCGAAATGTCACGCAATTAAGAAGTGGTACAGCTGGGAATTCAGACGCAGGTCCCTCTGACTGGTGATAAACTTACTACTTTCTCTATGGTTTCTGTTTGTGTTTAATGATGATAAAAGGTACAATTGCATTTTCCTTACTCCTAGTTCCCCAAGTCCAGCCCTTCACTATTTCTAACCTAATGTTAGGCTCCAATCTAGTCTCGATTTCCCACCAACCCAGCTCACAACATTGCCAGCCTGACCGGAAACCTGCAGTGCCACCTAAACTTTTAATGTCCATAGAAATCCGAGGGTTCTTTTGCTCCCTCAAAAGCGCAGATTTTTATCTCCCATGTCTGGACTGGGCCCAAGATTCTGCAATGCTAACAAGCTCTCACATGGTGATGATGTTTAGATCACACTTTTAAGTCGCAAGGGTCTGAATCAAGCTCCATCATTTAAGACCTGTCTCAAATCTCACCTCCATTGACCCTTCCTAGTTGCTCCAAGCCCTCCTTCAAACTCCTCCAATGTGAGCAGCGCTCACACTGTAGTTCTTTCTTCTTATTTCATATATTTCATTTGTTTTGTGTGCCCATATTAGGTCCTTGAGGGCAGAGATCCAGCCTCTCTTACATGAGAATGATTCAGGTAGGATGGCAGGAGTCTGAGGGCAAGCTTTTTATACATTTTGTCCATTGCTGTATCCCCAGAGACTAGGTTCATGGCATGTAGTAGGCCCTCAATAAATAATTGTTGAATGAATGAATGAACTTCTTTTGAATTCTCCACTGAGGTTACTAGGTGCATAATGTATACACTATATATTTTATTGATGTCAGGTTAAACCCCTAGGCATTGCCCTTACTGAACATTTAAATTGTTCAGTTTATTGTGTGTTACATCTTTCATTATTTAGTCTCCAAAATTCTTTCCTGCTAGTTTAATTTCACAACTACTTATGAGCCAGTTGTATAATTTTGATAGATAAGTAAATTAAGCATATCAGAGAAATGACTTTCTCTGACATCATTCTGGGCCAGAGTTATGTAACTATGTGGAAGAATAAAAGCTTAATGCTGAGACCTGGAATATTGAGACATTTCCTGAAAGACATTGCATTTGAGATCTTAGTGAGCTTTTTAGCCTTTATTTAGGTTTACTGCTATTAAATAAAGCATCAGTTGTTGTTATAATTGATAGAGATCACTTGAGTTTTTACATGGGATTGCTTGTGGGCTTTTAAATGATTTTTCCTGTGTGTGTGTGTGTGTGTGTCTGTGTCTGTGTGTGTGTGTGTATCTATAAATTAAATCTTGTGAAGGTGTCAACATTTGAAAACAATTCAAATTTTATGAGCATTAGAAACTTTTTTTCCACTTTGAACTGGATTATTTCTCAAATTCTTAAATAAAATGACAAGAAATTCAAGTACGCTTTTGTTACACACACACACAAAGGAAACTTAAATATTTTACTTCAAATTGTCAGCCCAGGCCAGGCGTGGTGCCTCACCCCTGTTCCCAGCACTTTGGGAGGCCGAGGCGGGCAGGTTACCTGAGGTCAGGAGTTTGAGACCAGCCTGGCCAACATGGCGAAACCCCATCTCTACTAAAAATACAAAAATTAGCTGGACATGGTGGTGTGTGCCTGTAATCCCAGCTACTCTGGAAGCTGAGGCAGGAGAATTGCTTGAACCTGGGAGGCAGAAGTTGCAGTGAGCTGAGATCATGCCACTGTACTCCGCCCTGGGCCACAGAGCGAGACTCCATCTCCAAAAAAAAAAAAAAAAAAAAGTCAGCCCAGAGTCTGAAAATATATTACAGTGTATTCCCGTAGTTTAATGGAAAACGTTTCTTGAGGAGAGACACAACTTATGCTTTTTGGTCACACGTAGAGTGTAACATAGCACCTCAGAAAGGATTTGGTACCTGCTTGATTGATGTGATCTGAATGGCTGTGAATACTTAATAACCATATAAATAAAATAAGATTATACACAGATTAGGTAAGGTTTTGAGTAACATTATACACAGATTAGGTAAGGTTAGTGAATTTCAAGTTAGACAGTGTTCTTGAGGCCTCAAAACTTAATAATTTACATTTGGCACCTGGTTTCAATTTCCTGACATTTGTCATACCCTCTATTCAGGTTGAGTATCCCTTATCCAAAATGCTTAGGACAAGAAGTGCTTCAGATTTTGGATGTTTTTGGAGTTTGGAATAATTGCATATACGTAATATCTTGGGTATGGGACACAAGTCTGAACATTAAATTCGTTTATGCTTCAGATACACCTTATATACATAGCCTGATGATAGTTTTATACAATATTTTTAATTTGTACATGAAACAAAGTTGGTATACATTGAACCATCAGAAAGCAAAGGTGTCAGGTATGGAATTTTCTACTTGTGATATCATGTCAGCACTCAAAAAGTTTCCAATTTTGGAGCATTTTAGATTTCAGATTTTCAGATTAGGGATGCTCAACCTGTATTAAATATTTAACTTTACCCATGTTTACAAATATTTACTGAATTGACTGGTTCTTAGCTAAAGTGTAGGTAGATGGAAATAGCCAAACTTTAATACAGGCGGCAGTGAAATAAGGGCATGTTTTTCAACTAGGACCAATTATGCCTTCTGGAGAACATTTCTGGGTATCACAAATAGGCAGGTAGGTGCTACTGGCATCTAGAGAGTGGAGGCCAGGGATGCTGTTAAACATCTTACGACGCACAGGGCAGTCCCCACAAGAAAGAACTATTCAGTCCACAATGTCAATAATGATAAGGTTTGAGAAACCATGCTCCGCACTTTTTGCATTAGGAGCTACTAACCAAGAAACAGACTTGAAAATCATTGTTCTCTGAAGATTTTAGCTCAGTGTTGTGGCTGGGACCAAATAAAGAAAAGACTCATAAGATATTGAGCCACATCAAGTGGGTAATAGAAACAAAGCAGTATTCTTATTTTACCTCTGTAATGAACCATAGATCATCTGCCCCCTAAAAGTGAATACAACTTAATGAAAAATAGTGTTGAACAGAAAATAACTTTAAGTAAAAAAATAATGATTTTTTAAAAAAATTAATTACTGAGCATGTTCTAATATACCAGGCATTACCTAGCCTTCAAATATGTTAACTCATCATGATAAATTTGACCTCTTATTCTACTTTACAAAATTTAAAGGTAGGATTTCACATTTTGGACTTACACATTTTGAGCCTAGTGACTATGATGAAATGGATAAAATGTATATATGTATGAAATATAATGGCAAATTGATATACTTACCTGAGTATTTGAAACTAAAGAAAATTATCTGGGTAATTCTAGAAGCTCACCATCCAGTGATGGGAATATTTTGATTCAGGCTGCGGAGTCTACTGATATTTGGAAGTACAACATTCAAGGGCCATTTTTTATTTTAATAAAAGCATAGATGATACCTCAAATTTACTGTTTACTCTCATTGGACATCAAGTTGGAAACCATGTTATGATAGTTCTTGCAGATGTCATATGTATCGTTGCTATTGTTCCAGCATAGCATCCCAAGAAGAAACCTATTGAATCAGACCTTGGTCAAGGAACATTAAACCTTAAACATTAAAACTGTGTGACTTCCGAATTCTCCTGAATAACCTTCCACCTTTTGTGGCTTGCACAATATATTATCATAGTATTATATATAATGGAAACTATACTATCCAAGACATCCCTGCTGAATATTCTCTCTAGCTTTACTTCCTGATGCTGCTGAGGGGAATAAAACAACGGAGGAGGTAGGTGGAAGCAGATGCCATTTAAGCAGTTTCCTGCTTATAACATTTCTTTACATATATGCTTACTTGCTTTGAAATGTTTGCATTTAGGTACCAAAAGCATCAAGCTCATAACTTCTGGCCTTTACCAATTGGTTACAGACCTAAGAGAGGTAAGATGGCCTGGACATTCATTTGCATGCAGCGGCAGGAGTCAAAAGATGGAGGAGCTCCCTTCCTGATTCCAGTTTTGCTCCTCTGCCTAAACTCTCACTTACAGAATCAGACTGTTGACCTTTAGATGCCTTGGACCTAAGGTGAAGGCCCTCAGAAACATTCATGGGCTCACTCACAGTCTCTTCAATGCTGAAAGAACCACTGTACCAGCCATCCTATAATGGTAGTTTATTTTGCCATATGGGTACCTGAGGAGACTGGGGAGTTTCTTGGGAGAGATTCTTTGGAAGCCTGGGACCTTTGTAATGAGGTGCTCTCCAAGGTGCAGTTTTTAGTCACAGGAGAGCCTTTCATGTGTCATGATGCTAAACAACCCATTTGAGTGATATTTTCCCCTCTGAGTTGACATTTTAAAATGTATTGAATTGACCACTTGTTCTTTCATTTGTAGGCTTCTCAAGAAAATAGTTCTAGTCAAAGGTGGCAGTTAAAAACAGGAAAAAACTGGCAGTTGAGACCAAATAGGAAGTGACTTTGCCATCAGCTCACACCAAGGAAAAGGAAGTTGCTAGGACCTCTAAGAAAGGCAGTTGTGTAAAATTACCACCCTTCAACTTGCTTAGCTGAGGCTCTGTCACCCTGTGGTAAAAACTTCCATGGTTTTGTTACTGCAGTAGTTGAGAGAACGTGAACAGAGTGAGGGAATAACAGGCACCCCTTGCAGGAATGTTATCAGGGACTGCCAGAAGTTTCTAATGGGGGCAGAAACTCAACATTGTAAACAAGCAAAGCTCCCATCCTCTTTTTTTATCCTGGGCCACATCAATATTTTAAGATTAGTTAACATTCAGTATGTTATATCATGAGGCTCACCACAAGGGTCCAAATGTAAACTATAATGGGGTTTTTTGCTGAAAAATAGAAGATAGAATGTTTTTTATACTTTCACTTTGGCCCCAGGTCCAGCCTAGGCCACACCACCTTTCCTTATTTCCCTTACTTTCTCTTCCCTTACTTTCTCCTCCCTTCTTCTTCTTTTTTTTTTTTTTTTTTTACTCACATATTTCTTGCACTGTGCTAAGTGCTCGGAATATAAAGAAATGCAAGGAGTTTGCTTTCCCACAGGAGAATGCAACAAAAAAAAGGAGGAGCATTCACAGCAATAAATGATGATAATAGCAGTCTATTACTACAACAACAGGCACCAGAGAGCAATTCATTTTGCCTCTGTATATCCTGGAAGGCTTCACAGAGGAGGTGATATTGAGCTAAACCTTGAAAAATGAGAAGGAGATAGCCAAGTAGAGAATTGAGGATAGGGGATGGAGAAAAGAAGCCATTCTAGGCAGAAGGAACAGCATAAACAAATGCCTAAACAAGGCCTGTGTATTTCCCCATCACCTGGTGACCTGGTTAAAATACAGTTATTGCAATTCATTTATCCAGTTCTGAATTTGTCCATCCAAGGTAGACAAAGGGCACTTGTATTTTATTTTTAAAAAACTCCCCAGGTGATTATGTTGTGTACTCTTGGTTAAGAACCTCTAGAACTAGCTGATAGTTTGATTTGATTTTACAGGCAGAAACACAGAGTACATGAGGTGTCCTAACAGTGAGGCTGGAAGGATCCATTAGGGACAGACTGCGAGACTTGTGTGGCATTCTGAAGAGTTTATACTTGATCCCTTAGGCTCTCAGCAGTCTTTTGGGGTTTTTAAGGAAGAAAGGAATTTGATCCAGATTTGTTTTTTCAAAATAAAACTCTGCTTAGCACATAAAGGATAGATAGAATATGGAGGAGATTAGAAGCAGAGGGACCTATTAAGAGACCATTAGGAGGCCATTGTAAAAGTACAGAAGAGGGACTGAACTAAATTAATGGCTGTGAGAATGAAGAGGAAGGAATAGAGTCCAGAAACAAATTACGGTTAGACTCAACAGCATCCAATTGATTGAATGTGGACAACACCAGAGGGAGAGGTTTAAAACACCAGCGACATCTAGCTTAGGGAACTGGATAAATGTTAATGCCTGGAACTTCACCAGAGAATGTAGAAGGGGAACCAGGATTGGGGAAATGATAAGGAATTCAGTTTGGGTACACCGAGTCTGCAGTGTCTGTACAGCCTCTAAGTGGGGATATCCAAAAGGCAGTTGAAAATAGCGAGAGGTCAGATTGCAAGTATAGATTTGAGAACTGCACAGAGAAATCCTTTGTAACCTCGTGTCAAGGTGTCAATAAAGGACATAAAAAATAGAAACCAAGTTGGAACTGTTCACTTCCCATTTAGAAAACCACTTCTTAAATAATTGTCCTATGTTTTGGGCCAGTCAAATGTGTCCTATGTTTACTGGCATCACATCTATCTGCAGAAAGCCTACCGTTTCCTTCAAAGTAATGATTGTTAACCTCCTGTCTGTGAGATCGTATTACTAAGTATTTCTGCTGTGTTCCTGCATACATAGATTTCCCTTTGAATGAACGATAATGACAGTAAAGAAAAGAATGGAGTAAAGAACAGAAATGATGTGAAGAAATCTGAATACTACATTGCCAGCTTTTCTGGTATGGTTTTCTTTCTTGCAACTGTAAAATAGATTATTGTGCACCAGAAGAGTTTGTATTATATTTCCCTTCCTACACTCAAAAGAAAATGAGGTGGGAGATGACATGCATGCCTGGTTTCACGAAGCCAAGTTAGTGTCTTCTACAATGGAAAGAAAAACAGGAACAATTTATTGCAATCTAAAGCACAGATTACTGGCAAAACCATGATATTTGCCTGCTGTGAAAGTGCATAGCAACTTTAGTTAATATTCCTCCAATTTTTTGAAATCATTCATACTGTTCTGGTTCTTCCATTCTTTCTGTGCTGTTGACCTTTTATGAAACTTCACACATTCTTATAGTTTACCATGTGTGAAGGTAAGCATTCAAATGGCTAAATGCCAACTTGAAATTAACATAGATAAATCATGCTTTCCATATAAATTGTGAAAATAGTGGTAGACATTTACAGTATGAGATCATGAAAGCAGATACAAATAAATTATATTTTAAATGTTTTGTACACTGCATTTTATTATGTGTTTGGGTTTTTGTCAAGTGTTACAAGAAACTGAAATGTACCAGCTCTTAAATTTTAATGTAACTTTAGCATCTGACAATATACAGATTCTTGCTATGCAAATATAGAGAAATGGGTGCTTACTATGTTGTGAAGGATGGATTTAGTTCATGAAATATAGTTTTTAAAAATATACATTTTCCTATTTTTTCCAGACTCTAAAAGCATTAAAAGGTTATTGCTGTATGGAAAGGTCATTTACATGAACAATAGCAGAAGAAACTGTTTCTGGGTTGTAAAATGCTGGGTTATTGAATATGTTTCCTAGTAAAATTGTAAGGTATGGAAAATGAGTATACCTAGCAAAATGCTTCAGTGACACTTCTCTACTTTGGTTCTGCACGTAGCATATGAGATATAAAGTAATTCTTTTTCAAAGCAGAAGCCCAAGCCACCAAACTTGAATTAATTCAAATAAAGGAATTAGTTAATTATAATAGGTATCGTGTATATAGTTATTACTGTGTGTCAGGCATGGTTGCAATTTACATATATTCCCATTTAATTCTCACTACAACTTCATGAGCTAGGTACCACTATCATCCTATCATTTCCATTTTAGAGATGAGGAAACTGAAGCACAGAAAGATTAAATAACTCGTCCAAGGTAGAGTTGCCAGATAAAATACATAATGCCAGTTAAATTTGAATTTTAGATAAATGAATGATTCAGCAGGAGACATATTTATGCTTTAAAATTATATCTAAAATTCAGATATAAGTGGCCACCCTGTATTTTTATTTGCTAAATGTGACAATCTTACAGGCCAAAGTAACAAAGTTATTCAGGGGTGAAGCCAGAATATGAACCCAGAGAGTGTGGCCTCTAACCCCTATACCTATATTGATTATAAGAAATGGAGGGCAGAGGCCAAGGGCGGTGGCTCATGCCTGTTTACCCAGCACTTTGGGAGGCCAAGGAGGGCGGATCACTTTAGGTCAGGAGTTCAAGACCAGCCTGGGCAACATGGCGAAACCCCATCTCTACTAAAAATACAAAAATTAGCTGGGCATTGCAGAGCACATTTGAAATGCCAGCTGCTTGGGAGGCTGAGGCAGGAGAATTGCTTGAACCCAAGAGGCAGCATTTGCATTGAGCTGAGATCGCACCACTGCACTCCAGCCTGGGTGATAGGGCGAGACTCTGTCTCAAAAAAAAAAAAAAAAAAAGGAATGCAAAGTTGAGTGCTTCATTATCTATACTTGGAGTATTTTTTATTTTTAAATCACAACTAACAGTCAAGCCTCATGGGCAGGATCATAGGTCTATAATAACTTTGAATTTATTTTAATTTACTCTAATTGTTAATATCATTTGGTCACAGTATTTTTAGTGAGTTGTTTGTTCTAAAAGTGATAAGATCTATAATAGTTTTGAATCAACTTTGCCTTCAGTGCTTTCCAAGGAGAGAGATTACTGAAAAAGTATGATTCACTGTAATGATCCATTGTCATGAGTGGAATTAACTGACCAGTGCTGTTGTTCAAAACACCTTTTCCTATTATCACAAAGCAGCTACATGTTGTTTATAAAGAGCTACATGTTGTTTATAAAGCTTTCATTCAATAAGAGCTTTTTAAAAGAAAAACATAGTTTTCCTCATGTTGTCTTCTCTTTTCGTTTGATATTTTTACTCTAAAACAGGCAACATGACATCTACCTTTTGAAAGATACTACAATTTCATGGGGAAAAACATGGGTTTCAGAGCCAGACAGACCTTATTAGCTGTGTAACCTTGGTGTTTGAGGCTCATTTTCTTCATGTGCAAAATGGGAATTATTATTACCTACTCCAAATGGTGACGGTAAGGATTAAATGAGTTAATGAATATAAACCACTCTAATATGATGTCTGGTACAAACTTGACACTTCACAAATAGTGGTAGTTCCTTTCCTCTGTCTATTTGCCCCTTCTCCTGAGCCTCCACTACTCACAATTCATGAGCAACACTCATGAGTCTCCGAAAATCTAACCCTTATTTACTAAAGCATTCTGGCTTGTCCAAAGGTTACACAACAATCAGGGGTAAAGTCAATTGGAATCCAGAGTGCCTAAAATGTTTTCCTCCTGTGATTTTCTGAATCCCTAAAATGTTTGGGTTAG
This sequence comes from Homo sapiens, assembly GCF_000001405.40. Classification (NCBI taxonomy): domain Eukaryota; kingdom Metazoa; phylum Chordata; class Mammalia; order Primates; family Hominidae; genus Homo; species Homo sapiens. The sequence continues at coordinate 132,012,839 of NC_000023.11, read as the reverse complement.
AACAAAGGACTACAGTGTTGTTTGTGCTCTTAGAGATTAGTAGGAAGGATTTTTCAGGGTACCTTTAAAAAAACATTGAGAATGTTCTTAGACTTTCAGGTTGATATTTATACAATTTAGTTTCATGGGGAAATTCACCATGAACATCTTTGAGGGACACAGAGAGACATAAAAATAGATGCCAAGGGCAGGCAAATTATGTAATTAAGGCATTTTGCTTACTTTTCTCCTCTAAGTATGTATGTGTGTGCAAGTTCATTGAAGCAAGGGGTGGTGATGTATAATGAGGGGAGATACAGAAGTAAATGCAGTTAGGACCAAATACAAAGTCATTATAAGATTAGAAGGCAAATAACTTTGCTACAGAAAAAAATCAATTCTGAGAGGTGATATATAATGTACATGTGAAAAACATGGACTCTGGATCCAGACTACTTAGGTTCAAATCCTAGTTTTGTCCACATACTAGCTCTGTGATCATCAGCAAAGTGCTTAACTTCTCTATACCTCCCTTTCCTTACCTGTCAAAGAGAATGATAAAAGGAACTACCTAATCAAATTGATTTAAGGGCTTAAATGAACTTTATTTTTTTCTTTAAACTTTGATCAAAGCATGAGATACCTATAGAAAACTGTACAAATCATAAGTGTCCAAGAGCCCAATGAATTTTCACAGTGAACACATTCATGTATCTATCACCTAGATCAAGAAAAAGAAACTTGTACCCAGAAGTCATCTTGATGCTCCCATTCAGTCACTACTTCCCCCAGCCCAAAGTTATCCACTTCCTTATCTTCAGTCATCATAGATTCATATTGCCTACTTTTGAACTTTAAATGAGGATCTACATAGAGTGCTTAAACAATGCTTGGCATATTGTAAACACTATATAAGCTTGGCAATGTGATTTTAACAATAACAAGACAGTAGGTATGTTTTGGGGGTAGAATTGTTAACAAGAGTAATAAAAACAAAAGCAAATATCCGAGGTAAAGCCTATGACAATGAAGCTAAATGTAACAAGCCTATTTTTTTTTCAAAAATTAGGTTCTTGGAATCATTTTTCCTTTTTTTTTATTATACTTTAAGTTTTAGGGTACATGTGCACATTGTGCAGGTTAGTTACATATGTATACATGTGCCATGCTGGTGTGCTGCACCCACTAACTCGTCATCTAGCATTAGGTATATCTCCCAATGCTATCCCTCCCCCCTCCCCCCACCCCACAGCAGTCCCCACAGTGTGATATTCCCCTTCCTGTGTCCATGTGATCTCATTGTTCAATTCCCACCTATGAGTGAGAATATGCGGTGTTTGGTTTTTTGTCCTTGCGATAGTTTACTGAGAATGATGATTTCCAATTTCATCCATGTCCCTACAAAGGACACGAACTCATCATTTTTTATGGCTGCATAGTATTCCATGGTGTATATGTGCCACATTTTCTTAATCCAGTCTATCATTGTTGGACATTTGGGTTGGTTCCAAGTCTTTGCTATTGTGAATAATGCCGCAATAAACATACGTGTGCATGTGTCTTTATAGCAGCATGATTTATAGTCCTTTGGGTATATACCCAGTAATGGGATGGCTGGGTCAAATGGTATTTCTAGTTCTAGATCCCTGAGGAATCATTTTTCCTTCCATAAATGATATCTGTTGTGTATTCCATGCTAAGAAAAATACACTCCATTTGAGACATCCAAGAAAACATATGCCCAAACATTTCAGCATGACGCAGAATGAGAATTTTACTCAAATTTTTAACAAACTAATAAGAAAACCAAATTTGGCAGATGCCTTTCTGGGCCTCAGTTTTCTTATTGTAAAATGAAGGGTATTGGGCCAGCACTGACATTTAGTGTTTCCATGAAAAAACAATTCTTAAAAAGCAAAATCTGGGAATGTTGGAACCACTGTTTTATAGCCAAATAATAAATCTAGAGTCACAGTCAAACATGACCTTTTGGAAGGAAGGCAGTAGGGTTTCCGTGAGGGAAAATCATGTCTGACTAATCTATTAGCCTTCTCAAGAGTGTAAATAACATATGGACAGGGAGAAACCAAAGAATATAATTTACAAATACTTTTATTTCTTTTTTTTATTATACTTCGAGTTCTAGGGTACATGTGCACAACGTGCAGGTTTGTTACATATGTATACATGTGCCATGTTGGTGTGCTGCACCCATTAACTCGTCATTTACATTAGGTATATCTCCTAATGCTATCCCTCCTCACTACCCCCACCCCATGACAGGCCCTGGTGTGTGATGTTCCCCACCCTGTGTCCAAGTGTTCTCATTGTTCAATTGCCACCTATGAGTGAGAACATGCAGTGTTTGGTTTTCTGTCCTTGCGATAGTTTGCTCAGAATGATGGTTTCAGCTTCATCCATGTCCCTACAAAGGACGTGAACTCATCCTTTTTTATGGCTGCATAGTATTCCATGGTGTATATGTGCCACATTTCTTTAATCCACTCTATCATTGATGGACATTTGGGTTGGTTCCAAGTCTTTGCTATTGTGAATAGTGCCACAATAAACATACATGTGCATGTGTCTTTGTAGCAGCATGGTTTATAATCCTTTGGGTATATACCCAGTAATGGGATGGCTGGGTCAAATGGTATTTCTAGTTCTAGATCCTTGAGGAATCACCACACTGTCTTCCACAATGGTTGAACTAGTTTACAGTCCCACCAACAGTGTAAGAGTGTTCCTATTTCTCCACCTCCTCTCCAGCAACTGTTTTTTTCCTGACTTTTTAATGATCGCCATTCTAACTGGTGTGAGATAGTATCTCATTGTGGTTTTGATTTGCATTTCTCTGATGGCCAGTGATGATGAGCATTTTTTCATGTGTCTTTTGGCAGCATAAATGTCTTCTTTTGAGAAATGTCTTTTCATATCCTTTTCCCACTTTTTGATGGGGTTGTTTGATTTTTTCTTGTAAATTTGTTTAAGTTCTGCAAAGACTTTTTAAAAAGCCCTTGACAAGCTTTCATATTGTTGACTTTTTTGTTGTCGTTCAATGACTCTCTGTGGATTGGGGGAAACATTTTTTCATGGAAAGCAAGCTAACTTACGGAATTAATTGGAAGATAGGAAAAAGTGGGTGCTTCTCCGGATGGAGCAGTGTCAGCACTAAGGTTACCATGGGCCCAGGCTTGTTGAAGCGGTGTACACTAAGGAATACAGAATGGTATTTCTATGTTTGTACCTGGCACTAAGTAGGCTCTTCTCAGTAGTGAGATGTCAAACTGACATAGGATAAATGGCAAGACAATCTCTCAAAATAGGGGAAGTGGGGAAAAAGAAATAATGAATCATCTTAGTAAGATAAAACATTTGCAGACTAAGTAAAGTAGCTGCACAATACAAATCATTAGAGCTGTTGTTACTTATGGCTCCAGAAAGTGAATCTAGGAGTTGTAGGTTATTTCTGGAACAATTTCAGCTTACTGTGCCATTTTGGCCAGAAAAGTCAACAAAATTCTGTGCGTAAGTAGAAAGTAGACTAGAAATAATATGACATGTCCTATGTTTGAAAAAAAGATTAAAATCTGGAACATGATGTTTAATTCAAGGGGTCACAAATCAAGAAAGACAAAATGGAGCTCAAGCAGGCATAGAGATGGGCAGCAAAAATGAGAGAATGAGAAGGAGCTGTACAGAAACAGACTCAAAGTATTAGCATTCATTAAACCAAAGAGATGAAGATAGAGGCAATGGCCAAAGTGAATACTGATACTAGGGCTGCTAATAACGATCACTTGTGTAGGACTCCCTTTGAGCCCAGCACAGGTCTGAGCACTTTACATGCATTGCCTCCTTCAGTACCTATCAACCCTATGAGGTAAGTCCCACTATTTTCCTCATTATAAAAGCATCGTGAAGGGTATGTATGGAGTAAATAGTGATCAGAGCTATTTACCGGCTAGAGCTCAGCACAGAACTTTAAACTCAAAAGAGTCCAATCCAAGACAAACAAAAGAAAGTGAGATTTATACAGTAGGCAGTAAAACCTACAGAACTCACCAACTCAAGCAACAGTTAGAAGTCGATCTGTAAAGACATTCAAAAAGGAGTCAGACTAGATTTGTAGAAGATACAATCAAGCTATCTTACTAAAATGTCTTTACCCTTTGAGGTTGCCATTAAGGAGGACAACCACACCCTCTCCACTCCTATTGCCAACATGTTTCTGTGTCCCCCTATAAAAATTCTGGGCTGGGTGGACCAGAAATTTGGCCAAGTGTGGTTTTTTTCTTTTTAATTATGACATAAGTTGGGGAATGGTACATGAATTCTTTGTGGGTATCTCAAGATGGTTGTAATTTATGCTCTGCTTGAATCTGTTTTAATTGATAGCCTAAATTCCACAGAAGCCTATTTAAAGCAAGCTTTGTACTCTGTAGAAATGGGATCTTTCAGAAAAACGACTTGCTGAAGAATGAATTGCCACAAAGAAAGCAGGTAGAGGATTTTCCCTTTGGCATCTATCATCTAGTCAGCATTTATCTGGAGTTACTTCATGGCTATATTTCTTTAAGAAATTACATTTCAGAGAAAATACATTTCATGTCAGGAAAATAGGAGAGATTAGCTTAAAAGAGAATCCCCATGTAAAACTCACATAGTGGCTTCAGTCCTCAGGAAACCCAAGGGTAGACTCATCTGGTGTTGCTCAAAGCAGCGTCTGTCTTGTTTTTCTAACACTGGTGGTTTCCACAAAATACACTAGCATCCTCCTTTGGCTTTGTGACCTTTACCCTAATTGAAACACTGTATGTGTTCTGGACAAACCATGAAAAAGAAACAGAAGAGAAGAAAGAGCAAGAGTGACCATCTAGTTCACAGAGAACTAACCTTATCTTTGGAAAGGAAGTAAGAAAAGAAAAATGAAAGATACTGGAGAGTTCAGAAACCTCCAGAGGAAGGGAAAAAGGACACATGAAGAGATAGGATTGCTCTATGTGTCAGGATAAATAGCTAATGCATGCGGGATTTCATACCTAGGTGATGGGTTGATAGGTGCAGCAAACCACCATGGCACACGTTTACCTATGTAACAAACCTGCACATCCTGCACATGTACCCTGGAACTTTAAAAAAAAGTAATTACTTTGGCACCAACCTAATATAAGAAGCTGTTTTATAAGCTGGAGGCAAGAATTCACTGAAAAGAGACATGAGGAAAATTTATGGGGGATGGAAATGTTCTTTATCTTAATGAGGATGTAGATTCCATAGTTTTATACGTTTCTCATAATTCATCGAACTGTATATTTAAGATCTGTGCAACTTACTGTACACAAATTATGTCTCAATTAAAAAAAGAGATAGGATTGCTCTGTAAGCATGTTAGATTTCAATTGAAAAATTGTTGAAAAATGGAGATAGGATTAAATGTGGTTTTAAATGGTAATATGGGTAGTTGGGTCATAAAATGATGAAGCTTGTCAGTCCTTGTGCTCTCCTACTTCTTGGAGCAGAGTCTCTGCCTTCCCCTCACTCCTCTCACTCTGACCCTGGGTCCTCTGGCTAGGCTACCCAAAGTCCATTTCTGTGGATAGCAGCTAAGTCAGTACTCCCCCAGGCAGTGCCTGTTCTCACCTCTCTTTATCAAAATGTATCCATGTTGTGACCTTTTGTTGCCCTGGACTGAGAACGTTTTCATCTTAATAGAAAGTAAGTTAATACTTCTTAAATATGGCTCTCTACTTCTAGTAGCCAATGGAGATATAATGGGGGCAGAAGTCTCTTTGCACCCTCAAATAACAGGTGAAAGGCCAGCAGGTTTTTTTTAAGCCAGGTAACCACTTTGAGCTTACATTTCCTCATCTGTAAACTGAAGATCATACCTTTCCCTTCTATTACAGTTTGGAACACTTTCACATACGTTTGCCTATTTGATTTTCATAGCCACCTTCTGAGATAATTATTACTCCTATTTTACAGACAAGGAAACTGAAGCTCAGCAAGGTTAAGTAACTTCTCCTGGGATAATATGTGAAACGGCCAGTGCATAAAGGGGAAAGTCAGCTAGCCAAGACAGTGAGTTGGCATGTGGTTACAGAAGCTCCCCAGACGATGGTGCCAGGCACAGGAGCCATGTGGCTATGAGGAGGTAGTATGGGATCAAGGTTATGAGTACAGACTCTGGAGCCACAGAAACCCAGGTATGAATCCTGGCTCTCCTCCTTATTACCTGGATCCCTTGAGCAAGCCACCTTCACTGGATCTACATTTCCTCATTTGGAAGATGGGGATAACACCTAGCTTATAGAGCTGTTGTGAGGATTAAGTGCAACAGTAGATATAATGTGCTTTGTTAGTGCAATGCAGAGCACATGGGAAACAAAAAAATATATAGAAGCTCCTGGAATGATTAGTAGTAATAGTAACACTTGGCACACATGTTAGCCCAGAGCATGGAGTCCACTGGCCCAAAGGTAGAGTTAGCCATTAGTGACTAGGCCGGAGACAAACAACCAAACACGATTGATAACAAGGAAAGAAAGCGGAGGCTATATCCTCTGCAAGGTGGGACCCATCAGGGCTACCCAGGACTAGGTTGCAGTTTACTTAGGGCAGTGGTTCTTAAACTCAAGCATTTATCAGAATCCTCTATAGGGCTTATTCAAAGATAGATGCCTGGGCCCCACTCCCAGTGTTTCTGATTCAGTAGGTCTGGAGTGGGGCCTGAGAACTTGCATTTCTAACAAATTCCCTGGTGTTGCTGATGCTGCTGGTCTAGAAAGGCCCCTTTGAGCATCACTGTCTTGGAATAAAGAATCTCAGGACTACAGTCTTGTTCAGTTCCAGGCATCAGAGTTGCCTTTCTTTTGGGTTCTTTTTCCTTCTTAGTAAAAATCCACTTTAAAAATGCCGCCTATGTCTTGGCAGAATAAGGGAAATTGCCCATAACTGGTCCAGGAGAGCTAGAGCTATCAGAGGACTGCTCAAAACCAGGGATGATAGTGACCTCTACCCAGCTGGAAGACTAGGTAGAGGTCTTAGAGCAAAACAAAGGGCAAAACGTAGACCGAAAAGAATCAGAGACAGCTGTGATTATTGAGCCTTTCCAAGACTGGATTTTCCCTCACAAGCTTTTTCTTGCTTAAGCTTTTTATCCCTTTTATACCTACGACTGTATTTTGGGGGTGGGGTGTATGTGGGAAGGATTCATCATGTTTTCTAGTTGTACTTTTCCTACTCTCTTGTTTTAGTCTTTGTCAACCTCAAAGCCAGCATCTACCTCTTGGAGAGCCTAGAGCAGCATGCACAGATTATGGCAGTCTGAGTTAAAAAAACTGAGCAAAATTAGACATCTCTCTTGAAGTAAAGTATGTGCTCTGTGCTCTATATCGTGTTACAGCAAATTTGAAAAACAAGAGCTGTGTTCCAAGTCACCGCCTGGCAGTTGTTAGTAACTAAGCCTCTGCTACCTGTTAAACATAGTTAATGAAGCAGTCTGTGTTTATAAATTAGAGGATTTATCTTTGAAAATAGTAACCCATTAGAAAAAGAAAAATAGCCTTGGATTTAGGCTTCTGGATTAGAAATCATCTGTCCCATGAATATCAAGGGGGTGAAAGAACTTGTGGCATCACATATTAATGAGAATACACATTTAAACTGCAAATGTTAGGAAACAGACACAAATGTGAAGCTGCTGTAATTATAAGAATGTAGGGTTCTTAAGCTCCTGAGGCAGAGATAGTTTGGTTTAGGGATTCCTTATAAGGTGCCTGGGCCTGTTCAGTGCCATTATGCTATCAGGTGTTTGCCTGTACCAACCTGCCCACATTACATGAAAGCGGGCCTCCCTCATTCTTTCAGAATTCTTTCAGAATTCATGGCTTCTGTCCTGAACCATTCACCCCAGCTTATCTCATACTCCAACTCCTAACTCTTCTTCAGTCTGTTCTAATTTCTGACCTCATGACTCATTTCTCCTCCTACTGGCTGGCCTCATGCTAGGGCCTGGCACTTGGTATTACTTCTCCAACTTAAACCTTTTGCAGTCCTCTTCGGCCAGTAATCAGATTCTCCAGTTGGCTACACTACCGTCATCCATGGGAGAGTGCTCCAACGGGACCAGCCTGTTTCCTGGGACATAATGCTTTCACACAGTTCCCTGTGGAAGGTTCCCCTGCCTGGTACACTCAGTCCTGGGAACAGAACTCTGACTTGAGAGATTTGTAGCCTCTTGATACCACTTTCGGAAGAAGAGAAGACAAATGGAAAGGAAGGAATTTGGTTGCCCAATCACTGTATACAGAAGAGCCAACTGAATTTCTATATTTTCTAAAGTACATGAGAAAAAAAGGTGATGCTTTGTAGTATAAACTATTTAGTAGTCCTTACTTCTCTGATTTGAAAAATTACTATTTCTTTCTTTCTCTCCTTCATAGTCATCTTCCAATAGCCCACCCATTGATTGATTGCTGGGACTTATTAATTCTGCCCTCCGTAACATCTCATGAACCCGTCATCCCTTGCTTGAGCTGTTCTAATAACCAATGTCCCTGACACCAGTTTCTCCTTCTCCCCCATCCCGCTGTTCCATGACGTTCATCCCCTGCCAATCCATTTTTCACACTGTTCCAGAAGTAATCTTTCTAAAATACAGATCTGATCATGTTATTCCCTTTCTTGACAATTTTCATTCCCATGTATATAACTGGTTGTCATCATATATATATAATTCTGGTTTTTTTAGAAGATAGATTCTTCTAATTAGGGCAATAATATTGATCTACTACATCTATATTGTGCTTTAGATTATTTTCACAGCTTTTATATAACTTTTTTACAACAAGCTAGGTCAAGAGATGGAGACCATCCTGGCCAACATGGTGATACCCTGTCTCTACTAAAAATACAAAAATTAGCTGAGCATGGTGGCGCACACCTGTAGTCCCAGCTACTCGGGAGGCTGAGGCAGGAGAATCTCTTGAATCCGGGAGGCAGAGGTTGCAGTGAGTAGAGATTGTGCCACTACTCCAGTCTGGCAACAGAAAAAAAAACTTTATGAATTAGATATTATTTTATCTCTATGTTTGAGGAGTGTACTTTTTATTTATAGTAAATGATACATACTAAGAGGTAGATATATTAAACATTAAATATGTATTAGAAGTCTTTGGCTAAGTAAATAGATTAAGTACTCCTAAAGAAAATTCAAACTTTCAGTTCCAAAGAATCAATTCATTAAGTCTTATTTGAATACTGGTACATCACAGTTGTTTACAGCTTGCAATTAAAACAAATTTAAACTGCAAATATTAGGAGGTCAAAGTCAAAATTCCATCAAACCTGGTATTTCAACCTGCTTTTAGTCACATAGGTAAGGATTCTACTTATGTCCTAAAAAAGCAACAGCTGTAACTTGGTAAGTTGTAACTGAGGTCAAAGTTGGTGGTTCAATTCCCATTTGTTTAAATTAGTTACATTAGTTTTCGTGGACATAGTCTGTAACCCTAACCTCAGCCAGCTATTTTACAATTGCAGGTCCCAGTGGAACCTGAATAATAGAATATGGATAAGTCTATAAAGTGACTCCATCTTTATTACTGAAAAATGTAAATATGCTTGTAGTTCCACAACGTTGTATAGGTTTTTGTATATGCAGTTACGCAAATAATTTTTAGTAACAATCATCTTGACAAAAAGAGATGGCATGCTTCTCCAAAATGGTACTGTGAGGATCCTCAAAAATGCTTCATATATATCTTATTCCAATAGTAGTTTCCTAGTTTTACAATTCTCATCTAATAATGCTAGTTCCATCTCTACTGATGACTTAGGTAACAATTACTAATGTAGCTTCAGGTAAGTCCCATAACAATTCTACTTATTAGCTTCTACTTCCTGTTTTGAACGAATAATGCAATATTGTCCAGATTATACCAGCTTTCTCATTCACAAAGATGTGATAAGTATCAGGTTTAACTTTTTGTACAGATGGCCTTGCAAGTTGCCTGTGTAGTAGCCCTGAGAAGACCCAGATCTGAAATTTTAAGATTCCCTCTTATTTATCTAGGTCAAGACAAGAATCAATTGTTTGTATGCAATTATTTCTGAAAGGAGTAACAAATCATTGTCAGTCATTAGTATCTAGGTACGAATTAATTTATCAGAGCCCTTCACCTAATACTTAACTAAAAGTGGTATCTTAAGGAGACACCTGACTGCTATATTTTGAAAGGAATATAGTGGAGGCAAATGTTCATATTCACTAAGAATAGACTTAGCTTACATCCTGACTGGTCACAGGACACACTAAAGGCACGGGATAGGACTCACGGGGGTTAAGGGAAGTAGAATGGTACCAGAAGACAAACTTCTCTTACATTCCTGTTTGGCTTTAAGCCAGAAGTAATAAGAATATATGAAATGGTATTATAATGACAGTATCCTATAATAGTTAAGAAGCCAAGTTCTGATATCAGGGAGACCTGGGTTCAAATTCTACTTCTGCCTCTGTCTAGCTGTGTGGACTTAGGCAACTCTTCTCTCTGAACCTTGAGTTGCTGATCTTTAGGGGACTAGAAGTACCTAACTTACAGGATTGTCTTGAGTATTAAATGGGATAGTTCATGTAAAGCAGTTAGTAGGATGTCTGGTAAAGAGTAAGTGATCAATAAATATTAGCTATTACTATATAAATAGAAATTTAAGGTTGCTTATTCTTGAGTATATATATTTTTAGTGAAAGATTGCTTCAGTGGAGTTAGATTTATGCTACTTCAAAATAATCACTTAAGCAAGTTTTTCTGATGCTGAAGGAAATAATCCTGGCCAAAGTAATATAACAAATAGACCCAAGAAATACATGAAGATGGAAGGGTCCCTTTGTTCCAACAAAGATCTGAAAGTCATACTATGGAAAATATGAGGTCTAATCAAGTGCAGATAGCTGGCAACTGAATAAATACTATGAGAACTCAGAGGGGTGTAGAAGATCCACAGATGAAACAAAGCTGGAAAAAGAAGCAAATCTTACCTATTCACCCAGAAACTGTGCATGATCTCTGATCAACCTGTAAAAACAAGATGTTGTTTCCTTCACAAAACAATTTAGAGGAAGAGAATGAAAGTGTACACACCTTTTCAGAATACAAGTTTGAGGGCAAGACATCACTGATGACCAAGTCAAAGGTCATGTTAATTATTATTTATGTAGAATTTTCGATGACAGTTCAAAGAATTTTGTGTTCAAAGCATTTGTGTTTGTGTCCTCCTTGAACCTGAGGGCATTTTTCTTGCTCAGAATCCACTGATTGGCAGGTATAAACAAATCTCAAATTACCAAGTTACAACTGTTGCTTTTTTAGGACATAAGTAGAATCCTTACCTATGTGACTAAAAGCAGGTTGAAATAACAGGTTTGATGGAATGTTAAAGGTACGGCTGTTAACTGTCACCTGCACAATAACCTCTGACAACCATTTCCTGCTTGGCAGCATAGGGAAGAGGGCTGGGGAGTGTGGGTGATCGACTTGTCATTTTGACTCATCATTATGACTTGAATAATCCCTTCTGCCTACCTGTCCTACATACGCAACATTTTATTTAATTATGAGAGACATAGTATTAGTCACTGGTTCTTAGGAGCAAAGTCATTGTTTGGTTCTGCTAGATTCAAGAAATGTGAGTTCTCAAGTCAACAGAATAATGATTAACATTTGTATATAGCATCTTCATCTTCCTGCATATGATGTATGTTTATATACATGATTGCATTTAATTTTTACAACAGACCTGTGAGGTAAGTTGTAGCTATTTTTCCTTCTGTGAAGAAACTGAGTTTCCCAGGTGGAAAAGACTTGCTCCAAACCTTGTAGCTGGTAAGTTGTGAATGTTCCAGCTCATACTACAAATTCTGGCTTCTTGGCGTCATACCTAATCTTGATTTAACACCATCACCATCTCCCAGGGTTCCCAGTCTAGAAACCTTGTGTCTCACTTCTCCTTCAAACTCTTTCCTCTATTAGTCATGAGATGCTGTTTATTTCATTTCCATAATGCTTCTCAAATTTATCACTATTGAACTTCCTATTGTTACTTCCATAACCCTAGTGTAAGCCACCATTGTTTCCCACCTGGATTATTCCAATAGTCTGCTAATTGGTCTGCTCATGATATTCTGAACTATGATCCATGTTGCTGCTAGAGTGGGCTATGTAAAAGTGCAAATCTGAACATGACCCTCTCTTGCTTAAAACCTTTAAGTGGCCCTCCAACTTCTTTGGGATAAAATCCAAATTCTTTAACATGGCCCTGCCTCATCCCTTTCCCCATCTTCTTCCTACACACCCTATGCTCTGACAAGAACTAGTATGCTTCTCTTCCCTAAACACCTCATGATGTTTGTTTCCATGTTTTTCATTCTACTGGAAAAACTTCTTCCTCCTGTTGTCTACTTTCTTTCGTTGAAACAGTTTATAACAAATGTCTTTAGTGAGATTTTCTCATCCTGATCTAGTGCTTCCATTCACCTTTATATAAACTCCTGCTATGACATTTCACAGGTTTAGTTGTTACTATTGATTTACATATTCATCTGACCCACAAGACTCTGAAATAAGGGTCAAAGACATATTTTGTGAAACATATAGCAAGCCTTTCTGCATAGCACAGTGTTTGTAACATAGTAGAGAGTAAGAAAAAATGTTTATTACATCAAACTTATAAGCAATGATTAATTACCTATTATTATATGCTCAGCTCTATAAAATGTAGTGAGGTAGGCCCAAGCCTTACTGAAAAGAGAATTATATAATTCATTTTGCTAAAGAACAGCATAAAATATTTCATAATTGAGAGATTGTGTAGTACTGACTGAAAGTCTATAGCAGTTCAGAAGATTTGAAACTAAGAAGGCACCTCATTCCTTTAGAAATGATGATTACTGATGAAAGGCCAACAGCAATTGAATATTTGCCATCTGGCAACTGTCACAGTACTCATCGTAAATCAGATTTAATAAACCCAAGCCCTTTTAAAGGTGAAGGTGTTTTATGTTATTTAGGGAGAACTCCTAGGAGTCTCCCTAGGAGAGTCCTATCTCCTAGGAGGCTGACTCAAGAAAAGTACATGGAAAATGAAAGTACATGCCTCCTAGTGTTGGGAGAAATAATTCTACCTGGCTGGGATGTGACATTGTTGGAATACATTTATTAAGGGAATTCATGTTCATTATCTTCATTGAGGAGAATAAAGCTGCATTTAACCAGTTAAAGTTTGAATAAATCAGGGTGGACATTTGGTGGTGCCCATTGGGCTGCATTTCCCAGGTCAGTACTGCCAGTGAACTCAAGCAGAATGTATGCCAGTGGCTTTTCTGCTTCTGGCTTGCATTCTCTGTAAGAATATAGCACAACCTGTATAAATATTTCTCTTTACTGTCAGTTAGCTAACTGGGAAGCTACACTTCTCTCAAAAGTGACTGTGAACAGCCCCCCAACCATCAATACAGAGGGTTGGAAGTAGTTGTTTTCATGTATAAGTGTGGGGCCTTAAGTATTTGCCGAGTAAAGTTCAAGTAAATTGAAATTGTCTTTAAAACATAGCTGTGTAACATCACTAATCATCAGATAAATGCAAATTAAAATTATGCAAATCAAGGTATCACCTCACCCTGTTAAGATAACTGTTATAAAAATAAAGACAAGAGTTAAAGAAGATGTGGAGAAATTGGAACTGACATACACTGTTGGTGGGAATGCAAAATGGTGCAGCTGCCGTGGAAAATACTATGATGGTTCCTCAAAAAATTAAAAATAGAATTACTATATGATCCAGCAATCCCACTTCTGGGTATTTATCCAAAAGAATTGAAATCAGGAGATATTAACATCCTATGTTCGTTGCAAAACTATTCACAATAGCCAAAATATAAAAACAAAATAAGTGTCCATTGACAGATGACTGGATTTTAAAAATGTGGTTTATCCATATAATGGAATATTATTCAGCTGTTAAAAGGAAAGAAATGCTATAATACACAATATGTATGGACTTTAAGGATATTATGTTAAGTGTAAAAAGCCAGTCACAGAAGGACAAATACTGCATGATTTCACTTATATGAGGTATCTAAAATAGACCCATAGAAGCAGAGAGAAAAACAGTGTGGTTGCAAGGTGCAGGGGTAGGGGGCAATGGGGAGTTGCTATTGAATGGACATAAAGTTTCAGTAATGCAAGATGAGTGAATTCTAGAGATCTGCTGTACAACATTGTGTCTATCGTGAACAGTGTTGTCCACTTAAAAATCTGTTAAGAGGGTAGATCTCATGTTCAATATTCTTACCACAATAAAATTTAAACTTAAAGTAGTACACATATCAACAGTATATGCCAATCTAACATATGTAACTGAGAAACTATAACATATATATTACATATATTATTATATATAAAGTATACCATATATCAAATATGTAATTATATATAAAATATATATGATACATAACATATATACAAATGGTCCTCAATTTATGATGAGGCTATGTCTCAATAAACCCATTGTAAGTTGAAAATATCATAAGTCAAAAAGGCGTTTAGTATGCCTAACCTACTGGACATCCTAGCTTAGCCTAGCCTACATTAAACATGCTCAGAACACTTACATTAGCCTAGAGTTGGGCAAACTCATCAGGCAACACAGTACACTGTACAGTATCAGTTGTTCACCCTTATGTTCATGTGCCTGCTGGGAGCTGCAGCTGCCTGGCATCTCAAGAGAGTCTCCTACTACATATTGCTAGCCCAGGAAAAGATCAAAATTCAAGATTCAATGTATGGTTTCTATTGAATGTGTATCGCATTCACACCATTGTAAAGTTGAAAAATCGTAAGTCAAAGCATTGTAAGTTGGGAAACATCAGTATATTATATATATTATATTATATACTGTATACATATATACTGTATATACTGTATACATATATACTGTATACATATATATGTATGTATACATATATACTGTATACATATATACTGTATACATATATATGTATACATACATGTATACGTATAAGTATATACGTATATATGTATGTATACATATATACGTATATATATATGATACGGAGAGCAAGGATTACATGACCATATTTTACTCTTTGGCTGTGCAGTATCCATCCGAAACCATTTTTACATAACACATCTGAATCTGCTCTTTCCTTTAAGCAAATATATGATAGAAGAAAGGATTTCAACTATACCCATTCTGAATAAAAGACAGCGATACGGTAAAAAATAAATAAATAAATAAGTACATGAATAAATAATAAAAAAGTCATCAACCCCATCATGTTCTTCTATTCTGTTCCTGTGCCTTTATTTCCTTCATCCTTCCTTCCTTCCCTCTTCTCTCTCCCATTCTCTATTTCTCTCTCTCTTTTAAATTTTTAAAAAATTTGCTAAAGTAAAAAATATATTCCTGGAGTATGTGCACTGTCCAATGTTTCTTCTGATTCTTTTCCATTTAACCTCATTCAACACTTGCCAATGTCAGACTTTTTATAAATGTTTAGTATACATTGAATAATTGCTTCAAATTCTATAGAAATAAAAATGATACCTCAAATTGCCTATTCATTTCCACATATTATTTCTATTAACATATATTTCTACATCTCGAAAAGAGAGCATCAACATAGATGGAGCTGGAGGCTGTCATCCTTAGCAAACTAATGCAGGCACAGAAAAACAAATACTGCATGTTCTCACTTATAAGTGAGAGCTAAATGATAAGGATGTGTGAACACAAAGAACGAAACAGCAGACACTAGGGTCTACTTGAGGAGGCACGGTGGGAGGAGGGAGAGGAACAGAAAAGATAACTATTGAGTACTGAGCTTAATACCTGGGTGATATAAAATATGTATTAGGTTGGTGCAAAGGTAATTGCGGTTTTCACCATTAAAAGTAATAGCAAAAACTGCAATTATTTTTGCACCAGCCTAATACAACAGACCCCCATAATATGTGTTTATCTATGTAACAAAACTTCACATGTACCCCCAAACCTAAAATAGAAATGTAAAACAGGAGCATCGCTTGGATTGGTACATTGCATCTCTAAGCTCTTAAGTTCACCCAATGGATAAGTCCTGAATTAAGATGGAAGAGTGGGAATATTAACGGATTCATTTAATGTACAGTAAAAGGCAAAGTACTTGCTTAAGTGTTTTGCATTCTCCACAAATTTTTATTACTGATTTTCCTATATGTTACTTAAACATCTGTTAAATTTGCTCTTATACAGAAGTAAAAAAAAAAAAGTAGACAAAATCACCTACAAGGAGTCAAATTCAATTTGATGAAATTATGAAGTGCTGGTCATAGAGAATATTTTGTTCTCCTAATCACATTTAATTCTCCACATTACCAACACCCTATCACACACAGTTTTCTTGAGATTTATGGCCTATTTTCCAAGATTAGATACAAGATATTTATGAGGCAACACATCTACTAACCCAAGAAGTGACAACTCTTTAGTGTACGAGCATGGAGTAGCCTGCAGCAGGTGAATGTCATGTTCATTCAGGGTCTCAAAGTTCTTCTATCATTAAAACACTGTTGGGAATGCAGTAGGATGAAGAAAAGGAGTCTAGACAGCTGACAGTTGTAGTTGTCCAGGAAAACTCAGAATGATCTACATCAGGGTGATAGAGCTGAGGACAAAGAGGAGGAATATTTAATATTACAAGTGGTAACAGAGATAGGATTTGCTGATTTTTTTTTTCATTTTGGAAAAACACATGAGAGGAATAGAGAAATGAATGAAACTGGTGCTAGATTTCTGGCAAAAGGAACTGAGCAACATCTGCATCCAATTTCTAAAAGAAGTAATTTGGAGGCTGCAACTATTTTGAAATATCTGCATTGATTTTCTTCTGCTATTATCATTATATCACGATCATTTTTAAGCACCTGCTGCAAATAGCTTTAGGCCCATGGAGTCAGAAGAAAACAAAAGGTGTTACCTTTTTTAAAGAATGACACACAGATGTGCATTGTGGAGCTCTATATAGGGGATATTATTCAAGAAAACCAAATCACCAAATCTTTATTGAGTACTGGCTATGTGGAAACCCTGTGCTTATTGCTGTGTGCAAGAAATTGAAGCATAAAACACATCTCTTGCTCTTTTTTTCATTTTTTTCATTATTATACTTTAAGTAATAGGGTACATGTGCACAACGTGCAGATTTGTTACATAGGTATACATGGGCCATGTTGGTTTGCTGCACCCATTAACTCATCATTTACATTAGGTACTTCTCGTAATGCTATCCCTCCCCTAGCCCACTACCCCCCGACAGGCCCTGGTGTGTGATGTTCCCTGCCCTGTATCCAAGTGTTCTCAATGTTCAATTGCCAACTATGAGTGAGAAGATGCGGTGTTTGGTTTTCTGTACTTGTGATAGTTTGTTCAGAATGACAGTTTCCAGCTTCACCCAAGTACCTGCAAAAGACATGAACTCATCCTTTTTTATGGCTGCATTGTATTCCATGGTGTATATGTGCCACATTTTCTTAATCCAGTCTATCATTGTTGGACATTTGGGTTGGTTCCAAGTCTTTGCTATTGTGAATAGTGTCGCAATAAACATGCGTGTGCATGTGTCTTTATAGTAGCATGATTTATAATCCTTTGGGTATATACCCAATAATGGGATGGCTGGGTCAAATGGTATTTCTAGTTCTGGATCCTTGAGGAATCGCCACACTGTCTTCCACAATGGTTGAACTAATTTACACTCCCACGAACAGTGTAAAAGTGTTCCTATTTCTCCACATCCTCTCCAGCATCTGTTGTTTCCTGACTTTGTAATGATTGCCATTCTAACTGGCGTGAGATGGTATCTCATTGTGGTTTTGATTTGCATTTCTCTGATGACCAGTGATGATGAGCATTTTTTCATGTGTCTGTTGGCTGCATAAATGTCTTCTTTAGAGAAGTGTCTGTTCATATCCTTTTCCCACTTTTTGATGGGGTTGTTTCTTTTTTTCTTGTAAATTTAAGTTCTTTATAGATTCTGGATATTAGCCCTTTGTCAGATGGGTAGATTGCGAAAATTTTCTCCCATTTTGTAGGTTGCCTGTTCACTCTGATGGTAGTTTCTTTTGCTGTGCAGAATCTCTTTAGTTTAATTAGATCCCATTTGTCAATTTTGGCTTTTGTTGCCATTGCTTTTGGTGTTTTAGGCATGAAGTCCTTGCCCATGCCTATGTCCTGAATGGTATTGCCTAGGTTTTCTTCTAGGGTTTTTATGGTTTTAGGTCTAACGTTTAAGTCTTTAATCCATCTTGAATTGATTTTTATATAAGGTGTAAGGAAGGGATCCAGTTTCAGCTTTCTACATATGGCTAGCCAGTTTTCCCAGCACCATTTATTAAATAGGGAATCCTTTCCCCATTTCTTGTTTTTGTCAGGTTTGTCAAAGATCAGATGGTTGTGGATGTCTGGTTATTTCTGAGGCCTCTGTTCTGTTCCATTGGTCTATATATCTGTGTTGGTACCAGTACCATGCCGTTTTGGTTACTGTAGCCTTGTAATATAGTTTGAAGTCAGGTAGCATGATGCCTCCAGCTTTGTTCTTTTTGCTTAGGATTGTCATGGCAATGAGGGCTCATTTTTGGTTCCATATGAACTTTAAAGTAGTTTTCTCCAATTCTGTGAAGAAAGTCATTGGTAGCTTGATGGGGATGGCATTGAATCTATAAATTACCTTGGCCAGTATGGCCATTTTCATGATATTGATTCTTCCTATCCATGAGCATGGCATATTCTTCCATTTGTTTGTATCCTCTTTTATTTCCTTGAGCAGTGGTTTGTAGTTCTCCTTGAAGAGGTCCTTCACATCCCTTGTAAGTTGGATTCCTAGGTATTTTATTCTCCTTCTGGCAATTGTGAATGGGAATTCATTCATGATTTGGCTCTCTCTTTGTCTGTTATTGATGTATAGGAATACTTGTGATTTTTGCACATTGATTTTGTATCCTGAGACTTTGCTGAAGTTGCTTATCAGCTTAAAGAGATTTGGGGCTGAGACGATGGGGTTTTCTAAATATACAATCATGTCCTCTGCAAACAGGGACAATCTGACTTTCTCTTTTCCTAATTGAATACACTTTATGTCTTTCTCTTGCCTGATTGCCCTGGCCAGAACTTCCAATGCTATGTTGAATAGGAGTGGTGAGAGAGGACATCCTTGTCTTGTCCTGTCTTTTAAAGGGAATGCTTCCAGTTTTTGCCCATTCAGTATGATACTGGCTGTGGATTTGTCATAAATAGCTCTTATTATTTTGAGATACGTCCCATCAATACCTAGTTTTTTGAGAGTTTTTAGCATGAAGGGCTGTTGAATTTTGTCAAAGGCCTTTTCTGCATCTATTGAGATAATCATGTGGTTTTTGTCATTGGTTCTGTTTATGTGATGGATTACGTTTATTGATTTGCATATGTTGAACCAGCCTTGCATCCCAGAGATGAAGCCAACTTGATCATGGTGGATAAGCTTTTTGATGTGCTGCTGGATTCGGTTTGCCAGTATTTTATTGAGGATTTTCACATCGATGTTCATCAGGGATATTGGTCTAAATTTCTCTTTTTGTTGTTGTTGTGTCTCTGCCAGGCTTTGGTATCAAGATGATGCTGGCCTCATAAAATGAGTTAGGGAGGATTCCTTCTTTTTCTATTAATTGGAATCGTTTCAGAAGAAATGGTACCAGCTCCTCTTTGTACCTCTGGTAGAATTCGGCTGTGAATCTGTCTGGTCCTGAACTTTTTTTGGTTGGTAGACTATTAATTATTGCCTCAATTTCAGAGCCTGCTATTGGTCTATTCAGAGATTCAACTTCTTCCTGGTTTAGTCTTGGGATGGTGTATGTGTCCAGGAATTTATCCATTTCTTCTATATTTTCTAGTTTATTTGCATAGTGGTGTTTATGGTATTCTCTGATGGTAGTTTGTATTTCTGTGGGATCGGTGGTGATATCCCCTTTATCATTTTTTATTTTTTCTATTTGATTATTTTCTCTTTTCTTCTTTATTAGTCTTGCTAGCAATCTATCAATTTTGTTGATCTATTCAAAAAACCAGCTCCTGGATTCATTGATTTTTTGAAGGTTTTTTTTTGTGTCTCTATTTCCTTTAGTTCTGCTCTGATCTTAGTTATTTCTTGCCTTCTGCTAGCTTTTGAATGTATTTGCTCTTGCTTCTCTAGTTCTTTTAATTGTGATGTTAGGGTGTCAATTTTAGATCTTTCCTGCTTTCTCTTGTGGGCATTTAGTGCTATAAATTTCCCTCTACACACCGCTTTAAATGTGTCCCAGAGATTCTGGTACGTTGTGTCTTTGTTCTCATTGGTTTCAAAGAACATCTTTATTTCTGACTTCATTTCGCTATTTACCCAGTAGTCATTTAGGAGCAGGTTGTTCAGTGTCCATGTAATTGTGTGGTTTTGAGTCAGTTTCTTAATCCTGAGTTCTAATTTGATTGCACTGTGGTCTGAGAGACAGTTTGTTGTGATTTCTGTTCTTTTTCATTTGCTGAGGAGTGCTTTACTTCCAATTATGTGGTCAATTTTAGAATAAGTGCTATGTGGTCTGAAAAGAATGTATATTCTGTTGATTTGGGGTGGAGAGTTCTGTAGATGTCTATTAGGTCCGCTTGGTGCAGAGGTGAGTTCAAGTCCTGGATATCCTTATTAGTCTTCTGTCTCGTTGATCTGTCTAATATTGACAGTGGGGTGTTGAAGTCTCCCATTATTATTGTGTGGGAGTCTAAGTCTCTTTGTAGGTCTCTAAGGACTTGCTTTATGAATGTCGGTGCTTCTGTATTGGGTGCATATATATTTAGGACAGTTAGATCTTCTTGTTGAATTGATCCCTTTACCATTATGTAAGGGCCTTCTTTGTCTCTTTTAATCTTTGTTGGTTAAAGTCTGTTTTATCAGACTAGGATTGCAACCCCTTCTTTTTTTTTGTTTTCCATTTGCTTGGTAGATCTTCCTCCATCCCTATATTTTGAGCCTATGTGTGTCTCTGCACGTGAGATGGGTCTCCTTAATACAGCACACTGATGGGTCTTGACTCTTTATCCAGTTTGCCAGTCTGTGTCTTTTAATTAGGGCATTTAGCCCATTTACATTTAAGGTTAGCATTGTTGTGTGTGAATTTGATCCTGTCATTATGATGTTAGCTGCTTATTTTGCCCATTAATTAATGCAGTTTCTTCATAGCATCTATGATCTTTACAATTTGGCATGTTTTTGCAGGGGCTGGTACTGGCTTTTCCTTTCCATGTTTAGTGCTTCCTTCAGGAGCTCTTGTAAGGCAGGCCTGGTGGTGACAAAATCTCTCAGCATTTGCTTGTCTTTAAAGGATTTTATTTCTCCTTCACTTATGAAGCTTAGTTTGGCTGGTTATGAAATTCTGGGCTGAAAATTCTT
Source organism: Homo sapiens (assembly GCF_000001405.40). Classification (NCBI taxonomy): domain Eukaryota; kingdom Metazoa; phylum Chordata; class Mammalia; order Primates; family Hominidae; genus Homo; species Homo sapiens. Next base: position 131,991,349 of record NC_000023.11, on the reverse strand, counting down.
TTCTTTAAGAATGTTGAATATTGGCCCCCACTCTCTTCTGGCTTGTAGGGTTTCTTCCAAGGGATTCGCTGTTAGTCTGATGGGCTTCCCTTTGTGGGTAACCCAGCCTTTCTCTCTGGCTGTCCGTAACATTTTTTCCTTCATTTCAACCTTGGTGAATCTGACAATTATGTGTCTTGGATTTGCTCTTCTTGAGGAGTATCTTTGTGGCATTCTCTGTATTTCCTGAGTTTGAATGTTGGCCTGCCTTGCTAGGTTGGGGAAGTTCTCCTGGATAATGTCCTGTACAGTGTTTTCCAACTTGATTTCATTCTCCCCGTCACTTTCACATACACCAATCAAATGTAGATTTGGTCTTTTCACATAATCCCATATTTCTTGGAGGCTTTGTTCATTTCTTTTTACTCTTTTTTCTCTTATCGTGTCCTCTTGCTTTATTTCATTAATTTGATCTTCAATCACTGATATCCTTTCTTCCACTTGATCGAATCAGCTATTGAAGCTTGCACATGCATCACGAAGTACTTGTGCCACGGTTTTCAGCTCCATCAGGTCATTTAAGGTTTTCTCTATACTGGTTATTCTAGTTAGCCATTTGTCTAACCTTTTTTCAAGGTTTTTAGCTTCCATGCAATGGGTTAGAACATGCTCCTTTAGCTCAGAGAAGTTCGTAGTTCAATATTACCAACCTTCTGAAGCCTACTTCTGTCAGCTCGTCAAAGTCATTCTCCATCCAGCTTTGTTCCATTACTGGTGAGGAGCTGTGATCCTTTGGAGGAGAAAAGGCACTCTGGTTTTTAGAATTTTCAGCTTTTCTGCTCTGGTTTCTCCCCATCTTTGTGGTTTTATCTACGTTTGGTCTTTGATATTGGTGACCTACAGATGGGGTTTTGGTGTGGATGTCCTTTTTTTTTGATGTTGATGCTATTCCTTTCTGTTTGTTCGTTGTCCTTCTGACAGTCAGGTCCCTCAGCTGCAGGTCTGTTGGAGTTTGCTGGAGGTCCACTCCAGACTGTGTTTGCCTGGGTATCACCAGCGGAGGCTGCAAAACAGCAAATATTGCAGAACAGCAAATATTGCTGCCTGATCCTCCCTCTGTAAGCTTCGTCCCAGAGGGGCATCCACCTGTATGAGGTGTCTGTCGGCCCCTACTGGGAGATGTCTTCCAGTTAGGCTACATGGGGGTCACAGACCTACTTGAGGAGGCAGTTTGTCCATTCTCAGAGCTCAAACGCCATGCTGTGAGAACCACTGCTCTCTTCAGAGCTGTCAGACAGGGACGTTTAAGTCTGCAGAGGTTTCTGCTGCCTTTTGTTCAGCTATGCCCTGCCCACAGAGGTAGAGTCTATAGAGGCAGTAGGCCTTGCTGAGCTGTGGTGGTCTCCACTCAGTTCAAGCTTCCTGGCAGCTTTGTTTACCTACTCAAGCCTCAGCAATGGCGGACATGCCTCCCTCCACCAGGCTGCAGCCTTGCAGGTGGATCTCAGCCTAGCAGTGAGCAAGGCTCCATGGGCGTAGGACCTGCCGAGCCAGGCACAGGAGGGAATCTCCTGGTCTGCCAGTTGCTAAGACTGTGGGCAAAGTGCGGTATTTGGGTGGGAGTATGCCATTTTTCCAGGTACAGTCTGTCACGGCTTCCCTTGTTTAGGGAAGGGATATCCCCTCACTGCTTGCACTTCCTGAGTGAGGTGATGCCCCTCCCTGCTTCAGTTCACCTCTGTGGGCTGCACCCACTGTACAACCAGTCCCAATGAGATGAACCAGGTACCTCAGTTGGAAATGCAGAAATCACCTGTCTTTTGCATCGATTACGCTGTGAGCTGCAGATTGGAGCTGTTCCTATTCAGCCATCTTGGAACAGAGCCACCTCTTGCTCTTAAATTGTCAGTTAGGTGGTACAGAGATCTCGTAGCTAAATCAAGAGTGGGATGAGGTAGTGAAGTTAATCCCCAGTTGGTGCATTATAAATAATTAATTGAGGCATTTTAAGAAAACTAACAGAGCCTACAAGCTATGATAGGAGAATGTAGGCTGGGGGAAAGAGAATGGCTGAAGAGCTAAGAAAGGACCAGCGTGGCACATGTATACATATGTAACTAACCTGCACCATGTGCACATGTACCCTAAAACTTAAAGTATAATAATAAAAGAAAAAAGAAAAAAAGAAAAAAAGGAATATCTAAAGCAGAGGAACCTAGATACACAGTAGTGGATAACACTGGGCAAAACTTCCTAAAATAGAAAAGTAGTCTAGGCACAGTGGCTCACTCCTGTAATCCAAACACTCTAGGCAACCAAGGTGGGGGGATTGCTTGAGTCCAGGAGTTTGAGACTAGCCTGGGCAACATACGGAGACCCTGACTGTACAATTTTTTTTAATTAGGCAGGCTTGGTAGCATGCACTTGTGGTCCCATCTACTTGGAGGTGGAGGCAGGAAGATTGATTGAGCCCGGGAGGTTGAGACTGCAGTGAGCCATGATCATGCCACTACACTCCAGCCTGTGCAACAGAATGAGACCATCTCAAAAAAAGAAAAGTATAAGATATATAGGAAAGTTCATAGAGAGAACAAGACCTGTGTCATAGGGTGGGACAGGAAGGTGAAAAGAAGCAAAATTCCTGGAGTAGAGTAGTCAGAACGCATCAGTTGTGTTGGTGATGAAGGTGCAGACCGCATAGGCAGAAATGAGTTCTCCTAGAAACAAATGTCTTCCACCTAAGTTTCAAACAAAAACAGAACCTTATGTTTCCAGCAACCAGCATGAGACCCAAAGACAATAGCTCCACCCTGGACTAGAGGGTGGAAGTAAAGTAAACCAACCAGAATCCCAATCACTCTAAGGCCTATGATTAAAAAGGAGTGCCAGAAGATAGATCCCAGATAGGTTCCACCCAGAGCTTATCTCTGTGCAAAGTGAGTCATGTGACCTGTATTTGGGAGAAACTGTATAGCTACATAGCTTGGAATTTCTTTATATTGCAGAAAAATTTAGTTATAAATCCAAATTACTTGTTAAGCTGGTCCTCAGCTGACAAGGTGAAAGGAGAAGAATGCTACTGAAAAATCCAGACAAAGTAGTAAATAAAGGGAACCTCCAAGTGTGAGTAAAGAGATCTCGATTTCCCATCGCACATGACATATTAAGAACCAGTGATATACCAAAAGGGAGAAACCATTCCTTAGGGTCTAAATTCCCAAACTTAGATTGTATCTTTTATAGCCTTGTGAAAACACATATTTTGATTGAACTAAGATTTTGTTACCTGGAAGGAATTTAACACTTTCTCAGATTCATTAGTTTTGTCGTCATTTATTCAACAAATATTGAGGGTCTGGCACTGTGTTAGGGGACACATATATATATATATATATAAAACCTAATCCTTACCCTCAAGAAGCTCGCAGTTTAGCTGAGCCCATGGCCTTAGATGAGGATGGTATAGAAATATTTGTCTTGTAAGGCAGTGTAGATGCAATGAGGTAAGATGATAGAGAGAGATAGAATTTGCTGGGGGCTCAGAAAAGTTCAGAGCCTGGAGCTCTGTGGGGGATGACAATTTAACAACTTAGGCACTTGGGGAAGTGGGAGAAAGATGGCAAGAGAAGGGTTAGGGTGGGAAAACAGTTGATTCTGTGGATTAAAATACAGATAACAAAGTGTCTGAGGAGGAGAGAGGAAGAAACTAACACTGCAGGAATCTAAGTTTTCTAAGTTTCTAGTGGATAGAATGTCTGCCATCTTAATATAAGCCTTTCGGGTGTTTATGTATGAGAGAGAGAGACAAGAGAGAGGGAGACAGAGGGAAACAGAGACTGACAGCAAGCACTTGAGGCTCTGTCGACCCTTTTTAACGATTGGTAACAGGGTGGAGACTGTAACCACTAAAACAAAAGCAACTAGATCAGTGAGCCTAAATTGAACTTTAAAAAAGAGGAAGTGAGGAAAGTTTGTTTGTGAACGCTTGTGGCAGGAAATCCTGTGACTAACCTTATTTCACACATCTCAGATTATTCAAAAGAATCTTAACTTTCTCAAGAACAGTAACTTACAAAATTACGGATAGGTAGGAAGAATAAGTTCTAGTGTTCTATAACACTTTAGGGTGAATATGGCTAACAATAATTTATTGTATATGTTCAAAGAGCTAAAAAGAGAGGATTTTGAATGTTCCCAACACAAAGAATTGATAAATGTTAGAGGTGATGAATATGCTAATTACCCTCATTTGATCATTACACATTATATACAGTATTAAAAAATCACTCTGTAGCCTATAAATATTATACACATTTATATGAGTTATATAACATATACAATATACCATAATATATAATATAACACATAATTGTATATATTATTATACATACTTATATATATTTTCATGTAATAATAATTATATTATTGCATGTTGACAAAAAATGAAAGGAAGAAAGAAACTTGGTAACCTAAAATGGAAGGAGGTGTCTCAGAAGCACTGGTATCTGGGAAAAGTTGACACCTTCGCTAAATAAACTAATCCAATTTGAGTTGTCTTTTACTGTGTGAAGGGATGCTTTAGGGAACATGCCCTCCTGGTATTTCTAATAAAGACAATAATGCAGCATTAACAAATAGGATTTGAGAGTATTGAATAAAAATGCCAACATATTGGAAACAAACGAAATCAAAGGCTATTCTCCGTTTACTTGTAGAAATGTTTCTACAGGGCTGAAGGAAACCATTTTATATGAGCTATCATCATTTGAAATGGCACTGATGAAAGTCTGGACTATGGTGAGGACTGCAGGAGGCTGAAGAGTTGGTGAGGAAGGGAGAGGATGATAGTCAGGATCAGGCAATTACAAAACAACAAGCATCCAGGCAAGTGATAACATATACTCCTGGAAAGGCACAATAATGGAAGAAGCCCCTCTCCTGGGCTCTGCTGGCCCATTAACAGGGAGGGTTAGGGTTCCAATCACCTGAAGCTCTAATTTCCAGCTGAAGGTGCAAGTGTAGCAAGAAGAGGGTCTCAGACTTATCTTTCATTGACCATGGGTGAAAATGTACCTCAGGCAAATACACAAGTTCTTTGCTTTTTATATTCTGGAAGTATTTATAAAGCATGCTCAGTTTTCTGAAGACAGTAAAAGAAGAAAATGTGAAAAGTGTTTCTAATGTATGTGGAGGGCTAGCATGGTTCAGGCCAGCTGATTGGATTTCCTAAATTGCCACCTATCAAGCAGGACACTCATTACAATACATCACATCACTGCTCTCCTTGATGGAGTCAACAGGACTCTCACCAAGAGGCTAGCCTCCATTTTAAATGGAATCATACATCCAGAGGTGCGCAAACCACATCAATACTCATCTTACTGCCTCTAGTTGGTACCACGTGTCTCTGTGGGGATGTGCTGTGGGGCTGCATGTCTCCACAGGCAGCTGAGCCTCAGAAAAGGCTGGAATCCTGTTTACAAGCCCGACTTGTCATTTCACTCATGGACTGATGAGGGCAGGGCTCTTTCTGTCCTGTCTGAAATCATTTGGGGGAACCTGCTGTGTTGAAAGAGCTCAAACAAAAAGCAAGATGAGTAAATAAGTCACATATTTGCAGGAACATGCTGGAATCCAGGCCTCCAGCTGACAAAGACAGACTGGTGGTGACCTCTCGGGTCTCTCTGCCTCCTTATCAGGCTCACACAGGCCAGCCACCAGATCTGAGGGGTCAGCTCAAGGTTGGAGACCCCAGCAGCCTGAAACAAGTACCCCTAGGTGGACTAGAGAGCAGGGACTAGAGACTGGGGCTGGAATTACATCTGTACCTGGTTCAGGCAAGGTTCAGGAATCTGAGACTAGAGCCAGACAGAAGCCAAGACATGGGGGAGGGGGCCAGTCCAGTCCAAGGGAATACTGTGAACAAAGGCAAAGAGGCAGGAAGGAAAGAAGCACTTCTCAGGAGTAAGGAGGATCTGTTGTCAATGCCCAGGAAAATAGGAGGAGATAGAAACCTGATGACCGAGGAATCAAGCGTCAAGACCCAGGAGAACACCTTGAAAATTGTCCAAAGCTGCAAAGGGGATGGGGTGGGTGTAAAGGAAAGAGCTTCTTATCATTGACTTAAGAGGGAAGAAGCAATTACCTCAAATCTTGGTGATAGGGTTAATTATAGTTTCAAGCTTAAGTGAGAGGCTTAAGCCTGGAAACCAGTCAGAAGGAAACTTGGGACTTGATTCAGTCATTTATTTCTATTCATTTATTGAGAGCCTACTATTTGCAAGGCACTCTGCTAGGTTCTGAATCAGAAAATGACAATTTGGAACTCACAAGCCATATCAAGTATGCAAACCATGCTAGACTTGATTCTGTCAAAAAGCCAAGTGCATAGAATCTATAGACCTGATTGGGCATATGATGCTGTGTTGACCCATTATCAACATAACGATTATATTTTATCAATTTCAGATTAGACACATGGTCTGATTATTGAAAGTAATAGGTGCATACCAAGAGAAATAAAAATGCAGTAATAAAAATGTATATGAAAGTAGAAAACCTATAAGCTTGAGAGTCAGAAAAACATGATTTCAAACCCTATCTAGGCTAAGTACTAGCTGTGTGACCTCAGAAGAATTACTCAACTTTTCTGTGCCTCAGTTTTCTTGTGTATAAGATGGGGATAAAAATAATAACTTTCAGAGTTATTGTAAGGATTGAATGAGATAGTGTGCATAAAATATACGGCAAATTGTTTATACTTAAATAAGTACTCAAAAATGACAGTTTTATTGTTAATTTTCTCATTCATGTATTGTTGAAGCTGAGAGCATATTGTTCTAGTTATACTTTCTTTTAAATTGTGTTCAACTTGTTCTATAAATCTTTATCCTTAATTGTTTTTAAATGTATTCAGCTTCTTCCAGAAGTCTTTGTTCTCAATTTTTAAAAATATATTCAGCTTGTTCCAGAAATCTTAATCGTTAATTTTTTTCAAACAACTCTTGGCAAGCATTTGAGTATTCATTTGCATTATTCAGAAAATGTTTACATTTTTCAGTGATCAGAGTGGCTTTTCCTAATCCCTCTAATTTTTCAATTTGTGAAAATGACCCTGATCCTCACATTTTTACTCCATACTAAAATGATGATTTTCCATATCCCTTGCATTTAGAAGATTGCTATCATCAAGAGGAAAGTATTTAAGCATATTCTACTATCTCTGATCTATAGTTACTCTCTCTGTATCCCATTTGGCAAATACGTTCTCATTAGGTTATCATCTAAGAACCAAAGTTTCTTTATAGAGATTATTGTAAGACCAAATGGCAAAAAACACTTTGAAAAAGTTTCTGTCGCATTCAGGGCTCCTTATGGACTGACCCAAGATTAACATGGTGTCTTTGTATGGCTTCTCAAGGAAGTAGATCCTGAGACAAAGATTTCAATGAAAATGATTTCTTTGAGAATTTCAGGTAACACCTCTAAGCGGGTAGAATAGTAATAAAGAAAAGGAAGGCTGTCAATAAAGAGTGTGCTTTTAAGCCAGCTACCACTGTGAAGGAGTGACATTCATATGTGGAAACTCTGGGAAATGGTGCAAAACACACACCTCAGAATTATCCCACCTGAGGAGCAAGGGAGCTGGGAATTTTTTTTTTTTCTGGAGACGGAGTCTGTTTTTTCACCCAGGCTGGAATCCAGTGGTACAACTGTGGCTCACCAGCCTCCAACTCCTGGGCTCAAGTGATCCTCCTGCCTCCACCTTCCAAGTAGCTGGGACTACAGGTGCGTGCCATCACGAACAGCTAATTTTTCAAAAAGAAATTTTTAGAGATGGGTCTCACTATGTTGCCCAGGTTGGAGTTTGGGTATTTATACATCAACTCATGAATCACATCTCACTGCTCCTGGGGGCTGTTAATTCACTGGCATTTGTAGATTGCTGTACACATAGACAACAAAGATTTCTGCAGCTCTGGGAAAAGAACCTGCAAGGAGTAATGCAGTTAGAATTTGCCTGGCATATGGGTGGGGCTCTGACAATACCTGTTACACCAAAAGAGGTGCAAATGGGCTTTTATTCCATGGGATGCAGGGTTACTGGGCTAAGGTTGGGGCTCAGCTCTGCTCTGATTCTGGCTCTCTTACTCTGTTGTCTTAATCTTTTAATCTCTTCTCACTGGCATGTATTTTCTTGGTACCAGAATAGTAACATCTAACAGCTGAGAGTGATCTTAGGGGCAAAATGGAAAGAGAGGTTCAGAGAATCAAAACAAGAGCATTTTCCCCTATATCTAGAACCACTGGCCCCTGTATTTCTGCATCTCTGTTCTCTTCTTACCTTCTTACCTCACTGAAGGAAACAAGCCAAAAGAGAGAGAAGAAGGAGACAAACAGAAACAGAGTTGTTACCTATCTGACCTCATGGAAGCAAGAGAGGTTGCCGGGAGAGGAGATCACAAGAAAGAAGCAGACTATTGGCTTCTAGCATTCTAGAAGGTCATGACTCTTTTGCTGTGTTCTTCTTCTTCAATGTGGATAAGGGATAGTGGGAAGAAGGGACAAGTTGGCCAACATTAAGATTTATGTTCCTAAGATCTACATCAGCAGTTTTCACACTGTATTTTTAATTAGTAGACAATTGCCATGGTTTTTCTGTCCAGTATTGAACTCCTCCTTCTTAGTAGTTTGCCAGCCTTCTTTTGGGGGACTGCTGCATTGTATGTGATCTTAGTGGGAGGCAGTGCCTACCTTTCATTACAGTGTCCCAAGGAGCCAGAACCTTGCTTTCCCCAACCCTGTCTAGTCACTGCCAGAAAAATTTGGGAATTGATTTGCATAACCATAACTCCGGGCATAGAATAGCAACTTAAATGAATCTATAGTCTTAGAATCAGAGGATAAAAGGAAGAAGCTTCTTTACTTCTACGAATGTTAGAAGCAGAATGTCCTGGAGTTAAACGGAAGGAGCTTTCTGTGTAAGGGTTATCTGGACAGTTTCATCACACTGAAATCAGGAATGATAATGATGCCTACTGTAGGCCAGGCACTTCATATGAATGATATCATTACTGGTACAACAATCCTGTGATCTAAGTGCTATTATGACCTCCATTTTTTAGAAAAGAAAATTGAGGCTTGGAGAAGTTAAGTAACTTGCCAAAGGTCATCCAACTACCAAGTGGGTTTCAAATCTAGTTCTGTCTGATTCCAAAGCCTTAACTCATTATCATCATGCTGGGCTGCTGCTGCTTCCTGTAGCCAAGAATTTAAATTGTTGGAATGAGCTTAGTGGAAAGTCATGGGAAGAGGCTCCAAGGTAGTGAGAAGAGCACCATTAAATTAGCTAACTACAGAGTGTGACCTAGGAAAAGAGGCTGTTGTGACCATATCATGTGGTCATGATTCAAATGAAATGGGAAGTACTGGGTGATTAGATATTACAGGTAGGGTGAAGAACCAGTTCAGTAACTTCAAGGAGTGATGGAGACAGCATGGAAGAATGACATGATTAGAGATGAGACTGCTGAGTCCAAAGTGGCAATTGCTATTCTGTGGCTGATATGGATTTAAAGGAGCCAGCTCTTCTACCTCCTGCCATTATGTTCTTCAATATTCCTGTTGATGTCCTCATTTTACCAAACTCACTGGAGTCTTGACTTCATAGTTACGTTCTTCTCCTGGTTGCTCAAGTACAATTTACATTAACTTTAATTCTCTGTTTTTAAACATTCTCCCATGTAGTTCTGAGTTCCACTGGCACAAAATTTAGGTAACAATTTGGGTGTGCGTGTGTGCATGTGTGCACATGTGTGCTTGTTTAGTGTGTCTCAGCTTATTTCTCTTTGGTTGCACATATGCCTATTGATAGGAAAATTATATTCAAGAAGACTCGGTTCAAATATATGTGGCATTGCATGCTTAAGAGTTTCTAATAATGCTGATTTTCATATTTCAAATGTAAGAAAACTGACTTTTGAGGTTCATTTGTCTGAGAGTTCCTAAGGATTTAGTAAAGCTGCTTTTGGATATAGGCCTGAGAACTATGGCTTTATGCTGGGTTTTGAATGTGTGAGTGTGGATGTGTGTGTGTGTCTGCCTGTGCTCGCTCAAGAGCTCACATGTGCTTGCTTCCCCCACCTCCTGTGCTTTGCTGTAATTGAAACATCACAGAGCAGCCCCCAGCAGGACGCCAGCAGGTACCCTGAGGGCTACTAGCTGTGTGATTTTCTTAGAGTTGTGAAAAAGAAACTTGAGAAATCATATTGAATAAAACCTGTTTTTAATCTATTTGGCCCTTAGGGGGTATCATATAGCTGGCTGTAAAATTCACTCAGGTATCTAACCTCAGGATAAATTGGAAAGGATGAGACCTAGTACAACTCACTCCCACATACTCCTTATAAACACTTCTCAAGGACCCTTTTTTTACATTTGTTATTGGGGGAAATGTGCTTTCACCTGAGGGGCAGAAAGGGTTGGAGGAGAAAAAGAGTGTGTGTTCAGTTGTCTCAACAGCTGTGTGAGAGCCATACATGCTCTGCTCATGGAAGTCAGTTGTTTGCCAAGGTACAGGGTTCCTACATATGTCTAAGTGTACTGCCCCCAATTCCCATTGTTTTGAGACTCCAGACTAGTGAGAGTGTGCCTGGCAGGCTTGCAGGCTGGCTAAGCCCCAAATCGCAGGTTCATTATTGTATAAAGGAACCATATAGTTTATCCAAATTACTGACACAAGCATCACCATGGGGCCACGTTTAATTTTTTATTTCGGGAACTTTGTGATCAAAAGGGTAGGCCACCAGGAGTCTTATTTGCATAAGGACATATAGGCCTCCTGGGATAAATGTGAACAAAGAAGGGGAGACAACGGCTATGCTAATGTCAGGGGTTGACAGAAACTCACTTGAAATTAAGAGAGAACTGAGGTTCCTGGGTTCCTTCTTGTGACAGTGGTTTGGGGACACTGAGAAATTCACTTGATGGGGGACTACAGGGTGACTCTCATATGCCCTCTGGCCTCGTCCCTCAGACCTTATGGAATAAGTTCCATGGAAAGGGAAGAACAAAACCAAAATAGCCAGGGTATCTTTCCTAATAAAGGATAGTATGAACATGAGAATAGATCACATTGGGCTGACCAAGAGTGTTACTCACTGAAGGGAAGGGATACTCCCCTTTGAGGATCCCTGTAGCAATTATGATGACAATGATAGCATCAATGGAATGGTTACAACTGCATTAACAGAGTATTGAAAGCAGTTGATGGTGTGCCAGAAATACTAATAGTAATAACTACCATTTTTTGAGGCTTACTATGTATTAGGACTCTCTCATGTATTATCTTAGTCCTATGGAGTAAGTACTAACTCCAGTTTACATATGAGAAAACAGAGAGACAGAGAAGTTAAGTATCTGGCATAGGACCACACAGCTGTCAAGCGGCAGATCCAAAATGCAAACGTTTTACCTCTAAACCCCATGCTTTTAATCACTAGACTATATAATAGTGAGAGTTGCCAAAGACAGCATGAGCTTCCTGGTACTAAGCTTGGAGTTCCAGAACACTTCTGGTTGGAAAGTCTAGGTGGACCCCACTGAAAGGCTGCAGTGGCCCAGTGAAAGAAAGGCAGCATGACTTGATCCTTTCATTCTCTGGGATGCAGTTTGTCCATGTGTGAACTGAAGTCGTTCCAGAGTAGTGATTCTCAACAGTATTCCTCCTTAGAAGAGGCTTTGGACATTTATGGGAGCATGTTTGTCTTCTCTTGTCATTGTGCCAAGCCTTTATATGTAAAAATAAATATTGTTTTATAATAAAGCTCTTTCCTTTTTTACTTCCTGTAAATCACGGGCCATTATTTATTTATTTTTATTTTTAAATTACTTGTGTAGACAGGGTGAATCACTTATGTTTTTCATTTCAGGATAATGGGAGGAGTTCATTTTGTTAAAAAAAAATCAATAAGAGTCATTAGGTTAAGAACCACTTTTCTAGATGATTTATAATGATCCCTCCAGTTGTGACAGCCTGTGGTTCAAAATCATTCTTGGGGCAAGTGAAACAATGCTTACACTATCAGAAGTATTCAGATGACTCTGGAGTGAAGCCTGCTTCCCTGCCTCCCAGGTGTAGGTGTACCCAGATTACCTACAGCTAGGGTACCCTGCAGATAAGGTTCCTTTTCCACTGAGGACCCAGAAGTTTCTCCATAAAAGACATCATACCTTTGGACTTTAATCTCCTTTTATTTATATCAAGTACTAACACCTTTTCTGACTCATGAAACTATGGGGAGGACCATTCTCTTTGCTACTCTGGGCCAGAGGGATGGGATAACGGAAAAAAGTCCATTAAAACAAGTTACAAGTGTGTCTCCTGACCCCTCTCAGGTTAGCTTGGGTTATAGTGATTAGGTTCTGACCATAAATAGTTTGTTCTACTTACCTAGCTCCACCCCTCCCACCCATGCTAGTGGGCTGTTGCTTACTCCTAATTTTGGGGAAAGCCCCATCATTTCTTCCTAGGCCAGCTCCAGCCATAACCTTTGAGTTTCAGTTCAAGACTGCTCATTAGGTGGTAAGCTAAACTCAACTCCATGGCTGTGTCATTCCAACACTTCTGCCAGCATCTCTTAACAAGTTTCTTCTTAGAGTCTTCTTAGCCTGCCGGAATTGCCTCCAGCAGCCACTTCCTATTCTAAGGCCTTTCTGAGCTAATCCCTAGCTCACTGCTTTCCCCAGCTATTCCAGCTTGAATCAATTTCTTGATCTTTTTATTGACCTCATTTTCTCGGCACAGCATTTTAATCTCTCTGTATGGGCCTCCATTGAGTTTAGTTCCATCATCCTTTCAAGCAAGGGGCTTCCTAGTTGTCTTACTGGTGATGAGCATGCTACACAGGAAGCTCCATGATGGTGGGGACACATCTGTGATATTCACCATCATATAACCTGAGCCTACTAGCATAGATCCTGGCACGAAGTAGGCACTCAATAAATGCATTTTGGGTCATTGACTGTGAAGTCCATATGTCCACTTACCAATAAATGTAATGGGAACCATGCTATGTGCTTGGTTCCCAAGTAACGATTGAATCTTGGGATTTCTACAAGAAGCCATGGATACTTATCAGCCTGGTCCTCACTGGGGACCAAAAAAATTTCCTGGCACAGATTTATAAAACCTTTTTCCTAGATCCATTTCTAGAGAGGTTCACAAATCCCAAAGAATGTTCCAGCAAGGCCCATGCAAACTGTTTGCATGAAACATTTTGACTCGGAGGAGTGGGAGAAATAAGAAGGGGCACCCCTACATTGACATTCATGTCTCTTCCAGTTTGGGAGCGAGAACTAACTTGCATGCTCTGGTCTTTCAGAGATGTCCATAGCTTGGGAATTCAGTTTAAATAGGACTCTCTACTTAAAATTTGATTCAAGTCACACACTATCTTTTCAGGAAAAGATACTGGTCTGTGAGTCATACATGGAAAGTGTTTATCATGATGCAGTGAAAAACTATTTCCAAAGGGCATTCAGATACTTTGTGTTGTTTCCACTGTACTCTAACTCTAGTGGCCAAGGAAGTTAATGTGCACTCCGTGAAGGGGACAACATTTCTTACTGCATAGGGCCCTGCAGCGATTGGCAAGGTCCTCATTCTGCTTCCTAGAGTATACTCACAAGAAAGTTAGTGAAACTTTTGACCCTGGGCAAGGTGACTCACTTTCCGAGCCCCAATTTCTCTATTTTTAAAGTAAGGGGATTGGACCTGTTTAGGTCTTAGGCTCCTTCAAAAAGGCAGTTTTGAGAACATACAGGCTCTGAGACAGATAAACGCAGATGTCATTCACGTCTCTGCTATTTGGTGGCCATGTGATCTTGAGCAAATCAATTAACATTTTTCAGCCACAGTTTCCTTATCTGTAAATTAGAGATAAAACCCCCTTCATTAAATGAGAGAGGATAAAAGAAACATCTAGCACAGTGATGGAACTCAGAAATTACTACTTTCCTCTTCTTTTCCCATTCTATCTTTTCCCCTTCTTTCTGTGGCCATAAATTACTGTCATAGTGGTGCTACATCCCTGTGCAGTGTCTGCAGATGTAAAATAAGGCCGCTTCTCTTCTCAAATAAAGACATACATGCGGCCAACAAACATATGAAAAAAAGCTCAACATCACTGATCATTAGAGAAATGCAAATCAAAACCACAATGTGATACCATTTCACACCAGTCAGAATAACTATTATTAAAAAGTCAAGAAACAACAGATGCTGGCAAGGTTGTGGAGAAATAGAAATGCTTTTACACTGTTGGTGGGAATGTAAATTAGTTCAACCACTGTGGAAGACAGTGTGGCAATTCCTCAAAGATTTGGAACCAGCAATACCACTTGACCCAGCAATCCCATTACTGGGTATATACCCAAAGGAATATAAATCATTCTATTATAAAGATATATTTCATGCATATGTTCATTGAAGCACTATTCACAATAGCAAAGACATGGAATCAACCCAAATGCCCATCAATGATAGACTGGATAAAGAAAATATGGTACATATACACCATGGAATACTATGCAGCCATAAAAAGGAATGAGATCATGTCCTTTGCAGGGACATGGACGGGGCTGGAAGCCATTATCCTCAGCAAACTAACACAGGAACAGAAAACCAAACACCACATGTTCTCACTTATAAGTGGGAGCTGAACAATGAGAACACATGGACACCAGGAGGGGAATAACACTCACTGGGGCCTGTCAGGGGAGGGCGGTAGTGGGGAGAGCATTAGGGAAAGAGCTAATGCATGCTGGGCTTAATACCTAGGTGATGGGTTGTTAGGTGCAGCAAAACACCATGGCACATGTTTACCTATGTAACAAACCTGCACATCCTGCACATGTACCCCGGAACTTTGAAAAAAAAAGGATAAAATAATTTTTTAAAAGAGTAATGCTGCTTCTGTTCACTGCTGAAAGTGCAAAAGGCAGTGCACACTCTAGACCATGAAGAGCTTGTGTTCTGGGAACATGTTGCCACGGACCTAGAAGCATTAACAGGATTTCTGTCTCAGTATATTTTCCCAGATACAGTACAGTAAACTGTACTTTCAGCTGACCAAAATCCTAAGATTAGGATTTGCCCTCTCAGTCCCTGCTGATTTATAAATTAAGGAGATTAGGAGTCACTTTATTGACTAAAGGTGAGAGGTTAGAGTCTCCTTAAATCCATGTCAAAAATATTTATCTCTGAGCCTATCCAACAAGGAAAGACAGAGTGAGCGTGAGCATACTTTGTCTTGTTATCCATGGAATGTACATTCCTGTTGCTTAGCATAGATTACGAATTCCATTGAAAACCAGGACTTGATTTTACAGATTTAAGTAACTCCCCATGGTATGTACTTTAGCAATCTTGCTGTAACTAGGAAGCATATATTGGACAGTATAGTTTAATGGCTAAGAAGGCATGCTTTGGAATAGAGGTCCTGAGTTTGAATTACTGCTCTGCCATTTTACTAGCAGTGTGATCTTAGTCAAACTAATTATCTTTGTGTGAGTTCCTTCATTTTCAAAATAGAAATGATAATACCTTCCTCATGTAGTGGTTGTGGGAATTAAATGAGCTAATGCACGTGAAACACTGAAAACAGCATTGGCATAAAACAAGCACTCAATACATGTTAGGTCTTACTAGGATTCTCATTAACACTAGCATCACTATTATTATCAGGGCCCTTTGTGGGCATATAGCTAATTATATATTTACTATAAAGTAAGGTTGTGGAAAAAACTATTTATAATTTTTATTTGCAACAAAACTTTTAGCAACAAGGTAAAAATATACCCCCAGAGCTTTGTTCATAGCCAAAATGAGGCTTGTAGTAAATCTTGAGCTGGTCGAACTATCTCTACCTCTATACCAAATTGATTCAAAATATATATAATAATTTCAGGGAAATGCAAATCAAAACCACAATGCCATACCAACTCACTCCTTCAAGAATGACCATAATCAAAAAATCAAAAAATAATACCGGTGGGGATGCGGTGAAAAGGGAAAACTTTTACATTGCTGGGGGGAATGTAAACTAGAACAACCACTATGGAAAACAGAGTGGAGATTCCTTAAAGACCTAAAAGTAAAGAACTACCAGAAGATTCAGCAATCCCATACTGGGTATCTACCCAGAGTAAAAGAAGTCATTATATGAAAAAGGCACCTGCACAAGCATGTTTATAGCAGCACAACTTGCAATTGTAAGGAAATTGTTTTATATATACATATATATATATATATGTCATGTAATACTATTCAGCCATAAAAAGGAATCAAATAATGGCATTTGCAGCAACCTAGATGGAATTGAAGACCACTATTCTAAGTGAAGTAACTCAGGAATGGAAAACCAAACATTTTATGTTCTCACTTATAAGTGGGAGCTAAGCTATGAGGATGCAAAGGCATAAGAATGATACAATGGACTTCGGGGACTTGGGGGAAAGGGTGTAGGGGGGTGAAGGATAAAAGACTACAAATTGGTTACAGTGTATACTGCTCGGGTGATGGATGCAGCAAAATCTCACAAATTACCACTAAAGAAATTATTCATGTAACCAAACACCACCTCTTCCCCAAAAACCTATGGAAATAATAAAATAAAATAATATATAATGAGCACCCACTGTGTGTCAAACAGATTTGTAATTTTCTACTTTATCATATAGTTACACAGTTTCACAATGTATGGTTTTATTGATTTCCCATTGCCTTAACTAATCAGTTTGATTTTGAACCACATAAACAATTGTGTTGGGCTATGAGGGAACTAATAAATATTTCTATGCTTCCTACCTGAGATTACAACCAACTGAGAGATAAAGCCAGGGGTCAAACAAGTGGAAATCAAAATAATCAGCTTTACTACTTCTAAAGCTGTTGAGAGAACATAGCTTAGCTTTAAGGACCTAACCGATGCTATATATCCCTCTCTCCCTTAATTGAAAGTATCCCCCACAAAATTTCAGATCTACTCCACAGAGGCATATCCTGCCCCACAGATCCTTTGGGAACATGGAGCCAGCAGACCAGATAGTACCCTTTCACACAGGCAGGCAGATCCCAAAAGAGAAGAGGAGGGCAAAGCAAAGATACCCAAGTTAATCATCCATTACTAGTTAATTAAGTCACTTCTCCAATGGGGAGAAATGAGTAAAAGATGAGGAAAGAGGCTAGGAGTGGTTAAGAAATCTCTTTACATGGAGCCATGAAGGGTGGGGGATTAAGTGTCCCTACAACTTACCTTAGCTTTTTGTTCTTTTAACCATTAAGTATGTGACCAATCAGGGATATGACTCCCACTCTGGGAAAGGAGATCAATGGCCTGTTGAGATTCCCTCCTTCATGAGGCCACTTTCCCAGTACCAGGTCTCATTGGGAATATCCAACTAGAGTTACTGGTGGGCAAAGTAGATTTTTTTTTGCTTCTAGAAATGGTTAAGAACCATACATTAATTTCATGAAGCCTGAAACTTAGATGAACATGGCTAGAGAAAAACACATCTTATCTCACTTTATCTTCATGGCAGTGAATCTCAAGTGGGCCCTTACCTCTGCTGCCAGTCATGACACATTTCCCTAGCTCATTCACTCTTCCACTCTTGCAGACAACTATTCCTATCTTCTCCCCACTGCAACAACTCCTTTCCCATGCTTACTCTCAGCTTATGGTCATGCTTGTTATTTCACTGGGAAAATAGAAGGACTCAGATTTTTCATAAGCCCATACCATTATATGTATACACCTATTGGCCCATTCATTATGGCCTGCCTTCTTTCCTGTTACTATGGCCATCACGTTTCTGCTCCTAGCAAAGGTACTTTCCTTGTACATGTGAGCCAATGCCCTCTCCCCTATTCAAGGACATTACCCCAATATTTCTTTACTCTCTCTTCTATGTCATATATTTTCGTTTTTTTTTTTACTGGAGTTTTTCCATACTCAAGTATTTCTCCTATCCTAAAAACATAACAAAATAAAACCCCTCCCTCTATGTACTACCTCCCTCAATGTACTGCCCGAGCTCTCTTCTATTTGCAGAAATACTCCTTGGAAGAGTTATCTGTATTCCCTGTCTCCAGTTCTTCTCTTCTCATTCTCTCATGAGCCCATTCCAATCAGTGTTTATCAAAGTCATCAATGACTTCCTCAATGTGGTGATTGATTCTCAGTTCTCATCTTATTTTACCTTATCATCAACATTTGACATTTATTGCTTTCTCCTCTTTGAACTCTCTCTTCATTTGATTTGCAGGATACCACGTTCTACCTCTCTGCTGTTATTTTTCAAATGTCTTTGCTCATTTTCACCTTATCTTCTTGGCCCTTATATATTGGGGTTCCAAGAGACTCAATCCTGGAACCACTTCTCTTTTGTAACTGCTGTCACTCATGCTGATAACACCTACATTTATATATCCAGTTCAGACCTGTCTGTGGAACTCTACACTCATATATCCAACCACCTACTAGGTATCTCTACTTGGATAGTCTAGTTGAAAACTCAAAGGTAACATGTCCAAATCTCCTGATCTACTTTTCCTAGTCTTTTCTATCTCAGTAATAGTAGCTCAATTCTTTCTGTCGCTCAAGGCATTTACAACTTGGAGTCATCTTGATTCCTGTCTTTCCCTTACATCTTACAAAAATAATTCATCAGCAATTTTCATTGACTCTACCTTCAAAAGATATCCACAATCCAATCACTTCTTACCACTTCTACTGCTACTATCCAAGTTGACACTACCATCTTTTCTCTTCTAGATTATTACAACAAACTCCTAACTGGTCTTTATGCTTTCTCTCTTGCCCCCTCATTGCCAGAGTTTATTTTCTGCACAGTAGCCAAAGTGATCTTGTTAAAACTTAAATGACATCATGTCACTCCTCTGCTCAAAGCTTCCAATGGCTTTCCATCTCCCTCATGATCTGACTCCCTGTTACCTCTCTGCCATCATCTGTGATGGCTCCTCCCCTTGGTTACTCTTCTCCAGACACATGGGCCACCTTGCTGTACCTCAAACACCTTAAACCTCACCTCCACTCCTTTGCAATTCGTGTTACCTCTGCCTGGGCCACTCTTCTCCCAGACAACTGCCTGGCTTTCTTTCTCACTCATCTTCAGATCTTTGCTCAAGTGTCACCTACTAGGTACAGCCTTCCCTGACCACCATATTTAAAATGGAACTATTTCCCCCCAGTTCTTCTTTCTACTTGCCATTTATTATAATCTAACTCATTATATATTTTACTAATTTGTCCTACTTATTAACATTTTCTGACTACTCTTCCCAAAATGCAAGCTACTTGAGTCACAAGGGCAGGGATTTTTGTCTCTGTCTTTACTGTTTCATCTTCAGTTCCTGGCACATAGCAGATATTTTACACATATATATGTATATATGTATATATATTTGCCCCTCGTATATATGTGTGTGTATATATATGAGGGGCAAATATATATACATCTATATATGTATACATGAAATATATAACATATGTTTCAAAATATATGAAACAGTGCTTTGCACAACAAAGGGCATCAGGCAACAAAGGACAGGGATCCTTGCAAGATGGCAGACAAGTGAGATGGGCCATATGACTGCTCTAGCTCAGTGCCATGAGAGCATTTCCAGATGGTGCCAGGAGGGAGAGTGCAGCCAGAGCCTGGCAGATTCCCTGAATTAAGGTTATGGAGCTTAGAGTCCTGGGAGACCAAGGTAGCAGGCCAGTGTAGTGGAGAGGAGAGAGCTTCAGAGAGGTTGGAGGGGCAGTGGGGCAGGGAGGAACTGAATATCTGCAGAGGGTCTCTCTTGATTACCTAGCAGTTAGTGTACTGATCAGCACTTGCATGTCAGGAAATTAACAAAGACCATAGAAAGAACCAGCTGAAAGAATTAGAAGTAATAGCGATTGGTTCTCACACAGGGCGAGGATGGTGCCTGTTCTCAACCAGCCAGACTGGAAAGCCTCATAATTCGCAGGGCATTGGGTAGAGTATTCAGAAGGGTCTTGCCTCAACAATGGGAAAGAATTAGTCCTAGACTAAGCAGTACTCTGGACCTCTCCAGCAAATCATAAAAACAGGACCCAAAAGGATGATACTGTTTCCAAGTAATTTGAAAGTGTCCCAGAACAAAGTTCAAGAATATTTATAGGAATACAAAAATATACAGTACCCAACAAAGCAACATTCACTATGTCTGACATTCAATAAAAAATTACCAGGTGTGCAAAGAAACAGGCAAATATAACCCATAATGAAGAAAAAAGAAAATCCTTCAATCAGTCTAACCCAGAGCTGACACCACAAGATATATTAAAGCATTTTCTTCAGGCAGAAGGAAAAATGATACCAGATGGAAATATGGGTCTATATACAAAAAATGCAGAGCACTACAAAGGTAACAGAATGGGTAAATGTAAATATATAAGATATTTTGATTTCTTATTATTGAAAACTCTTTAAAAGATAATTGATGTTGTAGAATGGGATGCATAACATATGTAGAAGTAAAATATATGATAACAAAAGCACAAAGGACTGAAAGGGATAAATAACAACTCAATTGGAAGAAAATTCTCACGATTGTGTTAATTACTGTATTATTTTTACCTAATATTTTGAAGGTTCCAGGTTTTGAATTGCTATATGTTTTCTGCAGTAGTGGAGTACACTTCGAGTGTTGCATCATCTTCTCTAGTCCTTTCAGAAAGGCTAAGTTTCTAACAGTTGAATTTTCTCCTTAAGTTCTCTCTCCCTTCTCTTTATCTGTGTGCTGAGTGTGGGTGACTTCTTTCCTTTTACTTTCTCTTTGCTTTCTGTCTTAGACATTTTTTAAAAAGACATCCTGCTAGGTTCTGTCCTGTGGCATCATCCTCAGTGAGTGATATGAAACATAAGTTGTGATTCTTCCAAAAGCATCCACTATGCAGAGAAATCTTGTCCACTTTCACCTCTCTAAATTGCATAGGGAGGAGATATTTTCCCATCAAAGCAACGTGTAACTAAGGACCAGACTCTATTATTTCCCTGGCTGGATTCCCTTTAACATGGTTCACCTTTGCTATGCCTCTCTTTAGAGCCTTAGTCCCGTAAATTTTGCTGCCGTATTTCTTTAAGGATACAGACAAGTACTTATTGCTGTCTACAAAAGCTGTTTCATCCTGAAACTTATTGAATAATTATTAGAATATTTGATGCTGATCTTCCTTGTCTTTTCCTCTCAATTTAGTTCAAAGTTTCTGAAATGACTTTCTACAGATGTCCTTCTCTTTGATGGTATCTCCCAATTTTTTAATTGTTATCTTGCAATTTGAATGGGGACCTACAACACTAGCAACACACACTATAGCTATAATATGATTTATTGAGAAAACTTACATTCAAAGGAGTAACAGAACTCACAGGATCCACAGAACCCCCGTAACTATGGAATATTGATTCCACTGAAGGGTGTACTTGAGCACGCAAGAGCTGGAAAACAATAGTAGAGTAAACTCTGATGTCACCGAAAAAAAAACCGATATGTATATATACTTGTGAAAGAAAGTAGCTTCCGTTCAATTTTATTTTTGCCTACTAATTTTTAATTAATTAAATTAATTAAAATTTAATTTTTGCCTATTAAAATGAAACTATTTGTATATATTTTATTGATGCATAATATAGGTACATAGTTTCAAAATACATGCAATAATTTAATACATTCATATAATTTGAAAACATCAAATCAGTGTACTTGGGATATCCATTACCTTAAATATTTGTCTTTTCCTTATACTAGAATCATTCAAATTTTCCTCTTCTAGCTATTTTGAAATATGTGATAGAATAGAATATTTTAAACTATAGTTGTCCTACTGATCTATCCAGGTCTTATTTCTTCTATCAAACCATGTATTTGTATTGAATAATCAACTTATCTTCATTCCCCTGCTCCTCTCAACCCTTCCCAGCCTCTAGTAACCACTAATCTACTCTCTGTCTTCATGAGATTCATTTTGTAGCTCCCACATACTAGTTGGGAACATGCAATATTTGTCTTTCTGTACTTGACTTATTTTTTCACTTAACATGATGACCTCCAGTTCCATCCATATTGCTGCAAATGACAGGATTTTGTTCTTTATATAGCTGAATAATATTCCATTACATACACACACACACACATAATTTTTTAAGTCTATTCATCCATTGATAGGCACTTATGTTGATTCCATATCTGGGCTACTGTGGTTAGTGTTGCAATAAATATGGAAGTGTAGATGTCTTTTTGATATATTGGCTTCCTTTCTTTTGGATACATACCCAATAGCGGAATCGCCAGATCCTATGGTAGTTCTATTTTTAATTTATTGAAGAACCTCCCTACTGTTCTCCATAGTGGCTGTACTAATTCATATTCCCACCAACAGTGTATGAGAGCACCCCTTTCTCCATATCCTTGCCAGCATCCATTATTGCCTGTCTTTTTTATAAAAGCCACTTTAACTGGGGTGAGAGGGTATCTCATTGTAGATTTTATTTGCATTTCTCTTATGGTTAGTGATGCTGAACATTTTTTCGTATATCTGCGGGCCATTTGTACGTCTTCTTTTGAGAAATTTCTAATCAGATCTTTTGCCCATATTTTAAATGCAGTATTCGCTTTTTTGTTATTGGGTTAAATGCTTCATATATTCTTCTTATTAATCCCTTGTCAGATGGGTAGTTTGCAAATATTCTCTCCCATCCCATGGGTTGCCTCTTTGCTTTGTTGAAGCTTTTTTCTGTGCAGACGCTTTTTAGCTTGATGTAATCCCATTTGTCTATTTTCACTTTGGTTGCCTATGCTTTTGAGGTCTTACACAAAAAATCTTTGCCCAAGGCTCGGCGTGGTGGCGCATGCTTATAATCCCAGCATTTTGGGGGGTCGAGGTGGGACGACAGCTTGAGGCCAGGAATTCAAGACCAGCCTGGTCAACATAGTGAGACCCCGTTTGTACAAAAAAAAAATTAACCGGGTGTGGCGGTGTGCACCTGTTATCTCAGCTACTTGGGAGACTGAGGCGGGAGGATCACTTGAGCCCAGGAGTTTGAGGCTGCAGTGAGCTATGATCACTTGAAGAGACTAGCAATTCCCCATTGCATATTCTTGGAAACTTTGTCAAAAACGAGTTGGTTGTAAATGCATGAATTTATATCTGGGATCTCTATTCTGTTCTATTGGTCTATGAGTCTGTTTTTATACCAGTACCATGCTGTTTTGGTTACTATAGCTCTGTAGTACAATGTGAAATCAGGTAATGTGATACTTCAGTTTTGTCCTTTTTTGCTTAGGATAGCTTTGACTATTCTGGGTCTTTTGTGGTTCGATATAAATTTTAGGATTGTTTTTTCTATTTCTGTGAAGAATGTCATTGGGTTTTTTATTGGGATTGCATTGAATCTGTAAATTGCCTTAGGTAATATGATCTTCTTAACAATATGAATTTTTCCAAGCCATGAACATGGAATGTCTTTCCATTTTTTGTGTCCTCTTCAATTTTTCATCAGACTTTTAGAGTTTTTCTCATAAAGACCCTTCACTTCTTTAGTTAAATTGATTACTACATATTTTATATTCTTTGTAGCTGTTACAGATGGGATTGATTTCTTGATTTGTTTTTCAGATTGTTCACTGTTGGTGAATATAAATACTACTGATTTTTGTATGTTGATTTTGTATCTTGTAACTTTACTGAATTTGTTTATCAGTTATAACAGGTTTTTTGGTGGGATTATTATGTTTTTCAAAGTATAAGTTCATGTCACATGCAAACAAGGCTAATTTGACTTCCTCCTTTCCAATTTGGGTGCCCTTTACTCCTTTCTGCTCTGCTCTCGCCAGGATTTCAGTACTGTATTGAAGAAAAGTGGTGAAAGTGGGCACCATTGCCTCGTTCCACATTGTAGAGGAAATGCTTTCAATTTTTCCCCATTCTGTACAATGTTAGCTGTGGGGTTGTCATATTTGCCTTTATAATTTTGAGATATGTCTTTTCTATATCCAGTTTGATAATTTTTTTATCATAAACGATGTTAAATTATATAGAATGCTTTTTAAGATCTATTGAAATAATCATGTTTTTATTCTTGATTCTGTTAATGGGACGTATAGCATTTATTGATTTGTATATGTTAAACCATCCTTGCATCCTTGGGATGAATCTCATTTGATCATGGTGAATGATCTTTTTTAATATGTTGTTGAATTTCATTTGCTAGTATTTTGTTGAGAATTTTTGTATCTATGCTCATCAGTTATATTGACCTATAGTTTTCTTTTTCTTTCTTTTTCTTTTTTCTGTATTCTTGTCTGGTTTTACTGTCAAGGTAATCCTGGCCTCATAAAATCAGTTTTGAAGTACTCCCTCCTCTTCAACTTGTTAAAAGAGCTTGAGCAAAGTTGGTATTAGTTCTTTATTTTTTTTCCTTTCTTTTTAAAAACATTTTGATTTTATTTTTTATGGGTGCATAATAGGTGTGTATATTCATGGGATGCATGAGATATTTTGACACTGGTAGATGATGTGTAATAGTCATATTTACCAATATCAGTAAATGTGGTAAGTATCACCTCAAGCATTTATCATTTCTTACTTTTTTAGTTATTTTATTTTATTTTTTTATTTTAATTGCTTTTTCGTTTGTTTCTTTTTGTTTTTTTTTATTATTATTATACTTTAAGTTTTAGGGTACATGTGCACAATGTGCAGGTTAGTTACATATCTATACATGTGCCATGCTGGTGTGCTGCACCCATTAATTCGTCATTTAGCATTAGGTATATCTCCCAATGCTATCCCTCCCTCCTCCCCCCGCCCCACAACAGTCCCCAGAGTGTGATGTTCCCCTTCCTGTGTCCATGTGTTCTCATTGTCCAATTCCCATCTATGAGTGAGAACATGCAGTGTTTGGGTTTTCGTCCTTGCAATCTTTTACTGAGAATGATGATTTTCAATTTCATCCAAGTCGCTACAAAAGACATGGACTCATCATTTTTTATGGCTGCATAGTATTCCATGGTGTATATGTGCCACATTTTCTTAATCCAGTCTATCATTGTTGGACATTTGGGTTGGTTCCAAGTCTTTGCTATTGTGAATAGTGCCGAAATAAACATACGTGGGCATGTGTCTTTATAGCAGCATGATTTATAGTCCTTTGGATATATACCCAGTAATGGGATGGCTGGGTCAAATGGTATTTCTAGTTCTAGATCCCTGAGGAGTCGCCACACTGACTTCCACAATGGTTGAACTAGTTTACACTCCCACCAACAGTGTAAAAGTGTTCCTGTTTCTCCACATCCTCTCCAGCACCTGTTGTTTCCTGACTTTTTAATGATTGCCATTCTAACTGGTGTGAGATGATATCTCATTGTGGTTTTGATTTGCATTTCTCTGATGGCCAGTGACGATGAGCATTTTTTCATGTGTCTTTTGGCTGCATAAATGTCTTCTTTTGAGAAGTGTCTGTTCGTATCCTTTCCCCACTTTTTGATGGGGTTGTTTGCTTTTTTCTTGTAAATTTGTTTGAGTTCATTGCAGATTCTGGATATTAGCCCTTTGTCAGATGAGTAGTTGCGAAAATTTTCTCCCATTTTGTAGGTTGCCTGTTCACTCTGATGGTAGTTTCTTTTGCTGTGCAGAAGCTCTTTAGTTTAATTAGATCCCATTTGTCAATTTTGGCTTTTGTTACCATTGCTTTTGGTGTTTTAGACATGAAGTCCTTGCCCATGCCTATGTCCTGAATGGTAATGCCTAGGTTTTCTTCTAGGGTTTTTATGGTTTTAGGTCCAACGTTTAAGTCTTTAATCCATCTTGAATTAATTTTTGTATAAGGTGTAAGGAAGGGATCCAGTTGCAGCTTTCTACATATGGCTAGCCAGTTTTCCCAGCACCATTTATTAAATAGGGAATACTTTCCCCATTGCTTGTTTTTCTCAGGTTTGTCAAAGATCAGATAGTTGTAGATATGCAGCATTATTTCTGAGGGCTCTGTTCTGTTCCATTGATCTATATCTCTGTTTTGGTACCAGTACCATGCTGTTTTGTTTACTGTAGCCTTGTAGTATAGTTTGAAGTCAGGTAGTGTGATGCCTCCAGCTTTGTTCTTTTGGCTTAGGATTGACTTGGCGATGTGGGCTCATTTTTGGTTCCATATGAACTTTAAAGTAGTTTTTTCCAATTCTGTGAAGAAAGTCATTGGTAGCTTGATGGGGATGGCATTGAATCTATAAATTACCTTGGGCAGTATGGCCATTTTCATGATATTGATTCTTCCTACCCATGAGCATGGAATGTTCTTCCATTTGTTTGTATCCTCTTTTATTTCCTTGAGCAGTGGTTTGTAGTTCTCCTTGAAGACGTCCTTCACATCCCTTGTAAGTTGGGTTCCTAGGTATTTTATTCTCTTTGAAGCAATTGTGAATGGGAGTTCACTCATGATTTGGCTCTCTGTTTGTCTGTTATTGGTGTATAAGAATGCTTGTGATTTTTGTACATTTATTTTGTATCCTGAGACTTTGCTGAAGTTGCTTATCTGCTTAAGGAGATTTTGGGCGGAGACAATGGGGTTTTCTAAATATACAATCATGTCGTCTGCAAACAGGGACAATTTGACTTCCTCTTTTCCTAATTGAATACCCTTTATTTCCTTCTCCTGCCTAATTGCCCTGGCCAGAACTTCCAACACTATGTTGGATAGGAGTGGTGAGAGAGGGCATCCCTGTCTTGTGACAGTTTTCAAAGGGAATGCTTCCAGTTTTTGCCCATTCAGTATGATATTGGCTGTGTGTTTGTCATAGATAGCTCTTATTATTTTGAGATACGTCCTATCAATACCTAATTTATTGAGAGTTTTTAGCATGAAGGGCTGTTGAATATTGTCAAATGCCTTTTCTGCATGTATTGAGATAATAACGTGGTTTTTCTCTTTGGTTCTGTTTATATGCTGGATTACATTTACTGATTTGCGTATACTGAACCAGCCTTGCTTCCCAGGGATGAAGCCCACTTGATCATGGTGGATAAGCTTTTTGATGTGCTGCTGGATTCGGTTTGCCAGTATTTTCTTGAGGATTTCTGCATCAATGTTCATCAAGGATATTGGTCTAAAATTCTCTTTTTTGGTTGTGTCTCTGCCCGGCTTTGGTATCAGGATGATGCTGGCCTCATAAAATGAGTTAGGGAGGATTCCCTCTTTTTCTATTGATTGGAATAGTTTCAGAAGGAATGGTACCAGTTCCTCCTTGTATCTCTGGTAGAATTCGGCTGTGAATCCATCTGGTCCTGAACTCTTTTTGCTTGGTAAGCTATTGATTATTGCCACAATTTCAGATCCTGTTATTGGTCTATTCAGAGATTCAACTTCTTCCTGGTTTAGTCTTGGGAGAGTGTATGTGTCGAGGAATTTATCCATTTCTTCTAGATTTTCTAGTTTATTTGCGTAGAGTTGTTTGTAGTATTCTCTGATGGTAGTTTGTATTTCTGTGGGATCGGTGGTGATATCCCCTTCATCATTTTTTATTGTGTCTATTTGATTCTTCTCTCTTTTTTTCCTTATTAGTCTTGCTAGCGGTCTATCAATTTTGTTGATCCTTTCAAAAAACCAGCTCCTAGATTCATTAATTTTTGAAGGGTTTTCTTTTGTCTCTATTTCCTTCAGTTCTGCTCTGATTTTAGTTATTTCTTGCCTTCTGCTAGCTTTTGAATGTGTTTGCTCTTGCTTTTCTAGTTCTTTTAATTGTGATGTTAGGGTGTCAATTTTGGATCTTTTCTGCTTTCTCTTGTGGGCATTTAGTGCTGTAAATTTCCCTCTACACACTGCTTTTAATGTGTCCCAGAGATTCTGGTATGTTTGAACCCATCTGTACATCACCATCATCAAAGACCAAAAGTAGATAAAACCACAAAGATGAGGAAAAAACAGAGCAGAAAAACCGGAAACTCTAAAAAGCAGAGCACCTCTCCTCCTCCAAAGGAACGCAGTTCCTCACCAGCAATGGAACAAAGCTGGACGGAGAATGACTTTGATGAGTTGAGAGAAGAAGGCTTCAGACGATCAAACTACTCTGAGCTACAGGAGGAAATTCAAACCAAAGGCAAAGAAGTTGAAAACTTTGAAAAAAAATTTATACTAATGTATAACTAGAATAACCAATACAGAGAAATGCTTAAAGGAGTTGATGGAGCTGAAAACCAAGGCTCGAGAACTACGTGAAGAATGCGGAAGCCTCAGGAGCCAATGCGATCAACTGGAAGAAAGGGTATCAGTGATGGAAGATGAAATGAATGAAATGAAGCGAGAAGGGAAGTTTAGAGAAAAAAAGAATAAAAAGAAACGAACAAAGCCTCCAAGAAATATGGGACTATGTGAAAAGACCAAATCTGCGTCTGGTTGGTGTACCTGAAAGTGACAGGGAGAATGGAACCAAGGTGGAAAACACTCTGCAGGATATTATCCAGGAGAACTTCCCCAATCTAGCAAGGCAGGACAACATTCAGATTCATGAAATACAGAGAATGCCACAAAGATACTCCTCGAGAAGAGCAACTCCAAGACACATAATTGTCAAATTCACCAAGTTGAAATGGAGGAAAAAATTTTAAGAGCAGCCAGAGAGAAAGGTCGGGTTACTCACAAAGGGAAGCCCATCAGACTAACAGCTGATCTCTCGGCAGAAACTCTACAAGCCAGAAGAGAGTGGGGGCCAATATTCAACATTCTTAAAGAAAAGAATTTTCAACCCAGAATTTCATATCCAGCCAAACTAAGTTTCATAAGTGAAGGAGAAATAAAACACTTTACAGACAAGCAAATGCTGAGAGATTTTGTCACCACCAGGCCTGCCCTAAAAAACCTCCTGAAGGAAGCACTAAACATGGAAAGGAACAACCGGTACCAGCCGCTGCAAAATCATGCCAAAATGTAAAGACCATCTAGACTAGGAAGAAACTGCATCAACTAATGAGCAAAATAACCAGCTAATATCATCATGACAGGATCAAATTCACACATAACAATATTAACTTTAAATGTAAATGGACTAAATGCTCCAATTAAAAGACACAGACTGGCAAATTGGATAAAGAGTCAAGACCCATCAGTGTGCTGTATTCAGGAAACCCATCTCATGTGCAGAGACACACATAGGCTCAAAATAAAAGGATGGAGGAAGATCTACCAAGCAAATGGAAAACAAAAAAAGGCAGGGGTTGCAATCCTAGTCTCTGATAAAACAGACTTTCAACCAACAAAGATCAAAAGAGAAAAAGAAGGCCATTACATAATGGTAAAGGGATCAATTCAACAAGAAGAGCTAACTATCCTAAATATATATGCACCCAATACAGGAGCACCCAGATTCATAAAGCAAGTCCTGAGTGACCTACAAAGAGACTTAGACTCCCACACAGTAATAACGGGAGACTTTAACACCCCACTGTCAACATTAGACAGATCAACAACACAGAAAGTTAACAAGGATACCCAGGAATTGAACTCAGCTCTGCACCAAGCGGACCCAATAGACATCTCCAGAACTCTCCACCCCAAATCAACAGAATGTACATTCTTCTCAGCACCACATATTCCACACCTATTCCAAAATTGACCACATAGTTGGAAGTAAACCTCTCCTCAGCAAATGTAAAAGAACAGAAATTGTAACAAACTGTCTCTCAGACCACAGTGCAATCAAACTAGAACTCAGGATTAAGAAACTCACTCAAAACCGCTCAACTACATGGAAACTGAACAACTTGCTCCTGAATAACTACTGGGTACATAACTAAATGAAGGCAGAAATAAAGATGTTCTTTGAAACCAATGAGAACAAAGGTATTAGTTCTTTAAATGTTCAGTGGAATTCAGCAGTGAGGCCATTAAATCCTGGGCTTTTCTCTGTTGGGAGACTTTTTATTATGGCTTTGATCCCATTATTTGTTATTGGTTTATTGAGGCTTTCTATTTCTTCAAGGTTCAATCTTGGTAGGTTGTATGTATCCAGAAATTTATTCATTTCTTCTAGGTTTTCAAATTTTTGGCACATAACTGTTCATAATAATCTCTAATGATTCTTTGTATTTCTGTGGTCTCAGTTGTATAAGACTCAATTATTTATTTATTCATCTACTCTATGCCTTTTAGTTGGAGAACTGAGTCCATTACATTCAATATTATTATTGATAAATAAGGACTTACGACTGCCATTTTATTTCTTACTTTCTGGTTGTTTTGTTACTCCTCTCTTCCTTTCTTATTGTCTTTCCTGTGGTTGGGTGACTTTTTTCCTGGTAGTGTGTTTTAATTTGTTGTTTTCAATTTTTAATGAATCTATGATAGGTTTTAGCATTACGGTTACCACAAGGCTTACAACAATCATCTTATAGATATATGAAGTTATTTTGGAGAAATCATGAGTTTTATCTTAGATAATAAAGAATAGAAACAAAGAAAAAAATTTAAAACTTCTATACTTTAACTTAATCTCCCCCCACATTTTGACTCTAATTATCTCAATTTACATATTTTTGCATTACCTATCTTTTAACAGGTTGCTCTAGCCATTATTGGATTTGGTATATTTGTCTTTTGGGCTTCATACTGGAGTTATAAGTGAATTGCACACCACAGTTGCAGTGTTACAGTATTCTGGGTTTGTCTATGTGCCTAATTGTTTGTGTGCATGTTAGTGGAATTTTTTGTGTATTTGTTTGTTTGTTAGATTGAAGAACTCCTTTTAGCATTTCTTGTAAGATGGGTCTGGTGGTAGTGAATTCTGTCAGCTTTGTTTTTTTGGTAATACTTTATCTCTATTTCATATTTTCTTTCAGCACTTTGAAAATGTCATTCTACTCCCTCCTGGCCTGTATGGTTTCTGTTGAGAAGCCTGTTACCAGATCAAGTGGAGCTTCTTTATATGTTATTTGCATCTTTTCTCTTGTTGGTTTTAGGATTCTGTGAAGAATGATGGTGGTATTTTGATGGGAATTGCATTGAATTTGTAGATTGCTTTTGGCAGTATGGTCATTTTCACAGTATTGATTCTACCCATCCATGAGCATGGGATGTGTTTCCATTTGTGTTGTCTATGATTTCTTTCAGCTGTGTTTTATAGTTTTCTTTGTAGAGATCTGTCACTTCTTCGGTTAAGTATATCCCTAAGTATTTCATTTCTTTTTTTTTTTTTTTTTTTTTTTTTGCAGCTATTGTAAAAGAGGTTGAGTTCTTTACTTGATTCTCAGCTTGGTTGCTGTTGGTGTATACCAAGGCTACTAATTTGTGTATATTAATTTTGTATCTGGAAACTTTGCTAAGTCCATTTACCAGTTCTAGGAGCTTTTTGGGTGAGTATTTTAGGGTTTTCTAGGTGTATGAGCATGTCATCAGCCAACAGCGACAGTTTGATGTCCTCTTTACCAATTTGGGTGCCCTTTATTTCTTTCTCTTGTCTGATTGCTCTGCTTAGGACTCCCAGTACTATGTTGAACAGGTGGTCAAAGTGGGGATCCTGGTCTTGTTCCAGTTCTCAGGGGGAATGCTTTCAACTTTTCCCTGTTCAGTATAATGTGGATTTTTCATATCCAAATTTATTATTGTTTTTCAAGATTATTTTGGCTATTCTGAGTCCTTTGCAATTCCATATGGATTTTAGGATTGATTTTTTTATTTCTGCAAAAAAAAAAAACCTTTGTAATATTGACAGAATCCCATTGATCCTGGAGATTGATTTCAGGTGTATTGCTACATTGACTATACCAAGTATTTCAACCCATGAGGATGACATGTGTTTCCATTAATTTAGGTCTTCCAGCAGTGTTTTGTGGTTTTCATTGCATGAGTCTCGTACCTCCTTGGCTAAATTTGTTGCTAGTATTTTATTATTTTCATGCTAGTATAAATGGAATTGTTTTCTTGATTTCTGTTTCAGATTGTTTATTGCTATTATATATGTTGTCTATGGCTAATATTTGTCTATTTATATGTGCCCTGAAACTTTGCTGAATTTGTTTATTCACTCAATTTGTTTCTGTGGATTCTTAAAATTTCTTATTTGTAAGATTGTGTCTCTTCTGTATAGAGTTTGAGAAATATATTTTCTGCATCTATTGAGATAGTTGTGTGGATTTCGCCCCTTCATTCTATTAATGTTGTGTATTATATACACTGATTTTCTTATGATGAACCACCTTTGCATTCCTGGTTAAATCCCACTTGTTTATGATGTAGAATTCTTTTAATGTGATGCTGGGAT
The DNA here is from genome assembly GCF_000001405.40 of Homo sapiens. Lineage (NCBI taxonomy): Eukaryota > Metazoa > Chordata > Mammalia > Primates > Hominidae > Homo > Homo sapiens. The sequence continues at coordinate 131,959,014 of NC_000023.11, read as the reverse complement.
TTAATTTCTAGTATTTTATTGAGAATTTTTACATCTATATAGAGGACATTGGTATGTGGTTTTCTTGTGATATCTTAGTATCAGGATAATGCTGACGTCATAAAATGACTTAGGAAGTGTTACTTCCTCTTTTGTTTTTTGGAAAAATTTCAGAAGAATTGATGTTAATTTGTGTTTGTTTGTTTGTTTGTGGCAGGGTGTTGTTCTGTCACCCAGGCTGGAGTGCAGTGGCATTCTCTGCTTATTATAGCTTCAACCTTCTGAGCTCAGGTGATCCTCCCACCTAAGCCTCCTGGGTAGCTGGAACTATAAGCATGCACCATCATGCCTAACTAATTTTAAATTTTTTGTGCATATGGGCGCTCCCTATGTTGCCCAGGCTGGTCTTGAATTCCTGGGCTCAAGCACTCCTCCTGCCTTGGCCTCCCAATGTGCTGGGATTACAGGTGTGAGCCACCATGCCTGGCCAATTATTCTTTAAATATTTGATAAAACATTGGTAAACTTACCAAAGAACACTTCTCGTCCTGCCCTTTTCTTTGTGGGTAGTTTTTACATAATTAATTCAGTCTCTTTACTTGTAACAGGTATATTAGGATGTTCTTTTTGTTTGCTTGTTTTAGTCAATTTTGGTACTTTGTATCTTTCTAAGAGTTTGTCTATTTTACCCAGGTTATTTGTTGGCATGCAATTATTCATAGTGTATTCTCTTATAATCCTTTTTAATTCTGTTAAGCCAATAATAATGTCCCCACTTTCCTTTCAAATTTTACTTATTTGAGTCTTGTCTCCTTTTTCTTCATGAGTGTAGTTATTTTATTGCTCTCTTCGAAGAGTCGACTTTTGGTTTTGTTGATTATTATGTTTTCTATTCTCTATTTTGTTTCTCAGTGCTCTAATCTTTATCGTTTATTTACTTCTGCTTGATTTGTGTTGAGTTTGATCCTCTAGTTTAGTTCTTTATGTTATAAAATTAGATTATTTCAGACCTTTCTTCTTTTTTTTAAATGTAGGCATCCATTCATAAATTTTCCACTAAGCACTGCTTTCACTGCATCTCAAACGTTTTGGCATCTTGTGTTTTTGTGTTAGTCTTCAAGCATTTTCTAATTTCCCTTTTGATTTCTTCTTGAATCATTGTTTATTTAAAATGTGTTCTTTTGTTTTCATATATTTATGAATTTTCTGGTTTTCCTTCTGTTATTGATGTTCAGTTCCATTCCATTGTGATTGAAGAATATACTTTGTATGATTTCAGTCTGCTTAATTTTATCAAAACTTGTTTTGTGGCTCAACATATGTTTTATCCTGAAGATTGTTCCATGTGCACTTGACAATAATGTGTAGTCAGCTGTTATTGGGAAGGTGTTCTACACATGTCTGTTAGTTCTCATTGGTTTATGGTGTTGTTCAAGTGCTCTATTTTCTTATTGCTCTCCAGTATAGCTCTCCCCATTATTGAAAGTGAGGGATAGAAGTCTCCACATATTGTAGAACTGTCTATTCCTCCATTCAAATCTGTCAATTCTTGCTTCATACATTTTAGGTCTCTGTTGTTAGGTGTGTGTATGTATATATATATAATTATTATATCCGTTTCATGGATTGACCTATTTATCAATATATAATGCTCTTCTTTATCTCTTATAACACTTTTTGGCTTAAAAATTTACCTTTCCCTAATATTGCTATAGCTACCCCACTCTCTTTCTGTGATTGTTTGCATGGAATATATATATTTTTTCATTCTTTCACTTTCAATCTAGTAGTGTCATTGGGTCTGAAGTGAGTCTCTTGTACACAGCATATAGATTGATCGTTTTCTTTATCCATGCTGCAAATCTTTGTCTTTTAATCAGAATGTTTAATTCACTGGCATGTAAACTAATTATTGATAAGAAATAACTTACTGCTGTCATTTTGTTATTTTATATATGTCATATTTTGGCTTCACAATTCCTAGATTCCTGTCTTCTTTTGTATTTAGTTTATTTTTATAGTGTACCATTTAATTCCCTTCTCATTTCATTTTGTGTATTTTTTCAGTGATTTTCTTAGTCATTACCTAGAGGATTGCAATTAACAACTTAAACCGATAACAACCCAGTTTGAATTCAATAGTATACAACAATTTTGTTTCTATATATTTTCATTCCTCTCCATGTGTGTTGTTATTGTTAAAAATTATACCTTTATATGTTGCAAGCCCATTTAAACATATGTAAATTACTGCTTTGTGTGTTGGTCTTTTAAATTGTGTAGGAAAAAAAGAGGAGTTACAAACCAAAAATGGAATACTGGCTTTTATATTTCCTATGTAGTTACCTTTATTAATGTTATTTATTTCTTAGGGTGGCTTAAAGATAATTTCTAGAATACTTTTATTTCTGAATCACAGATTTCCTTTAGCATTTATTGTAGGGAAGATCTACTAGCATTGAACTCTCACCTTTTTTTTGTCTGAGCATGTTTTAATTTCACCTTCCTTTTTAAAGGATAGTTTTGCCAGATGTGGAATTCTTGTGTCACAGTGTATTTTTTCAATAAGCACTTTCAATATGCCATATTTCCTTCTGGCCTACATAGTTTCTGATGACAAACTGGCTATTAATCTTACTGTGTTCCCCTTGTAAGTCACTTCTCTCATTTAACTTTCAAGATTCCCTCTTTGCCTTTGGTTTTTGACAGTTTGATTATAATTTGTCTTGGTATGGATCTCTTTGTGCTTGTAAGTACTGAGAGTTCCTTGGACTCCTTGGATATGTAGATTCATGAATTTTATCCAGTTTGGGGGGTTTTCAGCAATTATTTATTTAAATGTTTTAGCCCCTCTCTCTGTTTTCCCTCTTCAGGGACTCCCAGTATGTATAAACTGGTACACTTGATTCTGTGCCACAAGTGGTTGAACTTTGTTCATTTTTATTCATTCTTTTATCTTTCTACTCCTCATAGTGGATGGTTTCACTTGACCATCTTCAGGTTCAATGATTCTATTATCTTCCTGTGCAAATCTCCTCTTGAGCTTCTGTAGAAATACTTTTATTTTATTCATGTACATTTTAGCTACACAATTTTTATTTAGTTTCTTTTCATAATTTATCTTTATTAAATTGCTCTATTTGTTGACAAATCATTCTCCTGGTTTTCTGTAGTTATTTGCGTATGGTTTTCCTTAGCTCTTTGAGCATAATTAAGACAGTTGATTAAAGTCTTTTTCAAATGAGTGCATTTCCTTTCCTCAGGGAGAGTTTCTGTTCATTTATTTCTTATGTATTGACAATACCTTCTTGTTTCCTTGCATGCCTCATTATTTTTTGTGGAAAACTGGACATTATGAATATTGTAATGTGGTAACTCTGATAATCAGATTCTCTCCCCTCCCCAAAGTTTGTTGACTCATTCTATGAGTTTTGGTTGTTCATTTAGTGACTTCTCTAAAATTTTGTAAAGATTGCATTCATTGCCATGTGTCATCTGTGAAGTCTCTTTTCTTTAGTTTAGTAGTCAGCTACTGGTTTGACAGAGATTTCCTTAAACACCTGGAGACAAGAAAAAAAAAGAAATAAAAAAAAGGAAAAGAAAAGACTCTTAAGGTCTTTGCAGATTGGCCCTGTGTTGTGACACTCCTTCAGTGCTTGCCCAGGTCATTAAAGACTCTTCCTTATCCTTCATTTCCTGTTGTGCTGAGCCTAATGGTCATGCAAGAGATGAAAGCATTAGGTATTCTCAGGTCTTATATGAACATGCCCTTGGTTCTGAGTATGCACTTGACTTTCTACATATCCTGGGATATGTGGGACCTTTTCAATGCTCCGTTTCCCCAAAGTATCTTATTCCCCCAGTTTTCTTTCTTGTGTGCCTGTTGCTTGTTCCAACTCTCACGTTTTGTCCACATATAAGCAGCTTGTTCATTTGCCTTTTAGTGTTTTAAAGGAAAGTGCTTCATGTAGCTGTAATTCCAATTAAGAAAGTTCCAAGTTAGGCAAAACAAAGGCAAACTCCTCTATCAGTCTTTCAGAGTGCCCCCAATTAGGTATAAACTAATAACTACAATTCCTTAGGAATAAGGGCAGCTGTGCTTCATCTGGAACCAAGAACCTGCACTAGGAACAAAGGCTGCGATCTTCAATACTGCTACCTTCCTGGGGAGGTGGACTAGACAAGTTATGTTAAAATGCCACAAAGGTCTCCTAAAGAAGATATCAGTAGCCATTTTTCTGGTTAAGCTGTAGTTTGATTGACATACACCTTTGACTATTATCTTTCAATGTCTAATAAAGTTGATAAGTGTCTGATAAGAAACCCTCTGTAATTCATTCTATGAAGCCAAGATCACCCTAATACCAAAACCAGGAAAGGACAAAACCAAGAAAGAATACTACAGACTGATATCCTTGATGAACATAGATGCTAAAATCCTTAATAAAATACTAGCTAACCGAATCCAACAACATATCAAAAAGATAATCCACCATGATCAAGTGGATTTCATACAAGGGATGCAGGTGTGATTTAATATATGCAAGTCAGTAAATGTGACACACCACATAAACAGAATTAAAAACAAAAGTCACATGATCATCTCAATAGATGCAGAAAAAGCATTAGACAAAATCCAGCATCCTTTATGATTAAAACTCTCAACAAAATCGGCATATAAGGGACATCTATGACAAAACCACAGCCAACATAATACTGAATGGGGAAAAGTTGAAAGCATTCCCTCTGAGAACTGGAACAAGACAAGGATGACCACTGTCACCACTCCTCTTCAACATAGCACTGGAAGTCCTAGAGCAATCAGACAAGAGAAAGAAATAAAGGGCATCCAAATTGGTAAAGAGGAAGTCAAACTTTTACCATGTGCTGACGATATGATCCTTTACTTGAAAACCTTAAAGACTCCTCCAGAAAGAGCCTAGAACTGATAAAAGAATTCAGCAAAGTTTCTGGATACAAGATTAATATACACAAATCAGTAGCTCTTCTATACACCAACAGCAACCAAGCAGAGAATCAAATCAAGAACTCAACCCCTTTTACAATAGTTGTAAACAAACAAACAACAAAAAAACACAGCAACAACAAAAAACAACTTAGAAATATATCTAACCAAGCAGTCGAAAGACCTCTACAAGGAAAACTACAAAACACTACTGAAAGAAATCATAGATGACAAACAAATAGAAACACATCCCATGCTCATGTATGGGTAGAATCAATACTGTGAAAATGACCATACTGCCAAAAGCAATCTACAAATTCAGTGCAATCCTCATCAAAATACCACCATCATTCTTCACAGGATTAGAAAAAAGAATTCTAAAATTCATATGGAACCAAAAAAGAGCCCGCATAGCCAAAGCAAGACTAAGCAAAAAGAACAAATTTGGAAGCATCACACTACCTGATTTCAAACTACACTATAAGGCCATAGTCACCAAGACAGTGTGGCACTGGCATAAAAATAGGCACATAAACCATTGGAGCAGAGTAGAGAACCCAGAAATAAAGCCAAATACTTATAGTCAACTGATCTTCGACAAAGCAAACTAAAACATAAAGTGGGAAAAGGACACTCTTTTCAACGAATGGCCCTGGGATAATTGGCTAACCACATGTAGCAGAATGAAACTGGATCCTCATCTCTCACCTTATACAAAAATCAACTCAAGATGGATTAAGGACTTAAACCTAAGACTTGAAACTATACAACTTTTAGAAGATAACATTGGAAAAACTCTTCTAGACTTTGGCTTAGGCTAGGATTTCATGACCAAGAACCCAAAAGCAAATGCAATAAAAACAAAAATAAAGAGCTGGGATCTAATTAGACTAAAGAGCTTTTGCACAGCATAAAGAATAGTCATCAGAGTAAACAGACAACCTGCAGAGTAAACAGACAACCCACAGAGTGGGAGAAAATCTTCACAATCTGTACATTTGACAGAGGACTAATATTTAGAAACTACAACGAACTGAAATCAGGAAGAAAAAAAACAAAAAATCCCATCAAAAAGTGACCTAAGGACATGAATAGACAATTCTTAAAAGAAGATATACAAATGGCCAACAAACATAAGAAAAAATGCTCAACTAAAGACCAGGAAAATGCAAATCAAAACCACAATGTGATACCACCTTACTCCTCCAAGAATGGCCATAATCAAAAAATCAAAAAAATAGAAATATATCTATTATATTAGATATTAGCATGGATGCAGTGATCAGGGACCACTTCTACAGACTGTTGGTAGTAATGTAAACTAGTACAGCCACTATGGCAAACAGTGTGGAGATGCCTTAAAGAACTAAAAGTAAAATTACAATTTGATCCAGCAATCCCACTACTGAGTATCTACCCAGAGGAAAAGAAGTCATTATTCAAAAAAGATACTTGCACATGCATGTATATAGCAGCACAATTCACAATTGCAAAATCATGGAACCAACCCAAATGCCCATCAGTCAACGAGTGGATAAAGAAACTGTGAGATGTATATATATATATCTATATATATAGATATATAGGAATTATATATATAATTTATTATTATATAAATTATAAATTATATAATTATATAAATATATAAATATAAATTATATAAATATAAATATATAAATTATATAAATATAAATTATATAAATATAATTATATAAATTATATAAATATAATTTAGCTAGTATTTTATTAAGGATTTTAGCATCTATGTTCATCAGCGATATTGGTCTGTAGTTTTCTTTCTTGGTTTTGTCCTTTCCTGGTTTTGGTATTAGGGTGATCTTGGCTTCATAGAATGAATTACAGAGGGTTTCTTATCAGACAGTTATCAACTTTATTAGACATTGAAAGATAATATATAGGAACAACTCTATTAAACATTGAAAGATAATATATAGGAACAATTCCTCTCTCTATATATATATATAGGAATATATGTATATATAGGAATATATATAGGAATATATGTATATATAGGAACATATATATAGGAACATATATATAGGAACATATATATAGGAACATATATATAGGAACATATATATATAGGAATATATATATAGGAATATATATATATATATATATATATATATATAGGAATACTGCTCAGCCATAAAAATGAATGAATGAATGAACAGCACTTGCAGTGACCTGGATGAGATTGGAGACTATAATTTTAAGTGAAGTAACTCAGAAATAGAAAGTCAAACATCGTTTGTTCTTGCTGATATTTGGGAGCTAAGTTATGAGGGCACAAAAGCATAAGAATGATCCAATGGACTTTGGGGATTTGCGGGGAAGGGTGGGAGGGGAGTGAGGGATAAAAGACTACAAATATGGTGCAGTGTATACTCCTCGGGTAATGGATGTACACAAATCACCACTAAAGAACTTACTCAGGTAAGCAAATACCACCTGTACCCTAATAACTTGGCTCCAGATTTCTGCTTATATAAATTAGAAAACTCAAGCAGTTATTTTTGAGTGTAGCTCACCTCTTCATGGGTCACACTCTCAACCTCACCTCTAGAGTCCCACCAGGACTTTAGTCTAGTTATGTGTCTAGAAGAAAACAGGAGTGTCGGGGGTGGCTTCTGAGGAGAATCAACATTATCTTGCCTGACAACTGCCTCAGGGAAAACCATCACTCTTGCCTCAGGCGGAGCAGGGTTTATCTCCTCAGACAAAGGTGGAAAGGCTGATGGCAGTGTGGGTCAGGGAGGGGGTGTTGCCATTACTGGGGATGGGGAAGCTGTTTCTTCTGGCAAAAAAGTTTCATCAGAGTTTACAAACTCAGTGTCCCCAGCTCTATCAGGGTCCTCCCATACGTCCCCATTCCAAGTTGCAGGGTCCCATTCTTTTCCAATCAATGCCCTCACTTTAACAGTAGACACCTGGTGAGACTGTGCATGCACCTTTCATTGCAGGTCAGCCACTCACATTATAAGAGCTTGTGTCTGTTTTTCCACAATTTCAGCTCTTTCTCTACAGGAGATAAGACTCTCACTCAGGACAATCTTAACAGATTTAATGTTCAGTATCTGCTTCTGAAGCTGGGAGACAGAATACCTGAATTCATCATTTTCTTTCATCACTTTGTCCATTCAAGTTAGGAGCAACCAACCAGCTTCATTATGTTCCTTGGCTCTCCACATATGGTCCAAATGCATTACGTATAGAGTCAATAAACTCCTTGCCTCTCACATCCGGTGAGTCAAGAGTATCAAATGCATTTTTTTTTTTTTGAGATGGAGTCTCACTCTGTTGCCCAGGCTGGAGTGCAGTGGCGCAATCTTGGCTCACTGCAACCTTCATCTCCCAGGTTCAAGTGATTCTCTCGCCTCAGCCTCCTGAGTACCTGGGATTACAGGTGTGTGCCACCACGCCCAATCTAATTTTGGTATTTTTAGTAGAGACAGGGTTTCACCATGTTGGCCAGGCTGATTTCGAACACTTAACCTCACGTGATCCACCTGCCTCGACAAATGCATTTATTTTGCATACCTCTCTAAACAGTTCACACCAAGAACTGTCAGTGTTCTCCATACTATTAGAGGTAGAGTCCTTAGCATTTTTAGGTCTAATCATATTAAGCAGCCAACTCCAGAAACCCCAAACCAGCAAAAGAATTCCATCCTTAATATTCTGTTCCTCTAAAACCACTCCTAGTACCAAAATCTGTATTAGTCAGGGTTCTCTACAGGGACAGAATAGGAGATAGATAGATAGATAGATAGATAGATAGATAGATAGATAGATAGATGATAGATAGATAGATAGATAGATGAGTTTATTAAATATTAACTCACAGGATCACAAAGTCCCACAATAGGTCGTCTGCAAGCTGAGGAACAAGGAGAGCCAGTCCAAGTTCCAAAACTGAAGAACTTGGAGTCTAATGTTTGAGGGCAGGAAGCATCCAGAACGGGAGAAATATGTAGGCTGGGAGGCTAGGCCAGTCTAGTCCTTTCACGTTTTTCTGCCTGCTTTATATTCTAGCCACACTGGCAACTGATTAGATGGTGCCCACTCACATGAAGAGTGGGTCTGCCTTTCCCAGCCCACTGACTCAAATGTTAATCTTCTTTGGCAACACCCTCACAGACACACCCAGGATCAGTACTTTGCATCCTTCAATCCAATCTAGTTGGCACTCAGTATTAACCATCACACCTACTTAAAAAGCCTTATTTTTAAATCCAGTCCCATTGGAAGTAAGGGTTTCAACATATGGATTTCGGTAGCGGGTAGAGAGACACAATTCAGGCAATAACACTGCTCTAATATGCTTGATGGATGGGATACTTTCCCAAAATAATAAGAGATTACCACTAGAGCATTCTTTCTTTATCTTCCTTTGGCATGAGGTCATCAGGATCTATATGAATGCTCTGGGATGGGGGTCTTTGTGTCTGCCTGTGTCTGCCTGTCTTGTCTTAGTTGGTGTATTTTACTCTTCTTTTCTAGTTTCTTAAGTTTGAAATTGAGGTAATTGGTATGAGATCATTTTTTCTTTTCTAATATAACCATTTAATAGTATAAATTTATCTCTAAGCACTCATACTTATATCCCACAAATTTTTATGTGTCATCTATTAATTTTCATCCTGTTAAATACACTTTCTAATTTCTCTTGAGTCTTTTTCTTGGACCCATGGATTATTTATGAGGTTTTTTTCTTAATTTCCAAGTGTTTGTCAATGTTCCTGTTATACCTCTGTTATTGATTTCTAGTTTAATTATATTATAATTAGATATTTAAATTATTCTAAGCTTATGAAGGTCTTTTTATGATCTAGGATATGGTATATCTTGGTAAATGTTCCTTGTGCACTTGATGGAATGTATATTCTGCTGTTCTTGTTGGGTGGCGTGTTCTATAAATACCAATGAGATACAGTTGGTTGATTGTATTATTCAGTTTTTCTATATTCTTATTTTCTATCTGAGTCTACTGATTCCTAAAAGAGGAGTTTTGAAGTCTCCAGTTATATTTGTGGACTATTTTTATTTCATCTCTCATTTTTGTTTCATATACTTTGAAGATTTGTTGCTATGCAATGACAAAAACTGCAATTACTTTTGCACCAAACTAATAGTTGCATACACATTCAAGATATTTCTGTCATAATTAATTGACCCTCTTATTATTAGGTAATATCCCTGTTTATCCCTTGCCACCCTTTTTACTCTGAAGTATATTTTGTTTAATATTAATACAGCCCCTCAGCTTTTGATTAGAGTTTGCATTATATATTATTTTCAAACCTTTGCTTTAAACTCACCTATATCATTATATTTAAAGTGAGTTCCTTTGAGACAGCATATAGTTGATTCATTCTTTGTTGATTCTGATCATCTCTGTGTTTTACTGAATGTTTTTAGGCCATTTGTATTTTATGTCATTATTTATATGTTTGGCTTTAGTTCTACTATTTTATTATTTATTTTCTTTTACTTTCCTGTTAATTTTTTTCTTTGTTTTTCCTCTCTCGCCTTCTTTTCAGTTATTTATTTTGAGTTATCTGAATACTTTTAATACTCCATTTAAATGTATCTATTGCTTTTCTTTTTTTTTCTTTTTTATTGTACTATTTCTATGGATTGAATGTGTCCCCTTCAAAATTCAAAATTATTTAATAAGTTGAAACTTAATCCTCACTGTGTTGTTATTATGAGGTGGAGCCTTCTGGGAAGGGGTTAAGTCATGAGAACTTTGCACTCATGCATACAGTAGTGCCTTATAAAAGGGCTGGAAGGAACTAGCTTAGGCCCTGCCTTTGTGTGCCTTTTGTCATGTGAGGACATAACATGTGTCCCCTCCAATGAATATAGCAACAAGGCACCATGTTGGAAGTAGAGAGAAGCTCTCACCAGACACTGAACCTGCCAACACTTTCAGCCTCCAGATCTGGGAGAAGTAAATTTCTGTTCCTTATAAATTACCCAGTCTCAAGTATTTTCTTATAGCAGCACAACAGACTATGACACTGTCGTTTTTTCATGATTAGTCTAAGGACTGTACTAAACATACTTAAATTTGGGCTGTATACTTAGAATCAATATTTTATCACATCAAATTGAATGTAGAAGCTTTCTAAACATCTAAGTTATTTTACCCTCCACTTTTTATATTGTAGTTTAAAAAATATGTTACATTTACATACATTGAAAATCCTATCAAACATTATCATATTTTTTCACTTTGAACATGAAACATATCTTTAAAAACTCAAGAAGCGATTAGTAATTTGTTATATTTACACAGATTTTAACTATTTGTGCTATTCTTTCTTGATTCTTGATGTTTTAAGTTTCCATGTGGGGTCATTTCTGTTTTGTCTGAATAATTTCCTTTAGCAGTTCTTTACAAGCGTATCTGCTGACACTGAATTCTCTTAGTTTTCCTTCTTATAAGAATGTATTTACCATACATTTATTTCTGAAAGATATTTTTGCTGGAGACAGAATTCTGAGTTAACAGGTCTTTTTTTGCCAAACATTTAAAAAATTTTGTGCTACTTACTTCTGGCCTCCATGGTATCTATGAGGAATCTGCTGTCTGTCAAATAATTGTTTCTCTTTAAGTAATGTGTTGTTTTTCTTGGGCTTATTTCAAGGTTTTTTTTCTTTACTTTTAGTTTTTAGTAATTTAACTGTGGTGTGTCTAAGAATAGATGTATCAGCGTTTATCCTTTTGGGGGTTTGCTGAGCTTTGGGGTTTATAACTTTCACCATAACAGGACATTTTCAGCCATTATTTCTTTTTTTTTTAACTTTTATTTAAAGTTCAAGTGTACAAGTGCAGGTTTGTTACATAGGTAAACTTCTGTCATGGGGGTTAATTTTATGGATTATTTCATCACCCGGGGATTAAGCCTAGTACCCATTAGTTATTTTTCCTGATCTTCTCCCTCCTCCCATCCTCCACCCTCTGATAATCCCCAATGTGCGTTGTTCCCCTGTATATGTCCATGTGTTCTCATCATTTAGCTCCCACTAATAAGAAATTGTGATATTTAGCTTTCTGTTCCTGTGTTAGTTTGCTAAGGATAATGGCCTCCAGCTTCATTCATGTCCCTGCAAAGGACATGATGTTGTTGTTGTTGCTGTTGTTGTTGTTTCTGAGATGGAGTCTCGCTCTGTCGCCCAAGCTGGAGTGCAGTGGCGCAATCTCGGCTCACTGCAATCTCCACCTCCCTGGTTCAAACGATTCTCCTGCCTCAGTCTCCTGAGTAGCTGGGATTACAGGCGCCTGCCACCATACCCAGCTAATTTTGATCTTGTTCTTTTTTATATTCAGCCATTATTTCCTCAAAATGTTCCACGTTACACTTTAGCACCTCTCCTTCTGAAACTCTAATGACATGAATGTTAAAACCCTGGGGCCTCACTGATTCTTATAGTTGTATTTATTGTTTTTCAATCTCTTTTTTCTTTTCTTCAAATTGGATAACTGTTTTTGATCTGAATATAAAAGTCCATGCACATTAAAACATGAAGAATTGGGAATAAGCGTTGCTCCCCCAACAGCTTCAAATTATGTGTAACTATCAGAAATTCTGTCCCATAAATGTTTATTATGCTTATCATGTCACTTTTTCTTGTTTTAAAATTACAAGTGCCATACATTCATTATCCATACCCTATATATTGGTATATAGACATTTGTGTCTAAAAGGATTTCTAGAACTTTTCTGTTTTCTTTCTTCATAAGAATTACTAGTCATGTCTTCTACTAGACTGTTCTGTTTATGTCACACCCCCACAGCATCTGGTTTACAGTTACATCTGATAATTTTTCTTCCTCCCTTTGAATATACATCAAAGACCCTCTTTAGGAGGTCATCAGCATTCCTTTAAAACAGGCTCAGATGTGAGATGCACTCACTCACTTGCTGGTGGCTCATTCTTTAGGTTTGGGGTTGATTCAAACCCAAGAGTCCTTAGAATGAATGACCTTTTCCTAGGAAAGTGAGCAGCTGGAATAAAGCTCTGCTGTACTTCTTTCGGTGACCTTTGGGTTCTTGCTCAATCAGTTTTTCCTCTGTGCCCCTATTTCCCCAGCTTCACAACATCACAAATACTCCAGGATTAACAGGCACTCAGCTTCAAGTAAAGTTCGTGCTGATATTTTACATATTTATTACTCAAGTCCTTGCCATCTTTCTGGCTATCAAAGGAATAAAACCGCTTGGGGAGGTTACTGGGTTAAATGAAGTAAAGGCAAGTTGTTCTGCCACAGAAAGTGAACAAGGACAATTAGTGTTGAAACATGTGGGAGTGAGGCAGGAAAATTGCTGTTGTAGTCAGAGGTGTAGTCAAGATCTGATAAAAACTGCAGTGCCTGGTGATGACTACTCCTTGGTAAGATGTGTATGTGGGTGTGTATATACAGAATAGTTGGTGGGGGAGCATCTTGATGGGGACAAAAGTGACAGGTATCCTTTTCTGACATTTTCTGATGATTCACCAATAAGGATCAGCTTTAACAAAATTTATCGAAAGAGAATAACTCTCTGGAATGAAGATTACAGAAGTAAGTCTAAGAGGCAAACATGAAAAACCTAACTTTGATTTCTTTGTATACAGAGAAGAGTGGAAAGGATTAATTTCTGAATGAGTTTCAGCACAGTGTTGAAATGATGATGCAAGAATGTTAGAAGTCCGTGGGACTGCCTTAGGGCTAGCAATATATGTGCATTGCTGACCTAGAAGTTACTTGGTTAAAAGTAAGAACTCCTTCAGTTTTAGAAAAACCAACACAAACAGGCTTATGGGAAAGGGGGAATTTATTGACTTACAAAATGGAGAGGTTAAGAGGTCGTCTAATTACAGCCACAGCTGGATTCAGGGTAAAGCAATGTGATAAGAACTTGATTCTTTGCAATCTCTCAGCTTTACCATGAACTTTGTTGATTTCATTCTCAGGCTCTCACCTCAAGGTCTAAAGATAACTTCCCCAGCTTCTGACTTTAAATCCTTTTTGTTTCAGTCCAATGGGGAAGAACAAGAGTTTCTTTCCTACGATACTAATCAGTTGAACCCGTATCATTCTTAAGCCATTTACTGTAACCAAGAGAATGCAAGTCCAGGTCACAAGTGTTATCCCTGAATAAGAGGTGAAATTCTGAAACTGGAAGCACATAGACGGAAAGTGGGTACTGTCGTGGTTTTGCAGAAAGAAATTGGGGTATGATTACCAGAATAAGGTAACAATATGCTGGCGTCAACTAGCAAAAATATCTCCAATATAGATGGTGAATGAAATGCCAGTTTTCTTTATTCAGGCCTCTGAGAAGGGCAACCATTTTTGGGTAGCTTGAAATTTAAATGATGCAAAGCAGTTTTACCTGACAGTTAATCATATGACACAAGAGCCCATTCAAACTGGGTTTGTTAGACACTTGTGAGGTAAAAATCACTTACATTAAGTAAGTAATTAGTATCAAGGCCACCACATGTGCTTCTCTGAGATTTGAGACTGGTAGCTCAAAGAGTACAGATCAATATTGGGAAGAAGAGAAACAGTAAAATAATTAGAGAATTTACAATCAAATTTTCAGGGTTACATTGAATAGGCATGCCAAACTCTCACAACTGTTGCCAATTTTATGGACTATAAAGTAGGTAGTGATCTTTAGTTTCCCCTCTCCCCAGGAAAGTAGATAATGCCAGGATACTGGCTAAGTGTTTCTTAGAACTGAAAGTCATGAGACATATCTTGAATTATTTACATGTATAGCCCAGGTTTTCCAGGCCACACTAGCCTAGCGATAAGAATCGGATTGTGCAAAAGCTACAAAAACAGCATTTCTATCACTTTTCTTCTATTCACTCTGGAGAAACCCAGTATCATTTAAATTTATGGAGTACCAGTTATTTCAGGGAGTTTCTAAGAATCTCATTTATGCCCAGAGAATGAGCCATCTTGGTTGTCATGTATGCATGTAATTTCCCATCTTTTCTGCTTTGCTTCATGTGGTAATGTTGCAAACAGTTGGCAGTGCTAAACATTGAAAACTATGCCATCAGTGCCCCCTGAAGACACCAATGCTGTTATTTTGTTGACATATACACTAAGACTCTAGGATATAAGGCTAAGACGACTGAAGTTTACTCAAAATGTACCAATGTCCAGTATTGAACACAATGAAAGGGTTGCCAGTGCCTTTGTCATTGCCAGTACTTCTTTTGCTGGTATTTTAGAGCTACTTACACTGAGAATGCCTGGTCTCATAGAGTCAAGCATTACGTATAGCTGAATATTAGCCTTAAAGCACTGGGGCTGTGATGGAAGACATCCTGAGTGACAGATGCTCCACTACGATTAGAATCTCTCTCTTCTACTTTTCACAATTTTTTCTCCTTTTCTTCAACACTGAGGCGTTTTCTTTGGATCAATAATTTAGGCCTTGACTCTCTGTTCCCATATGGCAATGTCAGATTTTTAATGCTGGAAATAGTAGACAAGCTTATATCAGATCAACCCTCCCAAGGAAGGCAACCAGAAAAATTTAAATTATATACACACACATATATACATTAAGCCAAGACTTAAGGGAAGCTCAGAGAGGTGAGCTTTACTTTCAGCACCTCCTTTTTCTTCAGTGCATTTGCTGACTCTCAATTAGAAGCTGGAAAGCCTGAGAACCAGAGCAGAGATATTTTGAGAGCCTCATAGGGCTAGGGAAACAAAAATTGGAGTTTGGTGTCTGTCAGAGTATAGCAGGACCCACCTGGACTTTCAGTTGTGGCCTTTAGAGGACTACACCCCAGGAGTAAGAGTAAACCAGATAGAGTAGCCCAGATAAAGACTGAAACCTATCCTTGAATCAACTCAAACTTTACCCCTAGCCTAAGTATCAGCAAAGAGACTGAGAAGCTGAGCAAAATGTTTTGCCCACTTACATGGCCGGGGAGATGTAAACTGAAGTTTAGGAAGGGCCTTGCAACCACTTCAGGCTTTCACTTGGTGCCCTGGAAGAACTACATTTTTAAGAGAAAGTGTGAGTAAGAGATAAATTATTCTTCAGAAAAGGTAGAAACACAGTCTGAAATAAACGGAATCACTAATTGAATTAAGGTAATTCAGCCTTAACGTCACCTTACCTGCCATTAGTAAAAGCAAATCTTTTTTACAGGAAAATTACATGGTCCAGACACTCAAATTATCTCTAGTTTTTGATGCATTATGTCAAGCATTCAATAAAATATACTAATCATACCATAAGACAAGACAAAGTGATCAAAACCAGGCAACTGGACACTTTAAACAGATCAAAAGGAGATATAGATACTGGACCTAAAATAACTGTGATTAAAGTATGTAAGAAATTACACAATAAAACAGAAGATATCACATTCTAACTAGAATGTATAAAATGAAACAAATAGAAAATTGAAACTGAAAAATGCAATAACTAAAATAAAGAAGAAAAAAAGAGCCAGAAGAAAGGAGCCAGACTGAAGCAGAAAGTGAAGAAACGATTGAAAATGCAGGAAAAAAAAGAGGATATGATTTTTTAAACGTACAGTATTATGTATAACTGATGTTCCAGAAAAAGGAGAGTGGGGAAGAGTCAATATTTAAATAAATAATGGCCTAAAATTGTACAAGATTGATTAATACAATCATCTTAAAGACTAAAGAAGCAATAAAAGCTCTCAATCAGGATAAATACAAAGGAAACATATGGTCATACCATGATAAATGCTGAAAACGAAAGACTAAGAGAGAATCATAGAAACATCTGGGATGGGGAGGGAGACATTATCTTTTAAGAAGCAACAGTATCACTAACAGCTGCCTTGTCAATAGAACCATGGAAGCCAGAAATTAGTGGACTGATATTCTCAACAGACTGAAAGAACGTTAACTGCCAACCAAGATTTCAAGAGCCAAGGAAATTATTTTGCTGGTAGGAAGGAAAAATAAAGTCATTTTATGACAAACAAAAACTGGCAGAGTTCAATGTTTGAAGGCCCATGCTAAAAAAAAATGCTAAAGAAAATTATTCAGGTAGAAGGAAAATTATAGCTGATTGAAGCAAAGGAATGCAGGAAAGAATAAAGAGCAATGGAAAGGGTATATATGTAGGTACTCCTACATAAATATTGACTTGTTAAAAGTAAATATAATTACTTGTGGAGTTTAAACCATATATATAATAAAAATATTTGATCTTCCTTTTTAAAAGGAGTAAGGCAGAACCATGAGAGAAAGGAGGGGCATAAATGGAATTAAAATGTTCTAAGGTCCTTATATTGTCCAGGAACTGGTAAAAGTACTTTATAAAACCAATTTATATAAAACTTTAATATGTCATGAATGCATCTTGCAATCTCCCAGGCAGCAGTTCTTAGTTACTTTTGGTTTCAGAAAAACTTCACATTTGAAAAAAATTGAGGATATCAAAGAGCTTTTTTTCAGATTATATATATGTATATATATACATATATATATATTTATATTATTAGACATTAAAACAAAGAAATGTTCAAAAGATTTATTAAGTCATTTAAAAATAATTGTGAACTCATGTCAACAGAAATAAAATTTCTACAAAAACTAACTGTATTTTCTAAAATTAAAAAAATGTTTTGAAGAGTGGCATTGTGTTACAGTGTTACAAGTCTCTTTAATATTGGGCTTAACAGAAGACAGCTGGATTCTCATATTTGCTTTTGCATTCAGTCTCTTGCTATATATTGACCTTGTAGAAGAATATGAAAAAGATCTGACTTCATGTAGAGATGTAGTTTTAACAAGGGAATGTTCTAATAGGCTTATCTGATAACTGTTGCTAGTTTCCTTAGATATGACACCAAAATGCAAAAGGTGATTTTTTTTAACATTTATTTTAAGTTCAGGGGTACATGTGCAGGTTTTTTATACAGGTAAAATTGTGTCATGGCGGTTTGTTGTAAAGATTATTTTGTCCCCCAGGTATAAAGCCTAGTACCCAGTAATTATTTTTCCTGATCCTTTTTCTCCTCCCACCCTCCACCCTGAAGTAGGACCCAGTGTGTTTTGTTCCTCTCTATGTGTCCATGTGTTCTCATCATTTAGCTCCCACTTATAAGTGAGAACATGTGGTATTTGATTTCCTGTTCCTGTTAGTTTGCTAAGGACAATGGCGTCCAGCTCCATCCATGTCACTGCAAAGGACGTGATCTTGTTCTTTTTTATGGTTGCATAGTATTCCATGGTGTATATGCACCACATTTTCTTTATCCAGTCTATCATTGATGGGCATTTATGTTGATTCCATATCTTTGCTATTATCAGTATTGCTGCAGTGAACATATGCGTGCATGTGACTTTATAACAGAACAATTTATATTCCTTTGGGTATATACCCAGTAATGGGATTGCTGGGTCGAATGGTATTTCTGCTTTTAGGTCATTGAGGAATTGCCATGCTGTCTTCCACAATGGTTGAACTAGTTTACACTCCCATCAACAGTGTATAAGCATTCGTTTTTCTTCACAACCTCACCAGCATCTGCTTTTCTTTTGAGTTTTTCATTAGAGCCATTCTGACTGGTGTGAGATGATATCTCATTGTGGTGTTGATTTGCATTTCTCTAATGATCAGTGATGTTGAGCTTTTTTCATATGACTGTTGGTTGCCTGTATATTGTAAAGTTTCTTTGCAACATGGAATCTGAAACCATATCTATAAACTTTCCACACTGTGTTACATTAAAATCCATTAATCTATCTTGCCCTTTAAATATGTTTTTTTAACCCATGTATGATTTTGTAACATCACACACTGGTCTTATGAAAAATATTGGTTCCTCACCCAGGCTGGAGTGCAGTGGTGTGATCTCGGCTCACTGCAAACTCCACCTTTGGGGTTGGGGTGATTCTCCTGCCTCAGCCTTCTGAGTGGCTGGGATTGCAGGCATGCGCCACCACGCTGATTTTTGTATTTTTAGGTGAGAGGGGGGTTCACCGTGTTCTTCAGGTTGGTCTCTCTCAAACTCCTGACCTCAGGTGATCCACCCGCCTTGGCCTCCCAGAGTATTGGGATTGCAGGTGTGAGCCACCATGCCCGGCTGTCATGTAAAACTAATACATTTGTTATGCTTTTAGGCTGGGCATGGTGGCTCATGCTGTGGTCCCAGCATTTTGGGAGGCTGAGGCAGAAGGATCACTTGAGACCAGGAGTTCAAGACCAGCCCGGGCAACACAGCGAGACCCTCGTCTCTACCAAAAATACAAAAACTTAGCCAGACGTGGTAGTGCATGCCTGTAATCCCAGCTACCCAGGAGGCTGAGGTGGGAGGATTGACTGAGCTTGGGAGGTTGAGGCTGCAGTGAGCTGTGATCCCACCAATGCCCTCTAGCCTGGGAGACAGAGTGAGACCTTGCCTCAAATAATTAAGTAAATTTGTTAATGCTTAAAAAAAAAGAAAAGGAAAGAAAAATATTGGTTCCTGGGGTTATGCAGATCTTCCAAATGATGACACATTTTAGGATACAATATCAAAAAAAGCAAATTAGCTGATATTTCCAGTAATCTCATCACAAATCTTTAAGTATTAGGAAGCTCTAATGCTCACTGTGGTGAATACAAGTTTTACAGAAATCCAATATTTGCTTGAAAGCTTGAATTTTATCATTGGCAATGAATGCTGTCAGATGTTTCCTTTGAAGTGATAGGCTCACTTTGTTCATTTTTGAGAAATATCTGCATAATACTCAAGTCTGAATAAACCATAGTTTGTCTCTCATTCTTTCAATTAAAAATGGCATTCTATGGAAAACAAGACTATTCAGTTTGCAACTCAAACAAATGTACGATACTTTTCCTCCATTCAATTATCATACTTAGAAATACATCAGAAGTGCTTGATGTGGACTTCTCAGTTTTGGTAAGATACTATTAAGATGTGTATTCGAAAACTAATATTTGGTAAAAATTAACTGCTTCATCGAGTACACCATTGCTTTTGTAGCATCCGTGCAAATGTCAACACAGTTAAAAATACAACTTACTTTTTACTGTTATTAGGAAAATAGTTTTGACTTTGTGAGTCCCCTTATCTATGGCCATACTACCCTGAACGTGCCTGAACTTGGAAGTTAAGCAGGGTCGGGCCTGGTTAGTACTTGGATGGGAGACCTTGTGGGACCCCTTATAGAGTCTCAGGAACCGGCAGAGATCTGTATACTATACTTTGAGTACCACTACTCTCCAAAAACTATTGAAAGAATAATAAATGAATGTATAACTAATCCAGGCGCGGTGATTCATGCCTGCAAACCCAGCATTTTGAGAGGTTGAGGCAGGCAGATCACTTGAGGCCAGGAGTTTGAGACCAGCCTGGGCAACATGGCAAAACCCTGTCTCTACTAAAAATACAAAAATTAGCTGGACATGGTGCGCATGCCTTTAGTAATCCCAGCTACTTGGGAGGCTGCAGCAGAAGAATCGCTCGAACCCGGGAGGTGGAAGTTGTGGTGAGCTGAGATCATGCCACAGCACTCCAGCCTGAGCGACAGAGTGAGACTCTGTCTCAAAAAAAAACAATGTATAACTAATAATCTGATACAGGGATAAAGAGGAATTTAAAATAATAAGGCAAGAAAGGAGAGAAAAAGTGTATGTGCATAGGTAGAACACAGAGTAAAAGGATAGATTTAAGCCCTTAAGATAAGTTCATTCCTTGGTTTTCAATGCAAGTAGATCCTGACATGTACTCCTAATGATTCTATGTTCCCAGACAGACTAGTCTGAGCAGAATTTATCTTTAATCTTAGATTCCTGCTTCAAATAAGAATGCATGGCAGAAACTAAGACCATTGCTTAAAATTATTTGAACAACAGGTTTAGAAAGGAATGTTATGAGGAAATAACAACCCTTATTTTGCTAAATGGAGAAGGCAACTCAAAACAATTTACTTGAGAATGGATATTCAACCCTGTAGATGGAGATTAAAGATGCACACAGAATAAGTCCAAGACAGGAAAATCTTTTGGGTACATAGCCTCTCAAGTTTCAGGAGAAACTTGAGATTGGCATATTCATTTGCTTTATATTCTAAAGCAAATTCAAGGACAAACAGGGGGAGGAAAGGTAGCATCCTCTTAATTCCCTTTCCCCAAAGACCAACTGTCTAGTTCACTGGCCTAGGCACTGCTAGAATTCATCAACAGTATCTCTACCATCCATCTCCATTGCACAGGTATGTCTATCTCATTGACTGGTTATCCATCAAATCTGAATCTAATCTATCTCATTGACAGACTATGTCTCTCAAAATATGCCTTCATTAGTTTACTGAGAGGTGTTTGTCAATTTATTTTGAGTTGAATCACAGATCCATCATAGAATTATAACATAGTAGAGTTGGAAGTGACCTTTGCAGTCTTTTCTTCTAACCTCCTACCTAACAGATAAATCTCCTCTGTAGTCTCCAAGCCTAAGGGTCATTCAGTGAGTCCTTAGATATGTCTGGGAGCTCACTAACATGTAAAACAGGCTGTTTTGATTATAGTCTGCTCCATTTCTTTGTAAGTTCTCCTTATATTGAGCCAGGACTCCTTAGAATTTTCATCTTACTCTAAGTTCCCCTTCTAATTTTCTACATCTTAACAGAATAAGCTTACTTTTTTTGCAGATGGACAGCTACTTTGGGATTAATGTAATAATTCTCTATTTTTCACCCTGTATTCAAATTTTCATTAGAAAAATGGTTACAGATGCCTCTGATAGGTGACCTTGAAGTCTCTGGTTGGGGGTGAGGAATAGAGAAACACATGCATATTTTAAACATTATGGTAGTGGACATAGTTTAATGGGGACCTAACACCCTTTATCTCCATTTCTACTTTGTAACACATCCCTGATTTTATTCAGATGTCCGTCATCCACTCCCCAGTCACACTAACCCAGGTGACCCAGAGGAAAGTGGTCTTCTCTTCAGCACTAGGAGTGAATCTTGATTACCTAAGCCAGTCAAGGTAATTCAAACTTCTTTGACAGTGACCAGTTCAGACAGAAAAATTAAGCTAATGAATGCATGCCATACACCTAGCAACTATTACTGATACAGTGGAATGTGACTTTGAACTAATTGGACTGAAGGGAAGTACTTTTTGTTTTATGGCTGAGAGAAACATTTTTCTCTCTCTGTCACTGAAAATGAACAGGAAGGATATTTCCTCAGTGGCTTTAGGAAGTCATCTTCAATGAAGGAAGCCAGTCTGGGACCTGTGTACACACACAGAGAAGGACTGAGCTGAGAGAAGTGGAGAAAAATAGAACTGGGAACTTGATTGTACCATGCTCAGAATCCAAACTATTTGGGGGCTTCTAGACATGTGAAATTAAAATTATTATTTAACTCAGTTTATGTTGGCTTTTCTGTTTCTTGCAAGCCAAGATATACTAATACAACCGTCTACTCCCTTAAGGTGAAGCTTCTGACACTTACGGAGAATTTCAGGGCTCATTTTATTTGGTTGGTGCAAGTGGACTAGAAATTGAGATAAACGGATAAACAAAGGTTTACAGAGGCAGAGAATCAATTATAAACACGGACTTTGGTTATAACTCTAGATAATTTTCATTGGCCCAATGTTAGGGAAGGAAACTAGCATTAGTTGAATGCCTATTATGTGCCAGGCACTTTCCAATATTTGAAGACACTTAATCCTCACAGTAACCCTGTGAAGGAGGTGTAAGTTTGTCTGTAGAAAGTGAGGCTTACTGAGGTTAAATGCATAGCCCAAGGTCACACAGCTCATAAGTGGTAGAGTTAAAATCCAATCTTAATCAAGTTAGCTACACATCCAGTGCTGTTTCTGTTACATCCTTGACAGACAATTCTTTCCAGATAATTAGAGTCTCTACACCAGAGAAAGCTATCCAAAGCTTTAGACCAATCCTCTTCTATAATGGTGGTATTATGTAGTGGTTAAAAGCATGGACTCACACCAACATTGGCTTAAATTTTGGTACCAATTATTCAGGTCCATTTCTTATAAAGTTCTTCTTTGCACTGAGGCAAGCTGGCACCATTCAATATCTTTTTGACCTTCAATGAGTTACCCTCTCTGAGTTTCAATTTTTCTCCTTTGCAAAGTAAAGATAATATCTTCATTGTTGTTGTGAAGATTAATGAGATAACGTCTTTAAAGTTCCTGGAATATAAGTGCAGCAGTGAATCAACAGTCAGATGGTATGAGTTGTCTGCCATGGAGGGGAGGAGTATTTTATCATTGATTTTTTTTTTAGAATGTTAAAGTCATTGTAATAATAGTCAATGTTATTTGTTTCAAATCCTCTATAGGCACTTTATCACATTATTGCCAGCACTCGGGGCAGACAAATGTTAAAATGTTGCATTTGGCAGGTATCTCTGTGAGTACCTACTATCTATTTATATTCTTCAAAAATAAGAAGAATTTTACAGTGGGGACAGGAAATTTAAACAAACTTGGTATTTACAACTCAGCTTAAAAGGCATTCATTCCATTGGGCATAGCCTCTGGATTAGATTATTAGTTGAATTTTTCAAAATAAAAATTATATAGCTGATATAGTAGAAAGAAAGCACTGTATATCAGAAAGGACGTTATTTTCCCTCCCAACCATGAGATCCTAGAGATGAGATTTGTTCAACATTTCGTAATGCTTACAGAGGTGAGCAGGGTGAGCTTAATCTCAGTGAATCTTCCTGACAATCTGTGAAGTAATGGTGGAAGGTAAGGTTATATGATCAATTTTTCTGAGGAACAAACAGATTTGTAATTTGACTTTTCTATTCTCTCACTCTTCAAGGTATGTGAGGGCTACTAGCTTGCTTGGAACTCAGACGTGTTTAAATTATATCCTGATTGGACTCAGTATGTATGTGATCCAGATTGGCTGAGCCAACTAGGCCTATAAATCAAGAGTGGATACTCAGAAGCTGGTTTGAATAATTTCCCACTCCCAGTTCTTAGCTATATGTCCAGCCACCTCCACTAGAGAGTAAGGTCCCTGAGAGCCAGGGACTACAATATTCATCCCTGTATTCCAATTATTTAGCAAGATTTTCTTGAGTGTTCATGGAAATATTCATCTTTAAGTGGAGAGGGTACTGGATAGGAGAGCAGAAATCTTCAGGTCATTCTTCAGTCCCACATTCTTTCCAGTCTCTCAGATACTGGAGTTTCTCTCAACATCAGTAAGTGTCTGTTGCAGCCTGAAAATATATATACACATCCATATATGTGTATATGCACATATGTGTGTGTGTGTGACTGTGTGTATGGAAGCGGAATATTCAACTTCCATATCTAGTACTGTGAAGACAAGAGTTCATAAAGGAATTAGATAGAGACCAGAGGGAAGAAGACTGATAAAGTATTGGGCGCGCAGTCATGAAAGGTTGGATCTAGAGATAGAAGGTCTCATGGTTAATGCTTAGGCCTTTCTCCTGTAACTCATCGGGCCTTTTCTCACACCACACCATTGGCTTCATAAAAAAACAGGCTTCTGATGCCCACACAGTTTTCCACTCTATAGTGAACTACCTGCTCGAAACTGCCTCGGCCTCTGCTTGCCAATTTATTCCTGATCTTCCCAGTTTCTGACTTTGAGATCTATGTTCCCCAATAAAGTGTCATCAACTCCTACATTCAGCACTACTTCCTCAACTCTTAAGTACAAGAGAAGAAGCTATGGATCATGAAGGCCATCTTTGAAATGTAAAGATTAGACCTCATGTGATTATGAAATGAAAGTTATTGGAGGCCTCTGGAAACCTAGAAATACCATGGGATCTGTTCTTCTGAAGTTTGATTTCAAAATCACATATACAACATCATATCATGCATGAACAGTGATAGTTTTACTTCTTCCTTTCCAGTCTGAATTAATTTCCCCCCACCCTTTTCCTTGCCTAATTGTCATGGCTAGAATCTCCAATATAATGTTGAATAGAAGTGGAAAAGCCAGACATTTCTTGTCCTGTTCCTGATCTTACAGGGAAAGTTTTCAGTCTTTCATTCTTTAAGTATGATGTTCGATGGGTTTTTTGTAGATGCAGTTTCCACATTGAGAAAGTACCCTAGTTTGTTGAGATGATTCTTTAAATCATGCAAGTATGCTGAATTTGGTCAAAGCTTTTCTGGGACCACTGAGGTGATCATGATTTTTTTTCTTCACTGTTTAGTTAATATAGTATTTTACATGGATTGATTTTTGTGTATATAACCAATCTTGTATTCCTGGGTTAAATCCCACATGATCATTATCTATAATCCATTTATATGTTACTTTACTCAGTTTGCTAGAATTTTGTTAAGTATTCTGCATCTGCACTAATAAAGATATTATTCTGTAGTTTTCGTCAGATGTCTTCGTCTAGTTTTGGTATCAAGGTAATGCTGGCCTCACAGAATGAATTGAAAAGTGTTTCATCTTCTTCTATTTATTGGAAGAGTTTGTAAAGTATTGGTGTCAACTCTTTTTTAATGTTTGGCATAATTGTCTAATGAGGGCATCTGGGTATGGAATTTTTAGTAAAAAAGTTTTTTTTTAAATATGAATTCAATCTCTTTAGTTGTTATTGTTCTATTCAGCTTTTCTGCTTCTTGAGTCACTTTCAGTAATTTGCGTCTTCTAAGAACTTGTCTATCGCATCTAAATTATGTAACTTGTTGGTAGGCAGTTGTTCACGGTATTCCCTATAATTATCTTTAATTTCCTAGGTCATTAGTAATGTCCCCTCATTTATTCCTGATATTAGTGATTTGAGTCCTATATCTTTTTCTTTCTTGGTCATTGCAGCTAACGTTTTGTCAAATTTGTTGATTTTTTTTTCAAAAACTTTTGGTTTCATTGACCTTTATCTATTTTTTTCTGTCCTCTATTCTATTTATGTCTGCTCTACTCTTCATTCTTTTTGTATTATTTAGATTTACTTTGCTCTTTCCTAGTTTCTTAGAAAAGAGGAAGTTTACTCTTTTCACATGGCTTTCTAATTATGCCTGAAAGACCCACTCCTTTGTTGCAGAGAGATTCTAGCCAAAGCAGGGGCCATTATACACCTGAACATAAGAGAAGGAACACAAGTTTGTTGTCCTCTGCTTGAGGAAGGAATTAATCCTGAAGTCTGGGCAACAGAAGGACAATATGGACGAGCGAAGAATGCCCATCCCATTCAAGTTAAACTACAGGATTCTGCCTCCTTTCCCTACCAAAGGCAGTACTCCCTTAGACCCGAGGCCGATCAAGGACTCCAAAAGATTGTTAAGGACCTAAAAGCCCAAGGCCTAGTAAAACCATGCAATAGCCCCTGCAGTACTCCAATTTTAGGAGTACAGAAACCCAACGGACAGTGGAGGTTAGTGCAAGATCTCAGGATTATCGATGAGGTTGTTGTCCCTGTATACCCAGCTGTGCCTAACGCTTATACTCTGCTTTCCCAAATACCAGAGGAAGCAGAGTGATTTACACTTCTGGACCTTAAGGATGCCTTTTTCTTCATCCCTGTACATCCTGACTCTCAATTATTGTTTGCCTTTGAAGATCCTTCGAACCCAACGTCTCAACTCACCTAGACTGTTTTACCCCAAGGGTTCAGGGATAGCCCCCATCTATTTGGCCAGTCATTAGCCCAAGACTGAGCCAGTTCTCATACTTGGACTGTCTTGTCCTTCAATATGTGGATGATTTACTTTTAGCTGCCCGTTCAAAAACCTTGTGCCATCAAGCCACCCAAGCACTCTTAAACTTCCTCATCACCTGTGACTACAAGGTTTCCAAACCAAAGGCTCAGCTCTGCTCACAGAAGGTTAAATACTTAGGGCTAAAATTATCCAAAGGCACCAGGGTCCTCAGTGAGGAACGTATTCAGCCTATACCAGCTTATCCTCATCCCAAAACCCCAAAGCAATTAAGAGGGTTCCTTGGCATAACAGGCTTCTGCCGAATATGGATTCCCAGGTACAGCGAAATAGCCAGGCCATTATACACACTAATTAAGAAAACTCAGAAAGCTGATACCCATTTAGTAGAATGGACACCTGAAGCAGAAGTGGCTTTCCAGGCTCTAAAGGAGGCCCTAACCCAAGCCCCAGTGTTAAGCTTGCCAATGGGACAAGACGTTCCTTTATATGTCACAGAAAAAACAGGAATAGCTCTAGGAGTCCTAGGAGTCCTGACACAGGTCCGAGGGCCAGCTTGCAACCCATGGCATACCTCAGTAAGGAAATGGATGTAGTGGCAAAGGGTTGGCCTCACTGTTTACGGGTAGTGGCAGCAGTAGCAGTCTTAGTCTCTGAAGCAGTTAAAATGATACAGGGAAGAGATCTTACTGTGTGGAAATCTCATGATGTGAACAGCGTACTCACTGCTAAAGGAGACTTGTGGCTGTCAGACAATCATTTGCTTAAATATCAGCCTCTTTTACTTGAAGGGCCACTGCTGTGACTGTGCACTTGTGCAACTCTTAATCCAGCCACATTTCTTCCAGACAATGAAGAAAAGATAGAACATAACTGTCAAGTGATTGCTCCAACCTACACCACTTGAGGAGACCTTCTAAAGGTTCCCTTGACTGATCCCGACCACAGCTTGTATACTGATGGAAGTTCCTTTGTAGAAAAAAGACTTTGAAAGGCGGGGTTTGCAGTGGTCCGTGATAATGGAATACTTGAAAGTAATCCCCTCACTCCAGGAACTAGCTCTCAGCTGGCAGAACCAATAGCTCTCACTCGGACACTAGAATTAGGAGAAGGAAAAAGGGTAAATATAAATACAGACTCTTAAGTATGCTTACCTAGTCCTCCATGCCCATGCAGCAATATGGAGAGAAAGGGAATTCCTAACTTCCAAGGGAACACCTATCAAACATCAGGAAGCCATTAGGAGATTATTGTTGGCTGTATAGAAACCTAAAGAGGTGGCAGTCTTACCCTGCCTGGGTCATCAGAAAAGAAAGGAAAGGGAAATAGAAGGGAACTGCCAAGCGGATATTGAAGCCAAAAGAGCCGCAAGGTGGGACCCTCCATTACAAATGCTTATAGAAGGACTCCTAGTATGGGGTAATCCCCTCCAGGAGACCAAGCCCCAGTACTCAGCAGAAGAAATAGAATGGGGAACCTCACGAAGACATAGTTTCCTCCCCTCAGGATGGCTAGCCACTGAAGAAGGAAAAATAATTTTGCCTGCAGCTAACCAATGGAAATTACTTAAAACCCTTCACCAGACCTTTCACTTGGGCATTGATAGCACCCATCAGATGGCCAAATCATTATTTACTGGACGAGGCCTTTT
This sequence comes from Homo sapiens, assembly GCF_000001405.40. Classification (NCBI taxonomy): domain Eukaryota; kingdom Metazoa; phylum Chordata; class Mammalia; order Primates; family Hominidae; genus Homo; species Homo sapiens. Next base: position 131,930,726 of record NC_000023.11, on the reverse strand, counting down.
CAAAACTATCAAGCAGATAGTCAGGGCCTGTGAAGTGTGCCAAATAAATAATCCCCTGCCTTATCACCAAGCTCCTCCAGGAGAGCAAAGAACAGGCCATTACTCAGGAGAAGACTGGCAACTAGATTTTACCCACATGCCCAAATCTCAGGGATTTCAGTATCTACTAGTCTGGGTAGATATTTTCACTGGTTGGGCAGAGGCCTTCCCTTGTAGGACAGAAAAGGACCAAGATGTAATAAAGGCACTAATTCATGAAATAATTCCCAGATTCGGACTTCCCCGAGGCTTACAGAGTGACAATGGCCCCGTTTTCAAGGCTACAGTAACCCAGGGAGTATCCCAGGCATTAGGCATACAATATCACTTACACTGCGCCTGGAGGCCACAATCCTCAGGAAAAGTCAAGAAAATGAATGAAGCACTCAAACGACATTTAAAAAAGCTAACCCAAGAAACCCACCTTGCATGGCCTGCTCTGTTGCCTACAGCCTTACTAAGAATCCAAAACTCTCCCCAAAAAGCAGGACTTAGCCCATACAAAATGCTGTATGGATGGCCCTTCCTAACCAAGGACCTTGTGCTTGACCGAGAGATGGCCAGCTTAGTTGCAGACATCACCTCCTTGGCCAAATATCAACAAGTTCTTAAAACATTACAGGGAACCTGTTCCCGAGAAGAGGGAAAGTAATTATTGCACCCTGGTGACATGGTATTAGTCAAGTCCCTTCCTTCTAAGTCCCCATCCTTAGATACATCCTGGGAAGGACCCTACCCAGTCATTTTATCTACCCCAACTGCGGTTAAAGTGGCTGGAGTGGAGTCTTGAATACATCACACTCGAGTCAAACTCTGTATACTGCCAAAGGAACCCGAAAATCCAGGAGACAACGCTAGCTATTCCTGTGAACCTCTAGAGGATCTGCACCTGCTCTTCAAGCGACAACCGTGAGGAAAGTAACTAGAATCGTAGATCCTCATGGCCCTCCTTGTCATATTTTTTTCTTTACTGTTCTCTTACCCCCTTTCACTCTCACTGAACCCCCTCCATGCCACTGTACTACCAGTAGCTCCCATTACCAAGAGCTTCTATGGAGAATGCGGCTTCCTGGAAATATTGATGACCCATCGTATAGGAGTTTTTCTAAAGGAAACCCCATTTTCACCACCCACACCTATATGACCCTGCACTTCAGGCCATACATTTCAATCCCTGTATCTTTAACCTCCTTGTTAAGCTTGTCTCTTGCAGAATCGAAGCTGTAAAACTACAAATGCTTCTTAAAATAGAGCCCCAGATGCAGTCCATGGCTAAGATCTACCACGGACCCCTGGACCGGCCTGCTAGCCCATGCTCTGATGTTGATGACATTGAAGGCACGGCTTCCGAGGAAATCTCAACTGCACGACCCCTACTACACCCCAATTTAGCGGGAAGCAATTAGAGCAGTCATTGGCCAACCTCCCCAACAGCACTTACTCTAAGCGATGTAACTCAGGAATGGAAAGCCAAACATCGTATGTTCTTACTGATATGTGGGAGCTAAGCTATGAGGACACAAAGGCATAAGAATGATACAATGGACTTTGGCAACTTGGGGGAAAGAGTGGGAGGGGGCGAGGGATAAAAGACTACAAATATGGTGCAGTGTATACTGCTTGGGTAATAGGTGCACCAAAATCTCACAAATCACCACTAAACAACTTATTCATGTAACCAAATACCACCTGTATCCCAATAACTTACAGAAAAATAAAGTAACTAAAAGAGAATAGGCCATGTGCATTGGCTCATGCCTGTAATCCCAGAACTTTGTGAGGCTGAGATGGGTGGTTCATTTGAGGTCAGGAGTTTGAGACCAACCTGGTCAACATGGTGAAACCCTGTCTCTACTAAAAATACAAAAATTAGCCAGGCATGGTGGCACATGCCTGTAATTCCAGCTACTCAGGATGCTGAGGCAGGAGAATCGCTTGAACCCAGGAGTTGGAGGTTGCAGTGAGCCAAGATCATGTCATTACCCTCCAGCCTGGCAAGAGAACGAGAATCTGTCTCAAAAATTTTTTTAAAAAAGAATAAATAAAAGAATATAATTGGATTGTTTGTAATACGAAGGATAAATGCTTGAGGTGATGGATACCCCATTTACCCTTATGTGATTTTTACACACTGCATGTCTGTATCAAAATATTCCATATACCCCATAAATATACATGTAATATGTACCCACAGAAATTAAAACTTAAAAAACGACATAAGAGTTCAAAACCTATGGAATGCATCTAATGAAGTGGTTGGAGAATAATGTATAGCTTTAAATGTCTATATTACAAAAGAAGAAAAGTCTCAAATTAATAACCTAAACTTTCTCTTTTTTTGTTGAAAAGGGTGTCCTTTCCTTACTTTATGTTTTAGTTTGCTTTGTCAAAGATCAGTTGGCTGTAAGTATTCAGCTTTATTTCTGGGTTCTCTATTCTGTTCCATCGGTCTATGTGCCTATTTTTATACCAGTACCACGCTGTTTTGGTGACTATGGCCTTATAGTATAGTTTGAAATCAGGTAGTGTGATGCATCCAGATTTGTTCTTTTTGCTTAGTGTTGCTTTGGCTATGCGTGTTTTTCTTTTTCTTTTTTGGTTCCATATGAATTTTAGAATCATTTTTTCTAATTCTGTGAAGAATGGTGGTGGTATTCTGATGGGGATTGCATTGAATTTGTTGACTGCTTTAGTCAGGATGATCATTTTCACAATATTGATTCTACCCATACATGAACATGGGATGTGTTTCCATTTGTTTGTGTCATCTATGATTTCTTTCAGCAGTGTTTCATAGTTTTCCTTGTAGAGGACTTTCAACTCCTTTGTTAGGTATATTCCTAAGTATTTTATTGTTTTGCAGCTATTGTAAAAGGGGTTGAGTTCTTGATTCGACTCTCTGCTTGGTGGCTGTTGGTGTATAGAAGAGCTACTGATCTGTGTAGATTAATCTTGTATCCATAAACTTTGCTGAATTATTTTATCAGTTCTAGGAGCTTTCTAGAGGAGTCCTTAGGGTTTTCAAGGTAAACGATCATATCATCAGCAAATAGTGACAGTTTGACTTCCTCTTTACCGATTTGGATGCCCTTTATTTCTTTCTCTTGTCTGATTGCTCTGGCTAGGACTTCCAGTACTATGGTGAAGAGGAGTGGTGAGAGCGGGCATCCTTGTCTTGTTCCAGTTCTCAGAAGGAATGCTTTCAACTTTTCCCCATTCAGTATTATGTTGGCTGTGGGTTTGTTATAGATGGCTTTTATTACATTGAGGTATGTCCTTTTTATGCCAATTATGCTGAGAGTTTTAATCATAAAGGGATACTGGATTTTTTCAAATGTTTTCTCTGCATCTGTTGAGATGATCATGTGATTCTTCTTTTTTATTCTGTTTATGTGGTGTATCACATTTATTGACTTGCGTATGTTAAACCATACCTGCATCCCTGGTATGAAACCCACTTGATCATGGTGGATTATCTTTTTGATATGTTTTTGAATTCTGTTAGCTAGTATTTTGTTAAGGATTTTAGCATCTATGTTCATCAAGGATATCAGTCTATAGTTTTCTGTTTTGGTTATGCCCTTTCCTGGTTTTGGTATTAGGGTGATGCTGGCTTCATAGAATGAATTAGGGAGGGTTCCTTCTTTCTCTGTCTTGTATAATAGTGTCAAAAGGATAGGTACCAATTCTTCTTTGAATGTCTGGTAAAATTCTGCTGTGAATCCATCTGGTCCTGGATTTTTTTTGTTGGTAATTTTTTAATTACCATTTCAATCTCACTCCTTGTTATTGGTCTGTTCAGGATATCTAATTCTTCCTGATTTAAGCTAGGAGGATTTTATTTTTTCAGGAATTTATACATCTCTTCTAGGTTTCCTATTTTATGTGCATAAAGGTGTTCATAGTAGCCTTGAATGATCTTTTGTATTTCAGTGGTGTCAGTTGTAATATCTCCTGTTTTGTTTCTTAGTGACATTATTTGGATTTTCTCTCTTCTTTTCTTGTTTAATCTTGCTAATGGTCTTTCCTTTTTATTTATCTTTTCAAAGAACCAGCTTTTTGTTTCATTTATCTTTTGTATTTTTTTGGTTTTGAATTTCATTTAGTTCTGCTCTGATCTTGGTTATTTCCTTTCTTCTGCTGGGTTTGGGTTTTGTTTGTTCTTGTTTGTCTGGTTCCTTGAGGTGTAACCTTAGATTGTCTGTTTATGCTCTTTCACACTTTTTGATATGGGCGTTTATGGCTATGAACTTTCCTCTTAGCACTGCCTTTGCTGTATCCTAGAGGTTATCATAGGCTGTGTCACTATTGTCATTCAGTTCGGAGAATTGTTTAATTTCCATCTTGATTTTGTTTTTGACCCAGTGCTCTTTCAGGAGCAGGTTATTTAATTTCCATGTATTTGCATGGTTTTGAAGGTTCTTTTTGGAGTTGATTTCCAGTTTTATTCTACCATGGTCTGAGAGAGTGCTTGATATAATTTCAATTTTCTTAAATTTATAGAGACTCATTTTATGGCCTATCATATTGTCTATCTTGGAGAAAGTTCCATGTGCTCTTGAGTAGAATGTGTATTCTGCGGTTGTTGGATGAAATGTTATGTATATATCTGTTAAGTCCATTTGTTCCAAGGTATAGTTTAAACCCATTGTTTCTTTGGTGACTTTCTTTCTTGATGACTTGTCTAGTGCTGTCAGTGGAGTATTGAAATCCCCTACTATTATTGTGTTACTGTCTATCTCATTTCTTAGGTCTGTTAGTAATTGTTTTATAAATTTTGGAGCTCCATTTGTTAGGTGCATATATGTTTAAGATTGTGATATTTTCCTGTTGAACAAGGCCTTTTACCATTATGTATTGTCCCTCTTTGTCCCTCTTTTACCATTATATACTGTCCCTCTTTTCACCGCTGTTGCTTTTTGTTTTGTCTGATATATGAATAGCTACCCCTGCTCGCTTTTGGTGTGCATTTGCATGAAATGCCTTTTTTCCACTCCTTTATTTTAAGTTTATGTGAGTCCTTATGTGTTAGGTGAGTCTCCTGAAGGCAGCAGATAGTTGTTTGGTGAGTTCTTATCCATTCTGCTGTTCTGAATCTTTTAAGTGGGACATTTACAGCATTTACATTCAATGTTATTATTGAAATATGAGGTATAGTTGCTTTCATCATGCTCTTTGTTGCCTGTGTAGTTTGAGGTTTTTGTTTTGTTTTGTTTTGTTTTGCTTTTTAACTTGTATTTTTGTTTTATAGATCCTCTGTGATTTATGCTTTAATGAGGTTCTGTTTTGGTGTGTTTCCAAGATTTGTTTCAAGAGTTAGAGCTCCTTTTAGCAGTTCTTGTAGTGGTGGTTTGGTAATGGCGAATTCTCTCAGCTTTGTTTGTCTGAAGACGACTGTATCTTTCCTTCATATATGATGCTTTGTTTCATTGGATACAAAATTCTTGGCAGTTAATTGTTTTGTTTGAGGAGGCTGAAGATAAATCCCCAATCCCTTCTAGCTTGTAGGGCTTCTGCTGAGAAATCTGCTGTCAATCTGATAGGTTTTCCTGTATAGATTACCTGGTGCTTCTGTCTCACAGCTCTTAAGATTCTTTCCTTCTTCTTAACTTTGGATAACCTGATGACAATGTGCATAGGCGAACATCTTTTTGCGAGGAATTTTCCAGGCGTTCTTTGTGCTTCTTGTATTTGGCTGTCTAGGTCTCTTGCAAGGCTGGGGCAGTTTTCCTCAATTATTCCCCCAAATATGTTTTCCAGGCTTTTAGAATTCTCTTCTCCCTTAGGTACACTGATTTTTCTTAGGTTTGGTCGTTTAACATAATTCCAGAATTTTTGGAGGGTTTATTCATATTTTCTTACTCTTTTTTCTTTGTCTTTGTTGGATTGGGTTAATTTGAAGACCTTGTCCTTGAGCTCTGAATTTCTTTCTTATACTTGCTCAATTCTGTTGCTGAGACTTTCTAAAGTCTTTTGCATTTCTGAAAGTGTGTCCAAAGTTTCCTGAATTTTTTGTTGTTTGTTCTTTAAGCTATCTATGTCCATGAATATTTCTCCCTTCACTTCTTGTATCATTTTTTGGACTACCTTTCTCTGGTCCCTCCCTGATTAGCTTAATAACTAACCTTCTGAATTCTTTTTCAGGTAAATCAGGGATTTCTTCTTGGTTTGGATCATTGCTGGTGAAGTAGTATAATTTTGAGGGGGTGTTGAAGAGCCTCCTTTTTTCATATTACCAGGGTTGATTTATTTGTTCCTTCTCATTTGGGTAGGCTCAATCAGAGGAAATGTCTAGGGCTGAAGGCTGTAGTTCAGATTCTTTTGTCCCACGTGGTGTTCCCTTCATATAGTACTCTCCCCCTTTTCCAATGGATGTGGCTTCCTGTGAGCAGACTGCTGTGATTGTTGTGTCTCTTCTGGGGTCTAGCCGCTCAGCGAGTCTACCTGGCTCTGGGCTGGTACTGGGGGTTGTCTGCACAGAGTCCTGTGATGTGAACCATCTATGGGTCTCTCAGCCAGCAATACCAGCGCCTGTTTCAGTGGCGATATCGGAGGGTGCAATGGACTCTGTGAAGGTCCTTAGCTTTGGTGGTTTAATGTTCTTTGTGCTGATTGGCCTCTTGCCAGGAGGTGGAGCTTTCCAGAAAGCATCAGCTGTAGTAGTGTGGAGAGGAATTGGTGGTGGGCAGGGTCCTAGAACTCCCTTGTCTTCCACTACCAGGGTGGATAGGAAAGGACCACCAGGTGGGGGTGGGGCTAGGAGTGTCTGAGCTCAGATGCTCCTTGGGTGGGTCTTGCTGAGGCTGCTGTGGAGGATAGGGGTGAGATTCCCAGATCACTGGAGTTTTGTACATAGGAAGATTATGGTTGCATCTGCTGAGTCATGCAGGGTGTCAGGGAGGTGGGGGAAAGCTGGCAGTCAGAGGCCTCACCCAACTCACAAGTAAACTGAAGGGCCGGTCTCACTCCCACCGTGCCCCCTTCCCCAACAACTCTGAGTCTGTTCCCAGATGGAGGGCAAAATGGGCTTGAAAACTTGCCCAAGGCAATCCACCTCTCAGCTGCAAGAGAAAAGGGATTTAGTTCTTCCCCTACCTGTGATATTTGTGCCCTCCCCTGAGTTCTGGCCAGGAGGCTTCTTTCCCTGTTCAAATTGTTACAAAGTTCAGCTAAAGAATTCCTTCTCCCTGTTTATCCCCTACTCCTCTGACCACCCTCCCAATGGATGCCTGTGGTGCCAAGCAGGAATGGGCTGCTTGGGGACCCAGTGAGCCCCCAGGGCCTTTCTGCTGCTTCCTTTACCCCTGCATTTCACTCAGCTCTCTAACTTGACTCAGCTCCAGGTAAAGTCAGAAACTTCTCCCACAAACAGACCTTCAGCTTCCCCGGTGGGGGATGTGTTTGGGAGAGGATGGTCTCCCTTTCCCACTTCCACAGTTGGGGCACTCACAGTGTTTGGGGTGTCTCCTGGGTCCTGCAGGAGCAGTCCGCTTCCTTCAGAGCGTCTGTGGGTCATCTCGGGATTGCTGGTTTGTTATTGCAGTTAATCTGTGGCTAAAATTCACAGTGCAAGCCTCCACATGGTGCTCTGTCCAGAGCTGCAATCTAGTCCTGCCTCCAGTCTGCCATGATCTCCTGAATCTAGTTATTTTTAAACGTACAATTAAATTATTATTGACTGTAGTCACCCTGTTGTGCTATCAAATAATCGATCTTACTTAATCTAACTATTTTTTGTACCCATTAAACATTCCTACTTGGGCTGTTCTGCCCCCCACCCAACCCTTCGCAGTCTCTAGGGACCATCGTTCTACCCTTTCCATGAGTCCAATTGTTTTCATTTTTAGCTCCCAGAAATAAATGAGAACATGCAAAGTTTGTCATTCTGTGCCTGGCTTATTTCACTTAACATAAAGACCTTCAGTTCCATCCATATTGTTGCAAATGACAGGATCTCATTATTTTGTGGTGGAATAGTACTCTATTGTGTATATGCGCCACATTTTCTTTAACCATTCATCTGTTGTTGGCCACTTAGGTGGCTTCCAAATCTTGGTTATTGTGAACAGTGCTGCAGCAAACATGGGAGGGCAGATATCTTTTTGATATACTGATTTACTTCATTTTGGGCATATGCCCAGCAGTGGGATGGCTAGATCATATGGTAGCTCTATATTGAGTTTTTTGAAGAACCTCCAAACTTTTCTCCAAAGTGGTTGTACTAATTTACATTCCAACCAACAGTGTACTAGGTAGGGTTTCCTTTTCTCCGCATCCTTGCCAGCATTTGTTATTACCTGTGTTTTGGATAAAAGCTTTTTTTTACTGGGGTGAGATGATATCTCATTGTAGTTTTGATTTCCATTTCTCTGATGATCAATGATGTTGAGCACATTTTCATATACCTGTTTGCCATTTGTATGCCTTTTGAGAATTGTCTATTCAGATCTTTTTGTCCATTTTAAAATTGGATTACAGATTATTTTCTTATAGAGTTGCTTGAGCTCCCTATATATCCTAGCTATCAATCCCTTTTCAGATGGTGTATTAGTCCGTTTTCATACTGCTATAAAGAACTGCCTGAGACTGGGTAATTTATAAAGAAAGAGGTTTAATTGAATCATAGTTCAGCATGGCTGGGGAGCCCTCAGGGAACTTAGAATCACGGTGGAAGGTGAAGGGAAAGTAAGGCACCTTCTTCACAAGGTGGCAGGAAGGAGAAGTGCTGAGTGAAGTCGGAAGAGCCCCTTAGAAAACCATCAGATCTCGTGGGAACTCACTCACTATCATGAGAACAGCATGGGGAAACTACCCCCATGATCCAGTTACCTCCACCTGGTCTCTCCCTTGACACTTGGGGATTATGTGGATTATGGGAATTACAATTCAATATGAGATTTGGGTGGGGACACAAAGCCTAACCATGTCAAATGGCTAGTCTGCAAATATTTTCTCCCATTCTGTGGGTTGTCTCTTTAGTTTGTTGATTGTTTCCTTTGCTGTGCAAATGCTTTTTAGCTTGATATGATCCCATTTGTTCATTTTTGCTTTGGTTGCCTGTGTTTATGGGGTATTACTCAAGAAATCTTTGCCCAGTTCAATGTCCTGGAAAGTTTCACCAATGTTTTCTTGTAAAAGTTTCACCAATGTTTTCTTGTAAAAGTTTCATAGTTTGAGGACTTAGATTGAAGTCTTTAATCCATTTTAATTTGATTTTTGTATATGGCAAGAGATGGAGTCTAGTTTCCTTCTTCTGCATATGTATATCCAGTTTTCCCAGCACCATTTACTGAAGAGACTGTCCTTTCCCCCAGTGTATGTTTTTGGCATATTTGTAAAAAAATGAGTTCACTGTAGATGTACAAATTTCTTTCTGGGCTCTGTTCCATTGTTCTGTATGTCTGTTGTTTCTATGCATATCTTATTGTACTGTCTGTCTTGAAAAGTTGTGGTAGTTATTTTTTTATTGGTTTATCTTTTCATCTTTCTAGTTAAGATATCAGTAGTTTACACACCACAATTACGGTGTTGTAATATTCTGTGTTTTTTCCGTGTACTTAATATTACCAGTGAGTTTCACACCTTCAGATGTTTTCTTATTGCATAATAACATCCTTTACTTTCAAATTGGAGAACTCCTTTCTGCATTTCTTGTAGGACAGGTCTGATGAAATCTCTCAGATTTTGTTTCTCTGGGAAAGTGTTTATTTCTCCTTAATGTTTGAAGGGTGTTATCACTGCACAAACTCATCTAGGGTAAAAGTTTCTTTCCTTCAGCACTTTAAATATGCCACTCTCTCCTGGCCTGTAAGGTTTCTACTGGAAAGTCTGCTGCCAAAGGTATCCGAGCTCTATTGTATGTTGTTTGTTTCTTTTCTCTTGCTGCTTTTAGGATCCTTTCTTTATCGTTGACCTTTGGGAGTTTGATTATTAGCTGCCTTGAGGTAGTCTTCTTTGGGTTAATCTGCCTGGTGTTCTATAAATTTATTGTACTTGGATATTGATATCTTTCTCTAAGTTTGGGAAGTTCTCTGTTGTTATCCCTTTGAATACACTTTCTACCCCTGATGCTCTCTCTACCTCTTCTTTAATGCAAATAACACTTAGATTTGCCCTTTTGAGGCTATTTTCTAGGTCTTGTCGGTATGCCTCAATGTTTTTATTCTTTTTTTCCTCTCACCGTGTATTTTCAAATAACCTGTCTTCAAGCTCACTAATTCTTTTTTCTGCTTGATCAATTCTGCTGTTAAGAGACTGTGATGCATTCTTCAGTATTTCAATTGCATTATTCATCTCCAGAATTTCTGCTTGATTATTTTTAATTACTTCAATTCCTTTGTTAAATTTGTCTGATAGAATTCTGAATTCCTTCTCTGTGATATCTTGAATTTCTTTGAGTTTTCTCAAAACAGCTATTTTCAATTCTCTGTCTGAAATGTCACATATCTCTATCTCTCTGGGATTGGCCCCTGGTGCTTCATTTAGTTAATTTGTGAGACCATATTTCCCTGCATGGTCTTGATGATCGTGGATGTTTGTCGGTGTTGTGGCATTGAAGAGTTAGGTATGTATTGTGGTCTTTGCCATCTGGGCTTGTTTGTACCTATCCTTCTTGGAAAGGATTTCCAGGTATTCAAAAGGACCTGGGTGTTGTGATCTAAGCCATGCCTGCCTTAGGGGGCACCCTAAGCCTAGTAACACTGTAGTTCTTGCAGACTTGTAGATACCACCTTGGTGGTCTTGGATTAGATCTGGAAGAATGCTCTGGATTGCCAGGCAGAGACTCTTTCTCTTCCCTTACTTTCTCCCAAACAAACAGAGTCTCTCTTTCTCTCTCTCTCTCTCTCTCTCTCTCTCTGTTCTGATCCTCCTGGAGCTGGGGTAGAGTGACACAAGCACTTCTGTGGCCACCACCACTCGTATTACACTGTGTCAGACCTGAAGCCAGCACAGCACTGGGTCTTGCTCAAGGCCTGCTGTGACCACTACCTGGCTACCGCCTATGTTTGTTCAAGGCCCTAGGTCTCTATAATCAGCAGGTGGTCAAGCCAGCCCATCTTGTGTCTTTTCCTTCAGGGTAGTGAGATCTCCCAGGCCCTGGGCAGGTCCAAAGATGCTGGAGTTGGAAATGTTAGAAATCTGCCTAGTGCTCTACTCTACTGCAGCTAAACTGGCACCAAAACCACAAGACAAAGTCCTTCCCACTCTTTCCTCCCTGTTCTGGAGAAGAAGGAGGAGTCTCTCCCCATGTCCATCACAACCACAGTCCCACGGTGGGTACTGCCAGGGTACCACTGATGTTCACTTAATGCCCAATGGCTCTTCAGTCATCTTGTGGTGAATGCTGCCAGGCCTGGGACTCATATTTCAGAGCAGCGAGCTCTCCTCTGACCAGGGTAGGTCCAGAAAAGCTGTCTAAGAGCCAAGGATTGGAATCAGGGACCACAAGAGCCTGCTTGGTGCTCTTCCCCCAACTGCAGCTGAGTTGATACCTAAACTACAAGAAAAAGTCCCCTTTATTCATCCCTCTCCTTTTCTCAAGCAGAAGGAGTCTCTCCCCATAGTCACCACAGCTGGGAATGTGCTGGGTCATAACTGAAGCCAGCATGTCTCAGTATCACCCAAGGCCCACGATGTGTACTACCTGGTTACCACTGCTGATTATTCAGGGCCCAGGGGCTCTTTAGTAGGTGATGAATCATGCCAGGACTGAGTTTTTCTCTTCAAGGCAGCAGGTTCCCTTCTGGCCCCGGGTGTGTCTAGAAATATTGTCTGGGAGCTATGTCCTGTAATGGGGCCTTCAGGACTCTGCCCAGTGCCCTATCCTACTATGGCTGAGCTAGTATCTAAGTTGAAAAACAAAATCCTCTTTACTCCTTCCTCTCCTCTTCTCAAGTGGAAGGAATGGGTCTCTTTTAGAGCTGTGATCTGTGCTGCCTGGGGTTAGGGGAGGGGTGATGCCAGCACTCCCTTAGCCACCCCAGCTGACATCTCCCTAGATCACATGCCCCCCACGTCCACTGGCTCTAAGCCCAGCACAGCAGTAGGACCTGCCTAGGTGTTGCATTCCTTGTGGCCTAGACAGCCTTTGAAGTTTATTTAGGACCTCCAAGCACTTTAGCCTATAGTGATGAGGCTTGCTAAAACTCACATTCTTACCATTTGGATGAGTGATTTCCTTCTGGCTAGGGCTGGTCTAAATGCTCCCTCAGTAGGCATGGACTGTTTTGCCCAGTGCTGGCAGCACTGACTTCCAATGCAAAGTCCCACAGTTGCTGCACTCTCCCTTCCCAAGTGCACAGATTCTCTTTCTACACCACAGAGCCACTTCTGGGGAGTGGGGGAGGGGTGGTGTTGACAAATCAAAACTGTCTTTCTTACCTTCTTCAGTGCTTCTTTCAGCAATATGAAGTTAAAAACAGGTACTGTGGTTGCTCACCTGATTTTTGGTTCTTATGAAGGTGCTCTTTTGTGTAGATAGTTGTCAAGTTTGGTGTTCCTATGGGGAGGATGATCAGTGGAGGCTTCTATTGTGCCATCTTGCTACAACTCCCTCTTGCTGTGTCTTCATTTTCATTCATCTGAAAGCATTTTCTAAATTCCTATGATTTCTTCTTTGACCCATTGGTTGTTTAGTAGTGTGCTGTTGAATCTCCACATACTCGTGAATTTTCCAAACCTAGTTGTCTTATTTATTTCTAATTTCATTCTATTTTGGTTGGAGAATATACATTGTATAATTTCAATGTACAATGTATTGTCACAGAGTGACACTCCTTCTGTGTATGGTGGACACTGGAGGGCGGTGGCAGCTGCTGGTCTTCTCGGCTTATCCTTCCCTGCAGAAAAAACTGGTGCTATGAGCAAGCTAGGGAAGAGGTGATTGGGGCCAGTATTATCAGTCTCCTACACCTGGAGTAGTGTTTATATCATATGAGTGGAGCTGGGTGGGAGAAGAGAGATGCAGTCCTTTCTGTTACACCTTTCTGGAATATAGCTTTTTCAACACAGTGCTGAGGGGAATGAGAAACACCAGCAGCCTGCTCCTCCTGGGTGAAACTGTATCCTGGGTGAGACTGGAAACTGGAAGAGAAAGAGCCCTGTCTTCTTGATTACACATGTCCAGGGTAGACCTTCCATAACACGGAGCTGGGAGAAAGGGGAAAAGGTACTGGAGTGAGTTGTGGCTCAAATGCCATAGACTCTCACTGTTCCTACTGTTGTTTAGTAGATTCTTTTGAATTCTTTTGAATGACATTTCTTTCCCTTTTCTACATGTCCTTAGAAAAATTTTCGGAGACTTTGAATGATTGCTTTTTTAAAAAAATTTATTTTATTTTATTTTATTTTATTTTTTGAGACGGAGTCTTGCTCTGTCGCCCAGGCTGGAATGCAGTGGCGCGATCTCCGCTCACTGCAAGCTCCGCCTCCTGGGTTCACGCCATTTTCCTGCCTCAGCCTCCGAGTAGCTGGGACTACAGGCACCTGCCAGCATGCCCGGCTAATTTTTTGTATTTTTAGTACAGAAGGGGTTTCACCATGTTAGCCAGGATGGTCTCGATCTCCTGACCTCGTGATCCGCCCGCCTCGACCTCCCAAAGTGCTGGGATTACAGGCGTGAGCCACCATGCCCTGTCGAATGATTGCTTTTAAAGTAATTTTCATCAGATAAACTGTTGTTTGGCTGGGGCGAGGGTATGCTGGACCCCTTATTACATCATCCCTGTAGTCCTGCTTCCCCAGTAGTATTTTTATACGGAGAAACTTCTCCAGAAAGCCATCTTCTATCTGTCACCTTTCCTGATTTAACCATGATCAAATGTATTCAAGAGGTGTCAAAAGACCCAAGATCCCTAGTAATAGCCCGGAAGTTCAGTGATGAGGTAGTATAGATGGACAGTAACCTTAAAAACTGCCTGTGTTCAGCGAATGGTAGTTTTTGCATATTCCATTCTGTTTTTGTTCTTGACAAATTTCACCATAGCACTCCTATGAGAGATGGGGACCTGATAATTTCTAATGACAATTGGTGTCTACATGATCATGAAAGACTTGGAAGGTGAATATCATTCTTTCACAAGAATGAACGCCTTGGGTACCTGGCCTACCTTAAAGTTGCATCTACGTTTACATTTACATTTTAGCATTTACCACCTAGTGTTGCCTCACATGGCCCCTGAGTCTAGAATTCCAAAAAAAAAAAAAAATGTTGTGTTGGATTTGGAAGTGGTTTGGACATGATGGAAAGAAAATTCTCCTGTATGATGAATAGAGCAAATTGATATGATGCCCGATGTCTGTTTTCCTGTCAAGTTTAGTGTGCCTTCAGGGCTCAAAACCTTTTGCTAGTTTATTGAACCCAGCTCATGGAGTGCTTCTCTTTCCCGCTAAACAAAAATGGACATTTCACCTCTGATGAAAATATCATAGTCTCTACACAATATCTGTCTTAAAATTATACTTATTCCTATTAATCTTCATGGATAAACTTTATGGAGCAAGGATCTTTGAAACTTTAAATATTTAAGGCCTTTATAATATTGCTTCTGTGGGTTAACAAAAAAACCCGTACTAAAAAAGATAAAATAATGATTGAATAAACTCCAGTGAAATTTCTTACCTATGTTATCTCCAGCCAAAGATGTCTTATGATTCTGGACAAAGTGACCCAGAGGGTCTACAGTGGGAAACTCTCATGTAAATCAGAAATGTTCATCACTCTCTGAGATTCATTATACAGTATTATAAACAGAACACTTCCTCACCATTCCCCAGGCCATGGAAGACAGAGCATCTATCAACTCTTCTACCTTTCAAAGATAGTGTTGAGGACAGAAATTCTGCCCCTCTCTCCATCCGTTACTTGCTTTTGCCCAATGAAAGAAGAGTAATTAACATGATTGGAGGTTGCCTGACATCCATAAGCCATACTCAGCAAATGGGTGGAGTAACAGTGATTCCAAATAAAATTAGCATTTTTCTTTCTCCTTTTCACTGCCTTACTCATATACTGGTAAATGTGTGAGCAGTTGTCTGCTCCTATGTGTAAGCACTTATGTGTAGTAAGCATACTTGGGGCGGGGCCTGTAGCATGCCCTCCATATAGAGACTTGGTCAGTCTCTCTCTCTCTCTCACACACACAAACACACACACACACACACACACACGTACACACATATACACTTTTGTTCCTTTTATTCTTGCTCTTGCTGGTGACTGTGTGTGTAAGGAAGACCTGTGACCCTTGGAGATGGCTTTGTAAGCCAGTGTATACTCAATAGACACAACTTTCTGCACAGGCATGCCCTAAAATCTCATTTTAGTAAGGAAATAGGAAGATGCTATTTTAGACTCAATATACAGCCACATTTCTCTAATCCAGCTTTAGCAAGAGAAACATATGTTTTGGGATCACTGAGCCCTTGTCTTGTTCACTAATTAAGCTGATACTCTGATCCTCATTTAGCTATTAGTTCACCATATCTATTTTTTGCATGAGACGGAAACCAGAATGGAGGAGTGAATCATACTTCCTCCCTCCAATTTACAAAAGCTTCAACAATTCATTCCATAATTCTCTGTGTTGACAGTCCCAGTAAAAAACTTACTAAAAAGAATGAAAGAATATATGGGCCCTTAAAATAGCAAGTCAAGTTCCTTAATGTCTTTACATCTGTTCAGATTCCCAACCTTGATCTGTGGTTTTGAATCCAATCCCAAAAAGAAATCTGACCTCGTGATAGTGGCTCTTGTTGTCCCAAGATGGCTCTGACTCCAGCTACCTTCACGCCAGAGCTTTGATTCAATCAAATCTTATATGTCTGGTAAACAAACGTGTGAAAGAGATAATCTCATCTGGAAAGTACTAAATAATGATAAAGATGATTCTATACAGCTTTACTCCCAACAGGGAACACCTATACCCATGGGCTTATGGCATAAAAGCAGCACTGTGACTCTTTCAATATACAGACTAAGGTCATCAAGACTTTTAGCAGCCCCATATTTTATTTTTACTTAAATTTTTATTTTTAATTGACAAATAATAATTGTGTGTATTTAGGGGGTACAATTTGATGTTTTGATAAATATGTACACGTTGTAAATGATTATATCAAGTTAATTAACATATCCATCATTTCACATACTTATAATTTTTCGTGGTGAGAATATTTAAAATCTACCCTTTTGATGTGAAGGACCTCTTCAAGGAGAACTACAAACCACTGCTCAACGAAATCAAAGAGGACACAAACAAATGGAAGAACATTCCATGCTCATGGATAGGAAGAATCAATATCGTGAAAATGGCCATACTGCCCAAGGTAATTTATAGATTCAATGCCATCCCCATCAAGCTACCAATGACTTTCTTCACAGAATTGGGAAAAAAAACTACTTTAAAGTTCATATGGAACCAAAAAAGAGCCCGCATTGCCAAGACAATCCTAAGCAAAAAGAACAAAGCTGGAAGCATCACGCTACCTGACTTCAAACTATATTACAAGGCTACAGTAACCAAAACAGCATGGTACTGGTACCAAAACAGAGATATAGACCAATGGAACAGAACAGAACCCTCAGAAATAATACCACACATCTACAACCATCTGATCTTTGACAAACCTGACAAAAACAAGCAATGGGGAAAGGATTCCCTATTTAATAAATGGTGCTGGGAAAACTGGCTAGTCATATGTAGAAAGCTGAAACTGGATCCCTTCCTTACACCTTATACAAAAATTAATTCAAGATGGATTAGAGACTTAAATGTTAGACCTAAGACCATAAAAACCCTAGAAGAAAACCTAGGCAATACCATTCAGGACATAGGCATGGGCAAGGACTTCATGCCTAAAACACCAAAAGCAATGGCAACAAAAGACAAAATAGACAAATGGGATCTAATTAAACTAAAGAGCTTCTGCACAGCAAAAGAAACCACCATCAGAGTGAACAGGCAACCTACAGAATGGGAGAACATTTTTACAATCTACCCATCTGGCAAAGGGCTAATATCCAGAATCTACGAAGAACTTAAACACATTTACAAGAAAAAATCAAACAACCCCATTAAAAAGTGGGAAAAGGATATGAACAGACACTTCTCAAAAGAAGACATTTATTCTGCCAAAAGACACATGAAAAAAATGCTCATGATCACTGGCCATCAGAGAAATGCAAATCAAAACCACAATGAGACACCATCTCACACCAGTTAGAATGGCAATCATTAAAAAGTCAGGAAACAACAGGTGCTGGAAAGGATGTGGAGAAATAGGAACGCTTTTACAGTGTTGATGGGACTGTAAACTAGTTCAACCATTGTGGAAGACAGAGTGGCGATTCCTCAAGGATCTAGAACTAGAAATACCATTTGACCCAGCCATCCCATTATTGGGTATATACCCAAAGGATTATAAATCATGCTGCTATAAAGGCACATGCACACATATGTTTATGGTGGCACTATTCACAATAGTAAAGACTTGGAACCAACCCAAATGTCCATCAATGATAGAGTGGATTAAGAAAATGTGGCACATATACACCATGGAACACTATGCAGCCATAAAAAAGGATGAGTTCATGTCCTTTGCAGGGACATGGATGAAGCTGGAAACCATCATTCCAAGCAAACTATCACAAGGACAGAAAATCAAACACAGCATGTTCTCACTCATAGGTGGGAAGTGAACAATGAGAACACTTGGACACAGGGTGGGGAACATCACACACCCGGGCCTGTCGTGGGGTGGGGGCAGAGGTGTGGGATAGCTTTAGGAGATATACCTAATGTAAATGACGAGTTAACGGGTGCAGCACACCAACATGGCACATGTATACATATGTAACAAACCTGTGCGTTGTGCACATGTACCCTAGAACTTAAAGTGTAATTTAAAAATCTACCCTTTTTGCAATTTTTAAATCTACAATACATTATTATTCACTATGGTTACCATGCTGTGCAATAGATCTTGAAAACGTATTTCTCTCTAACTGAAGCTTTGTACTTTTTGATCAACATCTCCCTGTCCCCAAACCCCACCCCACCCCAGCCTCTGGTAACCCCCATTCTACTTTCTACTTCTATTAAGTTTGGCTTTTTGAGATTCTATGTATAACTGATATCATGCAGTATTTGTCTTTCTATGTCTGGCTTATTTCACTTAACAAATGTCCTGCAAGTTCATTCATATTGTCACAAGTGACAGAATTTCCTATTTTAATCCTGAATAATATTCCCATGTGTATATGTACCACATTTTCTTTATCCATTCATCTGTTGATGGACATTTAGGTTGATTCCATATCTTGCCTATTGTGAATAATGCTACAATAAACACAGGAATGCAGATATATCTTCAACAAACTGATTTCATATCCTTTGGATATATACTCTGCAAAGTTCTCATGGCTTTTCATTGGTTCAGATCTAGTCACATGCCAATCCATAAGATCATCACTATAGCCAGGGAGTGCTGACTTGCTTGGACCAAATAAGGTCTATTCCTAGAGCTGAGGGTGGAGGCCAATTCCAACCAAACCAAATGAGTTGAGAATAGGGCAAAAGTGGGTCATCAAGCAAAAGATGAAGTGATATTGCTGGAATACTTGAGAATGAATATTCAAGAGATATATCAGTGTCATCTATAGCTTCTCTCTTAATCATGACTAGAACTCTCCCTTAGGCTAAACTATCATTTGCAGCCCTGGATAAATACAATATTTCAATCCATAACTTTATGGTGTCTTAAAGAAGCTGAGCCCTAAGATTTACCTAGGCTTTCTTCCAGAAGCACTGCCTATGTTCTACATAGTCAGTATGTCCTGCTTAGTGCCCAAAATATCAGACAAATATAAAGAGGATAACTGGTAGAAAAACTTTTCTGCTGTCCTGTCTTCAATAGGATATCTAAAACACCCTCTAGCTTGGTTAACAGTAAGGATTGACTGGATGTTCAGTGCTAGTCTTCTCTCCAGCAATGTGTCATCTGGTTTTCTGGCTACAGATGTGTTTCTGGAACAAGAGTTAAAGCAGGAAATTTTCCTTCTGAGTTAGAATGGGATTCTAAAAGCCAAAAGATGAGCCAACTCAAAATCCTTTTTGAGAGAACAGAGACTCAAAAATCAAATTCCATAATTATAGTCATGAGGTAAGATGGTTCCTCCAGACTTTTAATACTACCTTAAGTGGTGTGATTAATTTCTGCCTTCATCTACAACAACCATAGTTTCCATGATAAACATGCATTTGGGCCAGATATTTTGCTCAGGGATTCTCATACACCGAAAGATGGCTCACTGTGTTGTGTTAGAAGAATCCGTCCCTATTTAGTAAAGGCAAATTAGATTAGGGTGATCCAGGGTGATTGAAGAGTTTGTTGAAGAGCATCTGGAGATACTGAAATGCCTCAATTACTGCGGAGTCCAAAAGATAGCTACATCTCCTTACTTGATTAGGTGGGTGAGTGGTCAAATAAATTAGTGCAATAAAATAACAATTACTATTTATTGACTAATGACTATGATAGGCACTATGCTAAATATTTTACATACATCACCCCATTTAATTTGTATAGCAAGCCTATGAGGTAGTTATGATTACTATCTGCTACCTTAGTAAGAGACTAAAATAGGACAAAATTAAGTAAGAATGACCCTGAGGCAGAGCAAGGGAGTGTAGAATGATTTCCCAGAATGTAGGAATAAAACAGGACTTGAGTAAGCATTATGTGTCTAAAAAGTTGTGAGTTTCAGATAACACCATAGTTTTCTATTGATCATGGGAGCAACAAAATAATTATCAGGCACTGGAGAGGAAAAAAGAAGCAACAGTGACAGTTGCCAGACCTAGAGGGTTTTTCAGACAGGCAGGCAGCCAATTCAGCAAAACTTGAATGACAAATGGCAAAGGACCAGATGCAATAGTTAACATGTCAGTGATGCCAGATAATACAGAGACAGATAATACTGAAGACAAGATTCCCATTGTACCCCTGACCTTTATGCCCTTGTACCTTGTACACTCCTCCGAACTTAGATATAACCTTTTAGAAAAGGCAAAGAGCACTAAAAATTAGTTCAGATTATTTTCCCTACATGGAATATCTTGAATGAAGGTTGCATTGTGCTTCAGAGCATGCATAGGAGGAATACACATGAAATCCCACACCCCATTTATATTATAGTTCTTTGTATAGTTGGCCTAGAAAGTGGTGAGAAACAAAGATATTGTACCATAAACACTTCAGTTCATTGTCTCTGATTATTCAGATGGAATGTAAATGAATGGGACATGAGTGAGCTAAAGAAAGGGTAAATATAAGAAGTTGGGGGCTGAATGTAAAGAAATGAGAAGCTGGAAGTGGAAGTAATAGGTTTTGCAACCTTCTTAACTTGGAATTGGCCTGGGGTTGGTACTTGAGTTTTCCAGAGGATCAAGTGAAGTGGATGTGACAGAAGAAGCAGATTGGGTCTCTCACTCAGTGGTTTACCTTGGTGAGAAGCACTTGGAATGATCCTTGCTCCAATTCAAGGTCCTCCTATAAATGATGTAGTTCCTCCAGATATAGACTAATGCCTAATGTCAAAAGTGTGCTGGCTGGTGCAGAAAACACAGGGGTGAAACTTGTAATTGCCCTAAAAGAGAGCCTGCTTGTGGACAAGTGCAGAGAAATTTCTTTGCTCTTCAAATACTATATTTATTTCACATCCTTTCCTGGGGCATTGGTTTGAGAATGTTGATGTCACTGATATGTAGATTGGAATTTGGAGTGCCTTAAAAGCGTATCCTTCAAGCCAAGATAATTTTATGTGATTCAACTGAGTGCCAGCCCTGATCCAGAGAGAAATAGCCTAAATATCAAAGGAATTACAAGACCTAAGGAAATGACAGAATATAAGTCTGAAAAAAGAATTTATTGTTATGGGAAAATTCACCTATGCATCAGAACATTTTTAAACTTTTGTTTTGAATTAAGTAAAAACTTAGGAAAAGTTTCAAAAATGGTACAAAGAGTCTTCAGATTCCCCAAATGTTAATGCTTCTATATTTGCTTTGTCAATCTCCTTCCCCCAACTCCCTTCCTCCCTCTCTCTTCCTCTTCCTCACCCTATTATCTTCCTCAGCACATAATACATATTAACTATTTGAGAATAAGTTGGAGATGTCATGCCCTTTAATCCTAAATAATTCAATGTATGTTTCCTAAAATCAAGGACATTCTCTTACAATGACAATACAGTTATCAAATTGAAGAAATTGGCATTAACGCAATATTTTTACTCATCTATCAAACTTATTCAAAGTCCACCAATTGTCCTAATAATGTACTTTATAAGGACATGAAATTGCAGCTCACAAGTGGCATGCAGTTGCCACATTCCTTTAGTATACTTTATGTGTGAATTTGAATTTAATGATCTGGCAAGGCTACCTAGAGATGATCTTAATATTTATTTGAGGGGCTCCTTGAATCCCAATCATGTTGATGCGTTATAGTAACCAAGGTCGAGCCATCTGAACTTTCTTGGCATAGTATCTACTAAGAAAGTAACCTCAGAGGGTTAAAATAGATTTATAATGTAAGACTTGAAAACCCACCAATTGAGTCTGCACCACAGAAGAACCAGAAGTGACTCCTTTTACAAGGCATGCACTAGTGATGGAAACAATAGTATCTTTGAGCTCACTGATGGCTGTTATCTGTAGGCTATGGTTGACACTGTGAGATTCTGCCATGGAAATTGGCTCTCTAATACTGTTACGGGATTTCTGGGATGTCGATTTTTCTGGCTGGAAACCTCTGTGGCCGCACCTTTGCCCTAGTTCTTGCCTTGCATCCAGGAAGAATGAGGTTCTCAGACAAATGAAGGGTGAAGAAGTAGAAGAGTTTTATTTAGTGTTAGAACAGTTGCAGTGAGCCGACACGGTGCCACTGCACTCCAGCCTGAGCAACAGAGTAAGACTCCGTCTCAAAAAACAAACAAACAAACAAACAAACAACAACGACAACAAAAAAAACAGCTCAGAGGAGTGAGTAGCTCCTCTCTGTAAGCAAGTCATCCCTTTGACTGTTCAGCTATCAGCAAAGAGGAGGCCCTGGAGAGAGTAACTCCTCTCTGCAGACAAGCCATTCGGACCTCTCTGCCCGTCTCTGAAGCTCTCAGCAGAGAGCGTAGCTTCTGTCTGCCAGCAGGTCATCTCTGCAGCATTCAGCGGAAGGGTACTTCCCCCTCTGTAGCTGGTCGTCCTGTCCCATTGCATCTCTGCCCTCTTCGTCCTCTGGCCGTCCTCTCTCCTACTCTGGCTGATACCAGGGCTTTTATGGGCCTCACAGGGGAGGAAATGCATGCCCAATGGTCCATGGGCGGCCATGGCAGGCTGGAAGAGGCACCACGAGCTGCATCCCGCTGCCATTCATGTCCCCCCCGGGCTCCGCCCCAACCCTCGCTCGGAGATCGGAGCAGGCGCAGGGAGTGGAGAGAGGCCAGGCAGCATGAGAAGACATCCCCTAGCCTGCAGGGACGGGGTGGGGAGGTCCTTCCTGGGGCACCCGAGGTTACAGGCTGCAGAGACACCCAGCTCCTGCACCTGGTTGGGAGTCACAGCCTCGCCTGGGATGGCAGATCCCGCCTGCTCCCAGCCCTCTCCAAATAGCACAGGGAGGCTCGGATCCACAGCCGCAATTTAGGTGGCTGTAGCCCGGCCCAGCAGGATGGGGTTCCTTTGTGCTCCGTGGAGCAGGAGGCCTGGGTCTGCAGCTGCGGTTTGGGCAGCTGCAGCAACAAACGGGGAGTTCCCGTCCCAACTCACAAGGGGCGGGGCTCCCACCGGCTCCACGGAGTGTGCAGCATTAGCCGCACCTCCCTGCTGCAGCCGGAATGATGACCGCAGCTACTGCCATCAATACCAACATGGGCGAAGAGATTCCGGAATTACAGAGGCCACAAGGTAACTCTCAGCCACCAACCCTTATTAACATGGCAGGTAGCAAGGACTGACTGTTGACTGCTATGCCATGATTCATAGAAACAGCAACTGAAATAGACGATGGTGTTTCTAGATGGGGATTCAACTAGGCTGTTTCTCTATTTTGTTATAATAAAGAAATAGAAAGCTGGTGATTAGAAGGTTGGTGTCAGACGCCATAAATGGAAAATTGCACTTCTCACGCAGTTTCCAGATCTATGTCATTCACAGACCCATTGATTCAAGATCATGCTGATTCACCTCAAGTATAAAAAGTGAATATTTCTTTAGTGTTTCTTTTTTCAGCCTTTGTCCAGGATACTTTTAGACTGGGGAAAAGAAATTATTCAGACTCTAATACTGTTATATATACGGTTTGAGGTGGCATTGATCACAGAGGTCCTAAAACACCATCATGTTCATCTGATTAATATGGAGGCTTTAAGGTTCAGGTAAGAAATGGAGTTTTGGCTGAAGCCCATCTTATATTGGGTCAAATGGGTCCACACACCCACATTGTGGCTTTTTCTCTGGTCTCTGAGTGTATAATTTGGAGATGCATTCTTAGACGCCAAGAATGAAAGACTTCTCCTATTGTTTCAATGACCTGTGGATGAAAACCATTATAATACAAAAAAAAAAAAACAAGTGAAACCACTCCAACCTTCTGGCAAACATTCAAATCACAAAAAAATTATATTTCTAGAGTCACCGCAAAAATTAGTGTCACCATCAAAGATTTAAAAGATATATTCTGTTTTCTCAATTTTCTCATCTGAACTCTGTAAAACCAGATGGTTCATGACAGATGACAGTGATTACTGTAAACTTAACCAACTGGAAGTTCTGATTGCAGTTGCTGTGCTAGATATAGTGAGGATTGAAAGCAATTCACAATTACTTTGTTAATATGGCAGCTTGCAAACACTCACTTGTGTCAGTGCTGTTAAGTCATGCTCTTTGATGTAATATAGTCCATAGGAACCCTAAACATCTCAACATTTCTGAGAAGTTGTTTTTCTCACATCATATTAACTGAGTCTGCTGAGCTGGATGTAGCAATGCCCCTAAATTCCACAATAAGATACTTGTATGCCAAAAGGTGGAAGATAAGCTCCATAAACATTCATCGCCCTGCCATATTGATGAAGTTAAAGGAGGGTCTGGAACCTGCTGGTATATTTTCCCAAGTAAAAGACAGATTGTTGCACCTACTGCCACCAAGAGACAGGGACAGCATTTAATTTGGCCCCAATAGAAGTATAACAGTACAAAAGTTCAGGGCTCTAGAGGGAGGCCATGCCATTTATAGCAAAAACATGTTCTCTGTTTGAAAATCGTCATCTGATATGCTACTGGGCCCTAGTTGAGACTGGGCACAAGATACCAAGATAATTTGCAAGCTAGATTCTCATTGTGATCTGTTTATTATTGGATCCACCACATCGTAACTTTAAGTAGACATAGCAGCTATCTATTTAATCCCCTGTACAATGAAGTAATCAATTTAGAATTGGCTCAAGCAGGTCTAGAAGGCATGAATCAACTATACGAATAGTGGCCCAGATGCCCATGTAACCTGACTTTGTTGCATTTTTGCCTCTTCTTCAACTTACACCAAGCAATGCTAAACATGAAATTCAGGATAAAGAATTCAGAGCTACCAAAGAGAAGTAGAGTTTCAAAGTTTATTCCTTGCATAAAAGCATCGCACCTAAGGGGAGACCATTTATATCTTAAACATCTTATATGTTTGATGTTTTTCTTATGTTTATTATAAAATTGTTGACTCCAAAGACAGGTAATTTGAATCTTTATTTCAGCAATTGTCCACACATTGTGGTAAACACTTGTTTTTAACAAAATCAATATCTGCAGAAACATTGCTTGACATTCTGTTGGAAGCAAAGTGCCTTCTTCCAAATATGATGGATACATATTATTCCATTGAAAGCAACAATTGAGAGTCAAGTTTGATAATTGAAAGACTTTGTTGATTCTAATAACATCTAAAATAACTGCTTTTATCTAATGATCAGTGATGTTGAGCCTTTTTTGTTGTTGTTCATATGATTGTTGGGCACATGTATGTCTTCTTTTGAAAGTATCTGTTCATGTCCTTTGCCCACTTTTTAACGGGGTTGTTTGTTTTTTTCTTGTAAATTTGTTTAAGTTCCTTATAGATGCTGGATATTAGACCTTTGTCAGATGCACAGATTGCAAAAATTTTCTCCCATTCTATAGGCTGTCTGTTTACTCTGTTGATAGTTTCTATTGCTGTGCAGAAGTTCTTTAGTCTAATTAGATTCCATTAGTCAATTTTTGCTTTTGTTGCAATTGCTTTTGTCATCTTCATCATGAAATCTTTGCCCATGCCTGTGTCCTGAATGGTATTGCCTAAGTTGTCTTTCCAGGGTTTTTAGTTTTGGGTTTTATGAGATATCATCTAACAGCTGTCAGAATAGCTATTATTAAAAAGTCACAAAACAACAGATGCTGGCGAGGTGGCAGAGAAAAAGAAACAGTTATATCCTGCTGGTGGGAGTGTAGATTAGTTCAGCCTTTGTGGAAGACAGCGTGGCAATTCCTCAGAGACCTAAAGACAAAAGTACCATTTGACCCAGCAATCCCGTTACAAGGTATATACCCAAAGGAATACAAATCATTCTATTATAAAGACAGATGCATGTGTGTATTCATTGCAGCACCATTCACAATAGCAAAGATATGGAATCAACTTAAATACCCATCAAAGATAGACTGGATAAAGAAAATACACCATGGAATACTGTGCAACCATAAACAAGAATGAGATAAATTTGTATAATTTATACCGAATGAGTATGATGTTTATATTTTTGATAGATAAATAAATAATATGCTAACTAAAATATTTACCAGGTGACTGGGCATCTTTTTCTAATTTGCATAAAATCTCTGCTGTTTGGGCTAGTGGTAACACTGAGTGATGACCTTTGACGAGGCAGATGGAGGATGGGATACAAAAGAAGAATGCAGGTAGATGGAAATTACTGTTAATATTCTAGTTCTTGTTTGGGTGGTAGGTTTATTTGTGTTCAGTTATAATTAGATAGCTAGCTAGATAGATAGAAAAAATACATACATGGAGTAATGATGATGAAGTACCATGAAATAAAAGTTATAATTAATTAATTTCTATTTGCTGGAGGTCCATCAAAAATGTGTTTGTAGGGGGCTAGATTAAAAGAAAATGTGATTCATGTCTAGGAAGAGAAATGATCTGGTGCACTGGGACTTGCTGTATAAATCCTAAAAGATTAGACTGCTTCTTCCCTCCTTTCGCCCCAGTAGGGATGGATCCAAATGCAGAACAGTTTACAAGAAGCCTACCGTGAAGCCTGGGTAGAATATTTATGGAATATGGGTAGCTCATGGGCCTATGCCTGTTAAGCAGGGGGAGGGATGTTAAAGGAGCATCAAACTGGCACTTTGGGAGGCCGAGGCGGGCGGATCACGAGGTCAGGAGATCAAGACCATCCTGGTTAACACAGTGAAACACCGTCTCTACTAAAATAACAAAAAAAATTAGCCGGGCTTGGTGGCGGGTGCTTGTAGTCCCAGCTACTCCGGAGGCTGAGGCAGGAGAATGGCGTGAACCCAGGAGGTGGAGCTTGCAGTGAGCTGAGATCGCGCCACTGCACTCCAGCCTGGAAGACAGAGCGAGACTCCATCTCAAAAAATAAAAATAAAAAATAAAAAATAAAAAAATAAAAGGAGCATCAAACTGGAGAGGTGAATTGTGAAAGGAGCCAAAGAGAGTAAGGATTGATGGATTGGTATGAAGACGAATAGACATAGAAGCGAGCTAATCTATTTCAGAGATGACAATATATGGCATATATCTGCTATGTCCATGGCACACATCACTAATCAATTATTGCATTCTATCCCACTGAGCTTGACCATGGCCTCCGAATTCTTTTCAACATAACACTACAGGCAGTTATTAGTGATTGATCAGAGTTAATCAACGAAATGTAACCTATTTGCCATGTTTAGTCTATACAAACCATAAGACTACCACTCAGAAGAAATGATTAATTAATAAGCAGAACATTAGCCAAAATTTAGGATATAGGAAAGTAAAGGAAGTTACACAGGGCATCAATCTGGAGTAGTGTAGCAGAAGAGGGGCCAGGGAGCAAGGATTGATTTCAAGTTGGCTAAAAAAAGAACTGGGAGAAATAGAAGTTTAGATATTAATTTGGACAAATTTAACTTAGCTCCCAAGACTTTGAATCACATTTAAGACCCTAGTACCCATGGTGAGTTCGTGTGTGTGTGTGTGTGTGTGTGTGTATGTGTGTGTTGTAAGAAGTTTTGAAATACAGAGACAATGTGCAGGAATGAGAAGGGACCTGAAGATGGAAGGACTCTTTTCAGTGTGATTACATTGTAAACTCCTAAATAAGCCAAGTAATCATCACTTGAGGAATATCTTTTTGTATGTGTGTGAAGATTATATAAAATTTGTGGCCACACTGAGGGGAAAGTATGACCCTAGCATTAATATATTTTTCTTCCTCCATCAAGAAAAGAAAACCATCAACATCTGTAACTACTCTTTGGAGTTTTATTGTTCATCAACGATTGGCCTTATAAGGACACCACATAACAAGTACAGTTACAGGAATTCTCTGGAACAGAGAATTACAGATTAGTCTATAGAAGGAGATAACATCAGTCAGGTGGGATTGGGGGTGATGGAGGGGACATTTTAGGGTAAAAGTGGCCAACGGTGCAGAGCCTAAGGAGGAGAAAAAATATATATATATATTACATATACATATAAAAATAGACACAAATATGTATATATATTTTAGATACATATATATTATGGAATATATATGTATCCTATATATGTAAGCTGAAATTCTGTAGCAGTGTTGTTCAATATAACTTCATGAGGTTATAGAAAGGTTCTAAATCTATATTCTCCAATGTCCTATATGATACTCACTAACGTGTGACTGTTGAGTACTTCAATTGTAGCCAGTGTGATTGAGAAGCTGGTTTTTATTTTGCTTAATGCTAATTTAAATTTACATAGCCACCTGTGGCTAATGGCTACCACACTGGACAACACAGAACTGTAGAGTGTCATATGTAGTATCCCGAGTCATTCTCACTTTGTTCTCCCTTATCCCCTTTTCTTAAAAGGATGCTGATGGGATCTCCAGGATCACTAAGATTCTGGTAAATGCATTATAAAATCACTTATGTACATAAATACATAGTACAGTGTAATTATTTTGATGATTTACTTTTTTTATCCCATGTTTTCAAAATGGTAGCAACCCTCCTAACCATCACCACCCTCAAGCATTCATAAATTCATGTTTTATTTAACCATTCTGATATTTCATGTAACAAAACTCCCAAAGAATGGTAAAACGTTTGCATGGCCAAAACATTCCAATAACTGTAGACTGCTTACCTTCTCAAACCTAGCTCACCATGACCTGTCTTTGTCAACATAGACAGATGTCTCCAACAGGGAAGTGTTGGTAATCTTTTTGTAAGATGATCTCTAGAGACTTTGGCCCATATATGCACATCTTGAAAAAGCAGTTTCCAGCTGTAACCAACCACGTTGCATACGAATGAGAATTGGTGGTTCTAAAGATTAGAGGAACCAGGTCCAGGAGGTTTAGCACTGGTGATCATGAAATCAGAAGACAGCAGCCTGGAAAACTTCCAGATAATTTGGAAGTCCAGCCAGTGCCAGATGTGGTAGACTCTATGTTTGGGAATCCCACAGCTGCTTTTATTCTGTTCAGCATGCTTTCCCTTCCTTTTGGTAGACCACCAGCTGTCTTATGTGCCTCAACTCAAGTTACAACAGCAAAGTTCACTTTAGCTCCGGGAAACTGATCCCCCTTAGCAACTCCATAGCAAATTCCTGAGGAGATGACCTCAACTGCAAACTGTCTCAGTTAAAGTAGACTTATTGGGCCTACTTAGAACAAAACTGTAAAAGGCTTCCATTGCATCTGTAAATGGTGTAACTTGAGGAGGGACTTTTCATAGTTGATTTCTGGGACTCTGGTTCACAGGGTGTAATTGGATGCACAGCCACCTACCCAGGGTTATTTGGAGGACAGTCCCTGCAGGCAGCTAAGTGGCAGGTGTGATCTCAGTGACAGCTGCCTCTAAAATATGCAATGTCCACAAGTCTATATGCATGCTATTTAGAAATTAGCTCAATACTCCTCTTTGTTCTCCATAAAAATCTTATAATTTTCCCATGTTACCCTGGACATCTTATTCCATGTTAATAATTGGAAATCATTCAAGCAATTCCCCAGAGATGTTCTTAGTTCTTCAATTATTGTTACTGACTAATCTTACACATAGAAATACTGTATATAACCATTCTATACATATTGAAGTTTGAAGGGCCTTGACTGCTAAGGTTTTGCTTATGGGAGAGTTGCTTTAGTGATGAAATTTGAGGGGCTTTTGCTACTAGGACATGAGGCATAAGTGAGATTAGTGGGATGGGAGAGGGGTTTTATCTTTAGATATATAGGAAATAGCCATACCCCACACCCTGTGCATTAAATGTGGTTTGTGCTCAGTCCAGCAGCACCAGTGTTAAAATTGGAACACTATAGAGACTAGCATGTTCCCTGTATCTGAAGTACAATGTGATTTCGGGAGCAAGTGCTGCCATGGTCTGGGTTCAGGTTAACAAAACATATAATATATTCTCTCTATATAAGAATGTGGCATATCCTCATATGACATGTAGAGAGATATGAGATGCATTTGTGCATAAAACATAACAACAGTTGAACAAGTGATCTGACAAGCGATCTCCATGCAGTTTTGTTTCACTGGCTATACAAATACTGTCTGGTTTGAGATACAGCCTTTGACTTTGGTGTGAACCTAAAGAGAGCTCATGTAATAGTGGGATTAGAATCAGAGGCGATCCCCTATACCAGATGACTTCAGTGTTCGCAGGTGAGGCAAATGGAAATGGGATGTGATTCCTGCGTTTGACGACATAGGACATAGCATATACATAATAAAACCATGAAGCAACAACCTTTAGTTAACATTAGACAGGTACAAGTAAGGGGCTTGGGGCATTCAGAAGGCAACAGTTGCCCATTTAGTTTAATATGGAAGCTTTTATGCATTGGTGGAGTGACCTGAAACACTATGACTTATATGCAATATTTGAAGAGTCACCTGTCTAAGGTGACATTTGGGGGCCTGCCTGGTATGACTGCAGTGAAAAATACAGGGGCAGATGGCATCACTATGAAGCTAGTCCTGCTGAGGGCAGCAGAATCTGGCAAAAGCTATTGCATGGGCATAGAAAAACAGCTACCATTTATTGAGCACCAACTAAGTGCCTCCCAGGCTGACATTTTATTTAATCTGCTTTTAATTTGCGTTTAATTTAATTTGCTTGCTCTTCATCTTTGCAGATCAGAACACTCCCAGCAACCCAACCAGCTACCTTCTCTGACTCTCTATACCCAGGTTGCTGATAGCTACTTGAAAAAAATTTCAAAAACTTG
The DNA here is from genome assembly GCF_000001405.40 of Homo sapiens. Classification (NCBI taxonomy): domain Eukaryota; kingdom Metazoa; phylum Chordata; class Mammalia; order Primates; family Hominidae; genus Homo; species Homo sapiens. The sequence goes on along the minus strand of NC_000023.11, from coordinate 131,900,131 downwards.
TTGGCTAGCATTCAACTTCAGCTGAACCTTCTTTACACTTACTGGCAATTGCTCTCTATCTCCTTTGGCTAGTGGTTCTCAAGATGTGATCCCCTGAACCAACTGCCTTAGCATCACCTGGTAACTTGCTAGAAATGTACATTTCAGGGCCCCACCGAGACCTGTTGAATCAAAAACTCTGGAGGTAGGACTCAGTATTCTGTGTGTGTGTGTGTTTTTTTTTACATTATTAAATACTTTGGTGTGTATTTCCTAAAAACAAGGACATTCTCTTATGTAACCAATACAGTTATGAAGACCAGGACATGAACACCATTTCAATACTGTTATCAAACCCACAGATTTTATGCAGATTTCACCAATTGTCCCAATAATGTCATTTATAGCAGAAGAAAATCCTGGGTCAGGCTTTGCATTATGTCGTTGTGCCTCTTCGGTCTCCTTTGCCTGGAACAGTTCGTCTGTCATTCTTAGAGTTTTGTGACTTCAACACTTTTGAAGAGTACAGACCAGTTATTTTGTAGAATGTCTCTCAATGCATCCTGTCCTTTCTATTCTGTGTTTTAATGAGCGCCTCATACAATTATGATGTAAGCTCAAGTTTGGAGATCACTGCAGGTCTAGCCTTGTCAACACCTTTCCTCCATTTTCTCAAAACGTATTTCAAACTTTTGTCAGTCTTTTCAAACCCCCTACATTGCATACTCCTTCATTTTCACAAAAAATCTAGACCTTAGAGCAGAGGTTTCTAGTCTTTCTATTGCCATTACCAAAAAACTTTTGTGCCATACTATATCCTTTCTACCCACTTTTTTCAATTGAAGAAGGCACCTTTCAGCTACTCAATGAAAAGCCATCTCTCTCAATCGATAGATAGATGATAGATAGATAGATAGATAGATAGATAGATAGATAGATAGATAAATAGATAGATAGATAGATATTCTGGGTTGCAACTCCTCTGTTCAGTGACTTTCTCCATCAATCAACTATATTCTGAATAAGCTTTGAATCTATTGATTTTTGGTCCCTACCCCATAAATTTCTCCATTCTCTCCTATCTTTAAAAGTCCCCCATATCACCCTCTAACAGATCCTGTAACTTCTTCTGTTTTATATCCAAGAGAACTACATTAGCTATTTGTTCTTCTTCGCCAGTATTTGATTCACACCTCACAGAAATCTATTTTACCCCATACATCTTTGAAACCATCTTTCCAAATCACCAATGACAAGAATGCCAGGGAGAGAGTTACAAATTTTAAATAAGTCATCAGGAAAGGCCTTACTGAAAAGGCAAAATCTTTCCTCCTATGTCTCTAACCACCTTTATTCATACTGCTTTCTGAAGTAGGTCTTCCGCCTGTCCCATAAATGTTGATGTTTACCAAGATTCTGTGGTTCCATCCTCTTCTCTTTCCTTCCAAATTTATATGAGCAGCTTAGGCCTCTCTCCAGAACTCCAGGCAAACATGTTGGCTAAATCAGAACACATTTGAGTAAGTATTCCATGCCTCATTATGGCATCACTCTCCTTATCTTTATCACCTGGGAATTATTCTTCATGCTTCCCCCTGTATACCCAAAACCCAAAAAGAGGAGATTTTGCAAAGTAGAGCTGAGAAAGGCATGAAAATCTACAAAGGGGAATCAAGATAAGGATTGAAAAGTTTTGATCAAGAGAGACAGCATCGACTCAAGAAAACACTGGATTAGTGTAGGAGAAAGAAGGATAGGACAGAAGAGGAAGAGACCTAGTTACAGGTACCCTATAAACGTGCTGTGTTAGAAGACTTTGGGAACTAGTTGGCCAAGACGGCAATGAGAAGGATTAGATAAGTTACATAATGTATATGGGGTCTCATGGGGAAGAAGGAGAAAAACAATCACAATCTTGGCCATGATTTTCAGGGAGAACACATATGCTAAGCTCAAAAATGTGTGTAAGGATTGGGAGTAAAAATGGCCAGATGGGTTGTTAAAGTACACCATGGAAGACAAAGCAATGAAACAGGAGATGGGAAAGAATAATAATTTATTCTTTTTCCAGTTTATCCTTTTTATGAGAAATTGATGTGACGGAAATCCAATACTTACAGAAATGATGTTGAAAAAACATTTATTATGATACATAAAACGCTTTAAAAGAAGAAATTATGAGTATAAGGAATAATAATTTATGCAATAATACTTCTAAAATGATAAAGTATTTTCCATATGAAAGAGAATTTTTATCATGAGATGGAATCACCTTAACATGGAATTTGAGGGTCTGTTGCACATTAGTTCAAAGAAGGTGTTTGCCTGTAAAATGAGATCTGAGGAGGAATTCTTAGATGATAGTTGCATAAACCCTATCTTGTGTATTAATTCCATTCATCTTGTGTGACAAGTACCAACAAAGCGTAGGTCACAAAAAAATTGCTGTTGTTACCCTAAAAAAGAACCTCTCCCAAGGAGCTGCTATGGTGGTTCTAGTTAGTACTACTCTCTTTGTATACTTATTTTTGAACACACTTGTGTTTTTAGAGCTTAAAGTGGTTCCCAAAATGCTTATATTCTATAATTAATCAAGATAAATGCTAAAGAAATCCTTGTTCAACTCTAGCCATGACTTTGTAGAGTTTGTACAAATGTATTAGACTCTACCGTACATTTGTACAACTGCTTAAATATGAGCCTTCTTCTCTTTTTATTTAGGACCTATAAAGGCAAAGGAAGGCTGATAAAGTTGTGTAGCCTACTGGATCCTGAAGAAAGGTGCTTATATTAGGTTATATTACGTCAATGATTCTGGTCCATTTCTGGTCAATAGTCAAACTTATAATTAAATAGTCTATTAATCTCATAAATAACGTAACTGGGTGATTGACTGAAGCTTTGACAGAAAGAAGTAGTGGCTTATTTTTGCATTTATGCTGTATCTCCTCATAAATAATTTTTGCCAGTTTTTAAGCAAATTGGCTAGACACTTTGTACTTTTTTGATAAATTTAAAATCAAACAGTTATGATGCCATGTGAATGGCCATAAATTTATTTTGCTTTTTAACGGGCTGTTCCATCTGTCATTTTAGATACAACCTAATATGCTAAATTAGACTATATGATGCTAAAACAACCAGGCAATTCGATGAAAACCAAACTAGTAAAAGTGGCATGAAGTAAAGCCAACATCTAGTGGATTTACTGAAATCTCACTCGTTGCTCGACTGTTCTGTCATTGTTCTTCAATTGACAGATACTTAACAGGTTTAGGTCCTCCACCTCCATATAGGCCCAAACAAAATCTGATTAATCAAAATGGTTCCACAAAGTCAAAGCTTACCAGAAATTATGAAGTAATACTAGTCGAGTTTCAGGATGCATGTTCCCTGGAGCCCTTAGAAAAAAGTATGACAAACCCAATAACTGTTGCATGATTGAGGTAGATAAAATAATAGGTGAACCATTGAGGACTCTTTCAGCTTTAGAATTTTCTTTTTCAAACATAACATCAAATCTTTATAAGTGGTAGATAAATAAAACACGATATATACATACAATGAAATGTTATTCAGCCATAGAAAAGAATGAAGTATTAATATATGCCATAGAGTAGCAATGGATGAACTTTGAAAACATGCTAAGAGGCCAGCCATGAAAGATGCATATTGTATGATTTCGTTTATATGAATTGTCCTTATAAGAGGCAAATCTATAGGGACAGTAATTAGATTAGTGGTATCTGAGGGCTAGTGGGGGATATGGTGATATGCAGGTAATAGCTAAAGTGCACAGGGCTTCTTTTTGAGGTGATGAAAATCTAAAATTTACTGTGGTAATAGTTGCACAACTGTGAAAATACAAAAAGCCATTAAATTGTACAATTTTAAAGGGTGAATTGTATGGTATGTGAATTATTTCCTAGTAAAGCTGTTACTTTAAAATCTCTCTAACTTGTATATTCATAACAAAATGTATTGTTTAACTGTATTCCAGGACACTAGAGGCTATATAGCCAAATGGAGAAAAAAACACATAAGAGATTTAGAGTTATTTGTGTCTGAGTTTTTGTTGTCATTGTTGTTTTGGGTTTTGTTTTGTTTTGTTTTGTTTTTTGAGACAGGATCTCCCTCTGCTGTCCAGGCTGGAGTGCAGTGACGTGATCACAGCTCACTACAGCCTTGACTTCCCAGGCTCAAGTGAGCCTTTCATCTCCCAAGTAGCTAGGACTACAGGCCATGCCATCATGCCTGGCTAATGTTAATGTTTTTTTTGTAGAGAGGAGGGTCTCACCATGTTGCCCGGGCTGGTCTCAAACTCCTGGGCTCAAACGATCCTCCCACCTTGACCTGCTAAAGTACTGAGAATATAGATGTGAGCTGCTGCACTTGACTGAGTCTGGGTTCTTTTATCTGCTCACCTTCTAATAAGCTGCACAATCATAGAAAGCCAATTTTCTCAGATGTGAAACAGGAATATCACCTTAGCCTCTTGCAGGACTGCTCCAAGATGAGATAATTTCAACAGAGAGCCTAGCACAGTGCTTGGCACATTTATAGCCACCCAAGAAATGTTTGCTCCCTTCCCGTTTTCACACTCCATGGATAATTTCTCTTTTGCCCAGATTTCATCTTTGTGAACATAGGTCAAAATGTCATTTCATCCCATCCTTCCTTGAAAGGTAACCACATTACCATCAAACCAGGCAACCTGGAGTTTTAAGTCTGAATAACAACTAAAGAAAACTTGACTGTGTAAGTCATTAAAATTTGTCTGTATGTAAAAGAGAAAGACCCAAAAAGGGGGTGAAAAATTAGGGCTGAAGCACAGCAACAGAGAAGTGCACCTCATTCAAAACAGAAGTATTTTGCAGTTGGTGACACCCCCACAAATGACTAATCCCAAAGAAGAAATTTGATTCCTTCAACTGCAAGGAAAAGAAGTTTAACACAGGCAGCTGTGGTGATAAATCTTCCTATCAGTTGTGGTTGTAAGTCTGGAAAATCTTGAGTTAACTGTGCTGGTGAATCATGCACATTTATTTCTACTTGTTTAAATATGTTTTTCCTTTATTTACACAGAGATGGCTTATAATAAAGCTACCGTTAAACACTGGTGTCAGAAAACCACCAAAGGGAATTCATTTTCTAACATCCATGATGATAATATAGATGCCCAATTCATGACATGCAGTTTTCCTTTCTCTGTACAAATATTAAAATAATATTTCTGCTTGCAGTGGTAAAGATATTGTTGCCTTGATCCCAGCCACAGAAAAATAAATTAAGGAAAGGACTATTTGATTATATGTAGAAATTTTAAATATATTTGCCTTTGCCAAAAATGTATAGTTTACTGACCGACCCAAAATATTTAACCAGATTAAAAAGAATCCACAATTCAAATGCAACTATGGAAAATCTTGTGGTGATTTAAATATTTATAACCCCAGTCTCAAAGTACTGTTTCCACTTTAGGAACATAAAGGAACATGTCCCTGATTTGCAATTGAGTTGCCTAAAAAAATAGGGATTTGTGTTAGGGCGGGGGCGGGAGGCAGAGAGAAGAATACAATTCTAATGGAAAAGTAGACAGTTTTTATATTTGGCTAATGAAAAGTAATGTTCATTTTCATGTCAATGTATTTGATAAGGATTTCCAAGAATTGTTACTTCAGCAATGACTCTGGGGAAACAAGATCTGATCTAAGAGAATTTTTTTTCCATGTGGGCAATTTTTCTTTTCTTCAACTTTTATTTCAAGTTCCAGGGTTCATGTGCAGGGTGTGAAGGTTTGTTACATAGGTAAACGTGTGCCATGGTGGTTTGCTGCACAGATCATCCCATCATCTAGGTATTAAGCCCAACATCCATTAGCTATATTTCCTTATGCTCTCCCACCCCATGTCCCACCCCCGACAGGCCCGAGAGTGTGTTCATCCCCACCCCCACCGTTTCCATGTGTTCTCCTTGTTCAGTTCCCACTTATAAATGAGAACATGTGGTGTTTGGTTTTCTGTTCCTGCATTAGTTTGCTTAGGATAATGGCTCCCAACCCCATCCATGTTCCTGTAAAGGACATGATCTCATTCCTTTTTATGGCTGCATAGTATTCCATGGTGTATATGTACCACATTTTCTTTATCCAGTCTGTCATTGATGGCCATTTGGATTGATTCCATGTCTTTGCTATTGTGGATAGTGCTGCAATGAACATATGCATGCATGTGTCTTTATAATAGAATGATTTATATTCCTTTGGGTGTATACCCAGTAATGAGATTGCTGGGTCAGATGGTATTTCTGCTTCTAGGTCTTTGAGGAATCACCACACTGTCTTCCACAATGTTTGAACTAATTTACATTCTGAACAGCAGTGTACAGATATTTCTATTTCTCCGCAACCTCACCAGCATCTGTTGTTTCTTGACTTTTTAATAATTGCCATTCTGACTAGTGTGAGATCATATCTCATTATGGTTTTGATCTGCATTTTTCTAATGATCAGTGATGATGAGCTTTTTTTCTTTCATGTTTGTTGGCCTCATGAATGTCTTCTTTTGAGAAGCATCTATCTGTTCATGTCCTCTCCATGTGGGCAATTTTTCATTTATTCTCTCCTCTGGGAGATAGTTAAGTGTTTAAAGTAGTGATATGAGGACCTGAATTAATAATTTTATTTTTTCCAGCTTCATTGAGCTATAATTGACCAATAAAAATTGTACACAAGGTGTGCAATGCCATGTTTTTATATACATAGACATTGTGAAATGATTATTATGGTCAAACTAATTAATATGCCCATCACTTCCCATAGTTACCTTTTATTTGTTGTGAGAATATTTAAGATATACCCTGAACATATTTCAAGCATGCAGCACAGTATTATTAATTATAACCACCATGTTGTACATTAGATCTACAGAACTTATTTATCTCACAAAACTTAAACTTTATAAATTTTGACCAACATCTCCCCATTTCCCATATCTTCTGTCCTTTAGCAACCTTCATTCTACTCTCTGCTTCTATGAGTTTCACTATTTTAGATTCCACATGTAACTGAGATCATACAATATTTGTCCTTTTTTGCCTGGATTATTTCGCTTAGCATAATGTCCACCAGGTTCATCCATCTTGTCTCAAATAACAGAACTTTCTCCTTTATTGAAGCTGAAGGCTATTTCATTGTACATGTATACCATGTTTTCTTTATCAATCCATCCATTGATAGACACTTAAGTTGATTCCATATCTTGGCTATTGTGAATAGTATTGCAATAAACATGGGAGTGCAGTTATCTCTTTGACATACTGATTTCATTTCCTTTGGACATATACCCAGAAGTGGGATTGCTGGATAATATTGTAATTTTACTTTTAGGTTTTTGAGAAACCTCCATACTGTTTTCCATAATGGCTGTACCAATTTACGTTCCTGCCAACAGTGTACAAAGTTTCTCTTTTCTCCACATAACTGTCAATGCTTGCTATCTTGATTTTTTGCCATTCTAACAGGTGAGAGATAATATCTTATTATGGTCTTGATTTGCATTTCCCTGATGATTAGTGATGCTAAGAATTTATATGTCTTCTTTTGAGAAATGTCTGTTCAAGTCCTTTGCCCATTTTAAAAATTGGGTTGTTGGTTTTCTTGCTCTTGAGTTATTTGAATTCCTTATATATTTTGGATGTTAGCCTCTCATCAAATCTACGATTTGCAAATATTTTCTCCCACTTCTTGGGTTGTCTGTTCTCTCCATTGATTGTTTTCTTTGCTGTGTAGAAGCTCTTTAGTTTGATGTAACCCCATTTGTCTGTTTTCGCTTTTGTTGTCTGTGCTTTTGGGGTTCTATCCAAAAGATCATTGCCCAGACCAATGTCATTGAGCTTTCCACCTTTGTTTTCTTCTAGTAGATTTACAGTGTCAGGTCTAACCTATAAGTATTTAATCCATTTCGAGTTGACTTTTGCATTTGGTATTATATAAGGGTCTAATTTCGTCCCCTGCATGTGGATATCCAGTTTCCCAGCACCATTTATCGAAGAGACTATCCTTTCCATATTGTGTATTCCTAAATCCATTTTGGTCCCAGTTTTCTACAAAGCCTTGGCATTGATGTTGCTGCTATTATGCCCTGCATTGAGACAGGCCTGACAAGAGTTACAAGAGTCCGAATATTCTCAAAGAACACAGAAGAGAAAGTAATTTATGATCCTTGTAGCCTTGCATTTGGTGTCTGCTCATTTGAAGTAGGCACCTCATCCAGTTATACAGACTGATGTTGACAGGGAAAGCCCATCCAGAGATTCTCGGTGGGCTGATTGATAGGGTCCTCAGGTGGTCTGATGTTGTGCCTGGGTCCACAGGGGCTGGTGTGGAGCTTGGGGCCACTGGGGTGGGCCTAGAATTTGGGTCCAATCACTGGGGTTCATAGATTCAGGCCTGCAGCCTGAGTCCATGGGGGCTGGTCTGGCACCAGAGTTCACTGGGGTGGGTCTGGTGCTGGGATCTGCAGTAAAATCTGGTGCACACTTCACTCTGCTTCGCTAACACACAGAGTATCTTGCACTGCATATTGCTGTGTGGGCTTGGAAGAAAGGCAATGCAAGTAAAATGAAACTATCTTTTCTAGCCTATTCAATACATCTTTTGTTATTTTTGTGCTCCACTGAGGTGCAGCAATCTCTCACCTGGATTCCTTAGCTCTTGTGATGGTATTTTCGTGCGTGGATGGTTATTTGAATTGATGTTTCTGTGAGTGGATAAGCATTGGAAATTTCTGTTCCGCCTTCTTGTTGACATCACCTCTCTTGGTGTCTCCTGAATTAAGGATTTTAAAAGATCTAGAGGCCCACCATAATATGCTGGCCTAAACTTGCTCAACTTGTAAAGCTTCTGAATCCCTAGAATGTAGTATTATATTAATCAATCAGATTTTCCCCAAAGTATGATTGTGTTAGCTCAACTGTTAGAATATTTATCTTTTTTTAATGAGGGATTTTAGACCCTGTGTAATGAAAACTAATTTGGACTCTATATGTTTTATACATTTTGAATTTCATGCAACTTGAATTTACAGACCTAATTAATTTTCATTCTCTTTTTAAGAGACTCAAGTTTAGCTTCCATAATATATATAGGGTTTTAAGTCCCTTGTGTTAAAAAAAACTATCTATCTATACATATATATGTGTATTTATAGTGTGTGTGTGTGTGTGTGTGTGTGTGTGTGTATTCCAATCTTTCTGCCTTGCACAGAGAAGATGTGTAAATTTTCTGAGGAAAGATCACATAGAGCCTGGCTATGGCAATGAGTTAGGATGGTAAAGAGTAAGACCAGCCCAGAAGTTCTTACAGTAGTTCAATAAAGAGACAGTGGTGGTTTGGCATATGGTGATAGTAATAGAGATAGTGAGAAAATTAAGCTAGAGCCATAGGATGTTTTGACAGATGGATGTGAGCAGAGGAGGAAGAGGAAAGATGGAAGGGAGTTTTGGCTACAGCAACAGAGTGTTTAGGAGGGACCATGTTTTAGTACTAGTAATTTGGGACTGAGGCTTGCTTCGTTCATTCATTCATTCATTCATTCATTCAAATAAAAGATTTATTGAGTACCCCACTATGTGCCATGTGCTGTGCTAGGTGCAAGGTATGCACTGATTAACAATATAGACATAATTATTGCTCTCATGAAGATTGTGGTCCAATGAAAAAGACTGAGCCTGAGTCTGACAAGTTGATATTTACAAAAGAGTACAGTGAGTAGTATGGTAGTGGCAAGCACAGCATGCTGTTGGGAATTAGAGGAGGGACAGCTAACCCAGATTTGGGATGTGTTGAGTAATTAAAAGCTCCCAACAAGAGTGACATCTAGCCTGAAACCTACAAGATGAATGGGAGTCAAACAAGTTAAGAAGGGGAGGGGGAAATGATCCAGGTAGAAAGAAGAACTTGATAAATAGTCCTGGACAGGGGAAAACCATGTTGAACTCCTGGAACTGAAAAAACACATTCAGAGTGACTGAGTGAGAGAGAGGAAATGGCAAATGATGAAGCTAGACAAGTAGGCAGAGGTCAGAAAATGCAGGACATTACAGGGCAGGCTACTGTATTAGTCTTTCCCTTAGGAGCAAAAGGGAAAAAACAGTGAACTTAAAAAAAAATAGTATTTTAAAATTTAATTTCTATTTTGATATAAATGTAGGCTCACATGCAGTTATAAGAGATAATACAGAGAGACCTTCTATGCCTTTTACCCAGTTTCCCCAAAGGTAAAATCTTACAAAACTTTAATACGTTACCACAATCAAGATATTGACCTTGATAAAGTAAAGACAAAGAACCTTTCATCACCACATGGATCCCGCATTTTGCCCTTTTATAGCCGCCTCCACATCCCTCTTTCTCCCCAGCTCCTCAAACCCTAGCCACCACTAATATATTCTCCATTTCTACAATTTTGTCTTTTTGGTTTTTTATATAAATGAAATCGAACGGTATGTAACCTTTTGGAACTGCTTTATGTTGGATATTTAGCTTAGAAATATTTTCTCCCATTTTATAGTTTCTTTTTTCATCCTCTTAACAGACTCTTTCAAAAACCAAAATTTTAAATTTTGATGTAGTTCTATTTATCAATTTTTCCTGTCATAGCTCTTGCTTTTCAAGTCAAGTCTAGAAAGTCTGTATTTATCTCTTGATCTTGGTGATTTTCTATTTTTTAATAATAAGGGTTTTAGTTTTATATTTTATGTTTATGTCCATTATCCATCTTCAGTTAGTTTTTTAATAAGGTGAGGGAATTATGTTAAAGTTCATTTTGTTGCACATGGATGTCCCCAAATTATCCAGAATCCTTTTGTGAAAAGGCTATCTTTCCTATATTGAATTCCTTTTGCATCTTTATCAAAAATCAACTGGGTATATACATGTGGTTCTATTTCTGGATTGCCTGTTCTATTTTGTTGATCTCTGTGTCTTAACCTTGGCTAAGACCACACAGTCATGGTTACTGTAGGTATATAAGTTTTGAAATTAGTAGACTGGTTCCTCTACCTTTTCTCTTCTTTTAAAATATTGTTTAAGCGATTGTAATTCCTTTCCCTTTCCATGTAGATTTTATAATAATCTTGTGTATATCTACAAAAAAATCTTGCTGGGATTTTGATAGGAATTGTGTTAAATAAGTTTGGAAAAAACTGACATCTTTTCTATGTTAACTTTTCCAATCCATGAACATATATGCATCTCCATTTATTTACATCTTATTTTATTTCTTTTGTTGACATTATGTACATTCCTTTCTGTATTTTGTTAAGTTTATGCCTATGTATTTCACTTTTTGAATGATTACAAATAGTATTAAATTTTAATCTTAAATGTCCACATTTTGATGCTGAAATCACTTATTTGTTCTAGAAATTTGTTCATTTGTTGTTGTTTTATTGTCATTTTATAGTTTCCTTGTAATTTTCTATTTAGATAATCATATCTTCAAATAAAAATAGTTTTATTTATTCCTTTCTGATCTACATGTCTTTTATTTTCTTTTCTAGCTGTATTGCACTGGCAGGAATTTCCAGAACTATGTTGAATAAGGATGGTGAGAATAGGCATCCTTGCCTTTTTCCCAGTTTTAAGGTGAGAGGATTCAGTCTTTCACCGTTAAGTATAATGTTAATAGTTCATTTTTCATAGATTTTTTTACTGAGTTGAGGAAATCCCTTTCAAATTCTATTTTTGTGAGTTTTAAAAATCATAAATTAGTGTTGAATTTCATCAAATATCTTTTCTGCATCGACTGATGAGGTCATATCATTTTTTTCTTTCATTTGTTAATATGATGGATAGACATAACATTGATAGAATTTTAAATATTGAACCAGCCTTGTATTCTTGAAATAAACTGTACTTGGTCATGGTGTATAATTCTTTTATATTCTACTGAATTCTCTTTGTTAATATTTTGCTAATGATGTTTGCATCTATTGGTGTGTAGGGTTTCTTACTCTCTTTATGTGATTTATGGTATTAGAGTAATATTAGATTCATAAAATGAATATAAAAGTGTTCCCTACTCTTCTATTTTCTGTAAGAGAATGTGGAAATTTGATGTAAATATTTCTTTAAACTTTGGCAGAGTTCTCCAGTGAAACCATCTGGGAGTGCAGATTTCTTGATTGGGAACTTAATTTTAAAATTATAAAATCAATTATTTTAATAATTATAGGTCTATTCAAATGAGTGATTTCATATTGGATGAATTAGAATAGCTTGCGAGGTTATTTTGAAGAATTGGTCCATTTCATCTAACTTGTTAAATATATTAGTATGGAGTTGTTCATAAGTTATCCCTTATTTTGATGTCTGAGGATTTTTAGTGATAAGTGACTGTTTACTTCCTGCAGTTGGTAATCTGTATCTTTTCTCTTATTTGTTTGTCATCTTTGGTAGAAGATGGTTCTTTACAAAGAACCAGTTCTTTGTCTCATTGATTTGTTGATTTTTTTCTGTTATTTTCTTTCTTTCTTTCTTTCTTTTTTTTTTTTTTTTTTTTACAGGGTATCACTCTGTCACCCAGGCTGGAGTGCAGTGGCACGATCATAGCTCACTGCAGCACAACCTCCTCAACTTGAGGGATTCTCCCTCCTCAGCGTTCTAAGTAGCTGGAACAACAAGCACATGCCATCATGCCTGGCTATTTTTTTTTTAATTTTGTGGACATGGAGTTTCACTATGCCGCCCAGGCTGGTCTTGAAATCCTTATGCGATCCTCCTGCCCCGGCTTCCCAAAGTACTCGAATTACAGGCTCAAGTCACTGCACCCAGCTTTCTACTGTTTTCTGATTCCAACTTTACTAATCTGTGTTTTTATCTTTTTTGTTTTCTTCCTGGTGCTTACACTGAGTTTGTTGCTCCTCTTTTTCTAGATTCTGGAAATATGAGCCTATAGAATTGATTTCAGACTTTTCCTCCTTTCTTATATCTGTGCTTCATTTCATAAATTTCACTCTCAGCACTGCTTTAGCTGCTTCCTACAAATTTTGATATGTTGCATTTTCATTTGCATTGGCGCAATTATATTTTTATTTCCTTTAAGATTTCCTCTTTAACTCGTGGATTATTTAAACTGTGTTCAAAATAAATAAGTAAAATACCTAGGAATACAGCTAACCAGGGGGGTGAAAGATCTCTACAAGAATTACAAAACACTGCTGAACAAAATCATAGATGACACAAATAGAAATACATCCCATGCTCATGCATATGAAGAACCGATATTGTTAAAATGACAATACTGCCCAAAGCAATTTACAGATTCAATGCTATTCCTGTCAAACTACCAGTGACATTCTTCACAGAATTAGAAAAACTGTTCTAAAATTCATACGAAACCAAAAAATAGCCTGATATAGTTTGACTCTGTGTCCACACCCAAATCTCATCTCAAATTTTAATCCCCACGTGTCGAGAGAGGGAACTAGTAGGAGGTCATTAGATTATGGGGGCAGTGTCCCCCATGCTGTTCTTGTGAGAGTGAGTGAGTTCTTACAAGATCTGATGGTTTAAAAATGTGGCACTTCTGCTTCACTTGCTCTCTCTCTGTCCTGCTGCCATGTGAAGAAGGTCCTTGCTTTCCCTTTCATCTTCTGCCATGATTGTAAGATTCCTGAGGCCTCCTCAGGCATGTGGAACTGTGAGTTAAATAAACCTCTTTTCTTTACAAAATACCCAGTCTCAGATATTCTTTATAGTAGTGTGAAAATACAGAGCCCAAATAGCCAAAGCAATCCTAAGCAAAAGAAAACAAAGCTGCAGGTATCACATTACCCAACTTCAAACTATACTACAAGGCTACAGTAACCAAAACAGCATGGTACTGGTACAAAAACAGACACATGGACCAATGGAACAGAATAGACAGCCCAGAAATAAAGCTGCTCACCTACAACTATCTGATTTTTTAATGAAGTTGACAAAAACAAGCAATGGGGAAAGGATTCCCTCTTTAGTAAATGTTGCTGGGATAACTGGCTAGCCATATGCAGAAGATTGAAACTGGACCCCTTCCTTTTATCATACACAAAAATCAACTCAAGATGGATTGAAGGCTTAAGCATAAAACCTAAAGCTATAAAAAACCCTTGAAGGAAACCTAGAAGATACCATTATGGACATAGGCCCTGACAAAGATTTCATGACAAAGATGCCCAAGGCAATTATAACAAAAACGAAAATTGACAAATGGGAACTAATTAAACTAAAGAGCATCTGCAAAGCAAAAAAAACTAACAAAGTCAACAGACAACCTACAGAATGGGAGAAAATATTTGCAAACTATGCACCTAACAAACAGCTAATCTCCAGAATCTATAAGGAACTTAAACAAATTTACAACCAAAAAGCAAACAACCCTATAACAAAGTGGACAAAGGACATAAGCAGTTTTCAAAAGAAGATATATACATGGCCAGTAAGCATATGAAAGTACACTCAGCATCACTAATCATTAGAGAAATACAACTCAAAACCACAATGACATACCATCTTATACCAGTTAGTATGGCCATTATTAAAAAGTAAAAAGAAAAAATAACAGATGCTGGCAAAGTTGCAGAGAAAGGAATACTTATACACTGCTGGTGGGAATGTAAATTACTTCAGCCACTGTGGAAAGCAGTTTGGAGATTACTCAAAGAACTTAGAGCAGAGCTAATATTTTACCCAGCAATCCATTGGGTATATACCCAAAGGAATATGAATTGTTCTACCATAAAGTCATATGTTTGCATATGTTCATCACAGCACTATTCACAATAGCAAAGACATGGAATCATCCTAAATACCCAGCGATGGTAGAATGGATAAAGAAAATACACATGTACACCATGGAATACTATGCAGCCATAAAAAAGAATGAGATCATGTCTTTTGCAGCAACATGGATAGCACTGGAGGCCATTATGCTAAGCAAACTAATGCAGAACAGAAAACCAAATACTGCATGTTCTCATTTATAAGTGGGAGCTAAACATTGAGTATACATGGACACAAAAAAAGAGTACAATAGACACCAGGGCCTCCTTGGGGGTGGAGCATGGGAGGAGGGTGAGTATCAAAAAAACTACCTATCAGATACTATGCTTATTACCTAGGTGATGAAATAATCTGTACATTAAACCCCTGCAAGACTCAATTTACCTATATAACAAACCTGCACATGTACCCCTAAAACTAAACTAAAAGATTGAAAAATAACAAAAGGAAAAAATAAAGTGTGTTGTTTAGTTTTCAAGTGTTTGGTGATTTTCCTATTGTTTTTCTGTTGTTGATTTCTATTTTGATTTTATTTTGGTTGGAGAACCACTTGTATGATTTCAATTTTTTAAGAATTTGTTGAAACTTATATTATGGGTTTGGGTATGGTGTATCTTGGTATATGTTCAGTGGGCACTTGTAAGAAATGTGTATTCTGTTTTTGTTTGGTGAAGTGGTTTTATAAATTTTGATTAGATCCTCTTGGTTGACGGGGTTGTTGAGTTCTTTTATATTCTTGGTGATTTTTGTGTGTGCGCATAGTTGTTCTATCAATTGCTGAGAGAAGGATATTGAAGTCTCCAACAATCATTGTGGAATTCTCTGTTGGTCTCGAGTATATCAGTTTTTGTTTCACATACTTTACAATTCTCTTTGGTGCATTTAGAATTGCTATATCTTCTTGGTGAACTTGCCCTTTTTATAACATTCTTCTCTATCTCTGGTAATTTTCTTTGCTCTAATATCTAATATGAATATACCCACTCTACCATATTTTGTTTAACATTTTCCTGATATGTATTTTCCTTCAATTTGCCTATATCCTTTTACCTTCAATTTGTCTATATCCTTGTTTAAAGTAAGTGTCTTTTAGACAATGTATAGTTTAGGTCATATTTTTGTATCCACTTCACCAATCTCTGTCTTTAATTGGTGTGTTTAGATCACTTACATTCGATGCAAATATTGATCTATTGGAACTTAAGTTTGGTATTTTAAAAAGTATTATTGTCATTATCTTTGTTTGTACCCTCTGTTTTTTGTGTTCCTGTTTTCCTTTTCTGCTTTCCTGAGTGTACTTAGTTTTTTTAATATCATTTTGATTTACCTCTAGCAATTTTGAATATTATCTCTTTCCATAGCTTTTAAAGAGGTTCTAGGCATTACATTACATATATATAACTTGTCACAGTCTATTGCTGTTATTTAAGAATTTGAGTGAAGTGTAGAAATCTTACCTCTCTTTACATTTGTTTACCCTTCTACTTTTATAAATTAATTGTCTTAAATAGTTCCCCAACATACATTTGTAACCAGTCAATGTCATAATTTCTGCTTCAACCGTTAGACTTAACTTAGAGGACTCAAGAGGAGAAAAGCCTATTGTGTTTATCCATATATTTTGCTTACCATGTTCTTTCTTCCTAGTGTTCCCAGATTCCTTTTTTTTTTTTATTGTTTCCTTTTAGTTTAGAGAACTTCCTTTAGCCATTGTTTTAGGATAGCTCTGCTGGTGACAAGTTTTCTTAGATTTCCTTCACCCAAGAATATGTTGATTTTCCTCTTAATTCATTAAGGATATTTTCACTGGATATAGGATTCTCATTTGGCATTATTATCTTTCAGCAATCAAAAAATATACTACTTCCTTTTGGCCTTTATGGTTTCTGATGAGAAATCTGCTGCTATTGAAATTATTGTTTCCCTGTAATATGTTGTTTTTCTTTAGCTCCTTTCAAGAATTTTTGCCGTTAGTTTTCAGAAGTTTGAATATGATGTGTCTTTTTTTTTTTTTTTTTTTTTTTTTTTTTTTGAGACGGAGTCTCGCTCTGTCGCCCAGGCTGGAGTGCAGTGGCGGGATCTCGGCTCACTGCAAGCTCCGCCTCCCGGGTTCACGCCATTCTCCTGCCTCAGCCTCCCAAGTAGCTGGGACTACAGGCGCCCGCCACTACGCCCGGCTAATTTTTTTTGTATTTTTAGTGGAGACGGGGTTTCACCGTTTTAGCCGGGATGGTCTCGATCTCCTGACCTCGTGATCCGCCCGCCTCGGCCTCCCAAAGTGCTGGGATTACAGGCGTGAGCCACCGCGCCCGGCCTATGATGTGTCTTTGTATGGCTTTCTTTGTGTTTATCCTGTTTGAGGTTTGCCCAGCTTCTTAAATCTGTAGATTCATGGCTGCCAAATTTAGGAAATTTTTAGCTATTATTGTTTTGAGTACTTTTTTGTCCCCGCCCTCCTTCTCTACTTCCAGAACTCTGATTATAAGAATGTTAGATTGGCCAGGTGCAGCAGCTCACACCAGTAATCTCAGCACTTTGGGAAACCAAGGCAGGTGGCCTACTTGAGCCCAGGAGCTCAAGGCCAGCCTGGGCAACATAGTGAATCTGTCTCTATAAAAAATACAAAAATTAGCCTGGTGTGGTGGCACACACCTGTAGTTCCAGCCACTTAGGAGGCCGAGGTTGGAGGATATCTTGAGCCCAGGAGGAATAGGTTGCAGTGAGCCAAGATTGTGCCACTGCACTCCAGCCTGGGCGACAGAGTGATACCCTATCTCAAAAGAAGAAGTATAAGGAGAAGGAGAAGGAGAAAAGAAGGAGAAGAATGTTAGATCTTTTGTTATAATTCCAGAGATCCCTCAGTCTATTCATTTTTTAGTCTATTTTTCCTTATATTATTATTTTTAATTGATACATAATAATTGTACATATTTATGGGGTACGCATGATATTTTCATACATGTATACAATGTACAATGATAAAATCAGGGTAACTGGTGTCAGGAACATTCAAAATTTGCTCTTCTAGCTATTTGAAAATATCCAATAAATTGTTAATTATAATTACCCTGCAGTGTTATAGAATGCTAGAACTTATTCCTCCCATCTAGCTGTGATTTTGTATCCATTAACCCACCTTACCTCTGGCTATCCTCCCCACACCTTCCCAGTCTCTAGTAACCACTATTCTACTCTCTCTGTCTATGAGACCAACTTTTTAAGCCTCCACATATGTATGAATGTGTGGTATTCATCTTTCTGTGCCTGATTTATTTGGTATTTTTATTGCTGTTCAGATTAGATAATTTCTATTGTCCTATCTTCAAACTCACTGATCCTTTTGCCCTCTCCATTCTTCTGTTGAGCTCATCCTTTCAGTGTTTTTGTTGTTGTTGTTGTTGTTGTTATATTTTCCAGTTCTAGAATTTCGATTTAGTTCTTCTCTACATTTTATGTTTCTTTGCTGAAATTCTATTTTTTCACTGGTTTCCAGCATATTTGTGATTGCTCATTGAAGCATCTTATGATAGTTGCTTTAAAATCATTGTCATATATATCTAACATCTTTTTTATCTCTGTATTGGCAGCTATTGATTATCTCTTTTCATTCTGTTTGAGACCTTTCTAGCTCCTGGTATGCAGAGTGATTTTTTTATTTAAACTTATGCAGTTTGACTATTATGATGAGACTGTGGATCTTTTCTAAATCTTGTGTTTAACTGGTTTTTTATTTTTTTACACTGCTCTGGAGGCAGACGGGAGGGAGTACATCATCTTTACTGACAGGTGGAGGTAGAAGTCTAGTTTCCCCATTTAACCTTCTACAATACCCAAGGGGGCCTTTTCACTACTGCTGGGCAGAGGTGGAATTTCTATCTGTCCTCTAGGCTTCCACTGAAAAGTCCCTGAATGGGAGGAGTAGGGTGTTTCATTACTGCTCCTCACATGACCTCCACTGACACTTTGTGGAGAGGAAAGGAAGTTCGCATTGTTATCACTGAGTGATGGGGAGAGACCCGACTCTTGGCTGGGCGAAGTGGCTCACGCCTGTAATCCCAACACTTTGGGAGGCTGAGGTGAGCAGATTGCTTGAGCCCAGGAGTTTGAGAGACCAGCCTGGGCAACATGGCAAAACCCCATCTCTACAAAAAATACAAAAATTAACCTGGTGTGGTGGTGTGCATCTGTAGTCCCAGCTACTCGGGAGGCTGAGGTGGGAGGATGACTTGAGCCCTAGAGGTGGAGGTTGCAGTGAGCCGTGATTCCACCACTGCACTCCAGCAGCCTGGGTAGCAGAGCGAGACCCTGTCTCAATTTAAAAAAAAAATCCTGTCTCTCTCTCTCTCTCCACTAAGCCTCCTCTGACACCATTCCAGCAGTGGTGGGGATGTGTGGATTTGGGGCACCTCATGACAGCATGGTGTGGGTGGAAGTCTTAGATCCCCATGTGGCTTCTGCTGGCATGATTTGGGATTGGAGCCATGGTTTTAAATGTGGTGTTTGGCTGCAGTAAAGCAGTTATTTTCTAAAAGCTTTCTCTCTTGCTAACCCGTCCCTTTCCTGGGTTTTTGATTAGAGAGAACAGGCTTTTGTTACGGCTTTTTTTTTTTCTGTCTGCATCCCATTAGTGTTTCCTAGTTACCAGCTTCTCCATAATCAGACTTGTATATATGAAGCAAAAAGAAAACTCAGAGAAGTCACCACCTTGTCATTCTTTGCATGTCAAGGTCCCTAGCTGATCTGCCTTCTTCTCTTCGCCTTTGAGCATCTTTGTACGTTTATTTTATACATATTGCCCAGGGCTTTTCATTGTACTTAGTAGGGGGAATAGAGAAAAATGCAACTATTACATCTTTAAGATATTGAAAGCTTTTACACAAAGAGATGGCCTGAATGGAGAGGTAAATCTGACTACAGCATGATGGATAGATGAAAGCACAGATGACTAAAGTTAGAGAGACCAGTTAAGAAGGCATTGTGGTAAGTCAGGTGAGAAGTAATGGTAACCTGAAGTAGAATAGTAGCAAAGAAAATGAGGAGAAAAGTGCATACTCATTCATTTGTTCAATTATGGATTGATTCATTAATACAGCAATATTTATCAGCAACCTACTACATGCCACATGGTGATGAAACAGTAGAGAAAAATATACTCTTCCTACCTTCCTGGAGGTTTTTTTTGTCTAGAATGTAGTTTTTTGTAAAATTTTAGGACATACAGTTTACAATAATTATTGATAAGTTGGATGTGGGTGGTCATGATTGAGAGTGAGAAATTGGAAGCGATATCAAAGATTTTGCCATTGTCAACTGTGTGGGTTGCAGTGCCATTCACTGAAATAAGAAACATAAGGGGAAGAGCAAATATTAAAGGAGTAATGGTTACATTTTGTACATGTAGATTTTGAGGTGCCTACAGACATCAAATGATCATTGAAACTACTGGAAATGGATACTTTCTCAAAGAGAGAGAATACAATGTGAAGAGGAGAGGGCCCAGTAGCAAGTCTTGAGTAACTCCAATGTTTAATGACTATATTGAGGAGGAAAGCATCTGAAGGAGAACATGAATGAGTGTTCAGAGAAGTAGGACGAAAAGATAAACCTAATACCTTAAATTCTCAAATCAAAGCAGAGAATGGAGAATCAGAGTCTCTGGCAGTCTTAACTAGAATCCCTTCATTAACCTACCTATATTAAGGGCAGACATGGCTGAGAAGCAGGACAAAGGCCTGATTGTAAGAATTCAAAAGTTGTAGCACTGTCACAACCTCACCAAGTTATGCTAGGTTAAGGGCAATAGTAGGAAAAGTGTGGGACCATAAGCTGTGGGATGAGGACATTTGGGCAGATCCAGAAGCAGTAGCAATCCACCCCAACCCATTAATGTGAGGGTGCCATTCTTCCTTTGCATGAAGTCTTTTCAATGTCTTCACCTGAGGAAGTTGCCTCACAAAAAATATTTATTCTTCTCAGAATCTATTGTCAGTATCCTTTATTGAATGTAGGATTTAAAATTAGGTCCCAATATACCACAGAAGAAATGCAAGATGTGATCAGGGAGGAGATAATGTATGTGTTAAAAGAGTTGCAAGGTTTGCTAATTTATGTCAGCAGGAATTTGAAGGGCAGATATGGAAATGTATACAAAGAGTATTAGACCAACAAGGAAAAACATGAAATTGTATTTGGTTGAATTTATTGATATGGGTGTATTTATCTGAAATTCTGGATTTAATTTGTTAACTTGAGCACTTGGGAGTATTGCTAACTGTCTTTTGACTTGGTTATTTAAAATCAATTGTAGCATACAGTCAACTGGGTTAAGGTATCAGACTTTCTTAGTATAGTTTTAAGAAAGGAACACAAAGATTTAAGAAGAAAGATGGGAAAGTCACAGATCTGTTTCACGTAACTTGCTCAGTCACGCCTTAACTACAGCCTTTGGGAGAGACCAGAAGACAGTGTCTTCACGAAGGCATTACAAAATCCGTGCTAAGAAAGATCTATGGTGGTTTCCCTCCATATCCCAAGGTTATTGTGGTAGTTATCAACATGGAATTGGGAGCCCAGCTTTGAACAATAATAATTATATCCCAGAGAAGTGTGGCCAGGTGGTGTGCTTAACCATCATTGACAAGATGGCCAAATTACCACAATAAGGCACATATAGAATGTTTTCTGGCCTGCAGTGATCGGTGTGGTAGCTAATTAATCACAAGATTCAGAGAAATGAATGAGATAGGTAGCCTACTAAGGTGCAATTAATCTGTGCAAGAGGAAACATTTTAGTAGAAACCTGACTCAAGTTGCCATAGTAAGAAATCATAATGGTCTCTTATTTGGTTCCCAGCCTATTCCTTTTTACAGGCCTAGAGATCCTTGATTGTAGGGGAGGCAATGCCTCTTTTTGGAAGAATCTTACAATGCAACCACAAGTCTATACAGGTATATGCCGGAGACAGGGCGTGTACAGTTCCAGAACACTATAAAACAGTTAATATATCAATGTGGCAAGTCACACATACTTTTTGGCTTCCCAGTGCATATAAAAGTTATGTTTAAAGTATACTTTAGTCTATTAAGTGTGTAATAACATTATGTCTTTAAAAATCAATGTACATACCTTAATTTAAAAATACTCTATTGCTAAAAATGCTAATGATCATCTGAGCCTTCAGCAAGTCGTCATCTTCATGTTGGCAGAGGGTCTTGCCTCAATGTGGATGGCTGCTAACTGATCAGGGTAGGGTGGCTGTGGCAATTTCTCAAAATAAGACAACAATGAAGTTTGCCACATCGATTGACCCTTCCTTTCATGAAAGATTTCTCTATAGCATGTGATGCTGTTTAATAGCATGTTACACACAGTAGAACTTCCTTCAAGACTGGAGTCAATCCTCTCAAACCCTGCTGCTGTTTTGGCACAAGAGGCCCAGCTCCCAGCCTGTCTCAGCTTTTGACCTGCTTTCCTCACTAAGCTTAATCATTTCTAGCTTTTGATTTAAAGTGAAAGATGTGCAACTCTTCCTTTTACTTGAACATTTAGAAGCCATTGCAGGGTTATTAATTGGACTAATTCCAATATTGTTTTATCTCAGGGAATAAGGGGGCCAGAGGAGAGAAAGAGAGATGGGGGAATGGCCGGTTGGTGGAGCCGTCAGAATAAGCACAATATTTACTGATTAACTTCAGTGTCTTATATGGGCATGCCTGGCACCCCAAAACAATTATAATAGTAACAAGAAAGATCTCTGATGACAGATTACCATAAAAGATATAACAATCATGAAACAGTTTGAAATATTGTGAGAATGACCAAAATGTGACACAGAGACACAAAGTGAGCACATTCTGTAGGAAAAATGACACCAGTAAACTTAACCAATGCAGGGTTGCCACAAATCTTCTATTTGTAGCAAACATAGTATCTGCAAAGTGCAGTAAAGCAAAGCGCCACTAAACAAGATGTGCCTGTACAGTGAATCTTCCTTTAAATCTCACCCGGAAAGAAATGCAACCCTTTACCAGGGCTACTATGCACTGTGAAAAGAGAAATTTCCAGCTCTTCCAAGAATCATCAGGTACCGTTTATTAACTTGGAGATCCCAAATACCATCATGGCCTACTGATCAGAATGGTAGTTTCTGAAATTCAGGGGATAGACCGAGCACTGGCCCAAGTTTATTTAACGTTGGATCCATTGGTCCCACAGATGCACTCTGTAATGATTTTCCCAGTCCTTTGATATATAGCAGGAATAAGTATACTTAGAAACTGTCAGAATCACCATGGAATGAGGGCTCTTGCAGTAGAAAGGGCCGAGTGAAGATCCTATTAACTTGTTTCTCCCCTCAATATCCTCACCCAAATAATAAATCCAAATCAATACCTTATCTTTGGGGGGAGCTACAGAGATCAGTGCCACTACCAAGGCCTCAAAAAATGCATGGATGTTGATTCTTATAACAACTTCATTTAATTTACCTGTTTGTCAAGTGCAAAAGTCATGTGGGTATTATAAAAGACTGTGGATTATTATAAACAAAAGGGTGATGCAATTCACCACTGCAGTTTCAGACATGGTATCTTCAGATTGTAGCAAACTGAAACAGCTCTGCCACTTTGTTTTGCAGCCACTGACCAAGCAAATGCATCCTTTTAAATTCCCATCAGAAAAAATCATCAGAAACAGTATATCTTTACCTGTTAATGTCAACAGCACACCTTCTCAGTCTTACATTGACCAAAATCTATTTTCCTGCTCTGTCATAATACAATCAGTCCAAGGGAGTCTTGATTATCTCAACATTCTAGAAAATATTACACTGGTCTATTACACTGACGTAATTATGCTAATTGAACTGATACGGAAGTAATAATTACCTTAGATACCCTTACTAAGGCACAGATGTCAAAATGTGGGAGATAAACTCCGCGAAAGTTCAGCTGTCTGGGACCCTGGTGATTTTTTTTATATACTTTACGTTCTAGGGTACATGTGCACAACGTGCAGGTTTGTTACATATGTATACATGTACCATGTTGGTGTGCTGCACCCATTAACTCATCATGTACATTAGGTATATCTCCTAATGCTATCCCTCTCCCCTCCCCCCACCCCACAACAGGCCCTGGTGTGTGATGTTCCCCTTCCTGTGTCCAAGTGTTCTCATTGGTCAATTCCCACCTATGAGTGAGAACATGCGGTGTTTGGTTTTTTGTCCTTGCAATAGTTTGCTGAGAATGATGGTTTCCAGCTTTATCCATGTCCCTACAAAGGACATCAACTCATCCTTTTTTATGGCTGCATAGTATTCCATGGTGTATATGTGCCACATTTTCTTAATCCAGTCTATCATTGATGGACATTTGGGTTGGTTCCAAATCTTTGCTATTGTGAATAGTGCCACCATAAACATACATGTGCATGTGCCTTTATATCAGCATGATTTATAATCCTTTGGGTATATACCCAATAATGGGATGGCTGGGTCAAATAGTATTTCTAGTTCTAGATCCTTGAGGAATCACCACACTGTCTTCCACAGTGGTTGAACTAGTTTACAGTCCCACCAACAGTGTAAAAGTGTTCCTATTTCTCCACATCCTCCCCAGCACCTGTTGTTTCCTGACTTTTTAATGATCGCCATTCTAACTGGTGTGAGATGGTATCTCATTGTGGTTTTGATTTGAATTTCTCTGATGGCCAGTGATGATGAGCATTTTTTCATGTGTCTGTTGACTACATAAATGTCTTCTTTTGAGAAGTGTCTGTTCATATCTTTGCCCACTTTTTGATGGGGTTGTTTGTTTTTTTCTTGTAAGTTTGTTTGAGTTCTTTGTAGATTCTGGATATTAGCCCTTTGTCAGATGAGTAGATTGCAAAAATTTTCTCCCATTCTGTAGGTTGCCTGTTCACTCTGATGGTTTTTTTTTTTTAATTTATAAAGAAAAAAGTTTCATTGGCTCACTGTGCTGCAGGCTCTACAGGAAGCATGCGTGGGGAATCCTCAGTAAACTTAAAATCATGGCGGAAGGCAAAGGGGAAGCAGGCACTTTCTACATGGCTGCAGCAGGAGGGAGAGATAGAACAGGGAGGTGCTACACACTGTTAAACAACTTGGCGATGTTTTTAAGAGTATGGTGATCTGGGCATGTAGGGTTATACCCTATAAAGTGAGAGGCAAAAATTTGCTGTCACATTACATACTCATGATATATCCATCATAAAGAAAGAGTCACAAGATAAAATAGTCCTCTTTGGATTTTGGAAGAGGCAAAATATATCACACTTAATTGTGATACTCTAATCCATTTACCAGATAACCTAGTAGGATACCTTTTCTTTTTTTCTTTCTTTTTTTTTTTTTTTTTGAGATGGAGTCTCGCTCTGTTGCCCAGGCTGGAGTGCAGTGCAGTGGCGCTATCTCGGCTTACTGCAAGCTCCACCTCCCGGGTTCATGCCATTCTCCTGCCTCAGCCTCTGGAGTAGCTGGGAATACAGGCACCCGCTGCCACGCCCGGCTAATTTTTTGTATTTTTAGTAGAGACCGGGTTTCACCATGTTAGCCAGGATGGTCTTAATCTCCTGACCTCGTGATCCACCCACCTCAGCCTCCCAAAGTGCTAGGATTACAGGCGTGAGCCATCACGCCTGGCCTAGGATACCAATTTTAAGTAGGATTTAGAGTAGGGGGAAGAAAGCTTTGCAGCAAATCCAAGCTGCAGTGCAAGCTTCCCTGCCACTTGGGCCTATGACTCAATAGACCCAATGATGTTAGAGGTAGCTGTGGCAAACACAGAAGTTTATGGAGTCCTAGTAGTTGAATCACAATAGAGGCTTCTGTAGTTTGGAGTTGGGCTATACCTTCTTCTGTCTGCAAAGTAATCTCCATTTGAAAAGCAGCTTCCGATTTGTTACTGGGCCTGGTAGAAACAAATACCTGACTATGGGGCAACAAATGACTACATGACTCCAGCTCACCATTCTGTGTTGGGTATTATAGAGTCCACTGAACTAAGAAATTGAATGTGCACAGGACCATTTCACTATAAAATATAAATGCAGTACATAAAACAGGTGAGAGTAGTTCCAGAAGGTGTAAGGAAACCATACAAGCAGGTGGCTAGACCCCTCTAGTATTTACCCGTGCTGCTTGGCTGCCTCTTTCTCTACCAAAACCTGTGGCATCATGAGGAGTACCCTATAAGCAGGTACAATAACAAGAAATTCATGGGCCTAAGCGTTAGGCACTTAGCAGAGCCACTCCAGAACCAGGCCCATGAATTTGTGTATACAGGCACCAGCAATGCACTATAGCCCCATGCAGTGTCAGGCCTAAAAAGCAAGAGTTATTCACAATAGCAAAGACATGGAATCAACCTATATGCCCATCAATGGTGGATTGGATAAAGAAAATGTGGTACATATATAGTATGAAATACTACATAGCAGTGGCCAGGGGCGGTGGCTCACGCCTGTAATCCCAGCACTTTGGGAGGCCGAGGCAGGCGGATCACAAGGTCAGGAGTTCAAGACCAGCCTGACCAACATGGTGAAAACCCGTCTCTACTACAAATACAAAAATTAGCTGGGCATGGTGGCATGCACCTGTAATCCCAGCTACTCAGGAGACTGAGACAGGAGAATCGCTTGAACCCAGGAGGCAGAGGTTGCAGTGACCCAAGATTGCGCCACTGCACTCCAGCCTGGGCAACAGAGTGAGGCTCCATCTCAAAAAAAAAAAAAAAAGAAAGAAAGAAAGAAATACTACATAGCCATAAAAAAACAGAATCACGTCCTTTGCAACAACATGGATATAGCTGAAGGACATTATCCTAAGTGAATTAACACAAGAACAGAAAACCATATACCACATGTTCTCACTTATAAGTGGAAGCTAAACATTGAATACACGTATACACAAAGATGATAACAATACACCCTGGGGACCACTAGATGGGGCGAGGGGAGGAGACCATGGTCTGAAAAACCACCTATTGACACTATGGTCACTGTCTGGGTGATGGGATCATTTGTACACCAAACCTCAGCAACACGCAATATACCCATGTGACAAACCTGCACATATACCTTTTAATCTATAATAAATATTGAAATTATTTTTTAAAAATATAAAACAGTAGTAAATAGAAATCCTCCCAGTGAGTAGAAGTGTGGGTAGTATATTTGCTTCTCCACATTGTTTGGAAGGACAAATGGCCAGAGACATGAATCTATACTGCTTCATGAGAAATGGCTAACAAATTAGATGGCTGGAAAAGGATTTGAAAAAAATAACATTAAAAATTTTGGGAAAAAAGAGGTTTCTAGGAAAGGTAAATGAATGAACTTCTCTGAATGGGGACAGGATGTGATGATCCTAGTGCCCCATCTAATTGCCAACCAGAGGGCATGCACTGCAATATCAATAATCAGGTAGACAAGATGACATGATCTGTGACTATCAGTCAGCTTCTTTACCTGTGCCATCCTGAAGCTTGCCCAATGACCCATTGTATAAAGCAGCAATGACAGTAGTGAAGAAGGCCATATTTTTGGTCAAAACCAAAGACTTCCTCTTATCAAGGTTCATCTTGCTACGAACACTGTTGAGCTCCTAATATTATATGAGCAGGGACAAATATTGCTCCCTAGTTTGGCACCATTCCCTTTGGAGACTAGCCAGTCATCTGGAGAAGGTTGACTCTATCATATAGAGGGAGTGATATGTCCTCACAAAAATAGATACATATTCTGGATATGTATCTTCATTGACCTTCATTGACCTTCAATTGACCACAAATCTTTGGCTTTCACCACCAGTTGTGAACTTAAAAATGCCATATTTGTTGCCATGGCATTTCACACAATGTTACCTCTGATCAAAGAACTCATTTTATAGTGAGAGTAGTGTGGCAATGGACATACACCACCAGAATTCACTGATCTTACGATTTGCTCCATTACCCAAATGATAGAGTAGAGAAATGACTTTTTGAAGGCCTAGTTGCAGTTTATGGTGAAATAACCTGCAAGGTTAGGGTGCTATCTTACAAGATGCAGTATATGCCTTAAGTCAGGGTCTAATAAATGTTGCCATTTCTTCCATCTTTAGACTACAGGCATCTAGGATGGAAGTAAGAGTGGCCATCTCACTATTACACCTAATAATTGGTTTATAATTTTTTGCTTCTTGTGCCAGCAACCTTGGTCTCAGTGGTTGGAGATCCTAGCAAAGGAATTATGCTTCAATGAGAGATCAAGATCATTATTATGTTCAACTGGAAACTGATACTACCCTCTGAGGATTTTGATCACCTCATGCTGCTAAACCAACAGGCAAAGAAGGGGAGGTTACACTGCTGGTCAAGGTGATTGGTCTCAATTACTAAGAAAGAAATTAGGTTGCTACTATAGATTAGGGTCAAGAGTACTATGTCTGGAACCCTAGGGATTTAATAACATGGAACCCTAGAGATTTAATAAGATGCCTCTTAGTACTCCCATATCCAAATATATGTTTGCTGAGAAACTGTGACAACTCTGTAAAAATGGGACCACTGAGGTCTTAGATTGAGTGAGAATTAAATTTTGGATCACTCCAACACACAAAAGCAGAAATCAATGAGCCAAGATTTTGGCAGAGTGTAAGAGGAACATCAGATAGGTAGTGAAGGAAGAAAGCTATAATTAGGCCTTGTGACCAGCAACAAAAGATGGGATTGTATCAATTATGCTTTATGCTAATTGTTTCTTACTTTTTTTTTTTTTTTTGACACGGAGTCTCGCTCTTGTTGCCCATGCTGGAGTGCAATGGTGCAATATCAGCTAACTGCAACCTCCACCTCCCAAGTTCAAGTGATTCTCCTGCCTCAGCCTCCCGAGTAGATGGGATTACAGGCATGCGCCACCAGGCCCAGCTAATTTTGTATTTGTAGTAGAGATGGGGTTTCTCCATGTTGGTCAGGCTAGTCTCGAACTCCTGACCTAAGGTGATCCACCCGCCTCGGCCTACCAAAGTGCCGGGATTACAAGCATGAGCCACCGCGCCCAGCCTGTTTCTTTCTTTTAAGGAATAGCTTTGTTGTGCTGTAATTGCACATATTTAAAAGTGTCCAGTTTGATAAGTTGACATATATGCAGACCCATGCAATTATCTCCACAATCAAAACAAAGAATATATCCATCACTTCTCCAAAGTTTCCACGAGCCTCTTAATATTCTCTTTCCCATTCTTCCCCTTCCCCTCCTAACCCCAGAAAATCAAATATCTGCTTTCCGTTAATATACATTAGCTTGAATTTCCTAAAATTTTACATAAAGGAAATGGGACAGTGAGTATGTTTTTTTTCCTGGCTTCTTTCACATAATATAACTACCTTGAAATTTATTCACATTGTAGCATGTATTGATTGTTTACTCCTTTTCATTCCTGAGTAGCATTCCACTGTATAAATGGAACAGTTTATACATGTGCATGTGGATAGACATTTGAACTGTTTACAAATTTGGGCTATTATAAATAAAGCTGCTACAAACATTCATATACAAGTCATTGTACAAACATGTGTTTTTGCTTTTCATAGGTAAATATCTAAGTGTGGAATGGCTAGATCTTATGGCAAGTGTATGATTAAATTTTAAGACTGTCAGTTTTCCAACGTTGTAATATTTTACATTTCCACAAACAGTGTATAAGGGTTCCAGTTCACCACGTTCTTGCCAATATTTGATATGGTCAATCTTTTCATTTTCTCCATTCAAATAGGTGTGTAGTGGAACACACACTGTATTTATAGTTTGCGTTTCCTTGATGAATAACGTGGTTGAACATATTTTTAGGTGCTTAATGCCATTCATTTGTCTTTGTGGGTGAAATGCCTCTTCAAATATTTTCTTACTTTTAAAAATTGGGTAATTTTAATCCAATTTATGTATTCTGGGTATAAATATATCAGGAATGTAAGCCTTTATATATTCTGGAATAAATCTTTATCAGATTACTCTTTTTTCTGTCTGTGGCTTATGTTTTCTTTATCTTAACTGTGTCTTTCAAAGAGAGAAGTTTATAATGTTGGTGAAATCCAATTAATTAGTTTGTTATAAGGATTATGCTTTTGGTGTTGTATCTAAGAAAGTTTTCCCTAATTCAAGGTCACAGAGGTTTTCTCCTGTATTTATATATAGAAGATTAATAGTTTTAGGTGATACATTTAGGTCTATAACATATTTTCTGTTAATTATTTGTATATGGTGCAAGATATGGATTGATGCTCTTTTGTTGCATATGAATATCTAATTGTTCTACCACTATTTCTTGAAAAGGCTATCATTAATCCACTGAATTGCATCTGTGCCCTTGTCCAAAATAGGTTGTCAATATAAGTATGTGGATCTACTTCTGGATTTGCTTCTCTTTCATGGATTGATTTGCTTTTTATACCATTAATACACATCTTGTTTACTGGAGATATAAAATAAATATTAAAATCAGGGAGTGTTAGTCTCAAACATTTTTCTTTTTCAAAGTTCTGTTGGCTATTTTAGGTACTTTGAATTTCCATTGAACTTTACAATCAGTTAGTCATCTCTTACCAAAAAGTCTGCTGAAATTTTGTTTGGGGTGGCATCTAATTTATAGATCAAATTTGAAAAAATTGTTTGAAAATGAATGAAGGAAGGAAAAATGAAATATTTTATTTGGCTTAATCTTTTAAAATTTTTTTCAAACTTTTAATGGAAAAACACACATAAAATTTATGATCTTAATTGTACACTTAACTTCAAGTGTACAATTCACTAGTGTTAGGTACACTCATATTGTTGTGCAACCAATCTACAAAACTTTTTTCATCTTGCAAAACTGAAACTCTATACCCATTAAACAATAGTTCCCTGTTCCTCCCTCCCCCCAGCCCCTGCCAATCATCATTATACTTCTTTCTTCATGAATTTGAATACTCTGGGTAGCTCTATAAGAGAAATTATACAGTATTTGTCTTTTTGTGACTAGCTTATTTCATTTAACATAATGTCCTCAAGGATTATCCATGTTGTAGCATGTGTCAGAATTTCCTTCCTTTTAAAGGCTGAATGATATTCCATTTTATGTGCACACCACATTTTGTTTATCCATTCATCTGTCAATAGGGACTTGAGTTGTTCCTACCTTTTGGCTGTTTTAAATAATGCTGCTATCTACCTTGGTGTACAGATATCTCTTCAAGACCCTGCTTTCAATTATTTTGGGCAAACACCAGTGGTAGAACTGCTGGATATATATGGCTATTACATTTTCAGTTTTTTGAGGAACTGCCATATCATTTTCCCATAGTAGCTGCATGATTTTTCCTTCCTACCAAAAGTGCACAAGGGTTTCAATTTCTTCACATTCTATTCAACACTTGTTGAATAGAAACTTAATGAGCATGT
Source organism: Homo sapiens (assembly GCF_000001405.40). Classification (NCBI taxonomy): domain Eukaryota; kingdom Metazoa; phylum Chordata; class Mammalia; order Primates; family Hominidae; genus Homo; species Homo sapiens. The sequence continues at coordinate 131,868,890 of NC_000023.11, read as the reverse complement.
GTTGTTATTTTATTCATTCTTAACTGATCTAACAGATAATAGCTTATTCAAAATAATAAGAACAACAATATGGTAGATTATAGCTTATAGATATGTGAAATGTATGAGAGCAATGTTATGAAGAGTGGGAGAGAATAATTGGGAATACTCTGTTAAAGGTATCTGCCTTATCTGTGAATGGTATAGTGTTATTTGAAACTGGACTTAGATTAGTCATAAATGTTTGTTTCAAGTTCTATGGTATTCATTAAAAAATTAAAAATAGATAAAAGTGAAATACTAATATAGGAGAGAAAATGAAAACATTTAAAATGCTCAATTAAAACCAGAGTAGATCATTTAGAAAAAAACAGAGTAAACAAAGCAAAAAGAGTGGAATATAAAATAAGAAACAAAGAACAAGGGCAATAAATAGAAAACAGTTACAAAAATGATAAATATTTATCCCACAATATCAATATGCACCTTTAATATGAATGGTCTAAATTCACCAATTAAAAGATACAGACTATCAGAATGGATTAAACATGCAACCCAACTATATGTTATCTACAAAATCTCACTTTAAATATAAAGACACAGATTAAAAGTAATGAGATGAAGAAAGATACACTATGCTAACAATAATCAAAAGAAAGCTAGAGTAGCTATATTAATTTTGCTTGAAGCAGACTACAGAACCAGAAAAAGTATCAGGTATAAAAAAGAGTATTACCTAGTGATAAAGCAATCAATTTTCCAAGAAGACATAATGTTGCTCAATACGCATGCACCTAACAATAGAGCATGAAAATCATGTGTGGCAAAACCAATAGACCTGTAAGAAAAAAATGGACAAATTCACTATTATAGTGAAGACTTTAATGCCCCTCTATCAGTAACTGACAGATGCAGCAGGCAAAAATATCCATAGGGATATACTAGAACTGAGCCGCACCATCAATCAACTCAATCTATTTGACATTTATAGAATATTTCATCCAACAACAGGAGGATACACGTTCTTCTCAAGTTCACATGGTACATTCCCCAAGATAGAAAACACAACTTATCAAATTTAAAAGAATAGAAATTGTACAAAGTATGATGTCATAACACAATGGAATTTAACCAGAAATCAATAACAGAAAAATGGCTAGAAAATTCCAAAATATTTAGAGATTAAACAACACACTTCTAAATAGTACATGAGTCAAAGAACACTCAAAAGAAATTTTAGAAATATTTTGAACTAACTAGAAATGAAAATACAACTTATCAAAATGTGTGGAATGGAGTAAAGGCAGTATTTAGATGAAAATTTACAGTGTTGATGAATATACCAGAAAAGTGAGATCTAAAATCAATAATCTAACTTTTCATCCTAGGACACTCAAAAAAGAATAACAAATTAAACTCAAGTAAGCAAAATAAAAGAAACTATAAAAATTAAAGTAGAAATCAATTAAATTGAAAACAATAAATTAATAGAGAAATTCAACAAACCAAAAACTGGTTTTTTGAACAGATCAACAGGATTGATAAACCTCAACCCTGGCTAACCAAGAAAATCAGAAAGAAGAGGTGTATTACTAATATCGTAAATAAAAGAGGTGCCATCACAACTTATACTATGGACATTAAAAGGATAATAAAGGAATATTATAAACATCCCTGTGCCTACAAATTTGATAATTTAGATGAAATGGGCCAATTCCTTGAAAGACTCAGAGATCTATGAAAACTCACGCCAGGATAAATACATAATCTGAATAGCCTTATGTCTATTAAATAGATTAAATAAACAATTAGTAACCACCTCAAATAGAAAGCATCATTCCCAGATTAATTCTATCAAACATTTAAAGAAGAAATGATACAAATTTTCTATAATCTCTTGCAGAAAATAGAAGCAAAGATAATACTTCTTAACTCACTCTATAAGGACAGAATTACCCTAATACTAAGCCAAAGACATCGCAAGAAAGAGAAACTACAGACAAATATCTTCCATGAGTATAGACACCAAAATCCTCAACAAAATATTGAGTTATATATAGAGTTATATATCACAAATGAATGAAAAAATTATATATCACAACCATGTGGAATTTATTCCAAGTAAGGAAGGTTGGTTCGTCAATTAATATAATTGCTCACTTCAAAAGGTAAAGAAGAAAAAAATCATATGATCATATCAGTAGATTGAAAAAAAGCATTTGATAAAATACAGCATTTATTGATGATAAAAATTCTCAGAAAACAAGGAAAAGAAGGGAAGTTTCCCAACTTGATAAACAATATCTACAAAAAAACCCTTACGGATAACATCACAATTGATGGTGAGAAACTAGATGTTTTCTTTCTGGGATTAGGAACAAGACATGTATGTCCCATCTCATCCCTGCTACTCGACTTTGTGCTGAGACAAGAAAATAAAATGAAAGATACAGAGATCTGGAAAAAAGAAATAAAACTGTCTTGTTCCACAGGTGATATGTTTGCCTATTTAGGACCCCCTCCAAAAAAATCCCCAAATCTCTTAAACTAATAAGCAATTATAGCAAGTTTAGAGGATAATAAATTAATTTACAAGAGTCAATTGTTTTTCTACATACCAGCAATAAACATTTGGAGTCTGAAATTAGGAACACAGCACCATTTACTATAGCACCAAAAAAAAGACAGAAATGCTTAAGTAAATTTTATAAAATATGTATAAGAAACATACATTTGAACAAAACTGTAAAACTTAAGTAAATAAATAAATATTTCATGTTCGTGGATAGGAAGACAATATTATTAAGATGTCAATTCTTACAACTTGATCTATAGGTTTAATACAATCCTAACCAAAATACAAGCATATTATTTTGTGGATGTTAATAAACTGATTCTAACTTTGTATATGAAGGCAAAAGACCCAGAATAGCCCACATAATACTGAAGAAGAACAAAGGAAGGACTGATATATGACATCAAGATTTATTATAAAACTATAGTGATAAAGACAGTGTGGTATTGGCAAAAGAATGGACAAAGAAATCAATGGAATAAAACAGAGCACAGAAGTGAATTTACACAAATATGGTCAACTTATCTTTGACAAAAGAGCAAAGGTAACTCAGTGGAGAAAGGATAGTCTTTTCAATGAATGGTGCTCAAGCTACTGGATATCCACATGCAAAAAAAATGAATCTAGATACAGACATGATACCTTTTATAAAAATTAACTCAAAATGGATCATAGACCTAAATTTTTAAACTGCAATTTCAAGAAGGTAACATAGGATAAAATTTAGGTGGCCTTTGGTTTGGAGATGACTTTTTAGATACAACAGCAAAAACACGATCTATGAAAGATAAATTTGATAAATCACACTTCGTTAAAATGAAAATGTCTGCTCTGCAAAAGATGCAGTTTAGAGGATGAAATGACAATCCACAGACCACGAGAATTCTTTCAAAAGACATATCTCATAAAAGACTTGTATCCAAAATATACAGACAATGCTTAAAACAGCATTCTTTTAGAGTCCTTTGTGCCCTCTAAATCTCTCTTTGGAACTGAGACGTGGAAACATCCTGTTGATCTTAGTCTCCAGTCTCAATGTCCTCAGAGAAGTCTGCATTTAAGCCTTCCAGTTTTTGTAGTCCTTGAACATGGTGTGAAACTTCTGCCAATCTAATTTTGAGGTGTTAATAATTAGCAGAAATAACACTCATCATGTAAAAAATTCAGGTTTCCTTTAGTGAAACCAACTCATACCCAGACACGTTGACAGCCATTTGCGAAAACAATCAAATCTCCTTTTGCACCAGAGGTTGTGAGCATCCCTGGACAGCTGAAGCTGCTATTGGCAATGGGCACTTGGGAAGAGCAGATAACTGACAGAAGACATTAGGGAGTAGGGCAAGAGATATTTCCACAAGCTGATGAGTCTAAATGGCTACTCCATCTGAAAGAAAGAGGAAACCTGGTAAACATATTCCTTATTCATGTACAACCATGTTTTCCCACTTTAAAATGTGTGCCTGCTCTTAAATTTTACAGAATTTTTATTTCACCCAAATTTTTGGATGAATTGACAAATGAAATTATAAATCTCTGTCTTTCTTAAATCAGAATTCAAAGTATAATTTAATTTTAAATTCCTGAGGCCAGATCTCTTGAGGTGGTTTTCTCAAAACACCTGGACTTTAATTTTCTCATTTGTAAAGCAAAATGATCTCATTACACAATTACTATTTCTAATAAACGTTTTGTCAAAAGAGAAAATGTGGGAACTACAACAAACTATAGGCAATTGGACAAAACCACCCAGATTCATACTGTTTAGCCATGACCACTATCATCATATGGCCTCTTTCCCCATTCTTATGTCTAAATATTTTCATAGCCATTATGTCACACTATAGAAAATATATGATCTGCTTTCCCACTCAACCATTCCCACATGGCATTATACAATCATTAAGAACTCTTTTAGCTCTATGATTTTCAGGTACATTTGATTTCTTATTTTTTTTGTTTCTTAGTGTTATGGATAAAGAAAAACAATAGTGAATGATATTTGATTGTTAATCTATAAAGTTTTCATGGAAACTAAATGTAACAACTGTACAAAAAATTATTATAGACTGAAAAGAAATTAATACAATCCTTTATTAACATTTATTGTTCCTTTATTGGATTATACTCAAAAGAAAAGTCCAGCATGGTGAATTGAAGGGCTGATTTTGCCATTTCTCTTTCTCCTAGGAGAAGCATATGGTCTGTAAGTCCAGAAGTCAGCTTTCATGACAAATTATTGGAGATAAACAAATATAAAGATTTAAAAATCTAAAAGATCCTCAGAGTGAATTGTTTAGAATATACCTTTTTAGCACCCGGTAAATTAATAAAACAATATTGGTGCCATGTGGAAAGGAATGAAGATGGCTGCCTTTGAAGATGAATTATGGCAGGCTTTATGTGCTAATGAAACAGTATTAAGAACTCAATAAAACAATGTTGCAAGTTTGGACATTGGCCAAATTTTGAAAGAGCACCTACCACATATAAGGCATTGGCCTTAGGCAAGTGGCATCTCAGGAAGCCCAAGACACTGTTGTTGCCTGCAGAAACATACAGTAGTAGGATAGGAGTGGTGAGGATGACACAGATTCAAGTGTCTATAAAATGAGGTGCAAACGGCCAAGATTTATAGCAGATGGGTATCTGAGGTGGGACAGAAATTTCTTCTGTTGACCAGGAGCAATGTTGCAACAGGTCATGCCATGCAAGAAAGGAGTCCTTTCTCTAAGGAGTGTCAAATATCAACACAGAAAACACAGTAGGCTTTTTCATTCTGCTTAGTAAAGACCTGGAGTGAAATTCAAATGTAACTCAAAAGGGGCACCTCCTTTACCAAATGGCGAGAGGAATATTCTCAAAGGCTGTTTTGTAAAATAATAATATAATAACAGTAAAAACACACACACACAGAGGAAGGAAGTGGAATCACACTTACTAGGGGACACAGTATCAATGGTTGCAATATTGCAAAGGAAAATCATTTCAAAGCCTCCAGATGTAGAAGCTGTGGTGCATAAGGGAACAGCGGTTGTCCCCAAGGCACAAGCTAGCAGAGCAGACTTTCACGCTCTTTCATCAACAATCCACTGCCTCTCCTAAGAGCTCTGGAACTCAATAGACCAGGGTTTCAATGGCAGCTCCACGAAAGAAGTGTCCGTGCAGCCTTAGTAGGCAACTTCCTCCTTTTTAAACCCCATTTCCCTGTTGGGTAAGTTGGCCTTATAACATGTGACCCCAGGGATGTTAGCCTCAGAGGAAACAGTCCACGCAAAGTGCCCAGAGAGGGCCAGGAACAACTGATTCCCAAACCTTAACTCCTTTCCCCTCCTCCCAGGCACGTGAGGCCACTGGAGACAAGCAAGCTGAACAGAGCATCCTCAGTGGTTGGCAAGGGCCAGCTGACGGGAGGGGCCAGATCCTCAGATCATCTCATCCCTCAGGAGGCGAGTTCAGAGCTTGACCCTGCACCAACATGGTCTTGCTCTGAAGAGACTCTCCTCTGCTCCCTCCTAACATCCCCCAAGGAAATGCAGCCTTCAAAACCCAGGCTTTCCAATTTACTTAGTAAAATGAATGAAAGAACCTTTTGGGGAATAAAGTGATTTCTTTTTAGCTGCATTCGTTTACTTTTCCATAAACTCCCAAGATGGCTTACATGTTAGCTGTTAATCACACCATCTGTTCAAACAGTACTTCAGTAAATGATTCGATTCATACTTTTCTTCTAAAAGAATCTTTTTAAGGACAGTGTTTATGTCTCTGTTATCCTTCATTTGGCAACATTGCATGAGATGAGCTATTTTAACTTTGCTGTCATTGTAAACACATATTGAATTTTCCATTTCTGAACTGTGGAGAAAACAGGACCACTTCTCTGCATTTATTCCACTTCACTCTAGGCTTAGGCTGGGGGTGGGAGTGTAACTGGACAGAGATCGTATTTTCATATGGAAAAAAAGACAGAAACAAGAAGTTCCAGACAATATTTCCTTTGACATCTTGAATTTAGTGACAGTGAGTAGATTCTAGCTACATAAGTATTCAGACCAAGCAATGGTGAACAGTGTCCTTAGTGATTGAGAAGGGTCAGTTATGGTGAGAGGCCTGGCTGCTCAAATGCATCTTATCACTTAGGAGACAAAGTCACTGGTTTAGAGGGACTTCTGGGAAGAAGAGCCTGGGTCCCCTAGCAAGTACAGGCACAAAGCTTGGGTCATACCAGGCCTGGAGAGGAGACAAAATTGCTGTTGGGGCTTTTAGGGAAGAGGGATAGTAGAGTAGAGGTGGCCTTTTTATTGTTCCAGGCTGCTCTGTGAACCTCTGATGACCCTGTATTTATGTGAATGTCTGGGGAAATTCAGACATCAGCATGAGTATACTCTAGTGCTGGCCCAGAGGGATGCCACTCTCCCCTGCTTCCCAAGACCTTTAGCCACACGAAAAGTGCTGCATTGTACAGTCATGTACAAAGTGTAAGCGATGTGCAAAGGAGGCACATGAAAGTGTGTGTGTGTGTGTCTACCGATGAAGGAGGGGCTGACTCTCCAGGCCTTCTTAGGGCCATTCCAAGATATAAACCCAGCCTATGTGCATGCCCTAACTCTTACTGATCCATCTACATAAACTTATTACTGTTCCCATAGACACCTCATTCCTTTCCAATTCTGTGCACAGGATTGACGCAGTGCCTGTAAGATGCACGTGGTTCTCAACTAGTGAACTCCTCTCTAATCCTGGAAACCCAGCGAGAATGTCTCTTTCAGTATGATCTTTCTTCACCACACTTTATCTCTGGGCCTGGAAAGTCAATGTCTCCTTCATCACTCTGTGGATACTGACCTAGCAAATGCTTTGCCTCCCATCCCTATCAAGGTAATAAGGAGTCTGCCTTTTAAAGAACTGGAGAAACTGCTTCGCTTTCTTTCTTTCTTACATCAGTACTATGTCAATTATCTTGCTCTTTCACAAGATAGTCAGAGGAGTCATAATCATCCTGATGTCACACAAATCATTGCATAATCCACTTACAATGATGATATCATGCTTAATGGAGCTGACGAACAGAAAGTAGAAGCCACTCTAGATACCTTAGTAAGATACTTGCGTGCCAGAGCATGAGAGATAAACCTCATCAAATTCTGTGGCCTGACTCATTAGAGAAGTTATTAGGAGTCCAGTAGTCTGGAAATCAAATTGCTACACATTGGCATCACTCACAACTAAGAAAAGAGTACAATATTTGGTAGGCTTCTTTGGATATTGGAGAGAGCAGACACCACATTCAATTGTGCCTGCTCCAACTCATTTACCAGGTCATATATAATATTGCCATTTTTGAGTAAAGCCATGTTATGAATGTTTCCTCTTTGTTTTGTTAATGAATATATTAGTGTGTATATACATATAGTAAGCAAATATCTTTCTTTTTTCCTCTCTTATTCCCTAATCATGTAACACAAGATGTATTGACTTTACATTGGTATTTAAGTACTGTGAATTTTACATCATAATATTTGAGTTATGGGCTATCAGGAGAAGACTAATCATCACTCAGAGCTTTACCTCCTCTACTGAGGAAGGGATTAGTGTGTTTGCTGCTTTATGTAGGATAGTTGTATCATGTTAGGGGGAATTAAATCCCCATTGTTTCCATTATTTGGATATTAAGTACGGTTGAGGGAGATGTGTATGGGTACCAAGTTGATAAAGGGTGGACTTATTATGTTTAATTTTATGCGTCAACTTGTTGGGGCTAAGGGATGCTCAGATAGCTGGTAAAACATTATTTTGGGGTGTGCCTCTGAGGGTGTTTACAGAAGAGATTAACATTTGAATCAGTAGATTGAATAAGGAAGATTCACCCTCACCAATGTAGGCAGGCATCATCAAATCTGTTTAGGGCCAGAATAGAATGAAAAAGAGGAAGAATGGTGAATTCTCTCTTGCATCTTAAACTGGGACATCCATCTTCTCCTACTGTTAGACATTAGAGCTCATGGTTCTTGGGCCTTCAGACTCTGGAATTTATATCAATGTTCCCCCCACAACCTACCCCACAGGTTCTCAGACCTTTGACCTTGGACTGAGTTACACTTTTGGCTCTCCTGGTTCATAGGCCTTCAAATTCAAACTGACTTACTCCACTGCTTTTCCTGAGTCTCTAACTTGCCAATGATACATTGTGGAACTTCTCGACCTCCATAATCATGTGACCCAATTCCCATAGTAAATCTCCTCTTATATATCTACATATCTTATTCGTTCTGTTTCTCTGGAGAACCCTAACTAATATGGGCTAGAAGGAAGAAAAGGTTCTGCAGCAGTTACAGGCTGTGATAAAAACTGCCCTACTGTTTGACTCTTATGCTTCAACAGATCCAAGGATATTAGAAGTGTCAAAGTGTCTATGGCACACAGAAATGTTCTATGTAGTCTCTGGCAAGATTCAATTGGAGAACTACCGCACAGACTCCAAGGGTTTTTGAGTGAGGCATGCCCTCTTTTGCTAACAACTATTAGAAAAGCAACTCCTGGCTGGGTGAGGTGGCTCATGCCTGCAATCCCAACACTTTGGAAGGCCAAGGTGGGAGGATCCCTTGAGCCCAGAAGTTTGAGACCAGCCTGGGCAACATAGGGAGACCCTGTCTCTACAGTAAGTAAATAAAATTAGCTTGGCATGGTGGAACATGCCTGTGGTCCCAGCTTCTGTGGAGGCTAAAGTGGGAGGATCGCTTAAGCCTGGAGTTTGAGGCTGCTGTGAGTCGTGATCATGCCACTGCACTTCGGCCTGAGCAAAAAAGGAAGACCTTTTGTCAAAAAAAAAAAAGAAAGAAAGAAAGAAAAGAAAAGAAACTCCTACCGTGCCCCAGTAGAGACTGAATATCAGATTATGGAACACCAAATAACTAGTTAACCTGAATTTCTTATCATGAAGTGAGTGTTGTTAATCCACCAAATCATAACATTGGATACATGTGGCAGTATTGGATTGTAAAATGAAAATGATATAGAGGAACAAAGCTGAATAAATATGAAAGACATTAGTAAACTGCCTAAGAAGATGGCTCAGACTTCCACTGTACATGCTTCACTGCTTTTTCCTCAGCCCTCAGGGAAAGTTTCCTGTGACTAGTTAACACGGGAAGAAATAAATGGAACTGGTTTACATGTAGATCATCATGGTATGCTGGAGCTACCAGATGTGGATGGATGGTGCACTGCAGCCTCGCATAAGGTTATCTTAGAAAGGCAGTAATAAAATAGTATGACTGGTCAGAATTCAAGTGTCCACTTGATGAAGAAATGGCCTAGAATATGGATCTATTCATGGACATTAGCATGGCTTGATCAACTGGTTAGAAACTTGAAGAGAGCAATATTAGAAGACTGGTGACTAGGAAGTATGGAGAAAAGGTGTGTAAATGGACCCCTCTCAGTGGGCAGTGAATATAATTATGTTCCGCGTAAATGGTAAATGTCCACCAGAATATATCCACTTTAAAGAAGGCTCTCAATACTTAGGTAGACAAGATGTGATAGATTGCAAAATGGCCACAAATTTTTCCCATTCCTAAATGTATGTCCCTTAGCAACATGACTTTCCCACTCTCCTCATCAAGTGGCAGAGTCTGTTACTCCATTCCTTGGACTAGGGTTTGACCATGTGACTTGCTTTGGCTACCAGTGCTTTAACAAATATGATGTATTCAAAATTCTTATGCATTGGCACTTTCTCTTGTTGAGTTTGCAATTCTGAAGCCATTTTTATGTGAATGATTCTTAAATAGTCTACTAAAGAGGTCATGTAGAGGAGAACTGAGGTCCTTCAAAAGGCATCCTAGATCACTAGATATGTGAGTGAGGCCTTCCCAAACCATCCAGAACTCAGAGATCAGCTGAGGTACTCCTAACCAGAAAAATCAGCCAGCCAGTCCACAAAATTGTTAAAAATTAATAAATATTTATTGTTTTAAGCCAGAAAAAAGAAACTGTTTTGGACAACTCTATGCAAATAAAGTTGAAAATGTGGATAATTTTTAGAACAATTCAACTTGCCCTGCTGACTCCAGTAGAGACAGAAAGTCTAGTAGGCAAAATGAAAAACAAAAAAAACCCTCCGGGTTGCTTGAACCCAGGAGGCGGAGGTTGCAGTCAGTCGAGATTGCACCACTGCACTCCAGCACGGGCGACAGAGCAAGACTCCATCTCAAAAAAAAAAAAAAGTTTTGATAAAGATTTCCCTCCAATAAATGGCACCAAACTAAAAAGATTTCATAGAATTCTGCGAAACCTTCAAAAATAATATTATTCCAATGCTACTTAATCTGAGAGCTTAGAAAAAGAAACAACATTTTCAGATTAATTTATACACTTTCTATTCTAAAATCATGGCACCAGAAATGTTGCAAGAAGAGTACAAAAAATTTATTTTCTGGGGTCATGCATTGCTTTTAGTAGTCATATCTCTTTATCCACTGAGTTCCTCAGACTGTGTCTTTCATGACTTTCACTGTTTTTTTGTTTTGTTTTGTTTTGTTTTGTTTTGTTTTGTTTTGTTTGAGATGGAGTCTCACTCTGTAGCCCAGGCTGGAGTGCCGTGCCATGATCTAGGCTCATTGCAACCTCCCCCTCCTGGGTTCAAGCAATTCTCAAGCCTCAGCCTCCCTACGTAGCTGGGATTACAGGCATGTGCCACCACACCCAGCTAATTTTTGTAATTTTGGTAGAGATGGGGTTTCGCCACGTTGGCCAGGCTGGTCTCAAACTCCTGACCTCAAGTGATCCACCCGCCTCGTCCTCCCAAAGTGCTGGGATTACAGGTGTGACCCACCAAGCCTGACCGTCTTTCACCTTTTTAAAGAATAGAGGTCAGTTATTTTTCAGAATGGCCTCTCAATTTGAGTTCCCATGATACTGTCTCATAATTAGACTCAGGTTTTCATACTGACACCACAGAAGTTATTTTGCCCTTATTGCATGATATCAGGAGGTACATGACACTCTTGTGTTCCACTGTTAATGACGTGAACATTGAACATTCGGTTATATATTGGTGCATGCCCAGTTTCTCAACTGTAAGGTTATTACTGTATTTTCTCCTTGGTATTATTTCTCCTTTGTGTGATAGCTATTTTATGAGGAGAAATTTTGGCACTGTATAAATATCTTGTCTCTCATGAAATTTTCACCTAAGAGTTCTAATAATACTTTCATTTTGTTAAGCATGATGAATTTTTTAAAATTATATTCTTTTTAGAGACAGGGTCTCACTCTGTTGTCCAGGCAGGAGTGCAGAGGTGAAAACTTTTTTCGTTTGTTTGTTTGTTTGTTTGTTTTTTGAGACAGAGTCTTGTTCTGTCTCCCAGGCTGGAGTGTAGTGGCACGATCTCGGCTCACTGCAACCTCCACCTCCTGGGTTCAAGCAATTGTGCCTCAGCCTCCCGAGTAGCTGGGATTACAAACGCCCGCCACCACACCCAGCTCATTTTTTTGTATTTTTAGTAGAGGTGGTGTTTCACCATGTTGGTCAGGCTGGTATCGAACTCCTGACCTCAGGTGATCCGCCTGCCTCAGCCTCCCGAAGTGCTAGGACTATAGGCATGAGCCACTGTGCCTGGCTGTAGAAACTTTTTAAACCTAATTTCAGACCTACTAAAGAGTTGAAAGCACAGTACAAAAAATTTCCTCACTCCCTTCAACAAGTTTACCAAAAAGTTATTTTATTATATTTGCTTATCATTCTCTGTGTGTATTTATATATGTATTCATCTGCATATAGGTATAATAGTTTTCTGACCCACTGAAAGTAAGTTGCAAACACGGTAGTTTGTATTTCCTAAAAACATGATTATTCTCTTTCATAACCAAAGCACAATTACAAAAACCAAGAAATTAACATTAACATAGTACTATTAGCTTGTCTACAGACTTTATTCAAATCTTAATAGTTATCTCAATAATGTCTTCTATAGAAAAAGAAAATTCTGGCTCATGAGTCATATTCAATTGCCATGTCTCTTTAGTTTCTTTTAACCTGAAAAAAAATCATTCATTTTTCTTTATCTTTCGTGACCTTCACATTTATGAGGAGTGCATAACAGTTATTTTGCAGAATGTCCCTCAATTGGGGTTTGTCAGACATTTCCTCATGATTATTTTCAGGTTATGTGTTTTTGACGAGAATATCACAGAAATGACAAGTTCTTCACAATGCATTATATCAAGAGACAAAAAAAATGTCAATTTGTCCCTTTACCAGTGCTGTTAGCATTTGATGTGATCCTTTTGTTAAGATGGTGTCTGCCAGGTTTCCTCACTGTGAAGTTAAAGTTTTCCCCTTTGTAAATAATAAATATCTTGTGGTAGATACTTTGAGACTATGTAATTAATTGGTTACTCATCAAATGTTTATCCCCAGTTTTAGCATCTATTGTTAATTATTGCCTGAATCAATTATTGCCATGATGGCTGGAAATGGTGATTTTTTTATGTTCATTATTCTTTCTACATTCTTAGTTCATAGACCACTATAAGGAAGACTTTTTTCTCCTTTAAAATTTCTTCTTTATTTCAGTATAGTGCTTTCTTTTTTTCTATGAGTTATAATGTTACTGTCATAATTTATACTGATGTTCTAATTGTCCCTCGTTTGGTCATTGGTACACACTATAATCTGGTTTCTCTGTCCTTTTGACATGTATATACCATTCATTGGCCACTTTCTTATTTTCTGAACAACATGGTGTTCACAGTTCATCATGTACTTGTCTAGTCTCAGCTTTTTGATCAGCCATTTCTCCAAAGAATTGATTCCTCTTAGTGGAGAATACTTGATCTCAACTAAGAGCCGAGCACTAAACATGATTATTGCTACTGTGGTGTCACTGCTTCTAGGATCTCTGAGTAGACAGAATTAGAAAATATGTGCATGTATATACATGTATGCACATCAATATGTGTATATGTAAATGTATATATAAATGTATATGCATAATATATACATATACTTATCTCTTTCCATATCTATAATTGTGTCATTTTATCTGTGCATCTATCTGTTCATCTTAATCTATCACACCATGACTTCATACTAATACCTCTAACACCAATCTAACAAAACATGGTGCTAGTTAGTGTTCCCCCTTTAATATCTGATACACTTCGAAAATGGAAGAAAGGACAATGAATGCAGTCAGCCTCTAGAAGCTAGAAACAACAAGGAAATGGATTCTCTTCTAGAACCTTCAGAATGACTACCAAAACCTCAATTTTACCCATAAGATCCATTTCAGATTTCTGACCTCCAAAACTGTAAGATAATATATTTGCATTATTTTAAACCAACAAACAACTTGTGTTAGTAAGCTAGAGGTGATTTGTTACAACAACATAAGAAACTTACATAGGAGTATTATTTTAATTTTCTTCACCATCATAGCTTTTGGGGGTGGAGATTTCATCAGCAGAGTTTCTCTCTTTTTCTTTTTTTTCTTATAATAGCTTTATTTTTGCTTAATCATTTCATGAATTTGCAGTAGTTTATAACATTTGTAGTTCAAGGGCACCCTCTTCTGTTTGGTTGGCAGAGTAGAGTTTTATTTTTCAATGTTTTGCTTGGCATCTTTTTTTTTTTAACTTTTTGGTGGTAATAGGAGGGATTGTGTGTTCTGCATATTTGGGTTTTCTTTGTTTTGCAAAGTCCTATATTTTGCCCTTTTGCTTCCTTTCCTCTTCACTACCCAGTCTTCAAAGGGTACTTCTCCCATCTTTTTCACCTTCTTCTCTACCAGAAGTGACGACTTTTGGTCTTAGGGCACTTTTAAATTCTCTTCTTGTAGTAAAATGTTTGGTCTTCTAGGACATTTTCGGTACTTTCACACTTAGTATGACTTAGTCTTTGTGACAAATACTTTAGATTCATCTTGGGTGTGATGCTTCCCCACTTCTTTCTCCATGTAGTTTTTCCCAGATTGTCCTTGTTCTCTGTGAAGGAATGTGACAGGAGTGCTTGAGAGGTAGCTCACTGGGATTTGTTGAATTTTCTATTTACTGGTAACTTAAATAATAAATAACTTAAATTTACTCTATTTACTGGTAACTTAAATAAAGTTTGGGCATTGTCCATCTTCTAATTAAGTTGTGGATGTTGATTTTTGTCATTTTATCTGTCCTTTAAGCCCCTTCCTTGTCATAAGAACTCCAATCTACTAGCACTCTTATAGTAGATTTGCACTTAGGATAAATTTCTCTATCTAGTGGTGGTTTTAGATCAATTTTAGGCCTACTGCTGGCTCCTCTATTCTCTCTTCCAATCAGATTTCCCAGACTGTTTTCCATGAAGAAATGTGATAGGAGTCCTTACAAGAAAGTTCACGAGATTTGAAGCTTACTTTTCCAAGTACGGATTTCAAAGTTTGGATATTTTCTATGTTTTTAGTTATGCTATGGATGTGGATTTCTGTATATTCATTCGTTTTTCTTTTGTTATGTTTGAATTTTTAGAGGATATGTTGAGAGATTCAGATTTATGGCACTGTCGTTAACTGAGATACCCGTATAAAATTTAATTTTAGAGTAATTGCAACACTGATCCTACAACAACAAAAACAAATGCCAAAACAAACAAACTAACCCAAATCCTATAGACAAAACTCACTTATATTGACACAAAAAATTAAATGTTATTTTAAAAAACCGGTGGCAAAATAAAAGTATTTCATGATTAATCATATTATTCTAGGAATGCAAGGGTTTTTAATATTAGGAAAGCCTTTAAAATGATTTGTCATTTTAATAGAACCTCGTAAAAATTTATGATCCTTCTCATAAATGTAGAAGAAGAAAAAAAGCATTTGACATACCCAATGCCTATTTGTGTTAAGACACTCAATCATCAGAAATTGATAATAAAAACCCTTAACATAATTTTATCAATCATGTTCATATCTGAATGTTAAAGCCAGTACTAAAGTTAGAAAAAGCCTAAGATAATACATCAGGAATAATGGAGTTTACCCCAGGGATACAATATTTAGTATTTTCTCAGCTTTACTTACATATAATTGACAAATAACAAATTGTATATATTTGTTATTATACGATAATGAGAGAGAGAGAGAGAGAGACTTCTTTGTCACTCAGGCAGATGTGCAGTGGCGCAATCATGGCTCACTGCAGCCTGGACCACCCAGGTTCAGGTGTTCCTCCTGCCTCAGCCTCTGTAGATGGGACTACAGGCATGCACCACCACCACACCCGCCAATTTTTAAAAATTTTTTGTGGAGATGGGGTTCCACTAGGTTGCCCAGGCTGCTCTTGAACTCCTAGGCTCAAGCAATCCTCTTGCCTCAGCCTCCCAAAGTGCTGAGATTACAAGCATGAGCTCCTGCGCCTGGCCCAAACTGTGTATTTTTAAGGTATGAAGATTGACGTATTGATATTGAAATACATTGTGAAATGATCACAACAATCAAGCTAATTAATATGTCTGCCACCTCACATAGTCACCATTTTCTTTTCTATTTTATGGTGAGAACACTTCAGCTCTACCTTCTTAGGAAATATCAAGTATACAATACAGTGTTGTTAACTATAGTCACCATGCTGTACATCAGATCTCTAGAACTTATTCATCTTGTATAAATAAAATTTAATTTGGCATTTGAAAATGAATTATTGTAATTCACCACGTTAATAGACTTAATGAGAAAAACCATTTGTTCTCAATAGATGCAAAAAAAGCATTTGTCAAAATTTGGCAACAGTTCCCCCAACTCATGAGAAAACAAAAAAAACTCTCAGAAAACTCCCAAAAGGAAATATGAAAATCTTGTGCCTACCCTCCACGCAACACCAAAACCACCCTCTTTTTATAGTCCCTTTGAAATCATGTATTGCCGAACTTTTGTTTTAGGGCCTACACCCTTAGCAGACTCTGAGCCACTCGGGAGTTACCTCCCCTCCTTAATCCAGACACGGTATTTTATTCGTGAAGCAGTAAATGAGGCCATGCCTCTCCCTGTCGACACCTCCTTGTCCTCTCAACATAACTGTCTTGCAGGCACAGATGTGTTTATCTGCCAGCCCGACCCTCAATAAAAGCTACAACCGAAGTGGACAGGCCCGTACACTGTGATACTCAGCATGCCAACTGCAGTGAAAGCCCAAAGACTCCCGCACGGGGTCCATCACACCAGGGTCAAGCTCACCCCCAAGCCTACTCCTTCCTCCAAAACATTAACAGCGGGCAACACCCTCGGAGTCCCTGTGTATGAACTTAAACAGAGAAAAACAATCCTTAAAGGTAGGAGGAAGCCAAAGATGGCAAGAGGACAGATGGCCTCCACAACATATCATCGAATATTACGGACCTGCCACTTGAGCTGAGGATGGTTCATGGGGTTATCACATTCCCATATATATGCTAAGTAGAATAATTACACTACAGGTGGTTCTAGAGATAATCACTAACCAAACCGCCTCAGCCCTGGAAATGCTCGCGCAACAACAAAACCAAATGCTTGTGGCAATTTATCAAAACAGGCTAGCACTAGACTACTTATTAGCAGAAGAGGGTGGGGTCTGTGGTAAGTTTAATATCTCTAATTGCTGTCTTAACATAGACGATAACGGAAAAGCAGTTCTAGAAATCGCTTCAAATATAAGAAAAGTAGCCCATGTGCCAGTCCAAACCTGGAAAGAATGGGACCGGGCAAACCTTCTAGGAGGGTGGTTCTCTAATTTAAGAGGATTAAAACGCTGGTAAGGACAGTAATCTTCATCACTGGGCTCCTCCTGTTTCTCCCCTGTGTTATCCCACTGATAATAAAAGCCATTAAAACTCTTGTTGAAACTACAGTTAACTGCCAGACAATCCAGACAATGCTCCTGCTACAACGACACAATGCATACCAACCCATCTCTCAAGAATACGCCCAAAATTAAGGTTTTCTTTTTCCAAGGTGCCCATGCCACCCACTATGTCACGTCTGAAGTAGTTATTGAGAAAGTCGCCCCTTTTCCCTTTTTTCTATAACCAAATAAGAATTAAAGATTCTCCCTGGGGCCTGCAAGCTTGAAGGGATGAGTAACTCCTCCCTTCTCAGGCCCAGTCCCAAGGCACAAGGCCACTTGCATCAGCAGAGTGCATCAGCAAGATAGCAGAAGCAGGAAGAGAGCGGGCCGGAAGACACCTACCCTGACCGGAAGACACGTATCCCTGAAGATTGAGAAAGAGGCCGTCCGGGTGCTACGTAACAGTCACATCAGACTGGGACACTTCCTGTTTACAGGAGACTATAAAACCCCTGCCCTGTCCTCATTTGGTGCTGATGCCATTTTAGGCCTCAGCCGGCCTGCACCCAGGCTCTCATTGAAACAGCATGTTGCTCCAAAAAAAAAAAAAAATCTTGTGTCTACCATTCTACCATCATACTTAGTTGTGAAAGACTGAAAAGTTTCCATGAACACAGTATATTTCTTCGTTTATTTAGGTCTTTTTTAATCTTTCCAAGCAATATTTTATGGTTTATAGGTCTTGGACATCATCTGTCAACTTCGTGCATAAGTATTTCATATATTTTGATGATACTATAACTGATATTCCATTTTTTATTTCAATTTTTGTGAGTATATGGAAAGAAAATAGTTTTTAAAAGTATATTGATTTTGTTTTACTGCTACCTCACTAAACTCACGTATTAGTCCACGTGGGGCTTTTAAAATAGATTCCATCAGAATTTCTACAAAATCATTTCCTCTGTGAATAAAGAGAATTTTATTTTTTCCTTTTCTATCTGAATGCCTCTGTTGATTTTTTGCCTTGTCTCACTGGTTAAAATCTACAGAACACTAGAATATAAATGGTAGAAATAGAAATCATTGTTTTCCTCCAGATGTTAGGGAGAAAGCATTCATTTGTTCACCATTAAGTATGATAAGTTTTACATAAAAGCCTTGATCAGGTTGAAGAAGCTCCTTTTCATTCCTTTGTTGAGAGGTTTCATCAAGAATGAATGCTGGTAGGGAAAACCCTTCAGGACATTGATCTAGGCAAGGATTTTATAGCGAAGAACTCAAAAGCAGAGGCAACAAAAACAAAGCTAGACAAATGGGACTATATTAAACTAAAAAGCTTCTGAACAGCAAAGGAATCAATCAAGAGTGAAGGGATAACCTGTTGAGTGGGAGAAAATATTTGTAAACTGTTCATCTAACAATGGACTAATATTCAGAATATAAAAGGAATGCAAACAACTCAACAATTTTTTAAAATCTCATTAAAAAGTGGGCAAATGACATGAATAGACGTTTCTCATAAGAAGAAATACAAATGGCTAACAGTTATGTGAAAAATGCTCAAAATCAAAATCATGAATTATCAGGGAAATGCAAATCACAATCACAATGAGATATCGTCTTACCCTAATTAGAATGGCTATTATTAAAAGGACAAAATAGCAGATGCTGTTGAGGATGCAGAAAAAACGAAACTCTTAGAAACTATTAATGGAAATGTAAATCAGTACGACCACTGCGGAAAACAGTATGGAGATTTCTCAAAAACTAAACATGGAAATACCATACAGTCTAACAATTCCACTACTGGGTATTTATTCAAAGGAAAAGAAGTGAGTATGTCAAACGGATACCTGCGCTCACTTGTTTATTGCAGCACTATTCACAATAGCTAAGATATGGAACCAACTGGTATCCATCAATGGACGAATGGATAAACAAAAGGTAGTATATATACACACAATGAAATACTCTTCAGCCATAAAAAAGAATGAAATCATGTTATTTGCAGCAGCATGGATGGAATTGGAAGTCATTATGTTAAATGAAATAAACTAGACACAGAAAAATTTTGCATTGTCTCACTTACATACTGGAGCTTAACAAGTTGACCTCATAGAGATAGAGAGTAGAATGGTAGATACCAGAGGCTGGGAAGATTATGTAGGTAGGAGGGTGGATGAAGAGAGGTTGGTCAATAGAATAAAACATATTAGATAGAAAGTATTAGTTTTAATGTTAGATAGCAGAGTAGGCTTACTATAGTTAGCAACAAAATATTATATATATATATATATTTAGCAACAAAATATTATATATATATTATAAATATATATATATATATATTTTTTTTTTGAGACAGAGTGCCGATCTGGTTGCCCAGGCTGGAGTGCAATGGCGCAATCTCAGCTCACCGCAACCTCTGCCTCCAGGGTTCAAGCAATTCTTCTGCCTCAGCCTCCTGAGTAGCTGGGATTACACGCATGTGCCAAGATGCCCTGCTAATTTTGTATTTTTAGTGGAGATGGGATTTCTCCATCTTGGTCAGTCTGGTCTTGAACTCCCGACCTCAGGTGACACGCCTGCCTCGGCCTCACAAAGTGCTGGGATTACAGGCATAAGACACCGCACCCGGACATATATTTCAAAGTATCTAGAAGAGAGAACTGGAAATGTTCCCAACACAAAGAAATGATAAATACTCAAAGTGATGGATATCCCAAATACCCTGACTTGATCATTACATATTCAATACGTGCAACAAAGTATCATATGTGCACCATAAATATGTACAATTATCATTTATCAATACAACTTTTTAAAAAGAATGAATGCTGGATTTCTTCAAATACATTCTCTGCATTAGAAATGATAATATGATTTTAATTATTCAGATTGTTAACATAGTGAATTACATTGACTGCTCTTTTGAATTGTAACTTAACCTTGCTTTCTTGAGATAAACATTACATGGTCAAGAAGTATTGTCCTTTGCATATTTTGTTGGATTAGATTTCCTAAAAAGAAGTTTAGAATTTTTGCATCTATGTTCATGAGCAATATTGATCTTTAATTTTCTTGTCCTGTAATAGTATGTCTTATAATAATACCACATATATTTTAGTTTCAAGGTGATGCTGCCCATATAGAATCAGTTGGGAATTATCCTCTTCACTTGACTTATTTGGAATTGGTATTATTTATTCCTGAAATGTTTGGTAGGGTTCAACAGTGAAGTTATTTGGGTCTGGAGTCTTCTTTGTGGGAACACTTTAAACTACAAATTCAACTTCTTGAACAAATATAAGACTATGCATGGCTGAGCATGGTGGCTCACGCCTGTAATCCCAGCACTTTGGGAGGGTAAGGTGGGTGGATCACCTGAGGTCAGGAGTTCGAGACCAGCCTGGACAACATGGTGAAACCCCGTCTCTACTAAAAATACAAAAATTAGCCCGGCAATAGTGGCAAGCACCTGTAATCCCAGCTACTCCGGAGGCTGAGGCAAGAAAATCGCTTGAGCCTGGGAGGTGGAGGTTGCGGTGAGCCGAGATCGCACCACTGCACTCCAGTCTGGGCGACAGAGTGAGAGCCTGACTCAAAAAAAATAATAAAAATAAAAATAAAAATAAATAAGATACAGGACTATGCATTCTTGGGAGAGTTTTCCTTGTTTGTGGTGCTTGTGTCTTTCAAAGAATTTATCGATTTCATTTAAATTTTTAACTATATGATATGAAATAAAGTTGTTAATAATATTAATTTTTTTTTATGGAGTCTCACTCTTGTTGCCCAGGCTGGAGTGCAGTGGCACGATCTCGGCTCACTGCAACCTCAGCCTCCCGGGTTCAAGCAATTCTCTTGCCTCAGACTCCCAAATAGCTGGTATTACAGGCGTCCGCCACCACACCCGGCTAATTTTTGTATGTTTAGTACAGGCAGGGTTTCACCACGTTGGACAGGCTGGTCTAGAACCCCTAACCTCAGGTGATCCACCAGCCTCAGCCTCCCAAAATGTTGGGATTACAGGCGTGAGCCACCGCACCAGGCCTCTTATTTTTTAATAAACATAATCTGTGGTGATGACTTTTCTTTCATTCCTAATATAGGTTTTTGGGGGCCTTCACTCTTTTATTTCTAATTATTTTGATTGGAGGTTTTAAAATTTTATTAATTTTCTTAAAGAATCAATTTTTTGTTTTACTGGTTTTTCTCTATTGTTTTTCTCTTTTTATTTCACTTTAACTCCACTTTTATTACTTCCTTCCTTCTGCTTACCTTTAGTTTAATTTGCTCATCTTTTTCATTCTTAAGTTAGAAGCTGAGGTCATGGATTTGAGGCCTGTAGTCTTTAGTAACATAGGTGGTTTAGTGCTATAAATTTACCCTTACGTACTGATTTGGTCACATTCCACAAATTTGGACATGTTAATTTATTTTCATTTCATTGAAAATATTTTCTAATTTCCCTTTGAGTTTCTACCTTGATTTCTATGTTATTTCAAAGTTTGTAATTTTGGCCAGGTGTGGTGGTTCATGCCTGTAATCCCAGCACTTTGGGAGGCAGAGGCAGGTGGATCACTTGAGGTCAGGAGTTCAAGACCAGCCTGTCCAATATGGTGAAACCCCATCTTTACTAAAAAAAAAATAATAATAATACAAAAATTAGCTGGGCGTGGTGGCACGCACCGGTAATCCCAGCTACTCAGGAGGCTGAGACAGGAGAATCAGTTGAACTCAGGAGGCGGAGGTTGCAATGAGCCAAGATGGTGCCACTGCACTCCAGCCTGGGCAACAGAGCGAGACTCTGTCTCAAAAAAAAAAAAAAAAAAAATGAAGTGGAAGTTCTTTTAAATACTACATTTTGAAGTCTGGGGTCATGGAAAATGGGTCTTATATTCTTAACCTCACCTTTTTGGAAACTAGTTAGAATTGTTATTTTATTTATTTATTTTTTATTTTTAGTTCAGGAGTACATGTGCAGGATGTGCAGGTTTGTTACATAGGTAAATGTGTGCCATGGTGGTTTGCTGCACAGATCATCCCATCACCTAGGTATTAAGCCAAGCAAGCATTAACTATTTTTCCTAATGCTCTCCCTCTCCCCACCCCACCTGCCCATAGGCCCCAGTGTATGTTGTTCCTCTCCCTATGTCCATGTGTTCTCATTGGAAACCTAGAAACTATTTTAAGTCAGTAAGCTGACATATTTGTTGGTATTACATTATCTGCTGCCCATATCCAAGGGTTATTATCCCTTGTAACCTGATATCCAGGAACTCAATAACTGTTGTTTCATATATTTGTAGTTTTTGGTTATTTCAAGCATGAGGGCAAATTGGTCTCTTTCTCCAGAGTGACTAGAAGTGGGATTGCCTTTTTCATGTTTTTAAACATTGTAAGCATAGTTGTTTTATGGTCTGTGTCTTAATAATTCCATTAACTGAAATTTTGTGCCTTTTTTTGCCTATTATTCTGCCTGTTCTTGCCCATTGTGTCTTGTTTGTTTATGGACCTGGTTATTTTTGTCATCATACTTTGTTATCTGTAGCAATGACTTTAGGATAGGATGAAGTCACTTTCCTCCAGAGAAGATTTCCATTTGCCTCTGCCAAGTTATTGGGGTTATTCTCAGTTGAGGACGATCTTAAATTTTAAGGCTTGGGATTCCCTGGATTATTAGGTAAATAGAACAAAAGATGAAATTATGTGTGAGAGCTCAACCAAATCCTATTCATCTATTCTCTGTGGTGTAGCCTTTTTGGGGGCCACCTTATTGAAGAAAGGCTCTACTTTGTATATATTGTGGCTTTTAGTTTAATATTTATCTTGCCCTAAGAGGCTATCAGAACAAAAGTTACAATTTTCTGATTTGGCAAATATTCACATGGCAAAAGTAGCTTCCAGTTCTCATTTATCTCCCTACGTCTTCATTTTCCATTTATTTTGGCCAGGTAACATCTTACCCCCCTCTCAGCTCTTCAATTGTTTAAAGAAGGCACTGTTTACATATTATTTAGGTTTTTAAAAGTTGTTTCCAGAGGCAGGGTTGGTATGAATAACTTCGCCTATCTTTACATAAATCTGGAAGTGCGTCATGGTTTTTTGTAGGATGAGCTCAGACACTGGCAGAGAGGGAAATGTTAATGAAGCTGTCCAGCTGGATTATACACTATCTGGATAGTCTTATCCTTGCAAGCACCTTCCTTGGTAATGGGCCTTGTTCTTCCATTCACTGAAATTATTCTTGTGATGCACTCATTAGGAACACTTGGTTCTATTTTTGGAATTTAGACCTCATTTATTAGCAAAAGAGTTACTGTATGGACACATCTGCTTTATCATGTAATACAGTTGACAATTTATAGTTTAGTAAGCTCTCCAAAGGGGCTGCAGGCTGGCTTTTGGAGAACGATGCCTAATTCCACATCGGAGACTCTGCCATATGGGACTGCCTCCATTTCCCATTTTTTAAGCTGTGGTTCCACTAGGACACTGAAAAAGTCAGCATAGTCAACATATGGAGACATTCCTGAATTTGGGGGTAGATAGGTAGTAGAATGAGGGAACTTGGCAGCTGTGTAACTTCTTCATCAAACAGAACTTGTTCTTGAGTAGGTAGGGCACAGGACCTGCTAGATGAAAGTTCAATTAGTGTCCCCAGAGCAGCATTTTCTTCATGGTCCCTGAAGCTCTGCTCCCCAACTCAAATATTTATATCAGCGGGGAAGGATTTCGACCTGTAGGTGGAGAGAGAAATTTCTATTTTTCTCGAGTGTTCTCAGAGAACAGTGGGACTCTAGTAACATAATGTCAGGCCTCTCTCTACGCAGTAACAGCAACACCAAAGCTCTGTAGAAGAAAAAAAAAACACAACAAAAAACTAGGACCAGAGAAAGACACAGTGGCTCACACCTGTAATCTGAATGCTTTGGGAGGTCAAGGCAGGAGGATCGCTTGAGCCCAGGAATTCAAGACCAGCCTGAGCAACATAGCAGGATCCTGACTCTAGGAAAAAAATGTTTAAAAATTAGCTGGGCATGGTGGCACAAGCCTATAGTCCTAGCTACTCAGGAGGCTGAGTTGAGAGAATCGCTTGAGCACAGGAGTTAAAGGCTGCAGTGAGTTGTGATTGTACCACTGCACTTCAGTCTGAGTGATGGTGTGAGACCCTGTCTCTAAAAAAATCAAAATAAAAACACAAAAAACTGAGATCAAAAAGGAGTTATGCACACACAATGGGGAAAGGACAGTCTGTTTAATAAACAATGCTGGGAGAACTAGATATCCACATCCAGAGAATGAAACTAGACCCTTATCTCACACCACATGCAAAAATCAACTGAAAATGAATGAGGGATTAAAGACTTAAAGATAAGACCTGGAAATGTAAAACTACTAGAGGAAAACATAAAGGAAAAAGCTCCATGACATTAGTTTGGACAATTATTTATTTGATATGACCTCAAAAGCACAGGCAACAAAAGCAAAAATAAACAAATGAGATTACATCAAACTAAAAAGCTTCTGCACAGCAAAGGAAACAATCAACAGAGTGAAGAGACACCTATGGAATGAGAGAAAATATTTCCAAACCATAAATCTCATAAAAGATTAATATCAAAAGTATATAAGGAACTGAACTCAATAGCAAGAAAACAAATAGCTCAACTTAAAAAATGAATAAAGGATGAAAGGATGTGAATGGATTTTTTTTTTTTTTTTTTTTTGGAGACGGAGTTTCACTCTTGTCACCCAGGCTGGAGTGCAATGGCGCGATCTTGGATCACTGCAACTTCTGCCTCCCAGGTTCAAGCAATTCTCCTGCCTCAGCCTCCCGAGTAGCTGGGACTACAGGCGCACACTGCCATGCCCAACTAATTTTCTGTATTTTAGTAGAGACGGGTTTTCACCATGTTGCCCAGGCTAGTCTTGAACTCCTGAGCTCAGGCAATACGTCTGCCTCAGCTTCCCAAAGTGCTAGGATTATAGGCGTCAGCCACCGTGCCTGGAAACATTCCTTAAAAGATGTACAAATGGTCAACAAGTATATGAAAAGATGCTCAACATAATTAATCATCAGGGAAATACAAATTAAAACCATAATGAGACATCACCTCACACTTGTTAGTATAGCTATTATCAAAAAGTCATAAGTGTTGCTGAAGAGATGGAGAAAAAGGAACCGTTGCACACTGTTTGTGGGAATGTAAATTAGTACATCCATTACAGAAAATTATATGGCTGTTTCTCAAAAAGCTAAAATTAGAATTACCATATAATTCAACAATCATGCTTCTAGGTATATATCAAAGGAAATGAAATCAGTATGTCGAAAAGGTATCTGCACTCCCATGTACATAGCACCATTATTCACAATAGCCAAGATATGGAATCAACTTAAGTTTCCATCAAAGGCTAAATGTGTAAAGAAAATATGGCATACACACACAATGGAATTCCACCTTTAAAAAGAAGGAAATCCTGTCATTTGTGACAACATGGATGAACCTGGACAATTATACTAAGTTAAATGAGCCAGACGCAGACAGACAAATACCACATGATCTCACTCAAACGTGCAGTCGAAAAAAGTTGTATTCATAGAAGCACAGAGTAGAAAGGTGGTTACTATGGGTGAGGGTGGGGGAGTTGGGGAGATGCTAGTCAAAGGATGCAAACTTTCAATTAAACAGGAGAAAATAAGTTCAAGAGATCTATTGTACAACATGGTAATTATAGTTAGTAACAATGTATTACATTCTTTAAAATCGTTGAGAGTAGATTTTAAGTATTCTCATTTTTAAAAATCATGTGAGATAATGTATATATTAATTAGTTCTATTTAAGCATTTCACAATGTATGCGTTTTCAAAACAACATGCTGTACCTAATAAATACATACAGTGTTTTATCCTTAAATTGAAAAAATTAATTATTATTATTATTTTTTTTTTGAGATGGAGTCTCGCTGTGTCTCCCAGGTTGAAGTGCAGTGGCGCGATCTCGGCTCACGGCAAGCTCCACCTCCTGGGTTCACGCCATTCTCCTGCCTCAGCCTCCCGAGTAGCTGGGACTACAGGCGCCCGCCAACACGCCCGGCTAATTTTTTGTATTTTTAGTAGAAACGGGGTTTCACCGTGTTAGCCAAGATGGTCTCGATCTCCTGACCTCGTGATCCGCCCGTCTCGGCCTCCCAAAGTGCTAGGATTACAGGCGTGAGCCACCGCTCCCGGCCAAAATTAATTAGTTTTTAAAAAGCAGTTCCCAACTGCCAGACATAGTTGGTGACGCCAGAGACAGAGTCCATAGTCGAAACCTAGGAGCTCAAGATAGGAAATGCCAAGAAAAACAAATAATGACTGAGGCCTTACTCTGCAGGGCAAGATGGCAATTAGAATAGCTAGCACATATTGGATGTGCAGTTATGTGCCAAACATTTTCATAAGTGTTTTAGAAATGTTCATTTATTTCAGCCTCACAGTAACTTTATGACATAGGTACACGATTACAATCTTCATTGCATACGCGAGAAAACCCGAGCACAGAGAGGTTAATTAACTAGCTCAAAGTCACACAGCCACTAAGACGGGACCCCAGTCCTCAGACAAGCCTACAGTATTGTTAGTTGTTGGCGTCAATTGTGCTGAGCCGAGGGAGGCAGCAGGCACAAGGAACACGGGAACAGCCAAAGACAGCGCCATCCCCAGCGCCTATCCTACCCACGTTGTTTGTGGAGATGAACATTCACACTGTGGGATCTGAGAGGGGAGAGGGCGGTAAGGGGAGGAGTATCCCAGGCGGCAGCAGAACGTGGTTTTTAGCCTTCATTCCCTCAAATATGTGTGTGAGAAGTATGGGGGCGCTGGTTGGTCCTGAGCTCTAATTTCACCCATTGGAACAGGAAAAACTGGACCTGTGAAAACGTTGCCCTCATCCCTGAAGAGGTGAGACGTCCTGCCAAGGTCTCTTTCGCCATCTAGTGGCCAATAGGATGTATGACACACAACGCAGAAACATGTGGGGAGCAGGGGCTCCTAACCCGGGGCTTGGCGAGGCGAGGGGTGGGGAGGTTCTGAGAAAGCAAAACTCCTAGAATCCTCTGTATCAGCAATTCTGCTGCATTTTCCCACAGCTGCCATGATATCCGCAGTGGGTTTTGGGACACACACAATGTAAGGGCCACAGCTGGAAGGTGGGGAAAGGGTGGCCAGAGAGGCCTGCTCCAGTTGCGGGTGGCTCCGGCTGGGGGAACTGCAACCACGGGAAATTCTTGGTGGAGTTTAGGCCGTCTTGGCATGGAGAGGACAGGGGCGGCCCCTTCCCTGAGAGAGCCCTGTTGGGCCCCTCACGTTTTCTCGGCCATCAGGGCCTGGACTGGAGCCCCCGGAGTCTCTTCTGCCAGGCAGCCTGGGCTCCCTCCTAGGCCAGACCGAGCCCTTCATGCTTTCCTTCTCGCCCTCTGGAGTAAGGCCCGGGGACCCTACCTGCTCCCCTCTCCATAGCTGCCACCTCCTACTCCACCCTGTGGGTTCAGCTGTCCCTTCGGAACGTGGCTGCCGAGGGGTCCGCAGCCGGCCCAGCTCCTCCCTTGCCCGGGACCCAAATGGCCGGCCCTGACCCTTCCTGATCATAAAGGCTTCACTGCGCTCCTGCTCTGGCAGGGAGGCATTCAGGGCACACACAGCCGACTGACACATTCAGGGGCCACAAACAGCAAAGACACTTCCAGAGGGTTCACAGTCACCACCACTGGCCTACAGGTTCCTCCCGCCTTTTGACTCAGAGATGCCATGTGTAATCTCTCTATATGTCAGAATAGCAGCCCCCCACTTTGTTCCTGACCCCAATCCATCCTACTATGCACTGCTTATCTGAAGCAATATGTATTCCTTCTCGGCACAACCCTTATCCTCACACTTGCTTCCACCTCTCCTTCCACCCCTAACTTGACCTCTATCCCTGATTCCAACCTAATCCCTTACCCTATGTAAAATCGGTGCTTCCTATTATCAAGGAAATGAAAAACAGACATCTTCAACCCTCACAAAATTCCCAATCCATCCCGTCCCTAACTATGATCCTAACACTCAGAATAATTGCAAAAATCCTGCATTGTGGACACACCTGACCTTCACTAACCCCATCTTCACTTGATCCCTGACTGCTACCAAGACCCCTTTCACCTATAGATCACTCTTTTTCAATGTCCATATGATCGCCAAAGCACACACCTTTGGTTTCATCCTGTCACTAGTCCTGATGCCATCTTTAAGTGTCACCAACTATTAGACACACACACCTGATCCTTTATCCCCTCACCTTACTGTCTTTTAAGAAATCAAGACTGGAAGATACACAGTAGTGAGAAGATGTCCAGGAGGTGCCCCCTTGATTCTGTGGTCTGGGAGGTCCTCCAGAAAGGGTGAACCTTCATGCCCACCCACGCACCCCGGCTCCAACCCCATTTCCTAGGCCTCTGCCTTTCACTGAGGAATGATTTCCACTGGTTTCCTGTAAGGCCATGTCGCAGATACGGTTAGAACTTGTGTCTGGATCTCATTCTACTCTGCTTCTGGGGCCTGGCCTGACATGAAATGCTAATCTGGTCCGGCTTATGTTTATGTCAGTGAAGCCATCCTCATGAAGAGGACGTGCACATTAGACCACAGTGGGGTTTCTAGAACATGTCCTGTCCCTACATAGGAGAAACTATGGGTCAAGGTATCTTTGGTCCTAGATGCAGAGAATAGCAGACTCTTTCTGTAAAAGGCCTGATGGTGAATGATTTAAGCTATGCAAGCCACAGGTGGCCTCGGTCACATAGCCTCCATTTTTTCAAGCAAAGCTTTAAAAATGTAAAAATCACTCTTAGCTTTCAGGCCTTACAAATACAAGTCACTGGCCACATCTGTTCTGTGAGTTAGCTTGCCAACCCCTGGCTAGACATTCATTCTCACCTCTCAAATCCATCAAAGCCCTCCCTCCTCTCCTGGGCTTTCCATAGCACAAGTGCAGGTTTATAATGAATTTCCTCACCATGAGTACCTGAAAAGAGACTATGGAATTGAGTTTTGTGTACACTGTGAGGGAGAAGTAAAGTTTCATTTGCACGCACGGATGCCCAGTAATCCCAAGACCACTCATTGAAAACTCAGTCATTTCCCCCACAGAACTGAAGCGCTGCAGCTGTCATATATCACATGTTTTATTTTAAAAGCTATGGCTTTCTCATCAGTGACTATGGAGGCTACAAGACAGTGTCACGTCCTCTTGAAAGTGCTGATGGGAAAAAAAAAATCAACCCAGAGTTCTCCATCCTTGAAAATATCTTCACAGATGAAGGTGAAATAGATGTTTTCAGACAAAAGACAACTAAGATTCTTTGTCACTGGTAGGCATGCAATAAAATAAATGCTATAGGACATTCTTCAGGTTGAAGAAAACTACATCAGGGGAAAATACAGATCTTCCAGAGCCAGAACATGTTCCAGAGTAAAGAACATCAGAAATGTTCAGTGTCTGAGAATGTACAAAAAAAATTTTCACTTAGTTCCTTTAAAATATACTTGAATGCTTAAAGCAAAAGTTCTAACATCATTTTGCTGTGTTTATAATGTATGTACATAAATTACATATGACAATAATAGTATAAAGGACACCGAGGAATAGTAAAAGTATGTATATTGTTATAAGGATTTTACATTCTGTATGAGGCGGTAAAATATCAACTCTGAGAAGATTATAAAAAGTTAAGGATGCATATTGCAATCGCAAGAATAACCACTAAAAAATAACACAAAGTGGTATAGCCAAAAGGCCAACAGACATATTATAATAGAATTCTAAAAGATAAAGTGTTCTAATACTTGAAAGGAAGGAAAGGGGAAATGGAAGAATACAAATTAATGAGGACAAACAATGTAAACTATAAAATTGTAGCCCAAAATTAAAACCTATCAGTAAATACATTAGCTGTTAATGGTTAAACATTCCACATAAAAGACACAGTTTTTTTGAATAGATACAAAAGCAACACCAATCATACCTTGTCTGTAAGATATGGACTTTAGCAGCTTTAGAAGTGTTTTTGAAGAATCATTCTATGTAAACAATACTGTCATCTGTGAAAGCACTTTTACTTCTTTCTTTCCAAACTGTAATCTTTTTTTCTTTTTTTTTTTTTTTTTTTTTTTTGCCTAATTGCACTTCTTAGAAAATCTGGTATGACGTTGAATAGAAGAGGTGAGAGACGAATTCCTCACGTTGCTCTAGGTCTTAAAAACAGTGTTGACTTTTTCAGTGTTAAGTATGACATTAGTTGTATATTTTTACCATATTGAAGATATATTTTCTTCAATTTCTAGTTTGGTGAGAGTTTTTTAAAATCAGGATTGGTGTTTATGTTTGTCAAATACTTTTTCTACACAATTTCAGATGATTATATGCTTTTTCTTATTAATTTTATAAATGTGAATTAACCTGTTAATTTTTGAAACTTTTAAAAACAGCTTTATTGAGATAGAATTCACACACTATAAATTCCACCAATTTAAAATGTACAATGTGGTGGTTTTCAATATATTCACAGAATTGTGCAATCATTACCATAATCAATTTTAGAATATTTTCATCACTCCAAAAAGAAATATGCCTACTAGCAGTTCTCATTCTCAGCTTCCTCTAGTCCCTGGCAAACACTAATCTACTTTCTGTGTCTATGGATTTGCCTATTCTGGAAACTATATATAATTGTAATCCTACAAGATATGGTCTTTTGTGTCTGGTTTTTTTCACTTAGCATGTTTTGAGGGATTTTTCATGTTGTACAATGTATCAATAATTCATTCTTCAATATGGTTGAATAACAGTCCATTGTATGGATATACCACATTTTTATATATATTCATCAGTTGATGGACATTTAAGTTGTTTCTACTTTTTGTGTGAACATGTTTTCATTTCTCTTGTGTAGATAAATAGGTTTGGAATTGATTAGTCATATGATGATAGAATCTTCAAACTTTTGGGGAACTGCCAGACTACTTCTAAAGTGACTGTACCATGTGATATTTCCACAAGCCATATATGAAGCTTGCAGCTTATGCATATCCTTACTGACACTTGTTATTATCTGTCTTTTTAAAATATAGACAACCTAGGGGCTGTGAAGTAGTACCTCACTGTGTTTTTCATTTGCATTTCTCTAATAGCTAATGAGGTTGACCATCTTTTCACATGCTGTTAGCCATATACATATCTTCTTTGGATAAATATCTATTCAGATCATTTGTCCATTTTTAAAAGAGTTATATTTTTATGACTGAGTGGTAAGAGTTTTTTATATTCTGGATACAAGTCCCTTACCAAATATATGATTGGAAAACATTATCTCCCATTCTGTGAGTTTTTTCTTTCTTTCTTGATGGTATCATTTGTGAAACAACTTTTTTAAAACTTGATGAAATCTGGTTTGTCGAGTTTTTTCTTTGGTTGGCTATGCTTTTGGTATCCCTAAGAAACTAATGTGTAAAACAAAATCATGAGGATTACTCTTATGAAAGACTGTTTTTCTCTACTGTTACACAGAACCATAAACATATACGGATTCTAGAGGGTGAATATGTACTAAGTACAGTTTCTGGAAGGCTTCTAATCAAACACTAGTATAGTTTGTATCTCAAAAATACAAGTTAGAGTCTACAGGTTTTAACTATTTATGTCTTAAAAATTGAAATGTTGAAAACGAGCAAGGGTTGATTCTGAAATTTACAGAAAACCCAAAAAAGGTCCTAGTATACATTTAATAAAGGTACAAGTTATACAATATTGTTTTATTTCAGATTCTATTTTCCATAAGAATAGGCACACTTCTATATATACATTGAAATGATTAATGTCCTACTTTTAATGGTCATGGAAAGAAAAGCTTTTGGCAAATAATTACTTAACATAAAATCCAGTCTTCTTTGGCATGCTTAATGGCATTGTAAGTGGCCTCGCTATAAAAGACCTGAGTAAAGCATAAAAAAGAAAAATAAATTAAAAAGAGAATTCCATATATAGGTCATGTCCATTTAAATTCATACCAAAAAACCCCTGTACACTCCCATGCAAAAGTGTATATAGAAGAAAAGGTGGAATGTACTAGATTGAAATATCAATTGAGTTTGTGTGATTCAGAGTATCCTCTCTTTCCTGTTTTACGATTACTCATTTGTCATTTCTTTGCCAGATGCATCTATTATCCTTAAGAACTTAACAACAAAGCAATCGTATGAGATTAAAAATAAAGTACTATCATGAAGAGATATGCTATTCAGTATCCATTATTCAATGTTGAATGAAGAAACAATGACACAAAACTCCACCTACATTTTAACTAGAATGTAATTGAAGAAAATAAATGGTATATTCCTCCCTGGATGAATGTATGTATGCTCCAAGCATCTTGTCAGCAAATAGGGGAGTTTATTGATGTGCAGTAGGATATATTTATTTAGTTAAATAATGTCAGCTCTCATGAGTGGTTGTACACCTTATTTACAACATTTGAATACATGTACCCATTAAGCTGCTAATAGTGGTTCCCTTGGGATAGATTGATTTGGGATAAAGTATTTCCTTAGGTCTTTCATTGATTCGTGCACTCTATGAAATTTTTCATAATGCTTCTATTATCTTTGTAATTCAATAACAAATCCAGAATAAATATGTGCAGAAGGCTGTGTGCAGTGGCTCACGACTGTAATCCTAGCACTTTGGGAGGCCGAGGTGGGCGGATCACCCGAGATCAGGGGTTTGAGGCCAGCCTGGCCAACATGACAAAACCCTTTCTCTACTAAAAATACAAAAATTAGCCGGACGTGGTGGCACATGCCTGTAATCCCAGCTACTCGGGAGACTGAGGCAGGAGAATCACTTGAACCTGGGAGGCGGAGGTTGCAGTGAGCTGACATCGCGCCATTGCACTCCAGCCTGGGCAACAGAGTGAGACTCTGTCTCAAAAAAAAAAAAAAAAAAAAGTGCAAAAGAAATTATTGGTGAAAACTTGCTGTGTTGAACACATGAGAGAGTCCTAAGGAATCTATATCTCTGAATGTATACAACATATATCTGTGAAATATGGTTGAAAATACAACCATATTTTGCAGGTCCTTGTCCTCTTGAGGTGGCATTACCTATGATTTTGCTATGCTTCTTTAAAAATGGATGTTGTACCTGAACACATTATTTAGAAATACATCTGATTTGTGAAATCCCAAAAGTAAGAGGCTACTCTCTAAAATATAATCAGTATTTCAAAGAATATTTAATGAAGTTTGGAAAGTACTCTAGCTACAATATGTACAGAAAATGTATCTGAACACTGAAGGTACAAAGGAATTTGAATATGATTTTTAATGTTATTATATGTACATAAGAGATGAGAATGACATTTTGTTTATTTATTTATTTATTTATTATTTATTTTTGAGACAGAGTCTTGCTCTGTCACCCAGGCTGGAGTGCAATGGCGCGATCTTGGCGCACTGCAACCTCTGCCTCCCGGGTTCAAGCGATTCTCCTGCCTCAGCCTTCTGAGTAGCTGGGATTACAGGCATGTGCCACCACGTCCAGCTAATTTTTGAATTTTTAGTAGAGACAGGGTTTCACCATGTTGGTGAGGCTGGTCTTCAACTCCTGACCTCATGATCCGCCCGCCTCGGCCTTCCAAATTGCTGGGATTACAGGCGTGAGCCACCATGCCCGGCCTCTTTTATTTATTTTGGAGACAGAGTCCCGCTCTGTCACCCTGGCTGGAGTGCTATGGCACGATCTTGGCTCAGTGAAGTCTCCACCTCCCTGGGCTCAGGTGATCTTCGCACCTCAGTTTCCCAAGTAGCTGGGACTACAGACACACTCCACCTTGCCAGGATAATTTTTGTATTTTTTTGTAGAGACAGGTTTCACCATGTTGCCCAGTCTGGGTGAATGACATTTTAAAAGTCTTTATTCTTGTTGGGATTGAACTATCATTTATTTTTGGCTTCATGATTTCTCAATATCTGAACAGTTTGCCAACAGCAACTATTGCTTTTTAAATTTTCTGGATAATAAGGCTCTTTCCAGGGTAGAATAAAAAGATTTCAAGTTCTCCAAGTACATATATGTATATGGGAACATGGAAATTGTATGAGATAATGATGATGTTTCTGTTCAAAACTACCTTCGGTATTCATTCAATTATGTTTAAAGATAGATAAACTACACATTAGTATACAGTCATGCCCTGTATAATGATCTTTAGGTCAATGACTGACTGCATATATGATGGTTATGTCATACATAATATTATAATATCGTATTTTTATTGTACCTTTTCTATGTTTAGATACACAAATACTTACCATTGTTACTATTGCCTACAGTATTCAGTATAACAACATGCTATACCACTTTGTAGCCTAGGAGCAATGGGCTATATTCTGCAACCTAGGAGTGTAGTAGGCTATACTATCTAGATTTGTGTAAGTACACTATGATGTTTGCACAATGATGAAATCAACTAACAATGCACTTCTCAGAATGTATCCCTGTCATTAAATTAGGCATGACTCCATATCCATCTATATGTGTACTTATGTTTAAAAAGTATATATATTTTTTGAGACGGAGTCTCACTCTGTCTCCAGGGCTAGCGTGCAGTGGTGTGATCTTGGCTCACTGCAACCTCTGCCTCCCAGGTTCAAACGATTCTCCTGCCTCAGCCTCCCTAAAAAGTGTATATTTTTAATTATGATTATTATAGTAACAATGCACTTAAATTTCACTCTCTTTGTCCGTATATTAATGTGTGTTTGTATATGTATGTATATGTGTACATGTGTATATGTATACACATAGAAACTTTGATATTTAGCTTCATATATAATAATAAGTTTACATTCATATGGGATTTATTCATATATCATGATTTGGATAATATTTTCACTTCTATTTCCTTGGCAATTTGTCATTACGAAAAATTTGCAAGACCTAATTTTTAGGAAATAAATAAATTTAAAGGGAAACATTAAGAAAAGATTATAGATGAATATAAAAATATGTCAATGCATTCACCTTGAACCTTTGATGGAGTACGTGTTTGGGTCACAGTCACAGTGCTAAAGAGATGAGGACACAGACTTTATTTATACAGTAATGCAATCTGTTGTTAATTTTTTTTAGTAATAAAATAAGATTAGGCCAGGTGCAGTGGCTCATGCCTATAATCCCAGCACTTTGGGAGGCTGAATTGGGAAGATCGCTTGAGCCTACAAGTTAGAGATCAGTCTGGGTAACATAAGGAGACCCCTTCTCTACAAAAAAATATAAAAAAGAAAAAAATAGCTGGGTGTGGTGGTGTGTGCCTGTGGTCCTAGCTACTCCAGAGGCTGAGGTGGGAGGATTGCTTGAGCCTGGAGGTCAAGGCTACAGTGAGCCATGATTGCATAGACTTGCCAGACCCAGTCTCTAAAAATATAATAATAAATAAATAAAATAAGATGAAATTTTAGATTTAATTGTAGGTTAAAATTTTGAGAAGGAAGGAATATCCTATATTTTCTGATGCACGCATGTTATACTTGTGATTCAATATTTGTTTTAGAGTATACACATGTTAGCATAATAAAGATTAGAAGCTCTTCAAATCATGATACCTGAGAGGAGACATCATAGGAATTAAATTTCCAGTTGTTAAATAAGTGTTTTATGAAGTGAACATGTCTTCAGAGACCATATTGTTATTGAATGTAGCAATCAAGAAGCTCTTGGTTAATGTTTCATTTACTAAAAATTCAGGTCTTGCAAATTTTTCATGATAATGACAAACTGCCCAGGAAACAGAAGTGAAAGTATACTCCAAACCATAACATACAAATAAACCTCATTTTAATGTAAACTTACTATTGTGTATGACACGAAATATAAATGTTTATGTGTATATATTGAAATGAGTGCATGAGTATATGAGTTTGCATGTGTATGTTGAAACTGTGAAAGGAAAATAAATCTCAGGGCCCCAAAATCACTAAGCCAAAGGGAAACGTCAAGCTGGGAACTGCGTCAGGCAAACCTGCCTCCCATTTTATTCCTAAATAAGATGGCTACAATGATTGAACAAAGCAAAAACAAAAAGCTACATATCTCCCTCACAATTTGCCCACTAGGAAATTCCTTGTGAGCCCCAAGATTTTTACCCTGAAACAGTTCTGTTGAATTTCACCCTGACAATGTAAATTTTGGCTTATCCTCACAGGTATGGAACAAAAGACAGAACTCAAAGTCTTCCCTCCGCTCACTTGAGACAAATGCATGTCTGATTGCTTCCTCTGCCCTGTGTTTATTTTATCCTATGTAAAAAATGCAGATTCACTGAGCTAGATGAATGTGTACGTGACTATTCCTCTACCCTCATCTCGCCTATGAAGGGCTGATCAAAGACTCAAAAGAATGCTACCCTTTGCCTCTTATCTACCCACATCTTTTCAAAATTTCTTCCCCTTTCCCCAGTATCTGCCCTTTCCCCTTTAAATATTGAAGCCCTCAAAATCATCTTTGAAGAAAGGCATGGACCTATCTCCCAGGCATGCGTGTACTTAAACTTGCAAAATAAATTTCTGAAACTATTGAGACCTGTCTCAGACACTTTTTAGTTCACAAAACATAATCCAGATGTTTATCAGTATTACTAATAGGTACTGTTTATGACAGTGCTTTACTCTTGGTCAGCACATGGTTCTTTTCTGAATCCTTTGCAAATCCTTTGCAAGCACCATGTCTTAATTACGTAAGATAAAATACCATAAGATTGACCCCTAAGTGATAAGCATATACACACTAAAGTCACAGGAAACCATTGACAGTCATATAAGAACATAGGAACATGCCTGTGTTCCGATTTTAAATTATTTTGACTATGAGACTGTATCAGTCTCCTCTGACTGGAATTTATACATATTTGAGTTTGTGTACCCTTCCAAATGGGCACTGTATAGCACGCAGTCTTGAGAACCATCTAGACACTTAGCTTAGGGTTCCAGACAACTGCTTCTCCCTCAACACACAGGCCTAGTGCCTAGGCCAGAAATTGAGTAGGACTCCCGGGAAACCTGGGAAGTGAGTCAGGCAAGAACAACATGGATTTGCTCTTCTCCAAGCCCTTAGATGCAACCATTTGCTTTTCCCTCTAGGCCTGGATCCCTGAGGTTTGACCCCTGATACACCAAGACAATTTAGTACCATGAGAAAAAGTTAGGTGAAGAAAAAGCAGAACTGTGAAGACTAGGTAAGTGGAAATTGAGTTCTTGAACTGAAAAGACCCCTGATGAGAGTGTAGGTTTAGGCGCCAGTTTGATTTCAGATGAAAAACCAAAAGCAAAATCACAATAGTATGAGCGAGTTTCTCAAGTCAGCCATATTTCCTGGTGCCTTAATCTGTTGGTCACATTTTTTTTTCATACCAGACGGGCGGGAGAAGAGGGCTTGGGGGCAGTATTGGATAGAATTCCAGGAGCAACACTGCCATCGTGAGGAAATTTCTGGAAAAAGCCCCATCCCTTAGAGGGCTTATATTGGAAAGTTCCATTCTGTTAGAGGCTGAGCAGGCTCGGACCATGAGCTGGATCTTAGTTCCACCTCCTGAGGCCTACCTGAAGCTCTGGACAGAGTGAGGTCCAGGTGTAGGAACTGGCCCGTGGGGAGGGAAGACTAAGTCGGCCTCTGGCAGGAAGTCCAGGCCCAGGAAGTTGTAGGGTGGGGTCTTGGTATTCTCCCAGTATGGGCGGGACTGGAGGAAGCCACCAACCAACGAAGTACTGGGCCTGTGGGTATTCGTCTCTCTCCCCGCCCCTGAGAGTCTGGGAAAGGCTGACACGTGGTGCCTTCAGGCTCTGGGGCCTAGGACCTTTGTGGTAGCAGAGTCACTGCAGAGAACCAGACAATACCAGGTTGCTTATAAAAGGATGCCATGTGCTTGCTGGAGGTCCCAGGTGCAACCAAATTGCTTGCAGCTAGGAGGACCTTGAAGAGAAATGGGATCAGCCCGCCAAACCAAGAAGGGTTAGCACTTTTGCTAGGAGAGCTGACCACGCACAAACAGATGAGAACCAAAACCGAGTGAAGAGGATTGAAGATGAACCCACATTTTAAAAGTTCTTGTCTGCTGGAGGTGGCATTACCTGTGACCTCGCTTCACTTCTCCATACATGGCTGTTATAGCAGGTACATTGTAAAGAAGCATGATTATTTCTAGAAATGCAAAAACATGTGGCAAGATTTTAAAACCTGTCATTATTCTAAAGAATACTTAATGAGATTTGAAGAGCATTCAAGTTACAAATGAGGAAAACTTGTTTTAGCATTCAAAGTACAAGAGAATTTGAACATTTTTTAAGTGTATATTATTTGTGCAAAGTGAAGATATAAGAATGTATGGCAAGGATATTTTTAAGTGGCTATTTCTTGTTGTGATTGAAGTACCGTTTACTTTCTACTTATAATTTCTTAAAATCTAAACGGTGCCAACAGTGGGTGTAACTTTTGTAATTTCTTGAAATAGAAAGGTCTTCTAGAGTAAGATACAAAAAAAATCCAAGCACTCAAATATACATTGTCATTCATGTATGCAAATGGTATAAGGTGGTGTTGAAGAATTTGTGCAAAACTGTATCCAGTTTGCATTCAATTGTCTTTAAAGAAAAGGATAGTCCATGCTCCCAGAGGCTGAATAAAAATAAATAAATAAAGAGAAGTAAATATATATATAATAGGTGCAATCATTTTCTTTTCCCTCTAGGCCTGTAACCAGGTAACTTGGACCTATCTATCTAATGCTTATACATATATATGCATTATGCATATCATGCATAATCATGGTCAGTGTTAGAGTGAGTATGCGTTTCAACTTTATAGATTTTACATAAAATTTTAAGATAAAATTTTGGTATAAGTTTTGAAAAATATAAACAAAAGAAACCCTAATGTTCTGAGGCATAAGCACATAGTGCCTGTTCCAATGTTAGCATGTATATATATATATATATATAGTCAGCATACTAATGATTAGGTAAGGCAGGTATCAAAATTAAGATACTTGAGTGGTGGCATTATAGGTATTATGTCCTGTGTATAAATTTTTTAAAAATTGAGAACCTAACATTCTTTAATGAATTAGTCAATCAAGAAGCTCATTGCAAATATTTTATTATCTAAAATCCAGGTCTTGCAAATATTTCATGACAATTTCAGTTACCCAGGAATGAGCAGTGAAAAGTTTGCATCTAAAACATGATGCATATATAAATTTAATTTAAATATGCTTATTGTAGTGTATTACCGTAAATATAGACCTCTGTGCATGTTGAAATAATGGGAGTAAATATGCAAAAGGCTATTAGTGTTTAATACAAGATTTTATGACAGTGCTTTTGTTCTTGATCAGCACATGGTTATTTTCTAAATTCTTTACAAGCACCATGTCTTAATTACTTATGAGGAAACACCATAAGACTGATTCCTAAGCTTAAGCAGTGGCACACACATATATAATAAAGCCATAGGAAGCCATTAAAAGTCAAATAATGATGTGCATGGGAACTTGCTTGTGTTTTAATGTTGAATGATGGAACCATAAGACAAAATCATGTTCCTTTCTACTGGAATTTTGTAAGTTTGGAGTGTGTGTGTCACCCCAAGAGGGATATTGTATGGAATTCAGCCTTGAGATCTATCTGGACCCTCCTATTAGGGTTCTGACATGGCTGCCCCCAACTCAATACACAAGACCTAGTGCCCAGGTCAGAAAATGGAGGACTCCCAGGGAACCTGGCAGTGAAACAAGTCACATGGCCTGGTGCCTAGATTTGTTCTTCTCTAGGCTGTTATTTCCATTATTTTCTTCACTTTCTTAGCCCTAGGTCCCTAAGAATTTCCCACTGAAGCAGATAACTTGGGAAATTGTTGGGGATCAAGGTTGAATGAAGAAGAGCAGACCTACAAAGCTATGGTAGAGTGGAAATGGGCATTTTTTTGTTTTTTTAAATTTTATTATTATTATACTTTAAGTTTTAGGGTACATGTGCACAATGAGCAGGTTAGTTACATATGTATACATGTGCCATGCTGGTGTGCTGCACCCATTAACTCGTCATTTAGCATTAGGTATATCTCCTAATGCTATCGGAAATGGGATTCTTTAAACAAAGTATGGCTGATGAAACTGGGTGGTATAGGCTTCAGTCTGAGTTCAGAGGGAAACCAGGAGCAAAAGTAAATTCGAAAGAGCAGATTTTCCCCAAACAGGGCCAATAGCAAGGCAGCTTTGTTTCCTGTCTCCTTTGTCTTGGTAGCTTTTTTCAGATTGAATGGGTGAGAGGAGAAGGGCTCTGGGGGTGGGGTGCCCAGGCAAGGCTAATCAGCTTTTCCAGAGCAATACTGCCATCAAGAGGATGTAGTTTGACAAAACACAAACCCAAAGTTGTTAGAGCCCCCCCAAGTTTTAGCAACTGAGAAATGTTGGGCCTTTTGTGAGGTTGAGTGGACCCTAGCCCTAAGTAGGTCCCCTTCACTTTAAATCTGAAGCCTTCCAGGAGCTCTGGACAAAGGCAGGATCCTGGGGGAGAAGCTGATAAGTGGGGGGTCAGGGGGAGGACTGAAGGGACAGCTACTAGGCAGGTGGAGTATAGGAAGTATTGGGGCTTAGATATCTACCCAGTGAGGGTGGGGCTAAAACAAATGGCTCAGATCCTATTTGGGGGGACTTCTGGCCACATATCCTCTGGCCATGCCCTTTGAACAATGAGGTAGGGGGTTGGCACAAGGTGTAAGCAATGTTAGGGTGCAGATGAAACATCTCATTCCAGATGATATCTAACAGCAGCCAGCGTGCTTTCTGGGGGTCTCAAGGATACCTAAAAGTCTGGTGCCCCCATTGCCTAGAGCAAGGAAGACCTGAGGAGAAGGCAGTGTGTGTCACTTGGCCAAGCCAATAAATCCTTGAACATCAATAGGAGTGCAGATATACACAACCAGAAGACCTGGAAGTATTTTCTGAAGCCAGGAGGTAACAGCTACCATGGCTTTGCAGCACTTTTTCTAGGGCCCAGTGTGAAGGCCTACCTATTTAGAGAAACCTACTCTTAGCTCTATTAAAGGAACAGAAATGAGTTCTTTAGCTATTGGCCTTCCCCTAAGGAAGATGAGGCCATTGAGACTTGGGACCTAACTGTTCATTCAGATTAGCAAGTATTGTTCTCTGTGCCTGCTTCTTAGCCTTTTTCTAATGAAGATTCCTTGTAAGCCCTCTAAAAGCTGAGCACATCAGGACCCTCAGGACACTTGCCCATAGCATAGCAAGAAAAGGCAAAAATTTTGTAAGATTGACTGCATGTGAGAGTTTTCTCGTGTATCAGTGATGGATTCAGTGGCTGACCACTTACAGAAGAGAAAGGAATGTTATTCTCATGCACTGCTGTAACATATGGTCACCACCTGAATTCTACTTGCCCAGGGTGGAGCTATAACATCTACTAGGAAGTTTTTAGCAACTACTACAAAGACCATAGGGTCCCTGGGGAAATTGACTTTCCTGCTATTCATGCCTTGGTCTAGCTGTCCTTGAGGATGTTATAGGTTGACATGAGCCAAGAAGGGTTTGAAAACATTTGAGAAAGCATGTCTCAATGGTCTCAAATACCTTATGAAAGTGTAAGGTGACCTCTGACCTTTTCAGCCTACTTCAGCTAAGCAGGTGACTGAGAGAAACCCTGCATCAGATGGGTTAGGCTGCCTGCTGTTGAGTCACAGTTTGACTTGACCATATGCTAGACTAGGAAAGCCAGATGTGTGGAGACAGTGCACCATAACTTAACTTAGAATTGTGAGTGACAGAGAGGTAGCCCCAGCCCTAGAATTCCTCAGGGTCAGGAATTTTGTATTCCCACACATTTTGGTTTACATTAAGAGACTATCTGGTCAGAGAGTGGATAGAGGCCTAAAGCAGCAGCAACTTGCTGAGTCCCAGGAATTCAAACGTGACACCGTGACCAGGAATGGGAGATTATAACTATTGCCAACTCTCAATACCACTCAATCATTGACAGTCAGCTCAGATCAAAAGCTGTTTCAAAATGTAGTTAAAAAGAAAACCACTCAGCAGGAAAGATGGCAAAGGAATAAGGCACCTCTATTATCACAGTCTCAAATTCACCAGTACTGAAGTAAATTGCAGTTCACTGTATTCTTCCATAATGCCCTTAAATCTTCATCATAACCCCGAGCAAGCCTTTGAAAAGGAATCCATTGATGTCAGTGTTTGTGTAATGATTTGTAGAATTGGACAAGGTCCTACCAGGTGAGAAGCACTGTTAATTGGTACACCTCTTTGAAGGTCAACAGGCCAAATCATTTAACCTTTCACATGAGCATACCCTTTGTCCAGAGACTACCTCTTGAAAGTGATCGCACAGCCAAACTCCCACAGGAAAGTAGAAAGGAGAGGACAAAGAGGATCGCTGAGATTTCTTTTGCAAGGATGGCGGTGGGGAGGGGGCAAAACATCCATTGTCCAAGTTCAACTACAGTAAGTTCAGCTATAGTAGGTAGTCTTTTTAAGCCTTTGGAAAGATTGAAATCCATTCGCCAAGTCCTCAATAGGGGAGATGACCACACCTCTGATTTAGGGAAGAAAATGTGAAATGTTGTAACGGGAATCAAACCATTCTGGTTGGCTAATAGCAAGGAAATAGAAATGAAAGATGAAGTCTTTCTTTCTCTCTTAA
Organism: Homo sapiens; assembly: GCF_000001405.40. Classification (NCBI taxonomy): domain Eukaryota; kingdom Metazoa; phylum Chordata; class Mammalia; order Primates; family Hominidae; genus Homo; species Homo sapiens. The sequence continues at coordinate 131,825,735 of NC_000023.11, read as the reverse complement.
TTACATATGTTATTAATTCAAGTTGAACACATAAACCTATTGGTTCAGAAAAGCAAATAGGCAGAAAGGAAGTTATCTGGAAAGTTCCCCAGTCAAGCAACTAACAGTGTGTAATTTTCTACAGTGATGTTTCTAATGACTTGCCTTCACGTTTTAACTTACACTTGTCCAAAGCCTTGAAATGTTGAAAATGAGAAAAGCTTACATTTGCAAGTTTTTTAAAAATCAAGAAACCAGCATCATCTCAATATATAATTAGGAAAACAACATATTACAAGATGTATTTTTCTTTAAAACATACACACTTCTACACACATGCAAGATTTAAAGGCTCTATTCTGAAATTCTATTTCCAAATTTTACTTAACAGAAAATCCAGCTTTCTGAAGCATATTTCACGACATATGATGAGACTTATGTGATGTGAGACCTGAGAAAACTATGATAGAAAGAAGCAACTCAAGTTGCAAGGATATTCCTCATGTATCATGCAAGGATATTCCTCATATATCATGTAAGTAAAAAGTCACCAAATCCTGACAACCTGTCCACATGTGCCCACACATGTACAATTATATAATAAAAAGAGCAGAATGCAATATAACAAACATCAATGGAATATCTATTAAACTTCTTAAGAGTATCATTTCTTTACTGCTATATATTTGTTCCACTTACTGATTTTTTTCCAGATGCATATAATTCTTACGGTTTGATCAACAGTAAAAGAATGCTATGAGATTTAACCATAAAAAACTATCTTGTTCCTCAAGAAAAGTTAATGATATTGGAGAGTACTCATTTTCTAGTGTTGAATTGAGAATTCAGGGCACCAAATTCTATGTGTAGTGGGACCAATGAGGATGGATTTGAAGAAAAGAAATGGAAGTGTGTGTGTGTGTGTGTGTGTGTGTGTGTGTGTGTGTGTGTGCGCGCGCGCGCGCGCCTAGCATTGTGCTGAGGAATGTGGGGAGTATATTAATGAGATATAGATTAAATTTATTTCACTGAATAACATCAGTTCTTATTGAACAGTTATATATCATTTTTTTAATGTTTAAACCAATATACTCATCAAGCTGCTAATAGTGGATGCCTCAAAAAAGTGGGATTTGTGATAAAGTGTTTCCATTTGTTCTTCATAGATTGTGTATTCTAAGAGATTTTTCAAGAAGCTGATAAGATATTTGTAATTTGAGAGTCAACCCAGAACAAATATGTGCAGAAGAAATTGTTGGTGAAAACTTGATTTGTTGGCTATTTGAGACCTAATATATTTATATATTTAACTGATCACAGAAAACAGGTGTATTCAAGACACCCACATTTTAAAAATCCTTATCTGCTTCAGTGGGCATTACTTGTGGCCTCACTGCACTTCTTTGTACAAGGCTAATGTGTCTGGTTATTTTGTAAACAGGTATGCTTAATTTTAGGAAATGCAAAAATATGAGAAGCAACCTTAAAAATATTGCATATTCCAAGGAGTAGTTAATGATGTTTCCAAAGACCTCAAACTGTCCTGAGAAAAGCATGTCTGACATACAAGGTAACTGGGATTTTAGGTTAAAAAATGTACATTATATATGGATAGGGAAGATAAGAGAATGTATGGCAAAGACATTTTAAAAGTTATTTCTTCTAGTTTTCATTGAGATACCATTTATTTTTGGCTTTGTAATTTCTTAAAATATGAGCAGATTTCCAACAGCAGATGTTACCTTTATAATTCCTTCGAAGAGAAACCTCCTTGTACAATCAAGTATAAAGAAATTTCCAGCTAGGGAAAATAGATGTTGATATATGGAAACATGCAATTTATGTAAGTTGGTGCAGAAGACTTTGTATAAAACTATGCCCAGTATAAGTCAAGTTATAATTAAGGTGAAATAAATGTGCACATATATGTATAGCAATATTATATATTATATATGCCATATTTAAACTATAATAAATGGAGCAATAAGAAACATTTTTGTTTGTTTGTTTGTTTGTTTTTTGAGACGAAGTCTCGTTCTGTAGCCCAGGCTGGAGTGCAGTGGCGTGATCTCAGCTCACGGCAACTTCCGGCCTCCTGGGTTCAAGTGGTTCTTCTGCCTCAGCCTCCAGAGTAGCTGGGATTACAGGCGCGCGCCACTGCACCGGGCTAATTTTTTGTATTTTTAGTAGAGACGGGATTTCACCATGTTGGCCAGGCTGGTCTTGAACTCCCGACCTCAGGTAATCAGCCCGCCTCGGCCTCCCAAAGTGCTAGGATTACAGGCGTGAGCCACTGCGCCCAGCCAAGAAACATTTTTTTGCAGTGTTTTGATTACTAAACATGAAGACAAAAATTTTATGTAATGTGGCCAAACTGTCTGAGAATCAGGAGTGGCAATCTCCTAGGCAAACCATCATGTACAAACAACCAATTTTAATATAAATTCATTGTCACATATGAACATAAATATAAAACTCTGTGTGTATTGAAAGGAGTAAGAGGACATGATCCAAAAAGTTATCAGTGGTCTTAATCAATTTTATGACAGCGCTTTACTCTTTATCAGTGCATGGTTATTTCTGAATCCTTGGCAAACATCATGTCTTAATTACTAATGAGGAAGTGGTTTTAAGGCTTATCTCTAAGAGATAAATGGTAAATACAGATATAAAGATAAATACACACACACACACACACACACACACACACATGTCCCTACATATCCAATAAAGTGGTAGGAAGCAATTGGAGACCACTTAATGGCATCGGAAAGTGTCTTCAAATGGTAAATGAAATCACAAGACAAAACTCTTGGAATGGGAGCTACTTGGGCGCTTCTCTTAAGACTCCAGCCAAATGGCTGCCAACAAGTCAACACATAAGACTTAGATCTCTATCCTGAAAATATAGAATTCCTTGGGAGCCTTACAGATGGATGAGCCAGGCAAGGACATGTGGTTTGGTACTTAGAGATAACCTCCCGGCCTTGAGTTTGTAGCATTTTCTTTTTCTGCTTAGGCCTGGATTCTTGAGTCTTGAATCCAGAAGCAGACAACGTGATAACTTGGGAAAATACTGGAGATGTATGCTGAGTGAGCGAGAACACAACTGTGAAAGCTAAACCTATTGGAAATGCAGTTCTTAAAAAGAGAAGGCCTCAGTTTCGTTTCAAATGGAAACCAAAAGCAACAGTGCAGCAGCGTGATAAGATTGTCCCAAACTGGGCAAAAGTAAGGCTGCCATGTTTCCTGGCGCCTTTTTCTTGCTGGTGTTTTTTTGGACAGAAAGGGCGGGAGAAGGACTAGGGAGCGGTACTTGTTGGCATATCTGGAGCACGACTGCCATCGTGAGGAAATAGTTTTAAAATACCCTACGCCATTACAGCGTCCGTCCCGTGAGGTCTTTCGGTTTAGAAACGCCCGTTCAGCGGAGAGATTGAACAGGCCCTGACCCGAAATTGGGCTTCCCTGACTTCTCTGAATTATTCCGGGAGCTCTGGGCAAAGACTTGATGCTAATATGACAAAGGTGATATCCAAGTGTAAAAACCTGTTGTTGGCGAGGCCGGACAGAGCCAACAGCTGCCAGAAGTCCGGGCACAGGAAGTTGTCGGGTGGGGCTTCCGTTGAGGAAAACTTTCAGGGCCCAGTGCAGGGCTTGTGCCCATTGTCTCCTGTTCCTGCCCCTGTCCCTCAGAAGATGGTTCAGGCCAATTCACCTTGTTCTGGAGCCATAGAACCTGAGCTCCTTGTGATAGCAGCATCACAGCTCATAAAATAGGCTAATTTGAGGAGATAACTTATAACAGCATTTGTGCTTGCTGGGGGATCTCATACACAGCAAAAGTCTGGACCCCATTGCCTTAGAGCAAGGAGGGAAATGAAGAAGCATTGGGAGCCATCCCGCCGAGCCAAAAAAGGCCAAATCTCCTGCTTAGAGAGCAGAGGCATACACTAAGAGGCCAAAAAATGTTACACCTATAGCCAAGGCCTGTCCCCTAATAGAGTTTTGCCGTCATCTCAGGTCTCTTGGTGGGGTTGGTGGGGAAGAAGGAAGGAGTGCTCATCTCTTTATTTGTTCTCCCAGAGGATGCTGAACTCCTTGAAGTCTAGTGATTCTCCTCATACATAACAATTGTTCTTCTCTGTTACTTCTTCATAAAAAGCTCCAGATGAGGATACCTGGTAAGCCTGACAACCCATACTTCTTGTTCCCAAGTTGGTGGAGAATGTCTAGAATTACTTGGGATTCATTGCATAATGGAGAAACATTCTGGCGCCCTCTTCTACTTTCCTCACTCAGTTAGCATTTGACCTCATAGAGTAGTTGAAGATGATTTTTTGTATGTGTGTTTGCGCGTAAGCGTCCTGTGACTAAAAAATTTAAAACTTTCTGTTTCTGTCGTATTTAAACCAACGGCAAAATTGGTAAAGGAATTAAACAGGCAATTTACAAAAGAAGAACTCCAGCTGTTTATTAAATAAATGAAAAGATACTCAATTTTACTAGTGTTTACGACGTTCCAATTACCTACACACATTGTGTTTATGTATATACTGTGTTAGTTTATAAATATATGCACCAATATTTGCACATATTCCTATATCTATGCACACATACCTGTTATATATATATATTTATATGTACTATGTATATATGCATGCACATTAAGTTATATACAATTTTACAAATATAGAGATATATATAAAGACATGTATGTGTAAATGTGTGTGTGTGCACAATTAAAATAATTCTATTCACTTAAATATTATATTCAATTACATATTAATTATTTCAGTTAAATATTATAACTGATATTATAGTAAATAAATATAACTGAATTATATTAAGTTAAATATTAAATAATTCTATTCAGTTAAATGATTCTATTCAATTAAATATCCTATTTAGTATTCTTTTATCCCCAAGGCTTAGAACAGTGCCCGGAACTTGGCAGCAACTAGATAAATATTGGTTAAAGGAATGTATGATTTCCTCTACATATTGAGAGATCTGAGATGATAAACACCAAAGTGCAAATAGTAGTTACTGTACTACCACATACTGTTTATGAATGGGTGCTCATGCCTCTTTTTTAAAAAACATTTTTCACATGAAAGGATGCTTTATAAAAGATAAGAAACATCTATTGTTTTAATATATTTAAAAATACAATTCCAGATTATTAAGTATCATCAATAGTAAGAGTCTTTTTTTTTTTTTGAGACAGAGTCTTGCTCTCTCGCCCAGGCTGGAGTGCAGTGGTGTGATCTTGGCCCACTGCAACGTCTGCCTCCCAGGTTCAAGCAATCCTCCCACCTCAGCTTCCCAAGTAGCTGGGATTACAGACATGTGCCACCATGCCTGGCTTATTTTATTTTATTTTATTTTATTTTTTGAGATGGAGTCTCGCTCTGTCGCCAGGCTGGAGTGCAGTGGTGCAATCTCGGCTCACTGCAACCTCCACCTCCCAGGGGTTCAAGCGATTCTGCTGCCTCAGCCTCCAGAGTAGCTGGGACTACAGGCGCGTGCCACCACACCCAGCTAATTTTTGTATTTTTAGGAGAGACAGGGTTTCACCATGTTGGCCAAGCTGGTTTGAACTCCTGGCCTCAAGTGATCCACCCGCCTTGGCCTCCCAAAGTGCTGGGGCACCAGGCATAGGGGAAACTGGACACATTGGAGGAGGTCAGAAAATTTTGAGATAAATTTTGCGAGGAAAATTAAATTGATCAAGATCCGTAATATGAATGAGACTCCTGAGAGATATTTTAGTCAACTTGAATATGTGTGTGTTTGAATGAACTATGAGTACACAGACCATCAAATGAAATGACTAGTAAATTATTCTAGGGGACAGAGACTAGAGGAAAGATGTCCAGAAAAAGAAAAGCAAACACAATTTAGTACATGGATCATCTCAAGATATTTACATTGTCATAGTATTGTATGCATTAAACATTGACACAAGCAATTATAGCTACATTGGGAGGATGGGAAGAAAGGATGGATGTTAAGTGAAGTAGTAATATTGATATTAGTGAAGTGTAGTGAGGGCAAAGAAAGTGAAATATTCTTCTAGAAGGAAGAGTATATATTATGAATGTATGGGTTAGTTTATAAATTGGTAATATGGGCATTCTATTTAGGGATACATAAGCTAGTAAAAACTTATTCGCTAAGAGTGTTAAAAGTGTTTCAATCAGCCGGGCGCGGTGGCTCACGCCTGTAATCCCAGCACTTTAGGAGGCCGAGGCAGGCAGATCACGAGGTCAGAAGATCGAAACCATCCTGTCTAACACGGTGAAACCCCGTCTGTACTAAAAATACAAAAAATTAGCCAGGTGTGGTGGTGGGTGCCTGTAGTCCCAGCTACTCAGGAGGCTGAGGCAGAAGAATGGCGTGAATCCGGGAGGCGGAGCTTGCAGTGAGCCGAGATAGCACCACTGCACTCCAGCCTGGGTGATAGAGTGAGACTCCGTCTTAAAAAAAAAAAAAAGTGTTTCAATATCGGAGGAATGTCAGAGATGGCATAATGTTGTTTGTAAAGTATTGTACAAATAACTGATGTTGAAAAATGTGTTCATGTATAATTTTGACTTAAAATCTTTAAAAACTGTATCTATCTATCTCTCTATCCATCCATCCATCCTTGTGGTATATAGGCAGAATACTAAGATGATTCCATCTCCCTGTATAATTCCTTAAGTATGAGTGGGACCTGTGAATATGATAGATTATCACTTCTCTGATTCCTTTATATTATATGGCAAAAATGATAGGGTCTCAAAAGGGAGATTACCCTGGGGGGGCCTGATCTAATCAGGACAGGAAAAGAGGGCCTGGTGGTCTGAGATCTTCTCTTTTGCTAGCCTCAAAGAAGTAAGCAATTATGAGTTCTATAGCTGCAACAAAATGAATTCTGCCAACAACCACATGAGCTTCCCAGAGGATCTTGAGCCTCAGATGAGTCCCCAGCCCTAACCGACACCTTGATCGCAGCCTTGAGCTGAGTACCTACCTGAACTATGCCCAGACTCCTGACTCACAGAAACTGAGATAAAAAAAATGTATGTCGTTTTAAGCTATTAAGTTTGAAGTAATTTGTTACATAGCAAGAGATAATAAATACAATGCTTACACACAGGGAAGAAAAAAAAAAAAGAAAACCTAGTAAGGACTGAAAGTTTGTGTTACCTCGAAATTCATATGTGAAAGTCTTAACCCACAGTGCGATGGTATTTGGAAATGAGACTTTTGGGAAGTAGTTAGGTTTAGATGAGGTCATAAGGGTGGAGCCTGCATTATGATTAGTGCCCCTATAAGGAGATGAAGGGACAGAGGTTTCTCACTTTGCCTTGTGAGCAACAGGAAGATGTCCATCTGCACACCTGGAAGAGGACCCTAGCCAGGAACTGAATTGGCTGCCACCATGATCTTGGGCTTCCCAGCCTCCAGAACTGTAAGAAATACATATAGTTTGTTTAAAAATCTATGATGCTTTTATGGCAGCCCTCCCTGACTAAAACATCTAGAATCAAGTATGGAGAAATATTAAAACTGGTTTCCTCTAAGAAAATAATGTAGGAGATTCAGTTTACAAACTTTAAAGAACGTATATTGACTATTGTTTTGTTAAGGAAAATAAAATAGTAAAATGCAAACCTGTGAATTCAGTGTAATGACATAAGTGAAAAAGGAGTGTGTGTGTGTTTGTGTGTGTGTGTGTGTGTTTGGACTTCCACATTTAGCATTGTAAGAAGTGTATTGATAATTACAAAGACAAATTGGTCACATGACAGATGTACTGAATAACTATATGTTTTTAAGTGTATGAAAAAATAGATACACCAAAGTGCAAAGAAAAGTTACATCTGAAAACTGGTTTTAGATAAGAACTCACCTTTTTGTTTAATACATTTCTTCATTAAGAGTTTCCTAAGAACAGGCTAGGCCCAGTGGTTCATGCCTGTAAATCCAGCACTTTGGGAGGCTGAGGTGGGAGGATCACTTGAGGTCAGGAGTTCAAGACCAGCCTGGCCAACATGGTAAAACCCCATCTCTACTAAAAACACAAAAATTAGTCAGGCGTGGTGGCGGGTTCCTGTAGTCACAGCTACTTGGGAGGCTGAAGCATGAGAATCGCTTGGACCCAGGAAGTGGAGTTTGCAGTGAGCCGAGATTGCACCACTGCACTGCAGCCTGGGAGACAGAGTGAAAGACTCCGTCTCGAAAATAAATAAATAAATATAAAGGTACATTTGGTATGTCACATATGACATGTCAAACCAATGAGAGCTATATAGGCTATAAGAAAATAATCTCAGGAATTCGGCCAAATAACAGCCTTCCACCAAACAAAAAGATTAGTGTCTGCTACAAAATGGAGGAAGATTCCCTGGTAACCTAGAAAGCTGCGTCAAGGACCATGATGCCAGGTGACTAGAGATGACCTTTTCCAGGCCTGGAACTTACGGCGTTTTCTTCTCCCATTTCATCCTGGAATCCTGAGTCTTGTTCAACTTTAAGAAGTCAACTTAATAAATTGAGAAAATGCTGAAGAACTAATGTTGAGAGAAGAAGAGCTGAACTGTGAAGCCAAAGATCTGGTGGAAATTTAATGCTGGAAAACGGAAGAGCCTGACCAGGGCGGGGTGGTTAAGGACTCATTTTGATTTAAGATGGAAATAGAAAGCAAAAGCACAGTGGTGTGAACAAGTTTCCTCAAACTGGGCAAGAATTGAAACAGTTTTGTTTCCATGTGCTTTTGTCTTTTGTTGGCGTTTTTTCATACTCGATGGGCGGGAGAAGAGGCCCTGGGGACAGGGCTGGTTGACATTTCTGGAGCACTACTGCCATCGTGAGGAAATCAGTTGATGAAAATCCAAGCCATGAACAATTCCTCCCAAAAAACCAGGATGTCAAGGAAGGTTGCACCTGTGGGGAAGTTGGGACGGCTTCTGGCCTCAAGCGTGATGTCCTTGCCTTCATCTCTCAGACCTTCTAGAATCTGTGGACAAAGGTGTGATATAGTTGTAGAAGTGGCCAGAACTGACCGGGGAGTAGGCAGGAAATTCATGCATAGGAAGTCCTGGAGGTGGGGCTTTTGTGTCCTCCCAGTACAGGAAGAACTAGAGGAAGCAGTTTACTGCTAAGTGCAGGGCTTCTGATCATTTGCCTCCTGCCCCTGCTCCTTGTTGTAGAGGCAGACAGTCTGGGACACAGTCCTCTAGCACACTGGGGCCTGGGATATGAGCCCCATTTGGCAGTAGTGTTGGAGCTCAGAGTACAGGGGGAAAATTCCCACTATTTATTGTAGAGCATATATTGAAGAATGCATTCAGAGCTGAGAGGCAATAGATAACTGACAAGAAGGGTCAATAACTCTCAGGAGTGTCTTGGAGACATGTGGTAAAGCATCCCTTAATGATCCCAGATGTCTTGTGAAGGTGAGAGGTCATTGCTGATCTCCTGATCTCACTTAAAACAGCCGAAAGAGAAGGCCTGAACTAGATGGGTTAGCGTGCCTGCCTTGGAGCTGCATTTTGACTAGGTCGTATGTTTGAAGTAGGGTAGACAAATGTGTTGAGACAGAACTGTGGATGGCACTAGCAGTGGCCTCAGCTCAGGAATTCCTCAGGCTCAAGAATGTTGTGCTCACCTCACCTGGCTATACTTAATAGAGGCTAACAGGCCTGATTGCCGATGGAAACAATTTCATTGTTTCAGGCATAATAAAAATAACAGCAAAAACAGGAAACTACAAGCAATTGTTTGTCAGTATTTACTGCCCTTCAACCATTGACATCCATTACAGATCATTAGCTATTCCAAGATGAAAAGTTAAAGAGAAACAATTCAGCAAGGAAAGAGAAAAGGAACCAGGCACAAACTTCGCAGAAGAAAAAGGCCATGGAACAACAAAGTCCATTGGCAGAGGTTCTCAAATTCACCAATACTCAAGTAAATTACAGTATGACAAAGTCTCAACCATTCCCCACCTCTTCAAAATATCCCTAAGTAAGTTACTGAACATGAAACCACTGATAACACCTAGTTTGTGTGAACATTTGTAGAATTGGACAAGTTCCCGTGAGGTGGGAAGCATTGTCAATTGGTTTAACTATTTGGTGGGCAATATGTGTGCATCACTTAACCTTTCACATGAGCACACTCTTTGTCCAGAGTCAAGGTCACATTCCCATAGGAGACAGGAGTGCAGAGATGAGTAGGTTCATTCAGCTTTCCTCTGCAATGTCAGAGAGTGGGGAGGAGCAAAGGGCCTATTCTCTAGTAGATTGACTCCACATGTTTCAGCTATACCAGGTAGTCCTCTTAAGTCCTTGAAAAGACTGAATTCCATTCTCAGTGTCCACATCAGTAAAGATATTCCACCTCTTTGATTAGGGGTTAAAGCAAATTATTGACTCTTTGGGATCAAACCATCCTAGTTTACTAATACAAGAAAACAAGCCAAGTGCGGTGGCTCACACCTGTAATCCCAGCACTTTGGGAGGCTGAGGCAGGCAGATCACGAGTTCAGGAGACCGAGACTATCCTGGCTAACATGGTGAAACCCCGTCTCTACTAAAAATACAAAAAATTAGCTGTGCATGGTGGCGGGTGCCTGTAGTCCCAGCTACTCGGGAGGCTGAGGCAGAAGAATGGCGTGAACCTGGAAGGCGGAGCTTGCAGTGAGTCGAGATCCCGCCGCTGCACTCCAGCCTGGGCGACAAAGCAAGACTCCGTCTCAAAAAAAAAAAAAAAAAAAAAGAGAAAACAAAGGAAAAAATAAAGTCTATCTCTCTCTACTTATTCCATGTATGACTACTGTAAGTTGAGTGCATATATATGAATTCTAAAGAATGAATTTGCAGTCTTCTAACGAAGATACTCATTGTGTCTACCTTCCTGGAGTAATTATTTTAAGGCCATGCCCTCAAGTATTAACGTTATACATGTCTCCACGTTTGAAATAGTAACAAGCAAAGTTTACATTGGAAATCAAGAAACAAAGGTATACCTTTCAGGTTTTAAAATAGCCTTCAGTGTAAGAATCAGTTTCTCTGAAAATTATACATTGCTCTGTTTACATATGGAAATTTTAAAAAATCACTTTTTATGGTGAAGAAAACAAAAATCTTTGGGCAAATTTATAAGTAACACAAAATCCAACCATCCGAAGGATATTTAATGACCCATGCGGTGGCCTTATAATAAAAGGGAAAAGGAAAAGGAAAAATTTCAAAACCCAAGGAGATCTGCAAACTATGGGGAAGCCTAAAGTCATACCAACAAACCCATGAGTGTCACACATACACGTACTCATGCAAATATTCAAATGGAATAGATTTAGAAGAGAGCAGAAGAAAGAATATCAAAATACTCATGCTTGTTTTCATGGACTGCTCAGCATTTTCTCTAAAGGATCATGTACAGAGATCATCCCTGGTACGAAAGAGTGGTACTAAAGAGGCAAGTTTTCTGGGGGTCCTGATGTACTCAACTCCCTGAAGGATATCTTGTCAGGCCTACAAGGAATCTTCATCAGAAAAAGGCTAAGGAGCAGGCACAGAGAACAATACTTGCTAATCTTAATGAACAGTTAGATCCTGAGCCTTAAAAGCCTCATCTTCCTTAGAAGAAAGCTAAAGAAACCATTTCTGTCCCATTAAGAGAGATGAAATGAGAGCAGATCCCTCCACGTGGGTATGCCTTCACAATGGACCCTAGAAAAAAATGCTGCAAAGCCACTACAGCTGTTAACTCCTGGGCTCAGAGAATACCTCCAGGCCTTCTGGTTGTGTATATCTGCACTCTTATTGATGTTCTGGAATTTATTGACTTGGCACAGTGACACATGCTCCTTTTCCTCAGATCCTTCTTGCTCTAGGCAACAGAGGCACCAGACTTTTGGTGTCCCTGAGACCTCCAGCTGCTGTTAGATGCCACCTCGAATGAGATTCATTTCCCCCTCCTCACATTCTAACGTTGCTAACATTGGGGCCCATACCCCAAAGTACAGGGATATCTTGTGCCAGCCCAAATGTCTCATGGTCTAAGGGGCAGGGTCAGGAGACCAATGCCCAGAAGCTGTGTGTAGACTGTAGTTTTTCCATAGTCCTGCCCACAGTGAGAGGAAACCAAAGCCCTGCATCAGTCCTGGTACCTTACTTAGCAGCTTCTTCACTGAGATTTTGCCTTTGTCCAGACTGAACTCCTGGAAAGCCTAAGAGTTGAAGTTGAGAAGGCCCATCTTGGGGTCAGGCCCTGTTGAACCTTTGAATTTGCTACATCTTTCTTAACTGCTAGATAGGAGGGAAGTTCAAACCCGAAGCTTTTGCTTTTGTCAAACTACTTCCTCGCGATGGCAGTATGGGCCCAGAAAAGCCAACTAACCCTGCCCCCAGGCCTTCTTCTCCCTCCCATTCCATCTGAAAAAAACCACCACTAACAGGCAAAGCCACCAGGAAATATGGCTACCTTGTGTCTTGCCCAGTTTGAAGAAACTTGCTCACACCGCTGCGCTTTTGCTTTTGCTTTCCATATACAATCAAACTGAAGCCTAAAACCACCCACTCTCATTAGGCATCTTTTCTTTTCAGTAATTCAGTTTCCTCTACTACAGCTTCATAGATCTCCTCATCGGTCACCATTAGATATGCAGGATTTTCCCCATTTTCAAGTTTTCTGATACAAGGTTCAAGTCCCAAGGAGTCCGTGCATGAGGAAAAGATATTGCTGGAACTCCAAAGCTTGTATGAGGCTTGGCTATCTGTCTCCATCAGACGTTGTGGTCTTTGACCTGGCTCATTTCCCAGGCTCTTATGGCGTACTCCATTTTCTGGCTCACATATTTTAGAAAGTAACCAAAATGGCATCCTTCTTTTTAAATGTCTTTCCAGATGGAGAACTCACTAATAAATATTTCAGTTGCTCAAACTTGATGTTCAAAATAAATACTCATATTTAGCTATTATCATTTAAAGACATCAGAGTTAAGCTGTTCCATAGGTTTTGAACTAATATGTTAAAACATTATCAACTTTATCGTATGACCTTTTCTTACACTTTTATATTTTTATGCCTCATATATTCATGTTTTAATTTTCACATACACGATGCTTTGAATGAATAAAGAAACAACACATTTTAAATAATTAATTGGGCAGTTAGGTAGAGAATGTACATTGTGTATCCTCCTTAGATAATTGTATAATTTATTGTCCAAGTTGGACAACTGTGTGAACCGTGACTTCCTAAGGCACACTGAAAGGAATGTTCACCCTATTTATCATTCCACAGTCTTGAGACAAACACTGATCACATCTTTATGCTTTATTTACCTAAATATATTGATAATTTTTTTTTTTTGAGATGGAGTTTCGCTCTTGTTGCCCAGGCTGGAGTGCAATGGCACAATCTCAGCTCACCGCAACCTCCGCCTCCCAGGTTCAAGCGATTCTCCTGCCTCAGCCTCCCTAGTAGCTGGGATTACAGGCATGTGCCACCACACTCGGCTAATTTCGTATTTTTTTTTAGTAGAGATGGGGTTTCCCCATGTTGGTCAGGCTGGTCTCAAACTCCCGACCTTAGATGATCTGCCCGTCTCGGCCTCCCAAAGTGCTGGGATTACAGGCATGAGCCACCGTGCCCGGCCTTTTTTTTCTATTTTTGAGACAGAGCCTTGCTCTGCCACCCAGGCTAGAGAGCAGTGACGCAATTTCGGCTCACTGCAACCTCTTGCTTCCTGGGTTCAAGTGATTCTCCTGCCTCAGCCTCCCAAGTAGCTGGGATTACAGGCGTGTGCCACCGTGACCAGCTAATTTTTATATTTTTAGTAGAGACGGAGTTTCGCCATGCTGGCCAGGCTGATCTCGAACTCCTGACCTCAGGTGATTGGCCCGCCTTGGCCTCCCAAAGTGCTGGGAGTACAGGTGTGAGCCAGTGCGCCTGGCCGATAAATTTTAATTTGTATATACACATACATGTTTACAAAAATTGGGCATTGTCCTGCATATTTTTTCTTTTATACTTTTTCTCTTGGTTATAGTATGAGCATTTTGACAGTTGTACTTTAGTTATCCAAAAGTATAATTTAAAAATATGAAAATAGCTATTTATTTATAAGAAATAGAAATATTTTTATTTATATAAATATTTATAAGTAGAAATATTTAAAATTAAAAGTAATAGACTCAATACAGAATATTTAGAAAATATGGAATTCAGATAAGTGAACACAAAATGACCTATCGTATTACTATAATCTGTATGTATTTTTTCTTTAAACACCAATTGCATAATAGCGTATGTTGGATTTTTTTCCCTGATATTTCTATTTTCTCCTCTTTAATCCACTCTTCATTTTTCTCTACTTCTCTGTGTATCAAATGGCTAATCTGTATGGACTATGTAATCTGGCTGTTTTGCTCTATGTCCTGGTTATGTTCTCCTATAAAGGATTCTGGCAGGATTTCAGGAGTAGGTTAGGTATTTATTTAATCAGATCTATGGTTTTGACTCCATCCCTTAGCCAAATACCACTATCTTAACAGTATCTAGGAGGAGTAATTGAAATATTTGGCAAACAGCCTTAACGAATACCCATATACCCATAAATATAGTTAAACAACGTCGGCATTTTTAAAAATTAAAACATTAGAACCTGAATGTGACTGTATATTTCTACATTCCCAACTCTAATTTATCTTTTTTTTTCTGAGCCAAAGGGGTCCTTGGGCCTATAGGTAGCTAGGGATAAGTGGGGTCTTTATGGGAATTTCTCCCTTGAGCTGCTCGCCAGGCTGGAGTGCAGTGACGCTATCTCAGCTCACTGCAACCTCTGCCTCCTGGGTTCAAGCAATTCTTCTGCCTCAGCCTCCTGAGTAGCTGGGACTACAGGCGCATGCCACCAAGCCCAGCTAATTTTTGTATTTGTTTTAGTAGAGAAGGGGTTTCACCACATTGGCAGGATGGTCTTGATCTCTTGACCTCGTGATCCTCCCGCCTCACCCTCCCAAAGTGCTGGGATTACAGGCGCGAGCCACCACACCTGGCCAGAATTTTTAAAGCTTGCAATGAAAAGGAACAGATTGTGGAAAGGGCTTGGCCTGATAAACAGGTGGACTAATAATTGGAAGGTCAACTGAGTCGGACTTATTTTTGCCAGTTGTTCCCCTATGCCAAGAATACAAGATAGAACTGAATTTGTTACCTGAGTCCTCCCTGGACCTGAGACTTGGAGAATGCAAGAAAACCAATAAAAGTTGGGAGGCTTCCTCAAAGTGCCTTGGAAGTGAGCTGACAGTTTGCCTAATCTAGATCTTAAGAATGTGAATTCTGAAGCCTGACTAATCCGATTTTAAAATTTGTTTCTAACTATTCTTCTGTGACTTTGCATAAGGTATTTAAACTTTCTTTGCAGCTGGGCACGATGGCTCATGCCTGTAATCCCAGCGCTTTGGGAGGCTGAGGCGGGCGGATCACAAAGTCAGGAGTTCGAGACCAGCCTGACCAACAAGGTGAAACTCCGTCTCTACTAAAAACACAAAAGAAAATTAGCTGGGCATGGTGGCAGTTGCCTGTAACCTCAGCTACTCAGGAGGCTAAGGAAGGAGAATCGCTTGAACCCAAGGAGAATCGCTTGAACCCAGGAGGCGGAGGTTGCAGTGAGCAGAGACCACACCACTGCACTCCAGCCTGGGCAACAGATCAAGACTGTGTCGCAAAAAAACAAAACAAAACAAAACAAAAAAAAACAAATACAAAAAAAACTTTATTTGCTATCTGTCCTCGTTAAGTAAGTGGCTAGAATCATACTACTTACATTAGAAGGATGTTGTAAAGAATAAATATATGAATTTGTATTCAGATCCTTAGAATATTCCCTGGTATGTGGTTAAGTGTTCGATATTTGTTAGCTATTGTCCTTGATGGTGGTATTCCAGTAGCTGACAGGAGTAAAGAACACTTTATACTCTACCACTTGTGGAATTTCAGCTACTTGTTACTTAATAACTCCAACAAAATAAATTGTAGCCCACTTAAGAGGCATAAGCAGCCTTAGGCCCCTAACAGCCTCTGAACAAGCCAACCTTTGAATCAGCAAATACAGTAGCTAGATGAGAAAAATGACAACTTGAATTAAAAAACAAATATGAAATTATTAAGATTCAGATGCCTCCCAAAAGCCTTTATTTAGGAAAATGCTAAACCATTAGGAAAAGTTTTGAAAGGGAGATCAACTGACATTGAATGACAGGCTAGAAGGATCAACTGCATAACATATCTCAAAACAAAGGAAAAAATAAAGCAATGGGAAAAATAAGGAAAAGTTAATAACCTTAAAGATCTAAGGTTTTAACATATTACTAAAAGATGTTACAATAGGGAAAAAACAGAATAAACAAGGCAAAATTTAAGGCAACAAGTAGAAGAAAACTTCCCACAATTGAAGAAGGCCCAGATTGTAGAGTCTCACTGTGGTATAGAACGGAATAAAGATATGCACTAAGCATATGTTGGTAAAATACTAGAATTATTAAAAAGTCACCTTATAATCTTCCCAGGTAAAAATTAAAACTTACAAAAGAAATATTGGAATGAGACTCCATTCTGACTTCTCTGCAACACTGGCAAACAAGTATCAATGGAATAACATCTATAGACTATTAGGAGAGAGAGAATACAACATAACCGTTGTGTGTCTCCAGCCAAGAAATTATTCATCAGTCAGGCTGAACAGAAGTTCCTTGTGCATATGGAAACCTTCAGATAATATATCATCCACATATCCTGTATAAGGATAATACTTGAATAAATATCTAGCCATGGCCGGGCGCGGTGGCTCACGCCTGTAATCCCAGCACTTTGGGAGGCTGAGGCAGGTGGGCCACCTGAGGTCAGGAGTTCGAGAGCAGCCTGGCCAACATGGTGAAACCCCGTCTCTACTAAAACTACAAAAATTAGCCTGGCATGGTGGTGGGCGCCTGTAATCCCAGCTACTCGGGAGGCTGAGGCAGGAGAATCGCTTGAAACTGGAAGGCAGAGGTGGCAGTGAGCCGAGATCTCGCCATTGCACTCCAGCCCAGGTGACAGAACAACATTCTGCCTCAAAAAAAAAGAAAAAAAAGAAATCTAGCCAAATGAATATTCCAGAAAAGAGAACTGAAGTGGATGAAGAAGGAGAAACAGGAATAAAGACCTTACACTCTTCATAAATGGAAGACATAAGCACTCTAAATAGTCATAATTGAGGGACTATACTGCAAAGGACATAACATGAGTACAGAATAAAAATATTAAAGAATTTTAACAAATCTTTTAAGTGGGGAAAATATAAAAGGACGAATTGGAATACATATTTTAATGGACACAACATCTTGGGTTAGTTTTGAGGAAGAATATTAGGTACCTTGAGCTAAGAAATAGTGTGCTTTGGGGGACTTTATAGTACTTTGTTTCGGGCAACATTAGAAAAATATGTGGCTATTGGTAGACATGGAGAAATGAAGGTAACTATTAATGGAAATTAACAATTGGTAAAAAGATATAATCAACAACTCAAACATCAGAAATGAAGTGGAAAAAAAAGTAATAAACATAATGTAGGAAGGCAGGAATAAAGTTAAGTGTTTTCTTCATTACAGTAAACGTGAGTGGACACAATTATCTCCTCAAAAGACAGAAGTCATTATATTGGGCTAAAATACAAAACGCAAAACAATAACAAAAACAACCCTATACAGTGCTTTTAAAAATTAAGTCACTTAAAGCCAAGAATTATAGGAAGTTTTGAAAATTAAGGTTGGGGCAAATAAATATCATACCAAAGGAAAGTAGCAGTACCAATATTAATATCAGAGAAATGCGCTTTTGAAGTGAAAAGCACTAAAACATAAAAAGACGGACATTTTGCAATGATAAATAGAGTAGTACTGAACCAATAAATCAATTGTCATAGAACTGATACCTTTATGATACTGCATTTTCCTATGTTTGATCATGGTGTCTGCATTTATTTCAATCTTCTTTACTATTACTTAGTAATTTTTTTTTTTTTGAGACAGGGTTTCGCTCTTGTTGCCCAGGCTAGAGTGCAATGCCATGATCTCGGCTCACCGCAACCTCCACCTCCCGGGTTCAAGCGATTCTCCTGCCTCAGCCTCCCGAGTAGATGGGATTACAGGCATGTGCCACCACGCCTGGCTAATTTTGTATTTTTAGTAGAGATGGGGTTTCTCCATGTTGGTCAGGCTAGTCTCGAACTCCCGACCTCAGGTGATCTGCCTGCCTAGTCCTCCCAAAGTGCTGGGATTACAGGAATGAGCGACTGTGCCCGGCCTACTTAGCAATTTTATATGATTTTCAAATGAAAAGTCTTACACATCTTTTATTCCTAGTTAATTTATTTTTGTTTGTTTTTTTGAGACGGAGTTTCATTCTTGTTGCCCCAGTGCAATGGCGCGATCTCAGCTCACTGCAACCTCCGCCTCCCGGATTCAAGTGATTCTCTTGCCTCAGCCTCCCAAGTAACTGGGATAACAGATGCCTGCCACCACACCTGGCCAATTTTTTTGTATTTTTAGTAGAGACAGGGTTTCCCCATGTTGACCAGGCTGATCTCGAACTCCTGACCTCAGGTCATCCACCCACCTCGGCCTCTCAAAGTGCTGGGATTACAGGCGTGAGCCACCGAGCCCGGCCTATCCCTAGTTCGTTTATAGTTATTGATGCTATTGCACATGGTGTCTTCTTTAAATTTATGTTTTCTAATGCCCTTTGCTATATAGAAATACAGTTTACTTTTATATATTGATCTTATGCCCAGTTTGATGTATTCTCTTATTTTACACATGTATAAAATTATACAATATATATCACATTTTACTTTTCTTCTTTTCTAATCCTGTTTTCATTTCATTTTTCTTTTTTCATTGCCTTCAGGACTCTTTTTGGTAGAATTGCTATAATTGAGTAGCCTTCTATTATTCATGGCTGTGAAAGGAATTCTTTAGCTATTTTCCCATTAAGCATTATGTTAGATGTAGGTTTTTGTAGATATCTCTACTAAATTGAACATGAAAACGTCCTAAATTCTCCTCCTAGGGTGAATGTGAATTTTCAGTTCCTTTTCCAGGAAAAAGGTGGACTCTTTTTCCCTATTTCTTGAATCTGGGCTGTCTTTGTGACTTGATTTAGTTAATAAAATTCTGAAGTCATGGTGTGTCAGCTCTGAGTCTCACAAGACTTGTGTGCTTCCACTTTTCCTTGCAAACCTGCTACCAGTGTATGAATATGCTCAGGCTGGCCTGTTGCAGGATGGGGAGGAGAGACCAGCAGTCTCTACAGTGAATTTACCCCCAAACATGTAAGAGATAGCATTAGCAGAGCTGCCAACCTGACCCAGTGCTGATGCCAGATGCTTGACAATCCAGGCAAGACCATGATAACAACAACACAGTATATTTGTAGATTCTTTTTTTTTTTTTTTTTTTTTTTGAGACAGAGTGTTGCTCTGTCGCCCAGGCTGGAGTGCAGTGGCATGATCTTGGCTCACTGCAATCTGTGCTTCCCAGTTTCAAGCAAATCTCCTGCCTCAGCCTCCCGAGTAGCTGGGACTACAGGAGCATGCCACCACGCCCAGCTAATTTTTGTAATTTTAGTAGTGACAGGGTTTCACCACGTTGGCCAGGCTGTCTCGAACTCCTGACCTCAGGTGATCTGCCTACCTCAGCCTCCCAAAGTGCTGGAATTACAGGCGTGAGCCACCGCACTTGGCCTTACTTGTAGATTTTTTAGTTATGATAAGTGCTTGTTTTTTAAGCCACTGAGTTAAAAAATAGTTTTTCACAGAGCAATGATTAAATGATATAATAACCAGATTATGGAAGTTCCTTTATATTCGTGGCTTCCTAAAAGTTTATATTGTAAGTGCTGTTGAATTTACCAAATATTTTTATTTTTCTGCATCGAGATGACCATATACTTTTCTCCTTTATTTGGAAAAGTGGTGTATGACATTTAGTCCTTTTGCACTGTTTTAACTCCCTTTCAGTCATGAGATAAATCCAAGTTGATCATAGTTTATTGTCTTTTACAGAACTATGGATTAAATATGCTCATATCTTTCAATTTTTAAGTCTTCACTTATAATTGAAGTGAGTTTGTATTTTTCTCTTCAGTCACAATCTATGTTTGATTTAGGTACCAATGTTATAAAAGTTGCTCAGAATATGTTGGGAAGTAATTCATCTCTATTTCCCCTCTAAAATATTTTGAATAAGATTGGAATCATCTTTTGCTTAAAAATTTATAAAACCGGACGGCATGGTGGCTCCTGCCTGTAATCCCAGCACTTTGGGAGGCCCAGGCGGGCGGATCACCTGAAGTCAGGAGTTCGAGACCAGCCTGGCCAACATGGCGAAACCCCATCTCTACTAAAAACACAAAAATTAGCTAGGCATGGTGGCATGCACCTGTAATCCAGCTACTTGGGAGGCTGAGGCAGGAGAATCACTTGAACCCAGGAGGTGGAGGTTGCAGTGAGCCGGGATCGCACCATTGCACTCCAGCCTGGGCACAAAGAGTGAAACTCCATCTTAAAAAAAAGAAAAAGAATTCATAGAACCAACCTGTAACCATGTGGGATAAGTGCTTGTGTTAAAGGAAAATCCCTAAGTGTGTTTTATTTTTTAATCGTTATACTTCCCTTCAGGCTTTTTCTATCTTCTGCTCTTTGCCACCTGTGAGGTCCCTGAAAATGAAGGCCAATACTACCCAGGTAAGCAAATACCCAAAAGGCCAAAAAGACTGGGTAATCTGGTGTTCCCGTTAATTCTCTCTATTAGAGTTTTAATCTGAGACTTTCTCTTTTGTGAATTCTTTGACACTTTTAAGGAGAATTTTGTATTTCGTCCTATATATTTTGTTTCCATTGGAGAGATATGGAGGAGAAATGGTCCAAATATTATAGCCAACCATAAACAAAAACTGAATTACTCCTAAATCTATTTAACAAGTTGAAATATGACTAAGCTGTTCAGTAATATTTGTCATTTATTTCAATGAATATTTTCCTTAACTTTCTGAGGAAACTAAGTAACTAATTTCAAATGAGAAGAAATACAATGACAACAAACAAAAATAAAGTGAAATAAATTAATGATATGAGAAAGTGCTTGTGTTCCCAGGTTAAAAGATGAAATCATGAGACAACCTTTTAGTAACTTCTGATAGGGGTTTATACGTATTTATATATGTATACTACTCAAAGTGGGCATTTATGGCATGAAGTGATGAGCGGTATCTAAGCCTTCCTCTTAGGGCTCCAAGCAAACAGTTGCCTCTCATTTTACAGAGTCTAACCCCGTAAATGGAGAAAGACTCCTTGAGGGCATGAATATTGACAAAGGCTATCTCCTTGACCAAATTGTAGATAGGCTCCTCTGAGCCCTCTTTTTAACAGCTCATTCTTGAGTCCTGTCTTTGGCTTGCCTAGTCCAGTTTTAATAAGAATCTTAACTCAGTTTGGCAAGAATTCCCCTACCCTTGATGTCTCCTCTCTGTGATGTTCCATGCACTGACCCCCCTCACTCTGCTCCTTGACTATAAATCTCCAGCTGTCTTTGCTATGCTCAGAATGGAGACTGATCTATTTCTCACCTATTGCAATGTCCCTATTGCAGTAGTCTTGAATAGTCTTCCTTATCACTTTAACAGGTGCTGGAATAATTTTCTCTTTAACAATAGCAAGCCAAGTTAAGGAACATGTGGCCTGCTGCCTAGAAATGCCCCAATCCTGCCCTTAATTTTTCAAAATTGTCGTCTTCCTCCTAGGCCTAGCTCCTTGAGACTTGCCCCTAGACGTAAACAATTTGATCATGTAGGGAAAATGCTTGAGATGTAAAACTGAGTTAAGAGCAGAACTGCAAAGACTAGGTTAAGTGGAAATTGAGTTCTTGAAAGATAATATTGCCTGATAAAAGTGGGTGGTTTAGGGTGGGATCTGAACATGGCGGTGGTGGTAGCTGCTAAGGCGCTGAAGGGCCGGGGGGATGGAGGGCAAGAAATGCCCGCGTCCTCCGGGGGATTCTCGCAGGAGCCACAGCTAACAAGGCTTCCCATAACAGGACCCAGGCACTGCAAACCCACAGCTCCCAAGAAGGCAGGGAGGAACCTGAACTCCTATCCCCCGAGATGTAATACATTCCCAGAAAGAGGGGCAAGAACCCCATGAAAGCTGTGGGACTGGCCTGGGCCATCGGCTTCCCTTGTGGTATCCTTCTCTTCATCCTCACCAAGCAGGAAGTGGACAAGGACCGTGTGAAACAGATGAGGGCTCGGCAGAACATGCGGGTGTCCAACACTGGCGAGTATGAGAGCCAGAGGTTCAGGGCCTCCTCCCAACGTGCCCCGTCCACTGTTGTTGGGTCTGGACTGCAGACCTGAGGAACCATGCAACTCTCCTAAACTATTGACTGTGAAGTCCTCAGGTTTGGCCGGGATTCCAGTTCTTGCCTCTGAGGTCCACCAGAGGGCGCACGAAGCCCGGGCTGCTGCCAACCCCTACCCCGCCCCAAACCCAGGAGCCAACCAAAGGCAAATAAAGTTATTGAGTGTTTAGTGGGGGGTGGGGGGGGAAAGTGGGTAGTTTAGGCCCTGGTTTGATTTAAGATGGAAACAAAGGCAAAATTCCAGCAGTATGAGCAGGTCGCCCCAAACTGGGCAAAATGCAAGGCAGCCATGTTTGGTGGCGCCTTTATCTCTGAGTGGCGTTTTTTCACACAGGAAGGGCGGGAGAAGAGTGCCCCAAGGCAGGTTTCCTTGAAAATATGCAGCACTACTGCCCCTGTGAGGAAATCATTTAAAGACAGAATACGCCATTACAGCGTTCTTCCCTTGAGGCCCAGCTGTTGGGGAAGGTCTGGTCTGTGGGTAGGTGGAAGAGGCTGGGGCTTCATGCTGAGCCTCCTTGCCTTCTCCTCTAAGGCCTTAACAGAGAGACCTGGACATTGGTGGTATCTTGGTATAAAACCTGGAGAGTGAGGGGCTTGGAGTGAACCATCAGCTGCCAGGCGGTACTGGCACAGAAGTCGTGGGGCGGGGCCTCACTTCCTCCTGGTGTGGTCAGGACTTGAGGGACCCACTCAAACACAAATGCAAGCTCTTTGGGCATCTGTCTCCTATTCCTGCCCCTTGGAGCAAGAGTTAGCAGGCTTTCACGTGGTACCACCATCCTATGATGAAGGCCTTATTATATACAAGGACTCCTCAAAGAAGCTATGGGACGTTGGTTTCTTGTGGCAGCTGTGTCAGAACACAAAGAACAGGCCAATTCCAGATGACATTGCAGAGGCAAGTGTGCTTGCTGAAGATCTCAGGTCAAACATCTAGATTCACTGCCTGCAGCCAGGAGGAATTGAGGAGAAGTGGGGCCACGTAGTCAAACCAAGAAGTAATGAAACGTCTAAAGGAGTAGATATGAAAAAACAGATGGAGAAGAAGTAATCCAAATATGTTAGCCAAGCATAAACAAAAACTGAAGTATAATTCAATCTAATTTAGATGTTTTACATATGACTAAGCTATTTCAACACAGACAGTGAAAAGGATTGAAAATGAACACATATTTCCAAGTCCTTGCCTGCCAGAGGTGTCATTCCTTGTGATATCACTCTATGACTTCATACATGCCTGTTGTAGAAGGAACATTGCAAAGAAATGTGATTATTTCTAGAAGTGCAAAAATCAGGTGGCAAAAATGATGTCACTGAAGATCATGAAGGAGGACACGTTGGCACATCATCCCTCCACAAAAGCAGCAAGAGCCAGGCATGAACTAGAAAGAAGTGTCGGCCCCGCGCCGTGGCTCACGCCTGTAATCCCAGCACTTTGGGAGGCCGAGGCGGGTGGATCACGAGGTCAGGAGATCGAGACCATCCTGGCTAACACGGTGAAACCCTGTCTCTACTAAAAATACAAAAAATTAGCTGGGCCTGGTGGCGGGCGCCTGTACTCCCAGGTACTCGGGAGGCTGAGACAGGAGAATGGCGTGAACCTGGGAGGCGGAGCTTGCAGTGAGCCGAGATCGCTCCACTGCACTCCAGCCTGGGCGACAGAGCGAGACTCCGTCTCAAAAAAAGAAAGAAAGAAAGAAAGAAGTGTCAGAATCCACTTTTACAGAACTCTAGAGCTTGTCAAAAACTTACAACACCCAGGGAAGCCTTGGTGAAGAAATAAGTGACTGCTTTGTGGTGAGAGAGCAAGAGAGCTGCGGCATTTTAAATTACCTGTCTACCATCCCCCAGCCTCCACAGTGCCTTCAGTATAGCTCCTACCCTCGTGCATAGGTATAATACAGAACTTATTCTCAAAGAATTGTTGCATTCCAGTTTGATCTGTCTTTTGGCTCCCTAAAGGATTGGTGTAAGAGCTTGCTTTTTGTTTTGCCTCACTTGGAGTGTTTCCAAGTTTGGAACAACTCCTGAGGGGCATGTGTTGAAAAAACTTAAAGACACAAGTACTGGCTATAAGAATCTGAGGCAAGGGACAACAGTTAAAATAAACAATAAGCAGATGGAAAAGCATGGGAAGGAAGAGGCTATGAAAGGAAATACTTGGGGGAATAAGAACTTTAAAATGTTCTTGTATACACTAGAGAAATAAGAAAGCCATGCACATGGGCAGGGCTGGACAATTATGCAGAAAATGCCTGAGAAGAGCTTAAGGTCTCAGATCTCACTAGCTTTCAGGCCCCTTGCAAGCTAGAAGTGAAGACTACAGCCTGGCTAGTTGAAAGAGTGCCCCAACACACAGAGCCAGTTTTCAAGGACTTAGAGAATACTTATCTTTCTTTCTTTCTTTCTTTCTTTCTTTCTTTCTTTTTTTTTTTTTGAGACGGAGTTTCGCTCTTGTAGCCCAGGCTGGAGTACAATGGCACGATCTCGGCTCACTGAACCTCCGCCTCCCGGGTTCAAGCGATTCTCCTGCCTCAGCCTCCAGAGTAGCTGGGATTACAGGCTTGCGCCACCATGCCTAGCTAATTTTTGTATTTTTAGTAGAGACAGGGTTTCACCATGTTGACCAGGCTAGCCTCGAACTCCTGACCTCAGGTGATCCACCTGCCTCAGCCTCCCAAAGTGCTGGGATTACAGGCATGAGCCACCGCACCCAGCTACTTTTCTTTCTTTCTTAGGCTCCACGTGTTTAAGGAAACTGTCAGAGTACTAGGTGACCACTAAGCTATCAGAACACTGACTCCAGTGGCTACAAATGATAAAAATACAGACTTTACAAAAATATTTAAGAAAAGTTACTAAAAAAGCAAATAACAAACAACAACACACAACTGCTATCAACTAACCCCATGGGGTGGGGAGGCAAGTGTGTTTAGAAATCTAATTTCCAGAGTTGATACAGTATGATATCAAAACATCTAATTTTTATTTTTATTTATTTATTTATTTATTTATTGAGATGGAGTCTTGCTCTGTCACCAGGCTGGAGTGCAGTGGCGTGGTCTCGGGTCACTGCAACCTCTGCCTCCTGGGTTCAAGTCATTCTCCTGCCTCAGCCTCCCGAGTAGCCGAGACTACAGGCACGCGCCACCACACCCAGCTAATTTTTGTATTTTTAGTAGAGACGGGTTTCACCATGTTGGCCAGGATGGTCTTGATCTCCTGACCTCGTGATCCGCCCACCTTGGCCTCCCAAAGTGCTGGGATTACAGGCGTGAGCCACCGCACCCGGCCCAAAACATTTAATTTTTAATGATAAACAAAACATAAGACATGCAAAGAAAACAAGAAGGTATGGCCTACTCACAGGGAAAAGAGAAATTCATAGAAACTGTGCAGAAGGAAGCCCAGGCATTGGGCTTACTAGAAAAGAGTTATGTCAACTCTCTTAAATATGCTCAAAGTGTTACCATAAATGAAACACAAAGAACTAAAAGAAACCAAGAGAATAATGTCTCACCAAGTAGAGAACATCAATAAAGAGAGAGAAATTATTTTTTAAAAAAACAAATATAACTTTTGGAACTGAAAAGTACAGAAACTGAAATGAAAAAAAAAAGATCACTGGAAGTTTCCAACAGCAGATTAGAACAGTTAGAAAAAAGTCAGTGAATGTGAAGCTAGAGCAATTGAAACACATGAATATAAACATGCAAGAAGCTCAACAAACTCTATGTAAGATAAACCCGAAGAAATCTACAATGAGAAAGCTTATAATCCTGCTGTCATAAGACAAAGACAAAGCAAGAATCTTGAAAGCATCATAAGAGAAAGGGCTTAATTATATACAAGGACTCCTCAATAAGATTAGCAGCCAGTTTTTCTTCAGAAACCATGGAAGCCAAAAGGCAGTGGGATAACATATTTGAAGTTCTAAAGCAAACAAACTTGTCAATAATTCCATATCCCCCAAGACTAACTTTCAGAAATGAAGGAGAAATTAAGACATTCCTAGATAGAAAAAAACTTACAGATTCCACCAGTAATAGACCTCCCATAACAGAAATGCAAAAAGGAGTCTCTCAGGATGAAATGAAAATACGCTAGATAGTAACTCAAAACCATATGAAGAAATAAGGAACAAAGAAAAGGGTAGCTACATAGATACATAAAAAAGCCAGAAGAATTATATTTTTGGTTTATAATTCCCTTTCCTTCCCATATGATTTTAAAAACAAATGAATGAAACAATAATTATAAGTCTGCATTAATAGGTACACAATGTTTAATGATGTCGTTTGTAAAAATAACACAAAAGGGATTAGAGCTTTAAAGGAGTAGGTTTTATGTACTATATAAACTACTTTGTAGTTTAATAAAAATTGATTACTCTAAAATTAAGATATTAATTGTATTCTGCAGGATAACATAAAGAAAAAAATTAGTATATAGAGAAAAAGAAATAGAAAGGAATAAAAATGGTGCACTAGAAAAGATCAATTAATCACAAAAGAAGGTAGGAATTATGGAATTGAGAAAAAAGCTATAAGACATACAGAAAATACATAACAAAATAGCAGGAATAAGTCCCTCTTTACCAGTAATTACTTTAAATGGATTAAACTCCAAGGCAAAGATTGGCAGAATGGATTTTTTAGAACATCCAACTCTAGCTGTCTAAAAGAGTTGGCTTTAGATCCAATTCACAAATGGTTAACAGTAATAGCATGAAAAAAATATTTCATGTAAAAAGTAACCAAAAGAAAATTGGTCTGACTGTACTGATACCAGACAAAATATACCTTAAGACAATAATTGTTTCAAGAGACAAAGATGGACATTATATAATGATAAGGTCAGTCTGTCAAGATGTACTAATTAAACATACATATTTATTTTACAAGAGTCCCCAAATACATGAGGCAAAAACTGAACAGAACTAAAGGAAAAAATAGAGTTCTAAAAAGTAAGTTAGTGACTTCAATACCCCACTTTATGTATTTATTTATTTATTTATTTAGAGACAGAGTCTCTCACTCTGTCACCCAGGCTGGAGTGTAGTGGCACCATCTTGGCTGCAATCTCCGCCTCCTGGGTTCAAGCAATACCTATGTCTCAGCCTCCCGAGTAGCTGGGATTACAAGCGTGCGCCAATGTGCCCAGCTAATTTGTTTATTTTTCGCAGAGAAGGGGTTTCACCATTTTGGCCATGCTGGTCTTGAACTCTTGGCCTTGAGTGGTCTGCCCGCCTCAGCCTCCCAAAGTGCTAGGATTACAGGCGTGAGCCACGTCACCCAGCCCAATACCCCACCTTAAGTAATGAATGAAACAACTAAACTGAAGATCATTAAGGAATTAGAGGATGTGAACAAAGTTATGAGTCAACTAGACCTAAAAGATATAAAAATATATCTTACCTTGAAAGGTAAGATTCCATCACCTACCATGTAGACCATGCTGTACCAGGAGAAGGGAACTGGCTTTTGTGACATCCTGGCCTGTGCCTCTCTCTTTTTGACTTATCATGGTTGATTTCAAGGATGGCCTATGGACATAGGTGTACTGACACACAGCAGTGCCTTGCAGAGGCTCTGGGAAGCAAAGCACGAGGTCTTCCAGGTATTTTGTGAAAGAGAAAAATGACCTCTAACCTTCCCTTCAAATATCATCTAAAGAACACTCACAGAAAGCCTTGACTAGATGAGTTAGGCTCCTTAGGTAATCCCTTCAGCCTTCACAAAGTCTGAATTCCATTCTCTGTGGCCTGATTGGCAGAGACATTCCCTGCCTCTGATTTAGGGAGAAAAGCAAACAGTTGGACCTTGGGGATCAAACCATGTAAGTTTGCTAACACTAGGTAAGAGAAATGGCAAAGTCAAGGGCATTTTACTTCTAACATGTGATAACCTTGAACCAAACGTCTAAACATGTATGTATTCTAGAAAGCCAATATGCACATTGTAATGTATCTGTAAATTGAAAAAATTCAAACAAAACAACTAACAGTGTCTACTTCTCTAAAGCTGAGTTTTTGAGAGCACATTTTCCAGTTTTACTTTTATTTATAATGAAGGCTTGACACATTGACAAATAAGGCTTAGTACTGATAACATTCTGAGTAATACCATGTTTTTATTTAAAAATAAACAGCACTGTTTACATGCTGGGATGATTAAATGTCTTGCTCTTACTAGTCAAGAAAATTAAAAAGTTCTAACAAATTATTATTTAACACAAAATCCAATTAGCTGAAGTATGTTTAGTGACATTTTAAGTAGGCTTTCTATATAAAACCTGAGAAAAATGATAGAAGGAAAAATATTAAATTAGAAGGAAATTTCACATAAAGGGTGTTATTTGATGTTTATAACAAAAAAAAATTCCTGCACATGTACATTCCCTCTACCCCCCCCAATAAAATGCAAATAGAAGAACGAGCTAAATGCAGTTGAGAAAAACAGTAATTGAATTTTGATTGAGTTTATGTGATAGAGAATATGTCTCATTAACTTCTGCTATAATTGTTCAATTTTTCATTTTTTTGCTAAGTGTTTATATCATCCTTAGGATTTGAGCACTAGTTGATTCATTGTTATTTTTGAACAATAAAGAAATGTTATGAGAGTTAGCAATAAAGTACTATTAGTTACTCCATGCCATTGGAAATTTCCCATTACCTAATATTGTGTGAAATATTCAAGGCATTAAATACTACCTATAGTTTGATGAGGATGGAATTGAAGGGAGTAATTAATGTGATTGTGTGTGTATGTTGAACACTTTGTTGTGCAAATAAGGGAGTATATTAATAAGCCTCTATCGCTTTAGTTAAATAGTATCACCTCTCATGAACAATCATAGAATCCATTTATAATATTTGAATGCATGTAGCCATCAAGCTGCTGATGGTGGTTGCTTCATGAAAATGGGATTTACGATGAAGTGTTTTTGCTTGTCCTTCACAGATTTGAATATTCTAAGAGATTTCTCAAAAAGCTGATATTCATAATTTGAGAAGCAATCAAGAACAAACGTGTACTGAAACAGTTGGTGCAAAATCCTTATTGACCACAGATGGAATTCAGTAATTTATATTTCTTCGAAACATAGAAAAACGGAATACTGAGATCTGGTGGGGGGCCGGCGGCAGTCTGGGAGCGGCGCGCCATGTACACCATCATCAACGGGCCCAGCAAGTTGGTCGCGCAGCGCCGCACAGGTCTCACGCAGCAGCAGGTGAAGGGCCAGCTCCAGGAGCTCCTGAAAAGCCGGCAGCCCGCGCCGCCGACCTTGCAGCCCCAGCGGGCGCAGCCCTTCGCGCAGCCGCTGGGACCCTGGCCCCTGTCGAGTGCAGGGCCAAGGCTTGTGTTCAATCGTGTGAATCGCCGGCGGGACCCCTCCAAGTCCCCATCCCTCCAGGGGACCCAGGAGACCTACACACTGGCCCACAAGGAGAATGTCCGCTTTGTGTCCGAAGCCTGGCAGCAGGTGCGGCAGCAGCTGGATGGTGGCCCAGCCGGTGAGGGCGGGACAAGGCCTGTGCAGTGGAGAGGATCCCCAATCCCCGGCTGCAGAACTTCGTGCCCATTGACTTGGACGAGTGGTGGGCGCAGCACTTCCTGGCTAGAATCACCAGCTGTTCCTAGCGGCTGCTGGGAGGGAGCGCTGCTATGGTCTACCTATCGCCAGGAGAGGAGCATGGCGTCCTGCCCATCCACTGTTGCGCCTGGCTGGGTGCCGGCCACACCTGAAGTGCCAGCATTTGGACTTTTGCACCTGTTGTTCCCTTGGCCCAGCTGTCCCAAGCTGCTATGGCCAGGGGCTGAACCCGTCTGACCTCAGTCCTGCTCACTGTGCCCAGGGACCAGAGACCAGCCCCTGGGGATGTCGGAGAGGAGCTCCAGGCTAATAAAGTCGAGAAACTGCCAAAAAAAAAAAAAGAAAAGAAAAGAAAAGAAAGAAAGAAAGAGAAAGGGAATGCTGATAATAGATCCGCATTTTGAAATTACTTGTTTCTTGGTGGTGGCATTAACTGTGACCTACCTGCTTTTCTTTAAACAGGGCTACTGTATCTGAAAATATTGTAAATAAGCAGATCTAATTTCGAGAAATGCCAAAAACAGGAAGGCACTCTTAAAAACAACCTGGCATCCCACAAAATATTTAAGAATAATCTTTAAGAATATTTAACAAGTTTGCAAATGTTTAAGCTACAATAAATGTAGAGAACATATTTGAACACTGGACATACAAATATATGGGAACTTTAAATAGAGAAGTTCTTATATGACCAATAGAAGACGTGAATGTGTGATAAAACCATTTTAAAAGTCATTTCCTATTGGGATTGAGAGACCACTTATTTATGATATTTATACACCTATCTGTGTACACATGTTTACTAACCATAGTAGTGATTAGTCATGGTAGTGATTAGTCATGGTAATCATTTCAGTTACCATGATCTGTGCCTATATCCGTATGTATGTGTGTATGTACTTATTTATACAAAACAAGATGTTAAGGAGAATTTGTACATGCATTTAATGCAAGCAAATACTTTCCCTTCAAAACTTTGTCAGAATACACATCTGGTCTGATCCAAACCACAATGTACAGATTAATCCAATTTTAATATAGATTTATTTTTTGTGTGAACAAAATATAGTAGGCGTATGTATCTATACATTGAAAAGTATGGAAGAAAATAACCCAAAATGTTATCAGTTGTCTTAACAGATTTTATGATGGTGTTATTCTTCTTGATGTACACAAGATTATTTTTGAACTATATGGCAAACATCATTCTTTTTTAATTTTTTTTTTTTAGAG
This sequence comes from Homo sapiens, assembly GCF_000001405.40. NCBI lineage: Eukaryota > Metazoa > Chordata > Mammalia > Primates > Hominidae > Homo > Homo sapiens. Next base: position 131,794,464 of record NC_000023.11, on the reverse strand, counting down.
ACTAAGGTGTCAGTATGTTCTTCAAGCTGCTCTGCTCCTGGGCCCAAGCTATTCTCCTGCCTCAGCCTTCCAAGAAGCTGAAACTACAAGAACACAAGACTGTACCTGGCTTGCAAACACCATTGCTAATAAGAAGATATTGTAAGACTGATACCTAAGAGATAAGAGGTAACACACACACACACACATGCAGGCACACACACACACACACACTCAAGTCACAAGAAGAAGCTGAAAAATATTTAATGGCATAGGAACATGTGGAAATATAAATTATTCACTGTTAAACAGAGGACAATTTTTAAAACTGTGTAACTATCTTTTTTTTTTTTTTTTTTTTTTGAGACAGAGTCTCACTCATTCTGTCGCCCAGGCTGGAGTGCAGTGGCGTGATCTCAGCTCACTGCAACCTCCACCTCCCGGATTCAAGCGATTCTCCTGCCTCAGCCTCCTGAGTAGCTGGGACTACAGGTATGGGCCACCACACCTGGCTCATCTTTGTATTTTTAGTAGAGACAGGGTTTCACCATGTTGGCCGGGCTGGTCTCAAACTCCTGATCTCAAGTGATCCACCGGCCTCGGCCTCCCAAAGTGTTGGGATTACAGGCGTGAGCCACTGCATCTGCCCCAAAACTGTGTAACTTCTAATGGGAGTTTATACAGATGTAAGTATATGTATCATGCCCTGTGGAACAATGTATTACATACAATGATGTGCGCTGTCTTGGCCTTCTCTTCCTACTTCTACCAAACACTTTCTGACAATTCATCACATAAACTGAGAAAATGGAGGAGGACTCCCTGGTTGTCTGGGGAGGGGAATAGGTCAAAGATCACCTAGACTTGTGAATTGGTGGCTCATGATGATCTCCAGGCTTCTGACCATTTATTATCGCTTTTCTTCTCTGATCGGTCTAATTTCCGGCCTGAGACAGACATTTTGATACCATGTGAAAGTACTGAGCCAACCCACATAGACTAAGTCTGGAAAACATTTAATTTCTTGAAAGAACAAGATTCCTGATGAGGATGGGTCGTTTAGGCTTTGACTTGATTTCACATGGAAAAGAAAAGCAAAAGTACAGGAATTTGCACAGGTTGCCCCAAACTGTGCAAAATGCAAGGCAGCCATGTCTCCTGGCGCATTTGTCTCTGGGTGGCGTTTTTTCAGACAGGAAGGGCGGGAGAAGACTGCTCCAAGACAGGGCGTCCTTGAAAATCTGAAGCACTACTGCCACCGTGAGGAAATCGTTTAAAGACAGAATAGGCTATTACAGCGTCCTTCCCGGGAAGCCTCGCTGTGGGGGAAAGTCTGGTCTGTGAGGAGGTGGAAGAGGATTGGGCTCCAGACTAGGTCTTGTTGCCTTCTCCTCTAAGGCCTGAAGAGAGAACTGGAATTTGGCGGTATCTTGGTGTAGAACCTGGAGATTGAGGGGCTTGGAGTGAAGCAGCAGCTGCCAGGAGGTCCTGGTACAGGAAGTCGTGGGTCGGGGCCTCAGTTCCTCCTGGTGTGGGCAGGACAGCAGAAACCCTCTCAAAGACACATGTAGGCTCTTATGGGCATCTCTTTGCTGTTCCTGCCCCTTGGAGCAAGAGTCAGAAGTTTTCCACGAGCTGTCATCTTGCTATGGATCTTTGGGTCTCTGGTAGCATGAGTGTTGCGCACAATTAACAGGGTTATTCCAAGGGAAGTTTACAGGATTTGCTATTAGAACCTTCACACTCCAGGTTCTATAGCAAGATACCGCCAATGTCCAGGTCTTTTTTAAAGCCTTAGAGGAGTAGGCGAGGCCTCCCAGCATAGAGGCCAAGCCTCTTCCACCTCTTACCAGACCAGACCTGTCCCAACAGGTAGCCCACACTAGAACTCTGTAATGGCGTAGGGTTTCGTTAAACGACATCCTCACGATGGCAGTAGTGCTCCAAATATGCTAAGTAGTCTGGTCTTGGCGCCCTCTACTCCCGCCCTTCCTGTATGAAAAAACGCCACGCATCCACAAAGGCGCCACCAAACATGGCTGCCTTGCATTTAGCCCAGTTTGGGGCCAGCTGGTCTTACCGCTGCACTTTTGCTTTTGTTTTCCACTTGAAATCAAACAAGGCCCGCCTTCATTAAGAATCTTGTGCTTTCAGAAATTAAATATCCTCCTGTCCAAGACTTTGAGGGTGCGATTTATTTCACAGAGTTAAGGGGCCAGTACACTTCATGGTATAAAATTATCTTTTTCAGGGGATGAAGGCACAAGGAGAAAATTACTTGAAACTTGGAGATCTTCTCTGGCAAGCAATTTACAAATTCTGGTGTTCTTTGATCTGGCTCCCCGCCCAGACAACCAGGGAGTTCTTCATGTTCTAGCCTCATGTGTTGCACTATAGGCAGTAATTTGGCATCAGCCATAGAGGAGGGATCCGATAGTTGTCATTGCTGCCCGCCACATATACTCCACATGGAATGATACTCATAATGCATATGTTCAATTCCTGTCGAGGTTACACAGAGTTATATCTCATGGTCGCATCATTTAACACCAAAATAACAACATTCCCATGTGTTACATATACTTCAAGTATTTCCTGAGACTTTACACGGTGCCTACGTGGGGAATGGATGGGTGCGTTATGTTTCTCCCTTGGAGCAAGAGTTAGCAGGCTTTCAGGCAGTGTCACTCTGCTGTGAGGCATGAGTCATTTGTTGCAGCAATGTGAGAACACCAAGGACAGACCAATTCCAGGTGGGATGTAGCAGGAGCAAGTAAGTTTTCTGAGGGTCTCAAGGGCACCCAATTGTCTGAAGACTAGAAGGGCATAAAGAGAAATTGAACCACTGAGCTAATCAAGGAAGAGTTACATCTTCTTCTAGTGGACTGTTGTACATAAACACATAAACCAAAAACAGTGAAAGGGACTGAAAATCAATCTACATTTTAATAGTATTTGTTGGAGATGGCATTACCCGTGATCTCACTTCACGTTATCATGTATGACTATTGTGGCAGGTATGTTTTCAAGAAGCATGATTGTTTCTACGAATTCAAAAACAGGTGGCGAAAGTGACATCAATGAAAAGTATGCATTAGGGAACTTCTGTAGTCCCTCTCTCTGGAAAGGCAACTCAAAACAATCAAGAATCTATCATTAGAAGATCATTTTCTCAACACGATATATGGGGCATTTATAAAAAATCTACAGGTAGTATTATACTCAAGAGTGAAAGACTGAAAGCTTTCCTCCCAAGATCATGAACAAGGCAAGAATGCACACTTTTGCCCTTTTCTTGTACACTTAAAATTCTAGTCAGGGTCATCAGACAATGAAGATATATAAAAGGCATCCAAGTTGAAAAGAAAAAAAAGAAAAAAAAAATGGAAATTATCTCTCTTCATAAAGATGATGATATTATAAAAATGCTTTAAACTGCAGAAAAACCATATTAGAGCTAATGAACAATATTCAGCAAGCCCCACAGGATAGAACATTAAATCGTAAAAATCAGTTATAGTTGTGTACACTAGCAATGAACAATCTGAAAATTGAATTAAGAAAGCAATTCCATTTATAATAGCATCAAAATAAATCATATTTTAAGGAGAATATTTCACTAAACAGATGAAAGACTTGTACATTGAAAAATCACAAAATATTGGAGAAGAACTTAAAGATTACCTGGATTTTTAAAAAGGACATCCTGTGGGTAATGAGTTAGAAGACTAAATATTTATAATATGGCAATACTAGCCATAGAGATCTACAGATTTAATGTAATCCTAATTATTATTCCCATGAGCATTTATTTTTGGGAAAAAGAAAGAGCAAATTCTAAAGATCCTATTAAATTGCAAGAGATCTGAGTAACCAAACTTTGAGTAAGAAAAACCAAGGTGGAAGACACACTTCTAGATTTCAAAATTTACTAGAAAATCTAGAGTAATCAAAGCAGGCTGATGATCAAATAAGAATACACACAGTGATTAATGGAAGAGATGAAGAGTCTGAAAATAAACCCAGACATTGTGGTCAATTGACTTTTCACAAAGTTATCAAGTTCATTTAATGAGACGTGAATAGACTCCTTAAGAAATAGTGCTTAGACAACTGGTTATCCACATGCAAAAGGATGAAGTTAGACCTCTACCTCACATCATGTGCAAAAATTAACTTGAAATGTATCAAATGTCTAAAGGTAAGAGCTAAAGCTATAAAACCTTCAGGGAAACTATAGGAATAAGTCTTCAAAACTTTAGATTTGGCAATGATTTTTTAGCTATACCGCCAAAAGCACCAATAACAAAAGAAAAAATAAATTGGACTTCCCTGGAATTAAAAAATTTTGCATCAAAGTGCACAATTCAGAACTTGAAAAGCCAACTTACGGAGTGGGAGGAAATATTTCCAAATCAATTATCTAAAAACTGCTAATATCCAATACATATAAAGGACTCTTAAAAACAACAAAAGACAACCCAATTTTTAAAAAATAGGCCAAGGGAGAGTGACATCACCAAAATGGTAGAGTGGAAGCAATCTGACTTTACCCCAAAGAAAACTAAAAATAGCTGTCTAGTGCCAAGATTGTCACAAGCAATATTGCAGAACTGAAAATTGAGACTATGACGATCTGTGGGTCCACAAGAAAGTGAATACATATGAGCAGCTGGAAAGATTAATAGACTTCTGTCTCTGTGATTCCCCAACTCAAAGCTGCTAGGCACCATGTAGAAAATTCCCCCTGGACTCACGGTTTCCTCTGTAAAATGTGAGATCCAGGCAGGCAGCTAGCTTCTCTACCATTTTGGTGTCCTTTGCAGGAATGCTGTTCTTGCCTCACTCCCTAGAAAGCATCCTGACTGCCTGTAGGAAGAAAAATCTCTGAGGGCAGCTAGAGACAAAAAGTGGAGTCGAAGCTAGCAACCCCAGTGCATTAAATTTGGGGACTCGTCTTTTGCTGAGACAAAGAAGACCTCAAATCAGAGAGGGCATCAGCAGCAACATGAAAATGAACAGGAATGAAAAAAGAACCGGAAAGGCTATACTCTGGCCCAGCATGGTGGCTCACGCCTGTAATCCTAGCACTTTGGGAGGCCAAGGCAGGCGGATGACCTGAGGTCAGGAGTTCAAGACTAGCCTGGCCAACATGGTGAAACCCTGTCTCTACTAAAAATACAAAAATTAGCTGGGCGTGGTGGCACACGCCTGTAATCCCAGCTACTTGGGAGGCTGAGGCAGGAGAATCCCTTGAATCCAGGAGGCAGAGATTGCAGTGAGCCGAGATCATGCCATTGCACTCCAGCCTGAGCCACAGAGCGAGACTCCATCTCAAAAAAAAAAAAAGAAAGAAAGAGAGAGAAAGAAAGAAAGAGAGAGAGAGAGAGAGAGAGAAAGGTCATACTTAGATACAATAGATTAAAAGTCAAAAACTGTAAAGAGAGGCAAAGAAGGTCACTGTATAACAATGAAAATGCCAATACAGCAAGAGGATATAACAATTGTATATATGTATGTACCCAACACTGGAACACAGAAATATATAAGGCAAACATTTGAAGATCTAAACAGAGTGATAGAATGGCGTACAACAACACTGGGAGACTTCAGTACTCCACTTTCAGTAATGGACAGCTTAATTAGACAAAGAAACATTGAAATTAAACTGTTCTCTAGACCAAATGAACTTAACTGACCTTTACAAAATATTTCATCCAATTGCTATAGAATATACATTCTTGTCATCAGCATATGGAACATTCTCCAGTATAGAGCATATGTTAGGCCACAGAACAAGGCTAAACAAATTTAAGAAAAGACCCGAAAATATGAAATTACTAGAATAAGAGCCTGGGGAAATGCTTTAAGACATTGTTCTGGGGAAAGATTTTTTGTATAAGATCTGAAAAGCACTGGCAATCAAAGCGAAAATAGACAAATGAGAGTAAATCAAGCTAGAAAGCTTCTGCACAGCAAAGAAAACAACAAAGTGAGGAGACAACCTACAGAAAGAGAGAATATCTTAGCAAACTATTGATCTAACAATGGAATAACAAATCACAATGTAAAACAAACTCAGCTCAATAACCAAAAACCAAATTATCTGATTTACAAATGGGCAAATGATCTGAATAGGCATTTCTGAAACAAAGACACAAATGGCCAACAGATATATGAAAATACGTTAAACATCACTAACCGTCAGGGAAACGCAAATCAAAACCATGTGAGATACCATATTACCCCAGTTCAAATGGCTCTTACTAAAAAGACAGAGAATAACAGTTGCTGGCTAGGAAGCAAAGAGGAATGCTTGTATACTGTTGCTGTAAATGTATATTAATACAGCCACTATGGGACATAGGATGGAGTTTCCCCAAAAAGCTAAAAATAGAGTTACCGTATGATGCAGCAATCCCGCTGCTGAGTATATATTCAAAAGAAAGGAAACCAGTACAGCAAAGAGATATATGCATTGCCATGTTTATTGCATCATTATTCACAATAGCAAAGATATAGAATCAACCTAAGTGTTCACTGACGGATGAATGGATTAAGAAAATGTGACATACATATAAAAAGGAAGATTATTGAGCCAGAAAAAGGAATAAAATCCTGTCATCTGCAGCAACATGAATGGAACTGTAGGACACTACGTTAAGTGAAATAAGCCAGATGCAGAAAGACAAATTATCACATGTCCTTACTCATGTGCAGGAGCTGAAAGAATCCATCTCATGGAACTATAGAGTAGAATGGTGGATACCAGAAGTTAGGAAAGGAGGGGAATGAAGAGAGGTTGGTTAATGGCTACAAAAATACAGTTGGACAGAAGGAGTAAGTTCTAGTGTTCAATAGCATACTTAGGGCGACCATAGTTAGCAATAATTTAATGCTTATTTCCAAATACCTAAAAGAACATTTGAAATGTTTCCAACACAAACAAATAATAAATGCATTAGGTGATGAGTATCCCAGTTATCCTTTTTTGGTTATCACACATTTTGTGGATGCATGAAAATATATGTACTACATAAATATGTACAATTATATGCAAATTTTAAAAATAGGCAAAGCTCTTAAATATACAATTCTCCAAAGAAGATATACAAATAGCCAACAGTTCTATGAAAGATGCTTCCATTATTAGTCTTTTCAGAAACGTAAATCAAAACCACCTGATGGTACCAATTAACACCCACTAGAATGGGAATTACTTAAAAAGAACAAATATCAGTGGAGAGGTGGAGAAGTTAGAACTCTTCTAGAGTGTTGGTGGAAATGCTAAATTGTGCACCTGCTACAGAAAGCAGTTTATCAGTACTTCAAAAATTTAAACATAGAAGGAACCATATGAGCTAGCAACTCTACTCCTATGTATACACCACATATGATTGAAAACAAATACTCAAACAAGTACTTTTATATACTCACTGTATATATTTATTAACAATACCCAAAAGGTGAACATAAGCAAACATCCATCACTTGATGAATGGATAAACAAAATGTGATATATACATATGGATATTATTCAGCTACAAAATGAAATGAAGTACTGACATATATTACAACATGGATGAAATTTGAAAACATGCTAAGTGAAAGAAGAAAGAAAAAAGGCTACTTATTGTGATGATCAGTAGTGAGGGAAAGTAGATTAGTGTTTGCTAGGAGCTGGGCAGAGAGTGGAATGGGGAATGACTGCTTAATGAGTTCACGGTTTTCTTTTGTGGTAATGAAAATTATTTGCCACTACACAGAGGTAGTGCTTGCACTGCATTGTGAATGTACTAAATGCCACCAAATTTGAACATTTTAATGGTTATTTTTATGTTACATGAATTTTACCAACACAGTTTCAAAAAGTGCCAATATTTTTAAACCTATCATTATTTCCAAGAATAATTAATTACATTTGAAAAGTACTCAAGTTATCAGTGAAGAAAACTTGTTTCAATGATTATACTACAGGGGAATTTGAACATTAGTTTATAAATGTACATATTATATGTGCATAGGAAAGAGATCATAATACATAGCATAGATATTTTAAAAGTGATTACTTCTCACTAGGTTTGACCTACCATATGTTTTCTGCTTGTAATTTCTTAAAGTTTTTCTAGAGTAAAATATAAAAAAACTCAAGCACTCAAAAGTATATATTGATATGGATATATTCAAAGATTATAAGGTGATGCCGAAGATTTTGTACAAAATTGCAAACAGTATGAATCCAATTATATTGAATGTAAAATGTGTGTGGGACTGTGTGTATTCATATCTGTTTATATGCATATACAGATTTAAAAATGCCATATATATATTTTTTTAGACAGGGTCTCGCCCTGTCATCCAGGCTGGAGTGCAGTGGCATGATCGTGGCTCACAGCAGCCACGACCTCCCTGGGCTCCGGTGATCCTCTCACCTCCACCTCCTGTGTAGCTGGGCCCACAGGTGCATGCCACCACGCACAGGTATATTTTGTATTTTTTGTAGAGACAGGGTCTCACTAAATTGCCCGAGATGGTCTCAAACTCCCGGGCTCAAGCAATCCTCCTGCCTTAGCCTCTCAAAATGTTGGGATTACAGTCGCGAGCCACCACACCCAGCCAATGGCATATATTTCAAATCATGGTCAGTGTTATAGTGAGTATATGTTTGAATATGATATTTTTGGCCAACAAATTCATATCTTTAATTCATAGTTATATAAACAGACATTAATGAAACATTGTAGCTGCATGTGAGTGGTGTGAATACATCCATCTTACAGTTTTCTTAGGGTTCACATCTAAGTGACTGAATGTGAGAGATGCCTAATTCAATTATCATGTATTGGATGTTGTTTTGCTTCTTTTGAGTTTTTAAAGATAAAATTTGAAGGTAAGAATTAGAGCTAAAATCTCAAGAATAATCTTAAAATCCTAATTTTCAGAGGTATAAGTATGTATAATATACATATTTATATGATATGTAAATATTTATGTGTTTATATACATATAAACACATTTTTAGATTAAAAAGAGCAAACAACTTATTTTTTAATGACTAGTATAATCACGAAGTTCTTTGCAAATAATTTATTGTCTAAAATATAGAAATTGCAAATTTTATATGACAATGTCAAAAATTGGTCAGGAACCAAATTTTAGAATGAAAATTTTTACTTTACAATACATAGCTAAATCCAATTTTTTTTTTTTTTTTTTTTCTGAGACAGGCCCTCCCTCCGTTGCCCAGGTGGGAGTGCAGTGGTGTGATGTCAGTTCACTGCAACCTTGGCCTCCCGGATTCAAGCGATTCTCCTGCCTTAACCTTCCGAGTAGGTGTGATTATAGGTACTCGCCACCACACCTGGCTTATTTTTGTATTTTCAGTAGACACGGCATTTCAACATGGTGCCCAGGCTGGTCTCAAACTCCTGACCTCAAGTGATCCGCCCGACTCGGCCTCCCAAAATGTTGGGATTACAGGCATGAGCCACTGCTCCTGGCCTGAATCCAATTTAAATGTAAATTTACTGTGGTGTTTGACTGTTTGACTGTATATATAGAACTTTTATCTATGTATTGAAAGTGGGAGCAAATACGAAAAAGGGTATCAGTGTTTTTTATTTTTATTTTTTGAGACGGATTCTCGCTCTTGTTGCCCAGCCTGGAGTGCAATGGTGCGATCTTTGCTCACTGCAACCTCCACCTCCCGGTTCAAGCGATTCTCCTGTCTCAGCCTCCCGAGTAGCTGAGATTATAGGCATGTGACACCACGCCCAGCTAATTTTTATATTTTTAGTAAAGGCGAGGTTTCGCCATGTTGGTCAGGCTGGTCTCGATCTCCTGACCTCAAGTGATCCGCCTGCCTTGGCCTCCCAAAGTGCTGGGATTATTGGCGTGAACCACCGCGCCCAGCCTTCAGTGTTTAATACACAGTTGTATGGCATTGCTTTTCTCTTGATCACCACATTTTTTTTAGCTTCTTTGCGAATCCCACCTCTTTGTTACTAATGTGAAAATACAGGACTGATTCCTAACTGATAAACAGTAACACACATACACAGCAAACTCATAGGACATAGTTGTAAGCCATTGCAGTTTAATGACCCAGGAAAATGTTTGTGTTACACTGTTATATAATGAAACTGTAAGACAAAATCCTGGGATCCATCTGATTAGCATTTATAGTCATTCCTGTATTTATGTACATTCAAGTAGGGTTGTGTGTGTCTGTCAAGCTTGAGAGCTATCTGGACTCTTATGTTAGAGCCCCACTAAATAGCGACCTCCCTCTCAACATACAAGGCCTACTGACTAGGTCTGAACATGGAGTAAACCTCCCAGGGAACCTGGGTAGGGAGTCAGGAGAAGAAACACGTGGCCTGGTGCCCAGATTTGCTGTCCTCCAAGACCTCAGATGTCAACATGTTTTTTTTCCTTTCTCTTTAGACATGGATCCCTGAGGTCGGTCCCCAATACGACAAGACAATTTGATATCATAATAGAACACTGCAGAAACAATGCTGAGTGAAGAAGAGTAGAAATGGGAAGACTTGGTTGAGCGGAAACTGAGTTCTTGAAAAGAGGAGATGCTTGATGAGGGTGAGTGGATTACACCTCAGTTTAATATCCAGCAGAAGCCAAAAGTGGAATACCATTACGCAAATGTAGCAAAATGTTAGGTAGCCATAGTTTCTGGTGTCTTTGTCTCTTCTTGGCCTTTTTTTTGAAACGTGATGGGCGGGAGAAGAGCTCCTGGAGCAAAGTTAGTTGGCTTTTCTCGTACAATACTGCCATCGTGCGGAAATAGTTTCATAGCGTCCAAAGCCGTGAGCGTTTCCTGCATGTAAGCCCTAGCAGTTGCGGAAGGAAAAGCCACCCAAGACACAAGTTGGCATTCCTACCCTTTTCTCTGAGGCCTAGCATAAGCAATAGACAAATGCAAAGTCTTAGTGAAGTATCTGCTGAGTGAGGGACCAGGACTAAGCCAACTGTTTCCAGGAACTCCTGGTACAGGAAATAGAGGACAGGGCCTCAGTTTCCTCATAGTGGGGACAAGACTAGAAGATGACAGAGCCAAGTGCAGACCCCTGGGGCATTTATGTTATGAATATGCCCTTGGGAGTTTTAGGCAATCTGGCTGTCCCTGTGTTATGCAGCTGTGACATTTATAGCAGCATCGTTAGATTGCAATGGACAGGACAGTTCCAGGGACAATCTATCTGAAGCCAGTGTCATTCACATGGTCCTCGATACACAAAAATTCTAAACACCATTGCCTACAACTAGAGGGACCTCTATAGAGGAGTGAGGATACACTGACATGCCTATGTGGGCCAGATCATCTTTTAGCAGAGCCGATTTGCTGAAGTGGATGAAGGCCAAGAATGTGATGGAAGGCCTAAGCAATTATCTGAGCGCACAAGCCAGCAGCTTCTGTGACTTTATAAGTTCAGGAGAAAGTCTTTTGTCATAATGGGACCCCGATGACATCTCATTTCTGTCAAGGAGGCCACATAGGTAGCTCTCTTCTGTTGGATGTCCCTGAGAAGGATGGCATTGTTTAGGCCTGAGCAAATCATTATTTACCTCATCCTAGCTAGTATTTTCTGTATCAGCTTCAAAGCTATTTCCTGATGAAGACATACAACCTTTGGTGTGGAGACCTCCAGAAACTCTATGACTCATAATTGAGGAATCAATAAGAGTGGCTAAAATTGTATGGGTGACTTATTCCTCATGACATTCTTCCTCAGAATTTATTATTTCAGTATCTGAATTCTTAATGAAAGGAATTAATGTTAGTCTGGTTCTGCACTGTGACATTACAGTGCTTCAAGAGCTTGTTCAGGTATGACCTCTCCTGGCCTCTGAGGATTCAGGCAGGCATTCCAGGGTAAGGCATTCTAGGGTAGCCTGGCTTTTTTGACATCTTTGACTGTGTCTAGCTCTCTCTCTAGCTGGTTTTGTTGAGTTGAATGATGATCTGCAGACATAGATACTATTGGCATGCATGAATGCCTTGGAGACGCTAGGGGAAGCATTTCTCCATGATCCTTGTTCCTGGAAAGGACAAAAAGGATATCTTACCTCCCCAGAGTATTTCACCTAAAATAGACTTAGACATCTGCTAAACTGCCTCCTATGGAGGAATAGTTTGACTCGACCATTTTCATGGAAGAATACAGACCTACCTATGGAACAGTACCTCATATCTGAAGGTAGAAAGGCTGGTGGTGCCAATCCTAGAATTCTTTAGGCTAAGTGGTCTTTTATTCACCCCTTGCTAACTATCTTTAATAAAGAGGCTATGTGCCTGGGCAGTGGATGGAAGCCTGGAAAGGAAATCACACCTAGCCAAGTTCCAGTGGTAGTGACAAGGAGGTTGATTGGTTTATTCTGCAATGAAAGGTAGTGTGGAGGGGCAATGAGCCTATCATTCCCATTTAGGTTGGGTACATGTCATTCATCTACACCAGATAGTCCCTTTATCCTTCACATTTTTTTTTTTGAGGCGGAGTCACCTTCTGTCACCCAGGCTGGAGTGCACTGGCATGATCTCAGCTCACTGCAACCTCCGCCTCCCGGGTTCAACCAACTCTCCTGCCTCTGCCTCCCAAGTAGCTGGGATTACAGGCATGCGCCACCACACACAGCTAATTTTTGTATTTTCAGTAGAGACGGGGTTTTCACCATATTGGCCAGGCTGGTCTCGAACTCCTGTCCTTGTGATCCACCTGCCTTGGCCTCGCAAAGCGCTGGGATTACAGGCATGAGCCACCGTGCCTGGCCCATCACAAGATCTTAATTGCATTCTCTGTGGCCTCATAAACAGCCATTCCCTGCCTCTGATTTAGGGAGAAAAGAAAAATTATAGAACCTTGAGGATTAAACTTACCACACGGTAAGATAAATGACAAAGTAAAGTGTATGTTACTCTACTTCTAACATGTCAGAACCTTAAACCAAACATGTAGTCAAATATGTATTCTAGAGAGCCAAAATGCACATTGTGATGCATCTGTTATAATTTAAACAAAAAATTGGCCAGGTGCAGTGGCTCACGCCTCTAATCCCAGCACTTAGGGAGGCCAGGGTGGGCAGATCACCTGAGGTCAGGAGTTTGAGACCAGCCTGACCAACATGGAGAAACCCCATCTCTAATAAAAATACAAATTTAGCCGGGCCTGGTGGCGCATGCCTGTAATCCCAGCTACTTGGGAGGCTGAGGCAGGAGAATCGCTTGAACCTGGGAGGCAGAAGTTGCGGTGAGCCGAGATCAAGCCATTGCACTCCAGCCTGGGCAACAAGAGCGAAACTCCATCTCAAAAAAAAAAAATTATAAATAAATAAATACTGTCTACTTTTCTAAAGGAATGTTTTTGAACATATATTTTTCAGATTTTCCTTCATTTACATTGAAGGCTTGAAATGTTGAAAACAACACTTAGTATTGATGATATTTAAATGAATTCATGCTCCTGAAAGCTTTGTTAAAATATACATGTGATCTGCTCCAAACTACAATGTAAAGTGTAACCCAATTTCAATACAGATTTATTATTTGCATGAAATTAGGAATGTATCTATAGCTGGGTGCAGTGGGTCACACTTGTAATCCCAGGACTTTGGGAGGCTAAGGATTTTGGATGCCTTGAGGTCAGGAGTTCGAGACCAGCCTGGCCAACATGGCGAAACCCCATGTCTACTAAAAATGCAGAACAATTAATCAGGTCTGGTGGCCTGCGCTTGTAATCCCAGCTACTAAGGAGACTGAGGCAGGAGATTTGCTTGAACCTGGAGGTTGCAATGAGCCGAGACTGCGCCGTTGCACTGTAGCCTGGGTGACAGAAAAAGTTTCGCTCCCCCCAAAGAGAAAAAGTGTATGTGTGTATATATATATATATATATATATATGTATATATTTCTCTATGTGTATATATATATGTATATATTTCTATATATATATATATGGAAATACTCCATATATATATTATATATATATGGAAATACTCCATATATATTTTATATATATGGAAATACTCCATATATATATTTTATATATATGGAAATACTCCATATATATATTTTATATATATGGAAATACTCCATATATATATTTTATATATATGGAAATACTCCATATATATATTATATATATGGAAATAATCCAAATGGTTATTTTTTGCCTTGACAAATTGTATCGTAGTGCTTTTCATCTTTATTAGTACATTGATTTTTCTCAATCTTTGTCAAGCATTATTCTTTAATTAACCAGTAGGAGAATACTGTAAGACTTATATCTAAAATACAAATTATTTAAAAATAGACACACACACACACACACACACACACACACACAAACAGACACACCACTTAAAGTCTCAGGAAATACCTGAAGAATATGTAGTGTCATGGGATCATGCCGTGTTTTGATGTTAAATGATGAGACCATGAGATGAAACTCTGAGTAACCTCGACAGGAACTGAACATATGTAGTATGAGTATCATGCCATGTGGAGCACATATGGCATGTAGCAATGACAGCTTTCTGGTTCCTCCTCTATGGTTCTTGCCAAATTGTTGCCTACAATGCAACACATGCGGTAGAACATGAAGAACTTCCTGGTTGTCGGGAAGGGGAGCCAGGTCAGAGACCACCAAGGTCTGTAACTTGTTTGCTGGAAAAGATCTCCTCTGAGGTTCAAGCAGTTTTATCCTTGTGCCCTCATCCCCAAATTTATCCCCTGAGGAGGCAGTTTGATGCCATGGAGACTACTGGACCTGTAAGTCTGAGGTAATTCATAATCATATAGACTAGGTTAGGAAGATTTTAAGTTTCTGAAGGAGTAAGATTCCCGATGAGGGTGGGTGGTTTAGGCCTTGGTTTGATTTCAGATGGGAAACAAAAGTGACACAGTAAGACCAGATGACTCCAAACTGGGCAAAAAACAAGGCAGCCATATTTTCTTGTGCCTTTGTGTCTGGGTGGCGTTTTTTCAGACAGGGAGGGCGGGAGAAGAGGGAATCCAAGACACATCTTGGCACATCTAGAGCACTAGTCCCATCGTAAGGTGATAGTTTAAAGACACCCTACGCCACGTCAACGTCCTTCCCCTGAGGGCTACCTGTTGGAGAAGGTCTGGTCTGTGGGGAGGTAGAAAAGGCCTGGGATCCATGCTGATCCTCCTTGCCTTCTCGTCTAACGCCTTAAAAGAGATTTGGACTTTGGCGGTGTCTTGGTATAGAACCTGGATAGTGAAGGAAAGCAAATCCTGTAAATTTCCCTTGGAGGAACCCTGTCAATTGTGGGCGGATACTGATGCCGCAAGAGACCCAAAGACCTGTAGCAAGATGACACCATGGGAAAGCCCGCCAGCTCTTGCTCTAAGGGGCAGGAACAGGAGACAGATTCCCACAAGAGCAAGAATTCGACTTTGAGTGGGTTCCTGCTGTCCTGCCCAAACCAGGAGGAACCGAGGCCCCGCTCCCGACTTCCTGTGCCGGGGCCGCCTGGCAGCCGCTGCCTCACTCCAAGCCCCTTACTGTCCAGTTTCTACACCAAGATACCGTCAATGTCCAGAGCTCTCTTAAGACCTGAGAGGAGAAGGCAACAAGACCTAGTCTGGAGCCCAATCCTCTTCCACCTCGGCCCAATTGAGACCTTCCCCCATAGCTTCCTGGGAAGGAGTGTGTGATGGCGGATTCTGTCTTTAAACAATTTCCTCACGGTGGCAGTAGTGATTCACATTTTTCATGGAAGCCCTATCTTGGCGCACTCTTCCCCCGCCTTTTATGTCTGAAAAAACGCCACTCAGAGGAAAAAGGCGCCACCAAATCTGGCTGCATGGAGATTTGTCCTGTTTGGTGCAACCTTGTCTTACTGTTGAATTTTTGCTATTTTTCTGTCCATCTGAAAACAAAATGAGGCCTGAACTACCCATGCTCCTCAGGAATCTTGTTCTTTCAGAAATTAAATATACTCCTCACTGTGTCTATCTGGATAGGATTTACTTCACACAGTTACAGTCCAGCAAGTTCCATCTGGATAGGATTTACTTCACACAGTTACAGTCCAGCAAGTTCCATGGCATCAAATTGTCTCCTTCAGGTGATAAACTTGGTGGATAAAAGTGCAATAAGGAAAAAATTATTTGAAACTAGGAAGAGATCTTTGGCAAACAATTTACAAATCCTGATGGTCTTTGACCTGGTTTCCCTCCCAGAAAACTAGGAGTTCTTCATGTTCTAGCCTCAAGTGTTGTTTGTAGTCAACAATTTGGCATGAGCCACAGAGTAAGGACCAGATAGCAGTCATAACTCCCTGGCCTATATGCTCCACATGGCGTGATCCTCATAGTCCCTATGTTCAGTTCCTATCGAGATCACTCAGTTTCATCTCATGGTCTCAACATTTAACACCAGAACACAGCATGTTCCCATGCATTACATACTCTTCAGGGATTTCCTGAGACATTAGATGCTGTGTGTGGGGGGGATGGGTGTGTGTGTTCTGTCCTGTCCCTTGGAGCAAGAGTTAGCAGGCTTTCAGGCAGTGTTACTGTATCACAGTCCTTTGTTGCAGCAGTATGAGAACACCAAAGACAGGCCTGTTCCAGGTGTGATAAAGCAGGAGCCAGTATGTTTGCTGATAGTCTCAAGGGCATCTAGTTGTCTAAAGACTGAAAGGACCTAAAGTTTTACATCTTCTAGTAGAGTTGTTTTTTGGTTTTGTTTTTTTAGATGGAGTCTTGCTCTGTCGCCCAGCCTGGAGTGCAGCAGCACGATCTCAGCTCACTGCATCCTCCGTCTCCCAGGTTGAAGGGATTCTCTTGTCTCAGCCTCCCGAACAACTGGGACTAAAGGTGGGTTCCACCAAGTTCGGCTAATTTTTGTATTTTTAGTAGAGACGGGGTTTCACCATGTGGGCCAAGCTGGTCTTGAACTCCTGACCTCAGGTGATCATCCCGTTTTGGCCTCCCAATGTGCTGGATTACAGGCGTAAGCCACTGTGCCCGGCCATTCTATTTATTTATTTATTTATTTAGTGGAGTTGTTACACATAAAGGGATGGGAAACAAAAGGAGTGAAAAGGATTGAAAATTAATCCACATTTTAAAAGTGCTTGTCTGTGGGAGGTAGCATTACCCATGATCTCACTTTGTTAGCGGTGGCAGTGAACCGAGTTACCCCGAGTAACAGGCGGCATATCCATATAGGTCCAGAGGAACTTCAGTCCTGGCGCCTCAGAAGAAAGAACTTCACTGAGGAGCATAAAGCAGGAAAAGAGACTGAGGCAAGATTCAGAGCAGGAGTGGAAGTTTATTTAACAGGCTTTAGAACAGGAAAGAAAGGAAAGAAAGAACCCTTGGAAGAGATCCAAGTGGGTGCCTGAATGGCCAAGAGAACAAAAAGACCTTTTAACCTTGATCATGGGACCTTATAGGCTTACCTCTTGCTCATGATTCTTCCTTTAGGGTGAGCTTTCCGCATGCGCAGTGCCCTCCTTACCCTTTGGAATTGAGCACTGTGCAGTGTGTTTAGGGAGTTATACACATGCCCATCTGAGGCTTTTTTCTTTTTTCTGGTGGCATGTACCCGGAACATCATATTTCGCCATTTTGTGTCTTAATACGCATGCCCAAGAAGCTGCTTCTCCCTGTGGCCTGCATTCAATTCGTACTTTTAATATTAACAGATGTGGATCATCAGGAGATTGTCTCTCCCAGGCTACCAAATTATCATTTTTAGAGGGGCAATGTGATCATTGCCGAACCATCATGTGACATTCCTACTGGGTCAGGGAGAGCCCTTTCCTGCCGTGCTCATTGCCTATCTATCTGTAACTACTTTTTCATATGTGACTATTTTGTCAGGCACATTTTGAAGAAGGATGAGTGTTCCTACAAATTCAAAAACAGGTAGCAAAAGTGACATCAATGACAATGGTGCAGTAGACACTTTCTGTAGTCCATCTCTCCAGAAAAGCAACTCAAAACAATCTATAATATGTAATTAGAAGATCATTTTCTCAGCACGATATATGGGGCATTTATTAAAACCTACAGCTAATAATATAGTCAAGAGGTAGACTGAAAACTTTGCTCCTAAAATCATGAACAGGAGAAAAATGCCCACTTTTGCCGCTTCTCTTAAACATTATACTTAAAATCTAGCTGGGGTCATCAGGCAATGAAGATATATAAAAAATATCCCAGTTGAAAAGAAAAAATGGAAATTATTTCTCTTCACAAATACAGTGATCTTATAAAAAATGCTGCCAGGCGCAGTGACTCGCACCTGTAATCCCAGCACTTCGGGAGGCTGAGGCATGTGAATCACCTAAGATCAGGAGTTCAAGACCAGCCTGGCCAACATGGTGAAACCCCGTCTCTACAAAAATACAAAAATTACCCGGGCATGATGGCGGGTGCCTGTAATTCCAGCTACTCGGGAGGCTGAGGTGGGAGAATCGTTTGAACCCAGGAGGCAGAGGTTGCAGTGAGCCGGAATCGTGCCATTGTACTCCAGTCTGGGCGACAGAGCAAGACTCCAGTCAAAAAAAAAAAAAAAAGCTCAAAAACCCAGAAAAACAGTATTAGAGGTAGTGAACAAGATCCAGCAAGCAACTGCAGGACAGAACATTAACTTGGAAAAATCAGTAGTAGTTGTGTACACTAGCAATGAATAATCTGAAAATTCAATTAAGAAAGCAATTCCATTTACAATAGCATCAAAATGAATCATAATTTCAGGACAATAATTAACTAAATAGATGAAAGTCTTGTACACTGAAAATCACAAAATAATGGAGAAGTTAAAGATAACCTAAATTTTAATAAAGAACATCCTGTGGTAATGGGTCTGAAGACTAAATATTTTTAACGTGGCAATACTACCCATAGAGATCTATAGATTTAATGTAATCCTTATTGTTATCCAATGAGCATTTTTTTTGTAAAAAAGGAACACAAATCCTAAAGATCCTATTGAATTGCAAGAGATCTGAATAACCAATGTAAACTCTGAATAAGAAAAACCAAGGTGGAAGACTCACACTTCTGGATTTCAAAACTTATTAGGAAAGCTGGAGTAATCAAAGCAGTGTGATAATCAAATAAGAATACACACAGTGATTAATGGAAAAGATGGAGAGCCTGGAAATAAACTCAGACACTGTGGTCAATTCATTTGTGACAAAGTTATTAAGGTCATTTTATGAGTAGTTAATAGAGTCTTTAACAAATAGTACTTAGACAACTGGTTATCTACATGCAAAAGGATGAATTTAGACCTCTACCTCACATTATATGCAAAAATTAACTCAAAATATATCAAATTTCTAAATATAAGAGCTAAAGCTATAAAACCTTCAGGGAAACTATAGGGATACATCTTCACAACTTTAGATTTGGCAATGATTTATTAGCTATACCACCAAAAGCAGCAATGACAAAAGAAAAAATAAATTGGACTTCCCTGAAATTAAAAACTTTTTGCATCAAAGTACACAATTCAGAACTTGAAAAGCCAACTTACAGAATGGGAGGAAATATTTCCAAATCAATTATCTAAAAACTTCTAATATCCAATAAAAACAAATAACTCTTAAAACTCAACAATAAACAGACAAATAACCCAATTTTTAAAAAATAGGCAAAGGGAGAGTGATATCACCAACATGGTATAGCAGAAGTGATCTGACTTTACCTCAAAGAAAAGTAAAAACAGCTGTGTAGAGACAAGATTACTAGAAGCAATATTCCAGAACTGAACATTGAGACTGTGACTATCCATGGGGCTATAAGGAAGTGAAAAAGTATGAGCAGCTAGAAAGACTAATGGACTTCTCTCTCCATGACTCCCCAACCCAAGGCTGCTAGGCACCATGTAGAAAAGTCCCCCTTGACTGGGCGCGGTGGCTCACGCCTATAATCCCAGCACTTTGGTAGGCCGAGGCAGGTGGATCACCTGAGGTCAGGAGTTTGAGACCAGACTGACCAATATGGTGAAACCCCGTCTCTACTAAAAATACAAAAATTAGCCGGGCGTGGTGGTGTGCCCCTATAATCCCAGCAACTCGGGAAGCTGAGACAGGAGAATTACTTGAACCTGGGAGGCAGATGTTGCAGTGAGCCCAGATTGCGCCACTGCACTCCAGCCTGGGTGACAGAGTGAGATTCCATCCCCCTGCTCCCCCCCCCACCAAAAAAAAGGAAGAAAAGAAAAAAAGAAAAGTACCCCTTGGTTCACAGTTTCCTCTGTAAAATGTGAGATCAAGGCAGAGAGCTAGCTTCTCTCCCATTTTGGTGTCCTTTGCAGGGATCCTATTCTTGCCTCAATCCCTAGGAGGCATCCTGACTGCCTGTAGGAGGAAAAATCCCTGAGGGGGTAGTCTGAGACTGAAAGTGGAGTTGAAGCTAGCAACCCCAGTGCATTAAATCTGGGGACTTCTCTTTTACTCAGGCAAAGAAGATCTCAAACCAGAGCGGGACATCAGCAACAACATGAAAATGAACAGGAATGGAAAAAGAACAGGAAAGGCTAGACTTATATAAATTAGATTAAAGTCAAAAACTGTAGAGAGAGACAAAGAAGGTCACTGTATAACAATAAAGATGCCGGCCGGGCGCGGTGGCTCACGCCTGTAATCCCAACACTTTGGGAGGCCGAGGCGGACGGATCATGAGGCTAGCAGATCGAGACCTTCCTGGCCAACACGGTGAAATCCCGTCTCTACTAAAAATACAAAAATTAGCCGGGCGTGGTGGCAGGCGCCCGTAGTCCCAGCTGCTCCAGAGGCTGAGGCAGGAGAATGGCATAACCTGGGAGGGGGAGCTTGCAGTGAGCGGAGATCGCGCCACTGCACTCCAGCCTGGGCGACAGAGCCAGACTCAAAAAACAAACAAACAAAAAAAACAAAACAAAACAAAAAATGAAGATGCCAATTCAGTAAGAGGATATAACAATTTAAAATATGTACGTACCCAACACTGGAACACACAAATAGATAAGGCAAACATTTGGAGATCTAAACGGAGAGATAGACAGGTGTACAACAATAGTGGGAGACTTCAGTACCCCACTTTCAGTAATGGACAGCTTATCCAGACAAAGAAACATTGGAATTAAACTGTACTCTAGACCAAATGAACTTAACTGACATTTACAAAATGTTTCATCCAATTGCTGTAGAATATACATTCTTGTCATCAGTCAGCACATGGAACACGCTCCAGTATAGAGCATGTGTTAGGCCACAGAACAAGGCTCAACAAATATAAGAAAAGACCCGAAAATATGAAAGTACCAGAAGAAGAGACTGCGGAAATGCTTTAAGACATCATTTTGGGCAATGATTTTTTTGTGGGAGACCTCAAAAAGCACTGGCAATCAAAGCAAAAATGGACAAATGAGAGTAAATCAAGCTAGAACGCTTCTGCCCAGCAAAGAAAACAATAAAGTGAGGAGACAACCTACAGTAAGAGAGAATATATTTGCAAACTTAAAAAAGCTCAGCTCAATAGAAAAAAAACAAATATATCTGATTTACAAATGGGCAAATGATCTGAATAGACATTTCTGAAAGAAAGGCACACAAATGGCTAACGGATACATGAAAAAATGCTCAACATCACTAATCATCAGGGAAATGTAAATCAAAACTACAGTGGGGTACCGTATTTCCCCAGCTCAAATGACTCTTACAAAAAAGACAGAGAGTAACAGGTGTTGGCTAGTAAGCAGAGAAAGAGGAATGCTTGTATAATGTTGCCTGCAATGTACATTAATACAGCCTCTATGAGACACAGGATGGAGTTTCCCAAAAATACTAAAAATAGAATTACCATATGATGTAGCAATCCCACTGCTGGGAAATCAGTACTATATATATATATATATGCATTCTCATGTTTATTGCAGCATTATTCACAGTAGTCAAGATATGGAATCAACCTAACTGTTCATTAATGGATGAATGGATTAAGAAACTGTGGCATACATATAAAATGGAAGATTATTTAGCCAGAAAAAAGAATGGAATTCTGTCATCTGCAGCAACATGAATGGAACTTTAGGACACTATGTTAAGTGAAATAAGCCAGATACAGAAAGACAAATTATCACATGTCCTCACTCATATGTAGGAGCTAAAGGAATCCATCTCATGGTATGTATAGAGTAGAATGGTGGGTACCAGAAGTTAGGAAGAGAGGGGAATGAAGACAGGTTTGTTAATGGCTACAAAAATACAGTTAGACAGAAGGAGTAAGTTCTAGTGTTCAACAGCACAGTTAGGACATCTATAGTTGACAATAATTTAATGGTTATTTCCAAATAGATAAAACACATTTGAAATGTTCCCGAACACAAATAATAAAT
The DNA here is from genome assembly GCF_000001405.40 of Homo sapiens. Classification (NCBI taxonomy): domain Eukaryota; kingdom Metazoa; phylum Chordata; class Mammalia; order Primates; family Hominidae; genus Homo; species Homo sapiens. Next base: position 131,772,104 of record NC_000023.11, on the reverse strand, counting down.
GCAGTAGGGAATGAGTATCCCAGTTTTCCTTTTTTGGTTATCACACATTTTATGCATACATCAAAATACCATGTGTACCCCATAAATATGTACAACTATAATGCATCAATTTTAAGAATAGGCAAAGGTCTTAAATAGACAATTCTCCAAAGAAGATACACAAATGACCAACAATTACATGAAAACATACTTCCATTATTAGTGTTTTCAGAAATGTAAATCAGAACCACTTCATGATACCACTTAACACCCACTAGAATGGATATTACTTAAAAAGAACAAATATGGGTGGGGAGGCGGAGAAATTGGAACCCTTCTGCAGTGAAGGTGGGTATGCTAAATTGCGCATCTGCTATGGAAAAGTTTATCAGTCCTTCAAAAATTTAAACATAGAAATAACCGTATGACCTAGCAGCTCTACTCCTAAGTATACTCCGCAAACAATTGAAAACAAATACTCAAAAAAGTACATGTATATACTCACTGTATATATTTATTAACAATACCCAAAAGGTGAACACAAGCAAACATCAATCACTTGATGAATGGATAAACAAAATGTGATATATACATATGGATATTATTCAGCTACAAAAAGAAATGAAGTACTGACATATATTACAACATGGATGAAATCTGAAAACATGCTAAGTGAAAAAAGCAAAATGAAAAAGGCCCCTTATTGTGATGATCAGTAGTGAGGGAAAGCAGATGAGTGTTTGCCAGGGGCTCGGCATAGAGTGGCATGGGGAATGACTGCTTCATGGGTCCAGGGTTTTCTTTTGTGGTAATGAAAATTATTTGCCACTACACAGAGTTAGTGCTTGCACTGCATTGTGAATGTACTAAATGCCGCTGAATTTCACACATTTTAATGGTTAATTATATGTTACATGAATTATACCAACACAGTTTTAAAAAGTGCCAATATTTTTAAACCTATCATTATTTCCAGGAATAACTAATTATATTTGAAAAGTACTCAAGTTATCAGTTACAACATGGATGAAATCTGAAAACATGCTAAGTGAAAAAAGCAAAATGAAAAAGGCCCCTTATTGTCATGATCAGTAGTGAGGGAAAGCAGATGAGTGTTTGCCAGGGGCTCGGCATAGAGTGGCATGGGGAATGACTGCTTCATGGGTCCAGGGTTTTAACAACTTGTTTTAACAATTATACTACAGGGGAATTTGAACATTAGTTTATAAATGTACATATTATATGTGCAAAGGAACAAATCATAATACGTAGCCCAAACATTTTAAAAGTGATTATTTCTTCTCACTGTGTTTGACCTACCATATGTTTTCTGCTTATAATTCTTAAAATTCTTCTAGAGTAAAATATAAAAAAACTCAAGCACTCAGAAGTATATATTGATATGGATATATTCAAAGATTATAAGGTGATGCTGAGGATTTTGGACCAAATTTCAAATAGTATGAATCCAGTTATATTGAAAGTAAAATGTGTGCGGTACTCTGTGTGTATTCATATCTGTTCATATGCATATACAAATGTTTAAATACCATATATATGTTTTTTTTACACAGGATCAGACTCTGTTGCCCAGACTGGAGTGCAGTGGCAGGATCATGGCTCAGTGCAGCCTCAACCTCCCTGGACTCAGGTGATCCTTTCACCTCCACTTCCTGAGTAGCTGGGACTACAGGTGCATGACACCATGCCTGGCTATTTTTTTTTTTTTTTTTTTTTTTTAGAGACAGGGACTCGCTACATTGCCAAAATTGCTAATTACTAAATTGGTCTTGAACTCTCAGGCTCAAGTGATCCTCCTGCCTCAGCCTCCAAGAGTGCCAGGATTAGAGTTGTGAGCCACCACGCCTGGCCAATGCCATATATTTTATATCATGGTCAGTGTTATACTGAGCATGCATTTGAATATGATATTTTTGACCAATAAATTCATATCTTTAATTCATAGTTACATAAACAGAGACATTAATGAAACATTATAGCTTCATGTGAGTGGTGTGAATACATCCATCTTAAAGTTTTACTGGGGTTCACATCTAAGTGACTGAATATGAGATGTGCCTATTTCAATTATCATTTATTGAATTTTGTTTTCTTTCTTTTGAGATTTTAAAGATAAAATTTGAAGGTAAGAATTAGAGATAAAAATTCAAGAATAATTTTAAAATCCTAATTTTCAGAGGCATAACTATGTAAAATATATATATTTATATATGTGTTTATGTATGTATAAATAGATTTTATAGATTAAAAAAGCAAGGTGAGATCTTAATTCTTAATGACTAGTCCAATCACATAGTTCTTTGCAAATATTTTATTGTCCAAAATTCAGAAATTGCAAATTTTATATGACAATGTCAAAAACTGGTCAGAAATCAAATTTTAGAATGAAAATCTTCATTCATACTATGGAATATTCATACTAAAATGCAGTGCATAGCTAAATCCAATTTAAATGTAAATTCATTGTGTTGACTATATATAGAACTTTTTATCTATGTATTGAAAAATGGAATAAATATGGAAAAGGGTATCAGTGTTTAATATACAGTTTTATGAGACTGCTTTTCTCTTGATCAGCACATGGGTTTTTTTTTTTTACTTCTTTGCAAATTCCACCTTTTTGTTACTAATGAGAAAATATAGGACTGAATCCTAACTGGAAAACAGTAACACATATACACAGCAAAGTTATAGGGCAGTCTTAAGCCATGGCCATTTAATGACACAGGAAAATGTTTGTGTTCCAACGTTAAATAATGAAACCATGAGACAAAATCCTGTGATCCATCTGATTAAAATTTATAGTCATTCCTGTGTTTGTGTCCATTCGAATCGGGTTCTGTGTCTCTGTCAAGCTTGAGAACTACCTGGTCCCTTATCTTAGAGCTCCACTAAATGGCAGCCTCCCACTCAACATATAAGGCCCAATGCCTGGATCAGAACATGAAATGGAACTCCTAGGGAACCTGGGTAGGGAGTCAGGACAAGAACCACATGGCCTGGCCGGGCTCGGTGGTTCACGCCTGTAATCCTAGCACTTTGGGAGGCCGAGGCAGTCGGATCAGGAGGTCAGGAGATCCAGACCATCCTGGCTAATGCGGTGAAACCCCGTCTCTACTAAAAAAAAAAAAAAAAAAAAAAAAAAAAAAAAAAAAAAAATTAGCCGGTCGTGGTGGCGGGCGCCTGTAGTCCCTGCTACTCAGGAGGCTGAGGCAGGAGAATGGCGTGAACCCGGGAGGCGGAGCTTACAGTGAGCCGAGATAGCGCCACTGCACTCCAGCCTGGGCAACAGAGCAAGACTCTGTCTCAAAAAAAAAAACAAATGAACCACATGGCCTGGTGCCTAGATTTGCTCTTCTCCAAGACCTTAGGTGTTAACATTTCTTTGTTTGTTTGTTGTTTCCTTAGGCATGGATCCCTGAGGTCTGCCCCAGTACTATAAGACAATTTGATGTAAGAAAACACAGCAGATATAATACTGAGTGAAGAAGAGTATAAATGAGAAGATTGGTTGTGCAGATACTGAGTTCATGAAAAGAGGAGATGATTGATGAGGGTGAGTGGATCACACCTCGGTTTAATATCCAATGGAAAACAAAAGCAAAATGCTAAGAGTGGAATAAGTTTACACAAATTGAGCAAACTGCTAAGTAGTTCTAGTTTCTGGTGTCTTTGTCTCTTCTTGGCCTTTTTTTGAAATGTGATGGGCGGGAGAATAGCGCCTAGAGCAAAGTCAGTTGGCTTCTCCCGTACAATACTGCCATCGTGCGGAAACAGTTTCGTAGCATCCAAAGCCGTGAGCGTTTCCTCCATGTGAGCCCTAGCAATTGAAGGAAAAGCCAGTGAAGGCTGAACAGACCCGAGACACAAGTTGATCTTCCTATCCTTTTCTCTGAGGCCTGGCAGAAGCAATGAACAAATGCAAAGTCTCCGTGAAGTATCTGCTGAGTGAGGGAGCAGGACTGAGCCAGCTGCTTCCAGGAAGTTTTGGCACAGGAAGTAGAGGACAGGGCCTGTTTTCTCATAGTGGGGACAAGGCTAGAAAATGATACAGCCAAGTACAGACCCTTGGGGCATTTATGTTATGAATATGCCCTTGGGAGCTTTAGGCAACCTGGTTGTCCTTGTGTTGTGGGGCTGTGACATTTATAGCAGCAGTGTTGGCTGGCAATGACAGGCCAATTCCAGGAACCATCTATCTGAAGTCAGCGTCACTCACATGGTCCTCAATACACTAAAATTCTAACCACCATTGCCTATAGCTAGAAGGACCTCTGTAGAGCAGTAAGGATACACTGAGATGCCTATGTGGGCCAGATCATCTTTTAGGAGAGCTGATATGCTAAAGAGGATGAAGGCCAAAAATGCAATGGAAGGCCTAAGCAATTATCTGAGCGCACAAGCCAGCAGCTTCTGTGACGTTATAGGTTCAGGAGAAAGTCTTTTGTCATAATAGGACGCCGATGTCATCTCAGTTCTCTCAAGGAGGGCAGATAGGTGGCTCTTTTCTGTTCGATGTCCTTGGTAAGTATGGCATTGTTTAGGCCTGAGCAAATCATTATCTACTGCATCCTAGCTAGTATTTTCTGTAGCAGCTTCAAATCTATTTCCTAATGAAGATATCCAACCTTTGGTGTGGAGACCTCTAGATACTTTATGACTCATAATTGAGAATCAAAATGGTGACTAAAAGTGTATGGGTGACTTGATCCTCATGACATTCTTCCTCAGAATTTATTATTTTAGTATCTGAATTCTTAATGAAAGGAATTAATGTTAGTCTGGTTCTGCACTGTGACATTACAGTGCTTCAAGAGCTTGTTCAGGTATGACCTCTCCTGGCCTCTGAGGATTCAGGCAGGCATTCCAGGGTAAGGCATTCTAGGGTAACCTAGCTTTTTTGACATCTTTGACTTTGTCTAGTTGAATGATGATCTGCATACATAAATGCTATTGGCATGCACAAGTGTCTTGGAGACTCTCTGGGAAGCATTTCTCCATGACCCTTGATATCTTACCTCCCCAGAGTATTTCACCTAAAGTAGACTTAGACATCTGCTAAACTACCTCCTATGGAGGAATAGTTTGACCTGACCATTTTCATGGAAGAATACAGACCTACCTATGGGACAGTGTCTCATATCTGAAGGTAGAAATGCTGGTGTCCCCAAACCTAGAATTCTTTAGGCTAAGTGATCTTTTATTCACCCCTTGCTAACTATCTTTAATAGAGGCTGTGTGCCTGGGCAGTGGATAGAAGCCTGGCAAGGAAATCACACCTAGCCAAGTACCAGTGGTAGTGACAAGGAGGTTGATTGGTTTATTCTGCAATGGAAGATAGTGTGGAGGGGCAATGAGCCTATCATTCCCATTTAGGTTGGATACATGTCATTCATTTGCACCAGGTAGTCCCTTTAGCCATCATAAAATCTTAATTGCATTCTCTGTATCCTCGTAAACAGCCATTCCTTGCCTCTGATTTAGGGAGAATAGCAAATTGTTGAACCTTGTGGATTAAACCTACCACACCATAAGATAAATAATAAATAACAAAGTAAAGTGTATTTTACTCTACTCTTTTTTTTTTTTTTTTTTTTGAGGTGGAGTCTCGCTCTTTCACCCAGGCTGGAGTGCAGTGGCGCAATCTCGGCTCACTGCAAGCCCTGCTTCCTGGGTTCACACCATTCTCCTGCCTCAGCCTCCTGAGTAGCTGGGACTACAGACGCCAGCCACCACGTCTGGCTAATTTTTTGTATTTTTAGTAGAGACGAGGTTTCACCGTGTTAGCCAGGAAGGTCTCGATCTCCTGACCTCATGATCCGCCCGCCTCGGCCTCTCAAAGTGCTGGGATTACAGGCATGAGCCACCGCGCCCAGTGCATTTTACTCTACTTCTAACATGTCATAACCTTAAACCAAACATATAGTCATGTATGTATTCTAGAGAGCCAATACGCACGTTGTGATGCATCTGTAAAAATTTAAACAAAAAATGAATGGTGTCTACATTTCTAAAGGAATGTTTCTGAGCATATATTTTTCAGAGTTACCTTCATTTACACTGAAGGCTTGCAATGTTGAAAACATTTACCATTTATGATATTCAAATGAATTCATCCTCCTGAAAGCTTTGTTAAAATACACACTTGATCTGCTCCAAACCACAGTGTAGAGTGTGACCCAATTTCAATACAGATTTGTTATTTGCATGAAATTAGGAATGTATATATAGCCGGGCGTGGTGGCTCACACCTGTAATCCCAGCACTTTGGGAGGCCAGGGTGATTGGATCACTTGCGGTGAGGAGTTGGAGAACAGCCTGGCCAACATGGTGAAATCCTGTGTCTACTAAAAATACAAAACAATTGGGGATGGTCCAGGTGGCTCACGCCTGTAATCCCAGCACTTTGGGAGGCCTAGGCGGGCAGATCACGAGGTTGGGAGATGGAGACCATTCTGGCTAACATGGTGAAACTCTGTCTCTACTAAAAACACAAAAATTAGCCGGGCAGGTGGCATATGCTTTTAGTCCCAGCTACTCAGAAGGCTGAGGGAGGAGAATCACTTGAACCTGGGAGACGGAGGTTGCACTGAGCAGAGATCACATCACTGCACTCCAGCTTGGGTGACAGAGCGAGACTCCGTCTCAAAAAAAAAAAAAAACAAAACCAACAAACAAAAAAAACCAAGTAACCAGGCCTAGTGGCATGCACTTGTAATCCCAGCTATTCAGGAGGCTGAGGCAGGAGAATCGCTTGAACTGGAGGTTGCAATGAGCCGAGATCTCGCCATTTCACTCCTGCTGGGAGACAGAGAGAGTTTTAGTCTCAAAAAAGAAAAAAAATGATGTGTATATATCGGGGAACCAGCCCCGATATTCACGTAGGTTCTTTTCTATTTTCCTTAAGCGTCGGCCAGCTTGAGAAATAAAGGGACAGAGTACAAAAGAGAGAAATTTTAAAGCTGGGCTTCTGGGGAAGACATCACATGTCGGTAGGTTCTGAGATGCCCCACAGGCTGCAAAAACCAGCAAGTTTTTATTAGGGATTTTCAAAAGGGGAGGGAGTGTGCGAATAGGTGTGGGTCACAGACATCAAGTACTTTACAAGGTAGTAGAATATCACAAGGCAAGTGGAGGCAGGGAGAGATCACAGGACCGAGGGGAAATTAAAATTGCTAATGAAGTTTCAGGCACCATTGTCATTGATAACATCTTATCAGGAGACAGGGTTTTTGAGATCAACCAGTCTGACCAAAATTTATTAGGCGGGAATATATGCATGGAAATATATTCTTTTATTAGGCGGGAATTTCCTCTTCCTAATAAGCCTGGGAGTGCATGGAAATAATCCAAATTTATTTATTTATTGCCTAGACAAATTGTATTGTAGTGCTTTCCATCTTTATTAGTACATTGATTTTTCTCAATCTTTGTCAAGCATTATTCTTTAATTAACTAGTGGGAGAATACTGTAAGACTTATATCTAAAAGACAAATTATAAAATACACATGCACACACACACACACACAAACAGACACACCCCATAAAGTCTCAGGAAATACTTGAAGACTATGTAGTGTCATGGGAACATGCCGAGTTTTGATGTTAAATGACGAGACCATGAGATGAAACTGTGAATAACCTTGATAGGAACTGAAGATATGTAGTATGAGTATCATGCCATGTGGAGCGCATATGGCATGCAGTAATGACAGCTATCTGGTCCCTCCTCTATGGTTCATGCCAAATTGTTGTCTGCAATGCAACACATGAGCTAAAACATGAAGAACTCCCTGGTTGTCTGGAAGGGGAGCCAGAATAGAGACCACCAGGATTTGTAAATCCTGGTGGTCTCGGAGCCTCAAGCAATTTTATCGCTGTGCTTTCATCCCCAAATTTATCCCCCGAGGGAGACAGTTTGATGCCATGGAAAGTACTGGACCTATAAATCTGAGGTAAATCGTAATCATATAGACTAGGTTAGGAGGATTTTAAATGTCTGAACAAATAAGATTTCTGATGAGGGTGGGTGGTTTCGGCCTTGGTTTGATTTCAGATGGAAAACAAAAGCAAAATTGCCACAGTAAGACCAGATGACTCCAAACTGGGCAAAAAGCAAGGCAGCCATGTTTCCTTGTGCCTTTGTCTTTGGGTGGCGTTTTTTCAGACAAGAAGGGCGGGAGAAGAAGGCTCCACGACACCTGTTAGCACATCTAGAGCACTACTGCCACCGTTAGGACATAGTTAAGCAACGCCCTACGCCCTATGCCTAAGCCATGTCAATGTCCTTCCCCTGAAGACAGTCCTTCCACCTGTTGGAGAAGGTCTGGCCTGTGGGGAGGGGGAAGAGGCTTGAGCTCCATGCTGCTCATCCTTGCCCTATCCTCAAAGACCACACTTTGGGAGGCTGAGGCGGGCGGATCGTCTGAGGTCGGGAGTTTAGGACCAGCCTGGCCAGCATGGTAAAACCCCATCTCTACTAAAAATACAAAAATTAGTCGGATGTGGTGGCAGGCGCCTGTAATCCCAGCTACTCAGGAAGCTGAGAATCGCTTGAACCCGGGAGGGGGAGGTTGCAGTGAGCCGAGATCTCGCCATTGCACTCCAGCCTAGGCAACACAGTGAGACTCCGTCAAAAAAAAAAAAAGACCTGGACATTGGTAGTGTCTTGGTATAGAACCTGGAGAGTGAAGGAAAGTAAATACTGTGAATGTCGCTTGGTAAAATCCTGTTCCTTGTACACGGTACTGATGCTACCAGAGACCCAAAGACCTGTAGCAAGATGCAAGCACATGAAAGCCTGCCAACTCTTGCTCCAAGGGGCAGGAACAGGAGACAGATGCCCACAAGAGCCTGCATGTGTGTTTGAGTGGGTTCCTGTTGTCCAGCAAACAACTGGGGAAATAGAGGCCCTGCCCCGGAAATTCCTGTGCCAGGACTGCCTGGCAGCTGCTGCTTCACTCCAAGCCCCTCACTCTCCAGGTTCTACACCAAGATACCGCCAATGTCCAGGCCTCTCTTAAGACCTTAGAGGAGAAGGCAACAAGACCTAGCCTGGAGCCCAATCCTCTTCCACCTCAGCATAGATTAGACCTTCCCCCACAGCGAGGCTTCCAGGGAAGAATACTGTAATGGCGGATTCTGTCTTCAAACTATTTCCTCACGGTGGCAGTAGTGCTTCATATTTTCTTGGAAGCTCTGTCTAGGAGCTTTCTTCTCCCGCCTTTTCTGTCTGAAAAAATGCTACCCAGAGACAAAGGCCCCACGGATCATGGCCACCAGGAGATTTGTCCAGTTTGGTACGACCTTGTCTTACTGTTGAATTTTTGCTATTTTCTTTCCATCTGAAAACAAAATGAGGCCTAAACCACCCATGCTCCTCACGAATCTTGTTCTTTCAGAAATTAAATATACTCCTCACTGAGACTATCTGGGTATGATTTACTTCACACTGTTACAGGTCCAGCAAGTTCCATGGCATCAAATTGTCTCCTTCAGGTGATAAACTGGGTGGATGAAGGTACAATTAGGAAAAATTTATTTGAAACTTGGGGAAGATCTTTGGCAAACAGTTTACAAATCCTGGTGGTCTTTGACCTGGTTCCCCTCTCGGACAACCAGAGAGTTCATGTTCTAGCCTCATGTGTTGCATTGTAGGCAAAAATTTGGTTTAAGTCATAGAGTAAGGACCATCTGGTCATTACTCCTTGGCCTATATGCTCCACATGGCGTGATCCTCATAGTCCCTATGTTCAGTCCCTATCGAGATCACTCAGTTTCATCTCATGGTCTCAACATTTAACACCAGAACACAGCATGTTCCCATGCATTACATATTCTTCAGGGATTTCCTGAGACATTAGATGCTGTGTGTGGGGGGGATGGGTGTGTGTGTTCTGTTCTGTCCCTTGGAGCAAGAGTTAGTAAGCTTTCAGGCAGTGTTACTGTATCACAGTCCTTTGTTGCAGCAGTATGAGAACACCAAAGACAGGCCTGTTCCAGGTGTGATAAAGCAGGAGCCAGTATGTTTGCTGATAGTCTCAAGGGCATCTAGTTGTCTAAAGACTGAAAGGACCTAAAGTTTTACATTTTCTAGTAGAGTTGTTTTTTGGTTTTGTTTTTTTAGATGGAGTCTTGCTCTGTCGCCCAGCCTGGAGTGCAGCAGCACGATCTCAGCTCACTGCATCCTCCGTCTCCCAGGTTGATGGGATTCTCTTGTCTCAGCCCCCCGAACAGCTGAGACTACAGATGGGCTCCACCACGTTTGGCTAATTTTTGTATTTTTAGTAGAGACGGGGTTTCACCATGTGGGTCAGGGTGGTCTCGAACTCCTGACTTCATGTGATCAGCCCGTCTCGGCCCCCCAGTGTGCTGGATTACAGGCTTAAGCAACTGTGCCCGGCCGTTCCTTTTTATTTTTTGTTTATTTACTTTCTTAGTGGAGTTGTTACACATAAAGGGATGGGAAACAAAAGGAGTGAAAAGGATTGAAAATTAATCCACATTTTAAAAGTGCTTGTCTGTGGGAGGTAGCATTACCCATGATCTCACTTTGTTAGCGGTGGCAGTGAACCGAGTTACCCCGAGTAACAGGCGGCATATCTATATAGGTCGACAGCAACTTCAGTCCTTGCCTCCTCCAAAGAAATAACTCGACTGAGGGTCATAAAGCAGAAAAAGAGACTGAGGCAAGATTCAGAGCAGGAGTGGAAGTTTATTTAACAGGCTTTAGAACAGGAAAGAAAGGAAAGAAAGAACCCTTGGAAGAGATCCAAGTGGGTGCCTGAGTGGCCAAGAGAACAAAAAGACCTTTTAACCTTGATCATGGGACCTTATAGGCTTACCTCTTGCTCATGATTCTTCCTTTAGGGTGAGCTTTCCGCATGCGCAGTGCCCTCCTTACCCTTTGGAATTGAGCACTGTGCAGTGTGTTTAGGGAGTTATACACATGCCCATCTGAGGCTTTTTTCCTTTTTCTGGTGGCATGTACCCGGAACATCATATTTCGCCATTTTGTGTCTTAATACGCATGCCCAAGAAGCTGCTTCTCCCTGGGGCCTGCATTCAGTTCACACTTTTAATATTATCAGGTGTGGGCCATCAGGAGATTGCCTCTCCCTTGCTACCAAATTATCATTTTTAGGGAGACAATGTGATCATTGCTGAACCATCATGTGACATTTCTATTGGGTGGGGGAGAGTCCTTTCCTGCCCTGCTTATTGCCTATGTAACTAACTGTAACAACTTTACTTTTTCATGTATGACTATTGTGTCAGGCACATTTTGAAGAAGCATGAGTGTTTCAGTAAATTCAAAAACAGATGGCAAAAGTGACATCAATGACAATGGTGCAGTAGACACTTTCTGTAGTCCATCTCTCCAGAAAAGCAACTCAAAACAGTTAATAATGTATAATTAGAAGATCATTTTCTCAGCACGATATATGGGGCATTAATTAAAAACCTACAGCTAATAATATAGTCAAGAGGGAACGACTGAAAGCTTTGCTTCTAAAATCAGGAACAGGAGAAGAACACCTACTTTTGCCACTTGTATTGAACATTATACTTAAAATTTTAGCCCAGGGCGTCAGGCAATGAAGATATATAAAATACATCCCAATTGAAAAGAAAAAATGGAAATTATTTCTCTTCACAAATACGATGATCTTGTAAAAAATGCTTAAAAATCCAGAAAACAACAATATTAGAGCTAGTGAACAGTATCTAGCAAGCACAGCAGGATAGAACATTAACTCGGAAAAATCAGTTGTAGTTTTATTTGTGTACACTAGCAATGAATAATCTGAAAATTAAATTAAGAAAGCAATTCCCTTTACAATAGCATCAAAATGAATCATATTTTTAGGACAATAGTTAATAGATGAAAGTCTTATACATTGAAAATCACAAAATATTGGAGAAGAAGTTAAAGATAACCTTGATTTTAAAAAAGGACATCCTGTGGTAGTGGGTTGGAAGACAAAATATTTTTAACATACCAATACTACCCACTGAGATCTATAAATTTAATGCAATCATTATTATCCCAATGAGCATTGTTTGTTTTTGTAAAAAAGGAGCACAAATTCTAAAGATCCTATTAAATTGCCAGAGATCTGATAACCAATGTAAAGTTTGAATAAGAAAAACCAAGGTAGAAGACTCACACTTCTATATTTCAAAACTTACTAGAAAAGCTAGAGTAATCAAAGCAGTGTGATAATTAAATAAGAATACACACAGTGATTAATGGAAGAGATGGAGAGTCTGGAAATAAACCCAGACGTTGTGGTCAATTCATTTTTGACAAAGTTATTCAGGTCATTTTATGAGTAATTAATAGAGTCTTTAACAAATAGTACATAGACAACTGGTTATGCATATGCAAAAGGATGAATTTAGGCCGGGCGCTGTGGCTCACGCCAGTAATCCAGCACTTTGGGAGGCTGAGGTGGGCGGATCACAAGGTCAGGAGATCCAGACCATCCTGACTAACGCGGCGAAACCCTGTCTCTACTAAACAATACAAAAAAAAAAAATAGCCGGGCGTGGTGGCGGGCGCCTGTAGTCCCAGCTACTCAGGAAGCTGAGGCAGGAGAATGGCGTGAACCCGGGAGGCGGAGCTTGCAGTCAGCGGAGATTGTGCCACTGCACTACAGCCTGGGTGACAGAGAGAGACTCCGTCTCAAAAAAAGAAAAGAAAGAAAAAATTTAAGGATCCTGGGTGACAGAGTGAGACTCCGTCTCAAAAAAAAAAAAAAAAAAAAGGATGAATTTAGTCCTCTGCCTCACATTATATCCAAAAATAAGTCAAAATGTATCAAATTTCTAAATGTAAGAGCTAAAGCTATGAAACCTTCAGGGACACTATAGGGATAAATCGTCACGACTTTAGATTTGGCAATGATTTTTTAGCTATACCACCAAAAGCACCAATTAACAAAAGAAAATATAAATTGGACTTTCCTGAAATTAAAAACTTTTTGCATCAATATACACTATCAAGAACTTGAAAAGCCAATTGACACAATGTGAGGAAACATTTGTATATCAATTATCTAGAAACTTCTAATACCCAGTACATATAAAGAACTCTTAAAACCTAGAAACAAAAAGATAGATAACCCAATTTATATCGAAGAGATAAGATATCATGGTCGGGCGCGATGGCTCATGCCTGTAATGTCAGCACTTTGGGAAGCCGAGGTGGATGGATCATGAGGTCAGGAGTTCCAGACCAGCCTGGCCAACATGGTGAAACCCCGTCTCTACTAAAAAACACAAAAATTATCGGGCATAGTGGCATGCGCCTGTAATCCCAGCTACTGGGGAGGCTGAGGCAGGAGAATCGCTTGAACCCAGGAGGCGGAGGTTGCAGTGAGCCGAGATTGCACCACTGCACTCAAGCCTGGGCAACAGAGCAAGACTCCATCTAAACAACAACAACAAAAAAAAACAGAGAGAGAGAATGGAAGAAATTTGAAAACAGCTTAAGTGAAGGAAACAAGACTAAAAAGACCACTTATTGAGATGATCAGTAGTGAGGGAAAGTAGATGAATGTTTGTCAGGGGCTGGGCAGAGAGTGGAATGGGGAATGACTGCTTAATGGGTCCAGGGTTTTCTTTTGTGGTAATGAAAATGCTTTGCCAATAGAGATAGTACTTGCACTGCATTGTGAATGTACTAAATACCACTGAATTTCACACATTTTAATGGTTAATTTTATGTTATGTGAACTTTACAAACTCAGTTTTAAAAAGTGCCAATACTTTTAAAGCTGTCATTATTTCCATGAATAATTAATTCTATTTGAGAAGTACTCAAGTTATCAGTGAAGAAAACTTATTTTAACTGTTATACTACAAGGTGGCCGGGCACGGTGCCTCATGCCTCTAATCCTAGCACTTTGGGAGGCTGAGATGGGAGCATCACTCTAGGCCAGGAGATCAAGATCAACCTGATCAACATAGCGAAGCCCCATATCTAAAATTTTTTTTAAAAATATAAATAAAAAACAGTTATACTACAGGGGAATTTGAACATTAGTTTATAAAAGTCCATATTATATGTGCATAGGCAAAAGTGATTATTTCTTCCATTATGTTTGACCTACCATATGTTTTCTACTTTATAATTTCATAAAGTTCTCCTAGAGTAAAATATGAAAAAATTACAAGCATTCAAACGTATATATTGATGTAGATATATTCAATGAGTATAAGGTGATACTGAAGATTTTGTACAAAATTTCAAACATTATGCATCCAATTATATTTAAACTGTGTCGAGTGTGTGTGTATTTATATCTGTCTAGGTATATTACAAAATTTTTAATGCTGTATATGTATGATTTTTTAGACAGTGTCTCACTCTGTTGCCCAGGCTGGAGTGCAGTGGTATGATTATGGCTTACTACAGCATCAACCTCCCTGGGCTCAGGTGGTCCTCCCACCTCTGCCTTCTATGTAGCTGGGGCTTCCATTGCATACCACCATGCTCAGCTATTTTTTGTATTTTTTGTATAGACGAGGTCTCACTACATTGCCAGAGCTGACCTTGAACTCCTGGGCTCAAGCTGTCCACCTGCCTTGGCCTCCCAAAGTGCTGGGATTACAGTTGTGAACCACTATGCCCAGCCAATGCTATACATTTTTAATCATGGTACATGTTATACTGAGTATATGTTTGAAGATGGCATTTTTGGCCAACAAATTCATATCTTCAATTCATCATTATATAAACAGAGACACTAATGAAGCATTCTAGCTGCATGTGAGTGGTGTGAATGCATCCATCTTACAGTTTTCTTTTTGTTTTTGTTTTTGTTTTTTGTTTTTTGTTTTTGTGAGACAGAGTCTCGCTCTGTAGCCCAGGCTGGAGTTCAGTGGCGTGATCTCGGCTCACTGCAACCTCCACCTCCTGCGTCCCGGTTCAAGCAATTCCCCAGCCTCAGCCTCCCAAGTAGCTGGGATTACAGGCATGCGTCACCATGCCCAGTTAATTTTTGTATTTTTAGTGGAGACGGGGTTTCACCATGTTGGTCAGGCTGGTCTTGAACTCCTGACCTCGTGATCCGCTCACCTTGGCCTCCTAAAGTGCTGGGATTACAGGCATGAGCAACCGCACCTGGCCGTACAGTTTTCTTAGGTTACACATCTAGGTGACTAAATGTGTGAGATGCCTATTTCAACTACAATTTGTTGAATTTTGTTATCTTTCTTTGAAGATTTTAAAGATAAAGTTTTAAGGTAAGAATTAGGAATAAGAATTCTAGAAGAATTAAAAATTCTAATTTTCAGAGGTATAAGTATGTATTATACATCTGTTTATATTGTATATAAATATGTATTTATATGTTTATGTATGTTTAAATATATATATATTTTTTAGCCAGGTGCGGTGACTCATGCCTGTAATCCCTGCACTTTGGGAGGCTGCGGCGGGCGGATCACCTGAGGTCAGGAGTTCGAGACCAGCCTGGGAGACAGAGTGAGACTCCATCTAAAAAAAATTAATATATGTATATATATTTATATATGTATCTGTATTTTTTAGATTTAAAAGTGAAAATTGAGAACTTATGTTTTGATGAATAGTCCAATCAAGAAGTTCTTTGCAAATATTTTATTGTCCAAAATTCAGATATTACAAATGTTTTATGAGAATATCAAAAACTCCTCAACAATCAGATGTGAAACTTTTAATTCTTCAACCTTAAGTATAGCTAAATTCAGCTAAAATGTAAATTTATTGTGTGTTTGACTGTATACATAGAACTTTTTATCTGTGTATTGAAAAAAAGGGAGTGAATATGGAAATGGTTATCAGTGTTTAATATATAGTTTTATGACATTGCTTTTCTCTTCATCAGCATATGGTTACTGTTTTACTTTGCAAGTTCTATGTCTTGTCACTAATGAGAAAATATAGGACTTATTCCTAATGAAAAAGAGTAAGACACATGTACAACAAAGTTATAGGACAGTCTTAAGTCATAGCCATTTAATGACACTGGAAAAAATTTCTGTTCCAATGTTAAATAATGAAACCATGAGACAAAATTCTGTGATCCATCTGATTAGAATTTATAGTCATTCCTGTATTTGTGTCCATTCAAGTAGGGCTGTGTGTGTTTTCTCAGGCTGGAGAGCTGTCCGAACCCTTATGTTAGAGCCCCACTAAATATCAGCCTCCCTCTCAACATATAAGGCCTAATGACTAGGTCAGATCGTGCAGTAAAACTCCTAGGGAACCTGGGTAGGGAGTCAGGACAAGAACCACATAGCCTGGTGCCTAGATTTGCTCTTCTGAAAGACCTTAGGGGTAAAACTTTTTTTTTTCTTCTCTCCTTAGGCATGGAAACCTAAGGTCTGTACCCAAAACTACAGGACTATTTGACATCATAATAAAACACTGCAGATATGATGCTGAGTAAGAGTAGAAATGGGAAGACTTGGTTGTGCAGTAACTGAGTTCTTGAAAAGAGGAGATGCTTGATGAGGGTGAGTGGATTACATCACTGTTTAATATCCAATGGAAACCAAAAGCAAATGGCTAAGAGTGGAATATGTTTACACGAATTGAGCAAAATATTGGGTAGCCATAGTTTCTGGTGTCTTTGTTTCTTCATGGCCTTCTTTTTGAAACGTGTAGTCATGTATGTGTACACATTCATACAAAAAGCTGATAGTGTCTACTTTACTAAAGTAATATTCTTGAGGTCAAATTTTAAGATTTATCTTTATTTGCCAGGTGCAGTGGCTCATGCCTGCAATCCCAGTGCTTTGGGAGGCCAAGGTGGGCCGATCACGAGGTCAGGAGATTGAGACCAGCCTGGCCAACATAGTGAAACCCCGTCTCTACTGAAAATACAAAAATTAGCAGGGTGTGGTGGCACACACCTGTAATCCCAGCTACTCGGGAGGCTGAGGCAGGAGAATCACTTGAAACCAGAAGGCAGAGGTTGCAGTGAGCCGAGATCGTGCCTCTGCACTCCAGCCTGGGCGAAAGAGCAAAACTCTGTCTCAAAAAAAAAAAAAAAGATTTACCTTTATTTACAGTGAAGGCATGAAATGTTGAAAAATAAGACTTAGTACTGTGGACATTCAAATGAATTCACGCTCCTCAAAGGTTTCTTAAAATACACACTTGGTCTGATCCAAATCACAGTGTACACAGTAATCCACTTTTAATACAGATTTATTTTTTGCTGAAATTAACAATGTACTTATTGAAAGATATGCATGGAAATAATCCAAATGAGTTGCCTTGACAAGTTGTATTGTAGCGGTTTTCTTCATTATTAATACATGGACTATTCTTAATATTTGTCAAGCATTATTCTTTAATTTACTATTTGGAGAATACTGTAATCCTTACACCTAAAAGACAAATTATAAAACTCTCAGAGAAACATATAATTATAAACACACACAGTCCATAAAGTCTCAGGAAATACTTGAAGAATATTTAATGGCATGGGCACATGTTGTGTTTTGATGTTAAACGATGAGACCATTAGACGAAACTCGGAGTAACCGTGACAGGAATTAAACATATGTACTTTGAATATCATGCCATGTGGAGTATATATGGCATGCAGTAATGAGCATCACCTGGTTTCTCCTCTAGTGGCTCATGCCAAATTGTTGCCTACAATGCACCACAGAAGGCTCAGAAGGCTCTCAGAATAGGGAGAACTCCCTGGATGTCTCACAGGGGAGCCAGGTCAAAGACCTCTGGGATTTTTTGTTTTGTTTTGTTTTGTTTTTTTGAGACGGAGTCTCGCTGTGTCCCCAGGCTGGAGTACAGTGGTGCGATCTCGGCTCACTGCAACCTCCACCTCCCGGTTTCAAGCGATTCTACTGCCTCAGCCTCCCGAGTAGCTGGGACTACAGCCCACCACCACGCCCGGCTAATTTTTGTATTTTTAGTAGAGATGGGGTTTCACCATGTTGGCCAGGATAGTCTCGATCTCTTGAACTCGTGATCCGCCCGCCTTGGCCTCTCAAAGTGCTAGGATTACAGTCGTGAGCCACCACGCCCGGCCGACCTCTGGGATTTTTAAATTGTTTGCCGGAGAAGATCTTTTCTGCTTTCAGCCCTTTTCTCCTTTTTGTGTTTTCACCCACCGAATTTATCCGCTGAAAGAGACGGTTTGATGCCACGGAAATTACTGGACCTGTAACTCTGAAGCAAATCAAACTAACACAGACTAGTTCAGGAGAATATGTAATTTTTGATAGAACAAGGGCAGGTGGTTTAGGCCTTGGTTTGATTTGTTTTCTTTTCTTTCTTTCTTCTTTTTTTTTTTTTATTTGAGACGGAGTTTCTCTCTTGTTGCCCAGGCTGGAGTGCAGTGGCGCGATCCCTCAACCTCTGCCTCCTGGGTTCAAGCGATTCTCCTATCTCAGCCTCCCGAGTAGCAGGGATTACAGGCATGCGTCACCACACCCGGCTAATTTTGTATTTTTAATACAGACGGGGTTTCTCCATGTTGGTCAGGCTGGTCTCGAATTCCCGACCTCAGGTGATCTGCCCTCCTTGGCCTCCCAAAGTGCTGGGATTACAGGCGTGAGCCACCGCGCCCGGCCTTTAGTTTGATTTCAAGTTGAAAATAAAAAGAAAAAGTGCAGCAGTAAGACCGGCAAGCTCCAAACTGCAAGATATAAAGCATCCAGGTTTGGAACGCTTGTCTATGGGTGGCTTTTTTTTGAGGCAGGAAGGGCGGGAGAAGAGGACTTTGAACCGGGGCTTCTTCCTGTATGTGGAGCAATACTGCCATCGCGCGGATATCGTTTAAAAAAAAACCCTTCCACCATTACAGTGTTCTTCCCCGTGAGGACTACCTGTTGGCCAAGGTCTGGTCTGTGGGGAGGTGGAAGAGGCTTGGGCTCCATGCTAGGTAGGAGTCCTTGTCTTCTCCTCTAAGGCCTTAAAAGAGACCTGGATATGGGCGGTATCTTGGTATAGAACATGGAGATTGAACGTTCTGAAAGCAAATCCTATAAACTTCCCCTGGAATAACCCTGTTCTATGTGCGCGGTACTGATGCTACCAGAGACCCAAAGACCCATAGCCAGCACGAGAACGTTGGCTGACTCTTGCTCCAAGGGACAGGAATAAGAGATAGATGCCCGCAAGAGCCTCCATGTGTGTTTGAGTGGGTTCCTGCAGTCCTGCCCACACCAGGAGGAACTGGGGCCCGGCCCCACGATTTCCTGTGCCGGGACCTCCTGGCAGCTGCTGGTTGACTTCGAGCCCATCGCACTCCAGGTTCTACACCAAGATACCGCCAATGTTAAGGCCTCTCTTCAGGCCTTAGAGGAGAAAGCAAGAAGACCTAGCCTGGAGCCCAAGCGTCTGCCACCTCCCACTGTTCAGACTTTTCCCCACAGCGAATCTTTCCAGGAAGGACGCTGTAATGGCGTATTGTGTCTTTAAACGATTTCCTCACGGTGGCAGTCGTGCTTCACATTTTCAAGGAATCCCTATCTTGGCGCCCTTTTCTCCCACCCTTCCCGTCTGAAAAAACGCCACTCAGAGACAAAGGCGCCACCCAATATGGCTGCCTGGAGATTTGTCCAGTTTGGTGCAACCTGGTCTTACTGTTGAATTTTCGCTTTTTTTTTTTCCATCTCTAAACAAAATGAGGCCTAAACCACCCATGCTCATCAAGAATCTTGTTCTTTCAGAAATTAAATATACTGCTCACTGAGTCTATCTGGGTATGATTTACCTCACACAGTTACAGGTCCAGCAAGTTGAATGTAATGAAAATGATTTGCCACTAGATAGTGGTAATGCTTGCACTGCATTGTGAATATACTAAATGCCACTAAATTTCACACATTTTAATGGTTAATTTTATGTTTTATGAATTATACAAACTCAGTTTTTAAAAGTGCCAGTACTTTTAAACCTATCATTATTTCCATGAATAATTAATTATATTTGAAAAGTACTCAAGTTTTCAGTGAAGAAAACTTGTTTTAACAGATATACTACAAGGCAGCCAGGCTTGGTGCCTCATGCCTCTAATACTAGCACTTTGGGAGGCAGAGTTGGGTGGATCGCTTGAGGCCAGGAGTTCGAGATCGGTCTGGTCAACATAGCGAAACCCCATATCTAAAATTTAAAAAAAGAAAGAAAGAAAGAAAAAGAACCAGTTGCACTACAGGGGAATTTGAACATTAGTTTATAAAGTCCATATTATATGTGCATAGGGAAAATTGATTATTTCTTTTCACTGTGGTTGACCTATCATATGTTTTCGGCTTTATAATTTCTTAAAGTTCTAGAGTAAAATATGAAAAAAATTCAAACACTCAAAAGTAAATACTGATGTAGATACATTCAAAGAGTATAAGGTGATGCTGAAGATTTTGTAGAAAATTTCAAACAATATGAATCCAATTATATTTAGAGTAAACTGTGTTGTGTCTGTATTTATATCTGTAGGTATATTACAAAATTTTAAATGCCATATATATATATATATATATATATATATATATATATATATATATTTTTTTTTTTTTTTAGACAGCGTCTCACTCTGTTGCCCAGGCTGGAGTGCAATGGCATGATC
Source organism: Homo sapiens (assembly GCF_000001405.40). NCBI lineage: Eukaryota > Metazoa > Chordata > Mammalia > Primates > Hominidae > Homo > Homo sapiens. The sequence continues at coordinate 131,751,509 of NC_000023.11, read as the reverse complement.
ATGGTTCACCGCAGTATCAACCTCCCTGGGCTCCTGTGGTCCTCCTACCTCCACTACCTAAGTAGCTGGGGTTTCCATTGCAAGCCACCATGCCTGGCTATTTTTTGGATTTTTTGTAGACACGGGGTCTCACTACATTGCCAGGACTAGTCTTGAACTCCTGGGCTCAAGCTATCCACCTCCTTGGCCTCCCAAAGTGCTGGGATTACAGTTGTGAGCCACTGTGTCTGGCCAATGCTATATATTTTTAATCCTGATAGGTGTTATAGTGAGTATATGTTTGAAGATGGTATTTTTGGCCAACAAATCGTGTCTTTAATTCATCATTATATAAACAGAGACACTAATGAAGCATTCTAGTGGCATGTGAGTTGTGTGAATGCATCCATCTTACAGTTTTCTTAGGTCACACATCAAGGTGACTGAATGTGAGAGATGCCTATTTCAACTATCATTTATTGAGTTTTGTTATCTTTCCTTTGAGATTTCAAAGATCAATTTTTAAGGAAAGAATTAGGAATAAAAATTCAAGGAGAATTAAAAATTTCAGTTTTCAGCGGTATAAGTGTGTATAATACATATGTTCATATTGCATATAAATATGTATTTATATGTTTATATGTGTATAAATATATATATTATACTTAAAAGTACAAATTGAGTACTTATTTTTTGTTTGTTTGTTTTGAGATGGAGTCTCACTCTGTCGCAGAGGCTAGAGTACAGAGGCACAATCTCTGCTCACTACAACCTCCGCCTCCCGTGTTCAAGTGATTCTACTGCCTCAGCCTCCTGAGTAGCTGGGATTACAGGTGCCTGCCACCAAGCCCAGCTAATTTTTGTATTTTTAGTAGAGTCAGGTTTCACCATATTGGCCAGGCTGGTCTCGAACTCTTGACCTTGTGATCCACCCGCCTCGGCCTCCCAAAGTGCTAGGATTATTGGCGTGAGCCACCGCGACCGGCCGAGTACTTATGTTTTCATGAATAGTCCAATCAAGAAGTTCTCTGCAAATATTTTATTGTCTTAAATTTAGATATTGCAAATTTTTTATGAGAATATGAAAAACTCAGGAATCATATGTGAAACTTTCTTCAACCTTATGTATAGCTAAATTCAACTAAAATGTAAATTTATTGTCGTGTTTAACTGTATAGATAGAACTTTTTCTCTGTGTTGAAAAAATGGGAGTAAATATGGAACTGTTCGTTTGTTTGGTTTTGAAACAGAGTCTCGCTCTGTCGCCCAGGCTGGAATGCAATGGCGTGATCTCGGCTCACTACAGCCTCCGCCTGCTGGGTTCAAGCAATTCTGCCTCAGCCTTCTGAGTAGCTGGGACTACAGGCATGCGCCACCATGCCCGGCTAATTTTTTGTATTTTTAGTAGAGATGGGGTTTCACCATGCTGGCCAGGCTGGTCTCAAACTCCTGACCTCGTGTTCTGCCCGTCTCGGCCTCCCAAACTGCTGGGATTACAGGTGTGAGCCACCACGTCCGGCCCATAATATGGAACTGTTTATCAGTGTTTAATACACAATTTTATGGCATCGATTTTCTCCTGATCAGCACATGGTTATTTTTATCTTCTTTGCAAGTTCCATGGCTTTGTTAATAATGAGAAAATACAGGACTGATTCCTAACTGAAAAACAATAAGACACATACAAAACAAAGTCACAGGACACAGTCGTAAGTCACAGCCTTTTAAAGACACTGGAAAATATTTCTGTTCCAATGTTAAATAATGAAACCATGAGACAAAATCCTGTTATCTATCTGATTAGCATTTATAGTCATTTGTGTATTTGTGTCCATTCAAATAGGGCTGTGTGGGTCTTGTCAGGCTGGAGAGCTATCCGTACCCTTATGTTAGAGCTCCACTACATATCGGCCTCCCCCTCAACATGTAAGGCCTACTGCCTAGGTCAGATATGGAGTAGAACTGCTAGGGAACCTGGGTAGGCAGTCAGGACAAGAACCACATGGCCTGGTGCCTAGATTTGCTCTTCTCCAAGACCTTAAGGGTAAGCTTTTTTTCTCTTCTCTCCTTAGGCATGGATCACTAAGGTCTGTTCCCAATACAAGAAGACTCTTTGACATCATAATAAAATACTGCAGATACGATGCTGAGTGAAAAAGAGTAGAAATGGGAAGACTTGGTTGTGCAGAAACTGAGTTCTTAAAGAGAGGAGATACTTTATGAGGGTGAGTGGATAACCTCTCAGTTTAATATCCAATGGAAACCAAAAGCAAATGGCTAAGAGTGGAATATGTTTACACAAATTGAGCGAAATGTTAGGTAGTCATAGTTTCTGGTGTCTTTGTCTCTTCATGGCCTTTTTATTGAAACATGTAGGGATGTATCTGTAAACATTCAGACAAAAAGCTGATAGTGTCTACTTTTCTTTCTTTCTTTCTTTCTTTTTTTTTTTTTTTGAGGCAGTGTCTCGCTCTGTCGCCCAGGCTGGAGTGCAGTGGTACAATCTCGGCTCACTGCAAGCTCCCTCCCGGGTTCACGCCATTCTCCTGCCTCAGCCTCCCAAGTAGCTGGGACTACAGGCGCCCGCCACCATGCCCCACTAATTTTTTTTTTTTTTTGTATTTTTAGTAGAGACAGGGTTTCACCGTGTTAGCCAGAATGGTCTTGATCTCCTGACCTTGTGATCTACCCGCCTCGGCCTCCCAAAGTGCTGGGATTACAGGCGTGAGCCACTACGCCCGGCGATAGTGTCTACTTTTCTAAGGCAATATTCCTGAGGCCCTATTTTAAGATTTACCTTTATTTATATTGAAGGCGTGACATGTTGACATATAAACTTAGTACGGTTGACATTCAAATGAATTCACACATCTGAAAGATTCGGTAAAATACACACTTGGTCTTATCCACACCACAGTGTGCACAGTAATCCACTTTTAACACATTTATTTTTTGCATGAAATTAACAGTGTATGTACATATTGAAAGATATGCATGGAAATAATCCAAAAGTTCATGAGTTGCCTTGACAAGTTGTATGGTAGCAGTTTTCTTCATTATTAATACATGGATTTTTCTTAATCTTTGTCAAGCATTATGCTTCAATTTACTAGTTGGAGAGTACTGTAATCCTTATACCTAAAAGACAAATTATAAAACTTTCAGAGACACACACAAACACAAACACGAACACACACACCCCATAAATTCTCAGGAAATATTTGAAGAATATGTAATGGCATGGTGACATGCTGTGTTTTGATGTTAAATGATGAGACCATGAGATGAAACTCTGAGCCACCTTGACAGGAATTAAACATATGTACTATGAGTATCATGTCATTTGGAATATATATGGCATGTGGTAATGTGCGTAACCTGGTTTCTCCTCTAATGGCTCATGCGAAATTGTTGCCTACAATGCACTACAGAAGGCTCTTAGAATACGAAGAACTCCCTGGATGTCTGATCAGGGAGCCAGGTCCAAGATCCCTGGGATTTTTTTTTTTTTTTTTTTTTTTGAGACCGAGTCTTGCTCTGTCGCCCAGGCTGGAGCGCAGTGGCACAATCTCGGCTCACTGCAACCTCTGTCTCCTGGGTTCAAACAATTCTCCTACCTGAGACTCTTGAGTAGCTGAGATTACAGACGCCCGCCACCACCCCCAGCTAATTTTTGCATTTTTAGTAGAAACGGAGTTTCACCACGTAGGCCAGGCTGGTCTCCAACTCCTGACCTCAGTCAATCTGCCCGCTTTGGCCTCCTAAAGTGCCGTAATTACAGGCGTGAGCCACCGCACCCTTCCCCCTGGGATTTTTTAATTGTTTACTGGAAAGATCTTTTCCAAGCTTTAAGCCCTTTTCTTTTTGTATGTCCATCCACCGAATTTATCCCCTGAAAGAGACAGTTTGATGCCACGGAAATTACTGGTCCTGTAACTCTGAAGTAAATCAAACCTACACAGACTAGGTCAGGAGGAGATTTCATTTTTGAAAGATCAAGATTCCTGATGGAGGCAGGTGGTTTAGGCCTTGGTTTGATTTCAAGCGCAAAACAAAAAGAAAAAGTGCAGCAGTAAGACCAGCTGACTACCAACTGGGCAAAATAGAAGGCATCCACGTTTGGTTGTGATTTGTCTATAGGTGGCGTTTTCTCAGACAGGAAGGGCGGAAGACCTTGGCTCAAAGACAGGGCTTCTTGGCATATCTGGAGCACTACTGCCATCGCGAGGAAGTCGTTTAGTGAATCCCTACGCCATTATTACAGCGTTCTCTGAGGACTACCTGTTGGGGAAGGACTGGTCTGTGGGGAAGTGGAAGAGGCTTGGGCTCCAGGCTGGGAGTCCTTGCCTTCTTGTCTAAGGCCTTAAAAGAGACATGGACATTGGCGATATTTTGGTATAGAACCTGGAGAGTGAAGGTTCTAATAGCAAATCCTGTAAACTTCCCTTTGAATACCTTTGTTGATTTTGCGCGGTACTTATGCTACCAGAGACCCAAAGACCCATAGCAAGATGACAGCACATGAAAGCCAGCTGACTCTTGCTCCAAGGGGCAATTACATGAGACAGATGCCCCCAAGAGCCTCCATTTGTGTTTGAGTGGGTTCCTGCAGTCCTGCCCACACTAGGAACCGAGACCCCGCCCCACGACTTCCTGTGCCAGGACCGCTGGGCAGCTGCTGCTTCATTGCAAGCCCCTCACTCTCCAGGTTCTACACCAAGATATCGCCAATGTACAGGTTTCTCTTCAGGAGTTCCAGGAGAAGCCAAGAAGACCTAGCCTGGAGCCCAAACCTCTTCCACCACCGCACAGATCAGACCTTCCCCCACAGCCAGGCTTCCCGGAAAGAAGCTATAATGGCGTATTGCGTTATTAAACGATTTCCTCACGGTGGCAGTAGTACTCCATATTTTCAAGAAAGCCCTCTCTTGGCGCCCTTTTCTCCCGCCCTTCCTGGCTGAAAAAAACGCCACCCAGAGACAAAGGCACCACCCAACATGGCTTCCTGGAGATTTGTCCAGTTTGGTGCAACCTGGTCTTACTGTTGAATTTTTCCTTTTTTTACTCCGTGTGAAAACAAAATGAGGCCTAAACCACCCAGGTTCATCAGGAATCTTGTTCTTTCAGAAATTAAATACACTCCTCACTGAGTCTATCTGGGTATGATTTACTTCACACAGTTACAGGTCCAGCAAGTTTCATGGCATAAAATTGTCTCCTTAAGGTGATAAATTGTGTGGATGCAGGTACAACAACAAAGGTAGATATCAAAGAGATAGATAACCAATACATGAAATTTGAAACAAGCTAAGTGAAAGAAGGAAGTTGAAAACGGCCACTTGTTATGATCAGTAGTGAGGGAAAGCAGATGAGTGTTTGTCAGGGACTGGGCAGAGAGAGAGCCCAATGCGGAATGACTGCTTAATGGGTCCGGGGTTTTGTTTTGTGGTAATGAAAATGATTTGCCACTATGTAGTGGTAATGCTTGCACGGCATCTTGAATGTACTAAATGCCACTCAATTTCACACATTTTAATGGCTAATTTTATGTTATATGAATTTTACAAACTCAGTTCTAAAAAGTGCCAATACTTTTAAACCTATCATTATTTCTATGGATAATTAATTATATTAGAAAAGTGCTCAAATTATCAGTGAAGAAAACTTGTTTATAACAGTTATACTACTGGGTGGCCGGGCATGACACCTCATGCCTATAATCCTAGCACTTTGGGAGTCTGAGATAGGAGGATGGCTTGAGGTCAGGAGTTCGAGGTCAGCCTGGTCAACATAGCGAAACCCCATATCTTTTTTTTTTTTTTGAGACAGAATCCCGCTTTGTCGCCCAGGCTGGAGTGCAGTGGCGCGATCTGGGCTCACTGCAACCTCCGCCTCCTGGGTTCAAGCAATTCTCCTGCCTCAGCCTCCCAAGTAGGTGGGACTACAGGCGTGTGCCGCCACACCCGGCTAATTTTTTGTATTTTTAGTAGAGACGGGTTTCACCATTTTAGCCAGGATGGTCTCAATCTCCTTACCTTGTGATCCGCCCGCCTCAGCCTCCCAAAGTGCTGGGATTACAGGCGTGAGCTAACCTGCCCGGCAACGAAAACCCATATCTAAAATAAAAAGTAAAAAACCTGTTATACTACAGAGGAAATTGAACATTAGTTTTAAAAAGTCCATATTATATGTGCATAGGGAAAAGTGATTATTTCTTCTCACTATGTTTGACCTACCATATGTTTTCTGCTTTATAATTTCTTAAAGTTCTTGTAGAATAAAATACAAAAAAATTAAAGCACTCAAAAGTATATATTGATGTAGATATATTCAAAGAGCATAAAGTGATGCTGCAGATTTTGTACAAATTTCAAACATTATGCATCCAATTATATTTAAACTGTATCAAGTGTGTGTGTATTTATATCTGTCTGGAGATATATTACAAAATTTTAAATGCCATATATATATATGAGACTGTCTCACTGTTGCCTAGGCTGGAGTGCAGTGGCATGATGATCATGGATCAATGCAGCATCAATCTCCCTGGGATCAGGTGATCTTGCCACCTCTGCCTCCTATACGTACCTGGGGCTTCTGTTGTACCCCACCATGCCCAGCTATAGTTTGTATTTTTTGTAGACACAGGTTCTACCTACATTGCCAGGGCTGGTATTGAACTCGTGGGCTCAAGCTGTCTACCTGCCTCGGCCTCCCAAAGTGCTGCAATTACAGTTGTAAGCCACCGCGCCCAGCCAATGCTATAAATTTTTAATCGTGGTAGATGTTATACTGAGTATATGTTTGAAGATGGCATTTTTGGTGAACAAATTCACATTTTTAATGCATCGTTATATAAACAGAGACACTAATGAAGCATTCTAGCTGCATGTAAGCTGTGTGAATGCATCCATCTTACAGTTTTCTTAGGTTACACATCTAGCTGACTGAAAGTGAGAGATGCCTATTTCAATTACCATTTATTAAATTTTTTATCCTTTTGAGATTTTAGAGATAAAATTTTAAGGTAAGAATTAGCAATAAAATTTGAAGAAGAATTAAAAATCCTTATTTTCATAGGTATAAGTATGTAACATACATATGTTTATATTGTATATAAATATGGATTTATATGTTTATGTATGTATAAATATATATATTAAATTTAAAAGTGCAAGTTCAGAACTTATGTTTTGATGAATAGTCCAAACAAGAAGTTCTTTGCAAATATTTTATTGTAAAAAATTCAGATATTGCAAATTTTTATGAGAATATCAAGAACTCCTTAAGAATCAGATGTGGAAATCTTAATCTTCATCATTATGTATGGATAAATTCAAGTAAAATGTAAATTTATTGTGGTGTTTGACTGTATATATAGAACTTTTTTATCTGTGTATTGAAAAAATAGGAGTAGGCCAGGCACAGTGGCTCATGCCTGTAATCCCAGCACTTTGGGAGACCGAGGTGGGTGGATCATGAGGTCAGGAGATCGAGACCATCCTGGCCAACATGGTGAAACCCCGTCTCTACTAAAAATACAAAAAATTAGCGGGGCGTGTTGGCAGGCGCCTGTAGTCCCAGGTACTTGGGAGGCTGAGGCAGGAGAATGGCGTGAACTCGGGAGGTAGAGCTTGCAGTAAGCCAAGATAGCGCCAATGCACTCCAACCTAGGCAACAGAGCGAGACTCCCTCTCAAAAAAAAAAAAAAAAAAGAAAAGAAAAAAATATGAGTAAATATGGAAACGGTTATCAGTGTTTAATACACAGTTTTATGACGTCGCATTTCTCTTCATCAGCAGTTGGTTACTTTTCACTTTGCAAATTCCATGTCTTTGTTACTAATAAGAAAATATAGGACTGATTCCTAACTGAAAAACAGTAAGACACATACACAACAAAGTCATAGAACACAGTTGTAAGTCATAGCCTTGTAATGACACTGGAAAATATTTCTGTTCCAATGTTAAATAATGAAACTATGAGACAAAATCCCGTGACCCATCTGATTAGGACTTATAGTCATTCCTGTATTTGTGTCCATTCAAGTAGGGTTGTGTGTGTCTTGTCAGAATTGAGAGCTATCTGAGCCCTTATGTTAGAGCCCCACTAAATAGCCGCCCCTCCCTCAACATATAAGGCCTAATGACTAGGTCAGAATATGGAGTAAAACTCCCAGGGAACCTGGGGAGGAAGTCAGGACAAGAAACACGTGGCCTTGTGCCTAGATTTGCTCTTCTCCAAGACCTTAGGGGTAAGCTTTTTTTTTCTTCTCTCCTTAGGCATGGAAAGCTAAGGTCTTTCCAGAATACTACAAGAGTACTTGATATCATAATAAAACACTATAGATATGATGCTGAGTGAGTAAGAGTAGAAATGGGAAGACTTGGTTGTGCAGAAACTAAGTTATTAAAAGGAGGAGATGCTTGATGAGGGTGAGTGGATTACATCTCAGTTTAATATCCAATGGAAACTAAAAGCAAATTGCTGAGTGTAATATGTTTACAAAAATTGAGCAAAATGTTGGGGAGCCATAGTTTCTGGTGTCTTTGTCTCTTCATGGCCTTTTTTTAGAAACATGTAGTGATGTATCTGTAAAAATTCCACAAAAAACTGATAGTGTCTACTTTACTAAAGTAATATTCCTGAGGCCCTATGTTAAGATTTACCTTTATTTATATTGAAGGTGTGAAATGTTGAGATATAAGACTTAGTACTGGGCCGGGTGGGGTGGCTCACACCTGTAATCCCAGCACTTTGGGAGGCTGAGGCCAGCGGATCACGAGGTCGGGATTTCGAGACCAGCCTGACCAACATGGTGAAACTCCATGGGCGTGGTGGTGCACGCCTGTAATCCCAGCTGCTCAGGAGGCTGAGGCAGGAGAATCCCTTGAACCCGGGATGCAGACCTTGCAGTGAGCGGAGATCCCACCACTGCACGCCAGCCTGGGCGACAGAGCGAGACTCTATCTCAAAAAAAAAAAAAAAAAAAAAAAAAAAAGAGTTAGTACTGGTGACATTCTAATAAAATCACGATCCTCAAATGTTTGTTAAAATACACACTCGGGGTGGGTGGGCGCGGTGGCTCACACCTGTAATCCCAGCACTTTGGGAGACCAAGGCGGGCGGATCACGAGGTCAAGAGATCGAGACCTTCCTGGCTAACACGGTGAAACGCCGTCTCTACTAAAAAGTACAAAAAATTAGCAGGGCGTGGTGGCGGGCGCCTGTAGACCCAGCTAGGCGGGAGGCTGAGGCAGGAGAATGGCGTGAACCCGGGAGGCGGAGCTTGCAGTGAGCAGAGATACACCACTGCACTCCAGCCTGGGCGACAGAGCGGAGACTCCGTCTCAAAAAAAAAAAAAAAAATACACTTGGTGTGATCCAAATCACAGTGTACACAGTAATCCACTTTTAACACAGATCAAGATTCCTGATGAGGGCGGGTGGTTTAGGCCTTGGTTTCATTTGAACTGGAAACCAAAAGAAAAAGCTCAGCAGTAAGACTAGCTGGCTGCAAACTGGGCTAAATGTAAGGCACCCATTCTGCAGGGCCTTTGTCTATAGGTGGCGTTTTTTCAGACAGGAGGGGCGGGAAAAGAGGGCTCTGGAACAGTGCTTCGTCCCATACCTGAAGCACTACTGCCATCGCGAGGATGTTGTTTAACAAATCCCTACGCCATTACGGTGTTCTCCTGAGGACTACTTGTTGGGGAAGTTCTCTGTGGGGAGGTGGAAAAGGCTTGCTCCATGCTGGGAGTCCTAGCCTTCTCGTCTAAGGCCTTAAAGGACACCAGGACTTTGGCGGTGTCTTGGTATAGAACCTGGAGTGTGAAGGTTCTAATACCAAATCCTGTAAACTTCCCTGGAATAAACCTGTTGTTTGTGCGCGGTACTGGTGCTACCAGAGACCCAAAGACCCGTAGCAAGATGCTAGTTCGAGAAAGCCTGCTGACTCTTGCTCCAAGGGACAGGAAGAAGAGACAGATGCCCACAAGAGCCTCCATGTGTGTTTGAATGGGTGCCTTCAGTCCTGCCCACACTTGGAGGAACCGAGGCCCCGCCCTACGTCTTCCTGTGCCAGGATCGCCTGGCAGCTGCTGGTTCACTACAAGCCCCTCACTCTCCTGGTTCTACACCAAGCTACTACCAATGTTAAGGCCTCTCTTCAGGTCTTAGAGGAGAAAGCTAGAAGACCTAGCCTGGAGCCCAAGCGTCTGCCACCTCCCACAGTTCAGACTTCCCCCCACAGCAAGTCTTTCTGGGAAGGACGCTGTAATGGCGTATTGTGTCTTCAAAGGATTTCCTCACGGTGGCAGTCGTGCTTCACATTATTAAGGAATCCCTATCTTGGAGCCCTTTACTCCCGCCCTTCCCGTCTGAAAAAACGCCACCCAGAGACAAAGATGCCACCCAATATGGCTACCTGGAGATTTGTCCAGTTTGGTGCAACCTGGTCTTACTGTTGAATTTTTACTTTTTTTTTTTTTCCATCTGAAAGCAAAATGAGGCCTAAACCACCCATGCTTCTCAAGAATCCTGTTGTTTCAGAAATTAAATATACTCCTCACTGAAGCTATCTGGGTATGATTTACCTCACACAGTTACAAGGCCTGGAAGTTCCATGGTATCAAATTGTCTCCTTCAGGTGATACATTGGATGGATGAAGGTACAAAAACAAAGAAAGATATCTAAGAGATAGATATCTAAGAGACAGATATCAAAGAGATAGAAAACCAATTCATGAAGTTTGAAGCGCTAAGTGAAAGAAGCAGTACTGAAGCAGGAGATGTAAAAGAAAAAAAAAAGGGAGAGAAAAGCTGGTTCTCTGTGCTGGGCTGACTCACTCCAAGGCCCAGCGATAAGTAGGGCTCTGTCAGGACTTTGATAGCACTATCAGCAGAGTGGGGGCCGAGAAGGAGTGGGCTCTAGAAGCAGGGATAAGAAAAACAAGTTATTTGGCCAGGCACGGTGGCTCACACCTGTAACCCCAGCACTTTGGGAGGCCGAGGTGGGAGGATCACCTGAGATCAGGAGTTCAAGACCAGCCTGGCCAACATGGTGAAACCCCGTCTCTACTAAAAATACAAAAATTAGCCAGGCATGTTGGCAGGCAGCTGTAATCCCAGCTACTTGGAAGGCTGAGACAGGAGAATCACTTGAACCCGGGAGGAGGAGGTTGCAGTGAACCGAGATCACACCATTGCACTCCAGCCTGGGGGACAAGAGCAAGACTTCATCTAAAAAAAAAAAAGAAAGAAAAACAAGTTCTTTTTATCAGTTTCCCCTTTGAAATTCTTTCCCCATACCATTATTCTTTGTTCTGCTCTCACAACTATTTTTGTAACTGTTTCTGCAAGCTTGTAAGGATTTTGTAAGTTCCTGTTTTCCAGCTGTGCAGTTATGGCAAAGGTCACAAGACATGCCTGAACTGTAAAACCTGTCACTGTTTGATAAACTGCCTTTGTTCTGCTGTAAGCTTGCTTACCGGCCTTACAGGTTTTGGGCCCTTTTCAGATATATGTATAAAAGTCAAGCCCTCTCTTGGTTTGGGGCTCAGCCTTTGGATGTTAATCTGCTGAGTCGGTGACCACCTAGTAAAATCCTCCTGTTCCACCCATTGGTCTCTCTGGTCTCCTGGTTCCCACAACAAGATGAACAAGGCCACTTGTTGTGATGATCAGTAGTGAGGGAAATCAGATGAGTGTTTGCCAGGGGCTGGGCAGAGAGTGGAATGGGGAATGACTAACTAATGGGTCCAGGATTTTCTTTTGTGGTAGTGAAAATGATTTGCCACTACATAGTGGTAATGCTTGCACTGCATTGTGAGTGTCCTAAATGCCATTGAAATTAATACATTTTAATGGTTAATTTTATGTTATATGAAGTTTACAAACTCAGTTTTTAAAAGTGCCAATACTTTTAAAGCTATCATTATTTCCATGAATTATTAATTATATTTGAAAAGTACTCCAGTTATCAGTGAAACAAACTTGTTTTAACAGCTATAGTACATGGTGGCCAGTCAAGGTGCCTCGTGCCTGTAATCCTAGCACTTTGGGAGTCCAAGATGGGAGGATCGCTTGAGACCAGTGGTTCGAGATCAGCCTGGTCAACAGAGTGAAACCCCATATCTAAAATGAAAAATACAAAAAAAAAAAAATAAACAACAACAAGAAGTTATACTACAGGGGAATTTGAACATTAGTTTATAAAAGTCCATATTATGTATATATAGGGAACAGATCATAGTACCTAGCACAGACCTTTAAAAAGTGATTATTTCTTCTTACTATGTTTGACCTACCACAAGTTTTCTACTTTATAATTTCTTACAGTTCTTCTAGAGTAAAATATAAAAAATTTCAAGCACTCAAAAGTATGTATTGATGTAGATATATTCAAAGAATATAAGGTGATGCTGAATATGTATATGTATATATACACACATATATATATACACATATATGTATATACACACACATATGTATATACACACACACACACACACATATATATATATATATATACACACAGATATGCATATATATATATTTTAGACAGCATCTTACTCTGTTGCCCAGGGTGGAGTGTAGAGGCATGATCATGGCTCACTGCAACATCAGCCTCCCTGGGCTGAGGTGATCCTCCCATTTCCGCCTCCTACGTAGCTAGGGCTTCCATTGTAGGTCACCATGCCTGGCTATTTTTTGTATTTTTTGAAGAGACGGGGTCTCTCTACATTGTCAGGGCTGGACTTGAACTCCTAGGCTCAAGCTATGCACCTGCCTAGGCCTCCCAAAGTGCTAGAATTACAGTTGTGAGCCACCATGCCCGGCCAATGCCATATCTTTTTAATCGTGGTAGGTGTTATAGTGAGTATATGTTTGAAGATGATATTTTTGACCAGTAAATTCATATCTTTAATTCATCGTTATATAAACAGAGACACTAATGAAGCACTCTAGCTCCATGTGAGTTGTGTGAATGCATCCATCTTACAGTTTTCTTAGGTTACACATCTAGGTGACTGGAATGTGAGAGATGCCTATTTCAACTACCATTTATTGAATTTTGTTATCCTTCTTTTGAAATTTCTTTTTTGTGTGTGTGAGATGGAGTCTCGCTCTGTCACCAGGCTAGAGTGCAGTGGCTCAATCTCAGCTCACTGCAACCTCTGCCTCCTGGATTCAAGTGATTCTCCTGCCTCAGCCCCCCGAGTAGATGGGACTATAGGCATGCACCACCATGCCTGGCTAATTTTTTTGTATTTTTAGTAGAGACGGGGTTTCACCATGTTGGCCAGGTTGGTCTCAATCTCTTGACCTCGTGATCTGCCCACCTCAGCCTCCCAAAGTCCTGGGATTACAGGCTTGAGCCACTGCGCCCAGCCTGAAATTTTAAAGATAATGTTTTGTGGTAAGAACTAGGAGTAAAAATTTGAGAAGTATTAAAAATCCTAATTTTCAGGGGTATAAATATGTATAATACATATGTTTATGTTGTATATAAATATGTATTTATATGTTTATGTATGTGTAAATACATACATATTTTCGATTTAAAAGTGCAAGTTGAGATCTTATGTTTTTATGAATAGGCCAATCACAAGTTCTCTGCAAGTATTTTATTGTCTAAAGTTCAGATATTGCAAATTTTTTATGAGAATATCAAAAACTCCTAAGGAATCAGTGGTGAAACTTTTAGTTCTTTAACCTTATATATAGCTAAATTGAAGTAAAATGTAAATTTATTGTCGTGTTTGACTGTATATATAGAACTTTTGATCTGTGTGTAAAAAATTGGAGTAAATATGGAAACGGTTAATATTGTTTAATACAGTTTTATTACATTGGTTTTCTCTGGATCAGCACATGGTTATTTTTATTTTTATTTCTTTCCTTTTTTTTTTTTTTTTGAGACGTAGTTTTGCTCTTGTTGCCCAGGCTGGAGTGCAATGGCATGATCTCGGCTCACCGCAACCTCTGCCTCCCAGGTTCAAGTGATTCTCTTGCCTCAGCCTCCCAAGTAGCTGAGATTACAGGCATGTGCCACCACACCTGGCTAATTTTGTATTTTTAGTAGAGACGGGGTTTCACCATGTTGGTCAGTCTGGTCTTGAACTCCCGACATCAGGTGATCTGCCCTCCTAGGTCTCCCACAGTGCTGAGATTACAGGCATGAGCCACCGCCCCCCTCCCCCCGCCCCCTTTCTTTTCCTTGAGAGGGAGTCTTACTCTGTCGCCAGGCTGGAGTGCAGTGGGGTGATCTCGGCTCACTGCAACCTCTGCCTCCCAGGTTCAAGTGATTCTCCTGCCTCCGCCTCCCGAGTAGCTGGGACTACAGGTGCGCACCACCAGACTCAGCTAATTTTTGTGTTTTTAGTAGAGATGGGGTTTCACCATGTTGGCAGGATGGTCTCAATCTCTTGACCTTGTGATCCACCTGCCCCCACCTCCCAAAGGGTTTTTTTTAACTTCATTGCAAATTCCATGTCTTCCTTACTAATAAGAAAGTATAGGACTGATTCCTAGGTGAAAAACAGTAAGACACATACACAACAAAGTCATAAGAGGCAGTCCTAAGTCATAGCCTTTTTGTTTGTTTTGAGACGGATGGAGTCTCACTTTGTTACCCATGGTGGAGTGCATCGGCACGACCTTAGCTCACTGCAACCTCTGCCTTGGGTTCAAGCAATTCTCCTGCCTCAGCTTCCCAAGTAGCTGGGATTATGGGCATGCACCACCATACCTGGCTAATTTTTTTGTATTTTAGTAGAGGCAGGGTTTCACCATGTTGGCCAGGTTTATCTCGACCTCCTGACCTCAAGTGATCTGCCCACCTCGGCCTCCCAAACTGCTGGGATTACAGGTGTGAGCCAGCACACCCAGCCAGTCATAGCCTTTTAATGACATTGGAAAATATTTCTGTTCCAATGTTGAATAATGAAACCATGAGACAAAATCCTGTGATCCATCTGATTAGCATTTATAGTCATTCGTTTGTGTCCATTCAAACAGGGCTGTGTGTGTCTTGTCAGGTTTAAGAGTTACATGGGCACTTATGTTATAGCCCCTCTAAATAGTGGCCTCCCGCTCAACATATAAGGCCTAATGACTAGGTCAGAACATGGAGTAAAACTCCCAGGGAACCTGGGGAGGGAGTAAGGACAACAACCACGTGGCCCAGTGCCTAGATTTGCTCTTCTCCAAGACCTTGGGGGTAAGCTTTATTTTTAATTCTTTCTTAGGCATGGATCCTTAAGGTCTGTTCCCAATACAACAAGACTATTTGTTATCATAATAAAACACTGCTGATAGGATGCTGAATGAAAAAGAGTAGAAGTGGGGAGATTTGGTTGTGCAGAAACTGAGTTCTTAAAAAGAGGAGATGCTTGTTGAGGGTGAGTGGATCTCATCTCAGTTCAATATCCAATGGAAGCCAAAAGCAAATGGTTAAGAGTGGAAAATGGTTACACATATTGAGCAAAATATTAGGTATCCGTAGTTTCTGTTGTCTTTGTCTCTTCATGGCGTTTTGTTTTGAAACGTATAGTAATGCATCTTTAAAAATTCAAACAAAAAGATGATAAGTGTCTACTTTTCTAAAGTAATATTCGTGAGGCCCTATTTTAAGGTTTACCTTTACTCATATTGAAGGCATGAAATGTTGACATATAAGACTTCGTACTGGTGACATTCAAATGAATTCACCCTCCTCAAAGGTTTGTTAAAATGCACACTTGATCTGATCCAAACCACAGTGTACACAGTAATCCACTTTCAATACAGATTTATTTTTTCATGAAATTAACAATGTATGTACATATTTAAAGATATTCCTGGAAATAATCCAAAAGTTCTTAAGTTGCCTTGACTAGTTGTATGGTAGTGGTTTTCTTCATTATTAATACATGGATTTTTCTTAATCTTTGTCAAGCATTATTCTTTAATTTACTAGTTAATTCTTATACCTAAAAGACATTATAAAACTCTCAGAGACACACACAAACACAACCACACACAGCCCATAAAGTCTCAGGGAATACTTGAAGAATATGTAGTGGCATGGGCACATGCTGTGTTTTGATGTTAAATGATGAGACCATGAGTTGAAACTCTGAGTCACCTTGACAGGAATTGAGCATATGTACTATGAGTATCATGCCATGTGGAGTATACATGGCATGCAATAAAGAGCGTCACCTGGTTTCTCCTCTAATGGCTCATGCCAAATTGTTGCCTACGATGTACCACATAAGGCTCTTAGAATAGGAAGAATTCCCTGGATGCCTGACAGGGGAGCCAGGGCCAAGATCTCTGGGATTTTTAAATTGTTGCTGGAGTTCCTTTCCAAGCTTTCAGCCCTTTTCTCCTTTTTGTGCGTTCATACACTGAAGCTATCCCCTGAAAAAGACAGTTTGATGCCACGGAAATTATTGGACCTGTAACTCTGAAGTAAATGAAACCCACACAGACTAGGTCAGTAGAATAATTTCTTAAAGAACAAAATTCCTGATGAGGGTGGTTGGTTTAGGCCTTGGTTTGATTTCAAGTGGAAAACAAAAAGAAAAAGCACAGCAGTAAGACCAGCTGGCTCCAAACTGGGCAAAATAGAAGACATCCATGTTTGGTGGCTCTTTGTCTATGTGTGGCGTTTTTTCAGACAGGAAGGGCGGGAGAAGAGGGCTACGTAACAGGACTTCTTGGCATATCTGGAGCACTACTGCCATCACGAGGAAGACGTTTAACGAATTATAGTCGTTTAACGCCATTACAGAGTTCTCTGAGCACTACCTGTTGGGGTAGGTGTGGTCTGGTAAGAGGTGAAAGAGGCTTGGCCTCCATGCTGGGCGTCCTTGCCTACTTGTCTAAGGCCTTAAAAGAGACCTGGACATTGGCAATATCTTGCTATAGAACCTGGAGTGTGAAGCTTCTAATAACAAATCCTGTAAACTTCCCTTTGAATAAACCTGTTGTTTGGTCACAGAGACCCAAAGACCCATAGCAAGATGCCAACATCAGAAAGCTTGCTGACTCTTGCTCCAAGGGACAGGAAGAAGAGACAGATGCCTACAAAAGCCTCAATGTGTGTTTGAGTGGGTTCCTGCAGTCCTGCCCACACCAGGAGGAACTGAGGCCCCGACCCACGACTTCCTGTGCCAGGACCGCCTGGCAGCTGCTGGTTCACTCCAAGCCCCTCACTCTCCGGGTTCTACACCAAGATACCACCAATGTCTATGTCACTCTTCAGGCGTTAGAGGAGAAGGCAAGAAGACCTCGCCTGGAGGCCAAGCCTCTCCCACCTCCCAACAGATCAGCCTTTCCCCACAGCGAGGCTTCCTGGGAAGGAGGCTCTAGTGGAGTATTATGTCTTTAAGCGATTTCCTCACGGTAGTAGTAGTGTTGCACATTTTCAGGGAAGCCCTATGTTTGAGGCCTTTCTCTTGCCCTTCGTCTATGAAATAAGCAAACCAGAGATAAAGGCGCCACCAAACATAGCTGCCTGGAGATTTGTCCAGTTTGGTGCAACCTGGTCTTAACTGTTGATTTTTTTTTGGTTTTGTTTTGTTTTTCCAACTAAAAACAAAATTCAGCTTAAACCACCCGTGCTTATCAGGAATTTTGTTCTTTCAGAAATTAAATATACTCCTCACTGAGTCTATCTGGGTATGATTTACTTCACACAGTTGCAGGTCCAGCAAGTTCCATGGCATCAAATTGTCTCCTTCAGGTGATAAATTGGGTGGATGAAGGTACAATAGCGAAGATCCATATCCAAGAGGTAGATGTCAATAAGATAGATAACCAATGCATGAAATTTGAAACGCGCTAAGTGAAAAAAGCAAGACTTTGGAAAAGACCACTTATTGTGATGATCAGTAGTGAGGGAAAGTAGATGAGTGTTTGCCAGGGGCTGGGCAGAGAGTGGAATGGGGAATGCTTAATGGGTCCAGGGTTTTCTTTTGTGGTAATGAAAGTGCTTTGCCAATAGATAGAGATAGTGCTTGCACTGCATTGTGAAAGTACTAAATGCCACTGAATTTCACACATTTTAATGGTTAATTTTATGTTATATGAATTTTACCAACTCAGTTTTAAAAAGTGCCAATAATTTTAAACCTGTCATTATTTCCATGAATAATTATATTTGAAAAGTACTCAAGTTATCAGTGAAGAAATCTTGTTTTAACAGTTATACTACGAGGTGGCTGGGCTTGGTGCCTCATGCCTGTAATCCTAGCACTTTGGGAGGCTGACATGGGAGGATTGCTTGAGGCCAGGATTTCGAGATCAAACTGGTCAACATAGGGAAACCCCATATCCAACATTAAAAAACAAAAACAGTTGTACTATAGGGGAATTTGAACATTAGGTTATAAAAGTCCATATTATATGTGCAGAGTGAACAGATGATAATACCTAGCACAGACATTTTAAAAGTCATTATTTCTTCTCACTATATGAGACCCAGCATGTTTTCTGCTTTGTAATATCTTAAAGTTCTTCTAGAGTAAAATATAAAAAAATTCCAAGCACTCAAAAGTACATATGGATGTAGATATATTCAAGGCATATAAGACAATGCTGAAGATTTTGTACAAATTTCAAACAGTATACATCCAATTATATTTAAACTGTGTTGAGTGTGTGTGTATTTATATCTGTCTGTAGGTATATAACAATATTAAAAAAAAAAAAATATATATATATATATATATATATATATATATATATATGACAGTGTCTCATTGTTGCCCAGGTGAGAGTGCAATGGCATGATCATGGGTCACTGCAGAATCAACCTCCCTGGACTCAGGTGGTCGTCCCATCTCCGCCTCCTACATAGCTGGGGCTTCTGTTGCACGCCACCATGCCTGGTTATTTGTTGTATTTTTTGTAGATACGGGGTCTCACTACATTGCCAGGAATGGTCTTGAACTCCTGGGCTCAAGCTATCCTCCTGCCTTGGCCTCCCATAGTGTTGGGATTACAGTAGTGAGCCACTGGGCCCGGCCAATGCTATATATATTTAATCATGGTAGGTGTTATAATGAGTATACGTTTGAAGATGGTATTTTTGGCCAACAAATTCAAAACTTTAATTTGTCATTATATAAACAGAGACAGTAATAAAGCATTCTAGCTGCATGTGAGTTGTGTGAATGCATCCATCTTACAGTTTTCTTAGGTTACACCTCCAGGTGACTGAATGTGAGAGATGCCTATTTCAACTATCATTTATTGAATTTTGCTATCTTTCTTTTGAGGTTTCAAAGATAAAATTTTAAGGAAAGAATTAAGAATAAAAATTTGAGAAGAATTAAACATCCTAATTTTCTAGGTATAAGTATGTATAATACATATGTTTCTATTGTATATAAACGTGTTTCTATTTTATGTGTGTATAAATATACATATATTTTAGATATAAAAGTGAAAATGGAGAACTTATGTTTTGATGAATAGTCCAATCAAGAAGTTTTTGCAAATATTTTATTGTCTAAAATTCAGATATTGCAACTTTCTTATGAGAATAAAAAAACCTCAGGAATCAGATGTGAAACTTTTAATTCTTCAACTTTATTTATATATCTAAATTCAAGTAAAATGTAAATTTATTGTGGTGTTTGACTGTATATATAGAACTTTTTATCTGAGTGTTGAAAAAATGAGAGGAAATATGGAAACAATGATCATTGTTTAATACAGTTTTATGACATTGCTTTTCTCTTGATCAGCACATGGTTATTTTTAACTTCTTTGCAAATTCCATGTCTTTGTTACTAATGAGAAAATATAGGACTGATTCCCAACTGAAAAACAATAAGACACATACACAAGAAAGTCATAGGGCACAGTCCTAAGTGACAGCCATTTAATGACACTGGAAAATATTTCTAATTCAGTGTTAAATAATGAAACTATGAGACAAAATCCTGTGATCAATCTGATTAGTATTTACAGTCATTCCTGTGTTTGTGTCTATTCAAGTAGGGCTGTGTGTGTCTTGTCAGGCTTGAGAGCTATCCGTACCCTTATGTTAGTGCCCCACTAAATAGCATCCTCCCCCTCAATGTATAAGGCCTACTGACTAGATTAGAACATGGAGTAAAATTCCCGGGGAACCTGAGTAGGGAATCAGGACAAGAACCACGTGGCCTGGTGCCTAGATTTGCTCTTCTCCAAGCCTTTAGAGGTGAGCTTTTTTTTTTCTTCTCTCCTTAGGCATGGAAACCTAAGGTCTCTCCCCATTACTACAAGACTATTTGATATCACAATAAAATACTGCAGATATGATGCAGAGTGAAAAAGAGTAGAAATGGGAAGATTTGGTTGTGCAGAAACTGAGTTCTTAAAAAGATGAGATGCTTGATGAGGGTGCATGGATTACATCTCAGGTTAATATCCAATGGAAACCAAAAGCAAATGGTTAAGAGTGGAAATTGTTTACACAAATTGAGCAAAATGTTAGGTAGCCATAATTTCTGATGTCTTTGTCTCTTCATGAACTTTTTTTTAGAAATGTGTAGTGATGTAGCTGTAAAAAATCAAAGAGCTGATATTGTCTACTTTACTAAAGTAATTTTCCTGAGGCTGTATGTTAAGATTTACCTTTATTTATATTGAAGGCATGAAATGTTGACATATAAGACTTAGTACTGGTGACATTTGAATTAATTCATGCATCTGAAAGTTTCATTAAAATACACATTTGGTCTGATCCAAACCACTATGTACACAGTAATCCACTTTTTACACAGATTTATTTTTTTGCATGAAGTTAATGTATGCACATTTTGAAAGATGCATGGAAATAATCCATAAGTTCATGAGTTACCTTGACAAGTTGTATGGTAGCGGTTTTCTGTGTTAATACATGGATTTTTCTTAATCTTTGTCAAGCATTATTCTTTAATTTACTAGTTGGAGAATACTGTAATCCTTATACTTAAAAGACCAATTATAAAACTCTCAGAGACACACACAAACACGAACACAAACACACACCCCATAAAGTCTCAGGGAATACTTGAAGAATATGTAATGGCACGGGCACATGCTGTGTTTTGATGTTAAATGATGAGACCATGAGATGAAACCCTGAGCCACCTTGATATGAATTGAACATATGTTCTATGAGTATCATGGCATTTGGAGTATATATGGCATGCAGTAAGGAGCGTCACCTGGTTTCTCCTCTAATGGCTCATGCCAAATTGTTGCCTATGATGTACCACATAAGGCTCTTAGAATAGGAAGAATTCCCTGGATGCCTGACAGGGGAGCCAGGGCGAAGACCTCTGGGATTTTTAAATTTTTTGCTGGAGTTCTTTTCCAAGCTTTCAAGCTTTTAGCCCTTTTCTCTCTCTCTCTCTTTTTTTTTTTTTGAGACACTCTCACTCTGTTGCCCAGGCTGGAGTGCAATAGTGCGCTCTCCGCTTACTGCAACCTTCCCCTCCCAGGTTCAAGTGATTCTCCTGCCTCCTCCTCTGGAGTAGCTGGGATTACAGGCCTGTGCCACCACGCCCGGCTAATTTTTGTATTTTTAGTAGAGACAGGGTTTTGCCATGCTGGCCATAATGGTCTCGAACTCCTGACCTCGGGTGATCCGCCAGCTTCGGCCTCCCAAAGTGCTGGGATTAAAGGCGTGAGCCACCGCGCCCGGCTCCTTTTCTCTTTTTTGTGAGTTCATCCACTGAATGTATTCCCTGAAGGAGACAGTTTGATGCCTCGGAAATTACTGGACCTGTAACTCTGAAGTAAATCAAACCCACACAGAGTAGGTCAGGAGGATATTTAATTTCTGGAAGAACTGGATTCCTGATGAGGACCGGTGCTTTAGGCCTCGGTTTGATTTCAAGTGGAAAACAAAATGAAAAAGTGCAGCAGTAAGACTAGCAGGCTCCACACTGGGCAAATAGAAGGCATCCATGTTTGGTTGCGCCTTTGTCTATGAGTCGCGTTTTTTCAGACAGGAAGGGCAGGAGAAGGGGGCGGTGCTCCAAGACAGGGCTTTCTGGCATATCTGATGCACTACCGCCATCGCGAGGATGTCATTTAACGGATCCCTACGCCATTACATGGGTCGTCTTGTGAGGACTACCTGTTGGGGAAGGTCTGGTCTGTGGGGAGGTGGAAGAGGCTTGGGCTCCATGCTCAGAGTCCCTGCCTTCTCGTCTAAGGCCTTAAAAGAGACGTGGACATTGGCGGTACCTTGCTGTAGAACCTGGAGAGTGAAGGTTCTAACAGCAAATCCTGTAAACTTCCCTTGGAATAACTGTGTTCCTTGTGAGCGATATTGATGCTACCAGAAACCCCAAGACCCATAGCAAGATGCTAGCAAGTGAAAGCCTGCTGACTCTTGCTCCAAAGGGCAGGTAGAAGAGACAGATGCCCACAAGAGCCTCTATGTGTGTTTGACTGGTTCCCTACTGTCCTCCCCACACCGGAGGAACCAAGTTTCCGCTCCACGACTTCCTGTGCCAGTACCTCCTGGCAGCTGCTGGTTCACTCCAAACCCCGCACTCTCCAGATTCTACACCAAGATACCGCCAATGTCCCTGTCTCTTTTCAGGCCTTAGAGGAAAAGGCAGGAAGACATAGCCTGGGGGCCTACAGATCAGCCTTTCCCCCACAGGGAGGCTTTCCGAGAAGGACGCCATGATGGCGTATTCCGTCTTTAAACGATTTCCTCACGGTGGCAGTAGGGTTCCACATTTTCAATCAAGCCCTGTCTTGGAGCCCTTTTCTCCCGCCCTTTCTGTTTGAAAAAACGCCTTCCAGAGATAAAGGCGCCACTGAACATGGATTACTGGAGATTTGTCCAGTTGGGTGCAACTTGGGTTTGTGACCCGTAGAGGGTCAGGATTGCAAGTTGTCCAGGTTCTTGGCGTTTTGAACAAATAATTGCATAAAATGCCCAGCAAAGCAAAGCAAGAATGAAGTAACAAAAGAATGAAAGCAAGGGTTTACTGAAAACGAAAGTACACTCCACACTGTGGGAGATGGCCTCAGCAGAGGCTCAAGGGCCTGGATACAGAATCTTCTTTGGTTCAAATACCCCCTAGAAGTTTCCCATTGGCCACCTCATGTAAGTGGAGTGGTCGCCCGAAATAAATCTGATTGGTTGCAGAAAGGAGACAACCAGAGGCTAAACTGAAGTTACAAAGGTCACACTCCTGTGCAAATATCTGATTGGTTGCAAAAAGCAACCAATCAGAGGCTAGGGTGAAGTTAACAAAGTTATACTTGTATGCAAACGAAGACTAGGCCAGAAGTCAGCCTAATTTGTTGCCACAGCCAATTTTCCATCTGTAGTGCAGAAAAGGTCAAAGGGAGTAGCCTCTGGTCCTTTTGTTACTTAGGCGTTGAAAGTGAGGGTTTTCCTTTCAATTTAGTTCTAGGAAGTCAGCGTAAAACAGCCTTAGGTCCCCTGCCTCCAGGCCCTATTCTCCTGCCTCATCTCCCCGCTGAGAGACTTGATCCCCATAAATCTTTATGTGAGGCAGAGGGACTGAAGAGCTTTCTTCTGTAACTGCTTCATGCCGACCTGGGGCATAGTCCCTACCTATTGGAAATCACGGAACTCTCGCCATGCTCTATCTCGTGGAGGCAGGGTAGCTTCTTGATGGCCAGGGGTGGTGTCTTCACCTGGAACTGGCTGGAACCGTGGTTGCATGATCATCTGAAGCTTGATGATTATCTAGGCGAGAGGAAATGAATTTGGCTAAAAGATTTAATGGGAACTTCAGGGGGTTGATACCTATGCTGTCAGAAATGTTTTTTATAGAGATATGCAGGAGAAAAAAAACAAAACCTGGTCTCTTGTAGAATCTATGCGTTTCCCTAAAGTTTTAGCACGAGCGACTCCATTTTGGTTTGGTTTGGTTTGGTTTGTAGGGGCCTAGTGCATGAGCTCAGTCCAAAACAATGGCCTCCCATAATTTTCTTTAAAAAATTCCCCTTTATTCAGGTTTTCACTTGAGTGAGAGTGGGACCAAAACTTAGGGCCTTAGTGCCACTCTTGGTTACTATTATTTTGGGTTTTCATTCTCAGCACGTCAGGTATAGGTTACGGTGTCCTCATGGTTGCAGATTCTTTTGGCTCTTGTTATTCCAGTTGAAAAGAAACTATATTTCATTTTAGAGATGGCTGCATGCAAGCATTTAAAACCTTTGAGAGAACGCAGCACACCAGGGAGACTATTATTAGAGGATATACCAAGAATTTGGAGTATGCCCCTTACCCAAGATCTCCATAAACCAAACCTCCTAAAACCAAACAGATCAAAGAATGAGCTAGATAAAGAGTTTACTCACTTAATGAAGCAATTTCTTCATCAATTCCCGATCACTGAATTTTTTTTTTTTTTTTTTTTTTTTGAGATGGAGTCTCGCTCTGTCACCCAGGCTGGAGTGCAGCGGCGCGATCTCGGCTCACTGAAAGCTACGCCTCCCGGGTTCACGCCATTTTCCTGCCTCAGCCTCCCAAGTAGCTGGGCCTACAGGCGCCCGCCACCACACCCAGCTAATTTTTTGTATTTTTAGTAGAAACAGGGTTTCACCGTGTTAGCCAGGATGGTCTCAATCTCCTGATGTCATGATCTGCCTGCCTCGTCCTCCCAAAGTGCTGGGATTACAGGCGTGAGCCACCTATGCCTGGCCACTACTGAATTTTTATAATCCTCATTTGATGTATTTCCCCATAGGCCACAAGTGCCAGCAGCTGCACAGATACTTTTTCTGTTTAGCCATTTCTATCCCAACTTTCACAAGAGAATTTAGAATCACTGTGCAACTGCAGCCTTTACAGTAGAATTTGCTATAGAACCTATCATGAGGGATATATTTCCAATCATTGCTTCTTTTACTCCAAATCATGGAAAAAGGACTTAACAAATGATGCCCTTTGAGAAGAGTGAAGGCCCTCTGGCAGTGTTCTCTTCAACCAATGAAATGGGCCAAGAGGAATGAACCAATGTTCTGCTTTTGACTGATTATGAGGCAATGCATGTACCATTAAAGTTTCTTACATACATTGGCCTTTATCCTTTATCTACCAAAGTATAAGCTTATCCATGTAACCTTACACTTGCAGGCTGGCTGGAAGCTCCTTCACAAATAAAAGTACACCCTATTAGTGCACATAACAGACACTTTTCCACTTCTATTGTTCACAGAGACATAAGCAAGAAAAAAACTTTCAAAGAGAAGAGTTTCATGTCACTAGAAGTCTTAATCTGTGACCTTGGGAAAGATATTCACATCAAGGATGCCATCTTCTTCTTGGGAGAAATTTCCCTGGTTAGCTTTACCTCAAGGGTTACAATGGGTGCACAGTTCCAAAAGTGTGGAGGAACCCTTCTTAGTTGCAAGACCATGAACCCAAAGCTCAAGGTCCCTAAGTTTTGTTGTAGTGTGGATGGCAAGGACAGTCTTTTTCTGATGTTCTCAGAAGATCCAAACCATAAAAAGCCTTTTTTTTAACCTGGTGAAAATACACTGTAGCATAATAATCTACTATTAGAACATCAGCTCTGTTGCATAGGAAAGCTTTTATACAACCAGAAAACATGCATTGAAATGACAATTGAATGATATCCCTTTATAAAATGTTTAAATGGCCAACCAGGTGGCCAAATGTACCTGAAACTTTAATTGTTTTCCTAGGAATATGGGATCAAGCATTGGTTATAAACTATTTTAAACAATTTTAGTATTAGCTGGTTTAACACTGTTTTCTTTATATTTAATTATTTGATTTACTTGGGTTAGTAGCTTTATACAAGGAAATTTGGTTATTTCTGTAATTTACAATAACAGCATAATAACTATAATTGTGATTGGTAGCATATATTTAGACATTAGAATTTTAGAAATCCCATACAATTTTGGAATATATATTAGTATTATTCACAAAAATATAACCTAAAGAAGATTAAGCATCATTTTGGCAATCCCATTGTTAGAAATAAATTTTCAGTGCCACAAAAGAAATAGCACTTGAACATGAGTTTTCTCAGCAAGGCAATTTTTCTTCTATAGAAGGGTGCGTCTCACAGATGGAGCAATGGCGAGAGCACACCTGAACAGGGGAGGGGAAGGGGTTCTTATCCCTGATGCAGGTAGCCCCTACTGCTGTGTCGTTGCCCTATAGGCTAGGGTTGGACTGCACAGTCTAAGCTAATTCTGATTGGCTATTTTAAAGAGAGCAGGGGTATGACCAGAATGGCGGGGTGAGCAGTTTTGGTGGGAAGGATGGTTACGGAACACATGACTAAATGTGACAGATCAGAGCGGGTAACCAGGGGTGACTCAGGATGGAGCAGGTGACCAGGGGAACAGGTGTGAACTACTGATTAGAACTGATGGAAAAGGTCATTTACTGAAACCAGGGGCAAGGAGACGAGGAGAATGAGGAAGTTAAACTTTAAAATGGGGAACAAAGAACTGAACATACTGACATACTGATTCTTTGAAGAAAAATTTAGAACTCACTGTATTTAATACCATGTACCTAATCCTGTTTACCTCTCTTTTCTGGACACTTCAGGGACCCTCTGAAGTATTCCAAAAGGCAGGTGCCAGGGAAGACAATTTTGAAACTGAAGTTTGATTTTGGGAATTCCAGATTACTACAAGTTATTTATTTTGCCAAAATGATAGCTCAGAAATTTTAAAGAAGCAAAAACCTTTTATAACCCTTTTGAATTTAGTCAACATGTTCACACAGAGAACCTCTTCAGCAAGACTAATTTCCACAATTCTTCCACCACTTCTTTGAACCTTCAGCTTTTTCCTAATTTAACTCAAAACAATCCTTTAACCCTAGGCAAAACTTGACATTTCCATGCCTTCATTTAACCTTTTACTATAAAAATACATTTTACTGTTTTTACACACCTTGCATGTAAATCTATTTCTAGTAGTTTCAATTAATTCCTAGCAATTTTACCCTTAAGGTAAAACACGGTAAGTTGCTTTACTTGTATGCTAAGTGCAGTCAAGCCTTGCCTTCTTAGTTAAGGGTGTGGTTAGTTTCATATGTCCCCAGGTGTCACCAAGTGTGAAGCAGGCAAGACAGACAGTTCTCAAAACCCAAAAAGCAGTTTGTAACATTAAAACACTTAGCAAACCTTGCATCTGACCAACAGTTTTTTTTTTTTTTTTGAGACAGAGTTTCCCTCTTGTTGCCCAGGCTGGAGTGCAATGGCACAATCTCGGCTCACCACAACCTCTGCCTCCTGGGTTCAAGCAATTCTCCTGTCTCAGCCTCCTGAGTAGTTGGGATTACGGGCTCCCGCCACCACACCCTGCTAATTTTTGTATTTTTAGTAGAGACGGGGTTTCACCATGTTGGCCAGGCTGCTCTCGAACTCCTGACCTCAGGTGATCCGCCTGCCTCGGGCTCCCAAAGCGATGGGATTACAGGCATGAGCCACCACACCTCTCCTACCAATAATCTATAAAACCATCTTTATATCCCAAAGATTGCTAAAGTTATGTGAACTAAAAGGCATTACACTCTACTTTTCTGACAAAATATTTGATTTAAGTTCTTTTTATTATTAAACAAAGTAATTTAAAATTTCAGAGGAGATTAACGAGTTTGCACACAGAGATAGAGGCCAGAGACTGACTGGTAAAAAATTCTTACCCTTTTGGCTGCATGCCAGGTTTCTGGATTGTCTCTCCCTGAGTGGCCCTGGTGACCATGCTTGACTGTATGCAAGGAAACACATTGCCATGAATTAAGAATATTCATAGTTTACAAATTTGGAGAAATTAGCCAGAGAGAGAGAAATATGACTCAAATTCTATTTGTGAGAGTATACTCAACACATTTAGAGTATCAGGAAGCCTAAAATCCAAAAAGTTAGTTTATGGATAAAAAGCTGGTGTGCTCCATTAATTCCTGATACACAATTCAATACCCTTAAGTTCACCAATATCATTATATATTCTGTACAATTAAGAAATTTACTTTAGGCACATGACCAATATGTACTCCAACAGTATCCATGTCAAATGGCGTGGTGGCTCACGCCTGTAATCTCACACTTTGGGAGGCCAAGGCAGGTGGATCACCTGAGGTGGGGAGTTCAAGACCAGCCTGACCAACATGGAGAAACCCCGTCTCTACCAAAAATACAAAATTAGCCTGGCATGGTGGCAGATGCCACCTCAACATAGTGTGAAGCAATGCAAGCATATATGTGAAATTGGCTCCACACTAATTCCAGCTTCATGCTTACCTATATTTTAAAAAAAATTGTCAAACTGCTGATACTTTTTTTTTTTTTTTTTTTTTTGAGACGGAGTTTCACTCTTGTTGGCCAGGCTGGAGTGCAATGGCACGATCTTGGCTCACCGAAACCTCTGCCTCCCGGGTGCAAGTGATTCCCCTGCCTTAGCCTCCCGAGTAGCTGGGATTACAGGCATGCACCACCATGCCCGGCTAATTTTGTATTTTTGGTAGAGATGGGATTTCTCCATGTTGGTCAGGCTGGTCTTGAACTCCCGACCTCAGGTAATCCACCCGCCTTGGCCTCCCAAAGGGCTGAGATTAAAGGCGTGAGCCACTGCTCCAGGTTGCTGATACATTTGTATAATACTTCTTATTTTACTTTAATCAAGACTAAGAACTTTAACTATGAGAATGTTCATTAGCCAAATGTCTCCAATTCTCTCAGGTTTTAAAGAATATTTTATTAATTAAACTTTTCCACAACTTTCTTCCCTACTTATAATGATTCCTTACTACATTGTTTCATAAATAATCTTTTCAAAACTGTAATTTGAACAAAATTTAGATAACTTCTGAATTAGACAAAATTATTATTTTTCCACTAATAACGTAACCCTTTCTGGCCCATTTTGCATACAAAATTACTTGTTAACTAAAATTTTTATCCTTAGTAACGTAAAATGTCAGTGAAACCCTAAACAGCAATAAATTCTGAACTATCAGATATAGGCATTTATAGATAAGAACAATTCCACAATTTTAGAAACATGTTTCCCCGTATCACAACCCTGTCTTAATTGGAAATGACCCAGATATTAAATGAGGATCAAAAATAACTTTAAGATTTTAATTTACACAAAAATTTATCTAAAACATTTACCTCATTCACCGTACTTATTTTTCCTTTTAATAAGGGAGACATGAGACATCAATCAACATATGTAAAACAAACAAGACAGGACAACTGGAGAGGAGGCGGCTTGGGAGATTTTAGATCACAGGTGGGAGACAAAGGGTTGCATCCTTTGAGTTTGTGATTACCTTTTCCAAAGGAAGCAATCAGATATGCATTTATCTCAGTGAGACTTTGAATGGAATGGGAGGCAGGCTCAGCCCAAGCCCCCAGCTTGAATTAACACTGACATTTTAAAATATCCAGCAAAGACAGTGGGAGGCCAAGGCCACAGATCACCTGAGGTCGCAAGTTCCAGACCAGCCTGGCCAACATGGTGAAACCCCATCTCTACTAAAAATACAAAAATAACTAAGCGTGGTAGCAGGCACCTGTAATCCCAGCTACTTGGGAGGATGAGACAGGAGAATTGCTTGAACCTGGGAGGCAGAGGTTGCAGTGAGCAGAGATCGCACCATTGCGTTGCAGCCTGGGCAATAGAGAACGCCATCTCAATAAATAAATAAATAAATAAATAAATAAATAAATAAATAAATAAAATATCTGGCAAAGACAAACAAAATTCAGACAAAATGTATGTCAACAATTCTGAAGGCTTTTCTATTTTTATTCCACCAATATACTTTTTTTAATTTTTATTTCACCTTTAGTGATTATCCAAGACCCCACTATAACAATTAACCCAGTGGCTGAGCACGGTGGCTCATGCCTGTAATCCCAGCACTTTGGGAGGCTGAGGCGGGTGGATCATGAGGTCAGGAGTTCAAGACCAGCCTGGCCAAGATGGTGAAACCCCATCTCTACTGAAAATACAAAAAATTAGCTGGGCTTGGTGGCAGGTGCCTGTAATCCCAGGTACTCAAGAGGCTGAGGCCAGAGAATTGCTTGAACCTGGGAGGTGGAGATAGCAGTGAGCCGAGATCGTGCCACTGCACTCTAGTCTGGGTGACAGAGTGAGACTCCCTCTCAAAAAAAGGAAAAAAAACCAAACCAATTAACCCAGCAGATTTTGTTCACGTGAATGGCCAGAGTACAACCCTTTAAATCTTTGAATTGAGAAAAAGGCTTTCAGATTTTAAGTTCTGAGGGTTTTTTCTGCTTGATCTAGTCTATCATTGAAGCTTTTGAGTGTACTTTGTATTTCATCCTATGATTTCTTCAGTTCCACATTTGCTGTGTGCCCTGGAAAACTCCGTATCTGGTTGGTAATTACCTCAACCATATCCAGAATTGCTTCTGTCATTTCGCTCCTTTCTTTTTCAGAAGTCTCTTGTATCCCCTAATCTTGGTTAAAATCAGTATGCACAATTCTCTATCTGACATTTCTTGAATTTCTTTTGGATAGGGATCTGTTGCTGGAGAATTACTGGGTTCCTTTGGAAGTATCCCGTTTCCTTGCTTTTGATGTTTCCGGTGTCCTTCCGTTGAGATCTGCACATCCTGTGTAAATTGCTTCTTTCAAGTTTGTGAATTCGCTTTGTAGGGGAGGACTTCCTCCTCTTCCCCTTGCGTGGGAGCTGCAGGCTCCAATAGCTTGCAACTTTAGCCATGAGATAGCAATACAAGCTTGCCAGTTTTACTTTGCCCCAACAGATAATCCAATGAAGGCTGTGAACCAAAATTTCGGGTAAGCAGTCTCCATGGCAGTTTGATTTTTAAAGTCTAAACCTCCCCAGACTCCAATAAGGATCACTGGGGCCAAACTAACAAAGGAAGGCATCACACGTTAACGAGGCCCCCTACTTAGAACAGCAGCACAAAAGCCCGGTTACATGCAACACCATCCGGCTTTCCCATTAGACAATAAACTTCAGATTCTAAACAATTTTGGGGCCAAGGAACATTACAACTCTGAGAGAAAATTCCAAGGAGGGCTTAATACTAGACCTTAGAACCTCTGCAGAAAGCATCCTCTTTGGAGAATTTGAGGCACGGAGGATCTTCCAGAGCATCCTCCTGTGGGGTCCAAACTTAGAGTTCCAGACGTCTCTGGCGTTACTTAGGTGGGCACCGGTGCCGCTTTACATGCGTTCCCTCTAGAGCCTTCTATGAACTTTATAAGAATAGCCATGAACTGTATAACTGGAGGCCGGGTGAGCCTTTTTGTTCCTTAGCCAGTAGAGTACAATAAGGAAAGAATTTAGCATAACTCAGTTCTAAAAAGTGCCAATATTTTAAAACCTATTATTATTTCCAAGAATAATTAATTATTATATTTGAAAAGTACTTAATTTGTAAGTGAAGATAACTTGTTTTAATAGTTACACTACAGGATAATTTGAACATTGGCTTATAAGTTCATATTATATGTGCATCGTCAACAGATGATAATATATGGCCCAGACATTTTAAATTACTTCGTCTCACTATGTTTGACCTACCATATACTTTTTGAATTATAATTTCTTAAAGTTCTTCTAGAGTAAAATCCAAAAATCTCAAGCCCTCAAAAGTATATATTGATATGGATTCATGCAGATATTATAAGGTGTTCTAAAGATTTTGTACAAAATTGCAAACAGTATGCATTGAATTATATTGAAAGTAAAATGTGTGTGGGACTGTGTATCTGCATCATATCTGTCTGTATGTATACACAGTTTTAAAATGACATATATATATATTTTTTAGACAGGCTCTCACCCTATCACCCAGACTGGAGTACAGTGGCATGATCGTGGCTCACTGCATCATCGACCTCCCTGCGCTGACGTAATCCTCCCAACTCAGACTTCCAAGTAACTTGAACTACAGATACACACCACCGTGCCTGGCTATTTTTTGTAGAGCCAGGGTCTCACTACATTGCCTGGGCTGGTCTCGAACTCTTGGGCTCAAGTGATCCACCTGCCTCAGTCTCCCAAACTGCTGGGATTACAGTTGTGAGCCACCGCACCTGGCCAATGCCATATATTTTTATTTCATTTTTTATTATTTTTTTTGAGACAGTCTCACTCTGTTGCCCAGGCTGGAGTGCAGTGTTGCTATCTCGGCTCACTGCAACCTCCACCTCCCAGGATCAAGCGATTCTCCTGCCTCAGCCTCCCAAGTAGCTGGGACTACAGGCACCTGCCACCACGCCCAGCTAATTTTTGAATTTTTAGTAAAGACAGGGTTTCACCACGTTGGCCAGGCTGGTCTTGAACTCTTGACCTCATGTGATCTGCCCACCTCGGCCTCCCAAAGTGCTGGGATTACAGTTGTGAGCCATCATGCCTGGCCTAATGCCATATATTTTAAATCATGGTCAGTGTTATAGTGAGTACATGTTTGAATATGATAGTATTGGCCAACAAATTTATATCATTCATATTTATATTAAGACACACATTAATGAAACATTGTAGCTGCATGTGAGTGGTGTGAATACTTCCATCTTAAAGTTTTCTTAGGTTACACATCTAGGTGACTGAATGTGAGAGATGCCTATCTCAACTATCATTTATGGAATTTTGTTATATTTCTTTTGAGATTTTAAAGATAAAATTTAAGATAAGAATTAGGGATAAAAATTTGAGAAGAATTAAAAGCTAATTCTGAGGTATAAGTATGTATAATATATATTTATATTATATGTAATATGTATTTATATATGTGTTCATGTATGTATAGGTAGATTTTTAGATTTTCATTTTGTTGCACAGGCTGGAGTGCAGTGGCACAGTCCTGGCTCACCGCAACCTCTGCCTCCTGGGTTAAAGCAATTCTTGTGCCTCAGCCTCCCGCGTAGCTGGGATTACAGGCGCCCGCACCACTCCTGGCTGGGTTTTTTTTTGTATTTTAGTAGAGACGGCGTCTCACCATGTTGCCCAGGCTGGTCTTGAACTCCTGAGCTCAGGCAATCCGCCCATCTCGGCCTCCCAAAGTGCTAGGATTACAGGTGTGAGTCACTGTACTTGGCCAAGAACTTCTTAACGACTTGTTCAATCAAGTAATTCTTTGCAAATATTTTATTGTTTAAAATCCAGATATTGCAAATTT
Organism: Homo sapiens; assembly: GCF_000001405.40. Classification (NCBI taxonomy): domain Eukaryota; kingdom Metazoa; phylum Chordata; class Mammalia; order Primates; family Hominidae; genus Homo; species Homo sapiens. The sequence goes on along the minus strand of NC_000023.11, from coordinate 131,718,384 downwards.
TTTTATAACAATGTCAAAAACTGTTCAAGAATCACATGTGAAAATGTTCACTCTAAAACATGACGTATAGCTAAATCCAATTTAAATGTAAATTTATTGTAGTGTTTGCATACATATATGTAGAACTTTTATCTATGTATTGAAAGTGGGACAAAATATGGAAAAAGTTATCAGTATTTAATACACAGTTTTATGACATTGCTTTTCTTTTGATCAGCACATAGTTTCTTTTTACTTCTTTGCAAATTCCACGTCTTTTCTACTAATGAGAAAATATAGGATTGAATCCTAACGGAAAAACAATAAGACACATACACAGCAAAGTCATAGGACACGGTCTTAAGCCATTGCCATTTCATGACACTGGAAAATATTTCTGTACCAATATTAAATAATGAAACCATGAGACAAAATCCTGCGATCCATCTGATTAGCATTTATAGTCATTCCTGTATTTGTGTACATTCAAGAAGGGTTGTGTCTGTCAAGTTTAAGAGTTATGTGGACCCTTATCTTAGAGCTCCACTAATTAGCAATAGCGGCCTTCCCCTCAACACGTAAGACCTAATGTCTAGGTCAGAACATAGAGTAGAACTCCCAGGGAACCTGGGTAGAGAGTTTCATGCACGTCCGTGTGAAGAGACCACCAAACAGGCTTTGTGTGAGCAACATGGCTGTTTATTTCACCTGGGTGCAGGCGGGCTGAGTCCGAAAATAGTCAGGGAAGGGAGACAAGGGTGGGGCCGTTTTATAGGATTTGGGTAGATAAAGGAAAATTATAGTCAAAGGGGAGTTGTTCTCTGGCGGGCAGAGTGGGGATCATAAGGTGCTCAGTAGGGAAGCTTTTTGAGCCAGGATGAGCCAGGAAAAGGAATTTCACAAGACAATGTCATCAGTTAAGGCAGGAACAGGCCATTTTCACTTCTTTTGTGGTGGAATGTCATCAGTTAAGGCAGGAACTGGCCATCTGTGTGTGTACGTGCAGGTCACAGGGGATATGATGGCTTAGTTTGGGCTCAGAGGCCTGACATTCCTGTCTTCTTATATTAATAAGAAAAATAAAATGAAATAGTGGTAAAGTCTTGGGACAGCGAAAATTTTGGGGGATGGTATGGAGAGACAATGGGCAATGTTTCTCAGGGCTCCTTTGAGCGGGATTAGGGGCGGCGTGGGAACCTAGAGTGGGAGAGATTAAGCTGAAGGAAGATTTTGTGGTAAGGGGTGATATTGTGGGGTTGTTAGAAGAAACATTTGTCGTGTAGAATTATTGGTGATGGCCTGGATACGGTTTTGTATGAATTGAAAAACTAAATGGAATAAGAGAAGGAGAAAAACAGGTATAAAAGGTCTAAGAATTGGGAGGACCCAGGACATCTGATTAGAGAGTGCCTAAGGAGATTCAGCATAGTCCTGCCAGCAAAGATTATTTATTTACTTCAAGAGTTTAGAGTGGCAGTTTGGGGATAGCACCAGGAGATATCAGCTGCGATGGCTTGGAGAAACAGCAGTGTAAACAAGATCAGGGCATGTATGAGTAGTTGAGAACGGTGAATAGGAGTATGACTAGACAGAAGATAGTAGGGATGACAAGTTTTTTGGGGGCACAGTCTAAGTTGGTCTGGTGTCTGGATGAGACTGGGGCCTAATAAAAAGGAGTGTCTATACAGGAGCTCAAATGGGCTGTACCTTGTAGCATTCTGAGGACAGGTCTGACTTCTGAGAAGGGAAAGTGGTAAAAGTATTGTCCAGTCCTTTTTAAGTTGGTGGCTGAGCTTGGTGAGGTGTGTTTTTAAAAGATCATTAGTCTGTTCTACTTTTCCTGAAGACTGAGGACTGTAAGGGATATAAAGGTTTCACTGAATACTAAGAGCCTGAAAAAATGCTTGGCTGATTTGATTAATAAAGGCCGGTCTGCTATCGGACTGTATAGAGGTGGGAAGGCCAAACTGAGGAATTATGTCTGACAGAAGGGAAGAAATGACTACGGTGGCCTTCTCAGACCCTGTAGGAAAGGCCTTTACTTATTCAGTGAAAGTGTCTACTTAGACTAAGAGGTATTTTAGTTTCCTGCCTCGGGCATATTGAGTAAAGCTAATTTGCCAGTCCTGGGCAGGGGCAAATCCTGGAGCTTGATGTGTAGGGAAGGCAGGGGGCCTGAATAATCCCTGAGGAGTAGTAGAATAGCAGATGGAACACTGAGAAGTTATTTCCTTGAGGATAGATTTCCACGATGGAAAGAAAATGAGAGGTTCTAGGAGGCGGGCTAGTGGCTTGTACTATAGCATAGCCTGCCTTTGCTGGTGTGTGGTGATTAGGCCTGGTGGAACTGCCATCAGTAAATCAAGCGTGATCAGGGTGAGGAACAGGAAAGAAGGAAATATGGGGAAATGGGGTGAATGTCAGGTGGATCAGAGAGATACAGTCATGGGGGTCAGGTGTGGTATCAGGAATAATGTGGGAGGCCGGATTGAAGTCCGGGCCAGGAACAATGGTAATTGTGGGACCTAACAAAGAGTGAGTACAGCTGAAGGAGCCGGGGAGCAGAAAGTATATGCGTCAGATAGAGGAAGAAAATAGATTTTGGAAGTTATGAGAAATGTAGAGAGTGAGTTGAGCATAGCTTGTGATTTTTAGGGCCTCTAAAAGTATTAAAGCAGCGGCAGCCGCAGCACGCAGACATGAGGGCTAGGCTAAAACAGTAAGGTCAAGTTGTTTGGACAGAAAGGCTACAGGGTGCGGTCCTGGCTCTTGTGTAAGAATTCTGACCGCACTAACCAAGCCTAGGAAGGAAAGGAATTGTTGTTTTGTAAGGGATCGAGGTTTGGGAGATTAATCGGATACGATCAGCAGGGAGAGCAGGTGTGTTTTCATGAGAATTATGCTGAGATAGGTAACAGATGAGGATGAAATTTGGGCTTGACTGAAGTAATGGGGGCTGTCTGTGAAGCCTTGCAGCAGTACAGCCCAGGTAATTTGCTGAGCCTAATGGGTGTCAGGGTCAGTCTAAGTGAAGGCAAAGAGAGGCTGGGACGAGGGGTGCAGGGGAACAGTAAAGAAAGCATGTTTGAGATCTAGAACAGAATAATGGGTTGTAGAGGGAGGTACTGAGGATAGGAGAGTATATGGATTTGGCACCACGGGGTGGATAGGCAAAACAATTTGGTTGATAAGGCGCAGATCCTGAACTAACCTGTAAGACTTGTCCGGTTTTTGGACAGGTAAAATGGGGGAATTGTAAGGAGAGTTTATAGGTTTTAGAAGCCCATGCTGTAGCAGGCGAGTGATAACAGGCTTTAATCCTTTTAAAACGTGCTGTGGGATGGGATATTGGCGATGAGCAGGGTAAGGGTGATTAGGTTTTAATGGGATGGTAAGGGGTGCGTGATCGGTTGCTAAGGAGGGAGTAGAGGTGTCTTATACTTGTGGGTTAAGGTGGGGAGATACAAGGGGAGGATGTGAAGGAGGCTTTGAACTGGGGGAAAAGGCAGCAATGAGGTGTGGCTGTAGCCTAGGAATAGTCAGGGAAGCAGATAATTTAGTTAAAGTGTCTCGGCCTAATAAGGGAACTGGGCAGGTGGGGATAACTAAAAAGGAGTGCTTAAAAGAGTATTGTTTAAGTTGGCACCAGAGTTGGGGAGTTTTAAGAGGTTTAGAAGCCTGGCCATCAATACCCACAACAATTATGGAGGTAAGGGAAACAGGCCCTTGAAAAGAAGATAATGTGGAGTGGGTAGCCTCCATATTGATTAAGAAGGGGACAGACTTACCCTCCACTGTGAGAGTTACCTAGAGCGTCTGTGATGGTCCTGTAGGCTTCCGAGGCGATTGGGCAGTGTCAGTCTTCAGCTGCTAAGTGGAGAAGATCTGGGAAGGAGTCAGTCACAGAGCCTTGGGCCAGAGTTCCAGGGGCTCTGGGAGTGGTTGCCAAGTGAGTTGAACAGTCCAATTTTCAGTGGGGTCCCACACAGATGGGATGCGGCTTAGGAGGAATCCCGGGCTGTGGGCATTCCTTGGCCCAGTGGCCAGATTTCCGGCACTTGTAGCAAGCTCCTGGGGGAGGAGGTTCTGGAGGAACCCCTGGCAGCTGCGGTTCGGGCATTTGGAGTTCTTGTGTGCTGGAGATGTGGCTGGGGTTTGTCTCACAGTGGAGGCAAGGAATTGCAACTCAGAAATACGTCGCTACTTGGCTGCCTCTATTGTATTATTGTACACCTTGAAGGTGAGGTTAATTAACTCCTGTTGTGGGGTTTGAGGGCCGGAATTTAATTTTTGGAGTTTTATTTAATGTCAGGAGTGGATTGGGTAATAAAACGTATATTGAGAATAAGATGGCCTTTTGACCTTTTAGGGTCTAGGGCTGTAAAGCGTCTCAGGGTTGCTGCCGAACGAGCCATGAACTGGGCTGGGTTTTTCAGATTTGATGAAAGAGCCTAAACGCTAACTGATTTGGGAGAGGTTGGATAAAGAAAAAGGAGCATTAACTTTGACTATGCTTTTAGCTTCAGCCACCTTTTTAAGAGGAAATTGTTGGGCAGGTGGGGAAGAACTAGTCGCGGAACTAAACTGTAAGCTGGACCGGGTGTGAGGAGGGGAGGTGGTAGAAGGATTATAGGGTGGAAGAGCGGAGGCAGAGGAAGAATTGGGACCTAGCTCGGCCTGGCGAGGAGGGGAGAGGTCAGATGGGTCTGTAGAAAAGGAAGATTAGAAAGACTCAGTGACGCTTGGGGTTGGGACTGAGGGAACAGGTGGGAGGGAAAGAAGGAAGATTTGGGACTAGTTACACTGGGAACAGAGACTAGGAAGGGACCGATGTGTAAAAGAATGCCTGGACGTCAGGCACCTCAGACCGTTTGCCTATTTTACGGCAAGAATTATTTAGATCTTGTAGGATGGAGAAATCGAAAGTGCCGTTTTCTGGCCATTTAGAACCACTGTCGAGTTTGTATTGGGGTCAAGCGGCATTGTGGAAGAAAATAAGGCATTTAGGTTTTAGGTCAGGCAAGAGTTGAAGAGGTTTTATGTTCTTAAGAACACAGGCTAAGGGAGAAGAAGGAGGAATGGAGGGTGGAAGGTTGCCTATAGTGAAGGAGGCAAGTTTAAAGAAAAGGGAGAGTAGAGACACGTAGGGAAGTGGTTCGGGGGTTCTTAACCTCCAGAAAAGCGGGAAAGGGGTTGAGGCGCAGAGATATGAGGTCGGGGCATGGAAATAAGGGATCAGGGCACAGAGATATAAGAGGTTGGGGTGCAGAAATAAGGGATCGGGGTGCAGAGATATAAGAGGTCGGAGCATGGAAAGAAGGGATCGGGGCACAGAGATACAAGGTTGGGGTACTTGCCCCTCCCCCAGAAAAGTGGGACTTGCTGCTAAGAGTGAAGGAGAAGGGGTTGGAGGTTTCTTGCCACCCAGAAAGGCGGAGAAGGGGTAGAGACACGGAGAGAAGGGGTTGGGGTACTTGCCCCTCCCCTAGAAAAGCGGGACTTGCCGCTAAGGGTGAAAGACCAAGGCAGGTGTCCTTGAGTGGTCTGACACCTCTGAAACCTGGGTGAATAATCAGAGAGGTGTCCCTGCAATGATTAAACACTAATGGAAGGCTGCCTTCCCTAGTCCATGACCGGCGCTGGAGTTTTGGGTCCATGGATAAAACGTGTCTCCTTTGTCTCTACCAGAAAATGAAAGGAATTGAAATTAAGAGAAGGGAGAGATTAAAGTGTGGCACCAAGATTGAAAGGAGAAAGAGGTTGAGGGATAGTGAGGGAGGTTGGAGAAGTGAGTAAAAAGAGGCCGCTTACCCGATTTAAAATTGGTGAGATGTTCCTTGGGCTAGTTGGTCTGAGGACCTGAGGTTGTAAGTGGATCTTTTTCATGGAGCAAAGAGCAGGAGGACAAGGGATTGATATCCCAAGGGAGGTCCCCTGATCCGAGTCATGGCACAAAATTTCATGCACGTCCGTGTGAAGAGACCACTAAACAGGCTTTGTGTGAGCAACATGGCTGTTTATTTCACCTGGGCGCAGGCGGGCTGAGTCTGAAAAGAGAGTCAGGGAAGGGAGATAAAGGTGGGGCTGTTTTATAGGATTTGGGTAGATAAAGGAAAATTATAGTCAAAGGGGAGTTGTTCTCTGGCGGGCAGAGTCGGGGTCACAAGGTGCTCCAAGGTGCTCAGTAGGGGAGCTTTTTGAGCCAGGATGAGCCAAGAAAAGGAATTTCACAAGACAATGTCATCAGTTAAGGCAGGAACAGGCCATTTTCACTTCTTTTGTGGTGGAATGTCATCAGTTAAGGCAGGAACCGGCCATCTGGATGTGTACGTGCAGGTCACAGGGGATATGATGGCTTAGCTTGGGCTCAGAGGCCTGACAGAGGGTCAGGACAAGAACCACATGGCCTGGTGCTTAGCTTTGCTATTCTCCAAGACCTTAGGGGTAAACATTTGTTGTTGCTTTTTTGTTTGTTTGTTTCCGTAGGCATGGATCCCTGAGGTCTGTCCCTAATATTACAAGACAATTCGATATCACAATAAAACCCTTCAGATATGATGCTGAGTGAAAAAGCAGAAAGGGAAAGACTTGGTTGTGCGGATACTGAGTTCTTTTTCTTTTCTTTTCTTTTTTTCTTTCTTTTTCTTTTCTTTTTTTTGAGCCCGACTCTTATTCTGTCACCCAGGCTGGAGTGCACTGGAGCAATCCTGGCTGGCCAATACTGAGTTCTTGAAAACAGGAGATGCTTGATGAGGGTGAGTGGATTAGATCTCAGTTTAATATCCGATGGGGCCAGACGCGGTGGCTCACACCTGTAATCCCAGAACTTTGGGAGGCCGAAGTGGGTGGATCACCTGAGGTCAGGAGTTCACGACCATCCTGGTCAACATGGTGAAACCCGTCTCTACTAAAAATACAAAAACTAGCCGGGCGTGGTGGTGCGTCCCTGTAATCCCAGCTACTTGGGAGGCTGAGGCAGGAGAGTTACTTGAACCCGGGCGGCGGAAGTTTCCGTGAGCCAAGACTGAGCCACTGCACTTCAGCCTGGGCAACAAGTGCGAAACTCCGTCTGTGAAAAGAAAAAACAAAAACAAAAAAAACAATGGAAGCCAAAAGCAAAATGCCAAGAGTGGAATACATTTATGCAAGTTGAGCAAAAATGTTAGATAGTTTTAGTTTCTGTTGTCTTTGTCCCTTCATGGCATTTTTTTCAAACGTGATGGGCGGGAGAGGAGCGCCTAGCGCTACTTGGCTTTTCTGGGACAATACTGCCATCATGCGGAAGTAGTTTCATAGCATCCGAAGCCGTGAGCATTTCCTCCACGTAAACCCTAGCCGTCGCGGAAGGAAAAGCCAGTGGAGGCTGAACAGGCCCAAGACACAAGTTGGCATTCCTACCCTTTTCTCTGAGGCCTGGCACAATCAATGGACAAATGCAAAGTCTTAGTGAAGTATCTGGTGAGTGAGGGACCAGGACTGAGCTAGCTGCTTCCAGGAAGCAAGAATGTAATGGAAAGCCTAAGCAATTATCTAAGCCCACAAGCCAGGATTATCTGTGACTTTATAAGTTCATGGGAATGTCTTTTCTCATACTAGGACACTGATGGTAATCTCAGTTCTCTCAAGGAGGGCAGATAGGTGGCTCTTTTCCGTTGGACATTCCCTGAGAATGATGGCATTTTTTAGTCCTGAGGAAACCAGTATTTATCTCATTCTAGCGAGCGTTCTGTGTACCAGCTTCAAAGCTAGTTCTTCATGAAGATATCCACCCTTAGGTGTGGAGACCTCCAGATACTCCATGACTCATAATTGAAAAATCAACAAGGGTGGCTAAAATTGTATGGGTGACTTGTTCCCCATGACATTCTTTTTCATTGTTTGTTATCTCAGTATCTGAATCTTTTAAAAAAGGATGTAATATTAGTCTGGTACTGTAGTGTGACCTTCCAGTGCTTCAAGATCTTCTTCAGGTAGGACTTCTCCTGGCCTCTGAAGATTCAGGCAGGCATTCCAGGGTAAGGGACCTGGCTTTTGTGACATCCTTGACTGTACCTAGCTCTCCCTCAAGCTGGTTAGAGTTGATTGATGGTCTGTAGACATAGATGCTATTGGCATTCAGGAATGTTTTAAAGATTCGGCCAGGCCCGGTGGCTCATGCCTGCAATCCTAGCAGTTTGGGAGGCTGAGGCAGGTGGATTGCTTGAGCTCAGGAGTTTGAGACCAGCTTGGGTAACATGGTGAAGCTCTGTCTGTATAAAAATCCCCACAAAATTAGCTGGGCACGGTAGTGCCTGCCCATAATCCCAGCTACTTAGGAGGCTAAGCTGGGGGGATTGCTTGAGCCCTGCAGGTCAAGGTTGCAGTGGGCAACAGTGCACTTCTTCCTGGGAGACAAAGTGAAACCCTGTCTCAAAACAAAACAAAACAAAACAAAAATAGAAGTGTCTTAACGACCCTCTGGGAAGCATTTCTCAATGACCCCCATTCCTGGAAATGACAAAATGACATCTAGACTCCCCACGCTGTTTCACCTAACGTAGACTTAGATATCTGCTAGATCAAGGGTCTCCAGTTCCTGGGCCACGGACCTGTACTGTTCTGTGGTCTCTTAGGAACTGGGCTGCATAGCAGGAGGTGAGCGTGGAGCAGGCAAAGTTTCACTGATATTTAAAGCCACTCCCCATCGTTTGCATTACCGCCTGAGTTCCACCTCTTGTCAGCATTGGCAACATTAGAGTCTCATAGGAGCATGAATCCTATTGTGAACTGTTCATGCAAGGATCTAGGTTGGGCTATCCTTATGAAAATCTAATGCCTGATGATCTGTCACTGTCTCTCATGACCCCCAGATGGGATCATCTAGTTGCAGGAAAACAAGGCTCAGGGTGCCTACTGATTCTACATTATGGTGAGTTGTATAATTATTTCATTATATATTACAGTGTAATAACAATAGAAATAAAGTGCATGATTAATGTAGTGAGCTTGAATCTAACTGAAACCATCCCCAACCTTGGACTGTGCAAAATTTATCTTCCACAAAACCGATCCCTGATGCTAAAAAGGCTGGGGACTGCTAAACTACCTCCTGGAGAAATAGCTTGGTCTGACCATTTTTGTGGAAGAGAGCAGCCCTACATATGAGACAGTGTCCCATATCTGAAGCAGTTATAGTAGGTCGCTAGTCAGATATGAGCAGGGCAGGAGAGGGCTCTTGCCGACCCACTGGGAATGTCAGCTGACCATCAGGCGGTAGTCAAACAGTTGTCACACTGCCTCTCTAAAATAATAATGTTTTAAGTTAGGTAGAAAAATCTGAAGGTTTGAACACTTATGGAAGGCTTGTGACAAATTAATTGTAAATGAAATTCTGTGTGTGAACATATTAGCTAAAGTTAAAGGGGTACTATTTAATTTTTCCATAAATTGAACATTGGAATAAAAGTACAACAGAGTTGGCTGGGCATGGTGGCTCACACCTGTAATCCTAGCACTTTGGGAGGCTGAGGCAGGTGGATCACGAGGTCAGGGGTTCGAGACCAGCCTGACCAACATGGTGAAACCCCATCTCTATTAAAAATACAAAAATTAGCTGGGTGTGGTGGCGGGCGCCTGTAATCCCAGCTACTCAGGAGGCTGAGGCAGGAGAATTGCTTGAACCTGGAAAGTGGAGGTTGCAGTGAGCCGAGATAGCACCATTACACTCCAGCCTGGGCGACAGAGCAAGACTCCGTCTCAAAAAAAAAAAAAAAAAGTACAACAGAGTTTTCTTACAGCACTAATTTGCTCTTTAACAAAAATTGGCAAAGAATTATAAAAGATTTATAAGAATCTTACCTTATGGTCAGACATTAAAATTGGATAGATTTGTCCATAAGGTTTCATTAAGATTTGGGTTTGACATCAATAGTGCACTAATACAATGGTGAAATTTGGCTTTCTCTCTTGAACAAGATTTTCATGTGATATTAAGAAATGATGAAAGATTTTTGTTTGCCTTTTGAATAAACTGTAGGAAGAAGAAGGGAAAGAAAAAAAGACAGATTGTTTGGAGAGCTAAGTCTCCCTCTTAATGAGTAAAGGTTTTTTCCGTTTTAAAACATTTTGAGTTATTGTTTTGGCTAATTAAATGACTCATGGTGACCTGGGATTTGATTTTATAATATCAAGTGTTTTAAACCATTGATATTTGACAAAGCTTCCAAAATTAAATTATAAATTATATTTTTTTCTGACATAATTACTAGTTTAGATATTAAGTCCTCTGAAGTCCAAACATGATATATTTGGCCTATTTGGTATAACAATCATACAGTAAACACTGTCAACTATGAAATGGTGTTTGGCTTTCTTTGGGTTGTGTTTGTATAAATATATTAGCGGTTGAAGTTATCTGTGCTACCAGCGTTGAATCCAAACAGGTCTGGAGCAACCTCGATTCCTGCCTTCTGAGAAGAAAGAATCCGACTGAGGGGCATAAGGCAGAAGAAGAGACCAAGGAAAGTTTTAGAGCAGGAGTGATGTTTATTCAAAAGCTTTAGAGCAGAAATGAAAAGAAAGTAAAGTACACTTGGAAGAGGGCCAAGCAGACATCTTGGTCAAGTGCTCCGTTTGACCTTGGACCTAGGATTTTATATGGTGGCCTACTTCCGGCATCTTGTGTCCCTTTTCTTTTGATTCTTCCATTGCGGCAGGCTGCCTGCATGCGCAGTGTATTTACTGAAGCTGTACACGTGCTCAGGTGAGGCATTCTTCCCTTTACCGTGCAATATCCCTGGAAGGCCATATACCAGTTAAATTCCACCATTTTGCCTCTTAATGTGAAGCCCACTTGACCAATTCCTGAGATCTTACTGGAAGCTGCTGATTACCAATTTCAGGTGTTTTTATCTATTGGGAAACTGCTTCTTGGTGCAGGGTGCACCCAGTTATTATTTTAGAGAGGCAGTGTGACAACTGCTTGACTATCACCTGATGGTCGCCTGACATTCCTGGTGGGTGGGGAGAGCCTCACCTGCTCTGCTTATACCTGACTAGCTACTTAGTGTAACAAAGCTAGAAAAGTTGCTGGTCTCAGACCTAGAATTCCTTAGGCTAAAGAATTGTTTATTCATTCCTTGCTAACTATCTTTAATAGAGGCTGTGTGCCTAGGCAGTGGATAGAAGCCTGGTAAGGAAATCACACCTAGCTGAATCCCAGTGGTAGTGACAGGAGGTTGATTGGTTTCTTCTGCAAGGGAGGATAGTGTGGAGGGGCAATGAGCCTATCATTCCCATTTAGGTTGGATACATGTCATTCATCTGCACCAGGTAATCCCTTTAGTCCTCACAAAATCTTAATTGCATTCTATGTCCTCATAAGCAGCCATTCCCTGTGTCTGATTTAGTGAGAAAAGTAAATTATTGAACCTTGAGGATTAAACCCTTCCACACGGTAAATGACAAAGTAAAGTATATTTTACTCTACTTCTAAAATGTGATAACCTTAAACCAAATATATAATCATGTATGTGTTCTAGAGAGCCAATATGCACATTGTGATGTATCTGTAAAAATTCAAACAAAAAATAGTGTCTACTTTTCTAAAGCAATGTTTTCGAGGGCATAGTTTAAGATTTACCTTTGTTTATAATGAAGGCTTAAAATGTTGACATATAATATTGATGACATTCAAATTAATTCATGCTCCTCAAACCTTTGTTAACATACATACTTGGTCTGATTCAATCCACAATGTACAATGTAATCCAGTTTTTTTGTTTTGTTTTGTTTTGTTTTTGAGACAAAGTTTCCCTCTGTCGCCCAGGCTGGAGTGCAGTGGCATGATCTTGGCTCACTGCACCCTCTGCCTCCCAGGTTCAAGTGATTGTCCTGCCCCAGCCTCCTGAGTAGCTGGGATTACAGGTGCCCGCTAAGTTTTGTATTTTTAGTAGAGATGAAGTTTCACTGTGTTGGCCGGGTTGATCACGAACTCCTGACCTCAGGTGATCCGCCCACCTTGGCCTCCCAAAGTGCTGGGATTACAGGTGTGAGCCACCGTGCCCAGCCTATAATCCAGTTTTAATACAGATTTATTTTTTACATGAAATCAAGAATGTATATATATATTGAAAGATATACACAGAAATGATCCAAAAGGTTAGTTGCCTTGACACGTTGTATGGTAGTGTTTTTCTTCTTTAGTAGTATGTGGATTTTTCCGAATCTTTGGCAGCCATTATTTTTTAATTAATTAGTGGGAGAATACTGTAAACATTATACCTAAAAGACAAATTATAAAATGCAGACAGACACACACACACACATACACACACACACACCATAAAGTCTCAGGAAATACCTGAAGAATATGTAATGGCATGGGAACATGCTGTGTTTTGATGTTAGATGATGAGACCCCGAGATGAAACACTGAGTAACCTGGACAGGAATTGAACATATGTACTATGAGTATCTTGCCATGCGGAACATATTTGACATGCAGTAATGACAGCTATCTGGTCCCTTCTCTATGATTCATGCATGCCACATTGTTGCCTACAATGCAACACATGAGCTACAACATGAAGAACTCCCTGGTTGTCTGGGAGGGGAGCCAGAACAGAGACCACCAGGATTTGTAAATTGTTTGCCAGCGAAAATCTCTAAGCTTCTAGCAACTTTCTCCTTTTTGTGCCCTCATCCATTGAATTTATCCCCTGAAGGAGACAGTTTGATGCCTTGGAAAGTACTGGACATATAATTCTGTAACGTAAATCATACCCATATAGACTAGATCAAGAAGACATTTAATTTCTGAAATAATAAGATTCTTGACGAGGGTGCATGGTTTAGAGTTTGGTTTGATTTCAAACGGAAGACAAAAGCAAGGCCAGGTGGGGTGGCTCACGTCTGTAATCACAGCACTTTGGGAGGCCGAGGCAGGCGGATCACCTGAGGTCAGGAGTTCGTGATCAACCTGGCTAACATGGTGAAACCTCGTCTCTACTACAAATACAAAAATTAGCTCGACTTGGGTGCGGTGCCTGTAATCACAGTTACTTGGGAGGCTGAGGCAGGAGGATTGCTTGAACCCGGGAGGCAGAGGTTGCAGTGAGCTGAGATCGTGCCACTGCACTCCACCCTGGGCGACAGAGCGAGACTCCGTCTCAAAAGAAAAACAAAAACAAAAGCAAAAACAAAACAAAAGCAAAAGTGCAGCAGTAAGACCAGGTGGACCCAAAGAAGGCAAAATACAAGGCACCCATGTTTGGTGGCGCCTTTGTCTATGGGTGGCGTTTTTTCACACAAGAAGAGCGGGAGTAGAGTCCTCCAAGGTGAGGTTTATTGGCATATCTGGAGCTCTACTGCCATCGTGAGGATATCGTTTAACGAAACCCTACGCCATTAAAGAGTTCTAGTGAGGACTACCTGTTGGGGCAGGTGTGGTCTGGTAAAAGGTGGAAGAGGGTTCGCCTCCATGCTGGGAGTCCTTGCTTAGTCTCGTTTGAGGCTTTAAAAGAGACCTGGACATTGGCGGTACCTTGGTATAGAACCTGGAGAGTGAAGGTTCTAAGAGCAAATCCTGTAAACCTCCCCTGGAAGAACGTTGTTTATTGTGCGCGGATACTGATGCCACAAGAGAGCCAAAGACCCGTAGTAAGATAATACCATGTGAAAACCTACTGACTTTTGCTCCAAGGGGCAGGAACAGGAGACAGATGCCCACAAGAGCCTGCATTTGTCTTTGAGCGGGTTCCTGCAGTCCTGCCCAGAGGAGGAACCGAGGCCCCGCCCCACGACTTTCTGTGCCAGGACCGCCCGGCAGGGGCTGGTTCATTCTAAGTCCTCACTCTCCAGGTTCTACACCAAGATACCGCCAATGTCCAGGTCTATCTTAAGGTCTTAGAGGAGAAGGCAAGAAGACCTAGCTTGGAGCCCCACGCCTCTTCCTCCTTCCCACAGATCAGAATTTCCCCAACAGAGAGAAAAATACTGTTCTCCAGAATTCGAGAACAGTGTAATGGCGTAGGGTTTCATGAAACTTCATCCTCACGATGGCAGTAGTGCTCCAGAAACGCCAAGAAGCCGTGTCTAGATCCCTCTTCTCCCGCCCCTCGTGTCTGAAAAAACTCCGGCAAACATGGCTGCCTTATGTTTTGTCCAGTTTGGGGGCAACCTTGCCTTACTACTCAACTTCCGCTTTTGTTTTCCATGTGAATCAAACTGAGACCTAAAACCACTCACCCTCATCAGGAATATTGTTATTTCAGAAATTTAATTGACACCTGACTTTGTCTATGGAGTTCTGCTTTCATTATATGCAATCTGTGCAGTTCTGCTCAACATTCTATATCCAGTACTTTCCCATAGTATCAGATTTTCTACCTGAAAGGATAAGTGTGAAGTCTCCAAGCTTAAGAGAGAGAATAAAATGCTAGAAGTTCAAGACTTAGAGAAAGGCCTCTCTAGCCACCCTATTTTCCTTTGAGACTCTCAAGATAGTCTGCATTTATTTTCAGTCCTACACTAATACTTGTTTGGGAGTTACTCCTGTTCCAGGAACGAAGCCCGGCCCGCTGCATTTTCTAGAGGCCTAGTACGGAAAAGCAGGCAAACTAGGAAACACAGGAATTTATTGCTGTAACTGGATACAGGAAGAACGCTGGAGATAATTCCACCAGACCAACTCAAAGTGTTACAATTTTCTTAGTGCTTATATAGGTTGGGGTTATGTGCCTACTGCAATATAGCATTCGCCTATGTCTATTGGTAACTAAATTTGCTTCAACTAGAATGTCAGAGGCAAAAAAAATGCTTGCTAAGTCCAATTAAAAGGGCCCCAGTACCTTCAAAGCCTGTCTACTGTGGTACCGGAATGATTATTTCTATCTTATCTCCTTTACAGCTTGGTCCGGAGAGCTGCCTTGGACTCTCCAATGCAGCTGCCTCTGTTACCTTGACTCGTCTCAGATTTCATTGACCCAAGATGGGTCCTGGCACTAGGAATGTAAGACTGTCTCCATTCTTTTGGCTTGTTCCAGAGAAGCCCATGCAAGGTTCCTACTGACCATATGTTTCTTTCTTTTCTTTTGTTTTTTGAGACGGAGTTTCGCTGTTGTTGCCCAGGCTGGAGTGCAATGGCGCGATCTCCGCTCACTGCAACATCCGCCTCCCGGACTCAAGCGATTCTCCTGCCTCAGCCTCCCGAGTAGCTGGGATTACAGGCATGCGCCACCACGCCCGGCTAATTTTGTATTTCTAGTAGAGTTAGAGTTTCTCCATATTGGTCAGGCTGGTTTCGAACTCCTGGCCTCAGGTGATCTGCCCTCCTTGGCCTCCCAAAGCGCTGGGATTATAGGCGTGAGCCACCGCCCCCGGCCTTGACCATATGTTTTATTTCTAGCTTTGATGTCTGGGCATCGATTTCCCTCGGTTAAACTATTTGCTCAATGTTAAGGCCACTCTGTAGAAATTTGTCTGTGTAACTGAGGTGCTATGCAGGCCTGCCTGTGTGACTGTCATGCAGGCCTGTCTGTGTGATTGTCAGGGAGAATTGGTCTGCCACAATCCTTTTCTAAGCATAGCCAATAGAGGTAGTTAGGCATAATTTGTATATTACAGAAATTGCCTTACAGAGAGTAACACATTTCTATACTCTCCTTCCATAACAGACACTTAAAAAAACAAAAAAAGTAATGTATGCTTGCTGTGGACCTCATTTAAGATTGCAACAGAAGCACTTTTCAATACTATTAAACAGCTTTTTACTTTCCATATTTTAAGCTTTTTAATTTATTATTTATTTTCTTAATTTTCTATTTTTAATTTTTTGATACATTATATTTGTATATATTTAAGGGTACATGTGAAATTTTGTTACATGCATACAATGTGTAATAATCAATTCATGATATTTAAGTTACCTATCAACAAAGTATTTATCATTTCTATGTGTTGGGTACATTTCAAGTCCTTTCTTCCAGCTATTTTAAAACTACAGAAAAGTGTTGATTATAGTCACCTTACTCTTCTATCAAAGTTTAGAACTTATTTTTTCTAACTGTATGTTTCTACGCATTAACCAACTCTCTTCAGCCCCACTGCCCTCCCGCAAATACACCCTTTCCTGTCTCTGGTATCTATCATTCCACGCTCCACCTCCATGCCAACAAGTATTTTAGCTCCTACAGATGAATGAGAGCTATATTTTCCTTTCTGTGCCTGGCTTATTTCACTTAACATAATGATCTTCAGTTCCATCCAAGTTGCTGCAAATACATCATTTCATTTTTTTAATGGCTGAAGAGTATTCCATTTTGTATATATAGACTGCATATTCTAGGTTTTCCAGTTCGTTAGTGTATAGTCGTTCATAATACTCTCTGATGATCTTTTGTATTTCTGTGGTATCAGTGGTAATCTCTCCTTTGCCATTTCTGATTTTGTTTATTTGGGTCTGTTCTTTTCTTGGTTAGTCTAGCTAGTGGTTTATCAGGTTCATATGTGTGTGTGTGTGTGTATATATATATATAAATATAAAACTGTCACCCAGGCTGGAGTGCAGTGGTGTGATCTTGGCTCACTGCAACCTCCATCTCCTGGGTTCAAGCGATTCTTGTGCCTCAGCCTCCCTAGTAGCTGAGTTTACAGGCGTGCGCCACCATGCCTGGCTACTTTTTTTATTTCTAGTAGAGATGAGATTTCACCATTTTGGCCACGCTGATCTCGAACTCCTGACCTCAAGTGATTCACCCGTCTTGGCCTCCCGAAGTGCTGGGATTACAGGAGTGAGCCATCGCGCCCAGCAGTTTTGTTTATATTTTCAAAGAACCAATTTTTCATTTTGTTGATCCTTTGTGTTGGTTTTTCATCTCTATTTTGTTTAGTTCTGCTTTGATCTGTATTATTTATTGATCCATGTTACCATGGTTTTTTTTTAGTAGAAAATAGCTTTTATTTATACATGGATTCAGAAAATAAGGAAATACTCTCAAAAAGAAAAACACTGATATAAATGGACCATGCCATAATAAGCACTGATTAAATTTAATACTTCTGATTCTCTTGTTTTATGCATAAATCAGTCTTTAAATTCCTGTAAAAGACATAAAGAACTGAATTATTCAATCAATAAACACAATTTACGTATTAAATATAACACTTTACATCTCACAATTAGAGAATGAGTTTTGTTTTTTTTTTTTTTTTTTTGAGATGGACTTCTGGCTCTGTCGCCCAGGCTGGAGTATAGTGGCCTGATCTTGGCTCACCGCAACCTCCAACCTCCCAGGTTCAAGTGATTCTCCTGCCTCAGCCCCCTGAGTAGGTGAGATTACAGGTGCCTGCCACCACGCCGGCCTATTTTTGTATTTTTTAGTAGAGACGGGGTTTCCCCATGTTGGCCAGGCTAGTCTCAAACTCCTGACCTCAAGTGATCCGCCCACCTTGGCCTCCTAAAGTGCTGGGATTACAGGTGTGAGCCACTGTGCCCGGCAAGAATGAGAATTTTTAATAGGTTTATCAGTCTTTTGGCTTAAAATCATTTAATGTATTAAAATAGTAAGCATTTATCCATCCATATCATTTGTCTATTCAATAAATTTGGAAGTAAAGAAACATTACCAAAATCTTATCCAATCTGAAATTAATAAACACGTTTAAGATTCTCTTTTACTCAAATAGGAAATAAAAAGGGAACTTACATAATATCCAGAGAATAATTAAAGGCAAAATACATCAAGTCAAATCCTATTATGCCTGCAGATGCTTTTCTCAGAGGAAAGCCTTTATCCATTAATGACTTTATTAAAATGTTTATTTATTTATTTATTATCATAAGCTCAACCAAGTGTTATATAAAACAGTTTTGAAAATTAAGGTAATAAGACCGAAAAGAATGAACTAATCTTACCAAATGTTAATAAACAAATAATTAATCCAAGCAAATGAGAAGAATTGATTCAATCATTTTGAAAGTGAAATCACAGGAATAGAAAGCCAAAAATTAATAATCAATGAATTTTAAACAGATTCTTTGAAATTATCAGTAAAATATATCAGCCTTATTTTAGTCCATTCAGGCTGCTGTAGCAAAATACCATAGCTAGGTGATTTATAATCTTTTATAAATAATAAAACTTACTGCTCACAGTTGTGGTGTCTGGGAAGTCCAAGATCAAGGCCCCAGCACATTCATTATCTGTTGAAGGCTCACTCTCTGCTTCAAAGATGGCACCTTCTATCTATATGCTCACATGGCAGAAGAGGTGACAAGCTCTCTCACGTCTGTTTTATTAGGGAACTAATCCCATTCAGTATGAC
Organism: Homo sapiens; assembly: GCF_000001405.40. Taxonomy (NCBI): domain Eukaryota; kingdom Metazoa; phylum Chordata; class Mammalia; order Primates; family Hominidae; genus Homo; species Homo sapiens. The sequence goes on along the minus strand of NC_000023.11, from coordinate 131,700,102 downwards.
TGACCCTCCATTATCTAATCAGCTTCCAAAGGCTACATCTCTTAATAATATCACCTTGGGGGTTAGGTTTCAACATATAAATTTTGGGGGATACAGACTTTTAGAACATACCTTCCCACCCTTGGGCCCCCCAAATTTGTGTCTTTCCCACATGCAAAATATATTCATCCTATCCTAATAGCCCCCAAATTCTTTTTTTTTTTTTTTTTTTTTTTCCTGAGACGGAGTCTCACTCTGTTACCCAGGCTGGAGTGCAGTGGTGCAATCTTGGCTCGCTGCAACCTCCACCTCCCAGGCTCAAGTGATTCTCGTGCCTCAGCCTCCTGAGTAGCTGGGACTACAGGCGTGTGCCACTATGCCTGGGTAATTTTTGTATTTTTAGTATAGACGGGGTTTCAATATGTTGGCCAGGCTGGTCTTGAACTCCTGACCTCGTGATCCACCCACCTTGGCTTCCCAAAGTGTTGGGATTACAGGCGTGAGCCACCGTGCCCGTCAATAGCCCCCAAATTCTTAACCTGTTTTTGCATCAACTCAAAAGTTTAAAGTTCAAAGTCTCATCTAAATATCATCTACGTTAGATTTGGGTGAGACTCAAGGTATCATTCATTCTGAGCCAAATTCCCCTTCTACTCTGAGCTTTTGAAGTTAAACAAGTTTTATGTTTCCAAAATACAGTGGTGGGACAGGCATAAGTTAGAAATTCCCATTCCATAAGGGAGAGAGAAGAAAGGAAAAGGGGTAATATGTTTCAAGGAAGTCTAAAACCCAAGAGCACAAACAATATTAAAACTTAAGGCTGGAGAATAATCTTCTTTGACTCAGTGTTGTGCCTTTCACACACACTTGGATGAGGATTGGGCCCCCAAGGCTTTAACTGGTCCCATTCCCAATGACTTTTCTGTGCATAGCCCGTGCCACAGTGCTCATGTGTTGGAGTCTTGTGTTTGTGGTTGTCCTAGGCTGGAGTTGCACACTGGTGGCTTTACCAATCTGAGGTCTCTGGGATGGCCCTGCCCTCATGGTTTTACCAGACTTTGCCTTTATGGTGGTCCCTCCATGGCTTTAATAGACATTGCCCCAATGGTGACTCTTTATTGTAGTCCTATTCCTGTGGGACATCTTTGTCCATGCCCTGCAGCTCTCTGGGAGTACCCTTAGTAATATAGGTGGAGGTAGCCATGTCTCTACAGCTCATTTTGCTCTGTGCTCCTGTGGAGATGGCACTGTGTTGATGCTGCCAAGATTTTTACTGCCTGTGCACTTTAGAGTGGTGGCCTGAACCACATCTGGGCCCATTTGAGACACATCTGATGAGAGAGGGAGCTGAAAAATGCTGTGCCAGAATGTAGGGAGCAGAGACTTGAGGTAGTTCAGGGCAGCAAGCACTGAGGTTCCTTGGATGCCCAAGGTCCCTCTTTTGACCTCATTTTACGCCCCAGGTTTGGTATTCTGAGCCTGTGATGTGAGTGGCAGGCTGGATGGTCTCTGAAATGCCTTTAGGGTCATTCTCTTATTGTCATGCAGAATAGCATCTGCCTTCCTTCTATCCCTACTAATCTTCTTATCAAATGGTGGCTTGGTCATACCTTTAGTATTCTCTTCTGAATATGCTTTTTCATTAACTCTTCACAACATAGCCACACTGAAAATTTTTCAGATCTTTACATTCTGCTTCCCTTTTGATTATAAATTCTTTTTAATTTGTTTCTATCTTCTTGTATTTTACTACAAGCATTCAAGAGAGGCCATAACACACCCTCAACACTTTGCTTAGATATTTATTTCACTAACTATACTATCATTGCTCAGAAGTTCTACCTTCTGCAAAGCCCTAGGATACATACACAGTTCAGCCAGGTTATTTGCCACTTTATAAGAGGGATGGCTTTTCCTCCAGTTTCTGATAACATTTCTCATTTTCACCTGAGACTTCATCAGAATGGCCTTTACCATCCAGATTTATACCAAAATTCTGTTCATGACCTCTTAGGAAATCTCTAAGAAGATTAGGCATTGTTTACAGCTCTCCTCTTCTGAGCCATAACCAGATCACTCTTAACACTCTGCTCACAGAAATGTAGGCTTTTTCTAGCCTGATCCTTTGCATTCTTACGGCCTCTACCCATTACCTAGTTCCCAAGCTGCATCCGCATTTGTAGGTATTTGTTAGAGCAGCACACCACTTCTTGCTATCAATTTATACCTTGATTCTTTCAGGGTGCTATAACAATGTAACTTGGACTGGGTAGTTTTTAAAAACGTAATTTACTGAGAGTCCTGGAGTCAGGGATTTCGAACATTAAGGTGCCAGAAAATGTGGTGAACAATGAGGGCTCAATCTCTGCTTCAAAGATGGCACCTTCTAGCTATGTCCTCATATGGTAGTAGAAGTAAAAGAGCTCCCTCAGGCCACATTTTTAAGGATACTAATCCCATTCATGGGGGTAGAGCCTCATGACCAAATCACCTCCCATAGGCCTTACCTCTTAATACCATTACCATCAGGATTAGGTATTTGGGGCCATCATTAAAAAGTCATTAGGTATTTGGCAATCATTAAAAAGTCAGGAAACAACAGATGCTGGAGATAATGTGGAGAAATAGGAAAGCTTTTACATTGTTGGTGGGAGTGTAAGTTAGTTCAACCATTGTGGAAGAGTGTGTCGATTCCTTAAGGATCTAGAATCAGAAATTCCATTTGACCCAGTAATCCCATTACTGGGTATATACCCAAAGGATGATCAATCATTCTACTACAAAGACACATGCACACGTATACATATGTTTATTGCGGCAATGTTCACAATAGCAAAGACTTGGAACCAACCTAAATGCCCATTGATGATAGACTGGATACAGAAAATGTGGCACATATACACCATGGAATACTATGCAGCCACAAAAAAGGATGAGTTCATGTCTTTTGCAGGGACATGAATGAAGCTGGAAACCATCATTCTCAGCAAACTAACACAGGAACAGAAAACCAAACACTGAATGTTATCACTCATAAGTGGGAGTTGATCAATGAGAACACGTGGACACAGGGAGGGGAACATCACACATTGGGGCCTGTCAGTGGTGGGGGACTAGGGGAGGGATAGCATTAGAAGAAATACCTAATGTAGACGGCAGGTTGATGAGTGCCACAAACCACCATGGCATGTGTATACCTATGTAACAAACCTGCATATTCTGCACATGTATCCCAAAACTTAAAGTATAATAATAAAAAAAAGAAAATGGTTCATATTCATAAAATAACTTTCAAGGTCAAGTTTCATGACCAAAAATGCAATTCTAACCCCCCAATTGACTGAATGGATCCCACACTTCTGCCAAAGAGATTCCAAAGAAACCTGAAAAACTAGTTAAGGCCATAAAGGGAAGGAAGTAGGTGGTCAGACATGCCTCATTATACCCTCTCCCATTTGGATTTCAGGCATAACTGACCAGCATGAACATTAAAACAGATCTTGGCCTGGTGAGGTGGCTCATGCCTATAATGTCAACACTTTGGGAGGCTGAGGTGGGCGTATCCCTTGAAGTCAGGAGTTCAAGAATAGCCTGGGCAACATGGTGAAATCCTGTCTCTGCAAAAATACAAAAATTAGCTAGGCATGGTGACATACACCTTAGTCCTAGCAACTTGGGAGGCTGAGGCAGGAGAATCGCTTGAGCCTGGGAGGCAGAGGTTGCAGTGAGCTGAGATTGTGCCACTGCATTTCAGCCTGGGTGACAAAGTGAGACCACTTCTCAAAACAAACAAACAAAAACAAAGAAAAAAAACAGATCTTAACACTGACAAAACAGATTCTTTGTAGCAATAAGATACCAAAGTCCAACCTGACTCTAGTATAACTTCACATGATAAAAATGGAAATAAAAATATTTTACCCCAAAGTATGTTTTTTGGCCCTATTTTGAAATGGACCTGCAGAGCCATTGAGAAACATTTGCATCTGTAAAGCATCTCATTAACATAACTAGATCTTTCCTCTTCCAGGCCTTCCGAAACCTGAAGAGATTAACTGAGAATCTAGCACCTTTTAAAAGTCTAAATAGAAAACATTTGCTATCTATTATCTCTAAGGGCAGCCACTTATGAGACTTCATCTATGTAATAAAAACCTTGGTCTCCACAACCCCTTATGTTAACCCAGTCATTCTTTTCTATTGATTCCAGGTCTTTAGAAAATAACTTAACTCTTTCAAGCAATTGCCAATCAGAAAATCTTGGAATCCTCCTATGACCTGTAAGCACCCACTTTCCCCTGCTTTAAGTCGTCCTGCCCTTCTAGACCAAACCAATGGATACCTCACATGTATTGATTGATGTCTTATGTCTCTCTAAAACATAGAAAAGAAAGCTGTAGCCCAACCACCTTGAGCACATGTTCTCAGGACCTCTTGAGACCATGCCTTGGGCCATGGCTACTCATATTTGGCTTAGAATAAACCTCTTCACATATGTTACAGTTTGGCTTTTTTAGTCAATATTAATTGGCACCCTACATATGGGGCCTCAGAGAAGACTCAGAACCCTGAAAGAGTCACCCAAACCCAGAGCTAAGGTACCAGCAGGGGCCCATTGAAAGCCCCCCAACTCCAAGCTTCTTCTTGAGTGAAACTGGTAAGTCCTCCTCAGCCCTGAACCTCCTGCTCAGTTGACAGTCTTCTGCTTTATTCTGAGCTGGTTCTTTTCCTAGGAAGTTGTTGTTCAGGATCCTAATTTTGATTCAGAAAGCATTCTGAAGGATCTTTTCCATTGCCTCTTTCTCCCCAAATTAATCTCACTTGGCTTGTTTGTGCATTTGCTTGAGAAACTGAACTGTCCCTTGTGTGAATCAACGAGAGACTGAACTTCTCAGCTCCACTCCATTGAAACGCAGACTACAGTTTGGTTCCTCCCTTAAAGAAAATTAAAAAAAGGGAAACAAATAATCAAAGAATGAGGAGATACAAAGATAACAACCCCCTTTTGGGCACGTTGTTTGGTTTTATGATGCCTCTACTTGCAAGCATTTGTGTAAATGGAAAAGTTTGAAGGCATGCCAGGTTTTCTAATACTCCAGCTGGTTACATATTATGGTCTATTCTTGGGCACATTTTAAACTTGTGGCTAAATTACATCAAGAAAAATTCAGAGGTCAAAAGTCAACCTGCGAATATAGAGTCTTTAAAGTTTTATGTGTATTTCTCTATTTTCTTTTCTGCCTGCTTTAAATCTGTTGTTACTTTTCTACTGGAGTTGAGATAAAAACCACTGTCTGCATCCAACCATTTCTTTTTCTTTCTTTTTTTTTTTCAAACTGGTGAGTTTGTATTTATCTCATGGTTAGAGTTCTGAAATAAAAGCTATAAGATCTTTGTTTGTATGTGTGTGTATGTGTTTAGATGTGTTTGTATGTACGTACATCCATTTTTTTTAATGTGTTGTGACCACAAAGTACCAAATTGGCTTTACAATAAAGGAGTACTCATAAATTAAGTAAATAAGCCCAGTGCTTTTCTAGTTCATGTGACTTAAGTAAATCTTTAACAAATAAGCTGACTTTAAAATTATTGGTAAAATAAAATTAGAAATGTCTTCAGAATTGTCAGCACACATTTTGTCTAGATTTACTGGTCAGGTGGTTTTGTGTTTATCTCTTATAGATATTTTATAAGGTGTTAAAGTTTGGCACAAAGGATATAGAAGTATAAACTCAGCCCCAAATCTATGATCTTTGTGTAATTTTTGATAAATAAGGCATTTAATATTGTTGGTCTAATGAAAACAGATAAATCCTGAGTTATCAGCAAAAAAAAAAAAACATTTATTTAACTGTAAATTTCATACTTAGTTAAACACCTGATATTCACATGCTGTAAAATTGGTTAACAGAGAAATAACTTTAAATAATGACTAGCTTTGTCTAACATCACAGTTTTCATAAGTACTCTAGGTAAAATATTAAAAATAAATAAATAGTCAAATAAATGCAATGGAATAAATGTTTATAAATAAACTTGTCCTGTAATTTTAAATTCTTAAAGTTATGTTAAGTTAAATAAGAGATAATTATTAAATATGTGGGTCATATCCAATTGTTTTAAAAGATTATATATACAAAAACATTTTCAAACAAATTAATTATAAAATGGTTTTCATCTATAAAATGCTCATGTGATAAACAATTTAAGATTTCCTATTTACTAGGTCTTCACAAAAAAGTAAGGTTACTAAAAATAAAAATTGAATTTAATATATAATTCTACATGTAAAACATGCCAAAAAAAGATATATTCTGATGAAAATAAGAAAAATTATAAGACATAAAAATGTGTTCTTAATAAAAGTAAATAATTTTTGTCTAATTCAAGGGTTACTTTGAAACAGGGTAAAATGAGCTGATAGTAAGTAAAAGAAATGTAAAGAAAGCTATAGCTATAAAAGCAGTATTTTTTGGTAATAGAGTTTAAAAGGAAAATAATTTTGTGTGAAAAAGAATCTTGTATGATAAATTTTTGTCCTAGAATAAAACAGAAAGTTCAAGCATGTCATAAATAGTATGTGAAAGTCATAATAGGGTTTGTAAAAAACAGAATTTATAAAAGAAATTTTGTGTGTGATTAAGTTGGCTATACTGGAAAGGAAATTATTTAATCATCTTCTAGAAATTGTGCTTTGATACTAAAAATACACTAATATAAAACTAAAGTTTTGGTAGACTAGATTTTCTTAAAATATTGATTTATTCAATGAAATTGCAAGAAATTTTTAAATTTTAATTATGTAATTCTTTTTTAAACTTGAAATTTCTGAGATTATCTTAGAAGTTCAAATTCTGCTGTACTCTGCTGTTTTTAGCCTTTCTGTCTTTGAGAAGTCCTGGGATGCAGGTTTGACTTTCAGGTTATTCAAATAAGCTTCCCATAAGGAAAAATAATTGCTACCATAGGTCTTTTTTGTTGTTGTTGTTTTACTTTTTTGGTGATTAGCGTAAGGAACAGTGATTTTACATTTTATCAAAATAATTCCTGTGTTGTTTTAATTAGGTTTTAAAAAATACTTAAAAAACAAACTTTGAAAGGGTTAATGTTTTTATATTTGTGTAACTTCCTATATTGTTGTTGAAGTCTTTTGATTGTGACTCTTGTTAAATGATTAACTATTATTTTATAATGTTGTATGGTTCTGTTTTAATAAAATATTTTGAGACTTTTAACATTTTTGACAAATATCCTCAAAATCAAATCCCAAATTAAGTCTCTGACTTGACTTATTGCTGGAGGCTTATTAAAACTATAAAAATTAATCACTATAAGGATATAGAATCTTTCCACAGCTGCCAACAAGTCATAAACTCCAGTATCACCACCACCAGCCTGATGATTAGACATCAGTTGAGAGACTCCCTCTAGCCCCACTTAAAAAAGGTCTTTATGAAATGTTATTAACTAACCCTTGTGCTGTTAAGTTGCAGGGCTTTGACTCCTGGGTACATGTATCTCATCTGAAAGGGAATCCTGACGCCTACTGAATCTTAATAGTCAATATTGATATCTGGCATCAAATTCAAGTTGACCAAAGTTCCATCTTCAGACCTGGGAGAAGATGACAGTCAAAATGAACTGCTTTCATGTGACACTGGACCAGGCCTATATACAAAGGCATAAGTAATCATTGAATAATGTTTCATCTATCTATCTTAATATAATTTGTTCTATGCCTTACTAGATAAATGTTTAGTTACCTGTGAGTTTTCTTTTCCTGCCATTGTCAGAGCTAGGCAGGGCTTAAGTCCCTTTCGTTTAAACATTACTAACTCTATACATAGCTTGCAAAATTGGATAAAACAACAAAGGTTACTTTTTCACTCTCTCTCTGCTTAATATCTCTGAAATTTAAAACTATTCAGAATCCCACTGGGCCCGATCTATTTTCAATGCTAATGCTCCACTGCTAAAACTATATAAGCATCTTCCCTCTAGGCTCAGGCACTATCTTGGAAGAGGTAAATGTGTAAGATTGTAAAGGTTGATTTTTGAGCAACAAAATTAATTTAGATCTTCCAAATAAAAAATGGGCACACAGATGCCCAAACAGTTGGCAAAATAAGATACTTTACCTCCTGGACCAGTATGTGGACCTTTTTCATCCATCCCAACCATAATTTCCTCTTTCCTGTAGAATTAAAAGAAAATTGCAAAGAGGATATGAACTTTTCTGGTAAGAAAACCTCCTGGGTATAGTGCTCCCAGTTATGAGATTTATGCAGATTGTTATATAAAGTTTTTTTAAATCAAGCACCTTAGGACAAACTATTAAAAAGACTGCTAAAAGCGTTGTGACACAACAAAAGTCTCTAAATTCTGTAGCTTAAAAAGTTTTAACAAAGTACTTATCTTTTGCAAGCTAATTGCTACAAGTCTATAACTAAAACATGTATTGACTGATGTCTTAGGTCTCCCTAAAATATATAAAACCAAGTTGTAAACCAATCACCTTGGACACATGTTCTCAGGACCTCTGGAGACTGTGCCTTGGGCCATGGTCACTCATATTTGGCTGAGAATAAAATTTTAAAAATATTTTACAGAGTTGGGTTTTTCTTGTTGGCTTTTTCATAAAATGTAAAATGTTTGAGAAAGACACTTCTCAAGTGGCCAAGTGAGGATATTCTAGCTTAATGCGTAGAATTTATAGCTAAGTCAATTTTGTAACCTTGCCTTTTGACTTTTGGTTCTTGATGCTTACATTACAAAATTTTAAGGTTTGATAAATGCCTGCTCCACTTCCATTCCCATCTGGCCTAGGATATTTAAATTGGCTATAAGTCTTTTGGCTCTACATCTGTTGGCCGTGAGTCCCCACCAAGGGATAGGATAGACCCAGGGCACATAGCCACACCACCCCAGCAATGGTATGCAACAAAATGATAGTTTGGCCATTGATGTTGCCTCTGGGAAATTTTTTTTTTTTTTTTGACGAAGTCTTGCTCTGTTGCCCAAGCTGGAGTGCAGTGGTGTGTTCTAGGCTGACTGCAACCTTTGCTTCCTGGGTTCAAGTGATTCTCTTGCTTCAGCCTCCCAAATGGCTGGTATTACAGACGTGCACCACCACACCTGGCTAATTTTTTTTTTTTTTTTTTGAGACAGAGTCTCACTCTGTCATTCAGGCTGGAGTGCAGTGGCACAATCTCGGTTCACTGCAACCTCCATTTCCCGGGTTCAAGTGATTCTCCTGCCTCAGCCTCCTGAGTAGCTGGGATTATAGGCATGCACCACCAGGCCCAGCTAATTTTTGTATTTTTTTGTAGAGATGGGGTTTCGCCATGTTAGTCAGGCTAGTCTCGAACTCCTGACCTCGTGATCCACCTGCCTCGGCCTCCCAAAGTGATGGGATTATAGGCGTGAGCCACTGTGCCTGGCCTAATTTTAGTATTTTTAGTAGAGATGGGGTTTCGCAATGTTGGCCAGGCTAGTCTCGAACTCCTGACTTCAGGTGATCTGCCTGCCTTGGCCTCCCAAAGTGCTGGGATTACAGGTGTGAGCCACCACGCTTGGCCTCCTCTGCTCAATCCTGACCAGAAAAATCAAATTCTAACTCCCCCAATCAACTGAATTCCCCTCCATTCATCTGCCAAGGGGATTCTAAAGAATCCTGAAAACTAGTTCAGGCCATGACAATTGACATTAAAACAGATCTTAAAACTGACAAAACAGATTCTTTGTAGCAATAAGATACCAAATTTCAACCTGACTCAGGTATAACTTCACATGATAAAAAAGGAAATAAAAATATTTTACCCCCAAAATAGATTTCTTTGACATATTTTGAAATGGCCCTGCAAGGCAGTTGGGGAAATTTTGCATCTGTAAAGCATCTCCTTAACATAACTAGATCTTTCCCCTTCCAGGCCCTCCTAAACCTGAAGAGATTAACTGAGATTCTAGCACCTTTTAAAGTCTACATAGGAAACATTCACCATTTATTATCTCTAAGGGCAGCCACTTATGAGACTTCATCTATGTAATAAAAACCTTGGTCTCCACAACCCCTTATGTTAACCCAGACACTCCTTTCTATTGATTCCAGGTCTTTAGAAAATAACTTAACTCCTCCAAGCAATTGCCAAACAGAAAACCTTGGCATCTTCCTATGACCTGTAAGCACCCACTTTCCCCTGCTTTAAGTTGTCCTACCCTTCTGCACCAAACCAATGTATACCTCACATGTATTGATTGATGTCTTCTGTCTCTCTAAAACATAGAAAAGAAAGCTGTAACCCAACCACCTTGGTCAGGACGTCTTGAGACTGTGCCTTGCGCCATGGTCAGTCGTATTTTGTGCAGAATAAACATTTTTCAATATTTTACAGAGTTTGGCTTTTTTGTTGACTTTTTTCATAAAACATGAAAGATTATGTTTGAGAAAGGCGTTTCTCAAGTGACCATGTGAAGATGTTGGGAAATCCTCTCGCCAAAGAACAACTATGAAATGGACAAAACCAACCATTTCTGTGCTCTGGAAATTAAATGTGCACAACAATGTTAAACTTTGGGCAAGAAAGTTTGAACTCTGATACGGTTTTGATTTGTGTCACTGCTGAAATCTCTTGTGCAATTGTGACCCTCAGTGTTGGAGGAGGGGCCTGGTGGGAAGTGATTGGATCATGGGGGTGGATTTCCCCCTTGCTGTTCTCATGTAGTGAGTGAGTTCTCGTGAGATCTGGTTGTTTAAAAGTGTGTAGCATCTCCCCCTGCTCTCTTCCTCCTTCTCTGGCCATGTAAAACCTGCCTGCTTCCCCTTTGCCTTCTACCATGATTGTAAGTTTCCTGAGGCCTCCACAGCCATGCTTCCTGTACAGACTGTGGAAGTGTAAGTCAATTAAACGTCTTTAGTCTTTAAACCTATAAATATCTTTGTAACAACTTCCTTAGCTACAATCTATAAGTTATTTATAGATTACACAGTCTCAGGTAGTTCTTAATAGCAATGCAAAAATGCACTAATACAAACCCTGTTTTGGTCTGGCCTGTGGCTGCTTCCGTATTTCTCTTTCCTAGGTCCATCTATAGGGACATTCTGCCAAGGTGAAATAAAGACTGATAAAATTCCTTACTAGCAAACTTGTATTACAAGAAATAACTAAAAACAGTCCTTCAGTCTAAAAGGAAATGACTCTATATGGTGACTTGAATCCACAAGAATAAATGAAGGGCACAGGAAATGGTAAATAGCTGGGTTAATATAAAAAAGACTCTATGTATTGTTTTTTCATTTTTTCTATATTATCTAAATGACCTAAGATTATGTGAAGTAATAATTATTACATTGTACTGTTGGTTTTAAAATATATAACTGTAATTTATATGATAACAGACCAATGTTGGAGGGGTTTGGAAATAAATATGAGCAAAGTTTCTATGTTTTACTTGAAGTAAGTTAGTATTAAGCTGATGTATATTCTGATAGGTTAAAATGTATATTGTAACCCTTAGAACAACTATTAAAATAAATCAAAAGCATAATTAAAAATTCAAAGAGAAGTTAAAGTGGTACATAAAAATATTTAGTGAATATATAGTGAAAAGTTAAAAATATTTACTGAACACAAAAGAATGCAGTCAATCTGGAACAGAGGAACAAATCCAGACGGGAGATATATAGAAACCAAATACCCAAATGGCAAATTTAGATTCAACTATATCAAAAACTACATTAAATTTTAGTAATTTAAACACCAAAATTAAAAGATGGAGATCATTAGGTGGATAAAAAAGCAAGATCTGAGTTTATACTACCTACAGGAGATGAGTCTTAAATCAACACCCAAATAGGTTGAAAGTAAAAGGATGGAAAAAAGATATATGGTGTCAATGGTAATCATAAGAAAGCTGGAGTGGCTACATTAATATCTGAAGAAATAGATTTATGGCAAGGCTTCATGATAAGAATATTATGGAATACACAGATAAAAATTACATAATAGTGTCAGAGTTAATATATCCAGAAGCTAGATCAATTATAAATGTATACATGCTTGCAACAAAGCTTCAAAATACATAAAGCAAGAAGTGCCATAAATAAAAGAAGGACCACACAATTCAGCAATAATAATGGGGCATTTTGCTGGGTGCAGTGGCTCACACCTGTAATCTTAACATTTTGGGAGGCAGAGACGGGTGGATCACCTGAGGTCAGGAGTTCAGGACCAGCCTGGCCAACATGGTGAAACCCCATCTCCACTAAAAATTCAAAAATTAGCTAGGCATGGTGGCAGGCACCTGTAATCCAAGCTACTCAGGAGGCTGAGGCAGGAGAATCACTTGAACCCAGGAGGTGGAGGTTGTAGTGAGCCAAGTTTGTGCCATTGCACTCCAGCCTGGGCAACAGAGCGAGACTCCATCCGGAAAAAAAAAAAAAAAAAGGGACGGGGGGCATTTTTATTCCTCATTCTCAATAACTGGTAGAGCAAGTGGACAGAAAACCAGCAAAAATATATAACACTTGAAAAGACAACATCAACTAGCTTCACCTAACTGATGTATAAAATCACTTCACACAAGCCTGTGGTATACACCCGCTTTTCATGTACACATGGATCATTATGACAGAACATGTGATGGACCATAAAACAAGCCTCAGGAAATTTAAAGATTCCTGTCTTACAAAGTATGAATGGAAGTAAATTAGAAAATAATAAAAGAATAAAATCTGGATATCCATAAATTCCACGGAATTATACATCATAGTTCTGAATAACAAATGGGATGGGTCAAGGAAGAAATCATAAAGTAAATTAGGAGATATTTTTAGTAGAATGAAATTTAAAACAACATATCAAAATTTATTGACTGCAGCTAAGTCAATAACAAAGATATTTATAGGTTTAAACTCTATATCAGAAAAGAATGATTTCAAACCTCATTTGCCCTTTTAGAAGCTAGAAAAAGAAAAGCAAACTAGGTCCAAAACAAGCAGAAGAAAGTAAATCAGTAAGACTAGAATAGAAATGAAAGAAATAGAAAACAGTAAAACAAGAGAAGAAAGTCAATAACATCAAAATTCATTCTATGAAAAAAATACAAAAATTGAAAAATATTTATTTATTTATTTTGAGATGGAGTCTCGCTCTGTCACCCAGGCTGGAGTACAATGGCATGATCTCAGCTAACTGCAACCTCCACCTCCCGGGTTCAAGAGATTCTCCTGCCTCAGCCTCCTGAATAGCTGGGACTACCAGTGCGTGCCACCACACCTGGCTAATTTTTGGATTTTTAGTAGAGACGGGGTTTCACCGTGTTGGCCAGGCTGGTCTCAAACTCCTGACCTCAAGAGATCTGCCCCCCTTGGCCTCCCAAAGTGCTGGGATTACAGGTGCGAGCCATCACGCCCTGCCAAAAAAATATTTATTTAAAAGTCCAAGGGAAAAAACACACTTTTGGAGGCTAAGGCAGCAGGATCACTTGAAGCCAGGAGTTCGAGACCAGCCTGGGTAACAAATGAAGACCCTGTCTCTACAAAAAATTTAAAAATTAGCCAGGCATGGTGGCACGTGCCTGTAGTCCCAGCTATGTGGTAGGCTGAGGCAAAGAATTACTTGGGCCCAGGAGTCTGAGACTTTAGTGAGCTACAATCACCTCACTGCATTCCAGTCTGAGCAACAGGGTGAGACCCCCCTCCGCAATCTCTTTAAAAGAAATTTAAAAAAGAGAACAGGCACAAATTATCAAAATCAGTGATGAAAATGGGACATTGGGATACTACTGATCCCACATAAATTAAAAGGATTGTAAGGGAATATTATGAACATGACAGAAAATTACACAACTTAGATGACGTGGTCAGATTTCTCAAAGGACACAAATTATTAAAACTTATTTAAGAATAAATTAAAAATCTGGCTGGGTGCAGTGGCTCACACCTGTAATTCCAGCACTTTGGGAGGCCAAGGTGGGCGGATCACCTGAGGTTGGGAGTTGGAGACCAGCCTGGCCAACATGCTGAAACCCCATCTCTACTAAAAATACAAAAAAAGAAAAAAAAAAAATTTGCCAGGTGTGGTGGCAGGTGCCTGTAATCCCAGCTACTCGGGAGGCTGAAGCAAGAGAATCACTTAAACCCAGGAGGCAGAGGTTGCAGTGAGCCGAAACCGTGCCATTGCACTCCAGCCTGGGCGACAAGAGCAGGGCGCCATCTCAGAAAAAACAAACAAACAAACAAACAAACAAACAAAAAACCGTAAAAAATCTGACTAGACCTACGACAGAAGTAAATATATTAATAATCAAAAATACTTACACTAAGAAAAATCCCAACCCAGTTGGCTTCGCTGGTGAATTCTATTAAATATTTTTAAAAGAAATAATGCCAGTGCTTCACAACTGTTTCAGAAATAGAGGCTGAGAAAACACTTCTGATTCATCCTGTGAAGCCAGTATTATTCTGACACCAAAACCAGAAAAAGACATCAGAATAACAGAAGACTATAGACCCTTTATATCCTTCATGGTCATGGATATAACACTTAAAATATTAGTAAACTTAATCCAACAACATATAAATAGGATTATATGTCATGACCAAGTGGGATTAATCCCATGAAAACCAGGTTGGTTTAATATTCAAAAGTCAACTAAGTACTGCACAATGTTAGTAGAACATAGGATTAAAATCACATAATTTTCTCAGTAGATGCATAAAAGTATTTATAAAAATGGAACACACATTTATGATAAATAGCCTCAACAAACTAGGAGCAGAAGACTTCCTCAAATTGATAAAGGGCATCCATGAGAAACCCAGGGCTAACATCATATGTAATGTTGAAGAAATGTATTGTTTCCTCCCTCCTAAGATTACTAACAAGGCACAGATGTTCACTTTTGCCACTTCTCTTTTAACGTTTTACTGGATTTTTTAGCCAGTGCAATCAAGTTCAAAAAGAGACATTAAATGCATCTGGATTAGAAAGGAAGTATTAAAACTGCCTTTTTTTTTTCTAGAAAACATCAAGGAATGCATGAAAACTACTAGAACTAGTAATTGAGTTTTATAAATTTACATCACACAATATCAATATACAAAATTGATATTTCTATATACTAGCAATTAATCAGAAAATTGAATTAAAAATACAATGCCATTCACCACAGCATCAACAAGAAAAAAATACTTAGGGTTAAAATTGACAAAAGAGCCGGGTGCAGTGGCAGGTGCCTGTAATCCCAGCTACTGGGGAGGCTGAGGCAGGAGAATAGCTTGAACCAGTGCAGCAGAGGTTTCAGTGAGCCAAGATCATGCCACTGCACTCTAGCCTGGGAGACAGAGTGAGACTCTGTCTCAAAATAAAAAAAAAATTGACAAAAGAAGCACAAGACTTGTCCATGAACTATAGTTGAGAGAACACTGTTGATGGAAGCCAAAGAAGGCAATGAACAGAGACACATTCTATGTTTATAAATCGAAATGCTCATTATTGTCAAGATGGCAATTGTACCTAAATTTATTTATAAATTCAAATCAATCCCCATCAAAATTCCAATAGAAATTGATAGGATGATTTTCAAATTTATATGGAAATGCAAATAACCTAGAATAGCCAAAACAATTTTTGCAAAAGTACAAAGTTGAAAGATATGCTAACTGATTGCAAAACTTACCATAAGACCATAGTAATCAGGACAGTAGAGAATTGGCAAAAGTATAGGCATATACATAAATGGAACAGAATGGAGAGTACAGAAATAAATCCTTGCATCTGTATTCATTTGATTTTTGGCAAAGATATTAGCACAAATCATTAAGAAAAAAGAGGATCTCAGGGAATGGTGCTGGAACATCTGGCTATCCGTATGCAACAAGTGAACTTAAACCGTTACCTCACATAATCACACATAAAGGTTACCTCAGAACGGATCACAGACCTTAACTTTTTTTTTTTTTTTTTGAGACAGTCTCGCTCTGTCACCCAGGCTGGAGTGCAGTGGTGTGATCTCAGCTCACTGCAACCTCTGCCTCCCGGGTTTAAGTGATTCTCCTGCCTCAGCCTCCCAAGTAGCTGGGATTACAAGCATGTGCCACCACGCCCAGCTAATTTTTGTATTATTAGTAGAGACGAGGTTTCACCATTTTGGCCAGGCTGGTCTCGAACTCCTGACCTCAGGTGATCCACCCGCCTAGGCGTCCCAAAGCGCTGGGATTACAGGTGTGAGTCACCACACCTGGCCACACAGACCCTAGTATATGAGCAAAAACTAGAAAACTTCTAGAAGGAAATGGGGGAAAATCTTTGTTTTTGGATTAGGCTAATCCATAAACAAAAGATTGACAAATTGGATTGGACATAGTTAAAATTATAAAATTCTGCTTTTCAAAAGACACTGTTAATAGAATGAAAATGTAAGCCATGGCTTATACAAATATTTCTAAAACATATTTGTTAGAGGACTTGTATGCAAGTTCTTCTATAAAGAACTTTCAAAACTCAATAATAATTAAAAAAATTAAAATAGGTAGATTTGCTGTAACAAAAATACCATAGACTGGGTGGCTTAAACAACATGCATTCATTCCTCACCGTTCTGGAGGCTGAGAAGTCTAAGATCAAGGTGACAGCAAAACTGGTGTCTGGTGAGGGCCTGTTTCCTGACTTAGAGACAGTTTCCATCTTACTATATTCTCACATGGCTAAGAGAGAGATAATCTTTGTCATGTCTCGTCTCAGACACCAATCCCATTCCTGAGGGCTCTACCCTCATGAACTAACTCCCAGAGGCTCACCTCCAAATATCATCATATTGGGAATTAGGCTACAAGATTCAAATTTAGGAGGCATTCAGTTCATAACAATGAGCCAAATATTTAATAGATACTTTACTAAAGAAGATACATGCATGTATAAAAATACATGAAAATATGCCCAAACATCATTGGCCATTAAAAAAATGCAAATTGAAACCATAAGGTAATAAAACTACACTCATTACAATGGCTATAATAAGAAAACCAGACAATTTCACATTTTTGACGGTGTAGAGACACTGGAAATTTCAGACATGCCAGTGAGAATGTAAAATTTTTTCACCATTTTGGAAAAAAGCTTGACTATTTTTCTTTCTTTCTTTCTCTCTTTCTTTCTCTCTCTCTCTCTCTCTCCCTCTCCCTCTCTCTCTCTCTCTCTGTCTCTTCCTCCCTCTCTCTCTCTCTCTCTCTCTTTCCTTCCTTCCTTCCTTCCTTCCTTCCTTCCTTCCTTCCTTCCTTCCTTCCTTCCTTTCTTTCTTTCTTTTTCTTTCTTGAGACAGTACTGCTCTGTTGCCCAGGCTGGAGTGCAATGGCATGATCTTGGCTCACTGCAACTCTATCTCCCAGGTTTGAGCGATTCTCCTGTCTCAGCCTTCCAATTCTCCTGTCTCAGCCTCCCACGTAGCTGGGACTACAGGCGCCCGCCACCATGACTGGCTAGTTTTTGTATTTTTAGTAGAGACGGGGTTTTGCCATGTTGGCCAGGCTGGTCTCGAACTCCTGACCTCAAGTGATCTGCCTGCCTTGGCGTCCCAAAGTGCTGGGATTACAGGCATGAGCAATTTCTTTAAAAAGAAAACATAAACTCAAGATATGACCCAGCTAGTCTTCTTTAAGGTATTTACCTGTCCTAAGCCACTCACGCTTCTATAACAAAATACCACAGACTGGGTAATTTATAAGCAATAGAAATTTATTTCTCACAGTTTTGGAGGCTGGAAAGTTCCAGATCAAGATACTGGCAGGTTTGGTATCAGGCGAGGGTCCAGTCTCTCACCTTCCAAGCTGTTGCCTTGTTGCTGCATCTTCTGGAAGGGATAAATGCTGTGTCCTCACATGGTGGAAGCAACAGGAAGGGATGAACCCATTCCCTCAAATCATTTCATAAAGGCCCTAATTCTGTCCCTGGGGCTCTTCTTTTGTGACTTAATTATTTCCTAAAGGCCCCACCTCTCAATACTATCATACTATTGATTACGTTTCAACATATGAATTTTGGGGGACACATTCTAAATGTGACACTATCCAAGGGAAATGAAAATATATGTCTGCACAAAGACATACACAAATATTTGTAGTAGCATTATTTATTGCAGCCTCGATCTGGAAAAAAATCCAAACTTCCATTGCCAGGTGTGTGAATAAACAAAATGTGGCATATCTATTAGTCAGGGTTCTTTAGTGGGACAGAACTAACAGGATAGATGAATATATGAAGGGGAGTTTATTAAGAGAATTGGCTCACACGGTCACAAGGTGAAGTGCCACAATAGGCCATCTGCAAGCTGAGGAGCCAGGAAGCCATTCCGAGTCCCAAAACCTCATAAAGTAGGGAAGCTGGCCAGACCCGGTGGCTCACCCCTGTAATCCCAGGAATTTGGGCGGCCAAGGTGGGCATATCACAAGGTCAGGAGATCGAGACCATCCTGGCCAACATGGTGAAATGTGTCCTTAACTTTTTATAATGTACTTAGAGTTTTATTCTACCACCTCATACAGAATGTAAAATCTTTATAACAATATACATACTTTTACTATTCCTTAGTGTCCTTTATACTATTATTGTCATTTGTAATTTATGTACATACATTATAAACACAGCAAAATGATGTTAGAACTTTTGCTTTAAGCATTCAAGTATATTTTAAAGGAACTAAGTGAAAATTTTTTTTGTACATTCTCAGACACTGAACATTTCTGATGTTCTTTACTCTGGAACATGTTCTGGCTCTGGAAGATCTGTATTTTCCCCTGATGTAGTTTTCTTCAACCTGAAGAATGTCCTATAGCATTTATTTTATTGTATGCCTACCAGTGACAAAGAATCTTAGTTGTCTTTTGTCTGAAAACATTTATTTCACCTTCATCTGTGAAGATATTTTCAAGGATGGAGAACTCTGGGTTGATTTTTTTTCCCATCAGCACTTTCAAGAGGACGTGACACTGTCCTGTAGCCTCCATAGTCACTGATGAGAAAGCCATAGCTTTTAAAATAAAACATGTGATATATGACAGCTGCAGCATTTCAATTCTGTGGGGGAATGACTGAGTTTTCAATGAGTGGTCTTGGGATTACTGGGCATCCGTGCGTGCAAATGAAACTTTACTTCTCCCTCACAGTGTACACAAAACTCAATTCCATAGTCTCTTTTCAGGTACTCATGGTGAGGAAATTCATTATAAACCTGCACTTGTGCTATGGAAAGCCCAGGAGAGGAGGGAGGGCTTTGATGGATTTGAGAGGTGAGAATGAATGTCTAGCCAGGGGTTGGCAAGCTAACTCACAGAACAGATGTGGCCAGTGACTTGTATTTGTAAGGCCTGAAAGCTAAGAGTGATTTTTACATTTTTAAAGCTTTGCTTGAAAAAATGGAGGCTATGTGACCGAGGCCACCTGTGGCTTGCGTAGCTTAAATCATTCACCATCAGGCCTTTTACAGAAAGAGTCTGCTATTCTCTGCATCTAGGACCAAAGATACCTTGACCCATAGTTTCTCCTATGTAGGGACAGGACATGTTCTAGAAACCCCACTGTGGTCTAATGTGCACGTCCTCTTCATGAGGATGGCTTCACTGACATAAACATAAGCCGGACCAGATTAGCATTTCATGTCAGGCCAGGCCCCAGAAGCAGAGTAGAATGAGATCCAGACACAAGTTCTAACCGTATCTGCGACATGGCCTTACAGGAAACCAGTGGAAATCATTCCTCAGTGAAAGGCAGAGGCCTAGGAAATGGGGTTGGAGCCGGGGTGCGTGGGTGGGCACGAAGGTTCACCCTTTCTGGAGGACCTCCCAGACCGCAGAATCAAGGGGGCACCTCCTGGACATCTTCTCACTACTATGTATCTTCCAGTCTTGATTTCTTAAAAGACAGCAAGGTGAGAGGAGGGGAAATAGAGGAGCATGCGAGAGACCACTGGGATTTTGGGTCAGGACTATCCTGCCATCAAAATGAAGTTGGAAACTACGGAACCTATGACCCAAGATGTTGGTTTTGCGACCTCTGTTAGGTTCTTTTAAACCCTTTTTTCTGCATCTGATAGTGCTTTTATGCTCAGAATGTTGTCCTGCAGGGTCAATAGTCACATTCTCAAAATAAGAACTTTCTAGGTGCTGGCCATCTGGGGTCTCAAAGGGGGGCGGGAGTGGGGAGTGGCTATTGTACCTCCTCTGCAGCCAGACTTTGGAAGATGAGGGTGCTAAATGACAAAGGACAGTTAGAATTCGCAGAGAAGGTGAGGATGAGTTGGGCGGTAGAGAAAGGAGGAGAGAGGAAGAAAGCGGGAACTCCCCTACACATACTCTCTCTGTCTCTCTCATTCATTAAAATTTCTACTCTCGGCCGGGCATGGTGGCTCATGCCTGTAATTCCAGCACTTTGAGAGGCCCAGGCTGGCGGATCACCTGAGGTCAGGAGTTTCAGACCAGCCTGGCCAACATGGAGAAACCCTACCTCTACTAAAAATATAAAAATTAGCCGGGCGTGGTGGTGGGTGCCTATAATCCCACCTACTGGGGAGGCTGAGGCAGGAGAATTGCTTGAACCTGGGAGGGGAGGCGGAGGTCGCAGTGAGCCTAGATCACGCCATTGCACTCCAGCCTGGGCGACAGAGTGAAACTCCATCTCAAAAACAAACAAACAACCTCAACTCTCATCTCATTCTCCTAAAATGATGATTTTTTTCTTGTTTCCATTTATGGAACAAAGTTGTGTCCCCATAACTTAATAAAAAGAATAATTTTAAATAGGATGATGGTTAGGGACGGATTAAAGTTTGGGAATATTACTTATGTTACTTGATAAGCACATAATCATTGGCATTAAAAAGGATAAAGGATTAGGTGTGTGTCTACTAGTTGCTGACAGTTAAAGATGGTCAGGACCAATGACAGGATGAAACCAGGGATGTGTGCTTTGGCAATCACGTGAATGTAGAAAAAGAGTGATCTATAGGTGAAAGGGGTCTTGGTAGCAGTCAGGGATCAAGTGAGAGTCAGAGATGGGGTGAGCGAGGGTCAGGTGTGTCCACAATGCAGGATTTTTGCAATTATTCTGAGTGTTAGGATCATAGTTAGGGACGGGATGGATTGGGAATTTTGTGAGGGTTGAAGATGTCTGTTTTTCATTTCCTTGATAATAGGAAGCACCGATTTTACATAGGGTAAGGGATTAGGTTGGAATCAGGGATAGAGGTCAAGTTAGGGGTGGAAGGAGAGGTGGAAGCAAGTGTGAGGATAAGGGTTGTGCCGAGAAGGAATACATATTGCTTCAGATAAGCAGTGCATAGTAGGATGGATTGGGGTCAGGAACAAAGTGGGGGGGCTGCTATTCTGACATATAGAGAGATTACACATGGCATCTCTGAGTCAAAAGGCGGGAGGAACCTGTAGGCCAGTGGTGGTGACTGTGAGCCCTCTGGAAGGATTTTTGCTGTTTGTGACCCCGGAGGTGTCAGTTGGCTGTGTGTGCCCTGAATGCCTCCCTGCCAGAGCAGGAGCGCAGTGAAGCCTTTATGATCAGGAAGGGTCAGGGCCGGCCATCTGGGTCCCAGGCAAGGGAGGAGCTGGGCTGGCTGTGGCCCCCTTCGCAGCCATGTTCCTGAGGGACAGCTGAACCCACAGGGTGGAGTAGGAGGTGGCAGCTATGGAGAGGGGAGCAGGCAGGCTACCGGGGCCTTACTCCAGAGGGCAGAAAGGAGAGCATGATGGGCTGGGCCTGGTCTCAGAGGGAACCCAGGCTACTGGGCAGAAGGAGGACTCCGGGGGCCCCAGGCCAGGCCCTGATGGCCAACAAAAGGTAAGGGGCTCAACAGGATTCTCTCAGGGAAGGGGCCGCCCCTGTCCTCTCCATGCCAAGACGGCCTAAACTCCACCAAGAAGTTCTCGTGGGTGGAGTTCCCTCAGCCAGAGCCACCCGCAACAGGAGCAGGCTTCTCTTGCCACCACTTCCCAACCCTCCAGCTGTGGCCCTTACATTGTGTGTGTTCCAAAACCCACTGCGGATCTTATGGCAGCTGCGGGAAAATGCACTAGAATTGCTGATACAGAGGATTCTAGGAGTTTTGCTTTCTCAGAACCTCCCCTCCCCTCCCCTCCCCTACCAAGCCCCGGGTTAGGAGCCCCTGCTCCCCACATCTCTCAGCCTCCCACCTGGGAGTTTCCCCCCTGGCAGGTTCTGCGTCGGGTGTCATACGTCCCAGTGGCCACGAGATGGCGAAAGAGGTCTTGGCAGCACCCGTCACCTCTTCAGGGCTGTTTTTCCTGTTCAATGGGTGAAATTAGGGCCCAGGACCAACCAGCGCCCCCATATCTCTCACAGGAATGTGAGAAGGAATGAAGGCTGGAAACTACTTTCTGCTGCCACCTGGGATACTCCTCCCTTTACAGTCCTCTCCCTTTCCAGATCGCACAGTGTGACTGAGCATTTCCACTAATAACATGGATAGCATAGGCGCTGGGGATGTCGCTGTCTTTGGCTGTCCCCGTGTTTCTTGTACCTACTGCCTCCCTCCCCACGTGGTAGGGGACTGGGGGTTCAGCTGCTCTTTTGACCTCAGCATAATTGATGCCAACAACTAACAGTACTGTAGGCTTAGCTGAGGACTGGTGTCACATCTTAGTAGCGGTTTGACTTTGAGCTAGTTAGTTAACCTCTCTCTGCTCAGGTTTCCTTACGTACTCAATGAGGATTGTCATAGCGTACCTATGTCATGAGGTTATTGTGAGGCTGAAATAAATGAATATCTCTAAAACACTTATGACAATGCCTGGCACATAACCAAGCACCCAATGTATGTTAGCTATTCTAATTTGTCATCTTGGCCTGCAGAGTAAGGCCTCAATCATTATCTGTTTTTCTTGGCATTTCCCATCTTGAGCTCCTAGGTTTTGACTATGGACTGTATCTCTGGTGTCATCAACTATGTCTGGCAGTTGGTAACTGCTTTTTGGTCTGAGTTTTCTACAAAGTCTTAGTGTTGATTTTATTACTATGCACTGGTTGAGATAGGCCTTAACAGTATATTTCTGGAGTTGTAGTGTTCTCCTGGAACTGGGACAGTAGAAGCTAATCCCTCAATTCATGGTCAAAAACTTTCCCCTCTGGCATAAATCTTTGATCCTGGGAGCACAGAATCAGATACCACGCAGAAAATGCTGCCCAGGTGACACTAGCTAAGCTTTCCCTAGGAAATCTTGTGCCCACTCAAGTATATGATACTACTTGATAATGACTAGTGACAGGCTCCATGGTTTCCCAATGGCTCACCTGCCACAGAGAATTGTGCACAATATTCATGTTGCTCCGGAATTTCCTTCCTGTATCTGTCTTACATTTTCTTTTTTATCTTTTCCAAAAATTGACATCTAAATCACATATGATAATGTTCACCCTTTTAGACTGCACAATTTAGTGTTTTTTTTAGTATATTCACAAAGCTTTGCAACAATCACCATTATCTCATTCCAGAACATTTTCATCACCTCAAAAGAAAACTTCATACCCATCAAACAGTTATTGCTCATTCCCGACTCCTACTCCCAGCCCCTGACAACCACTATTTTCTGTGTTTATGAATTTACCTATTCTGTGTATTTCACTTAAATGGAATCATACAGTACGTAGCAGTTTGTTTCTAAGTTCTTCCACTTAGCATGATGTTTTCAAGGTCCACTTATGTAATCGCATGTATCAATATTTTTTCTTCCTTCCTTTTTATGGCTGATAAATGGATAAACAAAATGTAATATATCATCCCTGTCTTTTTGAGGTGTATGAATAGGTGGGGCAAATGTAACATTCCAGGATTGAGATAACAAGTCTTTATACAATATGTCCCTTTTGTTTCAGGACCAGGACCACATGTTCTCCTAATCTTGCCGTTTTCAGATCAGGAGCCTCCTTTTGTTTTCACACAGTTGTGATGTGGCACTCAATTTCTCACCTTCACCCCAGTTGCTTAGCTTTGCCATTGGGAAGACATGCCAGGAACTTTCCTGGACTGTGTTCTTCTAGTCCTGGGATGACCTAGATATCTCAGAATAAGTCACTTTTTCAGCCTACCTCCATCCCAGAGATGTGCCTTTGTAAACAGAGAATGGACTCCTAAGGCCCTTGCTTGTGGGTCAGTGTACCCACCAAATCTTGGGTAGATTCACCAAAGTGGGAGCCAGTCCTGCCCTTAGAGAACATTTCTGACCTTTTCTGCCCCCACACTATTACCAAACCTCTTTTCCCCTCTGTAATGTGGGGTTGGGTGTACTGTACAAGCATAAGATGCTGGTAGAGACCACAAGATGGTGATAGAGAGCTTGCCTGGACGTTTCCTCTTTGACTCCTGAGTTTGAGGGCAGCTATTTCATTTAACTCAATTTTCCTCACTCCACTATACATACAAAGCACCTACTATGTCATGGCCCTGTGCTAGGATCTCCCTCTGAGTGACAGAGTTCACAGAATGACTCAAACTACAAGATGCAAGATCTGAACTCTTCACAAATGAGCAGCTTCCACATCCCACAACCTGATTTTTTTTCTCAAAAGGGACAAACTAAAGAAATGAAATCCCGGGCTGGGCACGGTGGCTCATGCCTGTAATCCCTGCACTTTGTGAGGCCGAGGCGGGTGAATCTTTTGAGGTCAGGGGTTCAAGGCCCACCTGGCCAACATGGTGAAACCCAGTCTCTACTACAAATTCAAAAAAATTAGCTGGGTGTGGTGGAGGGTGCCTGTAATCCCAGCTACTGGGAGGCTGAGGCAGGAGAATCACTTGAACCCTGGAGGCAGAGGTTGCAGTGAGCCGAGATCGCACCATTGCACTCCAGCCTGGGCGAATGAGTGAGACTCCGTCAAAAACAAAACAAAACAAAACAAAAAAAACCCTTAAAAAGAACGTGTCCCTTAACATGTTCCATCATGACCGCATGCTCTCCACATCCCATTATACTAATTAGCTTTCCTGAGGTGGACTTGCAGCTCCACACATGCTCATGCACAACTGTGGAGCATGAGCTTGCCCATGGGCTCAAGATAGGTTCTCGTGTGTCTCAAATATTGTATACTGCAATATTTTCAAGGGCAGGGACAATGCATTTGTCATATTTTACTTATATATTCTGTCAGTATTTTTGAGTGTCTCCAACTTGCCAAGCATAGTGCTAATTTATGTGTAAACAATGGTGAGTTAAAGAGCATCCTCATGCACATGGAGTTTATTTTGTTTCCATCTGGATAGGCACAGTGCCTAGTACATATTAGAAGTTTAGTCAACGTTTGCACGACTGTTCGTTTATATGAAAGATGGTAATTTTCAGGATGTGACATTCACATTTTCAAGTTGTGACGATGATTTTAATTCTGGCCCATTCCATTAAGTTGCCTGAGTGAAAAATAATAACACTTTCAGTGAGCTTAAACAGTTCAACTAAAGGATATAGGTAATAGATTTAAATGTTAGTAAATCCTGCTAAGAGGATTACAAAGGGTAATTTCAAAAGCTTCTGCTCTAGGGTTACCGAGGGAGGTGAAGGATCTTTAACGTTAAAAGTAAGGACTTTTGCAATGCTTAGTACTATTCTCTTTAACTATTGGAGACCCAGTACATTTGTATATATTAGCCAGTACAACTCATAATTTTTCTTTACATTAGATGGCGTGTTTAATCTTATTTTCTGTTGCAATGTATCTACTCTGATAAAACATAATTTTGGGCCTATAAAATTCTGCCTAAGCCTGATTATCTGTCTAAAGAATTCCACAGATATAGGTGTTTTACCTAGCTTGTGGGACAGAAGATTGAGAAAATTTGTAATTGTTTCCAATGTGTCTCTTAATGTCACAGAGAGACCACCAGAGGAGCCAATACATACACTTAGGTAAAGCATAGGGATTTGTGTACAAATATTTTTATTCAATCCTTGCTAAGAATAAATGTCTTACCAAAATATAGAAAGGACAAAAGAAGATAACTCTTGGGAGAGTGTTTTGTAAAATGACAAACTTAGGTCTAAGTTCTGTCATTCTCAAGATTGTACCAGATTAATTAACATTTATTTATCCAACATTTATCAGATACCTTCTCTGCACTAGATCCTGTGCTCTGTGCTAGGCACACAGTAATGATATCAACATATTCAACTCTAGCAACTCAGTCTACTGAAGAGGCATACATATGAACAAAGAAGAGATGCAAACATGGTTAGTGCTCTGATGGAAGACCATAGAGACGGCAGCATGAGCGGCCAGGCTGACTAGTGTAATGGAGAGGCAAGAGAGGGTGATTAAGAAGAGCATAGATGTTCATTTAAATAGAGATAGTCCTCTATTTACGATGATTTCACTTAAGATTTTTTGACTTTATGGTGATGCAAAAGTGATACGTACTTAGTGGATTTAGCGGAAACCGTATTTTGAATTTTGACCTTTGCCCAGGCTAGTGATATGCGGTACCAGATTCTTGCCCTGCTGCGCAGAGCAGCAAGCTGCGGCTCTCAGGCAGCAATGTGATCATGAGGGTACACAACTCATACCCCTATATGAGATATTTAACATTTTATTATAAAACAGGCTTCATGTTAGATGATTTTTCCCAATGTTACATTAATGTCAATGTTCTGGGCATGCTATGGAGTTCGGTAGGTTAGATGTATTCAATGCATTTTGATTTCTGATATTTTCAACTTACAATGGTAAGAAAGTCCAGGAGCATCTGCACCAGAATACCTATGTGTTCTAAATCCTCTGCACCTCAGCTTCCTTATCTGTGAAATGCAGATAGTAATGGTACCAAATTTATGGGGTTGTGGTAACAACTAAGTAAGCACATTCCATGCAAAGCCCTCAGGACAGTACATGGCACAGAGTAAGGACTACTGTATAAGTGTTAGCTGTATTTTTTTATTTTATATATTTAGCAGGAGTGTTAGGTACAGCTTCATAGAGGATATGACCCATGAGCTCCATTTTGAGTGATGTGTAGCATTTTTTAATTTTTTTGAGATGGACTCCCGCTCTTGTTGCCAAGGCTGGAGTGCAATGTTGCGATCTCAGCTCACTGCAACCTCCGCCTCCTGGGTTCAAGCAATTCTCCTGCCTCAGCGCCCCCCCCCCCCCACTAGCTGGGATTACAGGCATGTGCCACCATGCCCGGCTAATTTTGTATTTTTAGTAGAGACTGGGTTTCACCATGTTGGTCAGGCTGGTCTCGAACTCCTGACCTCAGGTGATCTGTCCGCCTTGGCCTCCCAAAGTGCTGGGGTTACAGGTGTGAGCTACCCCACCCAGCTACATTTTTTTTTAACCAAATGAACATAGGGAACACCGAGGATGCTGTGAGCAGAGATGGGTGAATTTGGTATCATGAGGAAAAGGTATAGACGGAGGCATATAACATCCTGCAAGTAGATCACTGTAGCTGGAGATAACCACATAAGGAGGAAAACCCCAAGAGGAATGGTTGAAGAGATATAGAAGCTGCATCGCAGAGGCCATTGTGCATCATATTTCAGTGCTTAAACTTTGCTGGGTAGGTGATGGAGGTAGATATAAAAGTAGAAAGGAGAGGGATGCATCTAGGAACAATCTTCAGGCTTGTGACCTATGGAAATGTAATATGGTGTTGATGATCAAGAGACATAGTGTGACTTTGCCTGACTTTTTGAGAAAACAGAGATTGAAGCAAAGCTTTGTGCTAAGGGTTTATTGAGGGCTGCAATTACAGAGCAGTTTGGACAGAAAATGGCAATGTGGCAAGGGATGAGATAGAAAATATAAAGTAGCACATTACAGAGATTTCTACAGCTTCATGAGAAAACATAGTTGGCTGCTCCGTCGCCTTGGATATGTCTAGATAAGCACTGTGAAACCACCATACCTTGGTTCAGCTGATTAACTCTCTTGAACTTCCAGATTGTTTCACCTCACCATTTCCAGTAATCCACGGAAAGTCACATCCTGCAGTGTATGGAATGGCACTTCATTTGAGGCTGGAAGAAGTGGAAAAGCCAGACCTTGTGCTGAAGCTGCATAAAGAAGGATCTGCTGGAGGGAGTTTGGATCTCAGCCCAGGAGAGGCCATGAGCGTTGTTGATATTTGGAGACAAAGTGATAGTGGTGACAGCCAGACATCTCTTTTGAGCAAGCAGCCAAGGGTCTGGCAGGCCAAGGACTCCTCTTGTGTAAACAGAATAGGGGTATAAATTCAGGCTGACGCAGTCTACCCCTTGATACAATAATTTGGAGCCATCATTTTATGAGAACAACATGTCCTCATTTCTTTTCTTGGATGAAGAAGCAATCCTTCAAATTGGTGGCCAGTTACACTCTCCTAAAAAGGCTTATTGAATGAGGATTATTATGCCAACATAAAGTTCCTGTTACTATACTGTGTCCCAGAACCATATTGTTTACATATTTATATTTATTTTTTATTTTTATTTTTTAAAATTTACTTTAAGTTCTGGGATACATGTGCAGAATGTGCAGGTTTGTTACATAGGTATACATGTGCCATGGTGGTTTGCTGCACCCATCAACCTGTCATCTAGGTTTTAAGCCCCACATGCATTAGGTATTTGTCCTAATGCTCTCCCTCCTCTTGCCCCCCACCCCGCTACAGGCCCCGGTGTGTGATGTTCCCCTTCCTGTGTCCATGTGTTCTCATTGCAGCACCATAGTTTATATTACTCATCTCCCTCTACAACCACCATTTTTTTTTTTTTTGACGGAGTTTTGCTTTTGTTGCCCAGGCTGGAATGCAATGGCACGATCTCGGCTCACCGCAACCTCCGCCTCCCAGGTTCAAGCAATTCTCCTGCCTCAGTCTCGGTCATGTGCCACCATGCCTGGCTAATTTTTGTATTTTCAGTAGAGACAGGGTTTCTCCATGTTGGCCAGGCTGGTCTTGAACTCTTGACCTCAGGTGATCCGCCCGCCTCAGCCTCCCAAAGTGCTGGGATTACAGGCATGAGCCACCACGCCCGGCTACAACTACCATTTTTATGCTTTCCTCACAATTAGCTAACACCTTGGCTAATTTAGGTTACTTGTCTAGTGGGATCATCCCAGAAGGGTTTAAACATTCAGTTGCCTATCTCTTTTTGGGCCATGGTTGGTGAAATTGGATGTTCACAGTTATCACCGAAAATAGACGCACTAAGAAATGCTTCAGTGAATCCCCTGAGTTTCAAACATAATCCTCCCTATCTCTGTATGTAGCAGCAACTTTAACTGCTGACAGAAATGAGGGTGAGTACCTCTGTAAATATAGGAATTTTTCTTTGCTTGTTATTCCACAGGCATCAGGAGCTCAAAGTTGCAAGATAGTGATAGAGGCTTCTGGTTCATTGAAGCATTTACTGTGTCATCAGGTGGAAGTGCACCTCCCACTCTTCCTTTGTTTGTTTGTTTGAGACGGAGTCTTGTTCTTTTGCCCAGGCTGGAGTGCAGTGGTACGATCTCGGCTCATTGCAATCTCCACCTCCTGAGTTCAAGCGATTCTTCTGCTTCAGCCGCCCGAGTAGCTGGGATTACAGGTGGACACCACCACACCCGGCTAATTTTTGTATTTTTAGTAGAGACAGGGTTTCGCCATGTTGGCCAGGCTTGTCTTGAACTCCTGATCTCAGGTGATCTGCCCGCCTCAGCCTCCCAAAGTGCTGGGATTACAGGCATGAGCCACTGCGCCCGTCCTGGACCTCTCACTCTTAAAACCAGTATCTCAAATCCACCATAGCCTATGTTTGCAGGAATGAGGAAGCCCAAATTCCACAAGTGGGTCACTGCAGTGACAATCATTGGGGTTATACGGACCTCAATTTTTTAGCTATGCGGGAAAACACCATATATATGCTACAGTTTTGGTAATTATACTACATCACAAGATATTATGACTGAGCTGGTACCTTAACTAAGACTTCAACACATCAGTCCACCATTCTTTTTTTTTTTTTTTAAATGTACCCTTCCCCTAATGGCCTTTTTTTATTTGTTTATTTTAATGTATTTAATCTGTGCCAAGAGAAAGCTATAAAGCTTTTCTATTCTCTGAAATTTTTTTTTTCCATTTCTAGGGAGCCTAGAATAGGTATTGTTCCTTAAAATTTTTTTTAAATTATACTTTAAGTTTTAGGGTACATGTGCACATTGTGCAGGTTAGTTACATATGTATACATGTGCCATGCTGGTGTGCTGCACCCACTAACTCGTCATCTAGCATTAGGTATATCTCCCAATGCTATCCCTCCCCCCTCCCCCCACCCCACAACAGTCCCCAGAGTGTGATATTCCCCTTCCTGTGTCCATGTGATCTCATTGTTCAATTCCCAGCTATGAGTGAGAATATGCGGTGTTTGGTTTTTTGTTCTTGCGATAGTTTACTGAGAATGATGATTTCCAATTTCATCCATGTCCCTACAAAGGACATGAACTCATCATTTTTTATGGCTGCATAGTATTCCATGGTATATATGTGCCACATTTTCTTAATCCAGTCTATCATTGTTGGACATTTGGGTTGGTTCCAAGTCTTTGCTATTGTGAATAATGCCGCAATAAACATACGTGTGCATGTGTCTTTATAGCAGCATGATTTAGAGTCCTTTGGGTATATACCCAGTAATGGGATGGCTGGGTCAAATGGTATTTCTAGTTCTAGATCCCTGAGGAATCGCCACACTGACTTCCACAATGGTTGAACTAGTTTACAGTCCCACCAACAGTGTAAAATTGTTCCTATTTCTCCACAACCTCTCCAGCACCTGTTGTTTCCTGACTTTTTAATGATTGCCATTCTAACTGGTGTGAGATGGTATCTCATTGTGGTTTTGATTTGCATTTCTGTGATGGCCAGTGATGATGAGCATTTTTTCATGTGTTTTTTGGCTGCATAAATGTCTTCTTTTGAGAAGTGTCTGTTCATGTCCTTTGCCCACTTTTTCATGGGGTTGTTTGTTTTTTTCTTGTAAATTTGTTTGAGTTCATTGTAGATTCTGGATATTAGCCCTTTGTCAGATGAGTAGGTTGAAAAAATTTTCTCCCATTTTGTAGGTTGCCGGTTCACTCTGATGGTAGTTTCTTTTGCTGTGCAGAAGCTCTTTAGTTTAATTAGATCCCATTTGTCAATTTTGGCTTTTGTTGCCATTGCTTTTGGTGTTTTAGACATGAAGTCCTTGCCCATGCCTATGTCCTGAATGGTAATGCCTAGGTTTTCTTCTAGGGTTTTTATGGTTTCAGGTCTAACGTTTAAGTCTTTAATCCATCTTGAATTGATTTTTGTATAAGGTGTAAGGAAGGGATCCAGTTTCAGCTTTCTACATATGGCTAGCCAGTTTTCCCAGCACCATTTATTAAATAGGGAATCCTTTCCCCATTGATTGTTTTTCTCAGGTTTGTCAAAGATCAGATAGTTGTAGATATGCGGCATTATTTCTGAGGGCTCTGTTCTGTTCCATTGATCTATATCTCTGTTTTGGTACTGGTACCATGCTGTTTTGGTTACTGTAGCCTTGTAGTATAGTTTGAAGTCAGGTAGTGTGATGCCTCCAGCTTTGTTCTTTTGGCTTAGGATTGCCTTGGCGATGCGGGCTCTTTTTTGGTTCCATATGAACTTTAAAGTAGTTTTTTCCAATTCTGTGAAGAAAGTCATTGGTAGCTTGATGGGGATGGCATTGAATCTGTAAATTACCATGGGCAGTATGGCCATTTTCACGATATTGATTCTTCCTACCCATGAGCATGGAATGTTCTTCCATTTGTTTGTATCCTCTTTTATTTCCTTGAGCAGTGGTTTGTAGTTCTCCTTGAAGAGGTCCTTCATGTCCCTTGTAAGTTGGATTCCTAGGTATTTTATTCTCTTTGAAGCAATTGTGAATGGGAGTTCACTCATGATTTGGCTCTCTGTTTGTCTGTTGTTGGTGTACAAGAATGCTTGTGATTTTTGTACATTGATTTTGTATCCTGAGACTTTGCTGAAGTTGCTCATCAGCTTAAGGAGATTTTGGGCTGAGACAATGGGGTTTTCTAGATATACAATCATGTCATCTGCAAACAGGGACAATTTGACTTCCTCTTTTCCTAATTGAATACCCTTTATTTCCTTCTCCTGCCTAATTGCCCTGGCCAGCACTTCCAACACTATGTTGAATAGGAGTGGTGAGAGAGGGCATCCCTGTCTTGTGCCCGTTTTCAAAGGGAATGCTTCTCCAGTTTTTGCCCATTCATTATGATATTGGCTGTGGGTTTGTCATAGATAGCTCTTATTATTTTGAAATATGTCCCATCAATACCTAATTTATTGAGAGTTTTTAGCATGAAGGGTTGTTGAATTTTGTCAAAGGCTTTTTCTGCATCTATTGAGATAATCATGTGGTTTTTGTCTTTGGCTCTGTTTATATGCTGGATTACATTTATTGATTTGCGTATATTGAACCAGCCTTGCATCCCAGGTATGAAGCCCACTTGATCATGGTGGATAAGCTTTTGGATGTGCTGCTGGATTCGTTTTGCCAGTATTTTATTGAGGATTTTTGCATCAATGTTCATCAAGGATATTGGTCTAAAATTCTCTTTTTTGGTTGTGTCTCTGCCCAGCTTTGGTATCAGAATGATGCTGGCCTCATAAAATGAGTTAGGGAGGATTCCCTCTTTTTCTATTGATTGGAATAGTTTCAGAAGGAATGGTACTAGTTCCTCCTTGCACCTCTGATAGAATTCGGCTGTGAATCCATCTGGTCCTGGACTCTTTTTGGTTGGTAAGCTATTGATTATTGCCACAATTTCAGATCCTGTTATTGGTCTATTCAGAGATTCAACTTCTTCCTGGTTTAGTCTTGGGAGAGTGTATGTGTTGAGGAATTTATCCATTTCTTCTAGATTTTCTAGTTTATTTGCGTAGAGGTGTTTGTAGTATTCTCTGATGGTAGTTTGTATTTCTGTGGGATCGGTGGTGATATCCCCTTTATCATTTTTTATTGTGTCTATTTGATTCTTCTCTCTTTTTTTCTTTATTAGTCTTGCTAGCGGTCTATCAATTTTGTTGATCCTTTCAAAAAACCAGCTCCTGGATTCATTAATTTTTTGAAGGGTTTTTTTGTGTCTCTATTTCCTTCAGTTCTGCTCCGATTTTAGTTATTTCTTGCTTTCTGCTAGCTTTTGAATGTGTTTTCTCTTGCTTCTCTAGTTCTTTTAATTGTAATGTTAGGGTGTCAA
The DNA here is from genome assembly GCF_000001405.40 of Homo sapiens. Lineage (NCBI taxonomy): Eukaryota > Metazoa > Chordata > Mammalia > Primates > Hominidae > Homo > Homo sapiens. Next base: position 131,666,878 of record NC_000023.11, on the reverse strand, counting down.
TTTTGGATCTTTCCTGCTTTCTCTTGTGGGCATTTAGTGCTATAAATTTCCCTCTACACACTGCTTTGAATGTGTCCCAGAGATTCTGGTATGTTGTGTCTTTGTTCTCATTGGTTTCAAAGAACATCTTTATTTCTGCCTTCATTTCGTTATGTACCCAGTAGTCACTGAGAAGCAGGTTGTTCAGTTTCCATGTAGTTGAGCGGTTTTGAGTGAGATTCTTAATCCTGAGTTCTAGTTTGATTGCACTGTGGTCTGAGAGATAGTTTGTTATAATCTCTGTTCTTTTACATTTGCTGAGGAGAGCTTTACTTCCAAGTATGTGGTCAATTTTGGAATAGGTGTGGTGTGGTGCTGAAAAAAATGTATATTCTGTTGATTTGAGGTGGAGAGTTCTCTAGATGTCTATTAGGTCCGCTTGGTGCAGAGCTGAGTTCAATTCCTGGGTATCCTTGTTGACTTTCTGTCTCGTGGATCTGTCTAATGTTGACAGTGGGGTGTTAAAGTCTCCCATTATTAATGTGTGGGAGTCTAAGTCTCTTTGTAGGTCACTCAGGACTTGTTTTATGAATCTGGGTGTTCCTGTATTGGGTGCATATATATTTAGGATAGTTAGCTCTTCTTGTTGAATTGATCCCTTTACCATTATGTAATGGCCTTCTTTGTCTCTTTTGATCTTTGTTGGTTTAAAGTCTGTTTTATCAGAGACTAGGATTGCAACCCCTGCCTTTTTTTGTTTTCCATTTGCTTGGTAGATCTTCCTCCATCCTTTTATTTTGAGCCTATGTGTGTCTCTGCACGTGAGATGGGTTTCCTGAATACAGCACACTGATGGGTCTTGACTCTTTATCCAATTTGCCAGTCTGTGTCTTTTAATTGGAGCATTTAGTCCATTTACATTTAAAGTTAATATTGTTATGTGTGAATTTGATCCTGTCATGATGATATTAGCTGGTTATTTTGCTCATTAGTTGATGCAGTTTCTTCCTAGTCTCGATGGTCTTTACATTTTGGCATGATTTTGCGGCGGCTGGTACCGGCTGTTCCTTTCCATATTTAGTGCTTCCTTCAGGAGCTCTTTTAGGGCAGGCCTGGTGGTGACAAAATCTCTCAGCATTTGCTTGTCTGTAAAGGATTTTATTTCTCCTTCACTTATGTAGCTTAGTTTGGCTGGATATGAAATTCTGGGTTGAAAATTCTTTTCTTTAAGAATGTTGAATATTGGCCCCCACTCTCTTCTGGCTTGTAGGGTTTCTGCCAAGAGATCCGCTGTTAGTCTGATGGGCTTCCCTTTGAGGGTAACCCGACCTTTCTCTCTGGCTGCCCTTAACATTTTTTCCTTCATTTCAACTTTGGTGAATCTGACAATTATGTGTCTTGGAGTTGCTCTTCTCGAGGAGTATCTTTGTGGCATTCTCTGTATTTCCTGAATCTGAATGTTGGCCTGCCTTGCTAGATTGGGGAAGTTCTCCTGGATAATATCCTGCAGAGTGTTTTCCAACTTGGTTCCATTCTCCCCATCACTTTCAGGTACACCAATCAGACGTAGATTTGGTCTTTTCACATAGCCCCATATTTCTTGGAGGCTTTGCTCATTTCTTTTTATTCTTTTTTCTCTAAACTTCCCTTCTCACTTCATTTCATTCATTTCATCTTCCATCGCTGATACCCTTTCTTCCAGTTGATCGCATCAGCTCCTGAGGCTTCTGCATTCTTCACGTAGTTCTCGAGCCTTGGTTTTCAGCTCCATCAGCTCCTTTAAGCACTTCTCTGTATTGGTTATTCTAGTTATACATTCTTCTAAATTCTTTTCAAAGTTTTCAACTTCTTTGCCTTTGGTTTGAATGTCCTCCTGTAGCTCAGAGTAATTTGATCGTCTGAAGCCTTCTTCTCTCAGCTCGTCAAAGTCATTCTCCATCCAGCTTTGTTCCGTTGCTGGTGAGGAACTGCGTTCCTTTGGAGGAGGAGAGGCGCTCTACTTTTTAGAGTTTCCAGTTTTTCTGTTCTGTTTTTTCCCCATCTTTGTGGTTTTATCTACTTTTGGTCTTTGATGATGGTGATGTACAGATGGGTTTTCGGTGTGGATGTCCTTTCTGTTTGTTAGTTTTCCTTCTAACAGACAGGACCCTCAGCTGCAGGTCTGTTGGAATACCCTGCCGTGTGAGGTGTCAGTGTGCCCCTGCTGGGGGGTGCCTCCCAGTTAGGCTGCTCGGGGGTCAGGGGTCAGGGACCCACTTGAGGAGGCAGTCTGCCCGTTCTCAGATCTCCAGCTGCGTGCTGGGAGAACCTCTGCTCTCTTCAAAGCTGTCAGACAGGGACTTTTCAGTCTGCAGAGGTTACTGCTGTCTTTTTGTTTGTCTGTGCCCTGCCCCCAGAGGTAGAGCCTACAGAGGCAGGCAGGCCTCCTTGAGCTGTGGTGGGCTCCACCCAGTTCGAGCTTCCCAGCTGCTTTGTTTACCTAAGCAAGCCTGGGCAATGGTGGGCGTCCCTCCCCCAGCCTCGCTGCCGCCTTGCAGTTTGATCTCAGACTGCTGTGCTAGCAATCAGCGAGACTCCGTGGGCGTAGGACCCTCCGAGCCAGGTGCGGGATATAATCTTGTGGTGCGCTGTTTTTTAAGCCGGTCGGAAAAGCGCAGTATTCGGGTGGGAGTGACCTGATTTTCCAGGTGCGTCCGTCACCCCTTTCTTTGACTCGGAAAGGGAACTCCCTGACCCCTTGCGCTTCCCAAGTGAGGCAATGCCTTGCCCGGCTTCGGCTCACACACGGTGTGTGCACCCACTGACCTGCGCCCACTGTCTGGCACTCCCTAGTGAGATGCACCCGGTACCTCAGATGGAAATGCAGAAATCACCCGTCTTCTGCGTCGCTCACGCTGGGAGCTGTAGACCGGAGCTGTTCCTATTCAGCCATCTTGGCTCCTCCTCCCAGTCCACCATTCTTTTCAGCTTGCTGATTCTGAGTGATATGGTAAGTCCAGGAATTCTCTTGTTCATGAGCCCATTGTTGCACCTCCTTTGCAATATAATGGGCCTTTTGGTACAGTAAATCATTGTGTACAATTTAATGTCAATAAGATTAGGCATTTTCTAAGCCCTTGTATTGTGGGGATGATGTGGGTTTTGCAGACAAAGAAGGCAAACACATATCTCAGTATGTATCAATTCAGATAAAGATGAGTTGCTGCTCTTCCAAAATTGAAAGGAGTCTGATGTAATTGAAATTCTACCAGGTGTCTGGCAAGTAAGGTTCCATGTTGGAGATTGATTGTCTGTCTCCACTACTGGAGGATTGGGACATTCAGCAATTGCAGAAGGATTAACCTTGTTGAAAAAGAATCCATGTTGTTATGGTCAGACAGACTCTTAAATTTATAACATATATAACATATATTTTGTTATATTATATTATATATATATTTTGAGACAGAGTCTTGCTCTGTTGCCCAGGCTGGAGTGCCTGGCAACAGGTGCGATCTCGGCAACAGGTGCGATCTTGGGAAGTGGTGGGATCTCGGCAAGTGGTGCGATCTTGGCTCACTGCAACCTCCACCTCCCGGGTTCAAGTGATTCTCCTACCTCAGCCTCCCGTGTAGCTGGGACTAGGATATATTAACAAAGCAGAAAATGTCTGCAAACAGAGTAATTCCCTACCAAGGAGGGCATGTTCTTTCTCCAGTCCTGGAGGTCTGTCTTGTGACTTTCCTTTTGAGGCCAAATAAATGTTCCTCTCTGTTGGTCGTGAGAGTGATAAGGAGCAACAACTTGTTCCTTACTTTAGAAAAATGTCACAGTATCATCCAAGACCATCCTGCCAAAACTTCACCAATATGTCAGACCCATGGATCTTTATGAAGTTTATTTACCTCCTTTTTGGCATACAAGCAAATCCCTAAAAATTTCAACAATATAGCAGATCGACAAATATAGAATTTATCTCCCATCTTTTGGTACACATGTATCTTACTCAGGCATCTAGGATATTTGTCACTTCTAGTTCAACAGGTTCAATTAACATGAAGCAGATCAGAATGATATTCTGAGGAATTTCAAAATATTCAATGTCCTAATGGATGATATTATGTCAAATAAAGAGTTAACATAGCATTCAGGCAAGAGAAGGTATATACTCTGCTATCTCTGACATGCAAAAGTGAATGGCTTTCAATGTTTCCTGCTGATGTGCATCAAGAAAAAAGTATTCTGCCAAATCAATAGCATTATATTAAGTGCCCACAATTTTGTTGAACTGCTTTCATCTTTCATAAAAATACTACAACCAGAATAGCAACTTCAATCAGGACTTCAATTTGTTAAGTTTATAGTAGTCCACTCTCATGAGGCATGAACTACCTGATTTTGTAGAGGGCACTCAGAAAGATGTGATCGGGTCCGCTAGCCTTACATCTTTTAAATTTTTGATGGTGAGACTAAGTTTTGCAGTGCCTCTAGCAATGTGATATTTTTCCTGATTTAGATTTCTGGAGGTTTGGGGAGCTTTCACGTGGTTGTTCCTATTATAATAGTCCTTAATTCACAGGTCAGGAAAATAATGAGAGAAGATTTCCAGCATTTGAGAATGTGCATTTCAATTATACACTCAAAGACCAGAGAAAGAGCCACAGTGCAGATGTGGGGATCCATTTGACCCCTTATGAGATGGGCTTGAGCCAAAACTCCATTTCTTACCTGGATTCCATGATCCTCCACACTAATCAAAGGAAAATGCTTTTCAGATTCTCTGTGATAGTGTCGGTTCAGATCTCATATATAATATTTCTAGGCTGGGTGCGGTGGCTCACTCCTGTAATCCCACCACTTTGGGAGGCTAAGATGGGTAGATTGCTTGAGCTCGGGGGTTTGAGACCAGCCTGGGCATCATGGTGAAACCTTGTCTCTACAAAAAATACAAACATTAGCTGGGCATAGTGGTGTGCACCACTATGTCCCAGACTCGAGGTGTGCACTATGTCCCAGACTCGAGGTGTGCAACTCGAGTCCCAGATACTTGAGGCTGAGGTGGGAGGACCATTTGATCCTGGGAGGCAGAGGTTGCAGTGAGCTGAGATAGCGCCACTGCATTCCAGACTGGGTGATGGAGCTAGACCTTGTCTCAAAAAAAAAAATGTATATATATATTTCTAGAGAAGTCTGAATATTCTTCCCTTTTTCACAGCATACAAAGCATACAGTTGACTTGGAAAATGGCTGAAGCCCTCACTGGGGGAAACATCAAAGGAATACTCACTGTTTATACTTGAAGTGAACCAACATCAACTTGAATCAATGGATTTTGGGTCTGTGGACTGACTCAGATCTAGAAACTGCACGAAGAAGAGCAATTTTGCATGTGGCATCTGATATCAACCTTCTGATAACCAAGAGCTAGTTTTTAATCATAATAAAATTGAAGAATAGCAAGTTGACTACCCATCTATCTTACCCCTGAGAACACCATGGCCTGTTTTCAGTTGTCATAGATTCCTGGGCAGTAAGACATTGTGATTTCCATTCCAGCCTTGCTGCACATCATATTAATTATGGTTAAGGGCTCAGTGTTGCCATGTGGCCTCTGGCATTCCAGAATCTCAACATCCACATTGATATTATACAGCCCAGTTCCATGGAAGAATAGAGCATTGACCCCAATCTACAGACAGCAGCCACTGCTAAGCCTCTCAAAGATACTAGTGTTTCCATCACTAGCACATTACTTAATAGAGTGCCTTTCGTTGCTCCTTGTATACATGGATGTACAGTCAGTTGATGGGTTTTCACGTCTTGCACTGTAATTCAATGCTAATCCCTTAAACTTACTTTTTTGTACTATGTCAAGACAGTTCGGGTATCTCTACCTGGGTTACAGTAGGCTATCAACCTTCACGGAGCCATCCCAAGCAAATATTAGCACTGGCTCTAGGTAGCCTTGCCAGAATGTTAAATTTCAGTTAAGTATGCTAAATGAATGTGATAACTTTATGCAACTTTTCATCCATGACTTTCTTTTAGTGTAAAGGAGCAATTGATTATTAGGACAACTGATTAACTCTGGTTAAGGTGAATAGATTTACTAAAAACATTGTATTAATGTTAATATTCTCATTTTGTTTTAATTGTGCTATAATTGTGTAAGAGAATGACTTTGATTTTAGGAAATATACACTGAAGTATTTAGGGTTAAATGGTATTATGTCTCCAACTTAATCTCAGGCAGTTAAGAAAAATTAATGTGCATGTGTGTGTGTAGGGAAAGAAAGAGGGAGGAAAGGAGGAATAGAGAGGAAGAGAGAGGGTAAATGATAAAGCAATGTGGTAAAAACATTAACATTCTAACATATTGGGAATCTGGAGATTCTCTGTACCATTTTCCAACCCATGTTAAGTGTGAAATTACGTCAAAGTAAAAGTTAAAAAATATTCCTATTCCTAGGTAAATTCTCCAATGGCAATGAATTCTTATATCTGGACTTACATTCTGCCATCTCCTGATCTTAACACTTTACTCTCACTCATATTGTCCTGGTTTCTGTTCATACATATTCACTAGATATTATAATTCTTTGATATTTAGTGTATTGCTTTCTGAACCAGGGTTTACATTAGGCTGAATCACATGGAAATTATTTTGGCTTGAGGGGTTCACTTTTAAGCCCTACAAATTAAAATCTAAATATCCATGACCTCAAACCCTCAAACCAATTTCCAGAGGAAGTGTATGAATTAAATATACTACTCAAAGAGCTTATAAATTTTCATTCACTTGTCCATACAGGGTCTCCTTTTTCAGAGTCATTATGAATTTCAACCCTGCATTTTCTATACCAGCCAATGCCATTTTGACATCAGGCATTGGTCTATACGAGGATGAACGTATATAATCTTCAGGAGGATCTTGAGTTGAATTTTCTGGTCCTTGGATCTTTCTGGTTAGCACTGCTAACCAGTGTAAATCATGGAGTACAAGATGCAAGCTGGTTCTTCTGACACATCCCTTAAAACTGGGGCTGCTGGAAACTCTAAAACCAATCCTACACCCTTTCTAAGTGAGGAAAGTTACAAAACCTATTACGTCCTACTGCCAGCTCTTCATTTCTTTATATATACTCCTAACTTCTTATAATCACTTTTCCCCAAGCCCATCAATTTCCCACACATTTACATTCCATCTGAATAATCAGAGACACTGAACTGGAGTATTTATTTCATAATACATGTTTCTTGCCACCTTCAAGACCCACTGGAGAAAGAACTAAAGCTTTCGTCTGAGGTACGTATTGTGTCATACTGCAATTTTACATCTCAATAGGAATCTCAATCTACATCTTGCTAAAACATACCTATTTATTGGCTGAGCACGGTGGCTCACACCTGTAATCACAGCATTTTTGGGAGGCCAAGGCCAGCAGATCACTTGAGGTCAGGAGTTTGAGAACAATGTGGCAACATGGCGAAATCCCATCTATATTAAAAATACAAAAATTAGCTGGGCGTGGTGGTGTGTGCCTGTAATTCCAGCTACTTGGGGGGCTGAGGCAAGAGAATTGCTTGAACCTGGGAGGCAGAGGATGCAGTGAGCCGAGATTGTGCCACCGTACTCCAGCCTGATGCAGAGCGAGACTTGGTCTCAAAAAAGAAAAGAGTGTGTGTGTGTGCGTGCGCGTGTGTGTGTGTGTGCGTGTGCGTATAACTATTTATTTAAAGAAATAAATCAACTTATTTATATTTCAATTCTCCATTTGTTCTCATTGGTTTCAAAGAACTTATTTATTTCTGCCTTAATTTTGTTATTTACCCAGTAATCATTCCGGAACAGGTTATTCATTTTTTATGTAGTTGTGCGGTTTTGAGTGAGTTTCTTAATCTTGGATTCTAATTTGATTGCACTGTGGTCTAAGAGACTGTTTGATATGATTTCTCTTCTTTTGCATTTGCTAAGGAGTGTTTTACTTCCAATTATGTGGTCAATTTTAGAATGAGTGCGATGTGGTGCTGAGAAGAATGTATATTCTGTTGATTTGGGGTGGAGAGTTGTGTAGATGTCTATTAGTTCTGCTTGGTCCAGAGCTGAGTTCAAGTCCTGACTATCCTTGTTAATTTTCTGTCTCATTGATCTGTCTAATATTGACAGTGGGTTGTTAAAGTCTCCCACTATTATTGTGTGGGAGTCTAAGTCTCTTTGTAGGTCTCTAAGAACTTGCTTTATGAGTCTGGGTGCTCCTGTATTGGGTGTATATATATTTAGGATAGTTAGCTCTTCTTGTTGCATTGATCCCTTTACCATTATGTAATGTCCTTCTTTGTCTTTTTTTTTTTTTTATCTTTGTTGGTTTATTGTGTGTTTAATCAGAGACTAGGATTGCAACCCCTGCTTTTTTCTGCTTTCCATCTTCTTGGTAAATATTCCTCCATCCCTTTATTTTGAGCCTATGTGAGTCTTTGCATGTGAGATGGGTCTCCTGAATACAACACACTAATGGGTCTTGACTCTTTATCCAATTTGCCAGTCTGTGTCTTTTAATTGGAGCATTTAGCCCATTTACATTTAAGGTTAATATTGTTATGTGGGAATTTGATCCTGTCATTAGGATGCTAGCTGGTTATTTTGCCTGTTAGTTGATGCAGTTTCTTCATAGTGTCGATGGTCTTTACAATTTGGTATGTTTTTGCAGTGGCTGGTACTTCTTTTTCCTTTCCATATTTAGTGCTTCCTTCAGGAGCTCTTGTAAGGCAGGCCTGGTGGTGATAAAATCTCTCAGCATTTGCTTGTCTGTAAAGGATTTTATTTCTCCTTCACTTTTGAAGCTTAATTTGACTGGATATGAAACTCTGGGTTGAAAATTTTTTTCTTTAAGAATGTTGAATATTGGCCCCCAGTCTCTTCTGGCTTGTAGGGTTTCTGCAGAGAGATCTGCTGTTAGTCTGATGGGCTTCCCTTTGTGGGTAACCCGACCTTTCTCTCTGGCTGCCCTTAATATTTTTTTCCTTCGTTTCAACCTTGATGATCTGACGATTATGTATCTTGGGGTTGTTCTTCTCGAGGAGTATCTTAGTGGTGTGTTCTATATTTCCTGAATTTCAGTGTTGGTCTGTCTTGCTAGGTTGGGAAAGTTCTCCTGGATAATATCCTGAAGAGTGTTTTCCAACTTGGTTCCAATCTCCCTGTCACTTTCGGGTACACCAATCAAATGTAGGTTTGGTTTTTTCACATAGTCCCGTATTTCTTGGAGGCTTTATTTGTTCCTTTTCATTCTGTTTTCTCTAATCTTGTCTTCATGCTTTATTTCATTAAGTTGATTTTCAATCTCTGATATCCTTTCTTCCTCTTGATCCATTCGGCTACTGATACTTGTATATGCTTCACGAAGTTCTTGTCCTGTGTTTTTCAGCTCCATCGGGTCATTTATGTTCTTCTCTAAACTGGTTATTCTAGTTAGTAATTCCTCTAACCTTTTTTCAAGGTTCTTAGCTTTCTTGCATTGGGTTAGAACATGGTCCTTTAGCTTGGAGGAATTTGTTATTACCCACCCTGAAGCCTACTTCTGTGAATTTGTCAAGCTCATTCTCCGTCCAGTTTTGTTTCCTTACTGGTGAGGAGTTGTGATCCTTTGGAGGAGAAGAGTTGTTCTGGTTTTAGGAATTTTCAGCCTTTTTGCACTGGTTTTTCCTCACCTTCGTGGATTTATCTATCTTTGATGTTGATGACCATCAGATGGGGTTTCTGTGTGGAGGTCCTTTTTGTTGATGTTGACACTATTCCTTTCTGTTTGTTAGTTTTCCTTCTAACAGTCAGGCCCCTCTGCTGCAGGTCTGCTGGAGTTTGCTGGAGGTCCACACCAGACCCTGTTTGCCTGACTATCACTCACAGAGGCTGCAGAACAGTGAAGATTGCTGCCTGTTCCTTCCTCTGGAAGCTTCTTCCCAGAGGGGCACCTGCAAAATGCCAGCCCAAGCTCTCCTGTGTAAGGTGTCTGTCGATCCCTGCTGTGAAGTGTCTCCCAGTCAGGAGGTACAAGGGTCAGGGACCTACTTCAGGAGGCAGTCTGTCCCTTAGCAGACCTTGAGCACTATGCTGGGAGATCTGCTGCTCTCTTCAGAGCCAGCAGCCAGGAACTTTTAAATAAACTTTTTGATAAACTTGTAGATAGTTTTATCTATAAGTCCCTGACTGGGGCTGCTGCCTTTCTTTCAGAGATGCCCTGCTGAGAGAGCAGGAATCTAGAGAGGCTTTGCTGAGCTGTGGTGGGCTTAGTCCAGTTTGAACTTCCTGGTGCCTTTGTTTACACTGTGATGGGAAAACTGCCTACTCAAGCCTCAGTAATGGCGGATGCCCCTTCCCCCACCAAGCTTGAGTGTCCCAGGTTGACTTCAGACTGCTGTGCTGGCAGCGAGAATTTCAAGCCAGTGGATCTTAGCTTGCTGGGCTCCATGGCTGTGGGATCCACTGAGCTAGACCACTTGGCTCCCTGGCTTCAGCCCCCTTTCCAGGGGAGTGAACGGTTCTGTCCTGCTGGCATTCCAGGAGCCACTGGTGTACGAAAAAAAAAAAAAAAGACTCTTGCAGCTAGCTCAGAGTCTGCCCAAAGAGCCACCCAGTTTTGTGCTTGAAACCCAGGGCCCTGGTGGTGTAGGGACTTGAGGGAATCTCCTGGTCTGTGGGTTTGAAGACCATGGGAAAGTGTAGTATCTAGGCAGGAATGCACTGTTCCCCAAGGCACAGTCCCTCGTTGCTTCCCTTTGCTAGGGGAGAGAGTTCCCCGACCTCTTGTGCTTCCTGGGTGAGGCAATGCCCCACCCTGCTTCTGCTCACCCTACGTAGGCTGCACCCACTGTCTAACCAGTCCCAATGAGATGAGCCTAGTACCTCTGTTGGAAATGCAGAAATCACCCGCCTACTGTGTTGATCTTGCTGGGAGCTGCAGACCGGAGCTCTTCCTATTTGGCCATATTGCCAGCCGCTCTCTTGTCAATTTTTTTCTTGTTGTTTTGCAGATTCTTTATTTCTTTCTTCATATCTTGATGTATTCCTTCACAATTAAATAATTTTCTCTAGTAGTATGCTGTGATTCATTACTTTTTATCTTTTGGGTATGTACTATAGGATTTTGCTTTTGGGTTACCTCAAGGCTTACATAAAATACACTGCTTTGTGGTTACCACAAGCCTTACATAAAAAACCTTATAACAGGGTATTTTTAGATGATAACAACTTAACTTTGTTGACATAAAATTGTCTGTACCAATTTTCTGTCTTAGTCAGTTTTCTGCTGCTATAACAAAATATCTGATACTGGGTAATCTATTTAAAAACAGATATTTACTTCTTATAGTTCTGGAGGCTGAGAAATTCAAGGTTGAGGGGCTCAGATCTGGTGAGGGCCTTATTGCTTCATCATCACATGGTGGAAAGCAGACGAACAAGGGAGTAAGAACTCACTCTCAAAAGCCCTCTTTTTAAAGGCATTAAACCCACACATGTGGGTGGAGTTTTCATGGCCTAATCACATCTTAAAGGCCCCTACTCTCGATACTGTTACAATGGCAATTAAATTTCAACATGAGTTTTGGAGGGGGCTTTGAAATCATAGCAATCTATTAGGTCTAAAATACAGTTTAAGTCCAATGTTTCCTCATTGGTTTTCTGTCCCTGGTTGGGTTTGGCCAACAGAAGCCATGGGGACAATATTGGGAGGTGGGGAAAAATTAAAGTCAGAGTATTTATTCTTCTGGATTCTTCCCTAAAGGGTCATCATTGTTGACTTTATTTTGCCTGGTGACTGTCATGGCTCTTGTTATGTTACCTACATTTTTGCTATCCTCTCTGGATTCCAGTGACCACCCCCCCCAACCCTTCCAAACTAGGCATGGTAATGGCTCTTCCCTGTTGTCCGTAACAGAATACTTAATTAGAAATTCTTCCCACACTTTTATTAATTACCTTAAAAGTCTTTTTATTAAACTGTTATCAAATTACCCAGTCTATGTGTGGCATCTGTTTTCCTCAAGGATCCTGGCTAATAAAATAACACACAAAGGCAAAGCGTAGTCTTTACCAGTGTATGTGCCATGAAAAAGTGGAACATAGCCCTAGACTGAATTAAAATAGAGAGTCCAGTGAAACGATAATGCAGGAACCCTTGGGGATCATAAGAGAGTATCATAGGTCTTTGGTTCTCAATAGACTTTCTTTACCCTCCTGGTATGTGGATAATAAATTTCTACATACTTGAACATATTGCACTAGGTGCAAACCACTCAGAATTTCTGTGCATAATAAAAGTCATATACCACAGAGTCACGGTTAGTAACACATGGAATGGGGAAAAACTGAAAGCCTTTTCTGTAAGATCTGGAACATGACAAGGATGCCCACTTTCACCACTGTTATTCAACATAGTACTGGAATTCCTAGCTAGAGCAACCAGACAAGAGAAAGAAATAAACGGTATCCAAATTGGAATGAAAGAAGTTAAATTATCCTTGTTTGCAGATGATATAGTCTTATATTTGGAAAAAACTGAAGACTCCACAAAAAAAATTAGAACTGATAAATAAATTCAGTAAAGTTGTAGGATACAAAATCAACATACAAAAATCAGTAGCGTTTGTATATGCCAACAGTGGACAATCTGAGAAAGAAATAAAAAAGTAATCTGATTTACTATAGCCACACATAAAATCAAATACCTAGGAATTAACCAAATAAGTAAAAGATCTCTATAATGAAAATTATGAAACACTGATGAAAGAAATTGAAGAGGACACCAAAAAATGAAAAGATATTCCATGATCATGGATAGGAAGAATCAATGTTGTTAAAATATCTATACTACCCAAAGCAATCTATAGATTCAATGCAATCCCTATCAAAACACCAAAGACATTCTTCACAAAAATAGAATAAACTATCCTAAAATTATGTGGAACCACAAATAACCCAGGACCACCTAAACTATCCTGAGCAAATAAAACTAAAATTGGAGGAATCACATTACCTGACTTCAAATTATACTACAGAGCTCTAGTACCCAAAACAGCATGGTATTGGTATAAAAACAGACACATAGACCAATGGAACAAAGTAGAGAACCTGGAAACAAATCCATGCAGCCACCATGAACTCATTTTTGGCAAAGCCACCAAAAACATGCACTGAGGAAGAGATAGTCTCTTTGATACAATAGTGCTGGGAAAACTGGATATCTTTATGCAAAAGAAGAAAACTAGACCCCTGTCTCTCACCACATATAAAAATCAAATCAAAATGAATTAAAGACTTAATTCTAAGACCTCAAACTGAAACTACTACAAGAAAACACTGGCCAAACTTCCCAGGACATTGGTCTCGGCAACAATTTCTTGAGCAATATCTCACAAACACAGGCAACCAAAACAAAAATGGACAAATGAGATCACATCAAGCTACAAGGCTTCTGCACAGCAATGGAAACAATCAATAACACGAAGAGACAACCCACAACATGGGAGAAAATATTTGTAAACTACCCATCTGACAAGGGATTAACAACCAGTAACACATAAGGAGCTCAAACAACTCTACAGGAAAAAAATATAATAATCCTTTCAAAAAATGGGCAAAAGATTTGAATAGACATTCCTCAAAAGAAGGCATATAATAAACAGGTATATGAAAAGGTGCTCAACATAACTGATCATCAGAGAAATGCAAATCAAAACTACAAGGATATATCATCTCACTCCAGTTAAAATGACTTAAGTCCAAAAGACAGGGAATAACAAATGCTGGTGATGATGTGGAGAAAAGGGAACCCTCAAACACTGTTGATGGGAATGTAAGTTAGTACAACTACTATGGAGATGCGTTTGGAGGTTTCTCAAATAACTAAAAATAGAGCTACTATATGATCCAGCAATCCCACTACTGAGTATGTACCCAAAGGAACGGAAATCACTATATCAAAGAGATATCTGACTTTCTATGTTTGTTGCAGCTCTGTTCACATTATGTAAGATTTGGAAACAACCTAAATTTCCATCAACAGATAACTGGATAAAGAAAATGTGGTACAGGTTGCAGTGAGCCAGGATTGTGCCACTGCACTCCAGCCTGGGCGACGGAGCGAGACTCTGTCTCAGAAAGAAATTGTATATCAGGCTGGGCACAGTGGCTCATGCCTGTAATTCCAGCACTTTGGGGGGCCCAGGCAGGGGATTGCCTGAGCCCGGGAGTTGGAGACCAGCCTGGGCAACAAAGTGAGACCCCTCTTTCTACAAAAAATAAATTAGCCAGGCATGGTGGCACGTGCCTGTAATCTCAGCTACTTGGGAAGCTGGGGGAGGATCGTCTGAGCCCAGGAGTTTGAGGCTGCAGTGAGCTACAATCACACCCCTGCACTCAAGCCTGGGTTACAGAGTGATAACCTGTCTCAAAAAATAAAAAAAATTGTATAATCATATTGCAATTTTCTTTGCATTACTGATGAGGAAAAATCTCAAAGTAATTGTAAAAAATCCTGGATATCACATGGTTGAGAAACAAACTGATTTTAAACTTTCAGGACTCTGTAGTTCACAGTTGAACACTGTGCCTTCCTGAAATATCAAAGAATAATGTACATTAATAAGCCAGCTACTATCGACATCTTGTAAAAATTAAAATTAAACATAAATAAAAGTTCAAACTATCTGTTAAAAAGAAAAGAAAATGTGGTACATATACACAATAGAGTACTATTCAGCCATAAAAAACAATGAGATCCTGTCATTTGCAACAACATGGATCGAATTGGAGATCATTATGTTAAGTGAAATAAGCCAGGCATAGAAAGACAAACATCGCCTGTTCTCACTTACTTGTGGAATCTAAAAATCAAAATTCGTCTCTTGTTCATAGAGAGTAGAAGGATGGTTATCAGAGGCTGGGAAGGGCAATAGGGGGCTGGGGTTGGGGGCAGGTGGGAATGGTTAATGGGTAAAAAAATAGAAAGAATGAATAAGATCTACTATTTAATAGCACAACAGGATGACTAAATAGCCAATAACTTAATTGTACATTTAAAAATAACTAAAAGAGTGTAATTGGATTGTTTCTAACAGAAAGGATAAATGCTTGACAGAATGGATACCCCGCTTGCCATGATGTGATTATTATGCATTGCAAGCCTGTATCAAAATGTCTCACATGCCCCATAAATATATGCACCTACTATGTGCCCACAAAAATTAAAAATAAAATATAAGAAAGAATCTCTGATTGCATTTTCATATGTAGTGTCTGCAAATAGTGTATCTTTTTATAGCACTTTGTAGCTCAATCCCAAGGATATTTACATATGATGGGGCAAGTACAACATAACAGTGCACAATTCTGTGAATTCTTTTGGTATAATATTGTTTTGGTTTTGAAAGTATGAATGGACCCTTGGGTCAGAGAATTTTATGCTTGGGTGATGGAGAAAAAAGTCCATCAATTCTGCAGACCTGTTATTTCAATTTAAAAAGTTAGATAGCTGGGCAGTGAGGCTAAGAAAGTTTGTGATAGCTCTCTGTCAGTTGGTAGTAGTGTGGGAAGTTGAAAAAGCTCAGGGTGACCTTTGATCGTAGGCTGGGGAGAAGCAGGTCCATCTAAGACTTAGTTTATATGACTTTTGCTTAGGTCACTTCCACCTGTGTCATTCGTTGTGGAAAAAATATGTGCCAGAGGGACTTGACCTCCAGCTTCTCAAAATGCACATTTTTTTTCTGGTTTCCCTGGAGATGGCTGCAGTGAGGCCAGCTCAAGTCTTGTACATGGCTGTGCCCAGAGAATGTATTAGAATTGTGTTTGTGACCAATTGTTCTTTGGTGCTACAATACCTAGAGGAATGGAAAAGGCCAAAGGGCTTGCCTTGGTCTTTGAAATGGCCAAGCCTCTTCTGAATTGAAGTAGGACACCAATCAGAATAAAAAAATAAAGCAGGAAGATTGAAAGCTAGAAAGAAGAGTAAATTTTATTATAAAATGGAAAAACTGAGCAGCAGAGAAGCCACATGCTATGAGTAGCAGTGTGAGCAATAAAATACTTACAGGCTTAGTCAGCAATGGGTTACTTGTGTGATATTTCTGAGGTCAGAGATACCTGCTGCCTACTGCAGAAAGGGATATTTAGGATATCTTGTTTCGGGAACACGCTTGTGTTCCATATTCAAGATGAGAAGATGGGGTTTCAAGCATCATAGGATGCACCCTCAAGTGGCAATCAGGCAATCAGGATGGAAGCACCTCTGAAACTCCACTTACTGGGAGAAAACACCCAACCCACAAGGGAGTTTGGAATGATAGAGAAATGATTATTAGAATTCTGTGGCTTGTAATCCACTGATACTCCTCGAGTTATATTATGTTTCATGTCTTTTATTTTTCTGCACTGATCTTCAGTAAAACATTTACAGTAGTAAGATCCTGTATTCAAGAAAGGGGAAAACTGAAGCATCAAAGCCACACTTGGAGGGAAGGCAGTAGAACTCTAAACATGAAAATAGAAGATAGAAGCAGAGAGAGAGAGAGAGAGAGAGAGAAAGAGAGAGAGAGAGAACATGAGAAAACAGGCTGAGATTCCTAGAGTCTTTCACCAAAGAAGGAAATTCAGCCTGAGCCTGGGAGGAGGCAGTTGAGCAGAAAAAGACCTCATGAGAGCACCACAAGAGTTAATTAATAGAACCATGAGACCAAGCTACTACAAGAGATACACAAGTCAAGCAAAGAGAACAAAGCTAGAGGCATCACCTTAGCTGACTGCAAACTATGCTACAGGGCTACAGTAACCAAAACAATATGGTACTGGTACAAAAACAGGCACAGAGACCAATGGAACAGAATAGAAATCCCAGAAATAAGGTCACACACCTACAACCATCTAATCTTCGACAAAGCTGGCAAAAGCAAGCAATGGGGAAAGTACTGGGGCTGGGATAACTGGTTAGTCATATGCAGAAGATTGAAACTGGACCCTTTCTTTATACCACATACAAAAAACAACTCAAGACGACTCACGACGGGCTGGCTGTGGTGGCTCATGTCTGTAATCCCACCACTTTGGGAGGCCAAGGTGGGTGGATCACCTGAGGTCAGAAGTTCGAGACCAGCCTGGCCAACAAGGTGACACCTTGTAGCTACTAAAAATTAAAAAAAAAAATAGCCAGGCATGGTGGCAGGCACCTGTAGTCCCAGCTACTCGGGAGGCTGAGGCCGGAGAATTGCTTGAACCCAAGAGGTGGAGGTTGCAGTGAGCTGAGATTGCACTATTGCACTCCAGCATGGGCGACAAGGGTGAGACTCCATCTCAAAAAACAAAAACAAAAAGAAACAAACAAAACCCAAAAAAACTCAAGATGGAATAAAGACTTAAATATAAAACCCAAAACTATAAAACCCTGGAAGACAACCTAGGCAATGCAATTCTGGAATAGGACCAGGCAAAGATTTCATGACAGAGACACCAAAAGCAATTGTGACAAAAGCAAATATTGGTAAATTGAATCTAATGAAACGAAAGAGTTTCTACATAGCAAAATAAACTATGAACTGAGCAAACAAACAACCTACAGAATGGAAGAAAATATTTGCAAACTATGCATCTGACAAAGGTTTAAAATCCAAAATCTATAAGGAACTTAAACAAATTTACAAAAAAAAAACCCATCCCCATTAAAAAGTGGTCAAAGGACATGAACAGATACTTTTCAAAAAAAGACATACATGTGGCCAGCAAGCATATGAAAAAATGCTCAATATCATGAATCGTTAGGGAAATGCAAATCAAAATCACAATGAGATACCATCTCACACCAGTCAGAATGGCTATTAATAAAAAGTAGAAAAATAACAGATGCTAGCATGGTTGCAGAGAAAAAGCAATGCTTATACATGATTGGTGGGAAGGTAAATTAGTTCAATCATTGTGGAAAGCAGTGTGATGATTCCTCAAAGAACTAGAAACAGAACTACCATTAGACCCAGCAATCCCATTACTGGGTATATACCCAAAGGAATATAAATCATTCTACCATAAAGACACATGCATGCGAATGTTCACGGCAGCACTATTCACAATAGCAAAGACATGGAATTAACCTAAATGCCCATCAATGATAGACTTGATAAAGAAAATGTGGTACATATACACCATGGAATACTATGCAGCCATAAAAGAGAATGAGATCATGTTCTTTGCAGGAACATGGATGGAGCTGGAGGCCATTATTCTTAGCAAACGAACTCAGGAAGAGAAAACCAAATACTGCATGTTCTCACTTATTAAGTGGGAGCTAAATAATGAGAACCAACGGACACAAAGAAGGGAACAACAGACACTGGGGCCTACTTGAGGGAGGAGGGTGGCAGAAGGGAGATATAACTATCAGGAAAAATAACTATCGAGTACTCTACTTAGTACATGCGTGATGAAATGGTCTGTACACCAAACCTCTGTAACACAAGTTTGCCTGTATTAACAAACCTGCACATGTATCCCTGAACCTGAAATAAAGTAAAAAAAAAAAAAGGCATAGAAGTCATTCAGGAATTAATTTTTATGAATGCAAACTGAAAAGGTGTGCCTTTTGTGGATGGCCCAGGGTGATTCGATGTGCTGAGAAGCATCTTCTTCTTCTTCTTTTTTTTTTTTGGTAATGAATGGGTTTTATTTTCCTAGAACTGAAATCATCTACAGTTCTCAGAGCTAAACTTCCAAAGTTACAGTCAGCAATTTTTCATCAGAGCCCAAGGGAGAGGTGCCAGGGTAAAAGAGACCAGATACTGAAGAGAGACATAGAGAGACCACTAGGAAGAGGGTGGGAGAGGGCACTTATTTCCCTCTGTCCTCTCAGTTGATTACAAATCGGATCTGGTGACAACACTAAGGGGAACAGGTCAGCGTATGTGGATGAGAAATGACACTGGAAGGAACACCAAAGCCCCAGCTACAAAAAGAAAGTCATAAAGCCCTAAATAGTAGGGGAGCCTCCCAGTGCACCTCAGAAATGTGGGCAACGATGGGGAAGGAAGGAGCAGAATGCGGAGCACACAAAGGGTTAGGGGTCTTTACATTTTTTTTTGGTAGTTTTCTTTTATTAAAAACATTTCCTAAAAAATGTATCTTTTCCTTTACATCTGAGTGATATATATGACTATAAGCTGGCCTTCAGCACTGTGCAGAGAGGGAAAAGGGCAGCTAGGGGCCTTCCCAAGCATCCCATTTCTGGCTTCAGAGATCTAAATGGGGGCAGATGCTCAACACTCCCACCCAAATGGGTAAAGTCAACCTTTCAGGTCTCAGGTCCTTGGCCCAAACAACTTGGAAGCCCCAAAATCTTTTGATGATAAACTACAACTCCCGGAACTCTTGGGATTGGCAAAAGAAAAAATGGGTGTTGTCAATCATCAAGGATTTATGGAAAGGAGCCCCTCCCCTACAAGCTGTCCCACTTTACTTGAATCTAGGCAGCTGGGATAATAGGTGTAGCAGGGGACAGGAGCTCAGGAAGATGCCACCCTCCTGTGCTACCCCTATCCTCCATTTGAGGATTGCCCCTCCCAGGCCCCACAAGCCCACACTGCTGTTTATGCTCCATCTTTTCTATTCCCACCCCTGATCCCAACCCAGAGTCCCAGAATGACTAAGAGAGTGGGGAAAGGATGTCAGGAGGTGGAAACAGTTGGCCCAGGCCCCAGCAGAAGCCTGGAGAATAGCTCCAAGTGGAAGGAACATAATAGCCTCATTTCTTCCCAGGGAGCAGAAGACATGGCTCTGACTCTGATAATAGGGGTATGGGGACCTAGAGGGGAGGGCCAGGTGACCTGTCTCATCCAGGTCAATCTCCATGGTCTGGGCTTGGAGTGGGAATAGTGAGTGGAAGAGGAGAGCAGGTTGGGGTGGGAAAGGGGTTCCCAGTTTTCGGGCCATGGCCAGTTTCCCCAGTAGCACTCAGACAGCAGCAGGAACAGGGTGGGGGCTCCTCTTGAAACATTGGTGGCTACAGACTCTCATGATCTCTGATGCCTGGGGTCTCAGCATCTTCATTGGCAGCCTCTTCCTCTTCCTCCTCCTCTTCTTCCTCTTGGGGAGGCCCCCGGCCAGAGCCGGGCTCAGAGAGGGTGCTATTCTTTTCCACCTCCACAAGAAGTGTCTTCTCACCTTCCAAGGTGGCTGCCTCCTTCTTCTCCCCTTCAGGGTTTTCTGCTTCCTTGGGACATTTAGGGGAGTCCTCCAGCAGGTCCCCTGCTCGAGAAGCATCTTATAGATCTCTCTGAAAGCAGACATTACTATGAAGCCAAAATCTTCATATTTGGTAATTCATTGAGTCTCAAAAAAATTTTTCAGGAAATGGGTACCTATATTCATATCCTCACTTTAGATATGAAGAAAATATGAGGGCCTCAGATAGGTTAAGTGATTTGCCATATGTGATATAATTAGTAAGTGACGGAGCTTAGTTTCTCTGGACAGAGAAAGCAGTTTTCTTCTGCTTTCTGTTTGAATACTCTGCCCTTTTGACCACAGCATTCTTATTTTATTTTCTGTAGAAATTTCTAGGAAAAATACAGTTAATGATGAGAAGTTCCAACTGGTGTTACTGCAAGAAACTTTTCCTTTGTTTTCATGTTTGTGACCTTGCCTTACTCCTCAGTTTCAATTATGGGTGCTGCTTTTTCTGGCTTTTCTGATTTCCAGCTTCTCTCATTGACCATAGTTTAAACTCTTCTTCACTTTTCTCCTTCAGGCTGCCCTGAGTAAATCTCTCATTGGATCCAGACAAGTCTCAAAACTCTACAAATTAAACATACTGTCTCTTGGATATGGCCTCTGTTAGATTCACTCCAAACCCATATAGAGCACTTGTAAAGGCAGGACTTTGGTAGACATCTATCTTGGGGGGTTTATGTAAACTTGAGTTATTCCTATCTATGTTACTAAGGCTTCCGAGAATGATGATGACACCCTCTCCATGGATCCCAATTAATCAGAGATATCTTAGATCTGATGTGGAAGCAGTCAGAACTAGCTCATAAACAAGGAATTAGAACAGGATATGAGGCTAGAAATATGGACATGAATGAAAGTGGGGCAAAAGTGTATTGAAGAAGGGATGAAGCAGGTTGTTACACTAATAAGCATGTTGTTGAATATATACATATACACACAAAGTATATGTTTATATTTATACATACAGTGTGTATATATATATACAGTATACACAGTGATACATACAGACATTGTATACATATATACATATACAATGATTATATGTATACTATGTATATACAGTGTATATGTGTGTGTGTGCGTGTGTGTGTGTGTGTGTGTGTGTGTGTGTAGTAGTAGTAGTGGATGCTGTGTGTACTGCCCATATGCCCTCTCTTCCCTCTCAGGACTAAGACACCTATCACCCCAGCTGCCAATAGTGTTGCATGCTGACAGCTCATAGATGAATCTCTGAATCTCTCCTCAAAAATTTCCTTGAGACAATTGGAGCCACTTCTTCAAATATTATGATTTCCCTTTCAGGGGAAGCCTGTATCCATTCACTGGTTCAAGTTGGAGTATAAAAGTATAAAGGCCCAGCCCCCTTGTCTCAATGTGGGTCACCTTTCCAGATTCATCCCAGTTCTAGAGCTCTCCATAGGATTGATAGGCTTCTCCTTCTCCTTCTCCTTCTCCTTCTTCTTCTCCTTGATGGAATCTCTCTCTGTTGCCCAGCCTGGAGTGCAGTGGCAGGATCTCAGCTCACTGCAACCTCTGCCTCTGGGGTTCAAGCAATTTTCCCACCTCAGCCTCCTGGGTAGCTGGCATTACAGGCACCCGCCACCATGCCTGGCTAGTTTTTGTGTTTTTAGTAGGAAAGTGGTTTCACCATGTTGGCCAGGTAGGTCTCGAACTCCTGACCTCAAGTGATCCACCCACCTCGGCCTCCCAAAGTGCTGGGATTACAGGTGTGAGTCACTGCGTCTGGCCACCAATACATTTCTTATATGCAAATTCTTTTTTCAGATTCTGTTTTTTGAGGCACCCATCTTGTGGGGGTTAGACTTGGGAAGCAGCACTGTAATGGGATTTCCAACTTAATTCTTGCTGACCTTCTGACAAAGAAGGACCCTTCACTGATGGTAGGTAAAACACTAATATCCTCTGTCATGCATTTGTTGAAACTTGTACTGGTGGTGAACTGGGATGGAGCATTAATGCAAGGCATATACTAGTAGGTACAATGTCTTTGATGTTTGAGAGGCACGGGGGACATAATAAACATGAAGGCTAAGAAATTGGATTATTATTATTGGGGTTATTGATGTTTTGGAGAAAGATACTGAAAAACTGAACATGATTAGATAGTAAATAAAGACAAAGTCTGAAAGCCAGAGAGCCTGCTTACCAGCATATATTTCATTTCTTGAATATACTTCATTTGGTAATTTATCTTTCTTCTTGTATATAATATGCCAGTATTTAAAAAGTATTGTATACATGGGGATAAGTGCAAAATGATCTACAGTTTTATTCATTTTTAAATACCTTTTTTTCTGATTTTAGTTGCAGTGTTATGTTGGACTCATAAAATTATTTCAAAGCATGCACTTCTAATTTTTTTGAAACATTTCATGGGGGATTGCTATTTATCTGATGGTGGTGTCTTAGGAAACTAATTAGGTCATTAAGGTGGAGTCCTTCTGAATGGGATTAGTGCCCTTATAAGAGGAGACATGAGAGCTTGTTCTTACTTTCTGCTCTTAGCCATGTGAGGATCTAAAAAGAAAACAGTTGTCTGCAAACCAGGAAGTGGGCCCAGGCACCAGCTCTGCTGGCACCTGGATCTTGGACATTCCAGGTTCCAGAACTGTCAGAAATAAATGTTTGTTGCTTAAGCCATCCAGTCTATGGTAATTTGGTATAGAAGTCTGAACTGACTGAGACAGAAACTGGTACTAAGAGGTGGGGTTCTGCTGCTGTAACAAATACCTAAAAATGTGGAGTGGCTTTGCAACTGGGTAATGGGTTGAGGATAGAATGGTTTAGAGGTACATGCTAGAAGAAGCCAGAATTGCTGTGAAGAGATTTTTAAAGATGATTCCAGTGATAGCTCAGAAAGAAAAATGGAGATCTGTAGAGAAAACTTTTGTCTTCTTAGAGAATGTATACATAATCATGAACAGAATATTGATAGAAATGTGGATGGCAAAGGCCATTCTGATGAGGTCTGAGATGGAAATGAGGGACACATTATTGGAAACAGGAGGAAAGGTGATTTTTTTTGTTATAAAGTGGCAAAGAACTTGGCTGAATTATGTTTGTGTTCTAGCGTTTTGTGGAAGGTAGAGTTTGTGAACAATAAAATTGGATATTTAGCCAAGGAAATTTCTAAACAAAGCGTCTAAGGAGTGGCTTGGTTCCTCCTGATTGCTTATAGTAAAATGCAAGGGGACAGAAATGAATTGAAGACACAATTACTTATCAAAAAGTTATCAGAACTTAAAGATTTGGAAAATTGTCAGCCTGTGCATAACAAAAAATGAGAAAGTGAGTTCAGAAGAAAACACTACAGGTGTGGTAGACCAATCATTTATTAAGGAGATTAGTGCAGGTGTGAAACATGGACCTATTCAGCAATCTCAGCAGAAGCCAGGAATAGAGATGGCATTATGTTAGCAGAAACACTGCCAGCTTTGACTGAAGAAAACAGAAAATAGGACCAAGTAAAAGAAGACTGTCAGACTTCTTAGCGCCTACAGACCCAGATCACACATCTCTTCCAGCTGTGGACATGCATTATTCTTCAGACAAGGAAAGAAACCCCAAAAGGTGATTCAGAGATCATCAGGGCTATGACTCCCACTACAGGCCCAGAATGCACAGGCCTGGGAGGCAGGTCTTCTTCACCTCAGTCCCAAAGGGCTGAACCAATGTTCGTATAATCTCACTGTGGGCTCATAACATCTGCTAGGCAGAGCCATGGGCACTTAACTCCAACTCAGCAGAGCTGTGGAGGCAGGGCTATTGCTGCAGTGGGTCCAGAAGACAGAGGATCAAACCAAAGAGGATTATTCTCAAGCCTTAAGACTTCATAGAGTTTTCTTTGCTAGATTTTTGACTTACCTGGAGCCCATCACTCCTTCCTTCTTATTTTCCTCGCCCCCACCAAATTTCTATTTTGTCAATGTCTATCATATGCCTGCCCTACCATTGTATTTGGGATGCACATAACTTGTTTGGTGTCACTGGTTTACACCTGGAGAAGAATTCTGCCTCAGGATGAATCTTACCTCAAGTTTCACCCGTAACTGATTTAGATGATATTTAGGCAAGACTCTGGACTCCAGATTTTAGAGTTGACACTGGAATGAGTTAAGACTTTTGGGGTTGTTGGGATGAAATGAATATATTTTGCATGTCAGAAAGGCATGACTTTTTGAAGCCAGGAATAGAATATTATAGACTAAATGTTTGTGTCCTGCCCAAATCAATATATTGAAAACCTAACCCCCAATGTGTTGATATTAGGAGGTGGGGCTTTTAGGAAGTAATTAAATTATAAGGGTGGAGTCCTTCTGAATAAGATTAGTGTTCTTCTAAGACAAGACATAAGGGTATATGCAGAAAGTGGCCATTTGCAAACCAGGAAACTGGCCCTCAGCAGACACTGGATCTGCTGGCACCTTGATCTTGGACCTTACAGCCTTCAGAATTATGAGAAATAAATGTTCATTGCGTAAGCCATCCAGTCTATGGTAATTTGTTATAGTAGCTCAACCAATCTTACTGAGACAATAATATTTCTTATTATCCTTTTGATGTCTGTGGCCTTTGTGGTAGATATTCCCTCTTTTACTCCTGACATTGGTGATTTGTGAATTATCTCTTTTTTGATCAGTCTAGCTAAAGGTGTATCAATTTTATGGATATTTAATGGATACTTTTATTTTTAATTAAGTCATTTATGTTGAAATAATTTTGGATTCACATGCAGTGGCAAAATAAAATACATACAGATCTCATTCATCCTTTACCTAATTTTCTCCAATGGTAACAACCTGCAAAACTGTAGTATAATATCAGAAACAGGATATTGGCATTGATATAGTAAAGATTTGAAACATTTCCATAGCCATGAGGATCCCTCATGTTGTCTTTTTGTAGTCATGCTAGTTTCCGTCCTGCTCTCATCAGCTCCTTAACTTCTGGCAACCACTAATCTGTTTTCCGTTTCTATAATTTGTCACTTCAAGATTGTTGTATGAATGGAGTGATACAGTATGTGACTTTTAGGGAATGGTTATTTCACTCGGCATAATTATCTACAGGCTAATCCAGGTTGTGTGTATCAGTTTGTTCCTTTCCATTGCTGAGAAATATCCCATGTTATGGATACACCACAGTCACATAACCCGTTGCATTGACTCATTGCATTCACCTATTGAAGGACATTTGGGTTGTTTTCAGTTTTTTAAAAAATTATGAACAAATTAACTACAAACACCTGTGTACAAGTAGCTGTGCATGTGTGTGTCTACATAACAGAAGGCTTCATTCTCTGGGATAAATGCCCAGAAGGGCAATTGCTGGGTTGTGTTTCATTTTTAAGAAACTTTGAAATTCTATTTCAGAGTGGCTCTACTGTTTTATATCCCCATCAAGTATGCATGAGAGGTCCAATTCCTCTATATCCTTGCCAGCTTTTGGAGTTGTAATTATTTTTATTTTATCTATTCTTATTGGTGTGTAATGATACTTCATTGTGCTTTTAATTTGCATTTCCTTAACGACTAATGATGTTTTACATCTGTTTATGTGCTTATTTACCATTGTATATCCTTGTCTGTGAAAGGTCTATGTCTTTTCATTATTTTCTAATTGGATTGCTTATTTTTTCTATATATACTATAGATATCAGGTATTTTGTCAGATTTGTGATTTGCAAATATTTTCTTTTACTCTATAGACTGTATTTTATCCTTTTAACATGGAGCCAAAGTTTTTTTATCCTTCTTCATGGAGCCAAAGTTTTTAATATTGATGAAGTCCAAACTATCATTTAATTTCTTTTATAGATTGTGCTTTTCGTATCAAGTGTATGAACTCTTTGCCCAACCCTATATGCCAAAGCTTTTCTTGTGCTTTTTTCCTAAAAGTTCTACAATTTTACATTTTACATAAGTCCATAATACATTTTTAGTTAATTTTTGTATAGGGTATGAGTCTTTGGTTGAGGTTCACTTTTTACCCTATGGATTTTCAATTGCTCTAATACCATTTGTTGAAAATGCTATCTTTCCTCCATTGAACTGCTTTTGCACCTTTGCCGAAAATCAATGGTCATATTTGTGTGTGTCTATTTCTGGGTTTTGTGTGCTGCACCATTGATCTATGTGTCTATCACTCTATCAATATCATGCAGTCTTGATTACTGTAGTTATATAATAAACTCGAAATTGGGTACACTGAGTCTTCCCATTTTGTACTTTTAAAAAACTGTTTTTAGCTATTTGAGTCTTTTGACTTTTCATACAAATTTTGCAATAATTCGTACCAAAATCCAGGCATTTTTGTAGGTATATTGTCTATCTCTATCACATATTTACTTATCTATTGTATATACATATATATATGCATAACCTATATATACAAAATTTTGCTTGGATTTTGACAGGAATTACATTAAATATGTGTGTCAATTTGGGTAGAGTTGACATCTGCTTTGAGTCTTCAAGTCCATGAACATACTATGTCTTTCCATTTATCCACTTAGATTTTTAAAATTTCTTTCATCAGCATTGTGTAGTTTTCAGCTTGTAATTTCTTTACAAGTTTTGTTAGATTTACCCCTAAGTCTTCCACTTTCTGAGCAATTGTAAATGGCATTATGTTTTTTATTTTTCGTATCCACCTGTTCTTATCTAGCATATAAAAATACAATTGATTTCTGTAGGTTGATCTTGTATCCTGCAACTTACTAACTAGGAGATTTTTATGGTTTCCTTGGTATTTTCTATGTAGACAATCATATTATCTGCAAACAAGGACTGTTTTGTTTCTTTCTTTCTCCTATGCATAAATTTAATTTTCTAGCCGTGCTTTATTTCACTATCTAAAACTTTCAATACTACGCTGAATAGGTGTGGCAAGAATAGTTATCCTTCTTTTGAGGTTGCTTTTAAGAACAAGCATTCAGTCTTTCAATATTAAGAATAATATGACCTGTATGTTTCAAAGATATTGTTTGGCAAGTTAAGGAAGTTCCTGTCCATTTCTATTTTCCTGAGATTCTTTTTCTTTTCTAGTATAATAATGGTTTCTTTGAAGAGGATGTTTCATGTGAATGTTTTATGTTGCAGCCAAACTCTACGAAGTAGGTTGAACTATTGAGTTGTCTGTAAGCAGAACAGAAGAAGTATTCCTCAAAAAACTGGTTGTGCTGCATTTAGCCATGTATAGTAGATGCAATTACAAAAGGCCTTCAATATTATTCTTCAATCTTGGTGTCATAGTTGAAAACATCAGAGTTTCTGAAAACAAAATAGCTCACTAATTTCAGTTGTAGTATTATGTTAATGTCAATGGATAAAGAACCAGCATATGGATAAAATGTGCCATTTTAGTGAATAATTACATAATCACCAGGTTGAAGTTATGGCAGTGGAAAGGGAGCAAGTTAAAGATACATTTTAATGTTCTGGAATCCTAGAGACACATATAGGGACAGTGAGTGGTGTATTATTTCTCTGAATTGCTAAAGGTATTTCTTGTTCTAACTACAGGTTTTCTAGATGCTATTCTATTGGAGGATGCAGTAATAAACATGAATCCTTCAAAAGTCTCTGTAGAGTTTAATCAATATCTTGAATAATCACCAGACATAAATGTCTTTGCATAGGCACAGTATTTAAGGACAGGCCTCCCTAAATGGGAGTCAGCCTGTTATTCTGTACTTTACATTATCGTTTCTGGGTATATTTGACTTTCAGTCTGGCATCAGTATGCCTGTGTGTTTGCCTACTTCCTCTGCCAGATTATTCTGATTAATTATAGTTGGAAATAGATGGCCTTAAAGTTCATAGTTTGGATAATCTGCCAGGGAGGACTTGCTAAAGGAGATAATCTGCCCTCAAGACCTGGTGATTTGGGCAGCCTAGTAAGACCAAAAAATTCTGTGAATGTGGTCCATCAAGCATTGCACCAGTGCCTGATACACTCTAAGCGCTTAGTAATACTTCTAGAATGAATACCTGGTACAAACTGAGCTTCTGGGTTTGCCTTAGCTGCTCTTAGCTATGGAGTTCTGAGTGTAGTATCACCTCTAAGTCCCAAAGAAGGCCTTGGTGGTGAGTATTCTCATTCCCATAAAATATGGTTGACTTTGTGTCTTGCTAACTTCTTAAACAAATAGGTGTTTAGGTGGATGTTCCCCAAATCAGGGATTTTCTGAGGATATGATGGTCATCACTATGTAGTTGGAGACATTTTTCATCACAGTATAAGAATTTGCCAGGTTGGCAACTGATCTTTGACAAAACTGACAAAAACAAGCAATGGGGAAAGGATTCCCTATTTAATAAATGGTATTGGGAAAACAGGATAGTCATATGCAGAAAACTGAAACTGGATCCCTTCCTTACACCTTATACAAAAATTAACTCAAGATGGATTGAAGATTTAAGCATAAGACCTAAAACCACAAAAACCCTAGAAGAAAACCTAGGCATTACCATTCAGGACATAGGCATGGACAGAGACTTCATGACTAAAACACCAAAAGCAATGGCAACAAAAGCCAAAATTGACAAATGGCATTTAATTAAACTAAAGGGCTTCTGCACAGTAAAAGAAACTATCATCAGAGTGAACAGGCAGCCTACAGAATGGGAGAAAATTTTTGCAATCTATCCATCTGACAAAGGGCTAATATCCAGAATCTACAAGGAACTTAAACAAATTTACAAGAAAAAAACCAAACAGCCCCATCAAAAAGTGGGCAAAGGACATGAACAGGCACTTTTCAAAAGAAGACATTTATGCGGCCAACAAACATATGAAAAAAAGCTCATCATCACTGGTCATTAGAGAAATGCAAATCAAAATCACAATGAGATACCATCTTATGCCAGTTAGAATGGCCATCGTTAAAAAGTCAGGAAACAGGCAAGGCATGGTGGCTCATGCCTGTAATCCCAGCACTTTGGGAGGCTGAGGTGGGTGGATTACAAGGTCAAGAGACCATCCTGGCTAACATGGTGAAACCTCATCTCTACTAAAAATACAAAAATTAGCTGGGCATGGTGGCGCATGCCTGTAGTCCCAGCTACTTGGGAGGCTGAGGCAGGAGAATCACTTGAACCTGGGTGGCGGAGGTTGCAGTGAGCAGTGATCCGCCACTGCACTCCAGCCTGGTGACAGAACAAGACTCCATCTCAAAAAAAAAAAATCTAGAACTAGAAGTACCATTTGACCCAGCAATCCCATTACTGCATATATACCCAGAGGATTATAAATCATTCTACTATAAAGACACATGTACACGTCTATTTATTGCAGCACTATTCACAATAGCAAAGACTTGGAACCAACTCAAATGCTCATCAATATTTTACTGGATAAAGAAAATGTGGCACATATACATCATGGAATACTATGTAGCCATAAAAAAGAACGTGTCCATGTCCTTTGCAGGGACATGGATGAAGCCGGAAACCATCATTCTCAGCAAACTAACACAGGAACAGAAAACCAAACACTGCATGTTGTCACTCATAAGTGGGAGTTGAACAATGAGAACATATGGGCACAGGGAGGGGAACGTCACACACTGGGGCCTGTCAGGGGGTGGGGGCAAGGGGAGGGATAGCATTAGGAGAAATATCTAATGTAGATGACGGGTTGATGGGTGAAGCAAACCACCATGGCACATGTATAGCTATGTAACAAACCTGCACATTCTGCACATATATCCCAGAACTTAAAAAGTATAATAGTAAAAAAAAACTAAATAAATAAAGAATTTGCTAGGTTGGAGTAGGCTGGTTTTAGGGCCAGGGAGGATTAGGTGTAGGAGAGAGAATTAGGGTAGAAAATAGTACCTTCATGTGCTGGATGGCTACATCTATGACAGAGGACTAAATTAGTGCTCCCCAAAATTTCATGTTTTAACACTTATAGAAAATGGTGTGTACATGGTATACTAAGGAAATGGGCAAGATTATTCAAAGTTGAAGGCAACTTACCCCATGCTCTGAATGCCATAGGTCTTCATGGCCGTTCTAAGGGCTGAGAGGATCACTATTTCACAAACCTACAGCCCAGTAAGTAAAATTGCCAATGAAACAAATTCTGTCCCTTTCTTGAAATCAGTTATCAGGCTAACTAGAAAAATAACATAAGTAATGAACTGTGGGTAGAACCTGATAAATGCCAGAAATCTCAGGACAAACTTCATTTACCTGGAGTGTTCCTAAGTTTAATGTGATTGATGCATAATAGGCAATTATGTGCCTTCATCATATGGAATATATAGAACATGGTCCAATAATTCTATCTTTCAACTTTTAAGTAGGCCTTTTGCAGGGTTATTCCAAAAGTGGTGCTATATCAAGTGGCCAGGAAACTCTGTAATCTCATTATAAGGAATAGAATATAGGATATCATTGGCCGGGCACAGTGGTTCATGCCTGTAATCCCAGCACTTTGGGAGGCCGAGGTGGGTGGATCACCTGAAGTCAGGAGTTTGTGACCAGCCTGGCCAACATGGTGAAACCCCGTCTCTACTAAAAATACAAAAACTAGCCGGGTATGGTGGCGGGCACCTGTAATCCCAGCTACTTGGGGGGCTGAGGCAGGAGAATTGCTTGAACCCAGGAGGTGGAGGTTGCAGTGAGCCAAGATCGCGCCATTGCACTCCAGCCTGGGTGACAAGAGAGTAACTCTGTCTCAAAAAAAAAAAAAAGGATACCATGATTTCATGATGAGGTCATATGGGATTTAATTCATCTGTTTCTGAAAATATATAGGGTACTGAATAAGACAAACAGCAAAAAAATATTGCTTGTGGCACATGTGAGCTACCATCTTCCACACATCAGTCTCATTCATGCTGTAGACAAATCCATTTCATAAAAACAATGGTTCAAAATTTCAAAAAAAAAAAAAAAATAGAAATGTGCACTGAGAGCATGAGAAGATGCTCAACGTCATCAGTCATTTGGGAAATTCAAATTAAAACCACAGTGGGATATAACTTTAACTTGAACATGAAATTCAAGAACATTTTGTTAAATTAAGATAGACACAAAAGAGGATATCATGTATACTTCTGTTTATATGAAACTTCAGGAATGGCAAATCTATTCTTGATGACAAAATAAAAAATACTGCTTGCCTTAGGCTTGAAGTGGGTCTCTGGGTGACTGGGATGGGCAGAAGTGAATTTTGGGAGGAGGTGATGACAGTGTTTTGTATTTTGAGTATGGCAGTTGTTATTTCCAGGAGGTATATAAATTTGTCAGTGCTTATTATAAAGTCCATTCAAAATGGGTAAATGTTATTATATGCAAACAAACTCCAAAAATGATTAAAAACAAACTTATGGTTTGCCATGATGATCTGGGAGGCCCTGAGTCAATAGGTATGGGCAAAGTTTTATTGTTGTGATGCTGAGGTAATGATTGGAATAGGCAGCCATTTCATAAATAAATATGTCTAGTACTGGGACATGATGTAAGTTTGCCATAGTTATTATCTACATATTGTTGAAAGGACTTGACCTTAGCCTTAGCGAAACAATTCAAGTGCTTGACATCATACTCAGGTTAATCATACTTTCAGTTCTGCCTTCAGTTCTGAAAATGTCTTCTGGTAATTGGCATATTTGTTTGGAATCCTAGGTAAGGAAATGACAGATGGTGGAGGGCCATATTAGAACTTAAGGCAGAGTTGCAAAATAAGATGAAAAGCATAGGTTTTCTTTTTTCTTCTTTTCTAAAAACATTTTATTTTAGATTCAGGGGGTACATGTGCAGGTTTGTTACATGGGTATATTGCGTGATGCTGAGGTTTGGGCTTCTAATGATCTCTTCACCCAAGTAGTGAACATAGCACCCAATAGGTAGTTTTTCAACCCCTGCCCCCTCCCTTCCCCCCACTTTGGGATCCCCAGTATCTATTGTTCCCATCTTTGTGTGCATGTATAGCCAATGCATAGCTCCCACTTATAAGTGAGAACATGCGGTATTTGGTTTTCTGTTCCCACATTAATTCACTTAGGCTGATGGCCTCCAGCCGCATCCATGTTGCTGCAAAGGACATGATTTTGTTCTTTTTTAGGGCATAGGTTTTCTTAGGCTATAGTGAGGTAGGCACTTGGATCTCCACTCTGTAGAGGGTTGAGTAGAAGCAGTAACACAGTAGTAATACTGGGGTTTTGTTGCATGTTATCTCATCTCATGAGCACGCCGATTCCTATTGCATGTTATCTCATGAGCACACCGATCCTATAGGAGGATCTCTATTCTTCCTAATCTGCTATATGAACAAGGGGATCTCTTCACTAGTGTAAAGGTGAGTGTACCACCCAGAATTCCTTATGATGTACTGCCCTTCCCACAGCCCTTTGTAGGTAAGGGTAAAAGATGATCCTTCCACTTTCACCCTGGCTCCCTGGTTAGTATACAAAAGTTTCTAGTGATGGGAGTGGCACCTGTGGACAAAGTGGTTAACCCTGCTGTAGGATATATTAAGAGACTAGTGCAACCAGGAGGCCTGTGGCATGGGTCCTTGTGTTTCTCTAGTTTGGTAGACACATATGTATCTACACTCTGTGGCTTATTATTTCTGAAATAATAGTATAACTCTGACCAATCTATCTTGTAGTTTTCCCCCTGAGGCTTACTGAGAACCTAGACGGTTCTACTCAAGAGATGACACTACAGGCTACTCCCTAACTGTGATGGGCAACTGAAAAAATACATTGCCTTAAGAGAGTACGGCTTGCCTGACTCTCTTCATGCCCTGCTAGAATCTGAAGTACTTAGAGTCCCTCCAAATTTGAGGTTGTATGTGGCTAGTGAATTTCCCCAGAAGTGAAGGTGGCAGGGCAGTGATCCTGGTTGAAAGGCGAGGTTCACAATTCAGAGTTCTCTGTGCCCCTGTATGCATCATGCTGAACACTAGAGGGCACCCTTGTGCTGTTAGAAGCTGAGAGCTGTGGCTACAAGCGGCACTAACTTTAGGATGTGGAATCTTAGTCTCCTGAGGGATTCATTAGATGGTACCGCTGGGGCCTGGGCTGGGTTACAAGACATTAGGAAGAAGATTAAATACTCATTAGGAATTCAAGTTGTGGTGAATTAGCTTTTAGGCAGAGCTCACTGGGCCGGGGTATAAAAGGAGTCATTAAGGGAGCCAACCAGGCCAGGCGCAGTGGCTCACCCCTGTAATCTGAGCACTTTGGGAGGAGAATAGGAGTTCGAGACCAACCTGGCTAAAATGGCGAAACTTCGTCTCTACTAAAAATACAAAAATTAACCGAGCGTAGTGGTGCGCGCCTGTAATCCCAGCTACTTGGAGGGCTGAGGCAGGAGAATCACTTGAACCTGGGAGGCGGAGGATGCAGTGAACCAAGATCGCACCACTGCACTCCAGCCTGGGTGACAGAGTGAGACTTCTTCTCAAAACAAACAACAGCAACAAAAAAGGAGCCAACCAAAAGGGACATATACTTTCAACTGCTATCTATATGCAACTCCCGTATCTATATTTCCAGATTTTTCTTCTGAGCCTCAGATATATAGTCAACTGGGTACTGAATACACAGTAATCTGAATATCCTTCAGATGCCTTAAACTCAATGTTTCCAAAATGAAACTGATATTTTCCTTACTCTCCTTGCCTCCAATTTTCCCACACCCCTTTCCGATGCCATAGCCCCACCAATGATACCCTTCTCTGCCTCACAAACTCACTCATTTACCAATATTCCCAATTTCAGTAAATAGTACCACCTTGTTGTTCAAATCATCAAACTGGTAGTATCATCTTTGACACATTCTTCTTTCCATCTTCTTTCTCATCAGTTACCCTGTCCTGTTAATGCAATTTGCTAAATGCCTCCTAAATTTACCCAATTTTCCAAATCCCCCATCCCTGCCCACCATCTTCTCTCGCCTGGATTACTACAATAGCCTTATAGACCTGCTTCTCACATCCAGTGTTAACCCCTCCCATTTATTCTCCACCCTTCAACCACAGCCTATATAAAATTGAAATCTAGCGATGTCCCTAGATGCTTGAAACCATTGAATGATCTTCTTAGCCTTCAGGATGATGTTTAAATGCTTTGGCATGGAATTCATTCATGCTGCTATTGGGACCTCTATTTTGTGCTATGTACAATGTTAGAGAAATTGGGGATGAACCCACAAATGAAATATACATAGTTTCTGTTCCCATGAAGCTTAGCTATTAAGAGTCATGGCCTATACGCAGCTCCCAGTATAGTGTCACAGAAGGCCTTTCATGATCCGGCTCTGGCTCACTGCTGCAGCCTGTTACCTTCCTATGCACTATCCTCCCTATCTTTCCATCTCTTCCTCACCACTTCAGACCTTACAGTCCAGCCAAACAGAGCTACTTGCAGTTAGCACATGCTTCTCCTCTTTCATACCTTCATGCCTTTGGACAGAATATTTTCTCTCCAGGTGTAATGCCTGCAATGACTGCTTCATCAGGAAAAATCCTATTTGTCTTTAGAAACTCATTTCAGATGTCGTATCTTAAAAGAAGCCCTCCCTGCTTACCGTTATTCTTTAAGTTGGTGGTAGGTGTCAATGTAATCCTGTAGAATCCTGCATTTACCTCCTTCACAGCATTTTCCACCCCAAATTATAACTGTTTACTTCTTTGTCTCTCAATTTTCAGTGAGTACCCGTCACAGAGACCTTATCCCAGAGTCTAAGTAGAAGGTCATGGTAAACTGCTCATGTTGTCAGTCTCTTACTTTCTTTGTTTCCAGCTAGTACTTGGCCTTATCTGACTCAAAGTGGCCTTATCTGACTCAAAGTCTTTAATACAATTGTAACTTGTGACCCTTTGTTCAATGTTTTTCATTTTTAGCTACTTCCCCCAGCACACTATTCTTTAGAAGACGAGAGGTAGACCAACAAAAAGCTGTGGAGGAGGCTCATCTGCCTGCCTTTCAAAATTCCATGCTGGGTACACTTTGTCTAACCACTAGAAATTGAATAATGGTGATGTAGGACTGAAAAATGGCACTTCTTTATCCCTAATTTTCTGGACCAGTTCTGGGGGACCTAGTTGTTCTCCAATTTGGGCTTTCAGGGAGACATAGAGTCACTTCTTTCACTAGAGAAACTAAAGATGAAAGCAGACTTTGCCATTTCAATTATGCTGTCAAACCCTTTAGTTTCTTCAAGGTCCCAGTTATGTTCCAGTATTTCTTAAGCGAAATTCTATATAACTGCCTGAAAATGAGACAAAAATTAGGTTTAAATGACATATTCACTCAAACTCACATGTATATTCTCACCCTGTAGTCTATTCCAGTTGGTTCCATCTAGTTCAAAAATTGGAGCAACTAATTTCATGTCTGCCATCAGAAGTAATCTTTCAGTGTTCATAGGTGAATTCCTGGGATCCAGCTACTGCATCGAATATATTAAGAAAATGCTAGCAGACGTTTGATAATCCTAAAGTGGAAGTGCTATGTGATTTCATAGGTAGTTATAGTTATTTAACTTTAAAACACAGGGGCACACAATTTAGCCTGGAGTGAGGGTAAACAGGTACACATAGTAAAAAACTCACTGCTCTCGTTCCTGTAGGACACTGGCTTGTTTTTGCTTGTTACTTATTGTTTACACAGATACATGTAAACACATGCATACATAAACACACATGTGGACTTCAGCAAAACAAAAAGGGCTAATTTAATAGTGAAACACAACCACAAAGTTGTGCTAGAATTGTTTACTAGCATGCATAAATGCTTAAAATTAATTACTATGCACAGGTGCTTTGCATGGTACACTAGCAGGAGCTGAAATGAAAGTGACGCGTACTGGAAAATTGTTAGGCAGTGATAGTCTAGGCCTGATTTATTACAAGAGCAAGTAAACACTTGAGGTTATGGGAAAGCGACACAAATCTTCTTAGGACTAGAATAGAGACATTCCTTGCTACGGCTTCCCGTCCTTGCCTCTGAGAGTAGCCTTGTGGAATTACGTGTGTTTACAGAGATGTATTAAAATTACTAAATAGTTTCTTTTAATACTACATTCCGTAGACATTCGGCTCCCTTTCAAATAGTAAGAGGCATGTGTACTGCTGTCATCAACGTCCTTGAAGTCTCCAGGCTAACAGAGGTTCTACCTGCTTTTACCCAAATGTGAATTCCTAATCTGTTGCTTAAAACTCTTTGCTCCTATCATAGCCAAGCAGACTGCTCACTCTTTGTAAAGGTCCCCATTATGTGAAATCTTTGTCCATGAGAGAAGCCTTGTGGATTTTGGAAGGGTGAGATGAAGTTAAATAGACCACTTTTCTCCCCTCTTCTCACTATTCCACTTGGTCCCAATTCTAGCAATTTGGTAGTGGTTCTACAGTATAATTAGGAAAACGTGAGCATGAAGAATGCCACTGACCCTAGTTCTAGCTTGGGCAAAGGAAGATTGTAGGGTAAAGAGCACCCAAAAAGGTCTTACTAGAGCTCTTATCAATTTAAGACCATAGGGCTGATGCCAAAGGGAAATTCTGGAAAATGCCTGACATTTTGGTCTCCTTTTGTGCACGATTTGTTTTGTACCCCCATGTCAGGTTATCACTAAAAGTTGATCCTTAGTTCTGGGAAAATAATCCTTTTGAACAACAACTTGGTAGATTCTTGAGGAGAGAACCTCAAACATGCTGCTTCTGTTAAAAGGACCATACTGGACTTATTCAGAGGAAAACAGGAAACTTTTTTTAAAAATTTATTTTATTTTATTATTAATATTTTTTGAGACAGAGTTTCACTCTTGTTGCCCAGGCTGGAGTGCAGTGGTGCGATCTAGGCTCACTGCAACCTCCACCTCCTGGGTTCAAGCGATACTCCTGCCTCAGCCTCCCAAGTAGCTGAGATTACAGGCATGCACCACCATGCCTGACTAATTTTGTATTTTTACTAGAGATGGGGTTTCTCCATGTTGGTCAGGCTGGTGTCGAACTCTTGACCCTAGGTGATCCACTCACCTTGGCTTCCCAAAGTGCTGGGATTACAGGCGTGAGCCACTGCACCCGGCCATCAGGAAACTCTTTTAATTAGGTCTGTTTTTCTGCAATTTGAAGACAGTCATGATGCAGCATGATTTCTGTCACTTACGGGGTATAATTAGAGGCACAACCACCTACCCAAGGTTATTTGCAGGGCAATCTCTGTAGGCAGTCATAAAATTGGCATACGTTATTTTAAAGACAGCTGGCCATGATTCAGTCAGAGGGGCCTTGGCTGCTAAGATTTTGTTTTTGTGTTTTGCACTCCTTATGTGTTGAGATTTGAGGGGCTTCTTCCAGTTGGCATGTTTTCAGGTAGTTGGACATGAGGCATGCCTGGGAGAATATAATGTATGAGAACATAGCATATGAGAATATAATATATTCACTTATGACACACGCAATGATAGGAGGTTTATGTGTCCATTTATGGCAATAGTTAAACGAATGATCTGAGAGGCCATCTTTGTGTGGTTGGTTTCCTTGTCCAGCCAAATTCGACCTGATTTGAGGGACAGCCTCTGCCATTGGTGTGAACCTAGGGCCAGCTGGCTCAATGATTGGACTGGAGTCAGGGAGGGTTCCTGACACTATGTGGCTTGTTGGGCAATATTTAGGGAGTCACCTATCTACAGTGTGACTTGGTATGACTTCAGTGAAGAGAAGGCAGGGGCAGGATGAAACATGATGAAACCAGCCTTGGAGGGGACAGCAGAATCTGGAAAAAGCACTCCATGGACACTGAGATAATAACAAAGATACTAAGAGTAATAAAAATAATGGAAACAGAACT
The DNA here is from genome assembly GCF_000001405.40 of Homo sapiens. Classification (NCBI taxonomy): domain Eukaryota; kingdom Metazoa; phylum Chordata; class Mammalia; order Primates; family Hominidae; genus Homo; species Homo sapiens. The sequence continues at coordinate 131,628,827 of NC_000023.11, read as the reverse complement.
AACTACCATTTGAACATCTATTACGTACCAGGAAGCATTCAAGCAAACTACTTTCTATACGTGTTTGCAGTATTTCATTAAACCTTACAATAGCTCTGGAAAATAGATATGATCCTCATTTTACAGAGGAAGAAACTGAAGCTCAGTGAGGTTAACTGTGCCAAATCATGAAGATATTAAGTGGTGGAGTAGGGCTTAGAACATGAAACTCCTAAGTCCATACTCTTTCAATTATACTGTTCAACTTTCAATAATACTTTATGAGTTTTATATGCAATTAGTACTAGCTTTTTGGCTTCTGTCAAAGGAAGGGTCATCTGCAGAGGGGAGTAAGGAAGAAGAATCTGTGAGGAAGAAATGAAATTCAAATAACCTAAAATCCCATTTAGTCACCAAGTTTTCACAAATCTATCCTCAACTAATCATCTCTGTAGGTCTCTCTAATCCATTTCTTCCTTTCATGTCCACTTCTGTGCCCTTGTTCAAGCCTTCCCATCTATACTGTTAAATAACCTCTTAAATGGCCTCTTTGCCATTTGTCTATTCCTTCTATTCCCCCCTCCATAGATATTTTCTAGTAATGCTTTTAAAACACAGATGCGATCAAGTCATTCTCCAGTTCAAAACCCTTCAGTGGATTTCCATTGCCAAAGCGTATAAAAACATCATTTGTTGGGTCCTTGATTAACTTTTTAGTCTTATATACTATGCTTCCAGCTATAGCAAACTACCATAGTTTTTCAAGCATGGCATGCTCCCCTGGGACATTGGAATCCATTCCTATTTCAATTTTACCTACATTAATTCAACTCTTTTCCTCTATGTAGATCTTATTTGGGCCATATTTCCCTACATGTAGACTGCTAAGTATTACTAAGATAACAGTCTCACATCCATGTGGATTTATGCCTCTACATATTTATTGCTTCCAATTTTGCTTGGATCCTCTACGTTGTTTGATAATCTCAATTTTTCCTAGACTACTCTCTCTTCCATTTTCCACAAAAGCATGTTGAAATTTTCATGAGCCTCCTCCCATCAGTACTCCATCATTTCCACTTTAATTCTCAGTACTTGGCCTCCCTACTACTCCAGGAAATAGAAGTCATCAGGTTGGAATTCTTAAAGTTCATGTCTCCTCCTACAAATGTGTATGCACTTGACCTATTATTACTTCCTCCTTCCCGCCTCAGCAGGAGTGTCTCTATGCCTAAGATTATCATTTTACCTGTGCTCTGGATTCCATTTCTTCCTACCTGCTCTGGAATCAAATTATTTCCTTTATTTTGTTTTTAACATCTCCCTCTTTTTTTTCTACTGACTCCTTTTCTTTATATTGTAAACTTGTTCAAGGTTTTTTCCCCCCACTATGCTATCCCTTCTCTGGCTATCATTTCCTATCACAGTTCAACCTCCTGAAAAATGTAGTCATCGCTAGCTATAGTATTTACTAGTCAGGAAGGGTCTATATGAAAGGGAGTTAAGAGATTCAGGCAGTAAAATGTGTGGATGAGAGGTTTACGTGATGGAGAAGAATAAAAATAGATGTTAGGTAGGGGTAGAGAAAGGAATAAAAGAATATAGTAAAACTGAGGGGGCAGCAAGAAACAGCTGGGGTAAACTAATGGCTACTGAAAGAAATGGTGATGTAGGCTTGCTACAGAAAACATCTGCAGAACAGGAATGAAAGAGACACACGCAAGGAAACAAATGCTACAGGCTTCCTGAAGGTGGAGTCCCAGTCACAGAAGTTGGAGGAATAGAAACGTGCGTAATAGAAATTTAGATTGATCAGAGAGGAATAAAATCTGTTTGGTCCTTTCTCTCCTTTCAACTTTAACTCTTTTCTGTATCTGGACTTATCCTTTCCTTCTGCTTCTGAGAAAGAAGCCCCCACCTCCCTTCTTGCCAGAGCTACCCATAGCATGTGCATGGTTAGCTAATTCCACCTGTTGCTTTTTCAGGGTCTTGCTTCAGTAGTTGTCCTTGTTTTCTATGCTACAAATATTTTACCCTATATTTCCCTCCCCTTCCCTTCCCTTCCCTTCCCTGCCTCCCTGCCTCCCTTTCTAATGAAAAAATATATACATATATACATAAATGTATATATTTCCTACTTTGTACCAAGCTCCTTTCCTTATGCCTGCAATCATACAGATGATTCTTCAATTCTAAAAGCATGCATTTCTTAATCCTGATAAATTCATAAGCTATCTCATTTCTCACCTTCTTTTATCACCAAACTTTACTAAAAAGTAGTTTACAGGCCGGGCGCGGTGGCTCACGCCTGTAATCCCAGCACTTTGGGAGGCCGAGGCGGGCAGATCACGAGGTCAGGAGATCGAGACCATCCCGGCTAAAACGGTGAAACCCCGTCTCTACTAAAAATACAAAAAATTAGCCGGGCGTAGTGGCGGGCGCCTGTAGTCCCAGCTACTTGGGAGGCTGAGGCAGGAGAATGGCGTGAACCCGGGAGGCGGAGCTTGCAGTGAGCCGAGATCCCGCCACTGCACTCCAGCCTGGGCGACAGAGCGAGACTCCGTCTCAAAAAAAAAAAAAAAAAAAAAAAGTAGTTTACATTGTTGCCTATGCTTTCTCACGCCTACTTTCTAGCTTTTGAACCTTCCATTTTACTCACACATCTTGTTTGACAGTTTCTAATGACTTTCTAATTGTCAAATTGAATGCTTTTCAGAACTTTTCCTCCTCCATATGTTGGAAATATTTGACATTGGTAATCACCCTCCTCCTTCTTTAAATTCTCTCTTCCTTTGGCTCAGTCTTTGGGTTCTTCCACTAACTTCCATACAACCACTTCTTCTCTTTAAACTGCCCCTTTCCCTTCCTACCCTGTAAGCGTGGGTATTCTCCATGGACACTCCTTCTGATCTTGCCTCTGACTTCAGGCATGGTGATTTTACATACACCTACAACATTTCTTATCCCCTCTGTGTGGTTGACTTCCAAAATTTATCTGTGTATCTAAATTCTCAGACCTGCATATCCATGTATTTGATTACTATCTCAACTTGAATGGCTTTTTAACACCTTATGTTCAGTAATATCCAAAGCTGAACCCATTTTCTTTTTACCAAAGCCAGCAAGCCCCCTCCTTTCCTTCTTTGTTTAGAGTGTTGCTCTCTTCCTAGTCACCCAAATGAAACATTTTGGATTTATCTTTGACTCATCCACCTACTCCTTCAGTAAAGATTTTGGAGTCTACTATGTTATTTTTGTTTTTAAAATTTCCAATGGCTTACTCTTTACTAAAGAATAAAGTCTAAACTACTTTGGTTAGCAATATGCTCTACAACATGCCCCCACCTTATCTTTCCTGATGTATATCACTTGCAGGCTATCTTTCAGCCAACAGGAGCTAGCCATTCTGAAAATGAACTCCATGGCATGCCCCTAAACTTGTGCACATTTTTTCCTGCCACTTGGAATAGAGTCATATCCCACACTACATTTTGATTATTATAATCCTACCTGTGCTCAAGTTCTTCTCTCTTAAAAGAAATATTCCATTAACCTTGCTCAAGTTCTTCTATTTTAAAGAAGTATTCCACGTTTCTTCCTACCTACAAATAATTTATCTATTTCCTTTATGTTTACAACATAGAGTGCTTGCTTATACTACTTGCCAATTATTCAAATGAAACGGCTAAGTTTAAGTTTCTTGTTATTGAAAAGGAGGAAGAGAGTACAACAATGGGGTAAGATTTTGGGTTAAACATTATCATGCAAAGGTCTGATGATAGATAGGAGATCTCAACTGGAAGACTTGATCAAGGATGACAATTAGGGAAGAGAACAGCTCAGATTTGTAAATTAAGGATGTGGTTTTTTCATTCTTCATAAAATAGAGTAAACCATTCTATTTTATGTTGGAGTAGAGACATTTCAATTGCATCTCAGAAAAGGGAATAGAGCCAGAGAGAATTGGAAATTGACCAGTGAAGCTGAATATTTAGAAAATTGTGTGCAAAAATGTAGACTTGAAAGAAGATTATTTGGAAATGCATACTAACAGTTTGCAATATGCTTACATAAAAAAAGAAGTGATCCAGTAGGGCTGACAGGATTTATATGCAAGAGAGAGTAGAGGTCCGACACATGAAATGAAAGATAGCGCTTTTTCTGATCATGCAATAGTACTAGCTGAAATTAATTTCTTAAAAGCTTGGAAATTTGGCAGAAGTAAATGGAGGATGAGCAAATTCATGTAACTAAGAGAAGGCATAGAAAATGATGAGGAATGGTCAAGGAGAGAAGCCCAACTTTCATTCCAAGCTGTCAGAGAGGATTGGTACAGATGAGAAAATAATTTGAGGAAAGCTCTCAAGGAAAGAAATGAAGCCAAATACTTTGAAGAGAAAAATAGATATTTTTCAATTTCAGAACAAACTGATGGAGAGCACAGTAAAAAAATAAATAGATAAATAAAATCAAAATAGGGAAAATCAAAGGGCAAATGACAAATATCTGCAGTAGACTGAAAGAGTCAAGGTAACAGTGGGAAGCAGCAAAGAGGACGGCTACTGACATTTTCTCATGTTCAGGAAGAGAAGAAAGTTGTCATGTGTTTGAGAGATTTTAGACAGTTAGGTTAAGGTGACTTCAAGTCATTTATGAGAATTCTTTATGGAGCTGTAATACAGGAAAGGATGTAGGCTAATACTGGGGTACGCAAAACCATGCAGAAAATCAAGGAATGACTCAGCAACAGACTTCACAGCTGAAAATGTGAGTGAACATCATGAACAAGGTGTTGATGAGAAAATCTGGATCTGCAACCCTTGTAGATGCAGCACAGTGATAAATCTACCAGCTTTGTGGTCAGAGGTGACTTTTAGTCCTGCTTCTACTACCTAAACAGCCATGTGACTCTGGACAAATGTTTTTAGCTTCCAGATTCTTAAATTACGCATCTGTAAAGACACTTCACGTTTTTATGAAGCTCAAATGAGATAACATTTATGCAAATATCTTGAACAACATTTAGATATTATTATTCCAAGACTTTTTGGGGTAGGCTGAGCAAACATTTATCTGTGGATTTCTCTGGTATATGGGTTAAGAAGGAAATGACCAATGTGATAAAACAAGGAGAGGGAGTGATGTTTGAGAAATGAAAAACTTAGAAACTGAACGTCACTGACATTTCTAAACAATGCTTTTAGAAATCTTCCTATTAAAGACTCATAGTGGCATGATTCATAATGCATGAAACGCATCTAAACGATGTCTAAAGGAGTGACAGGTGATCAGTGAACTTCAGAGATTATGTAAGAAGCCAGAGGATATTTATTATCTTTCGACAAAAACACTCTGTTTTAACCAAATGCAATTTTATAACTCATGCAGAGCTATTCTGGAATAGAAAAGGGGCTGCACTATGTGAATAAAACACAGCTATGTGCCTTTAGACCCTATCCCCCTCCATATCTCTCTGTGCTCATTTAGTTTTAGGAAAGAAATGAGTGATGTTGAAGGTGAGATTGCCTTATCCCTGAAGCTCCTTATTATATCTGTGCTGCTTTTGAGAAAACGTATCTGGAATGTGCATGAAATTGCATGTAAAAATAAAAAAGGAAGGGGTACTCTATGATACAGGTCTTTTCCAAATCTCTATTGCTATAGCACAGTTCAGGTCCACATCAGCTCTCAGATTATTGCTCGAATCATATTACCCTATGTCCAGTCTTACATCTCTTCAATCAATTGTTCACACTTGTTGTGAAAGTGAACTTTCTAAAGCACAATTCTGAACATTTTACTGACTTGCTCAAAACCTTCAGTGATTACCCACCACTTACTTACTGCACGAGTCTGCAATTTTTTTTTCTGTAAAGGGCCAGATAGTAAAGATTTCTGGATTTGTATGACACATACAGTCTTTGTAAAAACATTTTTCTTTGCCTTTTTTACATCCATTAGAAATTTGCAAACCATTCTTAGCTCATGGGCTGTACAAGCCAAGGGCTGGATTTGGCCCTTCAGGCTGTAATTTGTTGATCTCTAGGATGAAGAAAGTGCAAGCTCTTTAATAGAGAATAACAAGTCTCCCCCTAATTTGGCTTACTGATTTTTTCTCAGGTCGTACATATTGCCAGAAACACTTCCCACACCTTCTGCTGCAGTAATGTTGAATTGTTGGCAGTATCTGAAAGTACACCAAGCTGGGTTTCGTACCTCTGTACTTGTTCACATTATGTCCACTAAAATTGTCCTCCCTTATCCAACTGGCAAACTCTCTCTCAAGACTGCTAAAATATTAAATATTTCTTGACTGGCCCAGTTATAGCTGGTGCCTGTACCTCATAAATAATGTGGATCACAGTATCTGTAGTTCTTCACTGGTGCATATTTGCTTCCCAGCTCCAATGTGATCATCTCAAAGGTAAAAAATGTCTTATTTGGATTTGCATCCCTAACACATAGTAGACACGTAGTAAATGTTTGTGGAATGATTGGCCCGAGGTACAGTGTTATCAAGTCATCCCAAACAAGTAATAAATAGCATAAAAAGAAATGAAGAGAGGATCAGAAGTCCTCTGACTTGTGAATGACTTATACACAGAAGTGAGTTATTATTTTCATAGTCTCTAGAGAAGCTCTCTAAGTCCCACTCTTATAACTTGCTGTGAGAATTCCTCATATACCCGCTAGGACATGAGTGTGGTGGCAGAGACCCTCATGGAATATTTTTTGGGGATCAGAAATCCCATCTAACAGTGTCAGTGTTTTTAGAATGCTACATTGCGACTCAACACCTATCTTCCAATAAACATACTTTAAAAAGTATGGTCCTAGGACTTTTAGTATTATTAATGATAAAGTGATGACCTAAATAGGTGTTGGTGAGCTGCCCTTGGAATGTAGCCACCCTATCTCAGTAGAGAAAACGTGCTCTGAGTTCCAAGCTGATGACTTATGAGTTAGCTTTTGGACATAACTCATTCCTAAGTTTGGGGCTGTCTCTACTTAAAATATATCAAGCATAGGTCAGAGGAACTGGAATAGGAGTCACCCAGATTAAGAGCAAAGCCATAAAAATGAAAGCCAAAGGGAAATATGATATTACAGTGTTTCTAAAATTAGAGAATGGGCTAGCAAAGCTCCTCATTGGGAAGTCTGGAGGGAAAGATTCATAAAGGAAATAGACTTTAGAAAAAAAAGAACAGGAGCATTTGGATGAAATATAGAAAATAGCAATTGTATCTAACATTTATTGAATGACTACCCTGTGCCAAGGGCTGTTATAAGGGCCTTACATGAACCATAAATTTAATCCTTCCAGCAACACTATAAGAGGAATACTATTACTATTTTTATTTTGTGGATGGGGAAAGTGATGCACAGAGCAATTAAGTAACTTGCCTAAGCTGTAATGGAACAGCTAGTAAATGTGGAGCTCGAATTCAAACTCAAGTTTTCTGATTCCTTTGCCCACCATCCAAGCATGTATATTCTGATTATATATACATGGTACCACAAACAAAGTGCAGTGTGGAACTGACAGGGACTTTTTCCTGGCCCTCTTAAAACCTAGAAAAACTGATTCAGAAGAAAATCCCTAATGAAGGAGCGTCAGGCAGAATCAATGGACAATTGTTCTTCCCAATGAATTTGCCTCTTGATCTCTGGCAGCAAATCACAGCAATCAAGGAGTAAGCATCACACTCCATTTGCCCATGATAATGGCAGAAAACTTATGGGAAGAGACAATTTTGTAAGGTATTTTTAAGAACCCAGAAAGGATCAATCCTCAGAAAGAAAGTAAATAAAAAAGCCAAGGATAGAAAATATTGTGACCAGAAAGCCATCTACCCAAGAAAAGTCATGGGAGGAAAGAAGGTTTTAGAAGTAAGAAGACATATATATCCACCTTCTGAATGTGCTATGGCAGAATTTTAGAGTCAGTTGGTCAAAGTTAAGATGAGAAAAAGAATAACAAGTTATTATGACACAAAGTATATAATAAATGTTGCCTGCCTATAACAGAAAGTGCATATAGCATCTTATTAAATGGAGAAAAAGGAGAAAAATAATCACAATCTTGGTCATGAAGACTCTTGGGAAGAGCAGAAATACTAAAGCTCATAAATGTGTATGAGAAATGGGGGGTTGAAATGGCCAGAGGGTCGCTAAAGCATATCATGGAAGAGGAGACAGAGAAACAGGAGAAGGCAAAAGAATAACAACTTCAGTATAGACATTTTTATAAGAAATTGATACGATGGAAATTTAATATTTGTAGAAACAATGTTGGTTGAGAGAAGATTACTTTAAAATAAGAAATTATAAATATAATTTAAAAGCACTTATTAAAAGATAAGTGCTTTTACATACAAAAGACACTTCTTGCCATGGAATGTTATCACCTAAATGGGAGAATTGAGGGGCCATTTGTCCATTAGGTTCAAATTGGTGTACACACCTATAAAATGTGTTATGAGAGGCAAATGCTGTATTGTGGTTGTATAACCACTGTCTTGTATATGAATTTTTCCCACTTTGTGTGGCAAGTACAAAGATGTTTGGTTACAAAAATCTTATGGCTTATACCCAAGAGAAAGGGCTCTCCCTGATAGGCTACTATGGCTGTTGCGCCTGCCTCCACATACCTACTACCATTATTCTCTCTGTGAACTACTTTGGGCACATTCATGGCTTTAGGTCTTAATGTGGGGCTTGACAAAGTGTTAATATTTATGGTAAATTTTGTGATAATATTTATGGTAAATTGTTAATGAATGCCTAGTGGGGACCATGGAAAGAATGCTCACTAAAATTTTGTTGTTTGCTTTAAAGAAATATAAATTGAAATAATAGGCCAAGTTTTCACTGTTTTTCCTGCACTTTGGAGACGTTTAAAGAGAACTGTTAGGATTTTTCATTTCCTTTGGCTAACTTTCTAAGTGCACCTTTTATATCCTTATTTCTCTGAATGTAAATTGGGGGATTTAACATGGGAGTAACTGCTCCATAAAGTTTTGAGACAACTTTATCCTCTTCCTGGGTTCCCTTTGACTGAGGTTTCAAGTACATGCAGATGGCTGCCCCATAAAATATGGTGACTCCAGTCAGATGAGATCCACAGGTGGAGAAAGCTTCACGCCTAGCCTCCACAGCACAACAAAAATGCAAAATTAGGAGATGAGGATGAATGTGAAGGGCAGGGGCAGTGTGAACACACTGATAACCAGACCCTGAATCAGGCTGACAAGGGTGTCTGAGCAGACGAGCTTCAGCAGGGCCTGGATCTCAAGGTAAAATGGTTGATGACATTGTGTCCATAATAACTAGCAGGAATTGCAATGATTAGTGTGACTGCTACTAAGAAGGCATGGGTCCAGATTCCCAAGGCCAACTGTATACAGACCCGATTGCTCATAATAATAGTGTAATGGAGGAGATAAGAGATTTCAACAAACCTGTTGTAAGCCATGCCAGCAAGGAGGAGACACTGTCATCCCCAGAAAGAGGTGTGTGATCATCTGAACAGAACAGCTGTTATAGGAGATGGTGGGGAAGTCCTTGATGCATTGAGCCAAGACTTATAGCTCCCAGCTGATGGAGTAACACATTTCAAGGGAGGATAAGGTACTGAGGAAAAAAAAATCCCATAGGAGTATGAAGTCGAGAATCTCATCTCACTACAGCAACGATAAGGATGTTCTCAAACGCTGTGACTAGTAGAAAAACAGTAGTTCCAAGAAGAAGGCAGTCTGGATTTCAGGGTGTTGGGCAAATCCAACAAGGATGAGTTCAGTCATCTCAGAGGCATTGTCTCTTTTTAGACCACCCATTTACTTGTCTCAAGTGTTGGGAAAAGAGACAAAACAATGTCATCTACATGAAGAAAGAAGAGGAAGAGCATCTCAGTAGCCTGTTATAGTTCATGTTCTGGAGCTCTAATTAATTGCTGTATGCCATTTATTTTACTGGGTTAGGTTCAACTGTTCAAGTATCCAGTGGTGGAAATATATGTTCTCTTTGCTTTTCTGTCTTATAGAAACTTATATGACCTAGGACAGACTGATTTAGTTGAATGGACTGTTAAAACCCAAATAGAGGTACTTACATTGACATTGAGTCAAATAGAATTATTACTCTCATAAAGGGGTTTAGCTACATGATTGATTTTACCCTTGACCAAAAAAAGGGCAAATAAGCTACATCTGCCCAATAAAAATGTTTTCCAGCTTTATTTAAGTTGATTCACCTCTTTAATAATAATTTTTAAATTTAAACTCAAGGATACACTTTTGAATGCTTGAAATACTTCTTTACTTTTCAACCCTCTTTTCCCCTTATATGTCATATTAGAACCACCTATATATGGTGAATTAGAAAGTGTATATGTAGCTAAACCATCTAGTCAATTCAATGGAAAAACACCAGTAGCCAAATTGACATGCAATAAACCAAACAATTGGTGGATTTGCTGAAATCTTACTCTTTGCTCAATTGTTCTGACATCTATCTTCGGCTGACAGAAGCTTACTATGTGCAGATCCTATCATCTCCATATAGTTTCGAACAAGAGCTTAAAGGGTGATGGGGATATCTTAATAGATAAAAGGATTTCATGCGGAAAACAGTTACTAGCAATTGTGAAAAGGGACAAGGCAAATTTTGAATGCATGTTTCCAGGATTTTTCAATAAGAAAAGACAGAGCCTTTTCAGTTTTACATGGTTTTAGTAGGGAGTGAAAGATATGACCAATTGAAGTGTCTGTTGGCTTTAGAATTTTCGTATTTAGACACAGCGTCAATCTCACCATATTGTATAGTTATATTAGTGCCGTATATAATTGTGTAATTCTTTATAACTTTATAACTAAAAGGCAAACTGTTGACATACAGAAAGAAAGCAAGGGTGCCAGCTGGACCTAAGCTTAACTTTTGGTTTAGCCACTAAAACCTGCACAGTCTTGAGAAAGTCAGTTTTCTCATATGTGAAATGGGAATACCACCCAGCCTCTTGCAGGATTGTTCCAAGAATTAGATAAGATAATTTCTACAAATAAATAAATAAGTAAATGTGCCCGGCACATTTATAGCCACCCAAGATACCTTAACTCCTGCTTTCATGCCCCATGTAGACCTTCCCTACAGTTTGGACTTCATTTTGTAAACATGTGCCAAAATGTCATTCCATCCTACCTTTCCTTGTGAGGTTATCACATTACCAGAAACAATACAATCTTAAGTTTTAGGTTTGAGCAACAACTAAAGAAAGTTTGACTGTGTAAGTCATTAAAATCTGTTCCTGATAGTAGGCGGGAAAGACACATAAAGAGATGAAAATTACTCACTGACTTAGGGCTGGAGGACAGCAACAGAGAAGTGCACCTCATTCATAACAGAAGCATTTTGCAGTTGGCGACACCCCCACAAATGACTAATCTCCAAGAAGAAATTTGATTCCTTCAACTGCAAGGAAAAGAAGTTTAATACAAGCAGCTGTGGTAATAAATCTTCCTATCAGTTGTGGTTATAAGGCTCCAAAATCTTAAGTTAACTGTGCTGGTGAATCATGCACAATTATTTCTACTTGTTTAAATATCCTTTTCTTTTATTTACACAGAGGTGGCATGTAATAAGGCGACCATGATAGGTTGGTGTCCAAGAAACAATAAAAAATTCATTTTCTCGCATATATAATATTAATATAGATGCCAGTTCGTGACATGCAGTTTTTCTTTGCCTGTACAAATATTAAAATGATATTTCTTCTTCTAGTGTTCTAAATTCTGTTACTTTGTTCCCAGCTACAGAAAAATAAATTGAGGAGATATCCTTTCTGAATACACTGAAATCTTTTAAAAATGTTGGTGTTTGCCAAAGTATAGTCTAAGTACAAGACCAAAAATACTTCAGCAGCATTAAAAGAAGCCAGGATTCAAATGCAAGAGTAAGACAATGTTTAGAAATGTAGATAATCATGTGGTGGTTTAAGAATTGATAACCTCAGTCTTGAAGAAAAGTTTCCACTTTGGGGACTTATAGGATGTCCCTGCTTTGCAATTAACTCTCCCAATATAAACACACAGAGAGAGAAAACAAAGAAGGAGGAGACATCTGCTATGTTTAGCTCATTAAAATAAAGTTCATTTTCCTTCCAAATTGGTTAATGAGAATTTCAGTGAATGTTCCTGATAGCAATGATTCTGGTCAGTAAACATGGTTGTGGTGAAGAAAGTGAGACTTCCTTCTGTCTGGGCAATTCTTCATTCTTTCATTTTTTTTTCTTCTTGCAAGTTAAATGTTCAAGTAGTACTATGAAGATTTAATATTGAGGAATTTTGAAGACCAAGGTATATATCACAGTAGGACTGTGTGACACCTTTTGTGTCTGCTGGGTCCTCTGAATGATATGCTATGTTGATCAGTCAAGTTCTCTCCCAAGTATGATTGTGAGTCCAACAGAGACTGGGCATCATTTAATTTTTATTTAGTTGTTTGTTAACTTTAGGGACTTTAGACCCTATATAACTAAACTTAAAGCTGGGTGTACACTTTGGGGGCTGTAAGCCCCTGATTTTTGCAAACAAATCTAGGTCATCTGTTTTCTCTGGTATTCTACCTTGCACAGAAGAAACTCTTAAAAGATGCTTGCTGAAATAAATCCTCTTGATGTCACTTTGACTAAATGGATTCTTCCATTCAAGTAGTTTTGTGCTACATTCAGTCATACTGTTTTTGACCATTGGACTCTGAATAACATTTTTTTCTGAAATTTTAAATCTTCAGTTCCTTAGTACAAAAAATGTTGACTGATAGAGCAATGGTCTGTTGAAAGACAGCAGAAGAGAACTTTCAGCCAGATAGTCAGTTCACATTGGACTTTTGTGAGTCACTCCTTTTATCTGTCCATAGAGGGTTGGTACTAAGATTTGCCCTTTCTTTCTGGTTCTGTCCTAGGGACCATCTCATCCTGCATGTTAAAAACATATTAAACCTCCGTGAAAATTCACACAAAATGTAAAGGAGAATAAGATGGTGAACATTTGCAGGAGCATACAAATAGGGAGAAATTGCAGTGCAATCAAGGAAATATTTCACAGAGGACATGGTTGATGCTTCCATAATGAAGATTACAGAACTGGCATAGAGGGAAGCTACAGCAGGAATGGAAGGATTTAGCTGTCCAGGCATCTGATGGAAGTCTCATTCTGTTAAAAGCAGAGCATCTGATAAATTTGGGATTTGCCTTGCTGACAATTTCATTTCTCAGAAGGTTAAAGAAGCATTGAGGGGAAATGATGCTATGGACCTAATTATGATGGAATGGACTGGAATGTTGGGAGAAAATAACCACATCTTCTGGGAGTTCATAATAGAAAGAAACTGTATGGCCAATATTTCTAAAAGGAAAATTGGCTGTGAGGCCATAGATATTTTTCTCTCAATATTCTAATTTGAAATTTCTTAAAACTCTGATGATAATTTGACCAGAGCTAGAGAGCCTCAAGAAATTTAAGATGAAAATAGACATTTTTCACTTCAAGACCACAGCACAGAGCATGCAAACGGCCCAGACTTTGCTCTCCTGGGTGTAGACAGTACTTACATAGCAATCTCGTAAGTCCCAATTGACATCAGCTTTCCCAGCTTGTAATAAAAGTACACTAGACTCATCCCCGTAGCATACTGACCTGTGCGACCTCATCTGAAAGTTTGCCAGCTCTCTGGATTTGACTTATCCTATGGTTTTTTTTTTTCAGAGCACTTTGGTGTATATATGCAGAATATATACCATGCAGAATCATTCACTTTCATTTATCCATTCAACAAATATTTATTGAGTTCTTATTATGTGTTCAGTTCTGGTTTAGTTGCTGAGGGTAGAGCAATGAGCAAAAGAGGTAAAACTTTTCTTTTTAACCTATATTCTAATGTGGTGAGAAAGATAATAACAAGTAACAAATAAAATAAGTTCAGATAGTAAGAACTGTTATGAAGAAAATAAAACAGAGCAATTTGAAAGATAGTGGTGAAACAAAATCGTTATTATAAATGTGAGGTTTCAAGGGAGGTGGCATTTCAGTTGGGACCAAAATGTCCCAACGGCCATGTGAAAATCTAGGGGAAGATATTCCCAGGCAGAGGGAACAGCAAGTGCTCGGACCCCAAGGCAAGAACAAGTTGAAACTGTTTGCTGAATAGATAGGAGTTAAGTGTGGCTGAAGCATAATGTAGTGTGACCAAATGTCTTAGTTTGTCCAGGACTTTCCTAGTGTTAGCATAATAAGTCATGTGTAAGGGGAAACCTTGCAATCTCTGCATGTGATTTGGGATTACCACTGAAACTCGTGAATAAAATTAACCTCAGAGTCAGAGTATGTTTCTCTATGCTAGGAATGCTATAGTCTTTCCACCTCATTTTAGATGATATAGTTCCAAGATATCTCAACCACAAACCCAGTTCTGCTCCTGAGACAGACTGTGGCGGTACTCCTGTACTAAGCCATTTAGGATAATCAGCTATTTTTACTAGCATTTTACTTAGCAGGGAAGTAAGGCCACTGACATTGAATTTTGCACACAAACTACTCTCAAACCATTTAGTTCACTTCCAGTAACTGCACAATTGATTTTCTTTTAACCTCAAGGCTGAGCTTTACCATTTGCCAAGCAATGCTTCATCTTGTTCAGTTTGACTCAGAGCTCCAGTCCACTGAGGTCTTTTTGAATGTTAATTCTGGTATCCCAAACTTTACTTATTGCTTCTTGCTTTCTTTGTGTTAACAAAAATTTGATAAATTTGCCTTCTGGCTTTTTATCTAAGTCATTTGATAAAAATGTTAAACAGAACAGGGCCCTGGGTATGTCACTGGAGACATTCTTCCAACATAACATTGATCCATTAATCAATATGTTAGGAGGAATTTATTTAAGCAGATACCAAGTCCTAAAATTCCAAGTTTGTGTTTTACCCATGATTTGGGATATGACATGTAATCATGGGCCAAAATACTGCCTCCAGGTAAAGTTTCTCCCATTTGCTCTTGCAGATAATGGGTAATAAGACTGGAAATGTGGCCAGAATGGGTGGAGAACAATAAGCAAATCTTAGAGAAAGAAAAGGAGCCTGCAAAGCTGATTCAGAGGTCTTGCAAGTTGGGGAAGACCAAAAGAGGAGGGCACTTGAGGCCATAAGAGTTAAATGTCTCATTCTGTTATTAAAGGTTTTTGTAGTAACGCTACAGCCATAGAAGATACATAAACAAATGGGTGTGATTGTATTCCCATAAAATGTCATTTATAAAAACACATGGTGGGCCAGTTTTGACCAGGAGGCTGTAGTTTGTCAACACCAGCTTTAGATGATTCATAACCGCCCTTAAAGAACTGTCCACACACATGCATATTTTATTCCAGGAATACAGTTTTCTCCCATCCGTTCATCTCTATTTCAAGCTGTTTCATTGCTAAGCTTCCACACTATAGATTGGGAGTCTCTTTAATTCTTCTTTTATACTTGTTTCCTTTTAGGATTATTTCTTCTAACTTTTCTCTTTTATGATCTAGGACAGGGTAAGCTAAGTTTTTCCGTATTCAGGAATATTTTTGCTCTTGCAGACCATTGATTTTTGTCACAACTACTGAACTCTGCTCTTGTAGTACAAAAACAGCCATAAAGATCATGAAAATGAATGGGTATGGCTGTACTCTAACAAAACTTTATCTGTAAAAACAGGCAGTGGGGGGCTGGATTTGGCCTTCATGTTGTAGTTTGTCAAATGCTGATCTAGAAGGGATGGTGATTATTCTTGAAATCATATGCCCGAGCCTGAATACCACTTTGTATTTGCATTTCGCATTATAATAATTGGAGACCACCCATGCCCTACTGGCCGCTATGAACCCTAGTTCCTTAGGTATCCACAAGTCTTATGCCCTACCTTAAACAGCATTCCCTTGTGGCCCTCTGTGCCCATTGAATTCTTCATAGAATGAAGTCCTGGAAACATTCTGTTGATCCCACAGTCCCCAGTCTCAGAGTCCTTTGAGAAAGTCATCTTTAAAGAAGCCTGCCAGTTTTTATATGCCATGACCCTGGAGTGAAATTTCTGCCAATTTAATTATGAGGTGTCAGCAATTAGCAGGAATTAGCACCAAAAAGTTCAGGTTTCCTTTAGTGAAAACAACTCATACTCAGACACAGTGACAGCCATTTGCCAGAGCAGTCTAATTTCCTTTTGCACCAGAGGTTATGAGCATTTCTGGATGACTGAAGCTACTATTGGCAATGTGCACTTGGGAAGAGGAGATGACTGAGAGGAGGCACTAGGGAGTAGGGCAAGGGGCATTGCCACAAGACGATGAGTCCAAATGGCTACTCCATCTCAAAGAAAGAAGAAACTTAGTCAACACATCCCTTGTTCATGTACAACCATAGTTTCCCACTTAACTTTAGAATGTGTGCCAGGTTTTAAAATGCATAGGATTCTTATTGTACCCAAACTTTTGGATGAATTGACAAATGAAATTATAAATCAATGTCTCTCCCAAATCAGAATTCAAAGTACAAGTTAGACTTAGAGTCCTGAGGCAAGATTTCCGCTCCTCGTTTTCCCACACACTCCGGACTTTTGTTTTCTTATCTATGAAGCAAATGAATCTTACTAGACAATTACTATTTTAAATGTATGGTTTTTTTTTTCAATCAGAAGTAAAACGTGGAAGCCACGGGAAACTGTTAGTAATGGAAGCGAAGCCAAACAGAATGCCACTCGTTAGCCATGACCATAAACAATATTTGGGTTCTTTTCCCATTCTTATGCTTATTTCTGCAGTCATTATGTCACTTTATAGAGAATGCTGTGACCTGCTTTCCCACTCAAGCGTTTTTCCATGGCAACAGAAAATCTTTAATGACTCTTCTAAGCTCTATGATTTCAAGTATGTTTGGTTTCCCACGGTCAATATACAGAGACTATCAAAACTCATGATGAACAATATTTTATTTTTTAACAAATAAACAATTTAAGATAAAGCTTTCAGTGAAAACGAAATAGAACAACTGTGCAAGTAAATAATTATAGACTTAGAAAAAATATTACAATCCTTTATTGACATTTGTTGTTCTTTTATTAGATTATTGTCCAAGGAAAAGTCCAGCATGGTGAATTGAAGGACTTATTTTGCCATTTTTCTCTCCCCTAGGAGTAGCATACGGTCTGTAAGGCCAGAAATTAGCTTTCATGACATATTATTGGAGGTGAACAAATATAAAGATTTAAAAATCTAAAAGATCCTCAGAATGAATGGTTTTGAGTATGTTTTTACCACCTGGTAAATTAATGAAATGACATTGGTGCCATGTGGAAAGGAATGAAGATGACTGCCTTCGAAGATGAATTATGACAGGCTTTACATGCCAATAAAACAGTATCGAGAGCTCAATAAAGCAATGTTGAAAGTTTTGACATTGGCCAAATATGGAATGAGCACCAAGTATAAGGCATTGGCCTTTAGCAAGTGGCATCTCAGGAAGCCCAAGACACTATTGTTATCTGCAGGAACACACAGTAGGATAGGACTGGTGAGGATGACACTTAGATTCAAGTGGCTATAAAGTGAGGTGCAAAGGGCCAAGGGTTATAGCAGATGGGTACCTGAGGCGGGACAGCAATTTCCTTCTTCTGTTGACCTGGAGCAATATTTAATGGGTCATGCCATCTAAGAAAGGAGTCCTTTCTCTGAAGACTGTCACATATCAGCACAGAATGCACAGTAGGCTTTTTCATTCCATTTAGTAGAGACCTGGAGTGAAATTCAAATGTAACTCAAAAGGTGCATTCCCTTTACTAAATGGGGAGAATATTCTCAAAGTTGATTTTGTAAAAAAAAAGAAATAATAATAATAACACACACACATGCACACAAAAGGAAGTGGAATCACACCTGCTAGGGGACACAGTATCAGTGGTTCTAATATTGCAATGGGAAACCCTTTCAAAGCTTCCAGGACTAAGTCCCAGAGAAGCAATTAGAAGGCCCTTCACATGAAAGAGCTCAGAAGCATTTACAGGGACGTGTCCAAGAGAAGGGCTTTATTTCTAGATTATTAACATGAAAATTTGCTTTCCTCTTTAATTAAGCCACTCTATCTTTGGAAACATAAGTGATTTCATTGCCTTCCTGGCAACTTTTGACTCTAAATGGCCTGGGAAACCAACATGGGCATCTAAGTAGTACCAATATCAGAATGAAAGGCAAGCAAATCTATAACGGTCAACTGGATCATTCTAAATATCTAGATGTTTGATAAAAATTGTTTAGTTTGGTATATGACAAATGAGGTAGATCTAAGAAAAAGAAGGGGAAAAGAAAAAATCCACTAAAAAATTAGTTTGGTGTCATCATCACTACCATCAACAAGGTAGCATACCTTGATTCCACAGGTAGAGGTCAAGTTCCCTTTTCTTATACTCACATTTATCCCTCTATATTTCAATTATCTGTTCACTTCTGTGTCTCCTTACTGGGTCTAATTTTGGAAGGAGAGACACCAAATCCCTCTTGCTCACAATGTTTCCACACTTCCTTGCCTGGAGTGTTAGTGCACACTCAATAAATATTAGGTGAATAAATGAACACCAGGGCAATTTGGGGATGAGCCATTACCAATTGGGGTGTGCTGTGGTGTAGGCAGTGGCAAGAAAGCTCTGCCAAGGATCAGCCAGTCCTTCAGAGGTTTGCCTAAGTAGGTGGCACCATGGCTTCAGCTACAGAAGTGTCCAAGGATGTATTCCTAATGTCAGTTGAGGATGATCAGGAATGGGGCTGGAAGCCAACTTAATATCCTGATGCCATTTCTGTATCCAAATGAGGACCTTTAAGGCCATCCGGTATGGCACCCACATGTTACAGATGTAGAAGCTGTGGCGCATAAGGGAACAGCAGTTTTCCCCAAAGCACACGCTAGCAGAGCAGACTTTCATACCCATGTCCCCTGATATCCTGTTCCACACTCTCCTTGACAACCCACTCAACAGGCCAGGGTTTCAATGGCAGCTCCATGAAGGAAGTATCTATACAGCCTTGGCAGGCCACTTCCTCCTTTTTAAACCCCATTTTCCCTATTGGGTAAGTTGGCCTTATAACACGTGACCCCCAGGGATGTTAGCGTTAGAGGAAACAGTCCATGCAAAGTGCCCAGCAGAGGGCCAGGAACTGATTCCCAAACCTTAACTCCTTTCCCCTCCTCTCAGGCACGTGAAGCCACTGGAGATGAGCAAGCTGAACAGAGCATCTTCAGTTGTTGTCAAGGGCCAGCTGACGGGAGGGGCCAGGTCCTCAGATCATTTCATCCCTCAGGAGGCGAGTTTGGAGCTCGACCCTGCATCGACATGGTCTTGCTCTGAAGAGACTCTCCTCTGCTCCTTCCTAACATCCCCCAAGGAAATGCAGCCTTCAAAACCCAGGCTTTCCAATTTACTTAGTAAAATGAATGAAAGAACCTTTTGGGGAATAAAGTGATTTCTTTTTAGCTGCACGTGTTTACTTTTCCATAAACTCCCAAGATGGCTTACATGTTAGCTGTTAATCACACCATCTGTTCAAACAGTACTTCAGTAAATGATTCGATTCATACTTTTCTTCTAAAAAAATCTTTTTAAGGACAGTGTTTATGTCTCTGCTATTCTTCATTTGGCAATGTAGCATGAGCTATTTTAACTTTGCCGTTATTGTAAACAAATATTGAATTTCCCATTTCTTAAGTGTACAGAATATAGGACCACTTCCCTGCATTTATTTCAGTTCACTGTAAGCTTTGAGGGAAGCAGGGCTACCAGACAGAGATATTATATTTTCTAAAAGAAAAAAAAAAACGAAGACAAGAAATTCCAGATAATATTTCCTCTGATATCTTGAATTTAGCTACAATGAGTAGGTTCTAGCTACATGAGAGTATTCAGGCCAAGCAAAGGTGGACAGGGTGTCCTCAGTAGTTGGGAATGGTCAGTTATGTTGAGGGGCCTGGCTGCTCAAACTCATTTTATATCTTCAGAGACAAAGTCACTGGTTTAGAGGGACGTCCAGAAAGAACAGCCTGGGTCCTGCTAGAAAGTCTAGGCACAAAGCTTGGGTGATACCAGGCATGAAGAGGAGGCAAAGGGGCTGCTGGGGTTTTGGGGATGTAGAACATCCCTGAAGTTAGTAGAATGAAAAGAGCATGAGCATAAAGGTTGAATTCTTTTTGATGGTAGCAGGTCTGTTGACTTCTGAAGGCGCTACATCTATGCAAACATGTGGAGAAATTCACACAGCAGCATGGATATACCCTAGTGCTGTTCCAGATGGATGCCGCTCTCACTTGCTTTCCAAGATGTTTAGCTGCATGAAATATTACATTGTACAGCCATGTACAAAGTATAAGGGATGTACAAAGGAGGCACATATAAACTTGTGCAGGGGGACATTGATAAAGGAGGGACTTACTCTTTAGGCCCAGAGATAAAAGATGGTCGAAGGAGGCTCATATTAGAAACATTCTTGCTGGGTTTCCTGGGTTGGATTAACTAGTTGAGAACCACATGCATTTTACAGACACCACATCAATCCTGTGCTCAGAATTGGAAATGAAGGAGATGTTAATGGGAATGTTAATAAGTTTGTATTGCTGAATCAGCAAGAGTCAGAAAAGCCATATAGGCTGGGTCCAGATCTTGGAAGGTCTTAAATGTCACATTGAAGAGTTGAACTTTTTGCCTTCATGACTGGACATCATGAAGAACTTTTAAACAAGGGAGTGACATGCTCTGACATGTCTCATAAAAGTGGGTGGCACCGTAATGTGAAGCCTGTGTTAGACTGTGTTGCTAAGGATACCAGATCTCAAGTCACTGCAGTGGTCAGAGCAAGAAATGATGAGGGCCAGAGTTAAGGGAGAGGCAGTGGGATGAGAGTCTAGGGATGGATGAGATTTATCACAGAAATAGGATAGGCAAAGCCTGGAGGATGATTGGAAGTTGCAGTAAGGGAACAAGAGGATTAGGGGATGTCTTCAAGGTGGATGGTGGCTCCATTTGATGCAATAAACAGGAGGAAGAGGAGATTTTAGGATGAAGATGAAGCTTTCTGTTTCAGAATATCTCAATCTATGTTTTCTATGAACATTTCAGATAGATACATGTACTTTTTACACAAACACATGTAATTGGAACTGAGAAGAGATGTCTGAGCTGTAGATAGAACTTTGGTTGTCATTACTCTAAATAAGATTTGACAGTTTCATGAGTTTGAACTCGGCATGTCCAACGTCTTCTCTTTTGATTGTCTTAGAGCAGCATGTCTCACTCATGCCATGGGACTTCCTCTCCCCTCATGGTTTGGAGTGAGAATTAAATCAACTGTAAAGCAATCATCACCAAGTATACAAAATAATAACAATAAATTGGTATGTAGGCAGCAAAAGAATCAACAGTAGGAGCAGGGTTTAAAATTCTATTCATACTGATGTCCCTTACATATGTAGGGAGGTGTTATTACTCAGATATGTCGGGTGTTGAAACACTGTGGGGCATGGCTTAGTCACCTTCAATGGGACATGGAAACATAACAGGTAAGATATATCAGTTAGAATCAAGTTCAGCTGTAAGGGACAGAAAACCTAGTATAATTGTGGCTTAAACAAGATGGATGATTTTTGTACATCACTTAACTGAAGATGAGAAGTGTAGAACAGCTATGATAATTCTCTGATATTCACAGACTCACATTATTTCCAGTTAACTATTCTGCCCTTATTCTCATAGAACAAGAAGGATGGTAGAGTTCCAGATATGTTTTCTATGAACATTTCAGATAGATACATGTCCTTTTTGCATTTGCATTCTAGGCATCAGGATAGAGAAAGGGGAAAATAAGGGGTGGTGGTGGGGGGACTGATTTGCTTCTATTTAAGACATTCTAGAAATTTCTCATAATATTTTGACTTATATTTTAATACTAATTTAGTCACTGAACACACCTAGCCTCAAGAGAGGCTGAAAATTGTATTCTTTTAGCTAGATATGTTACCACCTGAATAAAATTCAGTGATTTGTTACCAAAGAAGATCGAGAAAATGGATAATGGGGTAGATAACAAGCAATCTCTGCCACAGGACATAATCTCAATATGGGCCATTTGGTGTAAAGAAGAGCTGAAAAGAAGAATCGTCTTGAAGATCCTTGGGCTGACTTCCAATCTGGCAAGCAGAACATGATATTTTAAGGGAGGTTTTCTAATGCAAACCCTGGACATCAGAGGGACCAAATAAGTATGAGTTGGCAAGGAAAGCTTCACAGGCACTTACAGAAAAGTAAAGAAAAATGCAGGAATGAGTAAACTTTAGAAAGTAAACTCTCTTTGGAGAAACGTCTGTTCAAATCTCTCAGACATTTAAAAAATCCAGTTATTTTGTTTTTTTAGCTATTGCGTTGTAGAAGTTCCTTATATATTTTGGAAATTAAACCCTTATCAGATATATGGTTTGTAAATACTTCTTCCATACCGTAGGTTGCCTTTCATTCTGTTCATTCTGTTGCCTTTCGTTTCTTCCCAGTAAAGAAGCTTTTTAGTTTGATGTAGTTCCACTTGTCTATTTTTGCCTTTGTTGTCTCTGCTTTTGGTGTCATATCTAAGAAACTATAGACAAGACCAACGTCAAGAAGCGTTTTCCCTATGTTTTCTTCTAACTATTTTAGAGTTAAAATATCTTACACTTAAGTCCTTAATCCATTTTGAGCTAATTTTTGTGTATGGTATAAGATAAGAGACCAATTTTATTTTTTGAATGGGATAGCCACTTTTCCCAACACCATTTTTTGAAAAGACACAAATTTTCCCTATTGCATATACTTAGTACTCTTTTCAAAGATTAGTTGTCCTTATATGTGTGTATTTATTTCCAGGCTCTCCATTCTGTTTCATTGGTCTATATGCCTATTTTTGTGCCAGTACCTGACTGACAGTATATGAAAAGATGCTTAACATTGCTAATCATCAGGAAAAAGCAAATCAACATCACAATATCATCTCACATCTGTTAGAATGGCTATTAGAAAGGAAAACAAAAGATAGTAAGTGTTGGTGAGGATATGAATAAAAGTGAACCCTTGCACACTGTTGGTAGGAATGTAAAATGGTGCAGCTATTATGGAAAGCAGTATAGAAGTTCCTCAAGAAATTAAAAATAGAACTACTGTATTTATGATCCAGGAATTCCACTTCTGGGTATATATTTAAAAGAACTGATAACAGGATTGCAAAGAGATATCTACATTCTCATATCTATTGCAGTATTATTCACAACAGCCGAGATATGGAAACAGCCCAAATGTCCATCAACAGATAAATAGATAAAGAAAATGTAGAATATTGGCGAACAATGAGAACACATGGACACAGGGAGGGGAACATCACACCCCAGGGCCTGTCAGGGAATAGGGGGAAAGGGGAGGGAGAGGATTAGGACAAATACCTAATGCATGTGGGGCCTAAAACCTAGATGACGGGTTCATAGGTGCAGCAAACTACCGTGGCATGTATAACCATGTATACCTATGTTACAAACCTGCACGTTCAGCACATATATCCCAGAACTTAAAGTAAAATTATTTTAAAAAAGAAAATGTAATAAAGTATCATATTTTCTTTATATGTAGTATAATATTTTATTGCATTTTCTTTATATATACTACAGACAAAAAAAGTTATATATGTGTGTATACATATTGTGTGTGTATATATATGTGTATGTGTGTGTGTGTGTATATATATATATATATATATACACACACAGTGGAACACTATTTAGCCTTAAAAATGAAGGAAATTCTACCATTTCAAACAACATATATGAACCTGGAAGACATGATGCTAAGTGAAGCGAGTCAGTCACAGAAGGACAAATACTGCAAGATTTCTCTTATATAAGGCATCTAAAATAGTCAAACAGGTAAAAGTAGACAATAGAATGGTGGTTACCAGGCAAGGGGGAGAGGGAACAGAGGGAAGTTTCTGTTTTTTTGTTTGTTTGTTTTTGTTTTTTTGAGACAAGGTCTTGCTCTCTTGCCCAGGCTGGAGTGCAGTGGCACGATCTCAGCTCACTGCAACGTCTACCTCCCAGGTTCAAGTGATTCTCATGCCTCAGCCTCCTAAGTAGCTGGGATTACAGTCATGTGCCACCATGCCTGGCTAATTTTTGTATTTTAATAGAGACGGGGTTTTGCCATGTTGGCCAGGCTGGTCTTGAACCCTGACCTCAAGTGATTCTCTCTCCTCAGCCTCCCAAAGCACTGAGATTGCAGTTGTAAGCCACCGTGTCCAGCCTGAGAGCTATTTTTTCATGGGCGTAAAGTTTCAGTTATACAGAATAAGTTCCAGAGATCTGCTGTATAATATAGTGCCTATAATTAACAATAAGGTATTGTGCACTTGATATTTTGTGAATAGGGGAGATCTCATGTGAAATGTTCTTAACAAAAACAAGCAAGTAACAACAAAAAGGGAACAGAAGGAAACTTTTGGAGGTAAAGATATGTTTATTGCCTTGATTGTAGTGATGATAACATGAATATATGTATATGTATATGTTTATGTGTATATATATCTATATACATATATATAGATATTAACTCAGTCAGTTGTATACACTCATTATGTGCAGTTTTTGTTTACCAATTATATTTCAATAAAGCTGGAAGAGGCCGGGCATGGTGGCTCACGCCTGTAATCCCAGCACTTTGGGAGACCTAGGCGGGCAGACACGAGGTCAGGAGATTGAGACCTTCTTGGCTAACACGGTGAAACCTCGTCTCTACTAAAAATACAAAAAATTAGCCTGGCATGGTGGCGGGCACCTGTAGTCCCAGCTACTCGGGAGGCTGAGGCAGGAGAATGGCGTGAACCCGGGAGGTGGAGCTTGCAGTGAGCCAAGATCGCTCCACTGCACTCCAGTCTGGGCAACAGAGCGAGACTCCGTCTCAAAAAATAAATAAATAAATAAATAAAGCTGGAAGAAAGAATGTTAATTTTGTATTCCATAACTTTACTGAATTTATTAATTTTGGGGTGGAATCTTTAGAGTTTTCAATATATAAGATTATGTTATTTGCAAACATAGACAGTTTCACTCCCTTTTTTAAAATGATAGAGATGCTTGTACAACTTTATTTTTATTTTTATTTATTTATTTAAAAATATTTTTAGAGACAGGGTCTCTCTCTGTCACCCTGGCTACGGTGCCAATTTTACTTCTTCATTTCTGGTTTGGATGGCTTTTATTCCTTTTATTTTGCCAAGTTGATCTGTCTAGGACTTCCAGTTCTATGTTTAATAGATGGGGTAAGAATGGGCATCCTTGTTTTGCTTCTGTTCTTAGAAGAAAAGCTTTTAGCTTTTCACCATTCAGTATGTTAGCTGCAGGCTTGCCATAGATGGCTCTTATTATGTTTAGGTACATTCCTTTTATACTCACTTTGTTAAGAGTTTTATTATTTTTTTTATCATGAAAGGATATTGAATTTTGTTAACATGCAACAATCAACTGTGTTTCTATACACTAACAACAAACTATCCAAAAATGATCCCACTTACAATAGCATCAAGAACAATAAAATACTTAGGAATAAATGTAACCATGGAGGTGAAGATGAAAACTAAAAAAAAAAATAGATTAAAGAAATTGTAGGAGACCCAAAATAAATGGAAAGCTATTCTGTGTTCATAGATTGAAAAATTAATATTCTTATCAAGATTCCAATAGAATTTTTCATAGAGATATAAAAATGCTGGCCAGGCATGGTGGCTCACGCCTGTAATCCCAGCACTTTGGGAGGTCGAGGTGGGTGGATCATGAAGTCAGGAATTCGAGATCAGCCTGGCCAACATGGTGAAACCCCATCTCTACTAAAAATACAAAAATTAGCCAGGCGCAGTGGCGGGCGCCTATAATCCCAGTTACTCAGGAGGCTTAGACAGGTGAATCACTTGAACCCAGGAAGTGGAGTTTGCAGTGAGCCGAGATCATGCCACTGCACTCTAGCCTGGGCGACAGAGCGAGACTCCATCTCCAAAAAAAAAAAAAAAAAAAAAAAAGTGCTAAAATTTATGTAACCCCAAAAGTCCCCAAATAGCTATTTCCCAACTTCAAACTGTATGACAAGGCTATAGTAACCAAAACAGAATGGTGCTGGGGGAAAAACTGACACATAGACCAATGGAACAGAATAGAGAACCCAGAAATAAAGCCATACATCCACAACCACCTGAACTTTGACAAACCTGACAAAAATAAGCAATGGGGCAATGATTCCCTATTCAATAAATGGTGCTGGGATAACTGGTTATCCATATGCAGAAGAATGAACCTGGGCCCCTATCTAGTACCACAAGCAAAAATTAACTTGAGATGGATTGATAACTTAAATGTAAACCTCAAACTATAAGAATCCTAGAAAAAAATCTGGGAAATAACATTCTGGACATCAGCCTTAGGAAATAATTTATGACTAAGTCCTTAAAAGCAATTGCAACTGGAACAAAAACAAAAATTGATAAGTGGGACCTAATTAAACTAAAGAGTTTGTGTACAGCAAGAAAAACTATCAAAGGAATAAACAGACAACATATAGAATAAAAGAAAATATTTACAAATTAGGTATCTGACAAAGGTCTAATATCCAGAATCTATAGGAAACCTAAATCAATGAACAAAAAACAAATAACCCCATTAAAAAGTGTGTAAAGGATGTGAATAGGTACTTCTCAAAAGAAGAAATATAAGTCGCTATCAAATGTATGAAAAAATGCTCATCATCACTGATCATCAGAGAAATTCACATCAAAACCACAGTGAGATAGCAACTCACACCAGTTAGAATGGTTACTATTTAAAAGCAAAAAAAATAACAGATGCTGGCGAGGCTTTGGAGAAAAGGGGACACTTATACACTGTTAGTGGGAATATAAATTAGTTCAGCCACTATGGACAGCAGTTTGGTGATTTATCAAAGAACTAAGTGGTGAAATATCATTTATCAAAGAACTAAGTGGTGAACTATCATTTGACCAAGCAATCCCAGCACGAGTACCCAGTAATGGTACTGGGTATATACCTTGATAAGGTTTGGTCCTGTGACCCCATCCAAATCTTATCTCGAATTGAAATCCCCACATGTCAAGGAAGGGACTTAGTGGGAGGTGATTGGATCATGGAGGCAGTCTCCATGTGTTCTTATGATAGTGAGGGAGTTCTCATGAGATCTGATGGTTTATAAGTGGCAGCTTCCCCTGCACACTATCTCTATTCTGCCATCTTGTGAAGAAGGTGCTTGCTTCTCCTTTACCTTCCACCATGATTGTAAGTTTCCTGAGGCTTCCCTAGCTATGCAGAACTGTGAGTCAATTACAACTCTTTTCTTTATAAATTACCCAGTCTCAGGTAGTTCCTTATAGCAGTGTGAAAACAGACTAATACATACCCAAAGGACAATAAATTGTTCTATCAAAAGGACATATGTACCTGTATGCTTCTCGCAGCACTATTCACAATAGCAAAGACAAAGAATCAACCCAGGTATTCATCAATGGTAGGCTGGATAAAGAAAAACACAATGGAATACTATGCAGCCATAAAAAAACATGAAATCATGCTCTTTGCAGCAATATAGATGCAGCTGGAGGCCATTATCTTAAGTGAATTGACACAGAAACAAAAAACCAGATACTGCATGTTCTCACTTGTAAGTGGGAACTAAACATTGGATACACATGGACATAAAGATGGGAACATTAGACACTGGGGGCTATTAGAGGTGGGAGAGAAGAATGCGGGCAAGGGCTGAAAAAAGTACCTATTGGGTACTATGCTCACTATCTGGGTGATGGGTTCAGTCAAACCCCAAACCTCAGCATCATGCAATATACCTTTATAACGAATCTGCACATGTACTCCCAAATCCAAAACAAAAGTTGTAAAAGAAAAAATTTTGTTGATTAACAAAATGAAGAGGCATGCTACAGAATGGAAGAAAATATTAGTAAGACATATATCTGAAAGGGGTTAATATTCAAACTATATAAGGAACTCATACAACTCAATAGCAAGGAAACAACCCAATTTAAAAATGGACAAAAGATCTGAGTAGAAAGTTTTCCAAAGAAGATATACAAATGGACAAGAGGTATATGAAAAGGTGCTCAAGATTACTAATTATCAAAGAAATACAATTCAAAATCACAATGAGATATCACCTGACACCTGCTAGGATAGCTATTACCAAAAAGCCAAAAGATAGCAAGTATTGGCAAGGATATGGAGAAAAGGAAACACTTGTACAAAGTTAGTGAGACTGTAAAGTGGCACAGCCATTATGGAAAATAGTATGGAGATTCCTTTAAAAATTCAAAATAGAACTACTATATTATCCAGCAATTCCACTACTTAGTATATATCCAAAGGAAATAAAATCATTATCTGAAGAATTATCTGCATTCCCAAGCATATTGCAGCCCTATTCACAGTAATCAATATATAGAAACAACCTAAGTGTCCATCAAGAGACGAATGGAAAAAGAAAATGTGGTGTTTGTGTGTATATGTATATATACACACTATATATATATATATATGTATACACATACACACACAGATATGTATCTATACATATGTGTGTATATATATACATACATGTATATATATATCTTTACACAATGGAGTATTATTCAGCCTTCAAAAAGGAGGAAATCTTGCCATTTGTGACAATATAGATGAGCTTGAAGGATATTATGCTAAGTGAACTAAGCCAGACACAGAAAGGCAAATACTGCATGATCTCACTTATATGCGCCATCTTGAAAATAGTTGAAGTGATAGAAATGGAGAGTAGAATGGTGGTTACCAGGAGCTAAGGGGTGGGTAAGAGGGGCGTTGTTGGTCAAAGGGTATAAATCTTCAGTTGTGAAATGAGTAATTTTGGGGGATCTAATGTACATCATGGTAACTATAGTCAATAACACTGTATTGTATACTTAAAGTTTGCCACGGGAGTAGATCTCAAGTGCTCTCACCACAAAAAAAGTAGCCATATAAGGTGATGGATATGTTAATTAGCTTGATGTGGTAACCATTTCACAGTATACACATATATCAAAACATCACTTTGTACACCCTAATATATATATTTTTATTTGTCAATTATACCTCAATAAACCTGGGTGGGAAAAGACATACAAAAAAAGAAAATCCTACTTCCTTAAGCATAAAAAGAAAGTAAACTATCTTAACTCAGGGTGTTATAAAAAATATCCTAGAATGATTGTCTTAAAAGACAGAAATTTAATTCCTGCTGTGCTGGAAGCTGGAAGTTCAAGATATAAGTGCCAGTATGATTGCATGCTGGTGAAGGCCTTATTCCTGGTTGTGTCTTCACTTGGCCTTCCTTGGTGGATGCACACATACAGAGGGAAATCTTATGTCTCTTTCTCTTTGTATAAGGTCATTAATCCCATAAGGGAGCCCTCACCCACATGACCTCATCTAAACCTAATTACCTTCCAAGCCTCCACCTCCAAATACCATCCCACTGGAGATTTGGGCTTTAACATGAATTTGGCAGGGATGCAATCTCTTCTTAGCATTCCACTCCAGCAAATGAATCAAGTTGTGTCCAGCAGGGAGGTCCAGCAGCTGGTAGAAGGGCCCCCATCACATTTTCCCATTTCAGGGATAGGATGCTAATCCATGGGTGGTGGTGATGGTGAAGGACATTGAGTGACAATAGCATAGTGAGGTCTGATTCCTTGAGGGAGTGGGATACTAAGCAGGTGTCTAAGGCAGAGACACTGGTTCAGGACTGGGACACAAGGTCAGAGGGGAACAGCAATGAGACAGACTGGTTGTTGAATTCCAGAGAAGGGACCTTAAAGCAGTGGTTCCAACATTTTGGATTTTACGTATGTGTACCTATTTTTTTAAGTGAGTTTGTCAGCTGACATAGTTTGGCTGTGTTCCCACCCAAATTTCATCTTGAATTGTAGCTCCCATAATTTCCATGTGTTGTGGGAGGGACCCAGTGGGAGGCAATTGAATCATGGGGGTGGGTTTCTCCCATGCTGTTCTCATGATTGTGAATAAGTCTCATGAGATCTAGTGGTTTTATGAAGGGGAGTTCCCCTGCACATGGTCTCTTTGCCTGCCACCATGTAAGACATGCCTTTGCTCCTCCTTTGTCTTTCACCATGATTGTGAGGTCTCCCCAGCCATATGGAATTTTGAATCAATTAAACCTCTTTCCTTTATAAATTACCCAGTCTTGGGTATATCTTTATTAGCAACATGAGAGTAGACTAATACACCAACTTTTCATTTTGCTATGTAAATATATACAGAATTAAAAATGAAATAACAAAATATCTACAATGTATTAACCCTATTATTTCTTTTAAAATACTATTTTAAGGCAAAAATTAGGCAACAAATTAGAAGGAAAGAACAATTCCTAATCAAAATTCAAAATGTACAAAACCATAAAGAATAGTTAGAAGAGAGGACTTGAAATATTCCCAACACATAGTAATGATAAATATTCAAGGTGATGGATATCCTAAATACCTTGACTTGACCATTACACATTCTATGCATGTCCAAAATATCACATGTACTCCATAAATATCTACGAATATTATGTATCAATAAAAACAAAAAAGAATTGACAATTAAAAGGCTCCCTCTTACCCTGCCCCTTCAACACCCAGTTTCCCTTTCTGCAGGCAGCCACTGTTATTTGTTCCTTGGGCATTCTTCCAAAGATATTCTATGTATAAATAAGTAAATAAGTCTGTCTGTGTGGAGGAGTGTATGTATGTGTGTAGCATTCCGTTCACATTTTTTCCAAAAAGGTTATCTTGAAAAGCGTTTCATGTCAGTGCATGAAGAGCTTTTTAAATCTTTTTACAGCTGTATAGTAGTTTGTTGTACGGATATATCAAATTTATTTAAACAGTCACTTATTAATAGGCATTTCCATTATTTCCAACCTTTTGATACTGCAAATAGTGTTTCATTGAATTACCTTAGAATACTCTTTGTGATTGAATTAAACTATGAACAGTTCATTACTTTACCTTCATTTCTTTTCATTTCAACATGAACTAGTAAAAATTTTACCAGCACCAGCTTATATAGTTGTCTTTGCAAAACTCTTTTCTACAGTTCTCCACATCCTGGAAGTCATTCAGGCTTATAAAATGGGCTATTTATTTCTGGCTGCCAGGTACCTCCTTGATAAAAACGTGATACCATCCAAAAAGGTGGTTCTACCTCAGTATGTAGGGCCTGAGTTTCTGTTTCCAACTTGCTTTTTTTCATACTGCTTTTCCCCTCTGTTGAAATATTTTTCCATATGTTTTTTCATTTGTAACCAGCCATCCCCATGACATATAGATATTTGATATGTCTTGACATGGGCTCATTAAAGATGTCAGATAGAAGCAATAAAAGGAAAAGACTTAGAATACCTAGACATTTGGGTGGATCTGGCACAAGGACAAAAGACCATCTTCAGGTGCTGGAAATGTATTAGGTATCTGTTTGCACATCTCAGCTTTACCTATGTGCTAATTCAATGGTCATTATGGCAATTGGCTGTGTGAGTTTCAACATACTTTGTGTAAGTGTACCCCGATAATACCTCACCTTATGCCCTAATTGTATGCCTCTCAGCTCCTGGGATGGGTTTGCTGGCGAGCTTAACTGTAGGAGCACACTTAATGCTGATACAATGCCTATAATGTACAACCTGGAATCATGAATCACTGGATCTCTTTGACTAGTACAGGAGAGCAAGTGAGTTTGAAAATTACTTGGAGCTCACATGTAAAATGTTGACTACATTGTGGCCACAGAATTGGATTGGTGCGACCAGGATGGGCCCAAACTCCTGCCACCATCCAGATGCAAACATTGCTATTGATAATGAATGGGTAACACAAGGGTTTTGAGATGGCAACAAACCTGTCATAGGCCATAACAGCAATAAGAAAACACTCGGCTGGGCATGGTGGCTCACACCTGTAATCCCAACACTTTGGGAGGCTAAGGCAGGCGGATCATGAGGTCAGGAGTTCAAGACCAGCCTGACCAATATGGTGAAACCCCGTCTCTACTAAAAATACAAAAATTAGCTGGTCATGGTGGCGGGCACCTGTAATCCCAGCTACTCGGGAGGCTGAGGCAGGCGAACTGTTTGAACCCAGGAGGTGGAGGTTGCAGGGAGCCAAGATTGTGCCATTGCACTCCAGCCTAAGTGACAGAGTGAGATTCCGACTCAAAAAACAAAACAAAACAGAACAAAAAAAAAACACACTCCGTCACCCCTAAGTAAAGAAAGATAGTCATTTAGAATAAGCAGCCACTATAGGATACACTTGGAAAGTCCTTCTAGCAGTTCACCAGAACCGTGGGTGTGGAGCAGATATCTAAGAAGGATACTTGTATGAGAAAGAAGTACATGGGGGTTTGAAGATGGGAATCAATCTGGATAATAACAATGATGAGAATATTACCAACCAGGGTGACAGAGTAGATGAACAATATTGCCTAAAAGAAGAGTAGCTGAGATGCAGGCTGTCTGGACAGTCCTACCAGAATAAATTCCATCATATTTGTATCATTTTCTTCATCTGAGGAAATCATCATCCTTTCTATAAAGATAAAAGGAAAGGTATGACAAATGTGATGTAATCCTAAGATGGGACTGGAGAAAGTTCAGGGCTGAATGATAAGGGGGAACTTCACCAGGGCAGGAAAGGAAGACATGTTTTATGCTAGTCTAACTGTATTCCTTTGAATCTTCTCATAGTTGTGGTTAGGGAAAACTTTATTGTCAAAGAGACCTTGTTTTTAGCTCCTCCTCTTACTCATAATAGTCATACTTGAAAAGGTAGGACCATACCCTCCTACAGACTCTTTGTATTAAAAGGGGCATTTTAAAATCGAGATTTGTTTGCGTGACTATACCTGATTCCATATCGATAATAAGAGATTCAGGTGAGGTAGAGCTCTTCAAAGAAATTTCCACACCTGCCAAGGCATTTACTTGGCCCAGAATGATGTTATAAGCTGTTAGATACAAGGGCAAGTAACTCAAATTCTAAACAGAACATTTCCCTTGTCTTTGCCTAGGTAACAAAATCAAAATTATTTTGCTTCCAGTTGTACTTCAGGTCTTGAGCATCTGCTGTTTTTAGAGAACAGTTTCTTTGGCACAAGAAGGTAAGAGATACAGCAGAAACCAAAGATCTAGTCATAAAACTCAAGGAACTTAGAAAGGGATGTGACCAGGAAGAGGAGTCAGGGATGTGCCAAGGGCAGCTCTGTGCCATCTAAGGGTCTTGCTTTTTGTGGAATCACATGCAATCCTTGCCAAGCATAACTATACTACCATGTAACTGAATTATTATTCAAAGAACCAGTGTGAATCATAGGAATGAGTAATGAGTAAGGACATTTTAGTTTTGGATTAACCATTTGCTTGCTATGTGGCCCAAGGGAGCAGCAGTTTCGTAATCTATAGAATAAGGAAAACTACGTGCCTTTCTTACTTCATAGAATTGTGAAATTCCAACAAGATAATGGTCGGGGAAATGCTGTGAAAATTATAAAGATATGCAAACACAAGACTGTTGTTTCTGGAAGAAGGAATACAACTAAGATTTCACCGAAGTCAAGCTTGTTGCCTCTCTTTAAGGTGTAAGGGAGCCTAGGAATTCAGTAGTTGCATTTTTACACCTTTCCTTACTCTCCAAAGCTGGGAAAAACATTCAGTCAGAGAAGTGCTTTATAAACAGTGTTTTTAAGCATTGGAACTGATTTCCCACCATCTCTGTATTCTTGACAATAAGCCCTCATAAGAGCATTGCAATAGCCTATTCAAGCTAAGGATTCAGTGTTGGACAGAAATACAAAGGAAAGTTTAAGAGGGTGCATGGCTGAGTGATGTCCGCCAAGCTCCTTTATTTTCTTAATTGAGCCATATGGATTTATCATTCTAGAAGTTATCTAAATTAGGTATAAGAAGCTTTTTACTACTGAGCATAACTGACCCAACTCCCACATATAAGTCAGTGGACATATATAAGTAAAAAAAAGTTAAAAACTTAATTGTTTTGTTTGTGAAGAAAAGAATATGATGATTTTAAAATACTCAATCTAACTCTTTCCTTGTAAACTTAAAAATTCTTCTTTTTTCAAAACAAGAAGGCTAGCACTTCTTTATATGACTCACTGCACACACACACACACATACACAGAATAGTTGAAAATACACTTTAACGTAAGTTGTTTGCAATGTTACAAATTTAGTGTTCTTCATAAAAGTATATCTATATATCTATATCTAAATTATGTATATTTTTAGAAGGCCCATTTATTCAACCACTTGATGAAACTGAGGCTATTAATAAGAAAATTAATATTTTCTTTATAGTTGAGGGTCATCTCTGAGACAATGGAAAGGTGAGGATAAGGAATGGGCAAAGAGAAAAGAGAGCATGAATATCAAGTACAAGGTACAAAAGAGAGTAACATTTCTGGTGTGGTATAGGGAGCGTAGAATTAGGACTGAGAAAAAGTTAAAGGGAGGCAGAGTTCAGCTGAGTAGGAGACAAGTTTTCTGTCTAGATAGCTAGATTTATCTGACAATTACGGGATAGGCAGTTCCATGAATTAGTGAGCTAACTCCTTCAGTGATACAACATTTAATTTCAGTCTGATCAGCAGTAAAATAGAGGGGTCTCCTGTATTGGACCACAGGCTGAACTAGGCCCACTCTGTTCAGCTGTAAGAGTTATCATGCCATCATAGGGAAAAAGAGGCAAAGAGACACAGGGGCATAGAGAAGGCAGGACAGAGAAGAGGCAGATCTAGAAGAAGAGAACCAGGATAATATGGAGGAAGCAGAGTAAGCAAAGAGATGGAAAGAGAGAGAAAAAACCATGCTTATCCAACGGAAGGTAGGACATTGCTTAAGGAATTTTCTCTCTTTACCAAATTTCTAAAAATGATTACCCTCATTAATTAACTCCATTTACACACTCCCTGTTAACTTCTCAATCCCTTGCTTGTTTCTGTCACACAACTGAACTTATTAGAAAGTAACCCAATGTACTACTAATGACCAAATCCAATGTTCTTTTTCAGTCTTTGATTCATTTCATCTAACACTACTTACTACCTTCACTTCTTGAATATTTTTCTTCTTTTGTCTTCTAAGATTCATTTTCGCTTTATGTACTTCTCACCTCTGCTTATTCTTTTACTGTAAATTGTATACTTTACTGTAAAATCACCAAGGTTCAGTGACTTTTGCTACTGCACTCTCTCTTCAGTATGGCTCTTCTACGCCATCCCCATGAAAGAGTCACTTGTCAGTTCCCTCTTTCTTCTAACTTCTAAATGTATGTATTTCTAAGTTTTCAGTGGCATTCAAGATAAGCTAGCTTACTCTATAGCAACAAACAGCCCCTAAACTTTGAGGGGCTTGAAACAACAAAGGTTTAATTCTTGCTCATGCTACATAGTAATGACATTTGTCTCCGCTCATTGAAGTGACCCAAGGACCCAGACTGAATAGGGGATTCTTCTTGACACCTGCTTTAATGATTGCTGAAGCAGGATAAAAGAAGCACAGTGAATTCTGTATGGCTTCTTCAAGCTTTTGCCTGGATGTGAATAAGTCACTTTTACTGACATTTAGTTGGCAAAAGCAATCACATGGCAATGTTGTTATGTACCTGGAAGGAGGTGAGAACTGGAGTACCTGTAACAGGCTCTAATGACCACCATGTATTTCTTACTAATTTCTGTAACTTTACTCTTTCCATAGATGGTCATATCTGACCTCTCATATATAATTAAACTTATATCTGAGTCTAATTCTTATACTCATGTCTCCCAAAGCTTATAACTAGAGGTCAGACATCTTCTTTAGCTCATGAATCACGTGTTTATTTGGCTTCCCAACCCCAGATTGTTGGAAACTAAATTAAAATAAACTTGTCACCATTCCATTTAAAACTATCATTGCTACTTCCCTATTCCTGCTAATGGCACCTCAATTTTCCCAATAAACCAGGTTGGAAAACATTGTCATCATCCCTCCTTTCTACAATTTCCCATATTAGTCAGTAAGGTTCAGTGATTTTTGCCACTGCACTGTCTCTTCGCTATGGCTCCTCTGCTCCATTCCCATTGTAGATTTCCTTGTCAAAGTCTTCTGTGTGTCTTTTGCAAGGATTTTCAAAATAGGCTCCAAACTAGTTTTTTACCCCTTTCATCTGCCCTGGACATTTTTGCCAGAGTAATCTTATGTTTTCATTATACTACTCCCCTATCCAAAACCTCTGTTTCATTGTCAACTGCCTGTAAAAACAAGTCATGACTTCTTAGCCTGACATTTGGTACTCTTCATGTCCTGTCTTCAACCTAATTTCCTATGGGTTGTCTTCACTGATCCTTGGTTTTCCCTTCATTTTTTTTACTCCCTATGATGCATATGCCCAATGTCCCATGCATATTTAGGGTGACCAATCATCCCTGTTTGCACAGGACTAAGAAGTTTTCCAGGATACAGCACTTTCAGTGCTAAAACCTGGGAAATCCCTGGCAAGCTAGGATGCATTGTTCTCCCTACATATTCCATTCCCACCATTCCTCAAACATGCCACGTTTTATGACTTTTCTCAAATCCCTCTGACAAGAATGACTACCTACCTTTATTCTATTAAAATTCTAGCCATTCTTTGTCTTTGCTTAATCTCCTCAAGATGCCCTTCTCCCGAGTCAGAATTAATATCTTTCACCAATGTTCTTTCACAGTATTTTGTTTTTCTTTTCCCCTCTGTTAGAGCACATGCCACTTTCATCATTAAATTGTAGTTAATTCCATATAAAAAGTACATATTTATCTGCCTCTCTAGACTGTTAGTTCTTTGAGGGCAGGAACCCTGTATCATTTATCTCCTTATATGGCACAATGTTCCGTTCATAGGAGGCACTAATAAATACTTGTTTGATGGAAATTATGACGCAAAGAGAAGGATCAGGGCAATAAAGGAAAGAAACATGAGCACAGAGCGGGTACAGAGGGAGGCAGAGAGCGGAGATAAAAAGATCACATGCGTGTCCAGTTCTTTTTTCCTGCAGTGATTCCAGATCTTTTCTTTTCCCATTGGTACCTCACCCAGACATTTTTCCTAATAACTATTCAAAATAACCCCTAATCTACTTCCATAACTGGTTTTCATCAAATGCTCACTGATGACTTATTCCTGTTTGCTGTTTACTTGTGCTGGCAACACCAGTTATTTACTTTCTATTTCCAGCCAGCCAGCATTACACAACTGTCTATTCCCTGTTTTCAGAGGCTCTTAACTGCATATATCTTCTATCTTGTCAGTTTTCATCTACCCATGGTAAACATCCCCTGCCCACACCCTCTCTAACTCTGAAACTTTAACCGGTATTAACAGGAAAGTTTGGGTTCCATCACTTCTATCACTGTTGTCAGTTCCAACCCACTTACAACTTATTTCTGGGACATATGATAATACAATATTACACTTGCAGAGTGAAATCCTGGAGTAAAAACATTTAAGGATAGAAAATTGGGTTCTGCATTTTAATAGCTGGAACACTCTGTGTATGCTGGTCTTAATTTGGGGAATTAAGTGTGAGACATAAAGGAACTTGAACTGAGAGAGAGTTGGTTTTAGATACTTGTCGTGGCCTTGATCTATCACGTAGGTCATAGTTCCCTTCTATTGAGCTAAGCTCTTCTTCTCTTTGAGTAAATTAAATTGGACAAATGGATATTAAGCACCTGCAATGTGCATGACATGACATTGTGCTATCTGCTATGTTCTTACAACACTCTGAGCGTACTTTTATTGGATATTAGAACACTCTTTATTAAATTGCAGCTATTGGTTTAGAGATCTGTTTTGCCACCAGACTGAGTCAGAGACTGTGTTTTTTCATGTGTATCCAGTACTCAGTACAGTATTAAGAACAGTAAGGGTGCACAATAAATGTTGGAAAGAGAAATGTATAGATACTTGAAAGGAAACAGAGATAAAGACATACTTCCTGCCCTAGAAGAGGCCACCATCTAACAAGCAGAAGGGGACATGAGCTCTGAAGACAAATAACTTTTTTTTTTTTGGGATGGAGTCTCGCTCTGTCACCCAGGCTGGAGTGCAGTGGCGCCATCTCCGCTCACTGCAAGCTCCGCCCCCCGGGTTCATACCATTCTCCTGCCTCAGCCTCCCGAGTAGCTGGGACTACAGGTGCCCGCCACTACTCCCGGCTAATTTTTTTTGTATTTTTAGTAGAGACGGGATTTCACAGTGCTCGCCAGGATGGTCTCGATCTTCTGACCTCGTGATCCGCCCGCCTCGGCCTCCCAAAGTGCTGGGATTACAGGCGTGAGCCACCGCCCCCGGCCTGAAGACAAATAACTTTAAACAAGCCAGACAAATAATTCTTGTCACTCTCTGTTATGGAACCCAGTGAACAATAGAGATGCATTTTGACCAGGGGATCTTTAGTCTATTTAAATTGGAACTCAGTGGAACTTTTGGGGCTAGCTTATTTTATTTAGTTAGTTATTTATTTTTAGAGACAGGGTGTCACTCTGTTGCCCAGGCAGGAGTACAGTGGCACAATCAGAGCTCACTGCAGCCTGGAGCTCCTGGGCTCAAGAGATCTTCCCACCTCAGCCTCTCAAGTAGCTGATATTATAAATGCACGTCACCATGCCCAGCTGCTGCTTACTTATTAATGGTTATTGCAGGTTTATCTTTAGTTCTTAATTTCCTGTTTTCTTTCAAGAAAGGCTTTTATTTTGTCTTTGAATTTCATGATTTGATGACCAGGTTTATGTTTCTGCTAACCAACAGTTTTTTTTCTCACCATGGAATACAGGGCTAATATTAAAAATAAAAGTAGATTTGTTGCTATTGGTGGGAGAGGAAGGGGTTAAATAAGAAGGAAGAAGCATGGTAACTAAATTTTCTGAATCTGACACTGATATGAGTATTCTGACAAGTATGAGTCAACTTTTAGAAACAACACGATGGAATATTAGACAGAGTTTTCCCAGATATTTGAGTTATGAAGAACAATGTGGTGTTTAAAAGTGTGGGCTCTGCAGACAGACCTGGGTTTGAATCTTGGCCCTGCCACTTCCATGTGGACTTGGTCAAAACGTCTAACATTTCAGAGCTTTAGTTTTCTTATCTACAAAATAATTTCTGATTCAGATTGATATTATGAATATTAAATGAGTTTATGTATAAAGCATCATCTCTGGTATACAGTAAGCACTCAAGTTTATTTCTACTCTATTATTATTCCAGGAGCCTAAATGTGCTGTTCAAGTGATGCAGACATTGACTAGAAGTTGGACAAGATGACCTTTTAGGTTATTCCGGGCCTAATACTCAGAGTTTATAATTCTTTGGCTAGGGGAAAAAATAAACTTTACTCACCGATGCCTCTGCTGATCAGATAACCCCAAAGCCCAGACACACTGCATACTTCTCCGACAGCAATAACTCAGCTGGCAGTTCCCAGGCAGAGATGTGGGAGAAAGTCCAATATCCGGGCAGTGCTAGGATCTACAACTTCCTGTGGTCTGACTAGTGAAATTTGACCAGATAAGAACAGTTAATAAGAAGCTCTCCAGATAGAAAAGTTCCTTTTATCTCTGAATGTGAATATATTGATGTTAAATACCTGAATGGATGAGGTTAATTTGAATAGTCTTCTA
Source organism: Homo sapiens (assembly GCF_000001405.40). Lineage (NCBI taxonomy): Eukaryota > Metazoa > Chordata > Mammalia > Primates > Hominidae > Homo > Homo sapiens. The sequence continues at coordinate 131,588,985 of NC_000023.11, read as the reverse complement.
TTATTGCAACAAATATGGAAAAGTGTTCAGGAAAACTTGAAAAATTCTTCTTCACAAATGTCACACAAACTGAAAGAAGTATCTTCTTATTCTGAGAAAACAGTGGCTCCACTGCCTACTTGAGAACGGAAGCATTAGCTTTTAAGAGCTGGACCCAGAGGTACCTCAGTGTATTGCCTAAGAAGAAATAAAGTCTCATATCCTGGACCTGCTTTTTGTAACACTTTGTAAGGCATGCCACATTCCCATCAAGGCTTTATCTTGAGGTCCCCAAATATTTCCAACTGGAGTCAGTCACTTGAATAAGAAAGCAAACATTGCAATGAAAACATTTAATGGCTATAAATTCAATTGTGAAGGAGTTCTTGTCTTTTTGAATGCTCAGGGGATGGAGTCCCTGGGCAATAACTTATTATTTCTCTTGCCTGCTCTACAATGATTACAGAGACTATTCAGGTAAATATTTTCATAACTAGATTGTCCTTGTGATTCTCTACTTTTTCTTTCCTTGAAACAATTTCGTAAGTGTGATCATGTGCCACCTTTTTTCCTCTGTCATGGTCAATAAAATGTCAAGGGCTGTATTCATGGCTCAAACTTTTTTTTGTAGGCAAACCCAAGCTATGGGCATGATAAAGATTTAGCAAGAAAGCAGCATAGCTTACTGTTTGAGTGAGAGTGCCGCTGTCAGGCAATCAGTTGAAATCTCAGCTCTGACACTTGCTAATTGTGTGACTTCTAACTTCTCTGTATCTCAGTTTTTTCATCTGGCAGTGGATATGATTGTAGTAATGCTTATGTAATAAGGTTATTGTGGGAGGATCAAACAAAACAACACACAGCAGTGCTTGATTAAAGTGTTTAACAAATGGTAGCTGCTATTATTAAGAAGCAGATTTTTTCAGCAAGTTCACAAGCAGGGAGGATGTAGCTGAAGTGATAATTGTGTTTGCAAGCACTTTATGAAGTTTGAAGTAATACTGAGAATATACCATCAATCATTCTGTAGAGTTTGCATATTTTAGGATTTGAGGTATTTGTTGGGGGCTGCAGCTGTATTCCCTTAATTCCCTTAGGACCCCTTCAACTTCTTGGACTACAGCTATATCAGGGGATGCTTGGACAGTAGCAATTTAGAACACCAAAACCCTTGGTAATTAAAGCAAAGCGAGTGAAAAATAGCTTTTAGTTATGTTACAACACGACAGGCTAAGCACTGGGGTACAATATCTTGTGCCTGTCTTACTGTTTTGGTTCTCCAGCAAAAGCTTGACAGTTCCCTATTTGGCCTTTCCTTCAAATGTTATAAACCCAATGCGGTGGTTGAAATGCATTTATAATTCTTGCCATTGGGAATATGGCCTGGATAAGTTGGAGAGCAAAGTCGAAGTGTTCCATGAAGAACTCACATTCTATTCGTAGTTGAAAATATATCTGAGATCTGCATCTGAAGAAAGAAGAAGAGAAACAGATACAGTGAGTTGGTCTTTCATACATTTGATACTGAACTTGAAGTGCTAAGAGTATGGAATTGTTCATTTTTATTGTTGGAGTATCAGTTATCTAGTATAAAGGTGTTTGTTGAGACAGTGGAATCTAGATCTGAAGGCACCTGCATGGATTTAAAATACAACTGTGAGGAATCCATTTTGCCTCCTTGAGATTATGTTTTCTGTCTTTTTAATATTGAAGTGAAATTTACATATAGTGAAATATACATATCTTAAGTGTAAAATATATGAATTTCCAAAAATGTATATAACTATATAACCACAACCTCAGTAAAGATATAGAACATGACTACAATTCTGAAAAGTTATCTTGTGTTTTCTCCCGGTCAATCTCTACACCCATCAACAACCACTGTTCTGTTTGCTATTCCCCCAGATTAGTTTTGCCAGTTCTTGCACTTCTTATGCATGGAAGCATACACTATGCATTTTTGTGTCTATCTTTTTTTTTTTACTTAACATAACATTTTTGAGATTTATCTGTGTCATTGTATATATTCGTTATTTATTGTTTCTTATTACTGAGTAACATTTCATTGTATGAATATGCCACACTTGGTTATTTTTGATTTGGGGCTATGTTGAATATTGTTGCTATGAACATTTACGTGCAAGTCATTTTGTGGACAAATGTTTTTAGTTCCTAGTGGGGAATATCTAGGAAACTAGCTGCTGGGTCAGAGAGTAGGCATAGGCTTAATTTTTAAGAAGTTTTCAAATGTTTTCTGAAGAGGTTTGTACAATTTTACATGCCCACCTGTGACATAGGAAAGTCGAGCTCCATTTGCTCCATGTCCTTGCCAATATTTGGTGTTGTTGGTATTTTTTATTTCAGTATTCTGGTGAGTATATGGTAGAATATAATTTTAAAAACTATTTTGAAATAACTTTAGATTTAGATAAAAATTTTAAAGATAGTACAGAGAGTTCTCATTCACTTTTCATCTTAAGATCACCCCCTTCCAGCCTGGGCCACAGAGTGATAACTTGTTTCCACAAAAATTAAAAAAAAATAGCTGGTCATGGTGGGATGAGCCTGTAGGCCTAGCTACCCAGGAGGCTGAGGTGGGAGGATGGCTTGAGCCCAGGAGTTTGAGGTTACAGTGAGCTATGATCCCACCTCTGCACTCCAGCCTGGGTGACAGAGCAAGACCCTATCTCAAAACAAACAAACAAACAACCCTCCTAATGTGGTTTTACTTTGCTCTTCCCTGATGACAAATAATGCTGAGTACAAGTGTATAGTGTCAATTCATATTTCTTCCTCTGTGGAGTATATGCTCGTCTTTGCCTATTTTTATTGGATTGTCTTTTTGTTATTGATTTTTAAGAGTTTTTATATATTCCAAATATAATATTCTGTCAAATATAAACATCGTGAATTTTTTTTTGTTACTGATTTGTGTTTTCATTTCCTGAATGGTGTTTTCGAAGGGCATTTTTAAATTTCATAAAGTTTAGTTTATCCATGTTTAAATGATTAGTGCATTTTGTGTTCTGTCCAGGAAATCTTTGTCATTGCCAGTGTCATAAAGATGTTCTCCTACATTTTCTTCTAGAAGCTTTGTAGTTTTAGTGTATACTTTTGCTTTATGATCTATCTTCAATTAATTTTCGAGTATCATGTGAGGTAATAGTAAAGGTTCATTTTGGTTTTCCATATGGGTATCTGCCAGGGGTTAGCAAACTGTGGCCTATAGGCCAAATCTGTCTTGCAACCAGTTTTTGTATAATTCTTGAGCTAAGAATGTTTATACGTTTTTAAAGGATTATAAACACAAAAACAAAGAACATGTGACAGGGATACCATGTGACTTGCAAAGCCTAAAATATTTATTATCTGGTCCCTTATACAATAAGTTTGCCTACCCCTGCTTTATACTATTATTGTTACATTTATTACACCTAAATGTGATATTAATCCCATAAGACAATGCCATACTTTTTACTTTAGCAATCGCATGAATTACAAAAAAATTACAGTGAAAAGAGCAAAAAATGTTTTGATACTTATTCAGATATGTATAATATTCAATCTTTTTATTCTATTCTGAAAATCTCAGTTTTCATCTGTCAAAATTTCCTTTCAGCATAAAGAACTCATTTTATCATTTCTTATAATGACGTTCTGCAACTGACAAATTTTGTAGCTTCTATTTCATTTTACTTGAAATGTCACTATTTTTCTTTAATTCTTAAAGAATATTTTCACTGCATGTGGAAGTCTGGGTTAATGTTTTGCTTTATTCTTTCAGTACTTTAAAGATATTCTTCTACTCAATTTTTGCCTCTATATTTTCTGATGAGAATTAATATAATTATTTCATATATATATATATACATATATACACACATACATATAATATTGCTTGTCTCTTACTGCTCTTGAGATTTGGTCTTTATCCTTGGATGACAATAATTTGACTATGATTTGCCTTGGAATGGCCTTTTTCATGCTTACTTTACTTGATGATTTGGACATCTTAAATTTGTAAAATTTATGCTTTTGTTTCAATTTGGGAAATTTCAGCCACTTTATCTTCAACTATTTTTCTCTCCCATTTTCTGTCTTTTATTATTTTGGGATTACAGTTACACTTATGTTAGACTGTTGCGTATTCTCTAACTGGTTACTGAGGCTTTATACATTCTTTAACCAGTGATTTTTTTTTTTCTGTGTTGTTTCCATTGGTCAGTCGTCAAGTTAAATTAACCTTTCATCTGTTACCTCCATTCTGCTTTTTTTTTTTATTATACTTTAAGTTTTAGGGTACATGTGCACATTGTGCAGGTTAGTTACATATGTATACATGTGCCATGCTGGTGCGCTGCACCCACTAACTCGTCATCTAGCATTAGGTATATCTCCCAAAGCTATCCCTCCCCCCTCCCCCCCACCCCACCCCACAACAGTCCCCAGAGTGTGATGTTCCCCTTCCTGTGTCCATGTGATCTCATTGTTCAATTCCCACCTATGAGTGAGAATATGCGGTGTTTGGTTTTTTGTTCTTGCGATAGTTTACTGAGAATGATGATTTCCAATTTCATCCATGTCCCTACAAAGGACATGAACTCATCATTTTTTATGGCTGCATAGTATTCCGTGGTGTATATGTGCCACATTTTCTTAATCCAGTCTATCATTGTTGGACATTTGGGTTGGTTCCAAGACTTTGCTATTGTGAATAGTGCCGCAATAAACATACATGTGCATGTGTCTTTATAGCAGCATGATTTATAGTCCTTTGGGTATATACCCAGTAATGGGATGGCTGGGTCAAATGGTATTTCTAGTTCTAGATCCCTGAGGAATTGCCACACTGACTTCCACAATGGTTGAACTAGTTTACAGTCCCACCAACAGTGTAAAAGTGTTCCTGTTTCTCCACATCCTCTCCAGCACCTGTTGTTTCCTGACTTTTTAATGATTGCCATTCTAACTGGTGTGAGATGGTATCTCATTGTGGTTTTGATTTGCATTTCTGTGATGGCCAGTGATGATGAGCATTTTTTCATGTGTTTTTTTGGCTGCATAAATGTCTTCTTTTGAGAAGTGTCTGTTCATATCCTTTGCCCACTTTTTGATGGGGTTGTTTTTTTCTTGTAAATTTGTTTAAGTTCATTGTAGATTCTGGATATTAGCCCTTTGTCAGATGAGTAGGTTGCAAAAATTTTCTCCCATTTTGTAGGTTGCCTGTTCACTCTGATGGTAGTTTCTTTTGCTGTACAGAAGCTCTTTAGTTTAATTAGATCCCACTTGTCAATTTTGTCTTTTGCTGCCATTGCTTTTTGCTTTTGGTGTTTTAGACATGAAGTCCTTGCCCATGCCTATGTCCTGAATGGTATTGCCTAGGTTTTCTTCTAGGGTTTTTATGGTTTTAGGTCGAATGTTTAAGTCTTTAATCCATCTTGAATTGATTTTTGTATAAGGTGTAAGGAAGGGATCCAGTTTCAGCTTTCTACATATGGCTAGCCAGTTTTCCCAGCACCATTTATTAAATAGGGAATCCTTTCCCCATTGCTTGTTTTTCTCAGGTTTGTCAAAGATCAGATAGTTGTAGATATGCGGCGTTATTTCTGAGGGCTCTGTTCTGTTCCATTGATCTATATCTCTGTTTTGGTACCAGTACCATGCTGTTTTGGTTACTGTAGCCTTGTAGTATAGTTTGAAGTCAGGTAGTGTGATGCCTCCAGCTTTGTTCTTTTGGCTTAGGACTGACTTGGCAATGCGGGCTCTTTTTTGGTTCCATATGAACTTTAAAATAGTTTTTTCCAATTCTGTGAAGAAAGGCATTGGTAGCTTGATGGGGATGGCATTGAATCTGTAAATTACCTTGGGCAGTATGGCCATTTTCATGATATTGATTCTGCCTACCCATGAGCATGGAATGTTCTTCCATTTGTTTGTATCCTCTTTTATTTCCTTGAGCAGTGGTTTGTAGTTCTCCTTGAAGAGGTCCTTCACATCCTAGGTATTTTATTCTCTTTGAAGCAATTGTGAATGGGAGTTCACTCATGATTTGGCTCTCTGTTTGTCTTCTGTTGGTGTATAAGAATGCTTGTGATTTTTGTACATTGATTTTGTATCCTGAGAGTTTGCTGAAGTTGCTTATCAGCTTAAGGAGATTTTGGGCTGAGACAATGGGGTTTTCTAGATATACAATCATGTCGTCTGCAAACAAGGACAATTTGACTTCCTCTTTTCCTAATTGAATACCCTTTATTTCCTTCTCCTGCCTAATTGCCCTGGCCAGAACTTCCAACACTATGTTGAATAGGAGTGGTGAGAGAGGGCATCCCTGTCTTGTGCCCATTTTCAAAGGGAATGCTTCTCCAGTTTTTGCCCATTCAGTATGATATTGGCTGTGGGTTTGTCACAGATAGCTCTTATTATTTTGAGATAGGTCCCATCAATACCTAATTTATTGAGAGTTTTTAGCATGAAGAGTTGTTGAATTTTGTGAAAGGCCTTTTCTGCATCTATTGAGATAATCATGTGGTTTTTGTCTTTGGCTCTGTTTATATGCTGGATTACATTTATTGATTTGTGTATATTGAACCAGCCTTGCTTCCCAGGGATGAAGCCCACTTGATCATGGTGGATAAGCTTTTTGATGTGCTGCTGGATTCGTTTTGCCAGTATTTTATTGAGGATTTCTGCATCAATGTTCATCAAAGATATTGGTGTAAAATTCTCTTTTTTGTTTGTGTCTCTGCCAGGCTTTGGTATCAGAATGATGCTGGCCTCATAAAATGAGTTAGGGAGGATTCCCTCTTTTTCTATTGATTGGAATAGTTTCAGAAGGAATGGTACCAGTTCCTCCTTGTACCTCTGGTAGAATTCGGCTGTGAATCCATCTGGTCCTGGACTCTTTTTGGTTGGTAAGCTATTGATTATTGCCACAATTTCAGATCCTGTTATTGGTCTATTCAGAGATTCAACCTCTTCCTGGTTTAGTCTTGGGAGAGTGTATGTGTCAAGGAATTTATCCATTTCTTCTAGATTTTCTAGTTTATTTGCGTAGAGGTGTTTGTAGTATTCTCTGATGGTAGTTTGTATTTCTATGGGATCAGTGGTGATATCCCCTTTATCATTTTTTATTGCGTCTATTTGATTCTTCTCTCTTTTTTTCTTTATTAGTCTTGATAGCGGTCTATCTATTTTGTTGATCCTTTCAAAAAACCAGCTCCTGGATTCATTAATTTTTTGAAGGGTTTTCTGTGTCTCTATTTCCTTCAGTTCTGCTCTGATTTTAGTTATTTCTTGCCTTATGCTAGCTTTTGAATGTGTTTGCTCTTGTTTTTCTAGTTCTTTTAATTGTGATGTTAGGGTGTCAATTTTGGATCTTTCCTGCTTTCTCTTGTGGGCATTTAGTGCTATAAATTTCCCTCTACACACTGCTTTGAATGCGTCCCAGAGATTCTGGCATGTTGTGTCTTTTTTCTCGTTGGTTTCAAAGAACATGTTTATTTCTGCCTTCATTTCGTTATGTACCCAGTAGTCATTCAGGAGCAGGTTGTTCAGTTTCCATGTAGTTGAGCGGTTTTGAGTGAGATTCTTAATCCTGCATTCTAGTTTGATTGCACTGTGGTCAGAGATAGTTTGTTATGATTTCTGTTCTTTTACATTTGCTGAGGAGAGGTTTACTTCCAACTATGTGGTCAATTTTGGAATAGGTGTGGTGTGGTGCTGAAAAAAATGTATATTCTGTTGATTTGGGGTGGAGAGTTCTCTAGATGTCTATTAGGTCCGCTTGGTGCAGAGCTGAGTTCAATTCCTGGGTATCCTTGTTGACTTTCTGTCTCATTGATCTGTCTAATGTTGACAGTGGGGTGTTAAAGTCTCCCATTATTAATGTGTGGGAGTCTAAGTCTCTTTGTAGGTCACTCAGGACTTGCTTTATGAATCTGGGTGCTCCTGTATTAGGTGCATATATATTTAAGATAGTTAGCTCTTCTTGTTGAATTGATCCCTTTACCATTATGTAATGGCCTTCTTTGTCTCTTTTGATCTTTGTTGGTTTAAAGTCTGTTTTATCAGAGACTAGGATTGCAACCCCTGCCCTTTTTTGTTTTCCATTTGCTTGGTAGATCTTCCTCCATCCTTTTATTTTGAGCCTATGTGTGTCTCTGCACGTGAGATGGGTTTCCTGAATACAGCACACTGATGGGTCTTGACTCTTTATCCAATTTGCCAGTCTGTGTCTTTTAATTGGAGCATTTAGTCCATTTACATTTAAAGTTAATATTGTTATGTGTGAATTTGATCCTGTCATGATGATATTAGCTGGTCATTTTGCTCATTAGTTGATGCAGTTTCTTCCTAGTCTCGATGGTCTTTACATTTTGGCAGGATTTTGCAGTGGCTGGTACCGGTTGTTCCTTTCCATGTTTAGCGCTTCCTTCAGGAGCTCTTTTAGGGCAGGCCTGGTGGTGACAAAATCTCTCAGCATTTGCTTGTCTGTAAAGGATTTTATTTCTCCTTCACTTATGAAGCTTAGTTTGGCTGGATATGAAATTCTGGGTTGAAAATTCTTTAAGAATGTTGAATATTGGCCCCCACTCTCTTCTGGCTTGTAGGGTTTCTGTCAAGAGATCCGCTGTTAGTCTGATGGGCTTCCCTTTGAGGGTAACCCGACCTTTCTCTCTGGCTGGTCCCTTAACATTTTTTCCTGGCTGGTCTCTCTCTCTGGTCCCTTAACATTTTTTCCTTCATTTCAACTTTGGTGAATCTGACAATTATGTGTCTTGGAGTTGCTCTTCTCAAGGAGTATCTTTGTGGCATTCTGTGTATTTCCTGAATCTGAACGTTGGCCTGCCTTGCTAGATTGGGGAAGTTCTCCTGGATAATATCCTGCAGAGTGTTTTCCAACTTGGTTCCATTCTCCCCGTCACTTTCAGGTACACCAATCAGACGTAGATTTGGTCTTTTCACATAGTCCCATATTTCTTGGAGGCTTTGCTCATTTCTTTTTATTCTTTTTTCTCTAAACTTCCCTTCTCGCTTCATTTCATTCATTTCATCTTCCATCGCTGATACCCTTTCTTCCAGTTGATCGCATCGGCTCCTGAGGCTTCTGCATTCTTCACGTAGTTCTCGAGCCTTGGTTTTCAGCTCCATCAGCTCCTTTAAGCACTTCTCTGTATTGGTAATTCTAGTTATACATTCTTCTAAATTTTTTTCAAAGTTTTCAACTTCTTTGCCTTTGGTTTGAATGTCCTCCCATAGCTCAGAGTAATTTGATCGTCTGAAGCCTTCTTCTCTCAGCTCGTCAAAGTCATTCTCTGTCCAGCTTTGTTCTGTTGCTGGTGAGGAACTGCGTTCCTTTGGAGGAGGAGAGGCGCTCTGCTTTTTAGAGTTTCCAGTTTTTCTGTTCTGTTTTTTCCCCATCTTAGTGGTTTTATCTACTTTTGGTCTTTGATGATGGTGATGTACAGATGGGTTTTTGGTGTGGATGTCCTTTCTGTTTGTTAGTTTTCCTTCTAACAGACAGGACCCTCAGCTGCAGGTCTGTTGGAGTACCCTGCCGTGTGAGGTGTCAGTGTGCCCCTGCTGGGGGGTGCCTCCCAGTTAGGCTGCTCGGGGGTCAGGGGTCAGGGACCCACTTGAGGAGGCAGTCTGCCCGTTCTCAGATCTCCAGCTGCGTGCTGGGAGAACCACTGCTCTCTTCAAAGCTGTCAGACAGGGACATTTAAGTCTGCAGAGGTTACTGCTGTCTTTTTGTTTGTCTGTGCCCTGCCCCCAAAGGTGGAGCCTACAGAGGAATGCAGGCCTCCTTGAGCTGTGGTGGGCTCCACCCAGTTGGAGTTTCCCAGCTGCTTCGTTTACCTAATCAAGCCTGGGCAATGGCGGGCGCCCCTCCCCCAGCCTCGCTGCCGCCTTGCAGTTTGATCTCAGACTGCTGTGCTAGCAATCAGCGAGACTCCGTGGGCGTAGGACCCTCCGAGCCAGGTGTGGGATATAATCTCGTGGTGCGCCGTTTTTTAAGCCCGTCGGAAAAGCGCAGTATTCGGGTGGGAGTGACCCGATTTTCCAGGTGCGTCTGTCACCCCTTTCTTTGACTAGGAATGGGAACTCCCTGACCCCTTGCGCTTCCCGAGTGAGGCAATGCCTCGCCCTGCTTCGGCTCGCGGACGGTGCGCGCACCCACTGACCTGCGCCCACTGTCTGGCACTCCCTAGTGAGATGAACCCGGTACCTCAGATGGAAATGCAGAAATCACCCGTCTTCTGCGTCGCTCACGCTGGGAGCTGTAGATCGCAGCTGTTCCTATTCGGCCATCTTGGCTCCTCCATTCTGCTTTTAAGTAAGTCCAGTGTATTTAATTTCAGAGATTGTATTTTCAGTTATGTAATTCCATTTAGGCTTTTTTTTCTTTGTTTCTTTTTTTTTCTTGGCGAGATTTTCTGTCTTTACATTCATTTCAAATATAGTCCTACGCCATTTATGATGGAGATACATTCTGAGAAATGTGTTGTCAGGCATTTCCTTATTGTGCAAACATCAGAGTGTACCTGCACAAACCTAGATGGTATAGCCTACCCCATTATATAGCTCCATTATAATCTTATGGGACCACCATCATGTATGCAGTTTGTTGTTTTCTGAAACGTCATTATGCGATGCATGACTGTATTTTTTTTTTTACTTCACTAAGAATAGCTAGAAAAATGCTTTAAAATACGTCTGCCAATTCTGTTATTTGTGTCAGCTAGTGATGAGTATTAGTTGATTTTCTTTTGTATTGAGAATGTATAACATTTTCCTGTTTCTTTATACGTTGAATGATTTTCGATTGCATCACAGACATGATAAATGTTAAATTGTAGAGTATATAAATTCTGTTACTTTTTTCTGATGAGCGTTTCTTTTGTTTTAACTGGCAATTATGTCAGTTATATTCAGACTGCAAAATCTGCTTTTTGGGTGGAATCTTCAGTCTTATTTCATATCTTTTATATTCAACTGAACTTCTTTAAACCTGCTGCGTGATTCAGCATCACCCAAACATATGGTCAGACAGAATTTAGGGATTCATTCCCTTGGTGTTTTCCTTGTGGGATATTCCCTCTTTCTACAGCACTGTTGTTTCTCCAGATTCAGTTTTCTGTATCCCCAGAAGAGAAAGACTGCCTTCCCCCAACCACTACCACTCTGCCCACCTTGCTACCTACACATAGCCTTAAGCTAAAACCATGAAAATGGGAACTCATTTTGTGCAACTCCTCTCTTCCAAGTATAGCCTCTTCATTAGATTCTGTTCTTTTCTATTTTCTCCCCAGTGTCTCCAGTTGGCTGTATTTTGTATTATGTCTGGAATTTGTAGCTGTTACTTGCAGGAGTGTTGGTCTAGTAAGATCTTACTCAGCTATTACCAAAAGTGAAAGTCATCTCTGTCTCTTTTTCCCCTAATCAATCAGATTTGCTTGTGATTTAACCATTTAATAAATATGTTAAAAGAACACACTTTTAGCTTTACTCATTTTGTGTTTTCTTGTTTATGTGTATCTATTCTTATTTAGATTATTTCTTCCCTTCTTTTCATACTGGGTTTAATCTGCTTGTCTCTTCCTACTTTTCTACAGTTGAAATGTAGATAATTGATTTTAAACCTTTCTTCTTTTTAAACATGAGCATTTAAAGTGATAAATATTCTTCGAGGCACTGTTTTAGCTGTATCCTACAAATTTTTGTATTGTATTTTCATTTTCATTGTTTGAAGTATTCTCTAATCTTTCTTGTGAGTTCTTCATGTGTTACTTATTAGTATGTGATTTAAATTCCAAATATGTGAGTTTTTTTGAGATGTTCTACTGCTGTTCATTTCTAATTTTATTTCCTTTGTGGTCAGAAAACATATTATTTAGATTTCCATATTTGAAATTTTTAAGACATATTTTATGACCCAGCAGTGTTTTAGAAATGTGAATTCAGTCAATGTGGTTAATTATGTTTTAAAAAATCTTCTTTACTTTTTTCCCACATAGGATAATTTGTATCACTCTGTCTCCAAGTTTACTACCAATTTTTTCCCCCTGTTATCTGCCAGCCAGTTTTCATGTTAAATGTCATAGGTTGTAGTCCTAGAATTTCCATTTGGTCTTTTTTATAATTTTGATTTATCTGTTGGTATACCCATTTGTCCACCTGTTTTGACCACCTTATCTTTTTAAAGTTCTTGAACATATTTATAATAGCTTTTAAAATGTCATCTGCTAATTTAACATCTGGATTATTACAGATTCATTGTATTAACTTTTTTCTTATGATTTTATGTTTTTGAAAATTCATCTCTAGTGATATTTGGTTGCGTAGTGGAAACTTGATAATATTTTTTAGAGATTATTGATTCTTATATTTTCTTCTAAGAGTGTTTTGATTTTCACTCCAGCTGACTTTTAAATCATAGGCTGATTATCTTAAACTTTTGGAGCCTTCATTTGATACTTTGTTAGTCTGGATCTGACTAGTTTTGCTTACAGGGGATCCTTAACCTTTGGAGATAGTCCTTATTCTTAAGGTATGGTCTTTCCAGAATTTTAACAGAAAGTCTAATACATTTATAGGCTGGGCGCAGTGGCTTATGCCTGTTTAATCCCTGCACTTTGGGAGGCAAAGGCAGGAGGATCCCTTTGGTCCAGGAGTTGGAGACCAACCTGGGCAACATGGCAAAATCCCATCTCTACAAAAAATACAAAAATTAGTCGGGCATGGTGGCGCTTGCCTGTGGTCCCAGCTACTCAGGAGGCTGAGGTGCGAGGATCACTTGAGCTTGGAAGTTTGAGACTGCAGTGAGCTCTGACTATGCCACTGCACTCCAGACTGGGTGACAGAGCAAGACCCTGTTTCAATTAAGATATTTATCAAGGTCTCCTAAATTAATGGAATTCACACTAGGCTCTGTCTCCCTATGGTGAGCAAACACTGAAATATCTGTTTCAGTTTTTTTTTTTGCCTTATTTCTGTTGCTTTCTGTAAGCTTTCTTATTGTTTTTTCTGTACATATTTGTGTTAGGGTATTTTACATAAAAATTAGAACTCACTTCTCTGTGACACTCCCCTTTCTGGGATTTTCCTCTTCAATTTTTAGCTGCTCTGGCAAGTCCCAATCCCATTTTCTAATACCTCAAACCAATATGACTTGAGATTTCTCCTTGCGTTCTAGGTACCTCACATCAAATTTCCTGGGTAGTGCCCTTAGGAGAAAACTACATAGATATGGACCTTACTCAGTGTGGTTTCTTTCTATTAGCAGTTGAATGCAGTCCAGTTTCTGTCTGCTTTCGGGTGCTCTCCAGTACCTTCAAATACAATCATAGGTCACTTAACATTGGGGGTATATTTTGAGAAATGCATCATTAGGCGATTTTTTTGTTGTGCCAACATCATAGAGTGTACTTACACAAACCTAGATGGTATAGCCTACTACACACCTAGGCTATGTGATACTGCCTATTGTTCCTAGGCTACAAACCTGTACAGGATGTTACTCTACTGAATACTGTAGGCAATTGTAACACAATGGTAATCATACGAACATATCTAAACATAGACATGGTACAGTAAAATATGGCATAAAAGTTTAAAAATGGTATATTTGTATAGGGCACTTACCATAAATGGAGCTTGTAGGACTGGAAATTGCTCTGGGTGAGTCTGTGACTGAGTTTTGAGTGAATGTGAAGGCCTAGGGTATTACTGTTTACTACTGCAGACTTTATAGACACTGTACACTTAGAGTATACTAAATTTATTTAAAATTTATTTCTTCAATAGTAAATCAAACTTAATTTGGTGTAACTTTTCTACTTTATAAACTTTTCAAATGTTTTAGACTTTTTGACTCATAACACAGCTTAAAATACAAACACATTGTACAACTGTACAAAATATTTTCTTTATATTTTTATTTTATGAGTTTTTTTCTACCTAATTTTTAAAAAATCTCTTTAAACTTTGTTGTTAAAAAAATAAGATACAAACAAACACACATTAGCTTAGGCCTATACAGGGTTAGGATCATCAATATCACCATCTTCACTTCCACATCTTGTCCCGCTGGACAACTGGAAGGTCTTCAGAGGCAATACCATGCATGAAGTTGTCGTGTCTTATGAAAATAATGTCTTCTGGAATACCTCCTGAAGGATCTACCTGAGGCTGTTTTACAGTTAACTTACAAAGATAAATAGAAGGAGTACATTGTAAAATAATGATAATTAAGTATAGTATAGTAAATACATAAATCAGTAACATAGTCATTTATTATTATTAACAAGTATTATGTACTACACATAATTGTATGTGCTTGACTTTTATATGACTGTTAGTGCAGAAGATTTGTTTATACATCACCATGACTATGTGAGTAATCTGTTGCACTACATCATGACAGCTCTGATATCACTGACATTTTTCAGTGTCATTATAATCTTATAGGACAACGATTATATATTCAGTCAGGTTGACCGAAACATTGGTATGCAGCAGTTGACTGTAGCTCATTTTTAATATTTTGTACAGAGTTTTGTAAATCTGTGAGATGATTGTCCAAAACAAGCCACTCTGCCATTGCCAGACCTCAAATTGGTTCTCTTTTAAAAAAACATTCAAAAGAGAAAAAAATAAACTTTTCATGACACATCTCACAGAATAAAATGTGCAGATGTGTTTGCAAGCAAAAATAGAAGATGTCAAAGTTATCTGCAGCTCCCCACATATTATATAACTCTATCTCAGGATGGGGGACAGCCATGTAATCTCACTTAGCCTCTCAGTAACCTGTTAACAAAACACAATATGATGTTTATGCCTATTTTACTTCATAGGAAATGCTAGTTTATCTGGTCAATTTTCTGTTCTTCCCTTACTTGGCCTAATGGCAGCATTTGAGAGATTTGATCACTCTTCTTCATACCCTTTGTTTTGCAAAACAATACACTCTCCTGATTTACCTACGCTAACTAGCCCCTCCATTTCAGTATTCTTTTAAGGTTGTTTTTTCTCCATAACCTCCTAAGATTGGAATTCCTCAGGCCTCAGTTCTTGGACTTTTTGTCTTTTCTAGCTACTTATCCCTTAGTGACCTCATCCAGTCCTGTGGCTTTAAATATACTCTATATGTTGACAATTTTCATATTCATATTTCCAATTCACATCTCTCCCCTGAAATGCAGACTCAAATAATCAAATTCTTAACTAACATTGCTTCTTTTTTGGTTTAATGGATATCTCAAAATTAACGTGAAAAATTTAACTCTCACTCTGTCTTCGTACCTCCTCTCTCCAAAATATTTTCTGATAGCCCCATCTTCATTATGTCCATTCTCTATTCCAGTTATTTAGAACACAAACATTTGAGTCATCTTTGACTCTTTTTTTTCACAACCTGATCCAATCCATCATTAAATCTTAGTGACTCTTCCTTCAAATTATTTTCAAAATCCTGTCACTTCCCACCACTTTTTATTACCACCTTGTTCTAGGCCACCATCAACTTTCACTTAAGCTGTTGAAATATTCTTCTAAGTAGTCTCTATGCCTCTGCCCTTGACCCATTAAAGTTGATTCTTCATACAATAGTCAGAGTAACCCTTTTAAAATGTAAGTTGAATCAGGATACTCCACTTCTCAAATACCTTTAAAAACCTACCATTTCCTTCAAAGTAAAAGTTAAAGCCTTTGAGAAGAACCTCCAAAATGGGACGTAAGTAACTCCAAAAATCTCCTTCTCTATAAAAGTAATAGAAACACTGACAACAATTGTCAAAGCAAATTTTTTTAGAACTCTGGAAATTAATCAAAAATTTACAATAATCTAAGAAGCATTTATTCAAGAAAGAAAACATCATCTTAATGAGAAGTGGCCTTCATGGTGTTTTAATTTGCCCGAATCCCATTTGTTCTCCCTAAATCCATGATAGCTTTGAAAATCAACAGCCTCACAATGATAGCAGCCATGAAAACCAGAAGCTTAGCCACCATGGGAGAGGGTATAACAGGTTTGAATTTTCCCCAAAACCACCTCCCCACAGAATTGCCACGATTTGACTTTTCTAATAGATTGTTGAAAAGCACATTTTCTGGGGTTCTTTTTATTTGAGCTGACTAATAAGTCACTGTGTAAATAACCCTTTTCCCAGGACATTTGCCAAAAGAATCAGTGGAAGTTGTTTAACAGGGCAGCTACTTGAGGTGTTGTTACCAGTTGGTACTAACAAAAGACTGACTAAAATACTTAAAAAGAAAAACTGGTGGACGAGATGGCCATAAAGAGCTTTGAAAAGTTTTAGCACACTCATAGGATCTAGAAAGCCACACATGGACACATGTAGACTATGTGAATGTCCAGGAAAGCCCTGAGAAGATCCTATTTCTTGCCTGTCGTTCACTTTGAAGCTCTGCAAGCAGGGTATAAAGGTTAAGCCGGAGTTGTAAACTGCCTGAGAGAGCATTGAATGTGTGCCACAATATGCAAACAGAGCCCCTCTGTCACGGCTAGGAGACTTATTAGTTCAAGACATTTAATTAAATCTCTGTCCAGTCATTAGCTGACTACTAAGCTAACCAAGCAGACAATTCAGTAGTTGAACAGCACAAATAATACAGACTTTAAATAATCCATGAAAGTCACTAACAATAAAATAGCTGCAAGAACAAAAGCAATAGACCGTAATAACAAATCCTGGTGAATGAGAGGAATTTGAATTCCAGAATTTTACATTATATCACTTAAAATGTACATATTTCAACAAAAAATTATGAGCCCCTCCAAAATAAGAAAGTGTGTTCTATACACACAAACAAAAGCAATCAACAGGAAATGTTCCAAAGGAAGCCCGGATGTTAGACTTACCAGATAATACTACAAATTAGCTATTGCAAATATGTTCAAAGAAATAAAAAAAGTCTAAAGAATTAAGAAAAATGTAATAACAATATCTCACCCAATAGCCAATATTAATAACAAGATAGAAAATTTAAAAATAACCATATAGGGGTTTTGGAGTTGAAAATAGAATAACTAAAATAGAAAATTTATAAGAGAGACTCAATAGCATATTTGAGAAAGCAGGTGACAGAATAAATGAACTTGAATATGTGTTAATTGAGAGTATACTGTCTGAGAAACAGGAAGAAATAACAAAAAAAATGAACAGAAACTCAGAGACCTGTGAGACATCATCAGGCATACCAATATATGCATAATAGAAGTTCCAAAAGAAGAAATAAAAGGAAAAAGTATATTTAAAGAAATAATGGCTGAAAACTCTCCAGATAAGACCAAACACATTAATGTATACATCTAACAAGCTCAACATTTCCTGAGTAGGATAAATTCAAAGAGATCCACACCTAGATAAATCATAATCAACATGTCAAAAGCCAAAGCAAAGAGAGAATTTTAATAGCAGCAAGAGGAAGAGTGACTCATCATGTACAAAAGTTTCTCAGTAAGATTAACAAGTGAATTCCCATCAGAAATCATGTAGCCCAGAAGGCAGTGGATTAACAAATTTAAAATATACAGAAGAGATGCTGTCAATGAAGAATTCTATATCTAGCAGAGCTATCCTTTGCTAGATGGAAAATGAAGGAGAAAATAAAAAATTTTCCAGATAATCAGAAACTGACAGAATTTGTTGCCAGCAACCCTGACTTACAAGAAATATTAAAGGGTGTCTTTCATGCTGAAATAAAAGAACACTAGACAGTAACTCAAATCCATGTGAAGAAATAAAAAACACTGTTAAAATGACTGCATACATAAATATAGAATAAAAATGTATAAATGATTTTTAACTATTTTCTTCTCCTTCCTGATTTAAAAGACAATTTCCTAAGGAAATCATTACAAATCTGTGTTAATGGGTTTATAAAATCCATCTGACATCATTATGACAAAGGAATGAGGAAGAAACTGAGTAATATAAAAGCTAAGTTTATATATAACTATTGGAATTTAAGTGTTACTTATCCAAAGTAGATTGTGATATGTTAAGATGTTAATTGTAATCTCTAATGCAACCACTGAGTATATAGCTCAAAAATATCATAAAATAAACAATATTGGAATTAAAATGAAATACTGGAAAATTTCTCTCTAACACAAAAGAAGATAATAATGGAGAAATACAGGAAAAAGTGAGATATAAAGCATACAGAAAAGAAAGGAAAAAATGGCATATTTAAATCCTATCATTAATAATTACATAAAAGGACAGAAATTGACCAAAGGGATTAAAAAATATTAAAACATGATCCAACTATATGCTATCTGCAAGAAACTCACTTTAGATTCACACGCCCAAATAGATTGAGAATAAAAGTTTGGAAAAATATATAGTATGTAGAAAGCACCCACAACAGAGCTGGTGGACCTAAACTAATATTAGATGAAATAGACTTTAAGATAAATATTTTTATTATAGACAAACACACAGCTGACATCAACTTAGTGGTGAAAGACTGAAGACTTTCCCTCTAGATCAAGAAGACCAGCATTTCTACTTTTGCCACTTTTTTGTGACATTGTACTACAATTTTTTGCCAGAGCAATTAGGCAAGAAAAAGAAATAAAAGCATCCAGATTGGAAAGGAAGAAGTACAATTAGGTCTATTCACAGATGTCATGATCCTGTATATGGAATATCATAAAGAGTCCACAGAAACTATTAGAATTAATAAATTCAACAAGGTTGTGGGATACAAGATCAATATACACAATCACTGTTATTTCTATACACCAGCAATAAACAACCAGCAAATGAAACTAAGAAAACGATTTCATTTATAATAGTGTCAAAAAGGATAAAATAGGAATAAAATTAACACATGAAGTGAAAGATACATACAATGAAAACTACAAAAAATTGTTGAAAGAAAGTAAAGAAGACCTAAGTAAATGGAAAAACTTTCCATTTTCATAGCTTAGAAGACTTAATATTGTTAAGATAGCAATACTTACCAAATTGATCCCCAGACTCAACACAATCTCTATCTATTTCCCTGTTGGAATTTACAACATTCATATAGAAATGCAAGAAACCAAAAATTGATATAAAATGCAAGGGATCTAAAACAGCCAAAACTATCTTGAAAAATAAGAATAAAGTTGGAGGAGTCACAATCCCCTACTCCAAAACTTATTAAAAGAATAGGGTAACCAAAGCTGTGTGGTACTGGCCTAAAGACAGACATATTAGTGAGTGAAGTAGAGTTGAATATCCAAAAATAAATATGCACATATGGTATGACAAGGTGCCAAAACAAGTAGATGGGGGAAGTAATAGTTTTTTCAGCAGATGATACTGGGAGAACTGCATCATTCCCTCATGCAAGGGGATGAGGTTTGAACCTTATCTCATATCATATACAAAAGTTAATTCAAAATGGATCAAAGACCTAACTGAAAGAGCTAAAATTTTGTAATTCTTAAAAGAAAATATAGAGATAAATATTTGTGACATCAGACTAGGCAATGGTTTTTAGATATGACAACGTAATTATAAGCCACAAAAGGAAGTGGAACACAAACTGGACATCATCAAATTTAAAAACTTTGTGCTTCAAAGGACATTACCAAAAAATTGAAAAGACAACCCATGAAGTGGAACAAAATGTTTGCAAATCATATATCCCATAAGGAATTTATATTTGGAGGATGTAAATAGCTCTTACAGCTCAATAATAAAAAGAAAAATAACCCAATTAAATATGGGCAAATGATATGCAAAGACATTTCTCCAAAAAAGATGTACAAATGGCAAATAAGCACATGAAAATATATGCAACACCATTAGTGTTAGGAAAATGCTCATCAAAACTACAATGAGATACCACTTTTCACTCACTAAGATGGCTCTAATAAACTTGACAAACAATAATAAACATTGGCTAGGATGTGAAGAAATTGGAAACTTCATCTATTGCTGTGGCGTGAATTCCTCTTTTTTTCTAGTTTTGCAAACACATCTGTATTTATATCCTAAAGCTTATTATATCTGAAAATATAGGGACAAGCAACTGAAGAATAGACAAATAATATTTATAACATGATTGCACATCTTTGTGAATGCTCTAAATGTCACTAAACTGTACAATTTAAAATACTGAATTTTATGGTATGTGAATTATATCTCAATGAAGCTTTTTTATTTTTTTAAATAAAACAAACTAAAACCCTTACAATGGTCTAGAAGTACCTGCATGATGTACCCTACAATGGTCTAGAAGTACCTGAACAATCTGGTCCCCATTCCTCTCTCAGCTCATCTGATGCTTTCTTCTATTTTGCTCCCTCCTCTCCAATCACACTGGCTTCCCTGGTGTTCTTCAAATACATTTTTCATTCTTTTGTCTTAGTGCCTTTGCCTGGAATATTATTGTCCTACAT
The DNA here is from genome assembly GCF_000001405.40 of Homo sapiens. Lineage (NCBI taxonomy): Eukaryota > Metazoa > Chordata > Mammalia > Primates > Hominidae > Homo > Homo sapiens. Next base: position 131,568,578 of record NC_000023.11, on the reverse strand, counting down.
ATTCACATATGTAGGAAATTTTAAATTATCCTAATTAAAATGGAAGCTCCTAACCTATTTCTCCTTATATATCTTACCATTGCTTTTATTTTAAAAAAATACTATATGGTTTATATTTATGGTTTAAGTCTCTTTCTCAATAACATACCACTTCATTAGTCTGGAGACATTTTTATTTGTTGAGGTATTCCCAAAGCCAAGAACAGTGCTTGGCACACATAGTGGCTTCTCTTTCTGTCTCTGTGTACTATGTGAGTGCATGTGCGCATGCACACATGTTATTTGTGTGTTTGTGTTTAGTTGTTATTTTTGTTGAATGGATGAATGAAGGAATGGATGACATACCACCTACCCACCCCCTTGCTCACATAACTTACACTTATTTGTCTTCTTCCTGTTCCTTAAACATGCTCAGTTCTTCCTTTCTTTCAGGCCTTTACATTTTTTTCCCCCTTCATTCTAGTATACTCATCTCCTCACTCTTCAATATTTGTACTAAGCATTTAATGTGAATCCTTCAGTCTCAGTTTAAATATAATTTCTTTTGAGAGCTCTTACCTGAAAATTCTATCATAAGGAAGTCTCACTCATTGCTCTTTGCTCCAGCTTTCTGTTTGTTTCCTTCAGAGTACTTCTTATGCTCTCAAATTGTTTTGCTTATAAATGTGATAGCCTGCTTAATGTCTGTATTTTAAAACATTTAGTCCCTACTAACAAATAGCAAGAAATTTGTCTTTTTTTCCTGTAGATCCCCAGTGCTAGCAAATCACCTAACACATAGAATATATTCAATAAATATTGGTTGAATAAGTGAAGTAAGGTGCAAAAAGAGGCAAAGTGTGAAACATCCTTCAACACTTACATCCTGACACACACACATGCCTGTATATGCTCTCTATAATTCCCTGTATGAGCTTTAGTCAAGAAAAGTGTGATAACCTTGCTACACATAGAATAAATTAAGCCTTTCAATATAAGGGCATCTCTGGTACTAGAGTTATATAATACTAATGATGATGATAAGAACAGCCATTATGGAAAACAGTATAAAGATTCCTTACAAAACTAGAAATGGAATTACTGTATGAGCCAGCAATCTCACTTCTGGGTATATACCCGAAGAGAATGAAATCACCACCTCATAAAGATATCCACACTCCCATGTTTTCTTGAAGCAATATTCATAACAGCCAAAGTATGGAATCAACCTAAGTGGCCATCAAAATATGAATAGATAAATAAAATGTGTCATAGATACACAATGGAATACTATTTAGCCATAAAAAGAACAAAATTCTGTAATTCACAACAACATGGATGAGTTTAGAGGTCATTATGCAAAATGGAAAAAGCCAGGCACGGAAGAATAAATACCACATGTCCTCACTCACATGTGGATGCAAAAAAGTTGATCTCATACGAGTAGACACTAGAATTGTGGTTACTAGAGATGGGGAAAGGTTTGAGGAAGAGAGGATAGCCAAAGTTTGGTCAACAGGTACAAAGGTACAGCTAGATAAGAGGAATAAGTTCTAGTGTTCTGTAGCACTAAAGAGGGACTGAAATCAACAATATTTATTGTATATTTTCAAATAGCTAGAAGAACAGATTTTGAATGTTTCCAACACAAAGAAATGATAAATGTTTGAAGTGATGAATATGTAAATTAACCTTATTTGATTATCACATACTCACTGTATCCCATAAATATATACAATTATTATGTCAATTAAAAATAATAAAAATGGGAATAGTAAAAGTAATAAAGTATTTTAAGGTGCTTACTATTTGCCAAGTACTGTACTAAGTGTTTTACACTGTTTATCTTATGCTCATAAGCAGCACTATGAAGTAGAGGTTATTATATTCTATACTACATAGCTGATAATGAGGGTTTCAGAGGGGTTAAAATATATTGCCCAAGTTCAGGTCTTTCTGACAATAAAGCTTGTGTGTATATGTCCATGTATATATGTGGACAAGCAGATATGGGCATACAGGGCCATGACTCAAATGCATTAGTGAAAAACTTTATTTGATGATTATTTTAATTGAGCCAACGACAACAAAAAATTGCAGGAACAAATGAGCACTTTTCTATGTACTCCTTTCTACGTGATGAAAATGGTAGATTGACTAGTTCTGCTTTCATGACTTGTTAAAACCAAAGGACCATTCTGTAGGTAATTAATTTTATTTTCTTACTACTTAGTACTGACATTGTTGACAAATTCACTAAAAGTTCAATGATTTCTTCTTAATTTTTTTCAAATTTTAAAATTTATTTCTGTGAAATACTTCCTGGAAAAGTTGTGGTTATGGTGCTCAAGTGCATTTTGTTTGCTCTGCTGCTGCCAGTACACAGCACGAAGCTCTTTTCTCAGCGATGTTGATTTTTTAAGGGGTCAGTTCAACCTTCTAAGATGTTGTTTTGTGATTTTGGCACACCTTATGAGGAGATGGTGTGCAGAGACGCAGAGTTGTCCATTATCAGCTACGAGTCATAACTGCTGTTTGGCAGAGATAAGAAATTTAAACAAATTTCCCAAGGCTTAGGGTAGTTCTAAAGTATTGCTTATTTATTATGACTCAGACTTGTTTATTTTGTAATACAAGGAAGATTTGGAGAAGGCAAATTTCACAGCAAACTTTTAATATAAAGGCACCTAACACATTCAACTATAACTGAACAGTTGTTCTTATAATTTCTTACATTTTCTACTCATCCAGAGTCTTGACTTCATGTTAGAAAGCTTCCTGTAGCTTGTTCTCCACTTCCAGATGTAACACATTTCTCTAGAGAGAGTCTTGTCTAACTTCTCCTTGAGGTAATCAAAAGGAAAGAAATTAGTTTACCTGTCTAATTTTCTCTCACAGCTAAAAAGGTCCCTGCCTCTCCCCGATAAATTTCTCTCTGTCAGCACAAGGCACATCTCATTTCTTGTTCCTCTCTACCTCCTCTTAGTTCCTAATGAAAATGATCAAACTCTAATAAGTATTAGGCTTGCAGTTTTCCTCCCTTTTTCCCCCTTACATCTGAGAAATCATATTTGTTTCCATCCTCTAGTGTTTGACTTCATCTGCTCACTGTGTCTTCTTGTTAGTTAATAGTACCTTCCTTCTAGTTTCAGGGTTGCGTTAGGTTAGATGAGAAGGATTAGAAAACATCAGAAATTAAACTTACATGAGAATTTTTTCAGGATTAAATTGATAATGTTACGACAAAATTTGTATAGCACCATAGATTTCTTTTCCAAAGAGTTCTTTATTGGGGTTCCCATGCTTTTCTCATTTTTGTTTGCACTTACAATAGTCTTCAGTCAGCTTCTGTTGTTGATGGATAAAGTATTAATTCCAGGAGTGCTTACCAGAGTGAAATAGAATAGATCCAACTTTGGGTGTACCTGCCAGGATGTATCCAGAAGCAATGGTGGAGTCAATTAGATTGAAACAAGTTTGGAAGCTTTTATTAGTCATACGTTACTGAGTTTAGTATTTTCTTTTTTCCAGAGTTGGGCTGACTCACTGACATTTTGACCCAACCTCAAAGATAATAAGATAATAAACACAAATTTTCAGTCTGTCATATTGTCATGGAATATTTTTAAATGATACAGTCATTATTGGTATAGACATAGGCAAATGACCACTCATACAATGGGTGTGGATTTTAAAGGGCAAATTGACAGGTATTTTTTTGGTTGATACATATTCAATGTCCACCATATGCTAGACATTGTGATAGAAATGTGACTTGTATTATCACATTTAATTTTCAAAACCACTTTTGTGAGGTAGGCACTCTTATAATCCCCATTTTATAGATGAGAAAACTGAGGTGTAAATATGGAAAGTGATGAGCTGAATCTGAAATAATTGTGCATAGCAGACTTAAATACATGCATATCTGAACCCCAAACTGATGCAAGCCTCATTGAGTGTTGGAATTATAGGTGATTTTTAAATTTATTCTCTACCGTTTTATCTACTTTTAAATAATTAACATTATAATTTAAAAATACTGTATATATTTGCTTTTTAAAAGACATTCCTCCTGAGTTAAATTTGCTGTGTTTGTAAGGTCAACACCTTTAGATCACCTTTGGAAGTTGGAAGGAATAGTGCACACTCATAGAGAAAATATAGCCCTATCTACTGATCAAGACATGTAATTGCATTTTCCATAATGTCTATCAGTTCTAGTTCTCAGTAGGTTCACAGTCTTGAAGGCCTCCTTGCTTTAGCAGAGGACCTTCTATGCAGACACTTATGTAGTAGTTAAGTAATTTTTTTCTCTCTACTCACCTCCATCACTTCAAAGTGTGGGTTATGACACATTTTACACCAAAAACATTGAGATAAGAATTGTCGATTTTGCAACTTTGCTCTTTTTCACCTAAAAAAGGGAATCTCAGCATATTATTATTATATTATAATAGAATATTTCCAATTTAGTAAAATAAAATCAAACTGCTCAGGATTACAATGTACTAATTATTATTTTATTTTAAAACTCTCCTTCAAGGCTGCCCTGTGTACTACTTAAATGGTGGTACTATAAAAGTTTAACATTTTTTTTCTCAGTGGAAAGATTTTACATGCCTGTTGGAAATAGAGAAAACACTTTAATTATCTTATAAAATGTTGTTTAGTATTTCTACCTTGTTATTTTTACAAGTCAATATCAAACTGTTGGTTAGATGAGCCTCCATGCGATATTCACATTCTTTTAGGACTCTTTCTTCCTAATTATTTTTCTTAGAGCATTTTCGCATCCTTGTCTCTCAAGGTGTAAATGAGGGGGTTCAACATAGGGGTCACAACACCATAAAATACAGAGATGCTATCATTTTGATGTTGCTTCTCTGGCATGTGTATACCTATGTAACAAAACTACACGTTCTGCACATGTACCCCAGAACTTAAAGTATAATAAAAAATACTTTCAAAAAAAATACAGAGATGACTTTACCCTCATCTTGGGATTCCCTTGACTGAGGTTTCAAGTACATGTAGGTGGCTGTCCCATAAAATATGATGATCACAGTCAGATGGGATCCACAGGTGGAGAAAGCTTTGAGTCTGGCCTCTGCAGAGTTGATCCTCAGCACAGCAACCACAATGTGAGCATAGGCGAAGAGGATGAAGGTGAAGGGCAGGGGCAAGGTGAAGGGCAGGGACAAGGTGAATATGCCGATGACTAGACCGAGGATGAGGCTGCCTGGGATGTCTGAGCAGACAAGCTTCAACAATTCCTGCACCTCACAGGTAAAATGGTTGATGACATTGTGTCCACAAAAATGGGCAGGAATTGCAATGCAATCATTGCAATTAATGTATTATTGCAATGTATTATTGCAATTATTGTATTAATGACATAAGGAAGGCACTGGCCCAGGTCACCATGGCCAACTGTATGCAGACCTTATTGTTCATAATGATGATGTAGCGCAGGGGATTGGAGATCACAACAAATCTCTCATAAGCCATGACAGCAAGGAGAAGACACCCTGTCATCCCCAGAAAAAAAGCACTGGTCATCTGGGCATAACAGCTGTTATAGGAAATGGTGGGGTAGTCTCTTAAGCCATTGAACAACAAAAAAGGTACTGAATTGCTGGAGTAGCAGATATCAAGGAAGGACAGGTTGCTTAGGAAAAAACACATAGGAGTGTGAAGCCACCCATCAACTTTAACCACAACAATAATGAGACTGCTACCAACAAATGTGATCAGGTAGACCACTACCATGGTGCGATAAAAGGCAATCTGAAATTTTGGATGGTTGTACAAACCCACCAGGATGAACTCTGTCACTTCACTGCCATTATCAATAACCAGAATATCCATTTTGTTCTATCTGCCGAGAAAGAAGAAGGAATTCAATTCATTTTAATTTGAGAGGCAATTATTGAGTATTTGCTATATCCTCAATCTCTATATTGGGTGCTATTAGGAAGAGATGTCTACAAAACAAGTAATGTCATTTGGATCTTTATGTTTTAATTTGGGAGATAAAACATTCATATACAGCATAAGATTAATTTGCTAAGTAGCACATCCATTATGAGTCTTAATTTCTTCATCTTTAAAATGAGGGAGGTTGGACTTTACTTTTGAACACTCCTCTTAAAGAAAAGGTGCTATCTTATTGTTCAAATGTAATCAGATTCCCGAATCACAGAATTGCTAATTATCCTTTCCCACTATGGATATTTGTCTTTAGCTGATTCACATCCATGACATAAAATGTGTGCCCAGTTCACTCTCACTTCTTCCTTACCCTGAATATCCAATCAGTCACCAAGTCCAATTGGCTCTTCCTCCTACGTATATTTCAAATCTACCTATAATGCTTATGTAGTCAGAGCCACCATTATCTCTCATCTGTACTAATAGATGAGTTGCCTAATAGATCTCCCTACTTCCATTCATGCCTCTCTATAGTCTATTTTCCACAGAGCAGCCAGAATCAACTTTAACAAATAAACACAATTACAACCATATCCTGTCTATGCTTAAAACCCACTTGAGGGCTTCTAATTGTACTTAGAATAAAATCTAACTTATTACCAAAACCTACAAGACTCTAAATGATCTGACCCCAACCTTATCTTGCACTGTCTTTTCTCATCGTGTTCCAGCCATACTGTCTTTATGAGGCACTCCAAGCTTGTTCACATTTCAGGACTTTTGCACATTGTGTTCTCTGTGCTGGAAATATTCTTCCTACTCTTTTTTTGCTTTGTGAACTCTTAATAATCCTTGATATTATATCTCAGCTTAAAAGGGCCTTTTTTTTTAACTTTAAGTTCTGGGATACATGTGCAGAATGTGCAGGTTTGTTACATAGGTATACGTCTGTACTTGTCAACCCGTCATGGTTTGATAGGGTTTTAAGCCCTGCACACATTAGCTATTTGTCCTGATGCTCTCCCTCCCCTCAACCCCCACACCCTGACAGGCCCCAGTGTGTGTTGTTCCCCTCCCTGTGTCCATGTGTTCTCATTGTTCAACTCCCACTTATGAGTGAGAACATGCAGCGTTTGGTTTTCTGTTGAAAATGAAGTTTTTAAGAAAAGTCTTCTTTAACACCACCCCTTCTTTGAAATCAAAATCAGATCTTTTTGTTACAATTGTTCATCGCACCCTGAACTTGTCCTGCATGGCCCTTATCACTGTTTGTATTTATGTATTGATGTAACATTTAATTTCTGTATTCTTACTAAATTATAAACTTTGGGACAGAAGAAGCCCCGACTGTCCTGTGCACTGGCTTATTTCCATCACCTCACACAGTGCCTGGCACAAAATATGGGTTTAATACATGTTTGTGGAATGAATCAGTGCCAGTTATTTGACTCTTCTGTCTTACCTAATGTCAAGAAATTGATTTGACTGAAAGTGCATTAAATTGGCTGGAGAAAATAAATGTTCGAGGGTGAAAAGTCTATGATAAGAAACAGGATCTCATGTTTTTCAGTTTTATGAATGCCTTGTAGCTCAGAAATAAACTTCAATGCTTTGCCTTTTTAAAATCCTACAGTTTGCCCTTTGCATGGAGGGAAGGTGGTGTAGTGAAGTGAGGAAATGAAGATTATTTTAGAAACAGAAACAAAGTGTTTTTTTTTTTTGAAACGGAGTGTCACTTTGTCACCCAGGCTGGAGTGCAATGGCACGATCTCAGCTCACTGCAACCTCCGCCTCCCCAGTTCAAGCAATTCTCCTGCCTCAGCCTCCCATGTAGCTGGGATTACAGGCATGTGCCACCATGCATGGCTAATTTTTGTATTTTTAGTAGAGACTAAAATTACATGTTGGGGTTTCGCCATGTTGGCCAGGCTGGTCTTGAACTCCTGACCTCAGTTGATCCGCCCACCTTGGCCTTCCAAAGTGCTGGGATTACAGGTGTAAGCCACTGCACCCGGCCAGAAACAAAGTGTCTTTACACCTTTTCATCCATCCAAATTTTTATTTACTTTGTTTGGTCTGGTTTTATTAAGTATGAATCCTATCACAGACCAGCTCATTATTGAAGTCAAGATTTTTTTTCCTGGATATTCTGTAATATCCATCCATCAAGTTCTAGTCACAAATCAGAATATTGGGTCTTTATGGTATATAGTTACAGAGACTCATGAGGCAAGTATCAGGTTTTGGTGAGAGCAGGCTGTGGATGGAAAGGTTTGTCTTAGGAGCTGGGCAGCAGGAAGTATCATCCAGGTTAATGGCATAGATAATCTTTTTGGATTCTCTACTCAAGACATACACCAAGCCTCAGAAGGCAGAAGACCTTTATGGACAAGTAATTCAGGAAGTAAAGTAATAGATTGTAACAGGATCCTCAATAAAATTTGATGCAGAACAAGGAGACTCTGAATAGGAATCAAGAACCAAGGCCAGGCAATCTGAAAAACACTACTTAACTGCTGTGCAACATCTAACTGAAGTTGTTTCTACTCATTACAGAGTCATCCTACAAGGAGAGCCTTGGTGTCCTTTAATGAGAAGTAGAATGCTCCTTTTTGTTCTGTAGATATTCCCAGGTTTGGAATCAGAAAACAGAATAAATATGAAGGGAAAATGGTTCTTGAAATAGAGTTATTAGACTGAAACTGAGACAAAAGTCAGCTGATCTGGCCTTTGTGCATTAGACATCACAACTCTGGTTTCCAAATAGTGTTACAAGAATGGGACTTTCAGGGTACATACTTTTTCAAGGGGTACTAAAGTTTCATACTAGAATGACGACATATTTAACCATAAAGCCTTAGTTAGGCTTACAGTCCTCATCATCTTATAGCCCTAAAGATCGCAAAACAAACTAAAAAAAGGCCAGCATAAATAGTGGGAAAATAACACATTTTTGTATATATATGATTTAAATGCATCTCACCAGACTAACCATATATTTTTTTTATTGAATAATTCAGTGTTTTAGCACTGTGAGAGCCACAATCTTTCTAAACTAACTAGACATATGTAGAGATACCCACACATAAATTCACAGCTTTTTAAATTTTAGAAATATTTTGGGTACACTTCATGGCTTTTCTTCACACAGGTTTCTCAAAACAGGCATTCCTCGTCCCACCTACCATGCAAGACAAGAGTGTGCTTCCCAGGAGGATTCGATTCATTTTCAATATTAAAATTAAGGGACATGTGGAGTATCATCCTTTTTCCCTGAGCTCCTCAGAAAGCTCCCAAAAGCACAAACTATACTTTATGAAAGGGATAGTGCTTACAGGCAGGAATTTCTATTATCCATATCATGCAGTATAGAGTGGTGGTTAAGAAAATGGATTCCGCAGCTGTGTTTGAATCCTGGATCCATCACTGATACACTATGTGACATTGGTAGTTTGTTTCACTTGTTTATACCTTAGTTTCCTCGGTTGTAAAATTGGGATAATTGCAGTATATATATCATAGAATTTTAGTGCTATATATGTATTATCTATTATTATATTAAAATGAGGCCCCACTTAGGAAGTATCGCTCATGAGAAAGTGAACACCTTGGTTGTCTTTCTTTTCTGGAGGGCAGAAAGAAGAATAAATGAGGATACAAACAAGGCACTATGGTCAGATTATATTATAAGCCCTCTGAAAGCAGAACCTACATTTTATTGATTTCTGTAACTCTAGTACGTGGCTCACTTCCTGGCACATAGCAGGAAGTCACCAAATATTTTTGGAATTGAATGTATTGTACTCAACTGAATAGCAAAAAGCAAAATAAATAAATATGACGAAATCTACTAAGCTCTCTAAGAGTTGTGTTAATATAGCCCTTTGTATATTGCAACATTGTCAGCTCACTGAGGTGTTAGAGTCTTTCAAGGGGAGTGAATTGCAGTTGCATCGTGGGAGATCCATGTCAAGACTGACCATTCCACATATTCATGCTGATTTGTTCCAAGAAACAAATATGGCTTCTTTCCTTCTTGCCAGGGCATACGATTCTTCACTTGCTTTTACAGTGAATTGTGTCTTGATTTTGCTCAGCATTTTAGGAACCAATGGGTCCAAAATATGAACAATGGAAGGCGAGGACAATCTTAAACATTTTCTGATGCTACCTTCTGAGTTTATTCATTGTGGCTTCAATGAAGCAGTTTCACTGAAGAGACTTCAGGCACCAGGTCCCTAAAAGGCAACTAATTCCCACTACTGAGTTGAAGGTGTATATTCATTTGGGAGTGTTATTTTTATGTCATTAAATTACATGTAGCTTTTGCTCACTAATTCCAAGGCTTCATTACTGACTATATGATGAAACTTTTGACTAACATTGTTAACTCCGTTTCTGCTCTTGAGTTACCAAGGAGTAGGGCCATTCCTAGGATAATTACTGAGTACCCTGTTTCTTTTTTTTCTTTTTTTTTTTGTTATTATTATACTTTAAGTTTTAGGGTACATGTGCACAATGTGCAGGTTAGTTACATATGTATACATGTGCCATGCTGGTGTGCTGCACCCATTAACTCGTCATTTAGCATTAGGTATATCTCCTAAATCTATCCCTCCCCCCTCCCCCCACCCCACAACAGTCCCCAGAGTGTGATGTTACCCTTCCTGTGTCCATGTGTTCTCATTGTTCAATTCCCACCTATGAGTGAGAACATGCGGTGTTTGGTTTTTCGTTCTTGCGATAGTTTACTGAGAATGATGATTTCCAATTTCATCCATGTCCCTACAAAGGACACGAACTCATCATTTTTTATGGCTGCATAGTATTCCATGGTGTATATGTGCCACATTTTCTTAATCCAGTCTATCATTATTGGACATTTGGGCTGGTTCCAAGTCTTTGCTATTGTGAATAGTGCCGCAATAAACATACGTGTGCATGTGTCTTTATAGCAGCATGATTTATAGCCCTTTGGGTATATACCCAGTAATGGGATGGCTGGGTCAAATGGTATTGCTAGTTCTAGATCCCCGAGGAATTGCCACACTGACTTCCACAAGGGTTGAACTAGTTTACAGTCCCACCAACAGTGTAAAAGTGTTCCTGTTTCTCCACATCCTCTCCAGCACCTGTTGTTTCCTGACTTTTTAATGACTGCCATTCTAACTGGTGTGAGATGGTATCTCATTGTGGTTTTGATTTGCATTTCTCTGATGGCCAGTGATGATGAGCATTTTTTCATGTGTTTTTTGATTGCATAAATGTCTTCTTTTGAGAAGTGTCTGTTCATATCCTTCGCCCACTTTTTGATGGGGTTGTTTTTTTCTTGTAAATTTGTTTGAGTTCATTGTACACTCTGGATATTAGCCCTTTGTCAGATGAGTAGGTTGTGAAAATTTTCTCCCATTTTGTAGGTTACCTGTTCACTCTGATGGTAGTTTCTTTTGCTGTGCAGAAGCTCTTTAGTTTAATTAGATCCCATTTGTCAATTTTGGCTTTTGTTGCCATTGCTTTTGGTGTTTTAGACATGAAGTCCTTGCCCATGCCTATGTCCTGAATGGTAATGCCTAGGTTTTCTTCTAGGGTTTTTATGGTTTTAGGTCCAACGTTTAAGTCTTTAATCCATCTTGAATTAATTTTTGTATAAGGTGTAAGGAAGGGATCCAGTTTCAGCTTTCTACATATGGCTAGCCAGTTTTCCCAGCACCATTTATTAAATAGGGAATCCTTTCCCCATTGCTTGTTTTTCTCATGTCATCTGCAAACAGGGACAATTTGACTTCCTCTTTTCCTAATTGAATACCCTTTATTTCCTTCTCCTGCCTAATTGCCCTGGCCAGAACTTCCAACACTATGTTGAATAGGAGTGGTGAGAGAGGGCATCCCTGTGTTGTGCCAGTTTTCAAAGGGAATGCTTCCAGTTTTTGCCCATTCAGTATGATATTGGCTGTGGGTTTGTCACAGATAGCTCTCATTATTTTGAGATAGGTCCCATCAATACCTAATTTATTGAGAGTTTTTAGCATGAAGCGTTGTTGAATTTTGTCAAAGGTGTTTTCTGCATCTATTGAGATAATCATGTGGTTTTTGTCTTTGGTTCTGTTTATATGCTGGATTACATTTATTGATTTGCGTATATTGAACCAGCCTTGCATCCCAGGGATGAAGCCCACTTGATCATGGTGGATAAGCTTTTCGATGTGCTGCTGGATTCGGTTTGCCAGCGTTTTATTGAGGATTTTTGCATCAATGTTCTTCAAGGATATTGGTCTAAAATTCTGTTTTTTTGTTGTGTCTCTGCCCGGCTTTGGTATCAGGATGATCCTGGCCTCAGAAAATGAGTTAGGGAGGATTCCCTCTTTTTCTATTGATTGGAATAGTTTCAGAAGGAATGATACCAGTTCCTCCTTGTACCTCTGGTAGAATTCGGCTGTGAATCCATCTGGTCCTGGACTCTTTTTGGTTGGTAAGCTATTGATTATTGCCACAATTTCAACTCCCGTTATTGGTCTATTCAGAGAGTCAACTTCTTCCTGGTTCAGTCTTGGGAGGGTGTATGTGTCGAGGAATTTATCCATTTCTTCTAGATTTTCTAGTTTATTTGCGTAGAGGTGTTTGTAGTATTCTCTGATGGTAGTTTGTATTTCTTGGGATTGGTGGTGATATCCCCTTTATCATTTTTTATTGTGTCTATTTGATTCTTTTCTCTTTTCTTCTTTATTAGTCTTGCTAGCAGTCTATCAATTTTCTTGATCCTTTCAAAAAACCAGCTCCTGGATTCATTGATTTTTTGAAGGGTTTTTTTGGTCTCTATTTCCTTCAGTTCTGCTCTGATTTTAGTTATTTCTTGTGTTCTGCTAGCTTTTGAATGTGTTTGCTCTTGTTTTTCTAGTTCTTTTAATTGTGATGTTAGGGTGTCAATTTTGGATCTTTCCTGCTTTCTCTTGTGGGTATTTAGTGCTATAAATTTCCCTCTACACACTGCTTTGAATGTGTCCCAGAGATTCTGGTATGTTGTGTCTTTTTTCTCGTTGGTTTCAAAGAACATCTTTATTTCTACCTTCATTTCATTATGTACCCAGCAGTCATTCAGGAGCAGGTTGTTCAGTTTCCATGTAGTTGAGTGGTTTTGAGGGAGTTTCTTAATCCTGAGTTCTAGTTTGATTGCACTGTGGTCTGAGAGACAGTTTGTTATAATTTCTGATCTTTTACATTTGCTGAGGAGAACTTTACTTCCAACTATATGGTCAATTTTGGAATAGGTGTGGTGTGGTGCTGAAAAAAATGTATATTCTGTTGATTTGGGGTGGAGAGTTCTCTAGATGTCTATTAGGTCCGCTTGGTGCAGAGCTGAGTTCAATTCCTGGGTATCCTTGTTGACTTTCTGTCTTGTTGATCTGTCTAATGTTGACAGTGGGGTGTTAAAGTCCCCCATTAATAATGTGTGGGAGTCTAAGTCTCTTTGTAGGTCACTCAGGACTTGCTTTATGAATCTGGGTGCTCCTGTATTGGGTGCATATATATTTAGGATAGTTAGCTCTTCTTGTTGAATTGATCCCTTTACCATTATGTAATGGCCTTCTTTGTCTCTTTTGATCTTTGTTGGTTTAAAGTCTGTTTTATCAGAGACTAGGATTGCAACCCCTGCCTTTTTTTGTTTTCCATTTGCTTGGTAGATCTTCCTCCATCCTTTTATTTTGAGCCTATGTGTGTCTCTGCACGTGAGATGGGTTTCCTGAATACAGCACACTGATCGTCTTGACTCTTCATCCAATTTGCCAGTCTGTTTCTTTTAATAGGAGCATTTAGTCCATTTACATTTAAGTTAATATTGTTATGTGTGAATTTGATCCTGTCATTATGATGTTAGCTGGTGATTTTGCTCGTTAGTTGATGCAGTTTCTTCCTAGTCTTGATGGTCTTTACAATTTGGCATGATTTTGCAGTGGCTGGTACCGGTTGTTTCTTTCCATGTTTAGTGCTTCCTTCAGGAGCTCTTTTAGGGCAGGCCTGGTGGTGACAAAATCTCTCAGCATTTGCTTGTCTGTTAAGTATTTTATTTCTCCTTCACTTATGAAGCTTAGTTTGGCTGGATATGAAATTCTGGGTTGAAAATTCTTTTGTTTAAGAATGTTGAATATTGGCCCCCACTCTCTTCTGGCTTGTAGAGTTTCTGCCAAGAGATCTGCTGTTAGTCTGATGGGCTTCCCTTTGTGGGTAACCCAACCTTTCTCTCTGGCTGCCCTTAACGTTTTTTCCTTCATTTCAACTTTGGTGAATCTGACAGTTATGTGTCTTGGAGTTGCTCTTCTCAAGGAGTATCTTTGTGGCATTCTGTGTATTTCCTGAATCTGAATGTTGGCCTGCCTTGCTAGATTGGGGAAGTTCTCCTGGATAATATCTTGCAGAGTGTTTTCCAACTTGGTTCCATTCTCCCTGTCACTTTCAGGTACACCAATCAGACGTAGATTTGGTCTTTTCACATAGTCCCATATTTCTTGGAGGCTTTGCTCATTTCTTTTTATTCTATTTTCTCTAAACTTCCCTTCTCGCTTCGTTTCATTCATTTGATCTTCCATCACTGGTACCGTTTCTTCCAGTTGATCGCATTGGCTCCTGAGGCTTCTGCATTCTTCACGTAGTTCTCGAGCCTTGGTTTTCAGCTCCATCAGCTCCTTTAAGCACTTCTCTGTATTGGTTATTCTAGTTGTACATTCTTCTAAGTTTTTTTCAAAGTTTTCAACTTCTTTGCCTTTGGTTTGAATGTCCTCCCGTAGCTCGGAGTAATTTGATCGTCTGAAGCCTTCTTCTCTCAGCTCGTCAAAGTCATTCTCCGTCCAGCTTTGTTCCGTTGCTGGTGAGGAACTGCGTTCCTTTGGAGGAGGAGAGGCGCTCTGCTTTTTAGAGTTTCCAGTTTTTCTAGAGTTTCTGTTTTTTCCCCATCTTAGTGGTTTTATCTACTTTTGGTCTTTGATGATGGTGATGTACAGATGGGCTTTTGGTGTGGATGTCCTTTCTGTTTGTTAGTTTTCCTTCTAACAGACAGGACCCTCAGCTGCAGGTCTGTTGGAGTTTGCTAGAGGTCCCCTCCAGACCCTGTTTGCCTGGGTACCAGCAGCGGTGGCTGTAGAACAGTGGATTTTCATGAACCGCGAATGCTGCTGTCTGATCATTCCTCTGGAAGTTTTGTCTCAGGAGTACCCGGCCGTGTGAGGTGTTAGTCTGCCCCTACTGGGGGGTGCCTCCTAGTTAGGCTGCTCAGGGGTCAGGGGTCAGGGACCCACTTGAGGAGGCAGTCTGCCCCTTCTCAGATCTCCAGCTGCATGCTGGGAGAACCATTGCTCTCTTCAAAGCTGTCAGACGGGGACATTTAAGTCTGCAGAGGTTACTGCTCTCTTTTTGTTTGTCTGTGCCCTGCCCCCAGAGGTGGAGCCTACAGAGGCAGGCAGGCCTCCTTGAGCTGTGGTGGGCTCCACCCAGTTCGAGCTTCCCAGCTGCTTTGTTTACCGAAGCAAGCCTGGGCAATGGCGGGCACCCCTCCCCCAGCCTCGCTGCCGCCTTGCAGTTTGATCTCAGACTGCTGTGCTAGCAATCAGCGAGACTCCGTGGGCGTAGGACCCTCCAAGCCATGTGCGGGATATAATCTCCTGGTGCACCATTTTTTAAGCCCGTCGGAAAAGCGCAGTATTGGGGTGGGAGTGACCCGATTTTCCAGGTGCCATCTGTCACCTCTTTCTTTGACTAGGAAAGGGAACTCCCTGACCCCTTCCACTTCCTGAGTGAGGCAATGCCTCGCCCTGCTTCGGCTCATGGACGGTGCGCTGCACCCACTGTCCTGCACCCACTGTCTGGCACTCCCTAGTGAGATGCACCCGGTACCTCAGATGGAAATGCAGAAATCACCCGTCTTCTGCGTCGCTCACACTGGGAGCTGTAGACCAGAGCTGTTCCTATTCGGCCATCTTGGCTCCAGCCCAGTCCCCTGTTTCTTGAGAGCATTCTCAACATGGCTCAAGAAGGTAATGAGTGTTCTCAACAAACTAACACAGAAACAGAAAACCAAACACCACATGTTCTCACTCATAAGTGGGAGTTGAACGATGAGAACACATGGACACAGGGAAGGGAACAACATATACCGGGGCCTGTCGGGGGGTGGGCAGCAAGTGGAGGGAGAGCATTAGGACAAATACCTAATGCATGTGGGGCTTAAAACCTAGATGACTGGTTGATAGGTGCAGCAAACCACCATGGCACATGTATACCTATGTAACAAACCTGCACATTCTGCACATGTATCCTAGAACATGAAGTGAAATAATAATTAAAAAGAAGGTAATAAATGAATGGGGTGGGTGTAGTGGCCACTATCTATTGAGACTCTATGAAAACTTTCAATTAAGCATTTAGGTAAATAAAATTCTGCAAACAGTGTTTACTGGAGGTCTCCTCTTTCTCTCCACTTTTCCCCAACTTCCCCCACTCCATCTCAGCCATCTTTGATTTGAGTAGGTTCTGGAAATCCCAATTTTTCCTAAAGCTTTCCTAGATTAGTTTTGAGGTACCATGCAAACTGTTGCTGTCTAAATATAATCCTGCACCCTTTCATTCACTGCCCGGTTAATTTATTACATCTATACATATATCTAATTACAATAGTTTTATTTATTGATTTCTTGCCCAGTTTGTGCTCTGAATATATGATACACTTGTTTATTATTTTTATGTGTATGCTTGTTAAAATTCCCAAATTAGTTATCCAGATTTTAGGGGGCAGAAGCAAGGCATCTTTGCAAAAAGTCTACCTGAGTGCTACTCAAAATGTTTGCAGTGAGATAAGGACACAATTGAGAGTGAACATTTAGTAACTATCAAAGTGATTTGATATTGCTGTGACATGTTTATCATATTTTATCAAATATCAGCCTGCAACAGCTTGGAAATTTTTTAAAAAACTGTCCTTTACCACAAATAGTTTGAGCAACATTTGTGAGCACTTACATTTAATTAATTCTTATTATGCATGCACTCTGTGCCAGGAACTATGCTAAGGAGACAGAGATGAACAAAACAAAATTCCTGCTCTCAGTAAGCTTATGATCTAATTAAGGATAAACACTCCAAAACAAGCATTATTATAAAACAGCACGAAATGTATCAAATTGCGAGTCAAGCAAAATGCTATTAAGCAAAGGAAATGGAATTACGTAATGTACCTAGGCTTAAACAAGGTGGAATGAGCTTTGAGGAGGGCTTCACTGAGGAAATGACATTTGATTTTGTTCTTGAAGGGGGACTGAGATTTTCCCAGGCATAGAAAGTGGAGAGGGTTCTGCAGGCAGAGAGAACAGTGTGTATAGCAGCACTGCTACATAAAAGGTTCAGGGAAAGAAAGTATTGTCTTCCTGGAGCGTGGGGTCTGTGGTGATGAGGTGGATAATGAGGATGGAGAGACTAGCAGAGGCTTCATTAATGCCACATATCCTGTAGGCAATAGGGAGCCACTGTAAATTTCTAATCTGGGAGTGAGATTATAGAGGGGGTGAAGTGACAAGATGAGATTGATGAGATTTTCCCTTTAGAAAAATCACTCTGGAGACAGTGATTGGATGGCTAGTTTAGAAGGAAGTAATACTGGGCTAGAGAAAAATAGTTAGGAGTGTGTTACAGTCATCCTGATAAGCATTGATAAAGCAGTGAACTAGGACAGACGCATTGAGGACAGAGAAGAGGGGTTGGGTTGGGGAAATATTTCAGAACAAGACTCAATAAAATTCAGTGAGTGAGTGGTTGTCAAGGGTAAGTGAGAAGGAGATGGAGAGATTAACTCTGAGGATAATGATAATACCATCATGCAGCATTTGTAATGTGCTTTTAACTTTTTAACATCTAACATCTATGATCTCATTTGATCTTTCAACCATTCTGTGAGGTAGGCTAAGGAATATATTTTCCCCTGTATGACAGATGCAGTCCAGAGAGGTTAAGTGATACACTCAGAGTTCCATAGCTCACTAATGGCAGAACCCAGACTAGAATCCAGACTTCCTGACGCCTGAGCATGTTTTTTTCCCAGTCTCTCATGATGTTGCACTGTAAAAGTGTTTGACCTGCTGTTCACACTTAACCAGAAACAGTTACTATGCACATTACTAGTGGAGAAAAAGAGGAGAGGGAGAAGGTGATCAGTGAGATGGGGGTCAACTACTTTTACGTCAATTGGGAATTCAATAATAACAACAACTTCAGTAATAATGATAAAAATAGTTAACGTTTATTGAGGGCTTACCATGGCCAAGCCACAGTTCTCAGCATTTTAGATAAATTAACTGATTTAATCTTCTTAAGAACCCTACAAGGGTCAGTCCTATAATTGTCTTCCTGTTATAGATGAGGAAACTGAGGCAGAAAGCTGCCCAAGGTCGTATAGCTAGTAAGTGTCAGAACCTAGCTATTTTGAACCTAGACAATCTGAACCTACAGTGTCTTCCTCTCTCTGCTCAGCAACAATCTTGCCTTCTTCCTACCCCTCTTCCAAGGACTCCATGAACGCATCAGGCTCTCATCAGAAAGATCATTAATCTAGGTATTAGGAGAATTGTATTCCAACCCCAATCCTGTTACTAACTGTTGACCTTGATAATATTATTGCCTCTCTAAATTTTTTGTCATCTGTAAATGACATTAATAATATTTATAGCAACATCTGATCTGCTTATCTCATTAAATTATTTTGAGGATAGGAGGTAATACGTGTTCAAGAATAAAATAAACTGTAAAGTTTGTAAAGCACTTTACCAACATGAGAATTAGGAAGATATAGCTTTACAAAATAATGTTGCCTGTGTACATGTTTGTCTCTCTACCTTTGAGGTGAACTCTTTGAGGGAAGGGAACAAGTATCCTTCCTTCACCACTGCATCCCTAGTGATGAGCTTAGTACCCACTATCTGGTAGACAGCTGATAAATATGTATTCAGTGGATGCTATATGTATGAATGCTTGAATGGACAATTGAAGGAGCAGCCTCAGGATGCACTATTTAAAAAGCAAGTAGGCACTTCAATTCCTGGCATCTTAGGTGCAGATAATCTGGACACCATCGTGACAGCTAACATTGTTCTAAGTGTTTTATTTTACATAAATTGAATCATATATATATTCTTATAACCAACCTATGAAGTCATATTCATATCCCTGCTTTTTCTAGCTCTCACCTGTATTGTTAAGTCATATCCCTGCTTTTTCTAGCTCTCACCTATATTGTTAAGCTTGGAAGCTACATTTCCCACACTCATTTGTCAGTCAAGTTCAGTTTTGGATTCCACCCATGAGAGGTACTTGCAGGAAACTTGGCAAGCAGAAGGGAAGTAGACACCATCACTGCTCTTCCTGACGTCTTGTTTAGGTGTGTGGGCTTGATCAGAAAAGATTTAAGTGATTTCTGAGCATTCTCTTGTGAAACATCTGCTTCAGTGACGTCATTAGCAGCAGTTTCCTAACAATCTCTAAAATTTCCCATGATTCCTGCAATTCCTACAACTGTCTCATTTTGCTGGTAGTTCCCTTACCTTTTCTCTCATAGCCCTTCCAAAGGCTTTGTAGGCCCCTAATTCTCTGTGTTAAATGCCTTCCTGAAATAACTATAGAGTAGTTTCTGTTTGCCTGATCGAACTGAGTGCTACACTTTACAGGTGAAGAGACCTAAGCAGGGGGTAACTTGAGTGAAGAAGTGGCAGAAGGAAGGACTGAATCTAACAAGTTTTGCCCCAGGGCTTGTGCTCTAAGTAGTTATACTCCACTGCCTCTCTTCAACTGAAAACCCAAATCCTATAAATGGGGCACTGTATCTTTTTCTGAAATCTCCATGAATATTTCCATGGAAATGATCATTTGGAGCCTGCTTTTCAGTTTGTAAACTTTCTTCTCAACTTTTGACAGAACCATCTTAGTTTCAACACAGTCTTTCCATCTTTCTTTCCAGGGTGAAGCAAGGTAAGCTTCACTACTCAGCCATTGGGGATGGGGAGTAGGGAGGAGTCCAGTGGAAGGTTTCACAGGATCCTTGTGATTGATCAGGCAGAGAAGCACTACTCAATCTCAGGAATTTTCAAAAGCCCAGCATTGATTTCATTTCACAACACCCTCACAGAGTTCATTTTTATCTTTAAAATAAATTAATATCAATGTAAAATTAGATAGCCTCTAGAGTTAGTGCCTAGAAACTGAATGTTAATGCTGGAAGGGCCAGAGCTGTGTTAACTAGCTGCCGTGTTTGCCTTCTTTTTCAGTCAAAGCTAACATTTAAAGTCAGAGAGATAGATCTATATATATTGATCTGGAGGAATGTTCATGATATATTGTCAAGTGGAAAAAGCAAGTTGCAGAGTAAATTGATGATATGCTTGCATTTTTTAAGAAAATAAGAGCAAGCCCTATATAAAATAACACCCGGATGCAGAATGTTAGAACTAGAGAGGTCTTTAGGTAGCTAAACACAATCTTCCTGTTATATTGATAAGCAAGTTTAAAGGCCAGAGAGAGATATAACTAAGGTTACACAGCTTGTTAGTAGCAGAATCAATTCCACAACCTTCATCTCCAGACTCCACTATGTCACTCTGTCTGTAGGCTGTGCCCATACCAACAAGTCAATAAAGGGAGAAAGAACCTAGTGACATAGCTATACTATTTTGTAGTAGAGGGACCATTATTGAAAATGTGCATCCCATTTTAAGCTGTAAACCAACCTGTAATAGAGAGTGAAATATTTTTCCCTCCAAAGGCAGAATCATTAAAACCTATACTCTTAATATTCCACCTAATTTCTGAATTTTCCTCTGTGCGAAGACACTCTTTGATTCTTTTAATATTTCATTGATTGTGCCAGTTTATGTTTATTTCACAATGTTTGCTTGAAAGGTTTATCTTGATAGTAAGGAACATTTTGCACAAAGCATGAGACTTACCCTAATACCTAGCATAGTGCCTGCCTTAAAGTACAAACCTAATGTTTGTTAAATGGATAAATTAAAGATTGAATTCATTTGCCTTTTTCTGAATTTTTTTCTTTCTCAATATTAAAACATTATTTCAGAGATGAAGAGTACCATGTACCTTTAAAAATGTATACAGACACATGCACACATATGTTTATTGTAGCACTATTCACAATAGCAAAGACTTGGAACCAATCCAAAAGTCCAACAATGATAGACTGGATTAAGAAAATGTGGCACTTACACACCATGGAATACTATGCAGCCATAAAAAATGATGAGTTCATGTCCTTTGTAGGGACATGGATGAAATTGGAAATCATTCTCAGTAAACTATCACAAGGACAAAAAACCAAACACCGCATGTTCTCACTCATAGGTGGGAATTGAACAATGAGAACACATGGACACAGGAAGGGGAACATCACACTGTGGGGACTGTTGTGGGGTGGGGGGAGGGGGGAGGGATAGCATTAGGAGATATACCTAATGCTAAATGACGAGTTAATGGGTGCAGCACACCAGCATGGTACATGTATACATATGTAACTAACCTGCACATTGTGCACATGTACCCTAAAACTTAAAGTATAATAATTAAAAAAAAAGTATACGGTTTGAATAAATCTTGCACTTGTTTTGAAATTAAGCTGTTTTGATAAGTAGTTTATTCATCCTCAATTATTTTTCATTTAGTTAGTAAACACGTAAGACAGTCTCCTTGTATCCATGGTACTCCCTTTGCAACACCATACAATGTCTCTTCAGCCCCCCAGCAGTCACAGTAAGAGGAACACACTGAGTATCTGTTTGCTCAGTAGTGCTGGGTACTGTGCATTTTATTTTTTTCTACCTGTTTGTGTCTGGTTCCTCACAAACAGGTAGAAAAGGCTTCTTGGGAGATGACTTCATCATATGTGGTGGAGGCCCAAAGTAAAGTGAGACCAGGAGACAGGATATCTGGGTCTTCGTTCTAGATCTGCTTCCAAACAGTTTCATGATCTTGGGAAATTTACTCCACATTCAGTGAGCCTTAGATTTCTCATCTAAAATCGGTTACCTGTAATAGATCATTGTTTATCAAAACCGTTCCTTTTAGTTTTAGAACTCCCTTTTCAAATGAAATAGCTCACAGGAAACGACCCCCCATTAGCAGGCTCCAGGCACCACAATTGAGTCCCTAAAAACTATATAAATCAAGATTTGAAAAACATTGCATTATGTCCATCAACAGAAAATGGGTTTTAAGATGCGGTAAATGTGTGCAATGAAATATTATTCAGCAATAAAAAGGAACAAATTACGGATACATGCAACAATATAGATGAATCTCAAGAGCAGGCTGAGTGAGAGAACCCAGACACAAAGGAGTACAGACTGCATGATTTTATTTATAGTCAATATTTAAAAAAACAAAAACTAACATATAGTGAAAGAAATCAGATCACTGGTTGGAATTGGGGGTAGAGGGAGGAAGGGATGGGTTACAAGAAGGCAAAAGGAAACTTCTGTAGGTGATGAAATTGTTAGGTAGCTGATTGTTGTGGTGATGCTGTGAGCATCTGTCAAAACTCATAGAATTGCACACTGTAATTGGACAAAGTTTATTGTATACAAATTATGTCATGATAAAGTGGATTAAAATATCACTACATTAGTCATCTCTAGGGTTTCTTATGCCTTTAGATATAGTAAGTGGGATCTGGAATCAACCAGACCTAGATTTAAGTACTGGCTCTGTGGCCATGGGCAAATCACTCAGTTTCCACACTTCTAAATATGGATGGAAAATAGTGCCATGGCATTGAACCACTGTGTGAATTCTATGTGATAATAGATATAGAGAGCTTTGCTCAACCCCTAGCGTATCATAAGTTCTCAATAAATGGTAGCTGTATTTATAATTCTATGATTCTAAATAATTTTACAGACTTACTTTTACAAATTCGGAGGTGGCATATATATGATCTAAATTCTAATTTTGACTCCATTATCAATTATGTATGACTTTAGATGAGTCTCAATGTCTACTCTGTTTCCTCATTGTTAATACAGAGGGAAATTGTGGTGGTGTTTTTACCAATTCCATAGGAAAATTAGGGATATAAAATAGACTAATAGATTAGAAAGATGTTTTGAAAAACAAAAAGCAAAAATAAAACACTCTACACAAATGTAGGAAATAGCTATGATAATTTTTCTCATGATTCCAAGATTAAGTGAAACAAGGAGATTGTGCTTACGTAACAGGGCTTACCCTCAGTAAAGTTGTAAAGTTTCTGACATTTGTCTTCTGGCCTTTTATTATACCATTCTTTGTCTTAGTTTCCAATTTCAGTTATGCCTCACCTGCTGTCAACAGTTACAGAAGATTCTCTTGCTGTATAGGTCTCTTCTGTCAGTGAGAAAATTACTCTGATAAGTTCATTTACCTGAAGGTGAGTAACCTAATGGGTAGCCACTAACAATATTCTATGTAAAGAAAGAGCAAAAATAATACCTCTAATGGCAATTCAAGTCTCAGTAGGAATAATATTTGGGGTGGGAGCACTTCCTGAAGCTTCTCATATGTCAATCACTTCCAAAGATAAAGTCAGATCCTTTAAACCATTTTCTCCATCAGGGACGTTGTGTTATTTTAGACGTTTAGAAGCAAAGAAGGCTCATGTCCTTTTCAACATAACTTTCCTTATTGCCCGTTTAACATCTTTTTTTCTCAGGCTATATATCAGGGGGTTCAACATGGGTGTCAAAGCTCCATAAAACACTGAGATAAACTTGTCCTGGTCAGGGTAGGACTTGGACTGAGTTTTCATATACATGGAGATGGCTGACCCATAGAAGATTGTCACCACGGTCAGGTGAGAGCCACATGTGGTAAAGGCCTTGAGCCTGCCCTGGAGTGAGCGAATCCTTATGATAGCCATAGCAATTCGTATGTAGGAGAGGAGAACAAACCCAAATGGTAGCAGCAGGGTGAAGATACTGGTGATGAGGATCATAAATTCATTGAGGCTGGTATCAGAACAGGTCAGCTTAATGAGGGAGAGAATCTCACAGGCAAAATGGTTGATGACATTAGCCCCACAGAAGTGAAGCCTCAGGGATAGGATGAGCATGGCAGTGAGCACAAGTGATGTCCCCCATGAGGTAGCAACCAAGCAGACACATACTGGGCCATTCATAACCACTGAATAACGCAGGGGATTGCTGATAGCAACCACACGGTCATAGGCCATGGCAGCCAGTAGGAGGCACTCTGCTGTGGCCAAAGCCAAGGAGACACTCGTTTGAGCCAAACATCGGGGATAAGAGAGGTAGGGATGGGTAGAGAAACAATGCACCAAAGCCTGGGGCATGGAAGCTGTTCCATAACAAAGGTCTAAGAAAGACAGGTTACTAAGGAAGAAGTAGATTGGAGTGTGGAGGTTGGGGTCAAAGTGAATAAGAAAGATCATAAATCCATTCCCCAACAATGTGCTGAGGTAAATTATCAGCACTAATGTGAAAAACGTGTCTCTCCATTGAGGATAGTTAGAAATGCCAATAAGGAGAAACTGAAACACTGCTGTGACATTGTCCATGGCCATCTTTCCCTCTTGCCACTATTCATTAAATGGATGCCAATTGGCTACTTAGTGTTACCTGAAAGAATGGGAATAAAGATGGAGGGTGTGAGAAAGGTGGAAAGAATTAGGGTGTGCAGGATCATTATCTTTGTCCTTTTCAGAAGAATGGGACACAAATGGAATAGATATCTATAATGGGAACAGAGGCAAAGCTAGATATCCTCCCTCAATCCTAAGAAAATGGAAAGTTCCTTATCTTTTTGAAAATAGTTATATGAAAATTTCTCCAGCCCTCCTCCACTAGAGGTCTTCTTGAATAATTTTTCCTAACTAAGAAGACAGGAAAGGTAGGCCATCTTCCTGACTTTCTCACGTCATTTTCCAAGATAAATCTGATATGTAGACATGGTTGAATCTCAGTTAGCTTGAGTTATTAATCTCAACCAACAGGGTACCTTCTGACACATGTCTTAGCTAAAATATTGTCTATGTTTGGGATGTCTCTCACTCCTAGATTGTGCATGCCTTCATTTTTCCATAGTTCCAGAATTTACCACGGTGCCTGACATAGAGTGGGTGCAAGGTAGCTCTTTGACCTGAGCTGATATTATGTAGATGTAGTAGTGAGGTCTGGGAGGACCCTCTTCTAATATCCCCTGCTGAAGTTACATTTCTAGCTTCTCCTACATTTTCTATTCTGTTGTCGTTGAGCCCCAGTTAGGAGTATGAAAACTGAACATGAAGTTTCTAAAAGTGTGGGTGGTAAGGAGAGGGTCTGAGTACGTAGCCTCACTGAAAAGGCTCTCTTATCCCATCCTCACCCATCTCTTTCCCCTAGCCCTGCTTCATTTTTTATAACACATTCTAATACCTGAAGTTATATTAATAATTTGATTACTTGCTTATTATTTGTCTTTCACTCAAATGTGAATTTAATAACAGGGCCCTTGTCTGCTGTTTACTGGTGTATTCCTAGAACATAGAACAGTACCTGGGGGATCACAAGAACCCAATAGGTAGTAAATGAATATATAAAGTCCTAAGCATTCAGAGCTGTTATTCAGAATCTACCTACTCCTCTTGCCACCTGCACTGCCATTCTTTATTCCAAGGCATCATCATCATTCACCTGGATTTTTCCAGTAACTTCGTCATTGGTTTTCCTGTTTCTAGTCTTCTTCCCATCCAGTTCAGATGATTCAGTTGAACTGTAAGTGAAATCAGGTCACTCTTCCATTAAAAAATTTATTCTATTTTTATTGAGGTATGACTGATATACAAAAAGGTACACATATTTTATGTATACATCTTGAGTTTGAAGATAAGTATATACTCATGAAACGGCCACCATAAATAATGCCGTAAATATAACAAACATCCCTAAAAGTTTCCTCCTTCTCTCTTTTATCTTTGTAATAAGAACACTTAACATAAGACCTACTCTCTTAATAAAATTTTAAGTATACAGTATCATATTGTTAACTATAGATTCTCATTTCAGCCTCTCTAAACACCAATCTCCTTACTATGACCTACGAGGCCCTATATGGTTTGCCTCCCAATCACCTCCTCTCTGAACGCATCTCCTACCACCCTTTCCCTTGCTCACTTTGCTCCAGTCACACTAGCCTCCTCACCATTCCTCAAATACTCAAAGCCCATCCCTTTCACAGAGCCTTTGATCCTGCTGTTCTATATTTGTAAAAACTTTCTGCTCCATATTTATGAAACCCAGATCCTTGCACAGCTCACCTTCTCAATTCCCTCAGGTTTTTACTTACAAGGCATCTTTTCAGTGTATCCTTCCTGGGTCACGTCATCTAGGAATTCATCTCCAGCCCCTGAAATTGCATTACATCCTTTCTGGGTCACCTCGTCTGGGAGTTCATTTCTAGCCATTGAAATTTTATATCCCCCTTTCCTGCATTATTTTCTCCTTAGAACTACATCTAGCATACTGTATAGCTTATCTATTAATTATGTTTATTGCTTGTCTCTATCAACTAGAATGTATGCTCAGTGAGGTCAGGGTTTTTCTGTTTTCTTCATTGCTGTGTGCCCAAAATATAGAATAGTACCTAGATAGGAGCTCAATAATTATTTGCTGAAGGAATGTGTGAATGGAGTTCTTTTGCTGTTCCTTATTGAAAGGCAACCTCTCTTTTTCCATCTGCCTCTTCCCTTGACATTACTGTTTCTATGCTAAGCACCCCTTTGATGTATATGTGTTTCTCCATGAGACTAACTCCCATTTTCTTTCTAATCCCCTCCTTGCAGCTTCCGCTACTCACTTGCTATGTCTCTAGACAAGTTTCTTCCCCTTACGTGCCTGAATTTTTATTTCCAATCTTGTTAAACTAAATTATCTCTAAGGTCCCGTCTAGTTTTAACAAGCTAGGATTCTCGACTTCCCTCAGATAAAGAAAAAAAGAACTCACTCCGCAGAGTATTGAAATGTGTTACATTTTTCTCCTTTGTTGGAGAGACATGTAGGCTACAGAAGCGGTTTTCTAAGAAATGAAGTATCCCTAATCATCTCTGAAATGGGAAACTCTCTCACTTGTCTTGTCCTAAAAAGTATCTTTTTTTTTTTTTTTTTTTAGATAGATTCTCACTCTGTCACCCAGGCTGGAGTGCAGTGGCGCAGTCTTGGCTCACTGCAACCTCCGTCTCCTGGGTTCCAGTGATTCTCCTGCCTCAGCCTCCCAAGCAGCTGGGATTACAGGTGCCCGACACCATGCCCAGCTAATTTTTGTATTTTTAGTAGAGACGGGATTTCACCATGTTGGCCAGGCTGGTCTCAAACTCCTGACCTCAGGTGATCCGCCCGCCTCAGCCTCCCAAAGTGCTGGGATTACAGGCGTAAGACACGGCTCCTGGCCCTTAAAAGTCTTTAAGAAAGAAAATTTCCTAACGTTTCCCTTCCATGTCATGGCCTTCTAGTAAGCTATCCCTGTGTCACATTGTCTACCTTTTTCAGCCTATCAGATAGGCTAGGTGCACAACAAAGGTAAATCCATATATCCAGGAAAGTGTTTGCTATTTGTGAAGAGGGAAACAAATGTAAGGGATGGAGAGGGTGGTGGTGACCTGGCTTCACAGGAGTGCCCTCAGAGCTTGAGAGACCTAACGCTGCCGCTGTCTTCATTTATCATAGGACCCCGAGAAAGAGATTTTGCCTTGGCCTGCCTCCACCTTTCCAAGTGAAAATAGAGAAAATCATCTCTACAGAGTGAGAACATACAAATATATGAGTCAAATGGCTACATGAAACAATGACCCGCAGCCTCTTATATTTAAGTTGGTATAGTCATATCTTAAATTTTTTTTGAATATTTGGGAGTATATTTAGCTCCCAATTATCTACATATGGGTCTTTCACAGTGGAATATTTAATGAGATAATGGGCCGGCCACAGATGGGAGAGTGAACTGATTTTGCATTGAAGTGGATGGCTGATTATTATGCCATTTAAAACTATATGTTCCTCCTAGAACTCTATAAAACACACTGCTTTTGCTGTCAAATATTAAATATTGATAAAATAGACGTTTTTCCTCCTTATATGAATCTATCATTCCCAGTGAGCCACAGGATGTATTTTGTTTTTCCAGTATTGAAGGAGGGTTTATAAAGTTTCTATCCCTCAGTCCCTCATGAGCCCAGTAGAATAAATTGATGAGCCATTTGACTAAAAATTGGTGATCAGTCTATGGCTGTGAGATCGACTTATTTTTTAAATGGGGTTAAACTTGCTGATAGAGATTGGGGTTGAACTCATGACCTTGCCCCCATTAGTACCATGTTTGGACCCATAGAACTAAAATTGATGACAATTTCCCTCTCACACTTAAAGGCTACTCAGCATCTAAATTGGGGGGGCTATTTTTCATTTAGTCTAGGCCCTGGCCTCCAGAGACAGTGCTGATTGCCTCATCCTAGAATTACCATTAAAAATTTCTGGCAAACTGAACCCAGCATGTTTCCCATCTTAGTCCTGTTACCTGCAATTATTTATTGATATAGCATAACTTTCCTTTTAACTAATGGCTGCCTCTTGTCTTCCTGGAGATTGTCCATCCCAGATAGATGGTTAAAGACCCAAGAAGAGGAGGAAAGGAGAAAAGAAAATAAATTAAAACCTGTTCTGTTACCTACTCACCAGTGGAGGTCCCTCTCAAGTATCAGTAGATGGAACAGAATGGGCTGCCCAAAAGAACAATTCTCCAAGAGTTGCCAGGTTTAGCACTGTGACGATCTCCCTGCAAACTTCCTGGCAATATTTCAAAAGCCTTCCCAGCTTCTCAAACTCACAAATGCCTAGAAACCCCTGAAGAAAGAAAATTCTTTTAGATTAGGTCAAATCTCAATCAACAAACCCTTTGATCTGCAGCCCTTGGTAATGGTATCTAATTAAATTATTTAATGTCTTAGACAAACATTTCTTTCAATGGCATTTGACCTACATACAACCTTATTCAATCTTCCCTAGAAAAGTTATGACATATACAGGATTGAGGTCATTTGAATGCTCTGCATCAAGACCCTTAGGTTATTTCAATTTGCAACCTTCTAGTTTAGACATCCATTGCCTCTTGGCAATATTTATCTATGTATTATCTTATCTTGGTGAAATGGAATCCAACTAAACCAAATTGTCACTTTCTTAAAAAAAGGAAAACAATAACAAAACATTCTGCACCCAGGGCTTTAAACTAAATTGGATGATGCCTAGGAAAGGTCCTGGGCTCTGTACATACCCTACCAGTTTCCTACTCTTTCTCCACAACCTCTTCTCAGTGCTCAGTAGTAAAAATGTATAATTTCATACCCACAAGGTCCTGTGCATCCCTCAATCAGCAAAAAGATCGAATATCAGTCACTCTACCTGCCCACTAAGGCTGGAGAATAGACTCCAGCATTTCAAAAGCATTATAATGGAGTTGAAACAAAAAATGTCTGGATACCCCTCATTTACCTAGAAAATATAACTGACCAGAACCTGCCTTTCATTGAGCAGTTTGGTTTGTAGATTCCATCAATCTATATGTTTATCTGGAAGCTGTCACCAGGCCTCTATCTCTGGGAGCATGTTTGGCTCTGAACAAAATCTATAAATTGTACCTACTTGGCCTACTCAAGATGTCTGGGGTCTAATTCTCTTTCAGATTCAATTCCAAATGCAGGAAGTAAGTTGATGAGCTGCTCAGTAACTTAAATAAGTTGAAGTTTCAAAGTGCCACCAGACCATTTATCTCACAAGTAGAGTTCAAAGTTTCTGATCTTTACCAGAAAGAAATAATTATCTTCTGAGAGCTTCAGGGACCTCATCCCAAACAGGCAATGAAGTTTTGCCAAATCAGAGCTGTTTGAAAAACAAAACAAAACACAAAGTGGCATTTTGTGTAGGGAAAACAAGTAAAGAAAAGAGAAAGGAGACCTTTGAGACTGTGGGACTTTTGTATACCACTACTGGCCTTTCCAGAGAACTAAGAAATAATTCTTTTTTTATTTTGGCCTACAGTTTCTTCACATTCTTTCTGTATGAAACTGATGTCATGACAGAGCCTGCAACTGGTAGAGAAATGTCTATCAGGGGACAGCTGGTATAGAGAGTGCACAACAGAGAGCAACTGTGTTATTGATCCCCATGTTAAAACAGCCTTTATGTTTGGCTTTTCAGTTCCACTTCCAGCACCCCAGCCTGATCAAAGTCTCTGTCAAGGCTATATTTCCTCATCTGACATGCAAGGTCAAGTATGACAATTCCTCATCTATTATTTAACATTCATTCATTCACACATGAATACATTTATTCAACAAGTATTTAATGAGCACCTACAATGTGTCTGGCAATGTATTTGGCACTGAGGATACAATGGTGCAAAACAACAACAACAACAACAACAACAACAACAACAAACCATTCGTCTTCTCTTCAAATTTGAATGCCCTTTATTTCTTTCTCTTGTCTGATTGCTCTAGCTAGGACTTCCAGTGTTATGCTGAATAAAGTGGTTCTTACCTTCAGGAAGCTTACTGTTTTTGGGGGAAATTGATATTAACATTAACTAACAATCAAGAATATATCCTATGCCATTCTCTATGATGTGATTATTAAAACCTAGTATTTGCTAGCACACTATAATCGAAATAATTTAATTGTACCTTTAAAAGTAACTGAAAGAATATATTGAATTGTTTGTAATACAAAGGATAAATGCTTGAGGAGATGGATATCCCATTTCCCATGATGTGATTATTATGCATTTCATGCCTATATCAAAGTATCTCATGTACCCCATAAATATATACAACTACTATGTACAAACACAAAAATTAAAAAAAAAATACAAATATGCACCTGTGATAAGTGCTATGTAAGCAAACTATATGGTGATAAAGGGTTTTATTGATTCCCATGTTCGCCCCTGTCTCCATGGCTCCTCAATACAATCTCTCTACTTGAGTCAGGTTAGTTTCTTCATTGCTCCATGAGTACCCCCATGCTCACTCCCACTTCTTTTGCACCAGTGCTTCTAATGTTCTACTAATTTGTAAAGCTAAAGCTTACCCAATCTGTCTTTCAAGGCTCAGCTTAATTCTTTGGTTCTTTTGTGTTTCAATGTTACCCGAACCTTAAACTATATCATAAGTAATCTGCGCACAGATAATTGTTTTTATACTTCTTCAACTCTTTTTTTTTTTTAATTTTAGAGACAGTGTCTTGCTCTATTGCTCAAGCTAGTGTGCAGTGGCATGATCATAGCTCACTGCAACTTCAAATTCCTGGGCTCAAGGGATCCTCCTGCCTTAGCCTCCCAAGTAGCTAGGACTATAGGCACGCACCACCACACCTGGCTAATTAATTATTTTATTTTATTTTTTTTGTAGAGCTTGGGTTTCACTGTGTTACCCAGGCTGGTCTTGAACTCCTGGTCTCAAGCGATCCTCCTGCTTTAGCCTCCTAAAGCACTGGGATTACAGGTGTGAGACACCATGCCTGGCCTTTTTAACACTTTTAGTGGTAGTGGCAGTAGACACAATATAGGGTAAGGAGAGGCAGTCTGGGGTAATGGCTAAGGTTGTGTACTCAGGGACTTACTAACTCTGTGGAGTTTTTTTTAGGTAATCTGAATAATCTGGGCCTAATTTTCCTTGTTTATGAAGTGAGGAAATACATATAAAATGCCCAGGACAGTGCCTGGCACATGGTAAATCTCAATAAATATTAGCATGTTAGCTATTTTTACTTTTCCCAATGCATTCACATAAATTAGTACCTACAGTTTTTATAGCTGAGAAAACTGAAGCCTAAAGCAATCAAGTGAGTTGGCCAAATGTCACATAATTAATTAGAAACAGAGATGGATAGAAAACTCATTTTCTTACTTCCAGACCAGTGCCTTTTGGGAAATTATACATATGGTCTTTTGCTTGATACTTGCTTTGAGGACAAATTTCTCAGATTTTGTACTCAGCAAGATTTTGTTCAGGTCCTTGGATAACTCAAAGTGACATGATATGGGTACCACATTAAGACATCTGTCTTTAGCTAAGGCTTGTTTCACTGCCAATCATAACACAGTAATATTTAAGATATAGGATTGGTTCCTATGAGAATAGCTTAGCTTCAGTCAGCCTCATGGTCACTAAATGCATCTCTAATATGTCATTTCTCATATTTGCCAGAAGGGAGGACGTAAGGAGAGCATGAACTCTTCACAAACTGTCTGGCTTTGGGAAAGTCACTTCAAATTTTTGGGCTTCAGTTTCTTTTGCTGTATAGACTATCTCTGAGGCCCATTCCAATTACTTTATTCGTAATTCTAGAGAAATTGTTTCTATTGAAAGCAGATCATAAATATCTTTTTTGTATATGGAAGACAACTAAGGAAGTTGTGTTAGGACCTAGCTAAAAGGTGCTAGAGCAGATCTGAGTAAGAGGAAAACGGAAACACTAATGAATTCTTCAGCTTAGTGCAGGGATGTATCCTAACAGTCAAATTAAGGCCTTAGGATGCTGAATAGGAGGAAGCACTGTGGGCAAAGGGAAAGTGGCAGAAGTTGGGGACCCAGCTGGTGGGAATATATTTTACTGGTTTGGAAAGACTGTGACTAGTAGAAGATCTCCTTCAATAAATGTGCTTTTGGTGAACTCTTGAAAAATTATTAGAGGGTGAGCAAAAAAGAGAGTGTGCAATTTATTCCAAAGGTCTAACTGTGCTCTAAACAATTCCTTGTCATAGTCTTTGAGTGCCTGTATGGAGTTATGCACAAATTCATAATCCTAAAGTAGCAAGTGACAAGTCTGCCCTTCTATTATGAGGTAGTCCTGATCTATGGGTTAGCAGAAAAAAAAAATGGGAGATGAGGTGCTGGAGAGGACTAACCAGCCAAGCATCTCCTAACAGCCTTTAAACAGATTTTTAAAAAAATTTGTCTCAACATTGAAAAATGATGTTTCCCCTGTTAAGTTGAAATAATGTTCTTCCTGCCTGCCTTGCTTTTAGTTGGTGCTGGACAAACAGAACACTTCTGATAGCTTTGTATCTCAGAGATTCTTCCAGGCTCTAGGGGCATGATTAGCTTTAGTGCACTGCTCAAAGTTGAGCAATTAAAAACTGTTTCTTGCAAACCCCCAAAGATGACACATTGGGCATTGTTAAGAAGTTGGCAGACTTGGCAGTTAACTTCACCTGAAACTTCCAGCCCCATAATGATGTATTAATTGTAAACAGTAGGGAAAAAGTAGAACACTTCCTTAAGATGAAAGTGAAGGAACTTTAAAGACTTAAAAACAGTGAAAAAAAAAATGTTCTAAGCAAACAGAAGCCAAGCAATGTGATTTAGTTTCCAAAGCTTTTTGTGTCTTTGACACAAGAGTTGCAACAAATGTGTTAATCTAATGGCACATATTTAAAAATACAATTCTATCACAGATGACCTCAATATAAAAATGTAAATGGCCTGTAGGGAGATGTAGGTTCTAGTCTTGGCTCTGTCACAAACTTGCCTATGACTTTAGTAAGTCTATTAACCTATTTCTGTTTGTGCAATAGTGAATAGTAATCTGTTTTAGGTACTGCACATAAGTGCTGTCAGGACCAAATTATTTGTGAAATCCAAAAGACGCTTGGAGATATTAAGACATAGACAAGTTCATGGGATTCTTTTATCTTTTTAAAATTTAATTTTGTGGATACATAGTAGGTGTATATACTTATGAGTTACATGAAATACTTTGATATAGGAATGCAATGCATAATAATTACATCATGATAAATGGGGTATCCATTCCCTCAAGCATTTATCCTTTGTGTTACAAACAATTATACTCTTTTAGTTATTTTAAAATGTACAATTAAATTATTTTTGACTATAGTCACCCTGTTGTGCTATCAAATCTAGGTCTTGTTTATTTTAACTACCTTATGTACCCATTAACTATCCCTACTTTCTCCCAAGTTCCCCACTACTCTTCCCAGTGTCTGTTAACCATCCTTCTACTCTCTATCTCCATGAGTTCAATTGTTTTAACTTTTAGCTCCCACAAATAAGTTAGAACAGGTGATGTTTGTCTTTCCGTGCCTGGCTTATTTCACTTAACATAACGATCTCCACTTTCATCCATGTTGTTGCAAATGACAGGATCTCATTCTTTTCATGGTTGAATAGTGCTCCCTTTATCCATTCATCTGTTGATGGATACTTAGATTGCTTGCAAATCTTGGCTTTTGTAAACAGAGCTGCTGCAACAAACACGGGAGTGCAGATATCTCTTTGATATACTTATTTCCTTTCTTTTGGGTATATACCTAGCAGTGGGATTGCTGGATCATATGGTAGCTCTATTTTTAGTCTTTCTGAGGAACCGCCACACTGTTCTCCAGAGTGGTTGTACTAATTTACATTCCCACCAACAGTGTACAGGAATTCCCTTTTCTCCATATCCTCGCCAGCATTTGTTGTTGCCTGACTTGGATAAAAGCCATTTTAACTGGAGTGAGATACCTCATTGTAGTTTTGATTTGCATTTCTCTGATGATCAATTATGTTGAGCACTTTTTCTTATGCCCATTTGCTATTTGTATGTCTTCATTTGAGAAATATCTGTTCAAATATTTTGCCCATATTAACATTGGATTATTATATTTTTTTCCTGTAGAGTTGTTTGAGCACCTTATATATTCTGGTCATTATCTCTTGTTAAATGGATAGTTTGAAAATATTTTCTCCCGTTCTGTGGGTTGTCTCCTCACTTTGTCGATTGTTTCCATGGCTGTGCAGGAGCTTTTTAACTTGATGTAATCTCATTTCTCTATGTTTGTTTTGGTTGCCTGCACTTGTGAGATATTCATGGGATTCTTTTAAACCCAGGGTCTGAATGAAATCAGAGCAAACCTATAGAACTCAGGATTAGGTCTAATTTTTAGGTTAAACTTACTATAGCTTACTTAATTATTTAAGGGAAATACATATTCATAGCCTCTTATCAAGTATATGATTTGCAAATATTTTCTCCCATTCCGTGGGTTGTGTTTACACTTTTTAAATAGTCTTCACTTTGAAACAACAGGTTTTTAATTTTGATAAGTTTCAACTTATTTATATTTTTGCTTGTCATATCAAAGAATCTTTTGCCAAACCCAAGATGATGAATATGTAGCCACATGTTTTCTTCCAAGAGTTTGTAGTTTTAGTTCTTATTTTTGGGTCTCTGATCCATGTTGAGTTCCTTTTTATATATGTTATGAGGTGAGGGTTCAACTACATTCTTTTGTATGTGGCTATCTAGTTTTCCCACCATCATTTTTTGAGAAGATTTTTCTTTCCTCATTCAGTGGTGTTGGCACCCTTGAAAAATCAGTTGACCATAGATACAAGAGTTTATTTGGGGGCTTTGAATTCTATTCTAGCTATATATAATGCCTATCTTTGTGTCAGTAATACACCATCTTAATTACTATTGCTTTGTAGTGAGTCTTATCAGCAAGCATGAATCCTCCTACTTTGTTCTTTCTAGAATTGTTTTAGATATTCCAGGTCCCTTGAAATTCCATATGTATTTTAGGATCAGCTTGTCAATTTTTATAAAGAAGAAAGTTGGGATTCTGATAGGAGTTGTGTTGGATACGTAAATTAGTTTGGGGAATATTGCCATTTTAACAATATTAAATTTTCTGATACATGAACATGGGGTGTTTTTCCACCTTTTTTAGATCTCTTTAATTTATTTCAACAGTATTTTATCATTTTCAGAGTATAAATTTGGCAATTTTTGTTTGAATTTTATTCCTAAGCAGCTTATTCTTTTTGATGCTATTGTCAATAGAATATTGTTCTTAACTTCATTTTCATGTTGCTTAGGTCAAGTGAATTTTGTATATTGATCTTGTATCCTGCAACCTTGTTTATTTGTTCCAATAGTTTTTTCCCTCTTTTTCAGTGAATTCCTTAGGATCTTCTATAAATAAGACTATGTCATTTGAAAGTAGAGAAAATTTTACCCATTTCCTTCCAATCTGGTGGCCTTTTACTTTTTATTGCCTAATTGCCCTGTCTAGAATCTCCAGTACAATGTTGAATAGAACTGGCAAGGCTGGACATTCCTGTTTTGTTCCTGAATTAGGAGGAAAGCATTTACTTGTTCATGAGTAAGTATGATGCTTTCTGTGGGTTTTTCATAGATTCCCTTTATCAGGTTGAGGAATTGCCATTCTATTCCTAGTTTGTTGATAATTTTCTCATAAAAGGGAGTCTAAGCTTTCAATAAAGGAATATTCAGGGCTTTTAATGAAATTTCTATTATTGTTATTTGTGCATAGGCTGGATGAGCACATTTAAAGATTTTTTTTCATCACATGGGACTTTAAGTAACATAATTTTAAAATCTTCTTATAATAAACTTTAGGGACTGTGCCAAATCCTAATTTTGTTAAGAATATTGTGTCAAATACTGCTGAAATCATTAAGCCCTTTGTTGGACATTGACAAACATTTTGATGTGTAAAGTTTTTTCACTGCAATATTTTCTCCAGTGACTTTGGACCAGGCTACATCAGAGCAAAATTAATTCTATCATGATCAAACATTTGCATGAATATTATCATCAATTCATCATACTCCATGCTTACTGGGGGATGGCAGTATGGACAAATTGGGTTATGTGTAGAATACCTTAAATTGATTATATCTCTCTGTTCCTAGGATGTTGGAGACCTTTTCTTACAGTTTTCTTGACAGAATCACTGAAAAAAAAGTGGGGGAGTCAATATGATCATTCCCAAGGTGCAGATAGAGATGGGCCAAGGAACTTAGTCACCCTGTCCATCATTTTGTCACTGAGTTACCATTACTCCAGTTGGAAAGAGAGGAAACACTTAAGGTAAATCTTCCAGAAAACTGTTTGAGCTGAAAGTTTTAAAAGGCAAGAGATCAGTAATTAATACATTATTTCCCTAAAAAATGTTAGGTTATAGCTAATCTGTGAGAAGAGTTGAGTCAAAGGGATTCTAATTATTCTTTAGATTACTTTAATTCCACTACTGACATCTAAGTATAAGAATACCAGCAACAGGACAACACATATTTGTATAACCTTGCACAATTTACCGAGCATTTGTATATTTATTAAAATTTTCTCCATATCAATGCCATGAATCATTCATTTCAGAATATAATAGGAGTATGGGTATGGTTCATAGCAAATCATGAAAGTTCCTATACTAGAGACTGAAGTAAATTATTTTTATTTTCTTTATAGCATCCTTAGATATTCATAATAGCCCTCAAGGATTTTCTAAATAAATAATATACTTAATGTCCAGACACTTGTCATTGTTGTTGTTTTAATATCTATATAAATTCTTTACCAACATGAAGTGAAATAATCAATCTCTATGCAATTTAGGGAAGGCATATGTATTAATATTAGTTAGTTCTCATGCTGCTATAAAGAAATACCTGAAACTGGGTAATTTGTAAAGAAAAGAGGTTTAATTGGCTCCTGCTTCTGCAGTCTATACAGGAAGCATGGCTGAGGAGGCCCCAGGAAATTTGGTATCATGGTGGAAGGTGAAGGGGAAGCCAGCGCGTCTTTACATGGTCAGAGCAGGAGGAAGAGAGCGAAGGGGGAGTTGCTACACACTTTTTAAAAACCAGATCTCATGAGAACTCACTCACTCAGCATTCCCCCTTGCTGTTCTCATGAAAGAAAAGGGGAAATTCGCCTCCATAATCCAATCACCTCCCACCAAGGCCCTCCTCCAACATTGGGGATTACAATTCGACAGGAAATCTGGGTGAGGAGAGAAATCCAAACCATATCATTATAGACTTACCTTTTGTCTGAGGATGTAGATCTTGGCTTCTATCAAGTTTCTTGGTAAAAGGACTTCTTCCTATTTTGAATCCCTCTGAAGTCTCCCTAGGGTTTATGGGATTTTTTTTGGCTGCATTCTTTTATATATATATATTATACTTTAAGTTCTAGGGTACATGTGCACAATGTGCAGGCTTGTTACATATGTATACATGTGCCATGTTGGTGTGCTGCACCCATTAACTCGTCATTTACATTAGGTATATCTCCTAATGCTATCCTTCCCCCCTCCCTCCACCCCACAACAGGCCCTGGTGTGTGATGTTTCCCTTCCTGTGTCCATGTGTTCTCATTGTTCAATTCCCACCTATGAGTGAGAACATGCAGTGTTTGGTTTTTTGTCCTTGCGATAGTTTGCTGAGAATGATGGTTTCCAGTTTCATCCATGTCCCTACAAAGGACATGAACTCATCATTTTTTATGGCTGCATAGTATTCCATGCTGTGTATGTGCCACATTTTCTTAATCCAGTCTATCATTGTTGGACATTTGGGTTGGTTCCAAGTCTTTGCTATTGTGAGTAGTGCTGCAATAAACATACGTGTGCATGTGTCTTTATAGCAGCTTGATTTATGACCCTTTGGGTATATACCCAGTAATGGGATGGCTGGGTCAAATGGTATTTCTAGTTCTAGATCCCTGAGGAATCGCCACACTGTCTTCCACAAGGGTTGAACTAGTTTACAGTCCCACCAACAGTGTAAAAGTGTTCCTGTTTCTCCACATCCTCTCCAGCACCTGTTGTTTCCTGACTTTTTAATGATTGCCATTCTAACTGGTGTGAGATGGTATCTCATTGTGGTTTTGATTTGCATTTCTCTAAAGGCTAGTGATGATGAGCATTTTTTCATGTGTCTGTTGGCTGCATAAATGTCTTCTTTTAAGAAGTGTCTGTTCATATCCTTTGCCCACTTTTTGATGGGGTTGTTTGTTTTTTTCTTGTAAATTTGTTTGAGTTCTTTGTAGATTCTGGATATTAGCCCTTTGTCAGATGAGCAGATTGCAAAAATTTTCTCCCATTCTGTAGGTTGCCTGTTCACTCTGATGGTAGTTTCTTTTACTGTGCAGAAGCTCTTTAGTTTCATTAGATCCCATTTGTCAGTTTTGGCTTTTGTTGCCATTGCTTTTGGTGTTTTAGACATGAAGTCGTTGCCCATGCCTATGTCCTGAATGGTAATGCCTAGGTTTTCTTCTAGGGTGTTTATGGTTTTAGGTCTAACAATTAAGTCTTTAATCCATCTTGAATTAATTTTTGTATAAGATGTAAGGAAGGGATCCAGTTTCAGCTTTCTATATATGGCTAGCCAGTTTTCCCAGCACCATTTATTAAATAGGGAATCCTTTCCCCATTTCTTGTTTTTCTCAGGTTTGTCAAAGATTAGATGGTTGTAGATGTGTGGTATTATTTCTGAGGGCTCTGTTGTGTTCCATTGGTCTGTATCTCTGTTTTGGTACCAGTACCATGGTGTTTTGGTTACTGTAGACTAGCAGTATAGTTTGAAGTCAGGTAGCTTGATGCCTCCAGCTTTGTTCTTTTGACTTAGGATTGACTTGGCAATGTGGGCACTTTTTTGGTTCCATATGAAATTTAAGGTAGTTTTTTCCAATTCTGTGAAGAAAGTCATTGGTAGCTTGATGGGAATGGCATTGAATCTATAAATTACCTTGGGCAGTATGGCGATTTTCACGATGTTGATTCTTCCTATCCATGAGCATGGAATGTTCTTCCATTTGTTTGTGTCCTCTTTTATTTCACTGAGCAGTGGTTTGTAGTTCTCCTTGAAGAGGTCCTTCACATCCCTTGTAAGTTGGGTTCCTAGGTATTTTATTCTCTTTGAAGCAATTGTGAATGGGAGTTCACTCATGATTTGGCTCTCTGTTTGTCTGTTATTGGTGTATAAGAATGCTTGTGATTTTTGTGCATTGATTTTGTATCCTGAGACTTTGCTGAAGTTGCTTATCAGCTTAAGGAGATTGTGGGCTGAGATGATGGGGTTTTCTAGATACACAATCATGTCATCTGCAAACAGGGACAATTTGACTTCCTCTTTTCCTAATTGAATACTCTTTATTTCTTTCTTCTGCCTAATTGCCCTGGCCAGAACTTACAACGCTATGTTGAATAGGAGTGGTGAGAGAGGGCATCCCTGTCTTGTGCCAGTTTTCAAAGGGAATGCTTCCAGTTTTTGCCCATTCAGTATGATATTGGCCGTGGGTTTGTCACAAATAGCTCTTATTATTTTTAAATGCATCCCATCAATACCTAATTTATTGAGACTTTTTAGCATGAAGGGCTGTTGAATTTTACTGAGGGCCTTTTCTGCATCTGTTGAGATAATCATGTGGTTTTTGTCTTTGGTTCCGTTTATATGCTGGATTACGTTTATTGATTTGCATATGGTGAACCAGCCTTGCATCTCAGGGATGAAGCCCACTTGATCATGGTGGATAAGCTTTTTGATATGCTACCAGATTCGGTTTGCCAGTATTTTATTGAGGATTTTTGCATCGATGTTCATCAGGGATATTGGTCT
This sequence comes from Homo sapiens, assembly GCF_000001405.40. Taxonomy (NCBI): domain Eukaryota; kingdom Metazoa; phylum Chordata; class Mammalia; order Primates; family Hominidae; genus Homo; species Homo sapiens. The sequence goes on along the minus strand of NC_000023.11, from coordinate 131,528,176 downwards.
AAAATTCTCTTTTTTTGTTGTGTCTCTGCCAGGCTTTGGTATCAGGTTGATGCTGGCCTCATAAAATGAGTTAGGGAGGATTCCCTCTTTTTCTATTGATTGGAATAGTTTCAGAAGGAATGTTACCAGCTCCTCCTTGCACCTCTGGTAGAATTCGGCTGTGAATCCATCCGGTCCTGGACTTTTTTTGGTTGGTAAGCTATTGATTATTGCCACAATTTCAGATCCTGTTATTGGTCTATTCAGAGATTCAACTTCTTCCTGGTTTAGTCTTGGGAGGGTGTATGTGTTCAGGAATTTATCCATTTCCTCTAGATTTTCTAGTTTATTTTTGTAGAGGTGTTTATAGTATTCTTTGATGGTAGTTTGTGTTTCTGTGGGATTGGTGGTGATATCTCCTTTATCATTTTTTATTGCCTCTATTTGATTCTTCTCTCTTTTCTTCTTTATTAGTCTTGCTAGCGATCTATCAATTTTGTTGATCTTTTCAAAAAACCAGCTCCTGGATTCACTGATTTTTTGAAGGGTTCTTTGTGTCTCTATCTCCTGCAGTTCTGCTCTGATCTTTGTTATTTCTTGCCTTCTGCTAGCTTTTGAATGTGTTTGCTCTTGCTTCTCTAGTTCTTTTAATTGTGATGTTAGGGTGTCAGTTTTAGATCTTTCCTGCTTTCTCTTGTGGGCATTTAGTGCTATAAATTTCCCTCTACACACTGCTTTAAATGTGTCCCAGAGATTCTGGTATGTTGTGTCTTTGTTCTCGCTGGTTTCAAAGAACATCTTTATTTCTGCCTTCATTTCATTATGTACCCAGTAGTCATTCAGGAGCAGGTTGTTCAGTTTCCATGTAGTTGAACAGTTTTGAGTGAGATTCTTAATCCTGAGTTCTAGTTTGATTGCACTGTGGTCTGAGAGACACTTTGTTATAATTTCTGTTCTTTTACATTTGCTGAGGAGTGCTTTACTTCCAACTATGTGGTCAATTTTGGAATAAGTGCGATGTGGTGCTGAGAAGAATGTATATTCTGTTGATTTGGGGTGGAGATTTCTGGAGATGTCTATTAGGTCTGCTTGGTGCAGAGCTGAATTCAATTCCTGGATATCCTTGTTAACTTTCTGTCTCATTGATCTGTCTAATGTTGACAGTCGTGTGTTAAATTCTCCCATTATTATTGTGTGGGAGTCTAAGTCTCTTTGTAGATCTCTAAGGACTTCCTTTATGAATCTGGGTGCTCCTGTATTGGGTGCATATATATTTAGGATAGTTAGCTCTTCTTGTTGAATTGATCCCTTTACCATTATATAATGGCCTTCTTTGTCTCTTTTGATCTTTGTTGGTTGAAAGTCTGTTTTATCGGAGAGTAGGATTTCAACCCCTGCCTTTTTTTGTTTTCCATTTGCTTGGTAGATCTTCCTCCATCCCTTTATTTTTAGCCTATGTGTGTCCCTGCATGTGAGATGGGTCTCCTGAATACAGTACACTGATGGGTCTTGACTCTTTATCCAATTTGCCAGTCTGTGTCTTTTAATTGGAGCATTTAGCTCATTTACATTTAAGGTTAATATTGTTATGTGTGAATTTGATCCTGTCATTATGATGTTAGCTGGTTATTTTGCTCGTTAGTTGGTGCAGTTTCTTCCTAGCATTGATGTTCTTTACAACTCGGCGTGTTTTTGCAGTGGCTGGTACCAGTTGTTCCTTTCTATGTTTAGTGCTTCCTTCAGGAGCTCTTGTAAGGTAGGCCTGGTGGTGACAAAATCTCTCAGGATTTGCTTGTCTGTAAAAGATTTTATTTCTCTTTCACTTATGAAGCTTAGTTTGGCTGGATATGAAATTCTGGGTTGAAAATTCTTTTCTCTAAGAATGTTGAATATTGGCCCCCTCTCTCTTCTGGCTTGTAGAGTTTCTGCCGAGAGATCTGTTGTTAGTCTGATGGGCTTCCCTTTGTGGGTAACCCGACCTTTCTCTCTGGCTGCCCTTAACATTTTTTCCTTCATTTCAACTTCGGTGAATCTGACAGTTATGTTTCTTGGAGTTGCTCTTCTCGAGGAGTATCTTTGTGGCGTTCTGTGTATTTCCTGAATTTGAATGTTGGCCTGCCTTTCTAGGTTGGGGAAGTTCTCTTTGATAATATCCTGCAGAGTGTTTTCCAACTTGGTTCCATTCTCCCCGTCACTTTCAGGTACACCAATGAGATGTAGATTTGGTCTTTTCACATCGTCCCATTTTTCTTGGAGGCTTTGTTCATTTCTTTTTACTTTTTTCTCTAAACTTCTCTTCTCACTTCATGTCATTCATTTGATCTTCCATCACTGATAGCCTTTCTTCCAGTTGATAGAATTGGCTACTGAAGCTTGTGCATTTGTCCTGTAGTTCTCGTGCCATGGTTTTCAGCTCCATCACATCCTTTAAGGACTTCTCTGCATTGGTTAGTCTAATTAGCCATTCGTCTAATCTTTTTTCAATGGTTTTAACTTCTTTGTGATGGATTTGAACTTCCTCCTTTAGCTCAGAGAAGTTTGATCATCTGAAGCCTTCTCCTCTCAACTCATCAAAGTCATTCTCCGTCCAGCTTTGTTCCATTGCTGGTGAGGAGCTGCGTTCCTTTGGAGGAGGAGAGGTGCTCTGATTTTTAGAATTTTCAGTTTTTCTTTTCGGTTTTGTCCCCATCTTTGTGGTTTTATCTACCTTCGGTCTTTGATGATGGTGATGTGCGGATGGGGTTTTGGTGTGGATGTCCTTTCTGTTTGTTAGTTTTCCTTTTAACAGTCAGGACCCTCAGCTGCAGGTCTGTTGGCATTTGCTGGAGGTCCATTCCAAACGCTGTTTGCCTGGGTATCAGCAGCGGGGGGTGCAGAACAGTGAATATTGCTGAAGAGCAAATGTTGCTGTCTGATCGTTCCTCTGGAGGTTTCGTCTCAGAGGGGTACCCGGCCATGTGATGTGTCAGTCTGCCCCTACTGGGGGGTGCCTCCCAGATAGGTTACTCGGGGGTCAGTGACCCACTTGAGGAGGCAGTCTGTCTGTTCTCACATCTCAAACTCCGTGCTGGGAGAACCACTACTTTCTTCAAAGCTGTCAGACAGGGACATTTAAGTCTGCAGAGGTTTCTGCTGCCTTTTGTTTGGCTATGCCCTGCCCCCAGAGGTTGAGTCTACAGAGGCAGGCAGGCCTCCTGGAGCTGTGGTGGGCTCCACCCAGTTCGAGCTTCCAGGCCGCTTTTTTTACCTACTCAAGCCTGGGCAATTGTGGGCTTTCCTCCCCTAGCCTTGCTGCCACCTTGCAGTTTGATCTCAGACTGCTGTGCTAGCAATGAGTGAGGCTCTGTGGGTGTGGAACCCTCCAAGCCAGGCATGGGATATTATCTCCTGGTGTGCCGTTTGCTAAGACCATTGGAAAAGTGCAGTATTAGGGTGGGAGTGACCCGATTTTCCAGGTGCCATCTGTCACAGCTTTGCTTGGCTGTGAAAGGGAATTCCCTGACCCCTTGCACTTCCCAGGTGAGGTGATGCCTCGCTGTGCTTCAGCTCACGCTTGCTGCACTGCACCCACTGTCCTGCAACCACTTTCCGACACTCCCCAGTGAGATGAACCCGGTACCTCAGTTGGAAATGCAGAAATCACCCCTCGTCTGCGTTGCTCATGCTGGGAGCTGTAGACTGGAGCTGTTCCTATTCGGCCATCTTGGAGGGTTTATGGGTTTTAATGGGCTGAGAGCAAGTCTAATGCAGCTGAAACTTCTTGAAGTGCTGCAACACTGGATGAAAGCCAGCAGAAACAAGTTTCCCATTTGAACCAAAGAGATTTGAAGGCTCAGACAGAGGGCATAACACAGTTATCAGTTTTTTTTTCTTTTTCCTATAGTGTGCTTTGTCTGGAAGAAAAACCTACTTTTATAAATGTGAATCGACTGGATGAGAAAATAGATTATATGCACTCTCCGAGGCCAGAAATTAGTGTTTCCAAATTGAGATGAGATAATTCTCTCAGGAAAAATACTTTTTTGATCATTTACAGATTTAGACTCACATTTGTAGGCTTTTCGTTCATGCCCATATACTTTCATTCACTTCACTCGCTCATTCATAGAAACATTTATCGAGTGCCTCCTGACTTCTCAGCCTGTCACTCCCATTATTTCTTTGAACAGAAACGTATTTAGAAGGCTGCTGAAAAGACTGGCAAGTCGTTTGATATTTTTAAGTGCAATCTGAATGCGGGAAATCTGAAGGTTGTTGGAAAGGGCTTTGGAAATAGACTTATCATTCCTGCTATTTCCTCTGCTGAGAATTTGCAGGGAGCCTTCTGAAAACTAATGGCCAAAGGAAATGCCATCTGCAAGGCTTGTATTTCCTCTTGCAAATTCATGAGGTACACCTAGAAAGGGACTCACACTGCCCTTGCTTGCTGATCCACATGGAGCTTCTTCTTGTTCTTCAGTTTCTTTGTTTTTGTTTGTTTGTTTGTTTTTGCAATGCAGGTTTTTGGCAGTTAACATCCCAGCTTCCCAGGTGAACGAGTATGGAAGATTAGATACTTCTTATGAAAGTCAGCATAAAATAGAGATTTCAGAGATCAATGAAAGAGACATTTCCACAGCAGGTGTCTTGGCTGTTTTGATGTTCTTTCTTTCTGACAATAGAGAAACCAACTTCGTGGTTAAAAGTAAATGCATTACTTCTCTGAGAAGTTGTACACAGCCAAGTATTCATGTTATATCAATGTACCTTCCCTGCCTATTAAATAATATCTATCTGTGTCTCCACATATAGGTCAATCAACTAAATTGTTTAGAAAATATATAAATCCATTGGACACTCTTTTGATTTAAGATGGAAAATTGAGTCCTTGATGACACTTCATCATATTTTTCAAACACCATCAAGATGTCAGAATAACTGTAAAAGCAAGAATAATACTACAGTAGCAAAGATGAATAGAGAATAAAGCTTTCAGAAGTGAAAACTATTAGGAGACCAAACAATTTAAGAATAATCTGGGAAAATAAAAATATCCAGGTTGAAGTTCATGATGAAAGTAAAAACAGACAAGGATCTTGAAGTCTTAGGAAATGGATAGGGCACCTGGCAATGTAATTATTGCTTTCCTCCACCCCATGAAATCCTGGAGAAACCCAGTGCTCAGGATCTAAAATGGGGTTGGGTGCGGTGGCTCACACCTGTTATCCCAGCACTTTGGGAGGCCGAGGCAGGCAGATCACCTGAGGTCAGGAGCTCGAGACCAGCCTGGCCAACATGGCGAAGCTCATCTCTACTAAAAATACAAAAATTAGCTGGGCGTTGTGACAAGCGCCTGTAATCCCAGCTACCAGGAGGCTGAGGCAGGAGAATCACTTGAACCTGGGAGGCAGAGGTCGCAGTGAGCTGACATCGTGCCATTGCACTCCAACCTAGGTGACAGAGGGAGATACCATCTCAAAAAAAAAAAATCTAAAGGGGTTTATATTCAGAAATGACCACAGAACAGAAGATGGATGTGGTGGATATTTATTACATTTTTTTGTAATCTACTCTGTAGCTTTTAATCTTGGGCCAATAAAAGAGAAATGAATATGAAACCATTCCATGTAGGATATGTGGCATATGGATATTTTTTGCTTCTTCAGAGCAGATACATACCCCCAGTACAGAAAGTTACAAAGTTTTCTTAAAACAGAAGTCAAGTTTCCAGTTATCTAAGCTTATTATCCTAGCTCCTTTCCTTAGGGTATGTTCTTAACCAAAGATTAATCCCAATGAAAAGATGAGTAACAACTAAAAAAAAGGAACCAGCAGTGGAAATAAGGAAAGAAACATGACAAGTCAGAGGTAGTTGAAGTATATACATCAAAAAATACGCCACAAAGCATCAGAAAACATTGAACAAAGATCTTTCTCTGAAATGGAATAAATTAAAGAAAATATGGGATGCCTGAAACAGGACCTCAAAGATGATGTACACAAATTCAAAGAAGAGACAAGACACCAGAAATGACAAGTGTACTAGCAGAGCTCCAGAAAGACATATGTATTAGGTCATTTTCATGCTGCTGATAAAGACATACCTAAGACTGGGAAGAAAAAGAGGTTTATTTGAACTTACAGTTGCACATGGCTGGAGAGGGCTCAGAATCGTAGTGGGAGGCAAAATGCACTTCTTATATGGTGGCAGCAAGAGAAAAATGAGGAAGAAACAGAAACAGAAACAGAAACCACAGATAAACCCATCAGATCTCATGAGACTTATTCACTATCATTAGAATAGCATGAGAAAAATCGGCCCCATGATTCAATTACCTCTCTCTGGGTCCCTCCCACAACTTGTGGGAATTCTGGGAGATACAATTCTAGTTGAAATTTGGGTGAGGGCATAGCCAGACCATATCATTCCACCCCTGGCCCCTCCAAATCTCATGTCCTCACATTTCAAAACCAATCATGCCTTCCCAACAGTCCCCCAAAGTCTTAACTCATTTCAGTATTAACCCAAAAGTCCACACTCCAAAGTCTCCTCTGAGACAAGTCCCTTCCACCTATGAGCCTGTAAAATCAAAAGCAAACTAGTTACTTCCTAGATACAATGGGGGTACAGGTATTAGATAAATACAGCCATTCCAAATGGGAGAAATTGGCCAAAACAAATGGGTTACAGGGCCCATGCAAGTCCAAAATCCAGCAGCAGAGTCAAATTTTAAAGCTCCAAAATTATCTCCTTTGACTCCAGGTCTCACATCCAGGTCACGCTGATGCAAGAGGTGGGTTCCCATGGTCTTGGGCAGCTCTGCCCCTGTGGCTTTGCAGGGTACAGCCTCCCTCCCAGCTGCTTTCACAGGCTGGCATTGAGTGTCTCCGTCTTTTCCAGGCGTATGGTGCAAGCTGTTAGTGGATCTACCATTCTGGGGTCTGGAGGACAGTGGCCCTCTTCTCACAGCTCCACTAGGCAGTGCTCCAGTAGGGACTCTTTGTGGGGGGCCCCAACCCCACATTTCCTTTCCAGACTGCCTTAGCAGAGGTTCTTCATGAGGGCCCCGCCCCTGCAGCAAACTTTTGCCTGGGCATCCAGGTGCTTCCATACATCTTCTAAAATCTAGGCAGAGATTCCCAAACCTCAATTCTTGACTTCTTTGCACCTGCAGGCTCAACACCATGTGGAAGCTGCTAAGGCTTGGGGCTTCCACCCTCTGAAGCCACAGCCCAAGCTGTACATTGGCCCCTTTCAGCCATGGCTGGAGTGGCTGGGACTTGGGGCACCAAGTCCCTAGGCTGCACACAACATGTAGTCCCTGGGCTAGGCCCACGAAACCACTTTTTCCTCCTGGGCCTCGGACCTTTGATGGGAGGGCTTGCTGTGAAGGTCTCTGACATGGCTTGGAGACATTTTCCCTATGGTCTTGGGGATTAACATTAGGTTCCTTGCTACTTATGCAAATTTGTGCAGCAGGCTTGAATTTCTCCTCAAAAAAATGGGTTCTTCTTTTGTACTGCATCATCAGGCTGCAAATTTTCCAAATTTTTATGCTCTGTTTCCTTTTTAAAATGGAATGCTTTTACCCAGTACCCAAGTCACCTCTTGAATGCTTTTCTGCTTAGAAATTTCTTCTACCAGATACCCTAAATCATCTCTCTCAAGTTCAAAGTTCCACAAACCTTTGGGCAGGGGCAAAATGTTTCCAGTCTCTTTGTTAAAACATAACAAGAGTCAACTTTGCTCCACTTCCCAACAAGTTCCTTATCTCCCTCTGAGATCACCTCAGCCTGGACCTTATTGTTCATATAATTATCAGCATTTTTGTCAAAGCCATTCAACAAATCTCTAGGAGGTTCCAACCTTTCCCGCATTTTCCTGTCTTGTTTTGAGCCCTCCAAACTGTTCTCACCTCTGCCTGTTACCCAGTTCCTAAGTCACTTCCACATTTTCGGGTATCTTTTCAGCAATGCCCCATTCTACTGGTACCAATTTACTGTATTGGTTCATTTTCATGCTGCTGATAAAGACATACCTGAGACTGGGAAGAAAAAGAGGTTTAACCGGACTTACAGTTCCACATGGCTAGGGAGGCCTCATATTCATGGTGGAAGGTGAAAGGCACTCCTTACATGGTGGTGGCAAGAGAAAAATGAGGAAGAAGCAAAAGTGGAACCCCCCTGATAAACCCATCCAATCTCATGAGACTTATTCACTATCATGAGAATAGCACGGGAAAGACTGGCCCCCATTATTCAATTACCTGCCCCTGGGTCCCTCTACAAGATGTGGGAATTCTGGGAGACCCAATTCAAGTTGAGATTTGGGTGAAGGCACAGCCAAACCATATCAATATGTAACAGGAAAGAATAAATTTTTTTTTAGAGAAATGAAAAGCACAATAAGAATAATAGAAATGAGAGCTTAGGTACTACTGAACATACAATCATAATCATTGTATGTTAAATGAGGTTAGGTACTGCTGAACATACAATCATAATCATTGTATAGAAATCCACCTGGGTGGCTTGAAAAATGATAGAGTTGAAATATAAAAGAAAACAGATCTGAAAAAAACCTGGGGAAAAATTTAAATATGGAAAATAACAAAGATGCAACAAATGTGCAATTAATATTTCTGAAGAAGAGAACAGAAAATGAAACAAAACAAAGAGCAGTAATAAAAGAAGATCATAACCTGCATAATTGAAGTGCATAGCTTGTCTCTGCTGAGAATTTTCAGAAAGCCTCTTAAAAACTGAGAGTCATGGGAAATGCCACCTGCAAGCTCTACTTTTCCTTTCACAAATTCACAATGCATGCCTGGGATGGAATATGCACTGCCCATACTTTCTTTTTCACATACAGTCTTTTCTTGTCCTTTGGTTTAGCCTTTTGTGTCATATAAAAATATCAATACCATGACATAGTCTGCTAACATTATTCTATTTCTACTTAACATTACTCTACTTCCACTTATTCTAAATAAAAGAAGCCTGTGTGTGCCCAGGCTACCCTCCGACCCATCAAATCAACTCTAAGGGCCAAAAAAAAAAAAATCAGCCTGGCATCAGACTTCTATACAATGATAGTCAATACTAGAAAACAAATAGTGAAGAAGTGCCTGCAATGTCTTAAGGAGAAGAAAATAAGACCAACCAAAATTTTACACAGTCAAGTTGTCACTCAATTATTATGATCACAGACATGTGCAAGAAGGCAGGTGTAACAGTTTTCTATTGCTGTTGTAACAAGTTACCACAAATTTCAAGGCTTAAAACAACGTAAATGTATTATTTCAGTTTCTGTAGTTCAGAAGTCTGGGCTGGTTTCATAGCTTGGCTGGTTTCCCTGCTTACAGTCTCACAAGGCTCATGCAATTACACTAGTCCCTCTTTGGAAACCCAGGATAATCTCCCTATCTTAATGTTAGCTGGTTAATAACCTGAATTCTGTCACCTAAGTTTCTCCTGCAATTTCATACATCATATTATCAGGATTCCAGGATTCCAGGATTCCAGTATTAGTGTCTGGACATCTCTAAGGGGTCATTATTTGTCCTATGAGGATAGATAACAAAATTTCTGAAAAGTGTTCTCTGTGAAAATTCAACCAATTAAGATACATGTGAAGAAATATTAATAGAAGGATTGGTGATAAACATGGAACACATTTTAAAATAGAATGTGGGATATATGGTTACATACCAGAATAAAAACAATTGTACTATTTAGGAAAATTATTGGTAGTTGCTATAATAAGCAGCATCAAAATATCAAAGCTTTAACTCACTAAATGGTTGTTTCTTGTTCACGTCACTGCTGAAAGTTTAGTCACTTTCTTTAGTGGTTACTCTCCACACAGTGACTTAGGAATCCAAGGCGCTTTCCAATGTTTGATTCTACTGTCTTGCAGTTCTTTACTTTCAAGTGAATGCACAAGAGAGACAGAAAGGGAAGATTTTCATGTGAAATTCTAGAAGCCAAACCTGGATGTTGTTTACATCATTTTTGTTCACATTCCTTTAGCAGAATTGGTTACATGAGCCAATCTAGCTGCAAGGGAGGCTGGAAAATGTAGACTTTCCATGTTCCTAAGAAGAGATCATGAGATTGGTATATATCCACATTCTACCACAATAACTTTTAATGATATAGAAATAATGATGTTACTACTCTTTTTTTTTTTTTTTGAAATGGAGTCTCACTCTGTTGCCCAGGTTGGAGTGCAGTGGTGTGATCTTGGCTCACTGCAACCTCTGCCTCCCAGGCTCATGCGATTCTCCTGCCTCAGCCTCCTGAGTAGCTGGGATTACAGGCATGCACCACTGTGCCCAGCTAATTTTGTTTTTTTTTAGTAGAGATAGGGTTTCACCATGTTGCCCAGGCTGGTCTTGAACTCCTGACCTCAAGTGATTCACCTGCCTTGGCCCCCCAAAGTGCTGGGATTACAGACATGAGTCACCGCACCTGGCCCTGATGTAACTACTCTTTCTGATCTAAATTAGCAATTGTAAACTTAGAGCGAAGTTGGGAGAATATTTAAGTATATTATTCCTTTACCTTTCATAGTAACTGCTTAAAAAGCCAATGAAATAAGACTTTTTCATCATATATATATATATAATATGCAACTGTCAGAAGAGCTAAAAATGTGAACACAAACAACTGAAATCAGGAGGTGGAGGCAACTTTGGGAAGTATTATGTAGTAATTATTGCATCCGTTATAGTGGGTGGTCACTAATGTATTCTCTACAGTTGATAAATAAACCATAATTTAAATTTATTGTATAAAACTATAGTTATTGACATAGAATTTGGAACTAAAAACTATATCAACTTCAGAGGACACAATTGAATTAAACAAAGGAAAAGTAGATAATAAAGGAAAAGACAAAACACAAAAGAAATTATAAACAAAGCATAGCATGAAACAACAAATAAAAGCAAGAATTGGCATGTCAATAAGTAGAAATGAGATAATTTACCCATTAAGAGAAAGACATTTAGCTGAATACGAATGTGTATGTGTGTGTAGAGTTGCACTAAAAATAAGATGGGGTAGCAGGTGCTACATTTACTACCCTTTCTGAAACAACCAAACTGGCTGAAATATATAAAATACTTTTCAAGGTACTGGAACTTAGGTGATGTCTTAGTGCATTCAGGCTGCTATAACAAAATGTCATAAATTGGGTAGCTTATAAACAACAGAAATTTATTTTTCACAACTGTTCTGGAGTCTGTGAAGTTAAAGATCAAGGCCCTAGTAGATTCTGTGTTTGGTTAGAGACTACTTTCTGGTTCATAGACTGCTCCTTTTCACTGTGTCCTCACATAGTGGAAGGGACAAGGTAGCTCTCTGGAACCTCTTTTATAATGGCACCAATCCCATTCCTGAGGGCTCTGCATTCATGACCTAATCACTTTCCAAAGGTCTGACCTCTTAAGACTATCACATTGGGGATTAGCTTTCAACACATGAATTTGGAGGAAGGGGACACAAACATTCAGACCAATGCAGGCAACAAAGGACAGTGATCTCTAAATGGTGAGAAACAACTGTGTTGAAGTCTACAATTGTCCCAGCTTACTGACTTGAGGGGAAACTCACTTAGAACCTGGCAGATGCTTGTGCTGTGGAGACAGAATTGGCAGTTTGGAGAGACCAAAACGGCTAGAGTTAGCAGAAAAGAGTATAGAAGAGAGAGCTGCACAGAGAGAACTTCAGAAAACTGCAGAAGGTCCTTCTTGAATATTCAGGAGAGAACGGATAAACACACGCATATAAAGAAACTACCCAAGGCTGGGGAAAGAATCATCGGAAAAGGTCAGGGAAAATTATCTCTGGAGTTCACAAAGAGCTAGGAATAACTCTTTCCACCAGACAAACTGGAAAAGTTCATATTTCAGTAATATTAGGTAGAATACTCCTCAGAAAGGACTTGCATCCATCAAGGAGCAAAATTAGCCCTAGAATAAATACTGCTCTTGTCTTTGCCTAACAAAACTTATAAGACCCCCAAAGGATTAAATTTCTTTCCAAGGAAATTAACTGTGTCAAAAACAAAGCTAAGAAACTTTAAAGGAATACAAAAGTATTCAGCATCCAAACAAAGTAAAATACATGGCTACTGATAATGTAAAATTAGATATTAACAACTTTGGAAAAAAGTTTGGCAGTCTCTGAAAATATATACCTGCCATATGATCCAGCCAGTTCACTGCTACCTAGTTTCCCAAAAGAAATGAAAATATATGTATATGTGAATACTCATATACTAATATTCATAGCAGCTTTGTTTGTAATGGACAAAACAACCCAAATGTCCATCAACGTTGGAATGGAAACAACCCAAATGTCAATCAACAAGTGAATAAACAAAATGTGCTATACGTATATAATGGAATACTACTCAGCAATAAAAAGGAATGAAAGGAATGAACTAATGATGCATGCAACAGCATGGATACATCTCAAAATAATTATGCTGAATGAAAGAAGCCAGACAGCAAAAATTTCCTACTGAGTGATTCCATTTATATAAAAATCTAGAGAATGCCAATTAGCCTTTAGTGAAATAAAGCAGAACAGTAATTGCCTGTGACAGGGTGGGAAAGATTTGGACTGGAAGCAGGGATTACCAAGAGGGGTGAGAAAACTTTTGAAGGTGATGAATATGTACATTGTCTTCATTGCTTTGATGGTTTTACAGGTGTATATGTAATTCAAAATGATCAAATTATACACTTTAAATATGTTCAGTTTATTTTATATGAATAAAGCTGATAAAAATGACAAAGAAAGAATGAAACTAAAAAAGATGGACAAAAACATAGTAATAAAATGCAAATTAAAAAGAGGAGCATGCTATTATCATCATAGAAGTATGAAATCAGACAAAAAGCTGTAAACAAGACAATGTGGGTTTAATTTCCATGAATCTTTATGCACAAAATAAACTATCATCAGAATGTATAAAGCAAAAATTATAGGGAACAAAGTGCAAAGTGGAATGTATAAAACACTAGGAATATTTAATCTATATATTTGACATGTTTCTTTCAGCCTATGATGGATGACAAACAAAAGGCAAGAATATCGGGGGAGGGAAGGTAATAAATGGATTCTTCTCAAGATGGCTGACTAAAAGCAGCTAGTGTACTTCTAGCTCATGGATAGAATAAAAGGTGGTGAGTAAATCCTAGCTCCTCAACTGATACATCCAGGTGTACACATTGGGATTCATCAAGGAAACAACCCACAGAGAATGGAGAGGAGCCACACAGGACAACTGCCCACCCATGAGGGGCGTAGAGCCAGGGGAGAGTTCCCCACTACCCGGAAATAGCGCATGAGTTAGAGTCCCCGGGGACCCATACTTATACTACAGACCTTTGCAACCCTGGGCTCAGGACATCCCCTTGTGAGCCCACTCCACAGTCTGTAGCTCTCAGACTGTCATGCAGGGCTACAGGGAATTTGGGCAAAGCTGCCGCTCAGGACATATGGAGTCCCAGGAAGCTTGGATCCCTGCAATAGTGGCTGTAACTCCGTCAATGGGGGAGGTCAGGTTCCCTTGCATGCCCCCAGGAAAGGGGCTGAATCCAGTTGGCTGAGCAGCTACTGACTGCACGCCTCACCTCTACTGTACCTCCAAGGATTAAATCCTACTGGCCTGGGACTACAGCCACCCCCTGCCACCCACTGTGGCAGATCTCGGGCTGATAGCAACTCTCCATTTCCCTGGGATGGAAGCTCCCACAGGCAGAGGTAAGCTGCCATTTTTGCTGTCTCACAGCCCTTGTCGCTGTTGCTTTCAGGCTGTGGAGTGCTTGGTGACTAGGGACTGGTGCAGATCCCCAGCACAACCCAGACGCCTCATGGAAAAAGTGACCTTACCATTTTCCACATGGGTCCCTGTTCACACTTCTCCTTACTAGGCGAGCCCTTGCAACCTGAGACTCCAGCACAACTACACTGCCTTCACCTGAACGCTTTAATTGGAGGTAGCTCTGCAGTTCTATAAAGAAGAAATCCCAGAAAAAACCACAACCCCTCTGCCATTGCAGCTGCGGTGGTACTGCCATAACCACTCTCAGGCTAGGGAAGGAACAACAGGTTTAGTCACTATGCTGGCTCTTTCAGCACACTGCAGCCACCATATGGAGAGGAATCCAGTCTCCTTTCCTTGTGAGCCCCCACCCCTCACTCTTCACCAGGCAGGGCCCCTGGTCAGGATCACAGATCAACTGCCTCACCCACAGCTGAGCACACCCACTGCTAGTGGCTCTGAGTTTCCCCGGGGAGGGGCTCCCAGAAGTAACGGACAGCCCGTCTGCTACTACCACAGCAATGGTTCTGCCCCTGTTGTCCTCAGTCTGGGGAAGAAACAAAGAGCCTGAGAGTTTCACCCAACCTCCCAATAGGCCACAGTCACCATATGGAGAGGAGTTCAGTCTCTACTCCCTGTGAGCCCTTGACCCCGTGCTCCTCAACAAGTGGGGCCCCAGCTCAGGCCAACAGTGCAGTCGCCCCACCCCCTGGCTGAACAATCTGCATTTCCCTGAGGTGGAGCTCCCAGAGGCAACCAAAAGCCCCTCTGGGCTTTTGCCACTGCAGTGGTACTGCCCTTGCTGCCCTCGGACTGGGTAAGGAGCAAAGACCCTAAGTGCTTTAACCACACCTCCAGCAAGCTGCAGTTCCTCTCAAGAGAAGAGGCCAGTTTGTCTCCCTTGTTACCCACATGCACCGCCCGCTTGTTACCAGGCAGGCCCCCTCACCTCCTCTACCCCCCAGCTTGGGCCCACAGTGCAGCCACCCCATCCTGGGCCCATTGCACCAATTGATGGTAGCTCCACATGTCTCTGGGGCGAAACCCCAAGAGACAAGTGAAAGGCCCTCTGCCACAACCACTGCTAAGGCCCCTTCCCCTGCTGCCTCCAAGGTGGGGAGAGAGCATAAAGCCTGAGCTCACCCCAGAGCTGTGGTGTGCAACCTGGGAGTGTCAAGCTGAGATCTGCAGCCAGCACTCAAGTGGGAGAGGAGCACACACTTTCAGAGCACGGAGAGGGAGTCCAGCTGCAATCATGAGGAAATACAGAGGAGCCACTTGGCTGAGCAAGAGCCTACCGACAGACTGTTTTTCTTAAGCACCACCTATTGGATCACAGGCCA
This sequence comes from Homo sapiens, assembly GCF_000001405.40. Taxonomy (NCBI): domain Eukaryota; kingdom Metazoa; phylum Chordata; class Mammalia; order Primates; family Hominidae; genus Homo; species Homo sapiens. The sequence goes on along the minus strand of NC_000023.11, from coordinate 131,513,035 downwards.
AAACTTTTTTTTTTTTTATTATACTTTTAAGTTTTAGGGTACATGTGCACAACTTGCAGGTTTGTTACATATGTATACATGTGCCATGTTGGTGTGCTGCACCCAGTAACTTGTCATTTAACATTAGGTATATCTCCTAATGCTATCCCTCCCCCCTCCCCCCACCCCACAACAGGCCCCAGTGTGTGATGTTCCCCTTCCTGTGTCCACGTGTTCTCATTGTTCAATTCCCACCTATGAGTGAGAACATGTGGTGTTTGGTTTTTTGTCCTTGTGATAGTTTGCTGAGAATGATGGTTTCCAGCTTCATCCATGTCCCTAGAAAGGACATGAACTCATCATTTTTTATGGCTGCATAGTATTCCATGGTGTATATGTGCCACATTTTCTTAATCCAGTCTATCATTGTTGGACATTTGAGTTGGTTCCAAGTCTTTGCTATTGTGAGTAGTGCCGCAATAAACATATGTGTGCACATGTCTTTATAGCAGCATGATTTATAATCCTTTGGATATATACCCAGTAATGGGATGGCTGGGTCAAATGGTATTTCTAGTTCTAGATCCCTGAGGAAGAAGGACCTCTTCAAGGAGAACTACAAACCACTGCTCAATGAAATAAAAGAGGATACAAACAAATGGAAGATCATTCCATGCTCATGGGTAGGAAGAATCAATATCGTGAAAATGGCCATACTGCCCAAAGTAATTTATAGATTCAATGCCATCCTAATCAAGCTACCGATGACTTTCTTGAAGAATTGGAAAAAACTACTTTAAAGTTCATATGGAACCAAAAAAGAGCCCACATTGCCAACTCAATCTTAAGCCAAAAGAACAAAGCTGGAGACATCACGCTACCTGATTTCATACTATACTACAAAGCTACAGTAACCAAAACAGCATAGTACTGGTACCAAAACAGAGATATAGACCAATGGAACAGAACAGAGCCCTCAGAAATAATGCCACATATCTACAACTATCTGATCTTTGACAAACCTGAGAAAAACAAGCAATGGGGAAAGGATTCCCTATTTAATAAATGGTGCTGGGAAAACTGGCTAGCCATATGTAGAAAGCTGAAAGTGGATCCCTTCCTTACACCTTATACAAAAATTAATTCAAGATGGATTAAAGGCCAAACTTCAACACCAAAAATTATTTGCTAATATACCCCCCTTGTGAAATCAAGGACAACAATTCAGCTATAAATAAAGACCCTGCACAAAGCCTTGACACTCTGAAAACGTCCAGAAAAGAAGTCTACTGTCTGTACTCAAATTACACCACAGTTAAAGGAACACAGGCCCACACAGATGAGAAAGAACCACAGCAAGAACTCTGGGAACTTAAAAACCAGAGTGGCCTCTTTCCTCTAAACAACCAGGCTAATTCCCCAGCAAGGGTTCTTAACAGGGCCAAAATGGCTGAAATGACAGAAATAGAATTGAGAATATGGATAGGAATAAAGATCATCAAGATTCAGCAGAAAGTTGACACCCAATCCAAGGAATCTAAGGATTACAACAAAGCAACACAGGAGCTGATAGAAGAAATAGCCATTATAAAAAAGAACCAAACTGATCTAATATAGCTGAAAAACACACTACAAGAATTTTATAATGCAATTGCTAGTACTAACAACAGAATAGACTGAGCTGAGGAAAGAATCTCAGAACTTTAAAACTGGCTCTCTGAAATAACTCAGTCAGACAAAAATACAGAAAAAAGAATAAAAAAGAATGAACGAAACCTCCAAGAAATATGGGATTATGTAAGGGACCAAATTTATGACTCATTTGTGTCCCTGAAAGAGACATGGAGAAAACAAGCAACTTGGAAACATATTTCAGGATATGGTCCATGAAAACCTCCCCAACCTCACTAAGGAGGCCAACATTAAAATTCAAGAAATGCAGAGAACCTTTGTGAGATACTACAGAAGAAATCCACTCCCAAGACATATAATCATCAGATTTTCCAAGGTCGAAATGGAAAAAAACAAAACAAAACATGTTAAAGACAGCTATAGAGATGGGGCAGGTCATCTACAAAGGGACCCCCATCAGGCTAATAGTGGATCTTTCAGAAGAAATCCTACAAGCCAGAAGTCACTGGGAGCCTATATTCAGCATTCTTAAACAAAAGAATTTCCAACCAAGAATTTCGTATCCAGCCAAACCAAGCTTCATAAGTGAAGCTTTTCAGACAAGCAAATGCTAAGGGAGTTTATTACCACCAAGCCTGCCTTATAAGAGGTCCTGAAAGGCGTGATAAATATGGAAAGGAAAGACTATTACCAGCCAATATAAAAACACACTTAAGTACACAGAGCAGTGTCACTATAAAGTAATGACACAAACAAGTCTTCATAATAACCAGCTAACAACACAATGACAGGATCAAATCCACACATATCAATACTGACCTTGAATGTAAATGGACTAAATGCCCCAATTAAAAGTTCAGAGTGGCAAGCTGGATAAAGCAAGACCCAATGATATACTATCTTTAAGAGACCCATCTCATGTGCAGTGCCAGTCACACGTTCAAAATAAAGGGATGAATAAATATCTACCAAGCAAATGGAAAACAGAAAAAAGGGATTGTCATCCCAATTTCAAACAAAACAGACTTTAAGCCAAGAAAGATAAAAAATAAAAAACAAAGAAGGACATTGTATAATGGTAAAAGGTTCAATTCAACAAGAAGTCCTAACTATCCCAAATATATATGCATCCAACACAGCACCCAGATTCATAAAACAAGTTCTTAGAAACTTACAAAGAGACTTAGGTTCCCACACAATAATAGTGGGAGACTTTAACACCCCACTAACAGTGTTAGATCATCAAGGCAGAAAATTTACAAAATATATTCAGGACCTGAACTCAACACTTGACCACATGGCCTTAACAGACATCTACAGAACTCTCAACCCCAAAACAACAGAATATACATTCTCCTCATCACCTCATGGCACATATGCTAAAATTGACCACACAATTGGACATAAAACCTTCAACATCAAATTTTAAAAAACTGAAAACATACCAAACACACTCTAGGACAACAGTGCAATAAAAATAGAAATCAATGATATGAAAATCACTCAACATCATGCAGTTACATGGAAATTAAACAACCTGCTCCTAATGAGTTTTGGCTAAATAATGAAATTAAGACAGAAGTCAAGAAGTTCTTTGAAACTAATGAGAACAAAGATACAACATGCCAGAATATCTGGGACACAGCTAAAGCAGTGTTAAGAGGGAAGTTAACAGTACTAAACACCCACATCAAAAAGTTAGAAAGATCTAAATTAAAAACCTAACACACAACTAGAGGAAGTAGAGAAGCAAGAAGAAACCAACCCTAAAACTAGCAGAAGACAAGAAAGTAACCAAAAACTGAACTGGACTGAAGGAAATTGAAGCACACACACACACAAAAAATACAAAAGGTCAACGAATCCAGGAGTTGACTTTTTTTGAAAATACTAGTAAGATGCATAGACCACTAGGTAGACTAACAAAGAAAATGAGGGAAGATCCAAATAAACACAATTAGAAATGACAAAGGAGATGTTACCACTTACTCCACTGAAATACAAAAAATCCTGAGACTATTGTGACACCTCTATGCACACAAACTAAAAAATCTAGAATAAATCGATAAATTCCTAGACTCATATAACCTCCCAAGACTGAACCAGGAAGACATTGAAACCCTGAACAGAGTAATAACGAGTTCCAAAATTGAATCAGTAGTAAAAAGCCTACCAATCCCAAAAACCTAGGACTAGATGGATTCATAGCTGAATTCTTACAGATGTATAAAGAAGAGCTGATACCATTGCTACTGAAACTATTCCTTAAAATTGAGGGGTCGTCTCATTCTACGAGGACAGCATCATGCTGATACCAAAACCTGGCAGAGACACCCAGAAAAGAAAACTTCAGGCCAATATTCTTGATGAACATAGATGCAAAAGTGCTAGCAAATAGAATCCAGCCACACATCAAAAAGCTAATCCACCACAATCAAACAGTCTTTATCCTTGGGATACAAGATTGGTTCAACATACACAAACCAATAAATGTGATTCATCATATAAACAGAACTAAAAACAAAAACCTCATGATCATCTCAATAGATGCAGAAAAGGCTTTTGATAAAATTCAACATCTCTTCGTTTTAAAAAACCCTCAATAAAGTAGGCATTGAAGCAACGTACTTTAAAATAATAAGAGCCGTCTATGACAAACCCACAGCCAACATCATACTGAATGGGCAAAAGCTGGATGCATTCCCCTTGAAAACCGGAGCAAGACAGGGATGTGCTCTATCACCACTTCTATTCAATATAGTAGCGGAAATCCTGGCCAGAACAATCAGACAAGAGAAAGAAATAAAAGGCCGGGTGTGGTGGCTCACACCTGTAATCCCATTCATTGGGATTATACACACCACTTTTACAGCACTTTGGGAGGCCAAGGTGGGTAGATCACCTGGTGTCAGGAGTTCCAGACCAGCCTAGCCAACATGACAAAATCCTGTCTATAGTAAAAATACAAAAATTAGCTGGGCATGGTGGCATGTGCCTGTAATCCCAGCTACTTGGAAGGCTGAGGCAGGAGAATTGCTTGAACCTAGGAGGTGGAGGTTGCAGTGAGTTGAGATCGCACCACTGCGCTCCAGCTTGAGCAACAGAGCAAGACTCTGTCTCAAGGAAAAAAAAATAAAAATAAAAATAAAAGAAAAAAAAACATATCCAAATAGGAAGACAGGAAGTCAAACTATCCCTGTTTGCAGACAACATGATTCTATATCTAGAAAACCCCATATTCCAGGCTCTAAAGCTCCTTGATCTGATAAACAACTTTAGCAATGTTTTAGGATAGAAAATCAATGTACAAAAACACTAGCACTCCTGTATACCAACAGCATCCAAACTGAGAGCCAAATCAGAAATGTCAAATCAAGTTGCAGAGGAAAAGGAACACATTTATAAACTGCTAGTGGAACTGTTCAGCCATTGTGGAAAACGGTATAGCAATTTCTCCAAAAACTTGAAACAGAACTACCATTCGATCCAGCAATCACATTATTGGGTGTATACCCAAAACATTATAAATTGCTCTACCATAAAGACATGCATGTGTATGTTCATTGCAGCACTATTTGCAATAGCAAAGACATGGAAGCAACCTAAATGCCCATCAACGATAAACTGAATAAGGAAAATGTGGTACATATATACCATGGAATACTGCACAGACATAAAAAAGAATGAGATCTTGTCCTTTTCAGCAACATAAATGGAGGTAGAGGCCATTATCCTAAGCAACTTAACTCAGAAACAGAATACCAAATACCGGTTGTTCTCACTTATAGGTGGGAGCTAAGCAATGAGAACACATGTACACAAAGAGGGGAATGACAGACACCAGGGCCTACTTGAGGGTGGAGGGTGGAAGGAGAGAGAGTATCAGGAAAAAATATCTATCTGGTAGTATACTTATTACCTGGGTGACTAAATAATCTGTACACCAAACCCCCGTGGCATGCAGTTTACCTATGTAACAAACCTGCTATCCCTGAACTTAAAAGTTATTTTAAAAAAGAATACAGGTGACCTATAAAACTTCAAAATTTTAAAGGTACATTAATAAAATAAGCATTGAACTATGTACCCTGAAAACAGAAAATATAGCTTCCTTTCTTTTTAAATTTTATTTTATTTTACTTTAAGTTCCAGGATACATGTGCACAACGTGCAGGATTGTTATATAGGTATACATGTGCCATGGTGGTTTGCTGCACCTATTGACCCATCCTCTAAGTTCCCTCCCCTTGCCCCCCAATCCCACAACAGGCCCTGGTGTGTGTCGTTCCCCTCCCTGTATCCATGTGTTCTCATTGTTCAACTCCCACTTATGAGTGAGAACATGTGGTGTTTGGTTTTCTGTTCCTGTGTTAGTTTGCTGAGGATGATACCTTCCAGCTTCATCCATGTCTCTGCAAAGGATATAATCTAATTCCTTTTTATGGCTTTGTAGTATTCCGTAGTGTATATGTACCACATTTTCTTTATCCAGTCTATCATTGATGGGCATTTGGGTTGGTTCCATGACTTTGCCATTGTAAATAGTATATAGCTTCTTTTCATTTCACTATGGTAAATTTGCAATAACTCAATTTAAAAAAAGCTTAGTAAATTTAAAACAGAAATAATTTAGATCATATTCAAATTAGAGAATGATAAAACCAAAAATTAATAAAACTACAAAAATATTCAATTGGATATTAAATATAAAGTGTATTTCATACAATATAACATATAGCACTGGAAATTGAAACACTGCTGTATACAAAGATGTGGATGAGCCTCAAAATCATAATGTTGAATGAAAGAAGCCAGACACAAAAGAGTAGATACATGTATGGTGTTGGGGGTCAGGACAGTGGTTGCCTCTGGAGAGACAATATACTGATTAGGAAAAAACACACAGGGACTTCTAGGATATGCTTAATGTTCTATTTCTTGATGTAGTATGGGTTAATGAGTGTATTCCCTTTGTGAAAATTTACCAAATGTATGCTTATGAGTCTAATTTTTTCTGTAATATGTTAAACTACATTATAAATGTTTATTAAAGTTGAAAAAATAAACTTCTTCAACATCTTGTAAGAAAGACAAAAAACCAAAATCTTATAATGTCCAGAAACTAACAGTAGTAAAATCAGACAAAATTAGGAACTAGAATGAAGAAATAGCTGCAGATATTGATGAAATCAAAATTATAATAATGCTTAGCACAACTCTTAGCTTGTGTTTACATTTGAAAACCTGAATGCAATGGATTATTTTCTTGGAGAATATACATTAAAAAAATTAAGCCCAGAAGACATAGGAAATCTAGACAGAAAAGTTATATAGAAAAAAATTTTAGTTGTTGAAGAGTTCACCTCTTGAAACGTCTGAGTGTTTTTATGAATGTATTCCATGAAACATTTTAAGAAGAGTAACTCCAATGCTATTTACACTGGCCTAGAGCATATTACATTGTTTCTCAAAAAAGTCTGCTCCTAAATTATCTGATTCAGGAGCACCTGAGGTGCTCAAATTTGCTTTTGTAATCCAGAATTGTCAAATTATAGCCTGTGAATGTGAGGTCTGGGAATGTGCATTTTTATCAAGCTTCTCAAGTCATTCTTATGTGCATAAAAGTTTGAGAACCACTGACACAGATGGGAAAGGACAGTTTTCAATGTCTTACAAAGGCAAAATATCACCAATACCAAAACCTGACAAATATATTATTTTTTTAAAAGCCAACAGATCAATTTTACTCATGAATATTGACTCAAATACCCTAAATAAAATTTTAGCAAATAGAATAAAGCAGCACAAATGGAGCTCATTCCCAGAAAGCAATGATGGCTCAATGTTAAGAAATCTATTAATACGATTCATAACATTAGCGGAATAAAGTCCGAATTCCTCAATATTACTGACAAGACTCTCCAGGAGATGTTTCCGCACACACCACTTTTACTGCTCAGTGTGTTACACTTGGAACTCCAATAATAATGAATGGAATATCACCCCATATGAAACACATCATATGGTTTCTCACTGTAATGTGTTCTCTCATGCTGTTTCTCCCTCGCACGACCAACACACTAAACTAAGTTTCTTTTTTTTTTTTTTATTATACTTTAAGTTTCAGGGTACATGTGCACATTGTGCAGGTTAGTTACATATGTATACATGTGCCATGCTGGTGCGCTGCACCCACTAACTCGTCATCTAGCATTAGGTATATCTCCCAATGCTATCCGTCCCCCCTCCCCCCACCCCACCACAGTCCCCAGAGTGTGATATTCCCCTTCCTGTGTCCATGTGATCTCATTGTTCAATTCCCACCTATGAGTGAGAATATGTGGTGTTTGGTTTTTTGTTCCTGCGATAGTTTACTGAGAATGATGATTTCCAATTTCATCCATGTCCCTACAAAGGACATGAACTCATCATTTTTTATGGCTGCATAGTATTCCATGGTGTATATGTGCCACATTTTCTTAATCCAGTCTATCATTGTTGGACATTTGGGTTGGTTCCAAGTCTTTGCTATTGTGAATAATGCCACAATAAACATACGTGTGCATGTGTCTTTATAGCAGCATGATTTATAGTCCTTTGGGTATATACCCAGTAATGGGATGGCTGGGTCAAATGGTATTTCTAGTTCTAGATCCCTGAGGAATCACCACACTGACTTCCACAATGGTTGAACTAGTTTACAGTCCCACCAACAGGGTAAAAGTGTTCCTATTTCTCCACATCCTCTCCAGCACCTGTTGTTTCCTGACTTTTTAATGATTGCCATTCTAACTGGTGTGAGATGGTATCTCATTGTGGTTTTGATTTGCATTTCTGTGATGGCCAGTGATGATGAGCATTTTTTCATGTGTTTTTTGGCTGCATAAATGTCTTCTTTTGAGAAGTGTCTGTTCATGTCCTTCACCCACTTTTTGATGGGGTTGTTTGTTTTTTTCTTGTAAATTTGTTTGAGTTCATTGTAGATTCTGGATATTAGCCCTTTGTCAGATGAGTAGGTTGCTAAAATTTTCTCCCATTTTGTAGGTTGCCTGTTCACTCTGATGGTAGTTTCTTTTGCTGTGCAGAAGCTCTTTAGTTTAATTAGATCCCATTTGTCAATTTTGGCTTTTGTTGCCATTGCTTTTGGTGTTTTGGACATGAAGTCCTTGCCCATGCCTATGTCCTGAATGGTAATGCCTAGGTTTTCTTCTAGGGTGTTTATGGTTTTAGGTCTAACGTTTAAGTCTTTAATCCATCTTGAATTGATTTTTGTATAAGGTGTAAGGAAGGGATCCAGTTTCAGCTTTCTACATATGGCTAGCCAGTTTTCCCAGCACCATTTATTAAATAGGGAATCTTTTCCCCATTGCTTGTTTTTCTCAGGTTTGTCAAAGATCAGATAGTTGTAGATATGTGGCATTATTTCTGAGGGCTCTGTTCTGTTTCATTGATCTATATCTCTGTTTTGGTACCAGTACCATGCTGTTTTGGTTACTGTAGCCTTGTAGTATAGTTTGAAGTCAGGTAGTGTGATGCCTCCAGCTTTGTTCTTTTGGCTTAGGATTGCCTTGGCGATGTGGGCTCTTTTTTGGTTCCATATGAACTTTAAAGTAGTTTTTTCCAATTCTGTGAAGAAAGTCATTGGTAGCTTTATGGGGATGGCATTGAATCTGTAAATTACCTTGGGCAGTATGGCCATTTTCATGATATTGATTCTTCCTATCCATGAGCATGGAATGTTCTTCCATTTGTTTGTATCCTCTTTTATTTCCTTGAGCAGTGGTTTGTAGTTCTCCTTGAAGAGGTCCTTCACATCCCTTGTAAGTTGGATTCCTAGGTATTTTATTCTCTTTGAAGCAATTGTGAATGGGAGTTCACTCATGATTTGGCTCTCTGTTTGTCTTTTGTTGGTGTATAAGAATGCTTGTGATTTTTGTACATTGATTTTGTATCCTGAGAGTTTGCTGAAGTTGCTTATCAGCTTAAGGAGATTTTGGGCTGAGACAATGGGGTTTTCTAGATATACAATCATGTCGTCTGCAAACAGGGACAATTTGACTTCCTATTCGGCCATCTTGGCTCCTCCCAACTAAGTTTCAATTTAGGCACCACCAATTCAAACATGGCTTCCGTGGCTACTTTTTCTTGACAACTGGGTTAGATATCCTTTTTGCCCTATTTATTAAAATATACCATGCATATCTCTAGCATTATATATATATCACATGTTATATTTTAATGATGTAGTCATGTGATGATCTCCTCAATGAAACTGAATTCACCACTGTATTCAAAGCACAATCCCTGGAATGGAGTGTATTCATTAAATATATTTAAATGTTGAATAAATGAATGTCAATGTGAGGCAAATTTGTTCCACATGGGGTCATATACATGCTCGGGATGAATTTTTCATTTTCCACCTGGTGGTTATGGTACATTGTTCATGTAACTTGTATGCCTGTTGAGAACCGAACCATTTAAGCAAATAAATAAGTGGGAGAAAAATGAGAAAAACACATTTGCACAACAGGAAGGCAACTTGGTTGATCAGAATTTTTGAAAAAATGATGTGGGGATTTGGAGACATTTCTCAAATCTATTCAATTAACATGAACACTTTTACTTTAAATATGCAGTTAAATGAGAAAGCTGGTTGATATTTGCTTAAATTATTTTTATTATCATTTCAAGAGTCACTGAAATGTGTCTGGCTGTATCCATCTGACCAAAAAAAATAAAAATAAAAATAAAAAGTAGTCACACCACTCTTAGCTGTTTGATAATTCTGGTAAACAACAGAATAGTACCTGATTGTTTGATTTTTTACCTTGTATTAAGTTGTTAGGTGTCATAGCAATGTCGGTTTTGTTTCTTACTTAAGGAGGAATGGGAACATGACATTTTCAGTGCATTTCATCAAGAATGATAGCATCAACACATCTTTTCTTATAATTATGTGTCCAGGTGCCTGAGGTTATGGTACTTGCAGGTAAAGCAGGCAGTCAAATAACTTTACTGTCTGAGAAAGTAAAAGATTTTGCCCCTGGTAGTTTGGAAAGTGAATATGATAATTCACTTTTTCACTATTCAGATTATATTATCATCCTCCTTGCTTTTTGAAATTCAGTTTTATCACATTGTATATGTATGTCTAAATAGTATATTATTTACTTTTACTCTTTTCTAAGCTTTCTAAGATTGGTATCATACTGTATACAGTTTTCTGAGACTTTTCTCACTTAACATTGTTCATTCTCATTTTTGCTGTTGCATAGTAACTTGTTATATGATTATACAACGTATTTATCCATTTTCTGCTAATAGATGTTGTGATGGTTAATATTGAGTGTCAAGTTGATTGGATTGAAGGATGCAAAATATTGTTCCTGGGTGAGTCTGTGAGGGTGTTGCCAAAGGAGATTAACGTTTGAATCAGTGGACTTGGAAAGGCAGACCCACCCTCAATCTGTGTGGGCACAATCTAATCAGCTGCCACCGTGGCCAGAATAAAAGCAGGCAGAAGAACGTGGAAAGACCAGACTGGCTTAGTCTTCCAGCCTACATCTTTCTTCTGTGCTGGATGCTTCCTGCCCGGAAACATTAGACTCCAGCTTCTTCAGCTTTGGGACTCTTGGACCTTCGACCACAGACTGAAGGCTGCACTACCAGTTTCTCTGCTTTTGAGGTATGGGGACTCTGACTGGCTTCCTTGCTCCTCAGCTTGCAGACGGCCTATTGTGGGACCTCACCTTGTGATCATGTGAGTCAATACTCCTTACTAAACTCTGCTTTATGTATACATCCATCCTATTAGTTCTTGTTCCTCTAGAGAACTCTGACTAATTCAGATGTCTAAGTTGCAGAGTTTTGATATTATAAACAGTGCCTGTACATGTTTCCTGGTGCAGATGTGCAAGAGTTTCTCTGTGGTATGCATACTAACACTTGGTATTCTCAGATTTCTAAAGTTTTGGTTTTAAAACAATGTCATTGTAATCACAATTTTCATTCCCCTAATCACTTTATATATCTAAAATTTGAGCATAATTTTATATATTTTTGGCAATTTAGTTTTCTTTTCTATGAAAAGCCTCTTCAAATTCTTTATCCATTTATGATAGATTGAGTATCCCTTATCTGAAATTCTTGGGGCTAAAAATGTTTGGGATTTTGGATTTCTTTGGATTTGGAAATATTTGCATATACATACTGAAATATCTTGGGGGTAGGACCCAAGTGTAAACACAATTTATTTATGTTTTATATACACCTTATACACATAGCTGAGGGTAATATTATATAATATTTTAAATAATTTTGTGCATGAAACAGTTTGTGTACATTGAACCATCAGAAGGTAAAGGTGTCAGGTGTGGAATTTTCCACCTGTGGCATCATGTTGGCACTATAAAAGTTTTGGATTTTGGATTTTGGTATTAGGAATGTTCAACCTGTATTGGGTTGTTTGTCTTTTTCTTATTAATATGTGGATTTTTTTGTGTATTTTCAATACAAATGTTGTATTGGTTGGATGCGTCATGAATATCTTCTCTCCAGTTGTAGTTTGTCTTGGTGTTTGTATCTAAACTGAAGTTCTTACTTTTAATATAGCTGCCTGTGTTAATATATTATTAGATGGCTATTTTTTGTGTTGTGTTAAATAAATTATTTCTACCTCTGTATCAGAAAGATATTCTTTTATATTTTATTTAAAATTTTATGATCTTTACTTTTCTGCATTTTAGGTATCATGAGAAAGATCCAGTTTTATTTTCCTATAGATTTCTTTTCTTTTCTTTTCTTTTCTTTTCTTTTCTTTTCTTTTCTTTTCTTTCTTTCTTTCTTTTTTTTTTTGAGACGGAGTTTTACTCTGCTGCCCAGACTGGAGTGCAGTGGCGCAATCTGGGCTCACTGCAACCTCCACCCCCTATGTACAAGCGATTCTCCTGCCTCAGCCTCCCGAGTAGCTGGGATTACAGGCACACGCCACCATACCAGGCTAATTTTTGTGTTTTTAGTGGAGACAGGGTTTCACCATGTTGGCCGGGCTGATTTTGAACTCCTGACTTCAAGTGATCCACCTGCATCGGTCTCCCAAAGTGCTGAGATTACAGATCTGAGCCACAGTGCCCAGCCATTTCCTGTAGATGTCTACATGTGATATATGCCCCCTATGTTACACATAAAAGTTCTATATTTGTATGTGTCTGTTCCTATCCATGTTGTATATCACTGCATCAATAACACTCTGCTTTAATTAATATGATTTTATAAAATACTTTGCTATTTGGGATGGTCAATTTTCCACGTTCTTCAGATGTTTCTTGGCTATTTTCATCCTTTTGTACTTCCATATAAAATTTAGAAGTACCTCATCAAATTCCTAAAAAATCATTTTAGAATTCTGATGGAAATTTATTGGATTTATGAATCAAGAAGAATTCATATCCTTTGGATATTAAGTTTCTTTTATAAATGACCCACTCCAACTATTTGTTTTAATATCTCACTATAAATGTTATAATTTTCTACTTACAGATCTTACACATTTTTTGCAATATTTAGTCTTAGTTACCTTATAGTTTCCTTCTATTTTAAATGGTGTCTTTGTAAACTTACATTTTTTCCAGCCTTGGCAACATAGAGAGACCTTGTCTCTCCAATAAATAAATAAATAAATAAATAAATAAATAAATAAATAAATAAAGTAAGAAGATCACTTCAGCCCAGGAATTTGAGGCTGCAATGAGCTATGATCACCACTGCACTTCAGCCTAGGTGACAGCAGAGCGAGAAACTGTCTAAAACAAAATTATATTTTTTACATGTTGCTGGGTGTATAGAAATGCAATAGATATATTAAAGCTCATATTATAGCTATTCAGTTTGCTAAATTATTACTTCTAAGAATTTTTATGTATAGTTGTTTCAATTTCCTATATGGGCAATCATATAATCTGTGAATAATAACATTTTTGTTTTTTTCATTTTGCATTCATATGCCTTTAATTTCTTTTTCTTGTCCTACTGAAAATACCAAGACTTCTAGGAAAGTGTTGAATAAAGTTAGTGATAGCATCATTTTAAAATTTTTGATAGTAAAAGGAATAATTTTAATGTCCTCCTGTTAAATATAATGTTTGATCAGGGTTTTGCTAGATACATTTTATTGGATTATGGAATTTTCCTTCTAATCCTAATTTGCTAAAAATTTATATTATACATTGGCATTGAATTTTACCAAATGTGTTTTTTTGTGTCTAGTAAGGCTATTACATTTTTTCTTGTTAGTAAAACATTAATATAATAATATTTACTCATTTTCTAAGGTCAATCATGCTTGACTTCTAGGGATAAATCCAGCCTGGTCACTGTCTATTTATTTTTATATATTGTTGAATTCAATTATTTATTTTTTTAGTTTTAGAATTTTTTACATCTGGGTCACGAGTGAGAATAAACTATGGTTTCTCCTCTCATATTGTCTTTTTCTGGATTGGATAGCAAGATTACAATATTAGGTTGGTGCAAAAGTAATTGCTTTTTGCCATTGCTTTTAATAATTTCATAGAATGATTTAGCTAGTATTTCCTATTTTATTTTTTAGAACGGTTATTTAATATGGAAATAATCTGGTCTTTGATATGTTGAGAGAAAACACTAGCAAAATCATTTTGGTCTTGTATTTCTTTTTTGGGAAAGTTCTTAATCACTGCTTCAATTTTGCTAATAGTTATTGGATTACTGATATGGTTTGGCTGTGTCCTCAACCAAATCTCATCTTGAATTGTACATCCCATAATCCCCACATGTTGTGGGAGGGACCAGTTGGAGATAATTGAATCATGGGGGTGGTTTAGCCCATCCTGTTCTCCTGATAGTGAGTTAGTTCTCACGAGATCTGATGGTTTTATAAGGGCTTCCCCCTTTGCTGGGCACTCATTTTCTCTCCTGCCGCCCTATGAAGAGATGCCTTCTGCCATGATTCCTGAGGCCTCCCCAGCCCTGCAGAACCATGAGTCAATTAATCCTCTTTCCTTTATAAATTACTCAGTCTTGGGAAGTTCTTCATAGTAGCATGAGAGTGGACTCATACAATTACTAAGACTGTATATTCTAATACGTTTTGGTAATTTACATGTGACCAGAAATTTGTCTGTCTAGATTTTAATTTTTGACATAAATTTGTTCATAGTAGTACCTTATACTCTAATCTGTGCTGTATCTGTAATGATGATCCACTTTTCATTGCTAGAATTATAGTTTTTGCCATCCGTTTTGCTTTTAATAAGTTTTACCAAAGATTTGCCAATTTTGTTAATCTTCCCAAAAAAGCAGTCTTTGGTTTTGTATATCTCTCCTTTTGTCTCTTTGTTTTCTGTTTCATTGATTGTTATTCTTATCCTTATCTCCTACCTTTTTAAAAAACAACATTATTGAGGTATAATTGACATATGAAAAGCTACATCTTCTTTTTGTTGTGTATTTTTGGTTGTTCTATATCCAAGTTTCTTAAATTGGATACTTAGCACATTAATATTGAGATAAATTAGTATTTCAATAAATATTAGAAGGCAGTAATTTTCCTTCTAAGTACTAGTTTATCTACATCTAAGGATTGTTATACAAAGCATTTAAAAAATAATCTAGTTCTAAGTATTTTAAAAGTTCTATTGTCCAGTGATGTGCTATCCCCATCAAGCTACCAATGACTTTCTTCACAGAATTGGAAAAAACTACTTTAAAGTTCATATGGAACCAAAAAAGAGCCCACATTGCCAAGTCAATCCTAAGCCAAAAGAACAAAGCTGGAGGCATCAAGCTACCTGACTTCAAACTATACTACAAGGCTACAGTAACCAAAACAGCATGGTACTGGTACCAAAACAGAGATATAGACCACAGGAACAGAACAGAGCCCTCAGAAATAATGCCACATATCTACAACTATCTGATCTTTGACAAACCTGAGAAAAACAAGCAATGGGGAAAGGATTCCCTATTTAATAAATGGTGCTGGGAAAACTGGCTAGCCATATGTAGAAAGCTGAAACTGGATCCCTTCCTTACACCTTATACAAAAATTAATTCAAGATGGATTAAAGACTTAAATGTTAGACCTAAAACCATAAACACCCTAGAAGAAAACCTAGACATTACCATTCAGGACATAGGCATGGGCAAGGACTTCATGTCTAAAACACCAAAAGCAATGGCAACAAAAGCCAAAATTGACAAATGGGATCTAATTAAACTAAAGAGCTTCTGCACAGCAAAAGAAACCACCATCAGAGTGAACAGGCAACCTACAGAATGGGAGAAAATTTTTGCAATCTGCTCATCTGACAAAGGGCTAATATCCAGAATCTACAAAGAACTCAAACAAATTTACAAGAAAAAAACAAACAACCCCATCAAAAAGTGGGCAAAGGATATGAACAGACACTTCTCAAAAGAAGACATTTATGCAGCCAACAGACACATGAAAAAATGCTCATCATCACTGGCCATCAGAGAAATGCAAATCAAAACCACAATGAGATACCATCTCACACCAGTTAGAATGGCAATCATTAAAAAGTCAGGAAACAACAGGTGCTGGAGAGGATGTGGAGAAACAGGAACACTTTTACACTGTTGGTGGGACTGTAAACTAGTTCAACCATTGTGGAAGTCAGTGTGGCGATTCCTCAGGGATCTAGAACTAGAAATACCATTTGACCCAGCCACCCCACTGCTGGGTATATGCCCAAAGGATTATAAACCATGCCGCTATAAAGACACATGCACACGTATGTTTATTGTGGCACTATTCACAATAGCAAAGACTTGGAACCAACCCAAATGTCCATCAATGATAGACTGGATTAAGAAAATGTGGCACATATACACCATGGAATACTATGCAGCCATAAAAAATGATGAGTTCATGTCCTTCGTAGGGACATGGTTGAAGCTGGAAACCATCATTCTCAGCAAACTATCTCAAGGACAAAAAACCAAACACCGCATGTTCTCACTCATAGGTGGGAATTGAACAATGAGAACACATGGACACAGGAAGGGGAACATCACACACTGGGGACTGTTGTGGGGTGGGGGGAGGGGGGAGGGATAGCATTAGGAGATATACCTAATGCTAAATGATGAGTTAATGGGTGCAGCACACCAACATGGCACATGTATACATATGTAACTAACCTGCACGTTGTGCACATGTACCCTAAAACTTAAAGTATAATAATAATAATAAAAAAAAAGTTCTATTGTTATTTCTTCTTCAATCCATTGGTTAAGGTTTTGCTTCTACATTTCTAAATGTATAGGAACTAAAAAATTTGTCTTTTTATTATTGACATCTAACTTAATTATGTTTTAGTCAGTTTCCAGTTCTCTGAAAACTTGACTTCTTTTACCCTTTATTATAATCTATATTTGTAAATACTCCATGTATTTATGAGGATAATTGGTATTCTCTAATTGTTGGGTGCAGAATTCAATTTATGTACATTATAGCTTATTAATTGCAGTTTACAAATCATTAATGATTAATTCTTATCTAAATGACCTGTAAATAATCAAGAAAAGTTGTGTTGAAATCTCACCAGTAAAATGTCAGGATTATTAATGTCTCCTGTAAATCTATACACTTTGCTTTATACATTTTGAAGCTAATTTGTTTTGAAAACCTCAGCATTGTTTACTGCACTGGTAGACTAAATGTTTTTTTATGTAGCAACCTTTTATTTCTCTAGTGATGATTTTCACTTGTCTTAAGCTTTGGTTTTCAAATAGTAATATAGATATATGTTTTATTTTGGTTAGTATTTGCCTGGTCTATCTTTTCTCACCATTTTACCTTCAACCCCATGCCCTCATGCGTTAGGTGTGTGACTTGCAACTACATATATCTGGGTTTTATTGGTCTTTGTATCCAGTGTGAAAATCTCTATTAGGTGACAATTTTGATCTATGTAAAGTTTTTTGTAATTATTGATATGTTTGGACTTGTTTATACAATCTCACTTTTTTACTTCAATTTGTTTTACTTTTCATATTTTCTTGTTTCTTACTGCTATGTGTGTGTCTTTATTAAATGTTTCTCTATGTCTTAGTCCATTTGTGTTGCTATAAAAAGAATATCTGAGGCTGGATAATTTATAAAGAAAAGAGGTTTATTTGGCTTACAGCTCTGCAGACCGTGCAAGAAGCACAGCACCAGCATCTGCTTGTGGTGAGGGCTTTAATCTGCTACCACTCATGCCAGAAGGTGAAGAAGAGTCAGTGTGTGTAGAGATCACATGGTGAGGCAGGAAGCAAGATTGAGAGGGGAGGGAGATTCCAGGATCTTTTTGAATGACCAACTCTCCAGGGAAATAATAGAGCAAGAACTCACTAATTCCTGCCACCTCCAAGGAGGGCACTGATCTACTCATGAGGGATACACCCCTATGATTTGAATACTTCTCATTAGGCCCCACATCTAACATTGGGGATCAAATTTCAACATGAGATTCAGAAGGGTCAAACATCCAAACTATAACACTGGGTATTCATGTTTTCCCTTATTCCATTTTTATTATTTCCATTTGTTTGGAAGTTATAAGTCTATTCTCATCAATTTACTGTTACTTTGAAATTTTCCCATGCTTATTTACTTTAACAAAATCTTACATTAAAAATCTTAATTATTCTCCTAAACAATAAACTTTAACTCTGCTTACCTATTCTACAGCTTATTCACTATTATTGACCAGTATTTTATTTCTGATTTTTTTGTAATCCCATGAAATAGTACTACTTGTTATCATTTGTAAAGATAATGCTTGCTTGTATTTGCACATACTGCTAACATTTTATTTTATCACCATTACTTCTTGCATCCCAGACATTCCTTCTAAAATAATTGTTCTTCCTGTAACATATTATTTAGAAGTTCATTTGGGTCTTCTTAGCGGTAAACTCTTACAGTTTTTATTTATCTGTAAGTATTCTTATTTTACTTTTGTATTCTTTAAATAACTGTTGACTATACAATTTGAGGTTGACAATTGTGTTCTCACAACATTTGACATCCTCTGTCTTTCATTATATCTGTTGTAAAGTCTCTTGTTAGTTTAACTGTCCTCAACAGTAGCAAACATTGGACAACACTTGTAATATCTTAAATCCTTGTGAATTTAAATCCAATGTTTGATGCTTTTCCTTATTCTTACTTATTGTGTCCTTTTCTTACACTTAGTGATATTTAATTGTAAACTCATTTTATCATCTTATTTTGTGAGAATTTTGTGCTCCAAATATTTATTTTCTTATTTGCTTCTGCTACCATTGGTAGCTAGTGAATACCACAGTCCAAGGGTCATGTTAGCCCCACTGTAAGGTTCTCAGTTCAATGATTTAGCCTTAGGCTCATATTTCCTATCACATGATTAGCCCAAAGCTGAGAATTCGAATAGTGCTAGTGTTAAAGGAATATTTTCACAAAGCCTTCTGCCCTTCTAGGCTTCCCACAGCTTAGCCCACAGTTGCTCTTTGGGGAGGAATTGGTCCTTGGAAACCTACCTTAAAAATTTTGAGACTGAGTATACCTCAAAGTGTTGTCAAGAGTATAATTTTTATGTACCTATTGAATGACTGCTTTAGAGGACCTAGGTAGACATGATGAGGGAATCAGAAGTCATTCCTTTACTGTTAACTTCTGCTTCAATTTTTGGGCTTGCCCAAGATGTCGTGTAGCCTATGGCACATAACACAACCAAAAAGCAAAGAAAACACGTATCAGCATACACATTAAAAACAATATCCATGACATACAAAAATGATATCTTAAAAATATAAATCAGGATACATCATGGAATGCTTATATCATAACAGTGGATTCTCATTGCACTATACAAGCAATACTAAAGTAAAAACATAGTTTGAAGGTGTGTGAGGTGGTGGCGGTTGGCAGGGGGGCTCTCCTTAGTCATTTATTCTGGAAATTCATCTTGGATGGTGATATGATAGCTCATGATGCCAGATGGTGTGAATTAGTCATCTTCAGAATGTTGACTCTGAATTTCTGAGGAGGAGATTGTACTGAGATAGGGACATGATCTCACTGGGTCCTCTTAGGAACAGAGAACAAGACGACCTGGGTCAGGGACTAAGACTGTGACCAGCCCAGTGACCAGAGCAAAGTCTAGTGGACCCTGCAGGGAAGCAACCTGCCACTTGGAGCAACTTTGCTTAACAGCCAAGTTGGTTGAGAGCTCTGCCCAAAGCCAAAGAACTCAGTATCAGTGCAGATGGAGTTACAGGTGTCTTTCTTTCGCTGTGGCAACAGGCAAGTGGGGAAAGACCCGTGGCTAAGCAGATTCAAACTGTGAGGTTTCACAAGGGGCAGGGAGCCACTGGACTTCTAGGAATAGAGCAGCCAAAAAGTCTGCAGCAATCTGGCAAAGTGAGCTCTGGCCATTAGCAAAATGGGTGGGCTCTCCCTAAAGTGTTCACTTTCTTCCTTGAAAAATTTCCTCTTCCACCATGGGGCAGTGGGCTGATTTCCCCTTTGCACTCAAGACCCACCAGTCCCTGAGGTACCTACACCTCTCAGCCAATGAGGTCCTGGATGAGGGTGCCAAGTTGCTGTAGGAGACAGTGAGACACCCAAATAGCATCTTGCAGAAGTTGTCGTTGGAAAACTGTCATCTTATAGAAGCCAGTTGCAAGGACCTTGCTGCTGTTTTGGTTGTCAGCCAGCAGCTGACACAACTGTGCTTGGCCAAGAACCCCACTGGGGATAAAGGGGTGAAGCTTCTGGGTGAGGGTTTGAGTTACCCTGAGTGTAAACTGCAGACGTTGGTGTTACAGCAATGCAATATCACCAAGCGTGGCTGCAGACATCTCTCAAAGCTACTCCAAGAAGTCCTCACAAACTTGGACCTGAGTCTCAATCACATGGCTCGTGGATTACGGATTCTCTTTAAGGCGTTAGAGAACCCAAACTGTAATCTAAAACACCTACAGTTGAAGACCTATGGAACTAATTTGGAAATCGAGAAGCTGTTGGTGGAAGTGAAAGAAAACAATCCCAAACTGATGATTGATTGCAATGCTTCCGGGGCAACGGCACCCCTGTGCTATGACTTCCTTTGCTAAGCAGACTGGGATGACTCTACGAATTACATAGGAAGCGGGAATCTGGTCTCTCTATAACATATCGTATTAATGCAGGTCAGAGGGTAATGTTAACGCTAGACTTGGTGTCAAGAGGTAGGACTTCACACTGGTTTTCTCGCTGCTTATAGGAGATTCTGCACAAGTCACTCTTGCACTTCAGATCACTATATGTACTTTCTCACAAGGATAATAAAAAGAGCACTCTAAAAAAGAAAAGTTTCCTCTTCCTGCTACTAGAATGTAAGTGGTAGTGACTCAGTACTGTCTAATTACCTGTGCCCTTGGTGATCCTGAATCCCAAGGGGTGAGGACTCAGGGGCCAGTCTCCCACCCCCAGGTCAGAGAAGAGCATTCACTGGCATCATTCGAACAATGAGTCCATTTTAATAGGGTGCTCTCATCTCTAGGTGAGTTTGGAAACACTGTGACAGGAAGGAAAATAATTGCATTTTCTCCCAAAGCTGCCGGAAATAATTTCTACTTTAATGGTGAAAACAGGACTCCTTGTATCTCTGGACATTTTACATTGCAGGCTGTAATGAGCGAGAAAATGTCTTTCTTTTAATAGCTAATCCTCTGATGCTTCGTGTCTGGGAAGGTAAGTTGATGTGGCAAATTATCATTGTCGAAGAGAGAGATTGAGCCAGGAACAGCATCATTGCTTTGTCCACTGCGTCACTTAGCTCTTGTTAGCGTAGCCAGAAAATTGGCGTTTGTTCTCAACAGTACATTTTTTTTCAGAGATTGGCCATTGCCAGGCACAGACCCACTCAGATCTAGGAAGAGAGGGGAGGCATCCTGCCCCAACCTTGTGTGACCTTCGCTAAGAGGCACATCATCTTCTTCCCCTTCTCCCCTGCTTAGCCCCAGCCACACCCAGGGGTCCCATGGAGCTGGATTAGTCTTTGTACTGTGGTGAGCATGATATAGAGGTTTTCACCCAAAAGCAGGGTTTTGCTAGGGAGACAGCAGGAGCCTGAGTGGGCAGGGAGAGATGTCAGAGGGAAATGGGTATGGAGCTGCAAATGGGCAATCCTCAGACCACCTGCCCAGAGTCATAACTTTACCTGGGACCAGCGCCGAGCACTTTCATCCTCTTGCCTTGGCCCTTTCTTCCAATTCCTCTTCCTTAAGGGCCTTATTTTCCCTTCATGGATACATTTGTTTTTCAACTGTATCTTTAATTGGGGTGTTCTTTAAGCTTAAATGCTGACTTGTTCTTTTTTCTTATATGAATGGAAGCTGCTATTAACCTTCTTTTTGGTTCACATTTCATACATGTGGGAATGTGTCTACATTTATCACAAACCACCTGTGATATTTTTTGTTCCCCTTTACTTGGGAAGTTTTATTTTACAAGCAATGTTTCTTTATGCCCTGCATGTCAGGTATTTATCACCTTAACAAGTTTAGGTTTGCCATATTTTCATTAGTTTTCAATGGAATCGTTCATCATATGTTGTTTTCCAGGATTGCTTTTTATGGTGTTAGTTGCAATATACTCTACTCAGTTGTTAACACGAATCCTTTTTCAAGACAGTCATATTAGAGTGCATAATTATTTTCAGTTTTCTTTCCAAAGTTATAAATGAAAATTAATTTTTAGGCACTATTTTATTTTTTTCTTAAAATAGTCTATCAAGTTCATTAAAAATATTTATAAAAGAAGACTTCCAAGGTCATCTTATGAAACTCCTCATTTTGTTTTGAAGAAATTAAAGCTGATTATTTAGGGAATTCTATATATTAGAGTATAATTTATTGGAAGAGCAAGCCCATTGCTCAGTGAAGAAAAATATTGGTATGTAGAATCTAAAAAAATTGCATAAATAGAAACAAAGAGTAGAATGGTGGTTATCAAGACCAGGGAGGGAGAGGAAGTAGGAAGATATACATCAAAGGGCCCAAATTTTCCATTAGGTAGGATGGATAAGTCTAGAGATCATATATGCAGCATGAGATGTATACTTAATAATATTGTATTGTATGGTAGAAATTTGTTAAGATAATAGGTTTTTGATATTCTTTTTCTTCATTTTTTTTATTTTCATAAGTTTTTGGAGAACAGGTGGTATTTGGTTACATGAGTAAATTCTTTAGCCATGATTTATGAGATTTTGGTGCACCCATCACCCAAGCTGTATATACTGAACTCAATTTGTAGTCTTTTATCCCTCACTTACTTTCCACCTTTTCCCTCAAGTCCCCGAAGTCCATTGTATCATTCTTATGCCTTTGCATCCTCATAGCTTAGCTCCCACTTATGAGTGAGAAGATATGATGTTTAGTTTTCCATTCCTGAGTTATTTCACCTGAAATATTATTCTCCAGTTCTATCTAGGTTGCTGTGAATGGCTTTAATTTGTTCCTTTTTATAGCTGAGTAGTATTCCATTATATATATATATATATATATATATATATATATATATATATATATATACATATACACATACACACACACACACACACCATAATTTCTTTTTCCACTTGTTGATTGATGGGCATTTGGGCTTGTTTCATATTTTTGCAATTGTGAGTTGTGCTGCTATAAACATGCATGTGCAAGTATCTTTTTTGTATAATTACTTCTTTTCCTCTGGGTAGATACCAAGTAGTGGGATTGCTGGATCAAATGGTAGTTCTACTTTTAGTTCTTTAAGGAATCTCCCCTTTTTTCCGTAGTGGTTGTACCAGCTTACATTCCCACCAGCAGTGTAAAAGTGCTTCCTGTTCACTGCATCCACACCACCAACTATTATTTTTTGATTTTTTGATTATGGCCATTCTTGCAGGGGTAAGTTGATATTGCATTGTGGTTTTGATTTGCATTTCCCTAATCATTAGTGATGTTGAGCATTTTTTCATACGTTTGTTGGCCATTTGTGTATCTTCTTTTGAGAATTGTCTCTTCATTTCCTTAGCCCACTTTTTGATGGGATTGTTTCATTTTTCTTGCTAATTTAAGTTCCTTGTAGATTCTGGATATTAGGCCTTTGTCAGATGTATAGACTGTGAAAATTTTCTCCCACTCTTTGTTTACTCTGCTGACTTTTCCTTTTGCCGTGCAGAAGCTCTTTAGTTTAATTAAGTCTCACCTATTTATCTTTGTTTTTGTTGCATTTGCTTTTGGGTTCTTGATCATGATGTCTTTGCCTAAGCCAATGTCTAGAAGGGTTTTTCTGATGTTATCTTCTAGAGGTTTTATAGTTTCAGGGCTTAGACTTAAGTTCTTGATGCATCTTGAGTTGATTTTTGTATAAGGTGAGAGATGAGAATCCAGTTTCATTTTCCTACATGTGGCTTACCAATTATCCCACCATTTGTTGAATAGGATGTCCATTCCCCACTTTAGGTTTTTGTTTGCTTTGTCAAAGATCAGTTGGTTGTAGGTATTTGGGCTTACTTCTGGGTTCCCTATTCTGTTCCATTGGTCTATGTGCCTATATTTATACCAGTACCATGCTGTTTTGGTGACTATGGCCTCATAGTGTAGTTTGAAGTCAGGTAATGTGATGCCTCCAGATTTGTTCTTTTTGCTTTGTCTTACTTTGGCTACACGGGCTCCTTTTTTTTCATATGAATTTTAGGATTTTTTTTTTCTAGTTCTGTGAGGAATGATGGTGGTATTTTGATGGAAACTGCCTTGAATTTGTAGATTGCTTTTGGCAGGATGGTCATTTTCTTTTCTTTTTTTTATTATTATTTTTTATTTTTTATTTTTTTATTATTATACTTTAAGTTTTAGGGTACATGTGCACAATGTGCAGGTTAGTTACATATGTATACATGTGCCATGCTGGTATGCTGCACCCATTAACTCGTCATTTAGCATTAGGGATATCTCCTAATGCTATCCCTCCCTGCTCCCCCCACCCCACAACAGTCCCCAGAGTGTGTTGTTCCCCTTCCTGTGTCCATGTGTTCTCATTGTTCAATTCCCATCTATGAGTGAGAACATGTGGTGTTTGGTTTTTTGTCCTTGTGAAAGTTTACTGAGAATGACGATTTCCAATTTCATCCATGTCCCTACAAAGGACATGAACTCATCATTTTTTATGGCTGCATAGTATTCCATGGTGTATATGTGCCACATTTTCTTAATCCAGTCTATCATTGTTGGACATTTGGGCTGGTTCCAAGTCTTTGCTATTGTGAATAGTGCCACAATAAACATACGTGTGCATGTGTCTTTATAGCAGCATGATTTATAGTCCTTTGGGTATATACCCAGTAATGGGATGGCTGGGTCAAATGGTATTTCTAGTTCTAGATCCCTGAGGAATCGCCACACTGACTTCCACAATGGTTGAACTAGTTTACAGTCCCACCAACAGTGTAAAAGTGTTCCTGTTTCTCCACATCCTCTCCAGCACCTGTTGTTTCCTGACTTTTTAATGATTGCCATTCTAACTGGTGTGAGATGGTATCTCATTGTGGTTTTGATTTGCATTTCTCTGATGGCCAGTGATGATGAGCATTTTTTCATGTGTCTGTTGGCTGCATAAATGTCTTCTTTTGAGAAGTGTCTGTTCATATCCTTTGCCCACTTTTTGATGGGGTTGTTTGTTTTTTTCTTGTAAATTTGTTTGAGTTCATTGTAGATTCTGGATATTAGCCCTTTGTCAGATGAGTAGGTTGCGAAAATTTTCTCCCATTTTTTTAGGTTGCCTGTTCACTCTGATGGTAGTTTCTTTTACTGTGCAGAAGCTCTTTAGTTTAATTAGATCCCATTTGTCAATTTTGGCTTTTGTTGCCATTGCTTTTGGTGTTTTAGACATGAAGTCCTTGCCCATGCCTATGTCCTGAATGGTAATGCCTAGGTTTTCTTCTAGGGTGTTTATGGTTTTAGGTCTAACATTTAAGTCTTTAATCCATCTTGAATTGATTTTTGTATAAGGTGTAAGGAAGGGATCCAGTTTCAGCTTTCTACATATGGCTAGCCAGTTTTCCCAGCACCATTTATTAAATAGGGAATCCTTTCCCCATTGCTTGTTTTTCTCAGGTTTGTCAAAGATCAGATAGTTGTAGATATGTGGTGTTACTTCTGAGGCCTCTGTTCTGTTCCATTGATCTATATCTCTGTTTTGGTACCAGTACCATGCTGTTTTGGTGACTGTAGCCTCATAGTATAGTTTGAAGTCAGGTAGCTTGATGCCTCCAGCTTTGTTCTTTTGGCTTAGGATTGACTTGGCGATGCAGGCTCTTTTTTGGTTTCATATGAACTTTAACATAGTTTTTTCCAATTCTGTGAAGAAAGTCATTGGTAGCTTGATGGGGATGGCATTGAATCTATAAATTACCTTGGGCAGTATGGCCATTTTCACGATATTGATTCTTCCTACCCATAAGCATGGAATGTTCTTCCATTTGTTTCTATCCTCTTTTATTTCATTGAGCAGTGGTTTGTAGTTCTCCATGCAAATCAATAAATGTAATCCAGCATATAAACAGAACCAAAGACAAAAACCACATGATTATCTCAATAGATGCAGAAAAGGCCTTTGACAAAATTCAACAACCCTTCATGCTAAAAACTCTCAATAAATTAGGTATTGATGGGACCTATCTCAAAATAATGAGAGCTATCTGTGACAAACCCACAGCCAATATCATACTGAATGGGCAAAAACTGGAAGCATTCCCTTTGAAAACTGGCACAAGACAGGGATGCCCTCTCTCACCACTCCTATTCAACATAGTGTTGGAAGTTCTGGCCAGGGCAATTAGGCAGGAGAAGGAAATAAAGGGTATTCAATTAGGAAAAGAGGAAGTCAGATTGTCCCTGTTGGCAGACGACATGACTGTATATCTAGAAAACCCCATTGTCTCAGCCCAAAATCTCCTTAAGCTGATAAGCAACTTCAGCAAAGTCTCAGGATACAAAATCAATGTACAAAAATCACAAGCATTCTTATACACCAATAACAGACAAACAGAGAGCCAAATCATGAGTGATCTCCCATTCACAATTGCTTCAAAGAGAATAAAATACTTAGGAATCCAACTTACAAGGATGGTCATTTTCACAACATTGGTTCTACCCATCCATGAGCATGGGATGTTTTTCCATTTGTTTGTGTCATCTACAATTTCTTTCAGCAGTGTTTTGTAGTGTTCCTTGTAGAGGTTTTTCACCTCCTTGGTTAGGTATATTCCTAAGTTTTTATTTTTTTGCAGCTATTGTAAAAAGGGTTGAGTTCTTGATTTGATTCTCGGCTTGACGCTGTTGGTGTATAGCGGAGCTACTGATTTGTGTACATACATTTTGTATCCTGAAACTTTGCTGAATTCATTTATCAGTTCTAGGAGCTTTTTGGAGGAGTCTTTAGCGTTTTCTAGGTATACAATATACAATCACATCATCAGCAAACAGTGACAGTTTGACTTCCTCTTTATCAATTTGGATGCCCTTTATTTCTTTATCTTGTCTGATTGCTCTGGCTAGGACTTCCAGTACTATGTTGAATAGAAGTGGTGAGAGTGGGCATCCTTGTCTCGTTCCAGTTCTCAGAGGGAATTTTTTCAACTTTTCCCCTTTCAGTATTATGTTGGCTGTGGGTTTGTCATTGATGGCTTTTATTACATTGAGGTATGTCCCTTGGATGTTGATTTCGGTGAGGGTTTTAATCATAAAGGGATGCTGTATTTTGTCAAATGCTTTTTCTGCATCTATTCAGATGATCATGTGATTTTTGTTTTTAATTCTGTTTTTGTGGTGTATGACATTTATTGACTTGTGTATGTTAAACCATCCCTGTATCCCTGGTATAAAACCCACTTGATCATGGTGGATTATCTTTTTGATATGCTGTTGGTTTTGGTTAGCTAGTATTTTCTTAAGGATTTTTGCATCTATGTTCATCAGGGATATTGGTCTGCAGTTTTCTTTTTTTTGCTATGTCCTGTCATGATTTTGGTATTAGGGTGATACCGGCTTCACAGAATGATTTAGGGAGGATTCCCTCTTTCTCTTTCTTGTGGAATAGTGCCAATAGGATTGGTACCAATTCTTCTTTGAGTTCTGATAGAATTCAACTGTGAATCCGTCTGGTCCTGGACTTATTTTTGTTGGTAATTTTAAAATTACCATTTCAATCTCACTGCTTGTTATTGATCTGTTCAGGGTTTCTAATTCTTCCTGATTTAAGCTAGGAGGGTTGTATATTTCCAGGAATTTATCCTTCTCCTCTGGGTTTTCTAGTTTGTGTGTGTAAAGGTGTTCATAGTAATCTTGAATAAAATTTTGTATTTCTGTGGTTTCAGTTGTAACAGCTCCCATTTCATTTCTAATTGAGCTTATTTTGATCTGCTCTCTTTTCTTGGTAAATCTTGCTAATAGTCTAACAATTTTATTTAACTTTTCTTAGAAGCAGCATTTTGTTTCATTTATCTTTTGTATTTTTTTGTTCAATTCCATTTAGTTCTGCTCTTACCTTGGTTATTTCTTTTCTTCTGCTGGGTTTGAGTTTGGTTTGTTCTTGTTTCTCTAGTTCCTTGAGGTGTGACCCTAGATGTTTATTTGTGCTCTTTCAGACTTTTTGATATATGCATTTAATGCTATTAACTTTCCTCTTAGCACCACCTTAGCTGTATCCCAAAGGTTTTGATAGGTTGTATCACTATTATCATTCAGTTTAAAGAATTTTTATATTTTCATCTTGATGTCATTGTTGACCTAGTGATCATTCAGGAGAAGGTTATTTAATTTCCATGTATTTGCATGGTTTTAAAGGTTCCTTTTGGAGTTGATTTCCAATTTTATTCCACTGAGGTCTGAGAAAATACTTGGTATAATTTCAATTTTCTTAAATTTGTTGAGACTTGTTTTGTGCCATAGCATATGGTCTATCTTGGAGAAAGTTCCATGTGCTGATGAATAGAATGTGTATTCTGTGGTTGCTGAGTGCAATGTTCTGTAAATATCTGTTGTTAACTCCATTTGTTCTAGGGTATAGTTTAAATCCATTGTTTCTTTGTTGACTTTCTGTCTTGATGGCCTGTCTAGTGCTGTCAGTGGAGTATTGAAGTCCCCTACTATTGTTGTGTTGCTGTCTATCTCATTTTTTAGGTTTAGTACTAATTGTTTTATAAATTTGGAAGCTCCATTGTTAGGTGCATATATATTTAGGATTTTGATTTTGATATTTCCCTGTTGGACAAGGCCTTTTATCACTATATAATGTCCCTCTTTGTCTTTTTAAACTGCTGTTGCTTTAAAGTTTGTTTCATCTGATATAAGAATAGCTACTCTTGATAGCTTTTGGTGTTAATTTGCATGGAATGTCTTTTTCCACCCTTTACCTTAAGTTTATGTGAGTCCTTATGTTAGGTGAGTATCTTGAAGGCAGCAGATACTTGGCTGGTGAATTCTTATCCATTCTGCAATTCTGCATCTTTTAAGTGGAGCATTTAGGCCATTTACATTCAAAGTTATTATTGAGATGTAAGTAGTAATCCATTCGTTGTGCTATTTGTTGCCTGAATACCTTGGTTTTTATTTATTTATTGTATTTTTATTTTACAGTC
This sequence comes from Homo sapiens, assembly GCF_000001405.40. Taxonomy (NCBI): domain Eukaryota; kingdom Metazoa; phylum Chordata; class Mammalia; order Primates; family Hominidae; genus Homo; species Homo sapiens. The sequence continues at coordinate 131,483,729 of NC_000023.11, read as the reverse complement.
TGTATTAGTCCATTTTCATGCTGCTGATAAAGACATATCCAAGACTGGGCAATTTACAAAAGAAAGAGGTTTAATGGACTTACAGTTCCATGTGGCTGGGGAGGCCTCACAATCATGGCGGAAGGTGAAAGGCACATCTCACATGGTGGCAGACAAGAGAAGAGAAGAGGGCTTGTGCAGGGAAACTCGCATTTTTTTGTTTGTTTTTGTTTTTTTCAGATGGAGTTTCTCTCTTGTTGCCCAGGCTGGAGTGCAGTGGCACTATCTCAGCTCACTGCAACCTCTGCCTCCCGGGTTGCAGTCTCAAACTCCTGACCTCAGGTGATCCACCTACCTCAGCCTCCAAAAGTGCTGGGATCACAGGTGTGAGCCACCATGCCTGGCCCAGAAACTCCCATGTTGAAAACCTTCAAACCTCATGAGACTTACTTGCTATCATGAGAACATCATGGGAAAGACCTGCTCCCATGATTCAATTACCTCCCACTAGGTCCCTCCCACAACACATGGGAATTTAAGATGAGATTTGGGTGGGGACATAGCCAAACCATATCATTCTGTCCGGAGCCCTCCCAAATCTCACGTCCTCACATTTCAAAATCAATCATGCTTTCCCAACAGTCTCCCAAACTTTTAGCTCATTTCAGCATTAACTCAAAAGTCCACAGTCCAAAGTCTCATCTGAGATAAGGCAAATCCCTTCTACTTAGGAGCCTTTTTATATTACAGGCCATATAGGAAGTTACTTACTTCCTATATACAATGGAGGAATAGGTATTGGGTAAATAAGGCTCTTCCAAATCATAGAAATTGGCCAAAACAAAGGGGCTACAGGCCCCACACAAGTCCAAAATCCAGCCAGGCAGTCAAATCTTAAAGCTCCAAAATGATCTCCTTTGACTCCATGTCTCACAGCCAGGTCATGCTGATGCATGAAGTGGGGTCCCACAGCCTTGAGCAGCTCTGCCCCTGTGGCTTTGCAGGGTATAGCCCACCTCCTGGCTGCTTTCATGGACTGGCATTGAGTGTCTGCGGCTTTTTGAGGGGCATGGTGCAAACTGTCAGTGGATCTACCATTCTGGGATATGGAGGACGGTGGCCCTCTTCTCACAGCTCCACTAGACAGTGCCCCAGTAGGGACTCTGTGTGGGGGCTCCAATCCCACATTTCCCTTCCACACTGCCCTAGCAGAGGTTCTCCATGAAGGCTCTGCCCCTGCAGCAAACTTCTTCCTGAACATCCAGGCATTTCCATACATCCTCTGAAATCTAGATTGAGGTTCTCAAACCCCAATTCTTGACTTCTGGGCATGCACAGGCTCAACACTACATGGAGGCTGCCAAGACTTGGGGCTTGCACCCTCTGAAGCTACAGCCCAAGCTTTGCATTGGCCCCTTTCAGCCATGGCTAGAGCAACTGGGATGCAGGGCCCCAAGTCCCTAGATTGCATGCAGAAGAGGGACCCTGAACCTGGCCCACAAAACCACTTTTTCCTCCTAAACCTTTGGGCCTGTGATGGGAGGGGCTGCTGCAAAGGTCTCTGACATGCCCTGGAGACATTTTCTCCACTGTCTTGATGATTAACATTCAGCTCCTCGTTATTTATGCAAATTTATGCAGCCAGCTTGAATTTCTCCTCAGCAAATGGTATTTTCTTATCTATCACATTGCCAGGCTGCACATTTTCCAAAATTTATGCTCTGTTTCCCTTTTGAAACTGAATGCCTTTAACAGCACCCAAGTCACATCTTGAATGCTTTGCTGCTTAGAAATTTCTTCCCCCACCTACCCTAAATCATCTCTCTCAAGTTCACAGTTCCACAAATTTCTAGGGCAGTGGTAAAATGCCACCAGTCTCTTTGCTAAAACATAACAAGAGTCACCTTTGCTCTAGTTCCCCCACAAGTTCCTTATCTCCATCTGAGACCAACTCAGCCTGGATTTTATTATCCATGTCATTATAAGCATTTTTGTCAAAGTCATTCAATACATTGCTAGGGAGTTCCAAACTTTCCCACATTTTCCTGTCTTCTTCTGAGCTGTCCAAACTGTTTCAACCTCTGCCTGTTAACCAGTTCTAAAGTCAGTTTCACATTTTCAGGTATCTTTTCAGCAGCCCTCCACTCTATGGGTACCATTTTACTGTATTAGTCCATTTTCATGCTGCTGATAAAGACATACCTGAGACTGGGCAATTTACAAATGAAAGAGGCTTAATGGATTTACAGTTCCACGAGGCTGGGGAGGCCTCACGATTATGGTGGAAAGTGAAAGGCACATCTCACATGGAGGCAGACAAGAGTAGAGAGCTTGTGCAGGAAAACTACCATTTTTAAAACCATCAGATCTCATGAGACTTACTCGCTATCACGAGAACCATCACGGGAAAGTCTTGCTCCCATGATTCAATTACCTCCCACTGAGTCCCTCCCACAACACATGGGAATTCAAGATGAGATTTGGGTGAGGATACAGCCACAGCATGTCATAGGTCCTGTGCGATTTATGCTTTAAATAATTTCTGTTTTGATGTATTTCCAGGATTCATTTCAAGATTTAGGGCTTCTTTTAGCAGTTCCTGTAGTGCTGGCCTGTTAGTGGTGAATTCTTTCATCATTTGTTTGTCTGAAAAAGCATGTATCTTTCCTTCATTGATGAAGCTTAGTTTCACTGGATACAAAATTCTTGGCTAATAATTGTTTTGTTTAAGGAGGCTGAAGATAGGACCCCAATCCCTTCTAGCTTGTAGGGTTTCTGTTAACCTGATAGGTTTTCCTTTGTAGGTTACCTCGTGTTTTTGCTGCAAAGCTCTTAAGATTTTTTCCTTTCTCTTGACTTTAGGTAACCTGATGGCTATGTGCCTAGGTGATGATCTTTTTGTGATGAATTTCCCAGGTGTTCCTTGGGTTTGTATTTAGATGTCTAAGCCTCTAGCAAGGCCAGGGAAGTTTTCCTTTATTATTCCCCCAAATATGTTTTCCAAACTTTTTGATGTGTCTTCTTCCTCAGGGGTACCAATTATTCTTAGGTTTGGTTGTTTAACATAATCCCAAACATCTTGGAGACTTTGTTCATTTTAAAAATTCTTTTCTCTTTGTCTTTGTAGATTGGGTTATTTTGAAAACCTTGTCTTCAAGCTCTGAAGTTCTTTCTTCTGCTTTTTTGATTCTATTGCTGAGGCTTTTCAGTATATTTTGCATTTCTCTAAGTGTGTCCTTTATTTCCTGAACTTGTGATTATTTTTTATTTATGCTATCTATTTCACTGAAGATTTCTCCCCATTTCTTGTATCATTTTTTTAAATTTCCTTCAGTTGGACTTCACCTTTCTCTGGTGCCTCCTTGAGTAGCTTAATAATTGACCTGAATTCTTTTTTCTGGCAATTCAGGGATTTCTTCTTGGTTTGGATCTGTTGCTGGCAAGCTAGTGTGATTTTGGGGGAGTATTAAAGAACCTTGTTTTGTCATATTGCCAGAATTTTCTCTGGTTCCTTCTCATTTGGGTAGGCTATGTCAAAGGACAGATCTGGAGCTCAAGACTGCTGTTCAGATTCTTTTGTCTTATGGGGTACTCCCTTGATGTTTTACTCTCCCCCCAACCTTTTCCTAGGGATGTGGCTTGCTGAGAGCCTTACTGTAGTGATTATTTCTCTTCTAGATCTAGCCACTCAGTGGGCTACCAGGCTACCGGCTGGTACTGGGAGGTGTCTGCACAGAGTCCTGTGATGTCTTGCTTTCTTCAGGTCTCTCAGCCGTGGATTCCAGCACCTGCTCTGGTGGAGGTGGCAGAGGAGTGAAATGGACTCTGTGAGTGTCCTTAGTTGTATTATTGTTGTTTATTGCACTAGTTTTATGCTGGATGGCCTCCTGCTAGGAATTGGCACTTTCAAGAAAGCATGAGGTGTGGTAATATAGGGAGGATCAGACTGTGGGTCGGGCCCTAGAACTCCCAAGAAAATATGATCTTTGTCTTTAGCTACCAGGGTGGGTAGGGAAGAACCATCAAATGGAGGCAGGGTTAGGCATGGCTGAGCTCAGACTCTTTTTGGGTTGGCTTGCCGCAGTATAAGCCTCACCCAGGTCACGTGCAACTTAAAAAGCTGGTCTCATTCCCACCCTACACCCCCCTAACAGCACCGAGTTTGTTTCCAGGCAGTGGGTAGGCAGGGCTGAGAACTTGCCCCAGGATACCAGCCTCCAAGCTGAGAAAGCAAGCAGGGCTTTCGCACCTCCCTGCCTGTCGAGTCTGCACACCATATTCATGCCCTCTCCCAAGTTCTGGTCAGGAAACTTCATGTTCACTTGGAATTGTTACACAATTCAGCTGGAGGTTTCCTTCTCCTTGTGGTCTTTTCCCAGTTCCTCTGGCAGCCTTCCCCAAGGACCCCTGAGAGACAAGTCAGAAATGGCTTCCCTGGGGACCAAGAGTACCTACAGGTCTTTTCCTGCTTCTTCCTCTACCCCTGTATTTCACTCAGCTCTCTAAATTATCTTAGCTCCAGGTAAGGTCAAATCCTTCTCCTGTGATCTGCACCTTCAGTGATGGTGTGTGTTCAGGGGTGGATGATCCCCCTTTCCCACTTTCACAGTTTGGGAATTCACAGTATTTGTGCTGTCTCCCAGGTTCTGTGGGAGCAATCTGCCTCCTTCATAGGATCCATGGATTCTCTTGGCTTTCCTGATATATTCCTGCAGTAGTTCTTGGAGCAAAAGTTTATGATGTGAGTCTCCACACACTGCTCTGTCTGTGTGAGTGGGAGCTGTCATTTTGTCCTGCCTCCTATCTGCCATTTTTTTTTGGATTTTAGGTATCCTTAGCATATTAGTCCATTTTCACACTGCTGATAAAGACATACCCGAGATTGGGCAATTTACAAAAGAAGGAGGTTTAATGGCCTCATGACTCCATGTGGCTGGGGAGGCCTCACAATCATGGCTGAAACTGAAGGCACGTCTCACATGGTGGCAGACAAGAGAAGAGAGCTTGTGCAGGGAAACTCCCCTTTATCAAACCATCAGATCTCATGAGACTTATTCATGATCACGAGAATAGCATGGGAAAGACTCACCCCCTTGATTCAATTACCTCTCACTGGCTCCCTCTCACAATACATGGGAATTGTGGGAGCTACAATTCAAGATGAGGTTTGGGTGGGGACATAGCCAAACCATATCACTAACCACAAAAAAGGGATAACTATGAGAGGAGATAGATATGAAAATCTTTTTGATGGTAGTAATCATCTTACTATATATATATACAGATATTCAAAAACCATGTTTTACACATTAAATATAGGTAATAAAATATAAAATAAAGTTCCTTTTAAAAGGTAAAAAAGAAAACAAATTGACTTTGTGTAAATCATACTGACTGTGGGAAATGGGTTTGGACAGCAGCAGAGGAGGACCTATTCTTCTTCCTATTTTGGGTCCCTCTGAACTCCCCCTAGGTTTTATGGGTTTTAATGGGTTGAGAGCAAGTCTAATGCAGCTGAAACTTCCTTGAAATGCTGCAACACTGGATGAAAGCCAGCAGGAACAGGTTTCTCATTTCAACCAAAGAGATTCAAAGGCTTAGACTGAGGACATAACAAAGTTATCAGTTTTTTTTCTTTTTCTTATAATGTGCTTTGTCTGAAAAAAAAAAAAAAACACCCTACTTTTATAAATGCAAATCAACTGTAAGAGAAAATAGATTATATGCACTCTCTGAGTCCAGAAACTAGTATTTCCAAATTGAGATGAAATAATTCCCTTAGGAAAAATACTTTTCTGATCATTTACAGATTTAGAATGGCATTTGTAGGCTTTTCATTCATGCCCTTATACATTCATTCATTTCACTCACTCATTCATAGTAGCCTTTATCAAGTGCCTGCTGTTTTCTCACCCTGCCTCTCCCATTATTTCTTTGAACAGCAACCTATTTAGAAGGCTGCTAAAAAAGATTGGCAAGTTGATTGTTATTTTTAAGTGCAATCTGAATGCCGGAAATCTGAAGGTTGTTGGAAAGGGCTTTGGAAATAGGCTCATCATTCCTGCTGAGAATTTGCAGGGGACCTTTTGAAAACTAATTGCCAGGGGAAATGCCACCTGCAAGGCTCTGTATTTCCTCTTACAAATTCACAAGGCACACCTGGGATGGGACTCACACTGACCCTGCTTGCTGATTCATGTGGAGCCTCTTCTTGTCCTTTAGTTTCAGTATTTTTCTTTTCTTTTCTTTTTTTTTTTGTCACACGGGTCTTTGGCAGTTAACATCACAGCTTCCCAGGTGACCGAGTAGGGAAGACTAGATACTTCTTATGAAAGTCAGCGTAAAATAGAGATTTCAGAGACCAATGAAAGAGACATTTCCACAGCAGGTATCTTGGCTGTTTTGATGTTCTTTCTTTTCAACAATAGAGAAACCAACTTCTTGGTTAAAAGTAAATGCGTAACTTCCCTGAGAAGTTGTACACAGTCAAGTATTAATGTTATATCAATGTACCTTCCCTGCCTATTAAATAAGATCCATCTGCATCTCCAGATATGGGTCGAATTAGCCAAATTCTTTAGAGAAGATATAAAATTAATGAAATATTTAATTTGTATTACATCATGCTAAATATTGTATCTGACCAAAATGTTCACTTACTGACTAGTGATGAGGTACCATATAAAGGTAATTCACATTTCAGTCTTAGAATTACAAGATGAAAGAATTATTTGTCCATATGATTACATTTATTCTGAATGTGTGGGGATGGAGAGAGCAACTTAGAGTCCGTTTTGTGAGTCCTTTATGTAAAAATGATATGATAAAAAAGGATTAATTTCTTAGTTCTCCATCTTAATTTGTCAGCGTAGATATTGGCTTTCCCCAAGACACTTAGGTGTTTATTAGGAATTTCTATGAAATAAAATTATGTAATGAGTAAAAAATTGTATATGTTTGTTGTATGTGTGAAGCTGAAGAATGAGTATGCATACATGCATATGGATACTTTGAATAAGTAGCAAAACAGTTACAAGTACTTTAAAACTAAATGTGCTAATTAAAAAATGTATTTGGCCTAAAGTATGTTTTTTCCTTTTATATAGATTTTTAAATTAGTATTTTGCTCAAACATATTTCTTGGCACTTCTACTGGGCAGGCCTGCCTTATTCTACCAAAATTCTCCCTGACTATTGAGCCTGCTATCCTCTGCAGCCTTGCTGCTTTAAAGTGTGATCTGAGGCCCAGTGATATTGACTTTTCTTGTAAGCTTGTTATAAATGTAGAATCTCAAACTCTGCTCCTCACCTAGTGAATCAATCTTCATTTTAGCAAAATCCTCATGTAATTCGCATGTACCTTAAAGTTTGAGAAGTCCTCCTCTTCAGAGCTGTTTTTAAAAATCAAACACATCATCAACACCTCCATTCCTTTTCTTCTTCTTGTGTTCCTTGTCTCCATTAATGATATTTCAATCTTTCCAGTCAGCCAGACTGAATATGACAGTCATATTTGTCACTTCCATCTCTCATGTTCCTCACATCCCATCCATCATGAAAGCCTAGCAATTACACATTTTCAACATCTCTTGACTTTGTCATCTCCTTTCTTTTCCTACTTCTAATCTCCTTGTTCACAGTCTAGTAAGCTTTCATCAGACTGTTGAAGTCATCATGCAATTTGTGTTTTGCTTTTTGTTTTTGTTTGTTTGTTTTTGCCTCCAGACTTTCTGGCTCCCAATCCATTCTACTTGTTATTAGTATGTTAGCTTTCCTAAAGCATATGTCTGGCTGTACAATTTTCTGCTCAGAAATCTTCTCTGGCTACTTGTTGCCTACAAAAACATTTTTAAATTCTTTGTCATGACATTCAGGAGCCTCTGACATGTTTTTAAAAGCAACCTTTGACATGTCACTCAGAGTCTCTTCCCACCTGCCCTTTCAACCTTATGAGATTATTTTCTTATTTTCCAAACATTTCCTAAAATTTACTGCTGCAGTGTTTTTCTTCATGTCTAAAGCACTCCTCTCAAATAATCACAAATGCAAATATTAACTCCCTTCAAGGACTTCTAAATCCCTTTCGTCCTTTCTCATCATTCACCATGTGCTTCAGCCGCATTATTAGAACCTCTCCATTCTTTACTCTGACCTGGTGAGCTTTGCACTCATGTCTTACCTCCCCTTATTAATTCTCAGGCCCTTAAAGTCAGGATCAATGTCATGTTCTTCCCATAACCTGCCACAGTGCCTAGCCAAGTGGTTTACAAAAATAAATATTCAATTAATGCATTATAAATGCAAATGAATAGCAGCAGGGAAGAGGACTTGCTATGTTTCTGCAAAGAGACACCTTCAATATCAACGAACGTTTATCAAAGTATTCGTTAAAATCATCTAGTGATATTAACAGCTAGTGGTATGGAATAAACACAGTGGAAGAGTTAACTACTAGGAGGAGCTATTTGTTATTAGTTCTACAATCTACTATTCCCTCATTGTCTCCTAGCTTCTAAGCGCAGTTTTTGTATGTCATCCATTACACTTTGCTGCAGTACACCAAAAGCTGTATTTTGCCTCTCACCAAGACAGTTCTAATAGGGCATAAAGGTCTAATAATACAAGGTAGTTAACTTCACCTAGAAGCACAGGTTAAAGGCATTGCAAGAGTCACTGTGCTGGTAGCCTAGTTTCTTTGAAAAACTGCACTTGATGGTAATTTCTGGTGTCAATCTTCCTTAAGGTTCTGTGTATCAGTGTGATAGTGTCTTAACCTAGAACCTCTTTGAGGGCAAGAGACTTCACACCCTTTTTACAGGGTCCATTTTTGGTCATTGAGTGCTTCTCTGCTTTTTTTTATTATTATTAAGAAAACCATGTTAATAAAATGATGCTGATAAATTTTTTTCACAGAAACTGGTTTGGAACTTACTTTGTGCCAGGCAATACTCAAAGAATATTGCATATATTATCTCATTTAATTTTTACCGTAACCTGTCAAACTCATTCTGCAGATGAGATAACCACAGACCACACTTAGAAGGTAGAGAAAGTAGAAATTATATATTCACCTGGCTGATTTGAGTGCCTACATTCTCATCTTATTATTATTGATGAGAATGACAATCTTTTTTTTTTTGTCTGACACAGCATCCTGACCTGATAGGAAGGAGTAAAAGAAATTTGGTACTTTCAGGAATTTCTGACATATCCAAGACATAGAAACTCCTGTTTGTCTCTTCCTGCATGTATTATTCCTCAAGAATTTTCCTAAGGAGGACAGTAAACATTCTATTTCTGCTTAAGGTTATCTCATTGCTTTGTTATGGGTCAAAACTCAGTTTGTTCATTTTTGTTGTTACTGCAGAATTTTAGCTTTTGGCCTCCAGGATCTGCCATTGCTATATTATTATTTGTAACCCATTCTCTACCCAATTCTCACATTAAAAGCTTTTAATTTCAATTCTGACGGCTCATTACAATAAGAGAGTATGTATTTCAATAACAACATCAAACACTATGTCTTAGCTCTTCTTTGGCAGATCCAATGTGGTGAACAACTTCTCTGATCTTCTCTTGCTCTTAGATTTATCCTGCACATTTGTGAGTTTCTGATCTCCATCTCAGCTTCCTGATCATAGTCCTGGTCCCCATAATTTTATCATTGTGGTCAATATAAAGATTTAGTTAGCTGAAGGGAAGCACAAAGACTTCTCTATCTGTCCATTATAATTTGCTACTGTCAGCAATTTTTTAATGGCACACATACATATTTAAGACTCGGACCTAATAGACACCTACAGAACTCTCCACACCAAATCAACAGAATATACATTCTTCTCAGCACCACATCACACTTATTCCAAAATTGACCACATAGTTGGAAGTAAAGCACTCCTCAGCAAATGTAAAAGAACAGAAATCACAACAAACTGTCTCTCAGACCACAGTGCAATCAAATTAGAACTCAGGATTAAGAAACTCACTCAAAACTGCACAACTACATGGAAACTGAACAACCTGCTCCTCAGTGACTACTGGATAAAAAATGAAATGAAGGCAGAAATAAAGATGTTCTTTGAAAACAATGAGAACAAAGATACAACATACCAGAATCTCTGGGACACATTTAAAGCAGTGTGTAGAGGGAAATTTATAGCACTAAATGCCCACAAGAGAAAGCAGGAAAAATCTAAAATCGACACCCTAACATCACAATTAAAAGAACTAGAGAAGCAAGAGCAAACAAATTTAAAAGCTAGCAGAAGGCAAGAAATAACTAAGATCAGAGCAGAACTGAAGGAGACACAGACACAAAAACCCTTCATAAAATCAATGAATCCAGGAGCTGGTTTTTCGAAAAGATAAACAAAATAGACCACTAGCAAGATTAATAAAGAAGAAGAGAGAGAAGAATCAAATAAATGCAATAAAAAAGATAAAGGGGATATCACCACCGATCCCACAGAAATACAAACTACCATCGGAGAATACTATAAACACCTCTACAAAAATAAATTAGAAAATCTAGAAGAAATAGATAAATTCCTAGACACATACACCCTCCCAAGACTAAACCAGGAAGAAGTTGAATACCTGAATAGACCAATAACAAGTTCTGAAATTGAGGCAATAATTAATAGCCTACCAACGAAAAAAAGTCTAGGGCCAGATGGATTCACAGCCGAATTCTACCAGAGGTACAAAGAGAAGCTGGTACCATTCCTTCTGAAACTATTCCAATCAATAGAAAAAGAGGGAATCATCCCTAACTCATTTTATGAGGCCAGCATCATCCTGATCCCAAAGCCTGGCAGAGACACAACAAAAAAAGAGAATTTTAGACCGATATCCCTGATGAACATTGATGTGAAAATCCTCAATAAAATACTGGCAAACCAAATCCAGCAGCACATTAAAAAGCTTGTCCACCATGATCAAGTGGGTTTCATCCCTGGGATGCAAGGCTGATTCAACATACGCAAATCAATAAATGTAATCCATAACATAAACAGAACCAAAGACAAAAACCACATGATTATCTCAATAGATGCAGAAAAGGCCTTCAATAAAATTCAACAGCCCTTCATGCTAAAAACTGTCAATAAACTAGGTTTTGATGGAACGCATCTCAAAATAATGAGAGCTATCTATGACAAACCCACAGCCAATATCATACTGAATGGGCAAAACCTGGAAGCATTCCCTTTGAAAACTGGCACAAGACAGGGATGCCCTCTCTCACTACTCCTATTCAACATAGTGTTGGAAGTTCTGGCCAGGGCAATCAGGCAAGAGAAAGAAATAAAGGGTATTCAATTAGGAAAAGAGGAAGTCAAATTGTCCCTGTTTGCAGATGACATGATTATATATTTAGAAATCCCCATCATCTCAGCACCAAGTCTCGTTAAGCTGATAAGCAACTTCAGGAAAGTCTCAGGATACAAAATCCGTGTGCAAAAATCACAAGCATTCCTATACACCAATAACAGACAAACAGAGAGCCAAATCATGTGTGAACTCCCATTCACAATTGCTTCAAAGAGAATAAAATACCTAGGAACCCAAATTACAAGGGATGTGAAGGACCTCTTCAAGGAGAACTACAAACCACTGCTCAGTGAAATAAAAGAGGACACATACTGCCCAAGGTAATTTATAGATTCAATGCCATCCCCATCAAGCTACCAATGACTTTCTTCACAGAATTGGAAAAAACTACTTTAAAGTTCATATGGAACCAAAAAAGAGCCTGCATTGCCAAGTCAATCCTAAGCCAGAAGAACAAAGCTGGAGGCATCATGCTGCCTGACTTCAAACTATACTATAAGGCTACAGTAACCAAAACAGCATGGTACTGGTACCAAGACAGATATATAGACCATTGGAACAGAACAGAGCCCTCAGAAATAATACCACACATCTACAGCCATCTGATCTTTGACAAACCTGACAAAAACAAGCAATGGGGAAAGGATTCCCTATTTAATAAATGGTGCTGGGAAAACTGGCTAGCCATATGTAGAAAGCTGAAACTGGATCCCTTCCTTACACCTTATACAAAAATTAATTCAAGATCGATTAAAGACTTAAATGTTAGACCTAAAACCATAAAAACCGCAGAAGAAAACCTAGGTAATACCATTCAGGACATAGGCATGGGCAAGGACTTCATGTCTAAAACACCAAAACAATGGCAACAAAAGCCAAAATTGACCAATGGGATCTAATCAAACTAAAGAGCTTCTGCACAGCAAAGGAAACTACCAGCAGAGTGAAATCATGCTGCTATAAAGACACATGCACACGTATGTTCATTGCGGCACTATTCACAATAGCAAAGACTTGGAACCAACCCAAATGTCCAACAATGATAGACTGGATTAAGAAAATGTGGCACATATACACCATGGAATACTATGCAGCCATAAAAAATGATGAGTTCATGTCCTTTGTAGGGACATGGATAAAGCTGGAAACCATCATTCTCAGCAAACTATCGCGAGGACAAAAAACCAAACACTGCATGTTCTCACTCATAGGTGGGAATTGACCAATGAGAACACTTGGACACAGGAAGGGGAACATCACACACCAGGGCCTGTTGTGGGGTGGGGGGAGGGGAGAGGGATAGCATTAGGAGATATACCTAATGCTAAATGACGAGTTAATGGGTGCAGCACACCAACATGGCACATGTATACATATATAACAAACCTGCACGTTGTGCACATGTACCCTAGAACTTAAAGTATAAAAAAAAAGAGTTGGTATTCAAAACATACAAAGACATCTTAAAACTCAACAATAAGAATACAACCAATGAAATTTTAAAAACACAGATCTGCACAGATACCTCACCTTAAAAGATACACAGCACAGGCAACAAAATCAAAATTAAATGAATGAAATTACATCAGGCTAAAAAGCTTCAGCACAGCAAAAAAAAGGAGTGACGAGAAAACCCACAGATTGAAAGAAAATATTTGCAAACCATATATATGATAAAAAGCTAATATTAAAATTATATAAGAAACTCAACTCAATAGCAAACAACAAGAAATAACATAATTTAAAAATGGGCAAATGACCTAAGTAGGCAATTCCCAAAAGAGGCCATACAAATGGCCAATAGGTACATGAAGAAATACTCATCATCATTAATCATCTGTGAAATGCAAATTAAAACCACAATGAGATATCACCTCACACCTGTTATAATGGCTATTATCATAAAGACTGGACATAACAAGTGCCGGTGAGGGTGTAGAGAAAAGGGAACACTTGTGCACTGTTGGTGGGAATGTAAATCAATACAGTCATTATGAAAAACACTATGAAGATTCTCAAAAAAATTAAAAATACAATTACCATATGATCCAGAAATCTCACTTTTAGGTACATATCCCAAAAATATAAAATCAGTATGTCAAAGAGATATGTGCAACCCCATGTTCATTACATTATTCACAATAGCTAAAATAAGGAATCAACCTAGGTGTCTGTCATCAGATGAATGGATAAAGAAAATATAGCATATATAGACAATGGAATACTATTCAGCCTTAAGAATGAAGTCCTGTCATTTGCGACAACATAGATGAAACTAGAGAATATTATGTTACACTAAATAAGCTAGGCACAGAAATAAAAATACCACATGATCTCATTTAAATGTGCAATCTAAAAAAGTGAAACTCATAGAAAGAAAGGGTAGAATGATGATTACCAGAGGCTGAGAGAGGGCAATAGGCGAGGAAAGGAGATGTGTTGATCAAAGGGTACAGAATTTCAGTTAGACAGGAGGAATAAGCTTTAGTGATCTATCATACGGAATGGTGATTATAATAAATAATAATGCATTTGTATATTTTAAAACTGCTAAAAGTAAATTTTAAATGTTTCCATTATGAAAAAAATGAGAAGTATGTAAGGTGATGGATTTGTCAACTAGCTTGATTTAGTCATTCTATAATGTAAATATACATCAAAACATCACGTTGTAACCCATATACAATATATACAATTTTTATTTTTAATTAAAAGTTAGAAAATTAAAATTAAAAAACGAAAGTAAAAAAGATACACAAATAACAAGCATATGAAAAGATGCTCAATATCAAGTCATCAGGGAATTGCAATTTAAAATGAGATACTTATTATACAGATATTAAAATAGCTAAAATTTATAACACAATACTGAATGCTGATGAGGATGTGGAACAACAGTAACTCTGACTGGGAATACAAAATGGTATAGTCACTCTGGCAAACAGTTTGGCAGTTTCTTACAAAATTGAATGTATTCTTAACCATATGATCCAGCAATTGTATCTCTTAGTACTTACCAAAATTAGTTGTTGAACTTGTTCCCCTTACATTTATACAATTTTAAAAAAAGAAGAAAACTGCTTACACAAAAACCTGCACACAAATCTTTACAGCATGTTTATTCATAATTGCCAAAACTTGAAAGCAACCAAGATGCCTTTCAATATCAATAGTTGAGTGGATAAACAAACTGTGATACATACATACCATAGAATATTATTCAGCAATAAAAAGAAACAAGATGCCAAGCTACTAAAGAACGTAGATGAATGTTAAGAACGTATTGTTAAGTCAAAGAAATCAATCTGAAAAGGCAACACACTATGATTCCAACTATACAGCACTATTGGAAAGGGAAAAGGATGAAAACAGTAAAAATATAAGTGGTTGCCAGGCTTTGGAGGAAAGGGGTGGAGGAATAAACAGATGGAGTAAGGAGGATTTTTTAGGGCAATAAAACTATTCTGTGTTATACTGTAATTGTGGATACATATCAGTATACATTTGTCAAGATCCGTAGAATGTACAACACTAAGAGTAACTCTAATGCTAACTATGAACTTTAGTTAATACTGCATCCATATTTATATATCAATTATAACAGATGTACCATACTAATGCAAAATGCTAATAGGGGAAATTATCTCAGGGGGCTAGGGAAGTATATGGGAACTCTCTGTACTTTCTGTTCAATTGTTTCTGTAAACCTAAAACTGTTCTTAAAAATAGTCTATTAATTTAAAAACATATAATTTAAAAACAACACTTATATGGCATATCTGCAATTATTCTAGTGTTCAATATTTCTAAAGCAAGTATTACTAATTACCCACTATAGTAATTTTAAAAAAACCTCAACAAAGCAATTATAGAACATCTCATTTAACGCAAAAGCAAAACAATGTAATTTCTTGGTGAATTTACAGAGAGAATACATATGCCAATGATTACAATGTAACTAATACATAGTCATAACCAAATACATGGTCATGCTGTATAAGGCTGTTATTCATAAGCCGCTTAAATATTGGAAGATTTCTACTAAAAATAATGGTTTGGATTTTGGGAGAGCTGATCTGAAGCCATTAGCACTGACAGTATTTAGACGGCAGGGACAGTGTCTTTTGAAATTAATCTTAGTTTTCTGCAGTAAAATCAAATCATCTGCATATAGAAGAATGTTTATCCTTCTTTTTTTATGACAGAGTTTGTGAATCCAAATTGTCCAAAGTGGTCTCCAGTCATCAAAACAAATTTTAAAAGAAAGAGTGGCCAAAACACATGCCACTTTATTCAAAATTGTTCTGTATCTCTTTAAAAACTGTGTATCTAATGACTCTTCGTGGTACTACAGTAGAGGTTCTATATAAGAATCACTAGCCAGCATTCCATACTGTATTCATATACTCATACAACTTGTTTCCATACATCAAATATCAAATAATAGTCAATAAGAGATACAAATGATCTTATGATTTTCCCAGTGGATAATCCTACAAGATGATAGAAATATAAAATTTCTCATTAGCATATTGCCATTCTGAGATCCTACCTGCCCATCTTGTAAACATTTGCTTGAGAATCCAAGATTTGCATTTTGTCAAGGAGACTGGCATGCATTAATGATGGATGGTTAATAAGGTCTATCATTTGGGTGGAGTAATGAAGTTGCCTGTTTAAAATAATTTAATAGTCTATATTCTGAGTTCAAAAATGAGACTTTAGTAGTACAATTGTAAGAGTAAACAAATTGCAAGTATTCGAGACCATTATTCAGAGTAATATTTAAATAGTTTGGAGTTAAGAATTTTCATTAGGTGCTTTTCAAAATTGGAACTATAAAATCCTTTGTACAACATGAAAGAGTACTACCAATACAGTGTAAATTAAGAGGATTGAATAATCTAAAATCAAGGGAGTCTGTGGCCATACACCAGAGCACATTGAATGTGCTGTGTGGAGGCTTTCTCCTCACGTTTTAAACCAACAGAATTAAAATTAGAAGAGTAAACAACCAGCTATATTTAGTCATTCTTGAGGTGATGAAAATTTACACAGGACCCTGTCTAGTAACCATTACACCTCCTGGTTTCTTGAGCTATGGATAATAGGACTCATGATGAGGATGATCACTCTGTAAATGACAGATTCCACCTAGCCCAAGATAAGCTATACGTAGAATTGAGTCTTTTTATTATTATTATTATACCTTAAGTTCTAGGGTACATGTGCACAACATGCAGGTTTGTTACACTCCCACTTCTCCCAACCCACAACAGGCCCCGGTATGTGATATTGCTGGCCCTGTGTCCCAGTGTTCTCATTTTTCAATTCCCAACTATGAGTGAGAAAATGCGGTGTGTGGCTTTCTGCCCTTGGCGATAGTTTGCTGAGAATGGTGGTTTCCAGCTTCATCTACGTCCTTACAAAGGACATGAACTCATACTTTTTTATGTTTGCATACTATTCCATGGTTATATGTGCCACATTTTCTTTATCCAGTCTATCATTGATGGACATCTGGGTTGGTTCCAAGTCTTTGCTATTGTGAATACTGCTGCAATAAACATACGTGTGCATGTGTCTTTATAGTAGCACGATTTATAATCCTTTGGGTATATACCCAGCAATGGGATGGCTGGGTCAAATGGTATTTCTAGTTCTAGATCCTTGAGGAATCACCACACCGACTTCCACAATGGTTGAACTAGTTTACAGTCCCACCAACAGTGTAAAAGTGTTCCTGTTTCTCCACATCCTCTCCAGCACCTGTTGTTTCCGGACTTTTTAATGATCGCCATTCTAACTGGTGTGAGATGGTATCTCAGTGTTGTTTTGATTTGCATTTCTCTGAAGGCTAGTGATGATGAGCATTTTTTCATGTGTCTGTTGGCTGCATAAATGTCTTCTTTTGAGAAGTGTCTGTTCATATCCTTTGCCCACTTTTTGATGGGGTTGTTTGTTTTTTTCTTGTAAATTTGTTTAAGCTCTTTGTAGATTCTGGATATTAGCCCTTTATCAGTTGGGTAGATTGCAAAAATTTTCTGCCATTCTGTAAGCTGCCTGTTCACTCTGATGGTAGTTTCTTTTGCTGTGCAGAAGCTCTTTAGTTTGATTAGATCCCATTTGTCAATTTTGGCTTTTGTTGCCATTGCTTTTGGTATTATAGTCATGAAGTCTTTGCCCATGCCTATGTCCTGAATGGTATTGCCTAGATTTTCTTCTAGGGGTTTTTTTTTGTTTGTTTGTTTGTTTTTTTGAGACAGAGTCTGGCCCTATCACCCAAGCTGGTGTGCAGTGGTGCTCTTCTAGGGTTTTTAAGGTTTTAGGTCTAACATTTAAGTCCTTAATCCATCTTGAATTAATTTTTGTATAAAGTGTAAGGAAGGGATCCAGTTTCAGCTTTCTACATATAGCTAGCCAGTTTTCCCAGCACTATTTATTAAATAGGTAATCCTTTCCCCATTTCTTATTTTTGTCTGGTTTGTCAAAGATCAGATGGTTGTAGATATGCAGTTTTATTTCTGAGGGCTCTGTTATGTTCCATTGGGCTATATCTCTGTCTTGGTACCAGTACCATGCTATTTTGGTTACTGTAGCACATTGATTGTGTATGCTGAGACTTTGCTGAAGTTGCTTATCAGCTTAAGGAGATTTTGGGCTGAAACGATGGGGTTTTCTAAATATACAATCATGTCATCTGCAAACAGGGACAATTTGACTACCTCTTTTCCTAATTGAATACACTTTATGTCTTTCTCTTGCCTGATTGCCCTGGCCAGAACTTCCAACACTATGTTGATCAGGAGTGGTGAGAGAGGGCATCCCTGTCTTGTGCCAGTTTTCAAAGGGAATGCTCCCAGTTTTTGCCCATTCAGTATGATATTGGCTGTAGGTTTGTCATAAATAGCTCTTATTATTTTGAGATACGTCCCATCAATGCCGAGTTTATTGAGAGTTTTTAGCATGAAGGCTGTTGAATTTTGTCAAAGGCCTTTTCTGCGTCTATTGAGATAATCATGTGGTTTTTGTCTTTGGTTCTGTTTATATGCTGGATTATGTTTATTGATTTGCATATGTTGAACCAGCCTTGCATCCCAGGGATGAAGCCCACTTGATCATGGTGGATAAGCTTTTTGATGTGCTGCTGGATTTGGTTTGCCAGTATTTTATTGAGGATTTTTGCATCAATGTTCATCAGGGATATTGGTCTAAAATTCTTTTTTTTGTTGTGTCTCTGCCAGGCTTTGATATCAGGATGATGCTGGCCTCATAAAATGAGTTAGGGAGGATTCCCTCTTTTTCTATTGATTGGAATAATTTCAGAAGGAATGGTACCAGCTCCTCCTTGTACCTCTGGTAGAATTCGGCTGTGAATCCGTCTGGTCCTGGACTTTTTTTGGTTGGTAAGCTATTAATTATTGCCTCAATTTCAGAACTTGTTATTGGTCTATTCAGGCGTTCAACTTCTTCCTGGTTTAGTCTTGGGAGGGTGTATGTGTTCAGGAACTTATCCATTTCTTCTAGATTTTCTAGTTTATTTTTGTAGAGGTGTTTATAGTATTCTCGGATGGTAGTTTGTATTTCTGTGGGATCGGTGGTGATATCCCCTTTATCATTTTTTTTTTTGCATCTATTTGATTTTTCTCTTTTCTTCTTTATTAGTCTTGCTAGCGGTCTATCACTTTTGTTGATCTTTTCAAAAAACCAGGTCCTGGATTCATTGATTTTTTTGAAGGGTTCTTTGTGTCTCTGTCTCCTTCAGTTCTGCTCTGATCTTTGTTATTTCTTGCCTTCTGCTAGCTTTTGAATGTGTTTCTCTTCCTTCTCTAGTTCTTTTAATTGTGATGTTAGGGTGTCAGTTTTAGATCTTTTCTGCTTTCTCTTGTGGGCATTTAGTGCTATAAATTTCCCTCTACACACTGCTTTAAATGTGTCCCAGAGATTCTGGTATGTTGTATCTTTGTTCTCATTGTTTTCAAAGAACATCTTTATTTCTGCCTTCATTTCATTTTGTACCCAGTAGTCATTCAGGAGCAGGTTGTTCAGTTTCCATGTAGTTGTGCAGTTTTGAGTGAGTTTCTTAATCCTGAGTTCTAGTTTGATTGCACTGTGGTCTGAGAGACACTTTGTTATAATTTCTGTTCTTTTACATTTGCTGAGGAGTGCTTTACTTCCAACTATGTGGTCAATTTTGGAATAAGTGTGATGTGGTGCTGAGAAGAATGTATATTCTGTTGATTTGGGGTGGAGAGTTCTGGAGATGTCTATTAGGTCTGCTTGGTGCAGAGCTGAATTCAATTCCTGGATATCCTTGTTAACTTTCTGTCTTGTTGTTCTGTCCAATGTTGACAGTGGGGTATTAAAGTCTTCCATTATTATTTAGGATAGTTAGTTCTTCTTGTTGAATTGATCCCTTTATCACTATGTAATGGCCTTCTTTGTGTCTTTTGATCTTTGTTGGTTGAAAGTCTGTTTTATCAGGGAGTAGGATTGCAACCCCTGCCTTTTTTTGTTTTCCATTTGCTTGGTAGATCTTCCTCCATCCCTTTATTTTTAGCCGATGTGTGTCTCTGCATTTCAGATGGGTCTCCTGAATACAGCACACTGATGGGTCTTGACTCTTTATCCAATTTGCCAGTCTGTGTCTTTTAATTGGAGCATTTAGCTCATTTACATTTAAGGTTAATATTGTTATGTGTGAATTTGATCCTGTCATTATGATGTTAGCTGGTTATTTTGCTCGTTAGTTGATGCAGTTTCTTCCTAGCATTGATGGTCTTTACAATTTGGTATGTTTTTGCAGTGGCTGGTACCGGTTGTTCCTTTCCATGTTTAGTGCTTCCTTCAGGAGCTCTTCTAGGGCAGGGCTAGTGGTGACAAAATCTCTCAGCATTTGCTTCTCTGTAAAGTATTTTATTTCTCCTTCACTTATGAAGCTTAGTTTTGCTGGATATGAAATTCTGGGTTGAAAATTCTTTTCTTTAAGAATGTTGAATATTGGCCCCCACTCTCTTCTGGCTTGCAGAGTTTCTGCCAAGAGATCTGCTGTTAGTCTGATGGGCTTCCCTTTGTGGGTAACCCGACCTTTCTCTCTGGCTGCCCTTAACATTTTTTCCTTCATTTCAACTTTGGTGAATCTGACAATTAGGTTTCTTGTAGTTGCTCTTCTTGAGGAGTATCTTTGTGGCATTCTCTGTATTTCCTGAATTTGAATGTTGGCCTGCCTTGCTAGATTGGGGAAGTTCTCCAGGATAATGTCCTGCAGAGTGTTTTCCAACTTGGTTCCATTCTCCCTGTCACTTTCAGGTACATCAATGAGACGTAGATTTGGTCTTTTCACATAGTCCCACATTTCTTGGAGGCTTTGTTCGTTTCTTTTTATTCTTTTTTCTCTAAACTTCTCTTCTCGCTTCATTTCATTCATTTGATCTTCAGTCACTGATACCCTTTCTTCCAGTTGATCAAATCGGCTACTGAAGCTTGTGCATTCATCACGTAGTTCTCCTGCCATGGTTTTCAGCTCCATCAGGTCATTTAAGGACTTCTCTACACTGGTTATTCTAATTAGCCATTCGTCTAATCTTTTTTCAAGGTGTTTAGCTTCTTTGCGATGGGTTCGAACTTCCTCCTTTAGCTCAGAGAGGTTTGATCATCTGAAGCCTTCTTCTCTCAACTTGTCAAAGTCATTTCCATCCAGCTTTGTTCCATTGCTGGCGAGGAGCTGCGTTCCTTTGGAGGGGGAGAGGTGCTCTGATACTTAGAATTTTCAGTTTTTCTGCTCTGTCTTTTCCCCATCTTTGTGGTTTTATCTACCTTTGGTCTTTGATGATGGTGACGTACAGATGGGCTTTTGGTGTGGTTGTCCTTTCTGTTTGTTAGTTTTCCTTCTAACAGTCAGGAGCCTCAGCTGCAGGTCTGTTGGAGTTTGCTGGAGGTCCACTCGAGACCTTGTTTGCCTGGGTATCAGCAGCGGAGGCTGCAGAACCGTGAATATTGCTGAACAGCAAATGTTGCTGCCTGATTGTTCCTCTGGAATCTTTGTCTCAGAGGGGTACCTGGCCGTGTGAGGTGTCAGTCTGCCCCTACTGGGTGGTGCCTCCCAGTTAGGCTACTCGGGGTCAGGGACCCAGTTGAGGAGGCAGTCTGTCCATTCTCAGATCTCAAACTCCGTGCTGGGAGAACTACTACCCTCTTCAAAGCTGTCAGACAGGGACATTTAAGTCTGTAGAGGTTTGTGCTGCCTTTTGCTCGGCTATGGCCTGCCCCCAGAGGTGGAGTCTACAGAGGCAGGCAGGCCTCCTGGAGCTGCGGTGGGCTCCACCCAGTTCGAGCTTCCAGGCCGCTTTGTTTACCTACTCAAGCCTGGGCAATGGCGGGGTCCCCTCCCCCAGCCTCGCTGCCGCCTTGCAGTTCGATCTCAGACTGCTGTGCTAGCAATGAGTGAGGCTCCGTGGGTGTGGGACCCTCAGAGCCATGTGCAGGATATAATCTCCTGCTGTGCCTTTTGCTGAGACCCTTGGAAAACCACAGTATTAGGGTGGAGTGACCCAATTTTCCAATTGCTGTCTGTCACCCCTTCCCTTGGCTAGGAAAGGGAAATCCCTTACCCCTTGTGCTTCCTGCGTGAGGCAGTGCCTCGCCCTGCTTTGGCTCATGCTCAGTGGGCTGCACCCACTGTCCTGCCCCCACTGTCTGACAAGCCCCAGTGAGATGAACCTGGTGCCTCAGTTGGAAATGCAGAAATCACCCTTCTTCTACGTCACTCACTCTGGGAGCTGTAGACTGGAGCTGTTCCTATTCGGCTATCTTGGAACCCCCAACTCTTTATTTGATGTGTGTTTTGCAAATATTTTTTCCCAATCTGTGGCTTGTCTTTTCACACTCTTTATAGTGTCTTTCACAGAGTAGAAGCTTTTAATTTTAATGAAGTCCACCTCATTATTTTTTTCTTTCATGGATCATGTTTTTGCTGTTGTATCTAAAAAGTTATCACCAAACCCAAGGTCATCTAGAATTTCTCTTATGTTATCCTCTAGATGTTTTATGGTTTTGCATTTTACATTTAGCTCCATGAGCTATTTTGAGTCATTTTTTGTGAAGTGTTTAAGATCTGTGTCTAGGTTCATTTTGGGGGGCAGGTGTTTGTCCAGTTGTTCCATCATCATTTCTTGTGAAGACTGCAGTTTCTTTATTGAATTGGTATTGTTCCTTTGTCAAAAATCACTTGATTATATTCATGTGAGTCTATGTCAGGGCTCTCTATTCTGTTCCATTAATCAATTGTTCATTCCTTTGCCAATACCACACTGTCTTAATTACTGTGGCTTTATATTAAGTTTTGAATTTGGGTAATATGAGTCCTCTTACTGTTTTTCTCCTTCAATATTGTGTTGACTCTTCTGAATCCTTTCTATTTCCATATAAACTTTAGAATCAGTTTGTTGATATTCACAAAATAACTTTCTAAGATTTTGATTGGGAGGCATTGAATCTCTAGATCAAGGTGGAAAGAATTGAAATCTTGACAATATCGAATTTTCCTCTTCATGTGCATGGAATATCTCCATTTATTTAGATTTCCTTCAGTTTGCTTAATCAGCTTTTTAGTTTTCCCAATATAGATCTAGTACATATTTTGGTAGAATCATGCCTGAGTATTTCATTATTTTATGCTCATGTAAATGGTAATGTGTTTTTAATCTCAAATTCTAATTTTTTATTGCTGGAATATAAGAAATCAATTGACTTTTGCATTTTGGCCATGTATCCTGCAACCTTGCTATAATGGTTTTTTATTTCCAAGACTTTTCTGTGGTTGATTCTTTGGGGTTTTCTATATAGACAAACATGTTATCTATAAACAGAGACAATTTTATTTCTTTCTTCCCAATTTGTATACCTTTTATTTCCCTTTCTTCTCTTATTAAAATAGGTTGAACTTCCAGTATGATGTTGAATAGTAGTGGTAAGAGGGATCAACCCTTAACTGTTCCTGGTGATAGGAAGATTGCAACTGGTTTGTCACCATTAAGTCTTGTGTTAACTGTAGGTTTATTCAAGTTGAAGAAGTTCTCTCTATTCGTAGATTTCTGAGAGTTTTTATGATAAATCCATGATGGATTTTGTCAATTGCTTTTTCTACATATATTGATAAGATCATATGATTTTTCTTCTTTAGCCTATTGATATGATCAATTACAATGTTTTGTGAATCTTGAACCAGGCTTGTGTATCTGGAATAAATCTCACTTGGTTATGGTGTATAACTGTTTTTATACATTGTTAGATCCAATTTGCTAATTTTTTTGAAGATTTTTGCATCTATGTTCATCAGAGATATTGGTCTATAGTTTTCCTCTTTTTAAAATGTCTTTTTCTGGCTTTGATATTAGGGTAATGCTGGCCTCATACAATGGATTAGGAAGTATTTCCTCTGCCTCTATTTTCTGTAAGAGACTGTAGAGAACTGGTATAATTTCCTTGTTAAGTAATTGGTAGAATTTACTGCTGATCCTATATGGGCCTAGTGCTTTCTGTTTTGGAGGGCTACTAGTTATTGAGTCAATGTCTTTAATAGGTTAGGCCTATTTAGATTATCTTTTTCTCTTTGAATGTAGTTTATATCTTTGGTAGTTTATATCTTTAAAGGAATTGGTGGATTTCATCAAGGTTATCAACTCTGTGGATGTGAGTTGCTCATAATATTCCTGTATTATCCTTGGAATCAGTAGTCTGTGGAATCAGTAGTGATGGCTCCTATTTCATTTAATTGTGTGTATGTTTTTTTTTTTTTTTTTGACAGACCCTCACTCTGTCACCCATGCTGGAGTGGAGTGGCACAATCTTGGTTCACCGCAACCTCTGCCTCCCGGGTTCAAGTGATTCTTGTGCCTCAGCCTTCCAAGTAGCTGGGATTACAGGCCTGTGCCACCATACCTGACTAATTTTTGTATTTTTAGTAGAGACAGGGTTTTGCCATTTTGGCCAGGCAGGTCTCGAACTCCTGACCTCAAGCGA
Organism: Homo sapiens; assembly: GCF_000001405.40. NCBI lineage: Eukaryota > Metazoa > Chordata > Mammalia > Primates > Hominidae > Homo > Homo sapiens. Next base: position 131,459,399 of record NC_000023.11, on the reverse strand, counting down.
TCCACCTACCTTGGCATCCCAGAGTGCTGAGATTACAGGCATGAGCCACCGGGCCCCTTTCCCCCCGCCATTTCATTTCTGATATTGGTAATTTGTGCCTCCTTTCTTTCCTTAGTTGAGCTGGATGATGTTTTATCCATACTACTTATCAAATGTATCATTTATCAAATTTACCAAATTTATTCATCTTTTTAAATAACTGGCTTTTGAGTTCCTTGATTTTCTCAGTTGATTCCCTATTTTTAATTTCATTGATTTCTGCTCTAATTTTTATTTTCTTTTGCTCACTTTGAATTTAATTTTTCTCTTTTTTTTCTAGTTTCCCAAGATGACAGCTTAGATTATTGATTTTTAGATATTTCTTCTTTACTAATATATGGATGGATTAAATACTATAAATTTCCTTCTAAACACTACTTTTGCTGCATCCCATACATTTTTATAAGTTGTATGTTCATTTACTTCTAAATATTTTTAAACTTTTCTTGTAAATTCTTCTTTGATCCCTGTGTTATTTAGAAATATGTTATTTAATCTCCGTGTATTTCAGGGTTTTCCAACTATCTTTCTGCTATTGATTTCAAGTTTAATTTTATTGTGGTTGAGAATATGTGTTGTATAACTTCTATTCTTTTAAATTTGTTAAGCTGTATTTTATGTCTCAGACTGTCGTTTAACTTGGTAAATATTCTTTATGAGCTAAAGAAGAACCGTTCATTTGGTAAAGTTTTCTTTAGGTTGCAATTAGATCCAGCTAATTGATTTTGCCATTCAGTTCAACTATGTTCTGATTGAATTTCTGTCTGCTGGATTTGTCAATTACTGATGGAGGCATGTTGAACTATAATAGTAGATTCATCTATTTCTCCTTACATTTCTATCAAGTTTTTTACCTCAGATATTTTGACACTCTGTTGTTAGGTACATACACGTTAAGGATTGTTATATCTTCTTGAAAAATTGACCCCTTTATCACTATGTAATACCCTTCCTTACCTCCGACTATTTTCTTACTCTGAAGTTGGATTTGCTTGAAACTAATATAAGTACTCCAGCTTTTTCCAATTAGTGTTTGCATGATATGTGTATTAGTCCATTCTTGCATTGCTTTAAGGAACAACCCTAAATTGTGTAATTTATAAAGAAGAGAGGTTTAACTGGCTCATGGTTCCACAGTCTGTACAGGAAGCATGGCTGGGGAAGCCTCAGGACACTTAAAATCATGGTGGAAGGCACAGGGGAAGGAGGCACATCTTCACACGGCCAAAGGAGGAGGAAAAGTGGGTGAAGCAGGAAGTGCTATACACTTTTAAGCATCCATATCTCAGGAGAACTCGCTCACTATCACAAGAACAGCAAGAGGGATCCCCTATGAGTCAATCACCTCCCACTTGGCCCCTCCTCCAACATTGAGAATTACAATTCAGAATGAGATTTGGGTGGGGACACAGAGCCAAGCCATATTAATATGTTTCTTCATCACTTTACTTTTATCTGTGCCTTTATATTTAAAGTGGGTTTCTGTAGACAGCACACAGTCAAGTCTTGTTTTTTTTAATCAACTCTGACACCTTCATTTTTTAATTCGTATATTTAGACTATTGACATACAAAGTAATTATTGATGTAGTTGGATTAGTATCTGTTATATTTGTTACTGTTTTCTATTGGTCACTCTTGCTCGTTTTTTCTTTTTTATCTTCCACTGTTTTTCAGTCTTCTCTGGCTTGATTTTTTCATATAATTCAATTTTTTCTCATCTCTTAGCACATCAATTATAATTCTTTGCAAAAACCATTTTAGCAATTACCCTTGAATTTGTAATATAAATTTTACATGTCCTCTTTTAAATAACCATATACCACTCCACATTTAAAGAAAATACTATATAACAAAGTAGCTCTGATTTCTTCCTCCCCTACCTTATAACATTACCAAAATTCATTTCACATTTCATAAGTGATAAATACCGAATACATTACTGCTATAATTTTTTGAATAAACTGTTATCTGATAAATAAAAATAAGAAAAACAATATTATTTACCTTCATTTATTCCCTCTGTAATTTTTTTATTTCTCTATGTAGATCCAAGTTTTTGACTTATATAATTTTCCTTCTTTCTGAAGAATTATTTTAATACTTCTTGCAATGCAGTTCCACTGGCAACAAATTACCTCAATGTTTGTTTGCCTGAGAAAGTCTTTATTTCCCTTAACTTTTGACAGTCAGTTATTCTGGCTACAGAATTCTAGGTTGGTGGTGTTTTTCTCTCAATATGTTAAATATTTTACTGCATTCTCTTCTGGCTTGTATGGTTTCTATGGTTTCTGAAAAGAAGTTCAATGTAATTTTATCCTTGCTCCTCTGTGGGTAAGGTAGATTATTTTAGCCCTTTCCGGCTTCTTTCAAGATTTTCTCTTTGTCATTGATTTTCTTCAGATTAAATGTGATCCATCTAAATGTTTTTGGTATTTATCATGCTTGTCGTTCTCTGAGCTTCCTGGATTTGTGGTTTTGTGTTTATCATTAATTTGGGGGAAATTGTTAGTCATTATTGTTTCAAATAATTCTTCTGGTTCTTTCTATCATTTTTCTCTATCTTGTATTCCTATTATGCATATATTGCACATTTACTAGTTGCCCCACAGTTTTTGAATAACGTGTTCTGTCTTTTTCTCTTTGCATTTCTATTTTAGAAACTTCTATTATCATTCTTCAAGCACATCATTTTTTTCCTTGCCTGTGTCCAGCCCATTGATAAGCCCACCAAAGATGGGCAATCAACAAGAAGTAAAGATTCTTTACTTCTGTTCTAGTGTTTTTGATTTCAAACTTTTTCTTTTGATTCTTTCTTAGAGTTTCCATCTCTCTTTTTACATTACCTATCTAATATTGCATATTGTCTATTTTCCATATAAAGCCTTTGGCATGTTAATCATAGTTGTTTTAAATTCCTTGTGTGATTATTCCAATATCTCTGCCATATCTGAGTGTTTCTGATGCACTATCTTATCTCTTCAACCTGTGTTTTTTAGTCTCATAATTTTTCATAAATTTTTGTTAAAAGGGAGGGGAACATCACACACCAGAGCGTGTTAGGTGGTGGGGTCTGGGGGAGGGATAGCATTAGGAGAAATACCTAATGTAGATGACGGGTTGATGGTTGCAGCAAACCACCAAGGCGTGTGCATACCTAATGTAACAAACCTGCATGTTCTGCACATGTATCCCAGAACTTGAAGTATAATAAAAAAATTTTTGAAGTATGCCTTGTAATTTTTTGTTGAAAGCTGAATATGATGTACTTGCTTAAAGGAGCTAAGGTAAACCGGCCTTTAGTGTGAGCTTTGATATTTATCTTGATAGGAGTCAGGTTGTATTAACCGTTTTCTGGAGCTGTAAATGTCAGAGGCTCAAATTTTATTTAGCATCTTTGTTTTTGTGGCTCCTATTATCTTTGGACTTCTCTAGAGACTTTTAAAATAAGGTCTGTGACATGTAGTTCTTTCCATTGTAGTTCTCTGTAAATATGCACTAACCCTATTGATGTGGAGGTAAAGTGTGAATGGAGGCAAAGTTTGGTATAATCCTGAGTATGTCTTAGTCCATTTGGGCTGCAAATACCTTAGACTGGGTAATTTATAAACAACAGAAATGTGTTGCTCACAGTTCTGTAGACCGGGAAGTACAACATCAACTTGCTAACAGGTTCAGTGTATGGTGAGGGTGCACTCACAGAGGGCATCTTCTAGCTGTGTCTTTACATGGCAGAAGGGACAAACAAGCTCCTTTTAACTTTAAACAATTAAATTATTAATCCCATCCATCAGGCAAGAGTCCTTATGACCTAGTCACCTCCCAAAGCCCTACCTCTTAATACTATTACCTTGAGGGTTAGGTGTCAACATATGAATCTGGAGGAGACACGAACATTCAGACCATAGCAATCTCAGTCTTTTAGTGAGCCAGTGTCTCTGGAATTTGACCTTCAAAATTGATTTTCAGTTAGTCCTACCTTCTTTAGGTGAGACAGAGTGTCTAGGTGGGGATTAAGTTGGATATTTCCTTTCCCCCAGTTTGGTTAGTTTCTGGTAAATCTCCAATCGGTTAAGCTTTAGAAAAATAGTTTTCCTTGAAGGTTGGCCTTGTTAAAAAGAACAAAATGCTCTGGGAATATTATAAAATGACTTTTCTCCTGTCCCTGCCAGAGGCACAAGTGAATTTTTCTCAGATCTTCACTGTGAGCACATGGTAGGGCTTGTAACTGTAAAATTTACAAAAGTGTGCCCCCGACCCCTCAACAAGGACTTAGCCCTGTGAATTTTTCATTCTCAAACATACTTACACTGAGTCTCCAGTAGTTCACTAATTACAGTTTAAGATTATCTGCCCCAGTACTAGTTCCCATGGAGATTTCTGCTCCAGTAAGCTGGGATTCTCTGTATCTGCTTGCCTGGCTCTCTAATTTTGGGATTATTGATTTGTCCTGTGATATCAGTGCTCTTATGGATCTAAGAAGAGCTGTTGATTTTAGTTTGTTCAGCTTTTTTCTTATTGTGCGGACGGGAGTGATTACTTACATGTCAGATTGGAAAATAGAAGCCCTCAAATTGCATTATAAAATGAAGATTATTGCTCATCTGAGGATTTGCCACATGAGAAAAAAGAAGAATAAAAGATAGAAGAATGTCATTAAGAATAGTAATGTTTGTGCCATTTTAACTTACCTTGGTCACATTCCCTTTTCTCTAATTTCTCTGTAGTCTTGAAAATCAACAGTCTCATGATCATGGTAGGTGTAATAAGCAGCAGCCTAAAAGTAACTGGAGGGATAGAGAAAGGTTTTGGATTTCTCTAAAAGTTCAATTCTAGGGGAGATTTCACTATTTGGACTTTCTTGCAGCTCTTTGAAAAGTTTTACCCACAGGCTTTTTCTTTATTTGATCTGACTCAAAGACACCTCTGTGTGAACAGCATCGTACACAAGACAATTGTTGAAAACAACCAATACCAATTGTTTAACATTGCTACTGCTTGAGATGATTATATAAATTGGGGCAAATGAAAAGCTGATCAAAAGTCTTAAAAGGAAAAACTGGGTCGCAGGGCATCCAAAAGCTCCTATATATTCCTAGAATTCTAGAAGATCATATGCATGTGTAGAACCGTGTCCATGCCCAGGGAAGACTAAGAAGGCCCTAAACTTACACTTCTGGCAGACCTGAAAGCTCTGCACAAGTATGAAATTAAAAGGTAAAGAAATGTTGTAAACTGGCTGCCAGAGCATGTAAAGAGTACCCGCACCACACACACATCTTAAATCAAAAACACAAATAAGTCAAAAGTAAAAAGGGGATAAAGACACCCTACACAAACAATAATCAAACTAGAATGGGTACACTATGAAAATGTTCACAGAAAAAATAGGCTTTAATATGAAAATTGTTACTAGAAATGAGGAAGGACATTTTATAATGATAAGAAGATCAATCCACCAAGAAGACATAGTGATTGTAAGTATATGTACACTTAATAGGGCCCCAAAATAAATGAAGCAAAAACTGACAAAATTGAAGGGAGAAACAGACAATTTAAAAATAAAAGTTGGAGACTTCGATAGTCTACTTTCAATAATAAATTCAACAACTGTACAGAAAGTAAAGAAAGAGAAGACTTGAAACACAACAAAACAGCTATTCCTAGCAGATATCTATGGATCCCTCCACACAACAAGAACAGAAAACAAAATATTTTCAAGTGCATATCAAACAGCATCCAGGATAGATTATATGCTAACCAATAAAAAAAGTTTCACCAAGTTTAAAAATACTGCAGTAATATGAAGTTCTCTGATCACCATTGAATGAAATTAGAACTCAATAGCAAAAAAGTTTATAAATTAAAAATACGTAGAGATTGAATGACACAGTCTCTTTCCAATAGGCCAAAGAAAAAAAGTCACAAAGGAAATCAGAAAACACTTTGAGACGAATAAAAACAAAAGCACAACCTGCCAAAATTATATGATGCAGCTAAAGTTGTATTTAGAATTTTAAGGTTGTAAATCTCCATATTAACAAAGAAGAACCTCAAATTAATAACCCAAACTTCTACTTTAAGAAAGTAGAGAAAGAAGAGCAAACTAAACCCATAGCAAGCAGAAGAAAGGAAATAATAAAGAATATACAGAAGTAAATGAAATAGACAATAGAAAAGCAAAAGAGGAAAATCAATGACACCAAAAGTTGATTCTTCAAAAATATTACAAAATTGACAAAAGTTTAGTGTACAGGCCAAGAAAAGAGAAAACTTCTAAAATCATGAATTAGAGGGGTGGCATTACTAGTAACCTTACAGAAATGAAAATAATTAGTAGAGGATACTATTAACAATTGTACACCAGCAAGTTACATAACCTAGATTAAAAGGACAAATTAATAGAAAAGTACAAACTACTGAAACTCACTCAAGAAGAAATAGAAAATATGAATAGACTTACAATGAATAGCAATCAATTAACTATCCATAAGGAAAATCCCAAGCTTAGTGCCTTCACAGGTGAATTCTTCCAAGCCGTTAAAGAAAAATTAACATAAATCCTTGACAAATTCTGCAAAAAGTAGAAGAGGAGGGATTGTCCAACTTATTCTGAGGGGAGTATCACACTGGTTTTAAAGCAGACACGACACATCATAAAAAAGAAAACTACTGACTAATAATAACACTTATGAATATGGATGAAACAATTTTCATCATAATACTAGCAAACCAAATTTGGCAATACCAAAAAGGATTATGTATCATTCCAAGTTAGGCTTACTGTATAAATACAAGAGTGTTTCAACATATGAAAATAAATCAACATAGTATACCATATTCAAAGAATAAAGGACCAAAAAATCATAGAATCATCTCAATAGACACAGCAAAAGTATTTGACAAAATTCGACAGCCTTTCATAATAAAACAAAATAATAATAGAAAGGAACGTTATTTAACCTAATAAAGGTCATTACAAAAAACCCATAGCTAACATCATACTTAATGATCAAAGAGTGAAAGCTTTTCCCATGAGATCAGGAAGACAAGGATGTTCCTTCTCACTACTTCTATTCAACATTGTAGTCTAGATTCTAGCCATGGCATTCAGACAAGAAAATTAAATAAAACTCATCCAGATTGGAAAAGAGGAAGCAAAACTACTCTATTCACGAACAATATAATCTATATAGCAAATACTAAGGAATACGCGCATGCGCGCGCGCACGTGCGCACACACACACACACACACACATAAACTAGTAAAGCTAGTAAACAAGATCAGCAAGGTTATGACTATCAACATCAATATACAAAATCAATTGTATATTTATACACTAGCAATAAAAATCCAAAAGCAAAATAAGAACAATTTCATTTGCAATAGTATCAAAAGAATACAATAGTTAGGAGTAATTTTTAAAATATGTGTAAGAGTTATATACTAAAAACTGTAAGATATCACCAAAAGAAATGTTAAAAGACCTAAATAAATGGTTCATGAATTGCAAGACTTAATATTAATATTAAGCCAGCCGTGGTGCCTCACCCCTGTAATCCCAGCACTTTGGGAGGCTGAGGCGGGTGGATCATCTCAGGTCAGGAGCTCGAGACCAGCCTGACCAACATGGTGAAACCCCGTCCCTACTAAAAATACAAAATTAGCTGGGTTGGGTGGCTCATGCCTGTAATCCCAGCTACACAGGAGGCTGAGGAAGGAGAATCGCTTGAACCTGGAAGGCGGAGGTTGCAGTGAACTGAGATCCTGCCATTGCACTCCAGCCTGGGTGACAGAGTGAAACTCTGCCTCAAAAAAAATTAATATTAAAATGGCAATACTTCACAAACTGATCTGCAGATTCAGCACAGTACTTATCAAATTTCACCTACCAGTTTTTCAGAAATTGGAAAGCTGATCTAAAATTCACATGGAAGTACAAGGGGACGACAACAACCAAAACAACCTGAAAAAGAACAAGGTTAGAGGCTTACCTTTTTAGATTTCAAAAATTTTTTATATACTTTAAGTTCTAGGGTACATGTGTACAATGTGCAGGTTTGATACATAGGTACACATGTGCCATGTTGGTGTGCTGCACCCATTAACTCATCATTTACATTAGGTATATCTCCTAATGCTATCCCTCCACCCTCCCTCCACCCCATGACAGGCCCTGGTGTGTGATCTCATTGTTCAATTCCCACCTATGAGTGAGAACATGCAGTGTTTGGTTTTTTGTCCTTGCAATAGTTTGCTGAGAATGATGGTTTCCAGCTTCATCCATGTCCCTACAAAGGACATGAACTCATCATTTTTTATGGCTGCATAGTATTCCATGGTGTATATGTGCCACATTTTCTTAATCCGGTCTATCAACGTTGGACATTTGGGTTGGTTCCAAGTCTTTGCTATTGTGAATAGTGCCACAATGAACATACATGTGCATGTGTCTTTATAGCAGCAAGATTTATAATCCTTTGGGTATATACCCAGTAATGGGATGGCTGGGTCAAATGATATTTCTAGTTCTAGATCCCTGAGGACTTGCCACACTGACTTCCACAATGGTTGAACTAGTTTACAGTCCCACCAGCAGTGTAAAAGTGTTCTTATTTCTCCACATCCTCTCCAGCACCTGTTGTTTCCTGACTTTTTAATGATTGCCATTCTAACTGGTGTGAGATGGTATCTCATTGCGGTTTTGATTTGCATTTCTCTGATGGCCAGTGATGATGAGCATTTTTTCATGTGTTTTTTGGCTGCATAAATGTCTTCTTTTGAGAAGTGTCTGTTCATATCCTTTGCCCACTTTTTGATGGGGTTGTTTGTTTTTTTCTTGTAAATTTGTTTGAGTTCTTTGTAGATTCTGGATATTAGCCCTTTGTCAGATGAGTAGGTTGCAAAAATTTTCTCCCACTCTGTAGGTTGCCTGTTCACTCTGATGGTAGTTTCTTTTGCTGTGCAGAAGCTCTTTAGTTTGATTAGATCCCATTTGTCAATTTTGGCTTTTGTTGCCATTGCTTTTGGTGTTTTAGTCATGAAGTCCTTGCCCATGCCTATGTCCTGAATGGTATTGCCTAGGTTTTCTTCTAGAGTTTTTATGGTTTTAGGTCTAACATTTAAGCCTTTAATTCATCTTGAATTAATTTTTGTATAAGGTGTAAGGAAGGGATCCAGTTTCAGCTTTCTACATATGGCTAGCCAGTTTTCCCAGCACCATTTATTAAATAGGGAATCTTTCCCCATTTCTTGTTTTTGTTAGGTTTGTCAAAGACCAGATGGTTGTAGATGTATGGTATTATTTTTGAGGGCTCTGTTCTGTTCCTTTGGTCTACATCTCTGTTTTGGTACCAGTACCATGCTGTTTTGGTTACTGTAGCTTTGTAGTATAGTTTGAAGTCAGGTAGTGTGATGCCTCCAGCTTTGTTCTTTTGGCTTAGGATTGACTGGGCGATGCAGGATCTTTTTTGATTCCATATGAACTTTAAAGTAGTTTTTTCCAATTCTGTGAAGAAAGTCATTGGTAGCTTGATGTGGATGGCATTGAATCTATAAATTACCTTAGGCAGTATGGCCATTTTCATGATATTGATTCTTCCTATCCATGAGCATGGAATGTTCTTCAATTTGTTTGTGTCCTCTTTTATTTTGTTGAGCAGTTGTTTGTAGTCCTCCTTGAAGAGGTCCTTCACATCCCTTGTAATTTGGGTTCCTAGGTATTTTATTCTCTTTGAAGCAGTTGTGAATGGGAGTTCACTCATGATTTGGATCTCTGTTTGTCTCTTATTGATGTATAAGAATGCTTGTGATTTTTGTACATTGATTTTGTATCCTGAGACTTTGCTGAAGTTGCTTATCAGCTTAAGGAGATTTTGGGCTGAGATGATGGGGTTTTCTAAATATACAATCATGTTGTCTGCAAACAGGGCCAATTTGACTTCCTCTTTTCCTAATTGAATATCTTTATTTCTTTCTCTTGCCTGATTGCCCTGGCCAGAACTTCCAACACTATTTTGAATAGGAATGGTGTGAGAGGGCATCCCTGTCTTGTGCCAGCTGTGGGTTTGTCATAAATAGCTCTTATTAGTAGTCTTTCAATAACTGGTTCTGGAACAACTGGATATCTACGTGCAAAAGAATGATGTTGGACTCTTACCTCACACCATATACAAAAATTAACTCAAATGAGATCAAAAGCCTTATTATAAAAGCTAAAAGTATAAAACCTAGGTGTCTTAAATAAAAACCTAGGTGTAGATCTTCATCACCTTAGGTTAGGCAATGGTTTGTTAGACATTACCCTGAAAACACTAGCAACAACAATAACAACAACAAAAAGATAAATTCCATTTTGTCAAAGTTGGAGCTATGCTTCAAAGAATACTATCAAGAATGTGAAAAGACAATGAATAGGCTGGAAGAAAATATTAACAGATTATATATCTGAAAAGGAATTTGTATTCAGAATATGTAAAGAATTTTTGCAACTCAATAATAAAAAGATAAATACCCCAATTAAAAATGGGCCATCCAAACCCCCATGACACGAGTTTACCTATATAACAAACCAGTCCATGTGCCCCTGAAGCTTAAATAAAAACTAAAATAAAAAAATGGGCAAAGCAGGAGTTTGAGACTAGCCTGGATAACATTGGGAGATCTCGTCTCCTACAAAAAATTAAAAAATTAGCCAGGTGTGGTGTCACACATCTGTAGTCTTGGCTATTACGGAGGCTGAAGTGGAAAAATCACTTGAGCCCAGGAGTTTGAGATTACAGTGAGGTATGATCATGCCACTACACTCCAGCCTGGGCAACAGAGTGAGATCCTGTCTCTGTCTCTTAAAATAAATAAGCCAAAGATTTCAGTAGACATTTTTCTGAAGAAGATATGTGAATGGCTAGTAAGCACAAGAAATGATGCTAAACATCATTGGCCATTAGGGATGTGCAAATAAAAACCACAAGATACCACTTCACACCTACTAGAACGACTATAATAACAAGACAGACAATAACATTTGGTAGCAAGAGTGGAGAAATTGGAACCCAGTACATTTTTGGTGGAAATATTAAATGGTACATTTACTTTAGAATATAGTTTGACAGTTCCCCAAAAAGTCAAACAGAAAGTTATCACGGGACTCAGCAACTACACTTCTAGGTATATACACAAAATAATTTAAAACATATGTTCACAGAAAAATTTGTGCATGAATGTTTATAGTAGTATTAATCATAATAATATTAGTTATTGGGAAAAATCAAAATGTCCATCAAGTGATGAATGGATCAACAAAATTTGGTATATCCATATAATGGCATATTATTCAGCCATAAAAAGAAATGAATTACTGGTGTATGCTACAAGATGTATAAACCTTGAATACGTGTGAATACTATGAGATGTCAGTCACAAAAATCAAGATATTATATTCTTTCATTTATATGAAGTGTCCAGAATAGGTAGATCTATAGAGACAGAAAGTAGATTAATGGCTGGAAGGATGGGCGGAATAAAGAATGACTGCTAATGTGTCTGGGGTGGCTTTTGGGTTGATGAAAATACTGTCAAATTAAATACTGGTGATGGTCACACAACCTCGTGAATATATTTAAAACCACGGAATGGTACAGGTTATTTTTTTTTAAATTAAGAGAAATATATTGGGCTATGTCATAGAACTTTGGGACTTTGTCAGCCCATTTGCTTATATTTTGGAGAATATGCAATATGTGGCCATCCATTCAGAAATAATTAAGTAATCTACGTAATTTTCATGACATGATAGCTACTTCAAAGCTAGTTAGGAAACTATTAACATTTAAGAGGTGGTCCTTAATTGGCAACCTGGAAAATCTTTAGCTCAATTGGTCATCAGAGACTACAGTCTTAATTTTTGCTGTTCATATCTTACCTAAAATTGAGGTGTGAGAGGGAAAAGTGATATGTATAGTAGCTTAAATGAAATATATTACGTTTGCCTCTCCAGATTTGTATTTTAGCAATCAAACTGAATCATCAGAGGGATGTATATTTAGACCACATTATTTTGTCTTTTCTTAGAATTACTTTAATGAAATTACCCTTTGACATATACTCTCAGCCTACACTGAAGTATATCATTAAAACGATTCCAAGAAACTAGCTACTTATTGTACTTTACTGGCAGAATGCTTTTGAGGATTGTTCTCTATGACACATTTTCCAATTTTCTAAAGACCTACCACACAAATTTCTCCCCGCATTTTATACCAGGAAAACTGTTTCCGATGAAAATTTTGTTTCATAATACTTTTGTGAACACTGGGGCTCTTGTCTCTAATTGTATTTGCCCCTTTGCTTTTGCTACTGTGTAGATCCAAGCTAAATTTGTGGGTCATTTCTTACCATTGTACATAGATTGTTATATAAACTTGCATATTAACCTCACTCATGTCTTTATGTGTATCTTGCATTATGTTTAGCTCTGTAATCTGCTTCAAACAACTTTCAGCGATATAATAATAGATAAATAGACTGATCTAGGAGTAGGAAAGATTGGTGGACAAACAGATCCTGGCCTTGACATCACAGCCATTCATTATGCCGACCACCAACTTACTCTTACTCCACAAAAGCATTTCACAAATTTATACTGTTTCCCAAAAGGGATGAAAAGAGTCTATGACTGACTCAATACAAAAAAAAATGTACATGGCAGGAGTTACAACTCACACACATGTCCTACAGTCATTATTCTTATACCCTATTTATCAGTGATGGGAAGCTGTGTTCTTATGGGCTGAAAGTTAATCTATGTTATTGTAGGTATGATTTCCATTAGTATTATGAGCTTGAAATATGAAAGCAACTTAAATTGCCCAGAGGTGTCAGGTGATATGGGGATTTCAGAACATGTGTCAACTCATTTCAACAAAATTAACATTTTTGTTTGAACTATCCAGTTAAATGAAAAACTGGAAGGATAATTGCTTCAGTGATTTGTAACATTGTATGGAAAGTTGATGAAAATGTTTTGGTTGTCCTTTCAAGATATTAAAAAAGGCATATTATTCTGGATATATTGTCTGTTCCTTCTGGAAATGAAAGGATTGACTGATCAATGGATTGATTGAAATTTCCACTTGTTATTAAATTGTTTGGTGTCATGGCAACCTAGGCTTTGTCTCTCTCTTAAGACAGAAGCAGATCATGACATTTTTATTACATGTCTTCAAGAATGACAGCCATGACAAATCCTCCCTTGACAGGGAAAAGTGTAATAATGTTCTCAGATGCCTAAGGTTCTGGCACTTGCATCACCAATGAAGCAGGTGGTCAAATAACTCCGATCTTTTGCTATATGAGAGTCCCAGGAAGAAAACATCACCTCACCAAGTGGTCTTTAGAATGACCACGCAATTCTTCAGTTTCTTTGGTGAGCTCAAGATGTGGTCAACAGGATATGAAATATCTGGATCGAAAGAGAAAAATCTCAAACATCTAAATATATGAATTACACATCTGTGATTTTCTAATTGAAAATTTCTGGTCCAGGCACTGTGGCTCACTCCTATAATCACAGCACTTTGGGAGGTCAAGGCGTGAGGATTGCTTGAGGCCAGGAACTTGAGACCAGCCTGGCCAACATGGCAAAACACCATCTCTACTAAAAATACAAAAAGCAGCTGGGTGTGGTGGCGCGTGCCTGTAATCCCAGCAACTCAGAAGGCTGAGGCACAATAATCACTTGAACCCAGGAGGCAGAAGTTGCAGGAAGCCAAGATTGCACCACTGCACTCCAGCCTGGGTGACAGAGCAAAACCCTGTCAGAAAGAAAGAAAGAAAGAAAGAAAGAAAGAGAGAGAGAGAGAGAGAGAGAGAGAGAGAGAGAGAGAGAGAAGGAAAGAAGGAAAGAAAGAGAAAGAAAGAAAGAAAGAAAGAAAGAAAGAAAGAAAGAAAGAAAGAAAGAAAAAGAAAGAAGGGAGGGAGGGACGGAGGGAGGGAGTGAAGGAAGGAAGGAAGGAAGGAAGGAAGGAAGGAAGGAAGGAAAGAACGAACGAAAAGGAAAAAGAAAATTTATGGATGGTAGGTTCAATTTCGCATCAAGACATTTGTCTTTTTTAAAACTTTTATTTTAACATCAGGGGTACATGTGCTGGTTTGTTACATAGGTAAACTTGTATCAAGGAGTGTTTGTTGTACAGACTATTAGGTATTAAGCCTAGTACCCATTAGTTATTTTCCCTGATCCTCTCCCTCCATCTACCCTCCACCCTCCTATAGGCCCAATGTCTGTTGTTCCCCTCTATGTGTCTATGTGTTCTTATCATTTAGCTCCCACTTATAAAAATGAGAACAAGAGGTATTTGGTTTTCTGTTCCTGTGTTAGTCTGCAAGGATAATGACCTCCAGCTATTTTTCTTCTTGCAGAACTTCCTTGAATATATTTTACAGAATATTTCTGTTGGTGACAAATTATCTTTGTATATACAAAAATGTCACCATTTTGCCTTTAAAAAGTAAATATAGTTTTTTAAATGTTCAAAAAAAAAAAGATATTTGCCATTGTATAAGAATTACCAGTACGGTAACCGATTCCTTTCACAGTCTATGCTGGGTCCACATTAAAATAAGAATACAGAACTACCCTTTGTGAACACTGAGTCGTGCTTGGCTGGCCTTAACAAGATAAGGTTGACCGGGTAGATTTGATTTCTACCAGGTCAAATCAGAGAGTTGGAGAGAGTGGAGAGGAATGGCCAGAAAGCGATTTGCTTCATGAAACTTCCAGATTTACCCCCAAACTCTGTTCTCAAGTTTAGTCTTCCCTATCTCAGTCAAGGAAACTCTCATGAAGTAAGTTATTCAAGCAAGAAAACTGGGAGTCATCTTTTTACCCTCCTTTGCCTTTACTCCTTATTTGAAATTCGTTAACAAACACTGCGTATTTACACGTAAAATTTCTCTTGTACGTCTCTCTATGTTCCTCTCTTATTACCTCTCTCACACTATTATCTATACCCCAACCACTGAAGCTCTCATTTTCCCTTGCCTTCTATTTGAATCTGTTTTCCACTCCAAAACAAGAACAATCTTTAAATAATTATAAATCAGAGTTCATCAGTGGTATGCTTATATTATAGCAGTGAATTCCCATTGCACTATAGAAGCAATACTAAAGTGAAAACATAGTGAGAAGGTATGTGACGTGGTGGTGGCGGGGGGGGCTCTCCTTACTCATTTATTCTGGATATTCATCTTGGATGGTGATATGATAGCTCATGAGGCCAGATGGTGTCAATTAGTCATCTTCAGAATGTTGACTCTTCTTCATTCTGAAGTCATCTCCGAAGTCATCTTCATTCTCCGAAGTCATCTTCAGAATGTTGACTTCGGAGAAGGAGATTGTACTGAGATAGGGACATGATCTCACTGGGTTCCTCTTAGGAACAGAGAGCAAGTGGACCTGGGTCAGAGACTGAGACTGTGACCAGCCCAGTGACAAGAACAAAGTCTAGTGGACCCTGCAGGGAGGCAACCTGCCACCTCGAGCAACTTTGCTTAACAGCCAAATTGGTTGAGAGCTCTGCCCAAAGCCAATGAGCTCAGTTTCAGTGCAGATGGAGTTAGGGGTGTCTTTCTTTCCCTGTGGCAACAGGCAAGTGGAGAAAGACCCATGGCTAAGCAGATCCAAACTGTGAGGTTTCGCAAGGGGCAGGGAGCCACTGGACTTCCAGGAATAGAGCAACCAAAAAAGTCTGCAGCAAACTGGCAATGTGAGCTCTGGCTATTAGCAAAATGGGTGGGCTCTACCTGAACTGCTCACTTTCTTCCTTGAAAAGTTTCCTCTTCCTGTGACTAGCATGTAAGTGGCAGTGGCTCAGCACTGTCTAATTACCTCTGCCCTTAGTGACCCTGAATCCCAAGGGGTGAGGACTCAGGAGCCAGTCTCCCACCCCCAGGTCAGAGAAGCGCATTCACTGGCATCATTCGAACAATGAGTCCATTTTAATAGGGTGCTCTCATCTCTAGGTGAGTTTGAAAACACTGTGACAGGAAGGAAAATAATTGCATTTTCTCCCAAAGCTGCCGGAAATAATTTCTACTTTAATGGTGAAAACAGGACTCCTTGTATTTCTGGACATTTTACATTGCAGGCTGTAATGAGCGAGAAAATGTCTTTCTTTTAATAGCTAATCCTCTGATGCTTTGTGTCTGGGAAGGTAACTTGATGTGGCAAATTATCATTGTCGAAGAGAGAGATTGAGCCAGGAACAGCATCATTGCTTTGTCCACTGCGTCACTTAGCTCTTATTAGCGTAGCCAGAAAATTGGCGTTTGTTCTCAACAGTACATTTTTTTCAGAGATGGGCCATCACCAGGCACAGCCCCACTCAGATCTAGGAAGGGAGGGGAGGCATCATACAGCAACTTCTCCCAGGGGCACCAGACTCCTTTAAGTGAACTCACTGGTGTGATAGCCATGAAGAGGCACACCATCTTCCTCCCCTTCTCCCCTGCTTAGCCCCAGCCACTCCCAGGAGCCCATGGAGCTGGATTAGTTTTTGTACTGTGGTGAGCATGATCTAGAGGTTTTCACCCAAAAGCAGGGTTTCGCTAGGGTCAGAGCAGGAGCCTGAGTGGGCAGGGAGAGATGTCAGAG
Organism: Homo sapiens; assembly: GCF_000001405.40. NCBI lineage: Eukaryota > Metazoa > Chordata > Mammalia > Primates > Hominidae > Homo > Homo sapiens. Next base: position 131,442,709 of record NC_000023.11, on the reverse strand, counting down.
GGAAATGGGTATGGAGCTGCAAATGGGCAATCCTCAGACCACCTGCCCAGAGTCATAACTTTACCTGGGACCAGCGCCGAGCACTTTCATCCTCTTGCCTTGGCCCCTTCTTCCAATTCCTCTTCCTTAGGGGCCTTATTTTCCCTTCATATATACATTTGTTTTTCAATTGTGTCTTTAATTGGGGTGTTCTTTAAGCTTAAATGCATGACTTGTTATTTTTTCGTATATGAGTGGAAACTGCCCTTAATCTTTTGGTTCACATTCCATACATGTGGGGAGGTGTCCATGTTTATAATTAACCTTCCGTGATATTTTTGATGTCCTTTTACTTGGGAAGTCTTATTTCACAACAAATGTTTCTGAATTCCCTGCATTTCAGGTATTTAATATCCTAACAAGTTAGATTTATAAATATTTATCGTATTTCCAACAGTTTTCAATGGCATCATATTTTACTGTTTTTCCACAAAGCATTTTTGAGATGTATTCCACAAAATGTTTTTTTCATTTTGATAGTTGTGAGATATTCTCATCAGTATGAATACAGTTAAATGTTGTAATACCACTATCATTGAAATGCATTTTTTACATTGTGACTTAAGCACACATGAGATTTTTTCCCCCAAAAGCTAGCCAAATTCTCTAGATTAGCCCCTTCTTTTACTCTGAACACACATCTCTGAGATGGTTGCCTAAATATAGGCATAGTTTTTTAGGTTACATAGACTTTTTTTAAATAAGCAAATTTTATGGCCCAGTGAATTACTGAATACTTTAAGAAGATCTGTATTAAATTAATCTGGATTTAGGTGTAAAATGTTTATTATGTAAGTGGTTCACTATGCTTCACTATGGAGAAAAGAGAAAAATGCTATTGCCTATACACATTCAAAACGTTGAACTAACATTATTTCTGTAGACCTTTCCTTATTTTTTCATGGTAACAAGGAAAAGATGTAAAGCCAAGGTAACTGCCTGATGGTACAATTTCTTCAGATAAAGTTGAAGATATGGACATGATGTCACTGGGTTCCTCTTCGGAACAGAGAACAAGAAGGACCTGGGTCAGGGGCTTTCTTTTTTGGCTTTCTGTCTCACTCCCAAAAGAATATTAAAATAATACACCACATAATGTTTAAACACATTTAGCTCTGTAAGAAAGAGTCCATTTTAAGGTCTTATTCCTGACTCAAATGTTGTGGTCATCCTGGAATAACCTTAATACACAAACTCTTCCTATGAGATTTTTGTTTAGCTTACTCTTACAAATGTTGCAGACTAACATTAAGCATTGGTGTTAAGCAATATTTTCATTGACAAATTCACTAAAATAGAACCCTAGAATGTTGAGGTCAGAGGCCGCCTTTGAAAGTATATGGTTTAAGCTCCTTATTTTGCAAATGGAGAATCTTGAGAACAAAGGAGAAGGCAGTCATGAAAATAGTGGCAAAGTCCAGACCATTGCTCCATAACAATGAGTCATTGGCCTTGTGTACATACGTACTGATTCAGGTTATGCCAATAAGCCCTATTATGGTATTCATGGTCAAGTTTATTAAAATGCTTCCTCAGCCCCAGTCCTCATTCCTCTTTCACACTGTAGACTCACACTGCTAAATAATATGTTTTGGTATCTGGTTAACTTCACTTTGAGGCAAAATTTAAAAGAGGGGGATTTTGGATTTGACAATGGATCTGAGAGACAAGTGTTTCACTTAGCTATGTAGCTATAGACATGTAACAGGATTCCAAACTGTAATTTAATATCAATCTTAATCTTCATCCAAAAAATTTTCATGGACCTCAGTTTTGAACTATAGGAATTTTGTAAGCATGATTTAAACACATGCTCTAGAATCTAAACCTTTTGGTTTATATTCAGCTGATGATGGTCATCTTTCATTCTGTCCTTTATGGAGCCTCTATATCAGTGGTTCCCAACATTGACTCCATCAGAATCACTCATGGATACTTTAAAAGATCATACGTACTAGGTACTATATGAATTCATTCACTGATATGAAATTTGAGGCAAACTGATTTATAGTTACAGACAGCAGATCAGTGACTGTCTAGGACCAAAAATGGGATGAATTGACTCGAATGGGACAGAAGAGAACTTTCTGGGGTTGTGGAAATAGTTCTATATTTAGTTGCGTATATATTTGTCCCTGCTCCTTGAACTTTCACTTAAATCGGGTGCATTTTTAGATGATAATTATACTTCAATAAAGTTGATTACCTCTCAAACCAAAAAAGCATGTGATGAGGGCCTACATGCAGAGGTTCTGGCTAAGTGGATTTTGCATGGGTTTCCACTATCAACATATGAGATTCAGATGAGAAACCATGGTTAAGAACTTCTCTTGTAAATACTAGAGTCTAAGGTGAGCTTTCTGTAATTGACATGTAAGGTTTCAGATCAAGCATTTTTATCTCCTTCATTTCAAATAACATTATAAAATACCATTTTCAATGGCATGTTTAAATTAATTGACCTGCCTTGATAGTATTAGCAAAAATTTCTTTAATGACTGTGAAATGTAAAGTGAACATATATATATTTTTTTCTTAGTTTTGTGCTCCCCTCCCGGGAATGTAAGCAATTTCTCTGTCCTGGATTATTGGTTCATCTCCATTGCTTTGTGTTCCTATCACTGCCTTTATTACTAAAAAAGCACACAAGTGAGTGCTGAGTGCTTGAAGGACACTTTCTTTGGGTGTGCAAGAAATGCCTAATTTTAAGCAAGTTCGCATCTTTGGAAAGTGTAAGATGTCAGCATAAGTAAGTAGGGTACTGACTGTCTAGGAAAGCAAAGTGAGACAAGATCTTAGAGGACATTGGGAATTTCAATTCTATGGTATTGTTGAATTAGCAGATATAATACTTTGTCTCAAAATGGTACCTTCCAAAGCACTGAGAATGTCAGCTTGAGATCTTGAGGAGTCTTAAGTCACTGGGTCCCAAAGTCCCACCCAGGAGCTGTAGATGTATTCAGCGTTTATCTGGACTCAGTACTCAGTTCCCTACATGTACTTCTTACCCTGTATTGAGACTATCTTCACGTTTAACCTGTGGGCTCATTCAGGACAGGAATTATATATTTCATACCTGTGTCATCAGTTTATAAAACATTGCGTGGCGTAGCCAAGGTCCTAGGTCATAGAATGAGTTAATGAACTTCAGAAGCCAAACACTCGTAACTACATACTGAAATATACAAAATACAGTGTATTTCTATACAAAATATAGAAAATGCAGTGACCTTCACAACTAATGCTTTTGTTCTAAACACTATTTCTTTCTTTTGGGTTATTTTTTGGGTTATTTTCTTCAAAGTTGTTGCATAACTAAAGAGTATGAAAATGTCTCAAAGCATCTACTGCATACAAAATATCAGGCAATGTTCTATGTAGGAGTAGTGAGAGGCTATGGAGTTAATGTATTGGGACAATGAAATGATCTGGCTGACGTCACATACCAGGTTAATCACTGTTTTCCCGGATGAGATCTGAAGGAAGGTCTGTGTTCCAGGCTTCTAAAAATAAAGACTTGCATTCTTGTATTTAACACTCCATATTCCAAGGTAATAACTCCATATCTCCACTGACTACTGTGTGTGTACAGAAATTCTAACTGTTGTTATTTTTACCAATGGAACATTCTTCTGTTGAGCTAATAAGATGCGGCAGTTGTGATCAGGGATGCACTAAAGAATCACAGTTTGCTAATAAAATTTGATGACAAAATTTGTTTCATCTGGAATCACATACGATCCACAAATACAAGTGATCCCCTTTGGGCATTTGTCTTGGTATATGCAGTTATTTTTCTGTGGGAGAATCCCTTGAGCTCAAGAGTTCAAGACGAACTTGGGCATCATGGTGCGGCTGCATTTCTACAAAAAATAATTTTTTAAAATTAGCTGGGTGTGGTCATGAGCGCCTGTAGTCCCAGCTACTCAGGTGACTGAGGAGAAAGGATCATTTGAACCCTGGAAGTCGAGGCTGCACTGTAATCCAGCCTGGGTGACAGAGTGAGATCCTGTCTCAAAAAGAAAAAAGAGAAAGTATTTTTCATGTCTAGAAACATTGAAATTTACTGCTGTAGAAATGCAGAGCATTTCTGCGTTCTTATATATACTCTCTTATGAGTTGTATTCTTCGATCATTTGTTGCCAAAATTTTAATGACTATGCCTCCTGTATAACTGTGCACTAAGATGACTTTTATTTTTCTTTGTTTTAAAAAATTTATTTTCTTTTAAGTTCTGGGATACATGTGCAGTACACGCAGATTTGTTACATAGGTAAACGTGCCATGGTGGTTTGCTGCACCTATTAACCCATCACTTAGGTATTAAGCCCCGCATGCATTAGCTATTTATCCTGATTATCTTCCTTCCCCTGCCTCTGCCCAGACCCCAGTGTGCATTGTTCCCCTCTCTGTGTCCATGTGTTCTCATTGTTTAGTTCCCACTTATAAGTGAGAACACATGGTGTTTGGTTTTCTGTTCCTGTGTTAGTTTGCTGAGGATAATGGCTTCCAGCTCCATCCACGTCCCTGCAAAGGACATGATCTTGTTCCTTTTTATGGCTGCATAGTATTCCATGGTGTATATTTACCACATTTTCTTTATCCAGTCTATCATTGATGGGCATTTGGGTTGATGCCATGTCTTTGCTGTTATGAATAGTTATGCAGTCCTGTTTGTAAGAAACTGGCTTCCTGATCTTTATCAGAGTTAGTCCCATTTCCATACCACCATGTACTTTGTCCTCTAAAGTTTATCCTTCATAGATTTATTTTTTAGTTTTTTTGAAATTATATTATTATATTTCAAAATATATGTTCTATTATGGATTCAAGGAGCTAAACAATGGGTACACATGGACATAAAATGGAAATAATAGACACTGGTGACTCCAAAATGGGGGAGGGTGTTGAGAGAGTGGGGGTTGAAAAATTATCTTCAGACATTTCTGTTTGTTCCCAGCCACAGTCTCCAAGGCAGTGGTGAAATTTTTGGCAGAGACAATTTCCTTCTCCTATTATGTGATACAAATGCTGGTATTTTTGTTCTTTGTGACTACTGAATGCAATCTTTTAGCCTCCCTGGGCAAGGACATTTATATGCCAATCAGACAACCCATGCTCTATCCTGTCACTATGTCCCAAGTTTGTTGTATCCAATTAGTGGCTTCATGTTACGGGCATGGAGTTATCCATACTATGTTTTTAGGAGGTTCAATCTCTATATTTGCCTTTTGTAAGTTCAAACCATCATCAGCTTTTTTGGTGACAGTTTCCCACTCTTGGTCCTCTCCTGCTCAGACACCTACATAATGAATTCTTTGTTCTTTTTCACTGGGTGCTTCATTTGGATGAGCTCTTGACCAGTCATCCTTGTCTCCCACATGTTCATCATTGTCACTTTCTTGAGGATCTTCTCAGTTGTAGTTGAATCTAAAGGTTTTCTTGCTTTTTCTTCACATCTAACTGCTATCATTCTCTTCTATGGGGACATTATATTTATATATGTGACATTCTTCCAACTATTTTCTGAACCAAGACCAGACTGTATCCATTTTCTACATGGTAAGAATTCTTTTGTTAAGCCCCATTATCTATTGTTTAATAAAAATGCAAGTGATTTGTTTTCTTGAAAATGCTCCTTTTGATGAGTTCATGTCCTTTGTAGGGACATGGATGAAGCTGGAAACCATCATTCTCAGCAAATTATCGCAAGGACAAAAAACCAAACACCGCGTGTTCTCACTCATAGGTGGGAATTGAACAATGAGAACACTTGGACACAGGAAGGGGAACATCACACACCAGGGCCTGTTGTGGGGTTGGGGGAGGGTGGAAGGATAGCATTAGGAGATATACCTAATGCTAAATGACGAGTTAATGGGTGCAGCACACCAACATGGCATATGTATACATATGTAACAAACCTGCACGTTGTGCACATGTACCCTAGAACTTAAAGTATAATAATAAAAAAATTCAAAACCCAAAAAAAAGAAAGAAAATGCTCCTTTATAAAGTTCAAGGCCAGTCTTCATAAGAACTACACAAGAAGATGCTTAAGAAACATTATTTTTTAAAATGTTTGATACATAAGTAAATTACTTTGAACTGAAATTTTCCTTTGAATTCTCATACTCTTTTAGTTTTTTCCACATCTGTATTTATTTTCAAATTATTTTCTTTACTTCTTTTGGACAGCGTTTTAAATCCCTATCCTTCTTGAGGTAAACTTCCAGATGACTTGCAATATAGGTAATGTCCTTTTGGACCTTCAGCATCTAAACATGTAAAGAAGAAAGGAAGGAAACAGAGAGGGAAGCTCACACGTAATAAGAATGTATTATGTGACAGGCACTTTATACCCAATATTTTACTTAGCCTATAAAACAAATCATTGAGATAGTTATTACTAACCTCACTTTTCACATGTAGAAATTGAGGACCAAATAAATGAAATGATTTGCCCTAGGTCATACAGGTAAAAATTGGATTGAGAAATAAAGAATTAAGAATTAAAACCAGGTCTGTCAGATACTGTGTCTATCAATTTACCCTACAAAAACTGCTTCTCCATAATTTCCATTAGGCATTTCATTCTGTTCTCATTCAAAATGCAAAAGCATCATTCATTTTTCAATGTATTTATGTGTTTCTTTCTTTGGTTGCTAAATGGTGTATAGAAGACTACATTACACTGTAAGCTCTCAGGGACAAGAGCTATCTTCCTTATCTGGTGTTGAGAGCATCATGAGCAGATACACCTGTAATAAAGGCATCGAGTTTCCTCATTTCTTCATACAAAATCGCATAAGTATGTCACATGTTTCTTTTTTATATTTTTGAGGAATCTCAAATTACATGCTGTAGGCAACTGTTGGCTTAATCTATAAATGAATTTGTTCTGGCTATGGAATATGCAATCAGATCTACTGAAGATCCAGATATTTTGGGATCAGGTGATTGATTTATCTAAAATCCCAGATCAGGCATAATTCTGCCCAAGATCTTGGACTTAAGGGCAAATTTTTATTCATTCATTTCATAAGTAGTTTTAGCCCCTACTCTGTGAAAAGGTCCGGGATGGAAAGTAGGGCCTCAGAAATGAAGAAGATATAGTCTCTGTCTTCTGGAAGCCACATGTTCAGAAATGCTCCCTTCCCTCCAAAATGGCAAAATCAGCAGCATAGAGGCAGGGCCTTTTCTTTGGTATTTTCATTTGCAATACAGGCACTACAGAAAAGGATTTTCTGTCATCTCACCGACATCTTAGGCTGAACACGATCTGCTCTGGCCTCTTCTGGCCTTATGATAGGTCCTGGGAACTGAAATCTTATTTTCTTGGCATGGCAACAGTCCACCTCTTTACTTCCTTTTTTTGTATACCTTTATTTTTGCTTGTCTGTCATCAACTTGGTAAGTGAGTTTAGAAACTGCATATGTTTGTCCTACAACAAGAATCTTGAGTAGTTCAGAAGGGGCTAGGGAGGAGAGGAGATCTTCCTTAGGGCATGGGCAACCTGTAGTCATCACTACTATAAATTCTTGCATCCTATTAGAGACCAAATTTCTACATATGACCAAAGTTAAAGTGAGGAGTAGACTAAAGGGCAGGCGCCCAGGTCCCTTCCCTCAGGTTTAATCACAACAGCTCTGCTTCTATCTTTTTAATATGCACTAACTTTTCCCTTAACTGAGCTTCATGTAAACGCTCTAAATTAAAGACACTATCCATTCTCTGTGAAAAATTTTCAGGCCAGTGGCAATACCCCAGTGAATAATTGTAACTAGTTGGCTAGTCTCTCTCTCTCTTCTGAGACAGGGACTTGCCATGTTGCCCAGGCTGGAGTGCAGTGGCATGATTACAGCTCACTGCAGCCCTGACTTCCTGGGCTCAAGCAATCCTCCCACCTCAGCCTCCCAAGTATCTGGGACCATAGGTGTCTGCCACCACACCTGGCTATTTTTTTTTTATTATTTTTTGTAGCTATGGGGTCTCATCATGTTGCCCAGACTGGTCTCGAACTCTTGCTTCAAGCAATCATCCCACCTCAGCCTCCCAAATTGCTGGGATTAAAAGCATGAGCCACTGCGTCCAGCCCGTTGGCTATCCTCTAATATGCCCACATCATTATGGTCCTATGCCACCAATCCTGTCTTACTTTACAAAGTAACAATTGTGTTTTTCCCAAAACCTGTTTTTGTTACTTGCATTTGTTTTTTAATCATAATTTTATTTTATTTTTTAAAATTTATTTATTTATTTTTTAATATTATACTTTAAGTTCTGGGATACATGTGCAGAATGTGCAGTTTTGTTACATAGGTATACACATGCCATGGTGGTTTGCTGCACCCATCAACCCGTCATCTACATTAGGTATTTCTCCTAATGCTATCCCTCCCCTAGCCCCCCACCTTCCAACAGGTCCCAGTGTGTGATGTTCCCCTCCTTGTGTCCATGCGTTCTCATTGTTCAACTCCCACTTATGAGGGAGAACATGTGGTGTTTGGTTTTCTGTTCCTGTGTTAGTTTGCTGAGAATGATGGTTTCCAGCTTCATCCATGTCCCTGCAAAGGACACGAACTCATCCTTTTTTATGGCTGCATAGTATTCCATGGAGTATATGTGCCACATTTTCTTTATCCATCTATCATTGATGGGCATTTGGGTTGGTTCCAAGTCTTTGCTATTGTTAATACTGCTGCAATAAACATATGTGTGCCTGTGTCTTTATAGTAGAATGATTTATAATCCTTTGGGTATATACCCAGTAATGGGATTGCTGGATCAAATGGTATTTCTGGTTCTAGATCCTTGAGGAATCACCACACTGTCTTCCACGATGGTTGAACTAATTTACACTCCCACCAACAGTGTAAAAGCATTCCTATTTCTCCACATCCTCTCCAGCATCTGTTATTTCCTGACTTTATAAAGATCACCCTTCTAACGGGCGTGAGATGGTATCTCATTGTGATTTTGACTTGCATTTCTCTAATGAGCAGTGATGATGAGCTTTTTTTCATGTTTGTTTGGCCACATAAATGTCTTCTTTTGAGAAGTCTCTGTTCATATCCTTTGCCCACTTTTTGACAGGTTTTTTTTCCTTGTAAATTTGTTTAAGTTCCTTATAGATTCTGGATGTTAGCCCTTTGTCAGATGGATAGATTGCAAAAATTTTCTCCCATTCTGTAGGCTGCCTATTCACTCTGATGATAGTTTCTTTTGCTGTGCAGAAGCTCTTTAGTTTAATTAGATCCCATTTGTCAATTTTGGCTTTTGTTGTCATTGCTTTTGGTGTTTTAGTCATGAAGTCTTTGTCCATGCTTATGTCCTGAATGGTATTGCCTAGGTTTTCTTCTAGGGTTTTTACGGTTTTGGGTCTTAGGTTTAAATCTTTAAGCCATCTTGAGTTAATTTTTGTATAAGGTGTAGGAAGGGGTCCAGTTTCAGTTTTCTGCATATGGCTAGCCAGTTTTCCCAACACCATTTATTACATAGGGAATCCTTTCCCCATTTCTTGTTTTTGTCAGGTTTGTCAAAGATCAGATGGTTGTAGATGTGTGGAGCTATTTCTGAGGCCTCTGTTCTGTTCCATTGGTCTATATCTCTGTCTTGGTACCAGTGCCATGCTGTTTTGGTTACTGTAGCCTTGTATAGTTTGAAGTCAGGTACTGTGATGCCTCCAGCTTTGTTCTGTTTGCTTAGGATTCTTAGGATTTTCTTGGCTATATGGGCTCTTTTTTGGTTCCATATGAAATTTAAAGTAGTTTTTTCTAATTGTGTGAAGAAGGTCAATGGTAGCTTGATGGGGATAGCATTGAATCTATAAATTACTTTGGGCAGTATGGCCATTTTCACGATATTGATTCTTCCTATCCATGAGCACGGAATGTTGTTCCATTTGTTTGTGTCCTTATTTCCTTGAGCAGTGGTTTGTAGTTCTCCTTGAAGAGGTCCTTCACATCCCTTGTAAGTTGGATTCCTAGGTATTTTATTCTCTTTGTAGCAATTGTGAATGGGAATTCACTCAAGATTTGGCTCTCTGTTTGTCTATTATTGGCGTATAGGAATGCTTGTGAGTTTTGAATGTTGATTTTGTATCCTGAGATTTTGCTGAAGTTACTTATCAGCTTTAAGAGATTTGGGGCTGAGACGATAGGGTTTTCTAAATATACAACCATGTCATCTGCAAACAGAGACAATTTGACTTCCTCTCTTCCTATTTAAATGCCCTTTATTACTTTCTCTTGCCTGATTGCCCTGGCCAGAACTTCTAATACTATGTTGAACAGGAGTAGTGAGAGAGGGCATCCTTGTCTTGTGCCTGTGTTCAAAGGGAATGCTTCCAGCTTTTGCCCACTCAGTATGATCTTGGCTGTGGGTTTGTCATAAATAGCTCTTATTATTTTGAGATACATTCCATCAATACCTAGTTTATTGAGAGTTTTTAGCATGAAGGGCTGTTGAATTTTATTGAAGGCCTTTTCTACATCTATTGAGATAATCATGTAATTTTTGTTATTAGTTCTGTTTTTGTGATTGATTACATTTATTGATTTGTGTATATTGAACCAGCCTTGCTTCCCAGGGATGAAGCCGACTTGATCGTGGTGGATAAGGTTTTTGATGTGCTGCTGGATTTGGCTTGCCAGTTTTTTATTGACGATTTTCGCATTGATGTTCATCAGGGATATTGGCCTGAAATTTTCTTATTTTGTTGTGTCTCTGCCAGGTTTTGGTATCTGGATGATGCTGGCCTCATAAAATGAGTGAGGGAGGATTCCCTCTTTTTCTATTGATTGGAATAGTTTCAGAAGGAATGGTACCAGCTCCTCTTTGTACCTCTGGTAGAATTCGGCTGTGAATCCTTCTGGTCCTGGGCTTTTTTTGGTTGATAGGCTACTAATTACTGTGTCAATTTCAGAACTTGTTATTGGTCTATTCAGGGTTTCTAATTCTTCCTGGTTTAGTCTTGGGAGGGTGTATGTGTCCAGGAATTTATCCATTTCTTCTAGATTTTCTAGTTTATTTTTATAGAGGTGTTTATACTATTCTGTGATGGTAGTTTGTATTTCTGTGGGATCAGTGGTGATATCTCTTTATCATATTTTTTGGTATCTATTTGATTCTTCTCTTTTTTCTTCTTTATTAGTCTGGCTAATGGTCTATCCATTTTGTTAATCTTTTCAATAAAACATCTCCTGGATTCATTGATTTTTTTGAAGAGTTTTTCATGTCTCTATCTCCTTCAGTTCTGCTCTGATCTTAGTTATTTCTCATCTTGTGCTAGCTTTTGAATTTCTTTGCTCTTGTTTCTCTTGTTCTTTTAATTGTGATGTTAAGGTTTCAATTTTATAGCTTTCCTGCTTCCTCCTGTGGGCATTTAATGCTATAAATTTCCCTCTAAACCCTGCTTTAGCTGTGTCCCAGAGATTCTTGTACATTGTGTCTTTGTTCTCATCAGTTTCAAAGAACTTATTTATTTCTGCCTTTATTTCGTTCTGTGCCCAGTAGTCATTCAGGAGCAGGTTGTTCAGTTTCCATGTAGTTGTGCGGTTTTGAGTGAGTTTCTTAATCCTGAGTTCTAATTTGATTGCACTGTGGTCTGAGAGACTGTTTGTTATGATTTCTGTTCTTTTGCATTTGCTGAGGAGTGATGTACTTCCAACTATGTGGTCAACTTTAGAATAAGTGTGATGTGATGCTGAGAAGAATGTATATTCTGTTGATTTGGGGTGAGGAGTTCTGTAGATGTCTATTAGGTCTGCTTGGTCCAGAGCTGAGCTCAAGTCCTGAATACCTTTGTTAATTTTCTGTCTCATTGATCTGTCCATTATTGACAGTGGGGTGTTAAAGTCTCCCACTATTATTGTGTGGGAGTCTAAGTCTCTTTGTATGTCTCTAAGAACTTGCTTTATGAATCTGGGTGCTCCTGTATTGGGTGCATACATATTTATGATAGTTAATTCTTCTTGTTGCATTGATCCCTTTACCATTACGTAATGCCCTTCTTTGTCTTTTTTGATCTTTCTTGGTTTAAAGTCTGTTTTATCAGAGACTAGTATTGCAACCCCTGTTGTGTTTTTTTTTCCTTTTCATTTGCTTGGCATATATTCCTCCTTCCCTTTATTTTGAGCCTAAGTGTGTCTTTGCATGTGAGATGGGTCCCCTGAATACAGCACACCAATGGGCCTTGACTCTATCCAGTTTGCCAGTCTGTGTCTTTTAACTGGGACACTTAGCTCATTTACATTTAAGGGTAATATTTTTATGTGTGAATTTGATCCTGTCATTAGGATGCTGTTAGTTGATGGAGTTTCTTCGTAGTGTTGATGGTCTTTACAATTTGGTAGGTTTTTGCAGTGGCTGGTACCGGTTTTTCCTTTCCATATTTAGTGCTTCCTTCAGGAGCTTTTGTAAGGCAGGCCTGGTGGTGACAAAATCTCTCAGCATTTGCTTGTCTGTAAAGGATTTTATTTCTCCTTCACTTATGAAGCTTAGTTTGGCTGGATATGAAATCCTGGGTTGAAAATTCTTTTTAAAAAAACGTTGAATATTGCCCCCCACTCTCTTCTGGCTTGTAGGGTTTCTGCAGAGAGATCTGCTGTTAGTCTGATGGGCTTCACTTTGTGGTTAACCCGACCTTTCTCTCTGGCTGCCCTTAACATTTTTTCCTTCATTTCAGCCTTGGTGAATCTGACGATTATGTGTCTTGGGGTTGCTCTTCTCGAGGAGTATATTTGTGGTGTTCTCTGTATTTCCTGAATTTGAATGTTGGCCTGTCTTGCTAGGTTGGGGAAGTTCTCCTGGATAATATCCTGGAGAGTGTTTTCCAACTTGGTTCCATTCCCTCCATCACTTACAGGTACGCAAATCAAACGTAGGTTTGGTCTTTTCACAGTCCCAAATTTCTTGGAGGCTTTATTCATTCTTTTTCATTATTTTTTCTCTAATCTTGTCTTCATGCTTTATTTCCTTAAGTTGATTTTCAATCTCTGACATCCTTTCTTCCACTTGATCGATTTGGCTATTGATACTTGTTTATGCTTCACGAAGTCCTCGTGCTGTATTCTTCAGCTCCATCAGGTCATTTATGTTCTTCTCTAAAGTGGTTATTCTAGTTAGCAGTTCCTCTAACCTTTTTTTCAAGGTTCTTAGCTTCCTTGCATTGGGTTAGAACACGATCCTTTAGCTCAGAGGAATTTGTTATTACCCACCTTCGGAAGCCTACTTCTGTGAATTCGTCAAGCTCATTCTCTGTCCAGTTTTGTTTCCTTGCTGGCGAGGAGTTGTGATCGTTTGGAGGAAGAGAGGCATTCTCGTTTTTGGAATTTTCAGCCTTTTTGCACTGGTTTTTCCTCATCTTCATGGATTTATCTACCTTTGGTCTTTGATGTTGGTGACCTTCATATGAGCTTTTCGTGTGGACATCATTTTTGTTGATGTTGGTACTATTCCTTTCTGTTTGTTAGTTTTCCTTCTAACAGTCAGGCCCCTCTGCTGCTGGTCTGCTGGAGTTTACTGGAGGTCCACTCCAGACACTGTTGGCCTGGATATCACCAGCGGAGCCTGCAGAACAGCAAAGACTGCTGCTTGTTCCTCCCTTTGAAAGCTTCGTTCCAGAGGGGTACCCGCCAGATGCCAGCCAGAGCTCTCCTCTATGAGGTGTCTGTCGACCCCTGATGTGAGCTGTCTCCCAGTCAGGAGTCACGGGAGTCAGGGACCCACTTGAGGAGGCAGTCTGTCCCTTAGCAGAGCTCAAGCACTGTGCTGGGAGATCCACTTCCCTCTTCAGTGCCAGCAGGCAGGAACATTTAAGTCTGCTGAAGCTGTGCCCTCAGCCGCCCCTTGCCCCAGGTGCTCTGTCCCAGGGAGATGGGAGTCTTATCTATAAGCCCCTGACTGGGGCTGCTGCCTTTCCTTCAGGGATGCCCTGCCCAGAGAGGAGGAATCTAGAGAGGCAGTCTGGCTACAGTGGCTTTGCCAAGCTGTGATGGGCTCCACCCAGTTCGAACTTCCTGTTGGCTTTTTTTACACTGTGAGGGGAAAACCTCCTACTCAAGCCTCAGTAATGGAGGTCACCCCTCCCCCCACCAAGCTCCAGCATCCCAGGTCGACTTCAGACTGCTGTGGTGGCAGCGAGAATTTCAATCCAGTGGATCTTAGCTTGCTAGGCTCCATAGGGATGGAATCTGCTGAGCTAGACCACTTGGCTCCCTGGCTTCAGCCCCCTTTCCGGGGGAGTGAACGGTTCTGTCTTGTTGGCATTCCAGGCGCCACTGGGGTATGAAAAAAACTCCTGCAGCTAGCTCAGTGTCTGCCCAAAAGGCCACCCAGTTTTGTGCCTGAAAACCAGGGCCCTAGTGGTGTAGGCACCTGAGGGAATCTCCTGGTCTGCAGTTTGTGAAGACCATGGGAAAAGTGTAGTATCTGGGCTGGAATGCACCATTCCTCATGGCACAGTCCCTCATGGCTTCCCTTGGCTAGGGGAAGGAATTCCCTGACCCGTTGTGCTTCCCAGGTGAGGGGACACCCCACCCTGCTTCAGCTTGCCCTCTGTGGGCTGCACCCACTGTCTAACCAGTCCCAATGAGATGAGCCGAGTACCTCAGTAGGAAATGCAGAAATCACTCACCTTCTGTATTGATCTCGCTGCAGACCAGAGCTGTTCCTATTCAGCCGTATAGCCAGCCACCCCCCATAAGTTTAATTAAACCTAAATTAAGTTTAATTAAAATTATATGAAACAATAAAATATGAAGACGAAAGAAAGTCATTTCTATGAAAACAGTTGCATGCATTGAAAAGACTCAAAATAGGCAGGTCACTAAAAATATTGTATTAAATTAGATGTGAAAGATTGAAGACAAAGTTGAAAACTACCTAAGGAGGATTAAACATTTAGCTTGCTTTGTGATTGTCTTTAAGTTCTTGCTTCCCTTGTTAAAACATTGAAACTGGAAGCCAAAGCTGATGCATTTTGAATAATATATTATGGGGGGGATTTATGTAGAAATGGTTATGCAGAACTCAATCAGTTGACCCATAGTCAAGGAAAAGGTCTTGGCCCTACATCCAAAGATTAGCTAAGGAATATAACTTTACATGGAGTAAGTCAAGATAGCATATTCTGAAAAAAGTATTAACGGTATGTGTGTAAGGAGGTTTAATGACTCTTTGCTTTAGTTGACTTTTAAAATTAACTAAGCAATATCAAATCCTGATTGAATTAGCTAAAAACTCATTCATAAGGCAGAGTCCTGCTTAAGATTTTATCTTGAAGAAGACAAAGGAGAAGGATGAGAAGGAGGAAGGAGGAGGAGGAGGAGAAAAGGAGGAGGAGGAGAGAAGGAGGAGGAGGAGAGAAGCAGGAGGAGGAGAGAGGAGGAGGAGAGAAGGAGGGGGAGGAGAGAAGGAGGAGGAGGAGAGAAGGAGGAGGAGGAGAGAAGGAGGAGGAGAGAAGGAGGAGGAGAAGGACAAGAAAAAGAAGAAGGAGGAGAAAGAGGAGGAGGAGAAGAAGAAATAGAAGAATCATCCAGTGTTTCTCTAATTGTATGAGATGACTAGCTTTTTAAAATTTTCAAGTTTTCATAGATGAATGCTTTTATAAAATAAAAATTTCAGGGAAAGTGAAATCTCTCTGTTTCTAAATGCTCAGTCTCAGTTTCTAAACTTATGTCACACCTAATATCTCTATTGGCCAGTAACAAATAGTTGTGTGGTTGGAGTAGGTCTGCAAACTACACTTTGAGTAGCACTGGGTAGACCCAATGTGGTGCCTGTATAATCACAAAACCCTGAATCCAGCCCTGAAAGATGTCATAAACAATGAGCCAGGTTCTTTCAACCTGGGCAGTATAACTCAGTGGGATATGTCTTTGTGGTACCAGGTGCATGAATAGCCTAAAACATCCTCCATGACCAAACATTAGGATATTATACAGATATGGCATAAAAGGGCCCTGGTATCATGCCTTAACTTCCATAGTCATACAAAAATCCTTATGTACCTCAAGCCCTTCTATTCTTGTGTATGTTTTGTAACTTATTTTCTTTGTCCCTCTTGATTATTTTGGACTCCTTGTACCTACCCAGTATGTCACTTTTTTAGCCTCCTGTCTCAAAAGGTTTTAACCCCAGAGTGTCCTAGATATATGGCCAATGGGGGCAGCTGGGAGGCAGATGTTAGTATAACTAAGTCATGGATTATATCAGTGGGACAGTGACATTAATTACTCATCTAGGATAACTTAACAGATAGGCAATGAAACTAATATTTTCATTCTGAAGGAAGCTAATATTTTCATTCTGAAAAATGGTAACTTTTTAATTCAATTTATCTTACTGAGCACCCACTCTGTTCTCAGCATTATACTCAGACTAGAACCACAGAGATTAATAAAACATAGTTCTGCATCATTCCCCAAAACAGCTCAGGGCATGTTGGATAGCACCATACATATCGTGATAATTATAATTCATTTGCTAAGCTATATAATAACAAAGTAAAGTGCTATAGAGGAGAAAAGTAAGTAATTTTACCTAGAAAGATGTGAGAATTATGGAAGAATTCACAGAGGATGTAACACTTGAGATGGAGCCTTAAAGAAAGTGTTGAATGTCTGTAGGAAGAGAGAGTGGAACAGGGACTGGACATAACATGTAGACTAAAAATTCATAGCAAATTCATAGACTGCTCAAGGAATGACAAAGCGTTCAGTGTAGCTAGAAAGTAGGATGTACCAAGGATGGTGGGAGTTAGTGAGTGATGATTCATACTCCTGAAAATATAGGTGGGTCCAAGTGATAGAGGATCTTCAATGCTGAAGAACTTTGACTTTGGTGGGGAGCCTCAGTAGGGCTCAGAGTAAGACAAGTGACATGACTGTTTTCACCTTAATTTTTTATTCTTCTAGTACATCATTTTTCTTGCCTAGTATGTGGGAACAGTATAATATTTACTTTAAAGTGTTATTGTGAGAATTAAGTTATAGGTTGGAAGTTGTGAACTTTGACATGGTATTATCTAAAAGCTATTTTGAGATATCACCATCAGTTCCTCCCTTCCTTTTTTCTTTCCTTCCTTCTTTCTTTATCTATAATCTAGCATGTAGGGTTTGGTAGAGGGAGGAGACAGAAACTAAAAAATAGAGAACAATTGTTAAGCACGATACAACCATGTGCTTATTCAGGGAAAGTTCTGTATGTGAGTGGTGAAGACTGTGAAATAAAGGAGCATTTTGTTTTGTTTTGTTGTTGTGTTTTTTAAATGGGAAAATGAGTCTGATCTAGAGTCTTGGGTCTGGATTAGGGGCAGGAAATGGATGGGAAGGAAACTGCCAAGGAAGCACACTAGCCTAAGACTCTGGATCCTCTCTGTGCTCATCCAAATCTAAAAGGTTAATACGAGAATCTCTATGGCAGGGCTCACCACTCCAGAAAAACCTTGTCTGCTGAGTGGTCTCCTCAGTGCTCCTTTCATGTCCTCGTTCCTTAGACTACAGATAAATGATTTGATCAAGTGAGTTACAGTTGTATACATGATAGCAGCTACCTCATCCCTTTCTGCTGAGTAGGCAAAAAAGGAGAGAAAGTAGACTCCAATGATGAACCCATAGAAGACCTGGGGCACAACTGAGAGATGGGAACCACATGTAGAGAATGTTTTCTACTTCCCCTTGGCTGATGGAACTCCAAGCATAGTGCTGCCAATAAGGCCATAGGAGACAAGAATGTGAAGGTAAAGGGGATGAAGATAACTACTTCCCCAATGGCAGTAATTATCAAGTTGTTGATTTGGGTGTCTGAGCAAGCAAGCCCTAAAATGGGTTCCAGGTCATAGAAGATATGTGAAATCACAGAAAGTTAAGTGGCTTAGCAGACTGAGATGCAGTATTGAGACAAGGTTGGAGATAACCCATGGAGTCACAACCAACAGGGCACAGTTCTTGGGACTCAGTACTACCACATATAGTGTAATGGGTGACAGATGGCAATGTATCAATTATATGCCATGTCTACCAATAGGAAATTATCCAGATCCACCAGGAATATTTAAAACTACATTTGTGCAGGGCATCCTTCAAAGGATATGGTTGAATTCTGGCTTTGAATATCTGCCAAGATTTTGGGGACTGTAGTGGTTGTGATGCAGACGTTAGTGAAAGATAGATTGGCAAGGAAGAAATATATGGGGCCATGGAGGTGAGCATCACTGACAACGGCCAGGATGATAAGTAAATTTCTTACCATAGTGACCAGATACGTGCATAGAAACAGCATGAAGATAAACTGCTGCTCTTTAGGCTTTGTTGTGATTCCCAGGAGAAAGAATTTAGAGACAGTAGTTCAATTTCCTTGGTGCATGGTTCTGCTGTGTCTAAAAGGGGAAAAAGTTCAACTTCATTGTAAAATGGTAACATGACATGAAAGCCTATCAGTGTATTATACTACCTTATAGAACAGAATGAGGCCTTGGAACCAGAAACTCTTGGGTCATATTATCCCCCTACTAAAATACAAGTTGCATAAGGGCATGGATTTTATCTTTTATGTTCAGTGCTGTACATTAGTACTAAAGACAGTGCCTGTCACATAGTAGGTGATCAATAAATATTGATTGATTTATACAAGAACGAGTGAATAAATGAAAAAAAGAATATTCTGGAATTATAGCTCACTATCTTCATGACATTGTTATCTGTGCTTTTCTAAGGCTATTTAATCAATTTTAAAGTGTGGAGAATATCTACTTTACAGGAGTTTTGTGAGCATTGCAAGGACACGTGTAAAATGCCCAGGCCTGCATTTTAGCTATTACTGCACAAATAGTAGCTGCTATCATTCTCTAATTTAGGAGAATCACAGACCCTAAAGGCAAAAATAAATCTCCAGAGAAGATCTGAACCAGCCCCTGCCTTTGGGCATGTGAGTGCCCAAATACACTGCTGATCACTTTTTAGTGCTCCAGACACAGAGACTCCATAATCCCCTTCCAGCATCTGATCCAAAATTTTATCATGTATGAATTTCACTTCTTCCTGAAGTCTTCCTTGTTTTCTCATTTCAACAAGGAAAAAGTAGTTATCTCTATTAAATGGTGCAGAAAAATAATATAAAAATATCCACTGAATTAGGCAACATACAGGTAGGGCTTAGTGTCCTTAACAAGACCATTTGTAGGGAGTTCATTGGGGATAAACCAAAATGAAGAAAGCTTAGGGTTAACACTTTAAGAGTTAGGTGTTTATTGAGGGCTTACTATGTTGTAGGCATTCTGCTAAATGCTTTACATGGCTTACCTTATCAAATATTCACCACAACCTTATGAGTTAAGTAGGACTACTAAGACGTTCAATTTACAGATAAGGAAATCAAGGATTAAAGAGGCTGAATAAGTTCATTAAATTGATATATAGTCAGTGTAGTAGAGTCAGGATTCTGAGCTCAGTCAGTCTAATTTCAGAGCTCTCTTGCTGAACTACTTTGTTATATTGCTATATTGCTACTGTACTACTGTGTCTTCAGATATGTGAAGGAGGGGGTCAATAAATAATATTTGTTGAGAATCACTGATGTTCTAGGACATGAAATCATGCTCAGCCAAAGTCGCAAAACTAGTAAGTGGTGGAGCTAGGCTTTGAATCTTAACTTGAAGGTGTTTTTGCCATATCTGTATAAATCCGAATTAGAGCAAATGGGCTTACAAACGGGAAGGTTTGTCTTTACTTATTCCACTTTGTACCTTATCTAAATTGTTTTATATGCTACTGTGAGATCCGTTTTATACAATGGCTACTTACACAGAGGCCTGCCATGTTTTCATACCGCCTTCCCTGTCTAACACTAAACTGACATTGTATAAACTCACATACTTTTGCAAGTTTGCTGTTTTACTTCGTACCTTCTATGATAAAAGAGGTTGGTAGCACTAATGAATGGTTAGAGCAAGACTGCTGGAAGAATGTTGCACTTACTCAATGGCGCATTTTTTTTCTAAGAACTATAGCAGTACTCATTTGCATACTAACAAACAAATGTGCTAATTATAAATCAGGCAGGATCAGGTCTGGTGGGACCTCTGCTTGGCAACACTTAGCCATTTTGTCTGTACAGAATGTACTGAAAATAATAAAGTGGCATATTATTATGTACATGTAATCCAGGCTTTTCATTAATGTAGATTGTGTTAGCAAAGTATGGCAGCCCACATTCCTGATCCGACCTTCAAGGCACCATATCAGCTAGTTTCATTTGATTGTTCTCATCTACTCTGCCCAAACTTACACCATCTTTTACAATTAAGTGTGTGTCTATCTTCAGTCTTTCAACCTTTATACTCAGGTCACTAAGTTGGCACAATACTTTTGCAATGAATGTGGGGAGCAAATGTTTGTATTTTGGGGTTGAGGTTTCCCTCCTATGGAACTTTCCAGATGTTTTGTAGCTAATAGCTATTTGTACTAATATTTGTAGCTAATAGCTACGAAACAGTTTCACTTCCTCGGCTTAAAAAAATCGTTGTTGATTTTCCCAGCTATGGATGTAAACCTTTCCTCCTTCTAATACAGAAAAAGACAGAGAAGAGGTTTGGAACAGGATTGAAAACCTCAACTGCTTATGTTGTCTCTGCACCTTAATTTGGAAAAAGAATCACCCTAGGACTTAGAACAGAAGCCTCAGGGCTCCTTATTAGAAACAACTCTCAACTCCATCCTCTATGGACCAAGTCCTCTCTACTGGGATATATTGGTATTCACTGATTTCCTGAGATGTAAAAAATATATGTAACTAAGAATAAAAGCAAACCTTGTATCTCTGTTACATTTATACTTTAGTTAGAAAACTAAAACATCAACATTCAAAGAAAAATTTCACCCTCCTTTATGCCTAATAGTTTGTCTTTAGCATCTCCGTGTAATCCAATAGCAAACTGATTCAGGTAATATTTAGAGAGCATTAAGAATGAAAGCAGCTGGGTGCGGTGGCTCATGCCTCTAATCCCAGCACTTTGGGAGACTGAGGCTGGCAGATCACCTGAGGTCAGGAGTTCAAGACCAGCCTGGCCAACATGGTGAAACTCTGTCTCTACTAAAAATATAAAAACTAGTCGGGTGTGGTGGCAGGTGCCTGTTCCCAGCTACTTGGGATGCTGAGGCAGGAGAATCGCTTGAACCCGGGAGGTGGAGGTTGCAGTGAACCGAGACCATTGCACTCCAGTCTGGGCAACAGGAGCGAAACTCTGTCTTAAAACAAACAAACAAAAAGAATGAAAGCAACACAAGAGTTCTTATTATTTGTCAGGCACTGTTTTAAGCCCTTCATGTGTAATAACTCATTTAATTTATTTTTGTTATAAAATTATGAGGTAGGTAAAATTATGATCCTTTTTTCACAATGAAGAAACTGAGGATAGAAAAAAGTTAAGTGATTTACCCAAGGCCTTCTAGGTTCTTAATCACTGTATTAAACTATCTCTTAATAATCAGGAGGGAGTTCTAGAAAAAAAATTCCATCCAGAGAGTTTGGCTAAAAATTATCTTCTCGAAATTCCATTTTATTCTCATTCCCTCCAATCTCAGCAAATTGCTTTACCACCTACTCAACTCTACCTCCAAAATTCCACCACTAAATCTAGAGACAATTCTACCTCCAAATTTAGACGTAGACATTTTGACTATTCTCTTTTTCCTTCATGTTACCAAGGAGGTAAATACTTCCTTCTATTAAAAGACAATCCCTCCACCTATATTCTAGATCCCATACCCTCTTGCCTTCCCCAAAGACTTATGCTATCAGTTAACTTCTTGCTTGTCTATATCTTCAACCAATATTTCTCCACTGGGTTCTTGCTTAGGCTTTTAAACATCTTCTAGTATTTCCAATAAACAAACAAAACACTCTGGATTCTTTAGCCCTTTCAGTTACTGAACAATTGCACTGCTACCACTAAACACAAATTTCTTGAATTGTCTACATTTCTGTTTCCATTTCTTCACTTCAACCCACTCCAATCTGTCGCTTGCCCCACACAACTTCACTGAAATAGCTCTTGATAAGGTCACAATGACACTCACATTGCTAAATTCTTCGTTCTTGGCAACTCAACAGCATTCACCTCAGATGATTAGTCTCCTACTTAATATACTCTCTTTCCTTTGATTTTGCAAACCCTACTCCCCCGGTTTTCCTTCTATCTCTTCTACCATTCTATCTCTACCTCTTTTCGTGGCTCTTCTATATAACTCTTAAATGTTTGTTTTGATTTCAAAGAGATTTCCTTGCTCACTCTACTCTCCTTAGAATAAAATTATCCACTTTCATGACTTCAATTACCATATTTATGATGACGACTCTCAGTTTCTTATCTCTGGTTTAGCTCTCCCTTCTGAGCTTCAAAGCCATACACCTAATTTACTATTTGCTGTTATCTTCACTTGTATATCTCATAAGCACCTCAAATTCAGTATTTTCCAAACCAAACTTGTTATCTACCCATCCCACTGCCTAAAACCAATCTTGGCCCTCTTCAATTTTTCCTCGCCTCAGAGAATTATAGCACTATCAATTTTTGTCATTTTTGACATCTCCCATTTTTCTTTCTTAAGATGCAATTATTTAAGTCCTATAGATTCCCCATCTTTAATATCTCTCAAATGTAGTCACTTTTCTCCATCATTGTATTCCAAGCCACCAATGATGCTTCTGCTTGTACTTTTCTTCCTTCCAAACAGTCTCTATGCTGATGCTTTTCAGTGACTTCCTGTTCCTTGTAGTTTAAGGTCCTTCATTATTTTTCTTCTTCAACTTTTACTTTAAGTTAGGAGTACATGTGCAGGATGTGCAGGTTTGTTACACAGGTAAATGTGTGCCATGGTGGTTTGATACACAGATCATCCCATCACCGAGGTATTAAGCCCAGCATCCATTAGCTATTTTTCCTGATGCTGTCCCTCCCCTCACCCCTCCCACAGGCCGCAGTGTGTGTTGTCCCCCTCCCTTTGTCCATGTGTTCTCATTGTTAAGCTCCCACCTGTAAGTGAGAACATGCAATGTTTGGTTTTCCATTCCTGCATTAGTTTACTGAGGATAATGGTTTCCAACTCCATCCATGTCCCTGCAAAGGACATGATCTCATTTCTTTTTGTGGTTGCATAGTATTCCATGGTGTATATGCACCACATTTTCTTCATCCAGTCTATCATTGATGGGCATTTAGGTTGATTCTATGTCTTTGCTATTGTGAACAGTGCTGCAATGAATATACACAGGCATGTATCTTTATAATAGAATGATTTATATTCCTTTGGGCATACCCAGTAATGGGTTGCTGGGTCAAATGGTATTTCTGCCTCTATGGCTTTGAGGAATCACCACACCATCTTCCACAATGGTTGAACCTATTTACACTCCCACCAGCAGTCTAAAAGTGTTCCTTTTTCTGCACAACCTCCCCAGCATCTGTTGTTTTTGAGTTTTTAATAATCAAAAGATCCTCAATTATTAAAGAAGCCTATAATGCCTGGTCTTCTTCTGAATCCTTATGTTGTGGTACTTTCTCCTTCTTTTGATTTCTTTGAGAGCCTCAAGTCTCTTCTTGCCTCATTGTTTTTTTCTATGCCTGTATTATCTGTCTGGAAGGCAATAACTCCTCATCTGCTAACTCATGTTCTGACTTTAGGTCTTAATTTAAATACTCCCTCTTTGAGTATACTTTCTCTGACCTCTCAAGACTGGGTTAGATCACTTGCAGTGACATCCTATAGCCACCTATACATCTCTTACAAAAAATATTTATGTCAACTACTTATCTTTTCTACTATTTTGTAAATTGTATGAGGATAGGGACCATGTCTTTCTTCTGCTGTATCTCCAATGCTTACCACAGTGCCTGAAAAATAATTGGTACTCAATAATTTGTGAATAATTTAATTAACAGGAGAACAGAAATTATACATAGAAGAATTAATCTGGGGTGGCAGTAGGTGATCATGGAAGACTTTAAGGAGGAAATGACTTTTGAACTGAGTCTTGAAGAATTATAAAAGGGTTGGGGGCATTCTAGAATTAGAAAAATCATTTGTAAAGATACAGTGGTAGAAATTTTGAGGCCTCAAAGTACAAGATGTATGCAGGAACTTAGAATTGTCCAGTATGGCTATAGCACAGAAGAGGGTGGTGGAAGGTAAGACTAGCAAGATGTGTTCATGACAGGAAAGTCTGTGTGAACCATCTGATTAATGATATCTGGTAGCATCTGAAAAAAAACAGCAAGTATTATTTTGTGTTGTGGAAAATTCAGAATTCAGAGCAGACTGAGAAGTACCAGTAAAGGACTAACATCAGAAATACAAAGCAAAATGGCCATAAATAATTACTTTTTTCCTTAGTGTCTTCACTTCTCTCTTTGGAGGCTCCCTAGAGACCTGACTCCTTATATCTCGTGACCTGAGAGCATGCCTGGGACCTGCTTGACATTCTAAGGCACTAGAGAGATGGCTGAGTATAAAGACAGAGGAATGAGGCATCATGTCTGACTCTTGCAGACCCGTCAGCACAATTCCCTGGGCCAGTAGAAAAATGGTGTCTATTCATGCCCCTTTTATGTTCCTTTTTAAGCTTGGTAAATCACATAACAACTTTCATTGGATTTGCCATTTCTTTAGGAGCCGTGAAATTTCCTAGAGGAGATTTGTGAATCTTTAGGCAATTGGTATTCAGTATTGCTATGCCTGATTTTTTAAAAAGAGGCATATTTGGAAACAGAGGACACTGACACTGACCTTTTCTCTGAGTGGCAGCCTTTGCATACGTCATAGCAAATGCATTTAGGAATTGCTCATTTGTGGGGGCTGTTCAGAAGCAGGGGAAGGGAAGTGTCCTGGGAATTGACAACAAGCAGCAAAACAGTTCAGAAAGGAAAAGGGACATTCAAACATGATGAATGAGATCATTGTTGCTTTGAAAAGATTGGTGCTTCCTCATTTGGTAGTTCTTGAGTTTTTGGTTGAATACATGTTTGTTTTGACACAGAGACTCATAAACATGCCCATGGTTTTAGTCTCACTTCTGTTCTCAACTACCTGAGTGACCTTTGTAAAGTCCTCTCTCTGGTTATTCACCTCATCCTCTGTAAAATCAGAGGGTTAGGCTAAATTATCTCTACATTCCCTTCCTGCTCTGATATTTGACAATTCTATGATTTCCAGTCGGATACATTTATGCATGTTGTGGCAGAAATGTGATTGCATATGACTTGAAGGTGGGTAGTAGAAATAGTACAATTTCTTTTCAATGAATACAGTGTATTTTGTATATATGTTTTGATATATAATTCATGAAGTTTCCCAATTTCCAGCTAAGAGAGTTCATGACAATAAAATTACATTCTGACGAATCGGTTCACCTATGTTGTATGTGTGGGTAAGGGGCTTATTACAGAAGAGTGTTTAGCTAAGAGAGGTCACCTGGAGTTAGTGGTGGAGGTACCCTCTTGTTTGAGATCAAGAAATGAGAAAATAGGGAGAAAATGGATAAAACAGCTTTAAGTAATCTGTCTAATAAAAGTTTGTGAAAAACACTAGAAACAGTTAACAGCTTGTCAACTAAATTGAAGCCAATCTCTACTGCTTCATTGGCAACCTCTCTGAGGTGGGCCACCAGGCTATCCACTTATTCATTGCTTCATTAATGAGAGAAGGAGACAATATTGCAGTTCTTCTTCAGGATTAGGGAAAAGGAAATGAAATGAGAGAAGCAGCCTATAGGTTTCCTCTCTCCTCCAATTCTCACACAGTTGGCAGAGGGCAGCCAAGGGCCCAATGATGCCCCTTCTTACTTTTTTCTCTTCTTCTCCCACAAACATCCTTAACAACAATGAAAGAAAATGCTGGGAAGAGTGGGACAGCAAAGACCAGATTACTTACAGCATCCCTGTTCCATCTAATCTCACACATCAAGTTCATTGCTTACCATCTCCTATAAAAGAGTTCTTATATGTAGATGTCCTTGAGAAGAATCATATTTTCTTTCATTCTGAGGTCAATACCTCAATGATCACTTTATTAAGGTTTTGTTGGCATCAACATAAGGGAGAAACTGGGACATGGGGAAATATTAAAGGGTATTTAGAAGCGAGATATTTGGGCATCAAAGTTAAACCATTTAGCTCCCAGTGTTGCAGAATTATCACATTTTACTATTCAGCATGTGTTAATTGTTGCATGAGCTATATTTTGTCAAACCTTAGTTCTTACGCTTCCCCACAACTTCTGATTATTGTATCAGTGAAAAGAAACGTGTGAAAATGAAATTTAGAACACATAAAGCACAGGCGGTCAAGACTATACTGAGAAGCAGCTATATGGAACACACAAGTTAGTTGGAGAGAGCATACACATGCACATTGACAACTTTGCATCCCAAAATAGTGTTTTCAAAGCAACAACTAAACAAGAACAAACAATAGAATGCAAAGTGGAGCAATTGAGTAGTCAATGTTGGGTCGGTTTTTAATCCTGAAAGGCTTCCTGGAGGACTTGAGTTTTGGGAAGGTGACAGTTTCCACATCCATAATTGCTTCATAATCAGGAAATCATTGGGGCTCTTTTCTAGTCAATGTTTCAATCTCAGCAGTAATCTTGATATTTTCAAATGTGCTATGGAATTATTGGTTTATGTTAAGTAATATTTATTGTGATGTGGGACTTAGCGAGCATGCTGTCCTTAAAGACATCTGGCAGGGGAACAAAGTGCTTGCAAACTTTTAATTGGCCTGAGAAAGGATAAAATTTTGCCACCTGAAGTGCCAAGGGAACAAGTACACAGTGTACTTCTTCCCTAATGATGTTTGGAGGTTGGTGGACAAGGTTGGGGGCAGGGGGCCTCTTTCTAATTTTCAGTTACTGGGATAGAGTATCCAGAAAGATGGAAATAGCAGTGAAGTACAGAGTATGGATTACAGTGACCCAGCATTTTAGCAGCCTATAAATCTCTGTTGAATTATCTCATAACCAACCCGAGGCCTGGGTCTATTCAGAAAATAGACAAGTACTCAGAAGGAAAAGCTTTCTGCTGGAAGATAAGAACTATGTGTCGCAAATCTGGCTTGAAATACTGTTTTCAGTGAGACTATGAGCATATTACTTCCCTACGATGGGTATTAGATTTCTTATCTATTAAACACGAAGAAATTCCTTCCCTGTCTATGGAACTTAATCCCATTGGAACACTTTAGAATATGACAATCCTTGATTTATCACAGAGTAGTTTGGGAGGGTAGTAGAATGGAGAAGGGAGTGCTGGGAGTTGACAAATTGGAAACATAAGAGTTCTTCAGTGAGCTCCACAGATACACAAATCTAGAAGAAAATGTGATTAGGACCTCTATTCAGTCAATTGCATCCCCTAATAATCCTGCCTGCCATGTTGCCACTTTCCCCTATCAGTTTCCTTACTGCTGTGGACTGAATTGTGTTTCCTCAAATTCAAATGTTGAAGCCCTAACCTCACAAATGATCGTATTTGGAGATTGGAACGTTTGTTTAGGCTTAGATGAGGTCATGAGGGTGAGGCACTCATGATAGAATTAGTGCCCTTATAAGAAGAGACACTAGAGAGCTCTCTCTTCTCCCTCCTACCCCCCAACCAGGGGAGGACATAATGATAATGAGAAGGCAGGTGATCATCTGTAAGCCAGGAAGAGAACCCTCACCAGAAAGGAACCATGCTAGCAACTGGATCTTGGACTTCCACCCTCCAGAACGCTGCAAAACTAAATTTATCTTGTTTAAACTACCCATCTATGGTATTTTTGTTATGGCAGCCCAACTAAGTAGACTAAGACAATTACTACCTCCCTAACAAGGCCTGTCATAAGACCTGTAAGAAAAGGAAATCTATTATTACCAATCTGAGTGTTCTTGGTAATCCAGGAGAGTCTGTATCTCCAGGGGTCTCTTTTGCAGGGGCAATCCACGTTATTAATTCCATATAGTGAATATTCATTACATGCATATAATGTATAATGATCAAGTCAGCATATTTGGGGTATCTATCACCATAGTGTTTATCATTTCTATGTGCTGGGAACAATCAAGCCCTCTCTTCCAGCTACTTGGAAAAATACAATACATTGTTTCTAACTATAATACCCTACTCTCCTATCAAGCATTATAACTTATTTCTTTTATATAATTAATTGTATGTTTGTACACATTGACCAAACTCTCCATCTACCCTCCAATGCACACACTCTTTCCAGCCTCTGGTATCTATGATTCTATTTTCTACCTCCATGAGATAAACTTTTTTAACCTCCATGTAAGCAGTATTTGTCTTTTTTCTGTCTGGCTTATTTCACTTAACATAATGATCTCCAGTTCCATCCATGTTGCTACAAATGACATGATTTCATTCTTTTGAATGGCCTAATAGTATTCCACTTTGTGTAACATCATGTTTTCTTTATCCATCCATCCATTGATGGACACTTAGGTTGACTCCGTGACTTCGTTTTTAATTTTTTTACTTTAGGTTCAGGGGTACACATGCAGTTTTGTTATATAGGTAAACTTGTGTCATGGGTGTTTGTTGTACAGATTATTTTGTCATCCTGGTGCTAAGCCTAGTATTCAGTAGTTATTTTTCCTGCTTCTTTTCCTCCTCCCACCTGCCACCCTCAGGTAAGTTCCAGTGTCTGTTATTCCCTTCTATGTGCCCATAGGTTCTCATCATTTAGCTCCTGCTTACAAGGGAGAACATGAGATATTTGGTTTTCTGTTCCTGCATTGGTTTGCTACGGATAATGGCCTCCAGCTCCATCCATGTTCCCGCAAAAGACATGATCTTGTTCTTTGTTATGACTACATAGCATTCCATGGTGTATATGTACCACATTTTCTTTATCTAATCTGTCATTGATGGGCATTTGCATTAATTCCATGGTGTATATGTATTACATTTTCTCATTCAGTCTACTACTGATGGGCATTTGGGTTGATTCCGTGTCTTTGCTATTATGAATAGTGCTGCAATGAACATGCACGTGCATGTGTCTTTATGGTAGAATGATTTATATTCCTTTGGGTATATACCAAGTAATAGGATTGCTGGGTTGAATGGTAGTTCTGCTTTAAGTTCTTTGAGAAATCTCCAAACTGCTGTCTATGGTGGCTGAACTATAATATACACTGCCACCAGCAGTGTGTAAATGCTCCCGTTCCCTTTTCTTTCTTCTTCTTCTTCCTGTTCCTCTTCTTATTCTTCTTCTTCCTCTTCCCCTTCCCCTTCCCCTTCCCCTCCTTCTCCTTCTCCATCTTCTTCTTCTTCTTCTTTTGAAGGAGTCTCACTCTGTCACCCAGGCTAGAGTGCAGTGGTGTGATCTCAGCTCACTGCAATCCCTGCCTCCCGGGTTCAAGCGATTCTCCTGCCTCAGCCTCCCAAGTAGCTGGGATTACAGGCACCTGCCATGACACCCAGCTAATTTTTTGTATTTTTAGTAGAGATGGGTTTCCTCACGTTGGCCGGGCTGGTCTCGAACTCCAACCTCAAGTGATCCACCTGCTTTGGCCTCCCGAAGTGCTGAGATTACAGGAGTGAGCCACTGCGCCTGGCTAGCATTCCCTTTTCTCTGCAACCTCACCAGCATCTGTTATTTTTTGACTTTTTAACAATAGCCATTCTGACTGATCTGAGATGGTATCTCATTGCCGTTTTGAGTTGCATTTCTCTAATGACGAATCATGTTGAGCTTTTTTTTTTCATATGCCTGTTGGCTGCTTGTATATCTTCTTCTGAACAGTGTCTGAGGGCAGCAGGGGCAGTACCACTGCAGAGGCAGTGGCAGAGAGGTTTTCGTGTCCCCTAGGGGCTCCACCTCTAAGAAACATGGAGCCACAGTTACTGGGAGTGTTCAGTCAGTGGGGTGGGGTAGCTGCACTGCTCATAGCTTGTTGGGGAGTAGGGTGTTGAAGGCTCACAGAGAGGAGAGATTGGTCTCCTCTTCATATGGTGACTGCGGCACGCTAGATGCTCAGGTGTATTTTCAAATGTGATATGGAATTATTGGTCTGTGTTAAATAATATTTATTGTGATGTGGGACTTAGGGAGCATGCTGTCCTTAAAGACAGCTGGCAGGGGAACAAAGATTTCAAAAAATATTTGAAAAGAGCCAACCCTCAGGCTCTTTGTTTCTTTCCCAGAATGATTGCAGCAGGGAAGGAAATGCTGCTGTGGCAGTGGCAGAGGGGCTGTTGGATGCCTCTGAAAACCTCTCCCTAGGGAAACTCCAGGCCACTACCAGTGGGTATGCTCAGCCATGGTTGGGGTGACAGTTCTGTGGTCATGAGCCAGGGGCCCTGCCAGCTGGAGTAGGAGGTAGGGGTTCTCAATGAAAAGGGGCTGAACTCGTCTCTATATGGTGGCTACAGAGTGCTGGAGGTACCAACGTATTGACTAGGCCTCTTGTTCCTTCCCCAGCCCGAGTGCTGTTAGAGTGGTACCACTGCAATTGCAGTAGTGGACTCCATGTCTTTGCTATTAGCTGCAATAAACATGCAAGTGTAGGTCATACCGATTTCTCTTCCTTTGGATAAATACTCAGTAGTGGGATTGCTGGATTGTATGGTGGTTCTATTTTGAGATTTTTGAGAATTTATACTGTCTTCCATAATGGTTGTACTAGTTTACATTCCCACCAAGAGTGTATAAGTTCCATTTTCCTCACCAGCATCTGTTATTTTTTGTCTTTTTCATACTAATCATTCTAACTGGTGTATCACAATATCTCACTGTGGTTTTGATTTGCATTTCCCTGAATGATTAGTGATGTTGAATATTGTTATATACCCGTTGGCCATTTATATGTATTCTTTTGACAAATTATTCATGTCATTTGCCCACTTTTTAATGGGATTATTTGTTTTCATATTGTTGAGTTGTTTGAGTTCCTTGTATATTCTGGGTATTAGTTGCTTGTCAGATGGATAGTTTGCAAATATTTTCTCATTCAGCAGATTGTCTGTTCACCCTGTTGATTGTTTCCTTTGCCGTGCAGAAGCTTTTGATTTTAATATAGTTTCATTTGCCTATTTTTGTTTTGTGTGTGTGTGCTTTTGAGGTCTTAGGCATAAAATGTTTGTCTAGACCAAGGTCCTGAAATGTTTTTTTTCTTTAAAGTTAAAGCAAGTTTATTAAGAAAGTAACAGAATAAAAGAATTGCTACTCCATAGGCAGAGCAGTGGCATGGTTTGTTCAACTGATTATATTTATAGTTATTTCATGACTATATGCTAAACAAGGAGTGGATTATTCATGAGTTTTCTGGGAAAGGGGTGGGCAGCTTCCAGAAAAGTCTCCTCCCCTTTTTAGCCCATATAGGGTAACTTCCTGAAGTGTTTTCCCTATGTTTTCATCTCATAGTTTTATAGTTTTGGGTCTTATACTTAAGTCTTAATATAGTGGAGATGTTTGTCTCCTCCAAATCTCATGTTGAAATGTGATCCCCAGTGTTAGAGATGGGGCCTAATAGAAGGTGTTTGAATCATGGAGATGATCCATGTGACCTGCCTGCTCCCCAGTCACCTTCTGCCATGAGTAAAAGTTTCCTGAGGCCTCACCAGAAGCTGAGCAGTTGCTGGTGAAATGCTTGTACAGCCTGCAGAACTGGGAGCCAAATAAATCTCCTTTTTTTTGTACATTATCTAGTCTCAAGTCTCAAGTATTCCTTTATAGCAACACGAGATGGACTAATACAAGTCTTTAATTCATCTTGAGTTGATTTTTATATATGGTGAATAATAGAGGTCCAGTTTCATTCTTCTGTATATGGCAATCCAATTTTCCCAGCACAATTTATTAAAGAGACTGTGCTCTGAAAATGGTTCCTTGCTGTAGCTGCTTAGGATTTGGGGTGATTGTGGGACCCAGAACTAGCTCATTCCCTAAAACAATGCTTTCATGTTGTCTACAGGCAGCTCCCTATGTTAATTTCAGGCCCGTGAGAGTCTAGGAGTTTTTCTGTGGCTAGGATTTCAGGAGTTCACAGTGGGAATGTAGTCTGCTGAGGGTCCCTCACTTACTCTTTCCACACATTGGGGAGTATCTCTAGGCTTTCAGCCAATCTCAACTGAGCAGGCTGCCTTGCTTTCCTCTCTGTCCTTGCTTTAGGTGTTTCCTATCACTTTTCTGTTGAATTCCAGCATTCTCTCTTGGATGATTTATTTGAAATGTGACAATTTACTCATTATTTTCCTTCTTCTTAGTGGAGGAGGTGAGCACAAGATGCTTCTAGTTAGCTATCTTGAAGCCCCTGCTAGAATTCTCAGTGACTACTTTAGATAAGCTGATTAGGAAATTTTTCTCTGAGAAAGTGACAAATGAGCTGAGACCTAAGTTATGAGAAGGAGCAAGCCATGAAAAGATCTTAAGGAAAAGACTTGCAGGTGCAAAAGCCCTAAGTTGTAAATGTGCTGGGCATGTACATAGAACATGAAGAAGATCAGTGTGGCTAAAAGTAGTGAAAAAGACTAATGATGAGGTCAAAAGGCAGTCAAGGGCCATATTATGGAGAGTCTAGAAGGCGAGTGTGAAGAATTTGGATTTAATTTTGGATGAAATGAAAAGCCATTGGGAGATTAAGAAGAGGAGAGAAAGGGTCTGATTTACACTGCAATTTCCACTTCTGGCTGCTGTCTGGGGGATGGGCTATAGGGAACCAGAGTGAAGGCAGAGAGACCAGTTACAGGCTATTGTAGTAATCCAAGAGAAAGATAATAGTGGATTGGACTAAGATGGAACAGTGAAAATAGAGAGAAGCCTTTGAATACTGAATATCCTTTTAGAGTAAAGCAGGTAAACTTCGATGGGTTAGATATAGTAGTGGTACACATTCCCGTGCAATTATGGTCATCTCTGGCCCTTACTTACCTTTGCCTTTCTGCTCAATTTCCATCATTCAAATATAATCTTTGCTTGGTGTCCAATGTTCTTAACTTTAAACATGGTGTGTTTTAGTGTGGGTCAACTTTTATCAATTTTGTTAGGAACTCAATTTCCCTTTTAATCTAGAAACCATTTATTCAGTTCTGGGATTTTTTGATTGATTTATTTCATAATTTTGTCTCCTCCATTTGCTCTCTTCTCTTTCATGAAAACCTACAATTCCTATGTTGGACCTCCTGGTTTGATTCTCTAATTTTAAAAATATTTTATTTCTTATTTTCTATGTTTTTGTCTCTTTGGTCTGGTTTTTCCATAAAATTTCCATAAAATTTCACTACTTCTAGTGAAATTTCATTTCTGCTCTCATTTAAAATATCTAAGAGTTCTTTTATTTAATGTTCATTTTTAATAGTATACTGTTCTTTTTAATGACTACAATGTCTTCTTTCATATTTCTAATAATCCTAATGATTTGTAAGTGATCATTTCACTGCAATCTCTTTTCTTAAATTGTTTTATTTCCTTGTCTTCATCATAGAATTTTTAAAAATCACATCTGGGAATCCTTAGATGTTTGGTTATGTTTGAATGGGACACAAAAAAGCTGATTAAAAGTTTTTGTCATGGTGAGTGTCACTATAGGATGATTTAGCTGGCTCTCTTCCTTTGGTGATCTTCTAATTATTTTTACATAATTTACTATAAAGTTGCTCAGATTTTCTCAGTAAATAATCTTCCACTTTTCCTTGTGGGAAATATAGACCTTGGTTCTAGGTTTTTGGGAGCCATGTAAGAAAAGACGGTTGGTGATCTCAATATGTAGTATATAGCTAGATGTTCACTTAATCTCACACTCAGCTCTGTATGAGACACCCAATCCTAACACTCTGTATTTTATTTATCAGAGACTAAATCTCCACTCTTCTGTAAGAGAGAAGTATGTAGGGTAATGATGAGCTGTGAATAATGAAGGAGGGGAATTGGAAGCTTATTGGTTCTTAAACCATCTTTCAACCAATCCCTCTGTTTTCAGCTCCACTTTCGCCCTCACTTACGGAAGTACCTGATGCTTCCTTGGTGCAAATTGTTCTTAATTTCCTCAATGCTGGTTTAAGATTCCAGTTTATTAGGCCTGCTAATCAGCTGATATTTGCTCTTTTGCCTTTCTATTCCTAAAAGTTGCTGTCTCATACTCTTTCCTGTTTTTCTTTTTCCTCATGGGTTTATGCCACTAAAATAATTATCTTATGTCATTTATAGATAAGTATGAGTGCCTGGTTCACTCTCTTTAACTATAAACTTTTATTTATTTTTCATCATGGCCTTTAACATTTTCATTATAGCATTGTCATTGTATTATATATTTATATGTTTGCTAATTATCTTTCTCTGTCCACTAGTATACATGTTTATGAGAATAGGGACATTGTCTGTCTTGTTGACTATACATCCCTAGTGTCTAGGACATAATAGACATCCAGTAAGTTTTTGAATAAATTAATTTTGCATATTTTATTATTTTGAAAAATATATTTGTAGTCATAACATCTGATAGCATTTGTGGAAAAATAGATATATACATATAGCAAGTTAGTCAAATAAAAATGAGATAATTAGCAACTCGAAGAAAAGTGGTGTACAAGACAAGTTACACAAATAAAATTTTACTACATAAAATTTCAAGTTTTGGTACATATTCTTGTTTACATCTAAAAAGATCAACTAGCTATACATAATTGATTTTTAGGTAGTAAGAACAGCCAAAAAATGGAGACGAAGTAACAGGTTGTTGTAGTAGTCCAGGTGAGAAAAGATTATGACCTGTTAAAGCGAGGTACAAAGAATTGACCAGAATTAAGAGGAATTTAGAAGATAGAATTAGAAGGACTTGGTTACATTTAGGTAAGGGAGGAGGTGAAATAGAAGGAGATATAAAGCTATTAAGGATTTCTTGTAGGTTTCTGGCTAAACAGTGGTACCCTTCATTCAGATGATCAGACTAACTTGAAGGGAGACAAAGGTAGATATGGGGAGACAAATAGTGACATTCATCTGTCTTGCTGCTCCCTCGATTACTCAAATGTTTCTGTTTGTTTAGTTATTTTGTCTTGAAATTTAGAAAAAGTGTTTTAGCTTGAGTTACTCAGATTTCCAGTATTCTGTTTTTCTGTTCTTAATAGACTTAGCTAATATAGTGTATAAAAATCATTATTATTTTTGTCTGACACCACAAACTGTTAATAGCAACATGGCCTATTGGAAAGAGTATCAGTTGGGTGTGTAAAATATACCATCCTGGGATTTGATGACCTGGATCCTAGACAGCTCTGTCATTAACTCTCTGTGTGACTTCGGACTAGTCATATAAACTTCATTTTCCTCATATGTAAAATCGAGTTGTTAATATAGTAATTACACTCTTGATAATCCATTCTTTAATTGAAAAAGTGGAGAAGATCCATGTTTATTTTTAGATATAGAAAGAATATTTATAGGTAAGAAATGTACAAATATGTTCTGGAGACAATGCTCCAGTTGGCCTATGAAGCAGTTAAGTGTGGCTACCATTTATTGAGAATCCGTCACATGCCATTTGCTTTATGTATGTTTTCTTATTTAATCATCGCAATAAGCATATAAGGGCTTTTTATTTCCATTTTATAGAGGAAAGGTGAGGATTAGAGAGGGTGACTCGGCCAAAGTAACACTACTAGTTAGTGGTAAATCCAAGATTCAGGCCCAAGTATTTTTGCTACAAAGCCAACATATTTTCTATTTTGTAATGCTATATTTTGTACATAGCTGGTTGCCTCTGAAATAAGTCTCCAAACTTTGACTCATTGAATCTTAGAAGTGGAAAAAAACTTCTGCAAATTGTCTCTCCAATCTCTTGATTTACAAAAGAGGAAATGAGGACCATTATTAGACAATGGTTAGATAACCAGTTAGTGCCACGGCCAGTGTCCATCTCTTCAGACAATCTGACCACTGCTCCTTCTAATTTGGGAACCTGAACATAGTGCCTGATTCAAACCAACGCAGAGCTGTTTGTTCCATCACTGGTTTACTGATTTCACAGGGATGTTAGGACAATAAAATTATTATAATAGAATTGAGCAGCATTTGGATAAAAATACATTGGTGGGAGGCTTTTTTTTTAACATTTGCACAAACACAAGATATGATTAAGAAAATGGAGCCTATTACACAGTAACCTTTCAATTAGTCTCAGATTCCCTCAGGGGAGAATGATTCTTTATTACATGATGTATATTGTTTGTCTTGAACACCACACAGTTAGTTGGCCCATGAGTGGCCATTTATATGGAGAGAAGTCCAAGAAGCTAAATGCCTCAGTCTTTCCAGGAGAAATAATTGGGGGAGATGGGTGAAATGCTGAAGATCTCCTTAAAAAAATAACAAGAAATTGTAGATGAGTATGATAGCCTTGTGCAATTTGTTGAAATCCCACAAAGTGTGGAGGCGGCATCAACAGTGGGATGGGCCTTTTCACTGACAGCCACTGATTTTGACCATACAATAAAAACTGGTCTATTTTCACGTGTCTGACTGGGACCTATAACTTGAAAAACTTCAGGCAGAGAGACAAGTTTTTCTTTGAGTAATCCTAAATTGCTTTTCACATTTCTATTTTATGTTTGCAGAGGGAACACACAATAAATTTGGGTAAGAATGTAGCAGGCAGAAATCAGAGCCGATGAATTCCAAGGTTACATAAACTAAGGTTCCCAATCCCGGCTGCTGTTCTTTTTCCCCGTCAGTAGACTTAGTAAAACAAGACAGATGTTCTGAGCACTCCTAACTCCTGTACCATTACGCACGGATTTGGGAAACTAGACATTGCGATTGTTTTGTTGAAATAGAAGAGGATTTAGTGGGCTAGGGTGTGAGGGGGAGAGAGGCTGAAGGTGTGGTGGGGTGGGGGAGAAAGTGACCCATCAAGCAGATAACTTGTGTTCATATGAGATATAAGAGCGGAGGAAGCACAGAATACAGCCCCCTGCGGTAACCACAAGCAACTACCACTCTTACTTTCTGAAGACATTGCAGGAACCCAGTGCTCACAGCGCTCCTGACCCTGAGAGTTTAATCCCAGAGAAAGATCAGAGCAAATGCCTGTAAGTTTGACTTAGCACTCACCTTTATATAGTGTTGTTGACTTTTTAAAATTTTGGAACTTGAGCAACCTTACTGAATCAAACATTGTGGATATCCAGCATGCTGAGTGCCCGCCTAACCTTTTTAATGTACAGACATGGTTTTATGTGTCTTGAAGTTAGTTCACAAATATATTTTTTTTTGGTTGTTTCTGGTGATTACATAGATATCTAGTCTGTTAATATCCAAAAGTGTGTTTATCCATCCCCCAGTTATTAGGTATTTGGAATTTTTCATGGAATGAACTTTCCTCTTTTAACCACTCTCATCCTTCATCAAACTCTACTCACCTTTCAAGGCCTATGTTCAGTGCTACCTCCTCCATGAAACCTTTCTTCTCCCCACCCCACCCTGGTCCACTCCCCAGTCCCTCTTCTTTGTTCCTGTAGTACTTTGCCTTTATTTCCATGAAAGAAAAAGTTAAACATACATTGCCTTTCCTGTTATATTATAGGTTCCATGAGGGCAGTGATTGCAGTGCCTTATACATAAATGAATCCCCTAAGCATATAACATGGTGATTTACAGATATATGTATACAGTAGATGAATATTTAAATAGCAACATAATGAACATTTTTGCATAACTTATTTTCATTTATTTTATATCTTTG
The DNA here is from genome assembly GCF_000001405.40 of Homo sapiens. NCBI lineage: Eukaryota > Metazoa > Chordata > Mammalia > Primates > Hominidae > Homo > Homo sapiens. The sequence goes on along the minus strand of NC_000023.11, from coordinate 131,404,933 downwards.
GAAGTGAAAGATATAATATCTAAATGAAATTACCTGGGCAAATTGTTATAATATGTTCTGGAAATGAACATTGCCAGTAATAATTTACATGGTTACCTATTTCCTAACAAACAGTTGTCTTTATTATATACATGCCTGCCAAGTTGGGGAAAGCTTTGTGTTTTAATTTGTGTTTTGCTGAAGTTGTATGTTTTGTTATGTAATTTTATACTCAATGCGTTCTCTACTGCGCATGCTATCCATTCTCTTTGACCATGAGAATGTATCAAGTGAGCTTCATACATTGATCTTATATGTTTTATTATTTCTTTATTTGTTTTGACTAGTGTGTTTTATTGGGCTGGTGCAAAAGCAATTGCAGTTTTTGCCATTACTTTTATGGTAAAAACCACAATTATTTTTGCACCAGCCTAATAAAAGTTCTGCTCACAGCATATTTTTCCCTTTTGATTATTTCTTTTTTGATCTTCATTTTACTATAGTACAGCACGCAAAAGATTTTTAGTCATATATTTGAACCCACCATCCTGGTTCTGAACACATCATTCTGGCTTTGATGACACCTCATTTTTTTCAATGGCCACAATAGCTAGAGAAACAATGCTGTTATGTTTTTCTTTTCCTAGTTTCACGCTTAGATTTTTATGTTTAACTTTTAATCTATCTGAATTTTATTAAAGCATATGATGTGTTACATATTCAGCTTCACTTTTCTTACTAATTTTCCCAATAGCATTTACTTGTTTTTGCTCCCTTTATGTGTGTGTTTTAGCCTACCAGAAAAAATTTTTTTAATATAAGAGTTTGGCTCTCTTTCTCTAAAATACACTATTCCTTGATCAATTTTTGCTTTTGACCCAATGCCAAAGAGTCTTTGTATATGTGTGGCTTTGTAATAAAGTTTAAAACCTGAGAGACTATCTACCATCATTACACAAAAGAAGATATTTTGGCATCTTTGTCTTTTTATTCTTCCAGATGAATTTCACTATAAGTTTGTCATGATCTGTAAAGTATCCTGTAGAATATTTAGTTGGTATTGCATTAAGTCTATACATTAACTTAAAGAGTATTGTCTGTCTTTCTCACAGTTTTAGCCTTGCCCATCAGGAGTACTGTGTCTCCATTTATTCATGTCTTTCTTTATTTCTCCAATTATGATTTTATCATCTGAATACATTTCTTTTGTCAGTGTTAAATTTTTCAAAGTACTCTTAAATTGATAATCTCATTCAGTGCTTACCAGAACTCTGCTGTAGGTCAGTAGATTAGATGTATCCAAGGATGACTGATCTATAATAAACCCTTTTTTCCCCCAATATTCATCATGATTCTTTTTTGGTAACAGCTTTATTGAGATATAATTCAAATACCATACAATTCGCACATCTAAAGTATGCAATTCAGGCCAGCCGTGGTGGCTCACGCCTGTAATCCCAGCACTCTGGGAAGCCGAGGTGGGTGGATCACTTGAGGTTAGGAGTTTGAGGCCAGCCTGGCCAACATGGTGAAACCCCACCTCTACTAAAAATACAAAAATTAGCTGGCCTGGTGGCAGGCACCTGTAATCCCAGCTACTCAGGAGGCTGAGGTGGAAGAATCACTTGAACCCAGGAGGCAGAGGTTGTGGTGAGCTGAGATCACACCACTGCACTCCAGCCTGGGTGATTGATAGAGTGAGACTCCATCTGAAAAAAAAAAAAAAAAGTATGTGGTTCAATAGTTGTTGGTATATTCAGTGGTGTGCCACCATCACAATCAATTTTAGAACATCTTCATCACCTGAAAAAGAAATTCCATGCCACCCATTCCTGTACCACTCTTCAAGACCCTGGTAACCACTAATCTGCCTTCTGTTTCTGTAGATTTGTCTATTTCTGGACATTTTATCTAAGTTGAATCATACCATAAAAATGGAGGAGCAGCAAAGGCAACATTTATTAAGCACCTAGATATCAGTTAAGCACTTTATGTATTTTGTCTTATTTAATCATCAAAATAATCGTGTAAATTAGGTAACATTATTTCCATTTTAGACAAGCAAATTGATGGCAAAGAGGTTGAGCAGTTTGCCCAATCATACTATTAGGATGTGCCTGGATGCTTTGACAAGATCTTTGACCATGTTCTTTCTGCCTTAAGGTAGTTAGGAAATTTGGAAAACATCCCTCCCATGCTCTTCCCTCAGTGGTCTTTAGTTCCTTGAACAGAGACCGAAAGTAAATATGACATTTCTGATGCAGTGAGGGCTGAAAGAGCAGAGAAAGGTGGAGTGGTTTGTATAGCATAGACCACAGAAATTTGCTCTCCCAGCTTCTCTATTAGGTGTTGAGAATAATCAGTGATCTGTGTACAGTATGACTCACAGAGCCATAGGAAATTAGAGCTCATAGCTGGAAAGAGCCTCAGAGACCACCTAGTCTAGTTGCTCCATTTTATTGATGAAGAAACTAGGACCCAAAAAGAGCAAGCAATTTGCTCAAGATCATATAGCTCAAACACAGTGACAGAGAATGACCTTTTATCTGTTATTGGAAGAATAAATATACCAAAGGTGAAAGTCCGCTCCAGAATAACTTCAGAAAATAAGAAAGAAGAGAGATAGTGTTACAAAGTCACTGAATTAGGTCAGGAGATCTGGGTTCCAACACCAGCTCTGTCGCTAATTCACTGTGAGGTCTCCAGCAAGTCCCTTGACCTCTCTGGACTTGTTTGTTTCTTCACCCGGAAATGGGCGGATAGGAATAGATGATATTTTGGAAGCCTGACATTTATTAACCACTGAAGAAATTTTATTGAATAGGTAAATAAGTGAACCTTTACTTAAATTCTAAATGTTAGGCTATTTTTAGAAGATTCACAGTGAACTACATAACTAAAGAACTGATAAAGGGGTAATCAATTTTTTTTAAGAACCAGTACTGAAAATAATATAATTGCTTCCAGGGACAAATACATGAATTCACTTTTTAAAAACATGAAGGGTCACTTCTTCAATAAATAGGAGTGCTTGATTATTTCCAACAGGTAAACATCCAAGATACATTAGCCAAAATAATAATAAAACTGTTCTGGCTGCTATCATGACACTAGTGAATGCAGTGGCACATGGGAATGGGAATATCAAATCATTTCCTTCATAAAGTCATAATTTTGTCTGTTTATTTCCTTTGGGAAGAACAAGAAATTCTGTCTTATAAAAAAGATTTCATCATGTTTTAGGGGCTAATAGAGAGTCACTTACTCTTTGAAATAATATTTATTTATTAAATACCTGCAGAGCATGGGAACATCAAGAAATAGAGTTATCCTAAAATGGGAAATTTTTAAAATGATACAAGAACATGAAACTAACATTAAAAATTATTTTTTACGATACAATATAAGTGAACAGCTTAGAGCTGTTTGTTTCAAGCCTCCCAGGTTGAAACTTTCACAGTAGAGAGGCAGAGCAGATGATGTGTGTGTAGGGGGTGTGTGGGAGGGCAAAGAGTGCAACTCTGTAAGCAGGAACTGGAGGAGGCAACAGAAAATTATCATCTTGCCATCTTCCTCCTCCCTCTCCCACCTTCCATGATGGAATAATAATAGGGATCCATTCCATGTGTATTGTATCACCCTTCAGAGTTTACAGAGTGCTTTCACATTCATTATCTTATCATGCCAACCCTAAAAGAGAGGCATAGTAGGTATTTTTTTTTTTTACCATTTTCTAGATGAGAAAATATGGGGCTCAAAGAGGTTAAGTGGCTTTTCTATAGCTGAATGACAATACAAATTAATTAGTGCCAGGACTAGAACTCATGTCTTTGTCTCTGAAAACAGTTCTCTTTCCATAACCTTCATTCAGCCCCAAATTTTCTCCCTGAGTCTTTCCATTTAATCGTGTAAGTTGCTGAATGTTCCCCTGGGTGGGGTGCTGTGTTGAGTAGCAGCAGGAGCAGCTGCAGCGGCAGCGGAAGTTAACACTCACAGTTTGGGTAGAGCAAAAATGAGTGAATTACCATCACAAGTGAAAGACCCTTCTTTCATCCATTCTGAGCAAAGTCTCTCTCTCTCTCTCTCTCTGTGTGTGTGTGTGTGTGTGTGTGTGTGTGCGCGCGCGCGCGTGTGTGTAATAGGGAGTGGAGTATGGAAATTATACTTCAGTATACTTCAGCTAGTCTGTCAAAGGTTCACTTCTGTCCATCTAAAATAATAATAATGTGGACACATAATACCTCTGCTTCCATTTGGTAAAATAGGGAGAAAAAAAGTAGTAAATGGGAGTGGTCATGAAGGAATGGAGAAAGTAGGAATCAGTGAGCATCTAACATGTGCCAAGTGCTTTACTTACAATACTTTATTCAATCTTCACAATTGTCCAGTGACATACGTTCTACTAGTGCCCCTCCCTTACAGATTTGTAAATTCAAGTTTAGATAGGTTAAGTCCTAGGTTACAGAGCCAGTGATCTCCCGATCCAGGATTCAAAGAGATTCTTATAGCTCCAGAATTGGTTATTTTACTGCCAAGTAAAGAACCTGTGTCTTATGGTGAATGGAAACAGCAATGGCTTTCTTTTCTTTTTTTATTATTTTAGATTTGGGGGTACATATGCAGATTTGTTATATGGGTATATTGCGTAACACTGAGGTTTGGGCTTCAGTTGAATCCATCATGTAGTTAGTGAACCTCGTATGCAATAGGTAGTTTTTCAACCTTTGCTCCAATCCTTTCCTTTCCACATTTGGAGTCCCCAGTGTCTGTTGTTTCCAAGATTGCCCTTTTAACCAATGGTCAGAGACTCAAATGTCCCCTCGTCTACCTATAGCCAAATACAGCAATCCCTTCTAGACACCACTTACCGATGGCTGTCCAGTGAGCCATAGGGGCTCGGAGTTAGTTTAGATTTTATAAATGGAGGTGGACTCATCCCTTCTCTTATCTGGCACTTCACTCAGGGCATTTGTTCGAGGCAGCAAGCCAGCATCAGAGATAATCTATCACTATAGAAGAGAGGAACAGTGACCATGCACTTAGCCCCAGTGGCACCTGATGCCAACCATTGTGCAATCTGGTCCTTTGCTCAGACATGTCTGCTCAATAAGTCCTTGTAGAATTCACAGTCAGTTTTACAGCTGCATTACCTTTGCCCCAAGCATGGTTAGAGGAATCAGCAGGTGACGATCAGCCAGGAGCTACATAATTTCTGAGGGGTTTGGTCATTCTTTGGTTTCTCTTTCACAGGATACAAGTGATGCCTTCAAATTTGAGCTCAGTTTCTTATGGTCGTTTAGGAGCATGAGGGTTTCTGCAATAATCTACCAGTGAAATGATGATCAAGATCTTGGAAAGCACTCTACTGGTCAAGCAGAATAGTGAGTATTGACTTCTGCTGTCTCAGAAATAATGTCACAAATACTCAAAGGGGGGGAACTATCTGTGAAGATGGAATGAGTTAACATTTTTGCCCTATTGTTACCTCATTTTCAATAATTCCTTGGGCATGATTTGGAAAAGGGAGAGAGAGTGATATATAATTCCATAGCATGGATTGTTTTTTTTCTAAGAGTTTGTAGTCCTGTTTCAGTAAAGAGCATCTCTTGACGACACCCATTTTCTTTCTCCCTCACTTATTCATTCCTTCAATAAATATTATCAAACACCTTTTGCAGACTAGACTTTTACTTTTTTCCCTTTGTTCCTTTTATTTCTGAATTTTTTTTTACCTTCTTTCCCCACCCTCCCCTTTTCCTTCAGCATTTACATTTTCAATGTTATACCTGGAAAATGGTGATAATATTTGAGAAGTTATTTAAAGTAAGAATGTAGATGAGAGGCAGGGTTGGAGAATTTTGTGGATTTGTGTGTTTTGTGTGGTATCATTTTATCCATATCATCCAGTTTTCTCTTATTTTCTCGCTTAAAGAGTGTCTAAAGAACTTTTAACTACTTAAGGATAATTCTCAGCTTGTGCCAGTGGAAAATTCACCCATGGTGACTGACTTCATCTTTCTCGGCATGACAGATAACTCTCAGCTTGAAGTCCTGCTATTTGGAGTCTTTCTTATTGCTTACATCATCACTGTGTTGGAGAATCTAGGCCTTGTGGTTCTGATCAGAGTCAGCTCCCGCCTCCACACCCCATGTACTTTTTCCTCTCTAATCAGTCCTTCCTTGATGTCTGTTTCTCTTCCATTACAATTCCACAGAATTTAGCACATTTGTTTTCTAAGCTGCAGTATGTTTCTTTCCTTTTCCCGTATAACTTAAATGAGCTTGTTTGTAATCTTTGCCTCTGCTGAATGCAATTTTTTAAACTTGCATGGCCTATGACCGCTTTACTGCCATCTGTCACCCACTGTTCTACCACATTACCATGTCAAGAGGCCATTATCTTTTCTTGGTAGCAGGATGCTACCTTGGTGGGTTAGTTAAGATGGTCACTGTGACAACTTCCATCACACAACTATCGCTTTGTCAACCATGTGTCCTCCCTGCCTTCTTCTGTGACATTCCCTCATTGTTGGTACTGGTTTGCTCAGATCCTTGGATCACCTCCCGATCTTGGTGGTTGGCTGTGGGGGATTCACCCTGGTCACCTCTGTTGTGGTGATCCTTGTCTCCTACATGTCTTCCCTCATGACTATCCTAGGAATTCCCTTAGCTTCTGGAAAACAGAGAGCCTTCTCCACCTGTGCCTCCCACTTGACTGCTGTTAGCCTGTACTATGAAACAACTATGTACACTTACTTGCCCGCCTCGCGACATGGATCCGGGGCAGGAAATCAGATTGTGTCAGTATTTTATACAATGGTGATCCCCATGTTAAATCCTCTCATCTATAGTTTGAGAAATGAGGAAGTGAAAGTTGCCCTATGAAAAACATTGAGACATAGTCCTTAATCTTCTATTGAGTGTCTCAAAAATGCAAAATATTCTGTGAAGACTTGCTCACGGTTTTATTCACAGTGTTTTTCTTGCCTGCAAATGAAGTCTTCTTAAGAAAAACTGAATTACTCTAACTAATTGTTTAAAAGTAGTTGTCTAGATCAACAGCAACACCGTAGGCAGAAATTATATAAACAAAATAATATATATTTTATGAAACAATTGTCTGATAAGAAATATTTAGGAGGGAAATATGTATGTGAGTATAAATATGTCAGTTTGAGTGGTAAGCCTGTGTGATAACCCTAGTCATGAGTTAAAATAATTCCAAGATAACAAGGTTAGGAAACTATATAATTTGACTGTAAGTTATAGAAGAGAACATGGATGACAACTGGGATGCAAATAACTTTGCTGTACCATGCATGTCCTTATATTGAGGATTTACTTAGTGCTCCAAAGACTGAATTAAGTTCAGTACGTGTCTGTCATAAAGATTCAGGACACTTCTAAATGTTTCTATTCCAAATGCTCTACCACCACTGCACTGTGAGACTTAAAAATGTAAGCATATACATGAATTCTCATGTGCAATTATTGAGATTTGTAGGGGTGAATCTTAAATAGGGTGATAGCTAAATAATAGATTGGGCTCACTAATTAGAGTTTGCAAATCCTTTGTAAAGAACAATGAATCATTGGTTAGTAGGAACTCCAGGCCGGAATTGCAGCTATAATTTTTCTATATGCAAATTCTGAGTGGACCAGGGCCAAGTCCATTGCTATTCTTGAATATACTTCTAACATACAATGCAAGTGTAAATAAAACCCCAATTAATTCATTAGTCCATGGCTAACTCATTCTCAGAATTTGTAAGGTTGCATGAAATTCCTGGATATTGCTATTTTGTGTAAATATATTGAACAACAAGATATTTTTATAAGCTTACAATCTTATATATGAATAATACAAAACCTTAAGCTCTTTTATAAATGAGAAAACTAATGCCTAAAGAAGAGAAGGTGACCAAAATCAAACAACTAGTTGGAGAGAAATAATCAAATTGGTCAAGCTGCAAGGAAAAGCAGAAAGTAGCATTTATCTATATCTAGGTTAGTGCCTAATCTATAATCTAGGGATCTTTGAGTTCTAAGAATAGTTTTTCTTCTGCCTCTACTACTCCCAGAAACTATATAGCCCTAGTAGCCATCTTCCAAAAAACCCTAAACCCTAGTTTTGAGTGTGGCAGTGCGGTTTACTTGGTAGCCATGTGAAACCCAGTTCCCTTAGAGCTTCAGATCCTTATATCCAACTACCAGTTGGAACCTGCAATTGGTAGCTTCTCAGGCACTTCAAATTTATTATCTCAAAAATTGAACCCTTCTAAACCTGATGCTCTTCTTTCCTTGTCCCCTACCTATGTGAATGGCACCATCCAGTTTTTTGAGCCCTAAACTTGAGTCAACCCTTAACACTTCCTTTCCCTCCACTCGCTACATTCAGTCAATCACCAAATCCTGTCAATTCTCCCTCACAAATGCCTCCACCATCACTGGCACACTCTTTTTTTTTTTTTTTTTTTTTTTTTTTTGCCAGGATTAGCTAAATGGTCCTTTAACCCTTCTCCCTGAATCCATCCCGGATTTTGTGAAATCTACTTTCACACAACAACCACAGAGGTTTAAATGTAAATCCGACCACATCAGCCTTCTTCTACCCTCCAAATTGCTTAAAATTTCCACGTCTCTCTTTGCCTATAAGATAAATTTGAAACTCGTAAATATGATATGTAAATCTCTCCATGCCCTGTTTGTCCAAGTTCTATTCATTTACTAAATCCAAATTTAAATCCTATCTTCGTTTCTAGGTAGCTTTTCCTGACATTTCAGAGGAAACTGAGTGTGCATATTCTGTTCTCCCATTGCACTTTGCATGCCTTTTGTAGCATTATGACGCTTGCCCTTCTTATGAAATTCTTTGTGCAATTTTCTGATATTCTGTTTTGTCTGCCTAGATTGAAACCCTTTAAGTGGATAGAGCCATTTTTTTTTTTTTTTTTGGCTCCCACCTAGGTCCCACACAGGGCCTGGTTATCTGGTAATGGTTCAAAAAACATTAGCAGAATTGAAATTCACTCACAGCTAACCTTCCTTATTCATCCATTTTCTCCACCAGGCATGGTTATAGCTTGTTGTGCAATGGAGGAAAGGTAGAAAATCTTACCTCCTGGGACACCAGCTTCTACATGGTCCTTGTGGTTTGGCAGATGTTTCTTGTTGACACTGTCGCTCCAAAATAAGGAATCTGAACCTCTTTTTGTTCATTGCTTTTACCTTCCAGCTCAATACTACCCAGGTCAATCCCTTGTCCTCCCTGGATTTCTGCTCTTCTCTGGTAACTGGCTCAAGGACATGGAAGATTTTTTTCCTGGAATAAAAGTGCATTTGTTTCCTTTGTGAGGTTCATGATTAGAAACTCTCAGAATCTGAAGTCAGAGGTGAAAGGGCCCATAGTGAGAATTTAGACTGATGGATTTTAATTTTTTAAGCATTGGAATGATTTTTTAAAAATAATTTTAAATACAGAACAAAAATTTACAAAACATGAAAGTGGAAGATGTTTGGCTGAAGAAAGTATGGGGCACCCATAGCCTAGTACTCACTTCTCCATCCCTGAGGCACCTCTACAGAAACTCAAGAACAGTTTGAAAACACTAGAGTAATCAAATCTGCTTTTTTTCACAAATGAGAAAACAGCATCCCCAAGGAAAGGCACCATTCTGGAGATCACTCAGCTAGTCAGTGGCAGAGGCAGAATTAGCATTCAGATTTCCTGATTCACGACCTTAGAATACTGTCTACTACAGCCCTTTCATGTTGTGTGATGCTTAACAAGCTGGAAGGGTGAACAAAATGGGCCTTATCAGACTGAATTGCAGACACTGACTTAGCATCTATCTCTTTGGCTAGTTGAAGTGTCCCCCACCCTCCAAACAGCCCTAGAAATACCAGAGACAACTACAGCCTCATCAGCCTTCACCATTTCTATATGGGAAATGGTAGATCTCAGAGGATAGCAAAATTCTTTAGTAATAGAGTGTCCTTGTAGGCAGGACTAGCTACATAATTTGTAGGCCCAATGCAAAATGTAAATGTGAAGCTCCATGTTGAAAAAAACAGGAAGAAGTGCTATTAAAGGTGCTCAGATATAAAGCTTTGTTTTTCTCTCTTCTGCAGTCTCTCTCTCAACCTGCCATGCTGTTTTTGTTATTTAATGCCACACCTGCACAGGCACAGGGATATTTGTGGAGCAAGTGCAGAACTTCATAAGTGGGCAGTGATTCTGCCCAGTGACTCGCTGCCCATGTGCATGACTCACTTGTTACTGGATTTTTCCTTATATCAGCTTCTGCACAGATAGGTGCATCATGCTCTGTTCAGCATGGAGGAAGTGAAACCAGGTATATCCCGTTCCCATGGGCAGGCTGCCCCAACCCACTGTGGTCAGGCAACCACCAAGAGTATTACAACTTCTGCACAGTATGCACTAGGTGTCTGGATTGGAGTGGGCAATAGGCTCTGCTGGATAACCTGCCAAATGCACCATGACACTGCTCACTTGGGGCCAGATTGCTGTTATCATGTCCAACTGTGAGATTTTGCAGAGTGTGTATGACCCCAATTCTCCTTGTGCCCTGGCTCAGTTCCCTTGTGTGGAGGGTTGTAGCTATTACTGGGCAGGATAGAGAAGGGGAGGCTGGATGGGGTCCTGAGTACTAAGAAAGAAGCGAGTGACAGCTAAAAACCTACCCCAGGGAAGTGGAGAGGTGGTGAAAAGTGGGACTGTGTGTTATCAGATATTCCAAACTCCCAGTGAATACTCGATTGTCCCATTGGATTTTGCATTTCACTTATGCTAATATTCAAATTATTTAAAATTTCAAGACAGTGACATTAAACTTTAAGTGCAGAGCACTCCTAAGCTCAAGGTCTTGTACAATCACATGCTCATGAAGCCAGCCCTGCTCACAGAGAGGGGTTTCTTTTATCTTTGTCAGGCAGTATAATGTAGTGGTTAGGAGTACAAGCTCTAGAATCAGACTGCCAGACTTTGAAACCCATTTCTCTTACTTCCAAATTCTGTGATGTTAGACAAGTTACTTAACCTTTTTATCTCTCAGTTTTCTTATTTGTAAGATAAGAATAATAACATTACTCACTTCTTAAATTTGCTGCGAGGTTTAAATGCGATGATGCATTCACATTGGTTAGAATAGTATCCAGACATCGCACACACTCAATAACTGTTTCATGTTATCATTTATAGCTTGCCAGATTCAACATTTTTTAGATGTCCAATGCAGGTATCAGGTTTTATTTACTCTGGATCTGCTGCAGACCTGTGCTCCAAATGGTATTTACCCAGCTTCTACAGCGTATAACCAGACTTGGTCTCCAGTGGCCTCTCAGGCTCCAGTGGCCTCTCAGGCTTAAGGGGAACTCCACTAGATCTGTACAAACAAAGCGAACCCAGTCAGGTTTCTCTGGTAGAGTTTTTTCCTTCACAGGCTCAGCACCCATCCAAGTCAGTGTTTGGCCTCACTATGCTAGGTCTCAAGACCACCAAATTCAGCCTCAGGGACAACACACCCACTTCTGCTGCTTGGCCAACATGTTCTCAGGAAAGGGATATCCTATTGTCTCATAAATAGTGGTCCCTGGTCATTTGGCTACTGGAAACAGCTATGTAAGTGAATCTCTGGGGTCTCTACCTCAGTCCTGCTGCACCAGTGCCAGCCCTTAAAGGTATGGACATTCTAGGGGACTTGGAGTTAGAACAAGATTTTTAACCAGTGGAGCCTAATCCAGGCCTTTAGGGGGGTAACAAGGCCTCTTGAAGTGAGAGGATGAGGGAGTGTGGGCAATGGGTGAGGGAGGTGGGGGACAAGGACTCTATGAGACATGTCAGCAACTCTGTCCCCTCAGGTGTTACAAGAGGATAAATACTGACCCCTCTCTCCATCTGCTGGTGACAGTAGCAGAAGAAGCTGAGCCTTGCTTTCCAGGGAGCTCTCAGCACATCTGCATGGTCTCCTCTGCCCCCCAGCACACTCAGGGTGAGCTCAGTCAGCTTCCCTGGTCGGCAGGGGGTGGGGGCAGGGGGGCTGCTCCAGCTATTCTGGGCTGGGCATCCCTCCCTGGTGCTGCTCTGGGTGGTGGTGCTCAGAGCAGCATCTGGTCCTGGGCTCTCTGATAGAAGGACCCTGCCGAGACAGTCCCTAGGCTGGATCCGGGGACCTGAGCAAATGAGCAGGTATTGAGGGAAAGGATAGTTTGGGGGGCCCAGTGGCAAGATGCTATAACCCCAAAGGCAGGGCAGCAGAGTCAGCTGGCTGTGTGGTCCCCAGCTTCTGTCCAAGGCAAGGACATCCCAGAGACTCCTTTGGCCTAAAGCTGACACTTCTGTCAACCCACTGGGATTCTTGGAGGTATCCAGTCAGCAGCATCTGATTCAGGGAGGAATGTTCGAGACTGGGTAGTGACTGGCCTCCTGGGTAGTGACTGACCTGCTGGCCAAGCCCCCATGAGTCAGGGAAAATGGCTGGCGTAAACCTGGCATCCTTGCAAGGGCCCTGGAGCTCGGAACTGGCTGGGGTCTACCTCACACTGCAAGAGTGAAGATCTAAGGGTGGAGTTCTGGGACCCAGGGCACTAAGCAAGAGCAGTAGGGAGAGATACCAGGCTTCTGAGGAGTAAGGAGCCATGTTCTATGATTCTGAAAACATGACTAGGATGAGATTTAGTAGAAAACGGAAATAACCAAGTCCATTAACAAACATTTTCTGCGTGCACATCGTGTGCACTGACTTATTCTTGGGTGTATAGCAGTACAGGAAAGAGAGTGGGGAGGGGGTGGGAGATGCCAAAGGAAATAGGAGACATGGCCCTTTCTCTTGGGGAGCATAAAATAAGGGCCCCAGAAGAGAAAATGTTTAAGCACTTGAAGAAAAAGCAAAATAGAAATTGGTTTTACTTGAAAAGTGATATGTAAAATGATTCTTTCAAACTCAGTAAGTTTCCACTTCCATTTTAATTTTAGAGATAGGTTCCTACTTTAAAAAGTAACCTCAATTCATAACAATAAAGGTGTTAATTTCTCTTCAGTAAGAATTGTCACCTTTTCCACACATGCTGGTTGACCTTGATAACTAATTGAATTATCTAAAATTACTTTTTCCTGACTATAAAAGAATTACACACTCATTATTGAGAAATTGGAAAATATGGAGAAGGAAGGGGAACATATAAATTGATCAATCTTGGCACCTAGAGACAATCACTGTTAGCACTTTGGTGTCCTTTTAATCTTCCATTTAAAATATATTCATGGGGGGTGTGTGTGTGTGTGTGTGTGTGTAAATGTGTTTGTAATAGAATAATAATGTAATACGGTTTTTTACCCTGCTCTTTTCACTTAAAATATATCGGGAAAAATATGCACATCAATAAGCATTTTTCCCCTTGAGTTTAATGATTGATTGTGTAATACAACAATGTATGGATGAACCCTGATGACTAATTGTTAACAAAGAACTTTGAAAAGACTGATTGATAGGAAGAACACATAGCTGACAACAGCTTCTATCAATATGCTCAAGCAAGAGTGAAATACACAATTTGGAATTTGACTGCATTTTATTAAATGCAGAAATAAAAACATAGGCTAAATGACATTACTGGGAAGATTTGCCTTCTATGATCAAACCTCTCGTAAACACAAAGGCTTTAAATGAAACTTCAGTTTGAACAGGCGGACAGGAGAAATGACTGGAATTCTGAAAGATTTTACCAGACATTTGTCCTCAGATTATGCAGTGGAACATGCAGACTACCTTGGCACGGGCACTGAAACCAGCCTATCTCAGCCCAGTAAGTGTCTACCCCAAGGATGGGGGTCAAGGGGAATCAGGCAAACACCCTGAGTCTATAGCACAGGCTGAGAGCAGTCAGGTGGGAGGTGAGGGGTAGAAGGACATGTGCATGATCTGGAGCAGAGGGCCAACTGACAATGTTAAGAATAATGAATCCTTATGGATATGGTATAGTGGGAACTAAAGGCTTCCAAGTCACAGAGGAGGAGGAAAGAAGACCAACTTGACCAAAGGAGGAATATCACAGAAGTCATCAGTAGTGGGAGTTGCAGAACAGATTTGTAAAGACACTTTTGATGCTTGGAAAATAGGTTAGACAGGACCCTGGCCATGGGAACCGAAAGTGGGAGAAATCTAAGCAGGACAGAGAGGTAAATGGGGAGTGAATCCAAAAAGCATGGCGGTCCAGTTGCCTTACTATAGTGATAGCATGAAGGAGAAGGAGCAGCCCAAAAGAAAAAGATAAAAAGAAAGGTAAATCTGAGGAGGATTATTCATCTCTAGAATGAACTTTACCATAACACTGGAATTACCTCCCACAGGTACCAAATGACAACTAGGACAAAACTTCTAAGATGCAAACTCAGGGACCTGATAGATATTCTGGCTCAGTCACCTCTTTCAAGTTTCTGAAGATTTCAGTTCCTAATACTCTGAGTTGTCACAAAATCAGGATAGGCACTTTGCAGTTATCCCAAGGGGCAAAACCAATTCACATCATCTCAAATTCATTTAAAGCCATGTTTAATTAACATAACATTTAATTCTACTTTAATTACTTTTAAGAACCCACATATTGCTTCAGGGAATTAATAAAATTAGACAAAATTAGCATGTCACAACATGAAGCATGTTGGGAATCATTAGTCTAAACCATCTGGATAGATAACTGTCTCCTTTGTACTTGATTATTGTCCACATTGAAAACCCTAATTCTACCCACCTTCTCTTCCACCTACCTCCAGTAGATATTGTTTTGAGAGCTGGGAGGTCTTTTGTTTGTCCAACAATGTTCACTTATCTTTAAATTCAGCCTCTGATCAATCCAAAGGCACGATAGTCTCAGTTTCCTCATATAAAACCTAAAGGTAATCACAGTTTCTTTCTCTCTAGGTTATTGTGGAAACTCAATAAGATTATGTATACAATTGGTATTAATGAAAAAATTGTCATTACTAGTAGAACTTGTGCCTGGGGGAGATGCCGGGCAGTATGTCTTCATTTAAATAGTGGAAAAAACAGAATGCAATAAGGATAATGACCACTAACAGGAGACAGCTTTGGGAGGCTTTGCAACTCCATTTTATGAAAAAGACTAGTGGATAGTAGAATTAGAATTATTCTTAACTGAAGGGTATGATCTCCACATCCATACTCACAAGACACAAACATCACCTGTAATTCCTTACAACATCCATTGAGCGTGTGGTGTCCTGGTCCCAGGCTGCAGAAAAACCAACAAGACATCTTCAAAACCGCAGAGCCCATGTGGGTGGGAAAGGCTAAACAGGGGGATGCAGAACCTTGGGAATGAGATATCGCTACTTCTTTGAATGTGATTGGAAGTGATAAATGGCACAGTGGTGGCAGATGAACATAGATTCAATTCAGGGTAAAGGAAGAGCCATCCTCTTCAAGGATCAGATATGACTTCCATTGTTCAGTGCCTGAAGTTGGGACTTTGTTATTTCTGCTTCAACAGAGAAAGGATAATTTTGGTAGCTTTCAATCTCATTAAGTGCTTTCCTATCCTCTTCCTCTAACTCACTTTTCCCTCATTTCCATTTTAAAAATTTCTCATAGAGAAATATAATACAGTGGGAAGAGCAGGGGCTCTGAATCTAGGCAGGCATAATATCTAAACTACTTGAAGTTTTGGTTGCTATGAATCCATGAGCCTTCCAATCCTTTGTTTGTTTCCTTGTCTCTGACCTGATTCCCTGACTACTTCTCTTTCTCATGATCCTCTTTGGTTTCTAGGTTCCTGTCATCTCCATTAAGAATCAGCTTATTGGCCGGGCGCAGTGGCTCATGCCTGTAATCCCAGCACTTTGGGAGGCTGAGGCGGGTGGATCACGAGGTCAGGAGATCGAGACCATCCTGTCTAACAAGGTAAAACCCCGTCTCTACTAAAAATACAAAAAATTAGCCAGGCGAGGTGGCGGGCACCTGTAGTCCAAGCTACGCGGGGTGCTGATGCAGGAGAATGGCGTGAACCCTGGGGGGCAGAGCCCGCAGTGAGCCAAGATCACGCCACTGCACTCCAGCCTGGGTGAAGGAGCGAGAGTCCATCTAAAAAAAAAAAAAAAAAAAGAATCAGCTTATTAGCAAGAATGTGGAGAAACTGGAAAGTTCAATTTCCCATTGTGGAAATGCAAAACGGTATATCCACTGTATAAAACAGACAGTCCCTCAAAAGGTTACATGTTGATTATAATTTAACATGGTTAAAATGTGACCTAGCATTTCCTTTCTGGTGTATCTAGCAAAGAAAAAATGGAAATATATGTCCACACAAAAAATTGTACAATAATTTTCACAGAAACATTATTTAAAATAGCCCAAAGTTGAAAAGAACCCAACATGTTTATCCATGTCCATCAATGGATGAATGGATAAACACACTGTGGTACATCCATACAATGGAATATTATTCAATCATGAAAAGGAATGACGTACTGATACATGCCGCATGTATGAGTCCATTCTTGCATTGCTATAAAGAACTACCTGAGACTGGGTAATTTATAAAGAAAAGATGTTTAATTGAGTCACAGTTCTGCAGGCTGTACAGGAAACATGGCTGGGGCGGCCTCAGGAAACTTACAATCGTGGTGGAAAGTGAAGGGGAAGCAGGCATGTCCTACATGGCAGAAGCAGGAGGAAGAGAGTGCCAAGGGGGAGGTGCTACACACCATTAAACAACCAGATCTCATGAGAACTCACTCACTATCACAAGAACAGCAAGGAGGAAATCCACCCTCATAATCCAATTACATCCCACCAGGCCCCTCCTCCAACAATGGAGATTATAATTCAACATGAGATTTGGGCGAGGACACAAATCCAAACCATATCTAGGAATGAAGTACTGATACATCCTGCAACATAGATGAACCCTGAAAACACCATACCAAATGGAAAAAGCCATATAGAAAAGGCTGCATATTGTATAACTCTATACTTATGTGAAATGTCCAGAATAGGTAAATCTATAAAGACAGAAAGTAGATTAGTGCCTGCCAGGGGCTAGGGCAGGGAGAGAATTGGAAGTGACTGATTATGGGTACAGGGCTTCCCTTTGGGATGGTGAAAATGTTCTAAAACTAAATTGTGGTGATGGTTGCACAGTTCTGTAAATACATTAAAAATCTATACGTTAAATGGGTGTTACGTTAAATAGGTAAAATCTATATGTTAAATGGCTGTATACGTTAAATGGGTGAATTTTATGGCATGTGAATTTTATCTCAATAAATCTATTAAAGGAAAAAGAATTGTCACATCATCACTGTTAGCAATCAATGGCAATGTGAATTGAGTCACTATGACTGGATTAATATTTAAGGTTTCCCTTAAGAGTATGGTTGGACAAACATGCCAGAATGGCTACCTAAACAAAATTACTTTCATGATTTTAAGCAGGAAAAAGTCTGTTAAGTTTGGACGTCCAGATATATATGAATTCAGAGGCTGCACTCCTAACTCGTTATGTTCTCACTTCTAACTTTTATATGCACAATTATCAAATAAATAATTAGATTTCCTTAAAAAGCAAACTATATAATTTGCTACAAAACAGAAAATGAAAAAAAAAAACTCACAGAATGGGAGAAAAAACTTGAATATCATATGTCTGATCAGGCTCTTATAAATATCCAAAATATATAAAGGTATATGAGGTATATTACTTCACACTCACTAGGATGGTTATAATCAGACATATAATAACAAGTGCTGGCAAGGAGTTGGAGGAAACAGAACTCTCACACATTACTGGTGAGAATGTAAAATGGTTCAACCACTTCAGAAAATAGCCTGACTGTCCCTCAAAAGGTTCAACAGAATTTCCATGTGGACCAGCAATTCTCCTCCTAGGCATATATCTAAAATAATTCAATACATAGATATACACATAAACGTGTACATAAATGCTCATAGCAGCATTATTTGTAGTAATTAAAAGGCAAAAATGACTCAAATGTCCATCAACTGATGAATGGATAACCAAAATATGGCATATCCATAAAATGGAATATTATTTGGCAATAAAAAATGAAGTACTGCTACGTGCTACAACATGAATAAACCTGAAATCATTATGCTAAGTAAAAGAAGCCAGACACAAAAGACCACACATTGTATGAATCCACTTATACGAAATGTTCAGAATAGGTAAATCCATAGAGAGAGAAGGTGTATTAGTGGTTGCCATGGGCTAGGGAAGAAGAGATTAGGAGTGACTGCTAAAGGATGTAAGATTTGGGGAAGGATGTTAAAAATATCTTAAAATTGATTGTGGTAATGGTTGCACAACTCTGTTAATATACTAAAAACCTTTAACTTGTACAATGTAAACAGCCAGGTTTGATGTAAATATGTGATCTTTCTCAAAAAGGCTGTTATCTAAGAAAATAATCAGTCAATCTAGCTCTGACTAGGTGTCATTATAAGTAGTGTTATTTTAGGAGCCATAGAATCATTCTCTGGGACTGATACTTCTAACCAGAAGGAAATAATGGAACATTTGCTTCATAGAAGGAAGATCTACCCCCTAAACAAACTCTCTCTGCTTCTTAAGTTATACAAGGTAAAATTCCAAATTGTGTTTAAATACCACATTCATGTAAGAAAACATTTTAAAATGGTAGTAAACAGTCAGACTCCACATCTTGATTGGAGTGGCAAGGATTTGTGAACATGTTTTCAATCCACCACATCAAATATTTTTTGTTTAATGACTGCATGATATTTCATAGCATAAATGCACAATAATTGAATCAGTCTCCTATTGATGGACATTTAGGTTATAGTCCATCTTTTGCTACTGCAACAATGTACAATAAATATCCTTTTGTATAAGTATTTTAAAATATGTGTAGGTATATCTGTAGTGTAAATTCATCAAACTGGAGTTGCTGGACCAAATAAAATGTGATTTCAGAGAGTTTACAGCTCCATCAACAATATATGAGGTTATTTTCTCATATTTTTATTATATTATCATAAATTAATATATTATCAAACCTCTTAATCTTAACATTTGGAGTATGTAAAGACATGTTCAGTGTTCTGTGAACTGTTGCTCATTTTCTTTTGCCCATTTTTTGAATAGGCTGTTGGTCATTTTTCTTATTGACTGCTAGGAACTTTCCATATGTTAAGAAACTTAGTCTTTGTAATAGGTGTTGCAGATATTCCCCCCCCACCAAAGTTTTATATTTTCAACATTGATTACAGTAGAGTTTCTTTTTCTATGAAGAGTTTTCAAAGTTTTCGAAGAATAAATTTTTGTTTATTGATTTTCTGTATTGTTTTTCTCTTGTCAACCCTATTGACTTCTGCTCTTACCTTTATTATTTCCATCCTTATGCTTGCTTTGGATTTATTTTGCTCTTCTTTTTCTTGTTTCTTGAGGTGGGAGTTTAAGTTATTGATTGGAGACTATTTCCTCTTGGCTAAAATAAAAAATTACTGCTGTAAATTTCCTGCTTATCACTGCATTAGCTGCATCCCAAAAATTTTGATACATTGTATTTTCATTTCATTTACTTCAGTGCATTTATTTACTTCCCTCGAGGCTTTCTTTTGGCTGATGAATTACTTAGAAAGATGTTGTTTAGTTTCCAATGTGTTTTGAAAATTTGCTGTTATTTTTTCTATGTTCCATTGTGGTAAGAGAGCATATACTGTATGATTTCAATTTTTAAAAATTT
This sequence comes from Homo sapiens, assembly GCF_000001405.40. Classification (NCBI taxonomy): domain Eukaryota; kingdom Metazoa; phylum Chordata; class Mammalia; order Primates; family Hominidae; genus Homo; species Homo sapiens. The sequence continues at coordinate 131,385,192 of NC_000023.11, read as the reverse complement.
GTCAATATTTGTTTTATGGTCCAGGAGATGGTCTATCTTGGTGAATGTTCCATGAGTGCTTGAAAAGAATGTGTATTCTGCTGTTGTTAGGTGGAATACTCTATAAATATCAATTAGATGTCCTTCAGTGGGTGAATAAACAAATAGTGGCATATTCGTATCATAGATTATTAGTGGCCAATAAAAACAGAACAATGATACGCAGAACAACTTGGATGGATTTCAGGTTAATTTGCTTTAGTTGAAATAGCCAATACCAAAAGGGTACATGCTGTATGATTCCATTTTTATAACATGCTACTAATGACAAAACTAAAGATGAAAAGATTTCTGATTGCCAAGGGTTAGGGCTGAGGAGAGGTTGTGACTATGAAAAAGTAGCATGAGGGAGTTTGCATTGATGCAACATTCTGAATCTCGATTACGGTGGTGGTGACATGAATCAATATATGTGTTAAGATTTCTTAAAGCTACATATAAAAAACAAACAAAAATGCATGCATGTTAAAACTGGTGATTTCCAAATAAATTCTGTAGTTAACAGTATTGTAACAACTTCACTTTCCTGTATTTGGTAACGAACTATGCTTATGTAAGTTGTTATCTTTGGAAGAGGCTGGGTTAAGGGCATTCAAGAACTCTGGAATATTTTGGTAAGATTTTGTGAATCTAAACTTATTTCAAAATAAAAACTTACAAAAACAAAAAAAATATATCAATTAGATAAAATTGATAGTACCATTCAGATCATCTATATTTTTACTGATTTTCTGCCTGCTCGCTCTATCAATTACTGGCACAGGTGTTGAAATCTCCAGATACAGGGGGAGGAGCCAAGATGGCTGAATAGGAACAGCTCTGGTCTACAGCTCCCAGCGTGAGCAACGCAGAAGACGGGTGATTTCTGCATTTCCATCTGAGGTACCGGGTGCATCTCACTAGGGAGTGCCAGACAGTGGGCGCAGGTCAGTGGGTGCACGCACCGTGCGCGAGCCGAAGCCGGGCAAGGCATTGCCTCACTCGGGAAGCGCAACGGGTCAGGGAGTTCCCTTTCCGAGTCAAAGAAAGGGGTGACGGACGCACCTGGAAAATCGGGTCACTCCCACCTGAATACTGCGCTTTTCCGACCGGCTTAAAAAACAGCGCACCACAAGATTATATCCTGCACCTGGCTCGGAGGGTCCTACGCTCACGGAGTCTCGCTGATTGCTAGCACAGCAGTCTGAGATCAAACTGCAAGGCGGCAGCGAGGCTGGGGGAGGGGCGCCCGACATTGCCCAGGCTTGATTAGGTAAACAAAGCAGCTGGGAAGCTCCAACTGGGTGGAGCCCACCACAGCTCAAGGAGGCCTGCCTGCCTCTGTAGGCTCCACCTCTGGGGGCAGGGCACAGACAAACAAAAAGACAGCAGTAACCTCTGCAGACTTAAATGTCCCTGTCTGACAGCTTTGAAGAGAGCAGTGGTTCTCCCAGCACGCAGCCGGAGATCTGAGAACGGGCAGACTGCCTCCTCAAGTGGTTCCCTGACCCCTGACCCCCGAGCAGCCTAACTGGGAGGCACCCCCCAGCAGCGGCAGACTGACACCTCACAAGGCCGGGTACTCCAACAGACCTGCAGCTGAGCGTCCTGTCTGTTAGAAGGAAAACCAACAAACAGAAAGGACATCCACACCAAAAGCCCATCTGTACATCACTATCATCAAAGACCAGAAGTAGATAAAACCACAAAGATGGGGAAAAAACAGAAACTCTAGAAAAACTGGAAACTCTAAAAAGCAGAGCAACACTCCTCCTCCAAAGGAACGCAGTTCCTCACCAGCAACGGAACAAAGCTGGACAGAGAATGACTTTGACGAGCTGAGAGAAGAAGGCTTTGGACGATCAAATTACTCCGAGCTATGGGAGGACATTCAAACCAAAGGCAAAGAAGCTGAAAACTTTGAAAAAAATTTAGAAGAATGTATAACTAGAATAACCAATACAGAGAAGTGCTTAAAGGAGCTGATGGAGCTGAAAGCCAAGGCTCGAGAACTACGTGAAGAATGCAGAAGCCTCAGGAGCCAATGCAATCAACTGGAAGAAAGGGTATCAGCGATGGAAGATGAAATGAATGAAATGAAGTGAGAAGGGAAGTTTAGAGAAAAAAGAATAAAAAGAAATGAGCAAAGCCTCCAAGAAATATGGGACTATGTGAAAAGACCAAATCTACGTCTGATTGGTGTACCTGAAAGTGATGGGGAGAATGGAACCAAGTTGGAAAACACTCTGCAGGATATTAACCAGGAGAACTTCCCCAATCTAGCAAGGCAGGCCAACGTTCAGATTCAGGAATTACAGAGAACGCCACAAAGATACTCCTCGAGAAGAGCAACTCCAAGACACATAATTGTCAGATTCACCAAAGTTGAAATGAAGGAAAAAATGTTAAGGGCAGCCAGAGAGAAAGGTTGGGTTACCCTCAAAGGGAAGCCCATCAGACTAACAGCGGATCTCTTGGCAGAAACTCTACAAGCCAGAAGAGAGTGGGGGCCAATATTCAACATTCTTAAAGAAAAGAATTTTCAACCCAGAATTTCATATCCAGCCAAACTAAGCTTCATAAGTGAAGGAGAAATAAAATACTTTACAGACAAGCAAATGCTGAGAGATTTTGTCACCACCAGGCCTGCCCTAAAAGAGCTCCTGAAGGAAGCGCTAAACATGGAAAGGAACAACTGGTACCAGCCGCGGCAAAATCATGCCAAAATGTAAAGACCATCGAGACTAGGAAGAAACTGCATCAACTAACAAGCAAAATAACCAGCTAACATCATCATGACAGGATCAAATTCACACATAACAATATTAACTTTAAATGTAAATGGACTAAATGCTCCAATTAAAAGACACAGACTGGCAAATTGGATAAAGAGTCAAGACCCATCAGTGCGCTGTATTCAGGAAACCCATCTCACATGCAGAGACACACATAGGCTCAAAATAAAAGGATGGAGGAAGATCTACCAAGCAAATGGAAAACAAAAAAAGGCAGGGGTTGCAATCCTAGTCTCTGATAAAACAGACTTTCAACCAACAAAGATCAAAAGAGAAAAAGAAGGCCATTACATAATGGTAAAGGGATCAATTCAACAAGAAGAGCTAACTATCCTAAATATATATGCACCCAATACAGGAGCACCCAGATTCATAAAGCAAGTCCTGAGTGACCTACAAAGAGACTTAGACTCCCACACATTATTAATGGGAGACTTTAACACCCCACTGTCAACATTAGACAGATCAATGAGACAGAAAGTTAACAAGGATACCCAGGAATTGAACTCAGCTCTGCACCAAGCAGACCTAATAGACATCTACAGAACTCTCCACCCCAAATCAACAGAATATACATTTTTTTCAGCACCACACCACACCTATTCCAAAATTGACCACATACTTGGAAGTAAAGCTCTCCTCAGCAAATGTAAAAGAGCAGAAATTATAACAAACTGTCTCTCAGACCACAGTGCAATCAAACTAGAACTCAGGATTAAGAATCTCACTCAAAACTGCTCAACTACGTGGAAACTGAATAACCTACTCCTGATTGACTACTGGGTACATAATGAAATGAAGGCAGAAATAAAGATCTTCTTTGAAACCAACGAGAACAAAGACACAACATACCAGAATCTCTGGGACGCATTCAAAGCAGTGTGTAGAGGGAAATTTATAGCACTAAATGCCCACAAGAGAAAGCAGGAAAGATCCAAAATTGACACCCTAACATCACAATTAAAAGAACTAGAAAAGCAAGAGCAAACACATTCAAAAGCTAGCAGAAGGCAAGAAATAACTAAAATCAGAGCAGAACTGAAGGAAATAGAGACACAAAAAACCCTTCAAAAAATTAATGAAACCAGGAGCTGGTTTTTTGAAAGGATCAACAAATTGATAGACTGTTAGCAAGACTAATAAAGAAAAAAAGAGAGAAGAATCAAATAGACGCAATAAAAAATGATAAAGGGGATATCACCACTGATCCCACAGAAATACAAACTACCATCAGAGAATACTACAAACACCTCTACACAAATAAACTAGAAAATCTAGAAGAAATGGATAAATTCCTCGACACATACACTCTCCCAAGACTAAACCAGGAAGAAGTTGAATCTCTGAATAGACCAATAACAGGATCTGAAATTGTGGCAATAATCAATAGCTTACCAACCAAAAAGAGTCCAGGACCAGATGGATTCACAGCCGAATTCTATCAGAGGTGCAAGGAGGAACTGGTACCATTCCTTCTGAAACTATTCCAATCAATAGAAAAAGAGGGAATCCTCCCTAACTCATTTTCTGAGGCCAGCATCATCCTGATACCAAAGCCGGGCAGAGACATAACCAAAAAAGAGAATTTTAGACCAATATCCTTGATGAACATTGATGCAAAAATCCTCAATAAAATACTGGCAAACCAAATCCAGCAGCCCATCAAAAAGCTTATCCACCATGGTCAAGTGGGCTTCATCCCTGGGATGCAAGGCTGGTTCAATATACGCAAATCAATAAATGTAATCCAGCATATAAACAGAACCAAAGACAAAAACCACATGATTATCTCAATAGATGCAGAAAAGGCCTTTGACAAAATTCAACAACGCTTCATGCTAAAAACTCTCAATAAATTGGGTATTGATGGGACATATTTCAAAATAATGAGAGCTATCTATGACAAACCCACAGCCAATATCATACTGAATGGGCAAAAACTGGAAGCATTCCCTTTGCAAACTGGCACAAGACAGGGATGCCCTCTCTCCACAGTCCTATTCAACATAGTGTTGGAAGTTCTGGCCAGGGCAATTAGGCAGGAGAAGGAAATAAAGGGTATTCAATTAGGAAAAGAGGAAGTCAAATTGTCCCTGTTTGCAGACGACATGATTGTATATCTAGAAAACCCCATTGTCTCAGTCCAAAATCTCCTTAAGCTGATAAGCAACTTCAGCAAAGTCTCAGGATACAAAATCAATGTACAAAAATCACAAGCATTCTTATACACCAACAACAGACAAACAGAGAGCCAAATCATGAGTGAACTCCCATTCACAATTGCTTCAAAGAGAATAAAATACCTAGGAATCCAACTTACAAGGGATGTGAAGGACCTCTTCAAGGAGAACTACAAACCACTGCTCAAGGAAATAAAAGAGGATACAAACAAATGGAAGAATATTCCATGCTCATGGGTAGGAAGAATCAATATCGTGAAAATGGCCATACTGCCCAAGGTAATTTACAGATTCAATGCCATCCCCATCAAGCTACCAATGACTTTCTTCACAGAATTGGAAAAAACTACTTTAAAGTTCATATGGAACCAAAAAAGATCCCGCATCGCCAAGTCAATCCTCAGCCAAAAGAACAAAGCTGGAGGCATCACGCTACCTGACTTCAAACTATACTACAAGCCTACAGTAACCAAAACAGCATGGTACTGGTACCAAAACAGAGATATAGATCGATGGAACAGAACAGAGCCCTCAGAAATAATACCATACATCTACAACCATCTGGTCTTTGACAAACCTGAGAGAAACAAGCAATGGGGAAAGGATTCCCTATTTAATAAATGGTGCTGGGAAAACTGGCTAGCCATATGTAGAAAGCTGAAACTGGATCCCTTCCTTACACCTTATACAAAAATCAATTCAAGATGGATTAAAGACTTAAATGTTAGACCTAAAACCATAAACACCCTAGAAGAAAACCTAGGCACTACCATTCAGGACATAGGCACGGGCAAGGACTTCATGTCTAAAACACCAAAAGCAATGGCAACAAAAGCCAAAATTGACAAATGGGATCTAATTAAACTAAAGAGCTTCTGCACAGCAAAAGAAACTACCATCAGAGTGAACAGGCAACCTACAAAATGGGAGAAAATTTTTGCAACCTACTCATCTGACAAAGGGCTAATATCCAGAATCTACAATGAACTCAAACAAATTTACAAGAAAAAAACAAACAACCCCATCAAAAAGTGGGCGAAGGACATGAACAGACACTTCTCAAAAGAAGACATTTATGCAGCCAAAAAACACATGAAAAAATGCTCACCATCACTGGCCATCAGAGAAATGCAAATCAAAACCACAATGAGATACCATCTCACACCAGTTAGAATGGCAATCATTAATAAGTCAGGAAACAACAGGTGCTGGAGAGGATGTGGAGAAGTAGGAACACTTTTACACTGTTGGTGGGACTGTAACCTAGTTCAACCATTGTGGAAGTCAGTGTGGCGATTCCTCAGGGATCTAGAACTAGAAATACCATTTGACCCAGCCATCCCATTACTGGGTATATACCCAAAGGACTATAAATCATGCTGCTATAAAGACACATGCACACGTATGTTTATTGTGGCATTATTCACAATAGCAAAGACTTGGAACCAACCCAAATGTCCAACAATGATGGACTGGATTAAGAAAATGTGGCACATATATACCATGGAATACTATGCAGCCATAAAAAATGATGAGTTCATGTCCTTTGTAGGGACATGGATGAAATTGGAAATCATCATTCTCAGTAAACTATCGCAAGAACAAAAAACCAAACACCGCATATTCTCACTCATAGGTGGGAATTGAACAATGAGAACACATGGACACAGGAAGGGGAACATCACACTGTGGGGACTGTTGTGGGGTGGGGGGAGGGGGGAGGGATAGCATTGGGAGATATACCTAATGCTAGATGACGAGTTAGTGGGTGCAGCGCACCAGCATGGCACATGTATACGTATGTAACTAACCTGCACATTGTGCACATGTACCCTAAAACTTAAAGTATAACAATAATAAATAAAAAACATTAAAAAAAAAAGAAATGTCCAGATACAATTGTGGACTTGACTATTTCTCCTTTCTATTCTATAGTTTTTGCTGCACACATTTTGTATCTCTGTTATTTGGTGTATATAGATGTAATATTGTTACATTTTTCTTGTGAATTGACAGTTTTATCATTATGCAATGTCCGTCTCTGTCACTGGTAATTTTCTTTGCTCTGAGGCTATATTAACATAGCTTCTCCTGATTTCTTTTGATTAATCTTTGCATGGCTTAATATTTTCTGTCCTTTTGCTTGCAACCTACCTATACTACTACAGGAGAAGTGAGTGTCTTTTAAACAGCATGTAATTGAGGATTTAAAAAAACACGCTAGTACTTTGGGAGGCTGAGGAAGGTGGATAACTCAAGGCTAGGAGTTCGAGAGCAGCCTGGCCAACATGGTGAAACCCCATCTCTACTAAAAATACAAAAAAAAAAAAAAATTAGCCAGATGTGGTGGCATGTATTTGTAATCCCAGCTGCTCAGGAGGATGAGGCAGCAGAATCACTTGAACCCAGGAGGCAGAGGTTGCAGTGAGCTGAGATCAGGCCACCACACTCCAGCCTGGGTGACAGAGTGAGACTCCATCTGAATAAAATAAAATAAAATAAAATAAAATATAATAAAATAAAATAAAAATCCACTAGCAAATCTCTTTTAATTAGTGTATTTATACAATTTATGTTGAATGTAATTATTGCTATGTTAGGGCTTAATTACGCTATTTTACTGTTGGTTTTCTGTTCTCTCTGTGTTTTGTTTCTCTATTTTCTTTTTACTGTCTTCCTTTGTGTTTATTTAACTTTTTACTCTTTTTTTAGAATTCAATTTTTATTTATCTGTAGTATTTTTATCCCTTCTTGGCCTTTTGGCTAAGATCAAGTGTAGTATCTATAGTGTTTCTGAGTGTATCTCTTTGTATAACTTCCTCACTAGTTGCATTAGTTATTACATTATATATACATAACTTACGTAATTATACTTGTGCCAGTATTTTACCTGTTCAAGTGATGTATAGAAAATTTACCTCTGTTCACATATTTTGATCCTCCTCCATATAATATATAATTGTTTTAAATGTTTTCTACACCACAAACACATTTGAGAGTGTTCAATTATATTTATCCGTATATTCCCTCTTTTTATTCTTTCTTCCTTCCTGATAGTCCAAGATTTAAAAAAATCATTTCTATTCTTTTTAGAGAACTTCTTTAGCCATTCTTTAGGGTAGGTCTGGTAAAAAAAAAAAAATCTCTTAGGTTTTCTTTATTTGAGAAGGTATTGATTTCTCTTTCTTTCTTGAAGGATGTTTTTACTATATATAGATTATTGAGCTGACAGTTCTTTTCTTTCAGCACTTGAAAAATATTGTGCCACTTTCTTGCACCTTCAGTAGTTTCTAATGAGGAACTCCCTTTAGTTCTAATTGGTATTCCCCTCTAGATAAGGTGTCATTTTTCTCTAGTGGCTTTTTAATTTTTTTCTTTGACTTTAGTTTCCTGAAGTTTAATTATGATGTGCACCTTTGAATTTATCTTGTTTCGGGTGTGCTCAACTTCTTGAATCTGTTGGTTTGTGTCTTCTGCCACATTTGGGAAATTCTTTTAAAATTTTTATTATATATTATATAATTTACAGAAAGGGATGGGGTCTCACTATGTTGATCAGGCTCATCTCAAACTCCAGGCCTCAATTGATCCTCCTGCAAAGTCTCCCAATGTGCTGGAATTACAGGTATCAGCCACTACATTGGGCCCAAATTTGGGAAATTCTTGGCCATTATATATTCAGTCTTTTTCCTTTTTACCTAAAACTTCAAACTTTTAAAGTTTTCCCCACTCTTCTGAGATTCTAATGACCAGAATGCTAGTTATTTTTTTTATAGTGCCGTATGTCCCTGGACTCTTTTCATTTTTCCCCTGTTATTCAAAGTGATTAATTTCTATTGTTCTATATTCAAGTTTAATGATTTCTTCCTCAGTCCTGTCTATTCTGCTGCTGAGCCCATTAACTCTTAAAATCAGCTATTGTATTGTTCATTTCTAATATATCCATGAGCTGTTTCTTATATCTTTAATTTTTGCTGAGAATTTCTATTCCTTTGATGAGACTTTCTACTTTTTTATTTGTTTCGTGTGTTTGTAATTTTGTGTTGAAACATTATTATAATGTATGATGATAAGTCCCTATAAGATAATTATATATCTGTCGACATTGGATTGGTATCTGTTGATTTGATTGTCTTACTTTTTGCAAGTTGAGATTTTTCTAGTTCTTGGTATAATTTTTTGTTGAAATCTGGATATTTCAGTTGTTATGATATTCTTGATTTTATTTAAATTTTACGTTTTAACTGACTTCCTCTGACATCTGCTAGGTTAGGGTGGAAGTTCAGGTTTTCATTTGGTCTTTATTGGCATAGGGTAGTATGTAGAAGAGATCCTCATTACTACTCCCTATGTGGCCAATATTATCATTATGTCTCATTATTGCCAACAGTGGTGGAAGTCTCTACTTCCCACTGGCCTATGACATCACCCTGACAAGGATGTCAGGGCACCTTGTTTTAGTGCGGGGAAGGTGCAAGTCTAAGTTCTTCATTTGGTCTTTGCTCCAGGAGTGGGAATGGGTCAAACATTTTCTGTGGTTTGTGGTCAGAGAGTGCTTATTGTCTAAAAGTTTTCTTTTTTAGCTAGAGAGAATAGGCTTTTCTTACCACTTCTTTCTTTGGTAGTGGCCTTTGATGATTTTATATTTACAGTGTCTTTGTTACCTGGATTGGAAATAAGAAGCAAAAAGAATACTCAAGGAACTCACCACAATGCCATTCCTTGGTCCTGAGGTCTCTATCTTGTCTGCCTTTTTCTTTTCACCTTTCTGTCTTCTTGTGGTTGTTTCATATATAATCTCCAGGGATTTTATCTGTACTTTGCAGGAGAAATAGGAAACAATACATACATTCCATTTTTCCAGAAGAAGTTCATACATATTTGAATAATTAATTTATCTGTCTTGTCTTTTATGGCTTCTGGGTTTGTATCATACTTAGAAAGTTCTCCACTCTGGAATTGAAGACAAGATACCCCATGTTGGCTTCTAGTACTTTGTTTTCATTTTTAACTCACACCTTTGATCCACTTCAAATTTATTTTGGCGTATGGAGTGAGATTGGGAGCCAACTTTATTTTTTCCATTGGAAAATCCATTTGTCTCAGCAACATTTGTTGATAAAGCCATCTATTATTTTTCTTACTTAAGTGCCGTCTTTTTCATATACCAAATTCTAACATGACTTGGGTTTCTTTTTGGCTCTCTATTTCGTCTCATTGATCTCATGAACCAGTGTCGTTGAGATTTGCTTTACCTTTACCTTATTATACATGAAATGTTGTATTTCATTATTGTTTCATTATTTTTTTTTTGGTAGAAAGGCCTTGGTTGTGTTCTTCAGGTTTTTTCCAGAGAAATTTTTAAATAAGCTTGATTAATTTTTTTTAAAATGTTACCTGTTTTAATAGGATCACATTAATATTATAATTAAATTTTAAGTATATCTTTCCATTTACTTAAATGTAGTTTTATGACACAACCTGATGTTTTAAATATTTTTCATGTGGGCCCTGCACATTTCTCAGTAGCTTTATTCCTAGAGTTCATTTTTTTGGTGTTTGCTATTACAGTTGCAACTGTAAATGTAATGTCTTTTTTCATGACATCTAAAAAATGTATTTATATAGCAACACATGCATTTTTAAATTTTTATCTTTATGTCATCCATCTTACTAATTTCTGCTATCCTTTAAAGAACTAAGTATACCAGCCTGGGCAACATAGCAAGACCCTATCTCCACAAAAAAAAATTAAAAAAAATTAGCCAATTGTAGCGGTATGCGCCTGTGGTCCCAGCTACTCGGGAGGCTGAGGTGGGAGAATCACTTGAGCCTGAGGGGTCAAGGCTGCAATGAGCTGTGATTGCACCACTGCACTCCAGCTTGATTGACAGAGTGAGAGCCTGTCTAAAAAAAAGAAAGAACTAAATATATATATAAGCCTATATCTTACATAAATAAACTATACATTTTGATTAATTTCTTATTTTTTTTGTTCTTTGGAGACAAGGTTTCATTCTGTCACCCAGGCTGGAGTGCAGTGGCACGGTCATGTCTCACTGCAGCCTTGAACTCTTAAGCTCCAGTGAGTGATCCTTTGGCCTCAGCCTCCAAAGTAAAGTAGCTGGGACTATAGGCACCCAACTAATTTTTTATATTTTTTAAGAGATGGGGTCCTGAGTTTCTGGTATTTCAAGCATTAGCCACTGCATTCAGCTTATTTGGATTAATTTTGAATGATATTAAAATCTTAATATTAAAATGATAATCACCTTTTGTGCTAGGAAAATATTTATAGTAATCATTTTTTCTACTTACAGTATATTTATTTCAATGATTTTCTTAGGTCTAAATTACAACGTTGTGTGGTGGGGCTTTTTATATAATTTATTTTGAAATATTGCAACCTTATTAAAAATTGAAAAAACTAAAAAATTCACATATTATTTTACTCATATTAGACAATTGCTAGCATTTTAGCATATTTGCTCTCTCTTTTTCCCCCTCTCTCTCCACACACACACACACACACACAAACACACAACCCTTTTAAAATGAGTACTACTGCTCTTTAAAAAACAAACAAACAAAACCACTACTCACTTAAAAATATTCTTTTTAAAAACTAATTGAATTGAGAGCAAGGTTCAGACATTATGCCCAACTGCCCCAAAATATGCCACTGTGTGCTTCTCAAAAGCAAGGACATTATCTTTCATAGTCACAAATAGAAATATCCAAATCAGCAAATAAACATTGATACAGCACTATGACCCAACCCAAAGACTTTATTCAAATTTTTCCAAGTATCCCAACCATGTCTCTTTCTATTCTGTGGTCCAGGATCCAATCCAGAGTCACGTGTTACATTTAATTTTCATGTATTTTTAGTCTCCTAAAGTCTGGAACATTTCCTCAGTCTTTCTTGACTTTCATGATCTTGACAGTATAAAGAGTACATGTCTTTCATTTTGTATGATGTCCCTCAACCCTTGTTTATTTGGTAACTACTCCTGTCCAAACTCAGGTCATGTATTCCTGGCAAGAAGACTGTAGTAATAATGCCATACTGTAAGCAGAGTAATGCATCAAGGGGGGTATTATGGCAACTCTGTTCCACCAGTGATGATGATAATGTTCATTACCTGGGCAAGGTGGTGTCTGCCATGTTTCCCCAACAAGGAGTCACATTTTTTCTCCTTGTAATTGTTATGTATTTTGTAAGAAGATCCTCTGAGTCTATTCTACTATTCTGTTCTTCAAACACCCACTCACCTGCCTTAGCATTCATTGATGATCGCTGCCTAAATCAACCACTACTATGGTCATTCTTAAGTGGTCATGTTTATCTTTATATCATTCCTTCTACATTCATTAGTTAACATTCTACTCTAAGGAAGTTTCACGTCCTCATTTTCTTTTTATTTCTTTCATTTTGAAATTTTGATATGGACTCATGGATGGATTCCTATATTATTCACTTGATTGTTATCCTTTACTAACATTATTTATTTTGACACTAAAATTATCCTATATTTGGATATAGGAGCTAGTGAGAGACCTTTCAGACCTGCTCCAGTGTTCTTTACACACATCCCTATCATTCTTTGATCTCCTCCTTACTTTCAAAAACAACAACATGTTCCAGGATCATGTACTTTCCCTGCTCCAGTTCTAGAATCAATCATTTTACAAGGATCCCTGAGTCCTTTTAGAGGGGGTGATATTTAGAACCCAAGATCTGTTCACTTAGTGGCCTCTAACAGACATAGGAAATATGTGTTTGTATATGTGTGTGAGTACACAACACATTCACACTGCACACATATCTATATTTCTCTGTGTGTGTGAGTGTGTATGTGTATGTGTGTAAAGCATGAGTACATATCGATAGCTCCAATTAAAATCCCAAACACCAGGAATCTTTCTAGCCTTTTCCCTCCCTACATTTGTAAATCACTTTCTGACAGCGAGAAAGCTAGCTCCTATTATTCTCAATATATTTACTAATATGTTCAATACTCTTGTATATAATCAATCTCCTGACTACATTAGTGACCTCCTCAGCTAATGGACCTATTGCCATTTCCTCAGCCTGTTGCCTCCTCACTTTGCCACCTTCTAAATCTATTACACCACCAACTCCAAGAGAAGAGGAAGGAAAAAGAAGAGAATTTTCTTACTGTTTTTAATGATTTACATGTATTTCTTCTGTTGCTTTAAGGTAAACAATTATATCATCTATGAAAAATGAAAATTTTAACTACTTTCCAATGTTGATGGCATTTTTAGAAATCCTTATCTATTTGTACTAGGAAATGCCCCCAAATAATGTTAAATAATAGAGATGATAGTGGATATCCTTGCCTTATTTCAGACTTTAATAGTAATACTTCTGGTATCTCGCCATTTAGCAGGTTGCTAGTATTTTCCTTCCTCACTTTCTGTTTCTTTTTCAATCTTTCTCAGTTTATTTTGTCTTGTTAGTAATAGCTTCCATTTACTAATCAAGCATGACCATTTAATTTCATAAAATAAATACTGTTGTTTATGGAAATGATTATACATTTTTTCCATGTTTAATTGTGTTAATGGATTTCCTAATATTGAAATCTCTTTGACTTTCTGGTATAAAACCCACTTTCTTGGTGTATTTTTCTTTTAATTAGTTGATGGGTTCTATTTGCTAATATCTAATTTGGTACTTTTGCATTAGTGTTAATAATTGAGAATTGGGCATAGTTTTGTCAGTTTTTGGTATCTGTTTGGAAGCTTTTCTTCTTTCTCTATGCTCTGAAACAGATTAAATAGCATTAAAGTACTCTGTTCCTTTAAAATCGAATAGAATTGAAGACTTGTAGTTTCAGCTCCAATATTTAAAGAGCTTGAAAGTCATCACTTCCTAATAGACTTAAAATTTTTCCCAGTAATAACAGTAACAATGTATTGGGTGATTTTAGCATATTTCTATACACTAGTATTGAATGATTCAAAGAGGAAATTAAGAAAACAATTTCATTTACGATAGCATCAAAAAGAATAAAATACTTAGGAATAAATTTAACCAAGAAAACACAAGACTTGCCTGCTGAAAACTACATAACACTGCTGAAATAAATTAAAGAAGACCTAAATAAATGGGAGACACCTGGTTCAAGAATTGGCCGACTACATATTGTTAACAATACTACCTAAAAAAAATATAGTTTTAATGCCGTCTCAAACCTAATCTCAATGCCCTGTTATTGTTTTGTTTTATTTTTGCAGAAATGGAGAAGCTGATTCTAAAATTAATATGGGATTGCAAGGGTGACAAAATAGCCAAAACAATCTTGAGAAAGAAAACAAAGTTGGAACATTCATACTACCTGATTTTACAACTTACTTAAAGTTACAGTAATCAAAAGGGTGTGGTATTGGCCTAAGGACAAAAATATAGACCAATGGAAGAGAATTGAGAGCACAGAAATAAACACTCACATCTATATCAATTTATATTTGACAAGGGTTTCAAGACCATTGAATGGAAATAGAACAATTGTCTTCAACAAAAAGTGCTGGAAAACTGAAATATTCACATGCAAAAGAATGAGGTTTGACCCTTAACTTTAATCTCATAACAACATTAACTCAAAATGAACCAAAGACCTAAATTTAAGAGCTAAAACTGTAAAACTTTTAGAAGCAAATGGGGAAATCTGCATGACCTGGGATTTGTCAATGGTTTCTTTTAGTATCCTCCAGTAAAAGGAATCAGGACTCCTTGAAGAAATTGCTGATTCTAGGACCAAGGCAGGAATTATATAAAATGAGACTGAAGCATCTTGCAGTGTCAGAAAATAGGAAAGTGCTTTTAAAAATCCCTAAAAAAATGGGTATATGTCAAGGGGACATGGGAGCCAACTAAAAGAGCTCTGAATGGGTAAAACCAGAATATTTTTTGCTGTTGTTGAATCAATAACCAATACCACACGTTAGTTTGTTAATGAAACATCCCCAAGGGTCTTTCATTGGAAGGGATCTTCCTCCCTGTTTTAGGCCTTTGTACATTTTTAATTCCACATGTGTTACAGATTTATCAATTTCTGCCTTTCACTGTACTCACATAATTTATGTTTCCTTTTAAATTAATTAACTTTTAATTGACAAATAAAAACTGTACATATTTGTTATATACAACATTATGTTTTGAAATACGTATAAATTGTGGAATGACTAAATTGAACTAATTAACGTATATACTATCTCACATACTTATCATTATTTTGTGGTGAGAACACTCAAAATCTACAGTCCCAGTGACTTTCAAGAATCTGGTACTTGTTATTGACTATAGTTAACATGCTGTACAATAGATCTCTTGAACTAATTCCTCCTGTTAACTGGAATTTTGTATCATTTTACCAACATTTCTCTAACCCACTCCTTCCCCAAGAAACAATTTGGGCCTGGTGCTTTCAGGGGAGAATTTGTCTTCAACAATTTTCTCAATTTCTTATTTGGTAATTGGTTTGATTATATTGTCTATGTGTTCTGGGAGTCAGTTTGGTACTTTCTATTGTCAAAAAGTTGAAAATTCCAGGTTTTCAAGCTTGTTTGTTAGAAGTACAATAGGATTTTGAGACATGCAAGCAGCATCAGTCCCATAAGCTCCCAACTCAATACCTGGACCTTTTCCTGCTCCTCCAGCTAGGACAACTAAATCCCCCATCTGCAAGCTCTGCCTCAGTTTCTCCACTCCAGACTTGCTTTTCTCTCTAGTCCCCTCATTATAAGTTGGTCTTATGGTATGGAGTCCCCAAGTCCCTATATTAACTTCCTATCAACATCCCCTCCTTCCTTAGCAATATATCAGTACCCGGGACTGAGCTGGGTTTTTCTGTCTTCTGCTGGATTTGCTTTCCTAGACCTTGCAGAACTGGAGCTCCAAACAGACACCCGCACCCTCAATGCTACCTAATTTTATTATCCAGAGCAAATTCATGCCCTACTCTGGTTTCAACATGTTTGCTAGACCTCCTCTTTGCCACCTGTTTTATTTGCTACCAGGGAACCATCCTTTGGAGCCTTCTCCATGTCCCTCCAATTGTAAGTGGCACCCACCGGAGTTATGAAACATGGCAGTCACCGTCCGTTTCCTTTTTCAGGAATCCTTTCTGGCACTCAAGAGTTTTCAATTCAATCCTGATGAATGAATCATTATTTGATACCAGCCTAAGTGAAGACTCTGCCTGGTGACTTTTGCAAGGTAAAAGGGAGAATTATTTTCATTCACAAATTTCTCCCCTATTTCCTCCTTTGAAATGAATTTTTGATTCCAGCCTTCCATACTAGGTAGGGGTTTCTTGGGGCTTACTTGCACAAATTTTCCCTTCAACAGAAGGTGCCTTAAAGCAACTAGCAACAGCGAAGAGCAATTTAAGAAAATACTGCTAAAGCACAGAAGCTAAAGCAGATTGATTTTAGTTTCCAAGCTGCCCTCAGCAGCTGACCACCAATATATCTGCCTGTTCAGGGATGCTTGAAGGGATTTAGCATTTTGTTTGGGCTTTTGTAGCAAGAATTCTGAGATCATTGCCTTAATAGAAGACACACACCCAGGGGAGCAACTACAAACTGCTTTAGCAAAAGAATCTCTACGAACTGTTTTCTGAAAGAGAGAGCATCACTTTCAAAGGACAGTACTTTTACAACAGAAAACTTTGCAAATGTTTTAAACAGTTCTTTTTTAAATGTTACCAATCCCCCAGGTGGTTTCTGGCTGCAACATGGGAAGATTTGGGATCAGTGAGATGGAAGAGATTTTTCTGGCTACTAGCGTTCCTAAGAAAGGTGATGGGGGTTGAAATAGCTGCCTGGTGGGTGGTGGGTTCTATATTCTATAAAAAGTGGGGAGGGCTGGCCAGGCAGGTGTTAGATAAGCATGTACTGGGGTTTTGTGAAGGGGATTCCTGCTCCAGGTAACCATTTGTATTGATTGGTTTTTGGGAGCCCTTTAAAAGCACACAATTCTTGTTTTTTGTTTTTTTTTTTTTGAGATGGAATTTCAGTCTGTCTCCCAGGCTGCTGGGCTTGCTGCAACCTCTGCCTCCTGGGTTCAAGCGATTCTCCTGCCTCAGCCTCCTGAGTAGCTGGGATTACAGGCATGCGCCACCATGCCCAGCTAATTTTTGTATTTTTAGTAGAGACGAGGTTTCGCCATGTTGGCCAGGCTGGCCTCGAATCCCTGACCTCAGGTGGTCCACCCACCTCAGCCTCCCAAACAATTTTTGCTTTTATGTTACATGAATTCAAAAGGAGGAGAAAATCAATGAGGGCTGACAACACTGGGAAACTTCTTAGAGGAGGTGGAAATGGAAATGCTGGGACAAAATCCAGTCTGGAGTCTTGTCTGCCGATTTGCTGAATCAAAACAAACTGTAGGGATTTCATTAAGATACAGATTCCCAAGCCTTTACTCCTTCATTCTCTAACCTTTGTAATCTAGGAGGAATCTAAAAGATTCACTCTGAAATCTGTGTAGTCACTAGAAGCTTGGTTCCTTGATAGAAAACCTGGGACACAGCACGAAGGCCCCAGGTGCTCATTGGCTATCCCAGAGATGAGTTGGAGGTGGAGTCTTGGCATGAGCAGCAAACTGTGGGGCAAAGGAGAGTGATGTGGAGGTGGGGAATAGTGGATGGGTAAACATCTGTGCCTCAAGTGGAGCTGCATCTATCCACAATAGAATAAAAGGCTTGTGAATTTTGGGGAGTATTTTTAGGGTCTTGTTACCCAAATATCGGTGCAACAGCTCCACATGCAAGCCAGTGAGCTTGATGAAACCTGCCCACAAGATGTGCTATCAAACTTGCTTTTCTCTGAATCACAGATGGCTTGATTCACCAGAACATTTTAGGCTCAGCACTTGCTGCCATATCTCTGGCATTGATGGGTGTGGTTGCTCTACTAATTCCTAGGGCAGGGCAGCGCTGATTAGGGTTTGCCAGACTTGTAGACCTGTATTTTGGCCTACCTGTTGCTTTCATAGCTTTGGATGCTCAGAGTGGAAGGTGCTTAACTAAGTAGGCATTTGGATATGTGAGTCTAAAGCCAAGAAGATTTCAGTGTCGCTCTGGTGAAGTTGGATAATCTCCTTATAGAATTATTGCATGAAAAGACAAGGGTACCAGGTTGCTGCTGAATTTTATTGTGTCCTCTTGTCCTTCTGGTCAGAACCTCCCTGGAATTTTCTTCCTCACCCTTTCATGGCCTTCTGTCATGCAGAAGGGAGGTTTTGAGTTCGTATACAGATCTCTCAACAGCATGAGTCAGTAGAGACAGAGTTAATCCCACCTGCCCTGGTCTCTAAATATTATTTCATATGCTTCCTGTAGGCTTGGTGCTCTCACCTCCTGCTGTTAATCAGAAGTTTTATTATTGCCTCGCTTAGCCAATCTGCAAAGCACTCACTCCCTCTTCCCCAGACACGCGTCAGTGTCTCTAGCCCAGGGCTTCTCACGAAGCTGGTGCTCAGCTGTTGAATAAAGTCATGACTTCAGTGCTGCAGTGACCACTTGTAAAGGCCATGTTTTCGTTTTCTCAGAAAAACAAACTGCAATTTAGGTACACTATCACTAGGTGGAACTAGTCTGTTAGAGCAACTTATGTCCAAGTTTGAGCTCTGGCTATGTTGCAGATAAATAAGTGCACTGTTCAGACTTTTTCTAGAATCATAAATAAGTCCCTTTATTAAAACTGTTGAACTCCAATTTAGACAGCAGAGTAGATAATTCTTTTAAATGCAACGAGCACCCCAGGTAGAGTCTGTTACCTTTCTTTATTGATCTCTTCATTTCCCTTCATCATTTCAACTGGAATCTTAACTTAGCATCAAGAGTCTCTTCGGTACTTTTCATTCAGCCTTGGAGCTACTTTGACGTCAAAGCCCCTCAGATGCGTATCTCTCAATGCTAGCAAAGCCTGAAGTGTAGGTCTCAGTCACAGGCAGTCTATTCACCTTGCCTCGACTGTTTGAGCTAATTATAGAGAACAACCTCTTTGCCCACTAAGGAAGAGAAATAGGCTTCACAGAGGTGTGATGGTGCTGAAAGTGTACAAGCTACCCCCTCCCTTGGTCACTTTTCTTCAAATCAGAAAATATACTTTCTTACTTGACACCTTCTAGATTCCCTCCTCCCATCAGCTCTCTGAACTCGCTGGGGGCTGCTGGCTTAATTTCCACAATAGCTGCAGTTAATTAGTATCCCAGGGTAACTGACTTCCCTTAGCAACAGAAGTAACAATGGCTTCGGCTCACAAATTACCTTAGCTATGGTTTTCTTCCGCTGGTAAAACATATTTAATACTCAAACACAGGTTTTGAACAGCAAATTAATGTGATGTCTACTCATCAACAAATATTTATTAAGCTCCTACTGTGTGCAAGTCAGAGAACTAACCACTGAGTATAGAGAGTTGAATTTGCTATGGTCCTTTCTCGTGAGGAACCAAAAAATGAATTGGGAAAAGAAGATATGAAATCAAGTAAGTCTACGACATGATAGCATTAAATGCAGGGCTTGGTTTGAAGACTTGGAAGTTGTCTGAGGAGAGTGAAGGTCTTTGGGGCTGGGTGAGGTGAGTCTTGAACTTGACAGCCCAACTCTGGAGTCTGACAGATTTTAATTCAAATCCTAACTTTGGCACTAGCTGTGTGATCTTCAGCAAGTTACTTAAACTTTATGAGCTTCAGTTTCCTATAAACAGGGAAGACTAAAGTTCATTTCAAAAGGCTTATGTGAGGGTTAAAAATTACATAAAACACCTAGCATATTGCTGTGTCAATAATTACCCCTTTCATCATTGGTAACTCAGTGTCAAAGGAGGCTCGATAGGCTTTATCTAGGTGAAGGAGAAGGGGATAGAGTTTGCATTTGAAGGTAGTGCCAAGAGCAACTGAGACAGGCTAGGAAGGAAAGGCAGAAAAATTAGCTTACACCGAGAGGCTGGGAGTAGTAGGGACATTGTATTGGAAAGGTAGCTGAGATTTTGTCACAAGAACTCTCAGTTAAAATGTCAAAGCTGGAAGGGACCTTTAAAAATAATCTGATGGTCCAAGCTTTTCATTTGACTGATGACACGACTTTCCTTTCATGGATCCTAAGTTTCCTCCTAAGATTTCTCTTTTAATTGTGAAGTAGAGTTTTACTTTTAAATTAAATGTAAAAGTTAATATTCATCTTCTCCATATTATTCATGGTTTTAAACTTCCCTCACGTTTCCTCTCAACAGAGCTTTAGTGTTTATCCAGCTATTGGTATGCAGACAACTATACCCTTATGAGAAACACTAGCAGAGAAGAAGAGTTCTTGACTGGGTCTGGGCCATGAAACTGACCGGATAAAAGTGGGAGAAGAAGAGATGTTGAAGGAGGAGTTTGCTGTTTTCTCAGTCTCCTGAGAAATTCCAGGTTTGGATGCTTCCTAAGGCCATTCCCACTCTCCTCTATCTAAACCAGAGAGAACGATTGCTTGTCCTTATCACATTATCCTTGCTTTCACTGTAAATGATGATAAATAATAATCTCTACACTTGCATTTGCATACAGCACTGCGTGCTTTTTCAAAGAACACTCAAGTCTGTTCTCACATTTGATTCTCACACCAGGCTTGGAGATATTTGAGGCATCTCCTCCCCCCAAACTCAGTTGGACAGATCAGAAAAATGAGGTCCAGCAAACTGAAATGACTTGCTCCAGAACTCACAGACAATTAATGACTAGAACCCAGGTCTTCTAACTTCCTACCAATTATTGTGAGGAGAGCCCATAAAGGAGAAAAGGACAAGGGATGATCTATGGAACATTCAAACTCCTGTCTCTAGTTGCCTTTTTCTGGTTGTTTCTTGGATATCACGCACTCTCATCAGCAGCCTTCCTACTCTTACAGATTATCAACACCTGTCCCAAAATCCTGGGGCCAGCCATGGTGCTTGGGCTTTTTTTCCCACATCTAACCATTCCGCAGCATATAACAAATCCTTGACAAATTTCCAGTGGAAAAAAATAGCAGAAACCATACACCCTCCATCTGTGAATTGATGTGGCCAAGAACAGGCTTATTTCAAAGGGTGCACCATAGAATAGTCGTAAGACTCAACCCCTCCAAGACTAGCTGGTGCTTATCCCGCCCATAGGCAGTTAAAAGGACTTTATTTGCATCTTATTCTTTCCAACAGAAAGGCAAACATTATTATTACAATTCAGTAAATTTCCATAAGGAACCCCATTGATACATGTTGTATATTTTGGGTTCTTTTGTTTCATACTGAGCATACCAACATTATATCAATATTATATTTATCTAGCATTCTCCCATATTCATAGAAATAGAGAACTCATCAGCCTTTAAAAAGAACTCAAATGCACACAAAATTTCACCCTCTAGAAAAGCATCAATGAAAATGATTTTGCAAATATATATACTTTTCAATATGTAAGTATCTACAAAAAAATTGATAATAATTAAATACCTGTAAAGTGCCATGCACTTTACCTGTATATCTCATTTAATTCTCACAACAACCCTGTGAAGTAAGAATTACTACGCCCATTTTATAGATGAACTAGCTAGGAGTCAAAGACATTGAGCCACTTGCCACACATTTACAGCACGGAGCTACAAAGATCTGGGACTTGAATCCAGATTTTCTAACTCCAGAGCCAAAGCTTTTCTTAATATGCCACAGGAGCAAGCACAGGAGCTTGCTCCAAAAGTCAAGTTAATTTTTAGGAAAGAATTAGGTAAGCAAATATTCATGAATTAGAGAATGTCTTTAATTTCAGATCCAAATCACTTGGTCACTTAAAAATAAAAGACAATAAATCATAAGGGATTCTACTTGACTTATTATCTAAAGTGATTAATAAGAATGACATTTCCCCACCAACCCCAAATGAAAAAATCAATTTGGGAAGTTTCCCAATAATTTAAACTTGAAACACTAATCTGAAAAAGAAAATCTATATATCAAAAGTCTTCATAGTATGGCACAAATAAAACAGAATCTTAATTTCCAATTTCTATTAAACTGATTTTTCTTTTAAACTGGAGCCAGAAAGCCAAAAAGCCTTCAAATCAATTGAGCCTCTTGCATTTTATTTAAGAGGTTTCATTTTTCAAACCAAAGCTGGGAAGACAAAACAAGCTTATTTAATTCACACCCCAGAATTGTAATTTCTCTGTTCAAGCCAATGTCTAAGTGCCTGTATTAAGGGCTTCCCACTGACCATAATGTGTTAATTCATCATTGCACACAATTTTCCTTTGTACTTTTAAGCTACTCTTCATTTTCCCCTTGGTTAGGGTTGCCTATACAACAGAGGACACCCAGTAAAACATAAATTTCAGATAAACAACAAATAGTCTTTACATAAGCATGCCCCCTGCAATAATTGAGACATACTTATACCCCCAAAATTATTTATCTGAAATTCACATTTAACTAGACATCCTGTATTTTTATTTGCTAAATCTGGCAACCCTATTCTTGATCCATTGTGGGTATTCCCAGGACTTCACCTCTAAACTATTATATTTTTCAAATACATTATTTGTATGTTTTGTGGTGTGTATGTGTGTGTGTGTGCACGCGCGCGTGCCTCTCAGAATGGAGGTTCTGGAGCATCTCTCACTCTTGAGACCACAGCCATCTATCACTTTGGTTATCAATGTGTCCTCTATCGTATATATAATTATGTATTATGTTATATATATATATATATACATAATTTAGTGTGAAACTAGCCAGGACCATTTTGAAAACGAAAAGTCAGTGGTGGGAGGTGGGAAGGAGTGTGTTGGGAGAAACTTTACCCACCACGTATTAAAAGGTATTATAAATCTATACTGATTAAAACAGTTTGGTTCTAGTATGTGAGTAGATAAATTAACACCACAGAATAGAGATTACCCAATTCTTTACCCCAAAATAAGTTCTAGAAATATAAAGGAGTCAAATGGAAAATGCAATTGTAAAGACACCAAGAGAAAGCATGGAATAATTATATGTAGTCTTGAAGTGAAAATGATTTTTCTAAGGAAGATGCAAAATCCAGGAAGTAAAAAGAAAAATTTCATAAATCTAGCTACATATAATTTTCAAAACTTTTTTCATGTAGAAAATATAATAAATGCAGTCAAAAAGCAATTTAGGGGAACATCTTCAATTTATCTCACTCAGGGTGGACTAAGTTATTTAATATGTAAAAATCTCTTGCAAATCAATAGAAAAAAAGCAAAATCATGAATAGAAAAATGAGTAAAGGCTATAAATGGACATTTCACTGAAAAACAGCCATACAAGTTAATAAACACACAGAAAAAGAGGCTTAACCTCACTGATGATTAAGGCAATGCAAGTTAAAGCAATAATGAAACATCATTTCCCTTCATTATATTGAAAAAGATTAAAAGCTAGATAATGTGTAGTATTGATGGGGATAGAGAGATGGGCATTTCATAACTTGTAGATGAGATTATAAATTGGTGCAACGTCTTTGGAGGGCACGATTTTGCAGTATCTTTTAATATGAAAAATGTATTTATCCTTGACTAAGTAATTCCCATTCTAGAAATGTATATTATGAAAATACTTGCACAGTATGCAAATGTATACAAGTATAAGGGTGTCCATTGCAGTATTATTTGTGTTAATGAAAAATGGGACTAAGGCAAATGTCTATTATAAGAGATAGGATAAAAAATTTAGTGCATATTCATATATTGAAATAATATTGTCAATTAAAAAATAAAACTGATCCACATGTGTGGAAATAAAATTATTTCCCAATTTAATTTGTTGAAATTTTTAAAAGACTCACAATGGTGTGCAGGTGAATGCCCTTTTTTAATAAGGAAAGATGCATATATGTACATATGTTTGTATGTGCAGAAGTAGACTGGCTTTTTTATATCCTTTTGTACTCTGAAGCTTTCTGTATGAATTGCATGTATTACTTTTTCAATAAAAAACCTAATCTATAAAAGATACCTACTTGGGGTCTTTTTTTTAAGCTTGCTGAACTCATCTCTGATTTCTTCTCTTGTTCTTATCTCAAGATCTATTTCCCAGTTATCACTGTTGCGACAGTGGGGCCCCGCAGGGAGCTGATGATAACTGGTGGCTTGCTCCCTTTCATAACACATCCCAGCAATCAGCAATTCAATTTCCTTGTACCAGAAAGGCCCTCAGTTGATGTTCGCATCCAAGAATGTAACTTCCTCCAACCCGAAAATCTTAGGGGGAAGAATATATCCCTCCAACAGTGAAGTTTAGGACATTTTGCACTTCTTCGATGGTAGCAAACTCCCACACCCACAGTTCTTGGGTTCTTTTCTGACTTTCCAGCAGATGCCACTCTCCTCAGTGCCTTTCTCCATGTTCTTATCCCTTTCTAGAATGCCCTCCCTTGCCTAGTTGGTGCTTCAAATTTTACCCATCTCTTAAGACTCAAGTCAAGTCTCACTTTTCTTCCAAGTTGACTTTCATGATTACTTCAACCTTATTCAAACACCGTTTTTTTCTTTCTCTTTCTGTCTTATTTTCATAAAAATATATTAGACATTCTAAATAATACTTTCATTACAACATTTTTCTTACATGTAACTAACACAACACAGGAATTAAGCATATGATGTTATACAAATAACACTGGTTTTAGAGTCAAACGGGTGCAAATTTTTTTCCAACTCTTACAGACCTTTAGGCAAATTGATTAAATCTTCTGCATCTCAATTTCTACATGTTGAAAGTGTGGATAACATCATCTACCGTATAGGGCTATTATAGATACTAAATGTAAAGTGACTTGCACCATACCTCATACATTATAGATGAACAACTCTTAACCTAGGAGTGCCCCCTTCTCTGATCCAACCCCTTTACTATTATTGAGAAAAGAACAACAAAAACTTGTAGTTAATAAAGCCCAGAATGAAACATAATGTGCATATTGTAGATTTTTTTCTTTATTTTTGCTCACTTTTTTTGTGGCTTTCTTATTCCTTCTCCTTTTCTTATCTCAAAATCTATTCATGCTCTGCCTCTACCACTTATCATCTGTGTGACCTTGGGTTAATTAATGAAATTTTTAGAGCCTCAGCTTTCTATCCTAAAATTGGGTTGATAATGTTGTTCTTGTAACAGGTGTTGGGAAGTTTACAGGGGATTATGTATGTGAATGTGTAAAGTGTAAAGTAGTAAAGTGCTATAACAATTTGAAGTGTTCTTATTAAATGTTCATGTAGAGTGAGATTTTAAAGTGAACAAAAGCCTTTGGAGTCCCAATGATTTATTTGCAGCTCAGATTGATGTGTCGTTTTTAGTTGGTTCACAAGCCATACTTCCAGCTGTCATCCATCAACACTTTGGCCACAGCCTGTTCTTGGCTGCCTGTCTGTATAGAATTAGTTATTCTTCTTAGCACAGCCTAGTTTTCTCCAGACAAAATCCCTTCTTTCCAAGGACAGATATCTCACCGAGTATTCAACTGACAGACCTCTTCTTTTGAATCTGCCTTGTTCCTTCTTGCACATTTTTTTGTCTTAGAGATGCTAAAACATTTTTTAAAAATTCATTAATCTACTTAGTCCACAAATATGTATTGGGCACCTACTGTTTGCCAGTTCTGTTGGCTAAGTTTTGGGGATACAGAGGTAAATAATGTACATTCCCAGCCCTCAGACTTCACAGTTGAGTAGGGGAGAGATGCATAAACAGATGTTTATGATTCATTTTGTGTGATAAGGATAATAATAAAAGTGTTTACAAGCTAAGGAAACAGTAAGTTCAGGAAAACTTCCTGAAGGAGATGTCATTCAAATTTTAAAGGATGTATAATATTTTGATAGGCAGATAAGGAAGATAAGGATATTCCATACAGAAGATACAAGGTATGAAAAGGTACAAAGTTGTGAAGCAGCACTGGGTGTAGCAAGATTATGAAGAGTTATGGAAGGAGTGTTAGGAGATGAAGTCCAGGCCAGTTTTATGGAAGTCACTGTAGCTATGCTAATGGGTGTGGATATAGGGAATGACAAGACAGTAAGCGTTTCAAAAAAGAGAGAGGCTTAATCAGTCCACGGCAGTGGCTGTCAACCCTCACCATGCATAAGAATTACCTGGGGATCCTCAGAAATATGATGTTCAGGGCCTACCCATGAGACTCTTACATAACCAATCTGTGTTAAAGCAAATATTTTGGCTTTTTAAAATTGTCCTATGGCATTCTTAAGGTGAATCCAGGGTTAAGAAAATGAGGCGCTGTGGCTCACGCCTGTAATCCCAGCACCTTGGGAGGCCAAGGCGGGTGGATCACCTGAGGTCAGGAATTCGAGACCAGCCTGGTCAACATGGTGAAACCCCGTCTCTACTAAAAGTACAAAAATTAGTCGGGCGTGGTAATGTGCGCCTGGACTCCCAGCTACTTGGGAGGCTGAGGTGGGAGGATTGCTTGAACTCAGTAGGCGGAGTTTGTAATGAGCCAAGAATGCGACACCGCACTCCAGCCTGTGCGACAGAGTAAGACTCCATCTCAAAGAAAAAAAAAAGGAAAAGAAAAAGAAAATGAGTGTAGAGTTTTCAACAGATAACTTTGATGATACTATGAATGATGCATTGAAGTTCCAGAAAGGGCAAGGCTAGAAGTAAGCAGACAAAAAGGTGGTGACATGTTAAAAAAAATCAATTGTTACCTTCCCCAAACACATCATTAGCTTCATAAAGACTCGGACTATATTTCATAATTTTTCAGTGTTGGGCTTATAACTATAGTAGGTACTCAATAAAAACTTTCTAATAGATTGATAACCAATAAACACTAACCACTTACCACTGGTATTTTTTTTGTTGTTTCCCTTGCTCCACTCACTTGGATACTGCTAAGTGTGATTTCATGTCTCCTTCCTAGAATCCATTGGTGTATACAAGAGCCATAGTATATTTTTAAATGTCACACCTCCAGTAAATAGGAATATATATATATTATCTCTCTCTCTCTATATATATATATCTATATATCTCTATATATAGATATATAGATATAGATATATATAGATATATATATATAGATATATATAGATATATAGATATATATATAGATATATATAGATATGTAGATATATATAGATATATATAGATATATAGATATAGATATAGATATATAGATATATATAGATATATAGATATAGATATAGATATAGATAGATATAGATATAGATATATAGATATATATATAGAGAGAGAGGTGAGGGGAGAGAAAGCAAGAAAGCAACATGGTAAAATGTTTATAAAGAGTGACTCTAGGTGGAGGGTATATGGGCATTATTGCACTTCTCCATAGGTTTGAAAATTTTTAACATAAAATGTTGATAATGCCACTGAACTGTATAGTTTAAAATGGTAAATTTTAAATTATATGTATTTTCCCACAATAAAAAATTTGGAAATACAGATTATGTTGATGAAGACAAGGACAAATGAGCAAATGGGCTGATGACCCAAAGCTGGGTATGAAAAGAGAGGAACACATGGATGGGAATGGAAAAGGTGGATAATAGAATCATCATTCTAAAGAATATCAGCATAATAGAATCATCATTCTAAAGAATATCAGCATACTGGTATGATGAGTGGAAATGAACAATTTCTTAGTCTTGCTTAAAGGTTTAGAACATCAACTGCACATGTAGAGGTTGGTTTGTCATGCCAGCAATCGGTGTGAAAATGCCCTGGGGCTTTTCACTTACTCTGAGCCTGATGTAAGGCAAGGGTGTGACACAGTTGCTAAATAAAGCTATACAAGTTGAGCTATCAGCAATAGACTCTGAATGTCCAAAACAATAGACATTTGAGTCTAACAGTTTGTCCTGCAGGTCAAGCCATACCTGGAACACTGCATTCCCCGAAAGAGGAGAACTTACTGACAAGTGAGTCAACAAGATGGGGAAAGTTTAAGAAGTCATCCAATTTTAGACATGGGAGAGAATGTTGTGTCTGATTACTTGTCTGCATGAGAAGGATTGCTCAGAAAGGGAGAAGCAGGTGCATAGGTAAATAATCTGTGTCTGTTACCCAGAAAACAAGAAGCTGAGTTAAAGGCTGAATAATCCATAGGGTTCTCAAGAACTAGACCCAAAGGGTTAACAGTGCAAAATTCCCAAAAGCCTGGCCAGCAGCTGTGAGGCAGGCCCACTGCAGCTGCTGCTCGGAGCTTGGCCCCACAGCCCTCTTCTCACTCCTTTTGCCACTGTCTGCCAAAGTCAGGGTAGGGCCCTGAGAAGCTTGAGAAGACAAGACAGAAAAGGAACATGAAAATTCCCTTCAAAATCTATAGGGCTAGGTGGCAATTATTGCTAAGCCCAGTTTACAGATGAGGAAACTAAGGCTTAGAACTGAACAAAAGTCACATTGCTAAGGAATGGCAGAAATGAAATTGAAACTCAGTATGTAAATCTATTATGTGTCAATAAAAATATGTAAGAATATAAAACTATGAATCCAGGTCATCATTCCTTTATGAGTTTATGTAATATTTATTGAGATCTACTTATGGTAAGCACCAGAGCTACAAAGATGAATAATACATAGTCCTTGCCCTAAAGATGCTTATAAATACCTTGAAACAGTGCAGTCAGGGTTAAAATAGGGGTCTTCACATTATGTTACATACTTATGTGGTAAAGAACTGTATTTTAACTGGAGCTGAAGTATAAGACACATGGAGAGAATGATGGGAAGTACATCTGGAAAATTGATTTGGGCCCAGATTTTGTTGGTCTGACTGTGCTATGCCAAATTGGGTGGACTTTGTGCTGTATACAGTGGAGAATTATAAACATTTCTAAAGCAGAGGAATGGCATGGTCAAATCTTCTTAACAAGATAACTCTAGAAGCAGGTGGAGGATCAACTGGGGGGAGCTGGGAAGAAAGATCACTAAAGTGGGGATTGTAGTAGCTCATATGAGAGAAAATGAAGGCCAGAAGTAAGGCAATAACAGTAGAAATATGCAAGCATGGGTATAAACAAACGTGAGAACTTTTTGGAAGGCTGAGTAAGTTACACTTTGTAACCAATTAGACATATGGGTTAAACATAAGGAAGTCAATGATGATGTCAGATTGGTAAAACATTTGACAGTTAATGAAAGTGGAGATCCAGAAAGAAGACCAGGCTGAAGGAGGTAGATGCTATTTGGCTTGGGATACACTGATCTTGAGATGATTCTATAATATCCAAGAAAGAAAGTCCAGTACAGCTAGAAATGGTACTGAAGTTGAAAAGGAATATTTCGTAAAAGTAAGAGTTTTGAAATGATAAGCTCTTGGTTGAAACTAAAAGAGAATACTGAGTCTGTTTTAGGAAGCATAGAGAAGAGAGAAGAGATGAGGGGAGAAGAGGGGAGAAAAGCAAAGGGGAGAAAAGGGGATTGGAAGGGAAAAGCAGGGAAGGGAAGGGAAAGCAGTCATGGACAACATGCATAGACTGCGTTATGACACGTAGTAGGTATACAACAAATGCAATTGTAAATTAAATTAATGTACAAATGAGTGAATAAAAGAAGCCCAACAATTGAAGATTGAGTAGAAGAGGAGCCAGAAAAAGACTGAGAAAGGGCAATGAAAGAAGTAGATCCTCCTACAGGAAATGGAGTTGTGCATGCCAAGGGAGAATAAAATTTTGAGACTAGAATTGGATGAAGAGAAGAATAAAACGGCAATGAACAATTGCCTTAAGAGGCTTGGGATCTAGTTAAGGGCCTGAATTCAGTCATTCATGATAGCAGCATACATGATTAACATGATACAATTAACATGATCATTAATAAACTCCAGAAACAATAATGAAAGGAGAGAAGGGATACTGACACAGCATCAAGCAGAGAAGCTTCCTCTGAAGGAGAGCATTCTGACTGTAACTTAAAGGAGGAGAAGCTTGAACTGCTGAGAGGAAAGAAAAGGAAAACACAGATGAGTGAATTGGTACGCATAAAGGCACAGAGGCTGGAATTGACTCAAGAGAGTAAGAAGTTGGAACTTCCTTAATATTTGGATTAGGAAAACCTCGCATACAACCAGGCAGACCCATTGTGGCACCATCATTGTCCTAATGTCCCAGTCTGATCAACAGAAGATTGTAATATTGGTTAGAATCCTGTTCTTCTCTTCTCACACCAGGCTCTGCTCCCCAACATTTACCCCAGGGATAGGTACACAGAGTCAGGATAGTGGAGTTTCTTACCCCTCAGGCCTTAATTATTGCACTCCCTCAGCCAAAGCGAATACAATTCTTACTGCTTGAAATCCCCACTCTAGGTTTCTAAATATGGGCAGTAAGTGTCAAGGCTGGAAATAATTTGGAAAGGGTTGTGGAAGGAGAGCCTTGAATGTCAGGCTGTGAAATTGGTACTTGATCCTGTAAGAGTGGGGAGACATTGAATTCTATTGAGAAGGAAATGGCACAGTGAGAACTGTGATTTAGAACTGGGAAACTTTGGTTTTGAGGGTCCTTAACTTTTAGGTTTGGATTATTACATGAAAGCCACAGCGAGACTGGGCCCCAGATCTGACCCCTTTCCTGCTATCTATGTCAAGACAGAAGTTACAGCAAGGAAGAAAGGCAAGAGTGAGGATGCAGTATATCTGGTCTCTTTACAGCCTCCTGGGCTCTGCAGTCTTCTCCCAGCTTCACTCAATTTCACTGTCATCTCCCATAATTTTATGGCCTGCCCTTCCCAGAAGGAATTAAAAATAAACCATAAATATAAATAAATGTGGAGTTCAAAACATTCTTATGCCATAAGAGATCACTGAGGTTGAACAGAGACATTAGAATTAGGATTGACAATCATAAATTGAGACCCTCACCAATCTAAAGACAAGAAGATCTCTCAAATTAGATTTCTATCTGGATCTCTGAGTCTGTGACTTGGGAGTTCTCTCCCAGATGCCTTTTGGAAATCATGGGAGAGAAATCCCAGTGTAGCAGAAAAGTGCCTTCAAGGGATGACTGATTCCTCTCACCATTATCTTTAGCTTAACTCCCTCTCTTCAGGCTGTTAATCCTCTTGTATACTATCATTACGATAGGGAATTTGGGCACGGTCATTCTCATTGGGATCAGTCTCGGTTTATATGTCTGTCTCGCCTAGATTTCTGCTATTCACTTTTTCCATGCTCAGAGTCCTAGTAAAATGTTTTTGAAGTACAGTGCTGCCCTTCTCTTTCTGGAGTCTTGAAGCACAGATTAACTTCTTCAGCATCTTGTGTATCACAGAGTTCTTTCCCTTGGCCACAATGGCCTATGATGACAATGTTGCCACTTGTGAACCTTTATTCCACCCTTTCACCAGTTTGAGACTCAACTGGCATTTGTTTGAGAAAAACTGTATCTTAGAGCCTTCACCTCAGCCCTCCCCTCAACTCTTCCGTTCCACCTCCCCTTCTTCAATTCCCACTTGTGCTCACTTCAGTGACATTACTTTCTGGGTCAAGTTGTCCTCTGAAACATGACTCCCAACTTTAAACTCCCTGATTTCTCTAACTCCAATGTGAACTTAGTAAGCCTGTGCTGTCCAACCATCTGCTGCTACCCCATCATTTTAAGGTCATTATCATCCCATAACTAATCTGAAAAACAAATTATTGATAATCATTTTTTTTCAGAATTCCACTCATTGCTCTTTATTTTCTGTTCAGATGAAAATGTTTATTAAACCATTTGAGGTATCACTGACTAGTTCATTAAAAGTAAACATTGTGTACATATTCCCTTAATGCAGATTCTTTATGCATTTTACAAGCATTAAATTTAATACACTACTAGCAATGGAAGACTTACTTGATAATAAGAGGCATGTTCAAATCTTGGTTATTAAAATGTCAATATGCAAATTGGGCCTACTTTATTGTTTTTACTGAATCTCAGAAATCTCTGCATGACTTGCATAGGTGCAAACTTGTACCATTTTCTTCAGTGACATAGCTGATTTCTTATATATCATGATACCATGAAACAAAGTCCATCATACAGTAAACTGAGGCTCAGAGAGGTTAAATCTCAAGGTCACACAAATGGTATGATGGTGGAGCTACAGTACCACTGGGATCCTATGTATATTTCCAGAGCGTGTGCCTTTTCCACTATATATTTGTGACCTGAGATCAGGGAGATTCCTATTAAATGAGAATTAGCTTGGCGGTATATCATCCTACGGTGCTTTAAAAGAGCTTGAAATTTAAAGTGGCTTGATTGACCATTTGACTTGCTTCTGACAGAGATTATGAGAGACTTAAACCTTATATGTAGCAACAAAGTCAGCATGTTTTTTGAATCAACAATTTGCAGCCTGGAATGTGATGTTTATGTTAGCTGGAGTGAAATAAAAATCCTACCTCTCTCCAGTCGTAATGGCAGTCAGTCAGAAAATATGATTTTATGTATGGCAGGCTATTTTCTTTACACCCAACTTGTTATGAATGCACTTTATCTATAAGCCCTGCATGACTGGGACCTGATTTCCTATTGCAATTACTTACACATTTCCTTGTTGTATAATAAATCTTAAGCGTACTAGTCCCCATTGCTGTGTTAGTGCACTTCATAGCTCAGAAGGCACTCAATAAATGTCCAATGACTGCCTCCCTGAATCATGTTTCTCTATTTCCCAAGCCCTTCCATTCCACCACTAGAAGTCCTCATCCACAACATGGCAGTAGAATCACCTTGACTTTCCTTGAATTAGTCAAATACCTTTATTTTGTTATCTGTATACCTTTTACATTTATGTGCATTTGTCTGAGGCTTTAAGAGCCTCCAAGGCATAAATGTTCTTTTGCTGAGTATTTTCCAATATATGGTTGTACCACAGTCTGTTTAACCACTCACCCTTTGAAGGACATTTAGATTGTTTCCAGTTTTTCACTGTTATGAACAAAGCTGCTATTAACAATTATGTCCAGGTTATTCTCTGAATATATGTTTTTATTGCTCTGGGAAAAATGACTGAGAATTCAATGACTTGGTCATATGGTTAAGTGCATGTTTAACATAACAAGGAACTACCAATCTATTTTCTAGAGTGGCTGTACCATTTTGTATTCCCAGCGGCAATGTAAAAGAATTCCAGTTGCTCCACATCCTCACCAGCTCTTGTACTCCAGTATTTTTAAGACATTCTAATAGTTGCATAATGTTACCTTATCTTGCTTTTAATTTGCATTCACCTAAAGGCTAATGATGTTGAACATCCTTTCCTGCATGTATTTGCCATCTGTATACCCTCTTCAGTGAAATGTCTGTTCATGCCTTTTGCCCATTCTCTAATTTGATGATTTTACTGTTGAGTTTTCATAGTTATCTATATACTCTAAATAAAAATCCTTTGTTGGATATATGAATGGCAAATATTTTTTCTCAGTCTTTAGCTTCCCTTTTTATTTTCATGACAGTGCCCTTGAAAGGGAAAAAGGTTTTAATTTTAACAAAGAATTATTTATCTACTTTTTTGGTTTTAGGTATTGTGTTTTGATTTTCTCTCTAAGAATTTTTCATCCAAATGCAGGTTATATGGGTTTTTACCTATGTCGTCCAAAAGTTTTAAAGATTTGGGTTTGATTTTTATATATATCCACCATTTTCAATTAATCTTTGTGTAAGTGTGAGGTTAAAGTCAAGGTTCATTTTCGATTTTTTGTGTATGAATGACTACTTGTTCTATTTGTTGAAAAGACTACTCTTTCCCCAATGAATTGCTTTTACACCTTTTTCAAAGATTAAATGTCCATATTTGTATGGGTCTATTTCTGAACTCTCCATTCTTTTCCATTGATGTGTTTATTTCTTTGTCAGTGCACACTGTATTCATTACTGTACCTTTATAGTAAGTCTTAAAATGAGTAGTACGAGTCCTTCAACTTTGTTCTTTTTTTTCAAAATTGTTTTAGCTATTTTATTTTTCTTGTCCTTTCATACAAATTTTATAATTTAGAGTTTTAGAAATTCCTGTTGTCTACAGCAACAATAGCAACAAAAAACCTGCTGGGACTTTTATTACTATTGCATTAAATCTATAGATCACTTTAGAGATAATTGATACCTTTATTACATTGAATCCTCCAATCCATACTCATGGTATGTCCCACCATTTATTTAGGTCTTTTTTGATATCTTTCATCAGCATTATATAGTGTTCAGCATACAGATCTTGCACAAATTATGTTACATTAATACTTAACTATTTCATTGTTAGAGCCATTTTAAAAGGTGGTGCATATATATTGTTATACTTTTGATTCTCAATTGTTCATTGCTTGTATTTAGAAATACAATTAAATTTTGTGTCGACCTTGCATCCTATGACACTGCGAACTCATTTATTAGTTCTAGGAAGTCTTCTTTTTACATTCCCTGGATTTTCTACATAGACAACCATGTTGTCTGCAAATAGAGACAGTTTCTTCCTTTTCTATCAGTATGTCCTTCCTTCCCTCTTCCTTCCTTCCTTTATTCCCTTCCCTCTTTTTTCTTTTATTCTGTTCTATTAATTTAATTTAATTTTTTAAAATTTTATCATTTAACAGCTTTATTGAGGTATAACTGATATACAAAGCACTGCACATATTTAATGTGCATAATTTGATTAATGTAGACATATGCAAACACCAATGATACCATCACCACAATCAAGGTATTAAACATATCCACCACTTCCCAAAGTTTCTTTGTGTCCCTTTGTTTTTGCTTTTGTTGTTATGATAAGAACACTCAACATGAGATCTACCCTCTTAACAAATTTTGAAGTGCACGATATTGTATTGTTAACTATAGGCACTATGTTGTACAGCAAATCTCTAGAACTTTCTCACTTTATATAAATAAAATTTTAAACCCATTAAACAATTCCCCATTTTTCTCTCCTCCCAGCCCCTGGCAACTACTATTGTGTTCTCTGCTTCTATCAGTTTGACTATTTTCGATACCTCATATAAGTGGAAACATGGTTATTTGTCCTTTTGTGACTGGCTTATCTCACGAAATATGCCACTTAACTTATTGGTGTGCTTCATTATGCCAAAATACTCCAGGTTCATCCGTGTTGTCACAAATGGCAAGATTTCCTTCCTTTTTAAGGCTCAGTGATATCCCATTGCATAGATATACTACTACATTTCATTATCTACTCATCTGTCAATGGACACTAGGGTTTTGTCTATATCTTGGCTATTATGAATAGTGCTGCAATGAACATGACAGGGCAGATATCTCTTGGACATATTGATTTCATTTCCTTTGTATATGTACCCAGAAGTGGGATTGCTAGATCACATAGTAGTTATATTTTTAATTCTTTGAAAAACTCCCATACTGTTTTTTATAGTGGCTGCACCATTTTGCATCCACAGCAGCAGTGTACAAGGGTTTCAGTATCACCACATCTTTGCCAACGCTTGTTATCTTTTGTTTCTTGATATGGTATATTTTCTTTTTTACTCCATTCCAAATATTTTCTAATTCCCTTTGAGATTGCCTCTTTGATTCATGGATTGTTTAAGAGGATGTTGCTTAATTTCCAAGTGATTAAAGATTTTTTTGCTATCTTTCTCTTATTGCTTTTTAGTTTAAATCAATTATGGTCAGATACTATATGTAATTTCAATTATTTTCAAGTGTGTTATGGTTTGGTGTATGATCTCAGATATAGCCTATTTTGGTAAATGTATCCCTCTATTGTTGGATGGAGTGCTCTACAAATATCAATTAGTTCCACTTAGCTGATGATGTTATTCAGTCAAATACATTTTATTATATTATGATCTTAACAGAAAATGTTGTTTACTGAGTACTTTCTATGTTACCAGTGCTGTACTAGATAATTACATGCATTATTTGTAATACTTATTTAAATGCTACAAGGTAAATATTTCATTTTACAGATTAGAAAACTGCCACTCAGAGATGTTGAGTACCATGCCTAAGATAGGACAAAAATAAGACTTTGAGACCAATATTTGATCTAAGTTCTGTTGGACTCTGAATATTATGTTCTTTTCATTATACCACCCACTTTTGGCTTGGTATATGTACTAGCTGGCATGTTGTTTAGGGAATCTTCTTCATCTTATTCATAAGTGTATATTTTGTCTTGCCACTTAGATTGTAAGCTCTCTGAAGTTAAAGAAAGACTGTCTTTTTTTTCCTTTTACTTAGTGCCTGTTAAGGCTTCAATGTACAGTAAGGACTTGATAGTTGCTGACTGAAAAACTGACGGAAAAGTCCTTCCAAAAGCCTCAGCGGGAGCAGGATGATGGTGATTGTAGCCAGTGTCCTTGAAGGGGCAACATGTTGAACTCCAGATCCAGATTATCTATTGTTGTTTCTCAATAAAGGTGTTATTGCCATGTGGAGTGAAATCACTCTTATTATAAGAATTGCTCAAGACAGTCCTGAGCACTATGGAACATTTAGCATCCCTGGACAGCTGTGGTTTAATAATAATTCTTCTGATCATTTTGTCAATCAAAAAAAATTCGACACAATTCCAAACATCCTTTATAAGGGGAATATCACCTCAGCCAAGAACAACTAACAGTGCCTGGTACATATACATTTGATAAAAGTTTGTTACATAAAAGAAACAGAAAGTACCGCTCAATGAAGGTACCACATATCTTTGAAAATTATGATAGAGCGTGTATCTCTCCTAACCTCTTTGTGGGGAAGGGATGAAGATGGTGCCTACAGTCACTCCTGAAATGCCTTTTACTTCATAAGATTCCATGAGTTTGTCCTGTGTTGCAGGTCACTATTTCAATCCATTTCAATGATGGCCAAGATTCTATAGATAAGGAGGCACTTGTGAGAATGCAAAGATAACAGTCCCTAGCCATTGTGAAAAGACCACTCCCTGACTGTCGTATTGAGTAAAAGCTACAAATTCTTGCTCAGATCCTGTGAGGAATTAAGCAACTAGGGCTAAATATGCTCCTTCTGAACAGGAAACAGGAAAAGGAACTCATTACCCCAAACTCTAAATTCAGTTTTCAATTTGGTAATTTATTAGAGTCACTTGGGAAACTTTTTACAAATATGGATGCCCATGCCCCAAACCAGACAGCAGAATCTGAAAATGGAACCTGTGTACAGTATGTTCTTAAGCTCTTAGATGAGTTTAATGTGCACCCAGTGTTGAGAACTATTCATTTTAAAGAAAAATGCTGAGTAGATTGGCAAATACATTTTCTTAAAAGATGATTTCAGTGTTCTATGGCAGAAATAGCATACGTTGTACAGTCAGAAGGACTTCAATAATCATTCCTGGCTTAGTTACATACCACCCA
This sequence comes from Homo sapiens, assembly GCF_000001405.40. NCBI lineage: Eukaryota > Metazoa > Chordata > Mammalia > Primates > Hominidae > Homo > Homo sapiens. The sequence continues at coordinate 131,347,822 of NC_000023.11, read as the reverse complement.
TTTGATCCTGGGAAAATTATTTACTTTATCTGGTTCACTTTCTTCATCTGTAAAATAGAAATAAAATTGTACCTATCTCATAGGGTTGTTGTAAGAATAACATGAAATTTTGTGATTAAATTTAGTACAATTCCTTCTACTGACTGGCTCAATAAATCTTTTAAAAATATGTAACATGAAATTGTAACCTCCAAGCTACACAAAACACATTCAGGAGCCAGGGAAGAGTAGGAGAAAATTTAATTTGGGACAGCAAATGGCCAGATGACATCATAACTAAGAGAGGACATTCATTTCAAGGAGGACAGTAAAACCTTCCATGTTCCAGGCTCCATGAAGATGAATTTTCTGGCCTCATTCAATGCACACTGGTGAAAGGACATCTCCAGAATCTGTCCCCAGTATAGGTAACTCCTCCTTCAAGCCATCAGCACAGCAATACAAAATAGGGGGAAATGCATTTGGGTATCATCAAGCCTATTCTTCACGTCCTCTCAAAATGCATGGCACAGATGGAGAAACAAATTAACGTCAGAAAGGTCACCCACTTAGACATTGCTAGAACGGAAATGGTTTCAACTATGCATAAATCCACAGGCTTCACAATTTGGAGGACTAATTTGCTCCACTACCCCCACCAAATAGTTAGGAATGGTGCAGTGCTCAGTAGAAAACACCTATCAGAAAAAAGCAGGGACTGCACTGATGCCGTGGTTTGAATCTTTATAAATTAGGCACTTTATGGCACTATCAGAATTTTGCTTCTATCCACTGAGAGACCTTTGGAGTTTGAAAAATTGATAGCGCACAGGCCTGAGTGCCCAGAAGGTATTACTTCTACGTTATTCAAATGTCTACAGGCAGCGACAACGGATCAAGACATCCCCATTAATATATCACAATGCGGGAAAGAGATACGGGCCTCTAGATGAAAACATTTGGGCACCAATTTGGTCTGCTGACACATTACCTCATTCATCCCTGAGCATTAATGAGTTAGCCTTTAAGTTGTTATCCCATCACCTCCATTTCAGCAAAGGCTGCTGATGCAATGAACAAAATGGCTCATTTTATCCTATGTGGTGGTGATGTCTCAAGATAATTAAATTTGGGGACAGAGTTCTTCAATACATAAAGTCAGCTCATCATGCCACAGCAGAATCCCATAAACTGGTTCAAATATCACCTAATGTACTACATTTAACTTGAGAAAAAGAATAATTTCTCTACTTAAAAGGGCTACAAAATTCTGCATAACCAAGCAATAGAATTAAATGAATTGGTCCACAAGAGAGATGTTTATAAAGTCCACTTTTTAAGCAATTTTCTTGCCTTAAAATCAATAGCTCGAGCCCTTAAAATGCATAATAACTTGATATTTTCTACAAAAGCTGCTAATGACCTAGCACTAGAGTGAGGCTGCTTTTGCCTTTCAAAAAACAAAAGACTTTGTGTGTATATGTTGTGTGTGTGCGTGTGTGTGTGTGTGTGTACTTATGCACGTGTGTGTGCATGCAGGCATGTACTTAGGAGTGAAAATGGAGTGTACATAGGAGATACAAATTAATTTACTTTTGATTTTGTATCCCTGGCTCCTAGAATAATAACAAGTACATGAGAGATGGTTAATAAACATGGATTTAATTGACAAAATAAAGCAAATGCATGGAAATAAGTCTTGCACAACTCAAATCTGATTTGAGAAAAATGGAAAAGGATGGTACAAGGCAACTGGCAGCCACATACACCCGAAGTACAAGAATATTTATTAAAACACTGAGTGGCACTGAGGAACTTTACTGACCTCATGAAAACTAATTAAATAATTCTTTGATGCTTAAAAGTAATTTACAGTTTATAAAGGGTTGCATAAACAAGGTGATATGAGAGGTCATAAAATGAAATATATTCTTAGTAGATCTTCTGTATTGGCCATTTTGCACATAAATCCTAGAATCCCTATGTTTGGGAAGAGAGCTGGTATTTTAATTGTGGCTGAGACTTTTTAATATGACTAAGAAGGCATTTTAGATAAAAAGTTTATATCACAATATATCTCATACTCAATTTTATTCTTCCAACTGTTCCTAAAACATCTCAGTGGTGACTACAGGTCCCCACACTCTCAGTATGAGTCAGTGAAAACACCCCATTGGGGATGGCTCTGCTTAATGCTCCAGCCATGTTGGACGTCACAGCTGCTCAGCCCCTGGGCTTACTTTTCTGGGCATCCCAGTAGACCAGTCAAGAAGGCAGAAACTTTGCTATATTAATGATTCTGCCAGTTACAGGGAAATGGCCAAGCCTGGAGGAGGAAATGGGGAAGGATTATACATTGGAGCTTAGTTCCAGAGGCTTTACTGTTGTGGCACATGAACTTTTCTGTGCCTGCCAAGAGAACATCTGGAAAAAGCCCAACTACTGAAGCTGGCCTGAAGCATTTTGGATGAGTACAGAAACAAGAAAGTGGCTAGTGAATACTCATAACTTCTAGAGACATTCAAAGAAGGAAGGTGGGTGATAAAGGAAAGGAATGCTTGTAGACAAGAGTTTGAATGTCACACATATTCCATACCCCTAGTCAACCTCTACTTTGGCCACACTTCCAATTGGGAACAGTGGCCCTGTGTAGAATTTAGGAGACCTGGGCTCTATCCTTGACTTCGTCACTAAGCATTTATGCATACTCTGGATCTTTTTATGGCTAGTTCCTCACCATTCAGATTTCAGCTTTTAATGTCACCTCCTCAGTCTTTCCCTCCCACTCTACCTAATGTTGCTCTTGAAACCCTGAGATCTCTCTAGTTTGTTAGCTTGTTTTACTTTCTTTGCAATTTTATTGAGATGTAAAAGCATTTCTTTATTTGTTTGTTGTCTATCTCTTCCTTTAGATTGTGAAGTCCAAGAGAATAGAGACTTGATCAGTCTTGTTTACTCCTTTACTCCTAGTGCCTATTGCACTGCCTGGCACACACCAAGGACCCAGTGAATATTTGTTGAATGAGTGAATGTATGTATGCCCATGGACAACGCATTTAACTTTCTGTAGCTTAGATTGATCATCTGTAAAATTAATAGAAACCACTTGATTATTTCCAAGATTAGCATGATAAAAAGAAAGGATAAATTTGTAAATCTCTTGAAAAAAACCTTCATAATCCTTAAGTGTATGACACTATGTTCAGAAAAGTCAACATGGGTAAAACAATAGTATTCGAATGTTGCAGACGTCTGCTTAAATGTCAGTTCTGACATGCACCCAGCTATGAGCCCTTGAGTAAGGCACTGGAATTTTCTAAGTCTCAGTTGCTTGGTTTGAAAGATGGTAGTGATAATAGTAATTACTTCTTAAGGTTGTTAGGATTATTAAATAAAATGATTTGTGGCAATTGCCCAATATAATGTGTGGCACCTATTAGGTACTTTATTAATGGTAGCAATTTCTACATTCAGGATAAAATGTAAGTTTTTAACAACCAGTATTATACTCTGTGGAAACTTCACTTTCCAAAGGCAGCCGTAAAGGTCACTGTAATAGAACACCAACCAAAAACAGGCAATCACAGACTCAGAGGGACAGGGGCACCCAAAATTTCCAGAGAACAATCTAATTTTATCTTCTATAGTCTGACCAGGAGCCCAGAAGAAGATGGAGGCCAGTGTTATGAAATCCAAAATGGGCTGGCAGGTACCAGGGAAGCAGCCAGGAAGGAGAGGGCTGAAGAGCAGTAATTTAACAATTGTCATCGAAAGTTTTCTAAAGGTGATTTGGTTCTCAGTAATACTCTCTGAGTATCTGCTCTGACTATATTTATAGTTTACAAAGCATTTTTCTAGAGACTTTCATTGGATCTTTGCAGCAAACCTGTGAGATTAGAGGGCAAGTGTTATTATTCTTATTTTACAGATGAAGGTCCTATGACTCAGATAGAATTTACTAAGCACTATAGAGCTCAAATAGTATATATCGGAACTCAAACTTAGGTGTTCTGACTCTAAATCCAATGATATAAAACCTTTTTGCAGTGCTATAGTGTGTCCTTCCCTACCCCACGTTCTGACAGAAAAAAAACATTAAGATAAAGTACAGTCCTCACTCATAGGTGGGAATTGAACAATGAGAACACTTGGACACAGGAAGGGGAACATCACACACCGGGCCTGTCGTGGAGTGGGGGGAGGGGGGAGGGAGAGCATTAGAAGATACACCTAATGTAAATGACGAGTTAATGGGTGCAGCACACCAACATGGCGCATGTGTACATATGTAACAAACCTGCACGTTGTGCACATGTACCCTAGAACTTAAAGTATAATAAAAAAAATTATAAAGTACATTGGCATTCTCCTTGATTAAGAGAAAGGGTAGACATGACCTTAAGCAGAATTCATGATTGCTATTTCTTAGGAAACCATGGGTGAAACAGCCCCCTGTGTTCTGGTGAGGACAAAGGTTCCATATTTCTGAAAGAAGAGAAGTCGGAGGCTGTGGTCCCTAGGGTGAAGAATACTGTAGTCAGGGCACCTGGGTTGCAGTTTCTGGCACTCCACAAACCCCCCTGGGAAACTGTGGGCAATTTTTTTCCAGATACTTTGCTAAGTGCTTTACACAAATAATCTCGTTTCATCTTCACAGTAAATTAATGAAATAGGAAATACTTGGTACTCGCATCTTACAGATGAGGAAACTGAAACTCACACAGGTTGTCATTTGCTCAAGGTCACACAGCTAGCAAGTTAGAAATGGATTCTAACCCACACATGGCTGACCTTCGAGCTTGTCCTTTTACTTCTGTACTATAGTATTTGATATTGCCCTTCAACCTACCCCCTGCTCCCTGCCAACCAATATGAAATATGATAATGAAAAGACTAAGAAGTTTCTAGGGTCCTTCCTATGTGTAATATTTGTATCCTTGACTTTATGTTTAGGCTGGGCATTACCTGAGGACAGGTTCAATGTTGGGATGAAGGAGAGTGTGGAAAGAAAAAGATAATTAGAACTCATTGAGAAACCTGCTCTTCTTCTCATGCCATGCTAGACATTTTACATACACTCACCACCACCTTCAATCCTCACAACCAGTCTTACAAAATAGGTGTTTTATCCCTGTTTACAGAGAAGACTCAGAGAGATTAAGATAGCAGCCCTAGGTTGCAGATAGTAAGTGGCAAAGATGAGATTTTGATCCATTCTTCTGACTCCAAAGTTCATCCTCATGCTTTTAAACCTTGTAGCCAATAGGCTGGAGGGTGGCAAGAGAAGAGTGAGCCAGATGCAGCACTTGCCATAGTAAACACATATGACGTGTCATGGCCTGGAAAGCAAGGCCCAGCCCCCATAGGTCTCTCTTTAAAGACTTGAGCTCTATGTGTCTCACCATTGTGATGCATTGTGAATTCTTCCTCATGGACTTGACTGATGATCCTCAGCTTCATCCCACCTTCTCTGCCCTCTTCCTCCCCATCTATGTAGTCATGGTGATGGAAACCTGGGCCTCCTTGCCTTCATTGTGGTCAGTCCCCAATTCCTCACCCCCATGTATTTCTTCCTCAGCAACTGGTCCTCTGTTGACTTCTGTTATTCTTCAGTAACAGTCCCAAAAATATCAATGGGGTTCTTTTCTGACTGCCAAGTCTTCTCCTTCTCTGGTTGCATGGCCCAGTTAAGCTGCTTTTAAAATATTTGCTGACACCGAGTTCTTCCTCCTGGCCTCCATGGTCTATTACCGCTAAGAGGCCGTCTGCAATCCTCTGCTCTACCATATCACCATGTCCCCAAAGCTCTGCTTGCAGCTGGTGGCCACCAGCTATGAACATGGTGCTCCCTAGTAGCACAATCTTTCATCTGATCTTCTGTAAGTCTGTGCCATCATTCATTAATTCTGTTATTTCCTCCCCCACCGAGGCTTTAAAAACTCTCCTGCTCTGACATGCAAGGCCTTCAACTTCTTACCTTTGCCTCTAGTAGCTTTAATGTATCGGTGTCCCGGACAATCTTCCTTGTCTCCATTTAATTATGAGAATGCCCTCGGTTTGAGGCAAACACTTGTGCTTCCCACCTGACAGCAGTCAGCCTGTGCTATGGAACCACAGTGTTCCTTCACCTGCACCTATCCTTGAAGTGTTCACCAGACAGAGATATGCTGGTCTCTGTTTTACACAGTGGCTATTCTCATGCTCAACCCCATGGTCCAAAGTCTGAGGAACAAGGATGTGAAGAAAACATTTGGGACTTCCTCATGAAGGTTTACAATTCCTCTCCTTCCCCACGCCCAGGTCCCCACGCTGTCCAAAATAGTAAAGGAGGGTAAGGGAAGGGAAAGAGATGGAAGTGATATATTTTGGTAGCCAAATGTGTCTCAGACATTATTCTAGGAATTTAAAACAGGTCGTGCATTGAATTTTCTTCACAACTCTAGAAGTCAAGAGTTATTATCTCCACATTAGAGATGGGGAAACTGAGACTTTGAAAGATTTGGTGATTTGCCCAAGGTCGCACAAATTCTCTGCAGTAGAATTTGGATTTCAATTCAGGACTATTTGACTCTGTAACTCCCTTTATATTACATATCCCTGTTTCAGTATAAGGCAAGATGCCACCCTCTCTCCATACTCTTAGGGTCCATGATTTCCACATTTTTTCCCTCTGAGAAATTTGCCTATAGTAGGTTTCATGTATCTGTATCCCTGACAATCATCCTGGTCTCTTTTTAATCATGAGAATTAACAGTCCAGACTCTCCAATTATAATAAATTCAGCCTCCTAAGACCCACTCCCTTTCCCATAGTTGGTTCCTACATGCGGCTTTAGATCATGCCCAACCAGGCCACAAAATAAATTGAACACCTATTGTATACAAAACCCTACACCAGATGCAAAGTTGAAGAGGGATGAGGAAGAAGAAAGCTGTGGTCACTACCTTTTGTCAACTTCCAACCCATTTAGGGACTAGTGAAGATCCCACCCATAAGAAAGCTGAACTATGACCTTTTATTTAACATGGATTTAATGCTTTTTATGTGCTAAATGCTAAATCAGTTATCTCATTTAATCCTCCCAGGAACTCTGTGAGGTAGTTGCTATTATTTCTTCCATTTTTGCCAGTGAGAATGCTGTAGTTAGGAAGGGTTAAGTAGCTCACTCAAGGTCACACAGCTAGTGAATGGTGAATACAGGATTTGAATCCAGATCTGTTTGTCTAAAGAGCTCATGTTCTTTCCACTCTGGTGTATCACCTCCTGGATTATTGAAGTGCCAACCAGCAAGCACCTCCTAGATTTAAACTGTGAGGCTGGGACTCATGAGGAGGGACATAAGATAGATTGGGTTCATAAGAGAGTACTTATGAAGAGGTAGGTGGCTTGAATAAAATCTAGAAAAAGTGAAGAGGGATCAGCTTGGAGATGAGTAGTGAAGAGAAAAAGGGGAAATAGAGATCATAGGCTGAGATAGAAGGATTTAGATGCATAGAGGCCTGGTTTGTCTAGAGCAGGGCGGAAGGCATAGTTAGAAGTAAAAGACACTGAGGAAATGAGGAGATGGTTGCCTAGGGCTGATATCTACAGTAACTTTCTTTATAGACCTCACTATTTACCACCATTTGTGAAAAGGATCTTAACTGGTTCCTAGTTTCCCTAATTTGACCCAAGATGGCTTTGAGTATATGGCTACTTAGAGTTGTGGTAAGAGTAATGTGTTGTGCAGACCAAGACCCATGGCTTTACTCTGTTCTCTGTCTAGAGTCCAGACTTTTCAGATTGACCAGATGACCAGCAAATTTGAGCCCTTGGTGACAGAGGCCATCAGGAAATTACTTCCTGAGTCAAAACTCATGCCAGGGTACATTTGGGCAGAATCTAAGCAAGTGTGTCTAAGTGAAGTAGCTTCAAGTCTAAAGGCAGCCAGACTTAGGTGGGTAGGGTATATCTAGCCCCACTACTAGAGGATCTTACTTCCTGCTGCTGGCTTCCTTGTTAGAGATTCCTCTGTCCGAGAGGAGGCTTTTCTCTATTTTGTCACTTGCCTGGACTATGCAGTAGCCTCCTAACTAGTCTCACTGCCTCCAAACTTGTCCCTTATTTATTCATCCTCCACACTGCTGCCTTATGAACATTCTAAACACTCTTTTCTTGGAACTTTAGGACCAATGATTACAGCATGCAATCATTCTATACTCCTATTGTGCTTTATTCTATTTTACTTTTCTTATATCCTTATTTTGCCTCCTTTACTAGATTTTATGCCTTGAGTGAAGGACCAACATGTCTCAGACCTGTGTAACCACCTTAGTTGCCTGGAAACAAATTGACATTCGATATATGCTGTTCATAATAAGAATGATGACTTTGCAAGTACTGTGAATATGTACTTGAAGCTACTTCACTATCATATTAATAACATTTTAATCAAACTTTGATAAGATAGAAATTAATGAAAATATCAAAAATAATTTTTAATCTAAGAAATTTCCATAAATTTGGACAAAAACTCTTCTAAACAAAATAAAGAAAAGATAATGGAAATTATAAATATTACTTAATGACATATACTGCATTGTAGGGTGCAACTAATGTCATATTTATAAGAAAATATGATCCATGAAATATGAAACAACATAACTGAATATTCATATGCTGAACATTCAACTCAAGAAGTTAGAATAATAACCAGGAAGCCAACCAGAAGAAAGTTAAAGAAAGGAAATAAATATCAACACGGAAGTTAATAAAATAGGAAACAATAACAAAAATAAAAATGCTTTATCAAGCCAAAGCATAATTTTTTTTCTTTTTCTTCAGTTTAATTTTTTTTAAAAAAGTTTACGTTCAGAGGGTACTTGTGCAGGTTTGTTACGTGGGTATATTAAATGTGATGCTGAGGTTTGAACTTCTATTGATCTCATCACCCAAGTAGTGAACATAGTACCCAACAGGTAGTTTTTCAACCCTTCCCTTCCTTCCTCCCTCCCAACTTTTGGAATCCCCAGTGTCTCTTGTTCCCATCTTTATGTCTGTGTCTACCCAATGTTTAGCTCCCACTTATAAGTGAGAACATGCAGAATTTAATTTTCCCTTTCTGTGTTAATTCTCTTAGGATAATAGCCTCTAGCTGCATCCATGTTGCTGCAAGGGACATGATTTCATTCTTTTTTAATGGCCACATAGTATTCCATGGTGTATAGGTACTGCATTTTCTTTATTCGATCCATCAGTGATGGGCACCGAGGTTGATTCCATGTCTTTGCTATTGTGAATACTACTGTGATAAATGTGAATGCAGGTGTATTTTGGGTAGAATAATTTATTTTCTTTTGGGAATATACCCAGTAGTTGGATTACTATGTTGAATGGTAATTCTACTTTTGGTTCTTTGAGAAATCTCCAGACTGCTTTCTACAGGGGCTGAACTAATTTACACTCCTATAAGCATTCCCTTTTCTCTGCAACCTCACCAAAATCTGTAATTTTTGACTTTTTGATAATAACCATTCCAACTGGTGTGAGAACAGATAAAAAGGAAAATGTGCCCAGCCCATTTTATGAGGCTAGTGAAATCTTGATACCAAAACCAGATAAACTTGTTAGAAAGATGAAAAATTATACACCAGTATCATTCTTCATAAAAAGTCTTAAAAAGTCCTAATTAAAATATTAGTGAATTGAACTCAGCAAATCTACAAAAAAAATACAGTGTGACCAAACAAGCTTGATTCCAGGAATTAAAGGACAGTCTAACATTAGAAAATTTATTACAAGTCACTGCTTAAGCTAATTAAAGAGAAAGCAATGCATACTAACCTCAATAGATACAGAAAAATTAAATAAAATTCAACACTTCTGTATTGTAAAAAAGTGTAAACAAATCAAGAATAGAGGGAAGCATTTAATCTGACAAAGGATATATATGAAATACCTATAATTAACATTATAATTAATGTAGAAGCTTAAAAAGCATTCTCATTAGAGTCATAAGACAAGATATCTACTCTCAAAACTAGTATCTAACATTGTATCCATGAGATCATTGTTATTTCATTAAGACAAGAAACTGAAATAGATTTAAGCACTGGAAAGGACGAGAGTGTCATTATTCATGAATAATTTGGTTGACTACATAGAAAGCTAAAAAGAGTTTTCAGAAAAACTATTTTAACTGTTAAGAAAGTCCATCAATATTGATGCATGGGAGATATGTTTTAAAAATCAATAATATTCTTAAACAGTAGAAAAGCAATTAGAAAATATAACTTTTTAGAAAGTTACTATTAACTAGCTAAAAATAAAATAAATAGCCTGTAATATCAAGTGTTGTTCAGGATAAGGGAAAACTGCAAGAATTTGCATACCCTGCTGTGGGAATGCAAAATGGTGCAGTCATTTTGTAAAAGCGATTGACAATTTCTTATAAAGTTAAACATACGCTTACTATATAACCCAGCAATCCCACTCTCGGGAATTTACCCAAGAGATATGAAAGCATGTCCACTCACAGACTTGGTATGTGAATGTTCATAGTAACTTTACTCATTATAGCCAAAATCTGCAAACAACCATGAACTAGTGAATGGATCAACAAGCTTGGGTACATCCATACAATAGAATACTACTCAGCAATACAAAAAGAAACTGCTGATACAAACAAAAAGGTAGACTAGTCTCAAAAACATTGTGCTGCACCAAAGACAACAGGCACAAAGGATTATATGTCATATAGCTTAATTTATATGAAATTCTAGAAAAGGGCAAAGTATTGTGACAGGAAACATAAAAGTGATTGCCAAGGACTCAATGGGAAATGAGACTAACTTCAAGGAGAATGGGGTTTTTGGAGTGGTGGAAATGTTCTGCATCTTGATCATAATGACTATTACACAATTGCATACATTTGCCAAAACTCATAAAATCAATTGTTTGTAAAGTATACCTCAATAAAGCTAATTAAAATAAAGCTCCCATTCACAATAAGAAGCAGCACTATTAAGTACATAAGTCTAACAAATGATGCCCATAGTATTTATGGAAAATATTGTATGTATTACTGAAGGATATTAAAGAAGACCTTAATTAAGGGAGATAGATACCATTTTCATTTCTTTTCTTTTCTTTTTTCTTCCTTTCCTTTCCTCTCCCTTTCTCTCTCTCTCTCTCTCTCTCTCTCTCTCTCTCTCTGTCTCTCTCTCTCTCTTGAGTCAGGCTGGTCTCAAACTCCCGACCTCAGGTGATCCGTCTGCCTCGGGCTCCCAAAGTGCTGGGATTACAGGTGTGAGCCACCGTGCCCAGCCTACCATTTTCAGATATAGCAATACTCAACTTAAAGATGTCCAATGTCCCAAAAACTAATCTATAAATTTAATGCAATTCCAGACGTAATTTCAAATGAGGTTTAACAAGCTGATCCTAAAATTCATATGAGTAATTGAAGGACCAAGAATATTCAAGATAATTATGAAGAAGAACAAGTAGGAAGGACTTGTCCTACAGCTATCAAGACTTAGAAAACTGTAATAATTGAAACAGTATAGTACTTATGCAGAGAGACACAAACAGATCAGTGGGAGAAAGGAAAGACCTAGACACAAATCAGAGAATATAAGGAGCCTTGGTATATGACAGAATTGGCATTGCAAATCATGGGAGAAAAGGATGGATTATTCAATAAATGGGGTAAGAATGATTGTTTATTCAAATCAGAAAAAATACAATTAGATTACTATATCACATATAGAAATCAATTTCAGATGGATTTAAAAACTAAATCTTAAAAACAACTTTTAAAATTTAAAAGATACTTAGAATAATATGATCTCAGTGTAGGAAAGGATTTCTTGAATAAGACACAAAAAACACAAATTGTAAATTACAGATTAATTAGAGCATATTGATAGGGAAATAAAGCCTCTGTCTTTCTGTATTATAAGATAAAGATAATAGACAAGTGACAGACTTAGAGAAGACATTTGTAACAAATATATAACAAATCAATATGGACGACATAAAGTACTCCATTTAGTTAAAAAACAACCAACCTAAATTAACAGTGGGCAATATATTAATGAACAATGCACAGAAGAGAAAATCTGAATGGCTAGTAAGTAGATAAAAACATACTTATCTTCATAAATAATCAAGGAAATGCAAATTAAACTAGCATAGTGATACTATTCCATAGCCATCAGATTGCCCCAAATAAAAACATCTGCTAATACCACATGCCAACAAGAATGTGAGGAAACAGAAATTGTTATACACTGCTTTTGGGAATGTGAGTTTATACATCCACTTTAGAGAATTTGGCAGTACTTAGTGAAACTGAAAATATGTATACACTCTGAGCCAGCAATTTAACTCTTAGGTACCTTAAAGAAATACTGGAAACAAGTTCAAGGACATTCCTTACAACACTTGTACTGGCTAAAATATGTTAACATAAAAAAGTCTATAATTTTCTACCACCAAAATTTTTTCATGTTTTCAATTTATTTTCTCTTTCAATTTATAAGAATCTCCCACACTTCTATTAATGTATCCAGTGCAACCTCAAAGAAAGGATCTGAGAAAAATAATTACACTTGTAAGACTGTTATTTTTAGCAAGTATGCTATAAGGAAAAACAAACAAACCACTAGTATTCAGTATAATGAGGAGCAAGGTAAATCAACAATGAATGAATGAGAACTGTATGTATCAACAGGGCTAGGTCTAAAAACAAAATGTGAAATAGAAAAACAAAGCAAGTTGCAAAAAACTATTATTTCATTTGTGCAAAATTTAAAACAGATGTAATATTACCACATATTGTTTATGGATAGAGTCATATGTAATAGAAGGATAAAAAACATGAACATAGAGGACACATATCGTCTTTTAAGGTAGTGGTTGCCCCCGGAGCTCAGAAGACATGGGATTGGGGACGAAAGGAAATTTTACTGTACCTATAATGTTTTATTTCTCAGAAAACAAGCTCTGAACTAAAAATAAATAAATAATGGCCCATCCATATGCTAGAACACTATGCAATTGTCAAAATGTATGAGGTTGATCTCTATGTGCAGATACAGAAAAATCACCAAGATATATTAAATGAAAAAGCTCCATAAAATATATTAAGTGAAAAAGTATGATCATTTTTATATAAATATGGAAAAATATAAATGTATATAAACGTTGGTATAAGCATACAAAATTTCTTAAAGCACCCACAACAAACTGTTTTTAGTACTTGCCTCTAGAGAGAGAGACTGGAGGTCTGGGATTGGAGGGAGGCTTAGTTATACTGTTTTAATTATTCACCACGTGCAAATTATGCATTGTGCATTCAACTTAGTTTTTTAAAAGTTCATGAGCTTAAAATCAAAGACGACACCTTGTGTGATCTTTAGGTTAGTATTATTTGCATATGGAACATTACATGACACTTATTGGATTTTCTTTTAATCAAAGTTAATTTTGAAGCTTAAAGACCAGCAAGCTGACAATTAGGCAGGAGATGTCACTTTGAGGGGTTGACAAGCTGAAAGATTTTCTCATTTCCTTCAAGGTTAAGAGTTATATCTGAGACATCCTTGCATCTCCCACTGTATCTAGTACAGAGCCTTGCCTGTGCTAGTAAACTATTCTCATGTGTTTATTCCTTAATTTGTTCACCTATGCATTCAGACAACAAATGTTACTACAGAACAACTATATTTTACTGCAAACTCAACCATTTTTCAAGCACCTTGTGCTCTCTATGGGTTTCTCTGGGATGGCCAGGGATTTGGGATTGCTGTTATTTCTATGGGAAATGTGAGTTGACATAGAATAACCAAATCGCATACGAATTTCAGGGTTACGATCCATCTGTATATTAGGGGATACTCAGTAAAACTATTTTCTTCCAGAAATTGCATTTGATAAAGTTGATTGTAATGAAAGGAGAAGATGGTCTTAGTGACAATGACAGTGATATAACTACCATCTGAAGCTGTTTCCTCCTCTCCCTTCCCAATAGCCACCATTCTTTCTTAGATTGAAGCCACAACCTTCTCACTGAACTGCCTGCCTCAAATCTTTTCCTTTACTTATAACTTATTTGCATAGCCACCAAAAGTATATAGCTTTCTAAAACAAAACATACCCAGCAGTGGGCTTGCTGGATAATATAGTAGCTCTATTTTTAGTTTTTTGAGGAATTTCCAAAATAAAGGAAATCAGGGTGTCAAAGAAATTTCTGCATGCCTATATTTGTTGCAGCACTGTTTATAATAGCCAAGATTCTGAAGTAACCTAAGTGTCCATCAACAGATGAATGGATAAAGAAAACGTGGTGCATATATACACTGGAATAGTATTCAGCCAGAAAAAAGAATGAAATGCTGTCATTTGCAACAACACAGATGGAACCGGAGATCATTATGTTAAGTGAAATAAGCCAGGCACAGAAAGACAAACATCACATGTTCTCACTTTTTTGTGGGATCTAAAAATCAAAACAATGGAACTCATGGACATAGGAGTAGAATGATGGTTAGCAGAGGCTGAGAAGGGTAGTGCGGGGCTGGGGAGAGGTGGGGATGGTTAATGGGTACAAAAAGTAGAAAGAATAAGACCTATTACTTGATAGCACAACGGGGTTGACTATAGTCAATAATAACCTAATTGTACATTTAAAAATAACTAAAAGAGTGTAATTGGACAATTTGTAACACAAAGGATAAATGTTTGAGGGGATGGATACCCCATTCCCCATGATGTGATTATTTTACATTGCATGCCTGTATCAAAACATCTCATGTACCCCATAAATGTATACACTTACTGTGTACCCACAAAAAATTTTAAATTAAAAATTAAAGTAAAAAATAAAACACAAACATAACTATTCCACTTCCCGATTTGAAACTCTTTAATGGCTCTTCACTGACCTCACAATAAAGTCCACACTCCTTAGGATGGTGTACACAGCTCCTGATCATCTGGTGCCTGCCTATTTCTCTAGTTTTCTCTCCTGCCTCTTAGTAGCACATGCTATTCTTTCTGACTGAAACTCTTTCTGTCTCTAGTTGGTTTAACATACTTCTATTCCTCCTTCAAAACCCAAGGCATCATAAAGATTAATAAAATAATAAATGGGAAATTGTTTGGGGAAATAAACAAGAACAATGCCAATGGCAGTCCTCTCCAATAGGTCTTCACTGGCACTACCTCCCTGCAAACTGATCCGGAAATTCCTTTCTCTGTGCTACACCTACATGTTATAAAGAGTCCTGTTGTTGCACTTGTGATGTTGCAATTTGATTGTTCATTTACATGTCTGTCATTTCCGCTAGACATTGAGCCTGACCTAGTGGAGTGACCTGATATTGTGTGTGAATGCTATAACTGAATGGCGACAATGGTGATGTTCTGAGATAACAGAGATAACAGTCATATCTGTGCAAGTACTCTGTTTTACAGGATGCTCACACAGCCATCAAAGAAAGAGAAGCCTCACTAAGAGCTCTAAGGAAAGGTTCCACTCCCCAACCATTTCTGTACAGCCTGGAAAGTAGTGAAAGCATATAAAACCAGCACTGAGGAAACTTACCCAGGAGGTCAGATGCAATCTGTCTACCAAGGATGGAAAAATGACAAGGTAACTGTTCAGAAAACTGCCTCTGACAGCTTGTGTAAGAAGACTTTTAATTTGATTATAAAAACCAAACTATAACAGTTGTGCTTTTAATTAGATGTGCAATTCACTTAAGGTTGACTGAAGGCTTTGAGGTAAGGGGATTTGGATGTTTTAGGGTATATTTAATGATGTAAAAAAGTAAGAGCTCTACTTCCAGTTCTAGGAGTCCAGGCCTCTTTGAACCCTAAGACAAAACTATCCTCAACTTCTGTGGATGTCAGCAACATAATTCTCATGTTCATCAAGTATGTTCCTAGCATGAAGCATGAAGCTTTGTAGTTAATAAAGTGGTTTCCCATACAGCATCTCATTTGAGTCCTACAATAAACTTGTGAGGTCAGCAAGGCAGGAGTTATTGCCCCCTTTCACAGCAAGAAAAACTGGGACTAAGTGAAGATATGTGACACCAAATTGCACAGGCAGTGGGAGATCTAGGTCTAGAACCTAGATTCTTTTGCCACTAGTTTCAGTACTTCTCACATGGTACACTTCCCAAACTATAGCTCTGAGCTTTCGGCAGCCTCTGGAGGCCCTGGCCTAGAGAGATCGTGGCTCTGACCCATTTGACATGTCAGATACTCCAATATCCAATTTCACACCATTAGTCAGCAGTCACTGAATGGACGTTCAGGATGTCATGAGAACCTGACATCGATCTCTCAATTAAAAAGCAAAGCTCCCCTGAGAGACAAACCTAAAGATAATTGGATTTCTTGTTTGAACTGTATGTGCCAGTCCCTGCTTGCAGAAGGTTGTTGGAGCGCTTAAAAGATAAATAAAGTGGCAAGCATTATGCTCCTTCTAAACCCAAAGGAGGCGCTGTAGGGGCTAAAATTGCTTCGGCCACTACCATGTGAAAACTAAACGTGCCTTTGGGTGACATACTCTTAGTTCTTCCTTGTAGAAGCCTTTTGAGCTCCAGGGAAGTCAGAGAGAAAATAATAATTGTGCAGGTATGAAAGGAAAGATTGGGAAACTATGATTGTTAAGGTCATGAGTGATCTTTGTAAAGAATATATAATAAGATAATCTGTCATGCTGTTGCTGGATCTACTTCAGGTCAAACAACACAGTAGTGGTACAGCTAACCAGCTACTTGTCTTAGCAACTCACTTTGGGCTCCACTAGAAAACCAATTATCTTTAAGTTTGGCTCCCAGGGGAGCTTTGCTTTTTAAGTGAGAGATCGATGTTGGGTTCTCATGACATCCTGACTGAGCATTCAGTGACTGCTGACTAATGGTGTGAAATTGGACACTGGGGTATCTGACATGTCACATGGGTCGGAGCCACGATCCATCTAGGCCAGGGCCTCCAGAGGCTGCTGAAAGCTCCAAGCAATAGTTTGGGGAGGCTAAGTATTTGGGGCTTCACACATATCAATGGAATAAGAAGCCAGGCTCTAAGGAAGGAAAGTGAACATCTCTACCATGGGCTCATTAAATCTCCAAACTCAAGTGGAAGGAAAATGATGAGGTAATTATCTTCATAATCAATCCCCACATCCATGTTTACTCTCTTTCCTTTTTCCTAAATGATGACCTTTCTTTTCTGCCTGAAGACAACGCCTCCACTTGTGTATTTCCCCATCCCGTCCCCTCCAACCTCCTCAGAGACTCCCTTTGCTTCATCATTCATCCTCTTGCATGTATTTCATATTTCCTTCTCTCTGGACCTAGATTCTTTGCGTAGCATCTTGGCCAAGTTTCTTCTTCACTAAGACCCAAAACACAAGAATAAAAATACTCTCTGTCCTCTCTTCCACCCTTAGCTTTTTGGTGCTCTCTCTGCCTCCTTTACTTCATCAACAATCTTCTTGAAATTATAACCCACATTTGTTGTTTTTCCCTTTATCCCCCCACCACCAACCTCACTTCAGTTGGGATTCTTGCCCCAGCTCTCCAATATTCATGGCACCTTCTTTATTAACAATTCTGATGGCTCCACTTCTCCCTTGGACTCTATGACATCACTCTCTGTTTCTCCCACTTCTATGACACAATTTTGGAAAATCTTTCTAGTCTTTTTTTCTCCAAAAAAATATGAGTTTCCCTGCCTTTCCTGTCATCTGCCCCCTACTCATTTTGTCCAAACACTCCAAAATCAATGGCTGACATGGTCCTCAAGTTACTGGACCCTTTTGACCATTATTCTCTCTCCATGGAATATTCTCTCTCTTCTTCTCCTAAGAAGGTTCTACTTTTGCTAGATACCCACCATGGCTCTGAAACAGTTTATTTCATTCTGCCCTCCAAACCCCTTTTTCCTAAAGCAAGTTTTTTTTGTTACATCTCCATCATGGAAACTACCTCAATTTCTTTCATTTGTTGTTCAGTTCAGATGGTGGTAATCTCCATATGGCTCCTATTATCCAGTTACCTGACAAAAACTCCTGGCTCGTAATATAATTAGCATCTTGTAAATTCAAAATTACATCAACATGCATAAGATTAACTTTTTATCTTCAGGAAAAAAAATTAAAATTGAAATACAAGTACAATGTGCTGCTGTAGTAATCATCATTATCAGATTTCTCATCTGTAAATTCAGCGAGACAAATCAAAGACCTATTCTCAAATACCTCACAAGATAGTTTGGAAGATTAAAAATAATAATGGATCTGAAAGTTATTTGAAAAGTATTATGCTCCAGACATGTAAATTACTAAAAGAGAAGTAAGTCTTCCTTCACAGACTTATGTAGTATACATTAAGATCCTTGTTCAGGGCACTGAAAGGAGATGAAAAGTGAGTAAAAAATATTACAGCATGTTGTAATGGAAGGAGCAAGAACTGGAAAATGAGACTTGGGTGTCAGTTCTTGCCATTACTAGCTGGATCTGAGATTCTAAGAAAGACACTTTACCTCTTTGAATCTTCTTTTTCAGTTATAAAACTTAAGCGTTTATCAAATGAAACTTTAAAAGTCCTTTCCGTCTTTAATATCCTATGACTTCATAATCAGTGGAAGTGGGAAAGACCTCATATTTATCATGTAGTCTTTCATTATTACTTTTTTTGTGAAAATATCTCAATTTTCTTGTCCTCCTTTTCTTCCATTGTTTTAACTTGGCAAATCCCAAACTTGATTTTAAACCAACGATATCTACTTACTCTACCCTGTTAGCTAAACATTGCCAAAGAAGACCACTCAAGAAAGCAATCTGGTTTCACCTTCTTAAATTCATGATTTCAATGATCAAATTTCCTCTCAATATTACCCGAAAATCATAGTATTTGTTCTAAGTAGTAAAGCCTTCTCACTTCCAGATATGACTATTTTAGTTTTCCCTCTGCCCTCAAACTCCCAACATGCCCTCCCCACCCCTCACTCTTATATCATGACCTTTTTTCGTACTTCATTGAGGAAACAAAAGCCATAGAGGCAAACTCAGTCATCTTCCTAAGATTAAATGTTGCAACTTATCTACAATGGCATCTGTTTTCTCTGGCTTTCCTCCTGTTAAAAGGATGAAGTGTTTCTGCTTTTACCAAAGGTGAATGCCTTGACTTGTGTTCTGTATCCCATCCTCTCTCACTTTCTAAAAGATTTTGCTCCAAAAATTTATTTCTTATTTTCATATGCATCATCAATATCCCCTCTATGCTGGGTCATTCTCATCAGCATACAAAAGGTAGGGTTAATGCTCATCTCTCTATAGTTACCACCCAATTTCTCTGCTCCCCTTCAGTCCCCATCACTCATCACTCTACTAAATCTATTATTCTTGTAACTAAATGTAAGAGACTGTTTTTTGTCTTCATCTTAATCTCACAACAGCTTTTATTAACTCAGTCAACAATTCTCTTGAAACATGGATTCTGTTATTTGATTTCCTCCTGGTTTTCATCCAATCTCACTGAATCCTCCTTTTTTATCTCCTTTCCTGCCTTCTCCTATTCTGTTAGACCTAAGGGAGACTCTTTTTTTTTTTTTTAATTAATTTATTTTTTTTTATTGATCATTCTTGGGTGTTTCTCGCAGAGGGGGATTTGGCAGGGTCATAGGATAATAGTGGAGGGAAGGTCAGCAGATAAACAAGTGAACAAAGGTCTCTGGTTTTCCTAGGCAGAGGACCCTGCGGCCTTCCGCAGTGTTTGTGTCCCTGGGTACTTGAGATTAGGGAGTGGTGATGACTCTTAACGAGCATGCTGCCTTCAAGCATCTGTTTAACAAAGCACATCTTGCACCGCCCTTAATCCATTTAACCCTGAGTGGACACAGCACATGTTTCAGAGAGCACAGGGTTGGGGGTAAGGTCACAGATCAACAGGATAAGAATTTTTCTTAGTACAGAACAAAATGAAAAGTCTCCCATGTCTACCTCTTTCTACACAGACACGGCAACCATCCGATTTCTCAATCTTTTCCCCACCTTTCCCCCCTTTCTATTCCACAAAACCGCCATTGTCATCATGGCCCGCCCTCAATGAGCCGCTGGGCACACCTCCCAGACGGGGTGGTGGCCGGGCAGAGGGGCTCCTCACTTCCCAGTAGGGGCGGCCGGGCAGAGGCGCCCCTCACCTCCTGGACGGGGTGGCTGGCCGGGCGGGGGGCTGATCCCACCTCCCTCCCGGACGGGGCGGCTGGCCGGGCGGGGAGCTGACCCCCCCACCTCCCTCCCGGATGGGGCGGCTGGCCGGGCAGAGGGGCTCCTCACTTCCCAGTAGGGGCGGCCGGGCAGAGGCGCCCCTCACCTCCCGGACGGGGTGGCTGGCTGGGCGGGGGGCTGACCCCCCCACCTCCCTCCCTGGCTGGCCGGGCGGGGGGCTAACCCCCCCCCCCTCCCTCCCGGACGGGGCGGCTGGCCGGGCAGAGGAGCTCCTTACTTCCCAGTAGGGGCGGCCGGGCAGAGGCGCCCCTCACCTCGAGAGAGACCCTTAAAGCTTAGTGCAGCACATACTTCTTTATCTATAATATCTCCATTCCCATGGATTTCAATGTTATCTATATTCAGATAACTCCTAAACTTATACCCTAGTCCAGCCCTCTCTTCTGGGCTACATACTTTCAAATCTAGCTGTCTGTTTCTTCCTTTTACCCAGAATTCTCATGGACACCTCAAACAATACAAATTGAATTTATGTTTCCCCTAAATTTTCTTTTTATATAATCTCACTATCCAAGTAAATTGCACCACTTACTCAAACCAGAAACCCATGAGTCATCTCTGATAGTCAGTTTTCATTACTCTCCATATCTGATATGTCAGTAAGTCCTGACATTTTTACCTCCCAAATATGTCTTGAATCTCTCTTTTTTCTATCTTTTCTGCAACAACATTATTCAGGTTTACTATTACCTCTTACCTGTTCCACTGAAGTAGTTTTTTAATTGTCTTACTCTACCCATGAAGTTCTCTCTCTAATTCATTTATCAGATAGCAGGAAACATGATTTTCAGCTGTAAATTTCATCACTACTGCTTAACATCCTCCAGTGGATTCCTACAGTCTTTAAAAACATCTAAATTCTTTAGCATGATCTGCAAGAACCTGAATGATCTGGCCCTTCCTATTTTTTCTATCTTCTCTCATTCTCTCTCTCTCTCTCTCTCTCTCTCTCTCTTCTCTGTCTCTCCACAATATGCTGGTCTTTTTAAGTTTATATTAGTTTTTCTAACACTCAATGTTTGCATGCTCATGGCTTATACCCTTTGCCTAGAATGTTCTCCCTCACCCCCACTTCTAATTCTTGCATTATTATCTCCTTCCCATTTTTTTAGGTCTCAAATTTTTAGGCTTTTCTTGGCCACTCCGAACAAAATACCCCTCTCCCAAACACACACACACACACACACACACACACACACACACACACACACACAGAGAGAGCATATTTTATATTTTGGGTCCTTGTTTGTTTACATTCATAGTAAACAATTCACAATTCTTTATGGGTCTCTTTCCTTGTTTTTAGTCTTTCTTCTTTCTCTCTCACTGAAATGCTAACTCCATGAAATGTAGAGGGTATTCCTGATGTGTTAAAAAAGTATTGACTTTTTTTACTATTTTATTCTAAGCACCTAAGAGTTGGCACAGAGTAAGCATTTAGTAAATATTTGTTGAATGTATGAATGAATGTATTGAGTACCTAATATGGACCAGTAATTGTGCAAAATGTGTTACATCGAATTCATATACTATTCTATAGATGAGGATACCAACTTTCAGAGAAGTGATGTGACTTGCTCCAGGGTACACAGCCAGTAAGTGGCAAAGCTGGGATTTGACTTTAGGCATGTCTTTTTCCGCTATGCTATACCATCTCCCCACCATCAGTAGTTCACCCTTGCTCTTCTGTGCCTCCTCTACTAATGTTTAACGAATTTTCTATCAAACAAGTTTAAGGATTAGACATCCTTTGTTATGATGAAATAAAGCACTATAATTTTACCACAAATAAAAATATAATTCAATTGGTATAGAATTTCTAAAACAAGAAACAGATTTAATCATTGCTCTTATGAAATTTACACACAGGTAATTAGGAATATTCATTGTTGATGATAACACCAGCACAGCAGTAGGAACAACCAGTTAAGATCTGAAAGGATCGAGCATTTTCCAAAATACATATTGGAAAAAATGTACATATTTATGTGTCACAGTTACAGTTTTAAGAGTCTATACATTCTAAATATGATGGGATAATTGAAGTCATGGATTAACTTTCCAAATGGCCCCTGGAGGACTGGAGTCAAATTTATTAATTAAGTGTAATAATCCTGGACTTCCAGAAAGAAGCCAATTATGCTCGGTATGTGTGACACTTTAAAGCAGTTTGATGTTTTTCTAAAAAAAGTATCAGATCAATGGTTATTCTTCAAATATTTATTTTTTTTTAGATCCAAATCATGGCTGGAACTGAAGAAGAAAACACGATTCAAATTTCAGAAATTATCTTTTTGGGTTTTGGGGATCTCCATGGCCTTCAGTTTCTTCTTTTTGGGATATTTCTGGCCATCTATGTGGTGACTGTAATGGGCAACATTGCGATCCTGTGGTGTCAGCTAATCATTTCCTTCACACGCCCATGTTTTTCTTTCTTGGTCACTTCTTCCTAGAGATTGGCTGCACCAGTACCATTGAGCCCATGAGGCTGAGGACTGCCATCAGCTCATATGCCTTTTTACTTTCTAGCCTGTGTTTCCCAGTTTTACTTTTTGCCTTGGTGGCTACAGAATGCTTCTTCCTGGCTGTAATGTCTTATGATTGCTATATAGCCACCTGTAACCCACTGCAATACTTCAGCATCATGGACCACTGGAGTTGCTTACAGCTAGCTAGTGCCTCATGGGTGGCTGGATTTCTGGCATTCACTCTCCTCATTGTCCTCATTTTTCACTTAACATTCTGTTCCACCAATGTGGTCGAACACTTCCGTGATTTGAAGCCCATCATGAAACTGGTTTGCACTGACACTGAAGTAGCTCAGATGACCTCTTTTATATGCACCTCTTTATTTGTCCTTGGCCCCTTCCTGCTGACCCTGGCTTCTTATGATCACATCATCACTGCCGTTCTGAGGATTCCTTCTGCCACAGGAAAGCAGAGGGCTTTCTCCACCTGTTCCTCCCATCAGACTGTAGTTAGTCTCTATTATGGGGTACTGAGCATTGTTTATGGCTTCCCATCAAGACTTATTGAAGTCTTGTATGAAGACTTATTGAAGTTACTTTCTATTCTGTATACAGTGCTTACCCCTGCCCTCAACCATATCATTTACACCTTAAGGAACAAGGATGGGAAGGTAGTTCTGAGAAAATTGGTGCAATAAGGAACATATAACTGGTCCAAAAAGAGTTTGAAATTTTTAGTGGCTTTTGGCACCTTCTGAAAAACCTCAAAAAAGTGGAAATGTTTCTATAGTGTCAAGAATCGTTACTGTGAAATTGATGAGTTTTCCTTTGTTCTATCAACTTTCTCCACATTAGTGAATAAGAAGAGTGTTAAATGTTCATTTGTCGAACATTTCGTAGGTGACAGGCACTATGCTAAGTCCTTTGCATGGATTGTCATGCTAAATCCCCACAGCAACACCATGAGGTAGCTACTGTTATTATCCCCATTTTACAGATGCTATAACTGAGATGCAAAGATTAACTCACTTGCTAAAGACCATACAGCTAGAAAATAGTGAAACCAGAATTTGAATTTGATCCCAAGGTTTGCCTAACATCAAACCCATGATCTTTTCACTAAATGGGGGGAGCCCACAATCTTGGATTGCCCAAAATGGCTTTCTTGGATCATAGAAGACATTACTGCAGATAACTTTCTATAGGGGAACATGGGTTAATGTGAGGTGAGAAGAAGGGAAAAAAAGTAATACAATAAAATAATGCAATTTAAATCCTAGTCTCTCTCCTTTCTTCACCTAAAGTCTTGATGAAAATGCATGAGATAAAAAATGTCCTAAGATTAAAATTAGTTTTTTAAAGATTATTTGTAAGAACAAAAGATTAAAAACAACCTAACTAGTCCAATAAATTAAAGCACATTCACACAATGGAATATAATACATCCATAAACAAACAAACAAAAAAGAACAAATCAGCTCTTCATGTGTTGATATGGAAAGATCTCCATAATCTATTGCAAGTGCAAAATACAAGGTTAGTGCAATGTGCACAGTGTGGCACAAGTTGTGCAAAAACAGTAAAAGAAAAATATTTAAAACTTAATTATAGATTAATAGACTGTTCTAGAAAGAAATATATGAATTTGGTGATATTGGGTGCCTTTTGGTAGAGAAACTAAATAGAGGGGAGGTGTACCTTTTGAGGTGGGAATTATGTAAATAAATTACCTATTGAAAAGTAATCAAAGTTTAACAAATTATTGCAAATTGTACAAAAAGCAGAAATGTTCAACAACCCACATTTATATACCAGTGTGGAAGCACTTCTAGATACTTGGGAAGCTTCTTTTCTCTCACAGGCAAGTTATCAGCTCTGAGGGCAAGGATCTTGTCACTTACTGCTTCTATACTTCCCTCATAGTGCCTTAAATGCCAAAAAAAAAAAAAGTGTATAGCATAGATGTTTGACTTAACACTTGTGCTATCATCCAACACAGCATAGCTCAACATCCACTGAGCATAACAATTTCCAATAACTTGGTGTGTTTCCATTTCTAGAGTGAAAAACCCAAGGGAGAAAAGTGCTAGCTGTATCTCTGATGCTTTTCCATCCATAGCAATCATAAAGGCTAGCAAGGGGCTGGCATGAACTAAGAATGGCTTTCTGGGCTCTTTCTTACATTATCACCATAGTGAACTTCCTATCAGGAAAACATGACTGCATCCCTCTGGCGTTTAATCAACCTCTGCCACAATGACTCACAATTAGGAACAGAATAAGGGTCTCATATTCTTTGTGACTCTGTGATTTTACACATGCTGTTTCTACTTTTGCCTCTGCCTCATTTTCTCACGTTAACTCCTTTTCATCCTTAAAATATCAAACGTCAAATATCAAAGTGTCACACACTCAGTGAAGCACTCCCTGATCCTTCAACATCCCTCTAAAGTTAGGCCCTATTTTTTCCTATGCTATTAAAGCACTTTGTACATATTTATATTTTACACCAATTACATTGTACAGTAAGTTTTTGAATTTATGCCTGCCTCTTCACCTAATAATGAATTCATGCTGACGTTTATCCTACATGTAGAGTAGTTGTTCACCTGCCTGAAGCAGAGGCTGAACTACTTAATGTCTTAAGGATAATTCCGGTTCTAGAAGTTTGATATTTGTCTTGGAGCAAATTTTACAGCAGAATTTGTGGTGACAGGTGGAGAATCTTGAGAATTTCCTCTTAGTGTCAGGAAGCAGCATTATCTTGAACCCTTGGAAAGGGGACCTAAAGCATTCATTCATTCACTTGAAATATTTGTTAAATATAAATGTAACATATAAGTATGTTAAATATCAATTTAAGCAAAAACACTGACTGGTTAGTACTCTTCTAGGCACAAAAAGAATAAGAATCATGTGACTTTAATTTCAAAACTCTCCTGTCTAACCACTGGAACACCAACATGGTCTCAGATACGGAGCCTGCACCCAATAAATGTTTGTTCAACTAAGCCAAACCAAGGTATTATCAAGTGGTCTGGGAATACAACTGGCCTCTGTTGAGGAGATCACAAACTCTGGAGTTATAGGTCTTGGAGATATGTGGATTGTATGAAGTATTGGGGGAAAAAAAGAAGTGTCATGAAGAAGAAGAGGGAGGGCTGTCTCCACCTGGAAAATTTAAGGGTCATTGCTTCCTTCACAACACCAGCTGCCATCTGCCAATGAGAAGGCAACACATCCATGGAGAGCAACAACTAGAACTAATTGGGTTTCTCCTGTTTAATACCTAAGACAGGGCCCCATTGAGATCAGGTAAGGAGATCTATTAAAGGCAAGCTGTTCTCTGCATATCACTTAATTCAAAGTACTTAATGAAGCTGATTAAATGCTATGCTCTCCAAGGATACTGTAGATCAAAGTGGTAGTTTGTGTAAGTTTAAGGACTTGATTCTTAAACCAGAATGCAAATAAAAATTCATTTGAGAAAAACCTAAATTAGAGCATGAAAGCAATGCCTTGAGAAGGGGAAGATATTTTTGTACAAGCCACAGTTCAGTTTGGCCTAGATAAAGCCAAGCATCAGGATACAGGTGAAAAATTCAGGCAAATATTCACCTTTAGGGGCACTGCATATGCCAAATTTCTAGGTACCTGACTGTATATTTCACTATCTGGAAGAGTTACAATATTCAATAGTACTTAAAAATGGGGGTTCACCACTCAGACAGAGTTTGTGAGTCTTCGCTCTGTAACCTTAGGCAAATAACTTAGCCTCCCTGACCTTCAAATTTCTTAGGTGTAAAATGGAAATACTAGTACTATATTACCTCACAAGGATGTTAAATGAAGATTAAAAGAGATAATGCATGTAAAACTCTTAGCACTCAGGAGATACTTGATACACGTTAATTATTATTTTAGTGGCTATCATCATTATCATAATTGGATGTCATTGGGTCCTTTCTTGTTTTGATATAGTAAAGAAGTATGGACCAGGGAGGTATCTGAATAACTGTGAAGTGATCTGAAAGTAGAGGCTAGAAAAATAGAGGCCGGGCTTCTGAGACTTCTTGGTTTTGCCAGGGTATCAGTTTACTTTCATCTTTGGCAAGCAAGACACAAGCTGGGTATCAAGGTCTTTCATATGTTAGTTTACTGAGCAGCTCTGTGGAAACGTTGGACCCTTTGGTCTAATATCTGGCCTTTAATGGCAGCCCAAACAATATGACCAGACCAGATGCATCTTGCTCTTTCTGCAAGAGCCACATTTCCTTCTCTCTTTACTTAATTCTTATGCTTTTCGTACTGAAGTTCTTGTAACAAGTCATGTGAAGGTAAATGAAGGGGTGCTTAATAGTAGTAAAAGGCAGGCTAAGGGGGAATGGACCTATTAAACTGCTAAGAGTTTGACCCCTGTATACCACTCCAACTTCGTCATGTACAATTATTCTCTCTCTGTGGTGTGGTCACTTTGAGACCCTCTTTCACTTTCTTGAATTTGTAAATTCTTTTGTGCCTTAGAATGTTTGCATATACTATTCCCTCTGCTTAGCATGTTCTTCCTCAAAACTTGATGTAGTTGGCTCCTTATACTTCTGCTCTCTCCTTAAATTTGACACCCGATAGAGATTTCCTGGCCACCTCTTCTAAATTTACTTCCCTGCCAACACCATCACCCCCACCTAGTTAGGCTCTATTTCAATATTTCATTATTCTTCTTAGCACCTAGCAAAGTAGTGATTATGTAATTATTTGTATATTTATGTTCTACATGTCCGTCTCCCAGAACATCTGTGCCTGTCCCACGTAAGTACTCAATGCATACTTAATGAATAAATGAATGAACAAATGCCTTTGGCATTCTTACCTTCTGGTTAGTCAATGGGTGGATATTCAATGGTTGTGGTCTGATAAATGGGTGGCTAAGGAGAGTTTAAAACATATCCACAAATTTTAAAATATTCCTCCCATCAATAGGTGGGATCAATATTCTTTCCTTTTGAATATCAAAGAGAGATGCTCTAGTGACTGCCTGAACCAATAGAGCATGACAAGAGTACCAACGAAGGGTCTCCTAGGCATAATGGTAGGACTCAGAATGGTGGGAGTGACTTCCAAGGCTGGGTCATACCAAATGAGGAAGCTATTGCCTTGTCTGCTGTAAACTTGCTTTTGGAGCACCAAGGTACCACGTAAGAAGTCCAATTACCCTGAAGTCACCATGCTGTTAAGACCAAGTCACATGGACAAATTGTGTAGAGGTGTTCCAGTTGACAGTCTCTAAGGAGACAGAAGTGATATCCATCTAAGGCCCACAGGGTCTATATCATATCTTCAAATTCTTTGATATTCTTCCCATTGAGAAGTGGAATCTATGTGCCCTCCTTTTTAATATAGAAGGATTGCTGTGCTTTGACCAATAGAGCATGACCAGGACAGTAACAGAGGGCAACAGCAACAACCCGCATCAGCTGCCCGATATGTGAGCACAGATGCCTCTAGATGATCCCACTTCCTGGCTGTCAAGTCCCCTCCAGTCACAAAATTTTCCAAGTTGTGGTCCCCGACATTGTGAAAGAGAGATAAGCCATTCTCACTATGACCTGACCAAATTCCTGAGCCATAGAATCCATGAGCATAATTCAATTGTTTTATTCCACTAATTTTGGGGCTTGTTATGGAGGAATGGTAAGTGGGATAGTGGCCATGAAATCCATGTCATTTGAGGAGGCACAAGGTAAGTTCAGAAAATTCAGCTGTATGAGAAAATGCCTCTTGACAAACACTGGCTTAAAAAAAATTATACAATTTAGTGTATTTGTACACTCACTTCAAAACTTGCTTCTCTAAAGAGAAGCTTCCCTGAACCACCCAAGCAGAAGGGAGTACTTCCTCCATCCTGGGTGTTACCACTGTATTGAGGATACCCCTCCATTAGTGCCCTTGTCATGCTGTTGCACATGTTAACTCACATGTGCTCTCTTCCCTTCTAAAATATCTTGCCTAAATCACTTATATCGGTAAGGCACTGAGGTTCTGCTAATACATTTTTGGTGATGAAATGAATGTTTCTAATGATCATTTTCATCTGTCATCTGGCCTGGCTTCCGTTTTCTCTTAATGCCAGGTCTTGCCATGTTCCAGGTCAGCACCAACCTTCCTCTAACAAATACGAATATAGATGAGAGTCTGAGCCATCTGTGCTGTTCTGTTTGATTTAAGGTCATTGGTGGCTTCACCATCCAGATTTCACCACTAGCATTTCATACATTTCCTGCAGTTCTGCTTCCTACAGAAGAAAACAAATGAAGGGACCATCAAAATAATGAGGAAGCTAAGGCTACAGGTAAAAGCAACAATTGCCACAATAGTAATAAATGCATCCAACAGTTACTGAAATTTTACTATGCTCCAGGCTGTGTGCTAATGTTTTATATACGTGATCCTATGAAATCTTCACAATGGCTGTATGGGATAGACACTATTATTATCACCATTTTACAGATGAGGAAATTGAGGTTTAGAAAGGGTAAATACCAAAATTGTACTGCTAGCAAGTTGTGGCATCTAGATCTATCTGACTCTAAAGTTTAGGTATGTATTCCTATTGATATGCTGGCTCCCTTGGGATTTTAAAATTTATTTTTAATGGCAAAGTAAAAGCAACACCTATCTGGAGTTTAAAGGCATTTCAGGAAATAGCCTCATTGGAATGGAGGGAGCGATGTTTTGACGGTTAGGATGAAATGGCGTTTTCTTTTAAGTGAGAATGTATCCCCTTAAAGACATTCATAAAGATGACAGTATTAGTCATTTCATAGGATCAGGAACAGGGGGAAGGGGGTTATATGCTGAACTCAGTCATTTTCTTGCCCTGTGATCCACCTGCCCCCTAAAATTCAGAGCTAATTTTCTCCCCTATGTTACCATCACTAGCCAGGGTTTTCCTCATTGTCCCCATCTGAAATCCCTCTGGAGAGGACAGGCAGCACCCCCTGAGTTGGCAGAGGATACCACGAGAGAGAGCTGGCTCTTCATGGGCACTTAAGGTGAGAGGGCCCTGTGGGTAGCAGCCAGAGGAAACTGTTGAGCAAAAAGACCCCAGATTTTATTCTCTAATGGTAACAAGTGCTTGAAGAAGGCGATGATTCACACCAACTCAGTATCTGCACTGCTGACGTAGATGCAGATGAGGGATATACAAGGGCTGACAAACTCAGGAAAGAAACTAAGAATTTGGTTTAACTGTGTGGAAGTAATTCTAATTACAGGCATTTATGTGAACTGTTTACAATTTATGCCTAATTGCCACCCAGTACAATAACAATTATGCATATCATTAAATATGTGTCAGATTAATTTTGTTGTAAATTTTAATTATAACAGCAAACCCTATGTGTGTATGCTCTGTCTTTATAATTTGTTGCTTAGATTGCTCATAAGTTAGAAATAAATGAGACAGAACATTGGCTAGCAGGCCAAGAGTGGGGAAGGTGCAGAGGCGGCTGCCTGGGGTTGAATATTTACTATGGGTGGCGCACAAAGTGGATAATCAACCAATGCATAAATCCCAGCAGCTTAACTTCCCCGGAGCCCTGCAGGCAGCTCCACAATCTTTTATTCATTTATTGTTGATTCTTTGGTTGTATTCATGCCCACAGCCTGTCCCAAACCTTTTCTGGTCTCCTTGGCCTCTCAACTTGCCTCCTCCGCTCTCAACTCTTACTCAAAGGAAAAGAATAACCTCATCCTGGCTTTTGCACAGCAGGTCTGGCCAATGCCTCCCTAGCTGGCATCTCAAATTTCTTTCATGTTGTAGGCCCCTTCTCCTGTGGGCGCTGGCCTCTGACAAGCAGATATGTCCTTTCCTCTGTGCCCTGGGCTCTTCCCCTCCCACCATCCCAAAGACTGGTTTGATGTCCCAGCATTTCACCATGCGTTCAATTTCTTTCTCTGCTTTTTGCCATGCACGTGGTAGACACTCAGTAAATATTTGTGGAGGTTTCCTTTAGACATACATGAGACACAATGGGACACACACACACACACACACACACACACACACACACACACACTTTCCTTGCTGTTTCTTCAGCTATCACCATTTTCTCTTTATCCTCTAAGTTAACACTATACTTATACATCTTACATATCCAGTTAGACAAGAAATTCATTGCGGGCAAGGGACTTCTATGTTATTTTTTTTTCTGATTTCCTAGCACAGCTTGAAGCACTCCATACATGCTGAAAGATTAGTACTCATGGATCCTCACAGGCTGCTGCTTCTGTAGAGGGAAGGGAACATCTGGCACTTTCTTCCCTAGCTTGCTTTTGTAGAGGCTGAGTAGGATAATAGAAAGCATGGGGCTTTGGTATCAGATAGACTTGAGTTCCACTCCAGGTTCTGCCACTCAGCGACTAAGAGAACTTAGGACTGATTTCATCTTTCTGAGGTCCAATTATCATCCGAAAAATGGGGATAATAATAGAACATATATTACAGGATTGTTGTGAAGATAAAATGACATGCTGATGAAAAGGGCCTGACACACACTGGTAATGATTTTTCTCAGGCAGAAACTTTCTGCTCCAGTGGCTCACTCATACTGAATATTTGTTCCTCCTACTATGGTAATGATGAGTCAGGATTTCAACAACCTAAAGCCTCACTTATTATCCATGTTTATCTTTCATTCTTAACTCTAGATCAGTAGTTCTCATTCCTGTGAGACCTAATACTCCCTCTTAATAACAAATATTTTGTGACTCCCTCTTCACTATCCTTAAATGAAGTACATAGATAGTATAACTTACCTACATACATAATTTCAAAAAAATCAATACAGTGACCTAACTGAAATATAAATGAGGAATGAAAGGAAAGTAATTTACAATAAAATGATATGTATTTCAATATATAAATGCAAGGGCACGACTCCATCAGACAACATAATGAAATACATGATTGCACCAACTTATACTGAATAAGTTCATATTTAAGAAAAGTAAAAGGATTGGGAGGCATCACATAAAAGATGGGAAAACATACAAGGCAGAGAGAGATACAGGAAACAGTAGGATAAAAGCTACTGTTAAGACAAAATTCGATAACTATAAACCGTTTTCTCACATACATTATTAAAGCTCACTGGAATATTTGAAAGCTGTGTAGGAGAACAGCTCTTCATTATATGCGATTATCCCAGACATTCAGGACAGCTAGCATCACTGTTCTCCATCCACTTAATGTCAATAGCACCTCCCAAGCATTGTGACAACCAAAATATACCCCAATGCTTCTGATGGCCTTCTTAGGACTCTGAGACACGATGTAGAGATGCTGATGGTGATAGCAACCAACTACAGCCTTTTCTGTCTTGTTTGCTACTCCAGTCCTACTCCTGCCTCTTGAATATCTGTTTCTAGTTCAGCACTCTCATTGATCCTACCCATTCAGTTTTTAGCCCAAGAAGGCATTTCTTCCTCAAGATAGGTCAACTGGACTGTACACAGCAGTAGTTCTGTAACAACTGAATATTGTCTAATAGCCATAAGGCCTACAGCTACTATTTAAGTTTCTACCACCTTTAAGCCCTCTCCCCACCAGTCACTCCACCACCAAGGCTTTGGCACCCAGCTAGCAAATACATCATGGCTTATCTGTTTTCTTGATTCCATCTTGATCAGCTTTTAAGTGCCACATTTTAATTTTAATCTGTTTTGATGCAAATTTTTCCAAAACATACTCTGCTTTTTAAAAAATCATTCTTTCATACTCCATGGATTGGTTCAATTAAAATGGTTAATTTATAAGTATGTTATTTCCAGTTTTTAAACAAAGATCTTAATAACTTTCACAAAAAAGTTGAAAATAACTTAAAATAAACAACTATAAGTATACAACCTCAATTCTACCATTAACGTTTTACTGCAGTTATTTTATCAATTATTTATCAGTCCAACCATCCTTCTCTCCATCCATGAATCCATTTTGTTTTTTGGTGCATTTCAAAGTGAATTGCAAACATCAATATACTCCTCACTAAATCTTTGAGAATTTGTATAATTAACTAGAGAATTCGTATAATTAACTAGAGAATTCGTATAATTAACTAGAGTTAAATCGTTGCTTATAGATTTTCTTTTGATGTAAAATTTATCTACAATAAAATGCAAAAGCATTAAATCCACATTTGCAGAGTTTAGACAAATGCATATATGTATGTCCTAAATACCTTTCAAAATATAGATTGCTACTATCATCCCAGAGTCCTCTCCTTCCCCAACCCAGTCAATTCTTGCCCCATACCCCCAGAGGCAAACATGTTCTGATTTTTTTCCCACAGTACATCAGTCTTATCTGTTCTGAAACCTCATAATAAGACAGTAAGTATGTTTATATATGAGGTTTCTTTCACAGAAAATAATGTTTTTGAGATTCATCCATAATATTCCAAGTAGTCTTAGTTTGTTCCTTAATATTGTGCATAGTATTCAATTATTTTATGAATATACCAAAATTTGTTTATCTATTCTCATATTAATAGACATTTAGGCTGCTTCCCAGTTTTTGCCATTATGATGAAATCCTCTGTGAATGTTTCTGTGCAACTTTTTATTTTGACATTTTTTTATTTACTAAATATAAAGGCATGTAATTAGTTGGTCATAATTTGGTATTATAAGAAATGCCAGAACGTTTTTCAAAGTTGTTGTGCCATTTTATACTCCCACAGTGTAGGAAAATTTTGATCACTCCACATCCTTGCCCACACTTAGTGTTGACAGTTTTCTTTATTTTCAGTGCTCAGGTGGGTGTGTATTGATATCTTGTTGTGGTTTTAATTTGCTTTTCTCTGATAAAAATGATATTGAATACTTTTTTGTGTGTACTGGCCGTTCATGTATTTGCCTTTGTGAAAATGTCTGTTCACATTTTTCCCCCTTAAAAAGATTAGAGATAAGTTTAGACTTACAGAAGAATTGTAAGAATACTACAGAGAGTTTCAGTCTAATTTCGCCCAGTTTCCCCTACTGTTAACATGTTACATAACCATGATGCTTACATTTACCAAAAATTAACCTTGGCACATGACTCTTTACTAAACTACAGACTTTATTAGGATTCTACCAGTTTTTCCACTAATGGATTTTTTTTTTGTCCCAGTGTCAAATCCAGGATGCCACATTGTTTTTATCATTGCTCCTTAGTCTCCGCCAATCTGTGACTGTCCTCAGTCTTCCTTTTCTTTCACAAATTTGACTCTTTTGAAGAGTATTGGTCAATAATTTTATGGAATCTCCCTTAATTTAACTTTTATGTTTTCTCCAGATTAGACCAGGGTCATATGTTAAGAAGAAGAATATCACAGAGGTGGAAGTGCCCTTCTCAGTATATAATATCAGGAAATAAGATTTTTTACTCGTGATGTTAACCTTGGCCACTTGGTCAAGGTGGTGTTTTATAGGTGTTTTTACTTGAAACTAGTCTTCACAGTAATACATACATACATACGTACATACATATATATGTATATATATATGCTCAGTACATACATAATACATACTCAGTAACAGTTCATAGTCTTTCCATTAGAAGCAAGTCACTAAGTCTAGCCTACAGTTATACAGAGAAGAATTTAACTCCACTTCCTAGAAGAAGTACAAAAGAGTTTATTAACATATCTTTTAAAACCACAGAAATACATAATATTTGGGAGGGAGATGGAAATATCCTATGTCTCCTTAAAATTTCACCTACTAATTTTAGCATTTATTAACAGAGCTTGCCTGCAGATTATTATGTTGCTATTCTAATTATGATTTTCTATTTCTCTCATTTCTCCTACCATTATTAACTGGAATTCTTCTATAAGTGAGAATCATTTTTTATTCCCCCATTCATTTATTCAATTATTTATGTATATCAGTATGGACTCATTTATCCTTTGATTTAAAATACAATACTATCATCATTTAATTTGTCGTTCCAATTTGTTCAGGTTTGACCATTGAGGATTCTTTCAGCTTGGGTACTATAACCTTTTGACATCATCTTATCCTTTTGGTTGTGGTTGTCATTTTTGAGCACTTTCAGCCACTGTAAGTTAATCCATGTCTCTTTTGTATCAGCCCTAAAATCATCCATTTCTCCAAGAAACCCTAACTGCTTTTATTAGAGGATAGTGTTTAGAAACCAAGATCTGGAACTAAGTTTGCTTGTTACTACTGAGGTGTTACTACTTCTATGTGCTAAGAGCTAGGAAATCTATGTATATATATACACTTATCTATACTTTATTTTGTATCTACTTGTGTATATATTAAAACAAACTTGAGTTTACACTGCTATCTCTGACTTTAATCCAATAATACAGGGTTTATTCTATTATTCCTCCAGTAGTAGGCAGAATAATGGTCCTCAAAAGATGTTCACATCCTAATCCCTGAAACCTGTGAATGTGTTACCTTACCTGGCAAAAAGAAATTAAGATTGCAGGTGGAATTGTTTCTAATCAGCTGACCATAAAATATGGAGATTATTCTGGGTTGTCTGGATGGACCCAATGTATCACAAGGGCGTCCTTAATAGTAGATGACGAGGGCCAAACAGGGAGTCAGCTACTATGCAAGAAAGACACAGAGAGATAAAACATTGCTGGCTTTGAAGAGAAAGAAAGGGTGCCATAAGCCAATGAATATGAGCGGTCTCTAAAATCGGGGAAAGGCATGGAAACAGATTATCCCTTAAAGCCGCCAGAATGGAATGCATTGTGCTGACACTTTAATTTTAGCCCATTGAGAACCATGTTGGAATTCTAGCCCTATAGAACTATAAAACAAAATGCATTATTTGAAGCCACTAAGTTTATGTAATTTGTTGTAGCAGCAATAAAAAGCTAATACACTTGAACTGCTTATTTGTTACTTCTTTCTCTGATAGAGGAACTTGGCTCTTACCATTTATAATATACTTGCTTATTTTTTCAACCCTAGTACATGTATAGTGTAGTTTCAGAATTGCTAAATCATGCCAATAAAAGAAATATGTTTATTAACTAGATTACAGTGTTTAGGTCGTTACTTTTGTTTTTATCTTTAAAATAGTACAAGACAAACCAGTTTCCCAAAGTTATTGTCAGCTTCTTCCCTCTCCACCTTCTCCAATTAAGGTATATCATATTTCTAATAGAGTTATATACGTTTGCCATAGTCTTTATTCCATTCTGGGTTCTCCAGTCATCTTGGATGACTTTTTTTTTTTTTTTTTTTTTTTTTTTTTTTGATGGAGTCTTGCTGTCGTTGGCCCAGGCTGGAGTGCAATGGCACAGTCTCGGCTCACTGCAACCTCCGCCTCCTGGATTCAAGCGATTCTCCTGCCTCAGCCTCCCCAGTAGCTGGGATTACAGGCGCCCACCACCACGCCTGGCTAATTTTTGTATCTTTAGTAGAGACAGGGTTTCACCATGTTGGCCAGGCTGGTCTCGAACTCGTTTTTCTCATATCTTTTCATCTTCAGTTAGTTTTTGGTAAGTTCTATTTTGAGGGAATCTGCTGAATTTGTTGGCATAAATTTATTCATAATATCCTCTTTTTAGCTTTCTTTTTACAGTTTTATTGAGATTTAATTTACAAACTATAAAATTCACCCATTGTTTAAGTGTAACAATTCAATTATTTTATTAGATTTAGAGTTATCCTGCCATCTCTACTGTTCAGTTTTAAAGTATTTTCATCTCTCTAAGACGTTTTCTTGTGTTTGTTTAATGTTAATCTTAGCGCTTACCCAAAGCTCTAGACAGCCACTGACCAGCCTTCTGTTTGTAAAAATTTTACCTTTTTATTAAATATTCTAGTTGAATGGAATAATACATCTGCAGCTTTTGTGTCTTGCTTCTTTCATTTAGCATAATGTTATTGAGGTTTATCCCTATTATAGTACATATCAGTGGCTTGTTTTTAAGTTGCCAAAAAGCATTTTCATGTGTGGATAAACTACATTGCTTTTGTCCATTCATCACTTGATAGGCACTTGCCATGTTGCCAGTTTGGAGCTATTATGAACAATGTTATGAACATTGCTGTATATGTCTTTGTCTGAACATATGTTTTTATTTCGCTTGGGTAGATTTTTGTGAGTGGAATTGTTCGGTCACATGATAACTTTACAGTAAACTTTACAGAAACTTCCACACTGTCTTCCACATCTATGCCAACAATTGGTATAGTCTGGGTTTTTTTGATGGTAGACATTCCAGAGGGTGTATACTGGTATTTTATCATGGCTTTAATTTGCATTTCCATGATGATTAATGATATTTAGTATCTTTTTATGTGCTTACTAGCCCTTTGGTTATTTTCTTCAGTGAGTTTTCTATTTAAATCTTTAAGTGGTCAATTGTGTCGTTTGTATTCTTATTACTGAGATATTATAGTTTTCATAAATTCTGGATAAAAAGATTTAGTGGATGTACAATTTGCAAATATTTTCCTCCAGTTCTGGTTTGTTTTTTCATTTTCTTAATAATGGTTTTTGGTGTTCAAATGCCGATTTTAATAAAATGCAAATTCACAAATTATTTTTTCCATGTCTTTGGCGTTGTATCAAAGAAATCATAGCCTTACCCCAAAATAGAAAGATTTTCTCTTATGCTTCATTCTAAAAATGTTGTAGTTTTAGCTCTTAAATTTAGGACTAGCATGCCCTTGAGTTAATTTTTTTGTATGATGTGAGGTAAGTATGTAAGGTTTTTTTTTTCATTTTGTTTGTATTGGGGTATATAATTGTCACAATATCTGTTATTGAAAAATCTACCCTTTTCCTTGTCAAATTGTCTTGGGATCTTTGTTGAAGAGGTATATGTGAGAATTTGTTTCTGAAAATTTAATTTGCTTCCGTTGGTCTAAATGCCTGTCCTTGTGCCAACAACACACTCTCTTGATTACTATGGCTTAGTAGTAAGTTTCGATACTGGGTTATGTAAGTCCCCTGACTTTGTTCTTTTCTTGAAATCGCTTTGAATTTTCTAGGTCCTTTCATTTCCATATAAATTTTACCATCGATTAGACAATATCTATAAAACATTCTATTGCATATGGATATCCAGTTGTCCCAGCATCATTTTTTTTTATTATTATACTTTAAGTTTTAGGGTACATGTGCACAATGTGCAGGTTTGTTACATATGTATACATGTGCCATGTTGGTGTGCTGCACCCATTAACTCGTCATTTAGCATTAGGTATATCTCCTAATGCTATCCCTCCCCACTCCCACCACCCCACAACAGTCCCCAGAGTGTGATGTTCCCCTTCCTGTGTCCATGTGTTCTCATTGTTCACTTCCCACCTATGAGAGAGAACACCCAGCATCATTTGTTGATGAAACTACTCTTTCCCTCATTCAATAGTCTTGGCACACCTGCTGAAAATCAATTGGCCATAAGTGTATGCATATAGTTTTGGAGCCTCAATTCTATTCCATTAATCTATGTATCTGTCCTTAGAATTATGTTATTTTGATTACTATAGCTTTGAAGAGGGTTTTAAAACCAAAAAGTGTGAGCTAACTTTTTTTCTTGTATTTTAAAAGTCTTTAGGCTGTTCAGTATTCCTTGAGATTTTACATCAATTTTAGGATGCATTTTTCATTTTCTGTAAGAAAAAAAAGTCATTGGGATTGTGGTAGGGATTGTGTTGTGTCTGTTGATCACTTTGAATAGTATTTTCATTGTTTTAGTCCATTTTTTGTTACTATGACAGAATACCTGAGGGGGGTTATTATTTTTTTAAAAGAATTTTATTTTGGCTCATGGTTCTGAAGGGTAGGAAGTCTGACATCAAGTGACCATATCTGGTTGGTTTTTGGTGAGGGCATCCTACTGCATCATAACATGACAGAGAACTGAAAGGGGAAGTGGGTGCCTGCAAAAGAAACAAAACACAAGAGACAGCCTCACTTTATAACAATCTGCTCTTGCTGTAACTAATCCAATTCTGTGAGAGCAGGAACTCACTGATCCCTGTGAGAATTAAACCACTCCCATGAGAGCAACCTTACTCCCTCTTTACAAACTAATCACCCCTTAAAGGCTCAACCTTCCAACAACATCACACTGGGGACCAAATTTCCAACACATGAATTCTGGGGGACACACAAAAACCATAGCGGTCATCTTTAAATATTGTTTTCCAATCCATGAACACAGGATGTCTTTCCATGTATTTAAAAGTTTTCTTTAATTTTTTAACAATGTTTTGTAGTTCTCACTGTATAAATCTTGTACTTCTTAGCACAAGACTTTATAAATTACCCAGTTTATTACATCCTTTATAAATTACCCAGTTAAATTTACTTCAAAGTATTTTATTCTTTTTGTTGTATCATAAATAGAAAGTTTCCTTAATTTATTTTTCATAGTGTTCGATGAAAGGATATAGAAATACATCAAATTTTATGTGTTGAACTTGCATGTGTTAATCTTAATTTGTTCATTAGCTCTAATAGCTTTTAGTAGATTTTTAATATTTCCTTTTTATATTTTCTGTATATGAGATTACATTTTCTGTGGCTAGAGATAGTTTTACTTCTTCCTTTCAAATTTGGGTGCTTTTTATGAAGAAATATTTTGAAAGTCGCCAGAGAAAAATGACAATTTACATACAGATGGACAACAATTCAAATGTCCATGGACTTCTAATCAGAAGCTATGGAGACCAGAAGACAGTGGAATGAATGACATCTTAAAGAACTAAAACACAGAAGCAAACACTCATCCAAGAATTCCACATTGAGCAAAAATAGTTCTCAAGAATGAAGGCAAAATAGAAAATATTTCCATCCATCAGTACCGTAATAACATTAGTCACCAGCAGACCTACGCTACAATAACTACTGAGGGAATTTCTTCGGGCAGAGTAGAAATAATACCAGTTAGAAACTCAGATATTTTGGAATAAATGAAGATTATTGAAAAGGGTAGAGATCTTAGCAAATACAAAAAACTTTTTTCTCTTAATTAAAAAAATAAAGGGGACTTCCACTTTCACCCCTAACATGTAAGGAGCTTGAAAGTTGCCATTCGCATCCTTACAATGAAAAAATGCTGGACAGTAAATAGAAAACTGATGACTTTTCTTAGCCTCAGAGAATTGAGATGGCAGAACAACCCAACATCTCAAAAGCTGGAGAGATAGGCGCATTCATATCTGCTTATCTAATGAAGACCTGCTGGAAACCATAAACAGTATGACTATTTAATTAATTCTCTAGTAATTATGAAAAATTACTGGAGATTAAATGTGAACTAGTGTGAGAGTGAGAAGTTTATGAGGGGGAAAATCATAGAGGGGCTCTCCACACTTTTGTGGGCTTTTCCTCCAGGAATTGCACAATATTCTCATAATGAGAATTAGGAAAATCCTTTCAGTGGCTCTGACAGGAGGAGGGGAGAAAAAGAACAAAATATACAATAACTATAAGATAATATCAAAGGAGGTAAAAAATCTAGTTAGAATCCCAGAAAGAGAAGAAAGAGAAAAGATAGCATAAGACATTTTTGAAGCATTAAATGACCAAGAACATCACAAATTAGTGACAGATACCAAACTACAAATCCAGTAAGTTCAGAGAACACCAAGAAAGATAAGTACCGAACACACACACACACACACCCCTGGGCATTTTGATTCAGACTGCAAAAATCAAATGCAAAGAGAAAATCTTGAGTGAAGACAAAGTGCAGGGAGGCAAAACACCTTATCTATAGATGAAGAAAATGTAAGGCTTATAGTAGACTTGTCAGAATCCATACAAGTGAGAAGAGAGTGAAGTGAAATCTTCATACTGTTTAAAGAAATTTCTACCAATATATAATTTTATATCCAGTGAAATTGTCCTTCAAAGGTGAAGCAAGGTAGTCAGTGATCTTTTGGGTGTGATTTCAGGATCCCAAACTGGCTTTCATATGACCAATAATAGGGTCCCATATTACTGCAGATGCCAAAAGTCAAAGCACGATAAGTATGAGTAAAGTAATTTTCACTTTTTACTGTTTGTAGACAATGTCCATCTTTCAATTAAATAGCCAGACTTCCATTAAACTCTGGTAACATGTCAAGCCCTGTGCTAAGCTGGTGCTCTGTATTCATTTGCTCAGGCTGCCATAACTAAATACCACAGACTAGATGGCTTAAACAACAGGAATTTGTTTTCTCACAATTCTGGAGGCTAGAAGTCTAAGATCAAGGTGCTGGCATGGTCAGTTTCTGGCAAGGGCTCTCTTCCTGGCTTGCAGACAGCTGCCTTTTCACTATTATGTTGCAGGGTGAGAGAGTGTGTCTCTTCGTATAAGAATGCAAATCTTACTGGATCAGGACCCCACCCTTATGACCTCATTTAACCTTAATTACCTCCCATAATGGCCCTATCTCAAAATACAGTCACATTGGGGGTTTCAACCTATGAATTTTAGTGAGACAAAAATTTTCACTCCATAGCAAGCTCCAAGATAAATATAAGAATCATTGTTACATAAAATCTTCATGTACCCAACAGAAAAAGGCAAATGAACCTCAGTGAGGAGAGATGTAATCTATTAATTTTCACTTTAAAATTTGATAAAATAAATGGGAAGAGAGGGAACTTAAACTGCACTTTGAGATTTTTACTTGATTCCCACAGATCATAGCTTAGCAGCAGTGTATGTAAAAGACAGTTTGAAGTTAACACTCATTCAATAGGTATCCACAATTAGCCATAGATAAAAAAGCTGCTATCTGTTTAGATTATATTTACAGGAGAAAAATTTCCAAAATGAGGGAGGCAATAACCCTGCTGCTCTCTGTCCTTTCAAGATGACACCTGGAATACAGTACTTTGCTCATTTCTGGGGCCAGAATACATGAAAGTTATGAATAAACTGCCACATACCCGGATGTGTGACCAGGGGGGGTAAGGAATGCAAAACCATACCATATAAGGAATAGCTGAAGAAACTGGTAAGAGCTGACCTAAAGAACGGAAAACTAAAAGGTTTATAAGCTCTGCATTGAAACATATGAATAATACATAAATGAAACTTTCATTTTGGAGACATAATTAGGTTAATTATAAACAAGAACACTCAGTCAGAGCTATCTGAAGATGGAATGGGTTGAGTTTGAACATAATGAGTTCTCTTTCATTAATGGTATATAAGTACCAGCTAGATGACCACAGGCAAGGATATTATAGAAGGAATTGTGGTAACAACTGGGGGTTGGACTAGTAAACCTTGCAGAATTCTTCCAACTTGAAGATTCTCAAAGGGTATGATTCTTAAGATCACCAGAGGATTGTCTCTTTTACAAAATAATCTATCAACAGTTCTTATTTAAATATTAAGTAACTCTGTTGGATTTAATATGAAATTGTTTTCTAATTGGGTAAACTGAGGCACTTCTTAAACCTTCCCTGCTATGTTTCTTTGGTTTTTGTACTGAAACTCTTCTTTATCGCTAACCATTTTCAGTAGTGGGTATGACACAAGCCCACCTGCACATCACATTTTATTGCCCCGTGACAGGGCTCAATTGATTAGTAAGTGTTTTTGACAACTCATTCTATGCTTAGCACTGGATAGGGCCTGTGAGGTGATAGAAGTCTCAGACAGAAACCCTGTCCCCAAGGATTTCCATTCTCCTTCAGGAGTCTGTACAAACACAAAGGCTCAAGGGAACGGCCCAGGCTCTAGGATTTCCCATAGGGGAGGTTGATGTGAACAAGAGTGGTCAAGGGTAAAAAACATGAGCTGATACGTCCAAGAGTGAATTTGTATTTATCATCTGCTTCTCTTTCTTGTGTCCCCAACTTAGCGAATGGTA
Organism: Homo sapiens; assembly: GCF_000001405.40. Taxonomy (NCBI): domain Eukaryota; kingdom Metazoa; phylum Chordata; class Mammalia; order Primates; family Hominidae; genus Homo; species Homo sapiens. The sequence goes on along the minus strand of NC_000023.11, from coordinate 131,305,222 downwards.
CCACTATGCATCAAGTTTCCAAACAGAAACTTGAGAGTCATCCTTGATACCACCTTATTTCTTCTACTGAAACTATCAAATCTATGGATAGATAATGCCAATTTTACTCCCATCTCTTAAATATATATTTTCTATTACACCTGCCACCACTGTAGTCAATGTTGCTTAGAAAAATGCCTCATCTACTAACTTGTCTCCCTGCCTCTCCTTATTCTATTCATTCTCCACACTGTAGATTGAATAATCTTTCTCAACTCCAACATGAGGATACCACTCTTCCATTTCACACTCCTTGATATGATGTTAAAAGCCATTTGTAACCTGGCTCAAGCATCTCTATCCACTATCATTGTCTTGTTTGTTTTATCTTCTATGTTCATGATGTACTTAAATTATTTTAAATGCTGAAATTTCTTCCCATACTCTCACTTACCTTCAGACCTTTCTGCCTTGTAGCTCTTTCTACATGGAGTACTCTCCCGACTGTGCCCAGAGCATCCCAAAGTATCTTTCAAGTCTCTTCTTAGATGTTATTTCCTTCGAGAATCAAGTCCTGATTATCTTTCCAAGTCTGCATGGCTTCCTTTTGTCCAGACTATTAATATCCTGTATTTTCCGCTATCGTATGGCCCTTTCCAAACTACAGTGTAATGACCTGCTTAATTGCCTGTGAGTTCTGTGAAGGCAGAGACTTTAGCGAATTTGTTTAGACAGACTTTTTAATGTATATTCAGTTACTAGCACTTTACTTAGCACATAGTAGGCATTCAATAAATTGTTGAATAAATAAGGGTAAGACATGCCAGAACATGGAGGGAAACCAGCATCAACCAAGGCAAATTGATTGAAATAAACATAGTATGTGTATTATAGGAAAGTAGGCAGGAAGGGCATGTTGTATGAAATGAGCAGAACTGCCTGATAATAGTCAAGAAGATGCATGTAAGAATGTTGGCAGTCAAGGTTGGAGAGGCAGAGTGGGGTACATTATGGAGGACCTTGAATGTTAGAGTAAGAAATCTCAACTTGATTAATAAGACAATGAAGAATTCTGTGAACAAGCATCCTTAAATCTCCAATCTCTATTTTGGGCCCCTAGATATCTTCTTTCTACACACATCCTGGAGAGGGGAAAGAAGTAAGGGCAACACCACTAGTAGCATATTGACCTAGGACATTTGTTTTTGCTTGTTTATTTGTTTTTATTGGCATTATTGATGTATAATTTAGAATTCACCAATTGTAAGCATACAGTTCTGAGTTGTGACAAACACACATAGACATATAACCACCACCAGAATCAAGAAAAAGAAGATTTCCTTTTCCTCCAAAAGTTGCCTCATTTCCCTTTGCAGAAATTGTGTACTTCTAACCCTGACCAGTGGCAATCACCAGTGTGTTCTCCTACCTATAGTTTCCCGTTTTTAAAATGCCACATAAATGGAATTATACAATATATAAGCTTTTGGATCTGGCTCCCTTCACTTAACATAGTATTTCTTTCAGATTCATTGAAGTCCTTGTATGTATCAGTAGTTTGTTCTCTCTCTCTCTCTCTCTCTCTCCTCTTTCTCTCTTGCTAAGTAGTATTCTGTAGTTTGAATGTAATACAATTTATTCTTTCCTCAGTTGATGGGCATTTGAGATGTTTCCAGTTTAAGGCTATTGTAATAAAGTTGCTGTGAGCATTCGAGTAGCAGTGCTGGTGTACTTGCCTAGCCCCTCTACTCAGAGCAAGTGTACCTGGAAAGAGATGAACGGGTCCTGGAAGAGATGACTGGACCAAGAACTCATCAGGACTCACACTTCTCTCCCTTTTCACCCAGTCTAATTTATCAGCACTATTACAAGGATTTGTTGTGATCAAAATTCGAAAAACAACCCTGTAGTTTCTCACTTCTTTGATGATTTTATGAAAATGGAGACGTAGTCACTCAAATATTTGCGTCTTATCTCCCTCTCTCCTGTTTTCTTATTTTCCCATTTAAATTTATTTTTACTCTATTTTTGTACCTCCTTTCCCCTCTTCTTTTTCTTTTGTCCCCTTCTCCCCTCCCTCTCTTTTCCATCTGTCCTTCCCTTCCCTTTTTACGTGCCCTTTCTATTTTATTGTTTCATCTTCTCTTCCATCTGTAACTTTCTAGCATAGAAATTTATGTTTACAAAAATGTTTAAATCAAGGATGTAGACAATTTACATGAACTGTTACACACCATAAGCATTTTATGCACTGCCAACTCATTTTATTTACTTGTTTTAACTGTGAGGATACTGAGCACTCAGTCCTATTTCTATTACATGATATCACATCAGTCAATTACACCTAATTTCCCATAGTGATTCTGAGAATTTCAGCCAGATAGAGCTTTTATGTTTTGTTTTAAAGTACGCAGTTGTTGATTCCTACGTTGCATACCACTGCCTACCCTTCCTGCTCCCCATTAAAACTCTTATGTTTTGACAAATTGGTGTCATTAGGATTTCAGCCCTCTGAAATAGGTTTAATCATTCAGGCGGTAATGTTCTATGTTCAAGCTTTTGTATTAACAAACTCCCCCCTCCTTTTTTCTTGGTAAATGGGAACCTGATATTTAAGCATCCTAGATTAGTGTTACAGGTGCACTTTCGGCCCACCCATGAGGAGCTGTGCTCAAATTCCCATGTCTAATGCCAACAAGTATTAGCGGGACTAAAGAAGTTCATTTTATTGCTTTATTAGAATTGCTTCTTTTGAACCTGGGCCATTTTTTTACAAGGCCTCAGCTTAAGGGTCTGTGTTAGTTAATTCATATTCTATTTCCTTTCCCAGGGATATGAAGCCCTTTCTAAAAAGAAGGGTTGAGGAGGGGGAAGGGACTTACTGTGGTTCAGTCCTGATGGCTGTGATTGAGGAGGCAGAAGAACCAGGGAGAAAGAAAAAAGGGCTGCAGGAAGTGTGGTGTTTAGGGTATGCATGGAAATAATACCAGTCTCAAAAAGCCAAATTTGGTAAATAGCTTTAGAGAGGGAACTATTTAGGGAGGAAGGATAGGAGAAAGAAATGGAGAAGATGGGAAATAGGGGCAAGAGAGAGAAAAGAAAAGGTTAGGGAGTGGAGAGGTTTCCAGGGTAAATAAGCCCAAGTCTCTCAGCAGCCCCTCACCAGAATGATTTCCAGACTCTTAGGCAACCTGCTTTCTCCCTTCTAGATGCCTTGTAGCTTCTGGCTGCTACCCATATGTTCCCCCCATCCTGCTATTTTCATTGAATACTTCAAGTACAGGTCTGCCAAGCACAGAGCTGGGATGCACTATCACTCCCTTGTTTCCGACTCTATCTTTCTACTAATGCAGATGAAGATGGATTTGGTTTTCTATGCAGCCACAACACACAACTGAATAATATTGAGCTTACAGTCCCTAAAAGCCCCTAAATCTTTTTTACGCATGTTGCTACTTAGTCACATCTCATCCTCTGCTTGTGCATCTGGTGATTTTGGGATCCAAATGCAGGATTTTACATTTATGTTCCATATTTGTGAACATTTAAACATTATTTTTGATGCATTATTAAGCTTATTTCAGAGATTTTTGAGAATAACTCTCATCAGTTTTATAGTCATGTAAATGTACCATTTTGTTCTGTTTTCATTTTGATAATTAATTTTTTCAGAAAGAAGGCACAGATAATTAAGCATTCAAGGACATTTAGATTTTCATAATTCATCTTTAAAATGTAAATGTTCTCAAATTTAACCTGTTGATAAATAATACATTAAATTTTTTCATTTTGCTGTTTGTTTCAGGCAAGGTGGAAAAAAAGTGGCATATGCCTAGACTGTCCCCAGCCTCCTAAAATGGTGCAATGCTGCAAAAACAACCATAATCCCTCGTTGCTGGGCAATGGACAGCGTCACAAATCAAACTCTCTTCGTTTTTGCATCTACTTATCTAGCTTAATGCTGAGACGGTCACAAACAAAGAAGATATTCGTTATATAAATGGGGTGGCTAATGTACTTCAGGAAATTTTTAGATCTTACTTGGTGTTTATGTGTACTTTTTGTGTTTTTAATGTTGAAAAAGATACAAATTATTTAGAGCTGAAATTAAAATTACATTAAAAAATTCAATCTAACCTTATTACCTTGTGATAAACATGAGTCTTAGAAAAACCTCTCTGTTGATGTTTTCCACATGAATGATTTCTAGCAGATGACCTCAAGTTATAAGGTGACAGATTTATAAAATCACAGAATGGTCTTCTCATTTTAAGAGAAAATTTAGATTGTTGTTTGCTTTTATTACTCTCCCTAAACTCTGAGGGAACACAAATTTAAAGAAAACTTTCTCAATCCAGATACATAATTAGTATATTTCCAGTTCTCCTCAATGTATGCCTAGTCCTTTATAGCTGCTAAGAATACTATTCATAGCATCTTTCAAAAGTATCATAAGGCTGTTATGTCCATTATCAATTATAATGGCTATATTATATATGACGTATCAACATTCAGTCCAAAAGCACTATTACCTCTGAACAGATTGTTTTTCTGCAATTAGGTGCTGTACACTAAGCTAGCTAAGAAAATAAGCATTGGCCCCATGTACCCAGGCTCTACATAATAGCATTGTTGTGAAGGAAAATGAGCAAAATGGATCTATGAGCACTTTGGGGGAAAAGAAACAATGGTGCTATACATAGACAAAGAATTATAATAAAAATAATAACAGCCATCAGATCTGACCTAATGAAAATTGGACAGCAGAACTAAAAGCAATTTCAAAAACGCTAATAACTATCTTCTTCCTCTTCTTTTTCCTTGGTTCCCATGGCAATCCATATTTTCATATGAGGCCCACAATTTGGGCCTTTTTTGGGCAATTAGCCTCCCATTTGTCCAATTCTCTTTACCTGACTCTTCAAAAGTCCCCTACCGACTTTCCATTTAACCAAATATCCAAGTCAATTCAACTAAACAGCTAGTTAGCTCAGTAAAAATAGTGTAATTACATTAAGATGTGATCATTTCAAGATGATATTTAAGAAGTTGGGCAGAAGTGAACTCTTCAAATGATATTATCAGTAATATGATCAGTTATGTAAACTAGGAATGGGTTTCTTTGGGTGCAAATGGCAACTTTAGGAAAGACAGTTAGGCAGCATTGGTGCTAAAAGAAGGAAAATCAACAGAAATAAGTGCTACAGGAAGAGTAAAGACTTTATTATTCTGGTGATTTTAAAAAATTATTTCTAAAATTATGATATGTATATATGAAATGTAACTCATCATATGAACTATAAACTATTCACTTACACACACTGTATAGATATACATTTTCTTTCTGCTGCTTTGCTTTACCTATTCAAACCAGTGTATTTTTTCTCATTTTAACATAAATTTCTAAATATTTAAATGTGTCTTTTTGTTGTTTGTTGTTTGTTTTTGTTTTGTTTTTCTGTTTTTGAGACAGAGCCTCTCTCTGTCACCCAGGCTGGAATGCACTGGTGCCATCTCCACTCACTGCAGCTTCAACCTCCTGGGTTCAAGTGATCCTCCTGCCTCTCAGCCTTCCGAGTAGCTGGGACTACAGGTGCATGCCATCACACCAGGCTAATTTTTGTATTTTTAGTACAGACAGTATTTCGCCATGTTGGCCAGGCTGGTCTTGAACTCCTGGGCCTGAGAGATCTGCCCACCTCAGCCTCCCAAAGTGCTGAGACTACAGGCATGAGCCGCTGTGCTGGCCTATTGTGTATTTCTTAACAACAAATAATTTTGATTATTTAAAAATTCTGCCCTAAATTGTTACCCAACTTCTCAAATTTTGTTTTTTTAATCATAAATTATTTGTTGTAGCAATATAAAATACAGGGATGAAGAAAAAAGAGCACCTCCAATAATTCTTCACTACATAGAAAATAACCAACATGTACATTTTGTGTGTCTTCTTTGAAGTTTTTTCTAGGTAACCTTTACGGGATATTACTCTAGATATTTTTAAAAATCTTAACATTTCTCAAATACTTTATAAAATAATTTTAAAAATCCAGTATATGAGAGCTTGTCTTTTACAGGAGAAAAATCTTTACATTTCTTAGCTTAGACTGAAAATACAGTGACAGTTTCTCGCTCTCTCTCTCTTTCAGTCTTGCTCTTGGTCTTACTCTTTCTCCCCCAACAGTTTGCAGATTCAATGGTTTCTATCTTCACAATATCTCTTTTTCTTCCTCTTTTCATTTTCATTTACTTATTCTAAGCAACAGGTATTGAGCCACAATAACATGGGTTTTAGAATCAGATGACCTGGGCTCAAATTACAGCTCCACCTCTGACTAATGTTTTCTTTTTTTTTTGAGACAGGGTCTTGCTCTGTCTCTCACGCTGGCGTGCAGTGGTGTGAACATGGCTCACTGCAGTCTTGACCTCCCAGGTTCAAGCCATCCTCCCACCTCAGCCTCATGAGTAGCTGGGACTATAGACACACGCCACCACGCCCGGCTCATTTTTGTATTTTTTGTAGAGACGGGGTTTCGCTATGTTGCCCAAGCTGGTCTTGAACTCCTGGACTGAAGTAATTCTCCCGCTTCGGCCTCCCAAACTGCTGGGATTACAGTCGTGAGCCACTGCCCCCGGTCTACCTCTGACTAGCTTGTATTATCTTGGGCAAGTTGCTTAACCTCTTTGAGCCTCAGTTATCTCATCTGTAAGAAATGGATGCTAATAGCTATAGGAAGTTCTTAAACTGGTGCCTGGCTCATAGTTAGCATTCAACAAATATTGTTTGCTCTTGTGGCTGCTGCTGCCCCTGCTGCTGCTACTGCTATTGTTATAAGCACTGCTCCAGAGTGTTGTGAAAGAAAATGTGACAATGTTTGTAAGATGCTCAACGTGATGCCTTGCAAATAGTGAGCACTTCATAAGTACTAACTATTATTAGCATTATTTCTGTATTAGGCACAGGAGATACACAGATGAATAAGTCTCTACTGTCAGAGAAGTAACCATGTAGTATTTACAGCTGCCAGATGAATCCAATCATACTTCAGTTCATATGTGACATTACCCACAAGGCTTTCGCTGATCCCCTCAGATGAGAATATTGCTCTTTGCTAAACTTCCATGACCACTTTCTCTCCACTTTTCTTATCAAACTTTAGCACATTTTTATTTTTATCTGCTTACATGTCTTTGCTCCTCTTCTAGTCTTTTAGTTACTAGAAGGGCAGTGAAAATATTTTGTTAATCTTTTAGCTGCTAATGTATGCCTAGAGCGTTTTGCATTCTTTCATCCATTCTTCCATCCATTCTTTGCCCATCTTATTCCACCAAATATTTAAGTGTTCCTTGTTTATAATGGGCATTTAATAAAGGTTGGCTAAATAAGTGAGTATTGGAGTTAACCATTTGAAATTCAAGAAAGCATATGGTATTAAGTCTGCCATATATTTTGCAAAGCATATAAAATTTAAACTGCTTTTTAGTTTAGATAGAAGTCATAAGAATAAATTTCCACCTCATTTTAAGTCTATGCTAAGTTCCACTTGGTAATTTTTTGGTGCCATCTTACAGCTATTTCAAGTGGGATTCTTTCATGGTGTACATATTTTTAAAATATTGTCATACTGTGCCCAGGATAGTCACAGAACTTCCACAGCAAGTGCTCCTTGTTGAAATCCAGGGTTATTAATAATGAAAAGTCATTTGGATACTTTAATTAGTGTCCAGCACTATTTCCATTAGTTAATATGTATTTTTAACATCATGGTGCCTAACAACAATTGTAGAGTAGATTTCCTTGGCACTGCAATTCCTCAACTGGATTATGCCATCCTAAGTTTCTGAAGATCTTGCTAAAAACACTAAGAAGAAATTTTCTGTAGGTAAAGGTCACATAGCTAATCAAAAGGATATTTAATGCCAAATGGCCTTTTCCTCTACCCCCTTTTAAACATGCTAAGGGCTTTCTTCTACACTTCTACCATTCCTGCCTTACTTTCTCATTTGATTCTGAACAAATGGCTTAAGGGAAAGAAAATTGGATAGGGCCATTCAAAAATCTCTTTAGAGTCATCTACACCCAAACCAATCCCAGACATTGCTAAATGACATCCAAGAATTTTGTTGTTATAGTTTGGAGCAAAAGTCAGTTCTGTATCTTTAGTAACAGTAGAGTTATAAAAATAGCCCCTTATATTCAAACACTAGAAAATGTATTTACTCAGATACCTACGACAAATATTTATAGATGGATATATGGTTTTTTTTTCTGTTTTCTTTGTTGATATATCTCCAGAACTAGAAAACAAAGTAGGTGTGCAATTAATATTTTTGAATAAATGCAGGAATACATAAATCCCATTTTCCTAAGATCTCACAGTTCCTAAGCACTCCAAGCACTAAAGACTATTTTTCGGTTGTTTTGAATGTAGAAATACCAAGCACCTGTTCTAATTTTTATTAGGTTAATCCTATTAGGTGCTTATACTAATTTTCCATACGAATTCTGAGTATTTCTGAGAACACAGATGAGAATCAGATTAAATCACCTTTTGCATTTGAATTTACCAGACCTAATTTCAATTTTCTTTTCCCTACACACTATCTCCTCTTCTAAAATGTTCTCCTACAAACCCCATTAAACGTTATCTGCTTGGATACATTGAAGTCTAAGACAGAGCCTGATTTAAAAATTATTAGAGCTTTGAAAAGGGTCAACACTTTCAAACATGGGTGTCTAATACATGTGACTCTAATTGTAAACTGTCCCATCTCCAGTTTTTGTTTTCTTTTGAAACAGAAACCTGAACTACTAGGAGACTGAATTAGAGGAACAGGTGGACTGTCAGCTCAGAAAGTGGCCTCTGAGTCCTGTCCCTGAGGATCTGTGCCCAGGATAGCATAACTAACATCAGGGAGAGCATTAGGAGCTAAAGAAGGTCATTTTCTGCTTGGTTAAAAGCCCTCTGTTTGGACCTAGATCATGACCTGGCCTTTCATTTGGCACAAATATGAAATTGTACTAAAAAGTGCTATTAGGGCACACATGGTTTGTAATGCTCTGGCTCCTGTCCAGGTCTCCAACCTCATTTTCTGCCACTATCTCCACACACCATGCACTACAATACTTTGTGATTCCTTGCTCTGTATTCCCAAAGATGTGAATCATATGGTGGGATGCCAGGAAGACATCAGGTGGGTGAAGCAGATGGTTTGGAGCAGGAGGCCATAAAGGTGACCTCACCATGCTCAATGATAGAGATGCTTGAGTCTGGGGGACTTGAACGAAGAACTTCTAAGCACTGCAAATTGGAATTAAATGCTCTCCTCTCTATGTTATGACAATGCTTTGTTTCACGCTCCATACTGTGTTCTGCATTATATCGTCCTTAGCTGTGAATATGAATATATCTCCCACGAATTCATAACCTTGAAGATAGAGTGTATTTTTCCATCTTTCTATAATACTTTGGGTATAGTCAAATGGAATATTTACTCTTTAATTGTTCAAAAAGAATCTGGGAACTGAGATGGTATCCATTTGGGACCTTTTCAGGTTCCCCCTCCCTATCAAGTCCTATTTCCACTCCCACCAATCAAAATCCCAGATATTCACTGTAAAAAGATATATTTAAAAAGTAATGATTAGGATGAGGCAAACAGAAAGTTCTATATTCAGATTTAGCTCACAGTTATTGAATACTCATTTGACTGATGAGGAGATGGAGACTCAAATAACTTTCAGTAGCTTGCCAAATGTCACACTATTACCCAGCTAGTAAGTGGCTCTGCCAGGACTGAAATTCGACCCCCGACACTAAGTCAAAATCCCTTTCCACAAACACTGAAACATGTAGGTAAACTCCTCTCATTCCCTGCTTTATAATTCTGATATACTTCGTTGCTTAATCACAAACATATTCTGTGAACTCTCAGCTAGGCAGAAGCTAAATATTATGAACATATGAGACTCATTTTACGTTCATATTTATTTCTATGTCTATGCACTTGTGTGTTCATTTATATTACTTTTGTGTGTTTGTATATTTATGTATTCAGGTAGTTAGTGCACTTACATATTTATATGTGTGTGTTTATTTTTATTTATGCACTTATGTACTTCTTTACCTTATCTGTAAGGTTATGAAGCTCTTACTTCTAATCCTGTTAGATGAGAACATCAGTTGATGATATCTTAATTTCCTATAGCATTTCTGAGGATTTCAGCTTAAAATAGGTCTTGCATTTCAATAAAAAGACCTCAGCTCCTGAGCTTCTCGGGGAGAGGATAGAAGGAGCAGCTGTGCTCCGAACCAAATTGCTGGGCTTTGGGAACACTGACAAAGCCAATGGAAACCTCAGCTATGAGAGTAGCACAAAAAGAAAATGAAACCTACCTGATCTAGAATGAGAAAAATGATAAAAACAAGTTTAGTAGCAACCAATAAGTACTGTGATGCTGAGGAGGAACCAGGAAGCCCAGAGAATTCAGGAGATATGGCTGTCCTGGAGGAGCAGCAGGCAGAACCCAGACAAAGGGCCGAGGTGAGGGCGTTGATGCAAGACCATGTGGACATTTTAAAAAGCACACAGAAAAAGCTCAGCAAAGACTGTGGGGCACTACTAGTGAGGCCAAAGAATGGAAAGAAACCCTAAGAAAGAAATATTGCTGAATAAATATCATGGAAGAGAGAATCAGTACAAATGAGGACAAAATTGAGCTTCAGTCTTAAAAGATAAAACATCTAAGAAAACAGTTCTTCATGGTGCAAGAAAACATGATAGATCTCAAAAACACATCAAGGTGGTACAATATTTATGTATCTTGCATCCTTGAAGGTGCAGAAAATAAAGAGATTAGCCTTGAAACCATTATTAAGGAAACTGTTGATAAAAATTTCCCAGAGCTAAACATAGATCTCGACTTATATACAGAGAAAATTTATAAGTTCCCACTCAAATGTATCTCTCATACTAAAAGTCCAAAGCATATTATTGTACAATTCTTAAACTTGAAAGATAAAGAAATTGTCTCAGAAGCTGCTCAAAAAAGAAGTGATTTTCAACAAGATAAATATAGGACTGACACCTGAGTATACCTTAGTAACAGTGGATGAGAGACCAATTTGAAGCAAAATCTACTAGTTGAAGTTCCTGGGCTTGAAGCCCCATGTGAACCATTCAGCTAAGCTATCTTTCTTATTTCAAGATGAGAGGAAAATCTTTGGCAGTCAAGATGACTTCAAGGCATTTGTCAGTAAAACTCCCAAACTATTGGTTTTGCTGAAAACAGCTGCAGCCCAGGGAGAAGATACTCGCGGAGATAAGTGACTAAATTCACTTTCAAAGCCACATTTCTTAAGAGAGTGTAGATCTTATTTTTATAATTAATTGCGTTTTTGCCAGGGTGATTAGCGGAAAAGGAAGTAAAAATTTACGGTTGTACCAAGTTGTTATTATGTGTGTATATCTATAGCTATACACACACACACACACACACACACACACACACACACACACAGAATGCATGGGAAAGGATGATAAGGAAAGTTCAAAAAGGAAAATGGGAAAGAATGAAGGAGGGATAAACGGGAGGGAGAAAATGAAAACAGCAAGATAATAATTAAGCATGAGTTGGATAGGGAGACATTGAAATATGATAGATTAAGAAAAAAAATAATTTGTATTGTCTACCTGAAAGCAATCAATTATATGAACTTAACAGACTTTTATGGAGAAAGTATTTCCTCATCTTCTGTCAAGGGTACATGAATCTTTCAGAAAGTCTGACCATATCCTAGATCACAAAACAAGTAGAATTGGAAGAGATGCATGTATATTTAAATAATTGCCTGTAAACTGATGTTTTTAGGAACAGATTATAAACAGTTGGTAATATTGCAATGATGAGTTTTTAAATTGCTAATTTGTGTTGCTCTTGCAGTTTAGCCATCTTTACTTAATTTTAATCATATAATTGTTTAATCATACAATACGTAGGAATAAAAGAACCAAATTATTGACTTCTATAGTTTCCTTTGGACAAGTGATTACGAGTAAATAAATATTAGAGAGACCAGTTGTGCCTTCCCAAGCGGCATTCCCCCCTCCCCCCCCATCCCCCCACCACAACACACCCATTCCCACCCCTGCCCCACCATGCAAATGCCTACAATTTGGACACACTGGGGGCAAGTCAGACTCTGAGACAGAAAAAGGCTTTCCTGGCACTGGTATCTGGAAGCATCCTTCCTGGATCAGGCCTAAACTGCTTATAGAACCTGTGCCTGCCTGCTCTAGGCAGTGAGGCTGAGCCTACCTCCTTTCATTCTGGAGCCACCAACTTCATCCAACACAGGAAAAGGGAATACTGAAACACTTTGAAGCCCACTTTCGGAGCTCTCCTGCATTTTGGATATCTGTCTCTGAACACCCTCCCCCACCATGTACTCAGATACACACTGTTCCTCGTATAAACAAAAGCCATATTGTGATGCTAAGAGAATTGTCATTTGGAGACAGTGGACTAGTAGATTACCTTTTTTGGTAAATGGTACATAAACCAAAAAGAACTTTGTGATTCTGCTAACACTGAAACACACACACAAAAATCCTCATTTTCTCCCTCCACCCATTAAACTTGTTAAAATCACCTAGGTATTCACATTGTTGGTTTGCTTTGTGACAAGCACCCAGAAGCCTGATCATCCAGGCCTCTATCTAATGTCTAATGCCCCACTATGAGTGTTTTGATTAAATAAGTTTTAGTTCTAATTCATCACTTGAATTTGGTTTATTCTAGGAAGCTTCCTGCACACTCCTGAAAATGCCCTCAGTTATAGCTTCTGGAAATGACTTAGTGCCCCAAACTCTGCCCTTAATAATTAAAGTGCTTGACAAAAGATAAGTTGAAATTCAAGCTCTGTGAGTTGGCCCCAGCTTTCCTTTGCAGCTTTGACCTCCCCACCTCCAAAGCCTAACCCCCTCCTCATCAGGTCTTGCCGTTGGAACCTAATCTGTCTGGTTGGACCTCCTCCCTGCCCCAGAACGCCACTTGCTTAGTCCCAGCTGAGTTCCTCACTGGTATACTCCACATTGCTTCTCCATTGCAGAAAGGGATGGGGCCTGGGACTGGCTGAGGAGTGGGGTGGGATGCTAAAACACACAGTCAAACTTTGAATGCACAGACCTCTCCAGAGATCTGACACAGTCCTCAGATGGCTTACTAGAGTAGTGAGGTTGGGGACAGGGGAATGGAGCACAGTGCTCATAACTTTCTTGAGAGTGTATGAAACTTAACAGGATCCTTGAGCAGTTTGGAAACCTTCCTGTTTCCCAGTAAAAATCACTGTCCTAAAACATAAAACTGGAAAAAAAGTGGTTTGCTAGTAAATGTTTAAAAACAGCTCCAGAGATGTGAAGGTTGCTGGGAGAAACTTGATTTGTAGCATTTACTTCTTCAGTTGTGAAAATTCCCTGACTGTGGTGAAAATTCTCTGACCATGGCCACTTTCAAGCTACTACCATTATGTCATTGAATGCTGGGATGAGATAAGATGTGCACATTGGGTTCTCCTGAACCATACAGAGCTAGCCAACATCAGTACAACACTGGGAAGGGATCAGGTTTGCCCTGGGCTTCTCCTGTTTGGGATATATAAAACAGAGTTAGGTTTAAAAAATATCATCATCTTACATTAGACTCGCTTATGGAGAAAGGCTTCCCACAACACCCTGTGAACCTTGGTGCTTCACCTCTATCCTTCAAGCTCCACTTTCTTGAAGCTCTTCTATACTGTAAATGTTTTGAAAATTGGCATGGATGTTTTCACCCTGACAGATAATAACTATTACTGTTGTCTTCCAAACAACCATCAAGTTTGTCTAATGTTGCCTTCTCAATGTTTTGGGAACTCTGACCCTCCCCTCCTTCTCTGCTACTGCTCCCTAGTTTAGGCACACAGTACAAGCAAAGTGCTTGCAATTATCCAAACACATACTATCATGACTTACTTGATGATCTTTTCTATTGCAATCCTCTTTGATTCTCAAGGCTCCTCCTTCTCTGGCTGCCTCCTACTTCTTCTCTAGTATGATTTATCCTTAGACTACAAACTCCTTAAGAAGAGAAACTGTCATCCTTTCTGAACTGTCAGCATCTAGAACAATCCCTGACACAAAGAAAGTACTTAACATTTGTGTTGAATCAATGGCTGCTTGCTGTGTCCTAGGTGCTATGTGGTGGCTTACAGGAAGGTTTCCATTCAATCCTACCCCAAACCCTTCATTGTAGTAAGTGCAATTATTATCCCCATTTTACAAATAAGAAAACTGAGGCTTGGAGGCTAAATAACTTGCCCAGAAACACATCTTTTTATTCATATGCCTATTCTATTCATTACACAATAATCTATAGTTTATAATGGAAGCCACAATTGATATCACCTGATGCATGAAGATATGATAATCAATTTGGCTGTAAAAGAGCTGTTACTTTATTTTTACACAGTTTGTTCTTGAATTAAAGTGTTTTTCATTAGATAATTTGAAATCTTTTATGCAGGTAGAAAATGTACATAAAAGGCTGGGCATGGTAGCTCACGCCTGTAATCCCAGCAGTTTAGGAGGCTGAGCCTCCAGACCAGCTTGGCCAACATGGTGGGACCCCGTCTCTACTAAAAAATACAAAAACTAGCTGGGTGTGGTGGTGCGCGCCTATAATCCTAGCTACTCGGGAGGCTGAAGCAGGAGAATTGCTTGAACCTGGGAGGTGGAGGTTGCAGTGAGCCAAGATCGCACCACTGCACGCCAGCCTGGGCGACAGAGTGAGACTGTCTTAAAAAAAAGGAAATGTACATAAAGAAAAATTTGTCTATTTTTTAGCCAATTAGTCTATCATGTTGATATTTCTTATCAATTAGTCTGTGAGCCCATTGGATGCTATACTTTAATCTCATCATATGTTATATATCAGGAGCTTTGATTAGTGTCTTATTCATACATTATCATTATAAAAAGTCTTTCATAATCAACATTTGTGAAAGGTTGCTCTATATTATTAAAATCATGTTACTCTAAGACATTTGGGGAAGGGCTTACAGATTAATAGTAGTAGTAGTAGTGGTAGCAGCAGCAACCACTACCATTTATTGAGCACCTACTACATGCTAGGCCTATTGTGCTGTTAGTTTTACTTACATCATCCCATTGAGGCCTTGTGAAATAGGTTCTGCTGTTTTTTGTTTGTTTGTTTGTTTTTTACTTTACTGTTGGGGAACCTGGGACTCAGAGAGTTTACTCACTTGCTTGAGGTCACACAACTATTGAATGTAAAATGTGGACTAAAATATACATTTGTATGTCTCTAAAGCCTGGGCTTTTACCCCAAGATGGACTTTGAAGGCTGTCCAAGTTACTTAACCCTCTCTGAGTTTCCGTTTCCTCATCTGTAAAACTGAGGGGAGTAACACTTATTTTGCAGAGTTGCTCTGAAGATGAGAAATAATGGATCCCAGGGCCCAGGGGCACACAGTAGGCACTTAAACTGTGGTGATGTTTATGCATAAATGGGGCGTTAAAATGGGCAGGGGAAGATCTGAGATCCCGATAAAGGTATTGGGGAGCTGGAGAGAAGGATCTACAAATCTTCTTGAGAGCTGGCCTTCTCCCCCCCACAATACAGTGACCCAGTGAAACTCTGAGAGACAGGCGAGGGGGCAGGGGCCTGAATTTGGCTCCAGCAACCTCTGCAGGGAGTCCGGAGAGAGGCGGGGAGCTGGGAGGGGCGTAGAAATCCCCGTCGTCAGAGGACTGCAGGTGCCAGGCAGAGTTGGTGTAGGTGGGCTCCCCGAGCCCGGCGCAGGGAGGGGAGGAGGTTGGGGCGGGCCGGCAGGCGGGCGGGGGAGAGAGGAAGGCGGGGCTCAGAGCCGAAGAGGCTGTCCTTAGACAGCTCTTCTCATGCCGGGCAGTTTGCTGCATCTGGAGGAGCTCACTGGAGAATCTCCAACATCGGAGCGGGCCTTCAACTACCGTAAGTACCTACAAATGAGCGCATAGTTCAGTGGCTGAATATTAAATACTGGCCACCGGATCCTAAACAAAACCCCGAAAGAGTCTCCTTGCTGTAATTAATTGCCGTAAATCAAACTGCTCCCCAGTCTGTCCCCCCACCCGCTTCATTCCTGCCTTTCTCCTTTCCTTCCCGGATCCCAGACCTGCCTCGGTGAGAATCTCTGGGCACTGTAGATATCTCCCCTTTTCCTTCTCAGTCTTCCCTCCAAACCCTCAGCTGAGCATGTACCCGGCACCCCGCCGAGCCCAACCCCTTTGATTCCTGGAGCCCTCAAAGCTATGCAGGGGGCGAGCCATTAGACATTTCAGATATGTCACCCTCAAAAGCACTGCGGCGCTGCCTAAGGGTGGGGAAAGTGCTTGGGGTGGAGTAGGAGGGAAGGGTAAAACGGCTAGGCAGCCAAAGTTGGGGGTGGGGGTGGGGTGAAAGGCCAAAATGGGCGTGGCCAACTAACCCAAGGCTTGGGGCTGTTCTCATGTTCCCCCGGTATAAGATTCATCATCTGGGCTGAATATAAATGGTACAATTTCCTTAGTGATTGAGGAGGGGTCAGCCATGCCAAAAAGCCCAGCTTCCCTGACTCCCCTCAATCCCCCAGTAGGCAAAGATCCTGGTTTAGGGGTCCAAGTGGCAAGGCTGAAACCTCAGATGGCATTTCCTGGGTGTAATCCCAGGTTGAACCTCTCCCTTGGCAGTGGAACCTGGCTTCCCCCAAAAACTCCTGGCCCAAAGCCCCAGGGTAACAAAGCAACAGGGTAGCATCCAAGCTTTGGCCTGGCCCTGAGAGGAGTGGGAGCAAGGGACTGTAGGAACTGAGATGGAAAGGGCATCTTTAGGGCCCTACACCAGTTGGATGCCCCCTTTGAAAAGAAGAAAAAATAAGCATCTTTTTAAAATGTAATGTTCACTATGTGCCTGGCACTGTACATGTATTATCTCTAACCCAACACAACAATAATGTTAGGTCGATATTACTCCTCCACTTTACAGATAAGGAAAATTCAGAGTGGGTAATCTGAAAATCCTTTGATACAAAGTGAAAAATGTACAATGGACCTATGCTTCCTTGGATTTCTCACTGTCCACTTGTTCCCTACAGTCCAGATATTTTGAACACGAAATATCCTCCTCTTCCTGCTCCTCCATCCTACCCAGTGTTAGCACTGGGGCAAGTTTGAGGCTGAGGTCCAAGGTCAGTCTGGAAAAGCAAAATCAGTTCCTTTCTCTATTCTGGGAGCTGCCTCTTCCCCACTCTTCTGAGCTAAGATTTAATAACAGCTGGAGTCAGCCAGGACTTCAGACTCCCAGTAGAAAGTTGGTGGAAGAGAATTAGCTTGAGTTTGCGTGGCTGGGACATACCTTCCCTTGGTGAAAGGTTACTGTGGGGGGAGGTGGAGAGAGGCATGAAAGCTCAAGAGTCTACCTTGTGTATATGCAAGGCCTATGGTAAATAATGACTTTGGTCAGGGAGAATGGAAAGCCTCCCTGAACTCAAATATCTTTGCCGTATTTCCTGAGATTCAAACAATTCCATTTCCCTTAGAGGCAATCAACAAAACTGTTTAGAAGTTAAGGGCAACGAAAGAATCATTTAGACCTTATGTAAATTAACTCAAGCAGCTTGATTTTCTAACACATGCTTGACACTGGGGTATTGAGCTTTTAGGGGTAGGAGACAAGAATGAGAGTAATATTGGATCTAAAGCATTCTATGGAAGGGAAGGATATCCAAGGGATCAAGTGAGAGGGGTAAGGGAGGGTGAAGAGGGAGTGAAGGGTACCTCTGGGAGTTTAAATCATTGTTTTAGATCCATAGGCCTTGGAGTTAAACATGGATTCTAATTTGGGCTCTAATATTTAATATCTTTTGACTTTGGGCAAATTATATAACCTCTCTAAGCCTCAGTTTGTTCATCAGTAAAATGGGGATGGTAGTAATGCCCCCTCTCTTAAGTTGTTGGAGGACTCTCTCTCTCTCTCTATATATATATATACACACACACACACATATATACGTATATATATACACACATATATACGTATATATACACACATATATATACATGTATATACACATATATATACGTATATAAACATACGTATATATATATATATGCATATCTGAAAAGGTGACTCTGCACCTCCCATCTCCCCCATCCTGTGGAGCTTCTGCAGGCTATTCTGGGCTTCTGAGATCCCAGAGACAAATCCATATTTCAACAAATCTGACATCTTTGATACCAACAAAGACCTTGAGCAGGATAGGGAAGTGAGGGAAAGGAGCAAGGAGAGGAAGCAGCAGGTGACCTTGTAATACCCTGCATGCCTGTGAGGAAGTACAATGTAGGGTTGTCAAGTGCAATTTAGCCATCTAAACTAAACTTTAAGGAGCAGGACAAGTCCTCTGAGTAAAAACAATTCTGCTTTTAGATCCCACCACCTGCTGAGGAGAAAAATTCTTCAAGACTCAGAGCACACAGCCAGCACCAGAGGCCCCATGACCCTGGACAGACCAGGGGAGGGGGCCACCATGCTGAAGACATTCACTGTTTTGCTCTTTTGCATTCGTGAGTACAAGGAAGGGGTGAGGGGCAAGTGACCCTGTCATAGGTACCCACTCATTAGGGGTGGGAGAGGAAAGTATTGAGGTTTGAGCACAGGATGGAGACAACAAGGGAGCTCTCCTTTACCATAATCTCTCTTTTCAGGGATGAGTCTGGGTATGACATCAATAGGTAAGTGAGTCCTGCCCTCTCAGGCACCTCCTTCCTAAAGGATCCAAGATGCTGGCGTGTCTCCATGACCTTGGACATAATGCCTTGAGATTCCAGAGATAGATTGGGCTGATTGGGAATCAGAGGACTTGGTTTCCTATGGCATGGTGAAAAAGCTTTATCTCAGATGGAAAAGAGACCATCAGACTTTATTCTCCAATTCATTTGGACCCCTTGACAAAATATCTTGGGGTTCTTATACGATGCCCCACAGGAGCACACTCCTGTCCCCAAGGGAAGACAAAATGAGGGATCTGGGTCCGGGCTAATTTTAAGGGACATTGTGGGACATGTTATGGGAGGGAGAGGGTTGGACTGCTCATATCTTTTTGATCTTTGGGAATAACAGTGATGGACCCTCAACCAGAGTTGTGGATAGAGTCCAACTACCCCCAGGCCCCTTGGGAGAACATCACGCTTTGGTGCCGAAGCCCCTCTCGGATATCAAGCAAGTTCCTGCTGCTGAAGGATAAGACACAGATGACCTGGATCCGCCCTTCCCACAAGACCTTCCAAGTTTCATTCCTTATAGGTGCCCTTACTGAGTCCAATGCAGGTCTTTACCGGTGCTGCTACTGGAAGGAGACAGGCTGGTCAAAGCCCAGTAAAGTTCTAGAGTTGGAGGCACCAGGTAAGATGACAGTGATACTCAAGAATCAACTCCAGCTCCTGAGATTCAAACTTGCCTTCCAGGGGAGAGTTTGTTTCACAAATGCATGCAAGCATGCATCCCACAGTTAGTAAATAAGGGCCTACTTTGTATTGGGCAATGCAGAGGGGGGATGCAGACTCTGGAGCAGAGATAGGAGAAGGAGGGGTGGCAAACAAGGATCATACAGGGAAACCTCAATTAAAGTAGAGCTCTCCTCTGCTGCTCCCTAGACAGTACTATCCTTGCTTTACCTAATTCCAGTTCATTCTATCCTTCCAGGCCAACTGCCCAAGCCCATCTTCTGGATTCAGGCTGAGACCCCCGCTCTTCCTGGGTGTAATGTTAACATCCTCTGCCATGGCTGGCTGCAGGATTTGGTATTCATGCTGTTTAAAGAGGGATATGCAGAGCCTGTGGATTACCAAGTCCCAACTGGGACAATGGCCATATTCTCCATTGACAACCTGACACCTGAGGATGAAGGGGTTTACATCTGCCGCACTCATATCCAGATGCTCCCCACCCTGTGGTCAGAGCCCAGCAACCCCCTGAAGCTGGTTGTAGCAGGTGGGTGTGGCTATGGCTGCTGGCATCTGGCAATTGTTGTCCCAGGTATCATGGCTGGCTGAGCTAGGGTTTCTGATTTTACTTTCCTCAGCCAGTTTCTAGGCCCTGCAAGGCCCCATGAGCTACAGTCGTTTGAAGTTTTACTGAGATATAAATTAGAATGGCATGTGCTGCAAGGCAGATGTATGGGAGCCAATCATTTGGCTAGTAAAGGAGCCCAGCCAACTGGCCAGCAGCTTCAGCTCATCACAGCTTTGTTGTTCTCAACTTGTTGAATATCATGCATTCATTCATTAATTCAACCAGTATTTATTGAGCACCTAATATGTGCCAGGCACTGCCACTGCAATCTTATAAATGGAGTTTTAAATTTGCAAATGTATTTTATTTGTAATTGTTATTTTTATGTGTGGAAAACAGAATGGATTGCTAGTGTTGGTGAGTAAAAACAAAAAAAAACAAATGACAAAGAATGTGATAGCTCATATTTTAGAAATGGCTTTATAAATCACCTTGGTTCCCTATCAGTAGAGCTAGTAAGGCAGCACCAATCTCTAAATATAGAAGAAATTTCCCCAAAATGTAAAATGCCAGACATGTCCCAGCCCGAACTCCCCCACCCCATGGCCTGGAGGTTTCTAGATGGAATTGGCCACATTTGCTTTAGTCTCTCTATCCAGCTAAATAGGCTTGGGGAAAGCTGTGGTGCTACAGAAAGTACCCTAGACTTAGAAGCAGTAATACTGGTTTCTAGTTCTATTTCTGACACTGCCTCCCTGTGTGGTCTTGAGCAAGTCACTTCACTTTTCTGTGCTTTGGCTTCCTCTACTCTAAAAATGGGATAACAGTATCTATCTGATCTACTGTGTAATGCTTCTCTCTGTGCCTCAGCTTCCTGATCTGCAAAATTGGTTTAATAATAATGCCTACCTCACAGGGTTGTTGTGAGGATTTGCCTAAATATATATGTACAGTGCCTGGCATATAAGTTCTCAATAAATGGTAGATATTAATTTTGTTAGTATAGCTTTTTATTGAGGATCAAAGAACAAAAACTGCCTGTTTGAACTGAGTGTATGAATGTTTGTTGTACTCATGCCCTTTCAGCATAGATTCCACTAAAATACACTTCCGTAGTTACCTGTTCACCAATATCCCCCACCAACCAGTTCATGAGCTTTTTGCTAGCGGAGACTGTGTCTTCTTTACTCATACACACCTAGACCTACATGACGCTTGATGCATACTAAATGCTCAGTGAGCATATGACAGAGCTGATCCTTCCTTAATGAATAGATAAGTGTGCCTGGCATTGGGGTGGGGGTAGGAAGGAGTGGTAGGAGGTGAGGTTTGCCCTCACTTTCATGTAAAATCTCCTTGGAGAAACAATTCATGGAAAGGAATGTGTGGCCCCATAACAAAGATTTATTTGGGTCGCAGACTTACTGGCCAAACCCTCTTTATTGGCTTCTTTCAGTCTTGTTGTAGAAGTAGGGTCTTAAATGAGCTTAATGTATTCAAAAGCTCTCCTTAATATTTCAGTGGCATTCATGCTCTGCAAAGATGAAAACAATGTTATTTTCAGAGGTTTGGTTTTTCTGGTGGTTGAAAGAACTACATTTGGCATTTCAGGGGCCTAAAGATACAGGGAATTATAGATGTAGATCTTCCACTGAGATACACCCCTACACATGGTTAGAGCTCAGTGAAGCTGGCAGATTCTTGAGAGAGAACAGGGGCATAAGTGAATCTACCCTTGATTATGTTACAGAGGCAGAGATCCAAGGAAGGGATAGGGAAGAGAAGGTAAACTTCAGCTACCACTTCTTGTTCAAAGAAATTAAGAAAGAGAAAACAGAAGACAACAGGAAAGAATCATCTTGCCTCTAACTTTAGGGTCTCTTCCGTTTGTAGGACTCTACCCCAAACCAACTTTGACAGCCCATCCTGGGCCCATCATGGCACCTGGAGAAAGCCTGAATCTCAGGTGCCAAGGGCCAATCTATGGAATGACCTTTGCTCTAATGAGGGTTGAAGACTTGGAGAAGTCCTTTTACCACAAGAAGACAATAAAAAATGAGGCAAATTTCTTCTTCCAGTCTTTGAAGATCCAAGATACTGGACATTACCTCTGTTTTTACTATGACGCATCATATAGAGGTTCACTCCTTAGTGATGTCCTGAAAATCTGGGTGACTGGTAAGAGACGGGTATGCCATGAAACTTAGGTTAACGGCTAAGGATATAAATCTCCCTCTGTGCTCCCTGGAGAACCTAATCCTGTGGCCAGGGTTAACAGTAGAGAAGGGAGCAGAATTTGTAAAACTGGGTGTAGGCAGGTTTTTCCAAGGGTGGTTTGGAGGAAGAGAAGGAAAAGAATCTTAAGGAGTGGGAGCAGGAAGTGAAATCACTAGTGCTTTTTATTCTGGGTCTCATCCTAGACACTTTCCCCAAGACCTGGCTACTTGCTCGGCCCAGTGCTGTGGTCCAAATGGGTCAGAATGTGAGCCTACGGTGTCGAGGACCAGTGGATGGAGTGGGTCTTGCACTCTATAAGAAAGGAGAAGACAAACCACTTCAATTTTTGGATGCCACCAGCATCGATGACAACACATCATTCTTCCTCAACAATGTAACCTACAGTGATACTGGCATCTATAGCTGCCACTATCTTCTCACCTGGAAGACCTCCATTAGGATGCCATCACACAACACTGTGGAGCTTATGGTTGTAGGCAAGTGTTAACAACTGTTTTTATTATCAACCTGTTTGTTTTTATCATCATTGTGGTGTTGTAAGAAGGAGCTAGTAGCCTCATATCCTCTGAGAGCTATGAGCAAAACACACACACACATACACACACACACGCACTAGGAAGGTGGTGTAGAACTTTCTTCCAAAACTTTAGGGACCTTGTCTCCCAGGATTGTTCCTCAAGCTCCACCTCTCAGTATGGCACAGCCCCATTGTAACCCCTGGGAAAATTATTTTTCTTTAGGCCAGAGGAAGCTTACAGGTATGAGGTCTTCCTGATTGAAGGTAAGGAACCAGGAATCTTTAGATCACCAAGGGGTGGGCAAAGGAATTCTAATGCACAGTCAAATCTTGAAGCCACTGGCCAAGTGGAAGTGGAAAGGAAGAGAAGATCAAATGGGGAGCTCAGAAACATTTTCTGGGGGAGAGGGTACTGGGTTTGAGGTCACTTCTCACTCTGGTCTCTGGATTGGTTTCAGATAAGCCCCCCAAACCCTCCCTGTCAGCTTGGCCAAGCACTGTGTTCAAGCTAGGAAAGGCCATCACCCTTCAGTGCCGAGTATCTCATCCAGTACTGGAATTTTCTCTGGAATGGGAAGAAAGAGAAACATTCCAAAAATTCTCAGTAAACGGAGACTTCATCATCAGTAATGTTGACGGGAAAGGCACAGGGACCTACAGTTGCAGCTATCGCGTAGAGACACATCCTAACATCTGGTCACATCGCAGTGAGCCCCTGAAGCTGATGGGGCCAGCAGGTGAGAGGATAACTCTTCAGAGGAATGCCCCTCCATACCCCAGGGATCCCAGATCAGTGCCCAGAAAGATATGGGAAAGGGAGTCAGAGGCCTGAAAATCAGAGCCCTTGGGTTTCAGCACCCTTCCCCTGGGGTGGTCTCACAATTCCTCAAAGGCAGTTAGCAGGATAATTTCAAGGCTCCCATTCTCCATGAAAAAGAAGGCCACTTCTGCCTCACCTTCTCAATATAAGCACTGTCAGTAACCAGATTGTCCTCACCCCATGAATGTATTCACCTGCCCCTGTCCCCATCAAGGCCTCTGATTCTGGTCTTCTCTGGCCACAGGCTATCTCACCTGGAATTACGTTCTGAATGAAGCTATCAGGTTGTCTCTAATCATGCAGCTTGTTGCCTTGCTGTTGGTAGTGCTGTGGATAAGGTGGAAGTGTCGGAGACTCAGAATCAGGTAACTGTCTTGTCCCAGCCCCCTGTTCCCCAACCTAACAGAGTCTGAAGAATGAGTCATGCCCTAGTTGAGACAAGCCACAGAGGCAAACCCTATAGAACCCCTATCTTCTGGGCTTAGGGAACAAGACTTTCTCACCCCACCTGTCTCTTTCGCCTCACAGAGGGGTCAGCACTCAAGCCAGCGGGTGGAGAAATGCATAGTTCTCAGAGGCAAGAGGAGTAATCAGAACTGCATTCACTGACATCCCCCCCGGAGGGTGCCCAAATCTCGCCCACAAACCATCCTGCCCTCAGAGATGATTGATGTCTCCCTCATTAACTTGTTCTGGATTTTTCCTCTTGTAAGAAGCCATGCTGTCCTGTCTCCCAGACTGTTATCCAACTCCTATCCCAACTTTTCACCCTTATCCCTAGCTCTCAGGAGCTATTAAGCCTTGTGACGCATCCTAGTTGCCTTAGTAACCAGTCTCTGACACTGTGGCCTCCAACCACCTGTGCAGAGCATTCTGGGAATATAGACTTGACCTGGATGGCCATCTGATGTGATATTGGACGGGGCAACAGAATCAGACTGTTTCCTCTGACTCACAAACTCACAGGCCAAACAGATTCTCCTGCCATTTCCTTTGATTCTGTGGTGTGCTCTGGGCCATCTGCCTCTCTCATCCCCATGGCTTGTGCTCAGGCTACTCTACTGGGAACAAGGAGAGAAATGACCACTTCTGACCCAGTAGGGATGTTAGCTCCTGAATACCTTGTCTACTTCCCCCTACTCCCTGCTTCTGGCTGTACCCCCCGCCCTGCAACTGTGGTCAGTGTGTCTGGAAGTATTCAATGCACAATGGATTATGATTATGATTACATGTGTCTGTGTTTTCCACTGGAATCTGAGGGACAGAATACTTGGGCAATCAGAAGGGAGCCACCTAAGCCTTCTGCAAAAACCACCACCCTTTGAGTTTTCAAAAAGTTTCAGCAGGGGTCAAGTTCTACTTCTTTCCGGAACCTGACCTGGGTCCCGTACTCATTAGAGTAATCTCCAAGCCAGTGGTTAGAAAAAAAAAAAAATGTAGCTTTATGTGCCCCACCCCAGCCCAGCAACACTGCATCAAAGAATAAGATCAGGAACCAGATTTCAGAGAAAGCAGCTTGAAAATCATGTTTTCCTCACCAGGAAGGATGGTCAGTGTTTTCTAAGTAAAAATTGTCCGATGGATTTTGGGTTAATATCATCTAATACTACAAGACTCATGACCCAAAGCTGCTGCACATTTCTAGTTATAATCTGGGTGAGGGGAGAGTTTCTACTCTCTGAAAAGCTTGGCTCGGCACTGCCAATCTTCTAGTAATTCATCACAGCTGCCTAGGCAACCCTTCCATAACAAAGGCAGGTGAGGCAGGTGGGTCTGAGGACCAATACTGCCACAACAACTGCTTCCGAACTTAAACTTGATGACTGAGAAATACTCACAGTTTCTCCCTCCACCCCCACACACACCACCCAGAGCTGCCGATCACAATGAGCTCCAGGGGTTCTGAGAGCTCCAAATAATATAAAAGCATTTTCCCATCTGACATCTCAATTCCAGCAACAACCTAATCAGGGGCCATGGGGAGCTGACATATGATATAGGCTGCGGAGTGGGGAGGGGGCGGGGGGGACACGTGGGTCATGAAAGAGCAAGAGGTTTGTAGGTGGTAAGGCCCTCAAAAAGAAAAGTCATTGATGTCAAATAAGATTATATCCCATTATCTTGGCCATATCCAGTCCCCATTGGGTAGCGAGTAAGCCAATGACATAAATTGCCGCCCCCTTTCCTCCACCCTCCCCCTCATCCCAGCAACTCCTCTCATCTCTTTTCTGGTCTCACTAGAGAAGCCTGGTTGCTGGGAACAGCTCAAGGGGTCACCATGCTCTTCATAGTCACGGCCCTTCTCTGCTGTGGTGAGTACAAGTGGGGGAAGGGGCCCCGGGCAGAAGGCCGGGGTGAAGTCCCGGTGGGGGAGGGGGCCGAGTCCTGGCAGCAATTTCTTTTGCAGGACTGTGCAATGGGGTATTGATAGAAGAGACTGGTGAGTTTTTCCTGCTCCAGACTGGGACATTCCTCCCTGGAGATCCGAAATAACTACAGAGCGTCAGTGTCATTGGCCAGGGAGTGGCTGGTTGGGAGGGAAGGGCAGCCAGGAAGGGGCACTTGCTAAAGCTGCTGGCAAAATTCAGCCTCCAACTTTGCCTTTCTGCCTGCAAAATTTCCTCCAAGCTTCTGCACTTTTCTGAGGCTCAGCTATAAGACACCAGCTTCCCCTTTCCCCAGCACCTGAGGAAGGAAGGAAAGAAGGAAAGGGTTTGGATTTGGGTTGCAAGGGGAGGTGGGCAGTGTGATCTGGGTAGAGGGTTCAAGGGCAAGGAGGAGGGAGGGGAAGGGAGGCGGGAGGATGGCTTCATTAATTCTGCTGTTTCTAGAAATAGTCATGCCAACCCCTAAGCCTGAGCTGTGGGCAGAGACCAACTTTCCTCTGGCCCCGTGGAAGAACTTAACCCTCTGGTGCAGAAGCCCTTCTGGCTCAACTAAGGAGTTTGTGTTGCTGAAGGATGGGACCGGGTGGATCGCCACTCGCCCGGCCTCAGAGCAGGTCCGGGCTGCCTTCCCCCTTGGCGCCCTGACCCAGAGCCACACCGGGAGCTACCACTGCCATTCATGGGAGGAGATGGCTGTATCGGAGCCCAGTGAGGCACTTGAGCTGGTGGGGACAGGTAAGAAAATGTAGAGGGTCTCCGGGAGTTATCCCCAGTGCCCCTGGGACTCCAACACTGCTCCTGGGAGTGAGGGAATGAACTCACAGGGACCCTGGAGCCCAAGGGGCTCGTGCTGCATGTAGGAGAGGAGGGGCACTGAAATGGTAGGGGGTTATGGGGTAGGGGGAGGGGCGGAATGGGAAAGAGAGTGTGAGGAGACTGACTGGAAGAGCCTAGGGCCAGCCCAGAATGAATGTCTTTATTTGCTGACAAAGTGACCCTGAGTATCCCATCTGGGCAACTGCAAACTTCTGACTCCTTTTTCACCCCATTCTGTTTTCCAGACATCCTCCCCAAACCTGTCATTTCTGCTTCCCCCACAATCCGGGGCCAGGAACTACAACTCCGGTGCAAAGGATGGCTGGCAGGCATGGGGTTTGCTCTGTATAAGGAGGGAGAGCAAGAACCTGTCCAGCAACTTGGTGCTGTTGGAAGAGAAGCCTTCTTTACAATCCAGAGAATGGAGGATAAAGACGAAGGCAATTACAGCTGCCGCACTCACACTGAAAAACGCCCCTTCAAGTGGTCTGAGCCCAGTGAGCCGCTGGAGCTTGTCATAAAAGGTAGAGCTGAAAAGGGTGTGGGAGGAAAGGGGGCAGGGTGGAGGGAAAGGCAAAGCCCTGGGTCAGACACTCCTCTCCCTGCAGCAAACTTTGCTGCTGGTCCTGAGAGCCTGTGTCCAATCTTAGAGCCAGGCAGGCGTGGCGCTGGGAGTGCCAGGGCCTCTGGCTGCACGATATTAATAGCCATAATCGTTATTAATAGCTTTGGTTCGTGGAGGGTGATTTAATTTTTCTAATTATTTTCACATCAATTATCTCACTTCACCATAGAGCAACTCTTCAAGGTGGGTGAAGCAGGTACCATTTTCCCCTTGTCCAAATGGGCAAACTGAGGCTCAGAGAATCAGCAGAACCCCAAGAAAAATTCTACCTTTTTACTAGCCTCCATTGCCTGCCCTGATCACACTGAGGACTCATCTGGAGGTAGTGAGGGGTGGGGTTGAAGGGTCCCTGTGTGAGAAGTCCATCTGCAAAGTGGATTTACCTTACTTTTTAAATGCACTTACTTAAAAGCAAAGAAGCCTCCGAGAACCAATATTTGCTATATTTGCTTTCTCTCTTTCTTGTTCTTAATTTGGTTTTGTGTTGTATTTTGTTTTTTGTTTTTGTTTTTGTTTTTTGCCTTCTAGAAATGTACCCTAAGCCCTTCTTCAAGACATGGGCCAGCCCTGTGGTCACCCCTGGTGCCCGAGTGACTTTCAATTGCTCCACCCCCCACCAGCATATGAGCTTTATTCTTTACAAAGATGGAAGTGAAATAGCATCCAGTGACAGGTCCTGGGCAAGTCCGGGGGCCAGTGCAGCTCACTTTCTAATCATTTCGGTGGGCATTGGTGATGGAGGGAATTACAGCTGCCGATATTATGACTTTTCTATCTGGTCTGAGCCCAGCGACCCTGTGGAGCTCGTGGTGACAGGTTAGGAGGGGGGACTCCAGGTAGAGGTGGTGCCAACCCTGGGATGGTGGGTGGAAGGCTGTCAGTGGGAGAGGAAGAAATGTTTCTTCTAAAACACACTGAGAACGTGCTTAGGACAGCGGCTGGCCCATAGTGACCAGTCCATGATGCACAGCTGCTCATGTTATTATTACAGGAACAAGAAACAAAGGCAGTGGGGAGGCAAGCAATTCACTTCTGGGGAAATAAATGAGGTAGATGGGGGTGTCTAATCCCAAGAGCTCGGTTCAACTTGCCCTATTTCTGCACATTTTTATGGCTTGGCATTGAGCTTTAGGCTCAATGTCCACTTTTTCTCTAGCTGGGCTGTCAGAGACCGGTGGGCTGGATGGCTCTCAGAGAAAGGGAGAAGACCTTGAAATGTCAGCTGCATACTACACAACTACACAACTGTGCATAAGTGGAGTCCCAATTATGTAAACAGTTATAGCTACATGGACATGGGAATATATGGAAAGAATAAATGGCAATTAAATATTAAAAATATTTATCTTTGAGTGGTAGAATTGTGTTTCCTTCATTAGTTTTTTTTTCTATATTTTCTAATTTTTAACAACAAACATATATTGTGTCTTACAATAACACTTTAAAAGGCTATTTGCAGGATGTGAGGGCTGGGTTTATCTCATGCTGTGGTCTCTTTAATTTCAGAATTCTACCCCAAACCCACTCTCCTGGCACAGCCAGGTCCTGTGGTGTTTCCTGGGAAGAGTGTGATCCTGCGCTGCCAAGGGACTTTCCAGGGCATGAGGTTCGCCCTCTTGCAGGAGGGAGCCCATGTTCCCTTACAGTTTCGGAGTGTCTCAGGGAACTCAGCTGACTTCCTTCTCCACACTGTTGGAGCAGAGGACTCTGGGAACTATAGCTGTATCTACTATGAGACAACCATGTCAAACAGGGGGTCATATCTCAGTATGCCCCTTATGATCTGGGTGACTGGTAAGGACCGACCGGACATGGGACTGGGATGGAGATCATTGGAGAAGGGGTTAGGGAGAGTAATTCCTCCTGGAAGGCTAGGCTAGGCCACGGAGGGGAACTACCGTGCCCAAGAGGAGAAAGATAGAGTGTTAATTTAAGCAGGAACTCATAAGTTTCTATAGTCACCACTTTACAACCTTGGTCTCTTTCTAGACACATTCCCTAAGCCATGGTTGTTTGCTGAGCCCAGTTCTGTGGTTCCCATGGGGCAGAATGTTACTCTCTGGTGCCGAGGGCCGGTCCATGGAGTAGGATACATTCTGCACAAAGAAGGAGAAGCCACTTCAATGCAGCTCTGGGGATCCACCAGTAATGACGGGGCATTCCCCATCACCAATATATCTGGTACTAGCATGGGGCGTTACAGCTGCTGCTACCACCCTGACTGGACCAGTTCTATCAAGATACAACCTAGCAACACCCTGGAACTCCTAGTCACAGGTAAGGGGAAGAGGCTGTCGAGTGGGCATGGAAGTGTAGAAAGGAGGGAATAGACTAGTTCATGGGAGATAGTTTTCAGAGAGCTCGAGGAGAGGCAACCAATTGCCTTTCCTCTTTATTGAGCAGAGACCCCAGGGGTGATGCACTGGAAAGTGACCTCTTCTCTTTGACCAGGAGTTCATTTCTTCCAGGCTTACTCCCCAAACCCAGCCTATTAGCCCAGCCTGGTCCCATGGTGGCCCCTGGCGAAAATATGACTCTTCAGTGTCAAGGGGAACTGCCAGACTCAACATTTGTCCTGTTGAAGGAGGGGGCTCAGGAGCCTTTAGAGCAACAGAGGCCAAGTGGGTACAGGGCTGACTTCTGGATGCCAGCAGTGAGAGGTGAAGACTCTGGGATCTATAGCTGTGTTTATTATTTGGACTCTACTCCCTTTGCAGCTTCAAATCACAGTGACTCCCTGGAGATCTGGGTGACTGGTAAGGTCCTGGAGACTTCAGTACAAGTCACGATTTTGTAGTTTTTAGCAGTAAGCAATAAGGGGGTAAAAGGCTAAGTTCAGGATCATTTCTTTTAACTCTGTGTCCTTGTTGGTTGCAGATAAGCCCCCTAAACCCTCTCTGTCAGCCTGGCCCAGCACCATGTTCAAGTTAGGGAAGGACATCACCCTTCAGTGCCGAGGACCCCTGCCAGGTGTTGAATTTGTCCTAGAACATGATGGAGAAGAAGCACCTCAGCAGTTTTCAGAGGATGGAGACTTTGTCATCAACAACGTAGAAGGAAAAGGCATTGGAAACTACAGCTGCAGCTACCGCCTCCAGGCCTACCCTGATATCTGGTCAGAGCCTAGTGATCCCCTGGAGCTGGTGGGGGCAGCAGGTAAGAGAATAATCTCTCCATGGTCCTGGTGTGACACACCTGGGATCCCAGGGACAGTCCCCATGGAGACATCCCAAATCAGGAGAATGGAGGAGCTTTGGAGCCAGGGACCTGAAGTGTGTCATCTTTCTCCTAAGGATGATGAGGAGGTGGGACCTTAAATATATTTGAAGATAGTGAGTGGGTTTCTTTTCAGGCCTCTTTTCCCCAAGGAAAGGAGGGCTGCTTCTGCTTCAGCATAAACTCTGCCACTGCCCACCCCCTCTGTAGTCTGAACAGATGGCTCCCACGTGAACCCTAAAGAAGGCCAGAGTGTGGGGCAATACCAGATCAAGGGGAACATACACACGCTAATCTCCATGGCCTCGGTTTCTCCTCTTTCATCACCACAGGGCCTGTTGCTCAGGAGTGCACTGTAGGGAACATTGTCCGAAGTAGCCTAATCGTGGTGGTTGTTGTAGCCTTGGGGGTAGTGCTAGCCATAGAGTGGAAGAAGTGGCCTCGACTGCGAACCAGGTAAATAAATGCCTCATTATGGCCCCCTTCTGTGAACCAGGTGGTGCTAGAAAAACAATCATACAAATGCTCCCCTAGTATCTGAGCCCCACCGTGCAATCTGTTTTCAGTTTCTGGGTCCTCCCTTACTCATGTCTTTTTCTTTACATAGAGGCTCAGAGACAGACGGAAGAGACCAGACCATTGCCCTTGAAGAGTGTAACCAAGAAGGAGAACCAGGCACCCCTGCCAATTCTCCTTCATCAACCTCTCAGAGAATCTCTGTGGAACTGCCCGTTCCAATATAATAATCTCCTCCTTTACAAGAGCTTTCCTCTCCTCTCTCTTGCTCTCAGAGACCTATAAATCCAACCAGTTACCCTGCAAGTCAGCCCCATCTGCTGTTCCTTGGTCTCTAATCACCTGAGCTGGGTAAAGGGGATTCTGGGAGTTGAGAGCTCTGCCAGGGTGAGATGTTTCCTGAAGAGAGGTTCCCCACCCCTGTAACTCCTCACTGTACTGATTTACTGGCGCATGAAATTCTATTAAAAATGCATTCTTCTGAATAAAAAGAGTATTCACTATTTAACTTCAAAAACTATGGCTGTGGTCTTCTATTGGTCTGTTTTCCACTAACAATTTAGAAATGATGTATTGGAGCTGATCTCGATGGCAGAATAAGAGAGTGCAGGGGTACGAGAAAAGAGAAAGTTGTTCAAGGATGGGCGTGGGGAGGGGGCTCCAAAATAGCTACTTCCCAATTTGGTTTGACACATAGTCACTGACCAGAGTATTCTTTTGCCCTTCCATGGGATAGATGAATGAATGAATGGCAACACTCTCTCCAAGTTGAGCCTGAGGAGGGAAAACACAGACATTACATGCATTTCATTGTGTTACGTTTGGGTCCATAGTACATCCACTTTCAAACAGTGGGATTGGCCCTCAGCAGCACTTTGAAACTGGAAAAGCGCGCTTTGTGACCCTTACCTAGCAATCACAGGGTGTAAATGAATTCACTCTTAAGTAAGAACAATTAATCAAATCTGATACTTTGTCCCTCTCTAAAGAGAGTTCCATTTTCCCAAAGGAATGTGCGTGTAATGGTGGGATCTCAAGAAGCCAGTAAGCAGATGAGGTGGATGGTTTGGAACAGGGGACCTGCCAGTGTCGCCTCCCAGGATTCCAAATGGGGAAATGGTGGGGCGGGGGGCTAGCTCCCATTCTCAGCCACTGATCTTTCCCCCTGGATTAGAAGGCCACTTGCCCCATGAGTGGGAATTCAGTACACATTAGGCCATTAGGCCGTTTGGAATGGGGTGGGTGGCTTACCTAGTTCCTCAAAGCTTGTTAAAGACCTCAGAAAAAGTGACCTACAGGTCTGAGAGGGGGTCATGACCCCTTCAAATCTGACCCTAAAGAAGTTAAACTTGCCTCCCAGCAGTGTTTAATTCTAAGCTAACACTGTTCAATAGAGCAATGTACAAGGGTACAGTACCTGGTGAGTTATTTAACCCTGGTTATAATAAAGTTTAGAAAGCAACTCCTCTATATGGTTGCATTAGGAAGCATATTTACACAGCAAGTTAATGAAAAAAAAAAAGCATCCCATTTACCTTAATCCTTACAGAATGAAACACTCTGAGTATTATAGACTAATTTGTATTAAGCTCTTTGGAATGTAGAAGTACAAAGTCCCACTCTGATTTCCATTTGATGAGATTCTATTAGTCCCTTATACTAATTTACTATAGTATTTGTAAAAATTGCATTTCAAAATTACTTTTACATTTGAGTTTAGCCAAACTTAATTGCTGCTTGCTGCTGAACACCACTTTTTGCCCTCAAACTCTCCATCCCTAACCCTCAATCAAGCAGTATATTTTGAACACCGGAAAGAGTTGGTCCTCAGTCTTAGGATAAACGTCCTTTGATCAGATCTGATTCTGTTTTCCAACCTTTGGGTGTTCCAAAGTGTATATTGTCAAGGCTAGTAAAGTTGTGTAAGTTAGCAAGTGATAACGTGATTGCTTTAGCTTTCACCAAGGGAAAGAGAAATGGGAAGATAAGAGCAGAGGGCCAAGTACTGAAATTTTGAGATGCCTCTGAGTTAGAAAAGCAGGGTGACAGTGAGACAAACATGACAGGAAATAACTCTTGTGAAATCCAGACATTGAACCTGGGGTCTCCTGTGTCAAAAGGATTCAAAGAGAGATACTCTTGCACTCAGGGAAAATTCTGAAAAATCTTTCAGTGAGAAACAAATAGTGAGAAATGTTGTGACGTTGGACTATTAGTTGGCTTTCTAAAAACACTCACATATACCGTTCTCCCACTTAGCCAAGTTCTACATGTTTTAGAAGGAAAAAAATGGTTGTCAATTAACTCTGAAATACTTAAAGACAAAGAGTGGCTTTGGGGTTTAACTTTCCTACTTGCTGTCAGAGCTATCTATATGAATTAAGTACCTATTTATAATGCAGAAGTTGTCACAAACTATCTCAATGAATTAAATATCTATTTATAATGCAAACGTAGCTCGTTGCTGACAATTCTCCACATGGTATGTTTTTTCAACCTGGTTGCCATGGGAATCAGTCCCTTTACCCCTGGCTGGCCACTAATCATCAGCCCAGCATCAGGTAATTTCTGGGAAATGGAATCGCAATTAGGATGGAATGAACTTTTGCAAGGAAAATTTGTCTCTGGGATTCCAGGAAGAAAGGCCAAAGACCTCTCTCAAGTTGTAAAAAACAAACATATATTACCCCTCATCCTTGGGCTCACACACTTTTGACTTTTGGCTGTAGCATCTCAGAGCTACAAAGATTGTCAAGGTGGTATGAACCAATCAATCCTCCGGCCACTTCAGAAAATTTTTTATAGCAAGACTAACAGAGAGATATACAGCTTCTTCTTGTACACTTCCAAAGCTAGAGAGCTTACCACTTCATCAGACAACCTGAGAATCTCAAATCATTCTATTGATTCCGTATCTACCTGTGTGTACTCCCTTCATACTCACTGGCTCTAGTTCTGATTCAAGTTGCAACCCCGATGAAATCTACTTCTTATACATAATAATCCTCCAAAGTTTGGAAGATGGGAGTTGTCTCCCCCATGTCCTGTAGTGCTCACTCAGTGGTGCTTCTAGAGTTTGGCCAGCATTCATGTGCAAATGTGTTCATGTAGTTAACTCTCAATTATTCAGGTTCCAGAGATGGCAAAGTTCATGCCTACCCTACCCCTATCAGATTTAAACAGAGCACCTCTTTGATATATTTTATATATCTGTTTATTCTACAAATATTTATTGGCTGCTGTCTGTATGCCAAACACTGTTGTGGGCATTGGTTACAGTAGTGACAAAGACAAACAACAATCCCTGCCCTTCTAGTGTGGAAAACAAACAATTAATATAGTCAGTAATAAAGTATATGGAATATTAGATGATGATAAGTGCGGTAATGAAAAATGAAGCAGAGAAAGGAGATACAGAGATGTGTTTTGTGGGGGAGATTGTGACAATTTATAAAGGGTGATCGAGAAGACCTCATTGAGAAGGTAATGCTTGAATTACAATTTGAAGGACGTGAAGGAGCAAGACATGCAACTATCTAGGCAAAGTGGGTTCTGGTCAGAGGGAACAGCAGATGCAAAAGCCCTGAGACAGGAGAATGCCTGGCCGGTTTGAGGAATGTGAGTAAAGGAGTGTGGCTGGAGCATAGTAAGCAAGGAAGAGAGTAAGAGTTGAAGTCACAGAGGTAATAGGAACCAGGCTCAGAAAGCCCTTGTAGGTTTTTATGAGGACTTTGATTTATGCTCTGAATGAAATAGGAAGCCACTGGAGATATATTTAAATAGGGCCCTCCAGCCTTCTGTTTGGAGAGCAGACAGAGGGGGCCAGAGTGACAGCAGAGAGATCTACTGGGAGACTATTGTAGTAATTTTGGCAAGACAGGCTGGCTTAGGTCAGGATGGTAGCAGAAGAGGCAATGAGAAATGGTCAGAATATTGATATAATTTGAGGAAAGAGCCAACAGAATTTGCTGACAGATTGGATGTGGGGTGTGTTCTGTAAACATTTTCACTAGAAGAAAGAACTGTTTCAAATATTGCCTTAGTGTTTCCCTCCTCAGATTATTTTCATCTCATCCTCAAGAAAGAGTTTGCCAATTCCCCCCAACCCAGGTCGCTACTTCTGGACAGTTTGTCAATGAGCTTGTCATTGCCCATCCAGGAATATTGTAAGTAGGATAAAGTCCTGTACATCTGCAGCAATCTGACCAGCACAGAGTAAAGAGGACAGGGAACCATCACTGGCCGGAATCTCAACTCACCATTTCTATTAATGCCATCTAAAATTACATTAGCCCTTGGGCAGCCAGATCACACTGTTGGCTCGCAGGAAACTTGTGGTCAACTAAAATCCACAGCTCTTTTTCACACAAGCTCTTGCCAATTCAATCCTTTCTTGTCCTTTACTTGTGCAAGTGATGTGTTATTTTGAAATTGGGTTTTTAACTAAAATGTAGACTTGCCATTTATTTTTGTTGGGTTTAATCATATGGATCCCAGCTTACAGAAGTCATGTATTACCACCTAGTGAGCTCCTCTCTATGTGTCAGATCTATAGGCACTGTCTCATTTTCTCTTAACAACAACACTGTGTAAGATTCCTTGCTGTTATTATCCCCATATTACACATGAAAAAACAGAGGCTCAGGGAGATTAAGTACCATCCTCCCAGGTCACCAAGCTCATAGGCAAGGGCAGAGCTAGAATTAGAGTTCAAGTTTGCCTGCTTCCAAAGCCAGACTCTCCCACGCTAAACCTCAGTGAGCAGAGTATCTGGAACATAGTAGATATTCAATAAATATTTTTACTAAATTGACCACCTTCTCAGCCTACTCTTTGATGTATATTATTGAACAAACACTCACATACACTTATGTTTGTTAGACCTTGTTCTAGTGCTTTACATTTATTATGCATCTTAATCCTCACAACAGATCTATGAGGTAGGTACTATCACCATTCACATTCCTTACAAAAAAGGAAATGGAGGCACATAGAGGTTAAGTAGGCTGCCTAGGTCACACAGCTAGCAAGTGTTAGGGACAAGATTTGGACCCAGCCAGTCTGGCTTCAAAGATTGTGTTTATAACCACTAAGTTATGCTCTCTCAGGTTTCTCTGAGATCCTGACCTTGCAACTCTCAAGGGAAGGAGGTGCCTTGGCCTAACTCATCATCATTGTCCAACAAAACCTGCAGTCCTCCTGTGGAAATCTAGTCCAGGCCCCACTTATGCATGGAAGCTGGCCTGTAGGATCATTGAGAAGGAAGACTCATGCATTCCCAAATTTAGACCCGATCTCTCCCCTTCCCTCCCAGAAGTCCAAGCCACTCAGCTCTGCTGTAGAAGTTGAAAATTCTTTCAACTTCCCTCCCTGAGAGAGATAAAGTGATTCCAAAGCTGAGGAGGGGGCCAATGTGATGAGATGGTCCCCATTCTGGGGAAATCCCTGAAAAGGAAACCACATGACTAGTGGCAACAGGTCTGGAGAAGAAAGATATTCCCTCAGGCCCCTCCCACCCCAAACAATGGACCCTAAGCCAAAACTATCATATTGTGTGGTAAATTAACTCTGCAGGATCCTGGCTAGAGTCATGCTTTCAACTGGGCGTGGTAAGAATTTGTGGAGAAATTCAAGCCATTCATGAGTTATTGGCCTACAAAGGATGGCTTTTGTGGTGAAATCCCTGGTTACTTTAGAAGGCCATCTTTGGTACCATATGCAAAAGGTCCAGGAACAATCTACGTGAAATCACAGGCTAGCAGAGGCCAAAATTAATTCTGAGCTTGAGACAAATCCTGTAAAAGGTGGCACTTGGCAAGAAACCTGTCAAAACTAGCCAATGATTCCTTAATTTGCAGAATCATTACTCAAGCCATTGCTCCATTTTGACCCCAACAGTCAGTCTTGGGGAATTCATCAACTGATGACCCAAAGTTGGACTTGACCATATTTATCCAGACACAGTGAAGGAATTCTAGACTTGGAAAATGTTAGAATTGGAAGAGCCATCAGAGATGATACAATGCACAAACTTTCTACAACATACCAAACAAGCGGCTGACCAGCCTCTGCTTGAACTCTTCTAGAGGGGGAGGGGTAGGGGCTTTACTAACTGTAAAGAATGGTTGTCCTTCAATTATCAGGTAACTATAATGGTCAGGAAATTTTTTAGTGTCCTGGGAGCTGCCTTATTCCAGCTTGTATACCCATTGACCCACAGAAAATGTGTAACACAAAATTCTTCCTTAAGTCTTCATTTTTCCGGATAAAACATCTTTTTTTTTTTTGGAAATGCAATAATCAGAGTAAAACAGTACCTTAGAGATGTTCTGATCAACTTTGGAAACAAAGAAACTATCACCTCCAATGTGATGGACATTGTACTTTCATTAATATACCCCTGAGATCTCAATAGCATATTTAGCAACCACTTAACACTGTGGGCTCATACTAAGTTTGAAGTTAACTAAAACTACCATGCCCTTTATAGAATTACTGCTAAGACTTGCCTTCACTCTGAGTTCATGCAGTTAGTTTTGAAGCTGAAACATACAACTTTATATTTGCCTCAAATATATGGGTTTTTTATGTTCATTTTTTAAAACTCTTTTTACATTTTTATTTTTAATTATTATGGGTACATAACAGTTGTATATATTTATGGGGTACATATGATGTTTTGATACAGACATACCATGTGTACTCATCAAATCCAGGTAATTGGAATATCCATCACCTTAAGCACTTACTGTTTCTTTGTGTTAGGAACATTCCAATTTCACCCTGTTATTTTAAAATATACAGTAAATTATTGTTAATTATAGTCACCCTATTGTGCTACCAACTACTAGATCTTACTCCTTCTATCTAACTGTATTTCTGTACTCATTAGCTACCTCCACTTTATCCCCCCCACCCCCAACTACCCTCCCAGCTTCTGATAACCATTATTCTACTGTCTATCTCCGTGATTTCAATTTTTTTTAAGCACCAACATATGCGTGAGAACATGTGGTATCTTTATAGGTATTTGTCCACTTGGCAAATCACTGAATCTTTCAACTTCGGTTTTCCTATCTGTAAAATGGACATAATCACTATTCTAATTTTGCAGGGTTGTGGTGAAGATCAAATGAAACAACATATGTGAAAGTGCTCTGTAATTAGAAAAGTATTATGCCAGTGTAAGGCCTGAAGATGACAACAATGAACATTGTTATTTTCTGTTATACAATGTATACAAATGTCCCTCCAAGCTTGGTCTTAGTTCTAAATTTGGTCAACATCTTAACCTGATCCAAGTGTCTTTCTGGGTTTACAATAATTCATTAAATCCATACATTTTGTATATGATCATTTAACGAGTTGAACCTTCAACTATCCATGCTCTCAGCTAGTCCCCATTTCTCCACCTTGTCTGAAAGGACATCACAGAAGTGTTTGTCAAGATCCTTGCTGAAGCCCAGGTAAATAATTTTTGCAGCTTCTTCTTGTAAGCCCATCCAAAAGGAAATGAGCTTAGTCTGGCATGACTTGTTCTTAATGAACCCATGCTGGTTTCTAGTGATTAGTAAGTCTCTTTCTAAGGGCTCAGAAATCATCTTCTTAATAATCTATTCTAGAAGTTTGCTGGGGAACAACGTCAAACTCACTAGGCTACCATTTGTAGATTCTCCTTGCTTTGGGGGGAAAATCATTGTTTTATTTAGTCTTTTGGCACCTCTCTCCATATCCATGAGTCTTTGAAGACTACCAGCAGAAGAATCCAAGCTTACAAGATAGACCAGAAAGAAACAGTGCTACATGCTAAGTTGTCTACCTTTTCCTCTCATTTTTCTGTAGTGGGAGAGTTCATCTTTCTTAGACTGATGTAGATACTCCCTCTGCAATTGATGTCATAGGGTTTATTTGTCATATTTTCAAAAACCCAGAATGCCAGCGGGCATGTTGGTTGACTATGCTAGTGTTCTTTCCAGAGTGTGCTTTTCAAGAGATGACACTTCTAGAGCAGTGCCTCTCAAACTTTAATGTGCATATGAATCACCAGGGCATTCTGTTAAAACATAGATTCTGATTCAGTAGGTCTGGGGCAGGGCCTGATCATCTGCATTTCTCACAAGTTCCTAGGTAATGTTCATTCTATTGGCACACATATCATACTTTGTGCAACAAGGCTCTAGATTAATGGTTCTAGACCTTGGCTACATACAAGAATCACCAAAAGAGCTCTTTAAAATCCCTATGACCAGATTGCACCCCACCCCCCGAGATTACCTAAATCAAAGTCTCTGAGGTTGGGACCCAGGAATTAGTATTCCTAAAGTCCTCAGGTTATTCCCATGCACAGCCAAGGTTGAGCACACTCTTCTAAAGCTAGACCTCAAAAATTACCCCCTGGCTCATACAACTGCTGAAGTGTAGGTTCCCACCTGCCTACTACAGGCCTATGCGTAAAGACAATCTTTTTTGTTAAAATGTTGTTGACTAAGAGTATTGACTTAAGAGACTGTATTTCAATGTTGGTGATTTTAGGGTTACTCTTGCTCTCCTACTGCTCCCTACTACCATAATTGAGGGGCCAGAAGGGTGAAATGTGTGGGAAGAAGGTTAGGTTAAAGTAGTTTTATAGCAATAAAAACTCACTTTCCCCTCAGTGTGTTATTTTATCTAACACTACCACTTGCACAACAATTTACAAAGTACTATAGAAATGCCCAGGTTGTGGTTTGGCTTAGACCTCCATAGAGAACTCCATTTATAAACATCTCTATTTTGATCAGAGTGAGTACACACATAAAACAGAATATGCCTTATTGTTAAGCAAACCCTGTGTTTATTGATAGCGGGTCAATGAGAGCAGAGGCAGACTAGCCCAGGCATCTAAAATAATTCGAGACACAGAATATTAAACCTGAGGCTGCAAGACAAATCATTCAAAGGTAGACTCATCCACAAGGATTTCTCGACATAAAGGTTAAAGGTCAAGACTATGAAATAACAAAAATGTGACAGAAAGCAAGCATTGGAATTGTATGGAACTCGGCATTTCCTAGTTGAGCAATCTTGATATAAATCCTCTCCCTGGCAGCCAAGCAAAGGGAGCAAGCATATCGGTCTGCGGGCGGGGTGTGTGAAGGGCAACAGCTTGGCTGGCACGCTAGCTAGGGGCATACCAGAGGGAGAACAGCCAAATGAGGCCAGGCTCAAAGGGGAACAAAGAGCAGACTGGATGGTGGCAGGTCTCAAAAAAGTTCTAGGCAAGATTCCTCCCTCAGTAGCAATTCTTGCTGGCGCCAGGCCTGACAATCCTTTGGGACAACATGGAAAAGGGCCACTTTGTCTGTTAATAGGGTCACCATTATTACACTACTGACCATTTTACAACATCAGAGAGTCAACTTGGGGCAAATCCCTTTGCTTTACACACTGGTCACACATTAGGGGACTTAATAAGGGAAGACCTGGTAGGGAGCATTAGAAGTTCCTGAGTACTTTTCATTAAAGGCTCTGTCAAAAGATTTTCCAGTGACTCATCCCCTCCTGGAGACCTCCTGAAGACAAAGAAAACATGAGATTTCATTTACCTTCCCCTTCTTCAGAAATGAGCTTGTCCCTACTCCTCACACCCTTCAAACCTCGCAAAATGGTTCCAACATTTTATTCTAAACCTTCTGTCAGCCTAGTTGTGTCAGAGAGAGAGGGAAAATAACCCATCTGGTATCACATCTTAGTTCCAGATGCCACTCAGTGGTTGAAGGGTCACACTACTGAAGGCAACAACTTCGGGGTGAGGGGTTTGTTGACACAAATTCCTGGGGATGCTTCTTACTCTGCCAACAGCTCACCATTCTCCTCTGTCTTCCATGGGCCCTGGGCATTGTTCTGTGCTCTCTGTTAAACAGCTCCCACTCATCCTCCTCCCAAGGCTAACACACAGAGATTCTTTTCTTTTTTCCTTGTCTGACCAAAAACAAGCCATAAACCCTTTTGAGGTAGCGTGGTACACAAACAGTCAGTTTTATAGTATGGGGAAGAACATGAGCTTTGGAGCGAAAGAGCCCAGGGTTTGAATCTTCCACTTAGCCACTTACCAACTGCATGTCCTTGGACAAGCCATGAAAACTTTCTGAGTCTCAGCCTCTCTTTTTGTAAAGTTGAAGTGAATAATAATAGACCTAATCCTGAGAGTTGTTAGAGGATTCGCTATGATGTCTGTAAATTGCCTAGCATGCAAAAGGTAATCCATAAATGGTAGCTGTAATTATTTTTTTCTGCAGATTTTTCTCTTAGAAATCATAGAGAAAACAGATAATGAAGTTCAAAGGATACTAACTGCAAACAAAAGTTAAAGGCTACAAAGCCATAACAAATTTAAAAGGAAAATACAAGAGAAAAATTCTAAAAATCACAACCTGAGGTTATCATTGAAATATGAAGAGAAATAACCTTGAGCTGTCTCTGCCCCATGTTTGCTCAACTTCAAGTTTGTTTTCTTTTTCTTTCTCTTTAAACTGCAGCTTAAGGTAGAGATTAAAGTCCCCAGCCCAGGAGGCAGACAAGCCTGTGACCTTAGACAAGTCCCTTAATTTCTCCCGCCTCGGCGTCCTCATCTGCAGGAGGAGAATAATGAGTGTCAAACTCTTATGAGTGCAATAAGGATGTTATGTGCTTAGCACAGTGTAAGAGCTCAGGAAAAAGAAGTAACTTTCATTATCTCACATTCATATCTTCTTAGAAATTCTGGGTCTGCGGTTCGTAGACTCCATCCACATCTGAAGAATTCTTTCACCTTCTCTTGATACCTAGGTCCTCCTACGCTTTCTGGTGAAACTCAAGCTGACTTGTTTCCACCTATTGGTTGAACTTATTTATTTCAATCACTCCAACAAGGAAGAAAAGATGAGAGAACACAAACCCCAAACTGTAGGAGACGCTGGGACCTTGGCGAGCATAGGAGGAAAGGTAGGAGAGGAGGCAGAGCTTGGAAATCCATTCATTTCTGCCTTGTTGGCCCTCTTCACATGCTAAAAGCAAGCAGGGCGGCTCTGGAAGGCAGGAACAGCGCTTCAGCTCTGCTGCTCCCTCCAGTGGTGGGGCCTGGAGAAGTCACGAGGTGGAGTCAGGAGTCATAAGGTGGAGTCAGGAGGCTCACAGGGAAGGGGAGATAACATCATCAGTGACTTTCATAATAATGACAACGGAACAATAATCGACAATGGGCTCATAGGGAAGAAGGAATAATAATAATAATATTTGGTGGACTTTTGGAGAAAGAGGACAAAAGTTCTTGGAAGACTCATGGGTAAGAATGGATAATGATAATTTAATAAATATGGCAAAGACTATAGCAATCCTTAGTGGGTTCATGCGGAAGTGGGAATAATCATGATTACAAAAGCTAACACTCATCAGTTTCTTCCTACACATCAGGC
The DNA here is from genome assembly GCF_000001405.40 of Homo sapiens. Taxonomy (NCBI): domain Eukaryota; kingdom Metazoa; phylum Chordata; class Mammalia; order Primates; family Hominidae; genus Homo; species Homo sapiens. The sequence goes on along the minus strand of NC_000023.11, from coordinate 131,262,590 downwards.
ACTGTGCTAAGTGCTTAAAATACATTATTTCACACAACCCTACAAGAGACTTGCAATGCTGAAAGATTAAGTAACTTGCCCAGAGTCACAGAGCTAATGAGTGACAAAGCCAGTATGAAAACCCAGGTTTGTCTTACTCCAGAATCTGTGCACTTTCCCCTGGACCATGTGGTACCAATGGAAAGAAACCAGCAGACCCAGCTGGTTAGAACACCTGTTTGCCTCCCAGTCCCTCTCAGCTATAAGTGTTTACAGGGCTGTGGGCACTGGTTGCCATGGGAGCCACCCTCTATCCCTAGTTTCTTATTACCAGTGATGGACTAGGGGGTTTCTGGAAAATAGAATCCTCCCCCACCTCCAGAAGGGTGGCAAGTTCCCTACTGAGTAGAACAGTCTGGTATGCAGACAACCAGGTGTGTCATCCTCTCATAAATGTGTGAACTGAGAGACATGAGGGAGATTCCTCTTCCCTAATTACCAATGCTTGAAATTGGACCTGTGGAACATTCTGTGCTTTATTAAAATGCAAATACCTGTTTTTATTTATTTACATCACAGTGTGAATCTTTTAGTTCATCGTTTTCAAGAAAACTAGTCCCTGAGACTTTAGTCTAATGTAGTTAGCATGGCAGGCAAAGCCCTTCAAAGTCTCTAGTCCCTGTCTCTATCTCCAACTTCAACTGCTCCCACTCTCCAGCCTAACATCCCCTACCATACTGCAGCTCCCAATCAATAATTTCTTTATGTTACTGTTCTCTACAATAACATATAGAATATAGAATAATATGTATTTTCTTGGAGTAACCCCTACAACTCTCTTCTTCACCTAATTCTTAGTCATCAATCAAAATACAGTGCGGCTATCACCTTCTTTCAGTAAGCCTCCCCCTACCCCCAACCATGACAGTGACATTATTTGGCTTAGGTGACCATCTCCTATGCTATTAGAGTAGCCTGTATAGTAGTCTAGCTTTCTATCTATATATGTATACATATTATATATGTTATAATTGGAGTTGGTATTATATTTCACTTACATATAAAATAGTATTTATTTAGTGATAAAGAACGGTAATAATAATAAATGCACATGGTTAAAATATGCAAACAGTACAGTAGATTATGAATTGAAAAGTAGAATATGTCCATATCGGAGCCTCCCACCACAGTCTTAATCTCCAGAGGTAAGCTCTCTGTTAACAGTTTCTTGTGTATTTTTCCAGAATTGTTTAATGCATATGCAAGAATATCTGCATATGCTTTGTTGTCACATAGATCAGATCATACTGTTCTGTACCTTGCTTTTTTCATTCAATGTATCTAGGAGCGCTTCCCATATCAGAGGATATATATATATATATATATATACTTTTTTTTAATTTGCTACATAATATTCAAAGGATGGATGTACTGTGATTCACTTACCTATTGAGGAGACTGTCTTTTTTTTCTATTGTTGTTTTGGTTTGGTACTGCTGTGCTTGTTTTGTTTTGGTTTGCTATTAGAAAGAATGTTATAATGAACATCCTTTTATAAATGTATATTTGCTTGTTTATGTAAATGTGCCCTAGGGATAAATTCTTAAAACTGGAATTGCTGGGTTAAAGATTATGGCCTTTTACAACCTTGATAAATATGTCAAATTGCCCTCCAAATATATAGCTCCAAGTTTTACTTTGACTGTGCATGAGAGTTACTGCATCCCTATAGCCTCAGAAACCTTGTTCTATAAAACTTCATCAAATTTTAAATGTGATAGGGGAAAATTATAACTCATTGTTTTGATTTGTCTTTAAACAATTAAAAGCAAGTTTGAGCAGAATTTTTATATCCATTGGGTATTTATATTTCTTTTTCTGTTAAGATTCCTTATCCAATTTCTAGTCTTTTCCCTTCATGAATTGTAAATGCTTCAGGTATATTTTTTAAAGTAGTCTGTTGTCATTTTTGTAATACATATTTTTTTCTTAGTTTGTCATTTGCCTTTTGACTTGCTTAATTATTTATTACTGCCATACAGAAATGATAGTATTTATGTAGTCAACTGTATCAAATTTTTCCTATATATATATATATATTCAGTTTTTGTAGCATGCTTACTTAGAAAGGTTTCTTTCATTGCAAGATTATAAAAGAAATCACCATGTTTTCATTTAGTACCTTATGGTTTTTCCATCTTTTAATATTGAAATTGTTGATCAATCCAGAATTTATTTCGGTGAAGAGTCACTTGGGATCCAGATATTTTATTCAAGTAGCTAGCCAGTTGTCCAATCACTTTGTATTTTTTAATGTTTACTTGTCTTTCCCACTGGACTCTGAGTTCTTCCAAGAAAATAACCATATCTTATTACTGATTGGAGCTCAACATTTAACACTGTGCTTGATACATGATAGCACTTGCTATTATAGAATGCCAGAATGTGGAATGAATGCCAGATACTGTTTCAACTTCCTCTGTTGGTGAACAAAGCCTACTTAAATAAAATTAGTAGCCTATATGTGCCACATTTTGCTAAGTCTACTGCTAACCCAGTGGGTCTCTTCACATCAGCTACTGCCTGCTACCTATAACTTCTTATGCAAGCCAGATGATTACAAAGGCCAGATAGATGTGAGTAGAGCCTAATTAAATATTGCAGGCACATGGTAAAAAGAAACATAATAAAGCTCCATCTGGCCAAGAAGCCCCTTACTCCATAATTACTAGTGCCTGAAATTCTATCTTTAGGACTTTATATTCTTTATTAAAATGCAAATATCTTGTTGAGCTGGGTTTTTTTATTCGTTCACATCACAGTGGGAATTTTTGTTGTCCGATTCAATGCAAATGCAAGTGTGCACACACACACACACGCGCGCGCGCGTCTATAAAAACAAGTTTTGAGACGAAGGCCAGAAAGAAGTAAAGACCATCCAGGGGCACAAGAGGGATCACTGGGGAACAAGGAGTGAGAGGGGCGCATGGAGAAGAGCACTTACAACTCATGTTCTAACAATGACACTTTAATATACCAAGCTGCTTAATCACAAAATACATCATCCCACTCACCTCTTCTCAGCCTCAGCAGTCTAAACTTTCTGGACCTATTGGATATATTTGTAGATAACTACTTAGGGAAGATCACATGAGCCAATTAAGCGCTATTTTCTTTGGAGTATCTCCGAGAATTGTAGCTTGAAAGAGCATTTGGATATTATGTTTTCCTTTTAAAAAAAATCTAATAGTTGATTCTGGTGCCCAACATGCCTTCTCGTCCTCTACTGACCCCAAACTTAACATTCACCCGATTAAAAGTACTTTGGGGAAGCAAATGGTAAAATAAAAATGCCAAGATGAATCTCAGCATCCTTCTGATTTGATGTTTTAAAATATATATTGTAAAATTCCTTCTCCCCTATTTTGCCTGGCTAAAAAGAAACCCAAATGTCAAGGGTCTTAAATTGGTCTGACAAGTAAACTTGCAAGCCTGCTCAGCACCCAGGCTTGTGCATTTTGGACTTGACGTCAATGAACAATGGGGGTTAAGAAAGTCATTTTCCTGGTTTATTAGAATCTCTCTCTCTGGGCCCAAGTCATTCCTCACATGCCCTGATCAAGTTGGTCTGAGCTTCTTCCATCACAAGCTGTTTTTCATTTACTAGTTTGTATGAAAAATTGACCATAAAAGTCTGTACATGAGCCACTTGTTTATTGCTAATCTATCCCTGGAGTTGAAGGGAATAAAATAACTAATGGTCTCTGAAATTAAGAGACTGCCTTTATTAAAAGTGTAAATTCAATGGAAGGTGCAGGATTTGAGTTAACACCCATTCATATAATAGCAAGAATTCGTGTTGGAGTCTTCCCTCCAGAAACTCTGAGGGCAGAGCTTATGAAAAGGCAAATAATAGAAAGGGAATAAGACACTGAACCCTTTAGGGTGGGGGGCTGCCACCAGGCCTAAAAAGACTCTGAAATAAGAAGTAGGGTAACACTAGAAAAAAATCTTTAGTTTTCTCCCAAATTCATCTGAAATCTGGTCCTAGGACTAAGTGCTCTGGAACTTACAAATAATTTATTAACTCTGGAAGATAAAATAATAGTAATAGTAGAGTTACTGGTAATACTAATGACAAGTTACATTTACTGAACATTTACTTTGTGCCAGCCACTGTATGCATAGTAACACATTTAAGCCTAACAATAACTCTAAGGAAAGCACTATTATACTCTTAATTTTACAGAGGAGGTAATTGAGGCTCAGCCAAATTAGTAACTTACCCAGTGTCATATAAATGATAAGCAGAGTTCTTCTCCACTATGTTGAGAACCAAGGCTGAGTCACAAAGCCCTCTTTTGAACCATCGTGCTAGTGCTACTTAACAGCAGGCTTGAACTGCTACTGCATGTTATTTCAGCACTTTGACGCACAGAAATTCCAACCCTGGACATAATTCTGAGTCAGAGTTGGCCTTTCTGTATTTTGCTTTTCCTGCCTGGGCCTACTCCTCTAGATTCTTTGGGACCCACTTCTACACTCCATTTTGCCACCTCCCCCCTCAGTTGACTGATACAGATCAAGTGACAGAAGGTAAGGACACATCTGATGCATGTCAGGCACTTTCTTGGGTACTTACACATTTGCTTTTCATTTAACAAAACAACCTTTGAGGTAGAGATTATCATCTCCATTTGGCAGATGGTTTAGCTGAGGCTAAGACAGATTAAGAATTTACCTAAGATAAGTGACAATTGGGGGCATGAGTCTTATTTGACTCCAGCGCTTGAGAGGACTTGTGAAACATGAACAATTTATACCTCCTGAGAGCGCTTGCATGTTAAAAGAAGACTTCTATTTTTTCAAGGGACTGAATGACTAACTATGTTGGAAACCTATGGTGAAAGGGGCAGGCAGGTGAGGTATATCTTTTGGGATAAGAGACCTTTGTCCCAGGGTTCTTTTCACATCAACCCAAGCAGATGCCTTCTCATTAGCCCTCTCTGCTCCTTCCAACACACACAAAGATAACACTAGCTAGGCTGAACCTGCCCTGAGTCAGTTCTTTCCCTTGCTGGGATTACTCTGTAAAACATGACAGAAATACAAAGGTCAGGCTCTAGCTTAGCTCCTTTTTCCTGGCTCAGTCTGCCCCTTACATAAAGGCAGAGAGTTCAATGCACATTAGAAGATTTAAATGAGGGTAGTATGGAGTTTGTCTAGCCCCTAAAATTGGGACAAAGGTGTCTGGGAAGAATAAATGAGTCCCGGAAGAGTCCTGTTGGTTCAAGCCCAATAAAAATTCATACTACCCCTCTTCTAGTCATAGGGGCCACCATAAAACGGTGCCCTCCCCTTTGTCTTCCCAACACTGATGAGTCATTAAGTAAGTTCTTTATTTCTAATTTCAATAAATTAGAATAAGGACTCAGACTTTCTAACACAGAGAATTATATTTACCCAGTCACTTAATGAAAAATGCATCATTGAAGCCTTGCAGTACCTAAGCACTAGGAGCACGATAGATTAATTTTATTAAGTTGTTTTGCCTTTAGGATACCAAGCACTCTCTCTCAGTTTTATTAGATGAGAACCCATCGGGCATGTATGTTAATTTTATGGTGAATCTGAAATTTCCAGCTGCAAATCACTTCTCCCTTTGTGTTTAATGAAGCCACTCTGACACTGCAAAACACTCTTTCTCCATCTCCACCAAACTATCTGACCAGTACTACTTCCAATATGATCTAAATTCATGAATTTTTAAGATTTGGATGTTTATGACTTTCCATTTTAAAACTACCTTTTTCTTTATTCTTTCAAGCAGAAGCTTTAAACATAGGCCCATTTATTTATTTATTTATCTATGTACTTGTGTATATATTTATTTATTTTTAATAGAGATGGGGTCTCGGTATATTGCCCAAGCTGTAGTTCAGTGACTATTCACAGGCATGATCACAATGCCCTATAGCCTCAAACTCCTGGCCTCAAGTGATCTTCCCTCTTCAGGCACCTGAGTAGCTGGGACTACAGGCATGTGTCACCATGCCCAGCTTGAAACTTAGGTATCTTAAGTCAATGTTCTATGAAAACAATCAGCCTACAATGTTGTTCAAGAATTTAGTACATTCTGCACTGTATGTGGATTCATGGTTTAACATGAGCAAACTTTAAAAGTGATTGTAGTTCTTTTTTTTATGGCCTATTAGGATCACTCCCTTTGGGCCCAGGGCATTCCTCACAAACCATCATCTTATGGGATGTTAGACTTTGCTCACAATTTCATAGTTTGTATGAAGTACTTCCCATAAAGTTGTTTCTGTATTGGAGGTGTTTTTTGTTTGTTTGTTTGTTTTGTTTTTTTGTTTTTTGAGACAGAGTCTCGCTCTGTCACCCAGGCTGGAGTGCAGTGGCGCGATCTTGGCTCACTGCAACCTCTGCTTCCTGGGTTCAAGCGATTCTCCTGCCTCAGCCTCCTGAGTAGCTGGGATTACAGGCATGCGCCACCACACCCGGCTAATTTTTTTTGTATTTTTAGTAGAGATGGGTTTCACCATGTTGGTCAGGCTGGTCTCAAACTCCTGACATCGTGATCTGCCCACCTCGGCCTCCCAAAGTGCTGGGATTACAGGCGTGAGCCACCACGCCCGGCGTGTATTCCAGATTTTTCCCTAATTAAGGAGAAAGAAAGTATGACTATAGCAGGCCTATCCCTGTAGAAAGTGACTAAAGGTAGAATAGGCTCACATGGCTGCTTTCCTCTCCAGCCCCTAATCTCTATAAATGACAGAAAATATATATTCAAAATTAATATATTCACAACAGAAATTAAAAATAAGAAATATATATGCCTGTCATACATTTTGAGGAATCCTTTTGAGTCAAAAGGTAAAGGGAATAAAATTAATGGAGAAAAGCACAGCCTAAAACATATGTAGTAGAGGATGACTGAATAAGGAGGCTATGACTCCATATGATCTCCCAACCCAGAGACAGGAGAAACAGGTGGTATATGGAAGCCACAGGAAAATCATTATTAGGGTACCCCATTTTGAGCAGCTGACTGATTTTATTCATTCTCCTCTGCCTAACTGTGTCAGGTAGTGGGCAGCATAGATGGTTTCTCAGGCTAGAAAAAGTATTTTGGATGCTTGGGCTGGAAAAGCAAAGCAGGTTGCAGAAGCAAGACCAAGTGGTTGGCCACACCTAGGAGAAACAGGAAGCCTTCATACCCAGAAGATGAACTACTTATACACTCCACTCAGCAGCATGGCCTGTCCTTTCTCAAAATCTTGATGAGTGTGCAGGCTGTGAGAAACAGAAATGTCATCTAGAAGCAAACAGAGGTTCTCAAAACCCATGATGAGCACTAACATAAAATTCACAAACATTTGGGGAAAACCAGCACCATAAAATGGAGTCACCAAACTCACGAATCAGGACTAATGCCCAAGGAAGCAGAGTAACTAGGAGTTAAAGAAGAACAAAGAAAAATTGAAAGGGAAATTGACCTAAAACATCGATAACAGTACACCATTTCTCAAAGTTGAAGAAAGACAAAAGTCTTCAAATAAAAATCACATACCAGTCACTGAAAAAGATAGTTTAATATAAAGATATCTGTACCTAAGACACATATTGGTGAAATATGAGAACTCCAAGGATAAAGACAACAAAATTTGTAAAAGTTTCCAAAGCAACGAGCAGGCTACCTGCACAGGAAAGAGAACCAGGCTAGTATCGATTGCTCATTAGCAATACTCATGTTCAGAAATAGTAATGGATTAGCTTCAAATTTATGAGAAAAAATAATTTGGAAGCAAGAATACTATACTAAGAAAGACTAAAATTTAAGTTGGAAGGCTGAGGGTTGTTGCAAAAGGAAAATATTTTTCAGACATGCAAGAACAAATATTTCACCAACCATTATTCATCTTTGAGTGAATTATTAGAGGATGTACTCTAGCAAAATAAAAACTGAATCTGAAGGGATTATGTGGAGTAAAAGAAACAATGGCGAACAGTGAAACCGTAAAAAACTGTAACTAAATCTAAATAATTATTATTGTAAAAAAATAGTAGCAATATGGACTAAATCCTAGATGATCTCAACATGAAAACTTGAGAGGTTTAAGAGAAAAGAAAAAAGGAAGGTAAAATATTGCAATGGTTGTTGCCTTTTTCAGATAAGTATATAAATAATCATAAATTCTAGAAATGTATGCAGAATATATCTTTGAGTAAATTTGAAGAAATTAAGCATTGCCACTGGAATACGAAATATAATATAAACCTTCCAAAAAACTACTAGAGAACAAAAAATAAAATACGGAAACACCACCAATCCCATAAATTACTGGAAAGAGAAAACCAACAAGAATCATGATAATAGAAAAGGTAAAATAAGATGGCAGGGATAATCATAAGTATCAACAATAATATTAAACCAGAATGGGTTGAATCTCCTTACTAAAAGATAATCTCAGATTGAACAAATAACGAGATTGAAACACATCCTGTTTAAAAGAGACACACTTTAAACAAAATGACACTTGAAACTTGAAAATAAATGAACTGAGAAAAACAGATGACAATGCCAACAAAAATAAAGTAGATGTAGCGATATTAATGTGGGGCAAAATAAAACAAGACAAAAATTTAAAGGGACAAGAGTGATATTTCGCATTGGTACAATCCATTAGGAAGATACACCAATCATTAGATTATTCATAAGAACACAGTTTTGAAATAAAGAAAATAAATATGAACAAGAAAACAAGAAGAAATGGCAACCCACAACATTAATGAAAAAATTGCCACACCTCTCGCTCAGAAACCTGACAACAGGTCAAGTAGAAACAAGAATAAAGATGAAGAGAATTTGGGGAACAAAATTCATGAGTTTCATACAATAGCTATGTACATGAATGCATCCAACAAGCAGAGAATAGTTAGTCTGTAAACATATATGGGACATGCACAGAATTTGACTATATATAACTAGGTATAAAATTACAAAGGAAATCTCAGCAAATTCAGAAAAGCATAAAACATTAAGGCTGCATACACTGAACACATATTAACACAACTAGAAATTAGCAATAATGGTTAACCAAAAAATTATAAAGAATTTCTACATAATTATTAAACGATTCCTTCTCAATGGCTCCAGGTCAAAGAAAAACATTAAAGTTAACATTGCAAACTATTTAGAAATGAGCAAGAGTGATAGCACTGTACAGCAAAACTTATGGAGCATGGCCAAAATGGCACTCAAAGAATACATAGCCTAAATAAATTTATGAGAAACTCAAGATGTTAGAAAAAGAACAAGGTTAACTCAGAGAAAGTAAAAGTGAACATAAATATAAAAGCATGAATTAAACAAATATTGACAAGTACAAAACCAAACAAACAACAAAGGGTAGTGCTGATGGATAAAAACTGAAACAATTGATTTGAAAAGACTACTAAAATAGCTAAACCTATGGGGATGTCTGATCAAGGAAAACAGATAGAAGATATAAGTCAACAATGCTTAGAACAGTAGTTAAAATAACTACATATGTGGAAGATATTTAATGTTCCATTAAATGTAATTATGTATAATTTTATGACCATAAAATTTTGAAAATCAGTACTTAATGAATTACTTTATAGGAGAACATGAATTGCTAAAATTGACTGAAGAAGGGGTAGAACATCTGAACTGACCAAAAATCAGAAAAGTAGTCATAGATTTATCCCTAAAACAAGGCATGGGGCCCAAAAATTGAAATAGACAAATTCTATCAAATCCTCAAGAAACAAATCACTCTTATGCTCTCAGAAGTATTCTGGAGCATAGAAAAACAACGAAATATTTTCAACTCATTTTGCAAGTCTAGCATAATTGTGATGCCAAAAATTTGGGCAAACAACAGAAAAAAGAAAACTATGGGACCAATATCACTTACAAAGATAGATTCAGAATGCTCAATAGAATATAAGCAATTTGAACCCCGCAGTATATTAAAAAATACATCATGAGCCATGACCAATGAGGCTTTTCCCATGAAATAAATATGACCTAATATGAGAGGATTTATTAATGTAATTCACTACATTAACATACTAAAATATAGAAATTATATAATCACCTAAATAGATGCCTCAAATTATTTCATGAAACTAGCTATTCTCAACATAACATACACCATTCTAGCAGATCTTATTTTAGTATTGATAAAACATTACTGTTTTCAGTCAGCAGACTGAGCTTACAGTTGTAACACATTTTTCCCAGGTTATGCGCTTCGTTGTTGATTACACCTCACTGACAAATTTGAATCTGATACTTCCCGTTAATTAATCTTAAGGATTTTCACTCTTTGATTTTTCCAATGTTTTGTTTTTTTTATTGATTTGAAGTTTAGTTTCTATATTTTAGTTTATTTGATCTCGCCACTAAAGTTTTATTAACATTTATTCTGTTGTTCCTCAGAGTTCATATATACAATTTGAGCATGTTTTCATTCTTAGAACTTTTGAATCTGTGATTAACAAATGCATACAAACATGAATGAGTAGAATCATGCTAAAAATCACTTCTTAAAAAACAGTTTGCATAAATGTTAATATAATCACAATCACTGAATGATTGGAAATTCATTGGCTAGAGTGATCTCATGAAACTTTAGATTCAGCTGAATCTTCAGGAACATACATGAGTGTTTTACATAGACCTAATTAACAGCATCTTCCTAATGTTAGGTAAAGTTGGAAAAGAATAACATATTCTTAATTTGTGAAAGATATCTACTATAAATCTACAGCAAAAAAATCACATTTAATGGTGGAACAGAAAAATTCCCCTAAACTACGGAAACGAAAAATTCCCCTAAACTACGGAAACAAAAAATTCCCACTATCTTTGTTTTTATTCAGCATTATACTAGAGGTCCAAGCCAATTCAGTGAGACAAAAAGTAAGAAATACAAATATTGGGAAGGAAGAGACAATATAACTGTTTACCTTGAAAAGGCCAAATAAGGAGGAGCCAAGATGGCCGAATAGGAACAGCTCCGGTCTACAGCTCCCAGCGTGAGCGACGCAGAAGACGGGTGATTTCTGCATTTCCATCTGAGGTACCAGGTTCATCTCACTAGGGAGTGCCAGACAGTGGGCGCAGGTCAGTGGGTGCGCGCACCGTGCGCGAGCCGAAGCAGGGCGAGGCATTGCCTCACTTGGGAAGCGCAAGGGGTCAGGGAGTTCCCTTTCCGAGTCAAAGAAAGGGGTGATGGACGCACCTGGAAAATCGGGTCACTCCCACCTGAATATTGCGCTTTTCGGACCGGCTTAAAAAACAGCGCACCACGAGTTTATATCCCGCACCTGGCTCGGAGGGTCCTACGCCCACGGAGTTTCGCTGATTGCTAGCACAGCAGTCTGAGATCAAACTGCAAGGCGGCAGCGAGGCTGGGGGAGGGGCGCCCGCCATTGCCCAGGCTTGCTTGGGTAAACAAAGAAGCCGGGAAGCTCGAACTGGGTGGAGCCCACCACAGCTCAAGGAGGCCTGCCTGCCTCTGTAGGCTCCACCTCTGGGGGCAGGGCACAGACAAACAAAAAGACAGCAGTAACCTCTGCAGACTTAAATGTCCCTGTCTGACAGCTTTGAAGAGAGCAGTGGTTCTCCCAGCACGCAGATGGAGATCTGAGAACGGGCAGACTGCCTCCTCAAGTGGGTCCCTGATCCCTGACCCCTGAGCAGCCTAACTGGGAGGCACCCCCCAGCAGGGGCACACTGACACCTCACACGGCAGGGTATTCCAACAGACCTGCAGCTGAGGGTCCTGTCTGTTAGAAGGAAAACTAACAAACAGAAAGGACATCCACACCAAAAGCCCATCTGTACATCACTATCATCAAAGACCAGAAGTAGATAAAACCACAAAGATGGGGAAAAAACAGAACAGAAAAACTGGAAACACTAAAACGCAGAGCGCCTCTCCTCCTCCAAGGAACGCAGTTCCTCACCAGCAACGGAACAAAGCTGGATGGAGAATGACTTTGACGAGCTGAGAGAAGAAGGCTTCAGACGATCAAATTACTCTGAACTACGGGAGGACATTCAAACCAAAGGCAAAGAAGTTGAAAACTTTGAAAAAAATTTAGAAGAATGTATAACTAGAATAACCAATAGAGAGAAGTGCTTAAAGGAGCTGATGGAGCTGAAAACCAAGGCTCAAGAACTACGTGAAGAATGCAGAAGCCTCAGGAGCCGATGCGATCAACTGGAAGAAAGGGTATCAGCGATGGAAGATGAAATGAATGAAATGAAGCGAGAAGGGAAGTTTAGAGAAAAAAGAATAAAAAGAAATGAGCAAAGCCTCCAAGAAATATGGGACTATGTGAAAAGACCAAATCTACGTCTGACTGGTGTACCTGAAAGTGATGGGGAGAATGGAACCAAGTTGGAAAACACTCTGCAGGATATTATCCAGGAGAACTTCCCCAATCTAGCAAGGCAGGCCAACGTTCAGATTCAGGAAATACAGAGAACGCCACAAAGATCCTCCTTGAGAAGAGCAACTCCAAGACACATAATTGTCAGATTCACCAAAGTTGAAATGAAGGAAAAAATGTTAAGGGCAGCCAGAGAGAAAGGTCGGGTTACCCTCAAAGGGAAGCCCATCAGACTAACAGTGGATCTCTTGGCAGAAACCCTACAAGCCAGAAGAGAGTGGGGGCCAATATTCAACATTCTTAAAGAAAAGAATTTTCAACCCAGAATTTCCTATCCAGCCAAACTAAGCTTCATAAGTGAAGGAGAAATAAAATACTTTACAGACAAGCAAATGCTGAGAGATTTTGTCACCACCAGGCCTGCCCTAAAAGAGCTCCTGAAGGAAGCACTAAACATGGAAAGGAACAACCGGTACCAGCCGCGGCAAAATCATGCCAAAATGTAAAGACCATCGAGACTAGGAAGAAACTGCATCAACTAATGAGCAAAATAACCAGCTAACATCATCATGACAGGATCAAATTCACACATAACAATATTAACTTTAAATGTAAATGGACTAAATGCTCCAATTAAAAGACACAGACTGGCAAATTGGATAAAGAGTCAAGACCCATCAGTGCGCTGTATTCAGAAACCCATCTCACGTGCAGAGACACACATAGGCTCAAAATAAAAGGATGGAGGAAGATCTACCAAGCACATGGAAAACAAAAAAAGGCAGGGGTTGCAATCCTAGTTTCTGATAAAACAGACTTTCAACCAACAAAGATCAAAAGAGAAAAAGAAGGCCATTACATAATGGTAAAGGGATCAATTCAACAAGAAGAGCTAACTATCCTAAATATATATGCACCCAATACAGGAGCACCCAGATTCATAAAGCAAGTCCTGAGTGACCTACAAAGAGACTTAGACTCCCACACATTAATAATGGGAGACTTTAACACCCCACTGTCAACATTAGACAGATCAATGAGACAGAAAGTCAACAAGGATACCCAGGAATTGAACTCAGCTCTGCACCAAGCGGACCTAATAGACATCTACAGAACTCTCCACCCCAAATCAACAGAATATACATTTTTTTCAGCACCACACCACACCTATTCCAAAATTGACCACATACTTGGAAGTAAAGCACTCCTCAGCAAATGTAAAAGAACAGAGATTATAACAAACTATCTCTCAGACCACAGTGCAATCAAACTAGAACTCAGGATTAAGAATCTCACTCAAAACTGCTCAAATACATGGAAACTGAACAACCTGCTCCTGAATGACTACTGGATACATAACGAAATGAAGGCAGAAATAAAGATGTTCTTTGAAACCAACGAGAAAAAAGACACAACATACCAGAATCTCTGGGACGCATTCAAAGCAGTGTGTAGAGGGAAATTTATAGCACTAAATGCCCACAAGAGAAAGCAGGAAAGATCCAAAATTGACATCCTAACATCACAATTAAAAGAACTAGAAAAGCAAGAGCAAACACATTCAAAAGCTAGCAGAATGCAAGAAATAACTAAAATCAGAGCAGAACTGAAGGAAATAGAGACACAAAAAACCCTTCAAAAAATTAATGAATCCAGGAGCTGGTTTTTTGAAAGGATCAACAAAATTGATAGACCGCTAGCAAGACTAATAAAGAAAAAAAGAGAGAAGAATCAAATAGACACAATAAAAAATGATAAAGGGGATATCACTACTGATCCCACAGAAATAAAAACTACCATCAGAGAAATAAGCTAGAAAATCTACCTCTAAGCAAATAAGCTAGAAAATCTAGAAGAAATGGATAAATTCCTTGACACATACACTCTCCCAAGACTAAACCAGGAAGAAGTTGAATCTCTGAATAGACCAATAACAGGATCTGAAATTGTGGCAATAATCAATAGCTTACCAACCAAAAGGAGTCCAGGACCAGATGGATTCACAGCCGAATTCTACCAGAGGTACAAGGAGGAACTGGTACCATTCCTTCTGAAACTATTCCAATCAATAGAAAAAGAGGGAATCCTCCCTAACTCATTTTATGAGGCCAGCATCATCCTGATACCAAAGCCGGGCAGAGACACAACCAAAAAACAGAATTTTAGACCAATATCCTTGATGAACATTGATGCAAAAATCCTCAATAAAATACTGGCAAAACGAATCCAGCAGCACATCAAAAAGCTTATCCACCATGATCAAGTGGGCTTCATCCCTGGGATGCAAGGCTGGTTCAATATATGCAAATCAATAAATGTAATCCAGCATATAAACAGAGCCAAAGACAAAAACCACATGATTATCTCAATAGATGCAGAAAAAGCCTTTGACAAAATTCAACAACCCTTCATGCTAAAAACTCTCAATAAATTAGGTATTGATGGGACGTATTTCAAAATAATAAGAGCTATCTATCTATGACAAACCCACAGCCAATATCATACTGAATGGGCAAAAACTGGAAGTATTCCCGTTGAAAACTGGCACAAGACAGGGATGCCCTCTCTCACTACTACTATTCAACATAGTGTTGGAAGTTCTGGCCAGGGCAATTAGGCAGGAGAAGGAAATAAAGGGTATTCAATTAGGAAAAGAGGAAGTCAAATTGTCCCTGTTTGCAGATGACATGATTGTATATCTAGAAAACCCCATTGTCTCAGCCCAAAATCTCCTTAAGCTGATAAGCAACTTCAGCAAAGTCTCAGGATACAAAATCAATGTACAAAAATCACAAGCATTCTTATACACCAACAACAGACAGGAGCCAAATCATGAGTGAACTCCCATTCACAATTGCTTCAAAGAGAATAAAATACCTAGGAATCCAACTTACAAGGGATGTGAAGGACCTCTTCAAGGAGAACTACAAACCACTGCTCAAGGAAATAAAAGAGGATACAAACAAATGGAAGAACATTCCATGCTCATGGGTAGGAAGAATCAATATCGTGAAAATGGCCACACTGCCCAAGGTAATGTACAGATTCAATGCCATCCCCATCAAGCTACCAATGACTTTCTTCACAGAATTGGAAAAAACTACTTTAAAGTTCCTATGGAACCAAAAAAAGAGCCCGCATCGCCAAGGGAATCCTAAGCCAAAAGAACAAAGCTGGAGGCATCACACTATCTGACTTCAAACTATACTACAAGGCTACAGTAACCAAAACAGCATGGTACTGGTACTAAAACAGAGATATAGATCAATGGAACAGAACAGAGCCCTCAGAAATAATGCCGCATATCTACAACTATCTGATCTTTGACAAACCTGAGAAAAACAAGCAATGGGGAAAGGATTCCCTATTTAATAAATGGTGCTGGGAAAACTGGCTAGCCATATGTAGAAAGCTGAAACTGGATCCCTTCCTTACACCTTATACAAAAATCAATTCAAGATGGATTAAAGACTTAAATGTTAGACCTAAAACCATAAAAACCCTAGAAGAAAACCTAGGCATTACCATTCAGGACATAGGCATGGGCAAGGACTTCATGTCCAAAACATCAAAAGCAATGGCAACAAAAGACAAAATTGACAAATGGGATCTAATTAAACTAAAGAGCTTCTGCACAGCAAAAGAAACTACCATCAGAGTGAACAGGCAACCTACAAAATGGGAGAAAATTTTCGCAACCTACTCATCTGAAAAAGGGCTAATATCCAGAATCTACAATGAACTCAAACACATTTACAAGAAAAAAACAAACAACCCCATCAAAAAGTGGGCAAAGGACATGAACAGACACTTCTCAAAAGAAGACATTTATGCAGCCAAAAAACACATGAAAAAATGCTCATCATCACTGGCCATCAGAGAAATGCAAATCAAATCCACAATGAGATACCATCTCACACCAGTTAGAATGGCAATCATTAAAAAGTCAGGAAACAACAGGTGCTGGAGAGGATGTGGAGAAATAAGAACACTTTTACACTGTTGGTGGGAGTGTAAACTAGTTCAACCATTGTGGAAGTCAGTGTGGCGATTCCTCAGGGATCTAGAACTAGCAATACCATTTGACCCAGCCATCCCATTACTGGGTATATACCCAAAGGACTATAAATCATGCTGCTATAAAGACACATGCACACGTATGTTTATTGCTGCATTATTCACAATAGCAAAGACTTGGAACCAACCCAAATGTCCAACAATGATAGACTGGATTAAGAAAATGTGGCACATATACACCATGGAATACTATGCAGCCATAAAAAATGATGAGTTCATGTCCTTTGTAGGGACATGGATGAAATTGGAAATCATCATTCTCAGTAAACTATCGCAAGAACAAAAAACCAAACACCGCATATTCTCACTCATAGGTGGGAATTGAACAATGAGAACACATGGACACAGGAAGGGGAATATCACACTCTGGGGACTGTTGTGGGGTGGGGGGAGGGGGGAGGGATAGCATTGGGAGATATACCTAATGCTAGATGACGAGTTAGTGGGTGCAGCGCACCAGCATGGCACATGTATACATATGTAACTAACCTGCACAATGTGCACATGTACCCTAAAACTTAAAGTATAGTAAAAAAAAAATTAATAAATAAAGTTAATTTTAAAAAGAAAAAAAAAAAGAAAGAAAAGGCCAAATAAATAAAAAAAAAACTCACTAGAAATTTTAAAAAGTCTGTTTTGTTCCATTTTAATCCCCAGGGCCAAACACAATGTCTGGCATATTGTGGGCACCCAAGTAATATTTCTTGAAAAAATAAAATAAATGAAGCAACAGATTTGAAAATGTAACAGGAAAAAAAAATCACAGTAGGAAAAATGTAATGAAATACTTAGGAAGAAATGTAATAAAACACATTCAAGCCTGAATAAACCTAAGAAGACATATTCGAGACCTGTCTAAGGAAATTCTAAACTTTACTGAAGGTCTTAAAAGAAGAACTTAATAAATCAAGAGACTTATAATGTTCCTGGATGGGATGAATCACTGTTATAGAAATGTCATTTCTATCCAAATTATTCTTTATATTAAATTCAATTACAATCAAAACCTAGGTAGGAATATTTACAGAATTTGAAGCTGATTCTAAAATTCACCAAGAAAAGAAATTGTATGAAAATAGTCAAGACAATTTTGGAAAAGGAAACCAAAAAATGATTTAGTCTATCAGACATCAAAGTATGTTAGAAACTTACAGTTTATTCAGACAATATAGTATTGACACAGGAATAGCCAACGAGGTCAGTGAAACAGAACATAGGATCATAAACCAGATCCATGTAAATAAAAGGAAATTCATTATATGATTAATAAAGAAGTGTCTCTAATTAGTGGGGAGATGATGTACGCTTCAGTAAATGTTAGGACATTTCATGATTGGTAAGAATATTTGTGAATAAATATGTATTACATGTAAATATACATGTATATATAAAACATATATATGTGTATACACACACGTAAACACACATAGACTCAGCTGGAGATGGAGATCCCTTCCTCACAAAATAAACATAAATTCCCAGTGGATTAAGGAGTTCTATAAAAAAGCAAAACTATAAGTTATTAGAAGAAAATATAGTAGAAATAATTTCAGAGAGGAAAAAGACTTTTTAAGCAAGACTCAAAATGCAGAAATCATATAAAATAGATAAATTTGACAGAATTGAGAATTTTTAAGTTCTGTTTGGTATTCGCCACAAGCAAAGTTAAATGAAATTGTATTCTATAACATAATTATAATTTGTATATAATTTTATAGTTATTGACATATGCACTTATATGAATATAGAAAGTATAATCCTTCATATCAATACCAAAAATATAAACAATCCATTCTAATGAATGGACAAGGGATATAATGAGCAACTGACCAGCAAACAGGAAATGCAAATGGATAAGAAACATAGGAAAAAACGTTTACCTTTCCAAGTTACCAGAGATAACTTTCTTCATCCATAAGACTGGCAAATGAAAATGTCTGACCATATCGAGTGTTGATCAACTTGTAATGAAACTGCCAGCAGGTGTGTAAATTGGCACTAGTAGTTTAGAGAGCAATTTGACAGTGTGGAATAAAACTGAAATGTTAAAGCCTAGCAATTCCACATCAAATAATATACCCTAAAGAAACACTTGCACATGCATACAAGGAGATGCCCAAGGCTGTCCACTGCAGAACTGTGCTATGATTATTTGTAAACAAATACTTATCAGTGAAAAATAGCTAAACAAATGATGGTACTGTATATGCATACTATGTAGCAGTTAAAAAGAATGAAATAGATTTATATGTACTGACATGAAAATATCCCCAAGACATGCTGTTCAATGGAAACAAAAATTGACTTGTGGAACAATACACACAGTTTGATATCATATATTTTTAAAATAACCCCAGAAACTACATGTATCTATATGACTACAGATACATAACAATTGTCTGGAAAATGATGCTACAAATATAATTTGTATCTCAGAAGAGAGATGAAGTGGGAGCTGAATGGGGATTTTGGTATTCTTTAACATTTTTACAATGAGAAAAGATCCACATAATACTTGTGAAATTTTTAAAAATACGTTTTAAAAACACAAAAGAAAAAGTGACAAGGAAGGCAGGCAGGGACTCTCCTGCAACTCCCACATTTTATAAGTGAGAAAACTGAGCTCAAGAGCAACTGAGTGACTGTTTCAAGGTCACATGGTTAATTAGTGGCAGAACTAGAATTGGAGTCCAGGCCTGTGGTCTCCCAGGTCAGGGAGTGCCACATAGGAAGCCATTTCCATTATTACCTAGATTCCCACTTGTTCCATCCAACAATAGAAGTCATTTTGTGATGTTACTGGGATTGTCATTTTGGGATTATTAGACCAGTACCTTCTTTGTAAATGCTATACAGGCCAAACAGAACCTTTTGGCCCCTGTAGAATGGAACACAACAAAACATCATTTTCTCCAACCATCTATTAACCTTAAGACAAATTACCTTGGTAATCACAATACTGGATGTTTTCTCTGTGTGTGCACAGGGAAAACAATTCACAATAGACTTCATCTAATGCTTTATGGTGCTGAATGATTACTTTTATTAAATATGTTTCTGTTAGGACTTTAGTCTTTCACTTATCTCCAAGTCCTCTGTATAATTCTGAAAATATTTTCATTTATACTTTCTGAAAACCTCTTTAGCTCCTTAATAATTGAAATACTAGATAAAGGAGAGAGAAGCTATTCTTTGGATCAACATTTGTACCCTCCACAACATGACCCCAGACAACCGTTGCAGGAATTCTTTCCTCTACTGCCCTACAAGAACTCTTGCCTCTGGTTACACTGGACTGGGCTACTTAGTGTCCCTAAAGCACATCTTGTCCATTCTTATTTCTAGGACATTGTTCAAGCTTGTATCTCTCTTCAGTTTGGAATACTGTACCTCATCTATCTACCTACTCCTATGCAAAGTAGTATATTGTAGTGATTATTTTTTAAAGCATAGGTTGTGGATCAAGACTGAGGTACAAATCCCAGTCTCTTAAATTTTCTTTGTGATTTTAAGCAATTTATTTAACATATCTGAGATTCTGTTTCTTCATCGTTAAAATGGTAATAATAATACCTATCTCATACAAAGGTTTTGAGGATACATAGCTCCTTTAGCACAGTGTCTGAAACATGCTGAGTCTTTATTATTGCCCATCTTTCAGCAATCCCCCCACAATATCCTTAGCCTCAAATATGTGTAAGACCACATGCGGTTACATGCACATGTGAGGGGACATATGAGCTTGTCTGCCCACAGTACTCACACATGAGGAGAGGCCAAGTTATTCTTGTCTCAACAACCAACCAGAATCGGATCAATTCCTATCCTATCTTCATACCCCAAGGATGACGGAAGTCCAACTTCAGTTCTCAATTCCACTCTGCATGGACTAGAGGCATTCAATGGCGACTGCAAAGGCATAATAGATTAAGCTGAGCCAAAAGTACTTCTGGGAAGGAAGGAGAAATTACAAACTTCACATTGAGCAGCTGTGCCAGAGTTGGAAATTGTTAGGGAAGAGAAAGAGCTCCCACTATTTAAAATATTTCCCGAAGAGTCAAATTTACAATGTTCCCATTAGAATTTAAGTCTAGAAGACCTGTAATCTGGGACTTTGTGCATAAGTTTCTGAAAAACAGATTGATTATTGGGATGGAAATTTAAAAAGAAGAACGTATGTCTCCAAATTGAGTGGCTGGTCTTCGTTAAAATGCAAATACCTCATAAGGGGTACAGTATTAAGTTGTTTTTATCCATTCACACCACAGTGTGAATTTCTATATCAAGTCTGTTCGAAGAAAAACAACCAGAGAAAACAAGCTTTCAAAGAAGACTAGAGAGAAGAAAAGGTCACTGCAGTGCACATGGGCACCCACTCCTAGAGAGGACACAGGAAGAGGGTCGTGTAGAAGACAGCATTCAGAGATCATGTTCTCATACAAGGACATTTATTTACAAAGCAGGTTAATAAAAAAAATGCATTCTACTTACTTCTTTATGTACCAAGGCAATCTAAGCTCTCTAGATTCATTGGACATATTCCTGTTAGAGGGAATTACGTTAGTTGGTTGTGGGCTAATTTCCTAGAATATTTCCCAGAAATTCAATAAAGAGTATTTGTGCATTATATTTTTCTTGAAAGACTCCACTCCAACTGATGATTCATATGATGAACATATCTCCCCATCTTCCACCAAAAACAACAACCCATCTTAATTTTTTTTTCTCTAAGTTCTGAGATACACGTGCTGAACGTGCAGGTTTGTTACACAGGTATAAATGTGCCATGGTGGTTTGCTGCACCTATCAACCCATCATCTAGGTTTTAAGCCCTGCATGAATTAGGTATTTGTCCTAATGCTCTCCCTCCCCTTTCCCCCACCCACCAACAGGCCCCAGTGTGTGTTATTCCCCTCCCTGTGTTCATGTGTTCTCATTGTTTAGCTCTCACTTACTAGTAAGAACATGTGGTGTTTGGTTTTCTGTTCCTGCACAACAACCCAATTTAAAAAAAATAGTGACTTTGAGTATTACTACTCATAGGAACCTGGAGAAGGAATGTGGGGGACTGGGGGTGTACCTGGGAGCCAGGAGAGATTGATTCCTACAAAGATAAACCCTCACAACTGGCTCACCCCCAACTTTGGTCAAAGTGTCCATGCTGCAAATCAGTCCATAAATTTATCACTACTCTTACTATGTTTTATTATCATTTCCTATCGATGTCTCTGAATCCTTCAGAAAAGTAGGGACTATGGCTGCATCATCAATGGATCTTCAACTCTTTGCATAGTGTCTAGCACCTAAGAGATACTCAATTAAGTTGATCAAATGAATGAATGAGTGAATGAATGAATGGGTGAATGAAGAGATGAATACCTGAATGGAAATCAAAATGCCAGGGTGGAGAGAACTCTTGGTTCAGGTAATTCAAGAGCCTATGGTGAGAACTGGGTATTCTCCAGTGAGAGACTGAGAATGAATTACTTGCAATTATTCTCTGGTTGAGTGAGAACCAAGGTAAAGCCCCTGGGGTTACAACAGTTAAACAGAGTCTTCCAAGATGCCCCTCCCATTCTCCATCAGCCTTTAGGACACTACAGTAACATCTGTCCCTGGGAACATGTCGACCCCTCACATTCTCCTAATGGAGTGGAAGAAAAACCAGAATTGGTTGCCAGAAGACCAGGGTTCAAATCCTGATTCTGCCACTTACAAGTTCTAATCACTGAGGCAAGTCATGTGAATCTTGTATCAGTTTCATCATCTGTAGAACAGGAATAACAAAATGTCTACTCTGCTGGGCTATTTTGTAGATTTGATGGATCAGTGTATGTGAAAACACATAGTAGGAATTTAGAAAGTGTTATATCTATCCCTGATCCTCATCCTTCAGTG
This sequence comes from Homo sapiens, assembly GCF_000001405.40. Taxonomy (NCBI): domain Eukaryota; kingdom Metazoa; phylum Chordata; class Mammalia; order Primates; family Hominidae; genus Homo; species Homo sapiens. Next base: position 131,240,186 of record NC_000023.11, on the reverse strand, counting down.
GCACTGTTGGCCTAGATTAGGAATCCTATAGGGCCTCTGAGATTCCAGGGGCAGGCAAACAGATATTTCATCAAATCTGACATCTCAGATGTCAGCAAAGGCCTAGGGAGTGTGTGTGGGAGGAGGGGGGGCGCAGATAGAAGCAGGAGGTGGAACCACAGAAAAGTGCAAATAGCTGGGGAAAGAAAATAACAGGAGACCTTATAATACTTCACTTCTAAGGAGGAAAGGAAGGAAGAGTGAGGCTGGTAAGGTAATGGCTGTGGCTTAGGAGTAATTAGAGGAAGATGGAAAAGTCCTCAGAATAAGAAGAGCAATCAATGACCCTTGGTTTTGACTTGTACCCCTAACCACTGGTGGCTGCCATAAAACAGAACCTTAATCTCCTAACAGAGAGTGAACAGAAAGCTTCAGCCACACCCCTTCATGCAAAGAGGCCTGATATTCTGCTACTCCTCCCTCAGCACAGCACTGCCACCCTAAAGATTCATTTAGTCCCATCACAGGCTAGAATGTTTGATTGAAATAGTTCAAGGAGGAGAGGAGATATTTGTGAAGGGAAGGGCATGCTGGATTCACCTGACACTCACACCCACCATGGCCCAAGCAGGCTCACAGGAATGTCCATGGACACTCTGATCCTTTTCTGTACTGTCTCCCTTGGCAGAAGGTTGTAGAGAGAGAAGTAACCAAACAAAGCAGTGATTCTTCAGCTTCAAGGGACTGGAACAGTATCTAAAATCTGTCCCTAGCACTCACAGAACAACTCTAGATATGCCCTCACACCACCTTAATCCCCTATGCACTCCAGCATAGCCCTAAAAGACAAATGTCTAATATTTTTTCCCTTTGAAAATCCATATTCCTTCTCAAAGCTTCTGTTTCAGAGGCCTCCTTCGGGTCTGAGATAGCCAAATGGTTGCCATGGGAACCTGCCCCTCATTTGCCTCTAATCACCTGTTCTAGAGGGATAAAGCTTCAACTCCCAGTTCTATTAGATGAGATCACATCAATCAGTTATATTAATTTCCTATAGTGTTTCTGAGAATTTCAGCTGGAAATAGCTTTTATGTTTTTGTTAAAAGAAGCCAGTTGTTGATCCATGGACTGCATACCGCCACCATCCCTGCCTGCTCCCGTATAAACCTCTGTTTTTAATACTCTTGAGTCCCATCAGATGGTGATTATAAAATTTCAGCCCTCTAACATGGGTTTAGTCCATTAGATGTCAAAGTTGAAACCTTTATATTATTAAACTTTCAGTGGCTTTTAAAAATAGAAGCTAGAAAAATAAACATCTTCAATTAGTATTACAGGGGAACTATTAGCACACAGAGTTGTCTGCGAATTCTACCCATGTAGAACTGACCTCGGATCTTTGTGTGTAACATCATATAGCATTGCATTTGGGGAAAAGTATATTTTCCTGATGTCTTGGATTTGGTCTGGAAGGGAGATGTGAAACCCACAGCCTTTCTCCCTTGCCACCCCATTTTGTGCTTTTCTCCCCTTCCTGGGAGCTGATGTCCTTTTAACAGTATAATTGTAAAGACAATTTTGTGCCCAGAGATTTGGGATGAGAGAGAAATTTCTGTTTCCTCTCCCTGAGATGACTGTCTGTCAGTTCTTCAGTTCAACTTACCCTGGCTCCATGATAAAATACCCACAGTACTTCTTCCTGGTTCTGTCTGCCCTGATCCACCTCTTCTGCTGTCCTCACTCCAATCGCAGGCCTGAAGGGTGCAAAGCACTCTAGCTGCTGACCAGTGGCAGTTCAGAGACCATTCTGCTCCCTTCACCCCCACCTTCTTGTACTTCCCCATACAGAACATTGTGCTTAGCACAAAACCTCTTGTAGAAGCTTAACACATACAGACAATAAAGCAGGCACATTTGCATTTTCAATTCGGGGAGAAATTGGGTTAAGAGGAACTTCAACGCCTGAATCGTGGACAAGGAATAGGAATAAAGGGGAGGGTCTTCAAGGAGATGCCAAAATCAGTGGCCCAAGGAGGCTGGACTCTGGAAACAAGGAGAAGCAAACAGGGGAGCCAGGGCCAGAGGAGAGGGCTACAAAGAGGTAGTGCCATTTGTATTAAGCCAGCTCCTATTTGTGACTTATTTGGGATTCAGAGTCCAATTGCTCAGCACTAAAAAAGCTGTGCCCCCATACCATCTTATAAGGACGTAAGAAAGACGAAAGAGAGAAACAGGCCCACAAGAGCTATGGAGCACTTTGTAGGAAACAAACGTAGAGCTACCTGCAGTGCAGTGAATTTTATTAGGGAGCATTATCTCTCTTGCTTTCAGAAAATAACAAATGGCCTTAATAGCTTAAGGCATCTTTACCAACAAAATATATACTGCAACTTCCTTAAAACATTTTTCACTATAAAACAAAACAAGGCAGGTCCATCATGGATCCCATTAAAGGAGCTTTAGTTACTGAAGTATCAAGAGCATCTTGCCATTAGGTGTTCCCAAGACAAGAAACCTGAGGAAACTGTTATTGTGGTGCCAAGGGTAATAAAAGCATCTAGCAAAATGAGGTACTTTCTTTACTTTGTAGCAATGACTCCTTCGACTGCTAGCAGGACATACACTGGCCCAGACCCCCTTGTGGCCAATAGCAACAAATCTGAAGAACAAAGGTGAGCATAGCTTAAGGCAAGGTCAATAGTCCTCTCACATTAAACCCAAGAAAGGGCATATGAAAAATTTGACAAGCCTACAAAGAAAATATCATATATCTGTATGATTATTTACTGCCTGTCTACTTTCAAAACGAATTTGAGGGGGCTTACAACTGGTTAATTCTTGGTGCAATTAGACTAAAATCTGTTAACAAAGAATAAAAGCAGTGCAAATGGAAGGAGATGGTGACAAAATATATTGACCCCACCCTCACCCCATTATGCTTCTAGAGTGTTCAATAAAGCATACAATTTAGAGGTGAGTTTCCTAGCAACAAAGGTGAAAATCAAAACATGATGTTTACATTTGTCTTGTGATAATACCATTCATGCTGGTCTTCATACAGATTTCTGTAAGATGTGACCCATTTGTCTCATGGTCAATTAAAAAGGGTTGCAGGAATGTATAATTGAACTGGTCATTTAAGTTAGTGGGATTTAGAAAGTCAAATACTTCCTGAACCCTGTTGCAGATGGATCAGTGTACTTCTGTAGAGCTATCAGATCCAGAGACTTTTCTGGACATCCCACGGACAACTAGGCCCTTTTTCTGCCTGAGTGCCACCAGTTCCCAGAGTTTCTTCACCCTCCTTGAGAGGAAGATCTGTCTGAGATCTGTTTCCCACATGTTCCTGGCTTTTTCTAGCCCTAGAAGCCAGGACTTGCTCCTAATTTTCTGCTAGAAAACTCCCTAATGTGGTTCAGCCTGGAATTTGTTGGTGCCGTCATCATTGCCTGGGAATTCTCTGGATTCCCCATTTGGTCTTGGCATGTGGGTGACCAGTCTTTCCTTTCTGAAGTTGTGGCCTGCCCTGCTTACCCAATTTTGAGTGAGTTCTGAGTGCTCCCTCTGGCTTCCTCATCACCTGTGATACTCCTTCCCTCGGCAGACTCAAAACTCATACAGCTGGAGAGTTTAAGTCAACCCTCTGGCTTGGGTGTGGAGTGGGGTGCCTTTTTATTACTTTCATTGTCTGGCAGAAGAAAGAAGACACATTCACTAGGAGAAACAAACTTTTTCCTGGCCCTAAACTTGGAGAAGAATTTGTTATGAGTTTTTATATAAGGAGGAGCATTGAGCAACATAATAGATGATGTCCTGGAACAGAAACAAAATATGGGGAGCCAGCTGCTAACTCTACAAAAATCGTCAGTTCACAACTCTGCATCTGGTGCTCATAAATCAAAACCTCACTGAGTTTGTGATGCTGCTGTTGACACTCCAAGACCATGAAAATTTAGTCCCGGATCAGGCATGCCCCCACACTTCCATCCCAACCAGTCTTTCTATGGTTTTCAAAATCTGAGCTCCCCAAATTCCCATTCTCCACTAGTTTTGCCAGGCTTTAGCCCAGATCTGCCAGGTGTGATTAAAATTGTTCCTTAAGGTAATCATCATGCAGAGAAACTTGTGGAAAGGGACTTTTGAAGATCCCCATATACTAGATAGCAATGTTCAGTACCAAGGAAGAGAAGTGAATGGTTATCAAGGAGTGACCCTGTAACTCTTGGTCACTCTACTTGGCAGCTATCCCAAATTCCACACCTCCCTAAGACTGCCTGCTGGAGGAGGCTTTTCTCTGGCCTGAAGTGGGCTGACATGAGGGCTTCTCCTAAAGAAACTTCCTCCTCTTCTTCACTCACTATTCATTACTCCACGCTTCACTTCATTGTAGCTTCACTTCTCAACAAGCAGGAAGCATCTGGTTGACAACAAGGACGGGGAAAGAGGAGACTAAATATAGAGGTGGAAAGGGAGAAGAGAGGTCAGCTATAGAGACGTTCTAGCTTCTTCATTTTGTCTCTGGAGCCAGAGTGTCACCCTTTTCTCAACTGTTCTCTGCCCAGTGAAACCACCCAGGAAAGAGAAGAACAAATAAGGCAACTGTTTTGGAAAGGAGAAGATAAGAATCTTTCACCTCTCAGTCCTACCTTCCTTTCCACCTCTCTCTGGAGGGGCAGTGTGTAAGTAAAGAGCCCTCTCTCAGAAATCACCTGCCCTACCTGGATTCATTTCAGCAAAATTCAAGTTTATATAACTCTCTTAACTTAATCCATGCTTATTCCTTTTACCCTAACTCCTGAGCTCCTGGTTCATCCATTCCAGAAATGAAGGACAACTGGTCCCCAGTGCAAGACTAAAATTGTGTTTTTTGGATGCTGTGTAGGCTGAACAATGCCCCCAAAGATCTCTGGGTTTGAATCCCTGGAACCTCTTAATGTTACCTTATATGGCAAAAGAGGCTTTGCAGATGTGATTATGTTAACGATTTTGCAATGGGGAGATTACCCTGGATTATTTGGGCGGGCCATAGATGTAGTCACAGGAGTCCTTAAAGAGGGGGGCAAAGGGAAATTTGAGAACGGAGGAAAAGGCTTGACAGAAGCAAAGAAGTACTTGAAGATGCTATACTGCTGTCCTTGAAGATAAAGGAAAGGGCTGTGAGCCAAGGAATATAAGGAATGCAGCTCCAAAAGCAGAAAAAGGTGGCTCCAGAGTCTCTAGAGGGAGAACAGCCATGCTGACACTTGGACTTCAGCCCAGTGAAACTGATTTCAGACTTCTGGCCTGCAGAACTGGAAGAGAACAAATTATATTGCTTTCAACTACTAAATTTTTGGCAATTTGTTGTAGCAGCAACAGGAAACTAATACAGATGTCCTTTGTTCCGCCTGTGTCAGGAAATTGGCCTACCCTACTCTCCTTGACATGCCATTAAAGATATACCTTAGGAAAGAAAAGGTCAGGGATCTACCAGAGAAAGTGGGAAAAGCAAGGATTTGGCCAGAGGGCAATTGTAGAGAGCCTCAGGAGAATAGAAAGAGGTGACTTAAGAGGAAGGAAGGAGTCTATGGAGGAGAAGGTGTCTGAGGAGGGGCTGCATTTGAAGTGGGGGATCTATTCCTGGGGAAAGGCTGTGAGGGATTCACAGGCACAGGGGCTGAGGAAAGACTTGTCTGCAGCTCTTATTTTCCTTCCAAGAAATGATGAACCATAAACTAGTGTAATCCAAAGAGACTGGGTTTTGGAAACTTGGATAAGGACCAAGTGGAAATCATAGCTGTGCAATGTTAGGCAAGTCCATTTGCCTTTCTGAGTTTCCATTTCCTTCATCTGTATAGTGGGGATAATAATACTTATTTCATAAGGTCATTTGAGAGAAATCAGTGAAATAATGGACAAGACATTACCGTGACTGGCAGATAGTAAGTGCTTAATTAACTTTTTAAAGAATTGTTTAATTTTTAATTTTTGTGGGTACATAGTAGGTGTATATATTAACTTTAATTAGTAGCCCTGGCCTCCCTGTTCCCTGATAGCTTCTTTAAAGCACTGTTTCCTATTACTCCATTCTCTCTTTCTTGTTTCTCTTGCCTTGGATGCAGGGGAAGGCCTCTTCACCACCTCACACAGAAACTGTGTAACTTGGCATATAGTCCTGGGCTTAGATTTAGGAACATTAGAAGAGGTGAACTGAGAACAGATGTCCAGGTCCTAGAACTGGCTGAGAGAAGAGAAGAGGCTATCAGGCACAGTCACAGGTTACCATGACAACTAATTCTCATATTCTGAGCCTGAGACACCTGACTTCAGGGAGGGAAGGGACAGAGAGAGCAATTGGGCTTGTACTGCAAGGTTCTTGTTTGGGAGTAAGGAAAGACCTGGCAAAGGTCAGAGCTTCTACACCCAACTTGGCGACCTCAAAACTTGTCTTTTAGGGCTCAGTCCACCTTGGCTAGGATCTCTTACCTCAGGATTGCTTTTATTAAAGATGAATGATTCAAGGTCAGGCAGGGGGCTCTTTAGGAAGAAAATATTAGGATGTGGAGGAATTAGGGGTGTTCTGATACTCTTAGCATGAGGAAAACCTAGAGCCTGAGATAATTGCCACACATCTCAGAACACCCGCTGTGAGAAGGGAATTAGAACAGGAACCCAAGTGAATGGGGAGTGTTCTTGATCTGTATTCCTGCAATGGATAGCTTAAGTCACCTCAAAAATAAACACTTCTTTGAGTATTTAATAATTCTTCTGGAGTTAGAAAAGTTAGATTGTTAAGGAAATAGCTTTACAGGTGTGTGCATGTGTACATGCAAATGTGTGTATGCATGTGTCTGTTAAATATACGTGTTAATAGGTTGCCTACAATAGGTAAGATGAATGACAAAGAAGATGAGTGTTTACTACTTCATCACTATGCCTAGAGTCATCCTTGTCTCCCAGGCCCTTAACAATAATGTGAGTGGGTCACAGAGGAAAACTGGGGGAGGACATTACCTGGCTGTGGCTTTGGTTTTACTGGCAGCGAAGACAGGCAAGACAGGATTCTTTCACTGAACTCTTCTTATGATTTCAACTACCTCAGCCCACCATACTTCCTTCTTGCAACTTGCCAAAACATAAGAAAAGCCTCCACTCCTTGATGGGAGAGAAAAAGCATAGCTTTTGGAGCCAGGTAAAACTAAGTTCACATCTCAGTTCTCAAGAAATATATATACCCACCATTTGGGGCAAGTGACTTTGAGTAAGCATTCTCTGGCCCTCAGTTTATTAATCTGTAAAATGAGAGCAATAATATACATACTGCAAGACTGGGCAGATTAGCAACAACGTATGTAAAGTTCTGACTATATAAACAGTATCCAGTAGCCTTTGGAGGTATTTGAATAAAAACTTGTGGCAAGAAAGCCCAGAGTTCAAGTATCAGACTTACCATTTATAACCTGAGTGGACTCAAGCAGGCCATTTAAACTTTATGATGCATTAATTTCTATGTCCTGGTATGGACATTCTTGCTCATGTCTTTTGGTGAACCAAAACACTCATTCATCTTGGATATATATCTAGGAGTGGAATTGCTAGATCATGAAGCATGCATATGTTTAGCTTTAGTAGATAAGGCTTGCCAAAGTTTTTCAAAGTGGCTGTATCCATTTACTCTCTCACTAGCAGTGTACAGACATTCCACTTGTGGCACGTCTTCGCCAACTATGGTATCATTTCTTTCTCATCTTAACCATTCCAGTGAATGTTGTTCTGCAATTTTTAAATTCACTTTCTATGACATCGTAGTTTGTGTCTCTTAGTGACTTTTGTAGATCTTGTTTGTTTATGTATTCCAAATAATACTTATTGAACACCTTTTGTGTGCCAGGTACTGTATCAATTGAGGGAGACACACACTCTTGAAGTTCTCAGTCCCATGTCCACTTGCCTTCCATTCTACAGATAATCTACTGGTAACACCAAGACCAGCCAGTGCACGGTGCACAAACTTCTTTGAAAATGCAGAATGCTTCTAGTTTAATGCCCTCTCTCCATCTCCAAATATTTCTGTATCTTTAGTTGGCCTCTTTTGTCTCTTTGTATTTTCCAAGGACGATACCACCACCATACTTGCCAAAACAAACATTCCACCTGGCACATGACCCTATCCCTTCTCGCCTTCAGCAGAATCTTGTTCCAGCCACAGTCACCTCTGACCTCACCACACGTCTTTAATCTCGACATCTTCACTAACAAATGTTAGTTAACAAACATTTTCCTTTAGCTGTGCTAAGGTCATCCTTACCCTGAGATCATCTTTCAATACTTGAGCACACTTTAAGTATCTGTTTTGCTCCTTAATTTCACCACAAAAATTCTCCTGAGAATTTTTTAGAGTCACTGTCTCCAATTTGTCACCCCTACTCTTTTCCTTCTTCACTCCCTGAAATCTGGCTCTATCCTGAAACTGCTCCTGGTAATTCAGGAAAGATCTTCTAATTACCAAATTCAACAGTATCTTTGCATCCTTCTTTCTCTCTGACCCCTCTACTATATTAACATTGTTCATCACTCAACCTTCTAGAAACCTCTTTCTCATGATTTCCTGTTTCTTCGCCTTACCCCATGACCTCTTTTGCCTATCCCCATTACTAACTATCCCTCCTAGCCATACCTCCTCGGTGGAGGCATCCCCCAAGCTTTTGCCCTTGACTGTTCTCTTCTCAAGCGGATCCCATTCATTTCTATTATTGCAAAGATCACCTTTAGAGATTTATCCCAGTTTCATTCTTAAGTTGAAACTTCTCTCCAGGGTAGCCATCCCTCAACTTTGTGACTGGCATCACTATTCTTCTAGTCAGAAAGGCTCCAAACCTCAGTTTCCTTATTTAATTTTTATCCCTACCAATCCCTCACCACCACTCCCCTCTCCCCATCTAGTTAGTCATGGACTTCTTTTTCTTTTTCCTTCACAATGTCTCTCCTCTGTCTGTTCACCACTTTGGATTTCTTAGCTCAAGAAAAGGGTGTACCCTACCTTACGCTTGGACTATTGTATTGTAATAGCCTCTTAACTGCCTCCAATCACTCCGCTCTCCCATCCATCCTCTGCACTGCTGACAGATTAATCTTCCTAAAGCACCACTCTTACTGTCACTCCACTACTTTAAAACTTCCTATGATTTCCCATTGTTTAAAAGATCCAGCCCCACCCCTTAGGCTGCCAGGAAAGAGGCCCCACAGTTTGGCTGCAGCTACATTTCTATTCTCCTCTCCCTTTCCTCCTTTCCATGGGCTCTGTGCTGTAGACACACTATGCTTTCACTCCTTTCCATAACCTGATTCGCAATTAGTGTATTGGTTAATTGTATGCATAGGCTTTGGGCTCAGATAGGCTTGAGTTAAAAACCTGGCTCTGCCACTTTATAATTGTGCAACATTGGAAATTTATACAGCCTCTCTGGCCTCAGTTTCCTCATCTATAAAATAGGGATAATAATGGAATATTATTAACCTCATAGGTTTATTATAAGGATGAAATGAGGTATTGCATCTAGAGTGCTCGCCACCGTGCCTGGTGCACAGAAAACAGAAAAAGAAGTTTACTATCATTTTATCCTACTCTTCCATCTCTTTGCTTAGTCATTCTTTCTGCCTTGAATATCTTCTTCCAATCACACCTACTGAAGTCCTTTGCACCCTTCAAGGAACACCTCAAGTGTTACCTTCTCAAGGAAGCCTTCTCTACTTCTAATTCTAGCACTTTGCTTGAACCCCTCTCTTGGCATTTTTCATCCCACCCTGGCATAAAGCGATCACCTTCTGTGCCAGACCTAAAGCTCCTTTGCAGTCTAACCATGTTCTGATCATGTCTATATCACCACAGCACCTATCACAGTACGTGGTATGGAATAGGCACTTAGTAAATAGCCATTGCCTGACTGGAGGCTACATGCCTAAGTGGTAAAAAGAGAAAATATAGAGGGTTCTGAGATTGATAAAGCATGACTATTGAGTGATTAAAAGTGCTAGTCGTAGCATTAACACCATTTTCTTTCCTTTCTTTCTTCCCCCATCTCCTACTCCCACTCATTTTCTTTGCCATCTTGTTCCTCACCCGACTGCCTGGTCGTTAGTCTTGCCAGTGTGAACCATGATCATTATTTAATCCTGCTGATGGCCCTTGAGGGGAAAGAGGTTCCTATGACAACCTCAGATCTTGTCCCTTTGTCCTTACCACTTAAGCTTTGATGAAAACCACCCTCCTATCTACTACAAATTCTTATGAGAGGGGTTCATTAAACTTATGATCCAATTCTCCATCTGGAACCTGTGATAAAAATACAGAGCAGGAAATTAGACTCCTTTATGTAATGGCACTTACTAGCCTGCTCAGATACCAATCACCACTCTCTATCAATAACATTCTTTAGCTCTTGAAGATTGTCTAGCCTGAACTTTGCTTTTAGTGTACAACTAAACTTTGAGAACTAGTGATCCAATTTTCAAAGTTTCTTTCCTTGGCTTCTCCTAAATAAGTTCTGCTAAGTGCAGAGATATCCCCATGTGAGATCACCTGTAAGCTTGATTGGTGTCCTCTGGATTTTCTACCATTCAGCGAACTGTGTGAATACAGAGAGAAATGAGATAGACTCAGCCCTTTGCCCCCAAGAAATGTATAGCCTAGTAAATAAGGCTTCTATGAACTTTGAATTTTACATGTCACTTGGCAAGAAGTCTTGATTCTCAGTTCCTGTATCCTAATCACAACATCACGCTGGCATTCCAGCTGCCATTCTCTGCAGTAAATGAAGCGATCATCATTTTCTTTCATAAAAAAAAATGAAAGAGGAGAGGAGAGAGGGAACTAATATTTATTGAGCATCTATTTTAGCAGGCACTTTGCACACAAGGCACTTGCATTGAAACCACACAACAACCCAATGAGGTAGGTATTGTTCCCATTTTACAAATGTGGTAGCTGAAGTCCACTGAACTTAAGCAATTTTGCCCAAGGTCATCCAACTATAAGAGGCCAAGTTGTGATTTCATGAGTTCTTTCCGACTTTAAAGAATGTGCTCTCTCCACTCCACTCCACTACTACTCCTGTTTAAATCAATACCTGTTCTCCAGAGGAGTCCCTTTTTCTTAGCACTTGCACAGTGGATGTGAGCCCTTTGCTATAGTCTCTGGTATCAAATATCCACACTGCTATCCTCATTCTGTGATCCCCCACATCAATGGAAGTCCTATTGCTTTCTCTACCTGCTCAGTCACCTCTGAATTGGGTCTTTTGTGGGGGAAGCATCACTGGGAACCCTACAGCCTGTCTTTTCTACCGTGTGATCACCCCCCAGATTGAAATCCCTCGCTTTTACCCTAAGAAACATATATATGGGAAAGGCCCTAAAAATACATCTAGTGAACTCCCTAAGGATGCATTCTAAGAAGAATGAAGCCAGCTTTTGCTTCTAAGACCTTCCTTAGAGAAAAAGGTCATACTGTACTAGACAAAAAGGAAGCGTGCTTTCTGAATTTGTCTTACCAAAGAGATTTTAGAGGTGTAGAGGTGTATGTTTCCCTGATGCTATCTGAAATCCAGAGTTCCACATTACCAAATTAAAGTAATTGGGATAAAGGCCAATTTAAATTACAGGGATGACTCGCTTTGAGAAAATCTTAAAAATTTAAATTTATAAAACAGAGCCATAGGAATCAGAGAAGTGGTTATAAAACATTCCTCACTCTTTCACAATTTCCTACAGGACGTCTTTTATTGGAAATCACCTCTAATGCATTTGAAATTGAAGCAGTTTTACAAAAGTTTAAAGGTATATACTTTTTAAAGAGCACACTTATTATATAATTCAAGATATATCCATAGCGAGATATTATCCATGTAGTAGACATTCAGTAAATATTTTCTGACTGAATAATATGTTGGGAATCTAAAATGCAATTATTTTCCTCTTGAGTGTATTCAGTAATTTAAATTAACAGCTTTAAAATGTTATCAAAGAACTGAGGTATTTGCTTTATGGAACAGACATAAGTAATTTGTAATCAGCAACATTGGTTTATACGAGGTGTGTTCAGTTCTCTTAGGGAGGTTAAGTATGACACCTTGCATTCTTGTTTACAACATGAATTTGTTCAGTAAACTCTTCCATCATAGCTAGTTCAGTAATGAGGCTCTGTACCTCCTCATTCAAAAAATCCCAAATTCATTATGGGTTCAAGAAACAACTACAAATCAAAGCCTGATTGTAGGCTGAGATTTTGAAGGGGCCTCCTAGGAGTATTGAGCTGAGGGTGAGTAGGTGTAAGTTTGAAAACACTTTCTGTTTGCTATTGATTCATTACTGAACATACTCAGGAGGAACTAATTATATTTCTAGATCTTTATTTTGTTTAGTCAGCAACTATTCAGTGCCTACTATATGCAAAATTTCCACCACAGGCCTATATTCGGTTTTATATTAAGTGAGTTCCTTAAAAATCAATGTGTATTTAACTGCAATGTGTATTTTTAAAGAGGAAATAATATTTTGAAAGGAACTCCTAGGAGTACTGACCTAGAGGTGGAGAGATGGCAAAAGGGTTCAGAGACAGTATGAAATGAGTATTAGCTAAGGTGCAATGTGCTAAAGCGAGAGGAAATGTAGCTGCAGAAAAATCTTTCCCAATACCCCAGTGTTGCTGAGGGTTGGCCCTGTTCATTACCATGGCAGAGAAGTTTGGCTTTCAGAGTAGTAATTTGCTCCTCTGAACCCACAAACTTCAGAACTCGGGGTTTGGTGAGAAATTTGTTGGCACAGGACAGTCTGGATGCTCTTGTATACTCAACTGTTTTGTTTGACTTTCCCAGGGGAGGGGGAAATATTACCCTTGGGAAACAGGCTTCAGGGAAATTGATTTTCATGAGAAAAACATATTGAGCAAAGAGGCAGGACCTGACTCCCTAATGGGAGGAAGTTAAGGCAGGATATTAAGTTGGGCAGTTAGAGAAGCAGCTAGACTGAGAATGCTCTGGAAGGTGGGTCCTGACTCTCTGTCAGGATGAACGAAGCAGCCAGATCATGAGGACATGGTGGCCAGTCCTTCTAGGGAAGAAAAGGACAATGAGAGGTAAGAAAAATCTCTCTGGATTTCTGTCAGTAGTGACCAAAATAGAGCTTGCAGATTTTAGCTGGGATGGGGAAAAGGTGATACCAATAAACATTTACTAAGCTCCTACTGGGCATTCACCTCTTGTGTTAGACATGTGGAGAAAATCAGGGGAAAACAATAGAAAAATTGTGAGATTGCACTTAGCTTTTGAGGCACTTACAATTTTTTGAGGGCGACGACACAAGAAACAACTTAAAAGTAATGGTATACATACGCGCCACATTGCAAAATGAGAATGAGATTGAGCACTTATGGAGTGCTGGCACCTTGCCAACACTTTTTACAGATTATTTCATTCAATCCTAAATAAAACACTATGAGGTATGCAGTAGTTTTGTTGTCATAAGTATTCTGCATGTTACAACTGAGAGAATTGAAACACCAAGAGGTTTAGTTCCTTGTCCAGAGTCACATGGTACATGGCAGAGTCAGAACTTGAACTCAGGACTGTCTGACATGAAAGCCTATGCTCTTAACTACTACAATATACTACTTCCCCATGATATGATAAATTCTCTAGTACAGACCGAAGTTACCATGTTCCTATGACTATGGCAGCTTGCTAACAACTGTAAAATTTGTCATCATCAGAGAATGGGAGTATAGGAGCAGGGAGCTTCAAAAAGAAATGATGAGTGGTGATAGATAAAGCCCGTGAATGCTATGGGGTAGAGATTAGAGAGCAGCAAGTAGGAGAGGTACTCAGGTTTTTTTCTATCATCCAACACCAGGACAAAGAGTGAAGGATGCAAGCAAATAAATGTCCCCACTATTCAGAGGGCTAGCACCATGAGGGTATGAGCAAGTAAGTATTAGAATGATAGATCAGGATGTTCCAGTTCTCCTAGCTATAAGGGAATGGAGCAGGCATAGAAAATCTAGCAAATGCAATTTTTTCCCCAGAGAGCAAGATGAACAGAAGAAGCCGATTAGAAAAATATAACTGATTAGAAAGTAAACTCATTCAAGCTGAGTATGAGGCATTGTAAAGGCCAAGTGGTTTTTTTTCTAGAATTTCTATTGACTGAATGTTCTTTGAATTCCATCAATTTCAGATGTTTTGCTATAACATAACAGCCATAATTGGTCTATATTTGTAGGTTAAATGACAAACTTTAGGTTTTTATCTAGGTTATTTAGACTCCCAAAATTTTTATGTGAAATATCTTGAAAGTTGGGACCAAAAGTATGAGTTCGTTATTCTTTGCACAACTTACCTGGATAATTGTTGTCATTCTTCACATTTAGGCTAGGTATGTCACATAATGACACATCACAAATCATTTGGCTCAAAATATTTCCTGGCCTGTTTCATTGTCTGTCGTGTTGACAAATGGAACAGAACAGGAAAAAATGTATTTGGCACAAAAGAATATAGTTGAATTAGAAATATCTGTCACCAAGTCTCAATAATGCCTATCTTCCGGTCTATTTCTGGGTCTCAATAATATTTGTCTGAGGCATCTCAGAAATGCCTGTCTCCAGGTCTCAATAATGCCTGTCTCCAGGTCTCAAGGTGCAAAAACACAAATAACAGAATCATTCCCCTGGACACCAGGGGGCTTCTTGCATTAATGTACAATTCCTTTAAAAAGTGAGCTGTCTATTATCTTCCACAAGTTGTTTTCACAGGAAAAAAAGAAACTTTCCACCAAATTTTCCTGCTGCATGGCACAAAATTGAATTATTCAAGAAAAGCACTACTTTTAGAGAGAGTTGACCAACAAAATCAACTTCCTCTTTTTTAGGAGCGCTAGTATAGTACCAGTCAAAGGTGTCTTCTCTTCTCTGCCCTTTCAGTCTCTATCTCTGGGTAGTTTGCCTGCTCGCCAGCTTAATTTCTCTCAGCACTTTCAGAAACAGGGCAATACATATTTGGACCAAGAGTTGAACTAAATAGTGAGACTTGGGCTATCAAGATGATCTTCTGTATTTACCAGCTACCCCTGATCTTTATTATTAAACAATTGCCCCTGATAGCAGCCATTTGCACTTTGGGGAGGATAAAGATCCAAGAGCATACTTGAGTGTTATGTATTTGTTACTTATCTTTTGTTTTAATGAATAGAGGTGGAGGTTGGGAGGGAGATCACTGGGTACCTGACTGGTACAGCCAGATCATCACTCTCCTTGTCTAGCCGTACTTTTCCCCCTTCCAGCATCCAACTTTCAACTGTTCTTTGGATTCCTCCTCACTGCCCTTCTTTCCAAGAGGTTTTCCTGGATTGACTTTAGAAAAGGTAATCAGTTTCAGCTTCTATAGCTAGTCTCTCTCTCCCTACTTAGGCTGCTACACTTTCCATTTTATCATATTTCTGTAATTATTAACATCTTGGGGGTGGGGGTATGAACTCTGGAGGGGGGTACTTTATATGTCCACCAAACAGCTTTTCATGCTAATGCATAGCTTCTGGTGATCAAAACGATGTAAGAGAATTAGTACTGAGACAAATCCTGATTAAGGGAATATCAGAAGAAAGATGTAAAGGGGATATGGTTGATTAGATTTTCTGGGTAACTGGAGGTTAAGAACAAAGATGTTTTCCATTGTCTTTGCTTTTAAAAATTCTGTTAAGATATCGGAGTCTACTGTCCCTACTTAGTAAATCGAGTATAATGATGTACTTGAATCACTCTTTACTGATTGAGGATCTTTTAGAACCTCCAGCCATCATTTTGAGCATTAATTCTGATTGGCCGGAACTGTAAATGAAGATGGAGGAGAGAGAAAGAGTAGGACTGAATGTATTCTGACCCCAGGACATCCTCTGAAAATTGTTTTTTTGACTGAGCTCTTTTTTTTGTCATCTGTCTCACACAAAAGCAAAATGAAACAAAACAATTTTTTTAGGCCTCAGATAATGGAAATTGTTGGGTAGTGGCACTGCGATTAAGGAAGGTTTTCTGGAGACTCATGTCAAAGGGAGTCTAACAGTCCACATTGAAATGTGATCTCCCATGCTTCACATGCAAAGAGATATCCCTGACATGGAATCACTAACCCTGGGCTTTGAGCAAGTAAAGGGTACATTGACCTATTCACTCTCTTCCCTTTTGAGACCAAGGGCAAGAATTTGTGAGACTTTTTTTAAGAGCTTGTTTTGTGGCCACGGTGAGAGCCCTGCCTCTCAGGGCCACAGCTGTGTCTGTCAACAGTTTACTGATCCATATGAGAATTGAAACTGTCATCCCACAAATGGATCATAACCCACTAGATCTGATAAAAGGGAAGAAAAGAAGGAAAGGAAAAGAAAAAAATATATCCCCCTCTCCACACTGCCAACTAAATTACCTACTTGGTCTTCCCACCTCAGGAACAGACATAATCATCTGTGCAGTTGGTTAAACCAAATCCTGGGATTCATCCTTAATTCCTTCTTGTGCCTCATGCTCTCTCCTAATGCAATTCATCAACATTCTATGTTATTTTGTTAGAGTAAACTTTTAATTAATGTATAATATATATACAGAAAAGTACACAAAGAAATATCAATGCTACTATGTAAAAAGACCTAAAATTAATCCATCTTACTGCATCCAAGCTTGATTTAAGCCATCATCTCTTACCTGGACTACTGTATTTTAATATGACTTCCTTTTCAGACCAACTCACAGAAACTAGGTCACCTCTCCATGCATATTATTCTTTGTATCAGGACCCTATATTTCTCCCTCATAGCATTGATCACAATAGTAATGTCACCATTATTTGTAAAATCATATGTTAAATATCTCCCTCTACCACTAGAATGTAAACTCTAGGAACGTTGGGGCCATGCTTTCCTTGTTCATGGTTTTATTCCCCCAGTGCCTACTTAGCTCAACAGGTGATACAAAGTATATGTCCAAAGGTGTGGTAAGTGAATAAATGAAGGAATGAAAGAATGAATAGAGCCCTGAGCTGAAGCCTCTCTTTTGCGTCTACATTAACTTCTCCTCACTTCAAGAAAAGAGAAGATGGGAAGGGATTAAGGGAGGCTGATGTGCCTCTGACTTTGGAGGTACCAAGGAGCATGCCTATAAGCCAAAAGGGAAAGTGAAGTTTATTCCATTACTAATTAAGGAGACTTGGGATTGAATGATACAAATCTAACAATGTTAATGTCAGTTCTGAATACTGGCTGGCAGTCTCTGAAGACAAGGTAAAATGGTAAGAGGACACTGCAGTTTAATCCCCCAATTAGAAAGCAGCTGTTACCCCCAGGGATAACCCTGAATGCTGATTGATTTTCTTTACACGCTGTAATCATAATCAGTACTACCTTAGGCAGCCACGATGTCCTGGATCCCCCAACTATAGGTGGACTTGCCCTTACACATGTGCAGTGTATTAACAATACAGATTGATGAAAAGGGTAAATTATGAAGACATTATTTCACATCACAGAAGCATTCTTAATAACATTCCTTTGAATAGCCAGTTCCCTAAGTGGATTTAAAATAGGATTGCATTTACTAAAATATGATTTCTCTGTAAGCTTTTAGGGACACTTTGCCATTACCCAAAACAAAGCAACAAAGATGGCTTGGCTATATTCCCTGGCTACAGACTGAGCCTTCAGCCTAGAACACCAATTGACCTAAGCTGCTAACTCAGGCCTCACAGTTACCTCTAATTTAGGTCACAGGGCAGACTGATCTCAAATCCCATCACAGCCCAGCCACTAAGACCAGACAGTCATTTCACAAATATGGGTCTTTGGGCACCACGGGGCGGCATGTGGGGAAGGGGAGGCTACATCCATGACTCACTCTAACCCATCATCACTGCTAGAAAAGAAAAATAACTCTAAATGCACATCCTACTGCTTGTGAGTCAGGAATGTCATTTTCATTTATGAAGGATGGAACATTATTTTTCTCTAACATTTCAAGTGAATAACTTTACATACATTTTCCCCCAATTTCCATAGGAATTTGATGCCATGGAAGCGATCAGCCACATATCCCCAGAGCCTGGAAGAAACTCTTGTTTTTCTTACAGATACTTTAAGATCAATAGTTCTGAATCCCCCTCCTCCCTCCAATTATGTTCCTGGTGAAACCCACCCTGATTCAGGGTTTCAGTGGGAGATAGGGTGGTCTGAATTCTGACGTTATTTTGGGATTTGTACTCACATTTCTATTGAGTCTTAAAAGCTGAGTTTCAGAAGTTCGGGCAATATTAAGTTCAGAGAAGCTTCTGCACCATGTCCCCATTAAGTAGTGCTTGCCTCCCACTGTGAAACTCCCAAAGGTAGATTCATCACCGGTTATGTCAAGGGAAATAGTAGAAAAGAGCAGAGGAAACGCCCTTTCTGTTCAGTCTCCAGGGCATACTTTTGGATTCCTCTATGACTATTAGGTAAATACACCTAGTAGAACAAAACAGAAAATGTATTCCAGGGGAGAAAAAACAGAGCCTTTGAGGTATGTGCTAGATGGCATTTCTGGTGCCATTGCTCTCCTTTGGTAGCATAACTCTTTTTCTAATTAGCTAGAATTGTTTTCTTTTCTCACATCTGATGCCTGAATCTCACAGATATGACTAATCTGACCATGATCAAAGAAAACTTAATCTTACCACACAGGGATAAACCTGAAGATCCCAAGAGCATTGCACTTTAGGACCTAAAGGAGGATTTCTCCTTCTGGGATTTGGGAGTCTCCATGGGTTACAGTTTTTCATTTTGAGGATATTTCTGGGAATCTATATAGTTGCCTTGCTGGGGAACATTCTCATCTTTAGAGTCATTTTCATTGACTGAAATCTCCAAACCCCCATGTACTTCTTTGTGTTTAGTGTCTTCTTCCTTGAGCTTCCATTGTGCTCAACCCCATGATCAATCCCATCGTCTACAGCTTGAAAAGCAAGGACATTAAAAAGGTTGCGAGGAGGCTCATGAGTCAGTGGGCGCTCGTCATCCCCAGGGAGTCCCTGTTCCCAGCAGCCTGTGCTTCTCTGAAGGAGGCCAGGTAGTAGGCTGAGTACTTAGGGGTTCAGACCACTGCTGCTCCCTTATTCCAGGGGAAATGACCAAAGCAAGCGCCCTCCTTCAGGTTCTACAGCCGAATGCTCTTGGGATCTTAAAGTTTAACCCTGCATGGAAAGAGTAAATTTACCAAAACAAATGTGACTCCATCAGGCTACACCACCATGTATAGATGCCTTTTAAGGGGAAATTAGAAAGAATCAAGCTTGTAGCAACAGCTACATGGCACAAAATTCTCTCATTCTCTCTCTCTCTCTCTTTCTCTCTCTCTCTCTCTCTCTCTCTCTCCACCTCCGTGCATGCATGTGTGTGTGGGTACGCACGTTATAGAAATATTTGTTGGTCCTAAGGTTTTCTGGTTGCATTATATACTTGTGTCCATGTGTATACACACACACTCCCCAAACATACCTACATACACACATAGTCGCTATACCCTACCCATCCCTTATCCTCCAGTCCTTCCTATTACACCCTCTTAGCTTCTGTCTAGCAGCGCCCTTCACTGTGCTTCTCAGTGTTCATGTGCATTCCAACTGCTACACTTCACCTTCTGTTGTTTCTGAGATCATCCACTTTCATCACTGATCAGAACTGTCTCTAACATCCTAGAGTGGTTATTGACTATTCCACTCACTTGAACACTTAATCAGGTCCATCACAGACTGAAATAAAATTCCTTTTAACTTTTCCTAGCATGGTGCTCTACACAGAGTAGATGCAAAATAATTATTTGTTGATTAAATGAATCAATGGCTAATCAAAGCAATGGGTGTGTACTGAATAAAGAGACTAAAATAAGTCACCTTTTTCTCTCTGCACTGGCCTCTCCTCCCCACCATTCTCCTCATGATCTTAGACACCCCCAGTTCCCTCCACAAGCAGCTTCAACTGAGCCCCCCAACCTTGCTCCTTGCCACACTCCCCATCTACCCACCCCACAGTGGCCAGATGGATCTTTCTGGAGTCCAAACACGATCCTGTCCTTTCCCTGTTTATCATCCTCCTTGGTTCCCCAGTGCTCCTGGATGGAGTCGGAGCTCCTTAGCCTGGCCTCTGGACATCTCTTGAGCCCACCCCTCACCATTCCCCTTCTCCCACTTTGATATATTCTCCAGCCATATCAAACTTCTCAAATACACATGGAAGCACCTTAAAGGCAAGATCATATGCTTACCATGCCTCCCCCACAGTCTCTAGATCCAGAACAGGACAAAAAACAGTTGCTCAAATAAGTTAATTGTATGCAATCCTTACATTTTTTTCCCCTTTGCTTCTATTTATTGGCTCTTGGCCTATGAAGCCCTATGGCTTGAGGAAAAAGGTAATCTTGACTGGTTGTCAGTGATGTGTGTGTGTGTGTGTGTGTGTGTGTGTGTGTGCATGTGTTTACTTCACTTCACCGGCCAACACTCTCAAATTGTAAAAAGGCACCAGAAGCATTAACAGACACCTCAAAAACCTCTGCTTACAATGAGTCAAAGGATGCCAAGTACTTGGGGAAACACTTTCCCAGCTGGTTCTCCCTACTCCCTTCCTGACCACCCACAGAGTTCCCTGTTGTATAGGGTCTAATTGTCTCTAATCTAGTTTTAACTTCTGTAATTACCTTCAATTATGAAATAGAGCCTGCAGAACACACTCCTTGTGGTTAAGACACAGATCCAGAGTAGAAATGTAATTACTCTTCAGCCTCTCAGGGGTTCTGCTTAGACTTCTGTGCAGATGCAGAGTAGAAATGCCTTACCTGCTCCATCCATACATGTCTTTTGTTTCGTTTTGAGTCCAGGTTTCTGAAACAGGTCCAGGGGTATGTTTAGTGTGTTGGCCATTGGGAAACTTAAAAAAATATCTACTAGCCCAAGATCAACTAAACCTAGAAACCTTCAATGACTTCCCATTGTCCTTAAAATAAAGCCCAAATGCTCCATGGAAGTGGCCATGATTACCTGTCACAAGCTCTAATGACATGTAGTCCATCCATAATCCATTCATGGCCTACACAGATATAAACCCTTGCCTAAATCTCCAGTCTCATCTTTTGCATTTTTCTTGCTCTCTAAACTTTCCCCCCCCCCGGCTTTAAGTTCCTGACCCACTTGCCTCGTCAGTACCTTCACACATGCTATTTTTTCTTTTTCCTCACCCCACTTTTCATCTGGCTAATTTTTGGGGTATATCTAGTCCCTTTATGATATACTTTTAGAGCACCCTGACTCTCTTTCATTATAAATTTCTCACAACTGCAATCAAATAATTATCTGACTATATATATACATATATACACACATGTATGTATGTGTATATATGTACACATATATACATATATAATATATGTGTATATATAATACATATATTATATATATAATTCTCCCCTACTTGCACTAGAAACTTCGCAAAGGTAGGATTGTGTCAGTTTTGTTTGAATATTGCATCCTCAGCACCCAGCACAGCCACTTAACACTGAATAATTGTTCAATAAATACTTGTTAATAAAAGAAGGGAAAAGAGCCATCTAGAGTCATTTCATTTATTTGATAGGGCATTTTGTTGCTCTCACTAGAGATGTGATTATTTAATCTTCCTGTGAGCCAATTAGTTTCACTCTGTTCCCAAAACCACAGTGCACCTTAGTATCCCCTGCCGATCATCTCACAAATGTGTGTAATCCCCCAGAGGGAACTGGAAGAGATTGTTTGGCTTAGGACAGTCCATCCCTAATGGTGAGAAACGTGTCAAAGTACATGTCCTACTTACAGTGGTAGCACAGCTTCCCTGCTGGACACAAAAGGCAATACTTTTCTATTACCGTGCGTTGGTTGATAACGCTTGCCTCTGCCGTGTGAATAGATTTTTCTTTATTTAGTGAAACACTATGTTAATGATTGGACAGAGTAATTAATAGCAGATCAGATTAAATTTTCATGTCTCTGTACAAGCCAAAGAGAAATTATCCCCATTAACCTGATCAGTACAAACTGTCATACTAGATTAGAAGAGCTCCAGTTTCAATTTGTACTTTAACCCTGCTGTTTCAGCCAGATGGCTTGCTAGTACCTCAGCAGCTGCTCAGGAAAGAGGGAGAGGAAACCTGGAACAGGCAAGTCTGATACAAGAAAAGGCAAAGTGGGTTTTGGGCCTGGTCTAAAAGAAAGTTGCCAACAGTATCTGCCTCAACATCAGGGGACTGTCTGTATTAGCATTGCTATACCAAAGGGCCAGGCTGGGAAGGAGAAAGGCAAAGTGGCTCTCTGGGCAGTAGGGCTAATCATTTTCAGGAGAAAAGCTAGAATTAAATTGCAGAGTAGTGTGCCTAGAAGTAGAACTCCAGAGAAAGGACCTAGAGGTAGAGTCCAGGACCTGAGGAAGAAGGAACTTCCAAGAGTTAGGCAGGTATCAGGATCCCAGCCAAATGAATTGGGATTCAGAGTGGGGTGCATAGGTCAACTGTAGTACAAACCAAAAATAGAGGCAAACTATATTCAGAGTATCCTGGCAGGGTCTCCAAGATTTCTAAATTTTAATGCATAATCTGTTTCTTCCTCTTCTCAAGCTCTACAGGCTCCTCAAGTTTACCTTCCATCCCCAACTTCATCTGTAGTGCAAGATTATTGCTGGCATAAATATGAATGAAGACACAAATACAGCGTGGGGACTATAAGGTCTCAATACTCTTTGCATGGTCAAGATTGGAGTTTAACAAAGCTGATATCAAACTCTGTTTCACAGTAATAGCAAAGTGACAGGAATAATTGTGTGACAAATCCATCAGAATTTATAATCCAAATGAGAGTTTTCCTCTCACAGAAGTTCCCTGGGAAACTACACACTTTTTCCACTGATGTTTTAAAAAAAACACTGGGACTCTTTTCGAGTATATTTTTTAGATCCTTCGACACAGACTTTTGGTCCTGCTTAGCTGAGGTTAACTTTCATCTTTTGAGAATAGATTTGCATGCTACAAATAGCCAAGAGTCTTTCCGAGATTGCTGTAATAAATAACTTTGGAGACTAAGTTGAGTCATACCATTCAACTAAGTTAGATTCTTTAACTATCAGTTTTAGTTACAAGTTCTTAAGTGCAGTTCAGGCCCTTGGGCCAAATCAGAGAAGGCCAGGATCTGAAAGTTAAACAGACAAGTCAGTGTGATACTAACTCTAAGATGGGTCTAAGTATTATGGAGCATGCTCAAGCAGGTGACAAATTGTCAGGGTGACATGGCAGTGGCAATAATAGAGGTTAAGGCAAGAAATAGGCAGAGGGAGTCCAGGAAACCCAAGAGCAGATAGAAATATAGTATTCAAGTAAGGATTAAAAAGACCTGTAGAGAGGTAAACCAGAATCCTACTCTCAGGGATCTCGAGTGTTAATTGGGGGACCAAATATGAGATTTGGGTTCTAGAAGAGTTATAGGAAATTAAGTAGGATCCCAAGTAAAGTCATGAGATGACAAGGTCAGAGTAAGCCTGAATTTCTAATATTTCTTCTGTGCCAAACTATGATTGTTCCAAGAACCTAGGACAGAGCCGAACCCACAAGAATTATTGAGTGGCCTAAGCACAATGAAAATTACACAAGTGATGTATCATTCATAACACTGTGGTGGTGAAGAAGTCAACCACATAATTCTGCCAGTGCTTCAGAATGTCTATCCTATTAGTCTGACTACCTTTGAGAGGTGAATTCTACATGACAGTGCCATGGTTGTTGGAAAAATAGCACAACTCCATTATCCTCATCTGTAGTTGGATTCTGCGCTTATCTTGGGGTCTCTGGCAGACCGAAGTTTGCCTCTGAAGATTCTAACACTTTTGTTTCTTAATCACACCAGAAAAACCATTTTCCTCCCTGGTTACTATTTTACTCAAGAACATCTTTTTCTTTTGAGCTTCCCTGGAAAGTTCAAAACAAATGTCAAACCTTCTGTTTTCATTCATCACTTAAAATGAATTGACATCTTTATAGAAACTTTGCTTGTGTTTAGGGTTTCTTCCAGATCAAGTCAGCTTCTTCATCCAAATTGGATTCTTCAGACATCATTCTCGCAGTTGCAAGACATAAAGACATTTAATGAAGCAAATCTCTGACCTTTTCAATATTTCCATCTGTCCTGTGGATGACTAGATGACCCAGTCATGCATCATCATGGAGACCTTCCCTAAACCTTTCATAGCAGTCCCAATTTTTGCTCTTGAGATTATTCATGCCCCCATAAGCATCTCTTAATACATGAAGTATCTAACTTGCAAATTCATTTTATGCAATATTTTATATTGATATTTTGCTCTAAACAATGGCCATTGATTTTTGCAGTGATATGAAACTAGCATGCATTTCACCACCAATACTAGCTAGTGCAAGACCGATTAACTGACCTTGATAGTTTTGTTCCTGAAAGTTAAAGCATGTTTCCAGTTTGGCCTTGGTCACAGTTCCCAACATTGAATAACAACTCAATGTATATGTGACCCCAAAGATAATTATTTTAGAAATTAAGATGCCTATATTGTTCTTTCTCTTTCATGTATCTTGTCATCATCATTATATCAGCCTGAGCTAGTTGAAGGTCATTTCCGTATGGGCTTCGAGGGTAAGTAAGTAGGGTTTGGGAGAGCCCCTTACCCCAAGTCTCAGCTTAGTTGCTGACACATACCTATTAT
Source organism: Homo sapiens (assembly GCF_000001405.40). Taxonomy (NCBI): domain Eukaryota; kingdom Metazoa; phylum Chordata; class Mammalia; order Primates; family Hominidae; genus Homo; species Homo sapiens. Next base: position 131,215,421 of record NC_000023.11, on the reverse strand, counting down.
AGCACCCTAGACTATTTGTGTTATCCTATCTCCTGAGTAATTACAGTATATGGTAGTGGTTAAGGAAGCAGGCTCTGAAGTTAGAATTGGGCTTGAAACTTAATGATCATTCACTAATGTAGTCAAGTGAATTCTTACCTACGTGATAGAAATAATATCCACCTGCAAAGTTCACAGAGATTAAATGAAATAATATATATATAACACACTTAGCATGGTACCAGCCTATCTATTATTAATCAGTGGGAAGACCAGCCTGACTTACTGAAAAGTCAGGATATCTTTCAAAGTTATAAAGTAACACCTCTATTAATATTGACTCTTCTTATTCAGAAACTTCCTTCACAGAATAACATCAGAAACAATACTCAATTCCAGCCATACTCCAAGGGGAGGTTGTGGCTCACTCAAGTTTGCAAGTGTACTTCTGTTTCCTTGGGATTTGACCCTACACTGGTTATTGCTGAGCTGAAGATACTACAGACCTTTAGCTTCCTCCATTAAAAGAAACTAGCTAGGCTGTCTCATTTCTTCAGCTGCCACTGCTGCTAGTCAAGGACTGAGAGCTTCCATTAGTCTTCTATGTCTCTGTGTACTCAGGCTAACTTTAATCAAATGAAATTCCTACTTAATGGATTGATTAATTGAGATGTTATTGTTTGCTATTGTTACCTCCAAATATAAACAATGAATTGTATTATCAAGTAGATGGCTTAATGGCATCAATATTAATAAATAGAGAAATATAATCAATGTTTCACATGTAAATGAAACCTATATTACCCCTGTAATTTTGTTTAAGGTATTAGTTTACCAAGCATATCCTTTCTTTTTGTAGCTGGTGGAATGGTAAACTCCAAAGCCTAGTCTATAAATAAAGCAGTCCCCTGTCATGAGCTAGTGAAGTCCAAATTAATAAGGTTTACTTTATCTATACTAACCCTAACTACACTGATATATTACTTATCTAAAGGTCCCCTTCCTGGAAATCATAATTGTCTAGTACTCACAGAGCTAAAACTAATAAATAACCTTTAAAGACCTTAGGAGAGCCAAAAGAGATGATACAAAATCTCTGCCCCAAACCTCATCCAGAGTGCTTGTAGAAAAACCCCCTAAGGTTCACAATCCTACTTTATACACAATTGTAACTCAGCTTATTTTCTGAGCCTAGGATAGAAGAGAAAATGTCAATGGACTACTGGAGGCATAAACAATGTTATCAGTAAGTAAAAACTTTAGATATAAGACAGAATAGTTCTTAAAAAAAAAAAAAAAAAACAGCCTGCGGCCATTTACTGGATAATTAAACAGTCTGATACACCTCAAGATTGCTCCTAAAGACACTACACATCTCAGCCCGACCCAATGATTAATGTCCTTAAAGATGGCCTGGAATCAACCTGAAGAAGGCAAATTGTGTCAGGTTCACTTGGCATGAAAACACAGAGACCTATCCGTTTGAAACAATTAGTACTGCAAGGGACACTTCTATTATTTGGGACATGCACTTACAAACATCTCCTTCCTGACCAATGCCAAATAGATCTGGTGTTACAGTATCCGCCAACCAAGGCATGTCACACTGGGTTCTGCCAGCCTGGCTCAATGAACAGATAAAGGTTTTTGATGAGCACATTGTTTATATGCATATAAAATAGATACTAGTCAAATGTTTGTGAAACTTTTCTTTTCCCCTCCCTGAGGTGGTGCACACGTGAATACAAGTAGTTTGGTGGTGTCTGAGTTACTTCCAACTTTGAGTTAATGAGGTGGCTGTTTTGCTGTGTGTGAGTGTGGAGGCGGGGAGCGGCGGGAGTATTGTCTAGGATGAGCCCTGAAGCCCCAGGGAGTTTGTTACCGCTCCCTTTAGACAAAAAGTATGCTTGGGCCAGGCCATTTTGCCATAGCACCCTCCAGAAGAAATGTGTTCCAGCAAGAAAGTAAGATATTGGCAAATAAAAGTTCTTTTTCTGGGTTTCTAATGAAGTCAGGGAATTTCTTCTCACCTTGCTACCAATAATAAACATACTTCTGGGGGGTGGGGGGAGAAGCACAAAATAATGACCTCCCAAGGAGCTGTTATGCACTTGCTTTTAATAACTCGCCCTATGCCCATCTCCCAGTGAAGTTCTTTGTAGTCAAAATGCCTTCTTTTAACTAAGTCAGATGCGACCAATTAACACCATCAACTCAGTGAATGAGGTGCTAACTCCTTAATCCCAATAATTAGCATGCAAAGGAAGAAAGGAGAATGACAAAAGAAGCAGGTTATTGGCTATAGGAAAGGGAGTTACTTATGAACCTAGCTGCAAAGAGTGTATAGGTAGCTTTTGAGTAACTTCAATGTGTGTGTCTATGCAGTATGATTTGTGTATGCATTTTGTATGGAGACATTTACATGAAAGATATGTGTGTGTGTGTGTTTATACCTATGTGTTTCTGTGCATATATAAGGGTAATGTGTCTCTGTGTAAATAGGATATTTACACTGAGGCATTTCGTGGAGCAATAGAGTCCAATACACCTCGAGACAGCACTTAACAGCACTCTATCTCTCAGCCCAGCCCACAGTAATTAGTATGCATAAAGATGTCCTGGAATCATCCAGAAAAAGTTAAATTGTATCAAGTTCACTTGGTATTACAAGACAGAAAGCTATACATTTGAAACAATTACAGTGAAAAGTACTTGGCTACTTGAATGAATGAGGCTATTATTTGGTACTTGCACACATAAAGAGAATCACACTTTCCCTGCCAATTGCAAACAGATCAGGTGTGACAGTATCTGCCAACCATTCCACACTTAGTTCTGCCAGTGCTGGCGTGGGTCTGTGTGTCATCACTTTGCATCTGTGGGGTGTGTGTGTGTGTGTAAGATTGCTCAGGCTGAAGTGTGTTTATGCTTGTTGAAATGCCTGGCATTAAAGGGTGTACTTTTTTTGGTCTTTTTTTTTAATATACTGTAAGTTCTAGGGTACATGTGCACTACGTGCAGGTTTGTTACATATATATACATGTGCCATTTTGGTGTGCTGCACCCATTAACTCGTCATTTAACATTAGGTATATCTCCTAATGCTATCCCTTCCCCACCAACAACAGGCCCCGGTGTGTGATGTTCCCCTTCCTGTGTCCATGTGTTCTCATTGTTCAATTCCCACCTATGAGTGAGAACATGCGGTGTTTGGTTTTTTGTCCTTGCAATAGTTTGCTGAGAATGATGGTTTCCAGCTTCATCCATGTCCCTACAAAGGACATGAACTCATCATTTTTTATGGCTGCATAGTATTCCATGGTGTATACGTGCCACATTTTCTTAATCCAGTCTATCATTGTTGGACATTTGGGTTGGTTCCAAGTCTTTGCTATTGTGAATAGTGCCACAATAAACACACGTGTGCATGTGTCTTTATAGCAGCATGATTTATAGTCCTTTGGGTATATACCCAGTAATGGGATGGCTGGGTCAAATGGTATTGCTAGTTCTAGATCCCTGAGGAATCGCCATACTGACTTCCACAATGGTTGAACTAGTTTACAGTCCCACCAACAGTGTAAAAGTATTCCTGTTTCTCCACATCCTCTCCACAATGAACTCAAACAAATTTACAAGAAAAAAAACAAACAACCCCATCAACACGTGGGCGAAGGATATGAACAGACACTTCTCAAAAGAAGACATTTATGCAGCCAAAAGACACATGAAAAAATGCTCATCATCAGTGGCCATCAGAGAAATGCAAATCAAAACCACAATGAGATACCATCTCACACCAGTTAGAATGGCAATCATTAAAAAGTCAGGAAACAACAGGTGCAGGATGTACATTTTTAAAAAATAAATTTAATCTGGTAGGGCATGGTGGCTCATGCCTGTAATCCCAGCACTTTGGGAGGCCAAGGCAGGTGGATCATGAGGTCAGGAGTTTGAGACCAGCCTTGCCAACATGGTGAAACCCCGTCTCTACTAAAAATACAAAAAATTTACCCGGGCGTGGGGGCAGGTGACTATAATCCCAGCTATTTGGGAGGCTGAGGCAGGAGAATCACTTGAACCCAGGAGGCAGAGGTTGCAGTGAGATGAGACCATGCCACTGCACTCCAGCCTGGGCAACAGAGCGAGACTCCGTCTCAAAAAAAAAAAAAATGTAATCTAATGCAAAACACATGGTTTCTGCCTAACATCTTGCCTTGACCATCATTCTTCCTGGTTTCCTTTTTTAGTACTCTGTTTTGCCTTCTTCAACGGGGATCCCATGGGTCAAATTTGGCTTAGTTGGAGATTGCTCTGATTATCTGACCCTACCTACCTGTCAAACCCAGCCACTTCATTGCCCCAACCTGTAGTCTCAACTGCATCCTCCTGCCAAAGCTGCCACCTGTTTTTTGGTTCATTCTAGCCAGAACTACTTCCTTGAAACTGACCTAATGAGCCTGCTTAGGCTAAGTTAAGCACTAGTCCTGGCAGAGCTAGGCTCCATGCGGGCAGGAGCAAGGTGATAGGGTTGGACTGGAGGGATTTGCATGGTGTGCACCCAGTTCCCTTGGGGACAATAGGAACCCAGATGCATGAGAAGCTGCCTGAAGTGGGGACTGCTGATTTGGGGTAGGGGCGGGGGAAGCATACCCAAGGTTCCCAGGGACCTTGGTCCACAGGGCAAACCAAGTGGAGAAATGAAATGAGAGCCAAGCGTGGAGAGTGCTGGGTCATCCGTGAGAGGAAGGAAGAGGAGAGCAGAGTCAAGGGAAAATGTGGCGTGTCCTGGAATATCACCCTGAAGAGATCCAGGAAATCCCAATGCAGTCACAAATAACATACCAGACAATCATTTATTGAGGACCTACTATATGCCAAGCACTTTCCAGGCACTGGACATATCTATCTCAGCAAACATGACATCATCTCAGCCTTCAAGGAGCTTACTATGTGTTGGAAGAAACCAAGAAGCGAATTCTTGTTTATCGTTCTGTGTGAGAAGTGCCACAATAAATGTAAGAGAAGGCTTCCTGGAAAAATGAAGTAAGGTGGGTGAATAGTGGAGGGGGGAATGAACATTTAAAGGCCACCCACTTGGCTTCAGGATAAAGTCCAAATTCCTTGGCTGGGAATAGAAGGCCCTTCATGAATAGAAGCTCCAGCTTCTCAGGTCTCAGTTGTTACCACCATTGCCCACATGCTCTACATGCAGACACATTGGATTACTTGCAGTAGCTTAGCCATCTATACTCCCTTTCACTTCCTAGATATTGCAAACTATGATCGCTTTACATGGAATGTCTTCCCCAGGCTCTACCCATGAAATCTTACTTATTTATCTTGATTCAGCACAAATAACACCTACTCTGGGAAGTCTTCCCTTAACCTGACCACCACACCCTGAATAGGTTTAAATGCCTGGTTTAGTTTTCTTGGACTGCCATAACAAAGTACCACAAACTGAGTGGCTTCAACAACATAAGTTCATTTTCTTATAGTTCTGGAGGCTGGATGTCTAACATCAAGGCAGGGTTGGTTCCAGTAAGGAAGAATCTGTTCCATGCCTCTCTCCTAGCTTCTAGTGACTTGCTGGCAGTCTTTGGTGTCTCTTGGCTTCTATGTTCCCAGTCTCTTCCTGTTCACATGGCATTCTCCTTCTGTGCGTGTCTGTGTCTGTGTCCAAATTTCTGCTTTTATAAGGACACCAGTTGTATTGAATTACGGCCCACTCTAATGATGTCATTTTAACTTGATTGCCTCTGCAAAGACTCTACCTCCAAATAAGACAACATTTTGAGATACTAGGCATTAGGACTCCAACATATCTTTCTTTGGGAGACACAACTCAACCCATAACAGTGCCTCTTCCTAGTGCTTCCACAGGACCCTGTGCTTATAGCATTAATCAACCTAATTATAATTGTCTATTTAATTGCTTATCTCTCTCATCAGATTGCAAGCTCCATGGGGGGCAAGGATCATGATTTACTCATTGTTGGATCCTTAGGACTTGAAATAAAACCAAGAACATAGTAGGTGTTCAGTACATATTTGTCACAGTGTAAGTGTCACTCTGATCAGAAGACACACTCTTCACATGTGCTCTGGACCATGGGCCTTCCTGCCTTTGCAGGGAATACATCCATATCCCTGCATCTTCAACCTGTAGTCTCCACTGCATCCTCCTGCCAAAGCTGCCACCTGTTTTTTGGTTCATTCTAGCCAGAACTACTTCCTTGAAACTGACCTAATGAGCCTGCTTAGGCTAAGTTAAGCACTAGTCCTAGCAGAGCTAGGCTCCATGGGGGCAGGAGCAAGGTGACAGGGTTGGACTGGAGGGCTTTGCATGGTGTGCATCCAGTTCCCTTGGGGACAATAGGAACCCAGATGCATGAGAAGCTGCCTGAAGTGGGGACTGCTGATTTGGGGTAGGGGCGGGGGAAGCATACCCAAGGTTCCCAGGGACCTTGGTCCACAGGGCAAACCAAGTGGAGAAATGAAATGAGAGCCAAGCGTGGAGAGTGCCGGGTCTTTAAAGAAGACCCCTTTAATGAAGACTTCTCCCTCTTTAATGAATCCTTCTAACGGTATTCAAACATTTTCTTTTATTTACATTGTAAAACAAACATCTTCCTTTAAGCTTCTTGTTCCAGCTCTCATCAAATCTATTTTCTTCCAGAGCCAGGCTTCTCCAAAGAATTATCTACATATAGTGTCTTCTTCACCTTTTATTCATTTCTTTATCTCACTCCAATATGGCTTCTGCACTCATCACTCTACCAAAAGTGTCTTTACTGAGGTCATCACTGCCCTCTATGTTATCAGATACAATGAACCCGTCTTTGTCCTCAGCTTACTCCTCCCCTCAACAGTCTTCAGCATAGTTTACTAAGTTCTCCTTCTTAAAACATTCTCCTCTCCCTACCTGCATGAACCTATACACTCAGGGTTTTTCTCCTACCTCTCTATCACCTCCTCATTTGCTGGTTATTTTTCTTCTACATGATCTCAAAAAGAGGAATTCTCAGGGCTCCATTCTGGGTTCTCTTCTCCGTCTGGACTGTTCCTCTACATGATTTTACCCACTCTCATGCTTTTAAATGCCACCTACATGCTGATGGCATCTAAATTTGTATTTCTAGCCTAGATGTCTCTTCTGAGTTCCAGATCAGTATATTTAACTACCTACTTGACAGCCACTGCCATATTGGAATACTCTTGCACAAAGTTGATGTGATCATTACTTCTCTCCTCCAAATCTGGCCCTATCCCAGGAGTCTCCCATCCCTGTGAGTGGTGTAAGCATGTATTCAATTCACAAACTAGTAACCAGAAAGTTATTATTGATGCTTCCTTCTATAATCCATCACCAAACCTATCTAGAATTGATAGATAGATATCAATTCTATCTCTGAATATATCAACTTCAATTCATTTCTCTCCATCTCTGCCACTACTCTTAGTCCACACCAACATCATCTCTCACCGGTAACATTGTAATAGTGTCCTAATTGATTTCCAAACATCTATTAGCCCTCCAGTCCCATCAACAGTTGTTCTCCATGTAGCAATCTGAGTGATCTTAAAACATAAAATGGATCATGTCACTCGACTAAAAATTGTTCAAGAATTCCAATCTCACAAAGAAATCTAGTGAAGCAATGCATTATCTGATTCCTGCCTACCTTCCCAGTCCCATCTATGATACTCTCTCCCTTGATCACTGCATTCTAACCATGCTAGCCTTTTCTCTGTTCCCAATCACTCTAAGAACTTTTCCACAGCAGACCTTGTTGCTAGCTAGTCCTGCCACTGAAATCCTCTGCTACCCCCCTTCACCTTATAACCTATCTTTGCCTGGCTTATTTCTGTTTATCTTTCAGTTCTCTGTTCAAATGTCATAACTTCAGATAAACCTTATCTGATATTCCTAACCCAATCCAAATTAGATAACCTTGTTATATACCTTCCTATACATTTCCTTCATAACATTTATCACAGTGTTAAATTATTGAGGGATTGTCAGGCTATAGGTGGTACTTGATGACAAGGAAATAACAATAGTTTAGTGAGGGAGGAAGGCACATAAACAATTGAGCCATTCACTCAAAAAATATTCATTGAGTGGCTCCCACATCCCAAGCATTCTCCTAGGCACTGTAGACACTGGCAAACAACCAGATAAAATAATAATTTATTAAACTATATCTACAATGAATCCCGTAGAGACACAGAAAAGCATCATTTGCTTCAGTGTATTGGATAGGAGAAAACGGTCAAGCAAGTCCTGCTGGAGAGGATGATGATGGATCTGAGTATTAAAAGATGAGGGGCATTAGCCAGGTGAAATATAAATATGGGCAGAATTTTCCAGGCAAAGGGCATGAATAAGGATGCACAGGGTACAATGTGGCAAATTGTGAGTTGCAGCCTGATGGGAGATGAGACTGCAGAAAGGGACAAGAACAGAGTAATAGAAGGCCTTCAATTTCATGCTGAGAATCTTGGATTTTATCCTGTGAAGATGGTCATCGAACACTGACTGTGTGCACAGGAATTATGCTGGGTGCTTGAGGATACAGCTAGAAACAACTTTCTGCCTCTGTCCTTTAAGGGTTTACAATCTAATGAGAAGACAGGACACATATATAAAAAGTGCAGAGCAGTGCATCCTACATGTCAGATGAAGAGAAATAAAGCACTTCTCAGGGGGAGAAATGACATAAGCAGCATACTCATGGAGGGTTCAAAGAGAAGGTAGGACTGGAGTTGAATCTTAAAGGACAAAATAGGGTGAGTTTAGCTCAACGAGGGACATTCTGAGTATTTCTCTGTTTACATGTTCTACTAAAAGATTTATTAGGTCTTTACATAAGGTTGTTTCCCATTAATTATTATAGTTACTCTTAAAATGAAGGTAAATAACAATATTGGGATTTGACATGCAGAGATTCTCTTTAGAAATGATTCTTTCAAGATCTACATATTATATAAACAATGTAAAAATATAAATTCCGAGCAACTGGAACACTAAGGCCACCAGATTTTACCATTTTTGAGGTTGGAAGCTGTATCTATGTTGTTCACTATTCTCTTCCTAGCATCTAGCACAATGACTGGATAATATTAGGCTCTCAATAAATATTTTTGCTTGAATAAATTAATAAGTGCATTATCTGCTTTTCAGAGCAGACTCTTTTTGCTTTTACTCTCCCTTGGAGTGTAGCTTGAATATATCAGTTGATAATGTTAGGTAGCTGGTAACAGGAAAATAAGAAACAGAAGCACAAGTGAAGCCAGCGAGGTAAACTCAGGTACACAGCAGGAAAAGGACCTGGGAGGGGAACAAAAATAAATAGATGAAAATGCAGCAGGTAGCTGTAAATGCTAGAAAAAAAATGCAATCTCGAAAAAAGTGCCGTGAGGCAATCCACATGTCTAACAAATTGCTATAAGTGCTTAATGCACATTTCTCCAAAGCTAGCCTACTGGTGGGTTTCCATATGTTCTATTAGATTCAATTTTTATCTTTTTAATCTCAGGTCAAGTAGAAGTCCAAAATTATTATCATAGCCTCATAGCCAGAACTGTAGTCTAGGCAGTGAAGGAAATAAACATGGACTATTTATTTAGGGAGCTCTCCTCTCTTATGAGGGTAACACAGTTATCACTCTTCCTCCACCTCCAGAACCTCCAGGTGTGATTTTTTTAAAAAATGAAACTGAACACAATTAAAGTTTACCTGCCAATCCCTACTTCCAAGATTGCACCTTTGGGGGATTGTGTGGAGCAATTATTTATTATCTATCCCAGAATGGTTTACCTCCCATAAACTCAAAAGTACTTTTCCCCTCTTGCAATATAAATATGCCCAAGAAAAACTAGATTATTTCAAGGAGACTAGTAACAACTCTTCCCCTAAAATCAGAATATTTGGCAATTATCCAATATTTGAGGTTATAAAAATTATAATCTATCTTGTGTTTTTCCTTTTCTTCTCTTTTTTTTTTCTTCTTTCTCTTTTTTTTTTTTTTTCTGATGGAGTTTTGCTCCTGTTGCCCAAGCTGGAGTTCAATGGCATGATCTCGGCTCACTGCAGTCTCCACCTCCTGGGTTCAAGCTATTCTCCTGCCTCAGCCTCCCGAGTAGCTGCGATTACACGTGCGTGCCACCACGCCCGACTAATTTTTTGTATTTTTAGTAGAAACGGGGTTTCACCATGTTAGCCAGGCTGGTCTTGAACTCCTGACCTCAGGTGATCTGCCTGCCTCAGCCTCCCAAAGCACTGGAATTACAGGCATGAGCCACCACGCCCCACCTATCCTGTGTTTTTCTAATCTGATTGGAAATTTCTTGAGGACAAAAACATTGCCTTGACCTCCAGATTGCCCTAATTTTTGTCAGTTGTATGAACCTCATCATTGTAGGATCAAATCCTCAGCTTCCTCACAGCCTCTTTAACATCTTTGTGTTTGAGGCTGTTGATAAGGGGATTACACATGGGAGCAGCAATGGTGTAGAGCAAGGAGAAGGTTTTGTTGAGAGCTGGCACTTGGCCAGCCAAGGGCACAGCATAGACCAGGATCAAGATCCCATAGAACAAGATCACAACCACTAGCAAGTACAGAATGCCTTCTGCCTACTAGTCATGGAAGGTATATGCAACACCATTGAAAAAATCCTCCAGTAGGAGGTTAGGGTTAGTCCAAAGGAAGCTGGGTCAACAGAGCTGTTAGACTCATGCAGACTAGGTTGACCAGATAGAGATCTGAGCAGGAGAGCTTATGCAGAGGTTTCAAGTCACAGAATAAATGGTTAACCTCATCGCCACCGTAGAAGGTCAAATTTGATACCATAGCAGCCTGGAATGCAGCTTACACTGTTCATGAGCCACTTACTATCCCCACGCACATGGTTCCATGCATTAGTTTTTAATAATGCATGGGCTGATGGATAGCCAGATACCCATCATATAACATCATTGCCAGTAAATAACATTCAGTGCTGCCCAGGACCAAAAATAAGTAGGCTTGAATGATACAACCCACCATAGAGATCATTCTGTTTTCCGTCAACAGGTCCACCAGCATCCTGGGCACAATGTTGGTTGTATAACAGATCTCCAGGCATGAGAGGTTCACCAAAAAGAACAACATTGGAGTGTGAGGTCTCCGTCGAGTGCTCACCAGTACCATGAGGGGAAGATTCCCAGAAAAGATGGCTACATAGGTAACCCCAAACACCAGGAAGGACAAGGGACTCAATTCTTTGAGGTCTCCAAACCCCAGTATGATAAACTCGGTCACCACCGTAGTGGTATTTTCTGGCCCCACAGAAGTCAATAGTTCCTGATGAAATGTCAGCTTCTCCATACCAATATGTCAGCTCACTCTACCACTTAGATTTTCCACATAGTCTAGTTCTATCAGTGATTAGAACACTGTGCTGATGAGGGCATTTCTTGCGGATTGGTCCTCATCATAGCCAGTTAAATTATTCCTCAGAAAACTGTTTCTAGAAGTCAGCTGAACCTGTCATCTGGTTAGGGTATGGAATAGGGATGAGGAGACTAAATGAGAGAAGGAGTGGCTCAGTGAAAAATCTATCCTCATCCCTAAAGTAGCCATCTAGATTACAATTGTACTGGTAACAAGTTGAGGCTCCCAAATTCACAATCAAAGGTGACATGTAGAGCCCATGTTTGGAATCTTCTATGCCATTTTGGACAGAAGATATTCCCACAGAAAATCCTTACTAAATGCTGACAATTCGAAGAAGAGGCCGGCCAGATAGCAAATTATGTTTGGCCTTTTTGATCGGAGCATGAAATGAGAGCTGATACACTAGGACTGAAGCAGAGAATCATTTCATTGGTGTTACTGGAGCATCCATGCTTGTTTGGTAGTTACATGCCTGAGGAAGCAGAACTGGTCTCTAGAGAGAAAATAGATTCTGGAAAACCAGGTATATATCCTGAAACAAAATAAGGGTTTCTTATTTCTAAATCTTGCTCCATAAAAAGTTGGATTTTAGGCTCCTGGGGAGAAAGGCTAGCCCCTGACATCTAAAACTACTAGTTAGACTCACATGTACACATCTAAACACACACACACGCATGCACACACATTTGTAGGTAGTCACACTTACAAAGAGCACACATGCTGTCATCTTTACTATCACTTTTTAAATTTGGGTTTCCCAGGTTAGTCTTCTAGAAGTGGAATATTCGCTCCGTGGGACTTGGTCTCCATTTCAGATGTGCTGACACTAAAGAGGTAGTGGCCCTGGGTTAGATCACAAAGTACAAATAACCAGGCTTTCCACATGCATCACCAGAAGTGAAAGAGAAGCTAGCATGTCTTCTCATTCAATATGGTTATTGGTCTGTTTTGTAAGGCAATGTAGTGTAATGATTAAACACATGAACTCCAGAGCCAGGCTGCCTGGGGTCAAATCTCAGTCTCTCTGTTTACTGGCTGTGTGACCTTGGGTAAGTTGTTTAACCTCTCTGTGCCTCTGTTTTCTCATCTCAGAAAAAAATGAGGCGCATAAGAGTATTTCCTCACAGTTTTGTTTTGAGAAGTACATGTAAAGTAATTAGAATGGTGTCTGACACATAGTAAGCACTAAACAAGCATTAAATATTTTTACTTTCAAAATACAAAATTTTTAATAAAAATGAGCCCACGGAAACATTAACCAAGATTATTAATCACTATACTTAAATAAAATAAAGCAATATAAATGCACAGGAAGAAAATTGTACATTTCTCATTACTTCTTGACTGTCACCTATCACCACTTAATTTTACCACTTAATTTAACTTGAAAATAATTGAAGATATTACAAGCATCTGTCTATATAGAGTTATGTAAAGATTAGATGAATCATGTATATAAAGTGCCTGCCACATACAAAACACTCAATAAATCGTGACTAAAAACAGTACCAACAATTTGCCTAAAGTCATCAAAACAGCATGCGGCAGAGCTGAGATTCACAGTTCCACGGGACTGCAACAACCATGATCTTTCCATAGATCGCACTGACTTACTGCCTGCTCTCATTATATTTACATGTATGTGCGTCTGTGCATGCATGTTTTTTTTTGTCTGCATGCAAAGAGTCTTTAGGATTCTGTCTAAAAGGATTAAAGGCAAACTCTTCTGTGTAATTGTGTACCTTTATGCAAGCTCTCTTCCTACACACCCACTTGTACCAGTTACCACAGTGTACACACCACACACAAGCCATGGGTGCCCACACTGCTGTCTTTGTTCTTTTGGCTCCAGTTCCTGTACAGCTCCTGACCTTTGGTTTAACCTCCCTTTTGAGGGGGAACTCTGGGTTTTTACTGGGTGTTCTCAACTCAGGCTCCTGCCTCCTTCTCAAGAGCTTTGGCTCAGACTCATTCTCCTTGGTTTCTCCAATATTGAGGCCATAATTAACCATTTGTTTGAAAAATGAATCCCTACCACACTCTGTCACTGTCTTCCCTTCTTTCCTGATTCATTTTTATTTATAACACGTATCACCTCTGAGGTATAATATATTTTGCTTAATTATTTCTAATGGTCTGTTTCCTTTAATGTAGACTTCATGAGAGCAGATATTTCCTCTCTTTTATTCACCACTGAATCCTCAGCACCTAGAACATTGCCTGGTACAGAATAGATGTAATAAATATTTGCTATATGAATTAGTGAGACAGTATGATATAGCGAACAGTGCTTTGCCTTCGGAGCCAAACAGAACCACATTCAGATCTCAGCTCTGCCACTTATCCATATGTGACCTTGGGACTTTTTATGGGACCTCTATGTGCTTCTGTTTCCTCATTTGTTAAATAAGAATCTTGACAGGGCCCCTTAGGTGTCTCTAGATATCCATTCCCTTCTTGTTCTCTATCAGAGATTGGCAAACTTTTTCTTAAAGACCAGAGAGTAATATTTTAAGCTTTGTGGACTGTTGCGACCCAGTCTTTGTCACAACTATTCAAGAATGCCATTGTTTTGAGAAAGCAGCATAGATGATACATAGAAGAATTGGAGTGGCTATGTTCCATTAAAATTTCATTTACCAGAAAGAGGTTGTTGGACCTCAGTGTGTAGTTTACCTGCCCCTGTAGCTGGATACATGGCTGCCTGGCTAAAGTCCACATTACTTTTACAAGATGGGTCAAGCCTATAGGGTATAAATGGAATGAGGTTTGTACCTTTTAGATTGTGCCCTTAGAAGAAAAGTATATATTCTCACCTTCCCCTTTTCATCTTTCCCACTGGCTGGAATGCAGACCTGATAGCAGAATCCAGAGTTGCCATCTGGGACCATGTGATAGAAGCTGGGGATTGAAATTGCAGAGGAACAGCACAGAAGCAGCCTGGAGGCCACAGTAACCCTGAACAGCCTACCTGGCCCTTTCATGGAAATAAATGTATTTCTATTTTGTCTAAGTCACTGAAAGTTTTTAGTCTTTTTGTTACAACAGCCTAACCTGCACTCTAACTAACAAATGATTACAATTACCTCCTAGGTTATTATGATTATTCAACAAGATACTCCATGTAAAGCACTTAGCAGAGCAATTGACACAAAGTAAATGGCAGCTTTCATTATGATTTCTGTTGTTTGTGACTTCATTCCTCTTCTCCATTCTTCCCTTCCCCTGATATGTTTACATCTAATTTTAGTTCCCTTGAGATCCAATGTTTGATCAGGCCCCAAAACCTTTGAGATGGATTCAACAACCCCCTCTCCACTCATGTGCAAAGATTATTTATTTATTTGAGACCGAGTCTCACTCTGTTGCCCAGGCTGGAGTGCAGTGGTACTATCTTGGCTCACTGCAACCACTGCCTCCCAGGTTCAAGCAAGCAGTTCTCCTGCCTCAGCCTGCCGAGTAGCTGGGACTACAGGCGTGCACCACTACACTCAGCTCATTTTTATATTTTTAGTAGAGACGAGGTTTTGCCATACTGGCCAGGCTGGTCTCAAACTCCTGACCTCAGGTGATTCCCCCACCTCGGCCTCCCAAAGTGTTGGGATTATAGGCATGAGCCACCGCACCCACCCTGGAAAGAGAATTTAAACAAACAACCAGATTTTGCCCTTTTCCTGAATAAAGTGCAAATAATACATTTGACTGCTTTGGGTCTTTTTCACATTCCTAATAAGATAGATAAGCAATCAATGTTCAAACTGGAGTATGCATCCTCAACTGAGGGTGATTTTGTTTCCTCCCCGCCCCACCAGGGGACATTTGGCAATATTTGCTTGAGGTTAGGTAGTCATTCTGGTTCCTCCCTTCTCCCCTCTCCTTTCACAATTACCTTCCTCCTACGTTATAAGAGAAAGGACTACCTATCAGACATCTTGAATCTTACCATGGCTGTGCTCACTTTCTCCTCTGAGGTTCCAGAGTAGAGCAGAGCAGAGTGGATGAGATCTGGAAGTCAGAGCATAGTCCTAGATTCTAATTACTACTCTGTCACTTTTGGGCTACGTAACACTTATTTATTTACTTACTTATTTATTTTAACACTTTGGAGACTTCTGGTCACAGAAAAATTTGGTTTAAAATTTCATTTCATTTTATATACATATTTTTATTGGGATACATAATAGGATGAACAAGAAAAGCCTTTTCCACATAAAAATATGAAAGATATTAGGATAAAACTCTGTGGAGCAAGTGAATGGAAATGTGAGTTGAAGAAGAAAAGGTAATGGTGTTAAATATCCAACTGTTAGAGACCTTTTCCATTAGTATTTTAATGGGTGGCAATGGATATAAAAATACTATGGTACTTAGAATCTATTGAAGAAGTTAAAAGAGTGATGCAAGAGTTTAATTTAAACTCAATATTTACAAGGTGACAAAAAGTATACGGTATTTGCATCTACTTGAATTTATGATGAAAAATTTCTAGGTGTCAATTTTAAAATGTGCAAGAGAGCAGAGTATAGTCCAAAGTTTAAAGAGCTAGGTTACTGCTGAATTCTCTCTGAGTCCTTTCTTTCTTGATGAAAAAACAAAAAGAGGGGGGAAAAAAAAACAGTCACATCGAGATGTGATTAAAATGCAGCAGCAAGTCTTACTGCACAAGACCGGTTTTCTCCGGTCCCCACTCACCCTGCCAGCTAGCTTCCAAGTGGGTTTTTTTTCTCCCCTGCTCAAGAAGTCCGTCATGCTCCCCCAGCCTTCCATTCAAACCAACACCTATTTTCCCCTTTTCATCAAATAATGACTCTCTTAGTCATCGCTGCAGGTCTCCTGGACTCTTACAACCTGCTTATGACTCAACCTGCTTTTAGCGAGTGGGCCTCCAGATACAATCCATAATTATCAAGCAGAACTTTGGAAAACATATTAAGAGAAAAGGACAAGTTTTAGAACAGGGCTTGCTATAGGGTGGCCCTCACATACATACTCACACACACATACAGTCTTCACTCGTGGAGAATTTGTCTTCCCCATGCCGAGAAAACTACTGGGAAAAATGGGCAAGTCAATCAAATGAATTAATTCTGTTGTTTCTTTTTATGCAGGAAATGGTAAAATATGCTTCTTTTTGCAACCTTCACTGTATTAGGCAAATTGTGAGCCTGGTTTGTGTTTGCAGTCCCAGGAAAGTAATTTTATATGTGCAAGCAAACATACATCAGTGTACACAGGAGACAGTGTGACTGCAGCTGTGATGAACAGAGAATGGTGTACATGATGCCATCCACCAGCCCAGACCTACATTTTTACATTGAAATCAGAGAACACAGCCTTAAAATAGAAATGGCAATAAATAAAATAGTTCACTTTCACTCCGTCTCAAAAAAAAAAAAATAAAAATAAAAATAAAATAGTTCACTTTCATCCAGATTGGCTTGCAGAGCACAGTTCTACACTGGCCTGTGGCCTGGTAAATGTCCCTTGCTTCACGGGAAGTTTGAGCTGCCATTTGATTCTTCCTATCTGAAGGCAGCTTCTTTACATTTTGAAACAAGCTGAGGAAGGGAGTCCTTCCTTAATCACTCCCTCAGAACCAATCAACAGGTGTTGATTTGAATTCCAGCTTATCTCATATTAGCTGTGTGACCTGAAGTAATATCCTTAACCTCTCTGAGACACAGTTTCTTCATCTCTAAAATCAGGAGAATGATATCTGCCTTGACTGATATACAAAATGAGTACTGAGGATTAAATGAGGCACAGTGTTTCCAAAGTTAAAGTACTATACAAAATACATTAAAAATAACAATAGCAATTATCACTATTATTATTGTTCTTATTATTGGCTCCCAAGACCACCTATTCATTTGATAAGCTCTAATTATTAGAAATAAACCAAAATTAGAATCTCTTTAAATTCTGCTCATTCATCTCTGGTCTGCTCATTGATTTTATATAACAGATCTAACTCTTTTTCTACATGTAGCCTTTCAGATAATTGAAGAGAGATATTTAGGTCCCATTCTACGCCTACATCTAGGTTTTCTCTTCTCTGGGCTAGAAAAAAACAAGTCAGTCAGTTAAGAATCTCTTAAAGAAGAGGAAAAGTATGATATCAGTGGACTCACATTTTTGTTCTCAACATTATTGTTTACTTGACTGATGGCTATGGTCCCCTTTGGAGGTTGTTAACATATGGAAATGATGTTTGTTGAGTCCAGAAAAGTGAAAAGATGTTTGGGTTTACTCTTTTATTCCCAATTCTAGTCAGCGCTTAATACCCTTTTGATGTACTCATGAATAAGTGGATGAAACTCTATAATAAATTTTCTTTTTCTTAAGCACAACAGCCTGGAGTTTCCAACTCCTGCCCATGGTGCTAGCGTGCCTTGAGCCCCAGCGTGCTGAGTCCCAGCATGCTGAGACTTGCTTCCAGTTTACACCGACAGAACACCTAGCTTTGTTCCTCTATTCTTCCAGAAGGGCATTTCACAAACACCCTCCCTTTTGGGAACCAGTGTCAGTAACTGACGCCAAGATGAATCTTTTCTTTTTTGTTTTTGTTTGTTTGTTTGTTTTTGCAAGGGAGGGGGCTTGTGGGGATCAGGCAGCCTGGTCCTAAGTTCCCTTTTAGACAAAGCTAGTGGATTGACCATTTATTTAATTACCAGGTGTTAATGCTGCAGCCTCAATATCAAATCAAGTAACTAAAAGAAAAATGGACTGAGCCCTTCAAAGACAAAGAAAGAAACTTTCTGTGGGGCCCACTGGAAAGAGGAGTTTTGTGTGTTTATTTTCTTTTTGTCTTTCAGTTTGGTTTGAATTTTGTTTTTCCTTGTGATCCTGTTTGGTTGTTTGCTTGTTTGCTTGATGGTTTATTTTAATTATACACATCCCACCCCCTCTCTATAATCCAGGTGAGCATAGCAAGCAGGAGAGACCTTGAGCTGCTTAAGCTATGAGGCTGTGTCAGAGGCACCTCAGCCTCACTTCTATGCCACCTCAACTTGGTCACTTGCATTCTAAAAAATGTTCCTTTTGTCCAAGATTTCAAAACCTGCAAGTCAAAGAAAAGGGGGAAAAAACTCACTTATAAGGAATTGCGTATGTACAAAATAAAGTTCAACCATGACTGAGGAGCCATCTTTTTCCTACCATCAGGTCAGGGACATCCCAGAATATTAGAAATTGCCGAACCCATGAGAGTTGAGGAGCATTTCTCTTTATTATTCTGTACTCCAATGCCTAGAACAGTGCTTAGGCATTTAGTGTGCAGTCAGTACAATATTTTGGGAAGGAAGAATATAAAGAATATAAGGCATGGAAGGAAGAAGGAAGAGGGGTGGTTCTAAGAAAACCATCTAAAGAAAGATTGGTGCTGGAGTAAAGCATTCTAGAATCTTAAGGCCCTGGAGGTAGAAGAAACCATAAGAGACCACTAGTGTCTAGCCCTCTGCATTCACACAGATTATTTGAACCGCTCATCATTTCATTTTTGAGAATTCATGGGACAAAAGTGTCCATGGCTCTCGTTACCTCCCATTTTTATTGTCAGTAAAGTCATGCTCACACACTGGTCTGTAGCTCACACACTGGTCTGTAACTTATTGAAAATTTCCGGACAACACATCCAGGTTCACTATTCCCACCTGAGCCATCGATATGCCACTTAGGAAATTTACCTGTATTAATTTAGTCTTCAGAACAGCCAAACAACTGGTCAGTATTCAAAAGAGAATTCACTAAACCTAGTTGTATTGCCTTTTCCCTACTTCCTTGAATATGCATGACACCTAGATAAATCTCTCTATATAACAGTCTTGTTTATTTAGAGACAGGAAAAAGTTTCTTATAAAATTCTGATCAGCTGAGACTCAACAAAACTAAGAAAGTTTGCTTTGTGGGAACTAAGAAAAATTAAAATAGAAATGATCACAATTCAAATTACAAAAATTTTCAAGGGCTTCTCTGCATTCAAATAACATTCAGCCCAGTTTCCTACACCTTCTACAGCTGAAGCTTTGGACAATGGTAACAGTATATGAATGATCCACCTATGGCCCTGAAAGAGCCTTAGTGTATCAAGAATCAATGTTGATCCCAGACTTTCCATGGTAACTCAAGCAATATGGACACAGAGCCCTTGGAGGGATTTTAAAAAGGGAGTTGAAATTAAGAAAGTTCTCAGCCTACCCTTCAGAGAACTGAAGTACCTCATGAGACAGAATACCCAATTCCTTAACCATTCTGTAGTGCTTGAAGATAATGGTCACATCATTATCATTGTAGTGGTGGAAGTGGTGGTGGTGGTGGCCATAGCAGTGCCAGCTGTTAACATTTATTGAGTCCACTACACAGTGAACTCTATGTTAAAGTCTTTAGATGAATTAACTTATTTATTCATAACTTATCCTATTTAATCCTCAAAGCAACCCTGTCAGGTAAATGTTAATATTATACTTATTTTGCCAATAATGAAACTAAGGAAAAAGGATGTGAAGTAACTTGCTCATAGATCAGATGAGATTTCATTTCACCATAAAGCTCTCTGCCTTGCAAATATTACCCACTCTTTGGCCCTCTCTAAATCATATTCTAATACATGACATAGAAGATAATAGAGGGTAAGGTGTGAAACCAGGTAAGAGATCAGTTTCAAGTCAAAAGAACTCAACCCCAACTAATCCCCAGTTCTACAAATACAGATCCAAAACTTTCTCCTTCTCATGGTAAGTAAAGAACAGTACTTTTAGATGCTAAGGAAAGTATGGCGTTAATATGTAAAACTATAACTTACATGAAAATGCTTTCTTAATGACTGTTACATTCTGAAATATCAAATTAATCTATTCATAACTTACCATAACAAGGCAGGAATTAGGCAAGCACTTTATATCTATAAACTCTGTGATCTTTTGTCATCTTATTAAAATCAACATAATTTTGATTATAAGCCAGGGGTCCAGACTGCCTTCTAAATTGATAACGATATAAGATTAGCACCTCATTCTTTAAAATATTCATAGTTCATGCGAAAGCACGATTGTTGGCAGGATAATAATTGTCTTAATGAAGAAAAAGAAAGGGAAGGAAACAAACACTTACTGACCACCTGCATCATATTGTACTAGGTGCCTTCCACATACATTATCTCATTATGATGATAATACGTATTTCATATGGTTGTTCTGAGAACTAAATGAGCCCACATACATGAAAGTGCCTAGGGGTAGGCAGAGTAAAGGACCTGGCATTATCAATTACGCACCACGTTCCAGGTCCTGTGCTATCGCATACATTGTTTCCTTTAATCGTCACAACAGCTCTGCACACTTGGCCTTGTTATCCAGATTTCATGCATAAAGAGACTGAGCCTCAGATAATTTTTTAACTACTAACTAAGATCACACAGCAGTCCCTGAATTGGCTGAATTCTATATCCATGCTCTTACCACTTAATTAAAGGAGAGCAGAAGCCTTTTAACAGCACTTCATCATAGGGAGGAAGGGAAAGAATGACACCAATATGCACTCACTCGTTCATTCAAGAACCATGCCTTCAGCACATACTCTGTGTGAAGCACTGAGCTAAATTCTTTCCATAAATTGTCTCAGTAAATCTTCACAACACCACTAGCAGATGAGAACCAGGATTATCCCAATTTTGCAGATGAGGATATGGAGCTCAAGGAGGTTCAACTGTTGTGCTAGCCATCATAGAGCTAGGAAATGGCAGTATCTGGATTGAAAATTAAGTTTGTCTGTCTTCAAAGCCTGCACTCTTTCCAGAATATTGTGCTACTTCTAGAAGGCAAACTATGTTTTACTGTATGCAAAGCAATAGATTTTGGATCATCTTGTACACCACTAGGGAGCCCAGATTGTTGGTCCCCAGCAGTAGGGTTCTGTTAGGTGGACTGCCCTCTGTAGCCTAGGAGAGAAAGTGCCCTGTGTAAGGAGGAGATAGGGAGAATGCGGCTGAGGGTAGGGGGAGAAAGAAAGAGAGCTCAAAAATGCTAGTAACCCTGGAGATGGAAGGGACCACAAAAAACCACCAAGTCTAGCTACCACGAAATAGCATTTCTGAACCACCTGCTTAATCTTATACAAAAGATACATCGATGCCATCCTAAACCCAGGATTATTCTATGCACACTGGGTATTAGACCAGAGTGGGACATGATCCATGCAAAATCACCTTTACTACTAGAAATAGAACTCCATGGTACCTTCTGCTAAATAAAGGGCAACACAGGAAAGCCTAATGTAGAACAAATGGACTTAATGATTTCATAAGAAGATTATCTTCAAGGCATGAAGTTGCCTTTAAGATCAGTCCTCTGTCATTCAGCTCAGCAACTTCCCCTGTTCAACTCTACTAATATGTGGGCCAATGACAATACCTCTCAGTAGGCAATTCCCAGCCTACCTCCTTCCTTCGCTGGGGTCAGTGTTCATCCTCATCTCTTCTCGTAGCTACTCCCACACCCTCCACTCTTGCTCCAGTGCTCAATATTCTGCCAGCCAAGGATATGATTTTCTGAATTCAATCCTGAGCAAGCAAACTTACCTTTTCTATTATTTGAAAATGACCCCTTGGCTCTTCCCCCATATGGTCATCTTCCCATATCTGTGTCAGGGGAACAGAGCTGGAGGGCAGAGTTTCCACAGAACCCTTGCCTCGGTGAGCAGAGGACTGCCCTAAGGGATGGTTGGCCAAGAATGAGAGTCTGAAGTTAACAATGTCTATATGGAGTGTTCACGCTCTGTGGGACCAGTTATAATACTGCAGAGGGAAATGTGTGGTGCACCTGAAATCTCTGGGTGACCACTTCCCAAACACAGGCCTGGATCACAAAGAGGAACTGGGCCAGAAAGTAGGAGGTTTCCAAGCAAGGGACAATAACTATAGGGGCAATAACTATAGACTTCACATTGCAGAGGCAGTGTAATATAACAGGATACACATGGCCCCTGCAGCTGAAAATCTGGGTGACTTTGGGCAGTTACATAATCCCTCTGAGCTTCTGTTTCTTTATCTCTTTAAAGGCTGGGAGCTGGGTAAAAGAGGAGCTGAAGGAGGAGCCAGAGAATGACATTTACTGAGTGCAGACTTCCTTCCAGGCATTGTACTCTGCTTCACATAAGCACTCACTTTATCCTCCCCAAATTTCTTCAGGTTATGAATTATTATTGAAATAATAATGGACAATATAAGAGAGTGCCTGGCTCATAATACACTTAATAAATGTCAGCTCCTTTCCTTTTCAAATCTATAAGTAAATGGCAAGAACTTTAGTTCTCAGAGAGTACATCTATTCCACGTTGTCTCTAGCACTTGGTAATGCAGATTGAAGTGGCTTGAAGCAATCATTTTTAGAAGTAATCATAGAATTCCAGAGCAGAAGAGGCCTTAAAGATTGTTCACATGTAATTCTTCAATGGCTAGAAAAGGGAAATACTTACATTTTTCTGGCTCTGCAGCAAGGATTCAACCAGAATCAAGGTGTCCTATCTCCCAAGTGTGGGTGTTTCTGACTCCTCAGGAGCTGGCTCAGAAAAAGCCACTTTCGGCTGCATAAATGTAAAACACATGAAAAAATGCTCACCATCACTGGCCATCAGAGAAATGCAAATCAAAACCACAATGAGATACCATCTCACACCAGTTAGAATGGCAATCATTAAAAAGTCAGGAAACAACAGGTGCTGGAGAGGATGTGGAGAAATAAGAACACTTTTACACTGTTGGTGGGACTGTAAACTAGTTCAACCCTTGTGGAAGTCAGTATGGCAATTCCTCAGGGATCTAGAACTAGAAATACCATTTGACTCAGCCATCCCATTACTGGGTATATACCCAAAGGACTATAAATCATGCTGCTGTAAAGACACATGCACACGTATGTTTATTGCGGCATTATTCACAATAGCAAAGACTTGGAACCAACCCAGATGTCCAACAATGATAGACTGGATTAAGAAAATGTGGCACATATACACCATGGAATACTATGCAGCCATAAAAAATGATGAGTTCATGTCCTTTGTAGGGACATGGATGAAATTGGAAATCATCATTCTCAGTAAACTATCGCAGGAACAAAAAACCAAACACCGCGTATTCTCACTCATAGGTGGGAATTGAGCAATGAGAACACATGGACACAGGAAGGGGAACATCACACTCTGGGGACTGTTGTGGGGTGGGGGGAGGGGGGAGGGATAGCATTGGGAGATATACCTAATGCTAGATGACGAGTTAGTGGGTGCAGCACACCAGCATGGCACATGTATACATATGTAACTAACCTGCACATTGTGCACATGTACCCTAAAACTTAAAGTATAATAATAATAAATAAATAAATTTAAAAAAAAAAGAAAAAGAAAAAGCCACTTTCAACCCTGCATTAACAGAAGTGAAGGGCGGGATTCAGACTCTGGGTGGCTGCAGTTCATAAAAGCACCTTGTGGTTCAAGTACTGTTGCTCCTGAGGAGTTTCATAAAATGGCTTTGAAGCATGGGAAAAAGGGAGGGACGAAAGGGAAGGCAGAACCCACAGGTTTCACCAATTATGGGGTAACCAACTTGGAATCAACAGCAGAAAGAAAAGCAGAACCATGACCTCTGAACAGTCTTATCTTTGGGGATTAAGGAACTGCACAGAGTTCCACCTTTCCTGTGGGGTCTTGAAGTCCACTGCTCTCCCCCATGGCCTGGTTTGCAATTCCTACCACAAGTTGCTCCTAGCCATTATCTCTCAAAGGATCCTGTCAAAAGGATAATTCTGCTCCTGGAGCTGGAGCTATGCAGAATAGGTATTTCACAAATATTTGCTGAATAAACGAATCAGAGGCCCACCTAGGGAAGTACCCCTGCCCTCTCATCGGAACACAGGAGTAGGACTGAGTTTCCAAGGTAGCCTACGAGCATTGCTGACTAATTCAATTTCTCACTACTAGATCTCATTGCTTTCAATGGCAAAAAACGCGATTACTTTTGCACCAAACTAATACTTTCTAGTCTACAACAACAGACTTTCTCTGAAGGAGGCAAGCCTTTCTCCAAAATTTCAGTCTCTGTGCCCCATTCTGAAACTTGCCTAAAAGGATGGAAAGCAGACCTCCAGGCAGGTAAACATAAAATAATTGAGGCCAGAACTGCAATTCTTCAATAACTGAAGGGAAGCTGGGATGGGGAAAAAAGCCCCCTGCTCTGGTAACACCTCATCTTCCACTCACTCAAAAGAAAGGTGTGGAATTGTCCCAATCATCCCTCAACAGAACCCTATCTCTGTGGGAAAATGATCTGAGTAGGAGTTGGGGACAATCAGAAGGTAGCATGCGTTGTTGGTGTGGGAATAGAAAGGAGGCATTGATTGAGGGGGCAGCCTTTAAATATCAGAGCAAATTCCAGTCTAGCCTGTAATTTTCTCAGTGAACAAGCACCTCCTTTTGTTCACAGGCTTATCCTATAAGAAAGAGTCCATAGATTACCAAAGTCTTAAAATAATCCCAGAACCCTGATAAGTATGTGCATACAGACACAAACTCAAATGTTAACAGGACATACATACAGATTCAGTCACATACAAAAGGTAACAAAAAGAACCAGGCAGAAGCATACTATCATACAGATATAAATCCATGAATATACAGATAAAAACATACAAATGATCACACATACACACAACACAAATATACTTTCAGACTTAGAGTAGTCTGAGTTCCTGGGCTAATTAGACAAACGGAATTCTCCCAAAGTGGTAATGTGCCACTGCTCCCAGCCCTTTCTTTACTGGCCCCAGCATATAAAGTTTTCCCTAACTTGATCATTTAAAAACAAAAGTTGCTGTACAAATTCCCAATACAATTTACTGCCTATCCTTGGCAGCTGAAGTTTGAGGAATACTAGAGTGTTTACTTGAAAGTCACCATTCTCTGGAATAAAGTAAAACTCAGAGCTGGAAATAGGAAAATACCCCCACAAACCATATTTTTCTCCTTCACTGTATTAGTAAATGGCAAACTATTATCCCTGTGCCACACCCCATCGTCCCAGGATATTTTGTCAAGACTCAAAATTTTTCTGAACCAGGTTTCACTTTTGAATTGGCATTTTCCAAATCCTTACTCAAGTCCTGCTCCTGTTGAAGCAATGTCTTAGTCTGTTCCGGCTGCTATAACAAAATACTTTGGATTGGGTAATTTACAAACAACATAATTTATTGCTTACAGTTCTAGAGGCTGAGAAGCCCAGGATCAAGATGTCAGCATGGTCAGTGTTTGGTGAGGCCATGCTCTCTGCTTCAAAGATGGCACCCTTTTGCTGCATACTAACATGGCAGAAGGGCAAAGGATGAACACGCTCCCTCAAGCCTTTTTTATAAGGGCACTAATCCCGTTTATGAGGGTGGAGTCCTCATGACCTAATCACCGCCAAAGGCACCACCTCTTAATACTGTCACATTGGGGATTAGGTTTAATATATGAATTTTGGAGGACAAAGACATTCAGACCATAACAGTCAACTTCACATCTAACTTCCCTGAGGCTGCACTAGATCTGAGATAGTGATTAAGGCAAGATCAGAAAACTGAGGTCCTAAATCACGTGTGTGATCACTGTCCCAAGTCCTGGTCTGAATGGGAATTGATCTGGCAGCAACTTGACTTACATCGTTTTTGACAAGAACAGGGCTGGTAGTGCAGGGAACTTGTTTGCTTCCCTCTTTGGGTCACTATCATTACAAATGCCATACCTTTTTGCAGAGCTCTTTATAGTTTATAACTTGCTGTCAGAATTACTTCTTTTGATTCTTGAGACAGCTCTCTAAAATTATCCAAGCAGATTTAATGACCACCCTCATTTTAATGGTATAGAAAATGGAGTTCCATAAGATGTAGTGACATGCCTAAGGTCCACAAAGCTAATTGGTGTCAGAGGCATGTTTTGAACCTAGATATTTATGATTCTGCTTCCAATACTTTTAAAACTATACTACTACATTCTTTGCTGTCCTACCCTGTACTGTCACTGCCCCCCCCACACCCCACCACAAACACACACACACACACACACACACACACACACACACACACAAAGTCCTATTTTGGCTTTACCCTTTTCAAACTACATTCCAGAATTTTGCCCTCTCTTGTCCCCAGAAAACAACCCATTTTATGTCTCTTCATCCTAGACCATCTTCTCTATGCCCAGTAGACAATATTATCTCATTTAATCTTCAGGAGAAGTTACATAATTTGCCATAAATCCCACAGCCGATAAACGGTGGAGCCAAGATTGCAATTCAGAGCCATTGGACTTTAAATGTGCAAGCTCTTTCTGCAGCATTACACTGCCTTTCAGAGCTAATTTGTCAAACTAATCTGCTAATGGGCTAATGCCATACAAACACTAATCAAAAGAAGCTGGAATAGCTGTGTTTATTTTGTTATTGCAGTCAATGTTACACAAGAGGAGGTTAATACATTTTTTTCTAACTAAAGTTTATTGCTAGGACAGTAGGAACCTACTGTACATCTGGCTAGGTCTTGCGACACAATAAGAGAATAATATAATACAGTGGAATAAAGCACTAAATTGTACACATTTTAATGTCCTTTTGTAAATTGGAGGCAATAATAGGTTAAAAATAAGTTATAAGAGATACCAACAAGGGAGAAATTAAAGTTGGCTGGAATTACCAAGGAAGAAATTAGAGTTGAGCTTGACTAGGAATGATTTGGGAATTTATATAAAAAGGAAGAGGGCTTTCCATGCAAGAGGGGCAGCATAAAGAAATACAGAACAGGTTCGAACCCGTGTATGGGAACAATGAAAAGACTGCCTTAATTTCAACATAAGATACAGGTTAGGGAAGAGTTTGAAATAGTATGTCAATATACAGTTGCTGGTTGTTTCTGACACAAGGGGAGTTTGCATTCACATACATGCAATTTTCCATATGCCTACACTGGGTGTTCAAGTTTGGGGGAAGGGCTTCCCTGTCAGCTTTCTCAGACTCTTCTCTCCTATGAAGCAAAAGACTTAAGATGCTAGGGATAGGACAGGGACTCCCCTCACTCCCATGACAGTCAAAAATCTTATTACTTCTGGGGAGTAGTAGAACCAAAACGTGTCTGCCTCTGAGGAAAGGTTATAAACCCTCTGAGGGAGAGTATAAACTCTCTTGCACCCAGGACTCAAGAAAAATCTTTCCTGGGGAAAGAATATAAGCAAAACCCTCTCCTCCAGAGAAGGGGCAGAGAACTTTCTTAGGCACAGGATCCTACAAACATACCAAACATAGGTTTGCTACTACTGCGAGAGGGACAGGAAATTCCTATTCAAGAACAACCACAGTTACAAAGCAGAGTTTCATTGCCACTGTGAGGAACACTACTAAGCCCCATTTCTGAAGCTCATGTGTGCAAGTCCTGCTAGAGATTGAGACCGGACCATAACAGAGAACATGCCATTTCCCTATGAGCAGTGAGCACCAAATAACAAGCAAAAGCATTTTACTATTGGAGGAAGGGCAAGAACATGGAGAGAGAGTCCCCTCTGTGGCCCAGGCATGCAAGAGCAGCTGAAAGCTGAAGGGGAACTAGAAACACTGAGAAAAACTCTCTAGATACAATTTTAATTCCAAGCATATGGTAGCAGCAGCAGTCCACTAAGAGAATTTAAAACCTGTGGTGTACTGATGGTAATGATAGCACAAATCCCAAGGCTTGCTCAACTCCTGAGTGGGTTGGCTCAATTTCATAATTAAAAAGCCTTATAGAAGAAGACTGAAGGCCATTTCCAGGTATAGCTACTATTTACCTTAGTCTCTACTATTCCTCTATACACATTGTATGACATTAAATAAAAAATAAGGTACAAAAACAAAGGCAATAAAAAATCATCGATTGCCAGGAAATAAAGCAATCAATCAAACCTGATTTAGAGATGGTGCAAATATTGGAAAGATTACATAAGAGACTTTAAAATACCTACAATTAATATGATAACAGATCTAGCAGAAAATATGGAAATGCATGTATGAACAGATGGGAAATTTTAGCATAGCAATCAAAACACTAAGAAAAAGTGAAATGGAAATGCTAGAAAATTTAAAAACCCCACAATAAGAAAGTAATGCTGTAATAAAATTATACAGATGAATAATTGCTTTGATGGAGCTGTTAATAAATAAAAAAGTCAAAATAAGTTATTAATAAATAAATTTGATGGAGGGATTTCCTGTCCCTCTCCCAGTAGTCATAATACAGTCAAAGAAAGAATAGTAAACTTGAGGATAGGTCATTATAAATTATCCAAACTACAATGCAAAAGAAAGAAAAGTAAAAAGAATAAGTATCAAAAAGCTGTAAGACAATACATAGTTGACTAAAATACAAGTAATTCAAGTCTCAGAAATGGAAGGCAGAAAAAAATTGGCAGAATTATTTGAAAACATAATGACAGAATTTTCCAAAAATAATGAAAGACTATATACTACACATTCAAGAAGCTGAGAGGAACAAGTTGTGAATAAACACACACACATTCACACACACCAACATAAAGATAGAAAACCAACTATAAAAAAAATATTAATGGTAAAAAGACACAGTAAATACAGAAGAACAAAATCAGAGTCACAGTGGATTTCGAATCAGAAACTATGCAATCCAGAAGACAATTAAGTGGCATCTTTACAATTGCAAGAAAAATATGTCAACCCAGAAATCTACACTTATTGAAAATATTTTTCAAAAATGAAGGGAAAATGAAGACTTTCTCAGATGAACAAAAGCTGAGATTATTTACTTCTAGCAAGCAAATGCCATAAGAAATGTTAAAGGAAGTAATTAAGGCAGAAAATATATGACACCAGATGGAAACTTGGATCTATAGAAAGTAATGAAAAGTGCCAGGAATGGTAAAAATAAAACTAAACATAAAAGGCATCCTTTGAATATTTTAATCTCGATAAAAGATAACAGACAGTTTCAAGATAAAAAATAGTAACAATATATGGTGGGGTTTGTAACACGTATAAGCGAAATGTATGGCAACAATGGCACAATAGATGTCAAGTAGAAATTGTAAACATTGGTGTAAGGTTCTTATACTATATGTGAATTTGCATAATATAATTTAAAGTTGGGCTTAGATTAAATAAAGATGTATATTGTAAACTATAGTAAAGCCAATAAACAAAATTTTGAAAAATGGCATAAACAAGTCAATAGAGGAGATAAATTGGAATCATAAAGATTATCCAATTTATTCCAAAGGAAACAAGAAAATAAATGAACAAAGAAAAGATCAGATGAACAAAAAGTAACTATCAAGGTATAGATGTAAATGTAACAATATCAATATTTCCACTAATTGTAAATGATCTGAAGACCCACAGAACAGTTCAATCTTTTCAGATTGGCTGTAAAAGCAAGACTCAACTATATGCTGTTTAGAAGAAACATCAATAGATGAAAAGTAAAATAAAAATAAGATATATCATGTAAATCTTAACCAAAAGAAAGATGGAATGGTTATATTAATTAATATCACACCAGGAACACTTCAGAATAAGTAATATTACCACCAGAGATGATTATGATGTTTTCTTAACAAATTGAATTATATATCATTATTAAATTTGTTAAGAAAACATCATAATTTTAAATGTGTGTGTACCTAGCTATAGAATTTTAAAATACATTAAGCAAAAACTGTTAGAACTAAAAGGGAACAAAGATGAATACACTATTACAGTTGGATACTTCAACATTTTTCTTTCATTTAATAATAGAACAAGTAGACAAAAATAAACAAGAATATAGATCTATACAACACTATCAACAAAATTGACATAACTGACTTTTATAGAACACTCCAGCCAACAGTACAATATGTATTGGTTTCAGGTGCACATGGTGCTTTCAACAAAAATGGCCTATTTTCTGGGCCACAGGAGACACAATAAATTTAAAATAATTGAAGTCATAGAAAGTATTTTCTGACTACAACAGAATTAAACTTGAAATTGTTATTCCAGAAATACATAATTAGGTGGAAAGTAAACAACACTATTCTAAAAAAAAAAAAGGGTCAAAGAAGTAGTTATAAATGAAATCATAAAATATGTTGAATTTAATGAAAATTAAAACATATCAAAATATGTGGGACACACATAAAACATGCTTAGAGAAAGATTTTTTAGCAGAAAAAGCTTATGTCAGAAAAGAAGAAAGCTTTTAAATCAATTATCCAAACGTCTAGTTTAAGAAACTAGAAAAAAGAGCAAAATTAGATTCTAAAGCGGGAAGAAGGTACGAAAATACAAAGACTACAAATCAATGGCAGAAAAAACAGAAAAGCAATAAAAATTAATGAAGCCAAAGCCTGGTTCTCACACAAGAACAATAAAATTTATGAACCTCAAGCCAGATGGATCAAGAAGAAAGAAAAGAAGACACAAATTACCAGTGTTAGAAAGGAAGAAAGGGCATTACTACAGATCTTACAGAAATTAAAAAATATAACGAAGGACTATTTTGAACAATTTATGCCAATAAATTTGATCATTTAAATGAAATAGACAAATTCCTTGAAAGGCACTACTGTTGCTCACTCAAGAAAAAAATCAACAACTTCAATTGTCCTATATCTACTACAGAAATTAAATTCATAGTTAGAAACATCCAAACAAACAAACAGAAACAACACAAAAACTTCAGTCATGTGTGTCTTCAGTGGCAAATTCTTCCAAGCATTTAATGAAAAAAATCACATCAATTACAAACAAACTCTTCCAGAAAAGATAAGCCTAAGAAACATTGTCCAGAACATTGCATTAATACACCACCATTACTCTGATATCAAAACTGGACAAGGGCATCACAAGTCAAGAAAAGTACAGAAAAATATCCCTCAGGAGCAAAAATGTGGAAAGCCTTAAGGAAATCTTAACAAGCAGAATCTAGCAATATATACTAAGGAAAATACATCATGACTGTGGTAGGCAAAATAATGGTCTCAGAAAGATGTCATGTCCTAACCCCCAGAACCTATGAATATACATATTATATTATTATATATGTAACATATAAGTATATTACATAAAATATATTTATGTAATTAATAATATATAAATACATTCTATATAAATATATATAGAGAGAAAAAGTTAGATGGCTAAAAAGTACTAATGTTTCATATGGAATGTAAATTTTGTATTCCAGTGATCTTAAAATAGGACAATTATTCTGGATCATCCAGTGAACCCAGATAAATATACAAGGCCCTTAAATGTAGAAGAGGGAAGCAGAAGAAAAGTCAGCATCACAGCAATGTGACATGAGAAAGACTCAACTGGCCATTGCTAGTTTTTAAGATGTAAAGGGGTTACAAGCCTAGTAATGAGGACAGCTTCTAGAGGCTGGAAAGGGCCAGAAAACAAATTCTCCCCTAGAGATTCTAGAAAGAAACACAGTTCTGTCAACACCTTGATATTAACATAATAACCCGAGTCAGATTTCTGATCTACAGAGTTGTAATATAATAGAGTTGGGTATTTAAAGCCCTTTAATTTATGGTAATTTGTTACAGCAATAATATGAAATTAATACATGGGCCTTAATGGGCGGGACCAAGAATTAAAGCTGAGATAAGCCATTATGAGGTTCCATTCAACCTTTCCAAGTTTAAGAACAGGCCAAATTGGACTGTTAAATGGAGAAGTGATGGGGATAATTACCCTTTTTCTAAATAGATCTCATGATGATTTTCAGTCATCTACTTAGATTTATATAGAAAAATGGTGATTGAAATCATCCTTAAAAATGATTTTCAATTTTTAAAGGCCTTGTTTTATATTGGGCTATACTGTCTAAAATAGCCAATACAATTTTGAAAAATAACAACATTGGAAGACTTACATTGCTTGCTTCCAAGACTTAGTGTAAAGTTACAATGTCAAGAAAAAATGATAGATCAATGAAACAAAACAGAGTCTAGAAAGAGATCCAAAATACATATGATCGACCGATTTTCTACAAAGGTGACTAAATAAGTAGTGATGAAAGGATAGTATTCTCAGCAAATAATGCTGGAACAATAGGACCACCACAAGCTAAAAATGAGCTTTAACTTATAAGCTGTACCATATTTAAAAACTGACTCCAAAGGGATCATAGTTGTAAATGTTAAACCAAAACCTATAAAACTTGTGGGGAAATTTAATGTGATCTGGGTTAGGGAAAGATTTCCTAGAAAGGACTCAAAAAACACAGACAACAAAAGTAAATTTAATAAATTTGACTTTATCTTTCCAAGCCTCTACTCTTCAAATGGCACTGTTAAGGAAATAAACAGGCAAGCCACAGGCAGACAGAAATATTTTCAGAACACATGTCTGATAAAGGACTTGTATCCAGAATATATAAATAACTCTCACAGCTCAATAAGAATAAAACAAACAACCCAAAGAAAATTTGACAAGTTTCAAACAGACAATTCAAGATATCCAATATAATTTTTCTTTAGAGAAATTCATATTAAACCCACAGTAAAATAGCAATACACATTTTCTAGAATGTTAAAAACAAAACAAAGCAAAGATTACTGACAATACCTGATGATGTTGCAGAGCAACTAAAACGTATATACATTGCTGTTGGCAAAGAAAATAGTATAGCCCCTTTGGAAAACAGTTTAGTAGTTTCTTATGAATTTAAACAAATAACTTATGATCCAGCCACCTCACCCTTATGTATTTATCCAAAAGAAATAATAGCATACGTCAACAAAGACTTACATGAAAATACTTACAGCAGATTTACTCAAAATAGCTAACAAAGAAGGATAAACCCAAATTTCTATCTACTATGGAATGGATGATTAAATTGTAGTACATTTACAGAATGGAGCAATACTACCAATGAAAGGAGTGAACTACTGATACATGCCACAACATGTATGAATCTCAAAAGCATTGTGCTATGTGAAAGAAGGACACAAACGGCTATATATTCCATGGTCCAGTTATCTAACTTTCAAGAAAAGGGAGAGAAATTAAACTAGTGGTTGTGGGAGTGAGAATGGATGGAGGGACTGACTGCAAAGGCTGTCAGTGGGGTGATATGGGTTGATGAGAATATTCCATGTATTCATGTGGTGATGGTTAAATGACTGTATGTTTTCTGAAACTCAGAACTGTAAACCTAAAAATTAGTAAATTTTACTATATATACCTTAATAGACCTGATGGAATGCATTTTAGGCTCTGGAGCAAGCAACGGGATAAAAGGGCCCTGTATAGAGATTACATTTTTGCAGGATAGATTAGAAAGAAGGGCAGAGATTTGGTAGATCTGTTGGGGGATATTGAATAATCAGGGTGTTAGGTGATGAAGGACAATAAGAGCTATCTTGAATATTTGAAAAGTTGTCATTTTGAAGAAAGTTCAAACTTATTCTGCGTGGCTCCATAGAGTAATAAGAAACAGCTAGAGCTTTTCCGACATGTACCACATGTGTATGTTAATGAGCTCTGCATCACAAAAAATAAGTAAACTGGGTATCCACCAGTTTGCGAGGCTACAGGCTGCAGGGAGTTAAATAGCAGAAGGAAGAGAAACAGGAAGGAATTTTTAACCTTTACGTTAGCTTCCCTCAGTCACTCCACATGTTTTGCACAGAGGTTCCTATTACGTTCTAATTTCTCCTTTGGAAGCCAGATCCCCCAGATAACCTAGCCTCAGGTAGTCGAGAGAATTTGAACAGATTAGTCTCTGCTCACCAATCTTTGCTCTTTAGAGCCTGAGATAAACTCATGTAGAAGCATTTACCTCCATCAAAGATGTAGAAACCCAGCAGACAATGGCTCAAGGTGGGTCCTAGGCAGTTGATTTAATCAGCTGCAAAGGGTAAAAGTGGCAGCAGGCGTGGTTTAGAGTCCTGGAACATGACCAATATCCAGTTTTTCATTGGTTCAATGAAGAGGCAGCTTTTCCTCTACATTCTGCATTCAGATAGAACTATAGTTCCTCAAGTCTAAGTCAGACTAGTGCAAAGTTTTTGGTGGCAAACATGGGAAGATAGCTCCTTTCTTCAAATAGTGCCCAAATTTCTGAAGCAGTATTTTTTTTTTCTTTCCTTGATGGCTTGGGAGGAAAGTCTCTCACCTCCCACACCCCCATTTTTGAAACTATCTGCTGGAAGGTGATTCCCAGTGTTCAGAAGTAAGAATTCCCTATCTTCTATATAACCAATATTTTCCAAGGAAACCATTATATATGTCCTGCCTCATCCCAGCTCTATTGGGGAATTTCAGGTGAAATTTGTTTTTTAATGTCAACATAGTTATGAAATGACAAAAGCACTAGAAAGTCCCCAGCCAAACATCCCTTCTCCCTCTGGAAGTATTATGGGCTATTCTAAGGATACTGACACCATGGGATTTCAACTGAGGTCACTGCATTTGTGTTATCTGCTGTTCTTCCCCAGGTCCTTTTGCAGCCTATTAAAATCTCATTCACAGGTTTTCCAAGGTATAAACAAATTCATTGTTGTCTTCTATGGCATCATCAAACCTATGCTCCACACCACCTCTA
Source organism: Homo sapiens (assembly GCF_000001405.40). NCBI lineage: Eukaryota > Metazoa > Chordata > Mammalia > Primates > Hominidae > Homo > Homo sapiens. Next base: position 131,180,380 of record NC_000023.11, on the reverse strand, counting down.
CAACTTGCATCAAAGATGTGAAAAGTCCCTTTAGGAAGCAGGTGATTTTGACTCATACACCAAGACATATTGCATGAAGCTCATGTATATCTGGGAAACCAAGCATCAGATAATTCACTTCTGTACAAACAGACACCTACAACCCCTCAGCACCACGCCAAACACTTTCAGGACTCAAGACATGGTCCTAGCTCTTAAGGAAGATGCAATCTAGTTGGCAGTGGGGAGAGGAAGGAAATATAAGTATACAAGTAATAATATAAAAACAAAAATATCAGCAGAATATAGTAAGTGCTACATACTTACTCTACAGAGAAAGAGAAAGAATTCACTTCACATTGATAAGGTGGGTTCATGTGAAGCTTCAGGAAGAAGTTGACAACATTGGAAGTGATATTTTCAGCATAAGAATTCAGAGACTTGGATAGGAGGATAAAGCAGTGGAGGGTCACTCTAGGTGAGGGTAACAGAAGAAACAGAAGCATGGACTGGCAAAGAGAATGATACAAAAAGGGAGAGAGATCTCCTTTGAGCAGAGAAGGAATGTCAGGATGATTGAGAAGAGAGGATAGAAAACATAGCACTTATCCCAGCCAGGAATTGTCATTTTGGGAACTCTGGAGCCAGACTTCCTGGATTCAAATCCTGGCTCTGCCACTTAACTGGCTGTGTCACCTTAGGCAAGCTGTATAATTTCTCTGGGTCTCCATTCTCCAACCATAAAATGGAGAAAATAATGGTACCTATACCTTATACAGTTATTTTTGAAGATATAAGAAGTTAAACCACGGGAAGTAGTTGGAACAGTGTAAGCATGCAATAAACGTTAGCTATTATCATTGTTCTCTTTAATTTTCCCATCACTTAATAGAGAGAACTTCTCTATGTAACTCACCATTTCTGACTTCTGTTTATACTTACAACTACTTGGGACACATAGCATGAGACCAGCCTATGTTCAAAGTATATATGAATATATGTGATTAAATGAGTGAATGAGTAATGAATGTATGAATGAATTGCACTGGGATCCTTTTTATATTAGAGTCCCTGATGTAAAATCTATACTAAAGCCAAGATTCTTCCTGTGCAGCATATGCTTCTGTTCAACATATGCTGACTTCAGATATGTGTGTTTCCATTTATCCAGTCTTTGGGAGGCAGTGCTGGGGCTGGATGTGTACAGGATTCATGAATGCAGCCAGGGATGAGAGAACAGAAAACAGACCAATGAATAGGAGAACTAGGTTTGAATCCTGGTTCTGCTATGATCTTGAGCAAGCCATTCTACTTATAAGCCTCAGGTTTGTCATATCGAAAATGGGAATGATTCATGATGCCTACCTTTCAGAATTCTGGTAAGAATCAAAAGACATAAATCAGGTGACAGTTCTTGGCATTCCAAATGAGTTTTCTTCCCAGTTTAATGTACTGATAACTGATATTAAAACAGGCTTGCTGATTTTCCTGGAGTTTGACATACAGTAGGTACAGGGACACTAAATCACCACAGAAGCAGGCAGGGTAAGGATTTTCTGGTGGACACTCAGACACTTCAGACAACTGAGAACAGTGACTGCTTTCCATATTGCTTTCTACACAGTCGCCAGCCTGTTATGGCCTGAAGCTATTTGTGACTCAGTGCTGTGCTTCAGCCTGTTATTTTCTCAGTACCTGGCAGGCGATAGGGGATCAATAATGTTTGTCGAGTTACAGATCCAGTCTTCCACCACTCATATCATTCTCTCTCTCTCTCTCTCTCTCTCTCTCTCTCTCTCTCTCTCCTCCCAGCCTGCCCCCTGCTCCATTCATACATTCATTCAACAAATACTGCCTACCAATTGAGTGTCAGGCCCTCTGCTAGGCTCTGACAGGCACTGCTGTAGTGCTGATTGCTTTCTCATTCTATTTCCAGTCTCTGTCACTCAACCTCTTCACCCCATCACATACACATGCACTGTTTCTTACATTATTGCTGTGATGTTATACTCCTTTTATCCTTTCCCTTTTTCTGTATCTCCATCTGCCCCAGCCCAGTCAATGACTAACCCACTTCAGATCTGCTCAGCCCACAAGCCCTCAGTTTCTGGCCTCTTATCCCTTTTCTGAGCCCCACCTAGTCCCCAGAGACAGCTCCCCTCCTGGAGGAATTGGCACAGACATCTCAAGGGCAGGTCTGCCCGAAGCCCAGACAAGCAGGTGACTTCCCAGTAGCCCTTCCTGAAGGCCACCTCTTAAACTTCTAGAGTCTCTAGGGAAACACCAGGAACTTCCAGAAAGGTCCTTTCTACTCCCACTTCCCACTTATGTCCCAGATATGCCTTGTCTGACTTGCACCTCCCCATCTGGAATTTCCTGGTTCCCCTGGGAGGTGCTCAAACTATTGTTTTATTCATAGTTTCACTCAACCAAAATTTTGTATGCACTTACTTCTCTCAAGATTTTTTCCATGCATTATCTCATTTAATCCCCAAAACAACCCATGAGGTATTAATATTGTCTCCATTTACCAATGAGGAAACCTAGGCTCAGAGAGATGACATGACTGTCCCAAGGTCTCACATCTAGTGTGTGGCAGAGTAGATTCAGAAATTTGAATCTCCTCCTTACTAAGTATGTCTCTCCTCCAGCCCTCACTCATCAGTGGACACCATGTTATGAAATTGAGTGACAAACACACAGTGGTTAGTGGCTGAAGAAACAATGCCAGTTTTTATGTTCTAGAGATCTTGCATTTACAAATGTCAATCTGATTTCTCTTCTTGAATGCCTTACAAAAATCTCAAACTCAAATATCACAAACTGAACTCAACATTTCCCCAACTCCTCTTATTTCCTCTGCTCAAGCTAGTTCTTTTCTGCTCATATCCCCTGTATTAGCTAATGGCACCATTATCTACCAAGTTCTGTGAGCCAAAATAATACCCATGAGGCCTCCCATGACCTTCTCTCTCCTTTACACGTCCCCAACCTGGTGCCCTCCACACCCGATCCTTAGCCCATTTCTATATCCCCAATGCCAGGCTGTAATTCTGAGCCTTGTTACTTCTTGCTTTCACTTTGGAAAACCTCTCTACTCATGATTTATTTCAAATCTCTTTCATTGGCTTCTGATCATTGATCCAAATGCTTAACGTTAGAGTACCTTGGAGCTCAGTCCTTAGACCATGACTCTATCTTCAGTTGCTCCTTTACGATCTCATCCAGTTTCATGATGTTAAATATAATTGATGAGCCATCAGCTCCCCAGTTTTTAGCTCCAGACTGGATATCTCTCCTAAACTACAGATTCATATATCCAATTGCCTATTGGTTACCTACACCTGGATATCTAATAAACATGTTAAACCTAATATACTCCAAACCAAACTCCAGATCCTCCATAAATTCCAAGGCTGCCTCTATCTCAGGCTTCCCAATTTTGGTAAATGGTGATTTTAGTCTTCTTGTTGCTCAGGTCTTGATCCTTAGAACATAGAAAACATACTCTTGCCACAAGGTATTTCCACTTGCTATTTTCCCCATCTATTTAATAAAATGTTCTTCCATTGGATATGTATTTTATGCACTCCTTCATCTCATTCAAGTCTCTATTCAACTGGCACCTTAGCAGAGATGACTTCCCTGATCACTCTATATAAAATGACAGAACCTCTTCCCCATCACACTCTACCCCTTATTATGCTTTATTTTTCTTCAAAGCATTTATTACTACCTAACAAATTACATATTTGTTTGTTTCTTTGTTTATAATCCATCCCAGTCCTCTAGAATATAAACTCCCTGAGTACAGGGAATTTGATTTGTTCACTGTTATATCTAAAGCACCTAGGAGGATGCCTGGGACATAATAGGTGCTCAATAAATATTTGCTAAATTAATGGATAAATGAAATAAACAAGTGAGTACATAGATAATTATTTATGCTCTGCATTTGTAGGCTTTCAATCACTTGCTGATGTTTCCTCTGCCTGGAATGCCTTTCTCCTACCCATGGAAATTTTACTCCATTCTCCTAAATTCTAGCTCAAATATTGTTTCTTCTATACAACTCCATCCAACTCCCCCCACTCCCAGGCAGAATTAATCTCTGCTCTAACACTATATGCTAGTGCATATAATTCTCTACTGCACTCATTACCTTCTGCCTTAAGTTTGAGTTATCTACATATCAGGCTGATCTCATGCCTAAACATTGAGCTCTTTAAAGTATGGTATTCTCCAAAGTGTCTAGCATAGTGCCTGGAATATTGTTAAATTGAATGGAAGGAAACTAAATGCTTATTATCAAAGTAGACAACTCCAATTAAGGATAATTAGCCTTGAGAATGGCAGTGTTACCAGCAACTCAATTAATGAACTCTAACTGCTCTTCCCAGACATAGACATTAGCTGGTATTCAGCTTTGGGCTGTAACATGTATGGATTTCTTCATTGTTAGCTTTAGGTCTGTGAGCTGTTGCTTCTGCCTGAGCTATGCTAGTGCTTTATATGCCTCCTTCTTGGGGCAGCTGGTATAAACCCTAGGGAGACTGGAGCAGAGGCCACGCTTTCTTCATCAGGCTTGGGGAGGTTCCCTACTGAGAAAGAATGTCTTTCTTCTCAACCTTGGGGTTACTTAGAGTAGGTGGACAATGTCTCCCTAATAAAATTGGGAGATCTTTAGAGTAAGGAGACAATGATTTTTCTGTCATGCTGGGGACATATCAGGGTACCAAAAATTTCTCTGTGCAGACAAGGAACCTGTTGACCATATCTTCCTAAAAATTGAGAGCTTTTTAGAGTAAAGAAATTATGTTTCCTCTATCAGAATTAAGGTTCCACAATGTGAGAGTCTGAACAGCCTATATAGGATGGGAGAACCATCACTTATAATCTCATCAAGTCTCATGGCTTTAAATATCTACATGCTGAAAACTTCCAAACTAGTATCTCCTTCCCAGACCTTTCCACTAAGTTCCAGAACTCTTCATCCACTTATTTAATCAACATATACATTTAGATGTCTAATAGAAATTTCAAACTTGACATGTCCATCAAAAAACAAGCAAACAAACACCTCCTGATCTTTCTCTTCAAAAGTGCCCCTTCTTCAGTTGATGGCAACTTTATTCTTCCACTTGGTCAAGTCAAAACCTTAAAGTCATCCTTGACTCTTCTTTTTCTCTCACATCCACATCTAATCTGTTAGGAAAAACTGCTGTCTCTATGTTCAGTATATTCCCAGTATACAATCATTTCTCACCATCTCCACTACTACCATTCTAAGTCACAACTTTCAATTTTATGTTGAAACAGCCTCTGATTGATAGCCCTGCTTCTGTTGTTGCCTATAAGTTCCTTCTTAACAGAGCAGGTAAATGATCTTTTATTAAAAAATACATAGGCCAAATCATTATACTCCTCTGTTCAAAACAGTACTTTGGATATAAATATTTTTACTGTGGTATGTGATGGTTAATTTTGTGTATCAACTTGATTTGGCTAAGGGATGCCCAGATAGTTTGTCAAACATTATTTCTGGGTGCGTCTATGATGGTGTTTCCAGGAGAGATTGACATTTGAACTGATAGACTGAATAGAGATCACTTTCACCAATACAGTGGGCTCATCCAATCCATTGAAAGCCTGACTGGAACAAAAAGGCAAAGTAAGTGTGAATTTACTTCCTGTTTGATCTGGGACATCCATCTTCTCCTGCCCTCAGACATCAGTGCTCCTAGTTCTCAGGCCTTCAGACTCAGACTGACTTGCATCACTGACTTTCCTGGTTCTCCAGCTTGCAGGTGGTAGATTATGAGACTTCCAGTCTCCACAATTGAGTGAGCCAATTTCTACTCTCACTCTCTCTCTAGGTGGTTTTTTCCTCTGGAGAATCCTGACTAATTAATACATGGTAAAATATATGTAACATAAAATTTACCATTGGTGAATTTTAGTAAATTCACAATGTTATGTCATCATCACCACCATCTAGTTCCAGAACATTTTCATTGCCCTAAAAGGAAAATCGATTCCCATTAAGCAATCACTCCCCATTCCCCATTCTACCCAGAACCTGACATTCACTAATCTTTCTGCCTCCATGGATTTGCCTATTCTAAACATTTCATATAAATGGAACTACATGATATGTAGCCTTTTGTGACTGGTTCCTTTCATTTAGTATGATATTTTCAAGGTTTATCCATATTGTAGCAGTCCTACAATGTACAGGAATTAACTTCATTTCTTTTTATGGTGAAATAATATTCCATTGTATGGATATACTACATTTTATTTATCCAGTTATCTTTTGTTAGACGTTTGAGTTGTTTCTACCTTTTGGCTACTGTAAATTATGCTGCTATGAGCATCCACGTACAAGCATCTATTTTCAGTTCTTTTGCGTATATACCTAAGAGTAGAATTTCTGGGTCATATGGTAAGTGTATCTTTAATTCACTGAGGAACCAACAAACTGTTTTCCATAGTGGCTTGATCTTAATTTCACCGAGAGTAAACTTTCATACAATAACCTAAAAGGCCCTACATGATCTGGCCCATCATATATTAACTTTGTGACCTCATCTCCTCCCAATTTCCCCCTTAATCACTCTGCTTTAGCCATGCTGGCTTTCTTTGCTGTTCGTAAAACTCACCAGGCACACTCCCACCTCAGGACCTTTGTACTTGCTCTCTCCTCTGCCTCAGACACACTTCCCCAGATATCTCTCTGTGATGCTCCTTCATTTCCTCCATGTTTTTTGCTCATATTTCACCTTATCTTTCTAGGCAAAACTGAAACCCTAGTGCCACCCCAGCACTCCTTATCCCCCTCTCATGTTAGTTTGCTAGGACTGCCATAACAAAGTGTTACAAACTATGCAGCTAAGACTATGAAAGTTTATTTTCTCACAGTTCTGGAGACTGAAAGTTTGATATCAAATAGGTTGGTTTTTTCTGAGACCTCTCTCCTTGGATTGTAGATGACTGTCCTCTCCCTGTGTTTTCATATGGTCTTCTTGTGTACATGTTCATGTTCAAATTCTCTTTACTTATAAGGACACCAGTCATATTGGATTAGGCCTGCCCCCAATGACCTCCCTTTAAATTAATTTTTGAAGCCTTTATCTCCATATATAGTCACAATCTGAAGTACGGGAAATTGGGACTTCAACATATGAATTTTTGAGGGACACAATTCAATTCGTAACACATGCTTATATTTTTCATTTCATATTTTTCCTTAGCATTTATCTTTATCAAACATACTATATGTTTTACTTACATATGGCATTTACTGTTTATTGTCTTTCTCCTTCACTAAAATGTAAGCTCAATTAAATCAGCTACCTATGTCTATTTAGCTCATCAACATATCCCAAATGCTTAGAACAGTGCCTGGAACACAGTGGGGCCCTCAATAGATATAACTTGGATGAATAGCTATTTCCTTCTCCAGACTGGGGGTTGCTGAAGACTGAGACTCCTTAGAGTATAAAAGCTATCTCTCCTTTTTCAACCAGGCCTTACATCGTTGTTGGAAACCACATATCCTCCTGACTGGGCTGTGATTCTTGTCTCATTAATTACCAAGAGTAGTGTGTTTTGCTAAATATGAAATCACTCATTGTAAGTCCAATGCTAAAAGAAAAAAATCAATGCCTGGTGAATAAATTCTCTTTAATGGGAGTCATGTTAACAAAACTGTAGATTTATTACCTAAGCATCTACCCTCCCTGCTTTGATACTGAGCTTCTGATGTTAATTTGATTCATTTATCTCTTACCAATGTACAAAGACTGCTGAGCTGAGGAACATTTTGGGGCAGTGTAAAATGTGTTGGACAAAAACTAAATAAAAATGAAATCTGTGTCCCACACCCCCAACTTGTTTCTACTATTTTGTGCAACCTTGGGCATACTGCTTCTCCTCTGAGGGACTCAGTTTTCTTACATGCAAAATGAGAGAGTAGGAAAAAATTTCTTCCATGTTCCTAGTCTTACTGGCTGCCACCATCATTTACCCAGTTCCTTAGGCCAAAATCCTTACAGTAACCCTGGATTTTGGTTTTTGCCCTCACCCTTCATCCATCAATGAGTCCTATCATGTCCTGTCCATTCTGTATCCCCCAAATATATCTCCCATCACATATATATCCTCCATCTCCACTACTACTACTCTGGTGTAAGCCAACTTCATCTCTAGCCTCAACTACTGCAAGTATCTCTTATCTGATGTGCCTGCCCTAGTCCTTTTAAAACATCACATCCAAATATATCATTGTCCATTTTAAAATCAGTCAATTGTCCCTATTACTCTCAGGAAAAAAAAGTCCCATAATCTAGAGTCTACAAACTCTCGTGACTTGGTTCCTGCCAAACTCTCTAGCTTCTTCCCTATCCCTCGTGCTTCAGCCCTAAGGTACCCTGGACACTAGGATCTTGCTTAGGCACCATAGCCTGGATGTGGACTCCCACCCATAACTCTTATCAGCAACACACCCATGCCTCTCCTTTTCATAACACCAACACCCACTCATCTGCCAAAACTCACCTCAGGTGACATCTCATGAAGAAATTTTTCCCTTTATTCCTACTTTGAACCAATTGCCTCTGATTTGTGCTTCCACAGAATCCTGCATCCAACTATAACAGGACTACCTCTTTGCATTGTAACTATTTGGTCACCATTCTCCCCGATGAGACTATCAACTTCTCAAAAGCAGGAATAATATCTTGTTCATCTTGGTATTTCCAGTGCCGAGCCCTAGTTACTTACACAGAGTAGACACTCAGAAAGTAAACTGGAAAAACCCCAAAGTTCCCTTCCAGGATAAGTGGATAGATCCATAAACTAATAAATTTGACCAAATCATAAAACTTTGGTTCAAGCCCCCATTGAGTCTTTTATTAACTGTGTAACTGAACTGCACCTGTGTTGGATAGACACTAATTAATAATATTTAGTGGGTTTGTACTATGTGCCAGACACACTGTGTTGGGTGCCTTGCCCAAAACATCTCATTTAATCCTTACAAACAACCCACTGAGATAGATATTATCATCTTTACTGTTTAAGAGATGAAGAAACAGACTTCGTGCTGACAAGCAAACTGATCAAGGTCACAGAAATTGGGATATGGAGTGCTGAGGAGTCTCTACAAAGATGTAAAGAGGCACAAAGTCATCTTGCCTCCAAGTTGGGAGTATTGGTGGTAAAATATCAATAACAAGTTGTGACATCTGGAGTGGAGTGGGCAATAGCTACAGTGGACACATGAAGCTTTGATGTCTGGCAGCCAGCCCTGGTACTGCTAGGGCAAATCTGCTAAAAACTTGAGGAAAGTGTTAGAATGGGTGAGGGAAAGCAAGAAGGAGTTTTATATTCCTACTATGGCTTATTTTCTGACTCACAGCTTTAGGTTATTGGGTGATAGGGCATCAGCTTATAGTTCTGCCTCCTTTTCCTTTTCTTCCTTAGGAGAATGTAGGAGAATGTGTGTGTGTGCATGCGTGTGTGTGTGTTTGTACTTGGTGGTGGGAGGAAATAGGTATTGTTAGTTGAGTCTAACTATATATTAAATGTATTTGTGGCCCATGGTTGGAGTTATTCTTCTTTGCATTAGCTACCAATTGCCTCTCTCCTGCCCCTTCCTTGGCTCCCCTGAATCACTGAACTTCTTGGGCACCATGTTCTCCAAAGCCACAAGGAGCCTCTGGAAGAGGCCATCTCCAGTTTTTCCTTCCCCCGAATGTCTCAGGGTTTCTAGCATGAAGTAAGAGCCATCAACTCTAGGACCTGGCAGAGATTCACAAGAAAAATCTGCCACTGGTATCTGATTTGGGGCTGAGAATATCTTGAGGGGATCATTCTCTATAGTACCCTGGGATGAAACTCCAAGACAAAAGGAAAATTGTGGACCTCTGATAACAACAGTTTGTAGAATAAGACCCTTTCTTTAGGAAGACACAGCTTAAAGCTCCTCATCAGAATGTCTGATGTATCAAGCAGAATGCAAGGGGGGATCTTTTAGCCAGGCACCCTTATACAGAGAAAAACTTGCGCAACTGTTTGTAATGGATCTCATCCCCACAAAGGCTCCTCACCATTTCACAGAAATCTGGCTATTTTCTTATTTTTGTGCCTTTATTCCCTCTGCCCAGAATGACTTTCCTCCTCTGCTCAGCCTATCAAACTTCTACTTATCAATTAAACCTTCACTCAAGTGTCTTCTCCTTTGTGAATACTTCCTTGACTTTCAGACAGCTGAACAACTTATTCTTCCCTTGGAGTCTCATGGCATTGTGTTTAGACTTGTGTATTATCACTTTTCATACTATTTTCGATCAATATTCTGTCTGCCCTGCTAGATCTCACTCAGTCTATTCAAGGGAAGGTACCCTGGCTAATTCAACTGTGTATCTTATCCCAGCACCCAGTGCCACTCTCTCAGTCCCACCACTACTTGAATTTGGCACAGTGCCTGGAACACTGTGGACACTCAGCAAATAAGAAACTTTGAATAAGTGTAGGATAATGTGAGGGGTACTCAGTGTCATATGATCGGGCATAGAAATAAAAATATGCCAAATAGATCCTTGGATAGGCCCTCTGATATAGCAAGTTTATCCCATCTCTGGCTGATGGAGTCAAATCCTCACAAGTCCCAGAATTACCCTTTCAGCCAGCACTGAACAACTTTTTTGATTTAGCTTTTGAATAAGTAATCCAATTCCACCTAGGGCATCATTTCCTGACATTCAGATCCCTGTTGCCATATTCCCTCTTGGCCTATAGTTAATAAATACATTTCCTTCTTTTCCTGAGAGTGGAGCCAATCCTCGGGCCTCATCATGATTGGGAATGCTTCATGCTGATGCCTTGTGGAGGTGATGTTTGGGCCTGGGTCACCTTGGAAATGTCTTCCCTTCTTGCTATGTTCTGAGCTCATTGCTGTGGAGGTAGAATCAGTCTTAAGGTGCTCAAGATGCCTGGAAGGCTGTACATGGCAGAAAGATGACTGACTTTCCTGTTCTCCAGCCCCTTCCTCCCAGGGCCATTGTCCATTCACAGTTAAAAATGTATATGGGAGAAACAACTCTATCTGCTCATTATGATCAAGGCCAATTAGCCTTGCCAGTATGTTAACTCCTTTCTTTACCTGCTGCTCCAGTGGCACAAGAAACCTCAAATTACCAGGTGGCAGCCATAACTTTAAGTTTAGTAGGAATCTTATAGTGTTCCCTAGCGGAAGCATCTACTTTCTGGAAACCAGGACATCTAGAACCACAGAACTTAAAGTTTTCAAATGAGTCCCTGGGAATGATGGTGAATGGGGTCACTCCAATGTCCACTCATTTTCTGCCAGGTCTGTGTATTCTACCTATTTATGGTAGAGTGTCATATAATGACTGCTGGTTTAAGACATACATTGCCTCATGAAGAACAAAGCCCTCAAATCACAGGCATCATTTCCAAGATACTGCTTTATATGTGCCTTTAAGAGACCATGTCAGTACTCCACTAAGGCTGGCAGCTTCTGGGTATGCGGTATATTGTAGAACAAGTGGATCCCATGGTTATAAAATTATTGTTATGACTGCTTTGATATAAAGTGAATCAATTAATGTGAGATAATATTATATCGAACCTCATGTCAGTAAGTCAGATTTTCTATAAGAATATAGATAGTAGAGTGGGTTGAAGCACTGCAGGTAGAAAAGACAAATCCACACCCAGAATACAAGTAAATCGAAGTTCTGATAAATCATTGTCCCTTCTGAAGCAAGATAAAATCAACTTTCCATCAAGTAGTTGGTTTTTCTCTTTGAGAAACAGTACCATATTGAAGATTAAGCATTAGTCTCCAGTGCTGAAAGATCAAAAAGATATTTATTAAAGATACTAAGTGATAGTAGCTAATCAGCTTTGGTGAAAGGAAGCCCAAATGTTAGTCCAATACATAGCCTCTGTCTCGCATACCATGATTACTACATTCATAGGTATATCATGTAAGTGCTTGTATGACAAACACAGATGCTGACATCTACTGAACGAATAATTCTGTTGACCCATTGTTTAGTACTTTTCGTTTTGTGGATGATCTTTCATGGGCATTACTGTGAGATGTAAAGATCCTCACATTTGGTGCCAACTCCTATAGGTTTAACTGTATGCCTCTTCTTTGCCTTAATCATTCAATCCTGCTTCTCCTAAGACCTTGCCCAATCAGACAAACTATTTACCACTGTCCAGAAGTTCATGTATGACTAACAAGAGCCATTTATGTCTTCACCCAGAGTGGATGATTGACCAGCTTTGCATACTTGAAAAACTTCAATTACTACTGCATTTTTAGAGTTACCTCTGAGTGAGGATGTAGTTTAGCTGCCTCTGTCAACTCGTCATAGAGAATGCCCCCATGAACCCATAGGTGTGAGCTGAGAAAGAGATAGGCCTTATTGCAACAATGAGAACTGGGCCACTGGTTCATGTAACTCACTCATACCCACTGGACATAGTCAGATCTAATTCCAAATATACCATGAATTGCTGCTGTGATTGACCAACTTATGACCTCGTGTGTCTGACAGAACCCAGTTTATATACAAGCTCTGAATGCATAGTCAATTGATGTCCCATGGACACTCACTCATTCTCTACCAGGACCTAATAGCATATCTGGAGCTTCTTTTTGAAGTGTGTCCCTTTCTTTGCTGCAGAAAATATGACTTGCTTCAAAACCCTAGGGATTTATGCCTCAACTCTTCTGTTGGGATTCACCCAAGACTCCATCTGGCATCTGTATCTACTGCAAATATCCTCAGCTCCATGAAATTTGCCAGGTTGTTTATCTCAAGCAGTCATGCCATTTGTACTATAGCCTGGATATTCCTCAATGCCCTTTCTTGTTTATAACCCCAATTAAAACTGGAAGATTTCAAAGTAATCTCAAAAATGAGTCAAGCTAGTATTCCCAATTGCAGTATATGCAGTCTCCAAAATCCAAAAAGACCTACAAAGCACTGTGCTATGTTCTCAATAGTAGGAGAGTCAAGGTGTAATAAAGTGCCCTTTTCATGGAAAGGACATACTGGCATGACCTAAATATTATGTTGGTGCAAAAGTAATTGTCATTTTTTGCCATTCAAAGAAACGTAAGTGAATCCTGCAAAATTTCACCAATGTGACAAATCTCTGCATCCTTATAAGGTTTATTTTCTACCCTCTGGAGCTCGCGAATCCAGAGTACTTGCCACTTTCTCTTTATCAGAGCCAATTAAATTGATGTTATCAATATAGTGGACCATCATGATATCCTATAGAATTTTCAGACGATCGTATTCTCTTTGTACTGTATTATAACAAATGGCAGGAGAGTTAAAATAGACCTGAATCAAAAGCATAAAGGTATACTACTGCCTATTTGGGTGAATATGAACAACTTCTCCTCCTCTTTCCAGATGAAGATTTAAACAAATCTTTTAGCCCCATCAAATCCACCTACCAAATACCAGATGCTGCATTGATAATAATCCATTATAGTAAAAAAACCATATCTGGCATACAAGCTTTAGTCAGGACTATTACTTGTTTAAGTTTGTGTTAGTTCATCATAATCTACCATGGTACATCTATTTTTTTCACAGTGAATGAAGACATAATGTGGATTATCAGCCCTGCTCCCTTAAGTCTTTGGGATTGTCACTAATCTCTACCATTCCACTTAAAATGTGGTATCGTTTTTTATTTACCACCTTGTTCTGGGGAAGGTACCACTTTCATAATGTTCATGTGTGATTTTCTACCATAATAGCTCTTAATTCATGGGTCCTGGAACCAAAAGTCAGGTTTCTTCCACATGCTAAGTATGTCCTTCTGCTTAAGCAATCAGAAATTCCCACTGAGTCTTTGGACCCATTGGACCCACTGTAAGATGGACCAAGGCAAGAACTGAATTCCACAAGGACCTATTTTAGTGTTGGGGGTGGGTGTTATTGTGCTTTAGGTTCCTTAATATCAGCATCTGCTTAAACTCTGTATCCAACAGCCCTTAAAAGATATGGGCAATCCCCTTTTTCTTAGTGTTCGCTTATATTTATAAATGTTAATAAGTCCCTTTTGGGGAAGAACTGATAGAATCACTACTGTATATGCTTGCTTTTGCATTGCAAGATCTTTCTTCAAGCGTACTCAATTTCTCTTTCGATTGATGACTTCTGAGGCTAACAACTGGCTCAGGCATGAAAACAAGGCAAAATATTTTGACCCTTCATTGGGGTAGTGTAGATTAACTTCTATTCATCCACTTATGATTATAAATTATATATGTCAAGCAAACAACACTCTCATTGGCCAACTGTGTATCTTGCTTCTAGGAACACCATGATCTATTAGTCATCACCATACATTCCTGCATGACAGGACACTTTGGTTGCCACTTGACCATTACAATAATTGTGTTCACCTGGCTTCTGGCGATTGTGTGCTGCCATCTGACCTCTGTTCTTCTGGAATCTTATCATTTCCACAGAAACTAGAAAGCTCAATTCTATAACCTAATCTCCTACAGTCAGCTCCAGCCTAGCAGAGCAGAGATCATTTACTTCTGAGCTTCTAAAATATTTTGGAACTGCCCCTTATTATTGCACTTCTTTTCACCTTAGTCAAGGGAGTGTACTCTGAGCCTTCCCAAAAATAGTCCTCTGGTGGGACCTCAGGTTTTATGAAATAGATCCATTCTAACATGCCCACTTCTGAGAGCATTTTTATCCCCATTTTTTAACACTCTGACAAAGCAGTTCAAGCATCTCATTTCATTTAATGCGATTCACATTTTCCCCCAAATTTCCAGGAGTCATCTCAGTCATTTTAACTAATAGGCTTGGCTCCAGGTACCCTTACAAGATATGTTAAATATTGAGTCACAGTAGAATGCTCACATATAGAAAACAAATTTTAAAAGTGTTTTCTCTTATCCAGCTTTATATTTCACTTTTCTTTAATCAAGTTAGCTTCAAGATACATATGCAGGCATGTTACCCCAGTTCCTGATAACACATATTATTAGATTCTGTAGCTCCTTTGATTAATAACACATTTCCTCCATTAGTAAAGCCAGACCTTCCCCAGATTGGTCACGCTAACTTGACCTAGTTATTGGTCCAATGGCCAGAAAGAAATGTTGGGGTAGATCTTGAGAAGGGCAAGTATTGGCTTGCAAGGCATCTACTTCAGTTAAAATCTCTACTTAGCCTTCAGACAGGAGAGTGCTGTTATCTACTAGCAATAAGGAATGGACTATTTATTGCAGGACCACAATGTTTTGGAGAATAAAAAGGTTCCATATTTCGTCAGTGGGTAAACTTAGGTGACCCCAACCCAAGCCTCAGATTGTGAGTCATTCCCTGTCAGAGCCATAATTTTTGTGTACGGGTCTTAGTCTTATGGAGGCTATGAATTTCACCTTCTCTGACACTCTTCTACTTTTAAAAATCAGGTCTTCAGGGTGGCTGGCAAGATGGCCGAATAGGAACGGCTCCGGTCTGCAGTTCACAGCGAGATCAACGCAAAAGGCGGGTGATTTCTGCATTTCCAACTGAGGTACCTGGCTCTTCTCATTGGGACTGGTTAGACAGTGGGTGCAGCCCATGGAGAGCTAGCCAAAGCAGGGTGGTGCGTCACCTCACTCAGGAAGCACAAGGGGTCGGGGAACTCCTTCCCCTAGCCAAGGAAAACCATAAGGGACTGTGCCCTGAGGAATGGTGCATTCCAGCCCAGATGCTATGCTTTTCCCATGGTCTTCACAACCTGCAGATCAGGAGATTCCCTCAGGTGCCTACGCCACCATGGCCCAGGATTTCAAGCATAAAACTGGGCAGCTGTTTGGGCAGACACCAAGCTAGCTGCAGGAGTTTTTTTGTTTGTTTGCTGTTTTTTATACCCCAGTGGCACCTGTAACGCCAGCGAGATAACTGTTCACTCCCCTGCAAAGGGGGCTGAAGCCAGGGAGCCAAATGGTCTAGCTCAACAGATCCTACCCCCAAGGAGCCCAGCAAGCTAAGATCCACTGGCTCAAAATTCTTGCTGCCAGTACAGCAGTCTGAAGTTGACCAGAGACACTCGAGCTTGGTGGGGGGAAGGACATCCACCATTACTGAGACTTGAGTAGGCGATTTTCCCCTCACAGTGTAAACAAAGCCACCAAGAAGTTCAAACTGGGCGGAGCCCACCGCAGCTGGGCAACGCCACTGTAGTCAGACTGCCTCTCTAGATTTCTCCTCTCTGGGCAGGGTATCTCTGAAAGAAAGACAGCAGCCCCAGTCAGGGGCTTATAGACAAAACTCCCATCTCCCTGGGACAGAGCACCTGGGGGAAGGGGCAGCTGTGGGCACAGCTTCAGCAGACTTAAATGTTCCTGCCTGCTGGCTCTGAAGAGAGCAGCGGAACACCCAGCACAGCGTTTGAGCTCTGCTAAGGGACAGACTGCCTCCTCAAGTGAGTCCCTGACCCCCGTGCATCCTGACTGGGAGACACTTCCCAGCAGGGGTTGACAGACACCTCATACAGGAGAGCTCAGGCTGGCATCTGGCGGGTGCCCCTGTGGGACAAAGCTTCCAGAGGAAGGAAGAGACAGCAATTTTTGCAGTTCTGCAGCCTCTGCTGGTAATACTCAGGCAAACAGTGTCTGGAGTGGACCTCCAGCAAACTCCAGCAGACCTGCAGCAGAGGGGCCTGACTGTTAGAAGGAAAACTAACAAACAGAAAGGAATAGCATCAACATCAACAAAAAGGATGCCCAAACAGAAATCCCATCTGAAGGTCACCAACATCAAAGACCAAAGGAAGAGAAATCCACGAAGATGAGAAAAAACAAGCACAAAAAGGCTGAAATTTTCAAAAATCAGAATGCCTCTTCTCCAAAGGATCACAACTCCTCGCCAGCAAGGAAACAAAACTAGACAGAGAATGAGTTTGACGAATTAAAAGAAGTAGGGTTCAGAAGGTGGGTAATAACAAACTCCTCTGAGCTAAAGGAGCATGTACTAATCCAATGCAAGGAAGCTAAAAATCTTGAAAAAAGGTTAGAGGAATTGCTAACTAGAATAAACAGTTTAGAGAAGAACATAAATGACCTGATGGAGCTGAAATCACAGCATGAGAACTTCATGAAACATACACAAGTATCAACAGCCGAATTGATCAAGTGGAGGAAAGGATATCACAGATTAAAGATCAACTTAATGAAACAAAGTGTGAAGACAAGATTAGAGAAAAAAGAATAAAAATGAATGAACAAAGCCTACAAGAAATATGGGACTATGTGAAAAGACCAAACCTACATTTGATTGGTGTACCTGAAAGTGACAGGGTGAATGGAACCAAGTTGGAAAACACTCTTCAGGATGTTATCCAGGAAAACTTCCCAACCTAGCAAGACAGGCCAACATTCAAATTCAGGAAATACAGAGAACACCACAAATATACCCCTCGAGAAGAGCAACCCCAAGACACATAATCGTCAGATTCACCAAGGTTGAAATGAAGGAAAAAATGTTAAAGGCAGCCAGAAAGAAAGGTCTCGTTACCCACAAAGGGAAGCCCATCAGACTAACAGCAGATCTCTCGGCAGAAACCATACAAGCCAGAAGAGAGTGGAGGCCGACATTCAACATTGTTAAAGAAAAGAATTTTCAACACAGAATTTCATATCCAGCCAAATTAAGCTTCATAAGGGGAAATAAAATCCTTTACAGACAAGCAAATGCTGAGAGATTTTGTCACCAGTAGCCCTGCCTTACAAGAGCTCCTGAAGGAAGCACTAATTATGGAAAGGAAAAACCAGTACCGGTCACTGCAAAAACATACCAAATTGTAAAGACCATCAATACTATGAAGAAACTGCATCAACTAACAGGCAAAATAACCAGCTAGCATCATAATGACAGGATCAAATTCACACATAACAGTAACAATATTAACCTTAAATGTAAATGGGCTAAATGTCACAATTAAAAGACACAAACTGGCAAATTGGATAAAGAGTCAGGACGCATCAGCGTGCTGTATTCAGGAGACCCATCTCACATGCAAAGACATACATAGGCTCAAAATTAAGAAATTGAGCAACATTTACCATGCAAATGGAAAGCAAAAAAAAGCAGGGGTTGCAATCCTAGTCTCTGACAAAACAGGCTTTAAAGCAACAAAGATCAAAAAAGGCAAAGAAGGGCATTACATAATGGTAAAGGGATCAACGCAACAAGAAAAGCTAACTATCCTAAATATATATGCACCCAATACAAGAACATCCAGATTCATAAAGCAAGTTCTTAGAGACCTACAAAGAGATTCAGACTCCCAAACAATAATAGTGGGAGACTTTAACACCCCACTGTCAATATTAGACAGATCAACAAGACAGAACATTAACAAGGATATTCAGGACTTGAACTCAGCTTTGGACCAAGTGGACTTAATAGACATCTACAGAACTCTCCACCCCAAATCAACAGCATATACATTCTTTTCAGCACCACATCACACTTATTCTAAAACTGACCACATAATTGGAAGGAAAACACTCCTTAGCAAATGCAAAAGAACAGAAATCATAACAAACAGTCTCTCAGACCACAGTGCAATCAAATTAGAACTCAGGATTAAGAAAACTCACTCAAAACCACACAACTACATGGAAACTGAACAACCTGCTCCTGAATGACTACTGGGTAAATAACAAAATTAAGGCAGGAATAAATGAGTTATTTGAAACCAATGAGAACAAAGACACAATGTACCAGAATCTCTGGGACACAGCTAAAGCAGTGTTTAGAGGGAAATTGATAGCACTGAATGCCCACAAGAGAAAGAGGAAAAATCTAAAATTGACACCCTAACATCACAATTAAAAGAACTAGAGAAGCAGGAGCAAACACATTCAAAAGCTAGCAGAAGACAAGAAATAACTAAAATTGGAGCAGAACTGAAGGAGATAGAGACACAAAAAACCTTTCAAAACTCAATGAATCCAGGAGCTGGTTTTTTGAAAAGATCAACAAAATAGATAGACTGCTAGCAAGACTAATAAAGAAGAAAAGAGAGAAGAATCACACAGACACAATAAAAAATGATAAAGGGGATATCACCACTGATCCCACAGAAATACAAACTACCATCGGAGAATAGTATAAACACCTCTACTCAAATAAACTGGAAAATCTAGAAGAAATGGATAAATTCCTGGACACATACACCCTCCCAAGACTAAGCCAGAAAGAAGTCGAATCAAATCCCTGAATAGACCAATAACAAGTTCTGAAATTGAAGCAGTAATTAATAGCCTACCAACCAAAAAAAGCCCAGGACCAGATGGATTCACAGCCGAATTCTACCAGAGGTACAAAGACAAATTCCTTATGAAACTAATCCAAACAATAGAAAAAGAGGGACTCCTCCCTAACTCATTTTATGAGGCCAGCATCATGCTGATATCAAAACCTGGCATAGACACAACAAAAAAAGAAAATTTCAGGCCAGTATCCCTGATAAACACAGATGTGAAAATCCTCAATAAAATACTAGCAAACTGAATCCAGTGCACATCAAAAAGCTTATCCACCACGATGAAGTTGGCTGCATCCCTGGGATGCAAGGCTGGTTCAACATACACAAATCAATAAACATAATCCATCACATAAACAGAACCAATGACAAAAACCACATGATTATCTCAATAGATGCAGAAAAGGCCTTCGATAACATTCAACACCTCTTCATGCTAAAACTCTCAATAAGCTAGTTATTGATGGAACGTATCTCAAAATAATAAGAGCTATTTATGACAAACCCACAACCAATATCATATTGAATGGGCAAAAGCTGGAAGCATTCCCTTTGAAAACTGGCACAAGACAAGGATGCCCTCTCTCACCACTCCTATTCAACATAGTATTGGAAGTTCTGGCCAGGGCAATCAGGCAAGCAAAAGAAATAAAGGGTACTCAAATAGGAAGAGAGGAAGTCAAATTGTCTCTGTTTGCAGATGACATGATTATATATTTAGAAAACCCCATCATCTCATCCCAAAATCTCCTTAAGCTGATAAGCAACTTCAGCAAAGTCTCAGGATACAAAATCAATGTGCAAAAATCACAGGCACTGCTATACACCAATAGTAGACAAACAGAAAGCCAAATCATGAGTGAACTCCCATTCACAATTGCTACAAAGAGAATAAAATACCTAGGAATACAACTCACAAGGGATATGAAAGACCTCTTCAAGGAGAACTACAAACCACTGCTCAAGGAAATAAAAGAGGACGCAAATAAATGGAAAAACATTCCATGCTCATGGATAGGAACAATCAATATTGTGAAAATGGCCATACTGCCCAAAGTAATTTATAGATTCAATTCTATCCCCATTAAGCTATCATTGACTTTCTTCACAGAATTAGAAAAAACTACTTTAAATTTCATATGGAACCAAAAAAGAACCCGTATAGCCAAGACAATCCTAAGCAAAAAGAACAAAGCTGGAGGCATCATGCTACCTGATTTCTATAGGCTACAAGTAACCAAAAAAGCAGGGTACTGGTACCAAAACAGATATATAGATGAATGGAACAGAACAGAGGCCTCAGAAATAATGCCACACATCTACAACCATCTGATCTTTGACAAACGTGACAAAAACAAGCAATGGGGAAAGGATTCCCTATTTAATAAATGGTGTTGGGAAAACTGGCTAGCTATATGCAGAAAACTGAAACTGAACCTCTTCCTTATACCTTATACAAAAATTAACTTAACATGGATTATAGACTTAAACATAAGACCTGCACATTCTACACATGTATCCCAGAACTTAAAGTATAATAATAATTAAAAAATCAGGTCTTCAGTATGGTTTCCATTCTCAATGCAGGAGGAGGGTCTCTTTATACGCTGCTATGGAGGTCTTCTAAGTTGTACACAGTGGATTAAGTTGGTAATTGGCTGACTTGAGGCTGTCATTTCCTCCCTTCAACACATCAGTGTTGCCCAGAAACAACAAATTCCACAGTCCATTTCCCTGCTATGTCTCAAAATGCTACAGATATCACATAGGGCACAGCATCTTCTTCTACATTTGAATCCATTCCAACTAACAACAGATGAAAGTTTAGCAATTATAATGCAGCAAGAAATCACTGTTGCACTGTAGCTGACAACTGATACAATTCCAGAATTACATCGTTAGAGTCCGCTTCTAGGATCATTTTTGGTCAACTATCCTAGGAAAGTTTCCTCAGAAGCAGGCCCTCAGACACATGCAAATCATATACTAGGTAGTGCCCCCAAAGAGAACTGACAGGAGATTGGGGAAGCAAGACAAGGATGGAGCAGAAGTCAAGCAAGGGCATGATAATAGACAAAGTCCCCCAAATGTAGCTACAGTCTGATTCCACAGGGGAACTTTGGAGTATATTGTGTCCCAGAGTTGTTCTGGTGTGAGGCAAGAGATCTGGGACTTTCATATTCCCTCATTCATTATTCATTGTTTAAGATCCAAGAGGGACCTAAATGTCCTGGCACTTCTGGCTCTCCATGCAGGTGGATAAAGGGGTTCTGAGATCCAAGAACAGTCACCTGCAAAAGAAACGCAAGTGCTTATTGCTGGAACAAATGCTCACCCAAATCACAGAAGACACAAAGAAAGATCTGAGTAGATCTAGTTGAAGCACTAACATTGTTCACCACAAATGGTGATCTTGGAAAACAGCATTCTATTGGCATGGAAATGTAGAGGTTGAATGACACTGTCTAAGGCAGAGGTGGGTAGTAAGGAAGTAAAAGAAGTAGATATAAATCACTCCAAAAGTGTGGTGGTAAATAGAAGGCTAGATTATTTACTCAGACCTGACTTTGTGTCAGACACGGAGTTGGGGCCTGAGAAAAGAAAGAAAAACAAAATATAGACCTACATTTGGGAGCACAAAACCTATTTGGAGCAGCTAAAGCAGTTACACTACCATATGTTAAGGCCTATTATAAAGGTATAATAATTAATATAGTGTGCCAGGATTGATAAATACACCAAGAAAGAGAATACAGGGGGGAGGAGTCAAGATGGCAGAATAGGAACAGCTCCGGTCTACAGCTCCCAGCGTGAGCGAGGCAGAAGACAGGTGATTTCTGCATTTCCATCTGAGGTACCAGGTTCATCTCACTAGGGAGTGCCAGACAGTGGGCGCAGGTCAGTGGGTGCGTGCACCATGCGCGAGCCGAAGCAGGGCGAGGCATTGCCTCACTTGGGAAGTGCAAGGGGTCAGGGAGTTCCCTTTCCGAGTCAAAGAAAGGGGTGACGGACGCACCTGGAAAATCGGGTCACTCCCACCTGAATACTGCGCTTTTCCGACGGGCTTAAAAAACTGCGCACCACGAGAGTCTGTCCCGCACCTGGCTCGGAGGGTCCTACGCCCACGGAGTCTCACTGATTGCTAGCACAGCAGTCTGAGATCAAACTGCAAGGCAGCAGCGAGGCTGGGGGAGGGGCGCCCGACATTGCCCAGGCTTGATTAGGTAAGCAAAGCAGCTGGGAAGCTCGAACTGGGTGGAGCCCACCACAGCTCAAGGAGGCCTGCCTGCCTCTGTAGGCTCCACCTCTGGGGGCAGGGCACAGACAAACAAAAAGACAGCAGTAACCTCTGCAGACTTAAATGTCCCTGTCTGACAGCTTTGAAGAGAGCAGTGGTTCTCCTAGCACGCAGCTGGAGATCTGAGAACGGGCAGACTGCCTCCTGAACTGGGTCCCTGACCCCTGACCCCCGAGCAGCCTAACTGGGAGGCACCCCCCACCAGGGGCACACTGACACCTCACACGGCAGGGTATTCCAACAGACCTGCAGCTGAGGGTCCTCTCTGTTAGAAGGAAAACTAACAAACAGAAAGGACATCCACACCAAAAACCCATCTGTACATCACCATCATCAAAGACCAAAAGTAGATAAAACCACAAAGATGGGGAAAAAACAGAACAGAAAAACTGGAAACTCTAAAAAGTAGAGCGCCTCTCCTCCTCCAAAGGAACGCAGTTCCTCACCAGCAACGGAACAAAGCTGGACAGAGAATGACTTTGACGAGCTGAGAGAAAAAGGCTTCAGACGATCAAATTACTCTGAGCTACAGGAGGACATTTAAACCAAAGGCAAAGAAGTTGAAAACTTTGAAAAAAATTTAGAAGAATGTATAACTAGAATAATCAATAGAGAGAAGTGCTTAAAGGAGCTGATGGAGCTGAAAACCAAGGCTCGAGAGCTACGTGAAGAATGCAGAAGCCTCAGGAGCCGATGCGATCAACTGGAAGAAAGGGTATCAGCGATGGAAGATGAAATGAACGAAATGAAGCGAGAAGGGAAGTTTAGAGAAAAAAAGAATAAAAAGAAATGAGCAAAGCCTCCAAGAAATATGGGACTATGTGAAAAGACCAAATCTACATCTGACTGGTGTACCTGAAAGTGACGGGGAGAATGGAACCAAGTTGGAAAACACTCTGCAGGATATTATCCAGGAGAACTTCCCCAATCTAGCAAGGCAGGCCAATGTTCAGATTCAGGAAATACAGAGAACGCCACAAAGATACTCCTCGAGAAGAGCAACTCCAAGACACATAATTGTCAGATTCACCAAAGTTGAAATGAAGGAAAAAATGTTAAGGGCAGCCAGAGAGAAAGGTCGGGTTACCCTCAAAGGGAAGCCCATCAGACTAACAGCAGATCTCTTGGCAGAAACCCTACAAGCCAGAAGAGAGTGGGGGCCAATATTCAACATTCTTAAAGAAAAGAATTTTCAACCCAGAATTTCCTATCCAGCCAAACTAAGCTTCATAAGTGAAGGAGAAATAAAATACTTTACAGACAAGCAAATGCTGAGAGATTTTGTCACCACCAGGCCTGCCCTAAAAGAGCTCCTGAAGGAAGCACTAAACATGGAAAGGAACAACCGGTACCAGCTGCGGCAAAATCATGCCAAAATGTAAAGACCATCGAGACTAGGAAGAAACTACATCAACTAACGAGCAAAATAACCAACTAACATCATCATGACAGGATCAAATTCACACATAACAATATTAACTTTAAATGTAAATGGACTAAATATTCCAATTAAAAGACACAGACTGGCAAATTGGATAGAGTCAAGACCCATCAATGTGCTGTATTCAGGAAACCCATCTCACGTGCAGAGACACACATAGGCTCAAAATAAAAGGATGGAGGAAGATCTACCAAGCCAATGGAAAACAAAAAAAGGCAGGGGTTGCAATCCTAGTCTCTGATAAAACAGACTTTCAACCAACAAAGATCAAAAGAGACAAAGAAGGCCATTACATAATGGTAAAGGGATCAATTCAACAAGAATAGCTAACTATCCTAAATATATATGCACCCAATACAGGAGCACCCAGATTCATAAAGCAAGTCCTGAGTGACCTACAAAGAGACTTAGACTCCCACACATTAATAATGGGAGACTTTAACACCCCACTGTCAACATTAGACAGATCAACGAGACAGAAAGTCAACAAGGATACCCAGGAATTGAACTCAGCTCTGCACCAAGCAGACCTAATAGACATCTACAGAACTCTCCACCCCAATTCAACAGAATATACATTTTTTTCAGCACCACACCACACCTATTCCAAAATTGACCACATACTGGGAAGTAAAGCTCTCCTCAGCAAATGTAAAAGAACAGAAATTATAACAAACTATCTCTCAGACCACAGTGCAATCAAACTAGAACTCAGGATTAAGAATCTCACTCAAAACCGCTCAAATACATGGAAACTGAACAACCTGCTCCTGAATGACTACTGGGTACATAACGAAATGAAGGCAGAAATAAAGATGTTCTTTGAAACCAATGAGAACAAAGACACAACATACCAGAATCTCTGGGACGCATTCAAAGCAGTGTGTAGAGGGAAATTTATAGCACTAAATGCCCACAAGAGAAAGCAGGAAAGATCCAAAATTGACACCCTAACATCACAATTAAAAGAACTAGAAAAGCAAGAGCAAACACATTCAAAAGCTAGCAGAACGCAAGAAATAACTAAAATCAGAGCAGAACTGAAGGAAATAGAGACACAGAAAACCCTTCAAAAAATTAATGAATCCAGGAGCTGGTTTTTTGAAAGGATCAACAAAATTGATAGACCGCTAGTGAGACTAATAAAGAAAAAAAGAGAGAAGAATCAAATAGACACAATAAAAAATGATAAAGGGGATATCACCAGCGATCCCACAGAAATACAAACTACCATCAGAGAATACTACAAACACCTCTATGCAAATAAACTAGAAAATCTAGAAGAAATGGATAAATTCCTTGACACATACACTCTCCCAAGACTAAACCAGGAAGAAGTTGAATCTCTGAATAGGCCAATAACAGGATCTGAAATTGTGGCAATAATCAATAGCTTACCAACCAAAAAGAGTCCAGGACCAGGTGGATTCACAGCTGAATTCTACCAGAGGTACAAGGAGGAACTGGTACCACTCCTTCTGAAACTATTCCAACCAATAGAAAAAGAGGGAATCCTCCCTAACTCATTTTATGAGGCCAGCATCATTCTGATACCAAAGCCAGGAAGAGACACAACAAATAAAGAGAATTTTCGACCATTATCCTTGATGAACATTGATGAAAAATCCTCAATAAAATACTGGCAAAACGAATCCAGCAGCACATCAAAAAGCTTATCCACCATGATCAAGTGGGCTTCATCCCTGGGATGCAAGGCTGGTTCAATATACACAAATCAATAAATGTAATCCAGCATATAAACAGAGCCAAAGACAAAAACCACATGATTATCTCAATAGATGCAGAAAAAACCTTTGACAAAATTCAACAACCCTTCATGCTAAAAACTCTCAATAAATTAGGTATTGATGGGACGTATTTAAAAATAATAAGAGCTATCTGTGACAAACCCACAGCCAATATCATACTGAATGGGCAAAAACTGGAAGCATTCCCTTTGCAAACTGGCACAAGACAGGGATGCCCTCTCTCACCACTCCTATTCAACATAGTGTTGGAAGTTCTGGCCAGGGCAATTAGGCAGGAGAAGGAAATAAAGGGTATTCAATTAGGAAAAGAGGAAGTCAAATTGTCCCTCTTTGCAGACGACATGATTGTATATCTAGAAAACCCCATTGTCTCAGCCCAAAATGTCCTTAAGCTGATAAGCAACTTCAGCAAAGTCTCAGGATACAAAATCAAGTACAAAAATCACAAGCATTCTTATACACCAACAACAGACAAACAGAGAGCCAAATCATGAGTGAACTCCCATTCACAATTGCTTCAAAGAGAATAAAATACCTAGGAATCCAACTTACAAGGGATGTGAAGGACCTCTTCAAGGAGAACTACAAACCATTGCTCAAGGAAATGAAAGAAGATACAAACAAATGGAAGAACATTCCATGCTCATGGGTAGGAAGAATCAATATCGTGAAAATGGCCATACTGCCCAAGGTAATTTACAGATTCAATGCCATCCCCATCAAGCTACCAATGACTTCAAAGAATTGGAAAAAACTACTTTAAAGTTCATATGGAACCAAAAAAGAGCCCGCATTGCCAAGGCAATCCTAAGCCAAAAGAACAAAGCTGGAGGCATCACACTACCTGACTTCAAACTATACTACAAGCCTACAGTAACCAAAACAGCATGGTACTTGTACCAAAACAGAGATATAGATCAATGGAACAGAACAGAGCCCTCAGAAATAATGCCACATGTCTACAACTATCTGATCTTTGACAAACCTGAGAAAAACAAGCAATGGGGAAAGGATTCCCTATTTAATAAATGGTGCTGGGAAAACTGGCTAGCCATATGTAGAAAGCTGAAACTGGATCCCTTCCTTACACCTTATACAAAAATCAATTCAAGATGGATTAAACACTTAAACGTTAGACGTAAAACCATAAAAGCCCTAGAAGAAAACCTAGGCATTACCATTCAGGACATAGGCATGGGCAAGGACTTCATGTCCAAAACACCAAAAGCAATGGCAACAAAAGACAAAATTGACAAATGGGATCTAATTAAACTAAAGAGTTTCTGCACAGCAAAAGAAACTACCATCAGAGTGAACAGGCAACCTACAAAATGGGAGAAAATTTTTGCAACCTACTCATCTGACAAAGGGCTAATATCCAGAATCTACAATGAACTCAAACAAATTTACAAGAAAAAAACAAACAACCCCATCAAAAAGTGGGTGAAGGACATGAACAGACACTTCTCAAAAGAAGACATTTATGCAGCCAAAAAACACATGAAAGAATGCTCATCATCACTGGCCATCAGAGAAATGCAAATCAAAACCACAATGAGATACCATCTCACACCAGTTAGAATGGCAATCATTAAAAAGTCAGGAAACAACAGGTGCTGGAGAGGATGTGGAGAAATAGGAACACTTTTACACTGTTGGTGGGACTGTAAACTAGTTCAACCATTGTGGAAGTCAGTGTGGCGATTCCTCAGGGATCTAGAACTAGCAATACCATTTGACCCAGCCATCCCATTACTGGGTATATACCCAGAGGACTATAAATCATGCTGCTATAAAGACACATGCACACGTATGTTTATTGCGGCATTATTCACAATAGCAAAGACTTGGAACCAACCCAAATGTCCAACAATGATAGACTGGATTAAGAAAATGTGGCACATATACACCATGGAATACTATGCAGCCATAAAAAATGATGAATTCGTGTCCTTTGTAGGGACATGGATGAAATTGGAAATCATCATTCTCAGTAAACTATTGCAAGAACAAAAAACCAAACACCGCATATTCTCACTCATAGGTGGGAATTGAACAATGAGATCACATGGACACAGGAAGGGGAATATCACACTCTGGGGACTGTTGTGGGGTGGGGGGAGTGAGGAGGGATAGCATCGGGAGATATACCTAATGCTAGATGACGAGTTAGTGGGTGCAGCGCACCAGCATGGCACATGTATACATATGTAACTAACCTGCACAATGTGCACATGTACCCTAAAACTTAAAGTTAATAAAAAAAAAAAACCGAAACCAAAAAAAAAAAGAAAGAGAATAGAGTCTAGAAATAGACTGATACATACAAAGTCATCTAATTAGGACAATGGTGACATTGCAATATAGTGGAGAAAGTGTCTTTTCAATAAATGTGGTTGTGCCAATTGTCTCTCAATCTATTAGAAATGAATATTGACCCATTTCTCATATCATATAAAAAGCCAAACAGTACAGTTTTTAGAGGAAATCATTAGAGAATTCTTCATGATCTTGTGGTTGGCAAAGGTATTTTTTTTTTGCATTTTTTTATTATTTTATTTTATTTTATTTTATTATACTTTAAGTTTTAAGGTACATGTGCACAATGTGCAGGTTAGTTACATATGTATACATGTGCCATGCTGGTGTGCTGCACCCATTAACTCGTCATCTAGCATTAGGTATATCTCCTAAAGCTATCCCTCCCCCCTCCCGCTACCCCACAACAGTCCCCAGAGTGTGATGTTCCCCTTCCTGTGTCCATGTGTTCTCATTGTTCAATTCCCACCTATGAGTGAGAACATGCAGTGTTTGGTTTTTTGTTCTTGCGATAGTTTACTGAGAATTATGATTTCCAAAGGTATTTTTAAAACAGAACACAAAAAATGCTAATCATAAGATACAATTTTGATAAATTAGATTATATTAAAAGTAATAACTTCCATTTGTGAGAAGATACTATTAAGAAAGTGAAAAGTCAATCCATAGGTTGGAGAAAATATTTGCATTACCTATATTCAACAAAAGAATTATATCAAGAACATATGAAGTTCAGATCAGTAAGAAAATGCAACCATCAAATAGAAAAATGGGCAAAAGATTGAAAGAGACTTTTTTTTTTACGTAGGGTTTATTTAATGTTTAGATTATTTTCTTAAGTCTGCTGTGACAATTGGTGCGCAAGACACTTTTTAGCACAGCAGATTATAGAGAGAATAAAACTAGGGTCTGTAAATTGCTACCTCCTTGATTTGTTGTAAGAATGAAGAAAACACACAAGGTGCATGGCTCAATGCTTGGTCTACCTTGCATCTTCCTTCCTCAAAGTTTTTTTTGAGAAATTATCCTATCAGGTTTTGGAATGTCTTATAGAAATAAAGGAACCGCTTCTGGCTGCAATGAACCTCTCTAGCTATTTAGATAAATTCTTTAATGTTTTGCTAACTACATGCATCTTTTTATTTCCTGCTTTTAAAATCACACTAGGTGTTTCCTGTCACAGTCCCTTTTCTGTAGCCTCACTAACACATGCTTTCAGGTCCAAAAGAGACATTTCACAACAGAGTATATCCAACTGTTCAATAAACACATGAAAAGATGAGTAGCTTTATTAGTTATCAGAAAAATAAAAGTTAAAACCATAATAAGAAAACACCCACCAAATTGCCTAAAATTAAAAAGCCTGACAATACTAAGTGTTTTCAAGGATGTGGAGAAACTAGAACTCTTTTACACTAGTGGAAGTGTAAATTCATAAAACCATTCTGAACTATTGTTCAGCAGTATCTACTAAAGCTGCATATCTGCCTACTCTGTAATCTAACAATTCCTTCCTAGATATACACCAAATAGAAATATGTATATATGTGCACCAACAGAAATGTACAAGAATATTCATAGTAGTACTCTTTATAATAGCTTCAAACTACACAAATATTTGTGTAGAATTGATCAATAAATTTATATAAAGGAATACCATATAGCAATGAGTATGAACAAACTAAAACTACATGTAACAATATTGATGTATCTTCAAACATAATGTTGATTGAAAGAAGTAAAAAGAAAGAAATATAGACTGCATAACCCATTCATAATAAAGTTTAAAACATAGGAAAAATTTATTCTGTTAGATGCCAAGGGGCAATAAATGTGAGGATACACAGGGGAGTTTCTGGGGTGTCAGTGATCTTCTTTTTCTTGATCTCAGACGCTTGTTACATGGGTATGTTTATGATATAGAAGTTCAAATAGTGGCCACTTGTGATTTCTTCTGCATATGCATGTATGTGATGTTTCATTAAAACATTAAATAATATAGCAGGGGGAAATATACAAAAGATGTGAATAGACAACTTAACAAAGAAGATACACAGATGGCAAATAAGCATATAAGATGTTAACACCACTTGTCATTAGAGCGTTGCAAATTCAAACAACAATGAAATACCACTTTACATGTATTAGATTGGCTAGAATCCAAACAATTGACAATACCAACTGCTGGCAAGTAAACAGTACAAAACCTCTCGTTCACTGCAGGTGAGAATGAAAAATGGTACAGCCTCTTTGGAAGACAGTTTGGCAGTTTCTTACAAAGCTAAACAAAACCTCACTATATAGTGCAGCAGTCATGCTTCTAGGTATTTACCCAACTGATTTGAAAAGCTATGTCCACACAAAAATGTACACATGAATGTTCGTAGTTGCTTTATTCATAACCACCAAAAATTGAAAGCAATCAAGATGCCCTTCAATGTGTGAATGAATAAACAAACTGATACATCCACACAATAAAATTGTGATTTTTAAAAGTAATTTCAAAAGAGCTATAAAGTCACAAAAAGACATGAATAAGTATTAGATACCTATTGCTAAGTGCAAGAAGTCAGTCTGAAAAGGATACATATTACATGATTTCACTTATGTGACATTCAGGTAAAGGCAAAACTAGAGAGAGTGAAAAGGTCAGAGGTTACAGTGTTTTGAGGGAAGGAGGGTTGAATGGGTAAAGTACAGTGGAATTTCTAGGTCGGTAAATTTATTCTTTATGATATTGTAATGGTGAATACAAGATATTAAGCATTGTCAAAACCTATAGAAATTTAGAACACAAAGAATAAACTTAATGTATGCAAATTAAAAATATTTAGACAGCCAGGGAATCCCAGGATGGAATGCAGAATAACAATAAGATCTAAATGCATTATAAGCGTATTAAACAACCTAATTGAAGTGGGCAGGGGGAATAAGGTGCTGATCTGAGTACCTTTGGAAATGCGTGAACTCTGTAAGACTAAAGGCAAAAGGAACTGTTCAGAAGCATTCTGCTCCAGTGATAAAGGTGGTTCCCATGGGAGTATGAGTTAACAATTCTCACACTGCTATACAGTTACACTGGAATTGAAGAATTAAGTAAACAAATAGTGAATGGTAGGAGCCAGGTTTCTCACTGTGGGAGTGGAAGTTTACAGATAAGCAAGGGAAGGAGGCTAGAATGATCCATGTGGTGAGGACTAGAATAAGAGACATCACTAGCAACTCTCATTTAGCTTAATACTGATGCAGGTGGTTACATAGAGAAATATTTATACATATGTCTATACACATGGGTTCAGTATCACACTTAGATCTCCTTGCTCTGTCAGCTGAGACGGCCAAGAAGCAATGACACAATCAATGAACACACCTGGCACCCTGATCTTTGTTTCTACTACCATTCTCCAATAAAAGAAACCAGGACTTTTTAGAGAAAATATCTGGCAATCACTGGAGCATGAATTATACAAAATGATCTTGGAGTATCTTAGAGTACCAGAAACAATAAAAGCGCTAAAAAAAAAAGGGGGGGCTATGTAAAAGGAATACAGGAGCCAACTGAAATAGTTCTCAGTGACCAAAGCTGGAATATTTGAGCAACAAAATAAGTAAAATATTCTTATAGCCCCAAATATAAAACAAATATCCTTGAGTTTGTGCCAATATAAATAAATTATTGAATAAATAAATGGGGAAGAATAGGTCCCAGATACAGAAGAATTTCAAATAATTTATGTAAATATTCCACGCTTAAGGAGGTGAAATAAAAACCCCTGTTACTTAAGAGTGACCTTCTTCCAAAGAGTAAAGCATGGAATGGGAGAAAAAAATAATAACTTTATGGTGAGGAAACTTGACAAAGATTACCTCAAGCCAAGTGATGAAGATTAATATATATTGTTGGTATACCTTTGATACAAAGTGGTGAGAATGGCACTTTATTTCCGAGGTCTTCCTTTCAAAAACACGTTACCCCAATCTGATCATGAGAAAAACATCATTGAAAATTTAAATATATTTTATAAAATGTCTGACCTGTAACCCTAAAATATGTTAAGGTCATCAAAAACAAGGAAAGTTTGAAAAATCCAAGGGAGCTGCAGGAGGTGCAGTGACTGAATGTAATGTGATATCCTGGATGGAACATTGATGAATTAAAAAAAGAACATTAAGGGAAAACTGAGGAAATTTGAATACAGACTTTAGTTAATAATAATCTATCAATATTGTTTCATTAACTGTGAAAAGTATGCATACTAGTGTAAGATGTTAATGAAAGGGAAACTAGTGTGGCATATATAGAAACTCTCTGTACTATCTTTGTAATAATTCTGTAAATCTAAAATTGTTCTAAAATAGAAATGTTTACTTAAATATATATTTATAGTTGGGGATAAATACTTCTAGTAAATATCACACAATGTCATAAAGCTGTAAGTGTGTTATATCCATGGAGCCTTGTGTAAGCACAAAAAGAAAAGCAACTGAATTTTCAGAGGGAGAGAAGAGTCAGGGAGGGTTCCATAGAGGAAGTGGCTTTGAATTGAATTAATTTATTTCTTCCTTTTCCTAATTGCTAGAGATACAACAGTGAGCAACATAGACATGACTCCTATTCTCTTGGGGCTTATACTCTACTTAGGCGTGACACTAATAAACAAATAAAGTTTAAAATTATGAATTGTTTTTAATGATGAGAGAGGAGGGGGTGGTGAAGGCAAAAAACATTGCAAAGATACAGAGATATAAAGGCATATCATGTATTTGAGGATACAGGGCACATTATGTGTGGCTTTAATACAAGCAGGGTCAGGACTAGGGCAGTTGAGTGAAGAAATTAGGGCACACAAATTTAAGGAGATACTCACTTTTAGAGTCATATCCTAGGTGCTTCACTCTAGTCTCATTCCTGAGCACAGGGTTTGTAATGTGGATTTTCGGGAAATTAGATCAAGAGACCAAACTGCTGCCATATTGTGAAAGGTCTCGTGTGCCTTACTAAGAAGTTGGGTTTGAGCTTGTAGATGGTGGGGAATCAAAGGAGGTTTTTAAGCTAGAATAAGTACTAATCAAATCTGTGCTTTAGAAAGATTATTTTACAAATTGTGGGAAAAGGATTCAGGCAGTGCAAGGTAAGAGATGAGATGGTCATTGAGAGGACAACTGGCATTCTCAATATGAGAGACTCCTGGGCACTTTTTAAAGCTGAAGAGAAAGAGAGGCAGTGAAGAGAGAGACATTCAAAATCTGAACTGAGTGAGCTCTGGGAAAGCAGGGACAGGTACCGTTTCATTCTCAATTGTCAATCACAGTACCTTGGACAGTGCCTGGAACATAGGAGGTGGGTAATAAAGCTGCCAGGAGGGCTCCACTATGAAGACAGATGTGATGCCAGTGGTCTTCTAAGGGGGTATAGAGGACAGTTGTAAAAGACAGGGCGGGAAGATAGTGTGGCAAGATATGCATGGCATTGGGTCAGTGATGACTTGTAAGGATTGGTCAGAGACACGTGACCTTTAAGTGTTATCCATGGGCCAGGAATGCTCCCAACCTGAAGTAGTGTTGTGATTTTCACAGAGGGTAAAGATGCTAAATTTACAAACCAATATCTCCGCTCACCACCCGCCTCCACACACACACACAAACACACACGTAAACCACAACCCTCTTATGAGGTAAGGAATGTTTTTCCCTAAGGAATGCCAAGTTGCAGAAAGACAATTAATAGATGCAATTCAAAAGATTTTCATTCTATCCAGGGAAAAATAATCAAACATAACTAATGAACAGCAGTAAGAATAGCAATTTTAAGAGGACTTTATTTTTATGGGATAAAAAAGAAACAGATGGATCACATAGCATTCCCAAAAATATATTGTGTAAAGTTACTGAGGGTGCTCAGATACTCTGGGCTAAAACAACACTGAACAGATTAAGGAGTTGGTCCTTGGATCCCATAGCTATATCAAGCTATTAAGGGGTTGTTGAAATCATTTGGGAGACATCTTTAACCTTCCAAGATGATGTTAGGACTAACCGAATCCCCTCCTGCCCTTTATAAACTGTCCTACATTGCACAGCTGGTGTCTGAAGTTGGTCTTATAAGTCGTTTTATGGACTGTGTTTAAAATACATCATTCAGCAGAACATTAACAAATATGCCATGAAAAAGGAGGTTCTCTGATTAAATAAGTGTGTAAAATGCTAGGCTATATAGAGTGAAACTGTATGCTTTATTGCAGTATGTTTCAAAACCTTTAACATCATAAATGGGGATATAATTATCCAAGGAGATAAAATTTGCAGCTTCCCCAGTTATTTAACCTGGTCTGACAAGTGTTCCACAGACTGCCATTTGGAAAACATTGTCCTAAAGCACTGTCTCTAGAAGGCGTCTGTTAAAATACAAATATGATAATTGGGAGAAATATACTATATTAAATTATATATTAACTATTATACCCATTTTCATATTTGAGGGCAACATGTTCCCAGAAGGATAGAGCATCAGAAATATCCATTGCCCTTGGGGAGCTCATAGTCTATTGGTGAGACAGGAGAGAACGAAATCTACAGCACTATGGTAAGGACTTATATAATGGTACCTTGAATGAGGATGGTGGCAGTGAAAATAAAATGAAATGGACAGATTTGGGATATATTTTAGAGGAAGATCAATAGGACTTGGTGATGGATTCGGGGATGTAGGATGACAAAAAGGAGAAAGTTTTAAAATGACCGTAAGGTGTTTGATTTTGCAACTGCATGAATAGTGATGCCACTCACTATGACACAGAATGGAAAAGGGGAATGGGTTTTGGGAAGACAACGAGTCTAGCCTGTGAGATTTCTAAGGAAAGTTATTCTCAGGATCATCCTATGTGGCTGTTATTAGTCTCTCTGCTCTGCTACATCGTACAGTGAAGAAGCAGTTCTCATGAGGTATGTCACATTAAAGATTCTGTCTAAATCATTTATCCTCTCACTTATTCCTACAGTAGCTTAATTGATTAACTGAAATACCAGACATAGCCTACAGCACTCAGAACTTCACAGACAGAACACAGCTATTCACAAAATAAGGTTATTTCTGATCAAATATAGGAGATGATCAGATTAATAAATTAAGATTGTTAACATTTATAAGATTTTTAACATGAAAGAGTGAAAATATAACAAATTGTATATAGTTTTTTTATTGCTATTTACTCAGTCAGCCAACATTTATTATGTGTCTAGTATCTGCCAAGTTCAATACTGATTTTAAAGATGAAACAGAGTTCTTGATGTTGAATTGTTCTTAAAGACGAAACAGAGTTCTTGATGTTGAATTGTTCAGCGTCTGGGTGTGTGGGTCAGTGACACAGACATATAAAAGCAAGTAAAATAAATTTTTAGGCGGTCTGTAATAGAAGACCATATTGTACATAGTAAGGGAACAATGGCGGAAACATTCGATTCTAGTGGAGGGTGGGCAGAGAACTTGACACTTGAACTCATTCTTACAAAATGGAAAAGATGTTCTCTAAGTGGACAGAGGGGTGAGATGAAATACAAGAGGACACTCCATGAAAAAAATAACCTTGTTGCAAAAGTTAGATGTTTGAAATGCATCTTGCAGGTAATAGGAAGCAATTTAAGTATGTTAAGCAGAGAAATAATGAGTTAGATTTATGATTTATAAAGATAACCCTGGCAGTTGCATGGAGGGCAAATTAAAGAGAACAAGACTGAAGGCAGGAAGGTCAATTAGAAGTTATTGAAAGGGTTCAAACAGGGGATGATGGAGCAATATCAGTGAGGATAGAGAACAGATGGATCAGAGAGATGTCAACAAGGTAGAATCTAAAGACTTTGTGACTTTCTTTTAAAAGTTTTTATTTTTCTATTATTTCAATAGTTTTGGAAGAACAAGTGGTTTATGGTTACATGGAGAAGTTCTTTAGTGATGTTTCTGAGATTTTGGTGCACCCATCACTCGAGCAGTGTACACTGTACCCAATGTGTAGTCTTTTATCCCGCCTCCAACTCCCACCGTTCCATCCGAGTCCCCAGAATCCATTATATCATTCTTCCTCTTCTTCTTCTTTTTTTTTTTTTCTGAGATGGAATCTCGCTCTGTCACCCAGGCTGGAATGCAATGGCACAATCTCTGCTTACTGCAACCTCTGCCTCCCAGGTTCAAGCGATTCTCCTGCCTCAGCCTCACCAGTAGCTGGGACTACAGGCACGTGACTACACGCAGCTAATTTTTGTATGTTTTGCAGAGAAGGGGTTTCACCATGTTGGCTAGGCCAGTCTCGAATTCCTGACCTCAAATGATCTACCCTCCTTGGCTTCCCAAAGTACTGGGAATACAAGCAGAAGCCACCGTGCCCGGCCTCCATTACATCATTCTTATGCCTTTGCATCCTCATAGCTTAGCTCCCACTTATAAGTGAGAACATACGATGTTTGGTTTTCCATTCCTGAGTTACTTCACTTAGAATAATGGTCTCCAACTCCATCCAGGTTGCTGCAAATGCCATTATTTTATTCCTTTATATGGCTAAGTAGTATTCTATGGTATATACATATAGCACATTTTCTTTGTTTTCTTCAACTTTTATTTTAAGTTCCACTGTACATGTGCAGGATGTGCAGGTTTGTTACATAGGTAAACATGTGCCATGATGGTTTGCCTCACAGATAAACCCATCAACTAGGCACATTTTCTTTATCTACTTATTGGTTCACAGGAATTTAGGCTGGTTCCATATTTTTGCAATTGCAAATTGTGCTGCTATAAACATGGATGAACAAGTGTCTTTTTCACATAAGGACTTTTTTCCTCTGGGTAGATACCCAGTAGTGGGATTGCTGGATCAAATGGTAGTTCTACTTTTCATTCTTTAAGGAATCTCCATACTATTTTCCATAGTGGTTGTACTAGCTTACATTCCCACCAGCAGTGTAAAAGTTTTCCCTTTTCATCACATTCACACCAACGTCTATTATTTTTTGATTTTTTAAAATTTTAGCCAGTCTTGCAGGAATAAGGTGGTATCACCTTGTGGGTGTGATTTGCATTTCCCTGATAATTAGTGATATTGAGCATTTTTTATCATGGGGTTTTTGGCCATTTAAATATCTTCTTTTGAGAATTGTCTATCTCCTTACCCCAGTTTTTGATGAGACAATTTGTTTTATTCTTGTTGATTTGTTTGAGATCCTTGTAGATTCTGGATATTAGTCCTTTGGTGGATGCACAGTTTGCGAATATTTTCTCCCACTCTGTGGGTTGTCTGTTTACTCTGCTGATTGTTTCTTTTGCTGTGCAGAAGCTTTTTAGTTTAATTAAGTCCCATGTATTTATCTTTGTTTTTATTGCATTTGCTTTTGAGTTCTTTGTCATGAACTCTTTGCCTAAACCAATGTCTAGAAGAGTTTTTCTGATGTTATATTCTAGAATATTTATGGTTTCGGGTCTTAGGTTTAAGTTTTTGATCTATCACGAGTTAATTTTTGTATAAAGTAGGAGATGAGGATCCAATTTCATTCTTCTACATGAGGCTTGCCAATTATCCCAGAACCATTTGTTGAATAGGGTGCCCTTTTCCCAATTTACGTTTTTGTTTGCTTTGTCAAAGATCAATTGGCTGTAAGTATTTGGCTTTATTTCTGGGTCCTCTATTTTGTTCCATTGGTCTACATGCCTGTTTTATACCAGTACCATGCTGTTTTGGTAAATATAGCCTTGTAGTATAGTTTGAAGTCAGGTAACGTGTTGCCTCCAGATTTGTTATTTTTGTTTAGTCTTGCTTTGGCCATGCGGGCTCTTTTTTGGTTCCATATGAATTTCAAGATTGTTTTTCTACTTCTGTGAAGAATGATGACGGTATTTTGATGGAAATTACATTGAATTTATAGATTGCTTTTGGCAGTATGGTCATTTTCACAATATTGATTCTACCCATCCATGAACATGGGATGTGTTTCCACTTGTTTATGCCACCTATGATTTCTTTCAGCAGTGTTTTGTAGTTTTCCTTGTAGAGGTCTTTCACCTCCTTGGTTAGGTATATTCCTAGGTATTTTACTTTTTTGCAGCTGTTGTAAAAGAGGTTGAGTTCTTAATTTGATTCTCAGCTTGGTCACTGTTGGTGTATAGCAGTGCTACTGATTTGTGTACAGTTATTTTCATCCTGAAACTTTACCAATGCAGAAAAAGCATTTGACAAAATCCAGCATCCCTTTATGATTAAAACCCTCTGCAAAATCAGCATAGAAGGGACATACCTTAAGGTAAGAAAAGCCATCTATAACAAACTCACAGCCAACATTATACTGAATGGGGAAAAGTTGAAAGCATTCTCCCTGAGAACTGCAACAAGACAAGCATGCCCACCTTAACCACTTCTATTCAGTGTAGTACTGGAAGTCCTAGCCAGAGCAATCAGACAAGAGAAAGAAACAAAGGGCATCCAAATCGGTAAAGAGGAAGTCAAACTGTTGCTGTTTGCTGATGATATGATCGTACACCTAGAAAACCCTAAAGACTAACCCAAAAAGCTCCTAGTTCTGATAAATGAATGTGGTAAAGGACTTCGTGACTTTCTGGATGTGCTATGAGACATCAGGAATGGACTCTAATGATAATACTCTCATTTTGTTCTTTATGAGCAACTTAATCAATGACAATTCTATTGGTAAGATGGAAAAATAAGGATAATTTAGGGGAAAGATGATGATTTTAGTTTTAACATAAATGTGAAGTGTCTGAGACATATGTAAATATTTAGTGAACACTTAAATATATGAGCCTTAATTGAAGTGAAAGATCTGCATTTGAAATCTATTTGGGAGCTGACACTGTATATATGGTATTTGATTCCAGGGAATGTAGGGACTTCTACTTCCTAGTTGTATGGACAAGCGCTCCATCCAAAAATACTAGAGAAAGAAATCAATAAAACACTTACACACACAAAAAAAGAGTAAGGGCAAGGAATTTTGATGAACATGATGAAACGTGACCTAATTATAACGCATACAGCACTACACGCAACAATAGCAGGACTCATTTTCTTTTAAAGTATGTGGGGAGCATTTAACAAAATTGATCACATGCTTGGCAACAAAGAAAGCCTTGACAAGTTTATAAAGATTGAAATCATTCAGAGTATCGTCTTGATTCAGTGGATGTAATCTAGAAACCAACAACAAAATAATAAATACAAAATTCTAAATTTCCTGTGAATTATACAATGTACTATGAAATAGTCAATGGATCAAGGAAGATATCACAAGTAAAAGTAGAAAACATTTCGAAGTAGAATATAATGAATATATTGCAATTTCTGATATGCAGCTTTAGTAGATATTAGAAGAAATTTTATAAGTGTGAAATCTCATCTATAGAACTGAAGAAAGACTAGAACTAAATCAATACAGAACTAAATCAATAATTTGGACTTTTACATTTCAAGAAGTTAGAAAACAACAGTAAAATTTAACCTTAGAATACTGTGAGGAAAGAATAATATATAGGAAATCTGAATGGTCCAATTTTCATAAAGAAACGGCATTGTGATGGTAATTTCTATATGTCCACTTTATCTAGGCTATAGTCTCCAACTATTCAATCAAACACAAATCTGGGTATTGATGTGAATGTATTACATATATGTGATTAACATGTATAATCAGCTGACTTTAAGTAAAGGAGAATAACTTAGACACATAGATAGATAGGTAGATAGATCTCCCTCCCTTCCCCTTCTCTCTCTCTATATCTATCTATCTATCTATCTATATATATATAGAGAGAGAGAGAGAGAGAAAGTATACATACAGTGTATATGTGTGTGTATATGGTATATATATTTCTCTGGTGGAACCCTGACTGATACAGACACTATTAACAAATCAAATAAATCAAATGCCTAGAAATTTATCTGATAACAGGCATGAAAAAAATTTATGCTGAAACTTATCACATTTCGAGAAAAAAAGACATAAATAAATGGAGAGAGAGACTATATTATGGATCATACGACTAAATATTGCTAAGATGTAAAATCTCAAAACAAAGAGATGTAAAATCTTCTTTAATTAATATAGATTCAACAGAGTCGCAGTGAAAATCCCAGTATGTTTTTGGATAATTTACTAGGTGATTCTACAATTTATAAGAAAATGCAAAGGGTCAAGAATAATGGGTATTTCATAGAAAAGGACCAAACAAGAGGAATTTACTACCAGATAAAAATCCCTATTATAAAGGAATAGTAATTGAGAGGGCATAGTATTGGCAAAAGGATAATCAAACTAATTAATGGAACAAAATCTAGAGTCCAGAATTAAACCCACACATATACTGTCATCTGATTTATAACAAGAAAACACTGCAGTACTTTGGAGAAATAATGGTTCGTTCAGTATAGTTCTGAGTCAAGTGAATATATCTATGGAAAAAAAATCAACCCTGGATGAACTTCCAGAATGGCTGCTTAAGTGCACAGTGGACATTCTCCCCAGCAAAACAACCATTTTACTGCTGCAAATTATTTTTTGAAAAAACATTTAAAGTATTTGGAAATTGTCCTAAGAGCCTAAAGCAAATAGAAAAACATCTAATCAAGAAAATTATCTAACTCTCTGTAAGAGCAATGAGAATCCGTGACACTTGAGCCTTGGCATGTTTATATCCCCATCACTACCAGCTCACTGTGATGGAAATTCTACTCCAGGCATCTGCAATTAAGAAGATGGGCTCCCTCTCTACCTAGCTCCCAATCTAGGGTTACAGTTGTACCCTATGTGAGGCAGGCCACCAGCATCAGTCATCACCCCAAGTTCCATATTGCAGAAGTTCTATTCTGGGCAGTTACAGCAGGCCAGTCTTCCTTCCCCCGACTCAATGCCTACTTATGGGGTGGAAGTTTTACTTCAGTCAGAGCAGGCATAGTATACTCTGCCCTGAACACACCTGACCTAGGTCTCTAGAAGGGTAGAGGTTGCACATTTCAAGTAGAAAAGACCAGGGACTACCTTCAAAACCCGATCACTGCTCCTAGAGCTGGGGTGTCACTCTAGGAGAAGCATGCTGCTATCCTTACCCCAGGCTCCCTTGCAATAGCACAGAAATTCTGCCCAAGGGAAAAGGCAAGACATAAAATAGCAGAACTCTACAGCTCAGACTAAGGGAACTGGCTTTATTTTTTAAAGTGTGTAAGGAAATTCAAACTTAAGGTATTGTTGAAAACAATTTTGGTGGTGACAAGTTAAGAGAAGGCTGGTAGCTCAATGATACTTCTTGGGGAGATGAGCTAGAAGTACATATTTGTAAATTTACCATTTTTAATTCTGTTATAGATTTCCAATTTCATTCCATTTTGGTCATAGATTATATTTTGTATGGCTTCAGTAATTTTAAATTTATAGAGACATGTTTTACAGGCTAGCAAGGCTAGCATATGGTCTATGCTGGAGAAAGTTTCATGTGCGCTACAGAAAAATGAGCATTGGCTATTACTGGGTGGAATGTTGCACAGATTTGTCTTAGGTCTAATTGGTCTGTCCGTTATTGAAAGTGAGATATTGAAGTCTCCCATGATTATTGGTGAATTTTCTATTTGTCTCTTCATCTGTTTTTGTTTCATTTATTTTTAGGAATATATATATATACATTCCATATATATATATTTTCCATATATACATATATATTCCATATATTTTTTATATATACATATATATTCCATATATTTTTTCAATATATACTCCATATATGTATATTTTTTCCATATATATTCCATATATATATTCCATATACATGTATTCCATATATATATTCCATATACATGTATTCCATATATATATTCCATATCTATATTCCATAAATATATTCCATATATCTATATAGTCCATCTCTATATATTCCATATATATCTATATTCCATCTCTATATATTCCATCTCTATATATTCCATATATATCTATATTCCATCTCTATATATTCCATATATATCTATATTCCATCTCTATATATTCCATATATATCTATATTCCATCTCTATATATTCCATATATATCTATATTCCATCTCTATATATTCCATATATATCTATATTCCATCTCTATATATTCCATATATATCTATATTCCATCTCTATATATTCCATATATATCTATATTCCATCTCTATATATTCCATATATATCTATATTCCATCTCTATATATTCCATATATCTCTATATTCCATCTCTATATATTCCATATCTCTATATTCCATCTCTATATATTCCATATATATATTCCGTATCTATATTCCGTATATATATTCCGTATATGTATATTCCATATATATATTCCGTGTATGTATGTATTCCATATAGATAAATTCCGTGTATGTATGCATTCCGTATACATATATTCCGTGTATGTATGTATTCCGTATAGATATATTCCGTGTATATATGTATTCCGTACAGATATATTCCGTGTATGTATGTATTCCGTACAGATATATTCCGTGTATGTATGTATTCCGTACAGATATATTGCGTGTATGTATGTATTCCGTACAGATATATTTCGTGTATATATACAGTCCGTATATATATATATTCCGTGTATATATACAGTCCGTGTATATATATATTCCATGTATATATATAGTCCGTGTATATATATATTCCGTGTATATATATAGTCCGTAGATATATATATATTCCGTGTATATATATAGTCCGTACATATATATATATTCCGTGTATATATATAGTCCGTACATATATATATATTCCGTGTATATACATAGTCCGTACATATATATATTCTGTCTAAATATAGTCCGTACATATATATATTCCGTGTCTATATATAGTCCGCACATATATATATTCCGTGTCTATATATAGTCTGCACATATATATATTCCGTGTCTATATATAGTCCGTACATATATATATTCCGTGTATATATATATTCCGTGTATATATATATTCCGTGTATATATATATTTCGCGTATATGTTCCGTATATACATATATTCCGCGTATATGTTCCGTATAT
Organism: Homo sapiens; assembly: GCF_000001405.40. Classification (NCBI taxonomy): domain Eukaryota; kingdom Metazoa; phylum Chordata; class Mammalia; order Primates; family Hominidae; genus Homo; species Homo sapiens. Next base: position 131,137,169 of record NC_000023.11, on the reverse strand, counting down.
ACATATATTCCGCGTATATATGTTCCGTATCTACATATATTCCACGTACATATGTTCCATATATACATATAGTACGCGTATATATGTTCCGTATATACATATAGTCCGCGTATATATGTAACGTATATACATATAGTCCGCGTATATATGTTCCGCATATACATATAGTCCGCGTATATATAAATTCCATATATATAGTCCGTGTATATATAAATTCCGCATATATATATACTCCGCGTATATATAAATTCTGTATATATATATAGTCCGCGTTTATATAAATTTGGTATATATATATTCCGTATACATATATATTCCGTATATATATATTCCGTATACACATATATATTCCGTATACATATATATATTCGGTATATATATTCCGTATACATATATATATTCCCTATATATATTCCGTACACATATACATATATTCTGTATATATATATTCCGTATACATATACATATATTCCGTATATATATTCCGTATACATATACATATATATTCCGTATATATATTCCGTATATATATTCCCTCTATATATATTCCATCTATATATTCCCTCTATATATTCCATCTATATTCCCTCTATATATATTCCATCTATCTATTCCCTCTATATATATTCCATCTATATATTCCATCTATGTATATTCCATCTATATATTCCATTTCTATATATTCCATCTCTATATTCCATCTCTATATATTCCATCTATATATATTCCATCTATATATATTCCATCTATATATTCCATCTGTACATAGTCCATCTATATAGTCCATCTATATATTCCATCTATATATAGACCATCTATATATTCCGTATATATATATTCCATCTATATATTCCGTATATATATTCCAACTATATAGTCCGTATATATATATTCCATATATATATTCCATATATATATTCCATATATATATTCCATATATATATTCCATATATATATTCCATATATATATTCCATATATATATTCCATATATATATTCCATATATATATTCCTAAATATATTCGTAAATATATTCTAAATGTATCCTAAATATTTCCTAAATACATTCCTAAATATATTCCTAAAATATATATATATATATATTCCTAAAAATAAATGGAACAAAAATAGATGAAGAGACAAACAGAAAATTCACCAGTAATCATGGGAGACCTCAATATCTCACTTTCAATAACAGACAGACCAATTAGACCTAAGACAAATCTGTGCAGCATTCTACCCAGCAATAGCCAATGCCCATTGTTCTCTAGCGCAGATGAAACTTTCTCCAGCATAGACCATATGCTAGCCTTGCTAGCCTATAAAACATGTCTCTATAAATATATAAAATATGTATATATTATATATAAAATCAATATATAAAATAATATCTATATATTATATATAAAATAAATATATAAAATATTATCTATATATTATATATAAACATATAAAATAATATCTATATATTATATGTAAAATAAATATATAAAATAATTATCTATAAATATATAAAAATGTTATATCTTCCTGAGGAGTTGACCATTTTATTATTATATAATATTCCTCCTTATCTCTGGTGACACTTTTTTGTATTAAATTCTGTTTAAATTCTGATATTAGAATGGGCACGGTGGCTGACGCCTATAATCCCAGCATGTTGGCAGGCCGAGGAAGAAGGATAACTTGAGGCCAGTAGTTTGAGAGAAGCCTAGGCAACATAGTGAGAACTTATCTTTCCAAATTTTAAAAATTAGCCTGGCATGGTGGCACATGCCTGTAGTCCCAGCTACTTGGGGGGCTGAGGCAGTAGAATCCCTTGAGCCCAAGAGTTTGAGGCCACAGAGAGCTGCAATTACACCACTGCATTCCAGCGTGGGTGACAAAGGGACATCCTGTCATAAGAACAAATTTATTTATTATTCCGATATTAGTATCACCACTCCAGGTATTTTATGGTTGATATTTGTAAGTATGTTATTTTCTATCCTTTTACTTCAACCTATATGTATCATTGAATCTAAATTACATCTCTTATAGATAGGATATGGTTGGATTTGTTGGTGTTTTCTTTTCTAGGTTAATGAACAGAATAGAAAACTCTGAAATGGACCCACACAAATATGCTCAGCTGATTTTTGACAAAGATGTGAAGACAATTCAATAAAGCAAGTATAGTCCTTCTAACAAATAGTGTTGGAGCAATTGGAATTACAAACATGTGTGCACGCATGCACACACACACACAGAGACAACTTCAACTGAAAATTCAAACCTCACACCTTATGTAAAATTTAAATCAAACATTAACTTAAATTTAAAACATAAACCTATAAGACGTCTATAAAAATCATAGGAGAAAACTGCAAGATCTAGGGCTAGGGAATTAATTCTTAGAGTTAACACCAAAAGCATAATGCATAAAATAATAAATTAACAAACTGGACATCATCAAAATTAAAAATTCTCTTTTGCAAAAGCCCAGGTGAAGAACATGAAAATAAGGCATAGATTTGAAGGAAGTATTTGCAAACCAGCTATCTGACAAAGAACTAATATCTATAACATACAAAAACTTTGAAAACTCAACATTTAAAAAATCCAATGAGAAAACCAGCAGAGGACATGAGCAGACATTTCACTGAGGAGAATATACAGATGGTAAATAAGCACATTAAAAGCTATTCAACATCATTAGCCATCGGTGAAATGTAAGTTAAAACTACAGTGAGATATCACTGCACATCTATCAGAATGGCAAAAATAAAAATATAGTGACAACTGGACGTGATGGCACACACCTGTAGACCCAGCTACTCAGGAGCCTGAGGCAGGAGGATTGCTTGAGCCCAGGAGTTCTGGGCTGAGGTGCCCTATGCTGATTGGTTGTCTGCACTAAGTTCAGTATTCAGCTTCAACATGGGGACCTCCCAGGAGAAGGAAACCACCAGGTTGCCTAAGGAGAGGAATAACCTGCCCAGATTGGAAACAGCAGATCAAAACTCTCATGCTGATAAGTAGTGGGATCATACTTGTGAATAGCCACTGCACTCCAGCCTGGGCAACATAGCGAGATTCCATCCCTAAAAAAATAAAATTATATGTATATAACAATGAGAACACTTGGACACAGGAAGGGGAACATCACACACCAGGGCCTGTTGTGAGGTGGGGGGAGGGGGAAGGGATAGCATTAGGAGATATACCTAATGTAAATGACCAGTTAATGGGTGCAGCACACCAACATGGCACATGTATATATATGTAATAAACCTGCATGTTGTGCACATGTACCCTAGAACTTAAAGTATAATAAAAATATATATATTAAAAAGAAAAAAATTAGATGTATATATAATTATACATAATATTATATGTATATATATTAAGAGACAGAAGATTATATGTATATATAATTATACATAAGTTACATACATATATAATTATATATTAAATTATGTATAATATTACATATAGTGACGAATATGGTTTGGCTGTGTTCCCACCTAAATCTCATCTTGAGTTGTAGCTCCCACAATTCCCACGTGTTGTGTGAGGACCCAGTGGGAGGTAATTGAATCATGGGGGAGGGTTTTTCCCTGTGCTGTTCTCGTGATAGTGGATAAGTCTTAGGAGATCTGATGGTTTTAAAAAGGGAAGTTCCCCTGCACATGCCCTCTTGCCTGCCACCATGTAAGTTGTGACTTTGCTCCTCCTCACTTTCTGCCATGATTGTGAGGCCTCTCCAGCCACGTGGAGCAGTGAATCCATTAAACCTCTTTTTCTTTATAAATTACCCAGTCTCTTGTATGTCTTTATTAGCAGTGTGAGAACAGACTAATACAGTGACAACATAAAATTCTAGTGAGGACGTGAATTAATTGGATCACTTATACACTGCTGGTGAAAATGTAAAATTGTATAGCCTCTATAAGTTTGCTAGTGCTGCTGTAATAAAGTACCACAAAATGGGTGGCTTAAACAAAAGAAAATTTTTGTCTCACAGTTCTGTATGCTAGAAGTCCAAAATCAAGATGTCAGTAGGATTAGTCCCTTCTGAGGTCTGTGAGGGAAGAATCCGTTCCATGCCCCTCTCCTTGGCTTGTAGATGGTCATCTTCTCCCTGTGTCTCTTTACATCATCTTCCTTCAATGCATGTCTCTGTATCCAAATTTCCCCTTTTGATAAGGACACTGGTCATATTGGATTAGAGCTCACCCTAATGACCTTATTTAACTTGATTTCCTCTGTAAAGATCTTATCTCCAAGTAAGGTCACATTCTGAGTTATGAGGGGTGAGGACTTTAACATATAAATTTTGGGAGAACACAGTTCAACCCCAGTCACTCTGGGAAACAGTTTGGCAGGTGCTTATAAAACTAAACATGCAACTATACAACCCAGCAATCGCACTTCCTGGCATTTAACTCAGAGAAATGAAAACATATGTTCACCCCAAATCCAGTACATAACATTCGTAGCAGCTTTATTCATAATAGTCAAACACCGGAAACAACCCAGGTGTTCTTCAACAGGTGAATAGTAAAACTGCGGTACAATATACTCAGCAATAAAAAGGCACAGACTATTGATACATACAACTTGTCAATCCCATAAGATTACATACCTATGATTCCACTTATAAAACATTTTGGGGCCAGGTACAGTGGTTCATGTGTGTAATCCCTGCTCTTTGGGAGGTCAAGGCAGGGGGATGGCTTGAGGTCAGGAGTTCAAGACCACCCTGGGCAAAATAGGGAGACCCTGTCTCTACAAAAAAATTTAAGATCCCAGACATTGTGGCGTGTGCCTGTGGACCCAGCTACTAGGAGAGCTGAGGTGGGAAGATTGCTTGAGCCACTTTACTCCAGCCTGGGCGACAGAGTGAGACTCTGTCTCAAAATAAATAAATAAATAAATAAATACATAACAAAATATTTTTTAATGAAGAACAGACTAGTGGTTGTTAAGGGTTAGGGATGAGAGAAATAGCAGGAGGGAGGCAGCTGTAGCTATAATAGAAGGTACCCTTGTGATGAAATTGTTATTTATCTTGACTGGTAGTGGATACAGAAACCTAAAAGCATGATAAAATTTTATAGAACTAAGTACACACATACACAAGTGAGTGCAAGTAATACTGGGGAAACCTGAGTAAGATAAGTGAATTGTATCAATGTCAGTCTTAATTTGCCATATTAACAGAACAAAATGAGAAAAAGAATGCATAATAGGTGGAGAAAAACTATTCGACAAAATTCAAAATCTATTCATTATAAAAGCTCTCAGAAAACTAGTAGGTATAGTCATGTGCCTTGTAACAATGTTTTGGTCAACAACAAGCCACATACCTATCTATGCTAGTGACCCCATAAGATAATAATGGAGCTGAAAAATTCTATAGCACAATACATTACTCATTTGTTCATGGTGATGGTGGTGTAACTAAACTCACTGCACTGCAGGTCATATAAAAGTCTAGCACATTCAATTATGTACAATACCTAATATTTGATAATGATAATAAATGACTATATTACTGGCTTATGAATTTACTATAATTTTTATCACTATTTTAGAGTGTATTTCTTCTATTTATATTTTTTTAAAAAGTTAACTGTAAAGTATCCTCAGGCAGGTCCTTCAGGAGGTATTCCAGAAGAAGGCATTTTTATCATAGGAAATGACAGCTCCATGTGTTATTGTCCCTGAAGACCTTCCAGTGGGACAAAATGTGGAGGGGGAAGACAGCAATATGGATGATCCTGACCCTGTGTAAGCCTAGGCTTATGTGTGTGTTTGTGTCTTAATTTTTAACAGATGTTTAAATATTTAAAAATAAAAATAGTAAGAACATTATATAATAAGGATATAAAATATGTTTGTACAGCTATACCATGTGTTTGTGTTTTAAGTTGTGTTACTACAAAAGAGTCAAAAAGTTAAAAATTATTATGTGACAGTAAGCTAAGGTTAATTTATTATTGAATGAAAATATTCTTTTATAAAGTTGCTGCAGCCTAAGTATACAGTGCTTATAAAGTCTACAGTAGTGTACATTAATGACATAGGCTTTAACATTCACCACTCACTGACTCACTCAGAGCAACTTCCAGTCCTGCAAGCTCCATTCATGGCAAGTGCCCTATACGTGAGTACTATTTTCAAATATTTTATACTGTATTTTTACTATACCTTTTCTATGCTTAGATATGTTTAGATACACAAGTACTTACATTGTGTTACAATTGCCTGTAGTATTCAGTACAGTAATATGATGTACAGTTTTGTAGCCTCAGAGCAGTAGATAATGGAGCTGAAAAACACCGTAGAGCTTAGGTGTATAGTAGGCTATATCATTTAGGTTTGTGTAAGTACACTCTATGATGTTCACACAATGACAAAAATCACGTAACGACACATTTCTCAGAATGTATCCCCGTCAAGAATGTACCCCTGTCATTAAACAATGTATGCAGGAACTTACTCAATGTGATAAAGGGCGTCTACCAAAAACCTACAGTTAACATGACGTTAATGGTGATATCTTCATTGCCTTCTTAACTAAGTGTGAGAAAAGCAATGAAATCAATTCTCATCACTTACATTCAACATTGTACTGGAGGTCCAAACCGGTTCAATAACACAAAAAAAAGTAGAAATCTGAAAGATTGGAGAAAAAATAGTAAAACTGTCATTATTCATAGATGAGATAATTGTATGTACAGAAAATCCTGTGGAATCTACAAAGAAAGCTACAACAACAAAAACAACAAAAAACCCTAGAACTACTAATTGAATTTATAAGGGAGTAGGGTATAAAATGAATAAATGAAAATTAATCACATTTATATATATAGGCCATAAAACAATTTTTTCCAAAAATTAGAAAAGGGAATCAAAAATGCCATGTACAATGAGATTTTTAAATCATGAAATGCTTAGGAATAGGTTTAATTTAAAAAATGCAATATCTTTACACTTAAAAATTACAACACATTGGTGAAAGAAATTAAAGACAATTAAAATAAATGGGAAAAAATTGCCATTGATTATATGTCTCAATATTAAGATTTTAATTCTTTCCAAATTGATCTAAAGATATAATATAATTACAATCAAAATCCCATCAGGTTTTGTTGAAGAGAGTGATAAGCTGATTTAAAATTTATATGGAAAAGTAAAGACACTAAAATAGCCAAAAAAGACTTTTATAAAGAAACAAAGTTGAAGGATTCAACCTACCAGATTTCAAGTCTTACCATAAAGTTGCAGAAAATAAGACAGTATGGTATAGGCCTAAGAATGAACAAGTGTATTAACAAAACAGAATAGAAAGCACATAAATAGACCCGCATATACAAAAGCAACTCATTTTCCAAAATAGCACAAAGGGAACTCAATGCAGAAAAGAAAGATTTCAACAAATGATGCCAGAAATCTACATAGAAAAAAAATGAGCCATAACCCCTATATCGCACCAAAAAACTTGATTCAAGATGGAGCACAGAACTAAATATGGAAAACTAGGACTACAAAGTTTATGGAAGAAAGCACAGAAAAAGAACTTCATAAACATTGAGTAGGAAAAAATTATACAGAGAAGAGACAAAAAAAGAGTAAAATAACATTTCTAAAATGACACATTGGACTTAATCAAAATAAAAATATTTCTGCTTGTTAAAAGACACAGATGGGAAAAAGACAATAAAATGTAATGTCTATTCTAGCTGTGAGGAGTAAACTGCAGAAGTCTAGTACCCTCACCATAAAAAACTAGAAAACTAGATGAAACATATGAAGCAACTTTTCAGATATAAGACAACAGTCAGTGATGAACTGTCATATCACAGGAAGAATCTAGTGAGATGATTCTTAAAGAAGGGTTAAGCAAGACTCCAAAGACTAGTAAAAATACATCAAGCAGGGGGGAGGAGCCCAGATGGCCGAATAGGAAGAGCTCCAGTCTACAGCTCCCAGCGTGAGCCATGCAGAAGATGGGTGATTTCTGCATTTCCATCTGAGGTACCGGGTTCATCTCAATAGGGGGTGCCAGACAGTGGGCGCAGGTCAGTGGGTGCGTGCACCCTGTGCGAGCCGAAGCAGGGCGAGGCATTGCCTCACTCGGGAAGTGCAAGGGGTCAGGGAGTTCCCTTTCCTAGTCAAAGAAAGAGGTGACAGACGGCACCTGGAAAATCGGGTAACTCCCACCTGAATACGCTTTTCCGACGGGCTTAAAAACCGGCGCACCATGAGATTATATCCCACACCTGGCTCGGAGGGGCCTACGCCCACGGAGTCTCACTGATTGCTAGCACAGCAGTCTGAGATCAAACTGCAAGGCGGCAGCGAGGCTGGGGGAGGGGCGCCCGACATTGCCCAGGCTTGATTAGGTAAACAAAGCAGCTGGGAAGCTCGAACTGGGTGGGGCCCACCACAGCTCAAGGAGGCCTGCCTGCCTCTGTAGGCTCCACCTCTGGGGGCAGGGCACAGACAAACAAAAAGACAGCAGTAACCTCTGCAGACTTAAATGTCCCTGTCTGACAGCTTTGAAGAGAGCAGTGGTTCTCCCAGCACGCAGCTGGAGATCTGAGAACGGGCAGACTGCCTCCTCAAGTGGGTCCCTGACCCCTGACCCCCGAGGAGCCTAACTGGGAGGCACCCCCCAGCAGCGGCAGACTGACACCTCACAAGGCCGGGTACTCCAACAGACCTGCAGCTGAGGGTCCTGTCTGTTAGAAGGAAAACTAACAAACGGAAAGGACATCCACACCAAAAACCCATCTGTACATCACCATCATCAAAGACCAAAAGTAGATAAAACCACTAAGATGGGGAAAAAACAGAAACTCTAGAAAAACTGGAAACTCTAAAAAGCAGAGCACCTCTCCTCCTCCAAAGGAACGCAGTTCCTCACCAGCAACAGAACAAAGCTGGACGGAGAATGACTTTGACGAGCTGAGAGAAGAAGGCTTCAGACGATCAAATTACTCCGAGCTACGGGAGGACATTCAAACCAAAGGCAAAGAAGTTGAAAACTTTGAAAAAAATTTAGAAGAATGTACAACTAGAATAACCAATAGAGAGAAGTGCTTAAAGGAGCTGATGGAGCTGAAAACCAAGGCTCAAGAACTACGTGAAGAATGCAGAAGCCTCAGGAGCCGATGCGATCAACTGGAAGAAAGGGTATCAGCGATGGAAGATGAAATGAATGAAATGAAGCGAGAAGGGAAGTTTAGAGAAAAAAGAATAAAAAGAAACGAGCGAAGCCTCCAAGAAATATGGGACTATGTGAAAAGACCAAATCTACGTCTGATTGGTGTACCTGAAAGTGACGGGGAGAATGGAACCAAGTTGGAAAACACTCTGCAGGATATTATCCAGGAGAACTTCCCCAATCTAGCAAGGCAGGCCAACGGTCAGATTCAGGAAATACAGAGAACGCAACAAAGATCCTCCTTGAGAAGAGCAACTCCAAGACACATAATTGTCAGATTCACCAAAGTTGAAATGAAAGAAAAAATGTTAAGGGCAGCCGGAGGGAAAGGTCGGGTTACCCTCAAAGGGAAGCCCATCAGACTAACAGCAGATCTCTCGGCAGAAACCCTACAAGCCAGAAGAGAGTGGGGGCCAATATTCAACATTCTTAAAGAAAAGAATTTTCAACCCAGAATTTCCTATCCAGCCAAACTAAGCTTCATAAGTGAAGGAGAAATAAAATACTTTACAGACAAGCAAATGCTGAGAGATTTTGTCACCACCAGGCCTGCCCTAAAAGAGCTCCTGAAGGAAGCACTAAACATGGAAAGGAACAACCGGTACCAGCCGCGGCAAAATCATGCCAAAATGTAAAGACCATCGAGACTAGGAAGAAACTGCATCAACTAACGAGCAAAATAACCAACTAACATCATCATGACAGGATCAAATTCACACATAACAATATTAACTTTAAATGTAAATGGACTAAATGCTCCAATTAAAAGACACAGACTGGCAAATTGGATAAAGAGTCAAGACCCATCAGTGCGCTATATTCAGGAAACCCATCTCACGTGCAGAGACACACATAGGCTCAAAATAAAAGGATGGAGGAAGATCTACCAAGCAAATGGAAAACAAAAAAAGGCAGGGGTTGCAATCCTAGTCTCTGATAAAACAGACTTTCAACCAACAAAGATCAAAAGAGACAAAGAAGGCCATTACATAATGGTAAAGGGATCAATTCAACAAGAAGAGCTAACTATCCTAAATATATATGCACCCAATACAGGAGCACCCAGATTCATAAAGCAAGTCCTGAGTGACCTACAAAGAGACTTAGACTCCCACACATTAATAATGGGAGACTTTAACACTCCACTGTCAACATTAGACAGATCAACGAGACAGAAAGTCAATAAGGATACCCAGGAATTGAACTCAGCTCTGCACCAAGCGGACCTAATAGACATCTAGAGAACTCTCCACCTCAAATCAACAGAATATACATTTTTTTCAGCACCACACCACACCTATTCCAAAATTGACCACATACTGGGAAGTAAAGCTCTCCTCAGCAAATGTAAAAGAACAGAAATTATAATAAACTATCTCTCAGACCACAGTACAATCAAACTAGAACTCAGGATTAAGAATCTCACTCAAAACCGCTCAAATACATGGAAACTGAACAACCTGCTCCTGAATGACTACTGGGTACATAACGAAATGAAGGCAGAAATAAAGATGTTCTTTGAAACCAATGAGAACAAAGACACAACATACCAGAATCTCTGGGACACATTCAAAGCAGTGTGTAGAGGGAAATTTATAGCACTAAATGCCCACAAGAGAAAGCAGGAAAGATCCAAAATTGACACCCTAACATCACAATTAAAAGAACTAGAAAAGCAAGAGCAAACACATTCAAAAGCTAGCAGAATGCAAGAAATAACTAAAATCAGAGCAGAACTGAAGGAAATAGAGACACAGAAAACCCTTCAAAAAATTAATGAATCCAGGAGCTGGTTTTATGAAAGGATCAACAAAATTGATAAACCTCTGGTGAGACTAATAAAGAAAAAAAGAGAGAAGAATCAAATAGACGCAATAAAAAATGATAAAGGGGATATCACCAGCGATCCCACAGAAACACAAACTACCATCAGAGAATACTACAAACACCTCTATGCAAATAAACTAGAAAATCTAGAAGAAATGGATAAATTCCTCGACACATACACTCTCCCAAGACTAAACCAGGAAGAAGTTGAATCTCTGAATAGACCAATAACAGGATCTGAAATTGTGGCAATAATCAATAGCTTACCAACCAAAAAGAGTCCAGGACCAGATGGATTCACAGCCGAATTCTACCAGAGGTACAAGGAGGAACTGGTACCATTCCTTCTGAAACTATTCCAATCAATAGAAAAAGAGGGAATCCTCCCTAACTCATTTTATGAGGCCAGCATCATTCTGATACCAAAGCCGGGCAGAGACACAACCAAAAAAGAGAATTTTAGACCAATATCCTTGATGAACATTGATGCAAAAATCCTCAATAAAATACTGGCAAACCGAATCCAGCAGCACATCAAAAAGCTTATCCACCATGATCAAGTGGGCTTCATCCCTGGGATGCAAGGCTGGTTCAATATACACAAATCAATAAATGTAATCCAGCATATAAACAGAGCCAAAGACAAAAACCACATGATTATCTCAATAGATGCAGAAAAAGCCTTTGACAAAATTCAACAACCCTTCATGCTAAAAACTCTCAATAAATTAGGTATTGATGGGACATATTCCAAAATAATAAGAGCTATCTATGACAAACCCACAGCCAATATCATACTGAATGGGCAAAAACTGGAAGCATTCCCTTTGCAAACTGGCACAAGACAGGGATGCCCTCTCTCACCACTCCTATTCAACATAGTGTTGGAAGTTCTGGCCAGGGCAATTAGGCAGGAGAAGGAAATAAAGGGTATTCAATTAGGAAAAGAGGAAGTCAAATTGTCCCTGTTTGCAGATGACATGACTGTATATCTAGAAAACCCCATTGTCTCAGCCCAAAATCTCCTTAAGCTGATAAGCAACTTCAGCAAAGTCTCAGGATACAAAATCAATGTACAAAAATCACAAGCATTCTTATACACCAACAACAGACAAACAGAGAGCCAAATCATGAGTGAACTCCCATTCACAATTGCTTCAAAGAGAATAAAATACCTAGGAATCCAACTTACAAGGGATGTGAAGGACCTCTTCAAGGAGAACTACAAACCACTGCTCAAGGAAATAAAAGAGGATACAAATGGAAGAACATTCCATGCTCATGGGTAGGCAGAATCAATATCGTGAAAATGGCCATACTGCCCAAGGTAATTTACAGATTCAATGCCATCCCCATCAAGCTACCAATGACTTTCTTCACAGAATTGGAAAAAACTACTTTAAAGTTCATATGGAACCAAAAAAGAGCCCACATTGCCAAATCAATCCTAAGCCAAAAGAACAAAGCTGGAGGCATCACGCTACCTGACTTCAAACTATACTACAAGGCTACAGTAACCAAAACAGCATGGTACTTGTACCAAAACAGAGATATAGATCAATGGAACAGAACAGAGCCCTCAGAAATAATGCCACATATCTACAACTATCTGATCTTTGACAAACCTGAGAAAAACAAGCAATGGGGAAAGGATTCCCTATTTAATAAATGGTGCTGGGAAAACTGGCTAGCCATATGTAGAAAGCTGAAACTGGATCCCTTCCTTACACCTTATACAAAAATCAATTCAAGATGGATTAAAGACTTAAATGTTAGACCTAAAACCATGAAAACCCTAGAGAAAAACCTAGGCTTTACCATTGAGGACATAGGCATGGGCAAGGACTTCATGTCCAAAACACCAAAAGCAATGGCAACAAAAGCCAAAATTGACAAATGGGATCTAGTTAAACTAAAGAGTTTCTGCACAGCAAAAGAAACCACCATCAGAGTGAACAGGCAACCTACAAAATGGGAGAAAATTTTTGCAACCTACTCATCTGACAAAGGGCTAATATCCAGAATCTACAATGAACTCAAACAAATTTACAAGAAAAAAACAAACAACCCCATCAAAAAGTGGGCAAAGGACATGAACAGACACTTCTCAAAAGAAGACATTTATGCAGCCAAAACACACATGAAAAAATGCTCACCATCACTGGCCATCAGAGAAATGCAAATCAAAACCACAATGAGATACCGTCTCACACCAGTTAGCATGGCAATCATTAAAAAGTCAGGAAACAACAGGTGTGGAGAGGATGTGGAGAAATAGGAACACTTTTACACTGTTGGTGGGACTGTAACCTAGTTCAACCATTGTGGAAGTCAGTGTGGCGATTCCTCAGGGATCTAGAACTAGAAATACCATTTGACCCAGCCATCCCATTACTGGGTATATACCCAAAGGACTATAAAGCATGCTGCTACAAACACACATGCACATGTGTGTTTATTGTGGCATTATTCACAATAGCAAAGACTTGGAACCAACCCAAATGTCCAACAATGATAGACTGGATTAAGAAAATGTGGCACATATACACCATGGAATACTATGCAGCCATAAAAAATGATGAGTTCATGTCCTTTGTAGGGACATGGATGAAATTGGAAATCATCATTCTCAGTAAACTATCGCAAGGACAAAAATCCAAACACCGCGTGTTCTCACTCATAGGTGGGAATTGAACAATGAGAACACATGGACACAGGAAGGGGAACATCACACTCTGGGGACTGTGGTGGGGTGGGGGGAGGGGGGAGGGATAGCATTGGGAGATATACCTAATGCTAGATGACGAGTTAGTGGGTGCAGCGCACCAGCATGGCACATGTATACATATGTATCTAACCTGCACATTGTGTACATGTACCCTAAAACTTAAAGTATAATAAAAAAAAATCAAGCAATACCCTATGTGAAATTTGAGCCCCCAAAAGGGAGGGTGGGGCAGGAAAATATTTGAATGAATAATTACACAAAGTATTCCAAATCTGTTCAAAATATAAACTCATCAAAACTCAATGAACACAAAGAAAGGAAGAGGAAAAAATAAAGAAAACCAAATCATATGTAACAAACCTGCATGTTGTGCACATGTACCCTAAAACTTAAAGTATAATAATAATTAAAAATAAATAAATAAAAAGAAAACCAAATCAAAATAAATAATAATTAAATTACCGATAAGTAAGATAAAAAGAAAATTTTAAATTCAGCCACAGAAAAAGATAATATATCCATGACGGAAAAGAAAGAGAAATGGCTTTTAAAATATAATTAAAAACTGTGGAAGCCAGAAATGGAAGAAAGTACTGAAAGAAAATAACACTCTCAAAGCAGAATTCATTATCCAGTTAAAATATAATTGAACGATAAAGACAAAATAAAAATTTTCACACAAAATAAATGTCTGTATTACAGGAAACAATAAATGAAGTTTTTTAGACTGAAAGAAAGTAAAACCAATGTTAAATGAAAATCTACATAAAGAAATGAAGGGCACTGGAAATGGTAAATATGTGATATACATAAAAAACTTTTCTCCTGTTTGTTTTTTATAAAGATAATTGCCTGTTTAACTCAGTATTAATAATACCATCTTGTAAAGTTTATTGCATGTGTAGAAATAAATTATATGACAGTAATTCAAAGGATGGAGTGGATAATGGTTGTACATTGTTCTAGGATCTTTACATCTTATATAGAATGGTAGAAAATTATTTGAAGTAGACTGTAATAAATTAAGGATGAATATTGTAAATCATGGATGACGACATAAAAATATTTTTAAAAGTTATAGCCATTAAGTCAATAGTGGTGCAACTTCAATACTAAGAGATATTCAATTCATCTAAAAGAAGGCTGAAAACAAGAAAAAGGAAAACAAAATAAGGGAAAAGAGAAAACAAAGAGAGGGAGGCTATACTTAAAGTCAACCATATTAATAATTACATTCAATAACAGTAGACCTAACACATAAATTAAAAGCCAGATATTATCAGGTTTAGCAAAAATTACAACCCAATTATAATACTGTCAGCAAAAATTATCTTTCAAATTTGAAGACATAAATTAAAAGTAAAAAGATGAAAGAAAACATCATCACAAATAAGCATAAGAACTCTGGAGTGGCTCTATTAATGTCAGAAAATGTAGACATGATTAAAACAGTAAAACAAAGGATAAAGAGTGGTTAAATGGTGTGTGCCTAGTGGCACAATTTCAAAATACATGAAGTAATAGTTAAAGAACTAAAGAGAAGAATGAAGAAATCCAAAGCACATTCAGAGATTTCAACATTACTCTCAGTAATTGATAGAACAAGTAGACAGAAATCAGTAATGTTGTGGAAGATTTGAAAAACACTATCAGCCAGCTTATTGTAATGGATATTCAGAGAATACTATACCCTAGAACTGTAAAATATATATTTCAAATGCACATGAAACATTTCCAAATATAGACTATATGCTAAGCAATATTTAAAAGGCCTCAATAAATTTGTAAGTACCAAAATTATACACGGTATGTTATCTAATGATGGAATTAAATTGGAAACCAATTACACAGCGGTATCTAGAAAATTTCTGAATATTTGGAAAATAACACACTACTAAGTATTTCATAAGTCAAAAAAGAAATCACAAGGAAAACTAGAAAAAGTTTTGAAGTGGATGATGATAAAAAGACAACATATCAAAATTTGTGGGCTATAACTTAAACAGATCTTAGAAAGAAATGTATTGCTTTAAATGATTAAATTGAAAATAAATGTTTAGAATTGATTATTCTGGCTTCTAACTTAAAAGGCTAAAAGAAAAAAGAGCAATTTAAGCCCAAAGTGAGTATAAAGAAGTAAACAATAAAAATAAGACTGGAAATCAATGAAAGAGGACACGAACAACAAATAAAAATCAACAACATCAAAAAGGAACTACAAAAGGTGTTTCTTTGAAAATATTAATGTAACTAATAAAATCCTTACAAGACTAGTTATTATAAAGAAAAAAGAAACACATTGTATCAGAACTAAAAAAGGAAATGTAACTACAGATAATGCAGATATTAAAAAGATAACAAGATATTAATTCTATTTCAACAAATTCAAAAACTGAGATGAATTGGACAAATTTGTTGAAAGACACAAAATTTTTAAAATAATAAAAAAATAAAAATATCAATAGGTCTATATCTGTTTAAGAAATTGAATTTTAAATTAAAATTCCTTCCCAAAGAAAACTCCAGACCCTCATATCTTTAACTTTTTATTCTATCAAAACCTAAAATGAGAAATAATACCAAGTTTATTCAAATTACTTCAGGAAATAGGAAAGAGAGGAGCATTTCTCAATTCTCTTAGAAAGACAAGTTATCCTGAAACAAATACCAGACAAACAGAAGAAAAATATGCACCAATATTTCTCAAGTACATATTCAAAAGAAATTTTAAACAACATTAGCAAGTTCAATTCAAAAATATGTAAAAAAGATAACATGTCATGAAAAAGTGGGGTTTACTCTGGGTATAAAAAGATGGTTTAAAACTTGGAAACCAA
Organism: Homo sapiens; assembly: GCF_000001405.40. NCBI lineage: Eukaryota > Metazoa > Chordata > Mammalia > Primates > Hominidae > Homo > Homo sapiens. The sequence continues at coordinate 131,120,561 of NC_000023.11, read as the reverse complement.
TCAATGCAATTGACCATATTTACATAATAAAGGAAATAACTAAGTTGTCATCTCAGTAACTACAGGAAAATATCATGTGAAAAATATAGCTATATTTGTGATTTTTTAGAATTTCAGTAAATTAGGAATAGAAGAGATTTTCATCAACCTAATAAAGGGAATCTAAGAAAAACTGATTGCTAACATAATTTTAATGGTAAAATGCTGAAATCTTTCTAAAATTGAGACCAAGGCAACGATGTCTGCTTTCACTACTTCTGTGCATAATTTTCTTGGAGTTTCTATCCAGTGCAATAAGAAAATAAAATATACTTCATAAAAGGCATATATATTGTAAATAAAGAAAACACTCTTCCCTTAGAGAAGACATGCTTTTGTTTACAGATAATCATATGAAATCTTTTCAAAGCATTAAAAGAACCAATAAATACAATTTAGAAAAGTCACAGGACACAATGTCAATATTCATTAGGTATATCGCCTAATGCAATACTATGCAGTCACAATGTCAATATTCAAAGAGGAAGTGAGTTTCTATACATGAACAATATACAACTGGAAATTGAAATTTTTAAAAATACTTCCAGTAGTATCAAAAACCATGAAATATGTAGTGATAAATTTATCCAAATATATAAAAAATCCTAAATGCTGAAAAATATAAAATGTTGCTGACTGAAAATAAAGAATATTGAAATCATTGGAGAGATAGATCATGCTTATGAACTGAGTCACTCAATATTAAGATGTCAGTTTAATTACGTCAGCAAGTTAATCTCTCTCTCTCTTGCTATACATATATATGTGTGTGTAGATATATATAACCCCAATCTAAATGCCAGTAGAGTTGATATAGCAGTTGACACTTTTATTCCCAAATTTATGTAGAAAAGCTAAGAATTTAGAATAGCCAAAACAGTCTTTTAAAAGGAGAACAAGTTTGGAGAATATACACAACATAATTTCAAAGCTATGGTCAGCAAAATACTGCAACATTGGTTTGATGAAAGAGACATAGATGAATAGAAGAAAATTACAAAGATAGACCCACATATGTATGATCAACAGATTTTAGACAAAGTCACCAAAGGAATTCAGTGGAGGAAAAGTAGTCTTTTCATGAAATAGTGATGGAACCATCATATCCTTAAGAAACCAATGAACATTAAGTCTTAACTAACACCATATACTAAGTTAATTCAAAATGTATTATAGACCTAAAGATGAATGTTAAAACTGTGAAACATGTAGAATAAAACATAGGAACATATATATTCAATTTCAGGGTAGGAAAAGCATTCTTACACAAGAAACACTACAAATTTTAAAAATGATACATTAGTAGTTTATTAAAATTGAAAACTTTTACTATGTTCGCTACTTGGGAGACAGGACTATTAGAAGCCCAAACCTCAGCATCACACAGTATACCCATGTAACAAACCTGCATATGTACCCCTGAAACTAAAACTTTTTTAAAAATTGAAAACTTTGTTTTCTGAAAAACACCATTAATGAAATGAAAGACAAGAAATAGGAAGGAAATGTTTGCAATATACATATCTGACAAAAGACTTTTACTAATAATACATTTAAAATCTTAGGGATGAATAAAAACACTCTACAAAGAAACATATGTAAATGACTCATAAGCAGAAATGCTCAAAATCATTAATCCTCAATGAAATGCAAGTTAAAACTGTAATGACATAACACTTCAGACCTGCCAGTACGGTTTTAATTTAAAAACAAGACAAAACAAACAAAAATTGTCAATGCCTTGTGTTTTTCAGGATATAGAGTAACTGGAACTCTCTTATACATTCTTTATGAAAATGCAAAATGGTGCCAACGCTTTAGAAAAGAGCTGGGCATGCCAGGAGCGGTGGTTCACACTTATAATTTCAACACTTTGGGAGGCCCAGACAAGAGGATCACTTGAGCCCAGAATTCAAGACCAGCCTGGGCAACATAGATAGACCACATCTCTACAAAAATAATAAAAATAAAAATTAGCCAGGCACGTTGAGGAACACCTGTGGTCCCAGCCACTTGGGAAGCTGAGGTGGGAGGATTACTTGAACTCAGGAGTTTGAGGCTGCAGTGAACCAGCATCACACCACTGCACTCCAGCCTGGGTGACAGAAGAAGACCGTCAGAAAAAAAAAAAAAAAAAAAGAAAGAAAGAAAAAAAAAAAAAGAGAGTTGAGCAGTTTCTTGTAAAGTCAGAATATTACTGTCACCGACTGTCCCAGGTTTTTAGGACTGAAAGCTTTGCTGGGATATGAAACTTTTAGGGCTAAATCTGAGACTATCCCAGGCAAACCGGGATGGGCCACATTACTTATCATATGAGCCAGTAATTCTTTCACTAAGTATTTTCCTTAAATAAATGAAAGCTGATGACCACAAAAAGACCAGTACATGAATATGCATGGCTTTATTCATAATAGCCAAAAACTGGAAGCAACTCAGAAGTTAACCAACTTGTAAATTAGTACACAAATTGTGGTATCTTTATATAACAAAATATTACTCAGCAATAAGGAGGAATAAACTACTGATAACCTTAACAAAAAAGGACAAATTTCAAAATGTATGCTGAACTTTTCACCATGCTCACACAAAAAAATGTATATGGCCGGGCGCGGTGGCTCACGCCTGTAATCCCAGCACTTTGGGAGGCCGAGGCGGGCGGATCACGAGGTCAGGAGATCAAGACCATCCCGGCTAAAACGGTGAAACCCCGTCTCTACTAAAAATACAAAAAATTAGCCGGGCGTAGTGGCGGGCGCCTGTAGTCCCAGCTACTTGGGAGGCTGAGGCAGGAGAATGGCGTGAACCCGGGAGGCGGAGCTTGCAGTGAGCCGAGATCCCGCCACTGCACTCCAGCCTGGGCGACAGAGCGAGACTCCGTCTCAAAAAAAAAAAAAAAAAAAAAATGTATATAATGTCTGATTCCATTTAATGAAATTCAAGAATAGAAAAAAATAAATCTATAGTGATAGAAAGCAGAACAGTGGCCAGGCACAGTGGCTCATCCCTGTAATCCCAGCACTTTGGGAGGCTGAGGCGGGCAGATGACAAAGTCAGGAGTTTGAGACCAGCCTGACCAATATGGTGAAATCCTGTCTCTACTAAAAATACAAAAATTAGCAGGGTGTGGTGGTGCATCCTTGTAATCCCAGCTACTCAGGAGGCTGAGGCAGGAGAATCACTTGAACCCGGGAGGCGGAGGTTGCAGTGAGCCGAGATCATGCCATTGTACTCCAGCCTGGCCTACAGAGTGAGACTATGTCTCAAAAAGAAAAAAAAAAAAAGAAAGAGAGCAGAACAGTGCCTGCTTATAACTGGATGTAGGAGAAGATTTACTGCAAAGCAACATAAGGAAACTTTCTTTTTGGGGTGATAGAAACTTCCCGTATAATAGTGATTAAATGGATGGTTTAATTTGTGTCATCAAACTAAACATGTAAAGTGGATTCATTTGATTCTATGTAACTCAAATGTCAGTAAAGTTGATTTCAAATAATATAAATATACATGTAAATTCAAAGTCAACTGAATAATAATATGGATGAGAAAATATCCTTGCCTCATATCATACACAAAACTTAACTCAGTATGGAGCAAAGCCCAAAATGTAAAAGCTAACAGTATGGATCAGAGAGAATGATGAAGCTAGGACTTTCATACATCCAAGCCTCCATAAAAGCAACAAGAACTTAGACAAAAATAATCAGAGTCAAAATTTTCTGAATTCAGAATCAATAATGGAAGTTATAATCAACATTGAATTCAGAATTTATAGTTTGGAAATTATCCAAAGGCTTACAACAATTCAAAAAACATTTATTTAAGAAAACTGAATGACTCACTAAGCACAGCAAGTTTTGTGGGGTTTTAACTTAACCTAATCCCATCCCCCTGCCCCAGCTATGCAGTAATTCTAGAAACAAACATCCCTGCAAAAAAGATGAAAACTAGCAGGCTATCAACCACTTGGAAAGTGGCAGAACAGATTTAGTCCACCCTAAAAACATCATTCCCAGAGAATTGTCATTATTTGACCAGTCTGATAGTTCCCTGGAACCTTTACTCCTAGCACTTGTTTTCATGTGACCTGCATAACTCAGGGCTCACTCAATGCAAACAGGTTTACATCTAGGGCCATTTCTCAAAAACTATCAATGGTAATTGTTTAATACAACAGATGCCTGAGATAGCCATAATAGAAATCGAAAACAAGAAGCAGACCAAATTTAGTCATCCCTTGGTATCCGTGGGGGTTTGGTTATCAGAACCCCCGTGGATACCAAAATCCGCAGATGCTCAAGTCTCCTATGTGAAATGGTGGAGTATTTGCATATACTTTATAATTTATATCACCACTAGATTACTTATAATAGTTAATATAATACCTACAGATTTCTTAATTCATGTGGATTCAATGTAATACTTGATGCACAGTAAAGTCAAGCTTTACTTTTTGGAACTTTGTGGAATTTTTTTCTAAATATTTTTTATCCAGATTGGTTGAATCCATGGATTTGGACCCATGGATACAGAGGGCTGACTGTAATTCCAAAGGAAAAGCTGTGAAATGAGATGTCCATAAGAGGTTTGGAAAAACATAACATTGTGGTCAGAAAAGATACATAATATAATTTCAATATTCTTACCCAAAGTTAGCAAGAGGAGGGAAATAATGAAGATTGGTGCAGGAATAAATGAAATAGAGACCAGCAAAATAATCTAAAAGATTGAAAAAAAGTTAAGATTTTGCTGGCAGAGCAAGATGGCAAAATAGAAGACTCCACTGATTGTTCCCCCACCAAGGACACCAATTTAACAACTATCTAAATGGAAAAGAAAACACTTTCATAAGAGCCAAAAATCAGGTCATTACCCACAGTACCTGGTTTTAACTTCATATCCCTGAAAGGCACTGAAGAGGTAGGAAAAACAGTCTTGAATCGTCGATGCCATCCCTCCCTTATCTCCCAACAGTTGTGGTGTGGTGCAGAGAGTGTTTCTGTGGGTTGGAGAGAGGGAGAGCCAGCAAATATGAAGCATTGAACTCAATGCTGCCCTTGTTATAGGAGAAAGCAAAACTAGACCAAACTTAGCTAACTCCTGCCCATAGAGGGAGAATTTAACCAGCCATAGCAGAGGGGAATTGTCGATGCCAGCATCAGAACTTGAGTTCTGGCATGTCTTGCCATCTCAAGCTAAAGTGCTCTGAGGCCCTAAATAAAGTTGAAAGGTAGTCTAGGCCACAAGGACTACAACTCCTGAGTCAGTCCTAGTGCTGAACTGGTCCCAAAGCCAGTGTACTTGGTGGCAGGGGGGAGGCACACAACCTACTAAGACACCAGCCAGGATGGCTAAGGAAGTGCTGGCATCACCCTTCTCCTAACCCCAAGCTGCACAGCTCAAAGCTCCAAAAGAGACCCCTCTTCCTTCCACTTGAGAAGAGGGAAGGGAAGAGCAGGGAGGACTTTGTCTTGCATCTTGAATACCAGCTAAGCCACAGCAGAGTTGTAAGGCCTCCTTTCCAGGCTCTAGCTTGCAGATGACATTTCTAGACACACCCTGGGTCAGAAGGGAACCCACTGCCTTAAAGGGAATGACCCAGTCCTGACAGGATTCATCATCTGCTAACTGAAGAGTCCTTGGGCACTGAATAACCAGCAGCAATACCCAGGTCCTATGTCAAGGACTATGGGTGTGACTCAGGTGTGCTGAGTCAGGTGTGAGATGTGCTGGCTTCAGGTGAGACTCAGCACATTCCCATCTGTGGTGGCTATGGGGGCAAAACTACTTCTGCTTGAGAAAAGCAGAGGGAAAAGTAAAGCAGACTTTGTCTTGTACCTTAGGTACCAGCTTGGAAACAGAGGGTAGAGCACTAAGCAAGCTCTTTGGGTCCCTGATTCCAGGACTTGGCTCTTGAATGGCATTTTTGGACCTGCCCTGGGCCAGAAGGAAGTCCACTGTCCTGAAAGGTGAGCCTCAGGCAAGGCAGCATTCACCACAAGCTGACTGAAGAGGCCTTGGGCCTTAAGAGAATATCAGCATTAGTTTGGCAGTACTCCTCATGGACCTGAGATGGGGGGTGGCCATGGAATAAGCTTCTTCTGCCTTTGGTAAAGGGAGGGAAGAGTGGGAAGGACTACATCTTGTGATTTGAGTGCCAGCTCAGCTGCAGTACAACAGAACACCAGGTAGCCTTCAAGGGTTTTTGACTCTAGTTCCTGGCTCCTGAATGGCACCCCTAGGCCCACCTGAGGAAACTCACTACCCTGAAAGGAAGGACACAGGCTTGGCTAGCTTTGGTGCCTGCTGATTGTAGAGCCCTAGGGCCTTCAGCAAACATAGGCAGTAGCCAGTGAGTGGTTACAGCAGGACTTGGGTGAGACTCAGTGCTGTGCTGGCTTCAGATCTGACCCAGTACAGTTCTAGTGGTGGTGACCACAGGAGTGCTTGCGTCACACTACCCTCAGCTCCAGGTGGCTCAGAACAGAGAGAGAGATTCTGTTTGTTTGGGAGAAAGTAAAGGAAGAGAACAAGAATCTCTGGTAATCCAGAGAATTATTCTGGATCTTGTCCAAGACCATCAAGGTGGTGTCTCTATGAGTCTAGAAGAACCACAGTGTTACTGGGCTTGGGGTATTCTCTAAAGCAGATACAGCTTAGATCATAATTCCTAAATTCTTTCAAATATATGGAAAACCTTCCCAATAAGGTTGGGTACAAACAAGCTGAGACTGTGAAAACTACAATAAATACTTAACTCTTCAGTAACCGAACACAGATGAACATCTACAAGTATAAAGATGATACAAGAAAACATTACCTCACCAAATGAACTAAATGAGGCACCAGGGACCAACCCTGGAGAAACAGAGATATGTGACCTTTTGGGCAGAGAATTCAAAGTAATTGTTTTGAGGAAACTCAAAGAAATTGAAGATAACACAGAGAAGAAATTCAGAACTCTATCAAATACATTTAATGAAGAGATTGAAATAATTAAAAAGAATCAAGCAGAAACTCTGGAGCTGAAAAATGCAATTGGCATACTGAGGATGTATCAGAGTCTTTTAATCACAGAATTGATCAAGAAGAATAAAGAACCAGTGATCATGAAGACAGGCTATTTGAAAATACACAGAGGAGAGAAAAAAGATAAAAGAATAAAAAACAATGAAGCATGCCTACAGGATCTAGATAATAGCCTCAAAAAGGCAAATCTAAGAGTTATTTGCCTTAAAGAGGAGGTAGAGAAAGAGATAGGGTTAGAAAATTATTCAAAAGGATAATAACACATAACTCCCCAGAACTAGAGAAAGATAACAACACTCAAGTACAGGAAGGTTATAGAACACCAAGCACATTTAATCCAAAGAAGACTACTTCAAGGAATTTAATAATCAGACTCCCAAATGACAAGGACAAAGAAAGGATTCTTTCTTAATAATAATATAATATATATTAATATATATATTAATATATATTATATATAATATAATAATAAAAGCACCAAGAGAAAAGAAACAAATAACATATGATTGAGCTCAAGTATGTCTAACAGCAAACTTTTCAGTGGAAATCTTACAGGCCATGAGAGAGTGGCATGACATATTTAAAGAGATGAAGGAAAAAAATCTTTTACCCTAGAACAGCATATTTGGTGAAAATATCCTTCAAACATAAAGGAGAAATAAAGACTTTCTCAGACAAAGAAAAGCTAAGAATTTCATCAACACTAGACCTGTCCTATAGGCAATGCTAAAGATAGTACTTCGATCAGAAAGAAAAGGAAATTAATAAGCAGTAAGAAATTATATGAAGATAAAAATTAACTTGCAATGATAAGTACACAAAAAACACAGAATATTATAACACAGCAACTATGGTGTGTAAACTACTTTTAAGTAGACAGACTGAAAGATGAACCAATAAAAAATAATAGCTACAAGTTTTCAAGACATAGCACAATAAGAGATAAACAGTAGCAACAAAAAGTTAAAAAAGCAGAGGGCTAAGTTAAGGCATAGAGTCTTTATCAGGTTTTTTTTGCTTGTTTGTTTGTTTATGCAATGAGTGTTGAGTTTTTATCACCTTAAAATAATGGGTTATGAGATAGTATTTGCAAGCCTCATGGTAACGTCAAACCAAAAAACCTACAACAGATATAAAAAAATTAAAAGCAAAAAACTAAATCATATTCCAATAGAAAATCACTTTCACTAAAAGAAAAACAGAAAGGAAAGAAGGAAGAGAAAACCACAAAACAATCATAAAACAAATAAAATGGCAGGATTAAGTCCTTACTTATCAAAATAACATTGACTGTAAATGGACTAAACTCTCCAACCAAAAGACAAAGTGGCTGAATGGATGAAAAACCAAGACTCAGTGGTCTGTTGCCTACAAGAAACATACTTCACCTATAAAGAAACACAAAGACTGAAAATAAAGGGATGGAAAAAGATATTACATGCCAATGGAAACCAAAAAATAGCAGGAGTAGCTATATTTATATTAGACAAAATAGATTTCAACACAGAAACTGTAAGAAGAGACAAAAAAGGTCACTATATAATGAGAAACAGGTCAATTCAGCAAGAGGATATGACAATTTTAAATATTTATGCACCCAACACTGGAGCACTCAGATATATAAAGCCAATATTATTAGAGCTAAAGAGACAAACAGACCCCAATACAATGAGAACTGGAGACATCAAGACCTTACTTTCAACATTGGACGGATCTTGCACTCAGAAAATTGACAAAGAAACATCAAACTTAATCTGCACTATAGACCAAATGGACCTAATGGATATTTACAGAACATTTCATTCAACAGCTGCAGAATACACATTTTTTCCCTCAGCACATGGATTATTTTCAAGCATAGACCATATGTTAGGTCACAAAACAAGTCATAAAACATTTTTAGAAAATTGAAATAATATCAAGCATCTTCTCTGACCACAATGGAACAAAACTAGAAATCAATAACAAGAGTAATTTTGGAAACTATACAAATACAAAAAAATTAAACAATATGCTCCTGGATGACAAATGAGTCAATGAAGAAATTATGAAGGAAATTGAAAATTTTCTTGAATCTAATGATAATGGGACCGAAACATACCAAAACCTATGGGATACAACAAAAGCAGTACTAATAGTTTATAGCTGTAAGTGCCTACATTAAAAAAGAAAAATGCCAAATAAACAACGTAGTGATGCTTCTTAAAGAACTAGGAAAGCAATAGCAAATCAAACCCAAAACTGGTGAAGAAAAGAAATAATAAAGATCAGAGGGGGAAATAAATGAAATTGAAGTGAAGAAAACAATACAAAAGATCAATGAAACAAAAAGTTGTGTTTTTTTGAAAAGTTAAACAAAATTGACAAACCTTTTAGCTAGACTAAGAGAAAAAGAGAGAAGACCCAAATAAATAAAATCAGAGATGAAAAAGGAGACATTACAACTGATACAGCAGAAATTAAAAGGATCATTAGTGGCTACTTTGAGCAACTACAGGCCAATAAATTGGAAAATCTAGAAGAAATGGACAAATTCCTAGGCACATACAACCTACCAAGATTGAACCATGAAGAAATCTAAAACCTGAGCAGACTAATAACAAGTAATGAGATCAAAGCCCTAAGAAAAAGTTTTCCAGTACAGAAAAGCCCGGTACTCAATGGCTTCAGTGCTTAATTCTACCAAACATTTAAAGAAGAATGAATACCAGTCCTACTCAAGCTATTCCAAGAAATAGCAAAAGAGGGAATACTTTCAAATTCATTCTATTAGACCTGTACTACCTTGATCCAAAACCCGATAAAGACACATCAAAAAAGGGAAACTATAGGCCGATATCACTGATGAATAGTGACACAAAAATCCTCAACAAAATACTAGCAAGCTGAATTTGACAATACATTAGAAAGATCATTCATCATGACCAAGTGGGATTTATCCCTTGCATTCAAGGATGTTTTAGCATACGCAAATAAATTAATGTGATATCAACAGAACAAAGGATAAAAACCATATGATCATTTCAAATGCTGAAAAAGCATTTGATAAAATTCAACAGCCCTTCATGATAAAAACTTTCAATAAGCTGGGCATAGCGGAACGTACCTCAACATAATGACAGCCATATATGACAGACCCACAGCTAGTATCATACTGAATGGGGAAAACTGAAAGCCTTTCCTCTAAGATCTGGAACACGACAAAGATACCCACTTTTACTCACTGTTACTGTTACTCACTGTTACTCACTGTTACTGGGCATCATAGCTAGAGCAATCAGACAAGTAAAAGAACTAAGGGACATCTAAATTGGAATGCAAGAACTCAAATTATCCCTGTTTGCAGATGAAATAATCTTATATTTTTTTAAAAACCCTAAAGATTCCACAAAAAACTATTAGAACAGATAAACAACTTCAGTAAAGTTGCAGGATACAAAATCAGCAACAAAATATCAGTAGTATTTCTATAGGCCAACAGTGAACAATCTGAAAAAGAAATAAAAAAGTAATCACATTTACAATAGCCACAAACAAAATGAAATACCTAGGAATTAACTTAAGAAGTGAAAGATCTCTATCATAAAAACTATAAAACATCAGTGGACAAAATTGTAGAGGACACCAAAAAAATGGAAAGATATTCTATATTCATTGAATGGAAGAATCCTTATTGTTAAAATTTCTATCAAGACTACCTAAAGCAACCTACAGATTCAATGCAATCTCCATTAAAATACCAATGATATTCTTCACAGAAATAGAAAAAAACTGTCCTAAAATTTATATGGAACCACAAAAGACCCAGTATAGCCAAAGCTATCCTAAGCAAAAAGAACAAACTGGAGAAATCATATTATCGGACTTCAAATTATACTAATAAAGCAATAATAACCAAAATAGTATGGTACTGGGATAAAAACAAGCACATATACCAATGGAACAGAATAGAGAACTCGGAAAAAAAATCCACATACCTACACTGGGGAAAGGATAGTCTCTTAAATAAATGGTGTTGAAAAAACTGGATATCCATAACTATATGCAAAAGAATGAAACTAGACAGACCGTATCACACTATATCTCACCATATACAAAAATCAAATACAAATGTATTAAAGTCTTAAATCTAAGACCTCAAACTGTAGAATTACTACAAGAAAACTGGAAATTCTCTGGGACATCATTCTAGGCAAAGATTTCTTGAGTAATACCTCACAAGCATAGGATACCAAAGCAAAAATGGACAAATGGGATCACATCAAGTTAAAAAGCTTCTACACAGCAAAGGAAACAGTCACCAAAGTGAAGAGACAACCCACAAAATGGGAGAAAATATTTGCAAACTACTCATCTGACAAGGGATTAATTATCAGAATATATAAGGAGCTCGAACAACTCTGTAGGGGAAAAAAACTAATGATTTGAGTAAAAAGTGGGCAAAATATTTGAATAGACATTTCTGAAGACATACAGGTGGCAAACAGCATATGAAAAGGTGCTCAACTTCACTGATTATCAGGGAAATGCAAACCAAAGCTACAGTGAGATATCATCTCACCCCAGTTAAAATCTATTATATCAAAAAGATAGGCAACAACAAATGCTGGTGAGGATGTGGAGAAAAGGGAACCCTCATACGCTGTTGGTGGGAATGTAAATTAACACATCCATTATGGAGAACAGTTTGGAGGTTCCTCAAAAAAACCAATATAGAGCTGCCATATGATCCTACAATTCCACTGCTGGATATATACCCAAAAGAAAGGAAATCAGTATGTCAAAGAGATATCTGCACTTCCATGTTTGTTGCAGCTCTGTTCCCAATAGCCAAGATTTGGAGGCAAGTTAAGTGTCCATCAACAGATGAATGGATAAAGAAAATGTGGTACATGTAAACAATGCAGTACCACTCAGCCATAAAAATAATGGTATTCAGTCATTTCCAATGATATGGATGGAACCAGTGGTTATTATTCTAAGTGAAATAAGCCAGGCACGAAAGACAAACATCACATGTTCTTACTTATTTATGGAATCTAGACATCAAAATAATTTTACCCATGGAGATAGAGAGTAGAAGAATGGTTACCAGAGGCTGTAAAGGGAAGTGGGGGTTGGGGGAGAGGTAGGAATGGTTTATGGGTACAAAAATTATCTAGCATAAATGAATAAGACCTAGTATTTGCTAGCACAACAGGGTGACTATAGTCAACAATAATTTAATTGTACATTTTAAAAATAACTAAGAGTGTAATTGGATTGTTTGAAACACAAAAGATAAATGTTTGTAAGGTTGGATACCCCATTTTCCATGATGTGATTACTATATGCATTGCATGCCTATTCAAAATATGTCATGTACTCCATAAATATGTATACCTACTATGCACCAACAAAATTGTTTTAAAAATTAAATAAATAAATATAAGAATAAAGATAAAAAACAAAAACTACCTTTTTGAAAACATAAATGAAATTGACAGATCTTTAGCTAAACTAAGAAAAAGACAGTGAGATCTCAAATAAATAAAGTTGAAATGAAGGAGGGGACATTACAACTGATACTACAGAAATACAAAGAATCATAAAAGACTACTCTGAACAATTATACACCAATAAATTGTATAGCCTAGAAGAAATGAATAAATTTCTAGAAACTTACAAGAGGGTAGAATCAATAATAAAAAATCTTCCAAAAAAAAAAATTCAGGGCTGCATGGCTTCAATGGTGAATTTTATCGAACATTTATAGAAGAATTAATGCCAATCTTTCTCAAATTTTCCCCCAGAATGGAAGAAAGTTGAACACTTCCAAACTCATTCTGAGGCTAGCATTACCCTAGTACCAATGGTAGACAAGGACACTACAAAAAAGAAAATTACAGGCCAATATCCCGGGTGAACATACATACAAACATCAACAAAATACCAGTAAACAAAATTCAACAGCACATTAAAAGTATTACACAACATATCAAGTGAGATTTATACCTGGGATACAAGGATGCTTCAACATATACAAACCAATAAATATGATACACCACATTAGGAAAATGTAGGATAAAAATCACATGATCATCTTAACAGATGCAGAAACAAGCATTTGACAAAATTCAGTATCTTTTAATGGTAAAAACTCTCAACAAATCAAGTATATAAAGAATGTAACTCAGTATAATAAAAACCATATATGACATACCCACAGGTAACATCATACATGACAGTGCAAAGGTGAAAGCTTTTCCTCTAAGATCAAGAACAAAACAAGGATACCCAGTCTCACCACTTCTATGTAACATAGTAGTGGATGTTCCAGCTGAAGTAACTAGGCAAGGAAAAAGAAATAAAAAATATTCAGCTTGGAAAGGAAGAAGTAAAATTGTCTCTGTTTGCAGATGACATGATCCCATATGTGTGTGTGCATGCACACATGCATGTGGCTCTAAAAACTGCACCAAAGTAGTCTTAGAACTAGTAAACAAACTTACTAGAGTTACAAGGTAAAAATCAACATATAAAAGTCAATTGTGTTTCTCCACAGTAACAATGAACTATCCAAATAAGAATTTAAGAAAAAAAATCCATTTACAATAGCATTAAAAATAATAAAATACTTAGGTATAAATTTAAGCAAGGAGGTGAAAGACCTGTACACTGATAACTATGAAACATTGATGAAAGAAATTGAAGTAGACACAAGTAAATGGAAAGATATCTCATGTTCATGGAAGAGTTAATATTGTTAAAATGTACATGCTATGAAAAGAAATCCACAGATTTAATGTAATCCCTACCAAAACTCCAGTAGCATTTAAAATAAAACATAGAAGAAATAACCCTATAAGTCATTTGAAACTGCAAAAGACTCCAAATAGACAAAGCAATCTTGAGCAAGAATAACAAAGCTACAGGCATCACACTTCCAGATTGTAAATTATATTACAAAGCTATAGTAATCAAAACAGAGTGGTATGGCATAAAAACAGCCATATAGACCAGTGGAATAGAATAGAGAGCCCAGAAATAAACCCACACATATACAGTCAACTAATTTTTCACGAGGGTGCCAAGAATACAAAATGAGGAAAGGATAGCTTCTTTAATAAATGATGCTGGGAAAACTGGATATCCACATACAAAATAATTAATTGGACCTTTATATCATACACAAAATTCAACTCAAATGGATTAAAGACTTAAATATAAGATGAACAACTATCAGGAAAAAGAAAACATAAGGAAAAAGTTCCTTAATGTTCGTCTTGGCAATTATTTTTAAAATATGATACTGAAAGCACAGGCAACAAAAGCAGAAACAAACAAATGGGATCATATCAAGCTAAAAATCTCTGCACAGTAAAGGAAACAATCAACAAAATGAAAAGGCAGTCTGCACAATGGGAGAAAATATTTGCAAACTGTATATTTGTTAAGGGGTTAATATTTTAAAAATATATACAAGGAACTCATACAACTGAATGGCAAAAAATAATAACAACCTGATTTTAAAATGGACAAAGAACTTGAATCAATATATCTCAAAAGAAGACATACAAATGGCCTACAGGCATATGAAAAAGTGCTCAACATCACTAATCATTAGAGAAATGCAAACCAAAACCACAATGAGAAATCACCTTACACTTGTTAGAATGGCTATTAATTAAAAAACAAACGTTAACAAGTGTTGGCAAGGATGTGGAGAAAAGTGAAATTGTATACACAATTGTGTACATAAATTGGTGCAGCCATTATGGACAGCAGTATGGAGGTTCCTCAAAAAATAGAAAATTGAACCACCATGGAATCCAGTAATCCCACGTCTGGTTATATAAAGGCATTGAAATCAGAATCTTGAAGAGATATTTGCACTCCCATGTTTATTGTAGCACTATTTACAGTAGCCAAGATTTGGAACCAATCTAATTATCCAACAATGAATGAATGAATAAAGAAATTGTGGTATATAAACACAAAAAAAATACCATTCAGCCTTAAAAATTAAGGAATTCCTGCCACTTGTAACAACATGGATGGATTTGGAGAACATTATGCTAAGTGAAATAACCCAAACGCAGAAAAACATATACTACATGATCTCACTTATATGTGGGATCTAAAATAGTCAAACTCATAGAATCACAGAGTAGAATGGTAGTTGCCAAGGGCTGAGGTGGGGGCAGGATGGAAAGATGTTGGTCAAGTGTACAAAGGTTTAGTTATGCAAGATAAAAAAAAGTTCTGGAGATCTACCATACAGCATAGTGCCCATAGCTCACCACACTATATTGCAAAGAAGGTAGTGTTTCTTTCTTTCTTTCTCTTTCTTTCTTTCTTTCTTCTTTCTTTCTTTCTTTCTTTCTTTCTTTCTTTCTTTTTCTTTTCTTTTCTTTTCTTTTCTTTTTTTTTTTTATGGAGTCTCACTCTGTCACCCGGGCTAGAGTGCATTGGTGCCATCCTGACTCACTGCAGCCTTGATCTCCTGGGCTCAAGTGATCCTCCAACCTCAGCCTCCCAAATATCTGGGATCACAGGCACGTGCCACTATGCCTAGATAATTTGTATTTTTTTTCAATAGAGATGGGGTCTCCCTATGTTGCCTAGGGTGATCTCAAACTTCTGGGCTCAAGCAATCCTCTGGCCTCCGAAAGTGCTGGGATTACAGGCATGAGCCACCATACCCTGCTTGTTAAGTGTTTTTACCTCCCTCAACAAAATAATAATAACAATGGCAGGAGGAAACTGTGAGGTGATTGATGTGTTTATGGCCTTGAGTTTGGCTCTTTTGTAGGGATATACATATAAATAAATGAAATAGAATTGAGAATCCAGAAATAAACCTTACACATATTGTCAGTTGATTTCAACAAGAGTGCCAAGACAAGGCAATGGGCAAAGAAAATGGTGAAATTTGACCCCTGCCTCATACCATACACAAAAATTAACTCAAAATGTATCATATACGTAAATATAATAAGACTTGAGACTATAAAATTATTAGAAGAAAACTTAAAGGTAAATTTTCACGAGTTTGGTGTTAACCAGTGGTTCCTTGACTATGAAACCACAGTACAAGTGACAAAAGAAAACATAAATTGAACTTCATTAGACCAGTACTACCTTGATCCAAAACCAGATAAAGACACATCAAAAAAGGAAAACTATAGGCCGATATCACTGATTGATAGTGACACAAAAATCTTCAACAAAATACTAGCAAGCCGAGTTTGACAATACACTAGAAAAATCATTCATCATGACCAAGTGGGATTTATCTCTGTGAAGGATATAATCAAGGAAGTAAATCAAGGAAGTAAACACACAACCCATAAGATGGGAGAACATATTTGAAAATTATATCTTTGATAAAAGACTTGTATTCAATATTTATAAAGAACACATATCTTAATAACAAAGAGACACACAGACATAATATGAAAATGAACAAATGCTCTGAATTGACATTCTTCTAAAGAAGATGCACACATGGCCATTAAACACATGAAAAGATACTTAATATCATGAATCATTAAGGAAATAGAAGTCAAAAGCACAATAAGATACCACTTCACACTCACCAGAATGGCCATAGTAAAAAGAAAACAGAAAATAATGAACAATGGCAAGAACATGAAGAAGCTGAATTCCTCGTACATTGTTGATGGGATGGGAAAATGGTGCAGCTACTTTGGAAAGCAGAGTGACATTTCTCCAAAATATTAATCACGAAGTTTCTGTTTGACCCAGAAATCCCTCTCCTAGGTGTTTACTCAAGAGAAATCAAACATATATCTGCACAAAAATGTTCATAGTAGCACTGCTCATAACAGCCCAAAGTGGAAACAGTCCAAATGCCAATCAGCTAATGAAGAGATTAGTAAAATGTGATATATCCATAAAATAGAATATGTAATGCCAATAAACAATGAATGTAGTACTTATACATACTATAACATGGATGAACCTTGAAAATATGTTCAGTAAAAGAATCCAGTCACAAAAGGTCACACATTTTAAGATTCCCTTTATAGGAAATGTCCACAATAGGCAAATTTATAGAGATAAAACTTAGATTAGTGTTACCTAGGGCTGAGGATAAGAAGGAATAGGGAATGACTGCTAAGGTGTATGACTTTTCTTTTAAAAGGGAGGTAAATGTTCTAAAAATTGGGTAGTGATGATGGTTATACAACTCTATCAATTTTCTAAACCATTAGATTGTGTACTTCAAATGGATAAATTTTGTGGTATATGAATCATATCTCAATAAAGCTGTTTTTAAAAATGAAAAAAGGAAAGCCAAAATGGCTACATTAATGTCAGATAATGTTAATGTTAAGACTAGCAATATTACCAGGGATAAAAGGGCCTTTGTATACTTACGAAGGGGTCAATTCACTAACGAAACAACAATTCTAAATGTGTGTGTACCTAACATCAGAGCTTCAAAAATAGATGAAGCAAATACAAATCTTAAAACAAAATAAACAAATTCACATTTATAGTTGGAGATTTCAGTACTCTTTCTACAAGCACAGAGAAATAAATATGTGCAGTATACAGATTACTTGAGTTATACTATTAACCACTTGTCTTAATATATACAGAAAATACAGCACCCAACAACAGCAAAACAGTTTCAAGTACACATGCAACACTTGCCAAGATATACTACCATATTTCTGACTTGTAAAACAAACTTCAACTAATTTGAAGGATTTGAATCAGACAAAGTATGTTCTATAACCACACAGAATTAAATTAGAAATAAACAACAGAAAGATATCCAGAAATCTTCTAAACAGTGTAAAATTAATAAATATTTCTGATTTTCCTTTTGAACAGGAAGGAGTAACAGGGAGCAAATTTACCATCCCACTTGACATGACTAAAAACAATCAATGTATATGAAATAATGGTTCTCAAGACATTGAATGTCATACAACAAAGGACAGTGATCCCTGAAAGACAGAAAATGAATGAGATGAGCCAACAATTGTTCCAGCTTGCTGCCTGAAAGATGTACCAAGGTGCAGTGCAGAGGATAGAAACCCAGGTGTTGCCCAGAATCCAGGCATTCTCTCTGAGTTGAGGAGTTAGACCTAGAAGTCCTAGGAATCCCAGGTAGCTAAAGTTCACAGGGCAGAGTAATTGAGAGGAGAGAGTCAAACAGATAAAGAAATGAGGAGATCTGCAGAGTGTCCTTATTCATTGCTTAGATCAGGGCTGATGGATTTGTGCATGTAAGAACCCAAAGGGATTATAGAAATAGTACCTCATATTCACATAAGGCAGAAAATAATTTATGTACCTACCACCAGAGTGAAAGACCTCATAATTCATGGGACATAGAGAGGAATACTCAGAAGGGTCTTGTCTGAGTAGTGAAGAAAATGAACCCTAGACTAAGTGCTGTTCTGGTCTACCTGGAAGTTTAAAAGGAAGACATTAAGTACCAGCCTTTTTTCAAGTAATTTAGCTGCATCCTAGAGCAAAGCTCACGAATAGTTATAGGAATACAAAATATACAACACCTACAAGTCAAAATTCACATCTGGCATCCAACCAAAAAATTACAAGATGAACAATGCATCAGGAAAACACTACTCATAATAAGGAGAAAACTCAGCTAATCAGAACAGACACAAAACTGGCACAGATGAGAAAATTAGTACATAAGAACATTAAAATAGTCAATTTGCCTGTATCTCATGTTCAAGAAGATAGAGGAAATACTGAATGAACCTGTTAGCTGGAGAAATGGAAGATACAAAAAAGATCCAAGTCTAACTTGCAGAGATGTAAACCACATTGTCTGAGGTGAAAAATACAGTCAATGGGAATAACAATATATCAGACATTCAAAGTAAAAGATAAACAAAGATAAAGATATAGAAATCAAAACTCTCCAAAATGAAATACAGGGAGAAAAGAGATGGAAGTAAAATGAGGAACATCATTAAGTTGTGGGATAATTTAAAGTAGCCTAATATACATGTGATTGGAGCCTCTGAAGAGGAGGAGAGAGAGACAGAAAACTAAATATTTGAAGAAATAATAGTATAAAACTTTCTAGAATTGGTGAAAACTACAAAACCACAGATCCAGTAACTTTAGCATGTCCAAGCACAACAAAGATGAAAAAAAATACATTAAGCACATCATAATAAAATTAACCACAGTAATTCATGAAAACAAACTCTTAAAATGAGCCTAGAAAAAAGACACATCATGTAGAGGAAGACAGGTAAGGATGATAGATAATTTCTTTTCAGAAACCATGAAAGCTATAAGACAGTAAAACGATATGTTTAAAGTACTGTAAGAAGGACAAAGTAAATCCACAATTCCATACCCAGCCAAAATGTGTTTTTTTAAAAGGGATAAAATAACATTTTAGGATACAAAAAAGCTGAAAGAATTAATCACTAATTACATTTTGCATTAAGCAAATTGTACAGGAAGCCCTTCAGGTGTGTATCTATAAATATGGATATGCACAAAAGAAGGAAAACCACTGGGGTTTTAGCATATTAAAAGTAAAATACGTGACATTTTCAAAAAATTGGGAGGGAGGAAATGGCATATCTTAGGATTCTTATGTGGCAGAGAAAATATGAATATGGTTCCCAGGATCTCTACTTCCTGTTTTTATGTCCTGTGTAATCCACTCACCTTGAGTTTAGGTGGCACATGTGATTTGCTTCTAACTGGTAGAATACGACAAGAGTAATGGGATATTACTCCTTTAGTGAGGTCCTGTTATACGGCAAAGATGATAAGCTGCCTCTCCTATCATTATATTGCGTTATAAAAGTCTTACCAGACTGGTAAGAGAGATTTTCTGCTAGCTTTAAAGAAGCAGACGAACATGTTATGAACTGCCTATAGAGATAGTCACATGGGAAAAAAAAACTGAAGGTGGCCTCTAGGACCTTGGGGACACCTCCAGCTAAGGTAAGAAACAAAGGCCTTTAGTCATACAGTTGCAAGGAAATTAATTAGGCCAACAAGTTTAATGATTTTGGAAGCAGATTCTTTTCTAGTTGATTCTCTAGATGAAAATATAATCAATCAAAACCTTGATTGCAGCCTTTGAGACCCAGAGCAGAATATCTCATTAAGCCATGCCTAGATTCCTTACCCACAGAAACTGTGAGAAAATAAATGTGTGTTGTTGTGTGTCGCTGCACTAAAGGTTGCAGCTAGTGCCCCAAGACAAGAAAAATAAGAGGTGAGTCTTTATTGCAGACCCCAAAGGAATAAGGAAGACTTTATTCACAGATACCACAGTCATCAATGTAGAAAAGCCAACCAATTTTACAAAACAAAACTATTATGACTGATAATATACAAATTCAACTTCCAAAATTTACTTTTATTTCTATATACTAATAATGAGTAATCATAAGTTAAAATTTTTTAAAATACCATTTACAAAGGCATCAGAAATGTGAAATACAAATAATTCTGACAGCAGAGCTGCAATATTACTGAAAACTATAATATGTTGCTGACAGATAATAAAAAAGACATAAATAAGTGGAGATTTACCTTGTTAGTGGGTCAAAAGAATCTCGGAATTGATCTACAGATTCAATGCAATACCAATCAAAATCCTATGAGACTGCTTTCATTAAGCTGATAAACTGACTCCAAAATTCCTATTTAAATGCAGAGGACCAAGAATATTCTAAACAACTTGGATAAAGGAGAATAAACTTGGTGGCTAAGACTACTCAATTTAAAGGTTTATTTATAGTCATGAAGATAGTATGATACTGACATAAAAATAGACAAATAGATCCTTCAAACAGACAAAATGTAGAAATACAGAAAAAATGAATTATTAACTGATTTTTGATAAAGCTATAAAGGCAATTCAGTGAAGAAATGGTAGTCTTTTCAATAAATGGTGCTAGAAAATGTGACTATCTGTATGGAAGAAAAAGATAAACTTCAATCCATACCTTATACTATATACAAAATCAACTCAAGGCTAGCGGTGGCTCATTTCTGTGATCCCCACACTTTGGGAGGCTGAGGTGAGTGTATTACTTGAACTCAGGAGTTCAAGACCAAGCTGGGCAACATAGCTAAACCCCATCTCTACAAAAAATACAAAAATTAGATGGTTGTGTTGGCACACCTGTAGTCCCAGCTACTTGGGATACTGAGGTGGGAGGATCCTTTGAGCGCAGGAGATCGATCCTGTGGTGAGCCATGATCACACCACTGCACTCCAGCTTGGGCAACAGAGTGAGACCCTGTCTCCAAAATATAAAAATAAAAATAAAATTTAAAAATCAACTCAAAATAAATCATAGACAGAAATAAACAAACTAAAAATATATTTTTTACATTTTGTTTCTTAATATGATATATTAATTACATTGATTGGCATTACTAGTCAATAGGGAAATGCAAACCAAAACCACAAGAAGATGCCATTCAGACTCACTGGGAGGGCTATAATAAAAAAGTCAGATAACAAATATTATTGGCAAGGATATGAAGAAATTGGAAATATCAGACATTTCTGGTAGGAATGCAAAATGATGCAGTCACATTTTTTACAAAGTGTTTGGCAGTTTCTCTAATATTTAAACTTACGGTTACCATATGACGAGCAATTCCACTCCTAGATACATACTTAAGAGAAATGAAAACATACCTCCACACCAAAACTTGTATATGAATGTTTATAACAGCAATATTTAAAATAGGAAAAACTGGAAACAACCTAATTGATCCTCAACTAATGACTGAATAAATTAAATGATAAAAAATTTCTAGGAAACAAAAAACAAGAATACAGGACCAGGAATAGGGTGACACAAGTGAGGAACTGAGGGTGCAAAATATAAGGACATCCTCATTCTCAGGGACTTGCACAACCCTCAGCATGAGTTCCTCCTTAAATTTTGTGCCTTAGGCGCCTCATCTCCTTCCTCTAATGTCGACCTAAGAGAGACATCTTGTGATCTTGGATTAGGCAAAGATTTTTTAGAAATGACACCAAAAGCAAGATTCATAAAATTTTTTAAAATGATAAACTAGACTTCATTAAAATTTTAGAAGTTCTGCTCTCTAAAGGGCACAATTGAGAGAATGAAAGTCAAGTCACAAACTAAAAAATAAAAAAAAAATCCAGATTGTACAAAGAACTGTCAACATCCAATCCAAAATCTTAGTTAAAAATGGGCAAAAGATTTGAACAGATACATGATGAAAGAAAGAGGAAAAATACAAAAAATTGCTCTACATCATTATTTACTAGGTGAATGCAAATTAAACATGGTATAGCTATACAATTAATTGTTATTCAGCATTAAAAAGGAATAAAGTTCTGATACATATTATTAATACATATAACATAGATGAAACTTAAAAACATTATGCTACATGAAAGAAGCTGGTCACAAAAGATCACATATTGCATAATTCCACTTACAAAAAATATCCAGAAGAGGCAAATCTATTAAGATAGAAACTACTTTGGTTGCCTAGGATTTGGGTGATGGGGAGGATAGAGAGTGACTGCTAACCGCTACATGGTTTCTTTTTAAGGTGATGAAAATATTTTTATTTAAATTCTGGCAATGGTTGCATGCCTCTGAAAGTATACTAAAAGCATTAAATTGTACACTCTAGATGGTAAAATGTATATGAAAATTATATCTAAACAATTATTTCAAATAATCATGAGATTTCTGCTTAGGAAAAACACATAAATCTTTCTTTCCAAACTCCTGCACACTAAGGACAACTATAAACTCTGGAAGCAACTCAAAAGACAACCAAAGAAAAACTCTGAAAAGTGGAAGAGGAAGGTGTCTTGGTTTGGGACCACAGAACTAGGAAAACGAAATGGTAGCCAGTCATCTTATGACCTCTTATCCAACAGAAAATGGTGACCCAGGCCTGCCATTTCCTCACCACCAGCTTGGCAACGGAAGGTGGTCATATAAGCTCATTTTTCCTCAGGATCAAATAGAAGTGCTATCTATAACAGATGATCCAGACAACACTGCAAATCAATAAGAGAAAAATGTCAAAACACTTGGAAACTAAACCAAACTAAACCAACCTTGGGTCAATGAGAATGTCTCAAAAGAAATTAAAAATGTATCAAACTGAATGAAAATAAACACTCGCCATATAAACACTAGTGGTATACTGTTAAAGCAATGCTAAAATGAAAATAGATAGCATTAAATGCTTACATTAGAAAAGAGTAAATCAATAATCTAAGTTCCTACCTAAAGAAAGTAGAGAGGAGAATAAACCAGATGCAAGCAGAAAGGAGGAAATAATAAAGATATCAGTATAAATAAAATTGAAAACAGGAATATAATAGAAAAAAATTAATGAAACAAACAGCTGGTTCTTTGAAAAGAGCAATAAAATTGAAAAATCTACTACAAGATTGACAACCAAAAAAAGAGAAAAGACACATATTACTAACATGAGGAATGAAACAGACTATCACTATAGACCCTGCAAACATTCAAAGGATGTTAAGATAATACTAAGAACAAATTTAATCTCATAGATTTTGCAACCTAAAAGACATGTACCTAATATTTGAAAACCCAAAATAAAATAATCTGAATAGTTTTATCATAATTAAATAAAATTCTTTAATTCATAATTTTTCATAATTTCTAAAGTTCCCAAAAAAGAAATCTCTAGTCCCAGTTGGTTTCACTGGAGAATTCTACCCAATGTTTAAAGAAGGACTAGCACCAACTCTATACAATCTTTTCCAGAAAACAGAGGAGGAATTACCAATTTCCAATGCATTTTATGAGGCCAGTATTATCTTGATACCAAAACTATATAAAAAAGTACAAAAACAGAAAGTTACAGATCAATTATGGATCATTAATCTAGGCATAAGAATTCTCAGAAAAAAATAGCATAGTGAACTCATTAATGTAAAAATAAACAACTTAAATACCATGACCAAGTAGAATTTATTCCAGATACGTAAGCTGGTTCTATATTCATAAATCAACCATTGTAATCCATAATATCTACAGGCTAAATGAAAAATCATATGATCATATCAACAGATACAGAAAAAATATTTGACAAAATCCAAAATTCATGATAAAAAGCAAAAACCTCTTAGCAAGATAGGAATAGAGACGCACAATCTCAACTTAATAAAAAGCATCTATTATACAAAAGACCTACACCTAACATCATAATTAATGGTGAAACATTGAACGCTTTTTCCTCAAAGATGAAGAAAAATGCAAGGATGTCCTCTCTCACCACTATTATTCAATATAATATTGGAAAGTCTAGTCATTGCATTTAGATAAGAAAAAGGAATAAAATGCATATAGATTAGAAAGAAAGATATAAAACTGCCATTATTTTCAATTGACATGATTAGCTGCATAGAAAAGTTTCAGGTAACCTATTAAAAAACACTCTCTTAAAACTAGTAAGCTCATCAAGGTCACATAAGACAAGATCAGCACACAAAAATCAATCTCTTTTCTATATACTAACAATGAACATGTAGAAACTGACATTAGAAATGCAATATTAGATATGTCTGGTTCCAGCTCCAACGTATAAACAGGTTGGAAGTTGTCACTTCCGTCCTACAACAAGAAAAAGCTGGACAAACTAAAAATCGACAACTTTTCTTGACCCATCAGATAACTGAGGTCACAGGGCAAATTATCATCCCTAAATCTGGAGAGAAAGGCACGTTCAAAAATCTACAGCAACTGAAATCTGCTTAACTAAAGCAGAAGCTACTGGAACCATAAGATGGTAAAAACATTTAAACGGTAGTTCTGAAAAATTGCTAAAAGGCTGAGTGTGGACTAGTATGAGAGTCAGAAACTCATAGGATCCACAGTCTTAGGAGGATCCTCACATTTTTTAATCTACTTTCCCTTCTAGGAACCCCATCAGGTTCTTACAATGAGGATACAGGATCCAAGAAAAGTCTCCTTATGGCACTGGTGAGATAATAGAAGAGTAACCTTTCTGAAATACATCTAGAGCCCTCTCCATAACAAATGCTAACTCTCCAACATAATTCTGAAACTTTATCCTAGCTGAGAGAAGAGAATTCATCTGCCCTCCCGCATCTTCCAGCCTTCCTGTCTCACCTGAGGGAAAAATCGTAAACAAGGGTCAGACTTTTGAAGAAATAGATTGGAAACACTGCAGGCAAAGAATGGAACAGGAGGCAGGAGGGGAAAAGCTCTATCATTAAAGAAACACTTGTAAAAGTCACATCCCAAAGACACAGACCCATTAAAAGAGAGATGTAATCAGAAGATTATAAAATATCCCCCGATCCACACCTTAACACCATACCAACAGGGCTACAGTATAATAATAGTGAGTTACAATTGAAAGAGCTGCAAGACACAGACTCTCTCTCAGAGGAGTACTTAGGAAAGCACAATGTTAATTGGGGAGACAAAAACAAGAACATAGAAAAGTTTAAGCCTGAGGCACCAATAGTTACAGAAAAGATTAAACAAAGCCCAATTCTTGCCAGATTAACATGAATCCTCAGACTAGAGGTTTACTTACCTTAATTCCTGACATCAGATACAATATGTTCAGCTTTCAACAAAAATTACAAGGCACACCAAAAGGCATGAAAAATCATAGTCTGAATAGACAATGCAAGCATTAGAACAAGACTGATACAAATGTTGGGATTATCAGACAGGAATTTAAAATAACTATGGTTAATATGTTAAGGGCTTTAATCAAAAAAAGTAGACAACATGCAAGAACAGAATAATCATGTAAGGAGAGAGATGGGGATTCTAAGTAAGAATTTTTAAATGCCAAAAATGAAAAAACACTAGCAGAAATGAAAGCTGCTTTTAATGGGCTCATCAGTACATTGGGCACGGCCAGGGAAAGAATGAGTAATCTTAAAGATAGGTCAATAGAAACTTCTTAACTAAAATAAAAAGAAAAAAAAGAATGAAAAAAGAAAAGAGCATCCAAGAACTATGAGACATTTTCACATGATGTAACATGTGTAAATAGATTACCAGAAAGAGGAGAGAGAAACAGAAGAAAGATTTGAAATAATAACGGTACATCAATTTCTAAAATCGACGATAGACATCAAGCCACACATCCCGGAAGTTCAGGTGACACCATATAAATTGCCAAAAGTCATACTTAAGCATATCATATTCAAGCTGCAGAAAACCAAAGGTAATGAGAAAGTCACGAAAGAAGTCAGAGGGGAAAATACTTTGCCTATAAAGGAAGAAGGATAAGAATTACAGTGGACTTATCACCAGAAATCATGCAAGCAGTGGCACAAAAGCAATTCAATGGGGAACAAATAGTCTTTTCCACAATTGGTGCCAGAGCAATTAGATATCCACATGAACAGACATTTCACTGAAGACTATACAGATGGCAAATAAACACATAAAAAGATGTTCAATGTCATTAAGCATCAGAGAAATACAAATTTAAACCACAATGAGATATCGCTACACAACTATCATGATGGGCAAGATAAAAAGAAATAGTGACAAGACCAAATGCTAGCAAGCATGCAGATACATTGCTGGTGTGAATATAAAGTTGTATAACTACTCTGGAAAGTGGTTTGTAAGTTTCTTATAAAACTAAACATGCAATTGTGTACGACCCAGTAATTGCACAGCTGGGCATTCATCCAGAAAACTGAAAACATATGTCCACTCAAATTCTGTACACGAATGTTCATGGTAGTCTTATTTATAATCGCCCCAAACTGGAGAAACAACCAAAATGTCCTTCAGTAGGTGAGTGGTTAAACAAACTATGGTACATCTATACCATGAAATACTACTCAGCAATAAAAAGAGATGAAGTACTGCTACACACAACCTGGATGAATCTCAAAGTAATCATGTTGAGTGAAAAAAAAAAGCCACTCCCAAAAGCTCACATATGTATGATTCCATTTATATAACATTCTTGACACGACAAAATTACAGAAATGGATAACAGATTAGTTACCAAGGGTTAGGAAAGGGGGTGGTGGGGATGAAAGGTAGATTTGTCTATTTTGCTATAAAAGAGCAACAGGAGGAATTCTCATGGTGATGGAACATTGCTGTATCTGGACTGTATCAATGTCAGTGTCTTAGTTGTCATATTGTACTGTAGATTTACAAGATAGTACAACTGGAGAAACTGGGTAGAGGATATTCAGGACCTTGCTGTATTGTTTCTTAAAACTGCATGTGAACCTACAATTATCTCAAATAAAAATGTTTAATTTAAAAAATATAAGTAAAACATCAAGAGATGATGGTGTGGTGGTGTCACTGAGACTGAGGAAAATAAGTGTATTACCAATGTTTACTGAATGTAATAATAGGTTATTGGTGGTGACTTTTGCCACCATTTTATTAGAGTAGTGGGAATAGAAGCCTGATTGGTATGGACTGAAGAATACATGGGAGGTGAGAAGGAAGATAGAGACCAGGCGTGGTGGCTCACGCCTGTAATCCCAGCACTTTGGGAGGCTGAGGTAGGTGAGTCACTTGAGCTCAGGAGTTCAAGACCAGCCTGGTCAACATGGCAAAACCCCATCTCTACAAAAAATACAAAAAAAAATTAGTAGGGTGTGGAAGCATGCGCCTGTAGCCCAAGCTACTTGGGAGGTTGAGGCATGAGGATGGCATGAGCCCAGGAGACAGGGGTTGCATTGAGTCACAATCATGCCACTGCACTCCAGCCTGGGTGACACAAATGAGACTCTGTCTCAAAAAAAAAAAAAAAAAGAAGGAAGATACAGAATAGAACAGACTCTTCTTTCAATGAGTTTGACAAAAAGAGCAGTATAGCAATTGTTACAGGGTGATGACGGATCAAGGAATTGTTTCTAAGGATGAGAGACACTTGATCATGAGAATATCCTGAAGTAAGTGAACTAGTAGACAAGGAGAGATTTAAAAATCAGGCAAGAGAACTGAGATAATAGTGTAAGCAAGGTTTTAGGGGTGGGGGTAATGGAGAAGGAAAGCAGAGGAGAGACAGAGCAAGGGAAAAGAAACTAGAATAGGAACTTCTAAGCTGAAGGAGTGCTATATAATAAGAAGTAGTGCTATGCAATATGAAGTGAGAGTTAGTGAAGCCAAAAAGACCATTGTAGGTGTAGGGTCAAGGAGCTGAAGTTAACCTCAATCTCCTTTATGAAGTAGGAGTCTGAGCCATTGTATGGGGTGTGGTGAGGGTAGAGTGAAAGGGGCTGTTGTTTGAGAGGAGTGATGAAAATCTTGGAGTACAGATAGGATGAAAATTGGAGAAAGAGATGACCTAGGGTGTGTGAAAGGATTGCAAGGTGGCCAGAAGGGCCAGCTGAGGTTGGAAATTCTTGGGGTGCTGCTCCTTTCTCCCACAGTGGTTATTATGGAATCAGAGAAAACATTTGTTTGGAAAGACCGAAAATTGGAGATAAATAGTGCAGATGTGGTATTTGGAGGGCAAGGGGATGATAAGGCAGTTAATACTAAATCAATATGCCCCAAATTTTGTCTGGACAGGGAAAATAGTGAAGACAAAAGGAAGGTCTTGGGTACTGGATCCCTCAGGGAAGCCAAAGAGCAAATGGCATGGACCCAGCCTTCGTTAGAAGATTTGGGCCTCAGTGGGATATTGGAGTTGAAGCCACGCCCAGTGATGCCAAGTGACTGGGAGTGGTTGAGGTACTAAGAAGTTAAAGGTCAGAGAGGTGTGAGGCCAGGGTATATGGGGTAAGACTTCCATGTGTACATTGTTGGTGGCACCCAGAATAAGGACAGGACTTGGAGTGTCAGGAAGCCTGTGAGCTGGGTCCTTACAGTGTGGAGAACAGCAAGGATAATGCCCACATCTACAAACACTCTCAGGCCCAGTCCCTGAGGCTGGTTAGGAATTGGCACTGGGAAGAAATGTAAGATTAGGAGAAAACCTGGTTTCAGGGAAGGCCAGAGAGTGAAGGCAATGTTTTCAAATCTACTTTCTTCTTTGTTATCTGGTTTGTTTTGAAGCTGAATGGTGAAAGCACACATAAACTTTTCACAGGACATATTTTACTTTTTTGACCCCATAAAGTCCTGGAAATGCAGTCAGAAGGTCTGTCCGAATCTTACTCCCGGATTTCTGACCTTTCCCAAGTCTGAGCCCTAGTATGACTATTCACATAACAAGAAGGTTGGAATGGGTGAGCTCCTACATTTTCTTCTGCCTCTGATATCTGTAAGCCCCAGCTATAACTGCTAGAATCTGCCTGAAATATCAGTTATTGTCTAATAGCCTGTCCTTTCTGGAGAGAAAGGACCTATAAGGAAGAAACCTGAAACTTGCTTGTTGAAAGTCCAAACCCCAATATAAAAAAATTGCTGCAGACATCACAGTGCATCTTTGTGTCTGAGGCAAAATCCCAAGATGAATGGACCAGTATAATCTAGTGTTTAAACAAGCCAGCTTTAGAGACTGGCTGGTTTTCCACTAACCAACTGTGTAATTTGGGCAGGTTATTTAACCTCTCTGTACCTCATTTTCTTCAAGAGTAAATTGAAGATGACAGTAGCATATATCTCAAAGTGTTATTGTGAATATTAAATTAAATGATGAACGTAAAGTTTTTAACAGTGTCAGACACTTTGGAAGACCTTGATATGTGTTAACTATCAGGATTATTATTATTTACAAAATTTATTAGTGTAGGAGGGGACAATGCTACGAGTCTGCAGTCTGTAAAGCTCTATGCAAGGAAATACCCTAAAGCAAAGTGTGTAAAAATAAATAACACAAACCATTCCACTTTCTAAGGCCCTGTATCTAACATGGAAAATTTTCAAGTATGTCATGAAGCCATAAGTTTTCAAGAAAGGTTGGAAGTTTTATCAGTCAGACAGCAGTATGTTCTTCCTCTGACCCTTGGAAGTCATATGTCTGCCTATGTTTTTAGGATTTTATTTTTCACTGATTCGGGGGAACTTCTCAGTTGAAAATACCTAGTGGTCTCCTCATTTATTCCCCTCCCTTCCCCCTTATAGGCTCTCCTCTTAAGCTTCCTTTGCTTCCTCTACTTCTCTTTCATCTCCCCTTAACCTTTTCTACTTTAATAGTAATACTTCCACCCCCTTTATTCCATTATAGCCCTTCCCCTTTATTCTATTTTACTTCCCTTTATTCCACCTCACCCCCCATTTATTCCACATCAGCCCCTCCCCTTTATTCCATATCATCCCCTCCCCTTTATTCCACCTCACTCCACCCCCTCATTTCATGTCACCCCCCTTCCCTTTATCCCATGTCATTCCCTCTCTATTCCATGTCTCCCCCTCTCATTTATTCAACTCTATTCCCTCCCCTTTACCCCACATCACTCTATCCCCTTTTTCCCACTTCACTCCCTCCCCTTTATTCCACATCACTCCACCCCCTCATTCCTTGTCACCCCCTTCCCTTTATCCCATGTCATCTTCTTCTTTATTCTACATCACCCTGTCCTGTTTATTTCTATTCACCTCTCCTTTACCCCTTCAGCTCTCTAGTCAGAGCTTCCCAACTCACCCCCCAAATTAAAAAGAAGAAAAACACAGTAAGCCATGAATATGCTGCTGTCACAATACAGATGTTTATTAATGATTAAATGCCAGAGAAGTTTTAACAATCACAAATCTTTGAGCTCAGCAGTTGTTACCCATTAAATGATCAATTTCTATCCCTCAATACAATACAGTCTTCATTTTATGGACCTTAGCAGTTGTCATCCATAATATCAGCTGTAATTCTGGATCATATGCAACCCATATCTGTGTGTTACCAGAGCATGTCCCACAATTTTGTACTGTCCTGTATAAAGGAATTACAGAGACGATAGTTAAGAACATTTGTAATCAAGTGACTTTACCTACTTGGAACTATATGTCCTTACCTAACTAGCTGTTTTGCTGACAAGAGGGTGTAAACACCAATTGTCTTTAAAGCAGATCCAGGCAATAAAATCTAAATTTTCCTCTAACTTTGGATCCCAGAAACACTAATTAGACCTACACTTGAGGTTTCCCTGTTGGCGTGACCTGAGCAAAACTGTACAGAATTTTGGGAGAGGCCATTTGGCAAGCCATTGGTCTGAATAATTTGGAGGGGGAAATCCTAAGGTGGTGGAGTTGCTGCGTGGACACGGCTATGGGTTGGTGTGACATGATTTCGCATTAATTGTTTGTCAGCTGTCAGTAGGCTGACCTAACGTTCTAGCATGCCTCTTGAGGGCCTTTCCAACTGAGCTCTCTGGAGGAGGGTAGGAAAGTCAGGGAAATCATGCAATCCCATCTGGGGAAGGGAAAGCATCTCAAGATTTGTGAGGTTCCCTGGGAAAGGTGTTTACCACAAATGTCACATCAATTAAAGGAAAGTCTGCAGAGAGAGAGAGAAAGCCAAGATCAGGGGTAAAAGAGAAAGGCAAGGTAGCACCGGGGAGCTTGGGCATGACACAGAAACATCTCTGCTTTTACCAGCAGAAGAGACCAAGCATCCCCAGTGAAGGGGCTGGCAGTGTGTTTGGAATTCTCATCCTGACCCGAGCATCAGGTGGAACTCCTTCTTACCTTCAGATCTTTACCTTCAACTCTCTCCTTAATGTTTCCTGTGACATCCCAGATGTACCCCCACCCTTTTCCCCTGTCTGGCACCTTATAGAAGGAAAAACATCTAAGGAAAGAAGTAGCTGACGCCAGTTTTGGCCTCCTTCTCCCGGGGCACACGGAGCAATGGGCGGTCTTGCTCCGGAATGGGAGGGTTACCCGCTCCTTCCTCATCGTCATGGGAACGGGCAGTGCCGGAAGGCACAGCTGGCTCCTCAGAGGAACCTGAAAAATAGTAACAATGTTAACTCCTTATGTTTCTAGACTTTATACTTTGCGCAGCACCCAAGGCACTAAGACCTAATTTTGAGTTTCAAATACAGTATGAGGCAAGAAGGTAGGACAGGGATGATTATCCCCATTTGACATATAAGAATACTACAGCCTGACAGCAGAACACAGATCTCTGAATCTAGGACCACTGTGGGAACTGGGAAAAGAGCTGAGTTAGGAAAGAGAAAGAGTAAGACAGATACCCTGCGCTCAGAGGGAATGGACAATACCACCAGGGAGACAGGTAAGAGGGCGACCTCCTAATAACCACCACCACCCTACAAGTAACCTGACTAATTTTACCAAGCAAATGAGTAACAAAGCTAGAGCTGAAAGCTTACAGCACTGCATGGAAGACAGAAAGCAGGTGTTGCCCTTCAACACCTCTGGTGAGGACTTGTAGTCCATGACTTGGCCAGGCTGAGACTTGTTTTTAAGGAGAGTGGTATCTACAGGGAATGCAACATCTGCATCTTTATGAAACTGAATTGCCTTTGGATTCTGAACCTCTTTAGAGTTTAAATCTTTAGGCATTGGGACTTCTTCCACATCCATGACTTCTTCAAGATTGACAGCCAGGTCTTGTGGAGGGTCTGGAATTGTATTGAGAATGGAGACATCATCAGTTTCTGGAGCCATAGTGGTAACTTCTTCTTCTTCAAATGCACTGGCTTGGTCTTTCTGATAATCTTGAACTTTGTTGTAAATCTGGGCATCCTTAGGTTTTGGAGCCACATAGAGAACTGAATCTTCTTCAAGACTAGGGCTTTCTTCAGAGTCTTGGTTTCCACTA
Source organism: Homo sapiens (assembly GCF_000001405.40). Lineage (NCBI taxonomy): Eukaryota > Metazoa > Chordata > Mammalia > Primates > Hominidae > Homo > Homo sapiens. Next base: position 131,087,786 of record NC_000023.11, on the reverse strand, counting down.
ACATCAGAGGCTTCTTCACGTCCCGGAATTTCTTCAATATCTGAGGCTTCTTCGGTGTTTGGGACTCCACTCACATCTGAGGATTCTTCATGGTCTTGCATTTCATCAAAATCAGAGACATTTTCAGGGCCTGTGACTACATGGAGAGCTGGGACCTCTTCAGGGCCTGCAATTCCATTGGTCTCTGGAGCTTCTTCATGGTCTGGAATTTCTTCAGTGTCTGAGGCTTCCTCATCATTTTGGGATTCCATCAAAATCTGAGACCTCTTCAAGACTGGGATCTTCTTCAGGGTCTGAGAGTCCACTAACCTCTGGAGATTCTTCATGATTTGGGATTTCATGTCCACCAGGGGCTTCTTCAGGGCTTGGAACCACATAAAGAGCTGAGACTTCTTCAAAATCAAGGTCTTCCTCAGAGTCTGAAATCCCATTTACCTCTGGGGCTTCATAGTCTGGGATTTCTTCAGTATTTGAGGCTTCATCATTTGGAACTTCATCAACAGCTGGGACATCTTCAAGACTGGGATCTTCTTCAGAATCTTGGATTTCATCATTATCTGAAGCATCTGCGTGGTCTGGGATTTCATTGTTTGGGATTACATCAAGATAGGGAGCTTCTGCAAGGTTAAGATTTTGGTGGTCTTCAAAATCTGCTCCTTCTTCTAGGTCATGGTTTGAGTTTTCTCCAGGGTTCAGGATTTCTTGCACATCTGGGGCTCCTTCAAGGTCTGGGACCATATCAAAATATGGAATTTCTTCAAAGTCTGGGATCTCAATGAGTTCTGGAATTTCATTATCTGGTTCTAGAATATCTCCAAGGGGAGGAAGATCATCAAAATTTAAAGTATCATTATCATCATCATCATCTTCCTCATCAAGCTCTGGTATTCCTTCAAGATGTGGGCCCTGAATCTCAAAGTTATTTGGGATTTCTAGACCTTGAGCTTCCCCAAAGACTACTCCTTGATTAAGATATTCAAATACTAGCTCTTCATCTTCCTCAGAGGACTCATCTTCCTCAAGGGGCTCATCTTCAGCAACGACCTGGCCTTCAAAAAGGGCCTGACCTTCAACAAGGGACTGACCTTCAGCAAGGGCCTGACCTCCAGCAGGGAACTGACCTTCATCAGAAGGCTTGCTTTGAGCAAGGACAGCAGCCCGGGCTTCAGCAGAGGTTTCCACTGGATCAGAAAGTAGTGCATCCTCTTCCATCTTTATGCGTGCACTCCTGAATGGGAAGGATTTTGAAAAAGTCAGTTTGTGTACTTGCGTTACTTAATATAAAGATAGTCTGGAGTTGGAAAACCCCATAGGAGGAGGTACTTCAGGCTAAGCATAAACAAACCCAAAAAACACTCACTGGATCTTCCTCAAGTTCCTGCGTCTGATAAAATCAAGTGCTTCCGGGCTGGACTTCCACACGCGCTTAGCAACCTGCCTCTGAATATGGGGAGGCACCTGAGGGTAGAATTAGCAACATTAGCCATCATTACACAGCACCTTTTCATTTATACTCATCTCTTTCAGGTACCTAGGACTAAAGGTACCAGGGCCAGCTAATGTGGGAGGAATTTCTAGACTGGACGATCTTGTGGCTGCCTGTTTTGGCTACCCTCAAAGATGCAGGTACAACTGTGCCTTGCCTTGTGAACAGGAGATGGATGTGTAAAACAAGTGCATCCAAAACTTGCACCTACCTGGAAGAGGACATCCCAGTTATCAATCATGGCACGGACCACATTGACAGAAGCAACATAGTGATCAATCCCCAGCTTTGTTTTCCTGGACTCTCTCTTGCCAAACTTTCCTTTTTTCAGGAGAGCAGATCCAAACACCAAGGCCAAGTTAGTGGAAGTCATACGGTTGCCTGGGACCTAGGCAAAGGAAAGCAGAAAGTGATTGACGCTGAGGTAGTACTGGGAGTTGTACAAATGAATATGTCTCTTTTTATTCTTGTTTCTCTCTCTCCTCTCCATCCACCCTCTTGCTGATATACTCCCACATATGTCCCCTACTACAGTTTTCACTACTCTTTCCAAGATCTTTTTACCAACTGTCCATCAATGCCAATTGAGTCCTCGCAGTTCTCAGTGATTTTATGCAGGGCCTTCAGCAGACGCTCCAGGGTATCACTGTGGCAGGGTGGCATCAGGTAGACCAGCAACTGCAGGGCAGAAAGCTGATCCTGGGGCTTTAAAGCTAGAAGAAGGAAAACAGGGGCTGTCTCAGGGGGATAGTCTTGGCTGCAGACTGATACCAAGGGAGGTGAGATTCTGCTTGAAACTTGCTGGCAGTTATGGAGAAAGTACCCAGGCATCTTGCCTTTGCTCATTTCCAAAGCATTTGAGCTCAGGAACTCTGAAAGCAAGAAGTGCCCCCATAAAAACCAGACCTCCTCTACAGAACCTGGGTGGTTTTTTTTTTTTTTGACCTGAGAGGGCACACACATCTTCAAGAAGCTCTAGAGAAATTTCCAAGCAACAGACTTATAATGGAACATTTAGAAATACAAAGAAAGTAACCCAAATAAGTTTTTTATTAAAATTTTATTTTTAATTGACAAATAATAATTGTATATATTCTGGAGAGGTTTTTAAAATCTTCTTATGGTCATTTTGCCTTAGTTCTTCAAAGTCCTCCAGCCTGAGCTCTGTCCCTAGAACCCCCTAGACCCCAGTAATATTTCCTTTCCTTGCCCTACTAGGGAGGTCAGAAGACTCACTTGCTGTCAGGAGGAATGACATGTACAGATCATCTGGCAGCAGAGAATCCTTCATGTCACGGAAAAACTCCTTGAGGAGTGCAGCCACATCATGCACATTCTGATTGTCATCCAGCACTACATCCAGACCTTGATCAAATTCTTCACGGAGCTAGGAAAAGGAGAAGACAGGGACTGTCTGCCTGGCCCACCACAGCTCCATCTTGGTCATTCCTTCAACAGGTTCCAGTATTCAGTGGAGGTAGCTGGCAATATGGTGGGCCTGGGGGCTACAAAGAAGACCCTGCTCCTCCCCCCACCAGGTAGTCAGGTCTATGGGGAAACCCCACCTCCTCCTGCTCTTTCTTATTGGAGGAACAAACATGTAAACATAGCCAATTTACCTGACGCACTCGCTGCACGGAGTATTCAAGGGTAAAAATCCCCACTGCGCTTAAGCCTGAAAGAAAAGACCAGGGGATGCTAAGCATCTCTGAATCCCTTTCCCATGGCATTTCTCTTCTCCCCTCACCCCCTACTGCATCGCGACCTCCACTGGGTGTCAGGGGAATGTTATCCAAGCCCTTCATCCTCGGCCTCTTTTCTCCCCCCATTTCCAGAACATCCCTCCTTTCCCTTTGCTTCCTTCCTTGATTTACCCATTTGCAGCTCCCTTACCATGTTTTTCAATGAATTGGCAGCAAGCCTCAACAACCTGGGGGATTTGTTTCGCAATCGGATTGAGACTCATCTTCCTTTTGGATCCCAGAAGTCGTTGGCCAATTGGAAAGGAAATTTTTGAAAGCTGCAGGGTCTGCAGCAGCAGGGCTCCGTCTTCCAGCTCAGCCAGACTATCCACAGACACTGCACCCTGTGGAGAAATCCAGATTATCTTAAAATGGGAAATAAAGAGAGTCAATTAGGACCTTCCTGAGTACTGTATGTATGACATTCAGGACAAGATACATTCCCTTTGTGGCAAGCCAAGGACACCACTTCAACATATTGTGTTCAGCTCCCCCCTGCCTCTGAGGGCACAGGCCTTGATCCTCCGGCCTCACATTCCTGCATACCTCAGGAGAGGCCCCTGCCTGAAACCTGGAGGGTTTAACTCACTCGACGCCCACGGCGAGTGAACTCCCGGGGCAAGGTGGGCTCATTCCGCCTGCGACTGAAAAAGCGCCGGATGCGGCCAAACACCCTTCGCACCACGTTTCCCCGACGACGGCCCGCAGCCTGACCGGTGGCTTCTTCAACCTGCATCGTGGCTGTCAGTTCAAGATGCTTGCGGCGGGTAAACTCGTTCACCAGGACCTCTTCCAGGCTAATGCCAAATGTCTTGTGTGATACAGCTGGGGAGCCACGAGAGAAAGAATGAGAAACGTCAAAGCCTCGCAGCGCTTAAATCAGGAGGAAGCAGGGGCTGTAGCACTCCTCCCAGCAACCACCCGCAGCCAACCCCACCTCTCCAGAACCGCAGCGCCCCTCCCTGGGGAGCTAGCCAAAAAGACCCCGCAGTGGTTTGGCGAAAGGACTCAGCTCCACTCAACCACCCCGACGAGGCTCGAGGTCCCTGCCTTAAATTTTCCCTGGGGGTGACTACCTTGAAACAAAGAGGGCGATTTCTTCGGGTTGATCTGTGTGGGGTGAGTCCACCAGGAAGGTCTGAGAGGACCGCCCCAAGCACCTACAGCTACTGCGCCATTTCCTGATATCACCCACTGTGGGGTTTGGGAGCTGAGGAGAGTGTCCCCTGGGACAGTGGACGCCACCCAGTCTCCAATAGCCAGGGCCACACTACACAGGGGGTTAGCATTCTATTTCTTTTCTAAAGAAAATACAAGAGCCCCCTCACCCCTCTGCTGTCCTCTCAAAATCAGAAACCACTTATCCAAGGTGTTCGGACGGTCAATAGGCAGAGCTACAGAAAGAGAAAAAAGAAAAGATACACTTACAAATAGGACTTAATAAGTGACTAAAACATCCCAATGCCCTGATCTGCAGCAGGGGGAGGGAGCGGCAGAGAGGCGAGCTCTGCCCAGCGGGCGAAAAGTAATTTGCTTTCTATGAGCCTCAGTTTCCCCACCTAACAACAAGGACAAGCCTATCTCACTCTTATCAGACTCCAAGAATTTAACCAAACCAGACAATCTAATGCGCCGCGTGCGCACCGCGCATCTTGCTACGCACCCGTAGTCGCTCAATACAACACTTAAAACATAAATTCCGGGGCTCTGAAGCCCCCAGATCACGCAACAGGAGAGGGGAGGGAGGGGCTCTCCTGCAGCGCCACCGCGGGTGAGGGTCGCCAAGTTACTGCGGGCGCGCTCGCACCAGGTTGCCGTCGGCTCCCTGCGCTGCGGTAGGAGAAGCGGCGACACCTGGCTGTCCCCGCACTCCGAATCTGGCATCAGTGGCTGCCAGCGGGGGCTCCTCGCCCTTTGCTTCGCTCAATTCAAGCTGCGTTCGCGGTGCGCGCCTAGCGAAGCTGCCACCCCCAGCACTTTCCAATACCTCTGGGGCGCGCCTGGGTCCGCGCTAACCGCCTGGGCTCCGCTGCCAAATCCGCGCGCTTACCCCTGAGATTCCCTGGTGCACTCGAACCTCGTCCTGCGCCGCGTCCTGCTCGCTCCCCGGCAGCCAGCTGAGGTGGGCAGTGCTAGAGGCGCACCTCCTGCCGCCGCCCCCGCGCCCGCACCGCCCTCCCGTTCACCGCCCGGCTAGGAGCGTCTCTCTCTCACGCACTGTCTTGCTATCTCCCTCTACTCTCTGTCTCTCGACCGCGCTGTCTCTATCTCTCCCAGTTCTCTCCAGAGTGTCCCTCTGCGCTTCCGTCTCGCTCTGCCCTATTCTCGCACCGCACCTGCTGCGGCTGTCTCTTCACCGGCCCTCTGTCCACTTGTCTGTCCCTGACATCTGCCCGTCTGTCTTACTGCCCCCTCAACTCCCAGCCTTCGACCAAACTCAACTAATTTTTACCTCTTCCGCAATTCAACAAACAGCCTTCAACTCCGGCTTCTTCAGTTCCCCAGACGCCAGGAGAACTGATCAAGTCCGAGATCAGGCGTGAGCCCCTCCCACCCTGCCAGACCCCTAATCCGCCCCGTCCTGCCCGGAGGGTCCACTCTCCCGAAGGCGAGGATGCCACAATCCGGGGTACAGCTTACCTCTGTCAGGTTTGAATTCGGAGAGGAAATGTCTGGCCACGAGTTCGTGGTAAGCAGTCTCTTGCAGCTTCAGACGCTCCAGCTCAGAGAGGCTGTGTATCGATACCATCTTCGTCCTGCGGTCGGGGTTGTGTCCTGGGGCTCCTCCCAAGACACTCACTAAAAAAATGAAGGCGGACAACAACAGCAAAGGGGGCATGATTCTGGGGCACAGTGCCCTTGCTGCCTTCAGAAAAGGAATGCAGCCACCCATTCTGGAATCGGATGATTATCAAGGCTGCATCATCCAATTGTCACTGGACCTGGTGGAGAGAACTATGGGGGTGGGGGTAGAGGGGGAGGGAAAACTGGGAGGCGGCTTCACCCTCAAGCAGAGCAGCCTCTGGTTGTTTTTGCTAAAAAAGAAAAAAAAAATCCAACTTCAAAAATTCAGCCCTTAACAGATAGTCCAGGAAAAAGAAAACCTAATTAGAAAAAAAAAGTACAAAGAGAGAAAATAAGAAGAAAAAATAAAAGAGAAAAACATTTTTTAACAAAAGCACTTTGAAACAAAAATAAGATAGTATTTTCCATTAATTAATTAGTTAATTAATTAGAGCGTTTTTAGAGGTTTTTTTTTTTCTTTCCATGACGATACTCGATGCTGTCCAGGTTGGATAAAAAGGGGACTTTCATCTAGGTTAGGAGAGCTGCAAATTCAGACAAGTCCAGAAAACAAAATGGACACATGGGTCTAGAGCCAAAAATCGTCCCCAGGCCCTTTGACCTAGTAACTCCCCTTCTAGGAATCTATCCTAATAAAATCTTCCTACAGACAGGGAAAAGCATATCCACATAAACCATAATAGTAACAAAAAAAGGGAAAAAAAGCTAGCCCAGCAATGATATTAGTTATATAAATTTTGTAATGGCCACAGTATGGAAAAATTATGCAATCATTAAAGTTATATTTACAAAGAGTTTTTTAACAACAAATACAAAACACAGAATTGTATTAATTTTGATTGCAACTATGTGAAGAAAAACATGCATAAAAATAAAAGACTGAAGGAAATGCACCCAAATGCTAACAGCATTTGCATTAACTGGTGAGATTTTGTTTGCCTGTTGCTTTTCTCTATTTACCAAACATTGTACAACTTCATTATATTACTTTTTCATAAAAAAATCATTTGTACCAAAACCAACAAACATCATTTCCAGACCATTTCTAGTGAGACTCCTTAAACAGAATTGGTATCAAAGTGGAGTTTGTCTTAGTGTAATGGTAAAACCTATTTTATATGTGCCTTCTCCATGATGCCCACTATCTTATACTACTTCCAGACTACAAAGCATCCCCAATGGGGTATGCCCCTACACCTCACACAGCATCCTTTCCCGCACATTCTCTATTACTCATTTGTTCACTCATTCATTCATTCATTAAAACAAAAACCTGTATTAATTGCCCACTTTGTGCCAGGCGCTAAAGATTGAAAGGATGAGCAAGGTAATACTATTTCTTTTTTTTTTTTTTTAAAGATTTAACAGTGCAGTGAAGGAGATACACAAGTTAGCAACAATTTACAAAACCTTGTGATGTTAGACCTCCAAGATATAAACAAAGTATTGTGAGAGCAGAAAGGAGAAAACAGCTAAATCTGCCTGGAGACAGAGGAGGGGAGCATCCAGAGAGAACAGCTTGTGCAAAGGAAAAGAGATGGGAGAGAGGTTGTCATATTCTTGAAGCTGTATAAAGGGATTGGAAGGAGAAAAATCTGGATGGGCAGGGATGAGATCATGGATGGCCCTATAAGCCAGCTTAAAGAGTCGGACTTTTTCCTGAAGGCAATAGGGCTTTAGGCAGGGAGTGAAAGATTCAGGGTTGCACCTTGGAAAAATCACAGAAAGCCATGAAAAAGCCTGTTTTGGGTAGAGAGCTGGAAGTAGGTAGATGAGCCAAGAGGCAAGGGATATTGACACAAGTCAGTGTCACTAGGGCTGGAGTAGGGGACGAATCTCATGGATGGAACTGACAGGGCTTAGGGAACATCTTTAATTGCAATGGAAAGAAAACAATTTAGGATAGCTCCCAAGTTCATGGTTTGGGTAAATATGGCTGGTTCCTGATAGAGAAGATAATTCAGGAGATGGGGAACTAAACCTTTTGCCAAGAAAGGAAGTAGTTACATACAACTTTACTGAATGTCTCTTTCCCATGGAATCTACAATAACATTCTATATATGATTTGGGGGGTGGGGAGCTTAAATTTCAAAGATCAGGCAATGCAGCTTTGGCAGAGAAAAGTTAAGTAACGGTTTATCATGCAATAATCTAAATAGATGAGCTACCTTCTGTCCAAAAAAAAAAAAACAAAAAACAAAAAACAAAAAACAAACAAACAAATAAACCATACTTGAATTTTGTCTCCAAAACTCTTTTGCCTACTTCCCTTAGTAGCCAGGATCACAGATGTCAGAAATAGGTGCAGTAAGAGAAAAGATGAGGAGTTTTCCTGTGGCTTTTGAACTAAACCAAGAGGAAAACACCTAGCATAGATATTAAACCTTCAACTGCAAAGCTCCATCCCCTGGACCCAAAGTGAACACCTAACCCCAACCACCAAACTGCAACTTGCAAAGTGACCATTTTAACCAAAGGCACATGCATTTAACCACAGTTCCAGACTAAGCCTCTAGCAATTCCCCATTCAAAATAGCAGGTCCAGAGCCTATTAGTCTAGGGTCTCATCCTGAGACACACAGCCTAGCTCTGGCTTAATTTCTCTAACATTACTCCCCTCTCCCCTTTCCCCAATCCAGATATCTTTTGTACCTGTTTTGGAGTTTCAGCTATTTCTTCTTATCGAAGCTTACCAGATCTGATCATCCAAAGAGCAGAGCTGGTTTTTTCACCCAAAAATAAGATGAAAATCAGTCCCTTCTCTCCCCCAAATATAAGGTAAGAACAAACAGTAAAATCCCCAATCAACAACAGCCCCAAAAGGAGAGAGAGAGAAAAGCCTTTGAGAGATGAGTCAGCCTAGATGCTTACAATTCCGAAGGAAATCAAAGGCCTTAGAATAAACCGTTTGTCATTGCCTCCCTGCTCCAGCACACAGGGCTAAACTTAAGAGCAGTTATATGCTGCAGTTCTAACAGAAAAATTGGCATTGCCTTACTTGCTTTCAACCTTCTCAAGGTGCCAGTAGCATACAATACAGAAGCAGATTTAGGAAGACCAATGTCCCCAGACAAGAAGCAGATGGGTGGGGTGGGGAGGGGGAATGAGTAGGCAGGCTTTCGCACTATGAGAGAGGCACATAACAGGATCTTGAGATTTGAATACTTCAGGCCTGACATTTCAAGCTGAACACAAAAGGAGGCTCCCTACAGGAAAGAGGTGCCAAGAGACCTCTCTTGCTCCAAAGTGTTTTCCCCTTACCCCTTCAGTATACCATGGCACTAGCCTGAAGAGACCATGAGATTCAAAAGCAAGATGAAAGCAAACCAGCTCAGTTTCAGTCTAGAATTCAAAACATTTGCAGAAACACTATCTTTAGACAAATACTTTTACTAGTGTTAGAGCCAAATATAACTGAGTTCAAAGCCAGCCTCTAGATTTCTTAGCTGTGTGATCTTAAGAAAGTCAGTTGAATTCTCTGAGTCTCAGTGGCCTTCTCTATAAAATGGTGAAATGACACAGTATCCATTTCAGTGGTTGTCTGAGAGTTGAATGAATAATATTATGTGTGGTATTTAGCATTGGTTTTTAATAAACATGTTAATAGTGAAGGTTCTTTGCAGAGGGCTGGAGTTTACAAAAAAAATCATGTTTCAAAAGTAATTACATAAAATTAGAATTTGTATCAATCCATTGAACAATCTACTCTTCTCCACTAAATTTGAATTATGTAAAGAGATCTTAGGAGATTTTAAGGGATATATCTTTCTTCTTCATTCTCCAATTTCAGCAGAGTCAAGTATTTAAAAAAAACATTTTATAAAATTTAGAAAAACTAACTGCATAGGTTAATATTTCAAATGTTATTATTCAGATTAATAAAGTGCCTGTATGTCTCAAAATTTGTTTCTCTTTCAAGCCATCCAATTCTACATTGTCACTAGCAATATATATATATATATATATATATATATATATATATATATATGATTTTATTTGGATAAGTAAAGGGGCTAGAATATGAGCAGATATCAAGAGAGAGAATTTGAACAAAGAGCGGACAGGCACAAATCAAGTTTCCATCAATACAAAAAGGGGAAACACACTTGAATGGCATCAAGCCTGTTTCTCACGTCCTCCCAAAATGCATGGCACACAGATGGAGAAACAAATTAACGTCAGAAAGGTTACCCACTTCAACATTGTGAGGACTGAAATGGTTTCAACTAGGCATAAATCTACAGCCTTCATGATTTGGAGGACTAATTTACTCCATTACCCCCATAAAATAGTTAAGAATGGTGCAGTGCTTACTAGTAAACACCTATGGAAAAAAAAAAGCAGGGACTGCACTGATGCCATGGTTTAAATCCTTATAAATTAGGTACTCTATGGCATCACTAGAATTTTGGTCCAAGCCTCTGAGAGTGCCTCAAAGTTTAGGAAATTGATAGTGAATGGGGCTGGGTGCCCAGAAGGTACTGCATCTACATTATTCAAATGACTACAGGCAGCGGCAATGGATAAAGACATCCCCATTAATGTATCACAACATGGGAAAGAGATATGGGTCTCTATACGAAAACATTTGGGCACCAGTTTGGTCTGCTGACACATTAGCTTATTCATCCCAGAGCATTAATGAGTTAGCCTTAAAGTTGTTATCCCATAACCTCCATTTCAGCAAAGGCTGCTGATGCAATGAACAATATGGCTCATTTTATACAATGTGGTGATGACGCTCCAAGATAATTAAATCTGGGGATAGTGTTCATCAATACATTGAGTCAGCCCATCATGTTATAGCAGAAGGTCATAAACTAGAGGTAATATTACTGTTAAAATATATGGAGAAAAGCCCTGGCTTCAAAAAAATAAGAAAGTTTCAGAAACATTATAATATTAGAATGTTTCAGAAATAGGACCTTAGCCATCACCTGGTCCCAAACCTCCATTATACAGGTCAGAAAACTGAGGCTCACAGAGAGACAGGGGTTTTCCCAAGACCACACAGCAATTTGACAACAGAGCTTGGACAAGAACCCAGTTCTCTTCAGTCTCAGGGCTCTTGCCATTGACGCACCCATACTTGCTTTCACTAGCTGCAAGATTCTGCATTGCTAAATAAAGAAATCAAAAGAATACACATAATCAAAGCCTGATTCCATAAGCCAGGGTAGGTCATATCTGACGGCAGGCAGCCACCACATATTACAGCATCTTTGTAAAATAAGTACAGTCGTCATTCCATGGAATCCTGTTTTTAAATTTTATTGACTAAAGAAACAACTCAGGCTCAGGATGGTGAAAGGCAATTTTTATGCTATAAACATCCCAAAGGATAGTGTAAACAAGGCAATGTGACATCAAGTACACGAAGATACAGATATTCTCACTATTATCTGCAATATGTATCAGGGTGCATAATAGTGTTGGCATCACAAGCTGTGTCATGCATATCATTTTTTCCCCTTTTGGTTGCTGCTTCTATTAAATTGTGGTGGAAGAAGTTAAAAATAAAATGTTCTATCAATAGGAGGTAAAAGTTTTTAATGCCTAATTTGTCTCCTGCTTTTCATTTTCTTAAAAGCTTTCCATATGCCCATTATCTCCAGACCCTAGCACACAATAGATGTTCAATAAGTGTTTGTCGAGTGAATCACAGGATTATAAGCTCTTGAGAGTCTTGTAATTAAAACAGCTATTCGTGATTCATGAATAAATGAATCATGCCACTTTATTCTTACAATAACCCCTGGGAAAGAGGTAGGTTGGATATTTCCTCCCCATTTTACAATAGCAACAAACTAAGACTTTGGAGAGGCTGTGACTTATCTAAAGTTGCACAAAAATGCCATGGAGGAATATGATCTGGGAACCAGCTCTCCCTTCCTATCCCCAACTCAAGCCTTGCCCTTTCCACCAAACCATAGCAGTTCTTGGTATTCACCACCAACATCTGCTGCCTGGAACTGGGAAAGTCTAAACCAAGACTACCTTCTTTCCTAAGGATGTGGTTGGATTTTTGAGGTATTATTTTTATACATTGCTCTGTGCCATTCCGTGGGAAATGAAGATAGAAAGAAAGATAGATACATGGACACACACACACACACACACACACACACATATATATACACACATATATATGCGTGTGTGTGTGTTTATATATGTGTGTGTGTATATATATATTTACAGGAAGAGTATATATATGTTTTTGGAAAAAAAAGACTATTATGAAAGGTAGAGGAGAGGAGTTGACAGAGGAGAAAGACACCAAAAGCCCTGTGTAGGCATCTCACCATATTTCTTACCCCAGCCCACCCCCAACCTGACAGCATGGTATCCTGGCAAGGTCCTGTGATATAGACTGGAACTTAGCTTCAAATCCCAGCTTCACTCCATGTAAGTTTACACACTCACTAACTATGTGACAGAGAGCAAATTATCTTGCTTTTCTGAGCCTCAGATCCATGACCTTACAAAACAAGAATCATGGTACCTATTAAGTGTGGCTGTGAAGATAAAATAAAAGGGTAGAATGAAAGTGTTCTCCAAAGGGTACATTTCTATGCCAAGCAAGCAAACAAGCAAGGTGAGGAATTGCCCTCCAAAATACCTGGGAGCCAAACTTGAGAGGAAGACTTAGCAGAAGTGCTACTATCTGGAATGAGGCAGATAGTGTCCCCTGCTGAAGAATGCCTCTGTATCATCCTTTGAAGATGAAAATGGGTACTCACCCACTGTCAGCAGGAAGCACACTTCTAGATGGGATAAGATGAACTGTATTTTCACTGGGTCTTTCATGATCAGAGATGCAAGGCAGCTAACTGTGTGATATGTGGGGATTAGTCTAGTCTATGAAATGTAGATAAAAGCTAACTGGCCTACAAAATGGATTTAATCCTGAACTTTGGCTTCCTTGGCACAGTATGGAAGCCACCCATGCTAGAGATGGTGGAGGGAAGGGGAGAGCTACCTGGAGTAGAAAGCCCTTGTTCCTGCCCTGGGATCTCACAGCCTAGTCGAAGGTCACATAAATGTCAAGTGTCTGAAGACTATCAAGAAAGGCCCATGGGTTTAACATCATCTTTCTTGCACTAATTTAAATATGTTTCCTTTCCTTTGTTCTTTTAAGGAATATTAAGAATTGACTATTTCCCCAGGCCCACCAGCACTGGACAGATCCCTAGTCAGCTATAAGTTTTTAGTTTGCACTCTGTAAATTCGGATTCATTCTTCTTATCTCCCTTGCCTCTCTCAAAGCTTCCCTCTTTGAGACCTGCTCCCTTTCAGACACACACACACACACATATTCCCACTCACAGACATCCATGTACACACACACCCTTACACTCTCTTACATAAGCATTTTCCCTCTCTCTCTCTCTCTCACACACACACACACACACACTCACACACATACAAAATTCCCTTCTTCGATGTACTCACTACAAGAGAGGGAAAAAGGGAAATGAGACTTAATTAAAAGAAGGGTCATCAATATCTGCCTCTCCAGACCACATCTGTGGCTTCTACAGAGTGGGCATAAGAAATAAAGGACTGATGGGGACACTCCCGGAAGCCATCTGAACAGAGGCCATATCAAAGAAACCTTCAGAATAAGGAAGTTCTCAGAATCCGTGCTGAGAGCTTCTTCTCCTCCATCTTTGTTCCCCCACTCCTACCCCCTCTATTCTCCTTTGATCATATCTTCCCCAACAAGCATCCAATTTTCTGTCAGTTTTCTTTTTCAAAATCCTGTCTGAGTGGCTGTCATAGGGAACTGGGGCTGTGGGAGATGTTTTTCCCTGTAGTTTTCATGGCAGGAATGGTATTTTAAAACTACATTCAAATAAGCATATTTTTAAAAATATCAATATCTGTCTGTCTGTCTATCCATCCATCCATCCATCTATCCATCCCCATTCAAAATTGGACCACTCTCATGGCTATGACGCAATCAGAAAAATCCCTAGACCAGGAGTCAGGAGGCCTCCTCAGTTACTAAGCAGCTGGGTGGCCTTGGGCAAGTCAGAGAGCGTCTCCAAGCCCGAAACATACTGGCATAATTTATTATCATTCTGTTTATCTAAGGGCACTGTAGAGACACAACTCTCACGTCTGCAAAGTCCTTGATTCTTCCACTGGACTTAGCTAACTCCGGGACACAGGGCCACACGGCTGCTATTCGCAGTTGAAGAGAGAGCCCACCACCCCCAAGCCCCTCCAAGGGGCCAGAGTGCAGGGGACTGAGCCTGTCTCCACCTCCGACCCTCCGCCCGAGCACCCGTCCCGCTGCGTGCCCTCGGCTCTGAGCTAGGGACAGAGGTGAGGGTAGGGGGCTGCGGAATGTGCGCCCTCTGCCTCTCGGGGTTGCCCTGGGTCTCTGGCTGCCACTGCGCTGCAGAGCATGGCCTTTAGGCTGGGTTGAGGTGCGCTGCGCGGGTCCTGCCCCTGGGTAGCTCCAGGCAGCGCAGAACCTGTAAAGTTAAACAAAGCCCTGCGGCGCGCGGAAACCACTCACTGCTTCCTGCTCCTCTGAGAATTAGAAAAATTAAATCTTTCTTGCGCTCTTACGTTTGAGACATCGAACGCAAAAGCCTGGGCAACTTGTTCCACACTCTCAGGTCTCCTCTCCCTCCCTCACGTCGGGCCTTCCACGTGGAAGTGCCCTCACCTCCCTCTCTCACCCCGCAGTGGGCTGCGCTCAGGCCACTGGTGCCCTACCCCTGCACTACCTCTTGGCGAGCCTCTTGGTCCGGCCAGGGAAAGGCTGCGTGACCTGCTCGACAGTCCGGCGGGCGGCAGCGGGTAGTGCTGAGAGGAGCTGCAGGCACTGCCAGCGCTTGGCTCTGCCTCTCAGATTCCCCTACTCTCTGGAAAGCTTGCCGCGGTGAGGAGGGGGCTGATTCATAGCAATTTTCTACCCAGCAGCCAGCTCAGTGCCTTACGTATACCTGTTTGCTGAATTCTCTGGGCCACTCCCACTGGTTCTCACTGTACCCCACAATCTTCTCTCCCCTATTCAAAGCAGAGCTCTCCTTCAAGATTCAGCCCAAGGGTCCCTTCCCTCTGAATGCTCTGAACCTCCCCTCCCCTGGCCATGCCACACAATCTCACAGTACAAGTGAAGGAAGAGCAGAAATGGAGGTTCAGATGGTTAAGAAACTTACCCAAGGACACAGCTAATTAGTGGCAGAGCCAAGATGAAGGTCCAGAACTCCTGGATCCCAGCTCAGCACACAATTTGCCACAGCACTTTGCTTCCCTTCTGCCTTGACTGGTGTGGCATTTGAGGGCAGGGGACATTCTTTGTTGGCCCTTTGCACACAAGGACTGCACAAGGAATAGTCCTTTCCCCTCCTTGCCTCACTCTTTCTGCTTTTTGTTTCCCCTTCCTGTCTAGGGCCTCTGGTCTTCTTGTCTAGGGCCTCTGGTCTTCCAAACTCAGAGATAAAAAGGTCATTTTTTTCAAAGTTCAATGATCAGCAAGAGCAAAACAGAAGCTGACTTCACAAAGTCCTCCATCGACCTGGCTGGCAATGGTCTCCCACCCCTGCCCCCCACTACTATAGTCTTAATTTTTCATGTACTGTCTTCTTTGCATATCTAGGCACTTAGAGAAGTCAGGAGGCCATCTACACCAGCCCAAACCATCTTACCTTTTAATACCTCTTCCAAAAATACTCTCTTCTAAACTGCAGCCCACCAATCATATATACAAATCACCATTCAACCAAGCAAAAATATATAATTTACAAGAGCTTAATATTCTTATCTGATGCAACAAGGGCAATATGGGGTTATAATCACAAGATCTTAAGTGGGAGAATTTCAAATACACAATTACACCCCCCCCAATTGAATTCTCTCCTGTCTTGGGCCAAGTAAATGCACAAGGGACAGTGTTGTCAACAAAGAGGGACAGAAATGGAGAAGAAAGAGAAGAGTCAAGAATATAAGAGACTATGGGTGAGCCCAGCAAGAGGGAAACATGGGGAAGCAGAGCCTGGGCAAAGGAGAGAAGGAAGAAAAAGGAAGGGAAAGGATAGAGTACAGCTGCTGGCTCCAAGTATAGCTGCTGTGGAAGCCCAGGCAGACATGGACTTATTCTCCAAAGGCTCAGAGATATGACTCTTAGGTGCCTGGATTGGAAATAAGATCCAGAAGCCCAGTGTCAAGTTTCACTTATCCTCTAGTAAAGAGAGAGAGCGTCTGGCTCTAAGCAGCACTGGTGGTGCTCTTTTCAATTTAAGTGCCACCTCACCATCATTGCTACCATGATGAGGCCCTCGCCCTCCCCTCCCCCCAGAATTAAATAAATCTTACCCAACACAGGAGTACAATTTGAATACTCAGGACAATTTGCCCTTCCATTGAAGGAGAGGAGAGGAGAGGACCTCTCCCTCTCCTCCTGCTGTAAGTGGACTGGGTGCTGCCCCTTTATACATTCTAGAGCACCAGGTAAGTAGAGGGGGAGAAAGGGAGGGAGCAGCAGTTTGAGGCTGGTCCAATTTGTCCCTGGCATCCCCTCTTTCTCTGTCTCTCTCTGTCTCTGTCTCTGTCTCTCTCTCTCTCTCTCTGTCTTCTCTCTCTCCCTGGATTTTTCTGCAGCCCCTCCCTCTGGCCCTGGAAGCTCTGCTCCCCTTCCTCACTGCAGCATCCTGCAACCAGCACCCTGCAACCAGCACCCTCCACTGTGATAAAACACAAAACATTGGAGTACGTCTTTCTGGTGACGCTTGCTTTTTAATGTGAGATTTTAGACCTATATGCCAGGAAAAAAACTTGAGTTGAGGTGGGAGAGGGTGTCGCCGGAGAGGAAAAGAAAACCCACCCAGGTAACTAGCAACATGGGCTGGTATTGGGGGCAGCTGGGAGACACGATTTGAACCTGAGTACATAGGGATCCAATTTAAATAGAGGACTGGCATACTAGAAGAGGCCTGGATTACAGCGATTGCCTGGTAACATACATACACAAAGACCGCATGATATAGAGAGAAGGTAGATAACAAAATATCACTCAGCCTCAGTTTTCTCAACTGCAAAATAGGAAAATTAGTGCTCCAATAATACCGTGGAGAGGAATGTGTGAAATGACATAGGTGAAGTACCTAGCACTTACCTTGCCACTGAAGCCCAGAGAGGGGAAAATAACTTGCCCAAAGTCACATAGTAAGTAGCAGAGTCAGGATTGGAACCCAAGTCTCCCAAACATTCCCCTCCCCAGGAGTGTGCCAATGCTATCCTTGGGGACTTGGTTGTGGAACTGGGGAGGCAGGTTAGGAGCTGACTTTGTGCATATGAATATAGACGTTCTATCACTCAGTCCCAGCCTCAAGGGCTCAGGCTCCTGCCTCATCCCCCTTCTCATCATCACTCAGGTAATCTCCTCATGCCATCTTGGACTGATTCATTGCCACTTTAGCGCCATCTCTGCTACCTAACTGAGATGGTGAATCACCCTCTAGCTGGCCAGGGCCTCTGCCCTCCAGGAAAGAGGCTTTCTTCTTAGTTGCCTGCAGAAGCCTCAGCCGCAGTGAAGCAATGCTCTTCCAGACAGGCTTAGAGGTGGAGGGCTTTGAGGAGGAATGGAATAACTCTTTGTCCAATGGAATAACTCTTTGTCCAATGGAATAACTCTTTATCCAAAGCCACTGCCCTCCATCCCTGCAGTGCCTAGGGTCCTCTCTTTAGGTTCCTTATGATAACTCCTCATGTACCCTCGAGTCTCAATGTTTCCTAGGGATTTCACCCAGGACATCTCTTGCCGCCTGTATAGCGCTTGCACTGTGTGTCTGGCACAGCGCTAGATGCTGCTGGGACATAAGTTAACAGGAGACATTCCTGGCACCCAAGGAGTGCTCACAAGAAGTTTAAAAATATTACTGTGGCATCTCTGTAAGAAGGAAAAGAATACAAGTGGAGGTGAGTTAGGAAGTCCTTGTAAGGAGGGGAGGTGATGGGCAGAACAGCCTCATCACAAATCCAAGGATTGGAGTTGTGACCTGGATTCTCTTGTGGCCAGTGAATGGCATCACCAAATCATTGGTG
Source organism: Homo sapiens (assembly GCF_000001405.40). NCBI lineage: Eukaryota > Metazoa > Chordata > Mammalia > Primates > Hominidae > Homo > Homo sapiens. The sequence goes on along the minus strand of NC_000023.11, from coordinate 131,069,692 downwards.
CAGGCATTTCCCTTAAATACAGCATATTGCAAGTTAACTGAACTCCTGCCCGTCCTCTGTGTTTCTGGCCTGGCTTGGGAGCATCAGCTGGTGGCCATGTCCCCCCTGCCAGACTCTAATCCCCTTTCTTTTAAACTCCCATATCTTTATATTTTTGAAGAGGGTGGGGGAAAGAGGGAGGGAATGGACATCCTCTGTATGTTAACTGGAAGAAGTACTTCACATATGTTACTTCCTCTAAGCCTCACAACTACCCCGCGACCTAAGCCAGCGACTTACCACGTTAGTCAGCTAAGAAGTGGCAGAGCTGGGATTCGAACCTATAAAGAACTCTGAAGCCTGGGTATTTTTACATGACACTTTACATAATGCGCCACGGGGTAGTCGGAGGGGGAGGTCCATCTCCCTTTCCCTTGCTGTCCATCTCCACAGAAAAGAAGCAAGTGGAGGACAGGAGCCAGAAAGTCATCTGGCCGCGGATCATTCCGGAGTGACCCCCGCCGCCACCACTCGCATAGTCCGCTTATGGCGGGAGGGCACCTCAGAGATTCTCACAGGGGCTGTGCGGCCAGAACCAGAAGTGCAAAGCACCGTTAGCGACTCTATCGCCCCCTGCCGCCTGTGGCGCCCAGTCCGAAGCTGCTGTTTTCAGGAGGGCTAGTGGGCTAAGAAAAGAGCTCACCGACTGACTGCCCAACAGCTGTTGCGAGCCAGTGCTAGGCTGCAGACAGCCTTGCCAAATGTGGTGACATAAGCGGGAGGGGGGAACATTTAGAGAGCCCTACTATGTGTCCAGCGCGGGGTCGGGGATTTCTAATAGCCATTGCCCTTTACGTAGAAAATGTGATGCTTTGAGAAAGAGTGAGCTCTCCATTAAGAAAAGTCTTCAAGCTAGATTAGAACAGGCTTCGCAAAAAGCTTGTCTGCCAGTCTTAACTCCTTACTTCTTGAAACCAATAAAGCCCTCAACCCTTAACAGTGGCCAGTTCTCTCCAGTGGGGCTCGGGGGGTGGGGGCGGGTGGGGGCCGGGGAGAGAAGCACATGTCCTGGCTGAGGGTGGGGGTGCGGAGGGGGACAGAGGTCAAGGCAGTGAAAGGGCCAGGGGGAGGGTACTGGGAGGAGGAGCCTCCGGCGGGGTCGACAGTGCGCTGAGTCAGGGTCCCCGCGGAGACCTCGCGCCAGCTCGCTGATTCCCTAGACCTTCTTGTTTTCCTGGGTTCCGCCTGGATTTTCCTTGGATCCAACTCACTTACTCCCTTTGCTTGGGAATGGGGAACATGGGGGCAACACCCCAGGTCAAAAGGAAAAGAGCATCTGTGCCCGCCCCGCCTGGCTCGCTCATCCCCCCTCCTTTTTTCCCCTCCTCTCCTCCTCGCCCCCTTCTCTTCCGCCCAAAGGGAAGGCGGGGGCGGGCTGTGTATGTATGTATGTATGCATGTAAGCGTGTGTGCGCGCGCGCGGGTGCGGTAGATCTGTGTGTGCGTTCGGTGTGTGGCCGGGTGTGGGGGGTGTGTGCGCGGAGCACGTTTTAGCTGGAGTGCTTGGTGTGGTGTGTATTTGGTTTGCGCTTTGACATGCAGCATGTGTTTGTGTGTGCACGCTTATAGGTTGTATGTTTCTGCCCGATTATAGTGGGATTATGTGGGTGCGGTTTGAAGGTGGGTGTGTGCTGTTCCTGCCGGGGTTTGTGGTCGTGCTGTGGTGAGTGTATATGTGTGTGCAATGTGTGGATGTGTGTGTGCCCGTTGAAGCTTGTGTGCATATGTGTGGAGTGTGTTTATGCTTAGATGCAGTGTGTCAATGTGGGTTTACAGGTGGTGTCTGTTGAACTGTGTAGTGTGTGAATGTGTGCGTGTGCAAGATTTCTCTATAAGTCAATCTACTTGAGATGTGTGTTCAAAGGTTTATGCATGTGAGGGTGCGGTGTGTGTCTTTTGGTGTGATGTTCTCATGTGTGTGGTGTGGACGCATGTGGTCAGCTTACGTGCTTGGATGAAGGGGTTGTGTGTGTCTTGAAGGGGGATTGCCGCGTAAGTGTATGGGTGCGGTGTGTGAGAGTACAGGGTTGTCTAAAAGAACCCAAGTGACCGTGTGTGTGGTTGGGGGCGGGGACGAGTGGGACGTTGGGCTGGGACTGAGAGAAGAAAGGAAGTAGGGGCCGCGACCCCGGCAGGGGTTCCCGCTGGTCTGATCTTCACCGTGGGGGTTCGCCTGCCCGCCCACCTCTGTGTCGGCAAGGCCCGCTGGGGCAGGGTGTGAATGTACCTGGCTGCTTAAAGGAAAGAAGAGGAGGGCACCGCACGTGATTGGCCAGGTAGGGCGCCTAGGGCGCGATACAGGGGCTGGTGGGAGTAAGCTGGAAAGATTCTTGGTCTCTGACCTGACACCCCTCCCCCGCCCAGGAGATCCCAGCTGGTGCCTAGCTGAGCCCAACTATTTGCTCAGGGCCTGGCTGTTTCACACCTTTTTGGCTTTGTGTGGGCAGATCCAGTTGCCTGGAAGCCCTTTCCCCTTGGGCCTTGTGACAAACTCCTACTTATTTTTTTTAAACCTAACTCCAGAATCACAAAACTTTCTCTGCTCTTCTGTACTTTTCCCTCTCAACTGAGGGCTCGCTTCTTTGAGCCACCACAATTACACCCTTCATACTTCTCATGCCATGATCATACATAACTGCAATCATTTCTTTCCCTTTTTAAACTCTGAACGGCTGTAGAGAATACCTGGTATGTAGCAAGGATAGTTGTAATAATAATAATAATGTTGCCATTTGTTAAGTACCTACTGTGTACTGGGCATTGTGCTAAGTGTTCTGACATGCATTATCTCCTTGGGTCCTTACAATGATCCTGTAAGGTAGACAGAGCTATAATTATTGCTATTTTTACACTTCATACATCAGGCTCAGAGTAGTTAAGTAATTTCCCCAAGATCACACAGACCCTAGGAGGCTGAGCTGGTATTTGAACTCAGGTCTACCATATTTCCTAAACCTGTATTACATACCAGGTGGCTTTACTAAGAGTCCCCTGATTCCTGCTAGACATTGAAGTTTCTATCAAACATTATCATTTCTCTACAAATCTTTCTTTTGAGTTTACTGACAGCACCAAGAGTACTCATCATAATTACTGTCTTTGTCTCCCAGACAGCGGATACTTTCTCCACCTAATTACCTGCTTTGTTGATACTTCAAAATCTGTAATTACTCTAGGCACAAGTGCACCTCACTAGCTCCAGTTCTGGGAGCTCTCCGTAGGCTGGTGCTGAAAGAAAGAGTTGAAAATGAACATTTTCTAGCCACAGGGTCAGGGGATTTGGGTATGGAGGGAAATGGAGGTGAAGAATCAGGGTGGAGTAACAGAATGATTTCACAGCTCCCCCAGACCCATTTTTACAATATCACTACCAGAAGTTGGTATATGGCGAATTTCAAATAGAGCAAGCATCTGCATACCAAACTGCATGTAGAAAAACAAGCAGAGCCTCTCCCTCAGAAAAGATTACTGAATGGACCCCATTTTATATTATTCATGAGTCGGGGGGCACTGCACTTGCCTAATGGGGCTCATGCTGCTCTAATGCCTTCCAAGCAGCCTCATCTGAGAAACCCAAATTAAAGCAATACATCGCATTTTGGGGAACACATTTATGGGGGGGCATGATGTCATCCCAGTCACAGCTAAAGGGCCTCTGGAAGCTCTAGCTCCCAGCTTAGCCCCCAGGGAACCAGCCTAGACTGCTGCAAAGAGGTCAGGGGGTGGATAGAGAGGGACAATTCAACAGTGGTGAGTCACTTCGCCACTTTTCAGGGGGAAAGTGAGAAGCACGATTTAAATTGCCACTGTTATTATTGTGCCCTTTCATCTGGCACAAATGAGCCTGGTGCGTGGATGAAAAGCAGTTGGAACATCCATAAAGCTTCCCCCCAGCTGGGCCTGGGTCAGCACCTCATCCTGGGTGGGCACAGAAAGCATTGCCTAAAGTATTATGTAGCCAGAAAGTATCCTTTGGAGGGGGAAAGGGAGCCTAAATACGTCAGTCTTACTCAGGCAGGGCATAGACCACCTGAAGCCCCTTGGTTTCATTAAACTTAAATCCATACAAGGTGTTCAGGCAAACTTTGGTATCTCCCAGCATCTGGTCTCAGATGCTCAGCTTTCCTGCTGCTGTGGGGCCAATCTGACACCTCCTCATTCTCCTCTGAATATACTGGCTTCACTTCCACCTCCTCACAGCTGTTCATGTGAGGCCTCTCTTCCTCAGAGGTTCTGCCCCTGCTTCTCAACACCAGCACACACACATACGCACAAATGCATAAACACATCGCTAGACTACCCATCTAAATCCTGTTGTGTAAGTTCCACTTTGGTTCATAAAGACCATCTGGTTCACTCCAGCTCAGTGTTCCTGCCTGTGCAATGGAAGACAAACTTCAACTCTGAAGAAGCCAAAAGCTCCAGGCTATGTCTCCAAAGATGCAGTCCTGGGCCAGGGGCTATTAGAATAATTGAAAGCTATCCTTCTCTAATGCCCCCCACCCATATAATTGGGGCAATAAGAGGGGCTATCAGAATCCCTATCAATATGCCACCACCATGGGATGGACACACAGACACGCAGACACACACACACACACACACACACACAAACACACACACACTTCCTTGGAGCTTAAAATCGCTGTCATAAGTCTCTCTCTCTCTTTGGAGTTCAGAAAATGTGTTCCCATAACATGAAGATTATATGGGGAATTGTAAAGGTGAAAATGCTTTACTAACTCCCATTACTGTCCAATATAAACAGAGATTTGTTTGATTTCACCCTAAATATAAGAATCTGGAGGAGCAGGGCACCAAAATGTGGATTTTTGTGGGGAGAGAGATCATGGTTTCCCCATGAGAGTAAAGCCCTTGAAAATCAGGGCTTTTGTTTTTTCCATGTGGGGAGGGCAGAGAAAGACCACAGGCTTCGGAATGAGACAGCTTTGTGTTGGTATCCCAGCTCGAGCACTTACTTGCTGTGTGATCTTGGGAAGGATACTTCACCTCTCTGAGCCTCAGTTTCCTCAACTGTAAAATGGAGATGTTAACACCTGCCTAGAATTGCTCAGATGACTAAAGGAGGTAAACCATAGAAACCACCAGCCAAGTGGTTAACAGATACAGTAAATGTTTAAGAAAAGGTTAGTTAATTCCCTTCTGCACTTTTTTTCGTTCTCATGTAGCCCAGAGTGTCTCAACCATGGTGTTCAGGGAGTGGAGCCAACTGACTAAACTGCCAATTTTCCTCATTACTGGCTTGTCTGACACTCTTGAAATAGTCCCTCTTCTTTTAGGAAGATGTTTGATCAGCCTAATGCAGCCCCGGAAGAACTGGACCTTAAGTCCAATTCTCACTCTGCAGTTTCTCCTCGCAGTGTTAATGAGACCAAGGTTTCAGATGTAATACTCCACACAGGAAAGTTTCAAACTTTCTGCTCACTGTCCAGACTTCCCTCCACCCCAATTGCTGACCCAGCCCCAACCCAGTCTCCTAAATATGTGCCATTGTGCCCCAGAAAATAAAAGCATGACTATTTCCTGGCTAAGATTGCCCTATGACTCCTGTTTTGCTTTGCCCTCACTTTCACTCTAGAAATAATAGTGCCTAAGACCATCCAGTTTCTAGCAGCCACCTACGTTGAGGGGTAGATGGAATGATAGAGAAAGATATGATGGTTCTCTGAGATATGCTATGCAGCACTTAAAATACATCTCTGATTAGCTTTTATTCATATGTTCCCAATGAAAGGAAAATAAATTCTACTCTTTGCCAAAACTAGTGAAGTGGAAGAAGACCCCAATCTGAACCCCCTCCTCCCTGGTGCTTTTGCCTCCCTCTAGAGACAAAAGCAAGTCACTGCAAGCTAAAGCTGCATTTAAGCAGGGAGCGGTGGTGGAAGATCAAGAAATTGGGGGCGGGGGAGGGGTGGTGGTGGTGGATATAATCCCAGGGAGGGATAAAGAGACTACAGAGTAGAGAGGTATTGAGATTCATGGCAGGAAAAGCTCTGAGAGGTCCACCCCTAGATGTTCCCAGACTCTGGAAGGTGCCTTCAACTCCTCCCTCTCCTTCATCCCTTCTATTTATCCTGCATGCTACCTTCACTAACCCTAGATTCCTCCTTGCAAGTGAGTCCCTCTGAGGATTTAAGAATTTCGAAAAACTTCTCCAGCTCCTACCCCTGTATGCTTCTGTGGAAATCCTGGAGCCTTAGCTTTGAAAAGGGAAATGGGAGGGGTAGCAATTAGGTGTCAACCACATCAGACAGAGAATAGTTAGAGCAGGGGTTCCAGATATGCCCATGCCACTTAGTAAGTTTCCTTAATAAGCAGGGACCTACCAGCTGCTGAGTATTGAGTACTCATCCCGAGGAAGCCGCGTGGTTTCTCAGGAAGTGTATCTGAGACGTGACAGTAGCTGCCAAGGCTCATCAAACATGCCATCTACCTACTTCTGCTGATACATGTGAGAACAAATGATACTGCCGAAGGAAACAGAAATCGTTTCTTAGTGACTCAGAGCCACATCTATGAGGACACAGGTGGTGCGTTTGTATTGCATCTTTCAGTTGAAATTCCTTTTCACAGAAAGAAATTTATAGATAATCAAATAAGTCAAAGACCAGCATCTGGGTCCTGGGCAAAGTATCACCAACATCATGTTGACCACCTAGTAAATGTCTGCCATATGTCAGCATAGGAGTTTTGCAAATGTTTCTCTCTTTTAATTTCACTCAAGCTTCGAAGTCAGATCAAAAAGGATTGTAATCCCTGCTCAGCCACTGTGTGACAGTGGGCAAGTTACTAAACTTCTCTGAGATTTTGTCCTTAAAATAGAGACAATAATACTAACCTCAGAAAGTTGTTATGGTTAGAGATAGTTTATGTAGTATGACTGGTATTTACAAATAGTAAACATTTGGGAAAAAAGCTTCTTTTGATAACTGAGCCATAGAAAGCATTTAACATAATGACATCTACAACAGCAGTAATAAGAACTATTATTATTATTTACAACCCCAAAATATAGACATTATTATGTCATTTTAAGAGAGGTTAAGTAACTCTCTCACAGCAACCTTATAAGAGCTGGCCTGGGATTCAAACCAGTTGTTCCTCTTCCCACCCAGAGTTAGTGGAAATTTCATGATCATTGGGAAGATCATGGTTGGCTGGCCGGATCTAGTCATTACATTTAAACTAAAATTAGGAGAAAAAATTCTTTAAACTATGTATAGTGAAATTCTAGATCACTGTATAGATTATTTGCATATCACAGGTACTAAATTTACCCTTGTATGCCTTTTTAAATTATAACAGTAATTGAAGAACAAACTTCATAGACTTTAGAAAACATAGAGAAAAATAACTATTATCCCACCACCTTAATAGATTCTCTAACTTTATCTTATTGTCGATTTCTTTCTAGTCTTTCAAAAATGCATATTTGACAGTTACAATCATACCATTTTCTATGTTGTTACATATTCTTCACAAAAACAATTTTTATGATTCTGTGCAATCTAATAAGGGGATATATCACAGAATTTATTTAACCATTCCACTATTGTTGGACATTTAGGTTGTTGTAGTAGGTAGGTGTGAAAAAAAAGGAATGATGTTACTTTCACCATTGCCATAATCACCCTCACGGACCTGGTGCCTTGCTGTATCAGTGCTCAATGCTTTCCATCATTTGATATTTAAGCCTGATAAATGTCAGCTCTACTGCTGGAGCCTGAGATATATTTGCAAGAGTATTATTTTCTGCCAGTTTTCATCACACAGATTCTGTATTTTATCCTCACGATGGGTAAGGTATGGGCTAAGCTCTAGAGCATCACATTTTTTTTCTTTGGGAGAAATGTATTTTGAGGTACAAACAAGTAATAAAGAAAATTGGGGAAGTCCTGCCATTGGTGAATGGGGGTGCTTATCTGACGACCTGACTTGGAGAATGGGGTGTCTCATTGGTCTCATTGGCAGTCACGCCCCAGCTTTGGAAACTGATCCTGCTGCAGCACAACTAGGCCTGGCCTCAGCAAATCGATTCGGTCCCATCTCCAAGAAAAGATCAAATTTGTATGTAAAGTGCGCCCCAGGGTCCCTTCAGCTTTAGAGCTTTGGCTGCTTTACAGAAGTCCAATTGTTTGAGGCCAAATCCAATGCCAAGAGTGAACTGGGGAGAGAATTTCAAGTGGGTCAATTGTGCTGTCTCTTTCCCTGGGAAAGAAGGCCTTTCTGGGCCCTCATTCCTCCCAGACCTCAGTGATGCCTCTCCCAAGTGCCTTCCTATGGTTGCCCATTGCCCGTTGTCGCCCTGAAAAATCTCTCTGATGCAAACCAACGTGGCACATGTATACCTATGTAACAAACCTGCACGTTCTGCACATGTATCCCAGAACTTAAAGTAAATTTTTTTAAAAAAGAGTTGAACAAAAAAAAAAATAGCAAACATCAACAAAAGAGTGATGATATTCTAATGAAGACAAAATAAACCTGCCCCTCAAAAAAAAAATTGCTGTCACATGCCAGCTATCTCTTGGGCAAGGGGAATGGGGGTGAAGGAACATTTAGATACTGCCCCAGTTCTGTCCAGTCAGCTGACAGCTTCCTCCCCCAACCCCATCTCTGACTCCTGAAGACTTCTGAAGGACATTCAAAGGGAGGCACCAAAGCAATTATAGCCCTGCAGAATATCAATAGTTACCCACAAAGTTACCCTTCACATTGTACAGCATTTCTCAGGGGGAGTGCAATGAAATGAGCTGTTGCCCAGTCAAAAAACTACCCAAAGATTATTTATTTCAAAGTGATGCCCTGTGACTTAAGTGAGATTATACATGTAAGCAATTGAGCCTAAGGGCCCAACATTTGGGAAGAGCTTCACATATATCAGCTGCTGTTGTTTGAGTAATAGAGCTGATGTAGGCAGTGGTGTGCTGCAGGGGTATGTTGGGGAACAGGTACCACCAGACTAGAAATGCAGCAGCGAATATAAGGTCTTACACTTGAGTTCAAACACCAAATACAGAATGGAGACTCCAAAAAGAACTTGGGTTTACTTAAGGAAAAAGAGTAGCTTTCGTTGAAAGTAATTCAATGTGAATAAAGTCTTTGTGTGAACTGTGTGGCTGTGCATGGGATTTGTGAGTGGTGCATACACAGGTGATGTGAGTATATTGTGTTGTGTGTGGAAAGTATGTGGTGCATGTGAAGCGTGTGTGTGTGTGTTCGTGGCTTTGCAAATGGGCATGCATAGGTGTGGTAATGTGTATGTTATGGGTGTGTTTATGACTACGTATGTGTGTACCTTGGGTGTGGTGTAGGCTTCTAAAAGAGGGAAAGTCAGCTTTCCAGGACTATATTTATAGGGGCACAGCTGGAAAGCCTCTTTTGGCCTGGTCACTGGACATTTATAACTTGGAGCATGTTCAAAGAAAAGCAGCTAGACATGGGTAGGGGCCTTGAAGCTATGTCACATGTTAAATAGATGAAGAAACTGGGGAAGTTTGGCCTAGGTAAGAACAGGGTGAGTAGGGGATGGGACAATGGGGAGAGCTGACACTGTTTCCTAGGAAGGAGGACCATGGAAGTCAATGCCAGGGCCAGAAGGTGGAAGTTCCCAGGACATAGATTTGGGTTCAGTTTAAAGAAAAGCCTTCTAATTCTAATAGACATTGCTGTTTTTAGATGGGAATGGGCTTCCTGGTGTAATATGGACTCCCTCCTATGTGGTTACTCATAAAGGAGCCTTCATGTCCTTGATCTCATTGGAGTCACATGACAACCTTCTAGTCCAAGCAACTGTGAAATGTTTCCCCCACCCCCTTTTTCAGGGTATACTGTTAGAGCAGTAAGGCCTTAAAAGACATCTTATAAAACTCCCTTATATTTTTGATTCACCAGGATCATATAAACCTTAAAAATATGCAAAAGAAAAAATTAAACTCTGTGTGTATGCAGATCTTTTTCCTTCTCAGAGATCTTGTTGCTGGCCTGAGGCTGTACTTGAACTGCCTAAGCAAGCTGTAGTCTTTCAGCAGGAGGTCAAACTCCTGGGATGGTTCTCAGCAGGGTGTTGGGGCTGGCAAGAACTAAAAACAGGTCTCTGCTGAATTAAGTTGCTGAGGCCCCTCCTTTCCCTGCTTCCCCTCCCCCGCCTGTGAAGGGACAGAGGAAAGAGGAGACAACCCCAGGTTTGGTCTATGGCTGGTGCCCAATGACGCACTCTCACCAATATAGATTTTGGAGGTGGAGACTATGAAAAAACAGGTGGCTGTGGGGGCAGGTGGCAGCCTGAAGGGGGTGGGGCTTATTATCAAGGGGGAGTGAAGGACAGTGTGGGTGGGGGTCCTGGGGTATGTCAAAAAGAAAATATCAGTCTCCTGAAACTTTAAGGATGAAAATATAATCAGTTGTCAAAATGTACTTTGTAGAAGCAGTTCCCGAAAAGGGGTGAAATGTGACCCACATATGCCGGTGCTGTGATCTTTGCACACTTGTGTCCTCAATTCCACAGAAATAGGGAAACCAAGCATTGATCTCAAGTACCCAAGGAAAGAACCCGACTAAAGACCGCAGGGGTCCACTACTGGGCAGTCTGGGGCAGTGGGCAGCTGGCAGAGCCTAAGCTGACCCAGGTATGCTGCCAACCTGTTGGGTAACCTTGGGCAGGCTTTTCCCATCTTCAGTGTCATCATCTCTTAAATGAAGGGGTTAAATTCGACGACTCTAGGGGGTCCATTGCTGATATTCTGTGTTTGAGATTGAGACAAGGGGACGAACTTCAAGGCAAAATGAATACCCGCCTCCTTCAGGGTCCCTGGGGCCTGGCTTGCCCTGTCAGGGACATTCATCCTTGGGCCTTGAGGGTCCTTGAGTTGCGGGACGCCGCTCCTGCGCGTCTGGCCCCAAGGCTCTGGCTGTCCCTGCCGGCGGCTGAGCCAGCGACTCCGCCCACGCGCTCGTCCCGCGTACCGCCGAGCCATTAGCGCGATTGCTCGCGGTTCCCGGCAAAGCTGGTGATTTATGCGGGGCCTCGACGGGGCAGTCCCTTGAGCCAGGAACAATTAGCTAAAAGCCAGCAGGAAGGGAGGCAAGGGGGCGACCAGCCAAGCCCCAGGGCGCCCAGAGGGGGCTGCAGCCGCCGGCCGCCCCCGGCCGAGCACCCCAGCCCCCCGACTCGGTGGGCCCCACTCACCACGGCGGGGGCGGGGCTCAAAGGCCGAGGCGAAAAGGCAGTCCAGTATCCACGCCATGACCCGCGCTGAGTGCCCGGCAGCTCGCAGTTAACCTTTGCGTCGTCCCCCGCACCGGCGGCCCTAAGTAGCCCCCGGTGACCACGCCCTGAGCCGCACCCTGCACCCAGCTAAGAGTGTTTCGGTCACCGGACACCTCGAGCATGTCACGAAGGGGGCAGGGCCTCCGGGGAACCCCCCCTCCTGCCAGAAGAGAGGCCGCTGGTCCCGCAGCCCCTTGCCCCACGCGAAGGGAGGCAGAGACACACAGCTCCTGTCCTGGGAAGCTGATTCTGAGGGCGGGACCCTGCCCCTACCCCAGGGAGCCCAGAGTCTGAGGGGAGACGCCATCTCAGCCCTGGTGAGCCCCAAATCTGAGAGGGAGGGAAGGTCCTTGTCCCCCAGCCCCACCCCAGGAGCCCTTGATCGGGCACATAAAAGCAGGCCTGCCCCCAAAGGCTGGAATTTGAAGGCGAGGTAGCGCACCTGTCCCAGGGAGCCTCAGATCTGAGAGCGAGACAGTATCCCAGGCTCTAGAAAACTCCACGATTTAGCGGAGCGTTATCTCAGCCCTCAAGAGGCCTAGTCTAAGCGGGAAGCAGTGTGTTCCCCAGGATCCCTGAATCTAAAGGGGAGATGCTGTCTCAGCCCTTGGGGACCCTCCCACCCCCACCCTTAACCCCTCTCTTAGGGCAGGCATCACCTCAGCCCCGAGTAGCTCCAAGTCTGATTTAAATCACTGGTCCGTTCTAGAGGACCAAGAATGTGAGCAGGAAAAACGATTTTGCCGCCTCCCCCAAGAAGTCCCATATCTGAGAGTAATCTTACTTCCCTTCTCCTGCGAATTCCGCAGCGAAGAGGGAGATGCTCTCCTGCCTGGGAACCTTTGTACTGAGGGGGTTGATCATCAACTGAGATAAAAGAACCCAGTGTCAAGTATGTATAAACGTGGGGTGCCCCCCAGTTGCTGCCGACTTACAGATTCCACTGCCAATGCTTTTGCTCAGGGCACTGATATGGGAGGGGGACCCACATTTATTTTTAGAAAGAATTTGATATTTGATATTTCAATGGAGGGTGGTACTGTGTTGGATTTTCTTACACTTCTTTTATGGCTTTGTATTTTTACGTTTTAAATACATATGGAAGCACGTGCCATAATGGGTTCAGTGTTTGGGGCCTCTGGTGGTGGTAAAAAGAGCCCTGCCCCCCAAATCCTGGGGTAGAAGCAGCCACCAGAGATGGACCACATTAGGCAGGAAGGGCTTCTAAACGAAATTTCCTTTTTACTTCAAGCCCAGGGGCCCAAATTAATTTCTCTCCCAATTCGCCAGTGGTAGCTCCACAGACGTGACTCTGTGCCTTGTTTTTCTCCACTGGGAGAATGGGGCTCTGTTGATCAAAATGCTAGTGAGGAGGTAGAAAGAAATATGGAAAATCTCCTTCCAACAGTTCGATTGCAGGCCAGAGGAGTGGAAGCCTCAATCACTGGGTCCACTGGGGAGAGCAGTTATTATATTTGCTTTGCTAACCACTGATATTAGTATTAATGCGGCAAAAGGGGTGCATAAAATGGAAAAATTGCCTGTACTTTGCTGTACAATTCTTAGCAAAGCAGAGCTATCTTCAGAGTTTAAAGGCCCTCCACTTGTTTTCCTTCCTTTCTGGGAAAAATGGTACCTCTCTGCCTTTGTACCAACTTCTAAATCATTTTGATTTTCTCTGTTTTCTAAAAGCAATCACAGACAACAAACACTCACCAGACCTGCTCTTTTACCGATTTCTTCTTTACGAATACTTAGTCATCCAAGCCAAACAAGCCTAACATCTAGAAATGTCCAGTTTCAGGCCCTGGATATTGAAATCTCAGCCTTACCTCTTCCCATGAGCTTATCCAGCACCAGCTTTTGAAATGGCCTCAATGGGTTCCTTTTTTTTCCAACTGAATGAGCTTTTTTTGGGCTCCCTCATGGCACAAAATCTGCCTGCTTGGTCCAATCCCAGAGTCCTCGGAAACTGAAATTGCTCTGCTTCCAAGGCAGCTCTACATGAGGTACAAACCCATGACAGCCGTCCTTCTTTGTTGCCTTTTTCTCAAGAGGTATAATGTAATAAAGGAACAAAGCTACAGAAACTCACAAACCTAGATTGGAAGCTCAATTCTGCTATGTTCTAGCCATGTAATCTTGGGAGGGTTATTTAATCTCTCTGAAGCTTAGTTTCCTCCCCTGTAAAATGGGGATATTAATAGCTATGAAAAAGCTCCAGGTGGACCAAAGCATCTACTCTTTTGGGAAAAAAGAGAAGAGGAAATACAGAGGTCAGAATTCTTTAAAAAATTGATTTAGTAACTAAGTTAGCAGTTCTGCCCTGTCCCTTTTCTTTGACCACCTGCCTACTCTGCCACTTAATTACTTAGTGTTACATTACCTTTGAAAATCTTTATCCTTAACTAAATTTCCTGGGGTAGAAGGGCATAATAGACATAATAGGGAAATGCATTCATCCATCAATCCATTAATTCATACAACAAATATTTTTCAAATGTCCTCTAGGTGCCAGATATTGAGCTATGCAAATAATGTTGATTCACTCAATGAATTATTATGCAATTATTTTTAAGTGTATAATTCAGAAGCTTATATGATAAACTGAAAATACGCGTATGATATTTTTAAATGAAAAAAAGGCAGGATGCAAAATGTGCACACATTGTAATATAGACAGCGCAAATAAATAATAAGCCTATATACAGAAAAAAAAAGGCTAAAAGGAAACGCACCAGAATCTGAGTCGTGATTGTATTTAGGTAATGCAATTATGGGCAATTTTTAACTGTTTTATTATTTTCATATCTTAGTATTCTCCAATTTTTCTTTAATAAACCTATATTATTTTCTGGAGTTAGAAAATCCTACTTAGAAAAAAATCTACAACTTCGTCTCTGCTGAATAAAGGACTAGGCTAGATAGGAGAATGACGAGGGCCTTTAGGTTGGGGTTGTGCCAGTGGCACAGGGCACCTGGGCTGGCTTTGGTGACCCAGAAAAGGCTGAGAAAGTTGGCCTGCGAGTAAAACGCAGAATTCCCCTCCTGTGCAGGGGCACATAACAAGTTATGACTCCTCCTTTCTGAGGATGTAGGAGTCCTTAGTGCCCCCATCGAGCAGCCAGGAGCCTGCTAGCCTGGACCTGTAATCCCTCATCCCACGGTATGTGCTCACAAGGGATACATAGGACATCCTTGTCCTCACTCTGACAGTCCAAGACCTACGGCACGACAGTTTACTGCTTCTTAAGCGTCTTCTATTGTAATTCCAATTAAGAGCCAAGCATCCTGCTCCTAGTTTGGGTCATTGTCTTCCCAGAGGTCTTTAGCCAGAATGATAAAGTGAATCTGGGGCTTGTTGACTTTTAGAAGATAGGCTTCAGACCTTCTTAACTTTTTTCCTGAAGCCCAAAAGTGCTTGACACCCGGGCATATAATTGCTAATTAAATGGGACTCTAGGAATTAAAGGCCCTTAAACCTTGTTGTTGATCAGTGTTTCCCAAAGTACAATCTATTGGACCAGATGCATCAGAATCACTTGGAATGTCATATAACAATGCAGATTTCCTGCTCCCACTCCAGTCCTACTAAACAAGAATTTCTGGGCATGGGGACTAGAAAATAGTATTTTTAACAGGCCCTCCATGGTGGTTTTACGCCCACTAAAGTTAGAGAAACTCTAATATAGAAGAAAGAAGTCTTTCCCTGCAAACCCTCCCCTTGCACCCTAGCTACAGGGAACACTGCGGCACCCTAGCCACAAGAAACACTGGGGCAACCAAATGGGGAAACTGGTCACTTTAAGCCCACTCTACTTCTTTTGGGTGCATGGGGAAATATGTAGCATGGAAAATTGACTAAACCTTGAAACTTGACTCTTCATAAGGCCTAGGTGTATTCAAAATGAGCATACTCCATACAAGTCATTCATTTGGATTTTCTAAGAATCCTTGTGTATATGTCTACATAGCACTTCCCAGTCAGGTTATTTCATTTGAACATTCTACTTGTTGGGTTCCTTGCATCAGGCAAGAGAGCACAGTGGAAAGGGCAGTTAAAATGCCAAGAGTGAGGCTGGACTTACTGGCTGACTGGCTGGGTGAATGTGTGTCTGCTTCCCAACATGAGCCTCAGGCTCCTCCTCCATGAAGTGGGAATCTCAGTCCTGCCACCCACCTCCCTTTACAGCAGGCTTGTCCAACCCATGGCCCGTGGGCCACATGCAACCAGGACAGCTTTGGATGCGGCCCAACACAAATTTGTAAACTTTCTTAAAACATAAGATTCTTTTGCCATTTGTTTTACCTTATCAGCTATCATTAGTGTTAGTGTATTTTATGTATGGCCCAACAATTCTCCCAAAGTGGCCCAGGGAAGCCAAAAAAATTGGACACCTCTGCTCTACAGATTGTTAGGAAGGTCTCTGCATTTTCAGGAACGAGATAACAAAGTACTTATTTCTGGGTCCATGAAGGGAATTGGCAGATTAGCACCCTGCCCCCCAGCATCTCCTTTTGAGAAGCCCTATCAGAAGGTCCACACAGAGCACACAGGGATCATATTTGCTCTCTAAAGGGGACTCCAAGCCCCAGGACCTCAAGACCCTGCCTCCCTGGTTTTCTATTTGTGAAAGACTTAGCTGGGCAAATGGTAAACATGTCAGTGAAATCATGGGTGCTTTGGGGGACCACTTCGAACCTCAGAAGGGCCTCAGTTTCCTCATTTCTCAAATGGGTTTATACAGAGAAATCTTGAAGTTCCTTTCTAGCTACTTAACAGCATTTCTAGGGGTACACTCCTTCCATAGCACTTTTTTCCCATAGCTCTATTAATTCTAAATTTTCATATCACTGAAACCTGACAAAGTCCTGGCACCATCTTTGTGAGGTAGATATGGGAGAGAATTATTCCCATTTTCTTAGATTTAGAAAAGTGAGGCAAAGTAAGTGACTATCCCAAAGTCACCCAGGGGAGAAGAGATGAGCTGAGACCAGCCTCCACATCTCTCGCCCCCTGCCCATTCTTTTCCGGTACTCCTTGCTAGATCCCAGGAGCTGTCTGTCAGTGTGCTGACACCACTCAGGAAATGCAGGTTTCATCCTGACACCAGAAAGACAGAGCAACGATTACGCTTCAGTCCCCAAGGAGGCAGAGAAATTGCTTTTAGTTGACAAGCGCATCTCCCACACACATACCCCTCTGGTTGAATGAAAAGATAAAATCAAGTTAAAAATCCCAAATGCTCACTTAATTTTGTAAAGCATTTTGCTCTTTGAGCTAGGGGTAGGCAGGATGAAAGAATTTTCCAACTCCAGAAGTCTCAACAGGGTGGGGTAGGGAGAATAGTGGGAACAAAGGGGGGCACAGGAAAAAATGTCAGAAAGAACAAAAAGCACAGGGATGTTTTCTTTCAGTTTTGTGCGCCATAATCAATAAGAAAATGGAGTTATCTGAAAAAAGAACTAGAAAAAATTCAGGTGTGTGCTTATGCCTTTGAAAAACTACAAGACATGCAAGCCACTGACATTTCCATTCTAGAAGAAAATTCTGTGGCTTCCAATAACAAGAGTTTAGGGGCTCAGCAGGGGGACCGTCCACTTCTATGTGTTACCA
Organism: Homo sapiens; assembly: GCF_000001405.40. NCBI lineage: Eukaryota > Metazoa > Chordata > Mammalia > Primates > Hominidae > Homo > Homo sapiens. The sequence goes on along the minus strand of NC_000023.11, from coordinate 131,052,746 downwards.
TGGACTCATGGGCTTTACTACCTCTGAAGTTCATCTCTGCAAAGCACTTGCCTTTATATATTTAAGTGTAGCAGCTCCCAACGTACTCTCATATGTATTTTCAATCTGAATTGCATACAGCTTTGGGAGGTTGGCAGGACAGAGATTAGCACAACCCTCATTTTATAGAGGAAGAAATTAAAGTTTGAGGAAGGGGAGTGACTTGCCTAAAGTCACTGCCTTTTTTGTTTGTTTGGAACCTGTTCTTGAAGCACTTTTGTGCTTCCTTCTTTTGTACATGGCTCCCTCTCACACTACCCATATCCAGCCTAAAATCTGGTCTTTAGATCTTATATGTCTCTTGACCCCTCCCTTGGACTCCAAAAACTGGAGACTTTCACCTTGCTGAGAATTCCAAACCCCCTAGAAAGCCTGAGAAACTCCCCAGCTAAGAACATTTTATTCTTATGAGATGCATTCTGAAGTATTTAGGAGTGAAATGTCATGATATCTGCAACATATTTTCAAGTATATATATATATATGACTCTCTCTTTCTCTCTCCCTTTATCTATATATATATATATATATAGATAGAGATAATTTATTGTGCTATTATGTATACACACACACACACACACACACACACACACACAAGTATAAGTTAAGGAGAATCTCCTCCCAGGCAGCCACCCCACTGGTCTACGCTAAAATCTGAGTGTTAGTGGTGCATGCATCTCATGGGGCTCTACCTCAGGACCCTATCAGGATGACCCAGCCCCAAACACAGAACTAGCTCTGCAGGAGGGGAAGGCTACACCTGTGAGTGGTTGTGATGTCTTAGATGGAGCTTGGGTGCTGGTAAGTGGCTGCCTGTACTGCATGGGAGTTTAGGGTGAAGGATTTGATGGTAAAGCAGCTTAAATTAGAGCCTGAGAGGAGTCCTTAAACAAATTCTAATTAGAGCTGGCAATTTTCCAAAAATAATTTTTTCTTTAATTTCAAAACTTGCTTATCAGGGTTGAAAGTGCCATTAGAGATAATCTAGTCCAACCTCTTCACATCACGGGGGCTGGTGGGAAGGGGACACTGAGATCCAGAAAGGGAAAGTGACTTACCCAACATCATCTAGCAAGTTAGTGGCTGAAAAGGGACTAAAAGCCAGGTGTCCAGCATCCTAGTCCAGGGCTCGGTCCATTACATCATGCTGCTATCCCACTTTGGCTTCCTGGGTTCTTGAAAGGTCATCTGCCCACCCCAGGGCTTGCTTTCTTCAGACCAGCGTGGCACTTGGGGGATTTGCAGTCAGTGACAGTCCCTGCTGCTGGGAGCAGAGCCGGGCGCCTGAAGATGGCACCTGTCACATCCCACTGGAATGAATTACCTCCCTCTGAAACTGAGAGGGCCAGGCGGAATCTGGGAGCGGCACCTTGAGAGCAGAGTCAGTCCTGGCCCACGCGGCTAGCGTGCCATGGACATTCAAGGCAGAGAAGGTAATGGAAAATATCCTGAGCACTGTTTGCTGGGGAGCTTTCCACCTCTCTTGGACCCCAAGTGATTTATTGATTATTTTAGGGGCAGCCACTCTGGTTTATTGGTTTATCTGCCATTACTCGTGAGGGGGCGGGGTGGGGGGGCTGCCTGCCCGTTGCGTACCCTGGTCTGTCTTCTCACAGGATTGGTTCATGGGACAGCTTAGCTGGACCCTCGTGAGTCTGTCGGGATTAATGGCATTTGACTGTAGATCATGAGAAATCACATCAGTTGCTGTGGGTGGAGGTGGATGGAGCAAGCAGGAGGAGGGCAGAGGAGAAGAAGGAAGATGAGCAATAGCGGGAGGGAAGAAAAAGGACGAGGGAGAAGGGGGAGAGGAAAGTGCAATAAAAGAATTCTCTTGTACAACAACCGCTGACATTTCTGAGCCTGTAGCTTCCCTCGCTTTTAATCATTCCCTTCATTAAGTGCCATTTGTCAATGCAAATAGGTCTTTCTCCATTATAACTCAATCCTGGGACAACCCACACCTTAAACAAAGATGCAAGGCTAGCTCCAGAGCCCTAGGTTTCCCTAACTAAGGGGCTGTTTGCCCTTCCCTCCCTGTATTCCTCCATCCCAGGAGCCATAAGATTGGTATGTGAACACCAAAATTGACCCTGGGACAAAAGATACCAAGGACTGACTTTAACTTCTGAGCTACTTTGGGTCTGGCCCCCACCCAAGGACCCCCTCTCCTGACTTCTGTGGCCCAAAACCCTCTCCTGCTTTCAAGCACCCAGGGCTTATAACCGTCCTGCTGTTCCACCCCCCAGATCCCAGGAGAGTTATGAGATTGAAAACTAAGCGGTAAGGCAGGAAGGTGCCATCAGAGATGCATCTGCCTATGACCAGAGAGCAGCCATGCTGGAGAAGAGGGGCTGTAGCTGAGGCTGGGTCAAGTGGCAGGACGGCCATTTGACGCATTTGGCAGGCTGTGCACACATGTTGAAGAGGGGAAGACCAGGTTATATTCAGAAAGCCCTTCCTTTTGCCCCTAATAAGGAAATTTCTGGCCAGATCACAGGACTCTGGGTCCCTAGTGCCTTAGCAAATAACAGGAACATTTAAGTCTCTGAGTGACTGTGGACCCTGACTTCATTTTTAAGATTGGCTCTGGGGTGGCAATTTCAGTGACAGGGAAGGAAGAGATTGTGTAACATGGATATAGGTCATGGACTGTAGGCCCTCCTCACTGGGCCAGGCTCTGGGGCCTTGTATCCTGGGACTGGGGCTACAGCTCTCTGCCATCTCCCTAGGGAAAGAGCCGCCAGTATATTCTCCAAATCACACACCTTGCTGTCCTCAGAGACAGTCCCTCAAATCTACTCAGTGATCATGAGATGCCCTGAAAGTTATGGGGTCAACAGTGGTGATATTAGTGCCCAAGGCCAGGTTCAAGGACCAAGTGCAGAACGTCGGCTCCTCTGGCTTTTTTGTCCTTTCCTCCCACCTCAAAGGAAAAAAGGGATCCTCTCTGGGGTTCTCCTCACTAGTGTTCTGAAGCTCGGCCCCTTCTGCTGCTGCCACCTCAGCCACCAAGAAACCTCTGACCCTCTTCTACCTTCAGCCTCTTCTCTTCCGCTAACTCCTTCCTTCCTACACACATCTCAAACCTCCCCGTAAAGCATAATCTCTCCCTTAGCCTTGTTCTACCTGCTCCTGGGTCTGCAAAACTTCTCAAATGTGTAGTGTCTACCATCAACTCACTATTTTACCTCTTCCCACTCCACTTCCACTCTTGAGGCCTTCCTAATTCTAGATGCAATGGCTCCTTGTCAACTCTCAGCCCTCTTGGCTACTTGACAGCCATTTGCTACCCCATGATCTCTTTCTCCTTATTAATTGAAAACTCCTCTGCTCTCAGCCAAACCTCCCAGGTCTCATCTCTCAGAATTCTTCTTCTGTCTGTTCAGTAATCCTCTCTGTCATCTACTTATTCATCTTTTCTTTCCCTGTGGGCTTCTTCTTCCCTGTAGCCCACAAAAACATTGAAACGTTCCTATATGGAAACAGTCTTCCCTCAACCCGGCGTCCCCTTCTAGCTATCATCCATGCTTCCTTTCTCAGCCTTAGTCCTTAACACCTTGAAAGAGTATTCTAGATATGCTCACCTTACGTTTCCCCAAACATACCTGCCATCCACGGCAAGATGGCTCCTACCCCCTCCATACATGCACGTGCGTGCATGCACGTGCAGACACACACAGCCCCTCTCAAAGCAGTTACGAATGTTTTTTTTGGAGGCCTGCTCCAAGGGGACACATCTCTGTCCTATTTTGATTTTCATTCTCTGCAGAATGCTACATTGTAAGTCTCTATTTATTGAAACTCACTCTTCCCTTGGCTCTGCGGACACTGCTATACTGGTGTTCTTACCTCTGATTTCTCCTTCTGGCTCTGCATTCTCGTTTGGTACCCTAAATGGGAGCATTGCTCAGGTCCTGTCCTCAACGCTCTATTCTTATGTGGAGGGGCTCATCTACTCTGATGGCCCTTATCTCTCTGGATGGCTCACAATACCTAAAATAGTGTCCTCCATATAGTAGACACTTAAGTAATGTTTACCTAATTGATTAACGTTTGTTAATTGCACAATGCCTGGTACATTTCAAATGTTCTGTAAAGACTATTATGGGGGATTTTACAGTTTACAAGCATTTCCTGTATATTTGCCTGTCTTCATCCTCATCATAACCCTGTGAGGATAATTTTTTCTTATTCTCATTTTTATAGATGAGAGAAGAGGAGGGAGCTAATGTTTGTTTTCTGCCTATTCTGTGCTAAGTGCTTAATACATATTTTAATTTAATTTTCACAACAGCACTGTGAAGTAGGTGTTCTTAGCCACATTATACAGATGGGAAAACTGAAGCTCAGAAAGGAATTCAAGATCACAAGGAGCATATAATTTGCCTCCTCTGCTATTTCATTGTTCTGTAAATTTGATCATACAAAATTTAGTGAGCAATACTGGGGAGGCATATAAAAGGTATCATACAGTGATATTATAATTATTGTTTACATATGAGTATTTTTTGGTTTGCATTTGTATGAAATTTAATGTCATGCATATAAAAAGCTGAAGAGGAAAATAAAACCCTTCTATTTCCAAACATTCTCTGCCTTTCTCCCTGCATATTATAATAAGAAGAACAGATTATTAAATGTTTACCATGTGCCAGGCATTATGTTTAGCATTTTACATGTGTGCTTTCATCTAATTCTCACCACAACACTATGAGGTGGGGGCTATTATTATATCTCAATTTATACATAAGGTAATTGTGCCTCATAGGAGTTAAGTAACTGGTTCAATGACCCCTAGTTAGTTTGTGAGGTAACTGAAATTTTAAATCAGGTTGGTCTGACTCCAAAGTGAATATTCTTTAAGTGATACCAGACTGCCTTTCTAAGAGGATAGGGAAACCAAGTCTCAGAGAGATTGTGAGGTCAAATCTCCTGACTCTACATTTTTTTCCAGCTGAGATGCTTCAGCTGCTAGCATCTCTTTGTTGAAGGGACTGCTTTTATTGTCAATAATCTTTCTATGTCTGTGGTCTGTCTCCTCAACCACATTGTCAGCTCTGCCAAACCTCTTTAGCTCCCCTACAGAGGGTCCTCACTAAATACTTGTCAATTGATAAGCATGGGGCTCTCTTCAGTTGAGAGAATTATTAATAAACCGTCAGGCTTTGACAAAGCCCTTCTGATCTCCAAAGGAGTTGAGCCCTTGGAGCTTAGGAGATGTATCAATTCCTCGCCTTCCTGCAGCTTGAAGTCAGGAGCCCACACTGCCCGCCTCCGCACAGCATCCATTCTCCAGGGAGCCTCTATAGCGTCAGAATCATTTCACCGAAGACTAAATTATGTGTGTGACTCTGGGAGGGTGAGGTCTCCGTAAACGGGGAGAAGAATGTGGGCTGTGATTCTGCATGCAGATGGACCCTGGGGATGTTTCGCACCATCTGAGATGATGTGTCAACCTCTGGCAGTGGCACTCCATAGAACAAGCTTTAAAGATTGATCATTACTGTTATTATTGGGAATATTAATATTATTTTTACATTCGTACAGTGAACTCCTGTTTACGCAAAAGGCTCCTGCACAAGAATTCATTTTTTTCGTTTGTGCTGGCCTTCCACAAAATCTTTTGGGCTTCAATATTCCCCCAAAGAAATATTCCTCTGTCCAGCTTTTGGGAAAGAGAACCACCCCAGGGAAACAGAAACAGCTGAGACCCTGAGAACGGGAACCTTAGCTGGCTGGGACTGAAGGCCAACAATTGATCCTGCTGAGCAATGAAATACATTTGGAGCCTGAACACAAATCCCCAATCTCCTTCCTTCTCTTTGCCTGTTCCCAGAGCTGGCGGGACCTCCCACCCCAAGCAGAATCCGTAGTTCCTCCCGCAATCAGAATTCACTCTTCCTCGTCCCTTCCCCCATCAATGGCCTCAGGGACACTTATGTGGAAGCCACCAATTATCTCTTCCCCTCCTCTAGACCAATTTTCTCATGCATTTGTATGAGTTCACTTAGCATCCTGCAAAGAGACAGGCAGTAGTAATAATCACAGCTAACATTCATGGAGCTTTTACTATAAGGAAGGCACTATAATAAGCACTTTGCATGCATAATTTCTCTTCATTCTCATAATAGTCCTACGAGGAAGGTTTATTTGGATCCCCACTTTAAAGAGGAGGATCTTTAAAGTAGAATTTCTAAGTGAGTAAGCAGCCTGCATTAGCCTAGCTAATGCAGAGCCAGGATTCAAAGCCAGATCTATGAACCTCTCCAGTATACTGTCTCTTAGTATCAGCTTCCATTTCTTGGATACAAACAGTGGGACCCAGAGATTGGAAGGCCGTGTAGCATTCAGAGGAAAGAGTCTCAGGAAGTCAGGAAATAGTTTTCCTCCAATTTCTGCCAGTAACAGGCTAGATGAGTCTGGGTGAGTCACTAAAATTCCCCTTTTTCTGAATCTGCAAGCAGGGTCCACAGTGTGTGAGATGCAAAAGATATGAGCCAAGGAAGGTTAATCTCTTCCAAATCTATAGAGTTTTAAAAAAGCACCATGCAAATGCAAAGTGTTCCTTATCATAATCCTTAACATTATTATTCCAGCCTATTCATCTACCAATGAACCTGGGATAGAGTGCCTGGCTCTGCCCCTGGATTCTGGTGCCATTTAAGTGCCAAGACAAATGGTCTCAGGGAGTCAGGGGTGATCCATTATCTGGATATGGATTATTTCTCAGGAGTAAATTGTTAGCCCTGTCAGGTGGCTGATGAATTCTCCCACTGCACCTGGGGGCTCATCACTCTGCATGGGACGTGCAGGGAATGCAAGCAGCGCAGCAGCTGGAGTCGCAGTGTGACTCTGCAGATGGGGTCTTGGGGGCGGGGAACAAGGATGTGTTGGTTAGGTTCCAGGGAGCAGCAAACGACCCCACCCATCCTTGAGTGAAAAGACAGATAATGAACCCCACCCACCCACAGTCCAGCCCAGGGCAGAAAAGAGTAACTCCTTCCTCCTCCTGATGCTTGAAGCATCTTTGGGGAGAACAAAGCAGAAAAGAGGCTGACAGATTCATACACAAGGAGCTACTGACAGAGAGATGAGAAGAATGGGCAAGAGAAAGAGAAATAGAAAAACAAGACATGGAGAAAGGGATAAAAAAGACAGGGAAAGAAAATGAATAAAATAAATAAAGGATCACAGAAAAGAGACACATGGAGGAAGAGGAATACAGTTAAAAGAGAAACCCAGAAATAGGAGCTAAGAGGAAAAGAAGAAAGAGAAAGAACTAGCTGGGTGCGGTGGCTCACGCCTGTAATCCCAGCACTTTGGAAGGCAGAGGTGGGCAGATCACTTGAGCCCATGAATTAAAGACCAGCCTGGGCAACATAGCAAGACTCTGTCAATATAATTTTTCTTTAATTAGCAAGGCATGTTGGCATGCACCTATAGTTCTAGCTACTCAGGAGGGTGAGGCAAGAGGATTGCTTGAGCCCAAGAGGTCAAGGCTGCAGCAAGCTATGATCATGCCACTGTGCTCCAGCCTGGGTGACAAAGTGAAACACTGTCAAAAAAAAAAAAAAAGCAAAGAAAGAAAGAAAGAAAAAAGCAGACTCAGAAAGAATCCCCAAAAATGGGAAAGGTATATAGAGAAAGAAAAAAATAAGAAAAGGGGAAATATATGGGGAAAGACAAATCTAGAGAGAAAACAAATAGGGGAAGAGAAAGGGGAAGAAACAAATAAAATAGAAAAGAAAAGTATACAGAGAAACAGAAAAATAGAACAACCAGAGATAAAGGAACACAGTGAAAGAAAAAGGGATGAGGGAGATATGAATACTGGGAAAAAAATAGGTGAAAAAAGTTAAGAAACATAGAAGAGGAGATTGAAGTCTTTAGGAGGACCAGAAACAGTTTTTTCCTCCCTCCCTCCCACTTTCACTGTTAGCCATTCTTGTGGGATAAAATCAGTCAGACACAGACACACATTCTGAGGCAAATAAGCACATGAAAAATAGTACATCTGGACACAGAGGAGCTGAAAGACTTGAGATGTAGGCAGCGACAGACTCACAGTAGAGAGAGCCAACCTGAACACAAGAATGGGCCTCAGGCAGAAACTGACAAGGAACTAGATATACCACTGCAGAAGATGACATAAAGGCATCTTAAAAGATGGACACATGAATAGACAGGTACACAAGCAGATATCCGCCAGGATGGGAGGAGGAGGTTTGGCCTAGCTCCGTTCCTCCTCTCTTCTCTTTGCCTTTGTGAAATACTCTAATAATGGACATTTACCATTCTGGGTCTCCTGCCCTTGGGATTTTCCTTTAGGCTTTGCGAAGGTTGGTAGCAGTGTGTTTCATTTAAATAAACTCACTCCTGCTAGGGTCTGTTAGTCACTGTGTCTCCCCTCCTAGGAACACACGTCTCTCATCAGTTTAAATGATCATATCCAAAAGACCCCTTCAGGCATGAGTGTAAATGGCTGAATATCAGGCCCTTGGCTAAGACAGAGTTGCAGTCTGTCTTGACACTTACTCCAAGACTGGAACTTTTTGCCCCTAGTATGCCACGATCCTCCTTAACTTTACTGGACCTTCCTTTTCACCTCTGCAGTTTGAAGCAGTTGAGAAGGGGAGGCTATGCATCAGGATCCGCACCCCTACTTGAATAAGATGAACGTCATAAGATTTCCTTGGTTAAAAAGTGTTTCTTGCGAAAGCGAAGCTTGAAAACCTCGGGGTTACACAGAGCCAGATGAATTCTAAGGGTCCTTTCAGCTCTGACATTCTGAAATTCTATGACTAACAGCTAATTTGTTCGAATCTAAACCCGCAGTAATTGCACAGAACTTGATTGAATTTTCTGAGCAAACGGCGTCACTGTCTGCCCCAATAAGTATTTAGCCATGGCCCCAGTTTATTGATTTTGTGCAGTATCAATATTTCTTGGTGCAGTTTCCAGCACTGACTGGTAGGTGCATGATGACGTGAAACATGTAGGCTCAAGATGCCCACCCAGGAAAGCCACAGGTGGTTGTCGCTGTGTCCACCTGGCTTGGGCTGGCACACAGACTGCACCAACCTCTCTGGCTAGTGCTGGGCACATGGAGGGGTAGCACGACTGCCTTTGAAAGGGGCATGCTGGTTGGGTGGGTGGATCGGGTTGCCCTAAAAGCTCAGGGATGCTGTAGCCAACGGGTCACAAAGAGAATAGCAGTGAATGGGTCTTGCTTTGTACAACTTCACTTTGATACAAATCATCCCTGAAGGCTACTGCCTCACTTAGTATTTCATTCATTCGTTCATTCTACAGAGAGTGCATACTCTGTGCCAAGCTCTGTGCTAGAACTAAGAATATAGACATGAACAAGATACAGTCCAATATCTCCCAAGAATCTCATTTGTGAATCAGAATTGTGGTACAGTCAAGGGGGCAGTATGTGAACCAAAGTCAAGAAATATTGATGCCGCTCAGCATCAACAAACTTAGGCTATGGATAAATATTTATGAGAAGAAATAATTTCGTAGGAATATTACTGTATATGCACACTTTTAATTATTCCCACTGGCAAAACTGATGAATCAGAGACCTTTTTTTGTATACAGTATTCAAGATGCAAAGAAGTCGTATAATTAGTTCAGGTAAAATAACTTGATTGTTTCCTAAGTACAACTCTGAAAAAGTACAAGTTAATTTAATACTTTTTGTTTATCTTTTAGTTACACATTCTCCATGATAGAGTTTTATTTGTTGGTGATGGTTTGAGAGCATTGTATTTTGGAGAGAATTAAAACATTTACTGGAAGAGAAAGGAAGATTGGTTCCTCTCTTTGATGCTGCCATGACACTAAGCCTGTCATTCCCAAACAGAGATACATTCGTGTATGTTTGTGAGTTCTCTTGATCATTTGTCTTTTATATATCTAGACTTTCATACATGCACCAACCATACACAAAGCACCTTCTCTGATGCGTGCACTGGGCCACGAGTGGGAACACTGGAAAGATTAGAGCATAGCCCCTGCCCTTGAAGGGCTTACGCTCCAGAAGGGGAGCCAACAAATAACTCGAGGACTTTATGATGAGTGGCATAACAGAGGTGTGGACAAAGGGAAGCTGAGAAGAACAGGGACTAAGAGATGAGGGTATGTGGAGAAGCTTTAAGAGACGAGTGGTCTATGGTGGGGAGTGTTGGGGAAGGTCTGAAGGTCAACCCTATTCATCATTGTGGGGCTAGACGGAGCCATCCTCTTTCTCCAGACTCTGTTTTGTTTTGTTTTGTTTTAATCAGTAGAATGTATTTGTGAGAACCACAGAACTACACTGCAAGCAGATCAGTCTGTAGCTGGGATTAGCCTGGTAGCCTGCATCAGTTAACTGCTTCAATTTAGGATGAAATATAGCCACTCCTTTTGAAAAACACAATGCAGGGAGGGGGGTGGTCGGAGACTGGTTCCTATCCCCTAAACTTAGCTTCTTGAAAATCAGATTTTCCTTACCCACCCAGCACTCCTATGTAGCAGAGTTATTCTTTTATGGGGGCAAAGTGGTTTGAGTAGCACTGGGTATCATGGTGGCTTTCAAATTACTCACATTCCAAAGGAGGTTTAATGATTTCCAAGATAATTGGTTGTAGAAATAAGTCCTTCTAAAAACCCAGCAATAGAATGTTCATGATGCCACAGGATGATTCAGAACATTTGGCCTTAATTACTTTGATTGTCCGCCAGGATTTAATATATGAATATTACATTGCGATCTTCAATTTAATTTCTTGTGTAAATGGATTGTGGCAGAATCCTGTAGTCCTGAACTGGCACATAACTCAGCGTGGGAGACACTATCTTAACTCATCTCATTACTCAAGCCATTTGTTGTCCTTCAGGCTTTGACAGCCAGGAGATGGGAAAGTAGCAGAGGTGATGTGATCTCTCAACCTGGGTCCAGACAGACATGAGCCATAGTCTCTACCGATTGCGTTGTTACACAGACACAGACAGCACTTATTTTCAGAAGAAGAAAAAAATGCCCCCGCCAATGTGCAGCTGTGTGCTCTGGTCTTTCTTAGCATAATGGAGTGGAAAAAGCTGGGGCATGCATGCAAGAGACCTGAGTTCTAGTCCTAAGTTGGCCACTAACTTGCAGTATGATGGACAAGCCGCTTAATTTCTCTGAGCTTTTGATTCCTCATCATTAGAACTACATAATCTCCAAGCGCTTTCCAGAGTGAAGGTTTTCTGACGTATTAATAGCACTTGGCAAATCTGACAGTTTTGGCACCATGGCTAAAAGAAGGTTGTTTCTATCCATCCTGTGAATAATAAGCAGCCCCCCAAGAATGGGCAAAATTTGAGGGAAGGGAGAGAGAGAGACAGGGCAGATAAGTGGGAGGGAAGAAGGAAGGGAAGGTGGAGAGAACAGCCCTGCAGCCTTACTGAGCTATCCCTCAGGGCCCAGGTGAGCTTGTTAGAACCTTAGCAAAATGGGGGACATTTGAGCCTGGGAAGCTTGATGGAAATTAGAGGAAGAAAATGAGACTCAAAAAGCATTAAATGGGAAGCCACAGTGTTGGAAAATTTATTTGTACCACATATAACAGAGAGCTTGCATCTAGAATGTATAAAGAACTCCTAGAAATGAATATGAAAAGGACAATCTAGTAGGATAAAATGGACAAAAGACTTAAATGGGAATTGTACAAAAGAGTATATCCAAAAGGCCAATGAACATATGAAAAGATGCTCAACCTCATTAGTCACCAGAGAATTGCAAATCAAACCACAATGAGATACCACTGCACACCCACCAGAGTGATTAAAATGTAAAACTCTGACAATACTTACTGTTAATAATGATTTGGCACAATGGAAGAGTGCAAATTGATACAAACTTTGAAAAACTGGCAGCATCTAGCAAATGGAACACGTGCTTACGACTCAGTGATTCCACTACTAACAGAAATGCAGGGACATGTGCACCAAAAGTCAAACAAAAATAACCATAATAGTGTTAGTCAAACAGTCCCAAACTGAAAATGCCCATCTGCAGTAGAATGGTTAACTCAGTTGTGGCATATTCACAAAAGGGAATATTATACAGCATTGAGAAGGAACAATATCAGTTTTATGCAACAACATGGATTAATCTCACAAACATAATATTGAATGAAAGAAGCCAGAAACAAAAGCGTACATACTGAATTATTACATAAAAGTCAGTAACTGGCAAAGCTATAATGTTTAGTGATGCATGCTAAGGTGTACAAGTCTAAATAAAAGCAAGGAAGTGATTTTTGGAAAAGTCAGAAAAGTTGTTACCTTTTAGTAGGGGAGAAAGGAGTTATGATTAGGGAAAGGACACAAGTTGGGCATTGGAGTGCTGATAATATTCTATTTTTAACTGGGTAATGATTAATATGGGTGTTTCATTGAACAAGTTGTGCATTTATGATTTATGCACTTTTCTTTATGTGTGGCATATTTCACAATTTAAAAAATAAAGCTTTAAAAATGCAGAGATTGAAAAAAGTCAAAGCTAAATCTTTGTTTCAGACTAATGCAACTCCAATTCCTATCCATTCTCTCAGGACCCTGCAGATTCTAGACTTTTGGCAAAGAGAGGACGAGAGTTTGTGTCTCATTTCTCTCAGTATCTGCCTGTCACAATCTTCCAAATTTAAAGCTAACCTGACCCCAGTTGGTACCTAACAGCCACCAGCCAATTGACTGGAGTCAAAGACACCTTGTTCCTGCTACTTTCTAGTTCCCTCTCATTTCCCCATTCTCAAACTATTCTTGTTCCATTTCAGTTCCATCTTTCTCCTGAGTCTTTATTCCGTCTTCTGTTTGCAGCCCTGTTCCTTCCTTTTGGACTAATGGCTGAGTGACCCAACTGGATTTCCTTGGCTTGAACCTGAGCAAGCCCTCTCTCTCTAAAGACTTGAATGCCTACTCCCTTCACTGAGTGGTTTCTTCTGTTCCTGGCCAACTCAGGTAGGGTATCTACCACCTCCCCATCCCTAGATCTTAAAGGGTTAAAGTGCCTTATCTCAAATCCTTAGGGCCAGATGTTTCGAAATTAAGAATTTGGGGAATTTTATCAAGGTAATCATGTGTATTTGCCAATATCACATAACACCTCTAGCAGGTTGCAGTATAGCTCCCCATTATCAAATACATTAATATTTTTGTCATGAAATATATGAACATTCACACTAAGTGGGATAAAGAAAGACTATTATAATATAAGTTAAACTGAGTTTTAATGTCAAACTTATGAGAACGTTTTTGGTTTTCAGAGCTTTGTGGTTTGGGAAGTGAAAATAAGAAATAGGAGCCCAATGCTTGTTTGGTGGATGGATGGAAGGATGGAAACATAGATGTACACAATGAATTACATGTGTTTATCATCTCAAGTGACAAATGTGCATTTAACAAGAGTCTTCATCACTTTAACCAATTGTGGGCACATCAGAATCCATCGCTGGCAAGAGGAACACTAATAGAAAAATCCACCACATAGGTCTGCTACCAGATCATGGATGGCCTGCCTGGGGTTAAGTGGCAATCCCTGGGCCACTCTTCTGCATAAAACATCCATCCAGCCCTTTTTCCTGGCTATGAGTGAGGTAGGCCTAACTAGAAGGGAAAGTTATGGGCATGGCAGGTACCTGGGGCTAGTCTTTTGGGTCCAGTTGGAAAGGAATGGATGGGCTTCAAGCACCAATTTCAGGTGGCCCTCCTTAAATAGTATTGCTCTCAGCAAGGCTTTGCAAAGGTATTGAGTGGAATTAGTTCGAGATCACCCTTCCCAGCAAGTACTCAGAGTGCAGTAAGTATATATTTCTAGGAAAGGGTACAGCTAGGTGTTTTTTTACTTCCAGCCACCTGGGAGTGTGGATACTATATAGCTTATTGTCCTGGGATGCTTCAGAGGCAAAGCAGTGAGTTCCAGGAGAGGCTAGCAAGGGACTAGAACAGAGTCAAAGCCAAACCTTCAGGCTTCCCAACCCAGGAGACACCAAAGAGTCATGGGAGACCTCATCAGGAGAAAACCACGCAGTTCCAGGACCGATGCCTAGAGGAGAAGCTCAGGGGAAGGTGGATTTGAGGAGAGGTTAGGAGGCTCAGCCTTAGAGCTTCAGGAAACTGGGTTGTTTGCTCCTAGAAGATGGAAACTGAGTTACCAGCTAGGCATCTCCCATAGCTCTGCCCCAGGCTTTTCAATCTTAAAACAATAAGACAGGACTTACGTGAGCTCTTTCATCTGTTTCTGCTCTGCTTTCCAGAGCTCATAAATCTATGATTCTCTTTTAAATAATCTTTGTTTTTTTTTGTTTGTTTTGTTTTGTTTTTATTATACTTTAAGTTTTAGGGTACATGTGCACATTGTGCAGGTTAGTTACATATGTATACATGTGCCATGCTGGTGCGCTGCACCCACTAACTCGTCATCTAGCATTAGGTATCTCTCCCAATGCTATCCCTCCCCCCTCCCCCCACCCCACCTTGTTTTTTTCTCATAAGAGTAATACATGCTCCTTGTTGAAACTTTGAAAAGTCAGGTAAATATATAAATATTTAGACTTGCCTATCATCCCACCCACCTCTCACACATTTGCGTGTATTACCTTTCTGCTTGCTTGCTTTTATTTTCCATGTCTTTATAAAATTGTGATCATAGACTTTTGTATTTTGAGTTAGACACTTAAGTATATTGTGAGCATTTCCCATGTCACCACAAAAGCTATCATTCTAGTCTAATTTGAACATCCATCAGACATTGTGGGGCACACTTAGCAAGGATAAAATGTGTACCCTGCCCTTATGGAACTTATACTCTTGTTGAGAAGATGAGGTTGATATATATGGAACCAATAGTGATAAATACAAATGGAATATAATGAAATGTCACTTTGAGGGATAGGCTGGAAGGACAGTAAGAAGCCAAAAGAGGGAAAGACTGATGTGGGCAGCACTAGTAAGGGGAGGCTCCTGGAGAAGGCAGGACTTAAATTGGCCTTTAAAGGATAAGGAAAAGGGGAATGAGAAAGGTAGAAGCATGAAGAAAACAGACACAATGGGGGAAAGCTGGATTGAGTAATCCCAAACCCTTTATACTTATCATTGTTGTTGATAATACAGAGCTACCCAGGGCCAGGATTTCAGGACTGTTCAGGGTCCCACCTAATATATGAACAAATAAACCCAGGTCTCTAACTTAAAGGGGATTTGGAGGCTAAATGCATGAAAAACGAAGCACTGGTATTAATATGGCAGTAGCTTAGACTCAGACCTTTTTGCATTTAGTAACTGACTTGCTTCTCTGCTGCATCTTGCACAGTGATGGCTCAAACATCACAGAGTCACCAGTTGGACAACTTCCTAGCTAGATAGCAGATTACATGACTCCAGAGCCCTGGTCACAGTCATCTGACTACTGTGGGTTGGTACAAGAAGAGGGTAAACAGAGAGAAAGCCCATGTCACAAGCCCCCTTCTTCATACACTGAAGACACAGCCAAAAACTTGTTGTAAATGTTAATTAAGCCATTAATTTGTGATCTGAAGATCTCCCCAGTGAGGCTAGGAGTTTCGTTAGGACAGAAAATCAGTGGTTTGAAAAACAGTAGAAATGTACATGAAATACCACAGTTTAAGATTCATTTGGGATGCATCAGAAATGTCCTTGCCTATGGTCAGGAGACTTGCCACTAACTAGCTACATGATTTTGACTAAATTCTATTACTTCTTGGAGTCCATCTCAGTTTTCTTCCTCATCTGTAAAATGGGAACTATTTCAAAGTTCCCTTTTGGCACCAAAATTCTATGAACCTATAATTTCTTTGGACCACCACCACTTTTCAGATTTCAGGATCCCCTACAACAATGCAAATAACCCTAAGAAAAAGCTACATCTTACCCTGTGTTGCCAGTCACCACCATACCTGGGAATCGAAGTCCTTTGGGGAATGGGACCAGGAGAGCAAGCAGGCCCAGCCAGAGGGGAAAGGCACAAAAAGGAGAAGTTGGTGGACCCCAAGATGTCACCAGTTAAGCAGAGAGAGGATCTTGATACCTCCTCCTCTATCTGCCTGTCCCCTGAGTGCCCAGCAGCAGGCTGTGCTTTACTGCATGCCTACGTAGGTGCCTGCTCACCACAGGGTGCCCTAGCTGCCAGCATGCTATTCCAGGCCAATAGGAGAACCCTGAGGTGAAGTATCCTGGGGCCAATCATAGGTGGAAATATCTCTTTAATGGCAAGAGAGACTGTATCTTTGGCTCCTTTTCATTGGTTCAGGCCAACTGAAGGCTCTCTGGACTCTCAGCCAATGCCAAGCCATCAGCCAACAGGAATGGGCTTTGCTGCTGGATCTTGTTTTCGTCTAGGGCTGATGGGTAGCCCTGCCCCAAGGGCTGCCTTGTCTCTTCATTGTCATCCCTGACTGAAAACTTTTGCCATGAACACAGAAGGCATGAGCAGTGGGACTTAATCGAGTCAGCTCAGAGAGAGGTAGGCATGCTTGGGGCCAGGGGCCATGCCTGGGCCCAGTCCCTGCAGGTGAGTGCAGGTGAACCAGCGAAGGAGACAATAAGCAAGTAGAATTGGTGGGCATGGGCACTATGAGATTAAAGCTAAGGGCTGATCCTGACCGATCAAACCCTTCCTTCCCACAAGCCATGAGTATCTGAGTAGCTTGTCCACAACCCTATGGTTCCCTCTTTACTCTTTCTCTGTAGCCCCAACCACAACCAGGGAGGGGTTCCTCCCAAGAAAGTAAGAGAAGCTTATTGGAGAAGGTGTGCCGGCTCCCACTTGCAACCTGCATTCCCTGACTTAGGATGCCCGCAATGATCAGAGATATAGACTTGGTGACTCTGGCCTTCAGAGATACATGGATTCCATAATATTCACTTCTAACATCTCAGACTATAGTCTGACTATCTCCTCATATGCTTTAAGGAAGTCTAGGGTTGTGGGTTCGATCCTGGGTAAGTTGGATAGCCTTCTTCACTTTGGTCTCTGATCATTGACACAATTATTAGTCCCACCCAAGGGCAAAATCTCTAACCTGAACAGCTATTTAAGCAATGTGTACACAGGAGGCAGAATGAGAGAGTATGGAGGGTACAGTGAAAAGCCTTCCCTGTTTCTGGAAACATTCAGTCTTACATCAAACACTCACTGAATGCCTTTTGTGAGGCAGACACTCAACTAGATACTAAGATAACAAAAAGGAATAAGACACATGAACTTTTGGTGAATCCCACCAGGGCAGAGCCAAAGGGAAGAGTGTGTTTTAAGCACTGGTGATAGACTACCTTTAAAAATAGACCTGAGATTATAGTTGGCTTTGGAATCCCCCAGACCTAGCCCTTGGTAAAACTGGTCACAAATGTCTGTTTACAATGCCCCTTAAGGTGCTCCTCTATTAAAACTTTCTTTCAGAAAAAAAACTATACTTCAAAATTTATGTAAGACCTTGGGCAAGTCAATTCTCAGTCCTCCCTTCCTTAAAATAACAAGTTTAGGCTCGGGGCTGTGAAGCCCTTTCCAAATCTAATAGATCATCTAGGCGTCTGTAGTAGCAGTCATTTACTCATTAGTATAAATTTAAGTAGCTATGTTCCTTCTCCCTGGATTAGCTACATTTTAAGCTTTGTTTCCAATTGTGGAATGAAAGACTTTGTCACTTAAAAATATTGCAGGGATCTGCCTACAAGAGGGAAAAGAATTTGTGGAAGGGAAATGAAGATTAAAGAGGTTATAATAAACCTCCCCAATATCCTAACATCCTCTTTCCTTGGGCTCTAGGGCCCTGCACTCTGTTGAGGTTAATCCCAACAGATTACTTAGTTACTAATAAAAAGAATCATTAAAAATAAAAAATTAAGCCCTCTTGGGGGCTTACAATGATCTAACACCAAGAAACTGTTCCAACAATGAACCTGAAAAGCCTAGTGAAAAGTTCTGAGGACATATTATACAGGCTCAGGATGCAGGAATTGCAAACAGCACTTTGCCCCTTGCTCTTCCCTCCTGTTTTGGCTTCCTTTGGAGCCTAGATCTCAGTCCTACTGGCCACAGATATTTTGAATGATTCAAGGTCAGGAAAGGGGAAAATGATTCAGAAATGCACATGATTCCTTAAGTACATTTAATTGTAAAATACATCTAATCAATCCGATCACCTGTCTGAACATGGCAGCTAGGAGAAGCAAAGCAAAGCTTTTGCGTTTCACTCCAAACCAAAGTAAGAAGCTAAAGGCGGTAGGGGGAAGGGATAGGATCAATGAATCCAATCAATGGTCTATATTAATGTTTCTTATATGATAGTGCTGATTTGCAGCTTTCCAGGTGCCAAATGGCATCTGGGAAACATTACTCCATCCCCCAATTGACGTAATAATTAGATTGCATAAATGGTTCCTCTGCGCTCAATGCCAGCCCAAGAGACAAATGTTATTGGTGAGCCAATCAATCTTTCCCCCCGTTAAAGTTTCAACCTGCGTCAGCAATTATGCTGTGGAGGTCGAAAGCCACCCAAATGAGTGAAAACTGGCAAAGATGAATTTCAGGAGTGGATTATACTGCACTGTTTCCCAGCAGAGTGTGTATGGTCAGAAACCGGACAGGTACATGAACAGATCTGCAGCTGGATATACCACCAGGGGCCAGAAGAGGAAAGAAAGTCTAGTGGCATCTTCTGCAAAATTTTGCTTTTCTCTATTCCAGTTGTCTCCTTCATACTTAGATAAACCAAGGGGCTGAGGAGAGTATGTCAGGGGAAGGCATTAGTAATTTGTTATTAGTCTTTGTGTTAGGCTGAATAATGCTCCCCCTCCCATAAAATCCACATTCTATTCCCAAGAACATGTGAATATTATCTTCTATGAGACTTTGCAGATGTGATTAAATTAAGCATCTTGATATAGACAGATTATCTTGGACTAGCCAGCTGGGCCCTAAATGCAATCACAAGTGCCCTTATAAGTGTGTCAGAGAGAGATTGCAGACAGAAGAAGAGAAGGCAATGTGACCATGGAGGCAGTGATTGGAGTGGCGTGGCCACCAGCCAAAGAATGCCAGCAACCATCAGAAGTGGGAAGGGGCAAAAGATGCATTCTCCCCTAGAGCCTCCAAAGGGAGCTCAGCCCTGCCAGCACCTTGATCTTGGCTCAGGAAACATATCGGACTTTTGGCCTCCGGACTTTGAGATAATAAATTTCTATTGTGTTAAGCCATAAAATTTGTGATCGTTTGTTACAGCAGCCCTAGGAAACTAATATAGATCTCCATTACTAAGCCCAGGTCATAGGTAGAATGATAAACAACCTTCCTGTTGTATTGTAAAGAGCATCAAAATCCTCCTCTAGCCAAAATAGGCCCTCAATCTATCATGATGCAATGTCAAGGACTAGGAATCCAAAATTCACACATATATGTCAACATTTCTACTTTTTGAGCAATTCTTTCTTGCTACTACATTGCAAACAGTACACATAAGCCCTTGTTTTCCATTAGTCCTTTTGCATGAATTTATGCATCCAATTAACTCCAGCCACCAGGCAAGCCTTGGAGGGACAGGGAGGGACACTGAGCAGGTAGGGAAATACAGTAAATATGTCTAAATTGAAACCACAATTGGGCTCAAATCAAATCTTTTTTAGTAATAACACTAAGTAGGGCCTTTAGGAAAACAAGTCATGGCAGAACTAACTTAATTTACTCTTCTGATAAGGTTACAAGGCTTGTAGATCAGGAGAATGCTGTAGACAGGATGCATCTGGATTTTAACAAGGCTTTTGACTTAGACTCTCATGAGCCTTTTATAGATAAAGTGAAGAAATACAGACTGCAGGTGAGACACCAGAGGTAGCAGGTGGCTGCTGATATGTGGATCAGTGTCTCTAGTGATAGGTCACAGATCTTTACATCAGTGTCAGTCAAGTCACCATTCTTATCCAACAGCTCAGACAGATGGCATGCTCTCTGAGAGTGAGGATGCTGGGAAGCTAGAGGATCTAGCTAACAGATTGGATGGGAGACTCAGGATCCAAAACAATCTCAGTAGGCTGGAGCATGGGCTGACCTCTGTGAAATGCAATGTCCAGCATTAGGAATTCAAAATTCACATGTACAAAGACAGGCTTATATACAGAGCAGCCGTCAGCATACAGAAGGCAGAGGAGATCAGTAGGCAGACAGCTGGATGAGTCAGAAGAATGGTGAGGCTGGCAAAAATAAAAAAATTTAAACAATAAAAGCTAAATGTAGCTGAATGTGCCTCTCTGGAAACAAGAGAGAACCGTGCTAACACTTGATTATTTTCCATTATCCAGGCCATACTGGGTTCCATTCTGGGCAAAATTCCTTTTATCTCCCTGATGTGTGTTATCTTTAAAAAATAAATAAAAACAAAAGGTGGAGGGGAAATGGAGAGATGTTGGTCAAAGGATATAAAGTTTCAGTTAGGAAGAAGAAATTCTGGAGATCTATTCTACAGCATAGTGACTACAGTTATTAATAATGTATACTTGAAAATTGCTAAGAGTATATCTTAAATATTCTCACCACACACACATACTAACTATGTGAGGTAATGGATATGTTAAATAGCTTGATTCAATCATTTCACAATGTAGGCATATATCAAAATGTCACATTGTACATTGTAAATATATACAATTTTGTTTGTCAATTACCTCTTAATAAAGCTGGGGAGAAAAATACAAAAAAAACTTACCAAAGTATGTAAAGTGAAAATTGACAGCGTTCCTCCCTCCCAGTACCTAACCCCAAAGGTAATCACTGTTAACAGAATACTGAGTATCCTTCCACACTTATCTTTGAAATTATTTATGATGTACAATTTATTAACACAAATGAAAGCAAGCTATATGTATTGTTCTTGGCCTTGCTTTTGATTTAACAATATATCATGGGCATTTTCCCATGTCAGTGATCATAAGAGCTAATAATTACTGTACACTTTCCACGTACCAAATACAATTCTATAAATACTTCATATTTTCATTCAGTTAAAACTCATAATAACTTCCATGAGATGAAGACTATTGTTATTATTCCCACTGTAGAGAAAAGAAAACAGCTCAGAGGACTTTCCTAAGATTACAGTTATTTAATGGCAGAGGTTGGATTTGAGTTCAGGTCTATCTGGTGCCAGAATCTATGCTCTTAACATCTACACCAAGCTGCCTGTTAGTTCTTTGAGGGCTACCTCATTTTAAAAAAATACAGTATAGGAGTTTATTGTATGTGTATCATAATTTAATTAATCTTATGTTAGTGGACATAAGATTGTTCTGTTACTGAAAGATTTTTCAGAGCTTTTAATATGCTAATGTGCATTATGAACCTCTTCAGAGGTGGATATAGTAGGCAATGTGTTCGAAACTTCCCTAACCATGGCATCTTTTTTTTCTCACAGAGTACTTGAGAGACTGGAGCATTGGGGATCAGATTTTGGTGTGCATCTGCATCATCTGGGATACTTTTCAAATGCAGACCCCCAGGCCTCGACTAAAGTGCTTCTGATATGGATAATTTATAGATCACACATTGAGAAATACTGCTGTGTGCTATGGGATTAATATTTGATGTATAAAATGAATATGAGTAGCTACATAACCACAGTTTTATTGATCAAAGACATGAGTAGCTGGGAGAGAGAAACACTCTTTTCCCTTCCCTCCTCAGGTCACCTAATCATCAGAACCTTATTCACTCCAATGTCAGAAACCCACATCAAGGATGCATTGATCTGGCATCCCCAGTGAGCTAAGTTCCCAGGAGACTAAGCCACCAGTAACCATCACACCTCTCCACCTCCCTCAATGAAGAACTTGCCACTACTGAAAGTATAAGATAATAATAGATTAAAATCCATTAATCAGTAAGTTAATATTCCATGCATATTCTAACTCTTACTATTGGGATCTCTTTTTTTCAGTTTCTCTCATCTACAGATACATTAAGAATAGTCAGTTTCTTTTCTTTCTTTCTTTCTTTTCTTTTCTTTCTTTCTTTCTTTCTTTTCTTTTCTTTCTTTCTTTCTTTTTCTTTCTTTCTTTTTTTTTTTCTCTGAGACACAGTTTCTCTCTTGTTGCCCAGACTGGAGTGCTATGGTGTGATCTCAGCTCACCAGAACCTTTGCCTCCTGGGTTCAAGCAATTCTCCTGCCTCAGCCTCCTGAGTAGCTGGGATTGCAGGCATGCACCACCACGCCTGGCTAATTTTGTATTTTTAGTAGAGACAGGGTTTCTCCATGTTGGTCAGGCTGGTCTCGAACTCCCAACCTCAGGTGATCCACCCGCCTCGGCCTCCCAAAGTGCTGGGACTACAGGTGTGAGCCACCACGCCCAGCCTAAGAATAGTCAGTTTGTAACACAAACATCTGCAGAACAAGAATTAACCCAATAGCGACAAAAACAAATATGAGAGAATAAATGTTATTATGTGTTTTTTAAACTATGAGTTTGGAAAAGTACAAGATGTCCTGCTTGTGCTCTCAAGTTATATTTAATATCATCAAATCCCACTCACCATTGCAGGTTATTGCTTAAGGGTCACTTGAGGTCGAAGTGGAGACAGGAGAGAAAGGACAAAGGGGGAAAGGATGAGAGGGTGAAGACATAGCCAGACTGCTCAAAGGAGTGCTTAGCAGGGAGGCTCCTGGAAACATTCATCTCCAGTGAGTGGACAGGGGCGCTTACTTGAGAAGGAGCCAGAGTAGGCTATTGCTGTTCAACCCCAAACCCTGCACTTGAGACCCCCTCCACAAATCACATGCTGAGATTTCCAAAATACCCTTGCCCTTAGAATCTCAAAGGATTCTCACTTCAGCTGCAAGAAGCCAAGGGGGCATTACTACACACCCTATTTGACAAGTGGGGCTTTAAAGGCTACAGAAGTTTGGAAGAGGCAATGCCTAGTGTAGAAAAGGAAACCAACAGATCATGATGCAGTGGAAAGTATACTGGAATTTATAAATTTACATTTAGCAGAATCTCAAGCATGTCAAATTGCATAGAAAAAAAGCTGGAAGGAAATATGGACCCAATATTGATCATTATGGATGACTGACGTTTTCTTCTTCATACGTGTCTGGGTTTTCCTCTCCTCTCAAACATTTTACAATGGGCTTTACTGGTTTTATACACAATAAAAAAGGTAAATACTAAAGAAAAATAGGGCATCAGCCTAAAATTCATGTTCCATCTCTGCTCCTCTCACTCTCTGAGACTCAGTTTCTACAACCATCCTCAGGGAACTGAGATTGGATGGAGATATTGACTGAGAGAAAGGGAAAGAAAAGAAATGGAAGGAAAGGGAAGAGAAAGAAAACAAAGGGAAGGAAAAGGGAAGAGAAGAGAAAGGAAGGGAAGGAAAGGTCAAGACTAAGATGGTGGTCTAGTTGAAGTTATCTTGGAAAAGGAGATACTGTTCTCTGACCTCAGAGATGGTGGCTATGATAATGCTTTGCAAATTGTCAAGAGCTATTATGCAAATGACAAGACTCATTGCTCTTAAAGACCCCTGCTCCCCATCGGACATATGTGTGCATGCATGCATGCACACACACACACACACCCCTTCCCTAAACTGCTTGAACATTTACACTTTGGCTCAATTTTCTCTTCCATTTCGGCGATCTCATTACCAATTCCAGGCAGAGTCTGTTCTCTGCTTGCCACTAGCCAATCTAGCTACCTTGGATTCCCCAGCGTAACTGAGTTTTTCCCCCTATAGACTGTTGTCATTAACAAGTGTCATCTACATAACCCAAAGCCATGTCCCAGAGCTCTGCAAGAGCCAGCATAGTGACTAAAAATGCAGCCTGGTCCAACCAGGACAGGATCTACATTTCCTTCTTTCAAGCCATATTAATTACCTCACTATGATAATTCCTCACCTATGCCCAGAGTCTATGGTTTGCAAAGAAGCTGTATATTCCGTATCTTTCTGGGGCCTCACAGCAGTATTGGAAGGGAGGCAAGTCAGAGATGGACACTCCTGTTTACAGAACACAGAGAGGGCAAGTGACCTGTTCTAGAATCACAGAGAGTGAGTAAAAGATAGTATCAGAATTCAAATCCAACTTTATCCCATACCCAAGCCAGGCTCTTTCTCCTATAACA
Source organism: Homo sapiens (assembly GCF_000001405.40). Classification (NCBI taxonomy): domain Eukaryota; kingdom Metazoa; phylum Chordata; class Mammalia; order Primates; family Hominidae; genus Homo; species Homo sapiens. Next base: position 131,028,543 of record NC_000023.11, on the reverse strand, counting down.
TAGCATTAGCTTACAGTTGGATATGGAGAAAGGAAAACACAGAAAATGAGTAACTATGCACATGACCATTGAGAGATTCAACATGACATGGTTGCAAAACCTTTTTCTTACTGGAATAAGACAAGATCCACGACTTGTAATAAGACTCCATTTGGAATCTGGAAGCCAGATAAGAGAAAGTTCTCTGTCTGAGATTATCACTGGGCTCTTCCACGAATCATTTCTTCATTCATTTCTTCATTCATTTATTCAGTATATAAGCATTTATTAAATATTTCATATGCGCCAGGCACTGTGCTTAGTGCTGATGGATAAGATATAAAGAAAGGCAGGATATGGTCCAGAGCCTCAAGGAATTCATCATGGTCTAAGAGGGAGGAATTTAAAACAGACATGGCTAATTCCAAATACATAGCAAAGTAGGATTCATGCCATGAAAGAGTAAAATGCTCTGGTAGCCTAGAGAAAAGATTCAGATCTGTTTGCTGTTTGGGGGATGTGGGATGACTTCATGCTATATGAAACTGACCAAGGAAGGATGAGTAGAATTTGAAGAAATAGGAGCTGGGTGGGTGTAGGGACTGCCAGGAAGAGAACAGCATGATATAGGCACAGTGGTAAGAAACCAGACGGATTAGAAGGGAATCAGTGAATAATTCTATTTTGATGGAGCTGGGATTGGATACAAGAAAGAAAAAGATAAGATGGGAATATATATTTGGGCCAGATCATGGTAAGTTTGGAATACTGTGGGCCCAGCATCAGTTTCCATCCTTCTCAGAGGCCAGCAGTGGCTGTGCAGGAAGGATTTGAGGAAGGCACAAAGGATGGACGCTGCTCCCTCGGATCCACAGGCCAAGGGAAAAAATAGTGATGCTTACATTGGTTCCAAAAGAGGGAAAGCCACACTAAGTCTTTTTGGCAGGGTAGCAAATAATGGCAAGTTGCTTTCAGAGAAAATGTGCTCAATTTTGGTTTTTTAAAATTGTTTTTATATATTTAGGGGGTAGAAGTCCAGATTTCTTACATGCATATATTGCCTAGTGGTGAAGTCTGGGCTTTTAGTGTACCCATCCCCCCAAAGAGTAAACACTGTAGCCAATACGTAATTTTTCAATCCTCATCCGTCTCCCACTCTCCCACCTTTTGAAGTCTCCAATGTCTGTTATTTCTCCCTGTATGTTCATGTGTATCCATTGTTTGGCTCCCACTTCTAAGTGAGAACATGTGGTATTTGTCTTTCTGATACTGAGCTATTTCACTTAAGATAATAGCCCCCAGTTCCATCCATCTTCCTGCAAAAAAACATGACTTCATTCTTTTTATGGCTGGGTAGTATTCGATGGTGTATACATACACCACATTTTCTTTATCCAGTCATCCGTTGATGGACATGTAGGTTGATTCTGTGACTTTGCTATTGTAACTAGTGCTGTGATAAACATGTGAGTGCAGGCATTTTAAAAAAATAATGATTTATTTTCATTTCAGGAGAAACCCAGTAGTAGGATTGCTGAATCAAATGGTAGTTCTATTTTTAGTTCTTTGAGAAATCTCCATGCTGGAAAATGCTCAATTTTGTTCACTGAAATTTTGGCCTTGGCACCTTCCCCAGTTCACCTTCTATGCCTTTACTTGTGCTAAACTTTAAACCTGTAGTGTCATCCTCAGCCTATCTCCCATGAATTCCACTTGTTGAGGATGCAGATTCATTTTGTTCAAGGTATTTTTCCTGCCCTTTGCTTCAGTGGTCCTCACTTCCCCATAGTTAAAGCCACTGATACCTATTTCTGCTCAGTCTTCTTCCTGGCTCCTCCTTGGCTTACTTCTTTGGAGTTAGTCTTTTTTAGTTTAGTTCCTGGTCCTCTTCTCATAGTCTAATTTGAAGATGCCATTCCTGAGCAATGTGGTCCACACTCATGGTTGCAACTTCTTTGCCAATAACCTCTAAATCTTTATCTTCTCTTTTCTGAGTCCATGTCCCACAAATCCAGTTGCCTCATTGTACATCTCCACTTTGATGTACCACAGTTAACTCCAACTCGAAATCTCTTTCACCATTCTAGAAGAAATAAACTTCTAGAAGAAATCTCTTCCACCATTCTAGAAGAAACAAACATGCTTTTCCACCTAATCTACTATCATATGCTTCATCATGCAAATTAGGCACCTAGACCTTTTTCTTGACACTCTCCACCCACTGTCCCCTAAATATCTAATCAACAAGCAAGTCTTGAAATTTCTACTTCTTTAATATTAGCCGACTATGTCTGCTTCTCTTTATCTCCCTGCTGATATCTCAACTGGATTCCTAAAATAGCCTTCTAACTGATGTCCTTGACCCCAAATAATGCGCCCCAATTCTCACACAAGCCATGAATCAGTACTCTTTTCAAATATCACTTCTTCCAGGAAGCATCTCTGGATCCCTCTCAACCAGTCCTCTCTTCACATAGATCTTGCTCTGGGAATAATGGAATTAAATAGCATCTCATAGCCAAAGAACTTCAGAAATGCTGATGTTATGTCCTGTTTCTGTAAGAAGAAATTGGAACAAGGGAGATTTATGCTCCCCAAAAATATTCTTGAGGTGTATTCTGCTGTGGAGAATCCTGAGGTACATGTAAACCTAAGAGAGCAGGAGTTCAGGAATTGGGAGTGGGCTCCAAGAGAGCAGCCAGCTCTGTAGAATCCACACTAATCTGCCTCCAAACACTCCAAGTTTTCTAATTTTACCCTTTTTCTTTGGCTTTCTCACCAAAGATGTGACCCACTGCTGCAGGGATTTGGGAAATAAAATGCATCATTAATCAAAAATTACTCTTCCCTAAAATAAAATATTAGCTCTGTTGGGTAGTTAATTGCATTATCAGAATGAGCAGCTCATCCTCTTTTACAAGGGCTTTAAACACTGATCGCCTAATAAGTGCAGGAATTATAGTTAATCTAGCTCAAAATTTAATTATGATGAGTCATACATCACAAAGCAAGCACACGGGGCAAAACTCTGGTGAAGTCATGTCCAACTGACCTTGACCCCAGGCCTGCTGGTTCTTCTTTCTAAGTGGGAAATTGGAAATCCTTCCTGTTTGTGAAATAACAGGGACATCCAAACAAGACCCACCCCAGTCTACCTCAGAAGTCTTACGGGAAAGCCTGCCTTAATCAAATCTTGCAATGAGAAAGCCCAGAAGCAATTCTCCCTCTGGGCTCTGCCTTTCCAGACCCTGTTAGAGTATTATGAAGTTAGATTTGAAGAACACCATTACAGTGGATCCAGGCTGGGACTAGGTATTAAGGAATTGCGTGAGACGTTCAGAATTTCAAGAATGCATCTAAATATATAGTTTCAAAGACTTTCGTGGTTGACACAGACCTAAAAAGTCAACAGTTCCTCCACGTGGTATGGCTTTGTGTCCTCGAATTCTCCCAATTGCTCACATAACTGAGGACAATCTTCCAGGTTTTTTTCTGAGTAAAAAAAGCTGATCAGCCTTCTTCATTTGGAATTTTCCACTTCTAATAATGTGGTTTAAGAAGTTATTATCTCTGAGCAGTTACTGGCACCTAAATTATTTTCTCACTGGTCATTTTAATTATTTGTATACATATGCAGGTTGAACTCAATTGCCTCACTTTTCATTAATGACTGCTAAATTCTTTTATATTTAACCCATTATTCAAGCTAGTCATGACTTTGGGGAATACTCTTTCTGCCCTCCAAAATAGCTAGATCTTCTTCTTGCTCTTTGCCATCTGTACTATTGAAAAGCAATTCTATTTTTTGTTTCCTGTTTGGAAATCATACATAGTTTTTCTTTACCATTTCAAGGGTGTATCAATCTCTATGTATTTATTTCCTGATGAGGGTATTAAGGAAGTCTCTTATATGTCTTTATTCAATCTTCCTACCCTCTAGGTTGACTTCCTTTTCTTGGTATTTTGGGGCTTAGGAGAAAAAGATTTTGATCTAAACCTTCCATGATTATAGGCATGTTAGTCATATTTCCTTCTCTTCCATTTTGCTTATCTGTTGTTGTGCTACAAACCATCCAAAATTTAGTGGTCTTAAGCAACAATTTTATGTTATTCATTATTTCATGGATCAGGAATTTGAGACGGCCTTGCCTAGTGGTTTGTTTCTCATTCATGTGGAGTTGGCTGGAGGGCTGGGACTGGACACTCCACTTTCAAGATCGCTTCTGCACCTACATGTCCTCAAGGTCTGGAACCTTGTACCCCACCTCAATATGACATCTCATCCTCCAGGCCCACTCAATATGACTTGAGCTTTTCATAGCGTTGATGGTCTTAGGGTAGTCACATGTTGGCTGGCTTTCAAGAAATCAGTGAAAATTTCCAGAGCAGTTAAGAGCTATTCCAAGTACTGTAACAGCATCACTTCTATTGTATTTTATTGGTAAAAGCAGTCACAGGTCCCATCCAGTCTCAAAAAGTTAGAGAAATAGACTCTACTTCTTGATGGGGTAGTGGCATTGCAAAACAGCATATAGAATATGACATATTGTTGTAGCTGTCTTTGGAAAATACAAACTTCCACACTTTCTATAGATTTCCAGACTTAAAAGTCTCATACTTTAAAATACACATGGAAAGACTGTACAAGAATGGAGAAATTTCAAGAAATAAAGATTTAAGGAATTGGACTATTTACCTTGAAGATAATATCACGTGGTGGATGAAACAAGGATTTAAATTCATAAAAATCTAGATTCAAATCCTACCATGAATCTTACAAATTTTAAACCCATGGAAAAATAACTTTATACATCAATAAACATTTACTAAGCATTTTAATATGCTAAGCATTGTGCTAGAAACCTAGGTATACATAAATGCCTAAAACAATATATAAGCCTTCAAAAAGGATCTTGAATGAGACCCATGTTTCATGTTTGGGTAACCAGTTGTTTTGTGTTGCTATTTACTGTGATAAAACATACAGGAGGAGATAATAGTTTCTATATAAGCTAAAGTGCAGGGTTAAGCAGGGGAAGATGTCAAATAGGCAGTCAGAAATACTAGAATACTGAATGGTCTGGTCTAAAGATACAGTTTTGGCAGTGATCAAAATAAAAATGGTAACTGAAGCCCTAGAAGTGTATGAGTGTGCAGAGCGAGAAGAAAAGGTGGCATAAAAATGATCCCTGATAAAACATCAGTGTTTATGGGGTAAATGGTGAAAAAGGAACTTGCAGAGAAAAGATTACTGGATTTGAAGACATAACGTTAGAAGCCTGAAAATTAAACAAAGAGAGGAAAAATAAAAAATGTCAACATAGTGTTAATGAGCTGTGAGACCACTGAAATCAGCCTCATAGACATAATCAGAGTCATCAAAGGAGGAGGGAGGACAGAAAAAATATTTTAAGAAATAATGGCTGAATATTTTTCAAATTAGATAAAAATTATGAACCCACAAATCTAAGAATCTCAACAAATCCCAAGCATAAAAATTGTGAAAAACTACACCAAGGGACATCATAACCCAATTGCTTAAAATCAGTGATAAAGATAAAATCTTATCTTTAAGATAAATCTTAAAAGAAGCCAGTACAAGGGGACTGGGAGTGGGGTGGGTTAGGTGGGTGGTGGAAGACACATTACCTAAAGAGGGACAATTATAAGAAAGACAGCAGATTTCTTATTGGAAATGATGCAAGTTATAAGACATCAGAAAAAAAATATATTTAAAAGCACTGAAACAAACCTGTTAACCATGCTAACAATGGACACAGGAAAGCTAAAGTGGCTATATCAATACATGCAAAGTAGACTTCAGACCAGTGGGGGTCTTTTCATAATGTTAAACAGGTTAATTCATTAAAAATACATAATAATCTTATATAATGAGGTTCAAAAATACATGATGCAAACACTGATAGAGCTTAGACAAATCCACGATCATGGTTGGAGATTTCACTACCCTTCTGTCTTAGTCTATTTTGTGTTGCTATAAAGGAATATCTAAGGCTGGGGAATTTTTAAAGGAATTAGTTTTATTTGGCTCATAGTTGTGCAGGCTATACAAGAAGCATGGAGCAAGCATTTGCTCCTGATGAGGGCTTCAGGGAGCTTCCACTCATGGCAGAAGGCGAACGGGAGCCAGCAAGTACAAAGATCACATAGCAAGAGAGAAACCAAGGTGTGGGGAGGTTCCAGGCTCTTTTTAAAAACCAGCTTTTGTGGGAACTAAGAGGGCAAGAACTCACTTTCCCTCATCTCAGGGAGGACATGAATCTATTCATGAGGTATCAGCCCCCATGACCCAAACACATCCCATTAGGCTCCACTTCCAACATCGGGGATTAAATTTCAACAGGAGGCTTGGAGGTATATCCAAACTATAGTAGCAACAAATGATAGAAAAGTAGAAGGTTAGTGAGATTGGAAAAGACTAAAAAAGCGCTTTCAACGAAATTGACCGAAGTGACATTTATAGAGCACTTCACCCAAAGTATTGGAATAAATATTTTTCCGAGTACAGATAGAACATTTATCATGATAGACCATATTATGGCTCATAAAACAAACCTGAATACTTTAAAAAAATAGTAAAATTATACAAATATATTCTGATCAATATGGAATTGAATTAGAAACCAGTAACAGAAAGACATCTGAAAAGTTCCCAAATATTTTAAAAAAAAACCTAAACAATACACTTAAATTACCCGTGGGTCAAATAGGAACTCATAAGAAATGGAAAATATTTTGAAGTGAATAAAAATGATAATGCAAAATACCAATTTTGCAGATTGCAGATGAAGTAGTGCTCAGAGGACAATTTATACTATGAAAGGCTATATTAGAAAAGAAGAAAGGGCTCATATCAATAATCTAAACTTCCACTTTAAGAAACTATAAAGTAAAAGCAAATTAAGCTCAAAGTAAGGAGAAAGAGGGGCATAAAGTTAAGGGTAGAAATCAATAAAATATTATGTAAAACAGAAATACAATTGTGAAAATCAACAAAACCAAAAGCTAATTTTTTGAGTAGATAAATAAAATTGTTAAACCTCTAGCCAGACTGTTCAGGAAAAAAAAGAAAGAAGACATAATTTACTAATATCAGGAATGAGAGAGGTGATACCACTGCAGATTTTACAGATAATGAAAGAATATTATAGACAATTTTAGGCTAATAGTTTCAACAACTTAGATGAAATGAGCAAATTTCTTAAAAGATGTAAGCTATCAAAGCTCGCTCAAGAAGAAAGAATTTGTAGTTGAAAACCTTTCTACATAAAAAATTCTAGGACCAGACGGCTTTTCTGGTCATTTTTACCAAATATTGAAGAAAGAAATAATACCAATCCTACACAAACATTTCCAGAAATGTAAAGATGAGGGAATACTTTACGACTCAGTCTATGAGCCAGCATTACCCTGAGACTAAAACCAGTTGTAATCAATACAAGTAAAGCAAACTATATATCAATATCTCTTACAAGCATGAAGATGAAAATGTTTAACTAATTTTATGAAATCAAACCCAGTAATACATTTAAAAGATACTACATCATAGTTAAGTGAAATTTATTCAAGGATTGCAAAGTTGGATTAATATTTGAAAATGTCAATATATAATAATTCACCATATTAACAAAGAAAATCCATATAATTATCTTAGTAATGTAGCAAAAACACGTTCTACAATATTCAATGTCCATTCCTGGTGTTAAAAATAGAAACTTCTATGCAAACCTGCCATAGAAGACAGCATCTTCAAACTGATAAATGGAAAACCTGCTGCTAATATCACACTGAATGTTGAAAGACTGAATGCTTTTGCCCTAAGATTCAGTAGTAAGGTAAGGGTGTCTACTTTCACCACTTCTGTTCAATATTTTACTGGAGACCACACTCAATACAATAAGGTGAGAAAACACATAAAAGACATATGTATTTGGAACAAAGATATTTTATTCCCAGACTACAGGATCATCTCTGTAGAAAATCGTAAGGAATCTACAAAAAAGCTATTAAAAGTAATAAGTGAGTTTAGCAAGGTTGCAGGATACAAGGTCAATATACAAAAATCAATTTTTGTACCCTAGCAACAAACAAAAGGAAATTGAAAAATTTTAAATATTATTTTCAATACCGTCAAATAATATAAAATACTTAGGAATAAATTCGACAAATAACATGGAAAACATGTACATAATATTGCTGAAAGAAATTTTAAAAGACCTAAACAAATGGAAAGTTATGTTTATGGATCAGAAAGCTCAATAATGATAAGATAGCAGTTTTCTCCAAATTGATCTACAGATTCATCATAATCCCATTCAAAATCCCAGTAGGCTTCTGTATAGATATTGACAAGTTGATTCTAAAATTTACATAGGAATTCAAAGGACCTAGATGTGTCAAAAATAACTTTAATAAAAAACGAATAACTGCCTGGTTTTAAGATTTATAGTAAAGGTATAATAATCAAGATAGTATAGTATTGGTATAAAAACAGACTTATATATCAATAGAACAGAATAGAGAGTCCAAAATAGACCCACACATATAAGGTCATTTGATTTTTCACAAAGATGGCAAGGCAATTTAATGGGGAAATCTTTTTCAACAAACTTCTGAAACAATGGAAAGATCACGTATAAAAAAGTAGGGCCTCAGCCCTTATCTCATGTTATATATAAAAATTAACTCAAAATGGATCAAAGACTTAAAAGTAAGAGCTAAAACTATAAAACTTCCAGCACAACACTTAATAGAAACTCTAAGTGACTTTACATTTGGCAAAGATTTTCTAAATAGAATACAATAAGCATGAGGACTTAAGCAAAATCAATAATTGGACTTCATCAAAATTAAAAACTATTGTTTCCTAAAAAATACTATTAGTAAAATAAAAAGGCAAGTCACAGATGGGAGAAAACATTTACAAATCACATATCCAATAAAGGACTTGTATCTAGAATATATAAAGAATTTTTATAACTCAATAATAAGAAGATAAGCAATACACTAAAAATAGGCAATAGATTAGAATAGACACTTCACGAAAGAAGAAATACAAATGGCAAATATGTACATGAAAAGATGTTCAACATCATTTGTCCTTAAAGAAATGTGAATCAAAACCACAATGAGATATCATTACACATCCATTAGAATGTCTAAAATGAAAAGACTGACCATACCAATGTTGGTGAGGATGTGGAACAACTGGAATTTTCATTCATTTCTCATGGGAATATAAAATGGTATATCCACTTTGGAAAACAATGTGGCAGTTTCTTAAAAAGTTAAACATATACCTATATTACAACCCATTCATCCTTCTCCTAGCTATTTACCGAAGAGAAATGAAAGCATATACACTAGCCCACAAATGCTCATTGCAGCTTTATTAAAAACAGCCACAAACTGTAAACAACCCAAATGTTCATCAACAGGAGAATGGATAAATAAATTGTGGCATATTTATACAATGGGATGCTACTTAGCAATTTAAAAGAGCAAACTGTTGATGCATGCACAACATGGATGAGTCTCAAAATAATTATTTTGAGTGAAATAAGCCAGACAAAAAAAGAGTACATCCTGTCTGAATCCATTTATATAAAATTCTAGGAAATGCAAACTAATCTGTGTTGATAAAAGCAGATCAATGGCTGCTTAGGGACAGTGTGTGGGCTGTTTGGTTTACCAAAGGGTATCTCGAAACTTTTGTTGGTGACAGATATGTTCATTATCTTGATTGAGGTGATAGTTTCATGGGTGTATACGTGTGTCAAAACTCATCAAAATGTATATTTTAAATATGTGCAATTTATTATATGCTTCAATACAACTGTAATAAAAAGTAAGAGCAGGACTAAAGAGTAATCATGGTAAATGTAGCACAGTGGAGTAGTATGATTGATCACACTGAGTTGAAAAAAGAATAGGAAGTGAGAAAACTGAGATTGGGTATAGACCACTGATTTTTTAGACTTAAAAGATGAGAGCAGCTTTAATAGTAGATGAAGGGGACAGTGGTGGCAAGAAAAGATTTCTAAAGAAGAGGGACAGTTGAGCATATGAATAACCTGAGGTTAGGGAACTGGTAGGGAGAGAGGGAATAAAGAGTCAGGAAAGAGAATGGATAGTAGTATAAGCAAGATTCTAGGGGAGATAGGAGGAGGAAAATTAGAGGAGGGTGTACAGAGCAAAGGTGGAGAAACTAGAGGATGAGGGCCAGTTCTTCTGAAACTAAAAGAGAAATGTGAAGTGAGAGCTAGTGAAGCCAAAGAGACCTTTGTAGGTATGGGGACAAGAAGCTGAAGTTAACTTCAATCTCCTTTATGAATTAGGAGTCTTAGCCATTGTATGGGGTGCGGTGAGGGTAGAGTGAAAGGGACTGTTCTTTGAGAGGAGTGATGAAAAACTTGGAGTATAGATGGGAGAAAAACTGGAGAAAGAGGTGACTTGGGGCATGTGAAAGGATTGCAGGGTGGCCAGAAGGACCAACTGAGGTTGGAAATTCTGACTGTTAGAGGTACCAATACTTGGGGTGCTGCTCCTTTCTCCCACAGTGGCCATTATGACATCAGAGAAATCATTAGTTTGGAGAGACTCAAAACTGAGGCTAAATAGTGCAGATGTGGTCATTGGAGGGCAAGGGGAAGAAGAGGCAGTCAATACTAAATAAATATGCTCCAAGATCCTGGCTGGACAAGGAAAAAAGTGAAGAGAAAAGGAAGGTCTTGGGCTCTGGCCCCTCAGTGAAGCCAAAGAGCAAATGGCATGGACCCAGCCTTCATCAGGGGATTTGGGCCTCAGTGGGATATTGGAGTTGAAGCCACACCCAGTGATGTCAAGTGAATGGGAGTGGTTGAGGTGCTCAGAAGTTAAAGGTCAGAGAGACGTGAGGCCAGGGTGTTTGGGGTGGGACTTTCGTGTGTATATTGTTGAGGACACCCAGGATGAGGACAGAACTTGGAGTGTCAAGGAAGCCTGTGAGCTGGTCCTTAGAGTTCAGGAAATGATCATCACAAGGGTGGTAGATGCTGGTATAGTATGATGCTCTATGTCTTAATGGAGTTTCATGCCTTGAAATCTAGTGGAAAAAACAATTCTACTACTGAAAAGATTCATTTTAATTTGATTAAATTCTAGGGACAAAGTTTCAATATAGTCAATTTTGTTTTTTTCTTATGCCAGTTTTTTTGAAGAGGTGGTTTGAACACTTAGTTCATTGCATCTCTGAGAGAACAAATTAAGATAATGAATTTAAAATGCTCAACCCAGAGCGTGGCACCTAGTAAGTGATCAGTAAATGTAAGCAGCAACTATTAATATTACTGTGCTTTTGATTTGTTTTACCATTAAGTAATGTTATCTCTTTGAAGACTTATTTCTATGGCCTATGGATTTTCTCTGGAGCTTTAAGGCACAGTTCTGTCTCTGCAAATGACAAATCCTCTGACTTCTAAAGACAGCCAAGACATCTCTCAACCCTAGGCAAAATATCCCCAATTTCTCCCCTGTTCCTCTAAGGATCTCCTTTCCAGAATCCCAGTGAAAAAAAAAAAAAACCACAAAACAAGTTCAGTCATAACTTGTCTGTTTCCACAGGTTCACAGCTAGAGAGAAATTTAGCCTCAGGACAAATTGTACCTTGAGTCTCACTCATACATGATTTAGACGATATTTAGATGATACCTTGCACTTAAGACTTTAGAGTTGTTGCTGGACTGAGTTAAGACTTTTGGGTCTGTTGAGATGGACTGCATATATTTTGCATGTGAGAAAGACATGAATTTTGGGGGGCTAGGGGCAAAATGTTATGGAATGAAAGTTTGTGTCCCCCCGGAACTCATATGTTGAAGCCATAACTCCCAATGTGTTGGTAGTTAGAACGGGGCCTTGGAAGTGTTAGATGAGGTAATGATTACAGAGCCCTCATGATGGGATTTGTACCCTTATAAGAAGCAATATCAGAGAACTAGCTCTCTCTCTCTCTCTCTCTCTCTCTCTGCGCCATGTGGGGACACAGTGAGAAAGCAATCATCTGCAAGCCGGGAAGAGAGCCCTCATCAGAACTCAACCATGCTAGCACCCTAATCTTGGACTTCTAGCCCCCAGAACTGTGAGAAAATTAATTTCTGCTGTTTAAGCCACCCAGTCTATGGCATTTTATTACGGAAGCTAGAGCTAATATGTGTATCTTGACTAGAGTTCTGACTTCACATAGTATTCTTAGCATGTGCATATGTCACATTTTACTTATTCAGTCTTTTAGTAATAGAAATCTATATTGCTTTCAGTGCTATCACAAACAATGATTTTATAAACACCCTTGCACATGTCCCTTAATGGTTCTGTTATAGAATTATAAACTCATTCATAGAGTTTATGCATATTTAGTTTCATTAAGCACCTTCAGATTGCTCTCCTGAGTGGCTCTACCACTTCACACTCCAACCAACAGAACTTAATATATGATTTCTCATATCATCATCAGCTCATAATATTATCTGGCTTTATAACTTTGCCATTCAAATGTGTGTTAAGCAATATTTTGTGGATTTTTAAATTTGCATTTATATGAGTACTACTGAAACTGGGCATCTTTCCATAGATTCATCCGTAGATGTAGTTCCATCTACATCCAAAATCGATTTGAAACAGATTAACATAAAAATTCAGAGAAATAGGGCAGATAAATAAAGATCAAAAGAATGATAGGAAAATCATGTAGAGAAAGGGAGAACCAAAGGTGAAACAGTTTCCTCTACCTAACATAACTCTGAGTTTCCTGGTAGCCAAGACAAAAAGGAAAAAATGATTCATTTATTCAATAAATGTTTCATGTTGCAGCTTTAAGGTTTGAATTTCTTTGGTCTGTTAGCTGAGTTTCAGGATAGATAGAAAATAAATATAGTTTTGAGAAAATAATCTGACTAAATCAAATCCTCAAAATGTAAGCATCAGAATAACACTAGAGAAAATATTCCTCAGGGCTGAATCATCTTACCAATCATCATATCTGCAAATAGCTTTTGAGACATTTGTTTTGGTTTGAAAAATATTTTTAAGACATGTTGATTTTTAAGTTTTTTTCTAAAAAAACTTTTGTTTTGAGCAGTGGGAAGCAGACTGCATAAAACCATTCTGAAAATATTTTCTCAAAACACTGTGATGCTTAACAGTGTTTAAAGAATTTTGATTTTCAAATGTTGGTTTCAAAATGGCTATGAAAATTGCATTCCTCAGGCAAAACTATGGAAATAGTAAAAGAATCTATGGTTGTCAGGGACTAGGCGGAAGGTGGGATGAATAAGTAGAGTGCAGAAGATTTTGGGGGCAGTGAAACTACTCTGTATGGCACTATAATGTTGACTACATGTCATCATACATATGCCCAAAGCCATAGAATGTACAACACCATGAGTGAACCCTAGCGTAAACTGTGGACTTTGGATAATGGTGTGTCAATGTAGCGATTCATCAATTGAAAGAAATGTATCACTCTGGTGAGGAAATGTTGATAACAGGGGAGGCTGTGCATGTGTGGGAGCAGAGGGTATATGGAAGATCTCTGAACCTTCCTGTCCATTTATCTGTGAACTTCAAGCTGCCCTAAAAGATTGTCTTTATTTTTAAAAGTTTATTTACTCCTCCATCACAGTGAGTCCCCCCATTGCTGCACTGGGACCAACTAGCCATGGCTCCTGCCTGAGGGCTGCAAAGGGTCCCGGCTATAGGCCTGGATCATTATATATTTAGCCTTATGAACAAGAAAGGAGCAAGTCTGGGGGCTCCCCAAGGCAGAGGCAGAGTCCTTAACTCCATGGTCCCTGGTACTGCCACAAGTGTCTACTGGAGAACTGTAGAGGGGTAAATGAAGAAGTGGCCCTTTGAGCTTCAGCAGTCACCTTATTCAACTGCAGTAGATGAGGCCTTGCAAGCCACTTAGCTAACCCTGGTAGGGTGAAAGCTCTGGATCTTTTTGAATCCTGGTATCCCAAAGCAGAAAAAGCTCTCAGCAAATACCACTGTTTAAATGTATACTATATTTCAGGACCTGTACCAGGCACTTAACATGTTGCACTCAATGTTGTCAGCAATCCCATGAGGTAGATAAAATAGTGTTATTCCCATTTTAAATATAAAGAAACTAAGGCTTAGCAACATTATGTGACATCCCCAGAGTCACACAGCTGGTAATTGGGGAAACTGGTGCTAGAACCCAAGTCCAAAGATTTCAAAACCTGAAATCTTTTAACCATTTCACTATATCACCTGCCTCCTCTTCACTCAGCAGTGGGATTAGTAATTGACATCATTATATTCATTATATTAAGAATATATTAATATTGTCCTTTATGCTTACCAAGTACATTACATCCTTGTGTCTAACTAGATTATAAGTTCCTTAAGGGTATCAACTGCCCTTTATACTTCCCTTGTAGCCCAATAGTGCTTATCATAGCTGTAGGAACTTACAAGGAAAGGATGGAAGGAAAGGACTAATATTTATCCCGTACACACTATTCTAAGCATTTTATATGATTTATCTCATGAAATCTTCATACCTCTTTGATATAACTGCTACTACTAGTATTCCTGTTATAAAGACTGAGGAAACTGAGGCCTAAAGGGTTTAAATGACTTTCTCAGAAAGAAGCCAGACACTAGAGAACATTCTGCATTATTTTGTTTACATGAAGATTAAAAACAGACAAAATGGCTACACGGTAATAGAAGTTATCATAGTAGCTACCTCTGCAGGGGATACTAACTAGAAGGAGCATATCGGAGCCTGCTGAGGTGCTGGAAATGTTCTACATTTTTATAGGAGATGGGTACATGATGTATACATCTCTAAAAATTCATTAGGTTGTACACTTAAGATTTATGTATTTTTGTATGTAAGTTGTATCTCAGTTAAAAGCAAATGAAACAACTTTTTAAACACTTTCTCAGAGAGCCGTAAGTAGCAAATGAGAAAGCTAAAATTTGAATCCAGGTACATGTGCTCCAACTTTTATGCTTCAAATGTCCCTGCCTCCTCTCACTTCTGCCGTTTTTATAAATATCAGCTCGATCCTCCTCTAGATAGTTTTCACTTCCCCTGACAGCTTCACTAGCTGAACATGAGCTGAGAGAAAAGGCTTCATTAAATATCCCACCCTCTGGCGCTCTCCACGCCCCTCACTCAACCCTTCTTTTTAATCAAGGGACCACATCTTAATCCTCATGATGTCAATAATTCAAGCAGAGGCATCCATCAAATGGACTTTAGTAATTAAAAGCTGGTGATGTTGAAATAATTCTTCTGCTTACATTCTATGATTGGAGAGTTTTGCAACCATACACTGGAAGCAATAATAAACAGCTTCAATTTAGTTAATCTATTCAATCTCACCAGTATTTATTGGTCAACTATTCTGCATAAGTCATCGTACAGGGTCTGGTAAAGACTACAAAGATGACCACCAGGGTCCCTGAGGAGGTCTAAGTCGAGTGGGAGTAGTAGATGTGAACAGGTATCTCAGCTCTGCCGGAAGATGGAATGCTGTCATTAACATTATAGAGCTGAAAAGTGACATGAGTATCTAGGGAGAGACATTGATTTCCATGGTAGGAAGGTAAGGAATGTCAGGGAAGGCTTCCCAGAGGAGGTGGCTTTGAACTATCTCCTACCATACATCCAAACTATCCAGATATGTTGGCTCTGTACTCAAAATATATCCTGATCCAACCACTTCCTCCTCACTCCCATTACTAATAGTGGACCAAGCTATCATCATGCATCACCTGGTCTATTGCACTAGCTTTCTAACTGGGTTGTCTCCTCTTGCCTCCAGGATTTTCCTCACCAGGGTTCACAGACCTACTATTTAATAACAAATAAATAAATTGTTGCTGACTGCCTGCATTAAAGTCTTTTGTTGGCTTTTAATTTTACTTAGAGCAGTCTCTCAACTTTATTATGGCCTCCACAGCCCTACATGATCTGGACCCTGCCTAGCTCTCTGATCTCGTATGCCCATCTCCTTGTTCACTGTACTTTAGCCACACTGGCCTCCTTACTATTCCTGAAACTTGCCAAACACATTCCTGTATCAGGGCATTGGCACTCTTAGTCCTCTCTGCTTGGAATGCCTCATCACTCACCTCATTCAGGTCTTTTATATGTTCTCTCCTCAGAGTCCCAAGCTAAAATAGGAATCTTCTCCACCATTGTCTACCCCTTTGCCCTGCATCATTTTTCTTCATAGCTCTTATCACTACTTGACATTTTCTTATATAAATATGTGTCCATTGATTTATTGACTGTCTTCCTCACTAAAATATAAACTCCATCAAAGCAGAGGCTTTTGTCTGTCTTGTTCACTGAAAAATTTCCAATGCCTAGACACGGCCTTGCACATAGTAGGTGCCCAATCAGTAACTGCTGAATGTACAGTTAGAAATGGAGGTAAAATATATTTCCCGTGGAACACTGATTCATGCATTCGTTCAACACCGTGCAGGGTGTGAACGTAACATATGTCTGGGAAGGTAAACCCGACAAATGTGGTCCCTGTCCTCACAGAATTCTCAGTCTCATAAACAAGCAGTTACAAACTATAGCATAAGTTCTTTGATGGGGCAAACATTGTCGACTGTGGGAGCACATGAGAGGACTATCCTACAATGATGAGCATAGTCACTGGTCCATGGTATTTATTTATTCATTGAATCACCTGTCAAACATTTATTAAGCATCTCCTCTATGAAAAACACGGTGCTTGGCAAAGGAAATTAGGCAATTAACAAGATGACTCAATCTCTTCTCTCGTATAGGTCATAGTCAAGTAGATGGGATAAGTGATCAATGTCGGGATATAGAAAGATAAAGGTGAAGAGTGGTGAATGGAATAGAGCCAAGAAGCTAGAGGCAAAGAGGCCTGGGAAAAGGCTGTTGCAATAATCCAGTCAGAAAGTAAGACAAGCTGGTCTGGGACAGAGGCGTTGGGGGTGCAGAGGAGGAGATTAACTTTGCCCATAACTAATAAAGTAAGATATGACCACTTTTCCCCAAAGCACCCTTAACTGGCCTGAAGAACCCCATATCAGGCTTTTCACTCTGTCTCTCCTCCCACCATTATTCATGCTGCGTTCTCAGTTGGGAGTCCCCATTAATCCTTCCTGACACTGGCCTATTCCATTGCACACAACAGAAATTTGCCACTGTAAATAAAAATAGGGTGTGAAGGCATTTCCTCTACTGCAAAGCAGACTACATTAACCCTACTAAGCAGAAAGTGGAAGACGGGCAGGAGGCAGATGGGAGCCAAGAGGGTTTTGAGAGGTGGAAGGCTCCTCCCTTGAGCCAGCCAACTGGGCCAAGAGAGCCAGACCAAGGGCTGAGTTTCCAGGGGCCCATTCCATTTCAGTCGACTTATTTAGGCATTACTTTATTTATACCCCTGCTTCATTCCACGCTGCCTTCTGATCAACAGATCCCCTCCCCCCATCTACCCTTTCAAATTACGGTCATTAGGATAGATTTCCTTGGGGACCCAGTCTACACCTGTTTCTTGCACTTGCTCAAGTGGGAAAGTGTCCAAGGACTGAATACAACTACCTCATTGTTGGGGAGAAAATTGAGACCCCGAGAAGTTGACCACACGGCTCAAGATCACAGATCTGATAAGTGACTAAATTCTGATTTTGTATGGATGTGAGTCCAGGTCTTTTGATATCCCTGGTTTGGGGATGGCATTTTCTTATGGTTCAAATGACAAGAACTCACTTTCCAGTGGAGACCTTTCCTAAACGGAGTGAAAATGTCATTTAGTGGAAAAAGGGGATTCCCTTCACAACTTGGGTTGCATTCAACTTTGCAAGAAGCTATGCTTATAAGGGTGAGAGTGTGAAGAAGTATACACATGCCTATGTGGTGGTTTCTGTCAACTCCGCACATACAATTGCAAGCGCCCAGGCACACACTTATATGCACATTCACTCCCTTTAGTTGCCCAGAAGATTGGAGCCATCTCTGGTGAAAAAAAAACACACACACACAACTATTTTGTTTATGATGCAGCAACCATTTGAAGCCTGATTCCACAATGGTCTGTAGGGCCTCAAATTGGGTGCGGGGTGACCTCATCATTTGAGCTTCCTCCTGTCCAACTGCAGGCCCCAGACTTTCTCTTTCTCTCTCACTCCCTCTACCGTCTCATTTTGTCTGTCAGTCTCTCTGTTGCTCTGGTCTCTATCACACTTTGTCTCTGTCTCTTTCCTCTATCTCTTGCTGTCTCCTATTTTCTCTCTCCCTCTCCATCACACTTTTCTGCTTACCCACCTTCACACTCTGTGTGTTGCTCTGCTTCCCTCCCTCTCTCTCTTCCAAGAAGTCCTCAAGGAGTCCCAGGCTTCTAAGCTGATGAGTCAGAACTGCCCTATTCAGCTCTTAACTGGCTATCTTCCTTAATCTTTCCACAAAAATAAGTCCCATTTGCAACCTATATTAAAAGCCTCCCTGGAAAAAAACAGTCTTTGACTGCTTCCAGCCACCTCCTCACAGGACTTCGCACAGGGTTTGGCACACACCAGGTGCTCAAAGAATACCCATTCCCCAGCTGTGGCCCACTCCATTGACTGTTCAGCAATCACAAAGTTATCCCTAACCCCAATACCTCCTCTCTGGAGCTGGAATCATTCATGGCAGCTGGGAAAGCAAAGAACCTTTGAGCACATGTGTCTGATGTGCACATGTATCTAGAGAATTCTCTCCCACTCACTGGCACAGAGTCCAATGAGCACATATGTCTAGAGTGGTATCTCCCACTTCCCCAAGCAGAAATACATCATTTACCCCAGGGCCTAGCCTCCTGAAGTCAGACTAGGCCAGTTATGAGCAAGGGTATACTGGTCTGATTGCCACAGCACCTGTCACCTCAGGCCCCTCATCATCCTTCTTACAGCTTTCCCCTACACTAGATCCCTATCTAGTTTTGCTGTTTTCTAGTTGTGGAGCTCATGTTTAATGTTTGTCTCCACCATTAGACAGTAGGTACCCCACAAGGGCAAAATGTGTGTCTTTTTACCATTATATCCCTAGGACCTAGCACAGTGCCTGGCACAGAGTGGGCATGAATACATATTTGCTGAATAGATCAGCAAATTAACCAATCATGCTCGGTTTTCTCTCCTGTAAAATGGAGTGTATTTGTCCGTTTTCACACTGCTATAAAGAACTACCTGAGACTGGGTAATTTATGAATAGAAGAGGTTTAGTTGACTCGCAGTTCTGCAGGCTTAACAGGAAGCATGACTGGGAAGCCTCAGGAAACTTACAATCATGGTGGAAGATGAAGGGGGAGCAAGGCACATCTTCCCATGGTGGAGCAGGAGAGAGAGAGAGGGAAGGCGGAAGTGCCACACTCTTTTAAACAACAGGATCTTGTGAGAAATCATTCACTGTCATGAGAACAGCAAGAGGGAAGTCTGCCCCTACGATTCAATCACCTTCCCCCAGACCCCTCCCCTGACACTTGGAGATTACAATTTATGATGAGATTTGGGTGGGGACACAGAACAAAACCATATCATGAGGACAATACCAACTACTTCCTAGGATTCTTGGAAGGATTAAGATATGACTCTCTCTCTCTCTCTCTCTCTCTCTATATATATATATATATATATATATATATATATATATATATGCCAATCACTCACCATATATATATATATATATATATATATATATGTATAGTGTGTTGGGTTGCATTCAACTTTGCAAGAAGCTATGCTTGTATGGGTGAGAGTGTGAGGAAGAAGTATACACATGCCTATGTGGTGGTTTCTGTCAACTCCACACACACAAATGCAAGCACCCAGGCACACACTTATATGCACATTCACTCCCTTTAGTAGCCCAGAAGATTGGACCTATTTCTCGTGAAAAAAAAAACTATTTTTTATGTTGCAGCAACTATTTGCAATATATACACTATATATATATATATATAGTGTATATATGTGTGTGTGTATATATAGTGTATATGTGTGTGTGTATATATACATATACATATATATATAGTGACTGGCATACAGCAGGTGCTCAATAAATGTAAGAACTTTGCAGTGTTGTTGGGGGGGACACAATAAATTGACACGTAGAATTGATGAGTACAGTGCCTGACACAGAAGAGGCCCTCAATAAATATCCATGCCTTTCACCACATGCCTGCAGCCAGAGCTGCAGGGGGACCAGCTAAGAGTGAGCCCCCTTACAAATGCCTCCAGGAATGGTGGCCTGTGCCCTCTGGTAGCCTCTCTCAGCACCCTAAGCAAGTGGACCCTTACTTTGTAATCTCCAAGGCCCCATCTTCAGCCCCTGCCCAGCCTTTCCTGGCTAATTAGATGAGTAACGGTGTTTACTGTCCCTGGCTAGGCAGCTGATGGATGGTCGAGGCTGCAGATCATTAACCTTTCCCGGGTTCCCAAATGTTCTCATTAAGGAGCCCTGTCCCGTGTCTTTTTCCAGCCCTGAGCGAAGGCTGTGGGGTTGGCTGGCACAGGGAGCAAGCAGTGAGTAGGACGTGACTGCAGTGGTTCTGGGCAGAGTTCTCTGCTATAGCCCCAGGATTCTTTCTGCTCTTTCCCCTACTTACTTCTTTTAGAAAGCTGCATCCTCCTGGAGATATATGCTCTTGGGAACCTCCCACCAAAAGGTTTTCCCTGATTCTGCCTCTAATTGGCTCTGTGACTTTGGGCAAACTACCTTGTCTCTCTCTAACCTGTTTCCCTACCTTTAGAACGAGCCTCTTTGCTCTTTAAAGGCTCTTGCTGCTCTTGGGAATCTCTGTTTCAGGAGCAGAAGTGGTGACAGATTACTACAAGGCAGGACCCAGGAGATGGAGCTCACTAATGGTGATCCTACTCCAGTCCACCAGTCAACCTAGTTTCTATCTAAAGGAACTCTTTACTCCCTTGATACTCCTCAGAAGGGCTCTATGCAGGATCCTCTGGACTCCCAGAGGCATGTACTCTAGTGCACAATGAGAATGAATTAATGAATAAAAATCTCTCAGCACTCATGGCAGAAATATGCTTCTGGGTTCTAAATCTGACTAGTTGTATGACTCTGAATGAGTTGCTTAACCTTCCTTGGCCTTGGTTTCTTTAATTGTAAAATAGTAATAATAACAACTCAAGTGATTTGAGATACTAAATGAGATAATAGATATAAAACTTCTAGCTCAGCGTTTGAATTTTCCTAAAGGAAGTCAGGGCACACCCTGTTTTATCTTGATAAGTCCATCTCCTTCTCACTGAAATTGAAGGGGCAAAATTCTAGCACAGTTTCTTTCAACCTTTCCCCACCAATCATCCACAGAGGCTTCAAATTTCTATCAGAAGAGCTACTCTTTGAAGGACGTAGGACTTGTGTATTTTAGTTGGGTAAAGGCATCTCAAGGGGTTATAAAATAGAGTTAACACATTTGCAGGAAGAAGTTTACCTGATTAGGCTATTAGTATCCAGAGAACAGAGATAGGATCCCAATCAGAGAAGTGGAAATGACCAAGATGAGAATATAGGACATGAGCACAGGAAATCCTCTACGGCTCTTCCTCTCCCTTTGCCCTTTCCAAATCCAGTCTATTATGGAGTCCTGTCTACCTCCCTGAACAGATCACGTATCTTAAACTCAACATAGCCAACACTGAACTTATGGCCCCACCCCCAATCTGCTCCTCTTCCCTCAGTGCTCCCCATTGTAGTGAATGGCACCACCATCTGTTAAAAGTCCCAAGTAAGATGCTGGGTCACTTCTTTTACCCCTTTCTCTCCCTATAGTCCACAGAGACTCCCCAAACCCAGTATGTCTCACATCCAAAATATGTCTCAAATATGTCCACTTCTCTCTGTCTTAACTTGAAATTCCTGGGCTGTTCTCCAGGCCAATTGAATCAGAATCTAAGGAGGTGAAACTCAGGAATCGGTATTTTTTTTTTTCTTTTTTTTTCATTTATTTTTATTTTATTTTATTTTATTTTTTTTATTATACTCTAAGTTTTAGGGTACATGTGCACATTGTGCAGGTTAGTTACATATGTATACATGTGCCATGCTGGTGCGCTGCACCCACTAATGCGTCATCTAGCATTAGGTATATCTCCCAATACTATCCCTCCCCCCGCCCCCAACCCCACCACAGTCCCCAGAGTGTGATATTCCCCTTCCTGTGTCCATGTGATCTCATTGTTCAATTCCCACCTATGAGTGAGAATATGCGGTGTTTGGTTTTTTGTTCTTGCGATAGTTTACTGAGAATGATGGTTTCCAATTTCATCCATGTCCCTACAAAGGATATGAACTCATCATTTTTTATGGCTGCATAGTATTCCATGGTGTATATGTGCCACATTTTCTTAATCCAGTCTATCATTGTTGGACATTTGGGTTGGTTCCAAGTCTTTGCTATTGTGAATAGTGCTGCAATAAACATACGTGTGCATGTGTCTTTATAGCAGCATGATTTATACTCATTTGGGTATATACCCAGTAATGGGATGGCTGGGTCAAATGGTATTTCTAGTTCTAGATCCCTGAGGAATCGCCACACTGACTTCCACAATGGTTGAACTAGTTTACAGTCCCACCAACAGTGTAAAAGTGTTCCTATTTCTCCGCATCCTCTCCAGCACCTGTTGTTTCCTGACTTTTTAATGATTGCCATTCTAACTGGTGTGAGATGATATCTCATAGTGGTTTTGATTTGCATTTCTCTGATGGCCAGTGATGATGAGCATTTCTTCATGTGTTTTTTGGCTGCATAAATGTCTTCTTTTGAGAAGTGTCTGTTCATGTCCTTCGCCCACTTTTTGATGGGGTTGTTTGTTTTTTTCTTGTAAATTTGTTTGAGTTCATTGTAGATTCTGGATATTAGCCCTTTGTCAGATGAGTAGGATGCGAAAATTTTCTCCCATGTTGTAGGTTGCCTGTTCACTCTGATGGTAGTTTCTTTTGCTGTGCAGAAGCTCTTTAGTTTAATTAGATCCCATTTGTCAATTTTGTCTTTTGTTGCCATTGCTTTTGGTGTTTTGGACATGAAGTCCTTGCCCACGCCTATGTCCTGAATGGTAATGCCTAGGTTTTCTTCTAGGGTTTTTATGGTTTTAGGTTTAACGTTTAAATCTTTAATCCATCTTGAATTGATTTTTGTATAAGGTGTAAGGAAGGGATCCAGTTTCATTTTTTTCAGCACCACACCACACCTATTCCAAAATTGACCACATAGTTGGAAGTAAAGCTCTCCTCAGCAAATGTAAAAGAACAGAAATTATAACAAACTGTCTCTCAGACCACAGTGCAATCAAACTAGAACTCAGGATTAAGAATCTCACTCAAAGCCGCTCAACTACATGGAAACTGAACAACCTGCTCCTGAATGACTACTGGGTACATAACGAAATGAAGGCAGAAATAAAGATGTTCTTTGAAACCAACGAGAACAAAGACACCACATACCAGAATCTCTGGGACGCATTCAAAGCAGTGTGTAGAGGGAAATTTATAGCACTAAATGCCTACAAGAGAAAGCAGGAAAGATCCAAAATTGACACCCTAACATCACAATTAAAAGAACTAGAAAAGCAAGAGCAAACACATTCAAAAGCTAGCAGAAGGCAAGAAATAACTAAAATCAGAGCAGAACTGAAGGAAATAGAGACACAAAAAACCCTTCAAAAAATCAATGAATCCAGGAGCTGGTTTTTTGAAAGGATCAACAAAATTGATAGACCGCTAGCAAGACTAATAAAGAAAAAAAGAGAGAAGAATCAAATAGACGCAATAAAAAATGATAAAGGGGATATCACCACCGATCCCACAGAAATACAAACTACCATCAGAGAATACTACAAACAACTCTACGCAAATAAACTAGAAAATCTAGAAGAAATGGATACATTCCTCGACACATACACTCTCCCAAGACTAAACCAGGAAGAAGTTGAATCTCTGAATAGACCAATAACAGGCTCTGAAATTGTGGCAATAATCAATAGTTTACCAACCAAAAAGAGTCCAGGACCAGATGGATTCACAGCCGAATTCTACCAGAGGTACAAGGAGGAACTGGTACCATTCCTTCTGAAACTATTCCAATCAATAGAAAAAGAGGGAATCCTCCCTAACTCATTTTATGAGGCCAGCATCATTCTGATACCAAAGCCAGGCAGAGACACAACCAAAAAAGAGAATTTTAGACCAATATCCTTGATGAACATTGATGCAAAAATCCTCAATAAAATACTGGCAAACCGAATCCAACAGCACATCAAAAAGCTTATCCACCATGATCAAGTGGGCTTCATCCCTGGGATGCAAGGCTGGTTCAATATACGCAAATCAATAAATGTAATCCAGCATATAAACAGAGCCAAAGACAAAAACCACATGATTATCTCAATAGATGCAGAAAAGGCCTTTGACAAAATTCAACAACCCTTCATGCTAAAAACTCTCAATAAATTAGGTATTGATGGGACGTATGTCAAAATAATAAGAGCTATCTATGACAAACCCACAGCCAATATCATACTGAATGGGCAAAAACTGGAAGCATTCCCTTTGAAAACTGGCACAAGACAGGGATGCCCTCTCTCACCGCTCCTATTCAACATAGTGTTGGAAGTTCTGGCCAGGGCAATCAGGCAGGAGAAGGAAATAAAGGGTATTCAATTAGGAAAAGAGGAAGTCAAATTGTCCCTGTTTGCAGACGACATGATTGTTTATCTAGAAAACCCCATCGTCTCAGCCCAAAATCTCCTTAAGCTGATAAGCAACTTCAGCAAAGTCTCAGGATACAAAATCAATGTACAAAAATCACAAGCATTCTTATACACCAACAACAGACAAACAGAGAGCCAAATCATGGGTGAACTCCCATTCACAATTGCTTCAAAGAGAATAAAATACCTAGGAATCCAACTTACAAGGGATGTGAAGGACCTCTTCAAGGAGAACTACAAACCACTGCTCAAGGAAATAAAAGAGGATACAAACAAATGGAAGAACATTCCATGCTCATGGGTAGGAAGAATCAATATCGTGAAAATGGCCATACTGCCCAAGGTAATTTATAGATTCAATGCCATCCCCATCAAGCTACCAATGACTTTCTTCACAGAATTGGAAAAAACTACTTTAAAGTTCATATGGAACCAAAAAAGAGCCCGCATTGCCAAGTCAATCCTAAGCCAAAAGAACAAAGCTGGAGGCATCACACTACCTGACTTCAAACTATACTACAAGGCTACAGTAACCAAAACAGCATGGTACTGGTACCAAAACAGAGATATAGATCAATGGAACAGAACAGAGCCCTCAGAAATAATGCCGCATATCTACAACTATCTGATCTTTGACAAACCTGAGAAAAACAAGCAATGGGGAAAGGATTCCCTATTTAATAAATGGTGCTGGGAAAACTGGCTAGCCATATGTAGAAAGCTGAAACTGGAATCGGTATTTTTTAAAGCTCTCCAGATAAGTCCAAGGTGCAGCCAAGGATGAGAACCATTGCCCTACACATTAAACACAGTGATATTTTCAAAATATAAATCATGTTCTGTCACTCTCCCTTCAAAAACCCTTTGCTGGATTCTCATTGTGCTTGGAATGAGCTCCTAGCTCTTTCCCAAAACCTACAAGACCCTCTAAAAGATGGTCCCTGCTGATCTCTCTGATATTATCTATATCCTCCCCTTTTATTCTTACATTTAAACCATATTACCCTTCTTCTATACCTCCAATATACCAAGTTCATTTCCATCTGGAGGATTGGCATTAACAGTCTCAGTATTCCCAAGCTCAAAAGCCAACTTTGAGGCCTCAACTCCATTCCAAGGGGAGAATTGCCTTGTTTATACAAGGGAGAATAGTGAACCAAAAAAGTGAAGAAGCTTGGATTTTCCCTTGAGCATTTCCCCATCCTTTCTTCATCCAGTGCTCCTCCATACCATCTGAGCTGGTATGTGCAGTGTCCATACCAGCTGTCACTTGTTTGAAGGCCCTGTACTGGACATTTCCATCACTACAAACAATTTTACACTATGAAATCTAGTTAAATCCTAAATGCAAATTAAAACCATGAACACACACACACACACACACACATCCAAAAATGGCTAAATTCTTTTAAAAGATATCAGTACAAGTGTTGGGAAGGATAAGGAGCACCAAGAATTCATATACTCTCCTGGTAGGCGTACAAATAGGAACAATCACTTTAGAAAATTGTTTGACAGTATCTAACAAAGTAAAATACATACTTGATCTAACCTAACCTATGATCAAGCAATTCTATACTTAGGTATATTGAGAAATAAGTGCATATGCCCACCTAAAAACATGTACAAGAGTGTTTATAGCCAATGAGAACACATGGACACAGGGAGGAGAACAACACACACTGGCATACACTGGAGACTGTCAGGGGGTGCGGGGAGGGAGAGCATCAGAATAAATAGCTAATGCATGCGAAACTTAATACCTAGGTGATGGGTTGATAGGTACAGAAAACTACCATGGTATACGTTTACCTATGTAACAAACCTGCACCTTCTGCACATGTATCCAGGAACTTAAAATTAAAATAAAATAAAAATAAAAATAAACCTTCTAAAAAGGACAAAGAAAGAATGTTCATAGCAACAACATCATACATAATAGTCCCTAATTAGAAATCACTCAAATGTCCACTCAGCAGTGGAATGATAAATAAAATGCCATATGTTCATACAATGAAATGCTACAAATACAGTAAAAAATAAACTACTGGCTCATTCAACAACATGGATGAATTTTACAGACGTAGGGATGAATAAAAGAAGGCAGACATGAAAGAGTACATTGAAGAACAAGCAAGCTGAACATTGCTGATAGAAGTCAGACTAGCACAGTGCATCTCAAAGCAACAGCAGCACTTCAGAACTTGTTATAAATGCAGATTCTTGAGCTGCATCCAGATCTATTTAATGAGAATCTCTGAAGGTGGGGCTCAGTCATCCGTGCAACAAGCCTTCCAGATGATTCTGGATTAGTGGTTACCTCTTGGAGGAATATTAACTGGGAAAAGGCACGAGAGAGCCTTCTATCATGCTTGAAATGTTCCACAGCATCAGGGAATTATAACATAAGCAGGGAGGACAAATTCAGAAAGTAATGGGGAATGGGCTGGGGTTTGAAAACAGGACATGGAATTCTGTCGATGTGAAGGAGTTTGAAGTGGCAGGGATGAGGAGTGGGTAAGGGCAGCCCTGACTGGTTCTAATTGTATTTGCCAGGCTGGTGCTCTCCATTTGAGCTCAGCTGCCTTCTTGCTCTCCAACCTCTACCACAAAGCCTGGAGAATGCCCCCATTTATCCTACCCAGAGAGTAGTGCTTAGCCATGGGCCTTGGTTGCTGACCTGCCTGCCTTTGAAACTTTCTTTCCAATTAATAGAACTCTCATCTCCTTAATGGAATGAGCCAGTTCTGTTCCAAAGGCCATTTCATTTGGCTTTGGCTCTGGCTGGTGGTGGGGAGACTAAAGGATCTTGCTGAGTCTGCGCCAGAGTCATCATTTTCCTGTCCACCCCATCAGTCCACTTACTTTAAGAGCCTGTCAGGAAGAAGATGAAGCACCCAACTTGATGATATGTCCAAAACTGGCCACTTAGGTATATGGCGCTCCTGACACTAACCTGGGAGCTGGCCCGAGAAACTCCCAGCACTCAACAGGTTACCAGCTAATCAAAGTTGGCTTCTTGAGGACCCAGAACTGTAGGTTTAAACTAGACGAACCTTAGAGGGCTTCTGGTGTATCACCTCATTGGATTTGTGGTGGAAATGAAGTCCAGGACCACACAGGAAACTAGTGGCTCCCAGGAAGGATGCTTAGCAGATGTGCCAGCTATATCATCCATGTGTCTCCCAAAAGATGACCATATGGAAAAGTTTGTGGCTTCAGCTTCAGCTCCTATTTCTGTTCAATTTTTGTCAACAAAGATTGTCTCTCGAGCAATGGGCTTGTGATGGGAATATGTTTCCTCATTGAAAACTCGTTTCATGCCAGGAAAGTAGCTTTCCTCCAGGACCCTGAGAATTAAAGATGCTCACCCCAGGGACCTGAAGAGGCAGGGCAGTGTGCCACAAAATGGGCTGGCCCTCCCTAGGACTGTTTTCACAGCAGTACCTGTCCCTAAAGTTTGGGTTGGAGCATCCTGGCTTTCATTCTTTAATTTGTCCGTGCCACATGCTAAGCACCACTGTGAACAGATTCTCTTTGCCATGGATAATACAGCCTTTCAATTTGGAGAACTCTAGTGTGATGGAGGTCAAAGAGACCATGTGGTGTGGTAGAAAGACTACTGAATCTAAAGACAGAAAGACATGGATTAATAGTCCCAGCTCTGCCACTTACTAGTCATGAGATATTGGTCAAATCATTTCATTTTTGAGCCCTGTTTTCCCCAGCTATACAATGGAGATTATAATATCTACTTTTCAGAGTTGTATAGTTAAAATAGTGGCCATAGAGTATTTTACACAGTGCCAGACACACAGTAGGAACTCACTAAATGATACCTGTCGTCTTTATTAGCTGAGTAATCTCAAGCAAATCCTTTCACCTCTGGAGCCATCAGGTTTTTTATCATATTTCAAATGGAGATGATAATATCCTCCTGATAGGATTGTTATGATGATTAAATGAAGATACGTTTATAAAATGCCTTGCACAATGCCTGGCACATGGTAGGCACTCAATACCTGTCTGTTGAATTTGAATAGAGACCAAAGAGAACATATACCTAGGGTTGGGCAGGGAGGGCTTAAGCCACTGGTTTTCCAAAAGCAGGGTCTCGACATTCAATTAGAAGAGCTGGTAATTGCAGAGCCATCAGCACTGGGCCATTTATCTTAATGACAGGAAGCTGATCAGGGATTGTTATGAGATTTTATCCAGTAGCACCAGCTTGTTCAACATCAATTCCTGTCACCTGGATTTTCTCTGTTTCTCAAGTTCCCTGGGGGACCATGACAGTGTTTGTTTTGGACTCAGCAGAGAAATAAGAAGAGCAGAGTCCAGGACACAGACTGGCCATAGCCAGATGCCATGATTCTAGTCCTTGGACTATGGAAGCTTGTTCTCACTACTGCATGGGGATAGGGAGTACTCAGACCAGTGGGATAAATAGGTACATCTTTAAACAATCTCTAGCTAACAAGAGAAGTACTGGACATAGGTCCTGGATAAGTGCTATGGGATTATAAGGAGGAGAGCAAAATATCCACTTTGGAGGGACAGGAAGGGCTTCCCAAAGGAGAGCACATTTGAACCGGCTTTGGATGAGTAGGGATTCAACAGGTAAGAGTAGAGGAAACGGCATCTGCAAAGGCATGGAACAGTGAGACAGCATGGCATATTTGGAAAAGAGATTCAAAGAGGCTCAAATATATGAGGAGTAGACAGGAGGCTGGACAGGAAGAGAATGTGAATTTCCTTGTGGGAAAAAATAGGGAAAGTGGACTTAATCTTTAAGGAAAGCGGGAGTCCTGAAAAAGTTTTAAGCTAAGGCACAGTTCCCTAATCAGACTCATATTTTTAAAAGCTTATCTGGGCACACTGTGGATAATGGGCTGCAGAGGGGAGAGATGGTAGCATAGAAACCAGTTAGGAGACTGTTGCAGTCATTCAGGCAAGAAATGATGAGGATCTGTACTAGGTGGAGGCAACGTGGGGCAAGAGGGATCAAGAAGAGGAACTAGGCCTTGGTGGTCAATTGAATGTGGGGGTTGAAGGAAAACAGGGAGACTGAGGATGATTCTGAAATTTATAGTTTAAGAAACTGAGTAAATGGTGATGCCATTAACTGAGATAAGGGACATAGGGTGAGGAAGTAATGAGTTATGTCAAATTTGAGGTACATGAAAGACATCTAGGTAGAAATGACAAAGGCTGCTATGTATTTCTTATATGCCAAGCATAGTACATTTTCTGTGTTTTCTAACTTGATCCTTAAAACAACCCTATGAGTAGACACTATAATTATTCCCATTTTATGGGTGAAGAAACCAAGGTTGGGCAGCTTGCTGAGTCTAGTCTAATTTCAGACTTCTAAGTGTTTGTACTTTACCACTCTTCCAAGAGATAAAGCCTTAAGGACAGTCTCTACGGCAAACGTCTTTGTATACAAGTTGTGAGGTAGCAATCATTGCTCCACAAATGACCACCCAGAACCTAAATTATTGCTGTGGCAATTTGCAAAGTCATTTCCTGTCATTTCATTTGAAACACCTTCTGGGAGCTAATCTAGAGAAAGCTATATCTAGCCTGGGAGACTCTCTGCCACTTGGCTGTTGACAATGGAAAAGACCCTCAGATGCCCTTCCACCTGACCAATATTTAGAGGCTTTCATGGGGTGCCATAGCTCCTCTCATTTGCTCTGGACCTTGGCCCAGACCCTTTCTCAGTGGCTGCTAGGCAAACAGCTATGTTCAGGCATCACAACATTTGTAAAAAAACAAGCAAGTGCTAGGGAGCTTTTAGTGCTCCCAGGGGAGTAGAATTGTGATGTTTTGTCCTTTTTCTCTTTTCCCAGTCTTAGATACCTCTCTGTGCAAGACATTCCTTCAATGATTACCCCCGAATGGTCTTTCTTGGTTTTATTATTTTCCTTCTATCGACCACTTCCATCCTCAGGGGCTTTTCAGAGTCACTCTAAGACCTCTGTGGTTTTAATTAACCAAGTGGTTTGGTGCCATCAGCCTCCTTCCATCAATGTATTAGTCATTTCCTTCTTAGGCTCATTAATGAACATACTTAATAACACTGTTTCCAGCCCCAAATCTCTAGAGCCCTCCCCACCCCTCCCCACAATGCCTTTCCCCTTGCCAGGAACTGTTGGACACTCATACACTGGCCCCTTCCCTTTGCACCAGTTTGAAATTCATAAATATGAACTTACTCTCCAGGATTGGAGAGGAGTCTCTGGGCATGTGTGTGGGTGTGGGGATGCATATGCATGTGCAAGACAGGCAAGGCGGGGGAGTCAGAGAGAAACAGACATAAAGAGAACAACAGGGAAAGATAATGAAAAATTTTCCATAATAGGGTTTTATCCACAGGCCTTTTGAAAATCAGTCAATTACATATAATGTGTATTCTCTATCCCCTCGTCCACAACCTGCTCTCATGACTGCCACTGTGCCACCTCTCCCCCAAAACTATGAATCATAGACTCATAAAAATGCCACAACTGGAAGAGGCCTTAAAGACCATCTAGCCCCAATTCCTGATGGTACAGATGAGAAAATTGAGGTTTAGAAGGGGCCAGGCTATTACTCATCTGGGGTCACCATGGGCATTACTTTTCTAGCTTCTTCAGTGGAGGCCCCCTAACCACCTTCCCTACCTGAGAGTGAGGCATAGTAGGCAGGAGGGGTTGAGAGTACAGAATCAGGAGGCTGATTGTTGAAGTTCAAATCTTAGCTCTGTAAGTCACTGCATTTGTTTCCTGCGGCTGGTGTAACAAAGTACCACAAACCGGATGGCTTAAAACAACAGAAATGTGTTCTCTCACAGTTCATGGGATCTGCAGGGTTGGTTCCTTCTGGAGGCTCTGAGGGAGAAACTGTCTTATGCCTCTCTCCTAGCTTCTAATGATTGTCGGCAGTCTTTGGTGATCCCTGACTAATAGACACATCATTCCAACCTATGCCTCAATCATCACATCGCCTTCTTCTCTGTGTCTCTGTGTGATGTCCTCTCCTCTTCTTAAAAGGACACCAGCCATTGAACTGAGGACCCACCCCAAATCCAAGATGATTTCATCTCAAAATTCTTAACAATTATGTCTGCAAAGGCTTTTTTTTTACAAATAAGGTTACATTCTGAGGTTCTGGATGGATGTGAATCTGGAGGATGCTATTCAAATTACTACAGTGATGAAACCTCTCTGATCCTTAGCTTCCTCGTCTGTAAAATGGGCATAATAATATTCCTTATATCATGAGGTTTTGAAGACCAACAAATGGTTTTGAAGTTAATAGATGGTAAAACATTCAGAACAGTGCCTAACATGTAGTAAGCACATACTGGCATGTTAGCCCACTTATTCTTGAGCTCCTTTGAGAATTCTTTCATTTTTTTTTAAACTATGTATCTTACACTGAGAACAATGTTTGACACATAATAGGGACTCATTAAATATTTGTGAAATGAATCCACGGGTGTTTTGGAATCATACCCAGGGGAAGCCCATCTTCATAAACTGATGGGACCCTGGAGGACTTATCCACACATTCCTCCAGCTGGAGAAGCTAGAATTCATCCAGCCCTTTGGGGAAAAAACTGAAATGGCAAGGGAGGGATTGAAGCATGCAGGGTCAAAACTTACAAACGACACTGGGAAAGGGCACTCCTGGGCCACACTCAGCACTAAGGAAGACCACAAACTGGAGGAATTCGAATCACTTATCTCTATGGGCACAGATACAGCCATTGGGAGAGGAAGAGAGAGAAGAGGCAGGCAGGCAGGCACCAGCTGCCGGCTGACCGGGTCATTGAGTACCAGCAGCTCTCTAAATACAGAACCCAAAAAGGTTCTGGGGACATTGCTAGCAGGGCTAAGGGAAACAGTCATGGAGCTCCCTATCGGCTGTGTCTTCAATTGGATATTGTCGCCCAAAGGATGCCCTTACTAGGAAAAGTGCCTGGCAGAGGCTGAGCTGGCTGCCCAGCTGTCTTTCAGGGCTCAGTTACCTTTCACTCCCTCCCCGCTGGGCAGGGATTTGCTCCTGGAGTTTGGGTGAAAGAGTGTGTATGTGTGTATATGTGTGTGTGTGTGAGACAGAATGTTTGTGTGTCTGTTTCACTGTGTGGCGTACATGTACCTGTTTGTTTGGGGAGGATAGGTTTGCTCTCCAGGGCAGGAACATGTAATCTAAGCCTGCCTCCAAGGCCAAGGCCAGCAGGGGAGCTGAAATCCAAAATTAGCACACTGACCTGAAGCCTTGGCCTGAATGCATAAGGGTGCACATGGCAGGAAGCTGGCCAGGGTGGACATGGGAGAGAGGCATCAGAGAACCTCAAATTGTGTCACCCTTAGTGGGAATGCAGGTTCATGGAACCACCAGCCACCATCCCAGGACCGTGCTGTATGAGATAGCCAGTTGAAAGACAGTCAGTAGCTAGAATTTGGAGCTCAGTGTGTGACCTCATTCAGTTGGTGGCCAGGATGTGGGCTCAGAAAGAGCTAACATTTTTTGAGCATGTAACAGGTGCCAGGCACTGTGTTGAACTCTTTACAAACATGGACCTGTTTGCTCCTTAGGATCTTCCTGAGATAGTTGCTAATAGTATCCCTCTTTTCCAGTTAAAATCTCAGGCTCAGAGTGCACACAGCTAGGAAATGATAGAGCCAGAATCAGAAAATAAGCAGGTTGACTCCAGAAGCCATGGCCTTAACCATTAGGCTGTACGGTCCGCAGAATACGACTCATCTCGAGGCTAGGCTACAAGTCGCAGGCTGTGGCCAACATTAGGGGTTTGGTCTCCAGACAAATTTGGGGGTCTGTTTACATGGATTTCATATTCTGCCACTGTCTTAGGTTTTGATTCATCTCTGCAGCAAAAACGTAAGGATTATATATTAGGTAGCGCCCCCTTGTGGGTAGAGTGGTGGCACCAAGTAAATCAGAGATTTTGAAGATTTTTTTTTTTTTCTTTATGGATTCTCAGTGCGTGGTTGGGTCCAGTGTGGTTGGTGGGGCCTAGTGTGCTTGTAGTCCCAGGAGGGCTTGCCAGTGGAAAGGACAAAGTTGCCACAAAAGTACTGAGAAAAAGGACTTAAAGTGAGCTGAACTGAAGACAAGTTCAGCTGGGGCATCTAATGTGCTTTAAAATGAAAGATGTTAAAAGAAAGTTGAAAGATAGTCAGTAGCTGGAATTTGGAGCTCAGTGTGTGACTTCATTCAGTTTGTGGCCAGGACAAAGGCTCAGAAATAGCTAATATTTTTTGAGCATGTACCAGGTGCCAGGCACTGTGTTAAATTCTTTACAAACATTGGCCCATTAGTTCTTCAGAATCTTTCTGAGATAGTTACTAATAGTATCTATACTCATTGTAGCGCCAAGAGATCAGGCTCATTTTCTCAGGGAAACTGAGAAAATGGAAATAAAGGAGATCCTGATGAGAAAACACTTAGGTCCTACCTGTTACGATAGTAACTGTGTAATTGTGTATCAATCATAAGTATTACATAATATTAGATGCATTAATGGTAGCAGCTCTAATTTGTGGAATTCTTACTATGTGCCAGGGTTTTGACATATATAATCTTCTTAACAACCTCGCATGCTGGAAATTATTTTTTCCATTTTACAATTAAGGAAGCTGAACCTCAGATGATTCAGACTGCCTGGGTTTGAATCCTGCCTCTAGAATTTACCAGTTATATGACCCTGGGTAAATCATTATCCTCTCTGTATCTTAGTTTCCTTATCCTTAAAATGAGGATAATAAAGCACCAATTTCATAGAGCTGCCATGGGAATTAAATTAGAATCGTTCATCCACATAAATCTCTTGGGACAGTGCCGGCACTTAGTGAGTGTGTAATAAATGTCAGTTATTTTTATCTATATGGTGAAGAGTCCCCAATGTCTCCTCTGGATTTCAGACTACATATCCACCTGTCTTCTTTGCATCTCCAGCTGGGTATCTCAAAGACACCTCAAACTTGATATATTCAAAAGCCAAACTCATGACCACCCCCACTCTCATCAAACACAAGCCCTGTCCTAGGAATTGTTATTGCCCCTTCCTTGGCTCAGTCCCCATAGCCTAACCATCAACAAGTCCCCTGGTAATAAGTGTAAGTAGTTTAGCATTATGGTTAATAACAGAGACACTGGAGTCAAGCATGGTCAAACATAGTGAACTTTCTAATTCTACCACTTATTAACTCCGTAGCCAGTCTTCTCTGAGTCTCAGTTTCCTCATCTGTTAAATAGGGATAATAATCTTATCTATCTCATTAGATTACTGTGAGGATTAAATGAATTAGTACATACAAATGTCTTAGAAGAGTGCCTCATATATGGAAAGTCCTCAGTACCCATGAGGTGCTATTTTTATTTTTATTATATATATATATTTTTATTATACTTTAAGTTCTAGGGTACATGTGCACAATGTACAGGTTTGTTACATAGGTATACATGTGCCATGTTGGTGTGCTGGAGGTGCTATTTTTATTACGTGAGTTTGTTTCCTGGGTTTTTGTTTTGGTAGCTATAGCCTTGGCTTCCTCATTACTATGACTATCCCTTCATATGTTTTCTTCTGTAAGAAGTGGAATGGCAAGAAATGAATGTATGAGATGCCAGTGGTGAAATCTGGATGGTGAAGCCACCAATGACCTTAAATCAAACAAAAGAGCACAGATGGCTCAGACCCTCATCTATATTCCATATTTGTTAGAGGGAGGTTGGTGTCGACCTAGAACACGGCAAGACTTGGCATTAAGAGAAGATTGAAGTCAGGCCAGATGAAAAATTATCATTAGAAACATTCGTTTCATTGCCAAAAATGTATTAACTGAATCCCTATTATGTGCTAGACACTGGGGAGATAAGTGGATCAGACCCAGCCCTGTCCTCAAAGACTTCACAGTATCTGAGGATTGGACAAGAACTGTGGAGGCTTCAAGTCACTGCTCAACTCCCCGACAGGCTGTGATTTCAGCCATTCATTGGATATTTCTCAGCATCAATTCTCCCATCTTTGCAATGGAACAGTTGCTAGACAGATCTCTCTATTATTTAATAAAAACCTCATTTAGCTGCTCCAAAAATTCTGCCCTGAGGAGTGGATAGCAGCCTCAGATCTGGAGTCACACAGGCCAAGGGGCAAATCCCAGCTTTGCCACTTAGTAGCTGTGTAACTTTGAGGTAGTCGTTCAACCTCCCGGAGTCTCTGTTGCATCACCTGTACAATGGAGTTAATAATAGTACCTACCTCATAGGATTGTGGAGGAGTAAAAGATCATCCGTATAAAGCAGTGAACACAGTGCGTAGCACAGAGTAAGAGCTTGATGCCTATTGGCCATTATTTTTAACCTACAAGGATACAGAAATAATCCAAAAAGGAATACAAAAGACTATGAGTATGTGCATATATTGAAAACATGTTCACAATGGAAAATATTATCTAATGTGCAAAAACTCTGACCATAGCCCAGGTTTATCTCCCAGTACCCACTTGTGTCCTATCAGGGCTCCCAGTGTGAAAAGTGGAGCTAGTCTAAAGGTTCAAAATAATGAGATTAGAGGTCAGGAAAACCTAGGTTAGAATCCCACTTTGGTATTCCCAAGCCAGCTTTCTAGAAGTATAATAACATACATGTTCCATGGTACTTTGCAGTTCAGATATGCTGTCATTAGGAAGGAAGTAGCCTTAGGTTGGGATCTCCATGGGCCATTGAACCAGGATTTTCATATCTCTTCGGTGGTGGGACAGAAACAGCATGCTTTTCCATTCAGTTTCATTGTTGTTTTTGTTTCGTTTGTTTGTAGGGAAGCCGTGGGGATAATTGCTATGAGTGTGGTCTCTACAGCCAGACTACCTGGGTTCAAATTCCAGCTCTGCCACTTACCTGCTCTGTGACCTTGGGCAAGTTACTTAGCTTTTCTGAGCTTCAGTTTTATCATGTGTCAAATAGTAACAATATACCTCACAAGACTGCACTGAGCATAAAATGAGATCACCTATAATCATATAGATATATATTTGATCTAGTCCAGTGGCTGGCATGTTAAGTAAGCTGACAGCTCCACCATGCAGGTGAGAAATCAAGGAGCAGGAAGGCCAACAAATCCTCTTTACCGCAAAGCCTCTCTTCAGTGGTGCCTAAAATTCCATGAGTACAGACTCATACCCTCAGTTAAGTTGCCCAGATGCTTCCTATTGGAGATAAATGTATCCAGAAGATACTACACCTCAACTGGACTCAACCAGAGTAGAGATGGGGTGACTGGCAGCTGATGGTTGGGCACAGAGCTGGGGTGGTCACCAATGAGCGGGGAACCCAGAAGAGGGGTGAACAGGTCTCAGAAAAAAATTTTCACTGACCCCTCAACTGTACCTGCAGATGCGCTGTGCCCTGGTGAAAGGACTGGAAGGGGCCGTGTCAGGTGTAGATCCAGCTACTTGCCTGCCAAGCTCGACAATTGTGCGGTTATGAGAGGAAGTGATGACGTGCAATATTTCCAGATACATGTGCAGGGGTTTTTAAATTAACTTGTCCTTGCACTATTAATTTTTATTGCTTGTTCTCTCCTCACTTCTGATAGCTCAGCCAGTGGGCACATCAGCCTGACATTTTAATCTTGTTCCCACAAAGATTATTTCCTCAGAACTGCATTGTGCAGCCCCCTCACCCTGGCTCTAGTAGGTCCCAAATGGGTAGAATTTCATTTATCAAGTATTTTCTTCAGTGTACCTGGGATCCTGTCTGGCACAGTGAAGGAGAATGGGCTGAGTAGCCTGGGATGTCTAAGTTTAAACCTCAGCCTTGCTGTGTGATCTTGGCTAAGTTGCCTAACCTCTCTGAGTTTCAGTTTCTTCATCTTTAAAATTGGTATTATGATACCCAACTCAGAAAATTGCTCTGGGGATAAAATGGTATGGCATGTGTTAATACACCCTTTTCAGAGACTACGCCATCTAAGTCTGGAATATTCAGCATGTAATGGTGAATAAAGAATGGCTAGGGGACAGTGTGTAGAGCCCGGAGGGAAAAGAGAAATAATAAAAGGAGATGTAGAATGATTAAGTCAGGCTAATTAACACATCCATCACCTCACATACTTATCCTTTCTTTATGGTGAGAACACTTAAAATCCACTCTTTCAGCAATTTTGAAATGTATAATACATGATTACTAACTATAGTGAGCATGCTGTGCAGTAGATCACTAGAACTTCTTCTTCCTCCTGTCTAATTGAAACTTTGTACCCTCTTATTCACATCTTCCCTTTCCCTGTCCACCCCCTACTCCAGCCCCTGGTAGCTCCCATTCTACTCTCTACTTCTATGAGTTCAACTTTTTTAGATTCCACATATAAGTAAAATCATGTGGTTTTGTCTTTCTGTGCCTGGCTTATTTCACTTAGCATAATGTCCTTCACGTTCATCCACGTTGTTGCGAGTGACAAGATTTCCTTATTTTTTGACTGAAAAATACTCGTGTGTGTGTGTGTGTGTGTGTGTGTGTGACATTTTTTAATCCATTTATTCATTCATGGGCACTTAGATTGTTTCCATATTATGAAAAATTAGTTTGACTTAATCATTCTACAATATATACATGTATCATCACATCATATTGTACCCCATATGTATTACATATACTATTATTATTTGTGAATTTTAAAAAAAAGGAGAAGTAAGTGTGAGTAGAGGGTGCCGGGGGTGGTGGTCCACCTGATAGCTTTCACGTTCTCTGTGAAAGAAGAGAGGCCAGCTACTGAGTCTGAGGGAGTAGGGGTGGGCAGGAGGCTGGAGAAATCTGGGAATCAGTCTTCAGCAAGAATTTCCGCATGGTTGATTGTGCGTGGCTGTTGGCCCACCCCAGTGGCCTAACATCCCATTCCCACAGCCCTAGAAATTACCTTCTGCTCTAGAAACTCTTCCTTGGTTTAGTCACAGCGTGGATTCTCCAAATGACAGACATTGTCTGTACATGTACTGGCTATTCTTTCCAACCACCTTGTCTCAAAGTTAACTTTGGCCCTTTTCTGAGCTCTTCCAGATACTGTGTATGCTGTGGCTTGTTATGAATTCTTCTCTTCCACTGTCCTGCTGCCTGTAAATTCAGTGGCTCATCGACAGGTCCTTTTGGACTGGAAGCTTCCTGGAGAGAGCATCAGGCTGGTGAAGTTCTCCCCATGCAGTAGGCATAGCACAGACTCGATGACAGCATTTCCTCCTGTCATCCTTTTTCCTGATACTTGAGGCAACACAGAGGCCTAAAGCCCTTTCTTGCCTTGTACTTGACTTTTCTATACATTTAAATGTGTCTTTTAAATTTTTTCTCTTACTCTTTATTCTCTCTCCTCTTTTCTCCCCTTCCACTTCTTTCTCTTTGGTTCTTTTTTTCATGTTTCTCCATTTCTCTCTTAATAAATATCTCCCCTTCTCTCCATCTCTATCTCTGCATATCTATATATATATATATATACACACACACATATACACTATATATGTATATATACAGATATACATATATGTATATATACAGATATACGTATATATACGTATATCTGTATATATACATATACACACATATAGTGTATATGTGTGTATATGTATGTGTGTATATGTGTATATATGTACATATATGTGTATATATGTATATATGTACATATGTGTATATATGTATATGTGTACATATGTGTATATATACATGTATATATGTATGCACATATGCCATCTTTTTCTATAAATAACTTTCTCTTTTAGTCTGTCTTGCTCTCTATATCGTATGCCCCCCTCACTGATTCTTCTTTCATCCTGATAGAAGAGCCTTTCTCAAAATTTCTTTTTCTTCCAACATTTACTTTAGATTCAGTGGGTACCTGTGGAGCTTTGTTACATGGGCATATTACGTGATGCTGAGGTTTGGGGTTTGATTGAACCCATCACCTAGGTAGTGGGCATAGTACCCAATAGTTTTGCAGCCCTTGCTCCCCTCCCTCTCTCCCACCTCTAGTAGTCCTAGTGTCTACTGTTGCCATCTTTATGTCCATGTGCATCCAATGTTTAGCTCCCACTTATAAGTGAGAACATGTGGTATTTGGTTTTCAGGATATCTTGAGCCCTGTGGAATTCCCTCACAACAGGTGGAGAATCCAAGAAAGTGCTTGAGGATGGTGGCAGTGGCTGGGGCTAGGAAGATTTACTGCTGCCACAGAAGGAGAGAGAAAGAGCTTTCCTTCCCTGCATCTATAAGTGGCCTGAAACAAGTCTTTTGGAAACACCTCCCACACCCCAACTCCCCAGTGTCAAAAGAGGCCCTACCATCCCTTGCAGCCCCTCTCCCCCATGATAAACAGGCTGCCCTCTAGGTTGCAATGCAGTGAAAGAGCCTGGATGGGCATCATCCAGGCCAAGTTGGGCGGTGGCAGATGGTCAGGGAAGTGGAATGAGGTTACCAAGGGAGGGTATACATTTTCATATATTTGACCCCAGGATCCTTTCTGCTTATCAAATGTTCACATGAATATACTCAAAAACTATCCCAAGGAATCTTGGTTGTCAGGGACATAATGCTTGAATCATCCTTCCCCTCAAAATGTTCCATTATGTCATCTTAAACCACCAACCTCATCCTCACCCACTGACCCAGGCACTTGGCTTATAGAGAGGCTCAAGCTTCCATCAGGAGGCATGCCATGTGACTTTTATGAGCACTTCCAATGTTAGACTCCTCTGATCATATGCTACGTCTAGGTTCAACACCTGTTTTGCAGCACAATTCTACCTCCTCCTCACCAGCACTGGGGTGGTGGTGTGAAAAGAACCCCGCCTTAGTTTGGGTTCTAACTCCTACAGTCCTGTTTGTTACAGTGGTCCCCAGTGGTTTCAGGAAGCATTTCCCAGCTGAGTAGCCAGCCCCTTTCAAAAGAAATATATATATATATATATATATATATATATATATATATATATGGATCGCAATTATTGAGTCATCTTCATTACGGTGTTAAACTGGGTACAAAGAGAAAATAAGCTGCTAACTCCCTATGCTTATGGCTGATATACAATTATAAAGCTGAAACAAAGTTCCAAATGAAATGTAAACAAAACCACAAAACCAATAAAAATCAAATGAACAACAGTTCTTTTTAACAAGGTGGATGATGTTGTTTTGCTAAAATTAAATTGCTGTTCAGATCGTGACTATGGTGCTGACTGCAATACAGGTTCTTTTGAGTTCGTCGTGCTATATTACTGTGAGCCAGGCAATGACTCAGCTCTCGCACCACTTTTTTCCCCATCAGATCTATTGCTAACCTGTCATTCCTGTAGCCCTGAGGGACATCATTTGGCCTTCACTGGGACTAAGCCATCATTTATGTATTAAGTCCTCCTATGTTCTTTCCTCATTAGTCCTTGACAATGCAAGTAGGACATTGTGAAGGTAATGAGTTCTTTTACACAAAAATGTGGCAGAGATTGCTAGTTATCCATCCCACTACTCACCCCTTTCTCTCCTAATGTGCTCAACTAAAACACATACTATATTCCATGGCCTCCATTGTAGCCATACCACCAAGTTCTGGTCAATGAGATACAAGTGGAAGTGTTATTGGTGATTTCTTGGGGATCTTCTAAAAGGGAAGGGGGCTGGTCCTTCCTTGCCCTTTCCCCCATCTTACTGCTTGGAATGAGCAAGTATTAGTTGGAGCTATGGCTATCAGCTTGCATCACGAGAATGACGGCCATGGCTTCAGAACAGCATAGTGGAGATCTGGGAGGATATGTGGTACCTAACAACATGGAGCTGCCACACCAAACCTGCACAGCTTATCTTTGAACTTTTTGGACATGATGCAGAATTCATCTTCTATCTTGTTTATACCAGTATTATTTTGGATTTTTTTCTGTTACATGCAGCCTAATCTGATCCTAATACATGGAGGCAGATGTAAATGAGAGTCCAGAAATCCTATGGTTGCCCTTTAGCTATAAGGTGGCCTTGCAGATGGATGATACAGAATAGGCTTATATCATTCGGTTTAGACTTTAATTGTGATAAAAACACAATTTTAACTGGTGCAGCCATTATGGAAGTACAGGCATTCCTCAAAAAAATTGAAAATAGAACTACCATATGATCCAGCAATCCCACTACTGGGTATATACCCAAAGTAAGTGAAATGTGTATATTGAAGAGATATCTGCACTCCTATGTTCTTTGCAGCATTATTGACAATAGCCAAGATATGGAATCAACCTAAGTGACCATCAATAGATAAATAAAGACATTGGAACAGCAAACCAAATACTGCATGTTCTCACTTATAATTGGGAGCTAAATGATGAGAACACATAGACACATAGAGGGGAACAACACACACTGGGGCCTATCAGAGGGTAGAGAGTTGGAGGAGGGAGAGGATCAGAAAAATAACTAATGGGTATCAGGCTTAACAACTGGGTGACAAAATAATCTGTACAACAAACTCCCAAACCCCCATGACACAAGTTTACCTCTGTAAAGAACCTGCACATGTACCCGTGAACTTAAAATAAAAGTTAAACATAATTATAACTCAAAAAAGGAAAAAAAATTCTGGGGTGTGTGTGTGTGTGTGCGTGTGTGTGTGTGTGTGTGTGTGTGTGTGTGTGTGTGTGTGTATATATATAATGGAATATTATTCAGCCTTAAAAAATAAGGAGATACTGTCATTTGGAACAACATGGATGAACCTGGAGGACATTATGCTAAGTGAAATGGGCCAGAAACAGATATAAAAATACTGCATGATTGCACTTATATGTGGGATCAAAAAAAAGCTGAATATATAGAAATAGAGTAGAACACTAGTTACCATGGGCAGCAGAGAGAGGAGATTGGGA
This sequence comes from Homo sapiens, assembly GCF_000001405.40. Taxonomy (NCBI): domain Eukaryota; kingdom Metazoa; phylum Chordata; class Mammalia; order Primates; family Hominidae; genus Homo; species Homo sapiens. The sequence goes on along the minus strand of NC_000023.11, from coordinate 130,985,869 downwards.
GATGTAGGTTAGAGGGCACAAAGTTGCAGTTATGTAGGATGAAGGAGTCTAGCAAGCTAATGTATAGCATGAGGACTACAGTTAGTAATATTGTATTGTATACTGGAAATTTGCTAACAAAGTAGATTTTAGGTATTCTTGCTACAAAAAAACTGTGAAATATTAGATATGTTAATTTGCTTCACAATAGTAACAATTGCACTATGTAGATGTATGTCAAAACATCGCGTTGTATACCTTAAATATATCCAAGAGAAAACCACAGGAAAAACATCCCACAATTTTAAAATTATCACAGAAAACTCTCGAACCTCTAAGAATATCCCATACTCCCACAGGTTGTCAGAACCCAGAGGAAACTCTGGCTTAGTAGATTCCTAATGTATCACCCAGAAAGGATATAGGAACCCTAATACTGAGGTGATGATGTATACCCCGTGAAGTTATATTGGTGATCCCCTGCCTTTGTGCTTGTATCTATCTCAGGCAGGCCCCAAAGGAAAGAAACTAGAACAGGGCTAAGTAAGAAGCTCAGGTGAGGAGGACATTGGTTTGGGGAAGCCAAGCAACAACTGGAGGAGGAAGGCAGACATCAGCTCCATCTGCCTAAACCTACTTCCCAGCCCTTTCTCACACCCAGCTCCCTTTGTCCTTGTCCTACATCGGTGCCCAGAAGCCTGCTTCTGATGGCAGGAGAAGCCACAAGCTAAAAGAGTGACTCTCATTGCTTCCTAGAACGCCAGGAGCATGGAGCAGGTGACAGGAAGGTTGGGGCCAAAGCACTAGCCAGGAATGGTCAGCTTTCTATCCCTCCTGGGGCCCCAGCTGCTGGGCATAGCCACGGCCCTGGAAACTTGACTCCTCTGACTGAAATCTCCATGTTAATTTCAAATTTAGCCCTGGGCCTTAAGCCACTTCATAAACTGCCTCCTCATTTGTTTCCCTCCCCGCCACCTCCTCAGGGTTCAGAGCCAAAATTTGGTAGGAGGCGGCAGTAGGCCTGTGAAATATGAACCTCAGTTTGGCCTGCTCAACCTGTCTCCAAATAATAAATCTTAAGTCACTGTAGAGAATTCCTCCTGCCTTTGCCACAGTTCTTTTTCCTTCTGTTCCCCTTTCCTTCATTCTACTCCCACCACCCTTTCTGCCTTCTTGGAGTCCCTGCCCTTGGCCTGCCAGCCTTCCCTTCCCCTGCAGGCTTTGCTGGGTCCCATAGGGTGAAGTATTGGAAAAAGCATGTGTTTGGGCTACAGAATGAAAGTTAGTCCCGGATCTGCCACTAACTAGCTGTAAGATCCAAGACAAGTCACTTCAATCCTCTGAGTCTGTTTCCACTCCTGGAAAATGCGAATAGTCATTCTCCTAATGAAGCTGCCATCATGATTTAATTAAATGAGACAAATAGGAAACTGTCCCTGACGCCTAGTAAGGACTTTTAGTCAATACACACATGTGTATCCCCCACCAGCCATAACTATTCCCCAAACCTGGCCCTGTTCCACTGCTGCTGGTCCTGGTGAATGGCACCTGTTGCCATCCAGAAAGCAAAGAATGGTTCCTGACTCCTTCCTCCAGCTTGTCTTCCAAGTTCAATCCATCACCAAGCAAGTCCTGTCAATTTTACTTCTCTGTTTAGGTCAGATACCAGCTCATAATACCATGTACCTTTGTCACTACTTTGAACAGTCGCAATTTTACATTTATGGGTGTTCTTATTCATGTTTATCTCCCCTCTCATCATCATATTCCCAATGCCTAGCACAGTGCCTGTCATGTAGTCAGGGGCTTGATAAACATTGTTGAATAGATGAATGAACTAGGGCTAAGTATTATTTCCATTAACTGGCAAGCCACTTGAGACTCAGAGAAGTTAAAAAATGTGCCCAGAGTCACACAGATGAACAGCCAAGCCAGGCTTTGAACTGGTATTTGTCTGATTCCAGAGTTGATGCTTTTCCCCCCAGTTTTATATATAATTGACAAATAAAGATGTATAAATTTAAGGTACAGAACATGAGGATTTGATGTACATATACACTTGTCCCTCAGTGTCCATGGGGGATTGGCTCCAAGACTCCCTATGGTTACCAAAATTCATGACTCCCCGTGGATACTAAAATTCATGAATGCCGAAGTCCCTGTTATAAAATGGTGTGGTATTTGCATATAACCTATGAACATCCTGGTGGATACTTTAAATCATCTCCAGATTACTTGTAATACCTAATCCAGCATAAATGCTACATAAATAGTTGTTATACCACATTGTTTAGGGAATAATGACAAGACAAAAAGTCTGTACATGTTTAGTACAGCTGCAACCATATATTTTTTAAAAAATATTTTAAATCCTGGTTTGACTGAATCCATAGATAAGGAACCCACAGATAATGAAGGGCTGACTGCATATTGCAAAATGATTACTATAATCAAATTGGTTAACACATTCATTACCTCACAAAGTTACCTTTTTTTGTGTGGCGAGAGCATTTACGATCACCTCTCTCAGCAAATTTCAAGTATACAAATACAGTATTGTTAACTATCATAATCATGCTGCATATTCAGTTCCCAGAATTTATTCATTTTATAACTGAGACTTTGTACACTTTGGCAGTGATAAAAATGCTATACCAACAGGTTGAGACATGGTACAGGTATGAAGTAGGGCAGGAGATCTCTAAAGTAGACTTTTGTATATCTTTCCTTTGGTCCTTCAATGAAATCCTTCCCCTTTTTTAGGTTAGGGGCTGTGTCAGTGTTTAAGTCAGGGTCAGGATTCTAGTCTGGTTGAGATAGGGTCTTCACTCTTTTCCATGTCAATGCCACTTTGACCTGGGCATAGTATAGGTATATGCGTGTGTATGGAGGGATCAAAGCAAAGAGACAGGCAGGCCTAGACCTGGTAAAATAGAGCAAGATACAGATCTACACAGACATGCTGCCCTGAAACCTGAAGGCAGTAGGGATGGGAGTGGGGGCTAGCACCATCTGGAAGACACACAGACATTCCTCAGGGCTCCATGCTCATTTCAAGTGGAAAATGAACGCTGAGAAAAGTGTTGGGGTGTCTGGGGTGGAAATGTGAGAGCACAATAGGAATAAGAAGTATATTCATTATGGAGAGCTTAGTGTGAGCGAGGCACTGTACTAGATGCTAGCTTAATCTTCACATCAACCCAGACAAGGAACTAAAGGTCAGAGTGGTTGACTTGTTTGAGATTCCACAGCCAGAGGGGATGGCAGAGCTAAGACTTAGACCCAAGTCTATTTCTACAGGGAAATTTGAAGGAAGAACAGAAGTCAAAGCCCAAGTCAGTTCTGCCCAAGAAAAGCACCAAGCCACAGGACTCCCTTCTCTGATGAACAGCTGTTGATGAACAGCTGGCGGTAATATCAATATGTCCTGTTGTGTTCCAGGGGTCTTCCACACTGGCTCAGCACCTATCCCTGTGCCACCTTCCCCTCTCACTCTGCCTCTCATCTTCAGCAAGTTCTGGATGCCCTAGTGTCTCAAAATGTTAAGGGCTACTCTCTGGGACTCCCCTCTGTCCTGGTATCTCTAGGACAGGAAAGTAAAGAAAGTTTAGAAATGCCACCCACAAATCAGAAGAATTTGAATTAAAGATAATTTTGTATCTATTCTAGCACAGCATTCTAATTTGGGTTTATATGGTCTTTAAGGTTATGAAATCGACGTGTACCAGAAATATTTAACTGCTGGCTCTACTACTTACCAACTCTGGGATCTTAGGCAAGTCACTTCCTTCCTCTGATCCTTTGGTTTCTCATCTGTGAATGGAAATCATCACTCCTTCCTTTCAGGGGCATTGGGAAAATAAGAGATAATATGTATAAAACACTCTTGCACTGCTGTGATTCATAACCAGCTGCATCCAGCATAACATCCTGTTTCAGCAGATCTTAATAGTTATTAATCAAATGTTAAAGGGCTTTCTTTATTTATTTAGACATTTCATTGTAAATACAATTAACAATCTTATTCTTTTCAGATGCAATCCCTAGTGAGCCTGATGATCAAACTTCTGAGCGATCAGATTCCTGAAAGAGCAGTCTCTCCATGACAAAAGATGGATTTGGAAATGAGAAAGCAATTTCTGTAAAACTTCTGCACCTGTGGTAGACTCAGAAACACACACAAGGCTATAAATGTCTTTATGCACTTATTAATTTTCCAATAAACATACTCAACAGTACACCTAATAGGGAAGTTCTGTGATTAATTTTTCAAACAATAAGAAAATAAATGATCAGAAAGGCTTACAGTCTCATAACTACAATCTGTCAGTATCAACATTTATAAATTAAAAGGCTTCATTTTCTCATGATCACTGGATGCTTGGCACACATATTGGCTGAAAAAATACAGAAAAAAAGCCTCATTATTCAACCTAGCTAAATATTAGAGACCACTTTTAAATGTTTTCATTTTTAATTTTTGTGGGTGTACATATTTATGGGGTGCATGAGATGTTGTGATACAGGCATGCAATGTGAAATAAGCACATCATGGAGAATGGGGTATCCATCCCCTCAAGCATTTATCCTTTGAGTTACAAACAATCCAATTACACTCTTTCCGTTATTTAAAAATGTACAGTTATTATTGACTATAGTTGCCCTGTTGTGCAATCCAATAGTAGGTCTTATTGATTCTTTCTATTTTTTGTACTTATTAACCATCCCCACCTCCCTCCACCCTCTCACTACCCTTTGCAGCCTCTGTTAACCATCCTTCTACTCTTTCCATGAGTTCCATTGTTTTGATTTTTAGATCCCACAAATAAGTGAGAACATGTGATGTTTGTCTTTCTGTGTTTGGCTTATTTCACTTAACATTATGATCTCTAGTTCTACCCATGTTGTTGCAAATGATAGGATCTCATTTTTTTTATGGCTGAATAGTACTTTATTGTGTATATGTGCCACATTTTCTTTATCCATTCATTGTTGATGGACACTTAGGTTGCTTCCAAATATTAGCTACTGTAAACAGTGCTGCAACAAACATAGGAGTGCAGATATCTCTTCAATATACTGAATTCCTTTCTTTTGGGTGCATACCCAGCAGTGGGATTGCTGAATCATATTGTCGCTCTAGGCTTAGTTTTCTGAGGAACCTCCAAACTGTTCTACACAGTGGCTGTGCTAATTTTCATTCCCACCAACAGTGTACAAAGGTTCCGTTTTATCCACATCCTCGTCAGCATTTGTTACTGCCTGTCTTTTGGATATAAGCCATTTTAACTGGGGTGAGATGACATCTCATTGTAGTTTTGATTTCCATTGCTCCAGTGATCAATGATGTTGAGCAGTGGTCCGATCTTGGCTCACTGCAACCTCTGCCTCCCGAGTTCAAGCGATTCTCCTGCCTCAGCCTCCCAAGTAGCTGGGTTCACAGGCGCCTGCCACCGTGGCAGGCTAATTTTTGTATTTTCAGTAGAGATGCGGTTTCGCCATGTTGGCGAGGCTGGTCTCAAACTCCTGACCTCAAGTGATCTGCCTGCCTCGTCCTCCCAAAGTGCTGGGATTACAGGCGTGAGCCACCACACCCAGCTGATGTTGAGCAACTTTTCATATGCCCATTTGCCACTGCACACCACTGGTTTGAGGGAGGTAGCCACTGTAGCTGAACATGATAAATAAGAATGGACTCACAGAAAGACACACAAGTGAACTGTAGCACCAGAACCACCATACACATTACTCACAACTCCAGGGGCAGTATTTACATATACTATGAAATGAAATGACATACTCTGGATTTATGCAGTGTGGTGGTCCTGTGCAGAACAATGGGGGAAAAGGGAAGATAAACAGATAGAAAATACATTCTCTAGACTATGTGGCTTGTTTGGGCTGGCCAGGGTCTAGCCTGACCATCCAGACCAGTCCATGGGTCTGCTCAGTGGGTGGAGTTATCTTTTTGTTATCTGTGCAGTTATAAGTTTTTCCAGAGTGGCCAATGATTCTAGTTTGTCAGTGTGTCTAGAGCAGACACACTGCAATCCCAGCCATTGGCCTTACCTCTGGATCTCTCCTGTACCTTTCCTAGGCCTCTATGATGTTTCTCCAGCTGGATGTACAAGCTGAGAGTGGTCATGGTTGTCCCTGGAGCAGAGAAGGTTTCAGGGTGTCTCAACAATTCTTTCTGGGACTTAGGCTCCTTCGGCCCTAGCAACGTCCCTTTGGCCTGGCCCCTTAACGGAACTGTCTCCAGTGGGAGGCAGGATGTAGCCAGCTTTGGAAAGAGGCCCAGCCCACTCCAGCATGTACTCTGGGTGAGGTGGGCAAAAGGGCTCCCCCTCCCATAACCACAGTTTCCCTGAAAACCAGCCTCTCAACTCAATACAGCTCTGTCTGCTACATGACCTCTGTGGACCCAATATCTGCCTTATCTAACCTTCAGGCCTTGTATAGAAAGACACCTGCACATGTATATTTATTGCAGCCTAATTCACAATTGCAAAGATATGGAACCAACCTAAGTGCCTATCAATCATTGAGTGGATAAAGAAAATGTGGTATATATACACCATGGAATACTACTCAGCCTTAGAAAGGAACAAAAGTAATGTCTTTTGTAGCAACTTGGATGGAACTGGAGGCCATTATTCTAAGTGAAGTAACTTAGGAATAGAAAGCCAGTTACCGCATGTTCTCACTTATAAGTAGGAGCTAAGCTATGGATACATAAAGGCACACAGAGTGGTATAATGGACTTTGGAGACTCAGAAGGGGGAGAGTGGGGGCGAAGATAAAAAACCACATATTGGGTACAATGTACGCTACTTGGGTGACGAGTGCACTAAAATCTCACAATTCACCACTATATAACTCATTCTTGCAACCCAAAACCACTTGTGCCACAAAAGTTATTGAAATAAAAACATATTTTAAAAAAGAAAGATCACATAGGTCAGTTATGTGACAGTCTTGAGTAAGCAGCGTTCTGGAGTCAGACACTCTGGATTCAAGCAACTTCTTTGTCACCTACCCAGTTGCTTCACTTTTCTAAGTCTTGGTTTTCTTGTCTATAAAATGAAGTAAAAATAATATGTACTTTGTAGGATTGTTGGTAGGATTAGAAGACACAATTAATGTAAACTACAGTATAACCGTGGGCAAATTACTTAGCTTCTCTCTGCCTCAGTTTCCTTATCTCTAAAGTGGGAAAAATAGTAGTGTCTACCTCATATATAGGAATGTTATGAAAATTAAATAAATTGAAATTTGCAAAGCAGTATAGAAAGATTGGCACAGAGTGTTTGTTAAGTAAGCAAATGTCAGGTGCCTCCTCAATCATTCCACATAGATCTATCAATTACCTACTCTGTGCCAGTCATCTTTCTAGTCAGAAAGGATGTAGAAATGAATAAAATCAACAAGATTCCCTACAGAGTCTAGTGGGGGAAGACAAACAGTAAATAGGCCAGCAATAAAATAAATAAGACAAATATTAAAGTAATGATTTCCAGGAAGGAAATGAAACAAGGTAATAGGAAAGAGAGTAATGGGGGAAAAGGCACAGGGCACCATTCCATAAGGTGGTGTCTTAGTCCATTTAGCGTTACTGTACCATAATACCTTAGATTGGGTAATTTATAAAGAAAAGAGGTTCAGTTATCTCACAGTTCTGCAGGCTGGGTAGTTCAAAGGCATGACCCTGGCTTCTAGCAATACCTTGCATGCTATGTCATAACATGGTTGGGAAGGTCAAAGGGGAAGCAGACATGAGAGGGAAAACCTGAAGGGCATCCAGGCTTTACAACAATCCACTCTTGGGGAAACTAATCCATTCCTGTGGGAACTAATACAGTCTTGCAAGAGCAAGAACTCACTCACTACTGTGAAAACAACACTAAGCCATTCATGAGAGATCTGCCGCCACGACCCACACACCTCCCTCTAGGCCCCACCTCTCAACTCTGCCTCTTTGGGTATCAAATTTCAATGTGAGTTTTGGTGGGGACAAACAATCCATAACTATAGCAGCTAGTCAGGGAAGGCCTTTATTAGGAGGTGACATTTAGCTAACACCCAGGTACAAAACCAGAGACAGATATTGGGAGATAGTCTTCCAGGCAGAGGAAAGAGATAGTGCAAAGGTCCTGAGGTATGGTTGGAATAGTGTAAGGGAGAAACTAGTGGGTGATGAAGGCAAAGAGGGAGACAAGAGGCCTGATCATGCAAGGCCCTGGGGTTCATGTAAAGGAGTTTAAGTTTTATTATAGCTGAATCAGGAAACCAATTTCATAGACCGACCACTTGTTTTATATTTGGCGGAACTGAGGCCCAGTGAGGGGAAGCAATGGTCAAAGATCACACAAAGAATTGGTAGCAAAACTAGGATTATTACTGAGCTTCCCTCATTCTCCAGCATCTTGCACTTTATTCTCAGACATGTCATACCATATCATATGATATCATATAACATTGCAAATTGGCTGAATGCAGTTTCTACGAATGAAACTGATTACCCGAAAATGCATTTCAGGTTATTTATCCAGCAATTCCTACCCTGCACATGCTAGTGCTCAATCCCAGGCCAGCCAGACATTGGTAAGTGCCACAGAGTTTCTGCACAGAGAGGCACTGAAAGTGGCCAGCTCAGCCCTTCCCCTTCCAGCCACCTGAGAAAGAGCAGAAATTTTTGCATTAGTGTAGGAGTCTCATAGGAGGAACCTGAAAGGAATTCCTGCACACAAACAAGAAGATGAAGTATCTGTCCTCTGGAGGTCATTTTGACATGGGGAATTAGGCTGAAGCCTTGTGTGTTCATTCCTTAATCAAGAAGAAGAACATTTATCTGTAAGGAAATGCCATCTCAGATGGTACAGTACAGCTTTAGCCAAAGAAGGGCATCACAGTCCAGCATTAGCCAAAAAATAGCAACAGTTTAGCAGCCTGGACTGCTCGTTCCTTCAGGTTACTGTGGCCATCTCCTTGCTGGCCATAAGAGAGAAATGCTCTATTTTTATAATGCTCCACTAGTTAAATCAAGCCCATCTAAGACATTCTGCCGTTCCCTTTCCCGAGCTTATATAATCTGGCTTTTTCAAAAAAATTCTGACAAATACTTTTTTATAACAAAAAGCAAATAAGTTTAGAGTGCATGAGGGGTAGGAATGATTTAGCTTACAAAATATTGCTTTATGATGTGTTTTCTTTTCTGATTATTTAAATAATATATTTACTTTGTAGACCACTATGAAATTAAAGGACTATAAAGAAGAAATTTAAAATCACCTGTAACTACACAACCCAGCGATAACCATTTGTAGTTTTTAATTGTCCTTTTCTTATGTACAGAAAACATTAAATAATTAAGATTATATTGTATATACAAATGTGTATCTCGTTTTCCTTATTTAAAATTGTGACTTTTCTCAATTCATTAGTCCTATAAAAGTATGATTTCACTAATTGCTATATAATATTCCAATAGAAACATATTTCATAATCTATATAACCCAACCTTTAGTGTAACAATTTACAAAGTGTGAAGACATTAGTAGCGTTTGTTTAAAAAAAAAAAAAGTATAAAAAATGATCCATAGTTGTGAGTTTCAAACCCTGTTTCTAACAGAACTTTACATTTTTTTTAGCATGACTCATCTCAGAGCCTTATTACACTAATGTATATTGGACTCTCGACGGGAATATAGCACGCAGCGTTTCCTGTTTGTATATGCGGAGCATTTTATTGGACTGATGCTCTATAGAACAAACATAGTGAGATACCGCCCCAGTGTGGACATTTAGGATGTTGCAGTATTTCACTCTGCAGTAACCATACTTGGCATGGACATTTTTGTGTATTCATCTGGCTGTTTCCTTAAGAGAGATTCATAGGAAAGAAACTATTGGGCCAAAAAAACACAGAGTTCTGATTCTACCCTAGCTACCTTTTTCTCTGGGTCTCCATGGGCCCCACTCCACAAGGGATCTCAAGAAAAACAGACTCTCAGGTCGACTGAGTATTTTTCTGCTCAGCACAAAGCCTGCCTCATTGTAGTAGAGGTTTGTTGTTTTGTTTTTGGTTTTTCCAAATAAACTATTTTTATTCTAGAACTGTTTTTGGTAAAAGCTGGTAAGATAGTATAAGGAGCTCCCATATACCCAACATCCTGTTTCCCCTATTATTAACATCTTACATTAGTATGGTACATTTGTCATAATTAGTGAACTGATATTAATAATGCATTATAATTAACTAAAGTCCATGCTTAATTTATATTTCCTTAGTTTTTACCTACTGTCCTTTTTCAGTTCCAGGATCCAATCCAGGATACCACATCACATTTGACCATAATATCTCCTTAAGTTCCTCTTGGCTGTGATGGTTTTTTTAGTCACTTCTTGTTTTTGATGACCTTACAAGTTTTGAGTAGTGATGGTTAGGTATTTTGCAGAATGTCCCTCAATTGAGACTTGTCTGATATTTTTTTCATGACCAAACTGGGGTAATGTGTTTTTGGCAGGAGGACCTCAGAGGTCAAGCGACATTCTCATTCACATCATATCACGAGTATACACTATTAATATAACATGTCACTATTGTTGTTAACCTTGATCAACTAGCTTGAGATAATGTTTGTCAAGTTTGTCCATTGTAAGGTTGCTCTTTCTCCCCTTTCCATAATGAATGGAAAGTTACTACACAGTGCCTAGACTTAAGGGGTGGGAGTTATGCTCCATTGTTGAGGTCATTTTTAAATAGAAGCTATAGTTATCTATTTGTGCATCATTCTTTAGATGAATTCTTTGGGCCCATTAAGTATACAGGGTGTCATGGTTGTATTAAATCCAGTCCTTCTCCTCTAAGAACTTAATATCTATTTGGGAACTTTGTCTAGGGATGATATTATACAGGCACAATGTATTATAGCATTGACAACTGCAAATGGTGATTTTCTGGAATTCAGAATCTTCCTCAGGCTATAGAGAAAAGCAGGCATCAAAAAAGTATATGACAATGAAGATATTCACTTGCGAGTAAAACAAGTATAACTGATAAAAGTTATTTTAAAAACGAACAACCATTTAAAAGTCTCTCAAAATTGTCCTAAGGCAAGACTGCAAGTGAGGAAATATTTATTTAAGAAAATCTACTAAATCTTGACAAGAACAGTAAGAGTTTGTTGCACTTGAGCCATAACCCATTCCTTCCATCTCCCCTCCCCAGCTAAGCATGAAAGAAACTTCATTCTGGGTACATAAGGCCAAGATGACAAGGCTTCCTCTCCCTTCAGCTCCCGGTCAAGTGACTCAATATCTCACAGGAGGGCAAGCCACCAGTATTTATCATCACCCCCCACCACTTCACCATGAGTTGCAGAGATGAGTGTAGCCAAGAAAAATGCTGATGTATTCCTTTCTCCACCCAGACACAATCATAGGGCAGAGGCTCTACCCCCAGGTATGAAAGGATAAGAATACTGAGGCACTAATTGTCCTTGCCCCATCTCACTCATAGGGCAGAGGTTCAATTCTGGGAGAGCCAAGCTGAGAAAACCTGAGTCTACTGCCCCTGCCAAACAGCCTCGTCATAAAGCATGAATATCATTCCAAGAAAAGTGGGCCACTGTCCTTGCACCCAGCTCTGGAGTTGTGGCTCACAGATTTTGGCTCAGCAGCAGAGGCAGGTCATAAGGACAGACAGCTCTGAAGCTCTCCCTAAAGTAAATAACTTTATTTGAAACAGACTGGAGAAGTTCAAACCTAAGGGCACTTTCAAAAACAATGGATATTTGGTGGTAAGCAATTAAGAAGAGGCTGAGAATTCTCTTAATTAAGATCAACCACTTAAAACATAGGCAAACTAGCTCACCAGAGAGAACCAGAGAAGGAGACAGCAAAGATGAACCCTCCTGAGATCTGAACAAACCTCAAAGACTTGCCTCAAGTACTATCTGTGAAAAGGGTCCTAGATTTAATTGGATTTATCTGTGAAACAATTTATATCCCAGGACTTTGTCAAAAACAATAAAGCAATCACCCAGCAAGTAGTGAAACTTCGCAGCTGGGTATGATTCCAAACAATGCACATAGCTTGACAGAGAGATGGAGAAAGAGAGCTGCAATAAAACCACTGGCATCCTAGGGTGATGGTGCACGTGCCCAAGGCTGTGCTCTCTGAAGATCAACACTGAAGACTTCACACTGAGGGAGAAATTGATTTCACTAAAATAGTTTAATCAAGTCACTAAACAAGCAAATAATGGCAAAAAGAAGCCTCGGAGAGAGAGAAGGGAAATCAATATCTAGTTGCTGCAAGATGTTACCTAAAATGCCCAATTTTCAACAAAAAATAAATAGGAGACAACTAAAGAAACAGAAGAAAGTCAATCATATGTATGGAACAAAAGCAGGCAACAGAAACAATCTGTGAGTGGGCCCAGATGTTGGATTTGACAAAGATTCTAAAGCTGCCATCAGAAATGTGTTTAAAGAACTAAAGGAAACCATGTTTGAAAAAGTAAAGGGGAAAAATTGCAGAGTAGGAATCTCCAAAACTCCTCTTCTCCATAAAAGTAATGGGAAAACTAGCAAAAATTGTCAGAAGCAAATTTTTCAGAACTCTAGAAATTATCCAAGAGTTTCCAGCAATCTGAGGTGCATTTATTCAAGAAAAATGGCTGAATCTCAGTAAGAAGAGTGAGATTGTGGTGTTTTTACTTGTCCTAGTCCAATTCCCTACACTCTAGCACAACAGTAGGCTTGAAAAATCATAATCTGCATTCATGGTGAAAACCAACATCCTGACAGACACCAGAGAGAGCCGAAAGGAGCTGGAACTCTTTCCAATAATTATTCCCAAAGAATTGTCATTATTCAACCTGTCTGGTGGTTCCCAGGAAATGCCACTTGTAAGGTTGTCTGTATTTAACCTGATTCAGCACTCTCCCAGTGTGAAAGCCTTCCACCTGGGAGCATTTATCAAAAACAATTCCAAGCAATTTATTAGCGCTGCTGCTGCATAAGATGGTGAGTAACAGTTGAGGCAAACAATAGAGTGACCAAAAATCTTAAAAGTTAAAACTAGGGAGTGAGATATTCATAGGGACTTTGAAAAGCTTTTGACAAGGATGCCAAGACAACTAAATAAAATAATAGTCCTTTCAACAAATGGTGCTGGGGAAAATGGACTTGACATTCATAAGAATGATGATTACATCTACGTTTTCTCCTAAGAGTTTTATCTTTTTAGCTGTTGCATAAAAGCATTTAATTTATCTTGAGTTAATTTTTATGTATAGTGTGTGGTAGAGGTCTGTCCTGGTCCATTTTGTGCTGCTATAACAGAATACTACAAAGTAGATCATTTATAAATAATAGAAATTTATTTCCTCACAGATCTGAGAGCTAGGAAGTCCAAGATCATGGGGCTGACATCTGGCAAAAGCTTTCTTGCTGTATCATCCCATGACAGAAAGTGGAAGAGCAGGACAAGGCGAGAGAAAGCAAGAGATCAAACTTACAGCCTTAACCCCTTTTATAATTAGCATTAATCCATTCATAAGGGCTCCACCCTCATGATCTAAATATCTTCCATTAGGCTCCACCTCCCAATTTTGTTGCATTAGGGATTAAGTTTCCAACACATGCTTTTTGGGGGACACATTCAAACCACTGCAAGGTCTAACTTCATTCCTTTGAATGTGATAATCTAGTTATCCCAGTAACAATGGGCTGGATTGGGAGGCAAGCACAAAAATGTCAGGAGAATAGGGATAAAAGTGCTACCCAGAGAGAAGGAGAAAGACATGAAAAGGAATTTTCAACCATGAACAGCAGCCTACACTGACCAATTAACAAACCAATAACTTAGGCCTCAAGTACTAGAGTGGAAATATACCTCAGTGGTTAAAATAATAGGTTCTACACTCGGACTGTCTGGATTCAAATCCTAACTCTACCACTTGCTGTGTGACCTCCTCGTGTCTCCATTTCCCCTTTTGAACAATAGAGATAGTGCTAATACTTACCCCATAGTGTTACTGAGACAATTAAGACATGAGGCTTAGAAAGTGACTGATGCATAGTATGGGCTCAAGAAACATTAGCTCTTAATGTGTATCTGCTGTGCACACCAACCTGGAGTCCTATATGTACCATCCCTTTGAAGGGGATTATGGTTGACATCTTCTTACTTCATATTCAACAAATACTTTGTGTCAGACACCACCCCAGGTACTGTGGGAAATACAAAGATGAATAAGCTAGGTCCATGGCTTCAATTACCATTTACTTGTTAACAACTCTGAAATCTATAACTCCAGCTCACACATGATCTTTCCTGCACTCCATATACATCAACTGATTCTTGTTGAACCTCTCTACCTGAATTGCCAATAGGTACCTCCATGTCACCACATCAAAAACAAAACAAAAAAACAACCTTACTTCCACATAACTCCCAACCCTACCTCTTCCCCTGTATTCTCTATTGAAATTAATGGCATCATTTTCACCGAGTTGCCCCACCTAGATATCTAGGAATCTTTCTGGAGGCCTTGCTGACTCCCCATATCCTACCAAACACTAAACTGATTGATTGTACCTATTACACAGTATCGTCATAATCCTGAAGGACACAATTCCAAATGCCATAATTCCGAATGTTGGAATCCCAAAAGATCAAAATTCCTAAAATCTAAAAACCCTAACATCTAAAAGCCTGAAAATTATAATCCTGAAAGATTAAAATGCCAAATACTGAAACCCTGAAAGCTGAATTCTAGGGAAGAGATTAGTGAATTTTTGGTTGTATATAGGATACTTGCATCATGTTAGGTGGAACTATTACCTTGTTATTGTCTTTATTTGGAAATTAAGTGTGATTTAAGGAGATACATGTGGGTGTCAGTTCCCCTAATGAATTCTCTCTCAAGTATTTATATATGTATCCCATCGGTTCTGTCCCTCTGGAGAACCCTGACTAATACAGATTTAGTATTGGGGGAGCTAAATGTCATTCCTTCTTACTGTACTCCTTATGACACAATAGAAGAGACCTGAAAAAAAATGATCCTTTGCAAAAAGGCCGTGAGAAGTATACAAGGCTACTTAATGGTGAAAGATAAAAGTTTAAAAGCGAATTACTATTGGTGCTGCAAAAGCAGAAAATAATTTCAACAGCTGAGCAATTATCAGACTTTAAGTGGACAGCATATACTTAGGAAATGCATAGGCCACAACCACTCTCTAAATACAAGTGCAACAAGTGTTTCAGAGATCGTAGAAGTGAAAATGCAGGCAAAAAAATACAAGAAATCTGCTTTGTCAGATTATTCAATTATGTATGACTTGTGTCCCTTCTCACACAGTGCCAATTCACCATACTATGTATTTCATATTTGCATCATTTCTAATACTGAAAGTATAATTGTGTAAAGATTTTAGAGAGTTTTAATGTGTTGTATGCATTTTTTTTGCAAATTTGACTCCACAAAACTGCATTATCACAACCCTGACTTTGTGTATAAGCATTGTGTATGTATGTGAAAACATTGAAACTTCCTCAATAAATGAAGAGATGCCCTTTTTGTATATATGCATTTGTGAAAGGTAAAATTTCTTGAGATCTCAGCTTTTTGGGTAACTATATGCGGTGGTGACCCATGGCAGTTTTTGAATGATCTTGTCAAGACTTATGCTGTCCCTTATAGTATTTCAGAAGACCACAGTTATAAAGCTGGGTGAAAACAATTACTAACTATAGTAATATGCATTTATGTATTTTGCTTTTTGATCTCTTTATGAATACGGTTCATCTTCTCATAACTTTTATACCCATGTGACTACTGTTAGTGTACCTGAATGTTTATGTTTGCAAAAATATACACGTTATTTTTGCCCATTTTATTGTGTAAAGTGGCCAGCCTATGAAGTGTTCTGTCATGATTTCATGTGTTTCTCAAATAAATCACCCTTTAAAATGTAAATAAATGTATTTAAAATAATTTTAAAATTATTTCCCCCAGAATTATCTTTTCAGGATTTTGATCTTTTGGCAATGTGATTTTTGAGATTTTATAGACTTCAGAGATTGTGGTCTTTCAAGATTTCAACATTGGGATTATGGCTTTTGGGATTGTGTCTTCTGATATTATGACCCAAACCCTTCTCATTCACATTTCTCAACACCCCTTGCAGTTACCCTACTCACCATTGTTACTTGCCTGGATTATTCTAATGTAATACTTGTGCTCTCTCCAATACATTCTCCAAGTGAACAGCTGCAATGAGCATTTGAAAAATACACACACACACTTAAAAACCATCTGTGGAACAAAGTGTAAATCCTTTAGTCTGGCCAACAAAGCCTTTACCTTCCTCTCAAGTCTTATGTTAGCCATGACCTACTCCACTCCCCTGACACCTTCATTTCTACCATTTCAGCCAGACTGCCCTCCCTTCACTTTTTCCATGGTGTCAATCTTTTTCCAGCCTCAATACATTCCCTATGCTGTTTCTCTACCCCCACAACTAATTTGTACTAGTCATTCAAGTTTCAGGTAAAATAACACATCATGAGAGATTTCTTCCCTAATTCCTCAGATTAGGTCAGACTTCCCAGTTAAACAATTTTATTCCCTAACACTTATCATGTACGTTTAATGTCTATCTTCCTTATTAGACTGTAAGTGCACTAGGACAAGGACCATGCTTTAGTCACTGCTGTAGTCCCAAATACCTAGCACAGTGCCTTTGCACTCAGTAGATGCTCAACAAAAATTTGGGTTGAAAAAAGAAGGAAGGGAGGGGAAGAGAGATTAAGGGAGGAAAAAAGGGTGGAGGCAGGACAGGGAAACATTGTAAGAGGTAGGAAATAGATAAAACATGTTCCTTGACCTTGGGGAGCTTCTAGAGCCAAGTATAAGGTCACGTAAGTAGACAATTTTATACAGGGGTAGAAGTGCTATGGCAGAGGTGTGTACATGGTGATAGAGGAATTCAGAAGAAGGGACTACCCTGTCTAGGATCTCAGGAAAGGCTAGACAAAGGAGATGACATATGAAATGGCTCTTTTTTTAGCAGCTTTATTGATATATAATTCACATACCACACAATTTTAAAGTCTAAAATTTAATAGATTTTAGTATATTCACAGAAACGTGTAGCCATCACCACAATCAATTTTAGGACATTTTCGTCACATCTGAAAAGAAGCCCCTACCCATTAGCAATCACTCCCATTGCCCCTTCCCCCCAGATCCTGGAAATCACTAATCTATTCATTGTCTCTATATAAATTTGCCTATTCTGGATATTTCATATAAATTGAATCATACTACATATGGCTTTTTGTGTCTCACTTCTTTCACTTAGCATAATGTTTTCAGGGTTCATCCTTGTTGTAGCATGTATCAGTATTTCATTCTTTTTATGGCTGTATTATATTCTAGTGCATGAATATACCAGATTTCATGTATTCATTCATTAGTTGATGGACATTTGGAATTTTTCCACCTTTAGGCTATTATGAACAATACTGCTGTAAACGACTTGTGTACAAGCTTTTGTGTGAACACACTTGTTTGTGTATAGAAGGCTCTCAATAAACATTTTTTCAATAAATGAATAAATGAGTGTATACATAAAGTAGCTATTACGGTGCTCAGCAAAAACAGATGTTTAGTAAATATTAGTTGCCACTGCTGTTGTCGTTACTGTCATCATCATTATTACTAGAACTGAGCTACATCTATAAAATGGAAATTTTAAAATTCTTCATTTGCTGTGAGCATACTAGATCTGGTCCAACAACAAAAACAAATGGTATATGGGACAACTAACTAGTTGAGTGGCCTTAGGTAGGTCACATCTCCTTCTTTCTCAGATTCTCAGGCTTATTCATATATGCGCATGGCAGTATTGTATGGCAGTTCCGTGCACAGGCTCTGGAGCTAATGCCTGAGTTTAATACCAAGTTTTGTCTTTTGCTAGTGATGTGACCTTGGATAAGTTACTAATCTTTTTAATCCTGTTCCCTTATCTGTAAAATGAAGACAATAATAGTATCTAACTCCACAGAGTAGTTTTGATGATTAAATGAGATGGTGCAGGTAAAATGCTTAGCATAGGACCTGGCAAAGAGACAACATTCTAATGATAACTGTGACCCAAAGCCTCAGCCTCTGGTGGATCCTGCAAGAAAGCCCTCATCTAACCACAGCAACTCAGGTCGGTGGGTGGAAAACTGCCAACTCTCACGTGCTGCGCCTAACTTGAAGATTCTGGAGTGTCTCTGCAGCAAACAGCGCTCCTGGTAATTTAAGAACTACTTTCTGGTGGTCCATTTCTTCCCACTGTCAGGGCTTCATAATCTGAGCCAATGCAAAATGTCAGGGAAAATTGCATGTTGATGCACATCCCACAACTCCGGACCTTCCTCCATCAAAATATCATGATGTGTGGCTGTAAAGCCCAAGATAAATCATTCGGGCACTGTTGCTGTTCAAGATTATCTGCAAACATGTTCTACTCCATCAGAGGAAATAATTAAAATCTCACATATTTCCTTATAGCAATATTCTTTTGCACTTGATTCAGTTGGATGATTATGATGATAATTCCTTACATCTGTATAGCTTGATGGCTTTCAAAGAAATTTCACGTTAGTCACTTGGAAGGACATAACCAACTGTGGGAAGGGGAGGGTTGGAGACATTCAGTCACTTTGCAACTGAATAAACAAATGTCTCAGACCTCCTGATTTTAGTCTGGAGTATTTATCTGTGGTATCCTAACTCCCTGGGGAGGACTAGATCATTTACTCCTCTCAACAGCTATAAATTGATCTCTTCATCTTGTAACCAAATCTCCCTACTCTCCCACCTAGCAAATTTTGCCTACCTTCTGAGTAATCCATATCTGACCCTCAGCATGGGCGACCCTGCTGGATTATTGATGCTCTCATTCCTTTCTCTCACCACCTCTGCATGCAAACTGCACCCCATCCCTCTCTGTCTTGATCTCTGCCAGTTTAACCCATTTGTCAATTTTCAATCTTTAGTTATCACTCCCCACCCAGGTGCTTATTATAAGCTGCCAGTACATTTCCATCTCGTCCATCTTCTCAGTCTCTGAATCTACCACATGAAAGGTCATATTTCTCTATTCCAATTTCTGCTAATGGCCTTAACAACACTTAATGGGAACAGAAAAGGATTTCACCTTTCCAAAGGTGTCGATCAACTTTCAACAAGTTCCCAATTAATTCTGACTGTGCTTCCAAGGATTAATTGGACAGAACTGTTGATGTCCACTACCCTGGCGCTGCTTCGTGACATGCAATGTCCTGCTGGATACTTTCTGCTGTCTGAGGGCCACTTGTAGACTGGTGAGTTATATTTAATCATAATCATCCTGCTTGACAAATGGCCTTAGGGGGCCAGTCATCTCCCAAGAACATTAGCTGTCCTCTTGCAATTGATTGGCACCCCAGAGCTACCGCACCCCTCTCCTTTTGTGACAAAGCCCAGATCAGACTTCCTAAACTCAGGAGTTGGCAAACATTCCCAGTGCTCTGCCACAGTTCTTGTGTATTTGGAGGATTTGAAGCAAGGAAAGGTGATCCACATGCAGCGCTCACTGAGTTGGCAGTAGGAGGCTGGGAAAATGGAGCAGTATATGCATGGAGACTTACAAAGATGCCTTTTAGTTTTTGCGATCAGGGTTGCGGGACAAGATCAGCAATAGCTCTTAAGAGTTGTTCAGAGGGGCTGCACGTGTCCAGCACGACATTTTGGACACACGTTTCTTGTCCACTGTCCCAGTGTCTGCCCATTAAACAACTGGTTCCTGCAGACATAAGGTAGAGATCACTGAAGAGAAAGTGTATCCATTTGTTGTGTTAGACCTCTTGCAAATCCATAGGGAAACAAGTTAAAGACAGTCTGTGCCCTCCAGCACCATAGTCAAATCAAGAAGATAGACAAGTAAGTAATTATATTTAGAAAACAATGAGAAAATAACTATTAAAAGGGGAAATACAGGGTGCTGTGAGAACACAAAAGAGGGGTACCTAATCTGTACTTGGGAGAGCAGTAAGGATCTCTTTGAAGAAGTAACAACTGACAGAGAGCCTCTCCTTAATCCAACTTTAGTCGGGCTCTGATGAATCCTCTTCCCAACTAGGCCTTGACTCTTGAACTTCTATGCGTTGTACAATTTTAGCAAGTATCCCGCTCATTGGTTTAGCCAGAACTCCCCATCTTCAATATCTGATCACCCTCAACATCTTATTGAGTTCTTCAACCTCCATCACCCCTCAGGTGATGTTTGATCACCCTGGCCTATCTTCAGCAAGAATCCTGTTAGGTCAGATTAGCCAGGATCCCATCTGACCCCTGATGTTTCCTCTTAGTAATTTTCCATCCACTGACCATCCCACTGCTGCTCGGCTATAAATCTCCACTTTTCCTTGTTGTATTCAGAGTTAAGCTCAATCCTTTTTGCCTACTGCAAAACCTCACTGTGGTAGTACCTAGGTCTATCACTACAGTCCACATGAATAAAGTCTGCCTTACCATTCTTTAACTGGTTTCACGAATCATTTTTTCTTTTTTTTTTTTTTTTTTTTGAGAAATGAAATGTCATTTTATTCAGCTGGGAACATTACCTAACATCCTGTTATGAAAGAAAAAAGAAATTTGAGTAGATAATTTGCAATCTTTGTCATTTTTTATAATACTATGATTTATGATTTCTTTCTTTCTCTCTCCCTTCCTTCTCCCCATTCTCTTTGCTTCTCTTTCTCCTTCTCTCGTCTTTCTCGCTTTCTTACCAAGTGAGGAAATAGAGATGGCCACTTCCAAGGTACTGGATCAAGATTATGTCTATTCTCAATCCAAATTTTTTGTCTTTTTAAACTATATGTCTTTTTTTTTATTATTATACTTTAAGTTTTAGGGTACATGTGCACATTGTGCAGGTTAGTTACATATGTATACATGTGCCATGCTGGTGCGCTGCACCCACTAACTCGTCATCTAGCATTAGGTATATCTCCCAATGCTACCCCTCCCCCCTCCCCCCACCCCACCACAGTCCCCAGAGTGTGATATTCCCCTTCCTGTGACCATGTGATCTCATTGTTCAATTCCCACCTATGAGTGAGAATATGCGGTGTTTGGTTTTTTGTTCTTGCGATAGTTTACTGAGAATGATGGTTTCCAATTTCATCCATGTCCCTACAAAGGACATGAACTCATCATTTTTTATGGCTGCATAGTATTCCATGGTGTATATGTGCCACATTTTCTTAATCCAGTCTATCATTGTTGGACATTTGGGTTGGTTCCAAGTCTTTGCTATTGTGAATAATGCCGCAATAAACATACGTGTGCATGTGTCTTTATAGCAGCATGATTTATAGTCACTTGGGTATATACCCAGTAATGGGATGGCTGGGTCAAATGGTATTTCTAGTTCTAGATCCCTGAGGAATCGTCACACTGACTTCCACAATGGTTGAACTAGTTTACAGTCCCACCAACAGTGTAAAAGTGTTCCTATTTCTCCACATCCTTTCCAGCACCTGTTGTTTCCTGACTTTTTAATGATTGCCATTCTAACTGGTGTGAGATGGTATCTCATAGTGGTTTTGATTTGCATTTCTCTGATGGCCAGTGATGATGAGCATTTTTTCACGTATTTTTTGGCTGCATAAATGTCTTCTTTTGAGAAGTGTCTGTTCATGTCCTTCGCCCACTTTTTGATGGGGTTGTTTGTTTTTTTCTTGTAAATTTGTTTGAGTTCATTGTAGATTCTGGATATTAGCCCTTTGTCAGATGAGTACGTTGCGAAAATTTTCTCCCATGTTGTAGGTTGCCTGTTCACTCTGATGGTAGTTTCTTTTGCTGTGCAGAAGCTCTTTAGTTTAATTAGGTACCATTTGCCAATTTTGGCTTTTGTTGCCATTGCTTTTGGTGTTTTGGACATGAAGTCCTTGCCCACGCCTATGTCCTGAATGGTAATGCCTAGGTTTTCTTCTAGGGTTTTTATGGTTTTAGGTCTAACGTTTAAATCTTTAATCCATCTTGAATTGATTTTTGTATAAGGTGTAAGGAAGGGATCCAGTTTCAGTTTTCTACATATGGCTAGCCAGTTTTCCCAGCACCATTTATTAAATAGGGAATCCTTTCCCCATTGCTTGTTTTTCTCAGGTTTGTCAAAGATCAGATAGTTGTAGGTATGCGGCGTTATTTCTGAGGGCTCTATTCTGTTCCATTGATCTATATCTCTGTTTTGGTACCAGTACCATGCTGTTTTGGTTACTGTAGCCTTGTAGTATAGTTTGAAGTCAGGTAGTGTGATGCCTCCAGCTTTGTTCTTTTGGCTTAGGATTGACTTGGCGATGCGGGCTCTTTTTTGGTTCCATATGAACTTTAAAGTAGTTTTTTCCAATTCTGTGAAGAAAGTCATTGGTAGCTTGATGGGGATGGCATTGAATCTGTAAATTACCTTGGGCAGTATGGCCATTTTCACGATATTGATTCTTCCTACCCATGAGCATGGAATGTTCTTCCATTTGTTTGTATCCTCTTTTATTTCCTTGAGCAGTGGTTTGTAGTTCTCCTTGAAGAGGTCCTTCACATCCCTTGTAAGTTGGATTCCTAGGTATTTTATTCTCTTTGAAGCAATTGTGAATGGGAGTTCACTCATGATTTGGCTCTCTGTTTGTCTGTTGTTGGTGTATAAGAATGCTTGTGATTTTTGTACATTGATTTTGTATCCTGAGACTTTGCTGAAGTTGCTTATCAGCTTAAGGAGATTTTGGGCTGAGACGATGGGGTTTTCTAGATAAACAATCATGTCGTCTGCAAACAGGGACAATTTGACTTCCTCTTTTCCTAACTGAATACCCTTTATTTCCTTCTCCTGCCTGATTGCCCTGGCCAGAACTTCCAACACTATGTTGAATAGGAGCAGTGAGAGAGGGCATCCCTGTCTTGTGCCAGTTTTCAAAGGGAATGCTTCCAGTTTTTTCCCATTCAGTATGATATTGGCTGTGGGTTTGTCATAGATAGCTCTTATTATTTTGAAATACGTCCCATCAATACCTAATTTATTGAGAGTTTTTAGCATGAAGGGTTGTTGAATTTTGTCAAAGGCTTTTTCTGCATCTATTGAGATAATCATGTGGTTTTTGTCTTTGGCTCTGTTTATATGCTGGATTACATTTATTGATTTGCGTATATTGAACCAGCCTTGCATCCCAGGGATGAAGCCCACTTGATCATGGTGGATAAGCTTTTTGATGTGCTGCTGGATTCGGTTTGCCAGTATTTTATTGAGGATTTTTGCATCAATGTTCATCAAGGATATTGGTCTAAAATTCTCTTTTTTGGTTGTGTCTCTGCCCGGCTTTGGTATCAGAATGATGCTGGCCTCATAAAATGAGTTAGGGAGGATTCCCTCTTTTTCTATTGATTGGAATAGTTTCAGAAGGAATGGTACCAGTTCCTCCTTGTACCTCTGGTAGAATTCAGCTGTGAATCCATCTGGTCCTGGACTCTTTTTGGTTGGTAAACTATTGATTATTGCCACAATTTCAGCTCCTGTTATTGGTCTATTCAGAGATTCAACTTCTTCCTGGTTTAGTCTTGGGAGAGTGTATGTGTCAAGGAATTTATCCATTTCTTCTAGATTTTCTAGTTTATTTGCATAGAGGTGTTTGTAGTATTCTCTGATGGTAGTTTGTATTTCTGTGGGATCGGTGGTGATATCCCCTTTATCATTTTTTATTGTGTCTATTTGATTCTCCTCTCTTTTTTTCTTTATTAGTCTTGCTAGCGGTCTATCAATTTTGTTGATCCTTTCAAAAAACCAGCTCCTGGATTCATTGATTTTTTGAAGGGTTTTTTGTGTCTCTATTTCCTTCAGTTCTGCTCTGATTTTAGTTATTTCTTGCCTTCTGCTAGCTTTTGAATGTGTTTGCTCTTGCTTTTCTAGTTCTTTTAATTGTGATGTTAGGGTGTCAATTTTGGATCTTTCCTGCTTTCTCTTGTGGGCATTTAGTGCTATAAATTTCCCTCTACACACTGCTTTGAATGCGTCCCAGAGATTCTGGTATGTTGTGTCTTTGTTCTCGTTGGTTTCAAAGAACATCTTTATTTCTGCCTTCATTTCGTTATGTACCCAGTAGTCATTCAGGAGCAGGTTGTTCAGTTTCCATGTAGTTGAGCGGCTTTGATTGAGATTCTTAATCCTGAGTTCTAGTTTGATTGCACTGTGGTCTGAGAGATAGTTTGTTATAATTTCTGTTCTTTTACATTTGCTGAGGAGAGCTTTACTTCCAACTATGTGGTCAATTTTGGAATAGGTGTGGTGTGGTGCTGAAAAAAAGTATATTCTGTTGATTTGGTGTGGAGAGTTCTGTAGATGTCTATTAGGTCCGCTTGGTGCAGAGCTGAGTTCAATTCCTGGGTATCCTTGTTGACTTTCTGTCTCGTTGATCTGTCTAATGTTGACAGTGGGGTGTTAAAGTCTCCCATTATTAATGTGTGGGAGTCTAAGTCTCTTTGTAGGTCACTCAGGACTTGCTTTATGAATCTGGGTGCTCCTGTATTGGGTGCATATATATTTAGGATAGTTAGCTCCTCTTGTTGAATTGATCCCTTTACCATTATGTAATGGCCTTCTTTGTCTCTTTTGATCTTTGTTGGTTTAAAGTCTGTTTTATCAGAGACTAGGATTGCAACCCCTGCCTTTTTTTGTTTTCCATTTGCTTGGTAGATCTTTCTCCATCCCTTTATTTTGAGCCTATGTGTGTCTCTGCACGTGAGATGGGTTTCCTGAATACAGCACACTGATGGGTCTTGACTCTTTATCCAACTTGCCAGTCTGTGTCTTTTAATTGGAGAATTTAGTCCATTTACATTTAAAGTTAATATTGTTATGTGTGAATTTGATCCTGTCATTATGATGTTAGCTGGTGATTTTGCTCGTTAGTTGATGCAGTTTCTTCCTATTCTCGATGGTCTTTACATTTTGGCATGATTTTGCAGCGGCTGGTACTGGTTGTTCCTTTCCATGTTTAGCACTTCCTTCAGGAGCTCTTTTAGGGCAGGCCTGGTGGTGACAAAATCTCTCAGCATTTGCTTGTCTGTAAAGTGTTTTATTTCTCCTTCACTTATGAAGCTTAGTTTGGCTGGATATGAAATTCTGGGTTGAAAATTCTTTTCTTTAAGAATGTTGAATATTGGCCCCCACTCTCTTCTGGCTTGTAGGGTTTCTGCCGAGAGATCCGCTGTTAGTCTGATGGGCTTCCCTTTGAGGGTAACCCGACCTTTCTCTCTGGCTGCCCTTAACATTTTTTCCTTCACTTCAACTTTGGTGAATCTGACAATTATGTGTCTTGGAGTTGCTCTTCTCGAGGAGTATCTTTGTGGCGTTCTCTGTATTTCCTGAATCTGAACATTGACCTGCCTTGCTAGATTGGGGAAGTTCTCCTGGATAATATCCTGCAGAGTGTTTTCCAACTTGGTTCCATTCTCCCCGTCACTTTCAGGTACACCAGTCAGACGTAGATTTGGTCTTTTCACATAGTCCCATATTTCTTGGAGGCTTTGCTCATTTCTTTTTATTCTTTTTTCTCTAAACTTCCCTTCTCGCTTCATTTCATTCATTTCATCTTCCATTGCTGATACCCTTTCTTCCAGTTGATCACATCGGCTCCTGAGGCTTCTGCATTCTTCACGTAGTTCTCGAGCCTTGGTTTTCAGCTCCATCAGCTCCTTTAAGCACTTCTCTGTATTGGTTATTCTAGTTATACATTCTTCTAAATTTTTTTCAAAGTTTTCAACTTCTTTGCCTTTGGTTTGAATGTCCTCCCGTAGCTCAGAGTAATTTGATCGTCTGAAACCTTCTTCTCTCAGCTCGTCAAAGTCATTCTCCATCCAGCTTTTTTCCGTTGCTGGTGAGGAACTGCGTTCCTTTGGAGGAGGAGAGGCACTCTGCGTTTTAGAGTTTCCAGTTTTTCTGTTCTGTTTTTTCCCCATCTTTGTGGTTTTATCTACTTTTGGTCTTTGATGATGGTGATGTACAGATGGGTTTTCGGTGTGGATGTCCTTTCTGTTTGTTAGTTTTCCTTCTAACAGACAGGACCCTCAGCTGCAGGTCTGTTGGAATACCCTGCCGTGTGAGGTGTCAGTGTGCCCCTGCTGGGGGGTGCCTCCCAGTTAGGCTCCTCGGGGGTCAGGGGTCAGGGACCCACTTGAGGAGGTAGTCTGCCCGTTCTCAGATCTCCAGCTGCGTGCTGGGAGAACCACTGCTCTCTTCAAAGCTGTCAGACAGGGACATTTAAGTCTGCAGAGGTTACTGCTGTCTTTTTGTCTGTGCCCTGCCCCCAGAGGTGGAGCCTACAGAGGCAGGCAGGCCTCCTTGAGCTGTGGTGGGCTCCACCCAGTTCGAGCTTCCCGGCTGCTTTGTTTACCTAAGCAAGCCTGGGCAATGGCAGGCTCCCCTCCCCGAGCCTCGCTGCTGCCTTGCAGTTTGATCTCAGCCTGCTGTGCTAGCAATCAGCGAGATTCCGTGGGCGTAGGACCCTCCGAGCCAGGTGTGGGATATAGTCTCGTGGTGCGCCGTTTTTTAAGCCCCTCGGAAAAGCGCAGTGTTCGGGTGGGAGTGACCCGATTTTCCAGGTGCGTCCGTCACCCCTTTCTTTGACTCGGAAAGGGAACTCCCTGACCCCTTGCACTTCCCGAGTGAGGCAATGCCTCGCCCTGCTTCGGCTCGCGCACGGTGCGCACACCCACTGGCCTGCGCCCACTGTCTGGCACTCCCTAGTGAGATGAACCCGGTACCTCAGATGGAAATGCAGAAATCACCCGTCTTCTGCATCGCTCACGCTGGGAGCTGTAGACCGGAGCTGTTCCTATTCGGCCATCTTGGCTCCTCCCCCCATTTTTTCTTTAACACACTCAGGCTGAGTCCTGATGCATGTCAAAAAAGGTAGACTGGTGTGGGTGAGTGGAAAGGAAGGGTGTTCATCAGGCCAGAAGTGTGTGTGTGTGTGTGTATGTGTGTGTGTGTGTGTGTGTGAGAGAGAGAGAGAGAGAGAGATTGAGAGAAAAGAGAGAGACAGAATGAATATGTATGACTGAATGTCTGGCATAAACACAATTACTGAAAATGGATAAAATTCAAAAATAAGGCTAGTATAGTGTGCAGGGACCAAACCATAGAATACTACTTACACAGGCTATGCTGGGAAATTAGCTGTGATTCAAATAATCCTCCAATTTCTGTTATCTGCTGTGTATATAACATCTATATGAGACATCTCAGGGCCAGAAGTGAAAGAAATTGTAGATGTGATCTCTATGTTCAAAGTGTTCACAGCTTATTTGGAGTGCAGAGTCTAGATACGAAAAAGACTTCAGAAGCCTACAAGGCATAGTGGCAGGAATCTAGGGTGTCTGTAAGGCCTAGATATTTACATAGTAACTAACACACCTGAGCGAGCAGTAGAGGGTAAGGAAATGTTAGGGAAAGGAAGGGGCTTTATTCAAAGGCTCAGGTTCCATCAGCCCCCTCATACCAGTCTGTTAGCTCTAGACCCCTCTCTTCTTTGGAGTTAGTTACACACCTCCTGCAAGCTAACCAAGGTCCTTGCCAACACTGTGACACAGACACCGACTTTCAGTAGCTTCTCCTAATGCTCTGAGCCTCAATACATTTATCTATGAAATGGGCATGGGTGAAAACACAGTTGGCTTCATTCACGCTAAAAATCCCTTCCAGGAAAACCTGCTGCACCCTGCTCCTCAAGTACCTCATACTGATTCTCCATTGAAGATGGTGGTAGTTTGTCTTCAACATAATCAGAAGTCATTATGTCTTTCCATGTATGCTGTTGCCCTTTCCTTGTGCAGAGGTAGAGTTTATTCCTCAAGTCCTCTTGGGTCTGAACTCATGAGAGTGCTTTGACTAACTGGAAAAGGTAGAAGTTTCATTACACTAGTTCTAAGCCTAGGATTTAACACAACTGGCATTATCTACTTCACACTCTTGAAACGCTCCCTCTGGGAACATACCTACCATGCTGCGAGAAACCCAACCTAAAAAGAGCAAGCACATGTAGGTCCTCCAGTCAACAGCTCCTGATGAGCTCCCAGCTGAAATCTAACATCAACTGCCAGCTATGTAAGTGAGCCATTTTCAATGTTTAGCCCAGTTTAGCTCTCAGATGACTGTAGCTCCAGTTGCCCTCTGACTGTCACTGAATGAAAGAAGCAAATTGAGAACTTCCCAGCTGAGCCCGCCCAATCCACAGAACCATTATAGATAATAATGAATTGTTGTTTTTAGCCACAAACTTTTGTTGTCAATTGTTAAGCAGCGATAGATAAATCTCAGGGCCTTACTATTGGGTAAACCCGGGGCTCAACAAACTTTTGTGTAAAGGGTTAGATAGTAAATATTTTTGGCTTTCCTGACCATGCAGTTTCTGTTACAACTACTCAACTCCGCCATGATAATGCAAAAGCAGTTACAGACAATACAGAAATAAATGGACATGGCTATGTTCCAATCAAACTTTATTTTACAAAATCGGGGGAGGACTGAGGCCTTTGCCATAGTTTGCATCTCCTAAGTTAATTGGATAAAATAATTTATCACAGAGTCGGAAAGACTAAACTAGGTGAATCTCTCTAATAATATTAGCCTTTTGGCAGGAGTTTTCTGGAAACACAAAGCTTTCAATGATTGTTTTCCAAAATGGATTTTGTGAGACAGTCATGGGGTTGGGGAGATGTTCTATTGTCAAATAATTTTGTGAATCTCTTGGTGAAATCTAAGTATACAAAGTTTGTTCTAAAACAAAATCTGTTATACAAAGTTTTATACTGCAGGATTCCTTTACAATAGCCTTTACATGCTTATCCCAAAAAAGTATACTGCTGGAATTTCAGAGCTAATGCCAGGCTGCTGGAAGAGACGTTTTAAAATGAGGGAATTTGGGGTATCAGTTCTTCCTATATTTAAAACCAGAGCTGATGCTGTTTATCCCTCTTCATTCATTTTCTCTCACTGCTTTTCTTCAGGCTCACCTTTTGATCTCCATAATACACCGGCTCTGCCAATTATACACTGTTTGTTATTGATGTTTACCCTCTCCAGGCTTTGGCTTCCCTGATATGTAAAGCTAACAATTTTTACAATAACTATACCCCAGACCCCCATTCCAAGGTGGAGGAGCATTCCTGGCAGAATGAAGAGTTACAGTAAAGGCCCGAAGGAGACAGTGTGCCTGTTCTGTTCAAGGAAGCCAGTGTGGCAGCAGCAGAGTAAGTGTGGGGGAAAACAGTGGGAAATGAAGTTGGAGATGTTACCGGGAGCCAGATCTTGTAGAACCCTATAGAATATTATAAGAACTTGATCAATTGTTCTGAATGAAATAGGGAATCTTTTTTTTTTTTTTTTTTTTTTTTTTGAGACGGAGTCTTGCTCTGTCGTCCAGGCCGGAGTGCAGTGGTGCGATCTTGGCTCACCGCAAGCTCCGCCTCGCGGGTCCACGCCATTCTCCTGCCTCAGCCTCCCAAGTAGCTGGGACCACAGGCGCCCGCCACCACGCCCGGCTAATTTTTTGTGGTTTTAGTAGAGATGGGGTTTCACCATGTTAGCCAGGACGGTCTCGATCTCCTGACCTCGTGATCCGCCTGCCTCAGCCTCCCGAAATAGGGAATCATTGTGAGGTTTTGTAGTGGAGGAAAAGCATAATCTAATTTAGGATTTTAAAGCATCACCCTATATGCACCAAAATACAGAATCTCAAAATGTATGAAACAAAAATGGACAGAAATAAAAGGAGAAATAGACAAATCCTTAATTATAGTTGAAGAATTCAACACCCTCTTATTAACACCTGACACAGTTACGAGACAGAAAATCATCATCAAGGATATAGAATATCTGAAAAACACACTCAACCAACAAGGTCTAATTGATGTGTGTGGAGAACCTCACCCCAAAACAGCAGAATACACATTCTTTTCAAGACACTGTGGAACATTTGCCAAAGCAGACCATGTTCTGGTACATAAAGTGAGACTCAATAAATTTTTAAAAATTGAAATCATACAGAATGTATTCACTGACCACAGTGGAATCAAACCAGAAATCAGTAACAGAAAGATAAACAAACACTTGGAAACTAAACAACACTTTTGTAAATAGCCCATGGGTCAAGGAGGAAGTCTAAAGGTAAATTAAAAAATACCTTGAACTGAATTAAAATGAAAATGCAACGTATCAAAATTTGTGGTAAGCAGCTAAAGTGATACTGAGAAGGTAATTTATAACACTAAATGTTTATATTAGAAATGAGAAAATATGTCAAATCAATAAGTTCCTACCTCAGGGAATAAGAAGACAAAATAATAAATTCAAGCAGGGAGGAGAAATTAAATAATAAACACAAGAATAGAAATCAATGAAATTAATAACAGAAAAATAGATGAAATTAATGAAACAAAAAGCTGGTTCATTGAAAAGGCCAATAAAATTAACAAACCATTAGCAAAATTGACAGAAAAAAGAAAGAATGTAAAAATTACCCATATCAGGAATCAGACAGAGGATATCACTACAGACCCTGAAAACATCAAAAGAGAATAAAGGAATGCTACAAAGAACTCAATACACACAAATTTGACGAAATGGACCAACTCCTCAAAAAGCGCAAACTATCAAAACTCAACCAAGATGAAATACACAATCTGAATATCCCTATAATCATCAAAGAAAGAATTCATAATTTAAAACCTCCCAGAAAACCTCCCATTTAAAGAAGTATTTATACCGAATTTACAAAACATCTTCCAAAAAATAGAAACTGGATGAACCCTTCCCAACTCATTTTATGAGGCCATTATTACCCTGATAGCAAAAACCGTGTAAAGATAATACAAAAAAAGCAACTACAGAACAAGGTCTCTGATGAACTAGATGCAAAAACCCTCAACAAAATGTTAGCAAACAGAATCTAACAATGTAAAAAAAGAATTATACACCTATAACAAGTGAGATTTATTCCACGTATGCACGACTAGTTGAATAACTGAAAATCAAATATTATAACTCATGCCAACAGGCTCAAGAAGAAAAATCATGATTATATCAATTAATGTGGAAAACAGGTTTGACAAAATTCAAAACCCATTTATGATAAAAAGTTTTAGAAAATTAGGAATAGGAGGGGAATTAAGTTATAGATCATTTGGGGGAGAACTGACATATTTACTATCTTAACTCTCCTAATAAGTCTTCTAATCCATGAACAGAGTATGTCTCATTATATGATTGAGAACTTGATAAAGAGCATTTACAAAAAAACCTATAGGTAACAATGCTTAGCGGTGAAAGATTGAATGCTTTCCTCTAAAATTGAGAACAAAGCCAGGATATGTACTCTTGCCTTTCTCATTCAACTTAGTAGTGGAAATCCTGGCCTCTGCATTAAGGCAAGCAAAAGGAATAAAAGGCCTAGAAATCAGAAATGAAAAAACACAATTATTCCTATTTTCCCTATTTACAGATGACATGATGGCCTAAGTAATAAATCTGAGGGAATTTTTTAAACTCCTAGAAATTATAGGTAGTTCAGCAAAGTTTCAGTTTATAAGACCAATGCACAAAAATAAATTGCATTTCTGTATACTAACAATGAGCATGTATACACTGAAATTAAAAACAAAATATCATTTGCAATCACTCCAAATAAAATGAAATACTGACATATGCACTTAACAAAACTTGAACAGGATCTGTAAGCTGAAAATAATAAAATGAAAGAAATTTTTAAAATAGCTAAATAATTGGAATGGAATAACATGCTCATGG
Organism: Homo sapiens; assembly: GCF_000001405.40. Classification (NCBI taxonomy): domain Eukaryota; kingdom Metazoa; phylum Chordata; class Mammalia; order Primates; family Hominidae; genus Homo; species Homo sapiens. Next base: position 130,953,988 of record NC_000023.11, on the reverse strand, counting down.
AATAGAAGATTCAACATAGTAAAAATGTCAATTCTCCCTCCAAATGATTTGCAGGTTTAATGCAATTCCTATAAAAATATCTGCAAAGTTTCCTTGTAGACATGGAAAAGTTTATTCTAAAATTTATATGGATGGGTGCAGGCCCTACAATATGTAAAATGATCTCGACAAAGAAAAACAAAGTAGGGATAATCAATCTACCCAATATTAAAGCTTTACTATTAAATATTAAATACTAAGTATTATTATAAATAATAAATAAATGTTAAATAATATGAAGGTTTTAATATATGCCTTCAATAATCAAGGTTGTGGAATTGGCAGAGGGATAGGCACATAGATCAATGGAACTGAATAGAGAACTCAGAAGTGGACCCACACAAATGTGTCCAAGTAATTTTTGACAAAGTTGTCAAAATATATCACTGGAGGAAGGATAAACTTTGTAACAAATGGTGCTAGAGGTATTGGACATTCATAGACAACAAATGACCCTTAACTTAAACCTCATACCTTATAAAAGTTCAAAATGGATCATGGACTTCAATGTAAAACATAAAATTATAAAACTTTTTAAAAAAGTTTTTTAAGTAGGAGAAAATCTTCAGGGTCTAAGGCTAGACAAGGATTTATTAAATTTGACACTAAAAATACAATTTATAAAAGGAAAAAATTGATAAGACTTCATCAAAATAAAAAACTTTTTCTCTGCAAAGGACCCTATTAAGAGGATGAAACAACAAGCTACAGAGTGGGAGAAAATATCTGCAAACCACATATCCAGAAAGGACAATATTTAGAGTATAGGAGTAACCCAAACTCAGCAGTTTAAAAAATCCAATTAAATAATAGAAAAAAGACATAAACAGACATTTCACTGAGGATGATATACAGATGGCAAATAAGTACATGGAAAGATATTCAACATTATTAGTGATTAAAGAAATGTGAAAAAAAATCACAATGATATATCACTACACTACTATCAGCTTAGCTAAAATAAAAAATAGTGACAACATCAGATGCTGCCAAGGATGAGGAGAAACTGGATCACTCATACATTACGGGTGAGAATGTAGCCACTCTGAATAACAGTTTGGTACTTCTTCAACATATTAAATGTAGTTTCCATATGACCCACTGTTATACAAATGAGTCAAAGATGGCCTCTGTATGTTAGCCCTATCTTGTTTATTTTTTTCACAAGCCAGGATTTATTAGCTCAAAAGCCCATCAGTACTAAGGTCAAATTTTCACACATTCTTTTGTTATAAATGTAGCTCAAATAAACAGATATTTACTCATTTAGAGCCTTCCTGCTTTGCATACTCCACAAAACTGCATCCAACACCTGTTAGCCAGAGATAAGACAAACCACAGGGCTAAAGACTCTAAGCCACTGTTACCCTTCAGAGTCTCTGCTGCTCAGTGATATAACCTAGACACTTAAGCTTCCTCTTTGATCCCTCGTTCCCCCAGAAGTTCCCTTGCCCTCCTCTCCTTAATAAAATAAAGAGGGGAAATTTGGACACAGAGACAAACATGCACAGAGGGAAGATGACATGAAGATGGTTATGTGATAATGTAGGCAAAGATTGGACTGATGGCAGCTGCAAGCCAAAGATTGCCAGCCACTACTAGTAGCTAGGAAATGACAAGGAAGTATTCTACCATGACAGTTTCAGAGACAGCTGACTTGATTTGGGACAGCTAGCCTCCAGAGCTGTAGAGCAACAAATTCTTGTTGTTTTAAGCCATGTAGTTTTTGGTACTTTGTTATGACAGCCCTATCAAACTAATATACCATGGAATATTTGGAATATTACTCAGCAATTAAGGCAATGAACTATTGATAAACACAACTTGGAGAATTATGCTAAATTTTTTAAAAGGCCAATCCCAAAAGGTGACACACTGTATAATCCCATTCATAGAACATTATGAAATGCCAAATATTAGAAATGAATGACAGGTTAGTGGTTGCCAGAGTTTAGGGATGGGACTGTGGGGTGCACAGGAGGGTTGTGTGCATGGCTATAAAAGAGCAACACAAAGGATCCTTGTGGAAATGTTCTGTATCTTGACTGGTGCTAAATTTGTGAATCTACACGTGATAAAATTGTATAGAACTTACTACACACACAAGTATAAAGTAAAACTGGAGAAATCAGAATCAAATTAGTGATTTGTATCAGTGTATCGGTATCTTGGTTGTGATATTATACTATAGTGTTGCAAAATGCTGCTATTTGGGAAGCTTAGCAAAGTGTCAATGGGTCTCTCTAAATTATTTCTTACAACTGCATGTGAATCTACAATTAGCTCAATAAAAATTTCAATTAGAATAAAGCATCACTTGGCTGTTAAGAACAAACTTTGAAGGGCAAGGGTGGCAGCAGGGAGAACAGCTAGGAAACTTCTGCATAAATCCAGGAATAAATGGATAATTGCTCCGACTAGGATGATAGCAGTAACGTAAAGGTAGAGAGAAGCAGTTGGATTCTGGATACATAGTGTTTTGAAAGTAGAACAGAATTTTCTAACAGACGCATGTAAGATGTGAGAGAAAGAGAAGTGTCAAGGATGATGTAAAGGTGTTAATATGGTGAAGGCTGCAGGTGGAGAGGGTTTGGCAGTAGAGTTGGGGGGAAGGGATTAAGATAGTAAACCTTGGGGACTGGATGAGATCATTAAGGGAATAATTCTTGCTTAGAGAAAAGAGAAAAACTAATAACTGAGACTTCAAAGAAGGTTCTCGGAAAAAAAAAAGGTACCTCAGAAAGTTACCCAATTACAAAAGTATGGAACATTGAAGCATGTGGATTTGTGGACTACTTGCAGTAAGGAGTCTGCAACCCACAGGCTGGGGATTATTAGGCTGGGATATCTTGGATAGGAATATGGGCCTCATGACTTGAGTCTATGTCCAAGGAACCCAGGAGGAAAATACCCTCCTTCCCCCACCCCCTCAAAAAGTGACAAAACAAAACAAAATAGCAGGTCCAAAGTGGCTGCTTTCATATTCTGCAAAGGTATCCCTGAGTGGGCAGATATTTACTTTGTAAATATTGTGAAAAATGACTTCATTCTGCCATCTGATCCAATCTTTCCACTGGGAGCTTAGCTGCTTCCCCCAGATCCAACCTGTCAGTCTCATGGTTGATATAGACTCCAGAAGATGTGGCCCTGGCTGCCACCCTCCTCATCATGCTTCTCACCCCATCTGTTGGCTGGTTCTTAATTCTCTGCACTGGCATTAGAATTTCCCTCTGGGAACCCAATTAGGGTGTGCTCACCAAGCAAAACTAATGTGCCCTCTGTATGATGTGTATAGAGCAATGTTCAACATGTTGGTTTTGGGGGACTCAAAGCAGCAAAATGACAGTGCTCCCATAACGCCTGTCAGTCTTGGACAGGATCAGAAGAAGAGAAGAAAGGAGGGAGGAAGGGAGAGAGAATGGAAACATTTTGGGACACAGCTGCCACCTACTACTGCTCCGCCATGCCTGGAAAAGCAATGAAAGCTGAAGGCAAGAGCTCAGTTTCCTAGCCCACTGGTGAGGCAGTAATATCTCTAAGCCAATTAGTTACACAGAGGGTGGGAAGGTTGCTCAGTCTGGAGAAATGAAGCATGAAGAGGGCCGGTTGGAGACAGGAGCTTTTTTCAGTTGTGAGGTGCATGGCTGTCACTGTTGGTGACATGAGAATAAAGGAGAAAACTGGTTTCTGTATTGTGGCTTCGAAGCTCAAACCTAGTGTTGTCACTAAGTTATGGGAGGTAGAAGAAGTGGGCTTAGATGGGGACAAACCTTTTGACAGCCAGAGCCTGCCTGCCCATCAGCCTGCCTCCTTATCCCTGGTATAGGTGGTTGGGGCCCTACAGGGTGCATTCCACAATTGTGGGCATGGAGTATGAAGAAGGTACAAGAATAATCTGGGGCACTAGTCAAAAGCACAGATTTCCAAGTTCAACACAGGCTTCCTGAAACAGAATCTCTGTAGGAAGGTTTTGGGAAATCTGCATTTTACTAAGTGACCCCTATGCTCCTGATCTGAAGCCTGTTCACACAGTGGCCTTTGGAAAACCAGAGGCCCTCTGAGACCCTTTCCAGCTCCAAGAGGCCAGGACTGTGCTCACTAGCCCCAGTGCCAGCCAATGTAGCCTGAAGAGAAGTGAGTGCAGAAGTTACCTTGCAGAGCCAAGGAAAAGGGGATGAATGCCCCCAGGGATAAGACTGTATTCCTGGAGACTCCAGCCCTTCTGGTAAGGGAGGGTACAGTTAGGAGCACTGTGTCAGGAGTCACACACTGCCCCTGCCTTTGGCAACACTTTGATCATGAATAATAGCTCACATATATTAAGAATCAAATCAAAACCACTATGAGATATCATCTCACACCAGTTAGAATGGCAATCATTAAAAAGTCAGGAAACAACAGGTGCTGGAGAGGATGTGGAGAAATAGGAACACTTTTACACTGTTGGTGGGACTGTAAACTAGTTCAACCATTGTGGAAGTCAGTGTGGCGATTCCTCAGGGATCTAGAACTAGAAATACCATTTGACCCAGCCATCCCATTACTGGGTATATACCCAAAGGACTATAAATCATGCTGCTATAAAGACACATGCACACGTATGTTTATTGCGGCACTATTCACAATAGCAAAGACTTGGAACCAACCCAAATGTCCAACAATGATAGACTGGATTAAGAAAATGTGGCACATATACACCATGGAATACTATGCAGCCATAAAAAATGATGAGTTCATATCCTTTGTAGGGACATGGATGAAATTGGAAACCATCATTCTCAGTAAACTATCGCAAGAACAAAAAACCAAACACCGCATATTCTCACTCATAGGTGGGAATTGAACAATGAGATCACATGGACACAGGAAGGGGAATATCACACTCTGGGGACTGTGGTGGGGTCGGGGGAGGGGGGAGGGATAGCATTGGGAGATATACCTAATGCTAGATGACACATTAGTGGGTGCAGCGCACCAGCATGGCACATGTATACATATGTAACTAACCTGCACAATGTGCACATGTACCCTAAAACTTAGAGTATAATTAAAAAAAAAAAAGAATCTATTATGTGCCAAATACTTTGCTAAGCACTTAAACTCTTTTTTTCCTTCTTATGAAAACTTTCTGAAGTAGGGATTGTTATTTTCCCATTTCATAGAAGAAAAGGCTGAGACTCAGAAAAGAGAAGCAACTTACCCAAGATCACACAGCTCTTAACTACCATGCTAGGTCTGGGTTGCCTCACCTAAGTAACAAAGAAGTATTTCGGCAAAAGCCTTTTGGAATCATTAAAACTAACAGAGCTACTCTTATGGTTGGATTCTCAAGCTCAGGCAGAGTTGAAGGTAAGGTTTGGGGTGGCCCGAGTTTTAGTAAACCGCAAGTCCCACATGGTTAATTGCATGGGTATCCACCTCTGTGAAGTGGCTTTTCTGTCTTCCCTGAGTCCCACCACTTCCCTACTGTTTCCACATCAGGACCTACACTAATCCAGAAGTGCCTTTGAGAGAATTAGAAAAAGTTGTCCCTTTAATACATGCAACCCCATGGGCACAGGGCTTGGAGAGCAGATTGAGACGCTAGGCAGATTAGAAAATGATGGCTTTTCTTCTGGGTAGATGCAACCCTGAATCAGGTATATGGCTTGGGGAGTGGAGAATGGACTGGATTATAGCCCCTTTAAACTCCCTTGGCCATACACTCTTGTACAGAGTCCAACCTGCCCAATTTTCCAGAGCAGACCTTCTTACCACCCTGCCCAACACTTCTACTGGTCTCTAGACTGAGAGGTTACCCAATTTCAGGGAGGTGAGAAACTAGGGAGCTCCTCCCTGAAGGACACCAAGCCTTTGGAGAAAGAAACTAGAGAAGGTCTTCTTGAGTTTCTTGGATATGTGGATTAATGTATTTTGTCAAATTTGGGAAGTGTTCAGCAATTAGCTCTTGAAATATTATTTCTGCCCCTTTCTCTCTCCTCTCCTGGGACCCCCGTTATGCATATGGTGGTACATTTGATGGCATTCCACAGGTCTCTGAGGCTCTGTTCATTTTTTTTCATTCTTATTTTTGTCCCTCAGACTGCAAAATCTTGATTGATCTAGCTTCAAGTTTGTTGATTCTTTCTTTTGCCTGCTCAAATCTGCTGTTAAGTAAGCCCTTTTACTGAATTTTTCATTTGCTATTGTACTTTTCAACTCCAGAATTTCTACTGTGCTACTTTTATAATATCTGTCTCTTTACTGATATTCTCTATTTGATAAGAAATTGTCACCATACCTTCATGTAATTATTTAAATGTGGTTTCCTTTAGTTATTTGAACAGGTTTATAATTGTTTCTTTGAAGTCTTTTTCTGCTAAGCAAACATCTGGGTCCACTCAGAGACAGGTCTACTGAATGCTCTTTTTTCTTGTACAGGGCAATACTTTCCTGTTTCTTTATATGTCTCATATTTTTTGTTGAAATTTGGACATTTTGGATAAAATATTGTAGCAACTCTAGATACTATTCTCCCTTTGGGGCTTGTTGTTCATGTTGTTTGTTCATTTGTTTATTTGTTTGGTGATATGTCTGGATTAATTCTGTGAAGTCTATTTCCCCTGCAGTGTGTAGCCCCAGATGTCCCTGCTAAGATTTTTTCCCCTTGTTTTCGTTTTAAAGACCAATTTCCCAGAGGTTGCCTCTAGATCAGCATAGCTTAGTGGTTAGCCACTGACTGGTCAAAAGTTGTAAATAAGTTCCCAGGTCCAGTAGTTTTCACCCTTTACCACAGGATCTATGTATGGCTTGGAGATTACTTTCTCTGTTAAGGGGAAAACTTATTTTGAAAGTACCGTTTTCTAGTCAGCCTGAGAAAGTGCAGCCTTGAGCATGGAAGTCTTCCTGACCACCAGAGATGGGTGTGATTTTAGCAGGGTTTTCTTAGACTGTCTCTTTCCTGGATCTACCTGTTAAACTCATGGCTGGTCTCCCTCTATTGCTATTACCAAGCTGTTATTCCAATTGCTAGACACTGATTTTTATAGTTTCAACAACATACCCTAGGGCATGAATTCCACCATTCTCTGAACCAAATGAAATCTCCTTCTCTGCTGGAGCCAGATCTTCCAGTCTTTGCAGTTTGCCTCACCCCTTCTCCCAGGTAGAACTGCAATGCCATGGCATGAGAGTTGTAGGAGAATTGGAGGACACTGTTCTTCACTTACTGCTCCACCCGCCTCTTTCCAACAAAGTGAGTGCTGTGGGTTGAGGAAGCAGACAACACCACCTGGCTATTGCCACCACCCAATGTAGATTTCTACAGCCTGAAGATGGGGGAGATAGGAGAAATGAGAGAGATGGCAGGAAATGGAATCTATTGTTTACCAGCTCATACTGCCTTGCAAATATAGATCTTCAATACCAGAGAAATGGGGTAACACAAGCTGCCTACTTGGTTGCAGCTGTGGAATCTGTTCAGTCTGCCCAGAGTAGTTCCTCCATACACAGAGCTGGAGGAGAGATGGGTGCAGCCTCTGGCTCAGGTGCTTTGGCCTGCTGTGGTTCATACAAGTTTTGATCAAATTTGTTGAATAAATCCCTCCCAGTTTTGGACAATCTCCAGAGACTTTTAAAGGTTTTCTTTGATAATTTTGACCAGTGTAACAAATATCTCTCTGGGGGAGAAGATTCTCTGAGCTCCCCACAGAGAAGGGATTGTACAAATGTCTTCTCTATACCTGAGATCCTATTCCCATCCCTTCATGCGCAATATACTCAAACCACACTGATTTCTTTGTGTTCCTTCAATATACCAAGATTTTTCCTGCCTTGAGGTCTTTGCACATTATATTCCCTCTGTCTAAAGTGTATCTTCACCAATTCATGAGGCTGGCTTTCCTCTCACCATTTGGGTCACAACTCAAGTATCACCTCTACAGAGTGGTTTACCCTGACAACTCAATTTAAAACATAACAAAATAAAAAATCCCTGTCTGATCCATACTCCAGTCACTCCATCATATTATCTTATTTCCTTCATAGCACTTACTAATATCTGAACATAGAGACAATATAGCTTAGTGAGATAGTGCCAGACTACCTGAGTTTGAATCCTGGCTCTAACACTTTCTAGCTCTGTGACTTTGGACAAGTTCACTCACTCAGACAACACCTCGGAGCTTCACTTTCCTCATCTGTAAAACAGGAATAATAATAGTGCCTGCCTCTCAGTGTCACTGTGAGGGCTATGGATAAAATAATACATATAAAGTGCTCAGTAAAGTGTCTGATGCACAGTAAGACTTCTCCCAGCATTAGCTATTGTGGTGCCAGCATCCCAAATGGGCCTCCAGTGATCCCTGTTTCCTGGCATTCACATTGGATTTGGTCTATGTTATAAGGCAAAAGTGATGAGACGGGGTTATAAAAAAAAGACTTCGTCTTTCACCGTGGGCACTCTCATTCATTTGCGCTTTCTGTCTCACTTGGATCACTCACACTGGGGGAAGGAAGCTAGCTGCCATATCAAGCAGCCCCATGGAGAAGTCCACGTGGTATGTCAAAAAATAGAGGCTTCTTTCAACCCCATAACTGAGCTTGGCAGCAGATTCTCCACCCCTTGCTGACAGCTTGACTACAACCTCATGAAAGATCTGGGGCCAGACTATCCAGCTAAGCCGCTCCTCCTGAATTCCTAACCCTCAGAAACTGCTTGATACAGTAAATATTTGTTGTTTTAAGCTAAGTTTTAGAATAATTTGTTATGCAACAATAGATAAGTATCTCAGCTGCTAAATTATCGTGTTGGTTTACATGATTATTATCAGCCCTCTCTTCTCTGCTCTATCCCTAGACCCTTTAGGGAACTGCTGAACTTAGAGTTAGCACAAGAATTTTTATGGGTTGAGTATGTTCAAAATTTGACTAGACGACTTGATTAGGCCTTACTTGATTGTTACTGTACTATTTCTGATGTCATGGAAAAAACACTGGGCTAGGAATGGCAGCTATTTTCACTGGACACCTAAGTGATCTTGGATAAGTCATTTCACACCTCTGAACATTCTCACATCTCAAATAGAGAAAATAATAACACCATAGCTGTAAAGGTAGTTGTAAAGATGAAATGAAATAATAGAGGGGAAACCCACTGAGAGAACAATGTCAGGACAACTTCATCAAATTTCCTCTAACAATTGCCTTGTGTTGTCCACAGCTATGTGGGAAAACATCTTCTGAATTAAAAAATATATATTATTATTAATATCTACCTTGGTATGTGGAATTAAAAGACTCTGAGGTAGCTATATTATACCTGAGTGTTTTTCATTCAGTCCCCAATTTGGCAGTTCTACAAGCAGCAATCATCCTACCAAAGCATATTTTTTTTTCCCTAATAAACCAAGGTATCAGTCTCTTTCAATGGTTGTAATTTTCCCCCATTGTATTAATTTAACACACTTTTGGTTTGAGTATGCAATTCCTTTTTGCCACAAACAGCTCAGTATTGAAATGTTGCTTTCACTATTTGAGCAATTTTCTCTTTAAGCCAGTAACTGCCCATAACTTGGAATTGACACTTTTTCTTTGTGCCCTGGTTGCTATGTTCCCAGGCTTGTTGCGTGACACTGTTCCTATTAAAGTACTCTCTTTAGAGACTGAATAACCTACTCATAGCCACACAGTAAAAAAAAAAGCTTATGTAGCTACATAAAGGGATGAGGAATCTTCGTATGTGCTGCTATTAAGTGATCTCCAGGATCTACTGTTAGGTTATAAAAACAAAGTGCAGAATAATGTATACAGTATGATAGCTTTAATCTGATAAAGAGAGAGAATAGGAATGTGTATTTATGTGTATATTTTAAAATAATACTGGAAGGATAAACCAAAAATAATAAAAATGGCAACTTATGAGGAGGGAGAAACCAGGGTGAAAAGAACAATAAAGGAAGCTAAACGTATGTAAATGTAATGTATTTTGTATATTTGTCTTTGGAACCATAATGCTGTTTTATAAATTATTAAAAAGTAAAATAAAATGATAAAGCAATCACTAAAAATCAAAACACGAAATGAAACTGATGAATTTAACTTATATTGAGATGGTAACATAACCTTAACCATACAGAAAGGAATTATTTCAAGTGATTGTAAAACACAATACTTTAACTACACATCCACAGTGGGACATACCTTAGGAACAAAAGCAGCTACAAATAAATCTTAAAGCATTTTCAGTAGCCATATTGTTAGCAATAACATTGGTAAGGTTATGAAAACATATGTCTTATTCAGTTCAGGTTGCTATAATAAAATACCATAAACTAGGTGGCTTATAAACACCAGATATTTATTTCTCACAGTTCTGGAGACTGGAAGTCCATGATCAGAGTACCAGCATGATTGGGTTCTGGTGAGAGCCCTCTTCTGTCTAGTAGACAGCTGCCTTCTCACTGTGTCCTCATGTGGCAGAACTAGAGTTAGCTGGCTTTCTGGCCTCTTCTTAAAAGGGCACTAATTCCATTTGGGAAGACTCTACCTTCAAGATCTAATTATCTCCCAAAGGCTCCATCTCCAAATACCAACACATTGGGATTAGCATTTTAACATATGAATTTAGCAGGGGGGACCACAAACATTCAGTCCATACATAGCACCATAATAAATATTTTAGAATAAAGCAAATTAAGGTTTTCAACATATGGGAAAAGAGATATGAATATAAAATGAAATAAAATAAATAAAAACCCTATAACCCTATACTTAAATTTGAAATGTTAGTATGAACTCATGATGTAATCTTCTTAACACATATTTATTTAATAGCTCTGATCATAGAAAACTCTTAGAAAATATGAACATAGTAGCAAACTAACTGCCACAGCATTCAGATTGTGGTCTCTAAACACTATTTCCCATTAAAAGGAATCAGGATTCATTGAAGAAATAGCTCATACTGAGTCTGTGGCAGGAAATATATATGATGAGCCTCAAATTATAATGGGTGATTCTATATATCATGCAAATATCATTCTATATATCAAGAAAGATGATTCAAAGCTATTTTCTGTCGTGCCAGAAAGCAAGAAAACTAACAAACGCTATTTAGGTTTTGTCAAAAAGGACACAGAAGCCAACCTAAGTGGTTTCCAGTGGAAGATAGAACAATTTGATCATTAAAAAGAACAATAACTGCAGTCATTTTAACATATAAAAATGTTTAGATACATGAACTCATCATGATATTAAAACAATGCAAAGGAGGCAGGTGCAGTGGTGCATGCCTGTAGTCCCAGCAACTCAGGAAACTGAGGTGGAAGGATCGCTTGAGCCCAGGAGTTCAAGGCTGCAGTGAGCTACGATCGTGCCACTACACTCCAGCCCGGGTCCAGAGCGAGACTCTGTCTCTTAAAAAATAAAAATAAAAAAATTAGCCAGGCATGGTGATGTGTGCTTCTAGTATTAGTTACTTAGGATGCTGAAACAGGAGGATAGCTTGAGCCCAGAAGTTTGAGGCTGTAGTGAGCTATGATTGCATCATTGCACTCCAGCCCGAGCAACCGAGCAAAACTAAAATAAATAAAATACAATGAAATAAAAAAGCAAGCCAGAACACATTTATTTGGTCAGCTTTGGGAGATGCTAGGGAGCCAATTCCTTATTCTTAACACAGACAAATAAAATATATAAGGGATTTCCACAACTCAATAGCTATATATATAAATATATATATATATATATCTCCAATTTAAAAAATGGAAAAGGACTTCAACAGACATTCCTTCAAAGACAACATACAAATGGCTAGCAGGTATATGAAAATGTGCTCAATATCACTAATCATCAAGGAAATGCAAATTAAAGCCACAATGAGATATCACCTCACACCTGTTAAGATGATTATTACAAAAAGACAAAAGATGACAAGTGTTGGTGAGGATGTAGAGAAAAGGGAACCCTCATACACTATTGGTGAAAATGTAAACTGGTACAGCCATTTTGAAAAATAATGAGGCGGTTCCTCCAAAAATTAAAAATATAACCACCATATGATCCAGCAATTTCTCTTCTGGACATATATCCCAAAGAAATAAAAAAAGTATTTCAAAGAGATATTTGCTCTCCCATGTTTATTGCAGCATTATTCACAATAGCTAAGATGTGGAAATAACCTAAATGTCTACCAACAGATAAATGGATAAAGAAAATGTGGTGTATATGCAACGGGATATCATTCAGCCTTTAAAAGGAAGGAAATCCTGCCATTTGTGACAACACAAATGAACTTGGAGGACATTCTATTAAGTGAAATAAGCCAAACACAGAAGAACAAGTACTGCATGATCTCACTTATATGTGGGCTATAAAATTGTCAAACTCATAAAAGCACAGAGTAGAATGGGTTGCCAGAGGTTTAGAGAAAGAGGAATAGAGAGGTATAGAGAAAGGGGAATTATTGGTCAAAGGGTACAGTGTCCATTATGCAAGATAAATTAGTCCTGGAGATCTAATTTACAGCACAGCATCTTTAGTTAACAATACTGTACTGCATACAGTAATTGAAATTTGCTAAGAGGGTGGATCCTAAATATTCTGAACATCAAAATAGTGGTAACTATGTGAGGTAATAGGTATGTTAACTACCTTGATTGTAATGATCATATCACAGTGTATAAATATATCAAACCATCAAGCTGTACACCCTAAATGTATATAATTTCTATTTTTTATTATACTTTAAGTTCTGGAGTACATGTGCAGAACGTGCAGTTTTGTTACATAGGTATACATGTGCCATTGTGGTTTGCTGCACCCATCAACCTGTCATCTACATTAGGTATTTCTCCTAATGCTATCCCTCCCCTAGCCCCCCACCCCCTGACAGGCCCCAGTGTGTGATGTTCCCCTCCCTGTGTCCATGTGTTCTCATTGTTCAACTCCCACTGTTAGAATTACCTAAGATTATAAGCAGCCATCATGAATATGTTTCAGTGAACAATTGCAAACATACTTGAAGCAAATGAAAAACAGAGACTCAAGGAAGAGAGCGTGTCTCAACAAAGAAATGGAACATGTATAAAAGAAAAAAATGAAAATTTTAGAGCTGAAAAATACTATAACACTACTTTAAAATTCATTGCACAGACTCAACATCAGAATGGAGAGGACAGAGGAAAAAAATTAGTAAACTGGAAAATATAACAATGGAAATTAACCAATAGAGAGAAAATATAGCCTGAAAATGATGAATAGAGCCCCCAAAACCTGTAGAACTATAATAAACAACAGGACATTCACGTCACTGGAGTCCTATAAAAAAGAGGAAAAAAAGGAAAGGGCTGGAAAAGTACTATAAGAAAGAATAGCTGAAATTTCTCACATTTGTTACAAGACACAAACCTACATATTTCAGAGGCTGGGCAAACCCCAAGCAGTATACACCCCAAGCAATCTACACTAAGACACAGCATAGTCAAATTTCCGAAAACTAAAAAAGAAATAAGAAAAATTTTGAGAGCAGTGAGAGAGAAATGACACATTATCCATGGGAGGAAAAACTATTCAAATGACATCAGATTTCTCGTCAGAAAATAGAGAGACCAAAAGAAAATGGCACAACATTTTCAATAGCTGAAACAAAAGAACAGTCAGCTCAGAATCCTATATCCAGAAAAAATATCCTTTAAGAATGAAGGGGAAATCAAGATATTTTCAGATGAAGAAAAATTAAGAAAATGTGTGACTAGCAGAACTACCCTCTAAGAATGGGTCTGTAAACAGAAAGGAAATGACAAAAAATAAATCTTGGGACATCAGGAAGGAAGAAAGATCATAAAATTAAAAAAATGAGTAAAGACAAGAAATTTTCATTCTTGAGTTTTTAAATTATATGTGATATGTGGAGGAAAAATTATAACACTGTTGTGGTTCTAAATATATGTAAAAAATATTTAAGACAATTATATCATAAATGGGGAAGGACTCAGGAATGTAAAAGGAGGTAGGGTTTCTACACTTTACTTGAACCCATAAAATAATAACACTGATGGATTATGATTATACTGTTTACCTTCAGTATCTGTGGATTCCACATTTGTGGATTCAACCAACTACAGATAAAAAATATTTGAAAAATAAAACCAGATGGTTATATCTGTGCTTACATGTACAGATTTTTTCTTGTCATTATTCCCTAAACAATACAGTATAACAACTATTTACATGACATTTACATTGTATTAGGTGTTGCAAGTAACCTAGAGATGCTTTAAAGTATATGGGAGGATGTGCATAAGTGATATGCAAATACTACACCATTGTGTATCAGGGACTTGAGCACCCATGAATTTTGGTATTTGAGGGGGATCCTGGAACCAATCCCACATAGATACTGAGGGATGGCTGTATGTATTTCCAGTAAATTCTCATTATTCAAAGTAGTTATGCTCTATAAAGTTGCCTTAAACCCTAAATTCCTAAATACTGAAACACTGCTCCTACTACAATAAATTTTACTATGTATTTATAATATAGTACAGTATTCTACATATTGCTAGATACAATTTGCTAAAAATTTTAGGTCTTTTGCATTTATGTTCAGGACAGATATTGACCTATAATTATCCTTTTAAAATAATGTCTTTTTTCATATTATAAGTAAAAATTATGCTTGCCTTATAAAACAAGTTGCTAATGTATCCTGTTTTTCTTCCCTCAAAAGCAATTTGTGTTACATGTCCTCCTTAAATATTTAGAAGAATTCACCAGTGTTGTCATCTGGCCTGGCTGTTTTATTTCCTGTGGCATGGTTTTTAATTATGGTTTTGTATTTCTTTAGTATAATAGATACAGGACTCTTCACATTTTCAATTTTTCTAGTGTTGGTTTTGGTAAAATTTTTAAATGAATTTGTCTGTTTTATCAAAAGTTTAAAGTTTTTGGCATAAAATTCTTCATAATATCTTATTATCATTTTAATATCTGTAGGATATTAAATGAAATTCATGAAATTGGTAACTTCTGTTTTTTCTCTTTTATTTGCTTGATCAGTCTTGCCACAGAATCTATCAATTCTTTATCTTCTTGAGTTAGACATGTAGATTGTTGATTTTTTTTTTTTGAGACAGAGTCTTGCTCTGTTGCCCAGGCTGGAGTGCAGTGGTGCAATCTCAGCTCACTGCAGCCCAGCCTCCACCTCCTGGGTTCAAGCGATTCTCCTGCCTCAGCCTCCTGATAATTTTTTAATTTTTCTTCTTTAAATATATACTATATATTTTACATTTGTATATTTAACTATATATTTCTCCGTAAACGCTGGTTTAATAACATACATTTTAATGTTAATTTTGTTTAGATATAGTTACAGTTGGTAAAATGAACAGATCTTAAGTGTGCAGGTTGATCAGAATTTTAACAAATGAACACACCTGTGTAATTAAAACCAATATAAAGACACAGAATATTGCTAGCACTTTAGAAAGATCCCCCATGCCATTTTCAAGTTAATTATCCCCCTTCCACCCAGAGGCAACCACTATTATGAGTGTTATTTAATCATGTAAATGTATCACACTTTACTTATGCATTCTCCTTTTGATGCACATTTAAATTGTTACCAATGTTTTGCTATTCTGAACAAAGCTGCAATGAGCATGCTTAAGATTTTTTGTGGATATATGGTCTTTATTTCTTTTAATAATTATCTAGGAGTAGAGTTGTTGGATTATAAGGTAGTTATATGTGATGGTTAATTTTATGCATCAACTTGGCTAGATCACAAACTGCCCAGATATTTGACTAAACATTATTTCTGGGCATGTATATGAAAGTATTTCCAGATTAGATTAGCATTTGAATCAGTAGCCTGAGTAAAAAAGATCCACTCTCACCAATGTGGGCTGGCATCATCCAGTCAATTAGGGTCCAAATAGAACATAAAGGTGGAAGAAGAGTGAATTCCCTCTTCTCTCTCTTCTGGAACTAGGACATCCATTTCTCCTACCCTGGGACATTAGAGCTGCTAGTTTTCAGGCTTTGGGACTCTGAAATTTATACCAGCAGACCCCTTCTTCACTCCCACCCCCAACTATTCTCAGGCCTTCAGCCTCAGACTAAATTACATCACCTGCTTTCCTAATTATACAATTTGCAGATGGCAGATTGTGGGACTTATTAGTCTCCATAATAACATAAGCCAATTCCCATAACCTGTCTTATACATCTATACATGCCCCATTAGTTCTGTTTCTCTGAAGAACCCTACCACATAGTATATGTTTGGAGTTATAAGAGTTTTGAAATGTGGTTATACCATTTTCCACTTCCACCAGCAGCATACAAGAGATTCAGATACTCTTCAACCTCTGCAACATCTGATATTGAAAGTCGTCTTAACTGTAACCATCTTGGTGTGTGTGTAGTAGTACATTGCTATGGCTTTAACTCAATGGCTAACGTTGCTGAGCATCTTTACTGGCCATTGGTAGATACTCTTCTATGAAATGTCTAAGTTTTAAAAACTTAGACATTTTTATTGGGTTGCTTATTTTTATCATTGAGTTGTAAGAGTTCTTCACATGTTCTGTGTGTGAGTCATTTGTCAGTTATATGTTTCACAAATATATTTTTCAGTACAATGGCTTGTCTTCTTATTTTCTTAATGTTGTTTTTTGATGAGTAGACATTTTTGGTTTTTATGAAATACACATATCATTTTTTATTTCATCATTTTTTGCTTTTGTCTTTTCTCTTATGCATTTTAGTGTATATTGTTCTTGTATTTACTTATTTCTAAGACAGACTTGATTTTTCATAAAAATTATTTTTAATTGGCACATAATAATTGAACATATTTATGGAGTACAGTGTGGTATTTCAACACCTGTACACAATGTGTAATGATCAAATCAGGGTAATTAGCATATTTATAATTTCAAATGTTTATCATTTCTTTATGTTGGGAACATTCAAAATCCTCTCTGCTAATTCTTTGAAAACACAGAATAAATTATTGCTAACTTAATCACCTTACAGTTCTATAGAACACCAGAACTCATTCCTCCTATCTAGCTTTAATTTTGTATCCATTAACCAATCTTTGGCTATCCCTTTCCCTCCACTCTTCCCAACTTCTAGTTATCACTATTCTACTCTACTTTTATGCGATCAACTTAAGTGCTTTATACATTTAAAAAAACTTTGCCTAGCCTCCAGTTCATAAAGATAATCTCTTATGACTTCTAAGAGTTTTAAAGTTTTAGTTTTTATATTTATGATCCATTTTGAGTTTATTTTTGTATATGGTATAAGGTATGAAACAAGGTTCATTTATTTCAATGCTGATATTTAGTTGTTTTGACGCCTTGGTGTCATTGTCAAAAATCACTTGGTAATACGTGAGTTGGTCTATTTCCTGACTTTATTTCTGTTCCATGGATCTGTTTTCATATATAAATACCATATTATCTTGATTACCATAGCTTTATTTTAGATATTAAAATCAGCGTAAATACTCCTACTTTAATCTTTTTCTCAAGAATGTTTTTGCCTATTCTAGTCAAGATGCATGGCCATAGAAATTTTAGAAATATCCTGACAATTTCTATGAAAAAATCCAGCTGGAATTTTTAACAGAATCCTGTTGAAAGCAAGAATGAATGTGCGATAACTTCAGATCTTAAAATATTGAGTCTTCTAAGCCATGAACACTTTATATGAAAACATTCCCTAGTTTATTTAGGTCTTCAACGTTTTGAGTGTTCTGTGTAGAGAGCCTACATATTTTTTATTAAATATGAATACTATATTTTGAGCTTTGGTAAATTTTTAAATTTCATATTCCAATTATTTGTTGCTTGCATATATAAATACAATTGGTTTTTATGTATTGACCTTTTGTCTTGTAAATTTTCCATTTTTTGAATATTTCTTAGGGTTTATATGTAAATAATCATGTTGGGTATGAAAAAAAAGAAAACTAGTTCAACTTTTCTCCTTTTCAATATTTGTGCCCTTTATTTTTCTTACCATATTGCACTTACCAGGGCCTCCAGTACAATGTTGAATACAAATAGTGAAAGCAGACATTTTTGTCTTGTTTCTAACCTTGAGGGAAGCATTTAATATTTCACAATTAAATGTTATGTTAGCTGTTGGTTTTTCTAGGTTGAGGAAGTTCCCTAGTTTGCTGAATTTTTCTTTTCATTCTGAATTGTTATTGAATTTTGTAAGATTTTCCTGCCTTTGTTGTGATGATATGGTTTTTAAAAATCTTTGTTCTCTTAATATTATTGATAGATTTTTGAACATTAAATAGAACTTTGATTCTTCAAATAAACACTAGTTGTTCATAATGTATTATTCCTTTTATATATTGGTGGATTTGAATTGTGTGTGTATATATATACGTGTATATATATGTATATATACGTATATATACATATACGTATATATATATACATATATATATATATATATATATATATATATAATTTTTTTTTTTTTCTAGACGGAGTTTTGCTTTTGCTCTATCACCTAAGCTGGAGTGCAGTGGTGTGATCTTGGCTCACTGCAACCTCCACCTCCGGGGTTCAAGCAACTCTCCTGCCTCAGCCTCCTGAGTAGCAAGGATTACAGGCACCCATCACCCCACCCAGCTAATTTTTGTACTTTTAGTAGAGACGGGGTTTCACTATGTTGGCCAGGCTGGTATCGAATTCCTGACCTCGTGATCCGCCGGCTTCGGCCTCCCAAAGTGCTAGGATTACAGGCGTGAGCCACCGTGCCCGGCCTGAATTGTCAATATTTTTAACAGATTTTTGCATCTATGTTCATGAGGGATATTGGTTTGTAATCTGCTTTTTTTGTAATGCTCTTGTCGGGTTAAAGCTGGGGGTACATAATTTGTGGGACCCAGTGCAAATGAAAATGGAGGGCCCCTTATTCATAAAGCTTTTTAAAAATGTTAAAGGTACTAAAATATCAACATTTTTCCTTAAAATCTTTTATTACATATAAAATGTAATATAGATAACAATGATACATAAATGTTTCTTATAGAAACCTCAACCCTGCTTTTAAAACTTCCTAATTGATTTAGTCAGGCCCACTCAGATTATCCAGGATAATCTCCCTTACTTAAAATTCAGTGGATCAGGGGCTTTAATTGCACATGCAATGATACATGATACCTGAATGATATATAAACATACAAATTGCAAAAATGGTGTCAAAATTTTATATAATACAATGAATAATATTTTATTAATGTGGTATTTTTATTGATCATAAGATTTTTTTGGCTCACTTTTGTGAAAATTATTTATTAGATCCTCAAAGTTTTTAATTTTAGTAACCGCATTTTTTTTTTTTTTTTTTTTTTTTTTTTTTTTGAGATGGAGTCTTGCTCTGTCGCCCAGGCTGGAGTGCAATGGTGCAAACACGGCTGACTGCAAGCTCCGCCTCCTGGGTTCACGCCACTCTCCTGCCTCAGCCTCCCGAGTAGCTGGGACTACAGGCGCCTGCCACCACACCCGGCTAATTTTTTTGTATTTTTAGTAGATACGGGGTTTCTCCGTAGCCAGGATAGTCTCAATCCCCCGACCTTGTGATCCACTCGCCTCGGCCTCCCAAAGTGCTGGGATTACAGGCGTGAGCCACCATGCCTGGCAAGTAATCTCATTTTTAATTGACATAATGAAAGCAACATGCATTTTTAGGTTGTGATAACAATGTAATAAATTTCCAATAAATTGTATTACAGTTAGACCTGATGATTCTTGGAGAACAATTTCTCCGAAAAGAAAAACCTCTTCATACAAATGCAGTTTTCTGTAAGTGTGATTTAATTTAATTATTTTATTTATTTATTTTTGAGACAGTCTTGCTGTTTTGCCCAGGCTGGAGTGCTCACCAGCAATGGTGAGGTGGGAGGCTCACCACAATGTCCGCCTCCCAGGTTCAAGCGATTCTCCTGCCTCAGCCTCCCTAGTAGCTGGGATTATAGACATGCACCACCACACCCAGCTAATTTTTGTATTTTTAGTAGAGATGGGGTTTTACCATGTTGGTCAGGCTAGTCTCAAACTCCTGGCCTCATGTGATCCACCTGCCTTGGCCTCCCAAAGTGCTGAGATTACAGGCAAGAGCCACCGCACCCAACTATTAATTTTAAATGTATATTTATATGACGGTATGTTAAGTAGAATTCTTAAAATGGCCCCTAAAATGTCATACCCTAATCTCTAGAACCTGTATAGATATATTAATATATGATGAGATACCTCTCATGATTGTGTTACACAGCGTAGTTGACCTCAAAAAAGGAAGATTATTCAGGTGAGCCTAGTCAAATCACATGAACACTTTTAAATGCAGTTTTCTCCAGCTAGTAGCAAAAGGGGAAGTCAAAGGGATTTAAAGCATATGGGGGAGTCACATGAGGGATCCTGATGCCAGTTGTGATAGTTTCTTTACTGTAAAGATGATTTTTTTCCTCGTTTGGAAAGAAGTCACTAAGTCTTGCCCAAACTCAAGGAGTGGTGGTGGCAATAATAATTAAGCATCATCTCCAAGAGGGGAGAATCTATAGAAATTTCTAACAAATTTCTGATAAACATGGAATTCTGTTGTAAGAAAATTTGTCTTGTTTCCCTCATTTATTTATTTATTCAATCATCTATTTATACCACTAAGGATTCAAATATTTTTATTTTGTACTTTGGGTAATAATCCAGTAGTACATGATTTACTTTGTTGTTCAGATTTTTCCATCTTTGCTCATTGGGAGCTCTTTCACATTGCCTTCTGTCCTTCTGTGTCACTTTGACATGCCCTACCTTTTTTTTAGAAAAACTACTTCCTTATTTTGTGGTACTACAAGATGCTCCAGACTCACCTTGTATTTCCTCTGAATCATTTTCTCTAAATAGTGAATTAAGCCCATTCACATTTATTGATATCACTGATATGTTTAATTTCAACTCTGTCATACTATTTTATTCTATTACTGTGTGTGTCAGTCAGGTTGAATCAGAGAAGTAGAACATGTAGGGTGTATGTCTGTTACATGAATTGGCTTATGCAATTGTAGGGCCTAGCTAAAAAAGCCTGAAATCCTTAGGGCAAGCAGTCACGAAGGGAAGTTCACTGGCAGGCTCAAATTCCACAGGCACAGGCCAAAGCTGTTGTCCACAGGAAGAATTTTTTCTGTCTCTTCGAGAAACTTCAGCCCTGCTTTTAAGACTTACCTAATTGATTCAGTCAGGCCCACTCAGATTATCCAGGATAATCTCTCTTACTTAAAATCAATGAATTAGGGGCTTTAATTGCATCAGCAAGAACATTCAACAGCAATACCTAGATTAGTGTTTGATGGAACAACTGGGGGCTATAGCCCAGCCAAACTGACATCTCATGGGAGCCGTCACACTGTAAGTATTATATTGTACTTTCTGTGTGTCTATGTGGGCTCTTTTCCTGCCTTGGTAATTAGGCAGGTTTGTCACTTTGTTCTAGTGGTTACCTTTACACTACTGTCTTTTATAATACTCTTACTTTCCTTACTTAACCTTCTACTACCTGGTTTGTCAGATTTAATCTTTATTTGATATCCCTTTACCTCCATGTATTCCCCATGTAACAATAAAACAGAACTAATGTTTAAAAGTATACTTAAAAGAAAAAAACTTTCCAGCAACAAAATAAAACCAGCATTGTCATACTAGATACAGTCCGTCATGTATGGGGGAAAGATGATCCAGAATGGTTGGCACCAATAAAAATCTCAGTGCCAAATCTTAGACTTCAAATGTAAATAAATAAAGCTCAGGGCCTCTTGGCAAAAAGTTGAAGTAACTTTAAAAGAATGAAAATAAGTTTAGCACCAAACTTCCCAACAATAACATAGAAAGCAAGACAACAATGGAGTAGCATGTTCAAGAAACTCAAGGAAATACAGTGTGAGCCAAGCTGTCTTTCACTTATTGATTACAATTTAGTCCTCATTTCTATGATGATTTTGACATCAATTAATTTCTTGAATTCAGCTAACTCTTATTTTACATACATTTGTTTTTATGTCCACTTCTGCTATGAGCTTTGAATTTCTAATTTAAAGCATTTTTACTGGTTTGTGAAGTCTCACAATTTCCTTTTGCTTCATGCTTGATTTGGGAAGAAATTTTTATCGCCAAAATGTTTTGATTCTAATTTTCTGACTTTGTTCACAGTACCTATGTATGAATATTGACAGCCACCTTCAGGTCATTTTTAAATAAAATATTTTCCTGCACAGCAAGAACAGTTGCATTGGGATGTAGAGGTGAAATAAGCTTTTTTGTTTCAAGAGTGCCCTTTACTTTGGTGTAACAAAGTTGGGGTTTTTGGTGGTGGTGATGGTGATGATGGTGGTGATTAATGGTCATGGTGTGTTTTCTGATTCTGTCATTCTGTTTTTGTTGTTTCTGCAAGAATTTTAATTTCCCTTCTTGCATCCTTCTTTCCTTCATCAAGTCTCTAAGGGGTGCTGCCTTTCCAATGTTTTGCTTTTCCCCAAAAGTGGTAGCTTCCTGAGACTTCCTCCTATGATCTCAGAAAATGTTTTGATTAAATTTTTATTATGAGATTATTTTAGATCCATCTGCATTTGGAAGAAATTAACAGAAAGTTCCTCTATACCATTTACCCAGTTTTTCTCAACAGTAACATCTTGAAAAAGCATAGAAAAATACCACAATTAGAATACCGATATATATACAGTCAAGATACAAAATATTTCCATCAACGCAATGATCATTCATGTTTTTCTTTTATATTCACCTCCATTTCCTTTCCACCTCTACTCCCTCTTTCATCCCTGCCAACCACTAATCTGTTTGCAATCTTTATAATTTTGTCATGTCAAGAATGTTATATAGATGGAATCATACAGCATGTAACTTTTGGGGATTGGCTTTTTTCACTCGGCATAATTCTCTGGCAATTCAGGCAGGTTGTTGTGTATAGCAATAGTTTGTTTCTTTTTAATTGTACGCATGTTACAACAGTTTACAAATTCACTCATTGAAGGGTATCTGGGTTGTTTCCAAATTTTGACTGTCATAAATATAGGTACTATGAATATTTGTGTATGTGTTTCTGTGTGGACATAATTTTTTATTTCTTAGGAATAAAAGCTCAGGAGTATGACTGCTGGTTATATAGCAAGTATATGTTTTGTTTTGTTTTGAAGAAACTGTCAATCTGTTTCCTAGAAAGGTTATACATCCCCACCAGCAATGTATGAAAGATTCCATTTCCCCACATTCTCGACAGCATTAGGTATTGTCATTTTTAAGTTGTTGCTGTTCTAATATGTGTATAGTGATATCTCATTGTAGTTTTAATGTGCATTACACTAATGACGTTAAATATTTTTTCCTGTATAATGTTAGCTGTAGGTGCTTTGTACATGCTCTTTATCAAGTTTAGGAAATTACCGTCTATTACTATTTTTCTGAGAGTTTTTATAATGAATGAGTGTTAAAATTTGACAAATGCTTTTAATGCATTCATATGATAATTTTCTTCGTTAGCCTGTTAATATAGTGGATTATATTGATTAATTTTCAAATATTGAACTGGCCTCATAGCCCTGGAGTAAACTCCACTTGGTCATGGCGTATCATTTTTAAAATACATTACTGAATTATATTTACTAAAATATTGTTGAAGAGTTTTGTGTCTGTATTAGAGGGAAATTATTTGTATGTAGTTTTCTTTTTGGTACAGATTTTGTCTGGTTTTGGTATCAGCATAGTACTAGCTTCATAAAAAGAATATTCCCTAGTCTTCTATTTTCTTGAATAGATTGTATAGAATTGTTGTTCATTTTTCTTTAAATGTTTGGTAGAATTCTCCAGTGAAGTCATGAGAGCTTGGAAATTTATTTTTCTGGGCAATTTTTAAATTATGATTTCATTTCCTTTATTGTTATAAGGCTATTCAATAATCTATTTCATATTTGGTGAGTTGTAGTTGTTTATGCTTTCTAATTAATGGGTCTATTTCATCTAAGTTTTCAAATTTATATGTGTAGAATTATTCTTATAATTCTCTATTATACTTTCGATGCCTGCATAGTGTAAAGTGATATCCCTTGTTTCATTTCTAATATTGTAATATGTGATTTTTTTTCCCTTTATTTTTTTAAGACAGAGTCTCACTCTGTTGCCCAGGCTGGAGTGCAGTGGTGCGATCATGGTTTACTACAGCCTTGACCTCCTGGGCTCAGGTGATTCTCCCACCTTAGCCTCCTGAGTAGCTGGGACTACAGGCATGCTCCACCATGTCTGACTAATTTTTTGTACTTTTTGTAGAGATGGGGTTTTGCCATGTTGCCCAGGCTGGTCTCAAACCCCTGGGCTCAAGTGATCCACCCACCCCGGCCTCCCAAAGTGCTGGGATTACAGGCGTGAGCCACCGAGCCCGGCCTGTTTTTTTTATTTTGTTTTTGTCAGTATTGCTAAAGGTTTGTCACTATTACTGATCTTTTAAAAGAGCAAGCTCTTTGTTTCATCGATTTTTATTATTGCTTTTCTGTTTT